>NC_000004.12:126421381-128921381 GCF_000001405.40 Homo sapiens | reverse complement strand
TGCCTCCAGTTTGTTCTTTTTGCTTAGAATTGCCTTGGCTATTCGATCTCTTTTTTGGTTCCATATGAATTTTTAAATAGTTTTTTTGGTCTAATTCTGTGAAGAATGTCATTGGTAGTTTGATAGGAATAGCACTGAATCTGTAAATTGCTTTGGGCAATATGACCATTTTAACAATATTGATTCTTCCTATCCATAGCATGGAATGTTTTTTCATTCATTTGTATCATCCCCAATTTCTTTGAGCAGTGTTCTGTTACTCTCATTGTAGAGATCTTTCCCCTCCCTGGTTAGCTATATTTGTATTTTATTCTTTTTGTGGCTTTTGTGAATGGGATTGTGTTCTTGATTTGGGTCTCTGCTTAGATGTCACTGATGTATAGAAATGCAATGGATTTTGGTACATTAATTTTGTATCCTGAAACTGCTGAAGTTATCAGATCTAAGAGCTTGTGGGCAGAGACTAATTGGTTTTCTAGGTCTAGAATTATATCATCCATAAACAGAGATAGTTTGACTTCCTCTCTACCTATTTGGATGCCTTTTACTTCTTTCTTTTGCCTCATTGCTCTGCCTAGGATTCCAGTACTATGTTGAATAGGGGTAGTGAGAGTGGGCATCCTTGTCTTGTTCCAGTTATCAGGGGGAATGCTTCCAGCTTTTGCCCATTCATTACAATGTTATCTGTGGGTCTATCATATATGGCTTTTATCATTTTGAGATATGTTCATTCAATGCCTAGTTTGTTGAGGGTTTTTAACATGAGGGGATATTGAATTTTATTAAAAGCCTTTTCTAGGCTGGGCACAGTGGCTTACGCCCAGCACTTTAGGAGGCCGAGGCAGGCAGATCACTTGAGGCTAGGACTTCAAGACCAGCCTGGCCAACATGGCAAAACCCCATCTCTACTAAAAATACAAAAATTAGCTGGGCGTGGTGGCGTGTGCCTGTAATTCCAGCTATTGGGGAGGCTGATGTATGAGAATCATTTGAACCTGGGAGGCCAAGGTTTCACTTAGCCGATATTGTGCCACTACACTCCAGCCCAGATGACAGAGGATCTGCATCTGTTGAGATGATAATGTGATTTTTGTTTTTAGTTCTGTTTATGTGGTGAATCACATTTCTTGATTTGTGTATGTTGAACCAACCTTGCATCCCAGGAATAAAGCTTACTTGATTGTGGCGGATCGTCTTTTTGATGTGCTGCTGGATTCAATTTGCTAGTATTTGTTGAGGACTTTTGCATCTATGATCATCAGGAATATTGGCCTGAAGTTTTCTTTTTTTCTTGTGTCTTTGTCAGATTTTGATATCAGGATGATTATGGCCTCATAGAATGAGTTAAAGAGAAGTCCCTTCTCCTCAATTTTTTGGAGTAGTCTCAGTAGGAATGGTATCAGCTCTTCTCTTACATCTGGTAGAATTTGGCTGTGAATCCTTCTGACCCTGGGATTTTTCTGGTTGATAGACTTTTATTATTGATTCAGTTTCTGAACTCACTATTGGTTTGTTCAGGGATTGAATTTCTTCCTAGTTC
Organism: Homo sapiens; assembly: GCF_000001405.40. Taxonomy (NCBI): domain Eukaryota; kingdom Metazoa; phylum Chordata; class Mammalia; order Primates; family Hominidae; genus Homo; species Homo sapiens. The sequence goes on along the minus strand of NC_000004.12, from coordinate 128,919,841 downwards.
AATATTGGAAGGTTGTATGTTTCTAAGAATTTATCCATTTCTAGGTTTTCTGGTTTGTGTGCATAGAGATGTTCATAGTAGTCTCTGAGGTTATTTTTTTTTTGTATTTCTGTGGGGTTAATAGTAATATCCCCTTGTCATTATGATTATTTATTTGGATCTTTTCTTTTTCTTTATTAGTCTAGCTGGTGGTCTATCAATCTTATTCTTTCAAAAACCAACTTCTGGATTTGTTGATCTTTAGTATGGTTTTTTGCATCTCTATTTCCTTCAGTTCAACTCTGATTTTTGTTATTTATTGTCTTCTGCTAGCTCTGGGGTTGGTTTGCCTTGTTCCTCTAGGTGTGATGTTAAGTTGTTAATTTGAGGTCTTTCTAACTTTTTGAGGGCGTTTAGCACTATAAACTTCTGCTTAACACTGCTTTAGCTGTGTCCCCAAGATTCTGGTATGTTGTATCTTTGTTCTCATTAGTTTCAAATAATTTATTGGTTTCTGCCTTAGTTTTATAGTTTCCCCAAAAGTCATTCAGGGGCAGGTTGTTTAATTTCCATTAATCATATGATTATGAGCAATTTCCTTAGTATTGATTTTTATTTTTATTGCACTGTGGTCCAAGAGTGTGTTTAGTATGATTTTTTTTTTTAATTTGCTGAGGATTGTTTTGCAGCTGATTGTGGTCAATTTTAGAGTATGTGCCATGTGCAGATGAGAAGAATGTATATTCTGTTTGTTTTGGGTGGAGAGGTCTATAAATATCTGTTAGGCCAATTTAGTCAAATGTCCTGTGCAGATCCTGAATATCTTTGCTAGTTTTCTGATTTGATCATCTGCCTAATACTGTCAGTGGCATGTTGAAATCTCCCACTATTATTGTGTGCTTATCTAAGTCTCTTTGTAGGTCTCTAAGAATTTGCCTTATGAACCTGGGTGCTCCTGTGCTAGATGCATATATATTTAGGATAGTTAGGTCTTCTTGTTGAATTGAACCTTTTACCATTATGTAATGTTATTCTTTGTCTTTTTTGATCATTATGGGTTTAAAGACTGTTTTGTCTGAAATTAGAATAGCAATCCCTGCTTTGTTCTGTTTTCCATTTGGTTTTTCTCTTTTCCTTTATTTTGAGCCTACGGGTATGTTTGCATGTGAGATGGGTTCCTTGTAGATCACATACAGTTGGGTCTTGCTTCTTCATCCAACTTGCCACTCTATGCCGTTTAATTTGGAGCATTTAGCCTATTTACATTCAAGGTTAATATTGGTATGTGGAGGTTTGATCCTAGATCATACATTTGGTCTCTTTACATAATCCTATATTTCTCAGAAGCTTTATTCATTCTTCTCTGTTGTTTTTTCTTTGTTTTTATCTGAGTTATTTCAGAGAAACCAGTCTTCAAACTCTGAGATTCTTTCCTCAGGTTGGTTGATTGCACTGTTAATACTTGTGATTGATTGTATTATGAAATTCTTGAAGTGAGTTTTCCTGCTCTATCAGTTCAGTTTGGTCCTTTCTTAGAGTGATCATTTTGTGTTTTATGTCCTGTACCATTTTATTGTATTCCTTAGTTTCAAAGTTTGTTTCTGACCACTCCAATATCTGTCATCAGACAGATCTGTTTCTTTTGGTTCCTAAGCATCTTATCTGGTTTCTCTATCTATTTATTAGTAATTGCCATTGAAAATTTTTGTTGTAAAGCTTCCATAGAGAATCTTTGCCTTTGCCTCTTCTGGGTGCCTGAGAGCACTACTGGGTGTGAGAACTTCAACTAAGGGTGGGGTTTCTGGGCTTTGTTAATTTTGAGGTGTATCTGTGGTCTGTGGCCACAGAAGAATACGTTTTTTCTTCTGCTTTGTTCATAACCAAAGTAGCTTCCCTGTAGTCCTGTGACTTTGAGAGAAGTGGCATGCTTTCAGATATGGTTCACTTTAACCTTGAAGTGATGCTCTTTTGGGATGCCAGATCAACGATGGAGAGGATCTCTCCACCACACCCCTTTCTCTCAGTGGTAACAGGGTCAGATCCCAAGTGTGCAGTATTGTAAATGCCATCCAGGAAAGAGGAAGTATTGGTGCTCCAAGATTCTGTTAGCTTTTCTCATTATAAGCTTTCATTCAGAAGTTGTCTTGGAACATTTTCACTATATTTTCCTCTGTTTGATGCTTTTACAGAGTTGTGGAGTTTTTACTGAATTGATTAATCTGAATAACTTAGTATACCTTTACTAGATCCAAACATATATTCTTTAAAAGTATCCCACCTCACTTAGCACAGTAATCGAGAACTTGGCTTCCAATAATTATTGTCCCATACAGAGTTTACATATGTCTGTGGTCAATTACAGCATCCTGGAAATTGAAATGGACTGTGGCTATAAAATAAATTATCAGAACTATTGCTGGGGATTAGTATCAGGATCATTAAAACCAATGTGGCACTTAAATAATACATAATAATTAAGAAACAGTAGTTGATCTTAATATTATTTCTTGACTAAAATCAATATGTTGTGTACCATTATATTTTAACTATATTACTTTGTGTGAGATGGTGAGGCCAGATGCAGATCAAGAGAGAGAAAATGGAAAGAGTTTTACAGTTTGTTATGCTCACAGTTCCCTGGACAAACACAGCACACCACACAGGACCACTCGAGAAGCACTGGGGTCAGTCACGAGGTAGAAGGTGAAGGGGGCAACTGTGAGCACACATTTTATTGTGGTTTTTACAGAAAGGAACAGGTGACGCCATGGTGAACAAGTTTTAGATTGGCTGATGTGAACAAGTTCAGTGGGCTCCACGGCGTAGTGGCTGTTTCTGGTTTGGTTGGTTGGTTGGTTGGTTTTTTCTGGTTCCTGGCCCTAGAGTGATTACGGCAGATGTAGTGGCCCAGAATGTGACAGCCCAATAAGGGAAGTGGTTGGAGTTGTACACTCAGCTTCTCAAAACAGGAACTGACCAGCCTCTTTGCCAGGGTCTCAGAACTAAGTCAAGACATTTAAGTCTTGACAAGTCAGAACTAAGTCAAGACGTATAACTATACTATACCTTGAAGCAACTTATAGTATAGGAACCTAAGCCTATGATACAAGGACACATTGCTCTAATGGACCAAAAGTGCCTAACTTTGATTTGTTTTTACACTGTGTTGAAACGGTAGATGAAAAAGTAAGTGTCTGTTGCATTGGCTGAAATCTTCAAAACATCTTGAAAAAATGTACCGTAATTTTTAACTATGTTTCTTCCTTAATGATGGACTGCCTGTGCTGAGGATGTCCTGTAAAGACTTCAAGTCTTTTAGCTTTTTCGTCAGTCAGTATGCTTTGGTGATTAGAAACTGTAAATCTACTCAGAGAAAGCTTCTGCCACTTGGCAGATATTTTGGGTCAAGTATAAGAGAAAGGCAGTGCTACTCCTTTATTGGTTTCATTACATTTGATTTTCCCATTGTTTTCAGAACAAAAAAAAGTAACAAATCAATTTGGTTTAATGTCATTTTTGTGTTAAAAATAACATGTAGACTATTAAAATGATATATATTAACTGCAATAATAGAAGCTCATTAATATTTTATATACTTGCTTTAACGTATTCATACACTTACCTGAAAATACCCAAATCTGCTCTGATTCAGAATTTTAGTATCCCTGTAAAAGTGTTCAGCAGTATTATTAGCATCTTGGCTGTCCATCTTTTCACTCTATCAAGTTCAGAATTATACCTTGCAATTTAAAATGTCTAATACTTCAGTCTGCAGATGTATACAAATGGATCCAGAAACAAAAGCAGATCCCTTAAAACTCAGTTTAATTTATATGACAACTGAGTGACCATTCTTCTCCAAGCATTCTGCTAAATGCTAGAAACACAAGATGAATAAGGCTTTGCCACTAAGAACTTATTCTGTCCCATTGCCTATCTTTGTTTCTCCTAGCATTCATCACTGTCAGTAATTATGTTTTATACTTGTTTCATTACATGTTTTAAAACAGTCTGTCTTTCCTATGGGACTATCAGCTCCATAAAGTTTGTTTTATTCCTCACTGTATCCCTAGCTCTTAAAAGAGTGTCCAGCACTAGTAGATATCCAGAACATATTTGTTGAATGAATGAATGAATGAATGAATGAAAGCTAGTGAATTTTATCAATTATTGTTTCTTTTCTAGGCCAAACTCTTCTTCCAGTTTTGATCCTTTCTGGTCAAAGTAGAATTTCAGCTTTTTGAAATGCATTTGAACTTTTAAAACATGATATAATGTGCCCCCAGTATTTAACAGACCTAAGAAACTTGAATTCCCATAATTGTACCACTGCTGTATAATGAAACTTGTTTCTCATCTTACAAACTTGAAAATGCTATTGATTCTAAGAATTATTATGAAGACTGTTGATAATAAAGGAATACATAGTCCTGAACATAAGCACTAGGATTAATTGGGTGAAATAGTTTTTAAAAATCAGTATTGCTAATAATTAAGGTCATACTTCCAGAGGAGAAATATTGCACAAAACATTGCAGCTAGGATTATTCAATTTTTTGAACTCCTATTCTGAAATCTAGAAAAGTACACGTTGGCCGTATAACACAGACCTCTGTGAACTGGGCATGTATGTCCACAGGCACCAGACCACTAGAAATTATTGGCAGAGTATGTTGAATCGGTATCTATATATGAACATAACTATTTGGTTAAGCATAACAGTCTATAGTATAGTGTTGGGCACTTGATAATGATTCTTTAAATGTTTACAGGTAATTTATTTAAGAATTATTGAAATGTGATTTTTAAAGGAGTGTGCTAGCCAGCAGTGCAACACCAAAGAAGAATCCTTTCAACTTGAATTCTAGTATGCCGTGCCCCTTTATGAGCAAGCAGAGTAGCCCATATATGACTAACTTAAAGGAGTTTACTAGAATGAGTTGTGTCAAAAAACCTCATCAATCTTGCTACTTGTTATCACACCATCATAGCTTAATTCATTTGAATACTGAAAATTATTTGTTTGTGTGGGCTTTTTGGCATTGATTTTAACTAAAATTCAAATACTGTAGAAGAAACTATAGTTTCCAATAACCATGATCTTGAAAACAACCTAAATGTGGTCCATAGAATGACCTAAATGTGGTCCATAGATTGCTCCTCTTTCTGTATCCCCTTTGTGCACCTCTATAGTCAGCTTTCAGATATGTTTGATTATTTCTCTTCTTTCTCCTTAATGTTTTCAAATCCATTTGCCTTCATCCCCGCTACTCCTATATTAGATCAGATCACCATCATCTCTGACCTCTCTTACAAACTCTTCATTTATCCCTGGACTGCTGCAACAGCTTTTAGATCTGGTTTCACATGTATGTCCAATCTCATTTCTCATCACTTCCTATTTTTTATTACTCTATTTAAGATTTTAGAGAAACATCTATCACATTAAGGATTTTTTATTACAATAAAAGATAATATTACTAGTTTCTTTTTTTTTTTGAGACGGAGTTTCGCTCTTTCGCCCAGGCTGGAGTGTAGTGGCTATCTCGGTTCACTACAATCTCCACCTCCTGGGTTCATGCCATTCTCTTGCCTCAGCCTCCAGAGTAGCTGAGACTACAGGCGCCAGCCACCATGCCCAGCTAATTTTTTTGTATTTTTAGTAGAGACGGGGTTTCACCGTGTTAGCCAGGATGGTCTCAATCTCCTAACCTCATGATCCACCTGCCTCGGCCTCCCAAAGTGCTGGGATTACAGGCGTGAGCCACCGCGCCCGGCAATATTACTAGTTTTAAAGATCAAAATGATATCCAAATCGCCCAGTGCTTTAGAAATAGCTGCTAAGTAGTAAGCCAGCTAGTCACTTCTCTTTGTGGGCAGTGGTGAGGAGCGGGTGAGTACCAGTACTCTGATACCTGCTTTGCTGTTATCCAGCAAAGACTCATACCTTTTAAAAGACAATACCAGTGAACAAAACAGGCAAAAATCCCTGCCCTCATGGAGCTTTCATTCTAATAGGGGAGACAAACATTAATTGGTCTCAAATTAAACAAGAGAAATTAAATATGTGATAGATGGTGAGTGCTAAAGAGAAAAATAAACAGAAAAAGCCAATAGGCACTGTATGTATTTTTGAGAGCGCCCCATTTTAGAAGAGGTCAGCAGAGATAATCATCCTCCACTCTCCTGCCCTTCTTTCTCTTCTTCCTTGGCCAACCACAGCCCTGTTTAAATATAACTCGTCTTCTCTGTAGCTTTACTCATTCAGCTCAAGGTGGCTGGAAAAAACACACACAGCCATTCTGGGTTGTCTCACTTTAAATTCATGACCACAAAAGGGACCTTTAGTGCTGCAAGACAATCATTTTATATATTCTACTCTCTTTGGTGACTATTTCATACCCTTTATTCTGTCCTCAAATCTTTTTGCAACTCCTCCCCCATCATCCCTTTTAGGCAATAACTTCAATTCCTGTTTCACTGAGAAAAGAGAAGCAATCAGAAGAGAACTTCTGCAGTTTCCCACACTGCAGTTATATTTTCCCATGCCTGTGTTTCCTGTCAACTTGGCTGTAATGCTCCAGTGTAAGAACAAACTCTTCATTTGTCCCTAGATTTTATTTTTGTTTTGCTGTAGTGCCTCCTTGTTAGATGTTCAGTTAAATACAAAGAATTGTTTTAAAAAACAATTTTCCACAACAACAGAATGCCGAACGTAGCAACATGAAATGGTTAACTACCCTGAGAGAAACAAATAGAAATAATTCATGGAATAAGCAATTTGAAGCAAACCAACAAACCTTCTAAAGAAAATTCCTACTTAAGTGAAATCTTGGCTTTTAAATTTATTTGAACTTTCTGCCAGCACTGGCCAGATATGCTCAGCAAATCACATTTGGTAACAAAGCCCTGCCTAGCCTAAATAGTCAAGATTGCAGTTTATATCTTGACCAGTGGTATATGTGAATCCAGTAAATCCAGTAAATATCACTAGGATTTTTGCCATCTTTTTTTCTTTCTGTTTCAAAGCTTACCTCCTTTTCTGCCCAGCCTTAAAAACCAAGTCTTGGTAAAGGACAACACATTGAGACCCTGTCTCTATTTATATATATATACAAAGAAAAAGGAGGAGGAGGGCGAAGAGGAGGAGGGGAAGAGGAGGAGGGGAAGGAGGAGGAGGAAGAGTAGGAGAGAAAAGCCCATGTACTTACTTTTACTTGCACAAAAAGATTACTAGTTCTAGAAGGCAGTAGATTTTAGGCAAGATTTATATATATGAATTGTATCCCTCCTTTTTGGAGAACATAAATAATACTGAAGATTATGCATGAAATCAATAAAATGTATCTACTGAAGTATTTTCACTGACCTATCTTACCTATTGGTCATAATACAAAATTCTATGACAGTCATAATAGATTTATAATTTTCAAGTTAAAAAATTTATTTTTAATTTTAATGAAAAAATACGTTACAAAGGTGATAATCTACCCTTGACATACAATAGCATCCATATTGAGCATCAGTAAAGTACCAGACTAACTGCTAGATGGTACTTCCATATCTCTGGGGAAGAATTCATTTGTTCTCCTTAGAAGTGTTTTTGTTTTTAGTGATTCAATGGTATAGTCCAAGTCTTGAACCAATTAGGTCTTTAATTAATAATAAATTGCAAAATAAACTACAGAGCATTTTAAAAGTAAATGGCTTGTTTGATGCATTTGACTCTCCGTGTAATGATGTCTCTATATATACCACAGCATTATATATTCTAGCATTCATATCAAAAGTGTTATTACTCGCTTTCAAAAGTGAGCCTTTTCAGGTTAGGGCTCAGCATCCTGCTTCTCTGTGTGCATTATTGTGATGTATTAAGCATCAAAGCTTTCCCCCTGAAAATATGCCTTTTAAAAAGTGCTAGCATTCCTTGGTCTCTAAATTAGTTGTATGCATTGAATCTTGAAAGTACTTGGCTGTTTGCCTCTGTCCTCTCTACTTCATAAGAATTGAATTCTTTTAAGTTGCTATTTTCTTGCTTGCTTTTGTCCACCTATTTGCTACAGTTAGGAGAATATTAGAGGCAAAACCAAATATAAGTATAGTCATGATATACGTAGTCCTCCCTTGACTTGCTTTATTCCCCGTGGAAACTTCTATACCTTTTCGCAACTGACAATTAAATATGATTACCAGTACCTGTGATTTTTAAAATTATCTACCCATAAGTAACTATGGTCAAAACTAAATGTAACACCAAATAATTAAATAAAATAATTTTTTCATAGGTAATTTTTCATCTTAGTATCGGAGAACTTAGGATCAGAAGCTTTTTAAAAATTTGAGTTTCTGTATGGTATCTTTTGGTTTGAAGTTTAATTTGTAATATCTTATTAATTCCTCTATAATTATCCCCTCTTAGCTACTACTACTTTATCTTGCAATGTATGTATCACAAAGAATTTTGAGCTTCAAAGAAGAAGCTGTTTTACTAGTTAACTTATTAGTGTATAGTATCTGTAACTGCAGTATATATGTACTAATCTTACTTAAATGAGAGATTGTTGTTATTTTATTTACCTATTTATTATATTTTTTTGAGACGGAGTTTCATTCTTATTGCCCAGGCTAGAGTGCAATGGCACAACCTTGGCTCACTGCAACCTCCGCCTCCCAGATTCAAGCGATTCTCCTGCCTTAGCCTCCCGAGTAGCTGGGATTACAGGCTCCTGCCACCAGACCCAGCTAATTTTTTTGTATTTTTACTAGAGATGGAGTTTCACCATGTTTGCCAGGCTGGTCTCGAACTCCTGACCTCAGGTGATCTACCCACCTTGGCCTTCCAAAGTGCTGGGATTACAGGCGTGAGCCACCGCACCTGGCCTGTTGTTACTATTTTTATAGATGAAATCAACAAACCTCTGTGGGAAAAAAATGAGATTTTCCCTACCAGATATCAAAATACATAAAACAGTATTGGCACAAGGATAGATAATTTGAACAGAATGCAGAAAAAGAAAAAAAAATATAAAATCAGAAATTTTGGTTATGATAATGGTGGTATTTCAAATCATTGGTGAAAAGATGATGTTAAAAAGATAGAAAATCATTTAGAATATTCTTTATTTCATATATAAAATAAATTCCAGACGTATTAAAGAGCTAAGTGTAAAAAAGAGTGTATTAGAAGAAATAAAATTATTTTTATTCTCTTGGAATAGAGAAGACTTTCTAATCAAAACACAAAACCCAGAATCCAAAAAAGAAAAAGTGATTAATCGATCTAACCATAAAAATTAAAATTTTTATGAAGAAAGATACTAAACAAAGATAAATGACAAATGGGATACTGGAAAAATTTTAAAAGGGTTAATGTGCAAAATTCATCAAGTTCCACATTAAAAGGTTAACAACCTAATAGAAAGATGGACAAAGTATGTGAACTCAGTGGTTCAAACAAAGCTCACAAAAGTATCGATGCAAATCTCCTTTAAACATAGCAAAGCAAGTTCAGCCTCACTTTTCATTAAAGAGATGCAAATTTAAGCAATAATTTTTACCCAGCAAATTGGCAAAATGTAGAAGATGGTTAACATCCAGCATCTACAAATACATGGGGAAACAGGAGTTGTCATACAGTATAGGTGGGAATGTAAACTGGCAAATACTTTTTATAAGGTAATGTAGCAAAATCTAACTAAATTTAAACTGTACAGATCCTTTTGCAGTTCCTGGTACAGGAGTCTGTCCTATAGAAATACTTGCATGTGTATAAGCATGCGGTGACATACGTGTCCCTGCAGTTGGTCAGGGCCCTCACATCTTTAACTATGGCTCCTAAAGTGGCCGCCTTCACTCTGGTTTCTCTGCCATCAAATTTTTCCCCACTCTATTCCATCTTTCATACTGCTGTTACAGTTATTTTACTAAAAAGTAAGTATACTGGCCCTGCCTACTTAAAGACTTCTGTTTTATTGTTGCCTACAGATTTTTCACAGTCTTTTCTCTGCCATATTTTATCTGCAGTCTGCCTCTCTGCCTCCAGCCTTCAAGTTCTTTATGCTCCAGTCACACTGAACAACCACCCCAATAAACCAAAAGTGCTTGGCCAGCCCTCGGACATATTCCTAGTCTACATATTATTCACTTATCACGTATTTATTGAGCAGGCACTGTTCTTGAAGTAATGGGAATACAGCAAAGACAAGATTCTTATTTTTTTGAAGTTTAGATTATTGACAGTGAAGTAGAAATTATTGAATAAATAAACATACGCATGTTAATTATCAGATAATAAGTACCATGCAAAAAGTTTAGAGGCTGGGTGCAGTGGCTCACACCTGTTATCCCAGCATTTGGGAGACCGAAGTGGGAGGATCACTTGAAGCCAGGAGTTTGATACCAGCCTCTGCAGCATAGCAAGACCCTGTCCCTACAGAAATTATGAAAGTTTTCTGGGCATGGTGTGTGTGCCTGTAGTTCTAGCTACTTGGGAGGCTGGGGTGGGAGAACCACTTGAGCCAGGAGGTCAAGACTGCAGTGAGGTATGATCATGCTACTGCACTCCAGCCTGAGTGACAGAGCGAGACCTTGTCTGTAAAAAAAGAAAGAAAATTTAAAATAAGCCAGTGTGATAATGGATTGTTGGATATCTGAGGGTGGTAGACCAGGTAGATCCTGTGAAGAAATGAATCTTAAGGTGAGATATAATGATAAAAAGGATATAAAGATCAGGAGAAAGAGCATTTTAAGCAAAGAGAACAGCTAGTTCAAAGACCGCCAAAGCAGTAATACAATCAGTATGTTTGAAGTAAAAGAAATAGTATGCAAAATGAGGCAATAGTGATGTAAGAGTAGGTCAGATCTACGCAGTTTATTATGTTAAGCAATGTCAGCCACCACAGCAAACAAACTGAAATCTTAGGGACTAAACAAAACAAAGGTTTATTATTGCTTACGTTGCATGTCTTAGGCAGTTTGGCAGGAAGGCTCTACTAGAGTGTACGCCTTCTTTAACACGTGGTTTCCTGAGATCACCTCTGAGAAAGAGAGGAATGGAAGAGGAACATGGGCACTTAACTAACTCAGTTTTGAAATTATATATATCACTAACTTTTACCTCCATTGGTGAGAACTGCATAGAAGTCTGGGAAATGTATGGTACACATGGAATGTCTGGTGAACACTGTTGTCTCTGCTGCAGACAGGGATCTAAATATTTATGGTTTTATTAACCAGATTAAACAGTTTTAATTGGGAAAGGAATCTAATTATTCAATTAGATTGTATTGAATAAATGAATGAACACATGAATATACAGTATGTAATATTCGCTTGTCCAAAACAAACTGTACATATAGAGTGAACTACACAGCATTTGCACCTAAGGCATTCTCTTCACTTTGTAAAACAATATAATTCCTTGGCTGTATATCTGTAATGTTTGGCTGCTGTAACTGTTTTTTTCTTTCTTTTTTTTTTTTTTAATTAACAGGATGAGAGGCAGCTGCAGGTACCAGCAAATTACAAAATACATAATTACTAAAAGTAACTGAAGCATATTATAGCATAATTCAACAGGAAAAAGAAAAAAACATCTGGCACATGCTATGTTAATTTGTCATAAGAGAGTTCCAAGGAAAGTGCTTGCTGCAGCTGGCAGATCCATCATTTCACTGAAATGAATAGCGCACCTTTTGTTTTTAATTCTCTCATATAATATAGAATAGAACCTTATGCAATTTAATCATCAGTCATCACTAAAGCATTTCATGCATTGAAGGAATTTTCCTTTGTACTGTATCAGCCAAAATCTACATGGCTCATCCTTACCTTAAACGGTGCCTCAATCATAACAGACTGGTCCAAGCAATTATAGTAATTAATTAAAGTGTCCAAGATGTTAGCCTAAATTTAAATTTCTTATCCCATAATTAAGTAACTTTGTTTTATTTCATATGTCTTTTATTTGTTTTATTTAAAGTATGTGTGATGTTTTCAAAGAGATGGATACATTGCAGGGAAAACCTTGCTCATACTCTCATAACCATACCATTTCAGCTAATGGATATGCCAGTGATAGTCACAATTAAAATACAATTAGTGTGGAAACTCTTGACTTTCAATATGGGTTAGGATATTCATTTCTATGATAGAGAAAAACAGAAATGGGCCAATTATTATTATAAAACATCTTCTAATGCAGACCTTTTTGAAATAGTCTGTATTTCCAACTCTCTACTGAGTATTTTCATATGTACTTCAAACTGAGTTTAGTCTAAATTGAACCCATTATTTCACCCCTAGCTGAAGTTTTTATTTTTATTTCATCCTATATTTCCCATTTCTGTGAATGGTAATATCATCTACCCAGTTGCTCAAGAAAAACTCTGGGTATCATCTTGGACTCCTCCTCATAACCCAAACCCCAGTGTTACTAATTCAATCTCCTAGATATCTCTTCAATCTGTCCATTTCTTTCCAGTTGCTATCATTCAGGCTGTCAACATTGCTCACCTGGATTACTGCAATAACACTCTAATTTGACTATGGATTAATATCCTTACTATTTTTCCTGCTACAGTCAGCAAGATTTCCTGATGTTCAAATCGAATCGTCACTTCTCTTCTTAAAATACTTCAGTGCCAATTTCCTGTTACGACTTATAAGGTTCTTTGTGATCTGTATTTCCTTGCACTTCCAGCTTGTTCCTCTCTCACTCCCACCCCCACCTCCTAGTAACACTCTGTATCTCATTCATGCTGAACTTCTTTTGTTTCCTGAATTTATTATCCTTTTTTCCTGGTCTTCACACACGGATTTGACTGTGACACTCTTCTTTTCCTTCTTCTGCCTTTTTCCATCTAACTGCTATTTATCTTTTATATATCAGCTTAAAAGTCTACTTCCTCTGAAGAGACAGCTCTAACCCCCGATTCTTCCATATGTTTTATCATAGCACCATGAAGTTTTTATAGCATTTGCTACCTATTTTAAGCCTAGTAGCTTTCCAATATTTCTAGTGGTTCATAAGTTTCACTATGGCAGTGACTAGATCTTGTTTCCTCCTTGTCTCCCTAGCACCTAGCACAGTAGTATGTAGCATGTAACAGGCACTCATTTCAGTATTTATTAAATGAGTGAACTTCATAATTTCCCCAAACTCCTTCTAAGATGAGCACTTAACAATAGATGTTGTGAGGAAATTTCAACCATTACTTTGTAACTTTCAGTTCATTCTTCAAATAACTTTAAAATAAGCTTCCTGTGAAGGATCTTTATAAATAAAGCTTTAGAACACATTGATTTTCCTATTAGTAATCTCCCAAATTTATTATATCACTTGATGGCTACTTTGAAAATATAATCGGCCGGGTGCAGTGACTCACGCCTGTAATCCCAGCACTTTGGGAGGCCGAAGCGGGCGGATCACGAGGTCAGGAGATCAAGACCATCCTGGTTAACACCATGACACCCCGTCTCTACTAAAAATAGAAAAAAATTAGCCAGGTGTGGTGGTGGGCACCTGTAATCCCAGCTACTTGGGAGGCTGAGGCAGGAGAATGACGTGAACCCGGGAGGCAGAGCTTGCAGTGAGCCGAGATCGCGCCACTGCACTCCAGCCTGGGCGACAGAGCGAGACTCTGTTTCAAAAAAAAGAAAATATAATCACTGAATTATCTCATTAGTTCTGATATGAGAGCAAGTACTTAGCAAAAACTTTGAAAAGGCAAGATGTAAGATATTAGAAATGTTATTACTGGATGGACTAGGCAACTGATTCTGTGGAATTAATTAAAGCATGCATAGGCTAAAAAAAAACACCTTTTGATTGCCAGTTACATTCTAAGCCTTGTGAATGTAGCTTCTCCTTAGGAGTTTTCATTCTAGTGGGGAGAGGCTGTAAGAGAAGAACCAACAATATAACAATCAGAACCAACAAATAAACAATTTAAGATGTTTAAAGTGGTATGAAGAAAATAAATGGAGTCATGTGATACATTACTGGAATGGAGGTAGGAGTTAGAAGAGCTAGATTATTTTAGAAAAAAAAAAATAGTCTAAAAAGGTGACATTTAAACTGAGGTCTGAAAAATGAGAAGAAATTATACTAAAAAGTCAGGAAAATATTCCAGGCAGATGGAAGAATAGCAAGTGTAAAGGTCCAGTGTTAGGAAGGAGTAAGCTCATGTGAGTGAGTATAGTGAGTGAGGGGAAAGAATGCTGTAATATTGAAAAGCTACCTCAGCAGGGATCAGATTGAGTGGGCTATTCTAAATGAGATACTTTTACTCATTTTAAGTAGAATGTTTAAGTAGTACTATTTTAAGGTTAAAAAAAAGTCTAAAGTGCAGCAGTGGGAAATCACTGGAGAATTTGAAACATCCTTAGAGTTTAAAGACCACTTATAACTACTGTATGGAAAATAGACTAGAGAGGGAGCAAAAATGGAATCAGAGAAACCAGATATTAGAGTTTTACAGTAGTTTTGGCAATAGATGATAGTGGCTTAGAATAGGGTTATCTTCAGTGGAGATGGAGAGAAGTGGGCAGTTTTGAAATACATTTGGAAGGTAGAATAGAACTTACTGATAAATATAGGGCATGAAGGAAAAAGGAGGAATCAAAGATGATGCCTAAGCTTTTGACTTGAGCAGCCAGGTAGATGGCAATGCTTATTTACTAGGAAGAAGGGAACTTAGGAAGAGATAGATAAGAAGTAGTTTCCATTTTGGACAGGTTACATTTGAGATGCTTATTAGTTTTTTTCTAGTAAACGTGTCAAGTAGGTCATTGAATACACAAGTGAAGAGCACAGAGAGGTCAGGCTAAAGATAGAAATTTGTAATGTTATATTTACAGTCATGGACTAGACAAGATCACTTAGGGGGAAAGTGTAAATAGGGAAAGAAAGAACCTAACACTGACCCAAAGTTCTCCAGTATATCTAACGCTGACCCGCCTGCCTTAACCCATGGTATTTTTAGTTAACAATGAGAAAAGATTTGAAACTTTGGAATGAATTTTCTTTTTTAGCAGTCAGGTCTTTTGAAGCCATACAAAAAGTTGAGATTACAATCTTTGCATTTGCTAACCATTTTGCCACATACTAGGATTAAATATTTTGTTCAGAAAATATTTATTTTGCCTTTTAGATCTTAATATTATATGATATTACAGATTTGCTTTACTAACATCTCTCGTAATTGATTGGACTTAAGTGGGAAACAATATGATTTAGTTGAGAAAACATTTTGATTAAAAGACTGGTACAACGTGGACATAAAGATGGGAACAACAAACAGTGGGCACTCAGGAGAAGAGAGGGAAGGGCTGAAAGATCTTCCAACAATGGTCTAATCTGATGGCATATCAGTGTTGATTACAGTATTTTGTTTATTTAAGCATTTAATTTTTTAATACATACAACATAAATTGCTTCATATGTAAATTACTTAGTAAACTTTTACTTACACAGAAATTACATTTTGCAAGTATATTTCTAAATTATGTTTTGTAAGGATGAGTAAGATTTTCTGTCACATAAACATGAATTATATAAGTGAACTAAAAACGTATGAGACACTGATGAACTAAGCACTTCCCAGTGATACTATAAGGGATTCCTCATTCTTCTATATGTACTTTAAAATTAGTGGAAGATAGTAATTACACCTTGATCCTTATACCCTATAATAAGCCAGAAATTATAGAGAAATTGGGTACAGTTTTATTTCAATTACTTGGTGCAAAATACTCTTTAAAATATCATACCAGAATGAAATTTCCTCTATCTCTGTGTCTTCCGGCAAGCTACACTTAAATCATCTCTGATAGGTATGAATGTTTCTGTTCTTAAAGATTTCCAGGGAAGAGATTATATAGTCTTACTGGGCATGTGTTTCAACTGTAATACCACTGTGAAACTTTCTGGAAAGTCTTATTTAATGTTTATCCTAAATCATTCATGATACAGGGAACTCTCAATTATTTTCTCTAATGAAGGGAAAATGTCTTGTAGATAACAAAGAGTCGAATCATCCTCCCGGGTCTTTCCTTTATCCCTGCAATGAAACATCCTGACAGAGAAATAAGAAGATACAAAGTACTGACAGGAAGGCTCTAGGAAAGTCTCAGGGGATAGAGTTTGTGAAATCACTTTTCTCTTCACCCTTTAATACCTTCTAAAATTTCATTTGGAAGAAAACTGTAAGGTTGAAAGAAATGCTTGAATGAAAAATAAGCTTTTCTTAGCCACTTCAATTTCTTTGGAGAAAGAAGAATATAAATAAGTCTAAATAAATACCAATAGTTTTTATCTAAAATATGGTTTTTCTGATAAATTCCTCAGTAAATCTTGAGCAAATAAGGATTAAAATTTTCTAACTACTATGTTTTCTATAATTTAGAAAATTAGAACTTTTCTAATTTTAGAAAATTAGAAATTTAGCCATAAATCAGCAAATATGGTAATGTACCACATAACATTTTGGTCAACGATGGACCACATATATAATAGTGTTCTGATAAGATTATAAAGTAGATGAAAAATTCCTGTTGCGTAGTGACGTCATAGCTGTTATAATGTCTTAGTGCAATGCATTACTCAGGTGTTTATGGTGATGCTAAACAAAACGACTGCACTGCCAGTCTTATAAAAGTATAGCATATGCAATTATGTATAGTACATAATACTTGAAAATCAACAGCAGTGTTACTGGTTTATGTGTTTCCTATACTGTACTTTTTATTGTTATCTTAGAGCATACTCCTACATGTTTTTTTTTTTAAGTTAACTGTAAAACAGCCTTAGGCAAGTCCTTCAAGAGCTATATTCCAGAGGGAGGCGTTGCTATCAAAGGAGGTGACAGTGCCATGTGTGTTATTACTCCTGAAGACCTTCCAGTGGGACAAGATGTACAGGTGGAAGACACTGATATTGATAATCCTGACCCTGTGTAGGCGTTGTCTAATGTATATGTTGGTGTCTTTGTTTTTAACAAAAAACTCAAAGAATAAGGATATAGAGAAAAAATATTTTTGTACAGCTGTACATTTGTGTTTTAGAGTCAAAAGTTAAAAAATTAAAAATTTTATAAAGTAAAAAGTTACAGTAGGCTAAGGTTAGTGTTGAAGAAAAAATATGTTTTTATAAATTTAGTGTAGCTTCAGTATACAGTGTTTGTAAAGTCTACAGAAGTGTAAAGTAATGTCCTAGGCCTTCCCATTCATTCTCCACTCACTCACTGACTCACCCATAGCAACTTCCAGTCCTGCAGGCTCCATTTATGGCAAGTACCCTATACAGATGTACCATTTTTTATCTTTTATACAGTATTTTTACTGTACCTTTTCTATGTGTAGATACACGAAAACTTACAATGTTAAAATTGTTTACAGTCTTCACTACAGTAACATGCTGTACAGGTTTGTAGCCTAGGAGCAGTAGGCTATACTATTAATATTTTGCCTAGGTGTGTAGTAGACGTTACCATCTAGGTTTGTGTAGCAAACTCTGTGGTGTTCATACAACAATAAAATTAATGATAAATTTCTCAGAATGTATTCCTATTATTAACTGATGCATGACTCCATTTGGATTTGTAAAGCAGCGTGGTAGATACTGTGGAAACTAAAAATAATCCTTCTTTTAAAAGTTTCTCCTGGGTACGGTGGCTCACAACTATAATCCCAGCACTTTGGGAAGCCGAGGTGGGAGGCTTGCTTGAGCCCAGGAGTTTGAGACCAACCTGGACAACATAATGAGACATCATCTCTACAAAACACAAGATTAGCCAGGCAAGATTAGCCAAGCCAGCTGCTTGGGAGGCTGAGGTGGGAGGATCACTTGAGCCTAGAAGGTCAAGGCTGCAGTGAGCCATGATTGTACCACTGCACTCCAGCCTGGGCAATAGAGCAAGACCCCCATCTCAAAACAAAAACAAAAAAAAGTTCCTATTCCACTTAGAAGAATGTGTGTATGTATGTGTGTGTACATATATGTGCATATCTATACATATATGTAAAATACTAGCATTATAATACAGGATTGATAAATCTCTTATACATAAAATAAGTATTTAATATCATAGAGATTTGATGTGTAAAGAAAGCTGTCTGGATTAAAATGAATGGAAAGGAGACCTGAAAAGAAGGGGGACAAGGGTGCAGTCTTTTTTTTTAATTTTTTTTTTATTATACTTTAAGTTTTAGGGTACATGTGTACAACGTGCAGGTTAGTTACATATGTATACATGTGCCATGTTGGTGTGCTGCACCCAGTAACTCATCATTTAACATTAGGTATATCTCCAAATGCTATCCCTCCCCCCCCCCACCACCCCACAATAGGCCCTGGTGTGTGATGTTCCCCTTCCTGTGTCCCTGTGTTCTCATTGTTCAATTCCCACCCAAGAGTGAGAACATGCGGTGTTTGGTTTTTTGTCCTTGCGATAGTTTGCTGAGAATGATGGTTTCCAGCTTCATCCATGTCCCTACAAAGGACATGAACTCATCCTTTTTTATGGCTCCATAGTATTCCATGGTGTATATGTGCCACATTTTCTTAATCCAGTCTATCATTGTTGCACATTTGGGTTGGCTCCAGGTCTTTGCTATTGTGAATAGTGCCACAATAAACATATGTGTGCATGTGTCTTTATAGCAGCATGATTTATAATCCTTTGGGTATATACCCAGTAATGGGATGGCTGGGTCAAATGGTATTTCCAGTTCTAGATCCCTGAGGAATTGCCTCACTGACTTCCACAATGGTTGAACTAGTTAACAGTCCCAATGGTGTAAAAGTGTACCTATTTCTCCACATCCTCTCCAGCACCTGTTGTTTCCTGACTTTTTAATGATTGCCATTCTAACGGGTGTGAGATGGTATCTCATTGTGGTTTTGATTTGCATTTCTCTGATGGCCAGTGATGATGAGCATTTTTTCATGTGTCTTTTGGCTGCATAAATGTCTTCTTTTGAGAAGTGTCTGTTCATGTCCTTCACCCACTTTTTGATGGGGTTGTTTTTTTCTTGTAAATTTGTTTGAGTTCATTGTAGATTCTGGATATTAGCCCTTTGTCAGATGAGTAGATTGCAAAAATTTTCTCCTGTTCTGTAGGTTGCCTGTTCACTCTGAGGGTAGTTTCTTTTGCTGTGCAGAAGCTCTTTAGTTTAATTAGATCCCATTTGTCAATTTTGGCTTTTGTTGCCATTGCATTTGGTGTTTTAGACATGAAGTCCTTGCCCATGCCTATGTCCTCAATGGTATTGCCTAGGTTTTCTTCTAGGGTTTTTATAGTTTTAGGTCTAACATTTAAGTCTTTAATCCATCTTGAATTGATTTTTGTATAAGGTGTAAGGAAGGGATCCAGTTTCAGCTTTCTACATATGGCTAGCCAGTTTTCCCAGCACCATTTATTAAATAGGGAATCCTTTCCCCAT
The DNA here is from genome assembly GCF_000001405.40 of Homo sapiens. Taxonomy (NCBI): domain Eukaryota; kingdom Metazoa; phylum Chordata; class Mammalia; order Primates; family Hominidae; genus Homo; species Homo sapiens. The sequence continues at coordinate 128,900,419 of NC_000004.12, read as the reverse complement.
TGCTTGTTTTTCTCAGGTTTGTCAAAGACCAGATGGTTGTAGATATGTGGCATTATTTCTGAGGGCTGTGTTCTGTTCCATTGGTCTGTATCTCTGTTTTGGTACCAGTACCATGCTGTTTTGGTTACTGTAGCCTTGTAGTATAGTTTGAAGTCAAGTAGCATGATGCCTCCAGCTTTGTTCTTTTGGCTTAGGATTGACTTGGCGATGCAGGCTCTTTTTTTGGTTCCATATGAACTTTCAAGTAGTTTTTTCCAATTCTGTGAAGAAAGTCATTGGTAGCTTGATGGGGATGGCATTGAATCTATAAATTACCTTGGGCAGTATGGCCATTTTCATGGTATCGATTCTTCCTACCCATGCGTGTGGAATGTTCTTCCATTTGTTTGTATCCTCTTTTATTTCCTTGAGCACTGGTTTGTAGTTCTCCTTGAAGAGGTCCTTCACATCCCTTATAAGTTGGATTCCTAGGTATTTTATTCTCTTTGAAGCAATTGTGAATGGGAGTTCACTCATGATTTGGCTCTCTGTTTGTCTGTTATTGGTGTATAAGAATTCTTGTGATTTTTGCACATTGATTTTGTATCCTGAGACTTTGCTGAAGTTGCCTATCAGCTTAAGGAGATTTTGGGCTGAGACAGTGGGGTTTTCTAGATATACAATCATGTCATCTTCAAACAGGGACAATTTGACTTCCTCTTTTCCTAATTGAATACCCTTTATTTCCTTCTCCTGCCTGATTGCCCTGGCCAGAACTTCCAACACTATGTTGAATAGGAGTGGTGAGAGAGGACATCCCTGTCTTGTGCCAGTTTTCAAAGGGAATGCTTCCAGTTTTTGCCCATTCAGTATGATATTGGCTGTGGGTTTGTCATAGATAGCTCTTATTATTTTGAGATACGTCCCATTAATACCTAATTTATTGAGAGTTTTTAGCATGAATGGTTGTTGAATTTTGTCAAAGGCCTTTTCTGCATCTATTGAGATAATCTTATGGTTTTTGTCATTGGTTCTGTTTATATGCTGGATTATGTTTATCGATTTGCATATGTTGAACCAGCCTGGCATCCCAGGGATGAAGCCCACTTGATCATGGTGGATAAGCTTTTTGATGTGCTGCTGGATTCGGTTTGCCAGTATTTTATTGAGGATTTTTGCATCGATGTTCATCAGGGATATTGGTCTAAAATTCTCTTTTTTTGTTGTGTCTCTGCCAGGCTTTGGTATCAGGATGATGCTGGCCTCATAAAATGAGTTAGGGAGCACTCCCTCTTTTTCTATTGATTGGGATAGTTTCAGAAGGAATGGTACCAGCTCCTCCTTGTACCTCTGGTAGAATTCGGCTGTGAATCCATCTGGTCCTGGACTTTTTTTGGTTGGTAAACTATGAATTATTGCCTCAATTTCAGAGCCTGTTATTGGTCTATTCAGAGAATCAGCTTCTTCCTGGTTTAGTCTTCAGAGGGTGTATGTGTCAAGGAATTTATCCATTTCTTCTAGATTTTCTAGTTTATTTGCGTAGAGGTGTTTATAGTATTCTCTGATGGTAGTTTGTATTTCTGTGAGATTGGTGGTGATATCCCCTTTATCATTTTTTATTGCGTCTATTTGATTCTTCTCTGTTTTCTTCTTCATTAGTCTTGCTAGCGGTCTATCAATTTTGTTGATCTTTTCAAAAAACCAGCTCCCGGATTCATTGATTTTTTGAAGGGATTTTTGTGTCTCTATTTCCTTCACTTCTGCTCTGATCTTAGTTATTTCTTGCCATCTGCTAGCTTTTGAATGTGTTTGCTCTTGCTTCTCTAGTTCTTTTAATTGTGATGTTAGGGTGTCAATTTTCGATCTTTCCTGCTTTCTCTTGTGGGCATTTAGTGCTATAAATTTCCCTCTACACACTGCTTTGAATGTGTCCCAGAGATTCTGGTATGTTGTGTCTTTGTTCTCGTTGGTTTCAAAGAACATCTTTATTTCTGCCTTCATTTTGTTATGTACCCAGTAGTCATTCAGGAGCAGGTTGTTCAGTTTCCATGTAGTTGAGCGGTTTTGAGTGAGTTTCTTAATCGTGAGCTCTAGTTTGATTGCACTGTGGTCTGAGAGACAGTTTGTTATAATTTCTGCTCTTTTACATTTGCTGAGGAGTGCTTTACTTCCAACTATGTGGTCAATTTTGGAATAAGTGCAGTGTGGTGCTGAGAAGAATGTATATTCTGTTGATTTGGGGTGGAGAGTTGTGTAGATGTCTATTAGGTCTGCTTGGTATGGAGCTGAGTTCAATTCCTGGATATCCTTGTTAACTTTCTGTCTCGTTGATCTGTCTAATGTTGACAGTGGGGTGTTAAAGTCTCCCATTATTATTGTGCGGGAGTCTAAGTCTCTTTGTAGGTCTCTAAGGACTTGCTTTATGAATCTGGGTGCTCCTGTATTGGGTGCATATATATTTAAGATAGTTAGCTCTTCTTGTTGAGTTGATCCCTTTACCATTATGTAATGGCCTTCTTTGTCTCTTTTGATCTTTGTTGTTTTAAAGTCTGTTTTATCAGAGACTAGGATTGCAACCCCTGCCTTTTTGTGTTTTCCATTTGCTTGGTAGATCTTCCTCCATCCCTTTATTTTGAGCCTATGTGTGTCTCTGCAGGTGAGATGGGTTTCCTGAATACAGCACACTGATGTGTCTTGACTCTTTATCCAATTTGCCAGCCTGTGTCTTTTAATTGGAGCATTTAGCGCATTTACATTTAAGATTAATATTGTTATGTGTGAATTTGATCCTGTCATTATGATGTTAGCTGGTGATTTTGCTCGTTAGTTGATGCAGTTTTTTCCTAGCCTCGATGGTCTTTACAATTTGGCATGTTTTTGCAGCGGCTGGTACCGGTTGTTCCTTTCCATGTTTAGTGCTTCCTTCAGGAGCTCTTTTAGGCAGGCCTGGTGGTGACAAAATCTCTCAGCATTTGCTTGTCTGTAAAGGATTTTATTTCTCCTTCACTTATGAAGCTTAGTTTGGCTGGATATGAAATTCTGGGTTGAAAATTCTTTTCTTTAAGAATATTGAATATTGGCCCCCACTCTCTTCTGGCTTGTAGAGTTTCTGCCGAGAGATCAGCTGTTAGTCTGATGGGCTTCCCTTTGTGGGTAACCCGATCTTTCTCTCTGGCTGCCCTTAACATTTTTTCCTTCATTTCAACTTTGGTGAATCTGACAATTATGTGTCTTGGAGTTGCTGTTCTTGAGGAGTATCTTTGTGGCATTCTCTGTATTTCCTGAATATGAACGTTGGCCTGCCTTGCTAGATTGGGGAAGTTCTCCTGGATAATATCCTGCAGAGTGTTTTCCAACTTGGTTCCATTCTCCCCGTCACTTTCAGGTACACCAATCAGACGAGAGTTGGTCTTTTCACATAGTCCCATATTTCTTGGAGGCTTTGTTCGTTTCTTTTTATTCTTTTTTCTCTAAACTTCTCTTCTCACTTCATTTCATTCATTTGATCTTCCATCACTGATACCCTTTCTTCCAGTTGATCGAATCGGCTACTGAGGCTTGTGCATTCGTCAGGTAGTTCTCGAGCCTTGGCTTTCAGCTCCATCAGGTCCTTTAAGGACTTCTCTGCATTCGTTATTCTAGTTAGCCATTTGTCTAATTTTTTTTCAGGGTTTTTAACTTCTTTGCCATGGGTTCAAACTTCCTACTTTAGCTGGGAGTAGTTTGATCGTCTGAAGCCTTCTTCTCTCAACTCGTCAAAGTCATTCTCCGTCCAGCTTTGTTCCATTGCTGGTGAGGAGCTGCGTTCCTTTGGAGGAGAAGAGGCACTCTGATTTTTAGAGTTTCCAGTTTTTCTGCTCTGTTTTTTCCCCATCTTTGTGGTTTTATCTACTTTTGCTCTTTGATGATGATAACGTGCAGATGGGGTTTTGGTGTGGATGTCCTTTCTGTTTGTTAGTTTTCCTTCTGACAGTCAGGACCCTCAGCTGCAGGTCTGTTGGAGTTTGCTGGAGGTCCACTCCAGACCCTGTTTGCCTGGGTATCAGCAGCAGAGGCTGCAGAACAGTGGATGTTGGTGAACAGCAAATGTTGCTGCCTGTTCGTTCCTCTGGAAATTTTGTCTCAGAGGAGCACCCAGCCAGTACCCGGTACTGGGGGGTACCTCCCAGTTAGGCTACTTGGGGGTCAGGGACCCACTTGAGGAGGCAGTCTGTCTGTTCTCAGATCTCCAGCTGCGTGCTGGGAGAACCACTACTCTCTTCAAAGCTGTCAGACAGGGACATTTAAGTCTGCAAAGGATTCTGCTGCCTTTTGTTTGGCAATGCCCTGCCCCCAGAGGTGGAGCCTACAGAGGCAGGCAGGCCTCCTTGAGCTGCAGTGGGCTCCACCCAGTTTGAGCTTCCTGGCCACTTTGTTTACCTACTCAAGCTTTGGCAATGGCGGGTGCCCCTCCCCCAGCCTCGCTGCCGCCTTGCAGTTTGATCTCAGACTGCTGTGCTAGCAATGAGCGAGGCTCCGTGGGCATAGGACCCTTCAAGCCAGGCAGAGGATATAATCTCCTGGTGTGCCGTTTGCTAAGACTGTTGGAAAAGCGCAGTATTAAGGGTGGGAGTGACCCGATTTTCCAGGTGCCGTCTGTCACCCCTTTCTTTGACTAGGAAAGGGAATTCCCTGACCCCTTGCACTTCCCAGGTGAGGCAATGCCTCGCCCTGCTTCGGCTCATGCTAGGTGCGCTGCACCCACTGTCCTGCACCCGCTTTCTGACACTCCCCAGTGAGATGAACCCGGTACCTCAGTTGGAAATGCAGAAATCACCCATCTTCTGCGTTGCTCATGCTGGGAGCTGTAGACTGGAGCTGTTCCTATTCAGCCATCTTGGCTTCACCCCACCAAGGGTGCAGTCTTAAAGAATGGGCAGAATTGTAATGGGAAATCCGAAAAACACAATCTAAAAAATAATATAAACCTGATCCTGAGGTAATACATATGCAGTTTGTTTTCGAGACAGTGAGAGCCCAACTGAAGTGTGGAAGGTTCCTTTTGGGGATAAGGTTGGAAAGATAAATTACACAAAATTTTGGAGGATCTTATGACATTCTCAGGAATTTGGACTATTTTGTCCAATAGCTGAGAGCCATTGAAGATTATCACTCAAAGAAGCAAATTATTAAAGTGGTGTTTTGGAAAGAGAAATATGCTAGAGATACATGGTTTAGAGAGGGAAACCCACTATATTAGTTGAGTACATTCATTTGCCCTGTGGTAGAGTGCTTTACATATATTGTTTCACCTGATATTGAGAAACCCAAGCAGCTCGTTATTACAATAACTCTAAGAATTAAGTTCTAAGGACTTGAATTGGGATGGTAACACTGAATAGGAATGAAAAATAGATGCAAGAGACGTATCAAAGAGAGAGTCTCTTTCAGGGTAAATGAGATGTTGCATTTAAGACAGTGAGAAGCTGGGCACGGTGGCTCATGCCTGTAATCCCAGCACTTTAGGAGGCCAAGGAGGGTGGATCACCTGAGGTCAGGAGTTTGATACCAGCCTGGCCAACATGGTGATACCCCATCTCTACTAAAAATACAAAAATTAGTTGGGCATGGTGGTGGGTGCCTGTAATCCCAGCTACTGGGGAGGCTGGGGCAGGAGAATCACTTGAAGCGGGAGGCGGAGGTTGCAGTGAGCCGAGATCACGCCACTGCACTCAAGCCGGGGAGACACAGTGAGACTCCATCTCACAAAAAAAAAAGAAAGACAAAGTGAGAAATAGGAGTTGACTTTAAGCTTTTTAACCTAGACACCTAGGGCTGAGATGTCAGTATAAACTGAGGAGCAGGATGAGAAGTAGATTTGTGGGACAATGCAAAAAGCTTGATATTAGGCTTGTTAAGTTTGAATTTAAGACTGGACTTTTAGGGAAGAAGTCTGAAGTAAAAATTTAATTGCTAGCTTTCCAAGTAAGTATATAAATTTTCATATTCCTAGAAGGCCTAATACACATACACACACACATATACTCTGTGTGTGTGTGTGTGTGTGTGTGTGTGTGTGTGTGTGTGTGTGTGTGTGTTACTTACTCAATGAACTTTCATTATTTGCCTGCCATGTTGCAGTATAGGGCAGTGGTTAAGAGCACGGACTTTGGAATCAAAGGACCAAGTTTTTTTAACCTTGACTGTACAACTGACAAGCAGCCAGATGCAGTGGCTCACACCTGTAATCCCAACACTTCAGGAGGCCAAGGTGGGAGGACTGCTTGAGCCCAGGAGTTCTAGATCAACCTGGGCAATATGGTAAAACCCTATCTCTACAAAAAATACAAAAAAACTAGCCGGGCATGATGGCATGCACCTGAAGGCTCAGCTACTCAGGAGGCTGAGGCAAGAGGACCACCTGAGCCTGGGAGGTGCAGGCTGCAGTGAGCCGTGATTGTGCCACTGCACTCTGGCCTGGGTGACAGAGTGAGACCCTCTCTCAAAAAACAAACAAACAAACAAACAAAAAACCTGACAGGCTATGTGACCCTAGGCAAGTTACTTATTTTTTTAATTTCTGTTTTTTAATTTTCTCATATGTAAAAATTGGGATTTCGGGGCTGGGCACAGTGGCTCACGCCTGTAATCCCAACACTTTGGGAGGCCGAGGAGGGCGGCTCACGAGGTCAGGAGATTGAGACCATCCTGGCTAATATGGTGAAACCTCATCTCTACTAAAAATACAAAAATTAGCTGGGCGTGGTGGCGGGCGCCTGTAGTCCCAGCTACTTGGGAGGCTGAGGCAGGAGAATGGCATGAGCCTGGGAGGCAGAGCTTGCAGTGAGCCGAGATGGCACCACTGCACTCCAGCCTGGGGGACAGAGCAAGACTCCATCTCAAAAAAAAATGGAGATTTTATATATTAGTCATGCAAACTAAATATTAAATTAATTTATGAAAGCACCTAGAACAGTGCCTGGCACATTGTAAGCAAATACTATGGAAATGTTTGCTCTTATTATCATCATCACATCATTTTCACTATTATTTGCCAAGCTTTGTTGAGTACAAAGATGAATAATGAAGTTGCTCACTATCCAATGGGGGAGACAGAGCTTGATATATAAAGAGATAAATATTTACATAGATTAAGGGTAACAAAGTATATTTTCATTTAATGATTTGTGTCTTTGTGATCTTAAATATTGTGGAAAATCATTACTATCCATCATTAAGATTGTCTTGAGTAAGTAAGTGAATAATAGTTTAGGCATGAAATTATACCAGTAGGTGTTTTCCTGAAAAGGTTTTGTGTAAACTGAATGTTGGCTAACTTTATAAATGTGTTCATCGTTTCTTCTTAATCTCAATTATACTCACAATTTATTTTTCATCAGCACTAATATGCGTAACTTTTACCTGTAATTACATTTGACCTAGAAGACTGACCACTAGTCATTTTGTTTATCATTCTTTAGTTGTTTTTTTTCTTATGTTGTCGGGGGGATGGTTGGGCAGTAATTTTAAGCTGCACAAGATACATTAAAGTAAGCATAATAATTTATTCTATTTTGTCATTATCACTCAAAGCTAAAACAATATATTTTGGTTTGTCTGTCATGGAATTAATGATAGATACCCAAACTCCTCATAGTCAATGAACCTGTGTTTATGAAATCACTAAGTTAGAATAACTGATCTCCCTCGTAGTCTGTCAGTTCTGTGATGACAACAATTATGTTTGCCACCACATACCTTGCACCTGGCCTGTAACGAATGTTCAGTAACTATTTGTATAATTGAATAGTGGATGACATTGCTTTCTGTTTTATATATTTATAACAAATTACTTGTTATTTTTAGCAACTATTCACTCAACTATAGGATACTTGAGAGGCTTACCAAGTTTTTAGGCTGTTTGCTGGCTCATTTGAAAAAAATCAAAGCTGAAGTTATTTTGGAAGTGCTAATCTGTTGATTGATTTAAGAAGCACAAGTAAGGTCAAAGGATAAAAGCCAATACTGAATCAAGGATTTCACCTAAGCCAAATCCAAATTAATTCTCTACTTGGAAATAATGATACAGAAATCATCCATAATCATCATAACCCTAAAAGTTCACACACAGTGTGATGTGAAGAAAAGCTTTGAATGTCATTGATTCCTTATATGTAATACTCACAAATTTATCTGATATTTGTTCAGATTACTTTTAAGGCTACATTGTATGTACCCTTAACCTGAAACTCTTGAAGTGACATTTGGCTAAAAGCAATAGAATACTTATACGTTGAACAAGAAGAAGAAGACAGTTCTGTGCGTAAGATAATTTCAGCTAATGAAGCATAAATGATATGAATGAGTAAAACACAGTACATTTACAACCAAAACATAAATAAGAATTCTAACTATACTGCACTGAAGTGATACTGGAGTAATTAATGTTTCCTTAAATTTCTAAGAGTTGAGCTCCCCTAAAAAGCACTGTATATGAATCTTACAAATGCATACTAAGGCCAGGCACAGTGGCTCATGCCTATAATCCCAGCACTTTGGGAGGCCGAGGAGGGTGGATTGCTTGAGCTGAGGAGTTCAAGACCAACCTTGGCAACATGGTGAAACCCCGTCTCTACTAAAATACAAAAAATTATCCAGGCGTGGTGGTGCAAGCCTGTAGTCCCAGCTACTCGGGAGGTTGAGGCATGAGAATCACTTGACCCTGGGAGGCAGAGGTTGCAGTGAGCCAAGATCATGCCACTGCACTTCAGTTTGGGCTACAGAATGAGACTCCATCTCAAAAAAAAAAAAAAAAAAAGCATATTATAGCTAAGAAGCACAGTAGCTTACAAGATTTTGTAATAATAAATACTGTATCTTTTTAATATGAGTATGCTTTTATTTTAGTGTCTAATAGTATCTCAAAATAATGTTGAAGATACTTTTGTACTTTTAAAATATGTATTTTTATTTTGCTTTTTTTAGTTTGGCAAAATATACATAAAATTTACCATTTTAATTGTGATAAAATTTTTTAAATTATGATAAAATACACATAAAACTTACCACCTTAACTATTTTTAAGTGTACAATCCAATAGTGTTACATGTATACACATTGTTGTGCAACTAATCTCTAGAGTATATGTGTGTTTTGTTAAAAAGAAATAAACAAGTCCTTGAGATATGGTCTATTAGTAAGTGACTTTATTTTCCACCTCAAGATGATATTTTTGTTCAAATCATGAACATGTATCTTGCTAATAAAGATTCTGTTTTCTATTTGGAACAATTATATTAATGGATTTTTTGGTGCTCTTAATAGGAGTGAGCTGAGTCGACAGAAACTTCATACCCAAGAGCTGCTTTCTCAGCTGGAAATGGCAAATGAAAAGGTAGCTGAGGTGAGATAATGACTCCCCTGGGAAGTGCTTTCTGCTGCAGCATGATACACATGTTATAGAATTTTACCTGAGCCAAATCCAAATTATTTCTCTACTTGGAAATAACAATACAGAAATCATCCATAACCCTAAAAGCCCACACGCAATATAATGTGAATAAAAGCTTTGAACATCAGTGATTCATCATATGTAAATAATAAAAGGTAGAGCTCTTATTTCTGTTTTACCAATAGAACTTGTGTAGTATTTCAGAGAACGTATTAGGATCCCCTTTATTCTTATGCATCTCTAAAATTATTTTTTAACCCATTCATCTTTTTTCATTTTAATCCATCCCAAAAGACACATCACATAAAAAATACTTTTGCCTACTGGAATATATTAAAATATATTTAGATTTATGCCTTAGAACTAAATATAGCAAGAGTTCAAGTTTTTTTCCTTGAGGCATTCAAAAAGTAAACAATTTTTGGATTATGATTGAGGCTTTTTAGATCTCTTCATTTGATGTTCTAACTTCAAATGTTTGTTGGAATTTCTCTGAATATATGGTCTACTCCATCTTTGTGGTCTACTGTAGTAGCTATAGTGAAATCGTTACTCCTAAGCATCATGGCATTATGAATTGATATGAGCCATTTAGAAGTTAATTGAGGAATAGCCATTGAAATAATCTTTCAGGTAGCTCCCATTTCCAGATATCTATTCTAATGAGTAATTTAAAATACAAAAAAAATTTGAAAGAAGGTACTCAGTACAGTAATGTTAATAATATAGGAAGATCAAAAGCAACCAAAATGATGAATAGAAAAGGAACAGTTGCATATACTAGGATTTATCCAATCTGAACTGTTCCTCAACCATTATGGTAGCAGTATAGAAGAAGTTGCATTATATGAAGTCTGCGTATAAATATGAAAATGATTATTACAGATGATGGAATTTTTTCCCCCGTTTTCTCTAGCATATGATGTGCTTCTTAAAATTTAGAGGCTACATATTTAAACATCTTGGTAAATTGGACCAGCCAATATAGTTCTCTTCATAACATTTAATTTTGCTTTTGGGCATAATAAGAAATATAATAAGCTCATTTTAGCAGGATACTGTTATTTCAATATTTTATATTACTGTAATAGCCATAACATTCATTCTTATCACTTGTATGTTAGGACATGGGAACTATAAGTTTCTGGTTCTTCATAGAAAATGTGTTTTTCTAACTCTTCCTGATTAGGCTTGTATTATTATCTCATTCAGATAAGTGCCAGAAAAACTGTTTAACAATTCTAGTTGTACAAAAATATTTTTTTCAGATGTACTATAACCAGGCTAGTAAGTGTGGAGAGAGCTAATCCATTTTTTAATTTCCATTTTTTAATTGATAGATTATTTGCACTTGTCTGTCTGACAGTATGTTGTGACAGCTTTGTATTCATGATGCCTGTATAGTTCTTGCCATAACAAAGTATTAGAAACTGGGTGGCTTAAACAACGCAAAATAATTGTCTCTTAGTTCCAGAGGCTAGAAGTCCAAAATTGAGGTATTGACATTGTTAGTTCCTTCTGAGAGCTGTGAGGGAGAATCTGTTCCATGCCTTTCTCCCAGCTTCTGGTAGCCTCAGACATTCTTTGGCTTGTAGATTGTGTTCTCTCTGTGTCTTCAACTTGTCTTTCCTTTGTACATGTGTGTCTCTGTGTCCAAATTTCCCCTTTTATGAAGACACCAGTCATATGGATTATGGTCCACCCTAATGATCTCATCTCAACTTGATCATCAGCAAGGACTCTCTTTCCAAATAAGGTCACATTCCCAGATACTGGGGGTTAGGACACAATTCAACCCCTAACAGTGCCTAATAGCTCTTTTGACCCTAATAGACTCTGGAGTATGCAGATGTCTTGGGGAACATACAGAAACAGTTCATCCCACCCCTACTAAAGCTCTGGTTGTAAGGCCCAGCAGTCTGTGTTTTCACAGTCCAGGTGATTCTGAAGCAGTGACCTTCACAAATTGAAAGTCTTATTCTTCCGAGTCATTTTGCTTTGAGATTTGTTAATTCACTTTCTTTGCTGGCATGTGGGAGAAAGAAAACAATTTATTAAGAATGTAAAACAAAGTTTGTATTTTAAAGCTCATAACTTGAAAAATGTAAATTTGGAGATAATATTCTTTGTATTTTATAAGTGGTAAAGTGATGTCCAGATTTTTCGTTGATTATTCCACAAAACATCTCCATGTCACATATGGATTTCTAACTTGTTTTCTATTTCCCCTTAATAGAATGAAAAGCTAATTCTAGAGCATCAAGAAAAAGCCAACAGACTTCAAAGGCGTCTAAGTCAGGCAGAAGAGAGAGCTGCTTCAGCTTCCCAGCAGGTAGGGAGCATCCTCTTATCCCTAGATAATAAACAGTTCAAAGATAAGTTTTTTAGAAGTTCCCAGGGAACTTAATAGTTTATTTTTACTAGATTAACATATTTTAAAATTAATCCCTTTAATATGTGAGGTTGAAAAAGTAAACATTGGAAACAAAAATAAGCTATGCGTGGTGGCTCGCAACTGTAATGCCAGCAATTTGGGAGGCCTAGGCAGGAGGATCACTTGAGGCCAGGAGTTCAAGACCATCCTGCAAAACATGGCAATACCTTTTCTCTACAAAAAATTTTAAAAATTAGCCAAATATAGTGGCGCATATCTCTGTTTCCAACTACTGGGAAGGCTGAGGCAGGAGGATGGCGTGGGCCCAAGAAGTCGAAGCTGCAGTGAGCCACGTTTGTGCTACTGCACTCCAGCCTGGCGGACAGAGTGAGACCCTCACTCTGTATCAACAAAAAAAAAAAAAACAGAAAAGACATATACTGTCTAACAATCATAGCCTCTAGCCACAGGCCACTATTTATATTTAAATTAATTTAAATTAAATTAAATTTAAAATTGAAATCATCCATCATACTAGTCAGATTTCAAGTGCTCAATAGCTGTATGTAGCTAGGGCTATCACATTGGACAGCATAGATGTGGAACATTTCTGTCATAACAAAAAGTTCTGTTACACAACACTGCTCTAGAATTATGTCCTATCTAAAACCAGGCAGAGATTCACTAACAGATTTGAAAGTAGATAATATTGCTTTGAATGTAATATTTCAAATTTCACTAACTTTGTTTTTATTTTACTTATCAGTGGAAAAAAATTCCTTGGCTTACAAGTTAATTTACTTAATGCATATTTTCATATGACCAAAAAAATCTAAAATACAATATAAAAGTTGTCCAGTGGGAAATAGAGTAGAAAATGCAGAATAACAATGAAATACTAAGGGATAATTTCTCTTAATACACACACATCATATAAATGAAGTAGGCCCTTGATTGTAAAGTAGGAGCAATAGTCCCTCATATGAGGAACAAAATGAGACCAGTTCAGTGATTATAGACTAGACACAGACAGTTGAAATGGATAGATAGATAGGGGAGGCGAGAAAACAAAAACAAATCAAATTACTATATTATTAATTATATTTGCTTATAAATGTATTATTTCAATCAAAATTAATATTATTCTTAACTATTACAGCATTTTATACATAGTAAAGCCACTCTGCTTGCTGAATTCAGTTTATGTTCATGATATTTACAGATTTTTTTGAATCTACTTCTGTTATGAACATGGCATGCCACTTAAAGAAAATTTAATAATAATTTATCCTTCTGTTACTCTCCCTCTTGAAAGTAATTACAGCCTTTTCAAATAATTTTTATGTCTTATGAAGTTATGAATTAACTAATGGGTTAGCTAATTATGCAAGAATGTATTTAGGTTATAAGGTAACAGAAGTTAGGTGCACTGGACAGTATCTGGCAAGTATGTGTTTTGGTGTCAGGCAAATCGCTTAGTGCCATTTAGTGCCATTAAGTAAAAGCTTGTGACTTTGGGCAATTTCAACTTCTCTAAGCCTCAGTTTCCTCATGTTTAATATAGGATAATAATACCTCCCTCATACGGTTATTAAAGGATCAAAAGAATTAACACATGTAAAGCATTTCCTATAGTGGTAAGTAGATATTTAGACAGATATGTAAGAAATTAAATTTCTGTATCATAATCCTTAAAGCTTCACGTTTACCTTTTTTAAGGCAAATGGCAAAGAAAACGTCTACGAAAATCAACTACCTTGAGTTCTATAGTAAAAAGGGAACGATTACAGGACATTAATTATATAACCAGTTAGCATCTAGTTTAGTTTCTCCCCTGAAAAAATTAAACCTAAACAGTCTAGTACTGATGTTTCTTCTGTTGTTTAAACTCTCCAATGGCAAAGATTCCACCGTTCTTTTGACTAACCTTTTTAAAATGTTTTGTCAGTAACCACTTCACGAATTGTTCTGTAACAAATCTTTCCCTAAGCTTTTCTCCTTCCATTCTGTTCTTATTTGAAGATGGAAGGTAATTATTCAGCACTTTTCCCTTACCCAAAAAGGAATTTCTTCCCTGGAGTTAATATTTTTTCTGTTTTAAATGAGTCCAAGTGATCAACTTTGTTTGTAAGACGTACATTTTATTTTTTTAATTTTTATCTTTACCCTCTCTGAATCTTCTAATTTTCCTATAAAAACTGAAAAAGTGCTATTAGAAATAATATCCTACTAAATGCATATTAACAAAATGAAGAAAATTTAAAAATTATTATCATCTCTGACACATCACACTTACCATAGTGCAGTGCAGCATCGTGTTACTGGTTCAATACAAGCCCTGAATCGTGCTGATGCACTGTGCTCTAAATGTGCTTTTCTGATTAACTTTCTCTACACGTTATTCATCCATTCTAAGTGTATCACTCTAAATAGTTGAATGCCATACTGTGTTCTGTTAACATATGAGTTTTTTAAATCAGCGTGGTGAAGCCTTTCAATGCAAGAACACAAAACCTAGAAGCTAAGAAAAAAATTAATAAATATAATCACAGTTTCAAATTTCTGTATCAGAAAAAGTCATAAAGTCAGTGACAAACCGAGAAAAATATTTGTACCATATATGACAAAAGGCTAATGCCCTAAACACATATAAAGGATACCTAAGTTTTCAAAAAATGCCACAGTCCGGTAGACAAATATATAAAGGAAGTTTATGGAGAAAGAAGGACAGATGGCTTTTAAACATTTAAAAAGATGTTCATCCTCACCTATAAGACAAATACAAATTTAAACTGTAATCACATCATTTTTTACCTATCAGATCATGAAGTTTGGAAATGCATTGTGCTGGCACTTTCACATATTATTGATATAAGCACATGTTGGTACAGTCTCCGGAGCACAGTTTGGCAGTATCTTTCAAAAACTGTAAATGTATATAACCTTTGACCCACACTTGCACCTGGAAACATTTTTGCCAGGAAGCAAACATATAAAAATACTGATTGAAGCATTGTCTCTCCTTTTAAAAGATTAAAAACCATACAAATACCCAACAATAGCAGACTGGTTATATGGAGTATTCACACAGAGGAACAGTTTGCAGCTATTAAGAGGAATAAAGTATAGTAGGCCTAATATAGAGCTATTTCTAAGGTAGATTATTTAGAAGAAAAACACAAGATGAAAAGTGTTTATAATACTTTCATCATTTTTTAAATTAAAGGAATGAAGAAATACATATATTCTCATTTAAAATATTTACGGAAACATACTTTAAAACTGGAAATAGTGGTTGTATCTGGAGAGGGGTCTATGGAATGAAAGACAGCAATGGGAACGAGACTTCCTTTATGCTGTCTACCGTTTTGTACTGTTAGATCTTTTTTTACTATGTGTATATGTTATTAATTCCTACTAACATTTAAAGATTATTTTTCTATTAGACTTGTTATAATCTATCATCACTTTATTATCAGCCTTGCATTGTGTTGGCTTACATTAGTTTGTGTTTTAGAAACTTTCCTGATTAACTTTTATGTAGATGTTTTTCATCCATCTGGAATATGTTTTACAATTCTAAGCGTATCACCCTGAGCTATAGAATGTCTTATTTGACCTGCATTTCTCTAAATTAATAGACATTTTAAAGTTTCAAGAGTAAAATAGAAATTAATTTTAAAATGATCACTGACTGGGCACAGTGGCTTACACCTATAATCCCAGTACTTTGAGACCAAGGTGGGTGGATTGCTTGAGCCCAAGAGTTCAAGGCTGGTCTGGGCAACGTAGTGAGACCCTGTCTCTGAAAAAAATTAAAAATTAAAATTAACCAGGTGTAGTGGCTACTGAAGAGGCTGAAGTAGAAGGATCACTTGATCCTGGGAGGTCAAGGCTACATTGAGCTGTGATTGTACCACTGTACTCCAGCCTGGGCAACAGAGCAAGATTGCCTCAAAAAGAAAAAGATCATTTACAAAACCCTTTCCAATAAGACCATTTCAGTACTTATAGGTTGTGATGCATTCTTCTTTGTATTAATCTAAGATTTTCCACAGAAAAAGTAACTACTTACCGATTGTTTATTTTAATTGCAGCTCAGTGTGATTACAGTGCAGAGAAGAAAAGCAGCCTCCCTGATGAATCTGGAAAATATTTAAAAATATTCATAGTTCACTCACAGAACTTTAGAGTTGGGAAAGCAGTTGGACTAGAAGTGTATTGAAATGGTAAAGCCTGCAAAGTATAATAGTTAAGGCTTGTGTTATTTCGCGTAAGCATTGTTGTTCTGTTTTGAGGGTTATTGGAAAACAGAGCAGTGACCACTTCCTGTAAGTAAAGAAAATATAATCCTATATTGAGCTTCAGTGGAGAATAAACCAGCTGAGAAGAACTCATTGCCTTCATCAATGTGTCTGTTTTTTAATTCCTCCTTTTTCCCTTGAAAGGACATAATAATTTTCAAACTATGCAAATTTCTCTTTCATAAGAAAGAGTTTTTAAGAAAATTCTAGAATTTAATATTTCAGTTTCCAAGATTTGAGAATTTTACATCTAATTGTTACTTCTAACTCATTTTTAAAGTTCCTAAGTATCCATTTTATTATGAACTCATAAATGTAATAAATTGTGCACTTTCTAAAATGATGCTGTCATGTATTTTAATGTATGATTGTAGTGCTTCATTTTTAACTTACGGTTTTCAGTATTTATGGAACTTGATATTTAAGAATTTGGAAGGTGTCTTTTACATGTTACTTAAAGCAATACTAATCAAATGGAGATCTTAGGTGCTAAGACTGCATGGCATTGAACTATTGAAGTCCTATTGATCTTCATAGATACATGTTCCTATTCTCTGGTTTGAACTTAGCGCACCCTGGTTTCTGTTGATTAAAGCAGAGAGGTTTGCATCTGGATAACCAATTAGGAGACTGCTGCAGTTGTCCAGATAAAAGATAATGAGTTTGAGTTGAAGGTGACATGAAAACATTCACGTGTAGATATTCAGCCATCAGTCAGAAATTTAGTAATGGTGCTAACAGTTAAGATAGTCATAGGAATCTTTTTTTATTATTATTATCATATTTTAAGTTCTAGGGTAAATGTGCAGAACATGCAGGTTTGTTACATAGGTATACCTGTGCCATAGTGGTTTGCTGCACCCATCAACCCGTTATCTACGTTAGGTATTTCTCCTAATGCTGTCCCTCCCCTACCCTTTCACCCCTCGACAGGCCCGGGTGTGTGATAGGAGTCTTCTGCGTGGAGCTGAGAATTGAAGCTGTGGAAGTGGAAGAGCTTCCCTTGGGGCCTTCCATGATGTGAATAGCAATCTCTTCAGCTTCCTCCCACACTATTCTTCCCCTCCATTTCTTATGCTCTGACTTGGATGGCCTTCTTTTACTTCTGTCAATATATAATCCTCCCTCCCAATACAGGGTCTCTCTGCATGTACTTTTTTTTTTTTTTTTTTTTTGTTGTTGTTGTTGTTGAGAGAGTCTCACTCCATCACCAGGCTGGAGTACAGAGGCATGATCTCGGCTCACTGCAACCTCTGCCTCCCAGGTTCAAGCGATTCTCCTGCCTCAGCCTCCCAAGTAGCTGGGATTACAGGCACCCGCCACCACACCCACTAATTTTTCTATTTTTAATAGAGATGGGGTTTCACCATCTTGGTGAGGCTGGTCTCGAACTTCTGACCTCAGGTGATCTGCCCGCCTCGGCCTCCCGAAGTGCTGGGATTACAGGCCTGAGCCACCGTGTCTGGCATCTGCATGGACTTTTTTATCTATACACTTTTCAGATCTCTACTCAAATATCAGTTCCTCAGAGGCCTTCCCTAGCCTCAGTAAGATCCCCTTCTTATATTGCTCTTAATAGTGCACCGTAGTTTCCCTTCATAGCACTTGTCAAAATTTGTAGTTAACTCTTTCTTTTTGGAATATTTTCTTTAATGTCATCTTCCCCCCAACAGAGTACAAGCTCTCTAAGACCACATGTACTGTCATTCATTTTATCCCTAGCACCCAATATAGTCCCTGGCACTTGGAGGGTATTCAATAACTCCTTTTTCAAAAACTGAGTTTTTAAGAACAGGACCTTAAGGAATGTCTTTATTTGTTGAATGAACTCACAAAGATGTCATTAAAGGAGACTAAATAGGAGAAATGAGAGGGTCATAACAAAGAGACTCCAACATGATAAAACACTCAAGGAAGGCACATGGTTGATAGTATCAAATGCGATGATGAGACCAAATCATACCTATATGGCAGTTAAATGGTAATCAGATGGGAGGCACATAGCTTATTTTCATTTCTTAAAGAATTTTTCATTTGATTCTTTAAATTCCTTCCCAGGTCATTCACAGACTAATTTCCATGTAGTAAGAGTTATGTTCATATTCATATTTATAGAACATAGAATTTGTTTTTTAAAAATTTTAGGGATGTTAGAATTTTATGTCTGACAAAAGTATGAGACTGTAGAAGAAAGCACTTCAGAAACTAACACTCTAGCAAATGGAATATAAGTATTATATTATTATACTTTTTCAAAAAAATCTAACTTTCCAGACACATTTTTTCAAGGTAAAATCTCTGAACATAGATACTTTCTCCAAACTTTGGCCACAGGTAACTACTCTTCACATCCTGATAACCCATCTTCTCTTGGATCTCCTTGCGTACTTAGATATTCTCCAAGAGAAGAATAGGCTGCTAATATGCAGATAATATGCCTTTCTGACCTCTGTTGAATTTGAACAGGCTTAAGCTATGTTTAGCAACAGAACTAAACTTGATGGTTTTTTTCTTTTCAGAAAAGTTTGTTAATAATTTCCAATGTAAAAATGTAGTGGAGTTTTTAACACTTCTCATACAGGTCAGTCTTCACTTATAAATGATACAAATAGTATCATTCTGTGAACTGTATTTTACTATACAGGAGAAATGAGTAGGAAAGAGAGGTAAGAAATGATATAGATCTGCAATTGAGGACAACACAGCTAGTTCATTTTATTTATTCATGTTTCTTTATTGTTTCTCCCTGAAGAAGAAAGGAGATATGATTACCTCTTCTTCCCTTTGTATACAAATATGCAAACTAGGGCAGGCAACAATCTTCTAATTTCTTCTCTGGTGTGAGAATTATAACCACCCCAAACATTGGAAAACATTAGCAACAATTCAGTCACTCATTAAGTCTGCAAATATTAAATATTTCATAGTTACACAGTCTTGCCAAACCAACTCTCAAATCAAGAAAGAGTGAAAAAACACTTTAAACATTTTACTATAAATGCTGTTCTTTAACCATAATGTCTTTTATCATTTTTTTCAAAATAAATTTGTAATGAGCTTTTTTGCAAAAATTTTTATCAAAAATAATTAAGTTTGTCTAGTTTACCTAAAACATACATACATACACATAAACAACATGTAGACAGAGAGATTGCAGTACCCTGAAGTTACAGATAAAAACCTGTCCCTTACCATCCCTTAAACCTTAGAAAAATATATGGCTTTGGGGACAATGTTAATAATATTTATATAACGAAGAAAAATATGCTTAGATAATAAAAGTCATAGGACAGAAAGGCATCTGAAAAGAAATTTTTTACAACACTGGTACCCTCTAGCTCAAGAATTCACCACAAAACACTCACATGTGCCCCACGTTCTCATAGGTGCCCCCCATGTGTGATACTTGCCTATGTGTAAGCAGACAACTTATTAGATCTCCAGAGAATAGATACGGCTTCAAACTATGTACCCTTTCTCTTTTCCCCACCCCAAGAAGATTGCGAAACATACTTTCTTAGGAAATCATGCTTCGAGGGTCACTGTAGTTAGTGATTCATTGAAATGTACATATATAATATTTTTCAGGGTTTAGGATGAGGAAAAAATGTGAATTACTATTCTATAGTTTACACTTCCATTAATGCAGCTTAAAATTATGTTAGCTTTTTTGGAGGGAAAGTTGAATCACACTGTTGGACAGATATTGAGCGTGTTATCAACTAAAATCCTAAGTCTTTTTCAAAGGTTTTGTTTCTAAGCCAGATCTTTGCCCAAATGCAGGACTAGTTATTTATCCCTATTAAATTTAATTACATTATTATAACCTGCTGAGGTCATTTTAGCTCCTAATTCTGTTACCTCATTTGATAGCTCTAAAGGTATGATAGGGGCCATGTCTGTCTTTATTTACTGCCATATTTATTGCACCACAGGCAATTTTTGATTTACAATGAATGCTAGCCACACATCAGATAAACATGCTACCCATATTTTCATTCGAACCATTGAAAAAAAGAAGAGGACCAGACAGATTGAAATATAGACAGTCTTAGAGCATACCAAGCACCAACTCCCTTAATGGATAAAACTGATCAGCACATGTCAGATGTGGTAATTCAACCCGTTTTTAATCTGGCCCATACTGCTACTTGTACACTAGCATAACAACATCAAGAAAAATCCAGCCTTCTGCCAAGCAAAAATTCATTTATGCCATACTAGTCATATTTTCCAGATGTAATCTAGTAATCCTGTCCAAAATGAAAAGTAAGTTAGCCTTCTTAGTAAATCCATGTGGCATCCTAGTAATCACAGCATGTTCCTTTTATGTTTGTTAAAACTCTTTAATTCCTTTGATAAGGCATTATGGAAGTTTTCGTTCAATGTTTTCATTCTATGGCAGCACAGTCCTTTTTTCAGTGAATGAAAAAGTTATCAGAGCATAATATAAAATATAAGGAAATCTTTAATATTTACATCTAGGAAGATTAAAAGTGAGACTAGATCTCCTTTCATTTAAACTACTCTATGGGATAAAAGAGAATAAGAGAAGTTATAAGCATATTTCTTCAAATAACTAAAACAATCCAGTGGAGAGTTTCTCTGGATTATGGTAACATGCTTATGTGTATTAATAATGTCTGTTTGTGGAGCATCTGTCATGTGCTGTGCATCATGCTAACATTTTGCATTTATTACCTCATATAGTTCGACAGCCCTTCTAGGTAGGTGTTATTTCCTTTCCAAAGATATGAGGTATAGTAAAAGTTAAATCATTTGCTCGGGGTCACATAGCTGGCAGGTGGCACAGCTGGACCAGATCTGGTCAACACCAGAATTGTACTATTGTGCAACATTGTATCTTTAGAGTTTGAGGAATTTATAATTTTGACACCTCTCCCATTTGCTGACAGTGATTCAAAAGTAACCTTTATAGGTTCTCCAAGTGTCATGGGATGTAATTCATCTGGGTCAGGAGGCTTGAACTCACTGTAAACATCTAGATGCTCTCATGTAAATGCTTCACACATTCTAGACTTCAAGTGACCCTCATCATCTTACCAGTGTCCACTCTGTCCTTGCAGTTCAAGGATCAGCGTTCTTGATTGAACATATAGATGCCAAATAGGTTTCAAAAAATTCTACTTCCACTTTTTCATTCATCAACCTTAAAACAAGTCTGAGCTGTGAGCTTTTTTTTTTTTAATACTTTAAGTTCTAGGGTACATGTGCACAATGTGCAGGTTTGTCACATATGTATACATGTGCCGTGTTGGTGTGCTGCACCCATTAACTCGTCATTTACATTAGTTATATCTCCTGATGCTATCCCTCCCCCCTCCCGAGTGAGCCTCTTTTTGTTTTAATTCCCTTTCTGACTGGCACTACCCGAAAAGCTCTTTTGGTTTTCAGATTATGTATATAGCCCTAAAAACTTGCTAGAACAAAGTATCTTCGTATCTAGTGGGATTTGGTAAATTTTCCAGACCTAGAAAAGAAATTGGCCACAAGCTAAATGTAAGTAAAGTAGTAGAAAAAAATAGATCTAAGCAAAGGAAGTTATAATAATTAGCTTAATACCTCTTTTGAAAGTTTCCAGATTTCTTCAATGAGTGATGACAATTTCACCAATTTTAATCGACCAAAAAAATGTTAAATTGTGTTTAGTTATTGTAAAGTGATATAATGCATAATTTCCTTTCAGAGTGTGATATTTTAAAGTATGGAGTTTGAAAGGTATTTACTTAGAGTACTTGAGACTAGTTGAGGCAAAGATACCATCACAAGCTTTTGATATAAAAAAGAGAAGCTCCAAGGATGGAACTGAATTAGAGCCAAAGTTGGTGGGAAAAAGGAGAAAAGCTCTCTTTGAAACTGTTGCATGGGAAGGGAAACACCAAAGAAAAAGATTTGCTTCATAAAGAAATTGTTTTACACTGGTCATAATCCTGAAGTTAGAACTATCAATCACCCCAGATTAGTGAGTAAAATAATCACATTAACCCATAATTATAAATGTAATTTGTAAAACTCGGCCATATATAAGCCAAGTAGTAGTGAGAATATCAGGACACATTGGCGATACATTAGGAATGACAATACACATTATTTTTATCTTTGCTACTTAATTCTGCATTGCTTATTCATTTGTAAAAATAACTGGATTTATTATACTTCATATCACAAAAATGCCGACTTGGAGGTTTTACGTAGCTTTAATTTAGTGTTAAGATATTAGTTCTCAACATCAAGAAACTATGTGATTTTAAGTATTTCTGTAACTAACTTTCCAAGCAGTTAGGATGTAGAGTTCAGTTATTCTTTTTATTCTTTGATAGCAGTGTTGTTTTCTTTGATTACATATACATATATTTGATCTGTAAATATGTTTGTATGTATGTGTGTTACATAAATATGCATGTGACAATTAATTCCATTCTCCCTAGAATAAGGCTGGAACTAATTGACTGTAAGCAGACTATCCTGCTCATTATCTATTAGGTTATACTCAAAGTCTTTTAACCAGTGCATTAACATGTTTTAACCAAGTTTATTGGCTTTACCAATAAATTTACCAATTCATTTAACTGAAGTTTACACGTGTAGTCCTAAATATGCTAACTACTTTGTGTGAACTTTTTTTTTTTTTGAGACCGAGTCTCACTCTGTCACCCAGGCTGGAGGGCAGTGGCACAATCTCAGCTCACTGCAACCTCCACTTCCCAGGTTCAAGCAGTTCTCTTGCCTCAGCCTCCTGAGTAGCTAGGATTACAGGCGTGTGCCACCACGCCTGGCTAATTTTTTGTAGTTTTAGTAGATACAGGGTTTCACTATATTGGTCAGGCTGGTCTCGAACTACTGACCTCGTGATCTGCCCACCTCCACCTCCCAAAGTGCTGGGATTACAGGCGTGAGCCACTGCACCCGGCCATGTGTGAACTATTTTTATATTCTGAGAGGCAGTACAGCCTACGGGTCTCAATCCCAGACAGGCTGGGATTGAATCCCAGATCTACCCCTACTGACCTTGAGCAAATTACTTAATTTCTCTGTGCCTCAGTTTCCTCATCTGTAAATTGGAGATAATAGTGCCTACTTCACGTTATAAGGATTAAACTAATTAACATAATACATACCAGTGCCTGCCACTTGATAAACCTTTGTAATTATCTACAGAAGTCAGGAGGTTCCCCCAAAGGCTATGTGGAATGACAAAATCAGCTTTTATTTCAGAAGTCATCACTATGGAGATACCATTGGCAAGGCTTCAGCCAAATGCTGGAGAGATTAATTTCAGCAAGACTTGTGTTAAGGAAACCAGTAATCCAGGCAAAAAATGAAGAGACCTGAATTATATAGCAAATGGTGGTGGGATCGAAGCAAAAAATATTAAGGCAATATTAAATGTAATACACAGGCCTTGATCACTATTTGGCTGTGAGAGTTGAAGAATTCATAAAGGACTCCCAGGTTTCAGTCTAGGAGGACATTCTCTAAAACAGGATATAGAAAGAGTTCCAAAATCTCAAGTACCTGTATACATCCAAGAGGGGATGCCCAATAAGCAATCTCTTCACACTCCAGAAAAGCTGGATTGCAGAAATACCAAACTGAGTAAGTAGTACAGGGAACAGTTGAAGTGAAGGAAGTAGATACCATTGGATTTGCCTTTATCCTCTTTTTCAATGACCAGACAATCAAAGCCTACCTCAGACTAGAACACATCATCTAATGGAGTTCTGAGCATTAAAGGGAAATCATATTGAAGATTTCAACCTTGAAGTTAATTGTGAAGTTTGTTGCAGATGGCTAATGCTTCAAAGGTAGAAACTGTTTTTTCAGTGATTTGGGTGAAAACATGAACGTGAGTCCCTGGTGTGACATTTCCCATCACAGATTGCACAGCTGCCAATGATAGGCCCTTCCTTTGGCTCCTGGGGACTTAATTTCCCTAGGGAACTATTGTGGTTATTCAACTTTAAGACCTTGTAGGAAGAATCAGTTGTTTCTCTCAGGGGTCTTACTCAGAGCAAGCAATATGGAAGTAAATAGTCACTAAGGAGAAATGAGAAGCTTTTAGCAAAATGTACGAATAATTGTTTTTTCTTTTAAACTGGCCAAATCCTTACAAAAATTATAAATTAGATTAAGATAGCTACCCTGTTTTGGATCCTAATCATTATAATCTACATGAGAATGCATAATTCACACCAGTTTTGCTGTTCCCAACATAAAGAAAAAGGTGCATTTCACTATATGCTAATTTCTGCATGTAGTGGATGTACAAAAGATTGTTTCAGGCAGGAAACAATCTTTTCAGAAATGAGAATGAGAGTGTAGGCCCAGTTCTGCCAGTACCTACTGCTGTGATCTTGGCCAAGTCTTAAGGTGTATAATGCAGATAATATTTTTTTGCCCTACTGTCCCAGAGTTCTGTGATCAAAAGAAAGCATTTAATGAAACTGCTCTTTGAAAAATTATTTTTAAAAATTATTTAAAGGTTGTATTAAAAATACAACCGTCCCATCATTCAGGAATATTTTTTCACCTCAGAAAGCTCATTAGTTAAAATATTGTAAACATCAGTGTCTTGTTCCTAATAAAAATAATAGCCTACCACTTACTAAATGCCTAATATATGCTCTCTGTAAGGTGCTCAATGGACTTGCTTTAAATAATCACAACTACTTCAATATCTAAGTTACTAAGATGTTATCCTCTTTCTGGGAAAACTGAGGCTTAAAACGGTTAAGTGACTTGGCCAATGTCATGTGCCTGGTAAACTATAGTTTAGCCTTTAAATACAGTTCTCTCTGACCCTGAAGTCTACGTTGTTTCAACGATTCTGTTTTCAGATCCAAAACTGTATTCTGGAAAGAACTCCAGGTGGGGAAGACTAAACTCAAACCGTTATTTTTCAGTCTCGCCATCAGAGTTGAGCCAGAAAGCAGCCCAGTGAATCTGTGCTCTGCACAAATTTGATATGTTCTCTACAGTTCTCATTCCTGATTTAAAGTGGAAGACAGTAAACAACTGATTCAGGACTGCTAAGTCATATATACCTTTAAATATTTAGCAAAAGCAGATTTCAAAAGACACTTAAAATGTATTGCAAAATGTACAGCATTTATTCACATACAGACAAAAAGGCACAATTCTACTAAATAGTTCAACAAAAAAATACAGCTGTCCTCAACTAGTTTTATAAATACTTTCAAAAAGGGGGTAGAAATAAATACAGGATTGGGTCATGTAATATAAAATAGTCATCTCTACATATACTTTAATTTGATTTTTAACTCTTCATGCACCTTTTTTTTTTTTTCAATTTTAGCTGAATGGACACCAAGCTAGGCACATAGTGAAAAATCCTCTGTACAAGGTTACAAATGTAATGACAAGTTTGTCCATTTCAAAATAAGATTTGTACACAACACATAAAACCCTTCATTTAGATCTTGTGTTTATAACCTAACAAATGACATTCCAGGCAACTTTACAAAAGTTTAACTAGCCTACATTTTGACATAATACATTAATCATAATCAAAGATATTTCTTGGTCAGGATGCACAAGGAAAGATAAAGCTTAAAAAAAACAAATGCAAATGGTTCCATACTAATAGAACGCAAGTGGGTGTTTGGGCTGGTTGCTGCTTATGGCCACCTCATAGAGAGTTCCCAGCATGACATGAAACTAACTCACAAAGCTATCATTATACTGTCAGAGAAACCGTGCTCTATCCATTTGCATTTCGAAGCAGGAATAAAAAGTGTGGGCTTTTTATTTTTGTGTGTTTTGTTTTTGTGTGGGTTTTTTTTAATATTTTTTGTTTTGTTTTTGTTTTGTTTTTTTTGGTTCAGCATAACTTGGAACATTTGAAAGCTTTTCAACCTAAATGTGGGGAAAAAACAGGTAAGGCATTATTTTTGCACAAAACTAGCATTCCTAATAGTGCAAATGAATCTGATACCTCTTAAAATGGTGAGAGGTCATACACTTACTAGATTAATTTAGATTTTCTTTCTATGGCTTGACAAATTATCCCTCTATAAATTCTACTCTCACCCAGAGCTGTTGCTGTAATCAAAAGATAACTGTAGATAAAGTCCAACCTTCTCCTGTATCCAGCAAAAGGTTTTTGCTCATATGCAAAAAAAATCTAATTTTTAAATTATCCTACAAGTGAATATACAACTTGGATTCATAAGAACCTTCTATTATCTGCAGCAACAAGCTGATCTGGACAGCAGTCTTTCAAAATGAGCCCCATAACTCAAAAATAGTCAGTCAATCTAAAAACCTGCATCATTCTTCCCCCTCCCCTGAATTAGCTACTAAAATGTCCTTGAAAAGTTAAGACTTGGTTTGAAAATGTCGTACATACAATGGGGATGTATCAGATCTACTATTTGATCATCTGATAAAACTTGCATAGCAAGATGGGATTCAATAAGCCTTTTTTGTTGTTGACAATCATCTGGAAGACTTGAAAGTTAACTGCAGAACTCCTCAAAGCATTATTCATTAAGTATCATAATGTCCCTGCCATATGGAAACAGATGTATAAATGAATCAGGAATCTGAATACTGGTATTAACAAACTAAGGAGAATTTAGGGGAAGTCGGGCTTGTTCCAAAGGCCCATAATTCTGTATCTCATTGCTATTTAAACGTTCCTTCCTTAAGTTTGATTCACAACCACATTGAATTCCAAAGAAAATTAACAGGACCTAAACACTATCCACTGTCTTAATACATACGCACTATGGGGAGTGCAAAAACAAAACATTGTACTCAAATTTAATGCTAAATTTATTATTGCTGATAACTTAATAGTTATTGCCATTTGCAATTAGAAAGTCCAAGTTACAAATTAGAGTTTAGAACTCTGACTACAGAAAACCTATTCAAGGGTACACTTCAGTCTCTTTCCTGTATAACCTTGGTCAATAGTAAGAGCTTATCGCAACTTATTGCCTTTCTATTGTTTTTAAAATATAACCTATTTCGCTTTTTTCTCTTTTTTTCTTTTTTCTTTTTTTTTTCTTTTTTTCTTTTTTTTTTTTTTTTCCTTTTTCTTAAGGAATCCATTCATGTTGGAAGCCCAGATTCCCTAACATATGCACTAGTGGTTGGCTCTGGGAAGTAACAGTCACCAGAGTCTGGAAGTTCTTCGCTTGAACTTGAGTAGCCACTGTACTATTGGAAGCCAGATGGCCAGGTATTGGCAATGGCCAGGGAAATCCCAAGCTGGCTCAAGAGCCAGTGGTTAGGGAAGAAGAAGGTCAAGTGGACTGGTAAAAATTCTACTTCAACTGCCCTTATTCATAGATACAACTTTCCTAACAGTCTCACTCTCCACCAGTCCCATATCCACAACCCACTCACAGGCTTCAAGCAGCAGGACCTTGCCATATTACCCTAAATCTCCATATTGCAGCAGCTCTACCCTGTCCCCTCAGCTTCTTCAATAATGACCTTTTTTAAAATTCTCTTCCCTGACTGCTATATTTACACATAAATTTCTTAGTGTTACTGAAGCTTCAGAGCTGCTGCCTATATGCTATAATGCAACAAAAATAGCCTTGAGGGCCAAATATAAATATGATTTCAAGATCTACCACAGTCCTAGAAAATAAACTTTATGGGCTGTGAATGGTACCATGAGGGTTTCTCAAGAACCATATCTGGTTCCCTATATTCAGGTAACCATGAGTTTGTGCTTTGGGAAGAATGCAGAGGGCTATAAAAATTCATGAGGCTTATTTAAGCCTTGCCTTCTTTAAAACATTTCATTTTTATTTTAGTGTTCAGTTCGGGTTCTAGTCTTAGCAGTGTCTTATGGTTACAATCTACTCTTCTGTTTCCTCAACAAGTTGCAAATAACACAAACTTCTCACAAAAATGATTTAAAAATGACTCTGGAAAAAAATTAATCTGAATTGCAAGTAAATGTGTTTGTGTAGCTCAGGATTAATGGGTTTCTGCTTCTCCCCCACATCAGAGCTCTCCTCTAGCAAACCCAATGACGAGCCCAAAGGGCTTCCGCATCATCTCTGTTGCATCAAGAAGCCAAGATGCTTCTCCTGATAATGTCTGTCCTTCTGCTGATAGTGCTGCTGGTGTGTATACATTTCTTTTCTGATGCCTCACTCTCTGAGTCACTCATTTCCACATCGGGGACATACCCGTCATTCTCATTGTCGGATTTTAATTTGCTTTTTGCCCTTTCCTTGGCTGGAACTCGGCCTAAGCCCAAATATGGGTAGTCTGAGTGCTGGTGGCAGGCCCCATCGTGGGCCTCTCCCTGCTGCTGCCGTTCCCCCTTCTTTGGAATCCGGAATCCTCCCCAGTTTTTCACTGGGCTGGCAGGTGTTGTAGGCACTTTGACTGCAGTCTGATTATAGTTTACTTTGATTAGGGAGCCATTGCACTTGGGCACTATCTCCTTCCTTGTGCCAGGTGCTGACTGCCCCACTCCAGGGGAGGTGGCAGCTCTTGTGTTGTCCAGATGCCTCTGGGACACATCTGTGGACCTGAGAGGCTTGTGACTCTGTTTAAAAGATTTGTCCTTTAAGTCTCCTTTAATGAGATCACAATGAAAACGATTGTCTCTTCTTTTCCCATGGTCTGGCATCACCACACCATTTTTCTGTTGTGCTGATATGAGACGTGCTTCTGCAAAGGTCTTTTCTAAACCCAAAAAGCTCTCTGGGACCACCATCCCCTCCCTTCTACCACACAGGTCTGGCTGCTTCAGCAGGGTTTTGCCTTCACTTCCAGGGCTATTCTGCAAAGGATCTCGCTTATGGGGCTTTTTCAGCGAATGAACCAAGGAAGTACCCATTTGTTTTCTGAAGAATGCAGAATGCCACTTCAAGTCCTCTATCTTGGGAGCATCAGGGCCAACAGAAGGACTGTTAAACAAAAGCATGTTTTCCAGTGAGGAGGAGGAGCAGGAAGAAGGCACACCTATAAACATAAAACCACAAATAAAGAAAAATTACAGCAGAAGCAAATCCAAAAGAATAAAATTCTACACCCTTAGTGTGGCCCAATTGATGTGAACTCCCCACCCAACAACACAACACTTACACCACCAAGTTTGTACAAATTTGGTTTTTATAGTGAAGAGATGACCTGCCTTGAGAATCTCCATTCAATCTGCAGACTCAATATGCCACATTTTCTAAAACAGCTGAAGCTCACATAATTTTTCATAAAACTAGACCTCCTCCAAACAAAATAACTGATCTGATTTTCAGAGCGGACTCCATGCAGAACTCATCAGGTGGCTGATGGCTGCCTCTGCTCCCTCTACCTGGTTACAGAGCAGCACCTGCGCCGCGCTCCTCCACGGTCCAGTCTTCTGCCTCCCGTACGAGACTGAGAGGACCCAAAAAGCAGGGCTCGGGGCTTGTAAGTTTCTCTATGTGTCTGTACCCTCACAGGGCTATTACGAGGACAAGTACATGTAAACATGTGAATGAATAAAGGAAATGTGTGAAATAATTCTTGACACATAGTAAGCGTTCCAAAAATGTTCATTATTATTATGTGCAAAATACATTTGTGGGATTCAACTGAATTGTCATTCAACTTGAAGTAAGTTAAATTGATGTTTTTCGTATTTTTTGATGCAAATCACAGTGACTAAATTCCACAGCATGACCTAGTAAGAGTTCACATTTCACGAAATAATATTAACCCTCATCATTTGATAATGTACTCTGACATTTCCTATTATACTTTACTTGTTTTTAATACTGGTCATGACCCACTGAATTCATCTCACAACCCACTAATGAGTTGTTACCCCTAGCAGGTGAATTCATAACACATTAGTGTTTGTCATAAAGACCATGATTCTACAACAGCCTCAAGATCATCTAGAAAGAGCAGTTCTCATGTTTTCTGTCTCCCATAAGATATGAGCCACCAAGAAAACAAGGTTCAGCCCCCAGGTTATGAGACAGGAGGCCATATGAGAACCTAGTGCTCACCAGACACAGACACTGCAAGCAAATGAAACATAGCTAGCGACTCAGAACACAGAGCTGTCATGACCACAGGAGGTGTTTTACAACCTGCTGGTTTGGAAATGCTGCTTTCTCAAGAATCAATCATTAGAATCAACCTTCACATCACACTGCATATATTTCTTTTACTCAATCACCTGCCACAGGAAAAGAGAATGGTAAGAAGAGGCTAACATTTTCTGAACTCTGATTTCTATCTCCTTGACTGTAATCCATGTCTCTAAAGAGCCTCCAACTCATGACCCTCCCACCCCCCATAAGCACTGTTGCCACTGAGGACACTCTCAGCAAATGACCCTACCCACTCTCAGAATCACAGAGTTTAAACCATGGACCCTAAATGACATATAAATCATGACCATCTGCTCTACTTCAGGCAGGAGACAGCCTTTAGGCATGAATAAGAACACGACTGAAGCCTAGGACTGGAAAAAGAAAAAAAGCACCCTAAAGGGTTTCAACTGCATTACTCAACAGAATCCTACAGGAAGATAAATGTTTTCAACTGATCATACCTATGGTTCTTACATCAGAATGAAAGGAAGATTTGTTTTCCTTTTCTGAAATAGTAGGACTTCTGAATGCAGATCTACATTACAGCTCTGTTACCACAAAATAACTCCCAGACTTATTAAGAATATCATTCGCTCACCCAGTAAAAACCTCAGCCATGAAATGCAAAAACCTGCCTGCAATATCCATGAGAAATAACTCAAATGAAACCAGATGAAAATGCTCTTTACGGCTTATTTTTACAGGGAATCACTCATTACATAATGACCTAAGAGTTGCAGAAAGCCCTCCAATGGCACAACTCCACAGGCACAACTTGTATTAGTGATCCCAGCTCAGCATTTGCTGCTGTAGGCTCGGTGATCTGCACCAGACAGTCTTCCAAGGCAGTTAAACAGATCTCATTTATTTGTATTCAGGTAGGAATCATGAAGAGAGAGCTCACCTTAGGGAATCTGAATCGACCTACTTTTACATATGACACCCTACTTAGAAAATTTATTTTTAAAATCTTAACAATTAAACTGCAAGTTCCAGCTAATGATATACACTTGATTCACCTGGAAAATACTTAATCTTGGGAAGAAAATATCTAGGATATCAACAAGTTATTGCATTCAAACTATGTAACACTTCAAGAACATTATTTAAACCTCCCTAAACCTTTTTTTATTTCTTCAGATGACCGAGCTCCCTCTAGTCGCACATAATTGGTTAGATAAACCAGAATTTGGATTTCAACACAACAGGTTATAACAACTTCTTTGTTCTCTGTGCACCATAATAATCTAGATGGAGTGACAAAAAGCCACAAATGCACAAAAACAAGAGTGAATCAACTATGATTGCACAACGCAAGCACCAAGAATGGTGCAGCTAGAACTTTAAAGGGCAGTCCAAGGCAGGAGAGAGGCTGACTATCTTCCAATGAAGTCCAGTCTAAGACCTACCTGTTCCATGGGTCCCTAATTCTGCCTGATCCACACTCAGCAGCTCTGCTTCTCTGAAATCCTTATACTACCTACTTTTGGGGGCTTATGATCACAGAATATAGGGCTCAAATGCACTTAAGGGGTCTTGATTCTAAAACAAACTTTAAGATCAACGGAATCTCAGAGAGGTTAAACAACCTGCCCAACTTGATCTTTGCCCTTGATCTCCCAAGTAACTGATGTGTTGTCCAGAGTAGAGGAAGTATATACCCTAGTTTTCTTTTTCTGTTTGCCTAGCCCAGGGCAATATAAAATAGAAGACACTAAATAAATATTTGGTGCTCAATCTCAGAAATAGTCAACAATCCATCTACACAAAAAAAATCTACTGTGAACATTATCTAAAAATGGACTGTGTCTTAAGTACAGTCTTAACATATATTGACCATATTTACCATGTTACAGATAGAGCCCAAGGCTGAATATAAACCTGTTAGGTATCCCCATGATGTGTTTACCAAGTACTGTGTAATATATAAGTCACTGTTTCATTTTAGTCTCTCAATTCCAAGAGGTAGCTTGCGATATCTCCATTTTGCACATGAAGAAATTAGGGAGACTCAAAAGACTTTCATGTGTTTGCTCAGTAAGCAGAGAACACAGGATTCCACCCATATTTATAGAGGGCAAATTCATAGCTTTTTCCCTTAAACATGATGCCTCAAATTAAAGACTTCCTTTAAATATGAACGTCTATGCTTCTTAAATTCTTCTATAAGAAAATTAAGAAATGATTATTTCTTCCTCAACAGTGTTAAAGCTTACAAACCCCTGCCCTATACTTTGACCTACCAGGGCTTAATGCATACCTGAAACTCTTTCTTGCTCCAAAAGCTTAGTGTAAAGATTGAATATCTGTTCCTGGACTTTGCACACAGACCGTTTAATCTTTTCCCTGCGGGTCACCATGTAAGTGAGGTTCCGAACCTAGAATGTAGAGAATAAAGATTCTAAGTAAGCAATACAGTATAACAGTACTTTGGTGCTTTTTAAATTTCTTTACCTAAGAGAAATTACTCCTACTAGGGCCTTGACAGATACTTGAAATCAATAGGTACTTTAAACATTTTATCCAATCTCTGATCTCCTTTTGGGCAGATAAGAAGGATTCCACATATAGCCCTCAACATAGGCAGAAGCAACATCGAAGAGGGTTAGGGACCCACAGGAGTGGGAGGGACACCTAGAGAACTCCTACAAAAGTCCTGCCTCCTCCATCACACCTAACCCATCCCGGCACAGAGGCCATTGGTGTCCAAGTCAAAACTTGCAACCTCTTGCCAGTCGACTTTGCTAATTATTGCATCAATATCTTCTATTACTTGGATGGCCAATGGCTTTAAAGCAGTTCAGAAGCCACTTCTGCACTTTATCAACTATCTTCTGAGGCTGAACTGGGTAAACATGGGGCCAAGG
Source organism: Homo sapiens (assembly GCF_000001405.40). Lineage (NCBI taxonomy): Eukaryota > Metazoa > Chordata > Mammalia > Primates > Hominidae > Homo > Homo sapiens. The sequence continues at coordinate 128,867,366 of NC_000004.12, read as the reverse complement.
GTCATCAAAGTGGAGCCCCCTGCACCAGGCCCACTGGAAGACCAAATGGTTACCAAGAATCCTAGTAAATGTCTTTGTCAACTGCACACTGAACTCACTGAAAGGCCTGGAGTTAGCAGGTAGCTTATGTGTTGCTATGAGGTGTGCGAATGCCTAGGAAATTTCCAGCTTTGCCAATGATTTGCTGGTTAGACATCTCCAGTCCAGTTCTCTGCATCATCACTTGAAAAACTGGTATTGCCCTCTCCCGATTCGCTTGTAACTGAAAAGACCCAGTGCTAAGAGTTGGCTCTACTTCCTATCTGATGTGTGACTGCTTTGGATCACATAACCCTAACCTATGCTCAGTAATCAACATTTAGATTTGTTCCCCACCTGTCATCACTCAATACACAAAACTTAAAGAATTAGTCTCTAAACTCCCCTAATCCTTCAGTCCTAAAATCTTCTATTGGTCAACCTGATTAGATTACACGGACCTGCAAACACAGATGTCAGACACAGCACACCAAATACACAATTAAACCCTTCTTCAGGAATATGTGGACAAGACCTCCTAAGTAATCTCAGTGGCAGGAGTGGTAGCATCTTTATCTGACCACATCTTTCCCATTAGCTCCTACAGGCATGCCTTCACTTTCCTAAAAATATCCCATTATGAGCAAACTCTTCCCCTGACACCTTTATAATTTTTTCCCCATAAACTCAATAAAGTAGTATCACCCTACTTTAAGTGGAAAAAGTCCAAAGGTCACCAACCTTTTCTTTTGGCAGTGAGGACAGCAACAAGCATCAACAAGCCTTGTGAAGACACAAAAGATTTTGCACTCTGGTGTAGAGCGTAAGTGTAGACTAAACCCTAATAATTCCAGCTGTGCTGAAGGCAGTCTCATTTGCAAGAGGACATGAAGCATTAAGAGAGACAGAACACAGGCTTTCACATTTGCATTATGGTAATATCTCCTGGCCTAAACAGGAAAATGCCAAGTCAGGCTTCTCCTGCCCCTAACAAATTCACTTTACGGATCTTCCCATCTTTTTTTCTCTAACAATCCCTTATGTCACTAACATTTCCTGTCTTATTTTAAATTTAAAGAATTGAGAATAAAAACACTCTCCCTGTCTCATAGTAAATATTACATGGATGTCAATCAGCCTAGTTAAGGTAGTTTCTTCCCTTCTCTGACAGCTGCACACCCTCAATCCAAGAAGCAGGTGTCCTTTATAGAAATTCTCACCAACTTGGGAATGGAAGTGGCTAACATCCTCCTCTCTTCGATATTGTTCCACCCAGGGGAAATTAAGAGTGAAGCTCAAGAACGAGGGGCCAGACCTAGATCCATAGCAGATTCAAAACTTCTAGGAAACAGAACCATTTTTACATTAACAAGGAATCTGACTCCTGGAAATAAAAAATGGAAACAAATCCTGACATCTTAGGAGCAGACAGGTTGCTCTCATATTCAAATCAGACATGTAATAGAAATACTTACATCTCTCTTACTTGAAATTATCCTTAAAAATGGAAAACGGGGAAGCCAGGGAATTTGAACTTTGTATATTATTCAAATTTAATTTTGGTAGCTTTGACCACACCATGGCTGCTAAATAGAAAAATCCCACTGCTATTCCTCATGATCTCTGATGGGAAATATCTAAATGTAAACCCAAAAAGCAAAGGGCATGGTTTTCAATCGGAACAAATCAGCCCTGACCAACTCCACTTTATAGTAGTGAGGACTCTAAACCTGACTTCCCTTATGCATAAAGTTCCCTATAGGACAACGCTCAGCAACCTCCACCTGCAGAGCTGGACTGATGCTCTCCCATCCTCAAAACACATCCAGCTTGTCCCTTCTTCCTGCACCCGTTCCACCAAGCTCCCTCCCCTGCTTTATCTTCTCCCAACTGCCTGCAAGGAGGTATCTTAAAAAACATTTAAACCATCTCCAGGTGCACTCTCACACCACCTTAAACCTGATCATCCCTTTCCCCTAAAGCAGTGTTCCCAAACAGAAACATGGGGTACCCACAAAACAGAACCACCCTTTGGAGGTGGGGCCCATGAATCTGCATTCCTAAGTTTCTGGGTCAGGGACAACACCCTGAGATACACTGCTCTAAGACATCTAAAAGTGGTTTCAGTGTTTTCTTGAATCCAAAACTGTTTGCAGCACTAAAGTTGAACGTGCCTTTTGTTCAGGGGACACTGTAGCCACTACCAGATTTTCAAAGGTGACCATTCCACTGAGTGACTACAGGACTGCCCCCAGGACTTGGCCACTTTCCATAACGCTAGCCAGAGTGCAGTGGTAGCACGTCTTTATCTGAATAAATACTCATTTGCTGAACTCACATTTACTGCATCTTTTAGGGGAAAGGAATGAGAGTGAAGTGGCAGCCTTGGGAATGACATGGCTACCCACCACATCAGCAACTGTGTCTTCTTAAAGTTGTGTGCTCCCAAGCCCTCCTGAAATCTACTCCTGTCACCTAACTTCCAGATCCAGAACTGGTACCCAGGTATGCAATGCCCCGAGGTGTGTGTCTGAAGGAAGAGCAGTCACCATAATTACTCAGTTGTCTGCATTTCTAATGATGGCTACTTATTTGTCAGTCTGAGAATGATCATATGCCTTGATTGTAGTCACAGGTATTAAATGATTTTTGAGGATCTGCTATAAACTGATATTGTGTGAATTAAACAGAAAACTAACTTACTTGAGAAAACAAGTTGGTAGTAATGATTGGTTTTTTATTGTCACCCCTGCCCTGATACACTTACTGTTTATAATTACAAATAACTGCAACTCTCTGGGCAAGGCAAAGATTTCAATTGTTTAATGCCTTCACCATCACAGGCATCATGGCAAATTTTGGGTAGCGTATTTTTTTTCATTACAATAAGCCCATTTTAAACTGAGTCTAAGGCTGGGTACAGTGGCGTAATCCCAACACTCTGGGAGGCCAAGACAGGTAGATCACTTGAGGTCAGGAGTTCAAGACCAACCTGACCAACATGGTGAAACCGTCTCTACTAAAAATACAAAAATTAGCCAGGCATGGTGGCGCACGCCTGTAATCCCAGCTACTCATGAGACCGAGGCAGGAGAATCACTTGAACCCGGGAGGCGGAGGCTGCAGTGAGCCGAGATCACGCCACTGCACTCCAGCCTGGGCAACAAAGTGAGACTCTGTCTTGAAAAAATAAAAATAAACTGAATACAAATTCTTTAAAGTTCCTTAGGCTTTTTAATAAAGTAAATGTAAGTAATGCCACACACATACACACACAAATCCTGATTTATTCCCTGTTTCTCATACATCGTTGGCATTGTTCTACTTAAACAGCGACAGTGATGACTCCAAAAAAAATGTTTAGAATTAGAAGTGCATGTTAATCTGAGTAACTTAAGTACAGAAAAGAGTTAGTACACCACAAGCATTTTCTACACTTTTATTTTGTGGTGATTGTGAGACAAACACAGTCCAAACAATAGACTTCTTGTCCTCCCCCTCCCAACAACTATCTGACTCCATAGCTCATGCACCCCAATTACAGCAGGTGTCGGGCTGGCATAAAGGCTTCTTACCAGGATTCCAGTTTATCCTTCTCAATCCTTTTCTCATCTCTAACAAAAATGCCACACATACATGTAGTTGTGAGAGGCAAAGTCTTCTTTACACTCACCACCAGGGGGCGTATGGGAGCACAAAAGCCTCACAAAACTGCTCCAGGATCCTGCCTCTTCCAGGGCCGGAATCCGCGGCCTTCCCAGGAATCCTAACCTGGTCTGGGAAGGGGCATCACAAATAAGCTGGCACTCAGTCGTGTATTAAAAGGATCTCTAATGCTCCCTTTAAGACTTTCACTTCTACGCCATCTCTAACAGGGCCATGCAGGTCTCCATGAGATCAGGCTTTTTTGGTCCAGTGTTTCCCAGGTCTTTCCCTACACTGTTTCAGGCCACTTGGGTACCTTTCAGTGCAGACTGCTTCAGGCCAGAAAACCTCACTCCCACCTCTTTCACACTAATGAATTTAATCGGTAGCCAGCAGCCAGGGGAGTTGATGTGGAAGATGCTCTAAGAAGCATCCCCAATTAGCAAGCCTCAGCCAGAAACTACCTACAGGGAGCAGGAGGCCCTAGCGGGAGGCAGCCCACGCCTCATTATTCCTGTAGCAGGAAGGGACGTCCAGACGGGACTCCAGAGGTGATGGAAAGTGGGGGAGGCACAAAAGCAGCAAACAGCAGAAGGAAATGCCAGCAGCTGAGGCTCGGCAGCCAACAGCCACGACATTCAGCAATCTCAGTGTGACAAACAACACATCTGTAGCGTGCTGAGCATGACTGGGGCTCCTCAGACAGATCTGACACCCCTGTCCACCAGGAATCCCACCCATACCCGCACACAGACACACAACAGAGACATGGATGGACACGGGCACGCGCACACACACACACACACACAGCCTCAGTGATGACTTAGCACCTCACTGCCAGGAGTATCTTCTGTAACAGATATATGCATGTGTACATACAGCTCATGCACACACATCAGCACCCACTGCCTGCTCTGCTCCATGACAGTACTGGGAATTCCCCTGTGAATTACCCAAGAAACAAAGTGGGGGCCAGTGAGCAGCCGTGCTTAGCTTCCTTCATAAGCCCATCACCAGCACCTAGGTGTGTTTCCCCGGACTGAACAAGAAATTTTCCCATCTCTGGCCCCCTCCATTAGAAATGAAATCCGTTCTGGTTTTCTAAATCAGTCTGTAAACCATCCTGAGTCAACTCCTTGGGTCATTTTCTTGGGGCTCATTCACTCTAGCTCTAGAATGAAGGAATGGGGGTGGGGAAGACACACCCCATTTGATCTTACAAAACAGTAAAGATTAATGGGAAAGTGTTTTTAAAAAAAAAAAAACCACAAAGAAGCTCCCCACTCAGTAGCAGTTTTGCACATATGTACAATGAGTTTACCAGCCCATAAATATTTTTAACCAACACAACCTCATGCTGTGGTGTGTACAAGGGTCTGAGAGTATATGACTGGCTATCATTTCTTGCTCTGGGCGAGCGTTCGCCTCTTTGCATCTTCTTCTCTAAGTCACTATAAGGTGTCAGTGTCAATCATTACCCTCTCCAGGTCCTGCCGCAGGTGCGTGAACAGCTGCAGCCTCCTAAATAAGACATCCTGCTCCCGCTTGGCTAGATTGTCCTCTTCATCTTTCTTTGGGGTGATCAGGGGCTTGTTGAAGTTGACCTTCCTCTTCAACTTCCAGTACTGGTACAGGAAATCCACTACTTCCTCAGGCAGCCGCAGAGCCCTGGCAACATCCAGCAGGTTGACGAAGGTGTAGAACTCATCCTCCAACTGCTGCAGCTTCTGCTTACGGACACTCACCCGGTGGGCCTCCTCCCGGTTCTGCTCAAGGCTGGCAAAGGGCTCCAGCGGATTCCGGGGGGAACACTCAGGGGCCCCATTCTCCTGTGCAGCCCCCTTGCCAAGACTCTCCTCGGGTTTCCTATGTGAGCTGTGCTTTGGGCAATAGGACTTGAACTTGACTTCATCATTCTCTGCTAAGATGGTCTTCATCTCCAGGCCCCGGTCAAAAGCACAGGTCACATGGAAGGCTGTGCGGCAGTTCTTCACAGAGCACTGTCAAGAACACACAAAGAACATGAGAATAGACCATTATAGAGCAATGATGGCAGAAGGCCTGCAGTGCTAGGCACCCCATGTACACATGCACAGAGAAGAGCCATGCTTCAAGCATGTGCCATGACAGGAAAGTTGTACGTGGATTAACCCTGCAAGATCCTGTCATGTTTTAAAAGAGGTAAGGCTTGGAATTTTTTTTATAGAGATGAGGTCTCCCTATGTTGCCTAAGTTGGTCTCCAACTCTTGGGCAAAAGAGATCCGCCCATCTCAGCCTCCCAAAGTGCTGGGATTACAGGCGTGAGCCACTGCGCCCAGCCAAGTCTTGGAATTTAAGGGCCCTCTTCAAATGAAAGGTTTAATCAACCAAACCCTAACTTCCTCAGAAAAGTAACTGCATCCAAATCCCATCTTGGAGCAGACATGATTACACAAATGACATGTGTAGAGAAAGGAGGTGTGGCACTAGGATCATATTCAAAAGAATCTGTACTCAATATGCAAAGTCCACTTTCAGGCATTAACTTGGGTTTTCTTACAGATTTGAGCTCTTTTGGTGCAAACCTGAATAAGAACCTCCTTGGGAAGAATGACTACTACTCACAGTTTGAACATAAATCCTGACTCCCCAGCCAGGAAGAGTCCCAACACGAGTGAGAAAATGAACAGTGCACTTCCTTGAAGCAGCACGAAGGAGAAACTGAATAAAAACCCCAAAAAATAGGAGACAAGAGGAATCCAGCACAGGAAAGGTAGGGAAAGGTCTTCACACTTGCGAAGAAGCTTCACCAGATGCATGGAGGGCTCTGAGCCCTGAGATCGGTGCACGCCGATCCTGGCCACTGAAGAGAGGCAGGAGAACCGTGAAAGATCCTTCCCATGCGTCACAGGGAGGTCAACGTAGAGGCCAGGTATCAGCAACCTATGCAGAAGAACACTTCCCCTCTCACTGCCTAAACAGGGCCACAATTTAGTGCCTTTGATCCAGACAACAAGCCTCTGGTCTAGCAGGAGCAAAGTGATTAACTCCTCCTCCACTGATCTTGCTGAGCAAATCCCTAGAAGGTGGTTCCTCATGGTGACTGAAGCCAGTCCCTGAAAAGCAGCACTGCATTGTGTGAAGCCAAGTGATCACCGGGGCATGCCAGGGGCTGCACAGAGCTGTAGAATCCAGCGGCTTCAAGCCAACTGAGAAGTTGAATTCAACTCATTCAACAGATCCTGAATCACATCACCAAGGATGGCAGAGGCTAGAGCTGAGGCTTTCCCCCTAATCATTCCAGTATTTAAGAGGAAACTCACTGCCAACCAGGCTTTCTTCCATTACTATGAGGTCTCTTTTACTGAGAAGAGGAGAAAATCCAGCTCCCTTCACCATTCCACCCTTACAAACACTTCAACCACAGAGACTGACATAAATCTGTATTTTCTCTATAAATAACCTCAATTCTAAGAAATGTATGAAATCAGCTTTGGTGGCAGAACACACACACAAGCACGCACACATACACACCTGGCCACTGTCATGAGAAGACAAAGTGTCTTCCCTTGTAGCACACAGCCAAGTGGGAAGTAAAAGTGGGAACAGATGACTGAGACACTATCTGTGTTTGGCTTAAACTACACTTAACCCAAGCGCTCTAACCCTAAAGAGAAATGAACTGCAGCAGAATATTTATACAGGACTTTGTAAAAACGCCAAATGGCCTTCCTCTGGGTTTTCCCATTCAGGTTGACTCAGCAAACAGATGTTACAGAAACGTAAACCAGAGCCTTCACAGCTGCAGACATTTCAGAGAGGAATTCTTTTAATAAAATCAATCCATTCTGTGAAGATATGAAAAATCATCAGCCTTCTTTGGCCTCTTCTTTAGATTAATGTTCTGGGAAAAAGAGGTCAATGGCAACAAAAAAGTCATTATATCATCTCTCTTCAAAAGGGAAACAAAGATCCCATTCGCCCACCTCTTTTAAACATTAATTATGGACCAGATTGGCATACTCAGGCAAGGGCATAAATTCTACGCTCAGAACACCGGGGAATGTGGTCTGCTGCAGCCTGTTTCCTGCCAGTGCACACGTGCATACACATACTTACACACTCATACACATGCACACTCACACATACACGCATACTCACACACATACACATATACACGCATGCATACACACATACACAAGCATACTCACACGCATACACACATACACATGCATACTCACATGCATACTCATGTGCATACTCACGCACTCACGCGCATACACACATGCATACATATGCACACATGCATACACACGCATACGCACTCACGCATGCATACTCACACACATACACATTCACACACGCATACTCAAATACGCATACATGCATACAGCATACATATGCATAACCAAATACACATGCATACACACATACACATAACCACATGCACACTCACACCCCCACACATGCACACATATGCATGCTCACCCACATACGCATACTCACACACACACCCATACACACACACTCACACATGCATACACACACACACTCAAGTTCATCAGCTCCCTGCCCTTTTCTCTTCCTGCTCCACTCTTTCCTCCTCCTTCCCCAATCCAACTCGGGCCAGAGGCGTTTGTCATGTATTCACATGCCAAAAATATCTCCACTATTTCAAGGTCCCCAGCCAAATCCCACCAGCTGTCTCATGACCCACCCTCCAAATATTTCTGTTATATTTTGGATTCTTGAACACTAGTCAAAGTGATAAAGAAGAAAAGTAGAACCACTTGGCTTGTTAAAAAAATTTAAAAATAGCCAGGCGCGGTGGCTCAAGCCTGTAATCCCAGCATTTTGGGAGGCCGAGGTGGGTGGATCACGAGGTCAGGAGTTCGAGACCAGCCTGGCCAACATGGTGAAACCCCCATCTCTACTAAAAATACAAAAATGAGAATTAGCCGGGCTTGCTGGTGCGCGCCTGTAATCCTAGCTACTTAGGAGGCTGAGGCAGGAGAATCGCCTGAACCCGGGAGGCGGAGGTTGCAGTGAGCCGAGATGATGCCACTGCACTCCAGCTTGGGCGACAGAGTGAGACTCTGTCTCAAAAAAAAAAAAAAAAATTTTAAAACCACCTTCCCAAAAAGTATTTATCAGTCAAAATACAAACCGACTTTGCCAAATGAGGTCATTTCTTTAAAACCCATGGCTGACAGGATGACCATGCTCTCGGAGCTTATGTCTGTGCTGAGCTGCTTTGAGAAAGAAGCCATCCCAAAACAGTGCCTCTGCTCCCAGAATTCAATGAGGAAACCAAGGAAGAAGAGCCTGTGGCCTGTGCTAGTACATCCGAGAAGATCCAAACTTAACCTGAAGGGCCCCCATCAGCCACACAGCACTGCAGGCCTCTCTAATCCTGACTGTCTAGATGTCAATAATGTGAGGCCTAAAAACGAACTTCTCAGTAGGGTCTTAGACCACATGAAAAACAGCATGCCATCTATATTCCCTCCTTAATTCCCCTATCTCATGACATCCTATACTTGTCTGTACCTGGATATGCAAAAGCAGGCAGGCAACATGTTTACACACAGGTGTGCACGCACTCTTTCGCTCACGCTCACACACACACACACGTGCATGCGCGCCTGGTGCCATAAAGAATCAGACATCCAAATGATGCCCCAATGAGATGACAGCATACACAGGAACTCCTCACAGATGCCCCTCTACCCAGGCCGTGTTCAAAGAGTCTCTGTTTTTCCAACTGCAAATGCATTAGCATGTCCCCTTGATTACTAACAGATGTGCGCACACCATGGAAACCTGCAATCTCAGGAGGCCGCCACAGAGGTGGGCCAGGGTCTGCAGCTACACTCAGTGACTGCAGGTGGGAGGGTGGCCAACTCTCAAATGCCGTGTCAAGGAACATCTCACTAAGACTGCTAGGAGGTGTTGGCCTATGGAAAGAAGTTGCGATGCTAGACTTTGGGCAGAAAGGGTAGCGAGAGACAAACTGCAACCGCCTCACAGCTCAGGGGAACTTCTGAACTACCCTGTGACTGTGAAAGCTTGGGTTCTAGTTACACCGGATACAGTTAGCCTATTAAAGGTGTGTGTACTGGGGCTGGAGTCACCCCTTGGGAACCTCGTCCTGCTTCCTGGATTCTAGTCCCCTCTCCAAACCCTTGGACAGTTCACAGAGCCTTCCCTCATCCTGCTCCCCACCACGCAGGAAAGGAAAATGAAGCCATTCTTAGGAAGCTAATTACCTGTATAGAGGCCCCAAACTTCTCATTGCAGAGGCTGCACACTAGCGCCCACCGGCTGCTGGGAATGTGTGACACCTTGGTGATGGGCTCCATCTTCTCTGGGCTGCCAATGCTCACCTAAAGGTCGGAAAACAGCAAGACAGGGTGGCTCAGGTCGTCAAAGGCTGAACATGAATGTCAGAAACTAAAAGATCCATTACTTTCCTACATCTCTCCTACCAGACAGTGGCAAGGGGCACCCACTCAAAGCAAACCCTTACTTTAAAAGCCTCAGAACAGCCCCAGTGACAACTGAGCTCACAGCCCAGTCCCCATCTGACAGACATCCCTGTCTGTCAAAAACACTTAGATAACTGAGTTTTCACTTCTCACCGGAGCGTCTGATGACAAAGAGTCATGTACCAGGACAATGCCGTCTATAATCTCTAGCTCATAACAAATTGGTGAAGACTAAAAATCCATCTTAAATCGATTCAAATAGGTTGTCAACAACAGGGTAAGTAAATATAACCTGTTTTTAATCTCTCGCCAAAAAAAACCATTTTCTTCAGTCTGAAACATGACTACATTCAAGATGGGAAATTACAAAGATAAATAAGGTATCATCTCTGCATTCAGCCTGGATCACCGAATTGTATCCCATCAATACCAAACCACGAGACTCAGTGCTACCAAGACCCGAATCATGAAACCTCAATCCAAATCATCCTCAAATAATATTCCCCAAGAGGAAAATGTACCAAAATCACACCCAAAACATGCTGGAATTTGAATAGCAAATTATATTCTCACACTGAGCTATGCAAATTATATTAGTCAAGGTCTGAGACTAGAAATAAATTAGACCAGACCTGAAATTAAAAAGGTTGAGGCACAATAAGAGTTTAAATAAAAATCACCAAAGTATGCCTAAGAGTGGTGGTTTTTTAACCATGGTGGTGCCTCAACTCAAGTACAGCTTGCCACACACAGGATGTACAGCTGATCCTTGGGGAATGACACACCCAGGCCACAGCTGTTTAAGTGCTACAGGTCTGCTCCTGAGAGTGAGAGTCGCGATGGGAAGGCTCACTGTGATGGCTGGGTGACCACCACTAACTTCCAGTCCCAAGTGACTGCTGCTTCCAGCTAACATTTCCATGAATCTACATTCCATGACAAGATGAGAGTGTGCTTAAGATTCAGTTTTTCCTCAAGGAAAAAGGTAGCAACTAAAAGGTATCTTTTTACTCATAGCTGCAATGCTGCCTATTTATGCATGGTTCTCCACCCACCCACTAAATCCCAGTTAAAAGCCAGGACCTTCTGAGCTAAGGTGCTATTAAAAACCATGCTTGACCAGGCACAGTGGCTCACGCTTGTAATCCCAACACTTTGGAAAGCCAAGGAAAGAGGACTGCTTGATCCCAGGAGTTTGAGACCAGCCAGGTCAACAAAGTGAGATCCCCTCACTACAAAAAATAAAAAATAAGCTGGGCCTGGTAGCACATGCCTATAATCTCAGCTACTCAAAAGGCTGAGGTGGGAGGATCACTTGAGCCCAGCAGGTCAAGGCTGCAGTGAGCCATGATCCAGCTCACTGCACTCCAGCCTGGGCGACAGAGTTAAACTCTGTCTTAAAAAAAAGTAAAAACAACAAAAAAAGAACCACACGTACCTCAGGGATCCACAGAGCACAGCTAACGTGGACCCACTTGGTTCCGCTACGGGTGGGCTTCATAGCTCCACCCTTCTTCGGACACAGCAGACATTTTGGCTGAACCCCCAGGGCACATGTCCGGCACAGCCAGCTGCCCTCTGGTACCTTGAGGATTCCATAACAGGCCTGTGATGCCACGGCACATCCCAGAGGAATAGAGAGAAAGAGAAAATGTTATTTTTCCCATTATATCTATTCATTTTAAACACTTAGAAAGATTTTAACAGAACTACCACCAAAGCAGAGACGCTCCCACAGCTTCCTGGCTACGACCGTCTCCCCTCGGGAAAATGCCCGGCAGCCTCACAGGAGCATTTAGGAGGTGAATATGTATTCATAATAGAGGTGAGCTCTGCTGACACAATACATATTTATTTAGCAGAGGGTGGTCCTGGAAACTACTTGAGGACAGAAAGGTTTAAATGAAATCTGCTTTGCTGTGTTGCCGCAGAAACCCATCCATACCAAGTTTCTAAATATTGAGCAGTAAGTCCTCAGTAAGTCCTCGAAACACTCCACAGGGTTCCGTGAGAGAAGCTATTTCTCTACTTTACTGACAGAGGTGGGGTGGAATACAGAGTGTGGAGAAAAAGCATACAGCAGCTGAGAGAATCTCCCAAAGCTGCTGAATGAGATGGCAATGGAACAGGAGAGAAGCATGCACACTCCCTAGGCTAAGCAAACTCCATACCAACTAGATCCCAGCACTCTCCCAGTGAACAAAACAGGGCAGAAAAAGGAGACCTTCTACACAGGAAGAATGTCGTCTCCTTAGCTGGTATTTAAAACAAATTCAGCCTTTCAGAAATGGAGACAAAAAAAACAATTTAAATTAAAAAATAAAACAAAGCCTGTTTTGTACAAGATGGCAAAATTAAACAAGATGGCATAAACTGCAGAAATCAAGGCTATTACAACTAAAGTAATTAAGACAGTTCAAAGACAGAAAAGGTTAATGTTAAATAACTGAATAAATAAAAACCACGATGGTACCAGGAGCATATTCAGAGAGCCCTTTAAAAACCCAACTGTTCAGCACTTTATTCATAAATGACCTGGAAGTCAGGAAGTCGAGAGTCACAGTAGCATAGCTCTAATTCTTCAGACAGAAAAAACACAGCCACTATGCAATCTGAATACCCACGACGATGCAAAGAGGAAACCACAAGGATGAGAGTTGAGCAAAGAAAAGTCACACTTCAGATGGAAGCCTCAGAGTGCTGTTTGGGGGCCATAAATAAGCTACCGTCAACGCAGACTTACTAGAAAAAAATTTTTAATGGAGTTAAGTGACACTATAAAGGTTTCAAAACACTAAAGGTCTGTATCAGACATTCTACAGCCACATGTGAAGGAAGAAATTTTTTTCCTGGAAAAGCAGGTCTAAATTAATTTAGGAGATTACATAAAGTATGCCTTAAAGATAAGCCATGAAGGATTTCTCAAAGGAAAAATGAAGTAAATGTTGAGGAAAAGAGAAAAGGTGATATGGCAGAAAGAAGAGAAGGTGAGAAGGGGGCATCCAAAAGCCTTAAGTTACAACTCTGCCACACGTCCACCGTGAGAGCTTGCACAAGCCTGCCCTGACATCAGTTAACTCACTGATAACACAGGGGTTGACCAGTTTTCAAGCAGAAAGCTTTTACTCAAAAAAATTTTTCATGGGGAAAAAAATAGCAAGTAAAGACAAGAAAAAGACTGAGAAGTCAGCCAAGTAAATACATGAAGCACCAGCAACCAAAAAAGCAACACTGGTCATCAGGATGCTCATGTCACAGAACAAAGCCACCACAGGAATTCTCACTACCGTAAGGAGACTTCCCAGACAGTGTGAGATCCAGAGCAACAGACGGCGATGACTGAAGCAGGAGTCGCAGGTCTCCCTATCAAGGAGCCAGGACTGGGCCACAGCTGGGGAGGTCTTCAGACAGAGGGAAAGCCTAGGAGGTCACAAATTATGAAGCAAAGGGTAATCAAGAACTTCATGGAGCAAACGTGCTTCTTCTTCCCAAGAAGTCACCAAGCACCTATTCCATACAAGTCTTTCTTTTAAGTTTGCTTTAAATCTCAGCATCAACAGGTGAATTTAAAGAAAGTACTTCAGGATAGCCTTTTAAATCCTAAGAATATACGTGGGCACATGTCCCCACCCAAATCCAAATTTCTTCATTACTGCATTAAAAACTAAATAAAAAAGAGGCACTGAGATTGTCATAAACTTTTTAAGTTACCTAGCGCCCATCCTCCTGAAATCTAAGGGTTTCCCTTTCTGTGGATGGTAGCAAGCAATCACCAAAACCTACTGTCCTGTTTTTTAAGACAGGAAATCGTCTTCAGGAAAAGGGGCTGCTTTCCTCTAACAGCTCAGCTTATACCCTAACACATGCTCACAAATATGACGGCAAATTGTGTCCTCTAAAAGACATGTTGAAGTCCTAACTCCAAATATCTCAAAATGTGACCTTCTTTAGATTTAGAAGTAGTCATTGCAGATGTAATTATTTAAGATGAGCTCACTCTGAAGTAGGGTGGGTCTCTAGTCCCATACGACTGGTACCCTTCTAAGAAGACCGCCATGTGGACCGGGCACGGTGCCTCACACCTGTAATCCCAGCACTTTGGAAGGCCAAGGTGGGCGGATCATGAGGTCAGGAGTTCGAGACCAGCCTGGCCAACATAGTGAAACCCCATCTCTAGCCAGGTGTGGTGGCACACTCCTGCAGTCCCAGCTACTCGGGAGGCGGAGGAGGAAGAATCACTTGAACCCAGGAGGCGGAGGTTGCAGTGAGCCAAGACCACGCCATTGCACTCCAGCCATCTCAAAAAAAAAAAAAAAGAAGACCACCATGTGAAGACAGAGACACAGGGAGAACACACATGATGATGAAGGCAGCCGCGAGCCAAGGAATGCCCAAGATTGCCCAAATCACCATAAGCTACGAAGAGGCAAGGAAGGGCTCTCCTGCATGTTTCAGAGGAAGCACAGCACTGCCACCACCTCAATTCTGGACTTTTAGTTTCCAGAACCACAAGACAATACATTTTTGTTGTTTTAAGCACACACAGTCTGTAGTAATTTGTCTGTTCCACAGGGCAGCTGTAAGAAACTAATACAGCACACTAACCACCTTTTCAAAGGTTTGTTTTCTCAGTGTTCTTAATACCTAAATTTAAGTGTTACAGTAGGACAGAGGGGGCTCATACATTCTTTTTAAGTAAACTTGACTTTTATGGATAAGAATAAAACACTGTGAAGAAAGACGATTTCCACAGAGGGTGCTATCCTTCTGGCTGCAAAAGCAGAGGATATATTTCAATCACTGTAAGAACCTACTAGGGAAAAATAAAGTCTATAGGGCACATTTCTTTAAATCGTAGAAACACAGACCCCATTCGGAGGAAGAATCCTGGACTCCAGGCATACACTCCCACAGCAGACAGGCTCATGCCCCAGGTTTCTTCTTTCTGGCCTCCCTGCCCCACATACCTGGTGCACACAGATGTTGCATTTGTCACAGAACACCATCTCATTGCCGTCCTCACCATCAGGAGACTGGCAGACATCACAGACAACATCTTCATCATATTCGATCCCCAGGCCTTCCTCAGTCTCTATGGCATGATTCATATTGTCGTAGCATCGCTGCTCAAATTCCTCTAGGACCCTCTCCATGGTGTATTCATCTAGTTCAGGCATTCCTGAAGTTAAAAATGCCACAAAACCCATTTTAATAAATCCATATTAATAAATATTACAAAATAGTACTGGTTTATTTATACTTAAAAATAATGTATAATGAATAAATAATTGTACAATAAATAAATCCAATCACTGGCCAGGCGTGGTGGCTCACATCTGAGCCCAAGAGCTCAAGGTCAGCCTGGGCAATATAGTGGAACCCCATCTCTACAAAAAATATGAAAATTAGCCAGACGTGGTGGCACACACCTGTAGTCCCAACTACTCAAGAGCCTGCGGTGGGAGAACTGCTTGAGCCCAGGAGGTTGGGGCTATAGTGAGCCATGACTGTGCCACTGTGATCCAGGCTGAGTGACATAAGACCGTGTCTCAATCTATCAATCAATCAACCCATCGATGCATCCATCTCTGAGGGCCCCAAAATTTTTTATTAAATGCTTATCAGATCCTTCTAAGAAACAATCTTCAAAGGGGAGAGTCTTCCAGGAAACTGTTATTTTCCTATGGTCAGGTAGTGAAGATGCAGTGTAGTAAATGGAAAAGCAAAAGGTAAATTTTAAAAGGATTCAAGGATATTAAATACATACATTGTTGAATAAGTCATTTCATTATACTCATTACACATAACAACTAACACGTAAGTGACTTCAAAACCATGACTTCATATAATGGTATGGATGTTTTTAAAAATTTGCCTTTCTTGGTAGGTAAAACAGTTCTCTCAAAACAGATTTCACTTTGGGCACTCAAATATTTTTAAATGGTTTATCCCTCCTCATCCTCTTACTTCTACAAGGTTGAAAAACATAGTTAACCAAATGCAAAAAAGACTGAAACACCAGGCGCGATGGCTCATGCCTATAATCCCAGTACTTTGCAGGTAGATCATTTGAGGTCAGGAGTTCACGACCAACCTGGCCAATACGGCGAAATCCTGTCTCTACTAAAAATACAAAAATTAGCCAGGCATGGTGGCAGGTGCCAATAATCCCAGCTACTTGGGAGGCTGGGGCAGGAGAATCGCTTGAACTCAGGAGGTAGAGGTTGCAGTCAGCCGAGATTGCACCCCTGCACTCCAGCATGGGCCACAGAGCGAGACTTCATCTCAAAAAAGAAAGAAAAAAAGACCAATAACAGCTAAGACAAACATATTTAAGCATGCGTTCCGTTTATGTTATAAAATTACAAAATTAATCTTGCCAATGTATTCAACAGTATCTTCAAATATGGATTAGCCCAGTTCTTATTATTTAAACCATTCATAAATGCGAAGAGTCTTTGGGCTGAGTCCTCTGACTTAACACAGGACACCTAGATTCCAGTCAAGTGTATTACACTGGTCTTTATAATGTGCTTACAACACAGCAGAAACTGTATCATCTGTGAAGCTAAAATTTAGTATTCAATTCCAAAAGATCTCTGAGAACTCCTGAACTCATGCCATAAAACCACCTTGTGGCCTGCTAATGTTTTGGCCATTAATACCTAAAGCAGGACCAAGAAGAAGGAAGTCTATTTTGTCTATAAAAACACTTGAGTAACTGAGCGAGTAGAAGACAACACCATGCTCAGCTCAGTCTACATTATCACTCCCATTCAACAGGTGGTGAGCCTAATGGCAGGACAAGCATCTACTGCAAGCCACACCCTATGCTACGTTCCCTGGAAAGACGCAAAAGGTCTTGGCCCTTCAAGGCTGTGAAATCCACCATGACAAAAATCTTGTGATTTTTTTTTTTTTTTGAGATGGAGTCTGGCTCTGTTGCCCAGGTGGGAATGCAGTGGCACAATCCCGGCTCAAGGAAACCTCCACCCCCTCAAGTGACTTGAGAAGAATCACCTCAAGTGATTCTTCTGCCTCAGCCTCCTGAGTGGCTGGGACCACAGATACCCACCACGACGCCTAGCTAATTTTTGTATTTTTAGTAGAGACGGGGTTTCACCATGTTTGCCAGGCTGGTCTTGAAGTCCTGACCTCAGGTGATCTGCCCACCTTGGCTTCCCAAAGTGCTGGGATTACAGACATGAGCCAACAAGCCCGGCCGATCTTGTGATTATTTACTATGTCCTAGATTACAATACATGGCCCTTGCCACCACCTCCCCACCGTGTACCTACAGCACAAAAGCTAATTAATCCTCACAGTTTTTCACACTGAGCCCAGACTTGACTCCACTGTCTTGTTCATCAAGACCCTCAAGGCAACCCTTAGCAATCAGGACTGGCATGTGAGATGAGACCTATACGCCATCCCAGTCTCAACACCATGAGATGCTCCAACGTCTACATACGCTAAAATGAGCTTGCAGAAAAGAGGTGGAGAAGGGCTGGGCACACAGCTAATGTCAGGCTTCACTGAAGGAAAGCCAGGACAGAGATAAACGGAGGGAAAAAGAACTCCAGGTTTGCAGCATGACATAAGGAAAATCGCTCAAGTTAAAACACACATGATGTGCTTGGAAATGGGGAGCATGCCTGGAAGAGTGTTCATTTAGAGAAGCAGCAAACCACGGCTAAAGAAGGAATCCGAATGGCATCACAGGAAAAAAACACTAGAGCAGGTAACTGTGGGCCATGCCCTTTTGTCACTTCGTTTCCCTGGACTTCAGCTTCCTTAAGGTAAGTGAATGAGGGAGTTAGATCAGAGCGGGGATGGGAATCCCTGGTGCCTGAGCCGAGGAGCCTTGCTTCCACTCTGAAACCATCTCAGCACATCTGACACAGCCAAACAGGCTGAGATCTAAGGCAGGGCTGCGATTCTCACTGACTAAAGCTATGATGGAGCTGCCTGCAACTGGCAATAAGGAGCTTTCTGCTACTCACCTACCTGCCTAAAATGTCTCTATTCATCATTGGTTAATAAAATAATAGAATACATGGTCTCTCACCCATCTCCTTAAATTCTTCATTGGTCAGTTCCAGCCATGCAGCATCCATGTCATTGAGGTCATAGCGACACACGCTGTCAGCCAGCGTCCGGATGTCCACATAGCCCAACTCGGGAGGCTCAGAGCCTGATGACACGATGTACTTCTTGGGCCTGATGAACATGAGGGATTTCTCTTCAGACACAACCCTGGATAATAAAAAAACAAGGCAGCCAGGTTACCCTTTCAGCCACAGACAATGAAGTGTGCCACAAGGCCCCAAATGTCTTCCTCTTCCAACCCTTAGAGCCCCAGGTCATCACCAGAGGCTGAAAACCTGAATGTCACTGCTAATAAAACCTTAACTAGAAGTTGTTAAAGCCTGCTAACAGGCAATAGATACAAATGAAAACACTGTAGAAGCCTTCAAAATCTGCTTCCCGGGACCCTGCTGTGCCCTGCCCACCACCTCTGACCACTCTGGCCTGCAGCCAACACCAAAACACACTGACCCATACATTTCAAGAGTTAGTCATTAAATCACTTTCCCTTAACCAGACCTGCCCATCCCTGCTGGAGGCCATTAGAACCAGGGCACCACACAGGCAGGGCAGGCGCAGCAGACTCTGAGAACCAGAGGGAGAAACCCGCCAACCCTCACACCTCACAAAAAAAAAGAGGGAGAGAGGGAAAAGAAAATCAGGCCTTGGGCTGGGGCAAGGTGGCCCAAGCCTGTAATCCCAGCACTTTGGGAGGCCGAGGCAGGCGGATCATTTGAGGTCAGGAGTTTGAGACCAGCCTGGCCAACACAGTGAAACCCCATCTCTACTAAAAATACAGAAATTAGCCAGGTATGATGGCACACGCCTGTAACCCCAGCTACTCGGGAGGCTGGGGCAGGAGAATTGCTTGAACCCAGGAGGCGGAGGTTGTAGTGAGCCAAGATTGCACCACTGCACTCCAGCCTGGGCAACAGAGTGAGACTGTCTCAAACGCAAACAAAAAAAAGGAAATAAGACCCCGGCCATTACCAAAAAATCTAAGAAACAGAGTCCCAGCCAAGAAGGGGACTGACTCTCCCAACATATACCCATGATCCCAGGAACAAAAGCACAAGTTTCTCCTCCTGGTACTGCCACACAATCTCTCCCGACCTTTAACACCTGGAGTGGTGCCTTCCAACTCACCCCACTCAAAATAAGACTGCATGTGCAAGAGCAAATCACTCCCGACTTGGAACCAAAAAAAGGCCATCTTCCTAATCACAGACCCCAGGCCTCAACAAAGTCCTTCCACATATGCATTTCCACAGTTTAAATTACTGTCAACAGGCTGCCCAGAGTCTGTCAGAGTACCTTCATCACCCTTATATTACGGGAGTGATTTTATCTACGTGACACTGACATGGACAAACTGAAGGGATTTATTTCTCCTACTCAGCCAAGAGCAGGGATCCAACTTGCTCAGGGCTCCAACTTTAATACAGCTTGTAAAACTTCCACAAGCTGTATTAATGCTCACTTCTGTCCTGGCTCCCCACTGAAAGTGAAGCATTCAGCAAGTGATTCCTGGACTGGGGCTGCCAGTGCTGAATCAGGTGATGCTGCATCTCAGACACAGGCTCTGAGGCAGATACCTGGTCTGCCCCGCAGGGCCCCATGACCACTCCATTCCACAGGTCCAGACTCTAGCCTGTGGGGGCCATCCTGGCACTCCTGACTGGTCACCTAAACCTGAGTAAGACAGGGGCATTTGTCACCACTGGATAGACTCCCCAGAGATCCCAAAATGACAACTCAAATTTGATAATCTTAAGTGCCCAAAAAAAGAGACACAAAGTGGGTGAGGGCCAGGAAGCAAGTTCAGTAATGACTCAGCGTGGAGAAAGACACTATTTCGCAAAGCAGCAGCCAACTGATGATGGCGGAGAAGCCAGGTGCCGGCTGAGCACAGAGGGCACTCAAGCCTCCCTCCTAACAGGACTCTCCAGGTGGCACAGAGTGGCACAGTGAGGAAATGAGTAAACTAGCTGCAACCTGATTGTGAGGAGAGTCGGCAGGGACTCGACCCTGAGGGATCCTTAAAGATAAGTCAGTAAATCCAGAGAACGTACCCCAAGAATAATGTGACCAGTCAAAATAAATCCCTCCAAAACTCCCCTCTCCACAAACCCTAACTGACAGGTCTCCTAACACCTGTCCTCCTCCAAAGGCAGAGGCAACCGCAGTAGGCAGAGCAGCTGCCCGCGCTAGTTCCCAACAAAGCCAGATGCTTCTCTCCAGGAGAGCCACTCTCCAGAGCGAATACGGAGGGCAGGAAAAGAGGATGCAGACGTGTGAACACCCAAATTTTCCTCCCCTAGCCCATCACTTCCCAGGATGTCTTGGAATTTGCCTTCCTCTCATAAGAAAGCAGCACCTCCCCACAGTGGTGGCTGTAATGTTAAGTTTGGAGGCTCATGGCCCTCAAAACCACTACCCTGTATGCCTGAAGTATGTTGCTCCTGAATTTCTATTTCCACTTGAGGCCTCATGATATTTTAATGCTAACTCAGAAACTGTCTCTTCCCACAGAAATTGTCTCTTCTCAGATGCCTGCTGTCAGGGAAGAAGAGCAAGGGTGGGTGGAGAGGCTTCTGTCCTCAGGGCATCTCTACCTGGCCACAGGCTGAGGGATGGTCCCCGGGCTCACAGGCACCTGGACCCCTTTCTCCCATTCCTGTCTCCAGGGATCTGCCAACACATAGTACTCATCCGGATTCAGCTGGTAGGAGTCATGCAACTTCATGGCAGTGATCAGGTCTGTCCTAAACACCTGGAAAGGAAGAGAAAGGGACACTGACATTTGATATTTGCATTCTTATTCAGAGTGCTGGCAGCTGCAATGTAACCATGGAGCTGCCATGTAACAAGGTCACTGTATCAACATAGAACAAGCCTGACCTATTACAGAAAAACTTTGCCTGACACGCCTTTTACCTCACTCAGGCATGGGGGGTGGCAGTGCTGAGGGAACACTGCCCTCTCACTCCCTCAGTCCATAGTGTCCACAACAACGTCAACAAAAACAACAAAAAATCTTGTTGTCCGCCTCTGAAAAATGTCTCTCAGTTCACCAAAAGGGCTGCTGAAAACATGTACCTGGAAATCTCTGAAGGGAGATACTGCACTCAAGGGTGCTCTAGAAATATAACTCCACTAACCATGTAACAACTTCAAGCCAAAACCCAGAACCACCAGGGACTCATCTCCTTTTTTTTTTTTCTGAGATGGAATCTTGCTCTGTCACCCAGGCTGGAGTGCGGTAACACAGTCTTGGCTCCCTGCAACCTCTGCCTCCCAGGTTCAAGCTATCCTCCTGCCTCAGCACCCCCGAGTAGCTGAGATTACAGGTGCACGCCACCACGCCCAGCTAATTTTTGTGTTTTTAGTAGAAACAGGGTTTCATCATGTTGGCCAGGCTGGTCTCAAACCATTGAGGTCAGGACCTCAAATGATCTACCTGCCTCGGCCACCCAAAGTGCTGGGATTACAAGCATGAGCCACTGCTCCTGGCCAGGGACTCACCTTCTATAATGAGACTGCCCCCACCCAGGCCCTACCTCCCAGGGCACCAGGGTTTATGGTATGGTAGCTGGTGAAGTCAAGGTCTGGGCTGGCCTAGAAAAATCTGGAAGAGAAGCAACCACAGGCCACTGGGTTGATGGGCCTGCAAAAAACATGTTTGCACACCTTCACCTGGCAAAACTTCTACCTGGGAAGAGTTATTTGTGGGGAAAGGAAATAGAGAAAGTCACTACCCTCTCCCCACTCTGCCAAAAACAGGCAGATCCAACAGTGCCCCTCTACCGAGAGAGCTCCCCAATTCCTTATCACAGGCCAAATGAAGGAAACCACAGGAAAGGCAGCCATCCCAGTGCCTATGCCACTGCAGACTCCTGGGCCTGTGGCATTCATCCTTGGTCAGTGAGGCCTGCCCCTGGGGTGGAGCACAACACCGCCTCCCAGCCAGGGCTGCACAGCTGGCTCCCTCTCAAGCCTCGTCCTTGGCCCACTGGTGTCTAAGGCTGCATAAGAAAGCTCTGACCTTGACATCAGGACCAGCCCAAAGTTGTGTTTGGCATCGAGCAAGCTTGCATCTGTAAGCTGCCCTGTCTGTTTACACAAGTCACAATGCTGAACTCTCTTTTCTCAGGACAGGGAGTTCTTTCTTGTGCTACTAAGCACAGTTCACATCATACGCCTGCTAATAGGTCCATATTTGTTTTTCCTGGTGGCTTTTCAGGCTAGTGATCACTTTAATAAACTTCCCCATAATAAAGTCTGAGGCAGTGTCTGAATAAAGAGGCCATTTCTCCTGCCTGTCATTTTCCATACGGACTATTCCCCAGTATGCCACTCTTCATTTCTAAAGACCTATTAACAAGCAAGAATTAGGCCATGCACCTCCCACAAAAATCACGTGTAATACCAGGATCCTTCCCTTCAAGCATAGAGCCGCAGAAGCAGGTGCCCAGCCCAGTGGACACCAACTCCCTGGCCCCCAAGAGAAAAGTACTTTAAAACCTAAGAGATGGGCCTATACCTTCAAGAGCCAATCAGGTAAAAACATATTCCAACTAACTGATATAAATAAAAAACAAAGGAGTTTGCCAAAAAAGAAAGAAAATCAAACTGAAGCAATGAAATGAAAAAAAGGCAGCCTGCTATTCCTTTGCTCAAAGACTCAGTCAAGAACTGAAACAAAGGCCCTCAAATGGACGTCAACTCTGGAGTCTCTGGTAGAGTATGTTAGTGCCATACATATAGTTTGGACTCAGGGTTGAGAAAAACATCTGGACCAAAATGTAGGGCTGGGACAAAGCCAGCACAGCAACCCGTGCTGCTGGGCCCCCTTCTCCATGCTTGGTGTCACTGCTGGAAGTAGGTTTCGAACTACACCACTGGGGACCAGCCCTCGTCACACCAGGTCACAGCTGCTAAGTCCCCCTTGTATTCCTGTGCTGAAGTAACAGGAGTTTAGTGTGAACATCAGAAAGGTATTTTGGGGGTTACAGACACAGCACAAGGAATTAAGAAATAAAGAGCAGCAGAGACACTCCTTGGCAAAGAAAAGGAAGAGAGCACTAAAGGTTCAAAGGAAAAAAGGCCTGAAATAAAGTAAGGGGAAGAAGTGGCTACCTTCCCAAGTACATTTGATCTCATGCTAAAGTGCCTCCTGGGATGGTTTTCCACAATTCTAAAGGATGTAAACTACTTCCTCATGGAGGAAGCTATTCCACAACCAAATAACTCCTCCACTCCACAGCAGGGCAGCCTTCTGACGTTCCCTATTAGAGCCTGGGAAGTTCCTCCAAGGAATATCTGCCTATGCATTGCCATTACAGGATGAGGCTGTTTGTGAACTCATCCCATAAGAAGCAGCACAAAGCAAAGCATTCAACCAAAGAAACTCTTCCTATAACCTTCTCACTTGAAAACTGTGATAAAATAAAATGTTTTTCTTCGATGATTTAAAGCCTAGCAAAAGTCTT
Source organism: Homo sapiens (assembly GCF_000001405.40). Lineage (NCBI taxonomy): Eukaryota > Metazoa > Chordata > Mammalia > Primates > Hominidae > Homo > Homo sapiens. The sequence goes on along the minus strand of NC_000004.12, from coordinate 128,843,655 downwards.
TAGAATAAACAGACCTCAGGTCTCATAAGGACCCCTAAACAAAGACCAGCAGAAAGAAATGCACCTAAAAGCAACTTTAGATAGATAGATAACAAAAGTTAGGGAGCAGAGGAAACATAAGATGAGAAACAAATTGAGAAAGAATGGGGAAAGCCTTCAGCATAATCCCCTAAACAAAAGTCCCAGAGTTTTGCTTGTTGCCAAATAAGCCACAAACCCATGGCTAAAACTAACTTGAGGCTGGCAGTGACTTGGCAGCAGCTGAACCTGCTGATATCCTGGCCAGAGGAAGAAAAGTTGTTGGGAGCCAGCGAAGATGCAACAAGAAAGGAAAAAAAGAATGTAATTAATAATAATAACTAACATTTACTGAGCACTTTTTATGTGCCAGCAACTATTCACATGCTTTGCATGTATTAGTCTATGTGAATTAACCCACTTAATCCTCACAACAATCCTATGAGGTAGACACTTGTGTTCTCCCCGTCTTACAGATTTGGAAACTGGAGCACAAGGATTTGAATAATTTGCCCAGGACTGCACAAATAGATACCACTCAACTAGGCATATGGGATAGCATATATTCATGCACGGTCAGGCAAGCATTCAAGAAGTACCTCTGAAGGCTTTCGATCTTCATGTCTGGAGCAGGAGCTTCTCCTATGCTGGGATCGGGAATTCTGGGACCAAGTAGTTGACAGGCCTAAAGAAACAAATATCCAAATAAGAACCATTAGAAATTGCAGGGGTCACTGAGTGTTCTCAGGGGTTTTCTTACCCAAACTCATCCCAGGCTCACCTCAGCACTGCACCATGAGACCACCTGTGATGCCCTCCTGGCTCTCACAGAGCTCTTCCACGTCCATCAGTTATTTAACTCTCACCTCTCATAAGCAGGCCTAATGTGCTCATTCTGTGCAGGGATGCTGTATCAAGGACCACACCCAACAGAAGAGAGGACTTTAAGAACACCATGCAGGTGTAGTCTTCACCCATAAGCCTGCACTGAAGAGGTTCAAAGTCTCATGCTGCTAAATACAAATTGAAAAAATATCAGGCCAGGGGTGGCGGCTCACGCCTGTAATCCCAGCACTTTGGGAAGCCAAGGCAGGTGGACCACCTGAGGTCAGGAATTCAAGACCTGCCTGGCCAACTTGGTGAAACCCCACCTCTACTAAAACTACAAAAATTAGCTTCGCGTGGTGGCAGGCACCTGTAATCCCACCTACTCGGAAAGCCGAGGCAGGAGAATTGCTTGAACCTAGGAGGCAGAGGCTGAAGTGAGCCGAGACTGCGTCACTGCACTCCAGCCTGCGGGACAGAGCAAGACTCTGTCAAAAAAAAAAAAAGAAAGAAAGAAAAGAAAAGAAAAACATCTTACTGAGTTTTCAGGAAGCTTTCTAAAACACTGTTTTAAAAAAAGGTTTCACTCTACAAGGCCTAAAAACTTAGCAATCCCTAGACAGGGAACCTCAGGCCTATGGTGTAGTAAATAGCTAGCATAGTGCCATAAGAAGAGAGGACGGGAGGTAAACAAACTTAGTGAAGACTAAGGGGCCAATTGCCAAATAACCTTTAAAATTTGCTCCACTTTCCCATGAAAATTCCAGTTGGCTCTGTTCTCTGCCTTTCTTCCAAAGGGGGGTCTACTCCTATCATCTGGCCTCCCCCAGAACATGGTACCTAACTGCTGCCTAACAGGGTCTCCCAACTGCTGCCAAGTCTGATCTCTTCTCTGCCCTGACACTTCTCAGCACCAACAACTCCATCCTGCCTGAAATACTCCCTCAGCCTCAGTGGCAATTCTCTTTCCACTCTGTGGGTTCCTCCTCTCCATGTACCCCATCAACATGGGTTTCTCCTGAACTCTTTGCTCTTTTCTTGCTCCAAATATTCTCCCCGGGGGTGCTCACCCATGTCCACAGTCTTACCCAGCACACCCAGAGGAACCTGCCAGACCTACATTCCCAGACTAACCTCCCTCCCAAGCTCCAGATCCAGTTTCACCTTCACATAAGACATCAATCCTAAGGTATTCCTTAGATCTGTCAACTCAGCATTATAAAAACTGAGCTCAACATTTTACCCAAACCTGTTCTGCCTCTTACATTCCTACTTTGATGACTATTACCACCATTTCTACTTGACGTCAGAAATCTAAGAGTTGTCCTAGACTCTTCTCATTCAGGACACAATCAATGGTAGGTCAATTCAACTTCCCAATAATTCCAGCTCCTCTTCTCCATCTCTGCCTCTGCCTCCTGTTAATTTGTTACAAAGACAACTTAAGTGCAAAACCTTCCATTTGTGGGTGCCGTACTGCTGCCAGAGATCTGAAACAACCCTAACACCCACATGTAGTATTTGTCCAACTTTCTGATAATTCACCTCCACCTCCTATTTTTAATAATCATCACCCCAATCCTGAACACCTACTGTACCATTTTCCAGAAATTAACAAAATCCAGAAAAATAAAAGCCAAAAAAGCTTAAGGTTAACTGCCATTCTGCCAGTGAAATCATTTGTCACTCAGACAGGAAGCTCTTATCTCTACAGATTCCAGAGACAGGAACAGAGAATCAAAGCACCCTTAAGACCTTGGGGACCTTAAGAAATAGATTCTGCACATAAGCCTATCATCAGATTTGCGATGACCAAGACCAAATGGGATTGCCATGCTTCCCTGACAGGGACAACATCGGCACTACCCTTGAGCACCAGTTCTGAGGCTCATTACTAGGTCAACTGACTGCTGTTCCACCAGCACAATCAGCAGAACTGGAGCTCCTGCTGGTGGCCCCATGGCATTTCAGTAAATGTTTTAGAAAATTCTTCTTTAAAAAAATACTAAGTGTGCCTCTTTAGACTCTAAATGAACAAGAATATTTCACTCCCACACTGAAAGAAATATTCTGGGCACACTGGGGTGAGCCCAACCTGCAGAAGTTCTAAATCTGGTCATTACTGGAAAAAAGGAAGACAGACGCCAAGTTAGGAACCTGGAGATGAAGGTGGCTGGGTGGCTCCTAGGGTCTATAAAGAGGCCTCTCTTTCTCCCTCTTGTCCTGGAGGCCATCCTCCAGCCGGTCCACAGCCTGAAAGAAGAGACGAGGAAAAGCACACGCAGTGTCTGGATGGAATTATCAGAAGGTCTGGGGAAGGGAAGAGAAGCAGAACAAAAAGGGATGGTCCTCCTCTGCTTTGAATTACTATGGAAAAGGTTATAAATGATAAGGAACAAAGCCAGAAATTTAGAGAATCACTCCACTGCTATACTTTAAAAATTAACATGAAGTAGGGAGAAGAGGGTCTTCAGAGTCAAATACTTTCAGGGTTAAAGCAGAAACAACAAATTCATTCATTCTCAGGTTTTCTGACCCTCTTGTCTCTTCCTGAGGATCTGTCAGGATCCCTCCCAAGTAGTTTCCAAGGTTCCCAGGAAGCTTGCAGCTTTGCTGGCATAGAACACAACCCAAATAATGACACTCATTTGAAAACTTTTCCTAGGACTGCTTTCATAAATCCTGAAAATTGCTGTCTATGCCACATTTGCTTTTAAAAACAGATATACAAAGATGCTACATACTTGGTATCCAATAGTAATAACCAAGAGAAACTCTAGTCCACCCAAAAATAGTCTGTTCCTTTTCCTCTTAATTTACCTAGTGTTGATACAATACAGAAGAAGGAAAAGCAAAATTAATCCTATTAAACTCACTTTGCAGACAGGGAAAGACTGGTAAAGAAACTAAATTTAAATTATCACTGGCATAAGGAATGCTCTTAGCAGCTTATTTAGAAAAGCCAAAAATCAGAAACAACCTAAACATCCACCAACAGACTGTGAATGAAAAAACTCTGGTATATCCATACAGTGGAACACCATCACAGTGGAACACCATCCAGCAATAAAAAGGAATGAGCTACTGATACATGCAAACATGAATAAATGCTGAAGTAATTCTCCTGAGTGAAAGAAGCCAGACCAAAAAAAAAAGAGTCCATATTGTATTATTCCATTTACATACAACTCTAGAAATGCAAACTAATCTATAGTGACAGAAAGTAGATCAGTGGAAGACTAGAGAAAAGTGGGAGGGAAGGATTATCTTGATTTCAATGATTTCATGGGTATAAACATGTCAAAACGTATCAAAGTACACAATTTAAATATATGAGGCTCAGAGGCTCACTGTATGTCAATTATTTCTCAATAAAGCTATTAAACATTTATCACTGAGATACCATCCACTAACAGTAAGGGGAAAAAAATTCTATTTTACTTTACACAAGTGGTCTGTATAAAACCTAGACTTTGCTGATGAACCAAGTGAGAATCTGGGAGGGGGTTGTGAACCCGAGGGAACTGCTCTGCCTTCCATCTCCAGGAGCAGGTATTTGCTGGTGATCTATTCCTTCTCATTTTCTTGTTGTACCAAAAAGTTAATCTATCAAGAGCCACTGGTATAAGACGCAGAATTTACAACATAGAGCATAGCTAAGTTAGTCAGTGCTGTGCACACAGCAGATTCTCAATATTTCTTTGAAAAGTAGATAATTTTTTTTTAAATGTCATTGTTGAGGACAGTCAATCATGCTGTAACCATTGCTGTAACCCATGAACTGAAGGTGGCAGGCACTAAGAATTTACTCCTGTTTCACCTAATAGAAGACATGCGTTTGAGCTCAAGGAAAATAAAGCAATAATACATTTAAAGATAGATTTGTGGAGCCACTGTTTCCTGCTTGGAATGCACCTACATCTACAGAAACATTCATGGAAGGCCACAGGCTAGAGACTCAAAGGGAGTGTCTTGACATTGCTACACCAACACCTCTCCCTACAGCCAGGCTCTCCCCAGACATTCCCAGGAGGTCAGGAAGCTACCAGAATATTATTAAAATCAAAACACTCCTTTTTAATTAAAACAAAATTTATAAACACTTTCTGGAAAATATTGGGGGTGGGACAGTGGGGTCAAACCAGAAATTAGAATATTTTAAATACTAAAAAGACCAGGAGTCAGTGATTTATACTACAGCAAAACATCACGCACTTATTAAAAACAGTGTGCTTGCTATTGTTAAAAACCGCGTGGTAAGATTACACTGGGTTGGTTTGCATTTTGTTTGTTTCCAGAGTGCTGATATTTAATGACAAACTAATTTAAGCACATGACGAGTAAAATTTTGTTTTACTTTCTTTTCGCTTTCAGGAAAGGAGTTAGGAACTCTAAAAATCTGCTAATAATGTCTAAAAGTATTTTACTGCCATTCACAAGGTAAAATTATTACCTAAAGTTAAGTTCACTTTACTGACAAATTTAAAGGACTTAAAATTCTTGACATACACTGTTAAAAACAATTCTATATTACATTACCTCATGTTAAACATGGGAAAGACTGAGTGGGGAAAAACATTGTCTTGTTTTTAATATCCCCAACTTCCATTAAAACAGAATCCTTTGGGTTAATATAAAGTTATAAAAGGCACAGAGTTTGTAGCACCATGAGCATGGACCCTGCCCGGGCACAACGTTCCTTCAGGTCCTATTATACAGACATCTCCAACACTCACTCCCCTTTGAAATATTAAAAATAGCCATGCTGTCTTGCCCTAGATCTAAAATAAGGAAAACCTGAAGAGTAAATCTAACACATACTGCACACACCTTCCACATTTGGTAGCTGGTGTGTGATAAGCTTCTCATGTTGTGCCATGCATGAAAGGTTCAGAAATTAGAATGAATGGCAGTCTTCGTGTTTGCTGCACCACAAAATGCAAACTATGAAAGAACCTTGCCACTGATCAAACAGCGGTCATCCTGTCTCAGTCACTGCTCTGGACACTAAATAATATGCTGGTATCTGTCTTTAGGGGTGTTAAACCAGCTTAACAAAGTAAGATGCTTAAAACTGGCAAGTATCGAGTCCAGCAGTCTGGTGTCACAGCAAGGGCACACAGACCTGACAAACGCATCTATGAGTTACTTAAAAGCCAAGCTAGCCTTGTACTAGACTAAAGCAATGCTGTGTTAATTCCCATCTCAAATTAGGGAAATTTAATCTAGTTACTGTTTATTTGTTTTAGCGGCATGACAGAAGACAAGCATCTGATATAACTGTCATTTAGACCAGAGGCTGACCCTATACCTACCATAGTTTTTTACCCCAGCGTAGCCCAGCTCTACAGCCAAACTCACTTCCACTTCCAACAAACAAAGGCATCATACATACATTCAAAGAACTGGCCCAGAAATGTTTCAACATACTTAAATACACTTAGGCCTTCAACCAACTGACACACAAACATTTGACACTCACCCACCATTTCTGCTGAGGTCCAAGTACAAGTCAGTGGGAAAATTACTAATTTTCAATTTCAGCTGGCTTCCTTTCTGCCCATTCCTTATCACAGGTGATGGGGCAGAGCCTGGCTCTGATAGGTGGGAAGACAGACTGCTTCCACCCTAGCTCAGGTGCAGAAACAGGGAGACCAGAGAGGGCCCACATGGAGCCTGGCTCCAGACCTTCTTCCCAAAGAAAGTCAACAAATCTCTGAAATTTAAGGAAGTCAGACAAGAATAAGAAGTCCTGCTCTATAACTTTAGGAAAATCTTAACAGTATGAGCACACTTCTATCATTCTTTGTGAAGTAAGGAATGAGACCAATCTCCCTTTGGACCTTTGAGAGACACCAAAGTTTAAGAACAACCAAAACCAACAAAAACACCATTTGCTACATATATATAAAGATGCTGATCATACTCAGGGGGCTGATGCAGGAAAATCACTTTAACCTGGGAGGCGGAGGTTGCAGTGAGCTGTGAGCTGAGCGGGCAATGAGCTGAGATCATGCCACTGTACTCCAGCCTGGGCAACAAAGCGAGGCTCCATCTCAAAAAAAAAAAAAAAAACAGTGCTGATCAGAGCTACTATTTGCCTGAGATAAACAATAATATATAATTCCTGATAAAAACAAGGTTACTTGATGTTTAAATTAGCCTCTACAGGTTTACTGAAGATAACATGGTATGTCCTTTAGGTTTTAGAAACATAGTTGCCTCTTGAACAACACGGGTTTTAACTGCCCAGTTCACTTACGTGAGAATTTTCTCTCTGCCACCCCTAAGACAGCAAGACCCACGCCTTCTCTTCCTCCTTCTCCTCTTCTACCTACTCAACATGAAGACGAAGTTGAAGACCTTTATGATTATCTACTTTCACTCAATGAATAGTATATTTTATATATATACATATATATTTCCTCTTCTTTATGATGTTAATATTTTCTCTAGCTTACTTTATTGTAAAAATACAGTATATAATACATATGACATATAAAATATGTTGATTTATGTTATTAGTAAGGCTTCCGGTTAACAGTAGGCTATTATTAGTTAAATTTTTGGGAGTCAAAAGTTATACAAAGAATTTTGATTTGCAGGGTAGGGGGAGTTGTTCAAGGATCAACTGTACTGAAAGTAGTTAGTGGACCCTATTCCCACATGTGCCAAATCCCTAAGGACAGGATCCTGGGCTGGAAAGCAGAAAATTAAGGACTTGTTTCCCTTGGCCATGCTCTGGCGCAATGCGTAACTTCAGAGACTGGCTGAGCCACCCAGTCCCAGAAGCCCAGCAACTGCAGACGCTGCCTGCAAACACCCCAACATTATTCCATCCAACTGCAGGGCTGGGCCTCCAGGGCACCTGGAGAAAGGCTTCAACTATGACTGCAGCTGTATAAGGGCTTGCACCTGGCACAGAAAATGCCTGTCCGTCCCCAACTGTAAATACCACACTGGTATTCCTCTGGACCAGGCCAGAAAACAAGGCAAAGGGCTCCAGACCAGAGGCCAGCAAGTCCCAGCCATGGCTGTGGCTCGTGCTGCAGCCCCATGCTGACGTCTGCAGCTGCCTCTCCTTCACTTGGACATGGTGTGCACTGGGCTGGGAAGTGCTGCCAAAATTCTGTCAGGCCTGCAGGCTGGAGAGGCTGAGGTGTGGCCACTGCATAGACCCTATCTTTCTTGTAAGCAGAACTTTCCAAATGCACAGGCCCGGCTGAAGGAAGGCAGAGTATGGGCAGTTAACCCAGGTAGGGCTCATTTTGTGGACCTGAAAGCAGGGACAGCAGGCACACCCCATGACGCAGGCCACCCAGTTATATACAAAAGGAAGGCTCCAGTGCAAATGAGTGAGTTGGTGGCAGAGGCTGTGAACCAGCTGCCTTCAGAGGGGATGGAAAGGGGTGTGTTCCATGGCAATGAGTATGTGCATCTTTTTATAAGCCTGGCATTTCAGGGGTTCTTAATGAGAACTCTGCGTTTACCACTACCATCATCCACCTTATCAAATCATTGAGCGTGGACAGACAGCATGGCTGTAAAGCATCAATATATACTTTATATTGAACCAGCTGTATGACAAAAGGACAGCCAACCTTCTACTAGCAACTATCATTCCTCTCCTCCACCACCAGATTTCCATGTTTAGCCTAGGCTAACCCTTTGATAACCTATAAATATTTACCTTAATTCTCCATCCCCAGCTTCTTGACGGAGGCCAGTACAGACTTGTGAGTTGACAGACACACTTTTGGTGGGGACTGTGGACACTCTCTTCCTCCTTCCTAACCAGAGTTCTAGGTGGAATTTTTTTTTTTTTTTAAAATAGAGATGGGTTCTCGCTTTGTTGCCCAGGCTGGTCTCCAATTCCTGGGCTCAAGCAATCCTCCCAGCTCAGCCTCCCTAAGTGTCAGGATTACAGTCATGAGCCACCATGCCCATCCTGAACATATATATTTTAGATGAAATATTTGGCCAGGCGTGGTGGCTCACGCCTGTAATCCCAGCACTTTGGGAGGCAGAAGGTGGGCAGATCATGAGGTCAGGAGATCAAGACCATCCTGGCTAACATGATGAAACCCTGTCTCTACTAAAAAATACAAAAAAGTAGCCGGGTGCAGTGGCGGACACCTGTAGTCCTAGCTACTCGGAGGCTGAGGCAGCAGAATGGTGTGAACCCAGGAGGCAGAGCTTGCAGTGAGCCGAGATCATGCCACTGTACTCCAGCCTGGGCGACAGAGCAAAGACTCCATCTCAAAAAAAAAAAAAAAAAAAAAGAAATATTTGGTCTTCTAGGGCTTTTATGGGCTGAATTGTACCCCCATCCCCAAATGCGTACTTTGAAGCCCTAACCTCCAATCTCAGAATGTGACTATATTTGGAGACAGGGCCTTGAAAGGGGTGACTGAGTTAAAATGAGGCTATTAGGGTGGGCCATAATCCAATTTAGTCACACTGAGGCACACCAGCGATGCCTGTGCAAAGGAAAGGCCAAGTAAGAACACGTGAGAAGAAGTCCATCTGCAAACCACGAGAGGCCTCAGAAGAAACCACACCTGCCAGTACCTTGGACTTCCAGTCTCCAGAACTGTGAGAAAACAAATTTCTGTAGCTTTAAACTACCGGGGGCTGTGGTACTTTTTTGTAGCATCCTGAGCTGACTAATATGAGGCCTTCTGCGCTACTAAGACCCTCTGGACAACTGAAAGGGACTAAACTAAGCCAAGGTCCAGAACTACACTGTCCAACACAGTGGACACTAGCCACATGTGTCTTCAAATTTTTTAATTCATTAAAATTAAGTAAAAGTTTAAAATTCAGTTCCTCAGTTGCACTAGATTAGGACATTCTCATCCTATGGGACAATGCTAGTCCAGAAAAGAGAAGGCTCTAAATCTGAGAGAACATCCAGGAGAAACTTTTCTAACACAGCTCTCCCAAAGAAGAGAGGCAGTGACGAGAGCAGACAGAGTGAGCATACACCTGATGCTCAATGCCAAGAAAAATATTTAAATAGGGCTCTTAAGCTTTTATTGGGCATTATCTTTATATGGAGGTAATTCACCAAGCAGTCTTCTGACTAATTCTCACCCTAAAAGCAAGAATTTTTTTTCGAGACGGAGTCTCGCTCTGTCGCCAGGCTGGAGTACAGGGGCCACGATCTCGGCTCACTGCAACCTCCGTCTCCTGGGTTCAAGTGATTCTCCTGCCTCAGCCTCCCGAGTAGCTGGACTACAGGCACACACCATCATGCCCAGCTAATTTTTAGTAGAGATGGGGTTTCACCATGTTGGCCAGGATGGTCTCAATCTCTTGACCTTGTGATCCACCCACCTCGGCCTCCCAAAGTGCTGGGGAATACAGGCGTGAGCCACCAGGCCAGGCAAGACTATTTTTTTTAATTAATGTAGGACAAAATTATGTACTCAAGCAAGGAGCATTTATAGAGTACTTATAACTCACAAAGACACTTTGATAGGCGCCACACAGGGGCAGAGAAGAAATTCCCAATGATGTTTTTGCCTCAAGGAGTAAAATGCCTAAAACTATAAACGTTAGAAAACAGGTAGGCAGGGTTATGAAACAACAAGCGCCTCAGAAGTTCAGAAGGTGGCATCCCAAAGGCTCGGACAGGTGGCTTTACCTGCCTGCACTTGGAAACAGACCTTTAATACCTTTCTCTGAAATAAGAGGAAAGGTCTTTCGCTCTGGAGCCCCTACACCCTCTCTCAACTAGTTCACTTCTCTCCTGCTGCCAACATCAGCAGTCAACCCTAAAACTCTCAATTCCTTAGAGGTCCTCATTGCAAGCCCTTCACACCTGACACTCTCCCATAACGGCCAATTCTCCTCCCCAAAAGCCCCGTGCCTGTGCCTGTGCCAAGCACACCAACCGAAATACCACATTGAGTTCTGTTTTTCATATTCCTGGTCCCCTCTTCTGAACAGGGTGGCACCTACAGCAGCAAAGCCTTGCTTTCTAATGTGCAGCTTTTAACTTGCTGAAAACTTAGAGCACAGAAAACTGAAAATAACCCTATTTGCCTAAAAAGTATTTCATCCTTAAGGATCTATACAACTTTCATCTCCTCTGCAGGTTTCCCTGCCCTCCCCTCCTCTGAATCTGTATCTGTATCTGTTTCCACAGTGCATCAAAAAGACATCTCTATTACTGCCCTGATGACTTTCACATCAGAGCTCTTCTTACATATGTCTAAAGCAGAGTTCCTTGAAAGCAGGCCCAGCTCCTTTCCCATCACACATTCTTTCAAGGTGTCCTGGGTTTAATTTGTAATGTAAAACATAAGCTAACGGGCTAGAGCTCAGGCACTGTGCTAGGTACAAAATTTCCCTCTGTTATCTGAGGGGAGCTCTTCTCTGAGTAGTCTGTTAGCTTCTCAATACACAGACACTGTGTGATATTTATTTTGACTGCCTGGAAGCCAACTAACTTCTGGTTCTCAGCTGCACTGTGAAAATATGAAGTTGCCAGAGAGCTGAGATACAGACAGCAGTAGTATTCAATATAGTCACATTAAAACCAAGTGAAGAGCAGGGACTTTCGACCTATTAAGAACCTGTACTTAATAATTTTCACATCACACTAGGCAGTCTTCAACCTCCCCTTGTATTGAGTTGAACCAGTTAATGATTACCTGGCTTTGATTAAGTTCCCCTTTCATAAAGCGCAACTGCGAAGTACCATAAATGATGTTTAGGAAAACCAGACACACCAGTGACTCTTGGAACTGGATTATTCCTCCCAGGATAACAAATAGGAAGCCTCAGGAATGCTTGCCTGCAGTCAACCTTACCCAGTAAGATCTGGTTACAGACCTGCAGTATCACACTCAGGTACGTTTCTCCAGGCTTTGGCTTTCTCTGACCTGCCTGACATGCAAAGGGCCTCAGCAATTTAAAGCATTACATTAAAAAATCATGTTTTTACCCCGACCCAAACCCTGGTAGGCTCCAAGAACAACAAAGCAGGACTTACTGCCATTGTCGTCAGAATCCTCACTGCTGCTGGGAAGGCGACCTCGTTTCATGATCTCCCCGGGAAACAGCAGGCAGCCTGCAAAGCAATGAGACAGCACTTAACCCAAGATGATAATACACAATCATCAAGTTGTGCTTCAGATGGCAGCCCAGGATTTACAGCAAACAAAAGCAAACAAATGGCTTTAAGTAGCATTTGAATTGTAAACAGTAAAAAGACCAAAGATACATAATTAGGTGCAATCATTAACAAACCAGGTTAAAAAAGGAGGGGGAGGGGTGGAGAAGTCACATATCAGTAGGTCTCCCAAAGATGCCAGGTTTCTTTCTATATTCCTGTGACATTATTACTATAACTACTCCAGGAATCTTTAGCTGACTGGCAGCAAGCACTGCAGAAAAAAATCCACAGCAATGAACACTGTACTGTGCTTCCTCACTACAGACAGATTCATATTTTATGCGTACATGTGGGGGGTGGGGTGGGGTTGTGCCTGGATGTGTGAATATTTACACTGCACTGGGCATGATTATGCTTCTCAGGCAAATTTTACTAAAATAACCCTAAAGGCGAAAGAAACAAAACAAATCGGGTAATGGAATGCAAATGTCTCCTCCAGCCATCTCTAACCCCACAGAGGGAACAGGAAGGAACCACAGACATTATACAATTTTGATCCAGACCCCTCCCTTTCACATTAGGAAACTAAAGCCAAGAAAGGTTAAGCAGCAACTTCCCCAAGGTCACGTTGTGGGAATGGAGCTTCTAATTCCAAATCCAACACTATTTCCACTCCACTTCACCTCAGCTCCCTTCAGGACAAATAGACCCAAATCCAGCCAAAATAAGAAGTCAGTTTGTACAAAGACCCAGCGCACCTGGCCAACTCCTCCCAGGTAGCTGATGATAACAGAATTCTAGCACTACCCTCAAGTATGAGAAAGGCTGCATTTAGGTAAGAAGGCAGTGAACTGAGACGGAATGGCCAGTAATGAACTTATACAGATGGTCTCGCGGTTATATTCACACAGGGCAGCTCTCTAAACAAATACAAAAAGCTTTTCCAAATTAAAATTACTGATCAACCTGACATCTTTAGGGCACTGGTCTGTCAGTTCAATGAATCCTAAAAATGAAAGGGAGCTTTTTCAAGTGAGAAAAAGTATGGTAGTCCATCACCTACCTACCCATCCACCCTCTCAGAAAAGTACATCCCAACCTCCTCCTCATTGGGAATCACAATATGTATGATGTGGTGTTAACAATGCAAATGTGGCTGGGCATGGTGGCTCACCCCTGTAATCCCAGCACTTTGGGAAGCAAAGACGGGAGGATCACTTGAGGTCAGGAGTTGGAGACCAGCCTGGCCAACATGGTGAAACTCCGTCTCTACTAAAAATATAAAAATTAGCCGGGCGTGGTGGCAGGTGTCTGTAATCCCAGCTACTTAGGAGGCTGAGGCAGGAGAATCGCTTGAACTCAGGAGGCGGAGGTTGCAGTGAGCCGAGATCACACCACTGCACTCCAGCCTGGGCGACAGAGACCCTGTCTCAACATACACACACACACATACACACAACAATAGAAGTGGGGCACATAGGAATGGTGTGGAGAAAAAAATGTGGAAAACCGGGCTGGGTGTGGTGGCTCATACCTGTAATCCCTGCACTTTGGGAGGCCGAGGTGGGAGGATCACGAGGTCAGCAGTTCGAGACCAGCCTGACCAACACGGTGAAACCCTGCCTCTACTAAAAATACAAAAATTAGCCGTGCGTGGTGGCGCGCATCTGTAATCCCAGCTACTCAGGAGGCTCAAGCAGGAGAATCACTTAAACCCGGGAGGCGGAGGTTGGAATGAGTGGAGATCACACCACTGCACTCCAGCCTATGTGACACAGTGAGATTCTGTCTTGAAAAAAAAAGAAAAATGTGGAGAACCACTGTGATAGAACAAGAAAGCAATTTTAAAAAACCAAAGCTCCACTCTAAAAAGGCCTACAAAAGAGCAGTCAAAAAAGCCTAAACTCCCTTTTCCTTTGACTAGTCACTTCACAATTTATCACCCTCTGTTAAAATTGTATATAAGCCTTCAGGTCTAACTCTTCTTGGGTTTTTTCTCTTCGGTGAAGTCTCCTTCCCTTTACCCACATCTGGCACATAAAAATATCAACATCAGTGAAGTTTGCCTTTTCTCCTGTAATGTCTTTTGTCATTTAATTCAGACTCGCATGAACTGAACCTAAAAAAGTAGATGAAAAGTTTTTCCTATACTACACTTAAAAAATGGATCTACACAATTCATCCAAATATTTAGGTCCCTAATCTATAATTGCAATATTTTATATTTTCTTCCTGAGAAACTCACCCAGTTAAAGTTTTTGTTTATCAATTGATTCTTCAAAAGCCATTAAAATGATGTACCAAGAGAAAGGCTGAACATAAGTCCTGATCAGTATGGGTCATGAGCTATATTATGGACACGCTTTACAAGCTGGGGTTTCATGCTGTAGGCATAGTCAAGTCCTAAAACCCACTCCATCCCTTTTCCAAAAGCCCCACTCACCCATAACCAGGCAATCTGCAACTTGGCCTGGGGTAAGCCCACTCCAGCCCTCAGGTTCCATAACCAAGAAACACCAGTGGTCCACTCCCTATTCAACTGTTTTCTCTGCCCTGTGTGTGCCAAAAACACCAACTGCAGACAGGTAAGCTCTCCAACCTTCTAGAGAATGCACCTCTGGGTCCCCTCAGGATCCAGCAAGAGGTAAAAGGGAAAAGGGAAAGGCAGAAGACCACTCACTCCTAACAGCTTCAGCTCCCCAAAGCCAACATTACAAAAGAGTGCTAAAAAAAATTAGTACTAGGCTGGTCGCGGTGGCTCACATGTGTAATCCTAGAACTTTGGGACGCCAGGGCAGGAGGACTGCTTGAACCTAGGAGTTGAGACCGGAGTGGGCAACACAGGGAGACCCCTATCTCTATAAAAAAATTTAAAAATTAGATTCACCTAACAGAGTAGCTTTTAAGAATCTTTTTGAATCAAAATGCTTACTTTCCAGCTTTCAAACACAACTCCCTGAGGAAGCACTTCAACAGTCACTAAATAAAGAACGCAAGCATTGGCCAAAATACAATGATGCACCTAAACACACATAAATACTCTCTTAAGCAAAATTATTCAAGTAAAAGAAGAGTAAAAATAGTATTTTCTTTCTAATGAAATCCATTTTCATCCGCTGAAGATCTTGAGTAATGAGGGTTTGAGAGTGCTGTATTTGCTTCTCCAGGGAACTTGGCACAGTATGGGGGTTAGTGCTCAGCAGAATTTCCTCCTCTGTGGCTCTAAAGTACTTAAACCTTGACATCAAGCTGATTTATCTCACCCAGGATGACTTACTGTATCAGAAAATCAAAATACATGTTACTATCTTTCAGCTACACAATACAGTGGTTGTATGCTGCAAACATCTGCCCCACTAAAAGCCAGCATCTGCATCATCACCTTTCCTGACTCTCAGGGCAATGGCTAATTACTAATCTAGACAGTAGTAGGATAAGTAATAATCAATTAAAATGGCTACTCACAACACCCCAAAGTAGCAAGAAGATATAATGGCACATAATGCAGCCGACAAACATTTGAATATCTCATATATTAGGAGGTGCTGGATGAAAATTACTAACCCTGACCTCACAGAGCTTCTGGCCTAGTTGGGCAGACAGGAAAACAACGGAAATTCACTACTGTTTGTGCCTGACAGTGGTAAATGCGGAGTTCTACAGGAATACAAAAGGTGGATAAGAGTCAGAGGAGGCTGGTAAGACTGAGCTGAGTCCTGAAGAACAAAGAGGAGGTAGCCAGAAAAAGGGGCATGTTTGGGGCAGAGCACCGTACTTACCAACATATGTGTAACACAGCATATTACTCTGGGTAGCATCTTCATACACATCCATTCTCACCTTATAGCCAATTGCCAAGGTTTACTGATTCATAATGTTATGACTCTCTGAAGTCCCCATATGCCCTGTGGGTTTGCCCTTCAACTACTTGTACCTAGAAAGCTTTAAACACCTATTCTCCAAACTATGATCTCTTCCCACTTCCAATTATTAAAACAACAAATTAACTACACCCCATGAGGCAACCTCATCAAAATACTATATGCAGATCTCTCCCTCCATTCCACATTACAAATAGGTCTAAGTCCAAAGTGTCCAGCCAAAAATGAAGTTTTCTGACTTCTCACAGCTTTACTCAGGCATCTGTTCTAGCAAGCCCCAAAACCCAGAGCTTGCATTGGTTGGGCCAGGCTTCTTCCCTGAACACTCTGCTTACTTTCAGTTCTCATTCTCTGCTAATGCTGCTCCTGTTGCTCCTTGCTCCCTATCCTAATCCCACCACTTTTCTGGGGCTCAGCTCAAAGCCACTGACCACTCCAACTCCAAACACTTATATTCTGTACTGCTCAGTTCAACTTTCTTCCTCTTTTAGAACTTTTTCACCTTGCTTTTCAATGCACTGTTACCTTAATAGTATCACTGAAAAAAATTCCTCATGACACTTGTTAGAAATGGTAAAGCAGATTTTACTCAAGGGGGACCATGGTGGTAGGTACAGGGAACACTGCAATGGGATCTTGCAGAGGGGGATGGAGATTGAACCCAACTCAGATTCCAAAAGAGGTGGAGATTTATAACCAAGGAGGAGGGTGGGGCCGGTGGATAGGAGACTGACTACTAAACAGAAATATCAAGGATAAGGGGTTTATGGCTAATTTGATAGGATTATTCTTGAAGACAGGCCAGGATAAGATAGGACAGAGTGGTCAGATACCCAGGTGAAGAATTTTCCCTAAACTGATTTTAACAGGATTTTTGCTTCAACTGGATTCAACAATAATACAAAGAGAAGCCCAAGGTAGTGCCCATTCACGCGGAGGACCGGAGGAGCGTGACTAAAGTTTTGGTCAAAGGAGTCTTTGTCAGTATTCAATCAACTACTGCCTTGCATCATGACTTAAATGTTTCATGTGTGTGTCTCTAAAGATTACAGTAATTTCTGGAGAACAGATTCTCTCAAGTCAAATATGAAATAAACATAACATAGGGCCAGGTGCAGTGGCTCATGCCTGTAATCTCAGCACTTTGGGAGGCCGAGGCAGGCATATTATCTGCATGCAATAGATAGAGAGGAGCCACTATGTGAAGCCTGGAGTTCGAGACAAGCCTGGCCAACATGGGAAAACCCCGTCTCTACTGAAAAAAAAAAAAAAAACACAAAAATTAGCCAGGCGTGGTGATGCATGCCTGTAGTCCCAGCTACTCAGGAGGCTGAGGCAGGAAAATCACTTGAACCCAGGAGGTGGAGGTTGCAGTGAGCTGAGCGTGTGCCACTGCACTCCAGCCTGGGTGACAAGAGTAAACTCTGTTTCAAAAAAAAAGACATAACAGAGAAGGGGGACCATGATGGTAGGTATAGGGAACACTGCAATGGGACCTTGCAGTACGGGACAGAGATTGAATCCAACTCAGACTGGTCAGAAACAAGGCCTCTCAGCGTGGCTACAATAGATGCCCTCAGAACTCTGGATCCAGTCGACACGGCTCACCCTGACATTCTGTTTACATTTCCTCAAAACTGATGCAAAGTTATCCAGCTTATCGGAGCCTGGAGTGTCCACTTGCCACGAGAAACATAATAGCTACAGAGACAAAAGAGCTAGTTAGTGGGCATTTGGGAGTTTGCCCAAAAAGAGGAAGACTACCTAGGAAGTTAAATTAAAAACAGAACACTGCCTGGAAAGGCCACTGGCCAAAGACCCTGGCTGGACCAGTTACTTAACAATCCTCTGGTGTCTCTACTCCACTCACTGCACGAAGAGATGCACCAAGACAACTGAGCATCTGTGGCAGCTGCCGGAGAACCATCTCCTCAGGAAATGCAAACACAGGCTTTACCCACTGGCCCAAACCCCTATTTAGATTATATGCAGATTACTCTCTCCTTGGATCCCTTCTGTCATGTGGGTTAAAATGCAGTACATTAGCTAACATAATAATTTGAGGAAAATTTTATCAAGGTAGACGTCAGAGATACGGTGAACAAGATATGGAATGTCTGCACTGCAGGAGCACACAGTCTACCTGGAGGAAACATCAAATAACTAGACAAGTGGCTTCAGTGTGGTAAGTGCTATAAAAGTCACCAGATTACTGCTTACATGCACATGAGATAGCAAGGCACCTGAAAACCTTGAAATTTACATTCCTCTGACTGAAACTGGGAAAAATCTGCATGCAATAGATTCAGAGGAGCCACTATGTGAAGGAACCCATCCCTAGGGTGGCTCAGGAATTTGAGCGAACAAGTTCAGTGACCTGGGCGTGGTCATGACTGATGTGATGATTCTAAGAAAGAATGAGAACGTCATGGACAAGGAGAGAAGGACTTTTACAAAAGAATAAGAGGGCTGGGCACAGTGGCTCACGCCTGTAATCCAGGCACTTGGGGAGGCCGAGGCAGGCATATCACTTGAGGCCAGGAGTTTAAGACCAGCCTAGCAACATGGCGAAACCCCGTCTCTACTAAAAACACAAAAAGTTAACCAGGTTTGGTGGTGTATTCCTGTTGTTCCAGCTACTTGAGAGGCTAAGGCAGGAGAATCGCTTGAACCCGGGAGGCAGAGGTTGCAGTGAGTCAAGATCATACCACTGCACCCCAGCCCGGGCAATATAGCAAGACTCTGTCTCGAAAAAAGAAACAAAAAAAGGGAAAGGTAACTAAGAATTTGAGGATGTTTATTCAATGCTATTCCTGGGAAACAAGGACTGATTTGAGGAAAACAAACTGTCCAGTTACTAGAATTACTTACTCTCTGTGGTGGAACAGGGCCCATTTATCAGGCCATAAACTCTATAGCTATAATAAGGATTACAACCTAGTGATTTTGTCTTATGGCTCATATGCAGAAAGGCTGGTTTCTCTCTCAAAGTATCAGTTTTATCTACTGTTTCCATTTTTATTTATTTCACTCAAGAAGTTCTAGAAGGTACTCAATTAAAGACCGCTACATACTTTTATATATCACCCAATGCAATACTATGTATTAAAATAACCTACTGGATGAATGCCTTAGTTCCCGTACTGTTACCTTATGTTCACTCCACTTTATTGAATTTGAGATGCTTTTACTTTAATATCTAATTGACCTTTAACTGGAATAACTTCTCCTGTATTCACTTTTAAATTTATTGATGCCCTTCCATTCTGTCAAATAGCTAAAATCTAATACCTAAAGGTACTAAAGAATGTATTTTCAGAAACCAGGTGGTCTTATATAAAACTAAGTATTTTATGAGCTACTCCTTTCTCTTTTATTTTATTTTTTTTGAGTTGGAGTCTCGCTCTGTCACCTAGGCTGGAGTGCAATGGCTCACTCAGCTCACTGCAAGCTCCGCCTCCCGGGTTCACGCTATTCTCCTGCCTCAGCCTGGGACTACAGGCGCCTGCCAACACGCCCAGCTAATATATATATATATTTTTTTGTAATTTTAGTAGAGACGGGGTTTCACCGTGTTAGCCAGGATGGTCTCGATCTCCTGACCTCATGATCCGCCCGCCTCGGCCTCCCAAAGTGCTGGGATTACAGGCGTGAGCCACCGCGCCCTGCCACTCCTTTCTGTTTAAGTTCACATAGTTCAAATTATTTTTTAAACACTAGGTACCTGATAATTTGATTCCTAAATTACTGAACATAGAATACTCCCCCAAAAAGATACATTATATTCTTAATAATTGGTCACTTTTGTCTTCTATGGAATATACAGTTCTAAATACCCAAATATAATGACCTATAACTTCACAATAAAATCTGTCCACCTGCCCCTAAATGAATGTGAAGGAAACCCAGCTGGTTTCTTACCTCAGTTTTTAAAGTAAACATTAATCGCTTAAATATGAAGTTTTCCAACTGGCAACATTATCTAATTCATATGCTCACAGAATCTAAAAATGCTACTATGACTATAACTCAAACACAGATTCTCAATTTAACTAAAGGGTTATATCTAGTCAAAAATAAAGTCATACATTTAACTGACAAATAGCTTAACTCTTAAGCGTTAATGTTTTAATCTTGTCTAAATATCTCAAGCAAAAAAATGTGCTCTTTATAACGTCATACATCAAAACTTATTTAAGGAAAATGCTGGCCCAAGCTAATACAGAACCTCTGGAAGGAGGTAAAACTTACAAATATTCAGCTGACAAGTTTACATTAGCAATAGCCACCTCCTCCAAAAGAAAAAAAATTATGATAACTGACCACATAATAAATAACTATAATATTTACTCTTAGGAGCATTACTCATAAAGCCCATGTACTATAATACATTAGTTCACTTTAAATTCTTTATAAGTTATTTTTGAACTCAGATTTAAAAACCAAGAAAGCATTTCTCAAGACTTTAAGGAATTTTAAATTTGAGTGGTTCTGAATGAATCACAAGCAGCTCTCATTTGCCAATGTATAAATAATCCAATCACTGCTTATGAGCTCTAAGGCAATCTATTAAACCCCTTCCAGGACTCTGTAATTGCTGACTCAATTAAGAGTCAGCAACTGAATAAGAGCAGCTATGACAAAACATTCCAATCATTTGTACTTGGAATGTATTTTTTTAACTTCCCTTGACATGGGAGTAAATGAATTCACAACCAAACAAAAAAGGCAGTCAGTCACCATGGTCTCCAATCTTGAGCTTTTATCCTTATTTCCATCTACTCAGAATTCTTTTCTGTTAGATCTAAATGCTCAGATGTGGAAAGATGCCCAAGACATATTAGGGGAGAAAAACAGGCTAACTGCAGGGAAAAAACCCAAAATATAAGAGCATTTATATATAATAGGAGGAGAGAAAATACCTACAGCAATTGCTTGTATATTCATAGAACATTTCTGAAAGAATATAAATGTTCATAGTGGTCATCTCTGAGAAATGTGACCAAAGGGTTCCAAGACAGACTGAGTTGGGAACTTTTCCTCCTCTTTATGACCTTTAATATGATTTTAACTTTTTTTTTTTTCTTGAGACGGAGTTTCACTCTTGTTGCCCAGGCTGGAGTGCAATGGTGTGATCTCGGCTCACCGCAACCTCCGCCTCCCAGGTTCAAGCGATTCTCCTGCTTCAGCCTCCCTAGTAGCTGGGATTACAGGCATGTGCCACCACGCCCGGCTAATTTTGTATTTTTTTTTTTTCACTAGAGACGGGGTTTCTCCATGTTGGTCAGGCTGGTCTCGAACTCTGACCTCAGGTGATCCACCCGCCTCGGCCTCCCAAAGTGCTGGGATTACAGGCATGAGCCACTGCACCTGGCCATGATTTTAACTTTTTACGATGATTGTGTACTACACTTATAATAGTAAAGATACTTTTTTTTGAGAGACAGAGTCTTGCTCTGTCACCCAGACTGGAGTGCAGGAGCGTGATCTCTGCTAAGTGCAAACTCCGCCTCCCGGATTCAAGCGATTCTCCTGCCTCAGCTTCCCAAGTAACTGGGACTAGAGGCGCACACCACCACACCCGGCCAGTAGTAAAGATTTATTTCTTCCCTGCTCTTCACTATATAAAAGACCTGGAAGCACAACTTCTTGCCCCAGTGCAAAGCACCAGCCTATAACTAACGAGCAACCATCAATAAACTATGTATATGCCACCTCTTTCCTGAGATGCAGTATCAAAGAATTGTCTTGCTTTAAAAGAATATCTGATGCAAAGGTGCAGAAGAAAAAAAAGAGAAAAGGTAATAATGCCATAAAATGCTATTATCCCCTATTTGCTTGATTAGGTCATCACATACTTCAAAAGCTTAAGTTTTTGAAACAGGTAAAAACAGCCAACATTAGAAGGAGGTCACTTAAAATATATGCAATAATAATAGAAAAAAACTAACCCAGACAAGAAAATTAGGGTTTAAACTATACACAGGCTGGGCATGGTGGCTCATGCCTGTAATCCCAGCACTTTGGGAGGCCGAGGCGGGCCAGATTACCTGAGGTCAGGAGCTCGAGACCAGCCTGGCCAACATGGCGAAACCCAGTCTCTACTAAAAATACAAAAATTAGCCAGGCATGGTGGCAGGCACCTGTAATCAGGTTGGTGGTCTCAAACCTAGCAGCTACTCTACTCGGGAGGCTGAGGCAGGAGAATCGCTTGAACCCAGGAGGCGGAGGTTGCAGTAAGCCGAGATCGTGCCACTGTACTCCAGCCTGGGCAAAAAGAGTGAGATTCCCTCTCAAAAAAAAAAAAAAAAAAGAAGAAGCCATTTCAACTCCTTATCCATTATCACAGTAGTACTACTTTGGAAAAAATTTAAAAAGGCTATGTTCAAGAGGTAGCTGGCAATTATGCCATTCCTTCCACCTATGGCAAGGCATGGTTGACAAATTAGGTCATTCTTTTCCACACCCCCAGGCACATATCTTCAGAATCCTCCTTAACACAGTGCTATCACCAAGAGAGATAAAGCCCATTTGCCCTATATGTCTTATTCCGCGTCTCAGTTTTCTGACAATTTATCAGGGAAAGCTAGGGTCAGATTAATCTCTTCAGAATATACAAAAATGAAATGTTTATTTTTTAAAGCATTTCACTGAAATCAGGAGTTTGTGTTCCATTCTGCCTTGGGGGTCTCTGAACCAGGTACTAATTTCTATAATACAAACCTACACACTTCATATCAAACTCTAAAAGCTCATTAGACACTTTAGGAAAACCAAGTGCTTCTGAATGAACGAAGGTAAGAATAAGCATGAGAAAGGATTCTACAACCCATTATTCCATCCTTGGTGGAGTAAGCCAATAAATGCTAAATGTCTACAGGGTAATTTTAAAAGATTTTTAAATGCTCAAACCAGATGTTCTTATACAGGATATACAAATCAGCTTCTGCAGAAACCAGACTCCACCAGCTAATGACAATTACACTGTGCACAGATTGAAATGCAGCTGTTTTTCAGGAACTTTGTTCCTTGATTATACCCGGTTGTCAGAAACTATCCGTTACCACTAACAATGTTAAGTCACCAAAAATTTTTAAAGTACTGTTTTAAAAAAAAAAAAGAGAGAGACTCCCAATGTTGTATATTTGAAAACCTAGATGACACACTTGACAAAAACAACATTTACACAATCATCCAAGTTACATATGAAAACAAACGTTTCATCACAATTGTACAAGCCTCGTTATTATGATCATGGAAACCTAAGTTGGTCTCAAACCTAGAAGCAAGGTCTAGAAAGCACTCTCTGAGGCTGAAGTCTCAGTCTCACAACGTAGACTCTGCCTACAAGTCTCACAACACAGATTGTGTCTAGAAGAAATCTTCCCAAAAGAAAGCCAGGCGTGGTGGCTCACGCCTGTAATCCCAGCACTTTGGGAGGGTGAGGTGGGTGGATCACTTGAGGTCAGGAGTTCAAGACCAGCCTGACCAATATGGTGAAACCCTGCCTCTACCAAAAATACAAAAATTAGCCAGGCATGGTGGCACATGCCTGTAATCCCAGCTACTTGGGAGGCTGAAGCAGGAGAATTGCATGAACCCAGGAGATGGAGGTTGCAGTGAGCCAAGATCATGCCACTGCACTCCAACCTGGGTGACAAAGCAAGACTCCATCTCAAAAAAAAAAAGAAATCTTCCCAAAAGAAACCCATAAAATCATAATTAACTGCAGAGCTAGAGAGGATTTCAAAAACAATTTAAAATAATTTAATCCACCTTTCCTACTTTTAAAGAGGAGTACATGGATTTCTGCATGTTTATCAACTTGCACAAACACACATAAGTAGATCTAGTGCAAAGGCAGTGGAAGAACCAAAGACCAGTTCCCCAGGTGGGTGGAGGGGCACTCTCCTCCTGTGCCAGCCACCTCCTCCCAGATTCCTGGACTATGGGCTTCTTCCTCCTGGATGTACACTGGGATTTAAAAAGAGGTCATGTGAATGACTAAGGCCATGATACGTTATCAGAGAGCAAAAACTGAAAATGTAATCAATGAACAACAGTCTGTTAACTTGAAAACTGAAACACAGATTCATGGCAAGATGGTCACAAATGCCATTCATTTTGCATAGTGAAGCACACAAAAGGTAAAGCTGGAAGAATGTGTCAGCAGTTCCTTAAACACTACCACAGGAGTATGAGTTCTCCCGGAGTGGTAGGCATTAACTTCTGATTGCTGTGACACATACACCCTACTTGACATTATCTCCCTCTGTAGTGGAACACAATCTTATAATACATATCCTCTTACACAGGTCTTCTTAGCTTGACCCCCCCGGAGGGTGTGAGAGATGACCAAGGTATTTGTTCTTACACATTTTATCCTCAAAAGGGATCTAGGATCAGAATCCCAGCTACTCCAGAAGCTAAGGCAGGAGAACTGCCTGAGACCAGAAGGTTGCTGAGCCGTGATCGTGCCACTGCACTACTGCCTGAGCAGCAGAGAGAGCCTGCCCCCCAAAAAAAAAACCACCATTGCACTCCAGCCTGGGCAAAAAGAGCGAAACAAAAACAACCCACAGCCCTCAGCGTAGCCAACTACCTCCAAACAAACTTCTAATTTCAACTTGCATTTTCAGGTTCCTAGAAGGGAGCTCAGCCACCAGCAGAAACAATCAAGTAGCTGCTGTGTCTTACTATAAATCTGGGGAGGCCAGGGAGTGATGGCCAAAGTGGGCAGAACCTTTGAGCTCAGGAGTTCGAGAACAAAGAAACATAGCAAACCCCATCTCTACAAAAAATACAAAAAACTAGCCAGGCCTGGTGTGGGATGCCTGCAGTCCCAGCTACTGGGGAGGCTGAGATGGGAGGATCAAGTGAGCCCTGGAATTTACACCACTGCACTCCAGCCTGGACAACAGGGTGAGACCCTGTCTCAAATCAATCAATCAACCAATCAGGGGTCAACAGCCTGTTTCTGTATGGTTTTTGAGCTAAGAGTGATTTTCACATATTGAAATGGTTGAGGGTAGAGGGCCAAAGAACATTTCATGACATACAAAATTCATAAAAATTTTACATTTCTATATCCATAAATATCACTTTCACATTCATTTTGCCCATGGTTGCTCTGGCACAACTGCAGACTTGAGCAGTTGCGACAGACCATATGACCCACAAAACCTAAAATATTGACTACCTGGCTCTTTACAGAGAAAGGCAACTGATCTGTCCTATAAATCAACCGATCAGTAGTATGATGTTTATAAACCACCATTATGCGTGTTTAGTTCAATGTGAATCAATTACCAGGTGCTGGACAAGCAACCGAAAGCTTACAAAATTAAGGATCAGACACAATCACTCCTTAGGAAGTCCCTAACTATGGCCGGCCATGGTGGCTCACGTTTCTAATCCCACCACTTGGGGAGGCTGAGGCGGGTGCATCACCTGAGGTCAAGAGTTCGAGACCAGCCTGGCCAACATGGTGAAACCTCGTCTCTACTAAAAATACAAAAATTAGCAGGGCATGGTGGCACACGCCTGTAATCCCAGCTACTCGGGAGGCTGAGGCAGGAGAATTGCTTGAACCCAGGAGACAGACGTTGCAGTGAGCCCAGATCATGCCACTGCACTCCATCCTGCATAACAGAGCAAGACTCTATCTCAAAAAAAAAAAAGAAGTCCCTAACTAGAATAATCAAAAGGAAGGCATTGAGGAGACCTCTAAGCAACTTAAATAAAGGCCACAGTAAAACCAGTGGGTTTTTCTCAAAAGAAAACCCCTGAGGCTCCTACTTGGAGCCAGTGTACACAAGTTTTAAAAACTTCTAACAGGCTTCTTATTTGATTTTCAAGTTAATGACCAATAAGCAGAAAAATCACTGTTCTCAACAGGCATTTTAACTACAATACATGGTAACAGTGGCAGTAAAAGGATCACAGAGAAATCATAAAAAGAAGTCACCAGAATTTAAACACTTAAACTAGAATCCAAGGATGTGCTTAAGGAAACACCCATGTTTTCTGGGGGAGAGCTTCCATGGGTTTCAGTGTCAAGTGTCCCCAACTTAAAAAGTTACAACCACCAACACTCAGCCTCTATATGTTAAGTGCATCATGGCATTTCCACATGGAAGTAACTGATGCTCGTAAAGATTATGACAAAGAGTAATCAATAAAAAATTTAAATTGCATTTAGTGTACTTTGTGCTAAATTAAAGCAAGCCATGAAGTTCAACCTCAAGCAACTTGCTAATAACATTGCTATTTCTTGTTCCTTACCCTGGTTTAAGTGGGAAACAAACAAACAAAAAGATTATTTTATGCCTCAGTGTGGACCCACACCACTGAAATCTTCACTTAAAGTAAGTCCTTATAAACTCTCATGGAAGATGCCATGAATTCTCAAAATAATAAAATCTCCTGCACAGGAGACACTAAATGATCAATAGTTTAAAATATTACTTCCACCAGCCACACAGGTGCACACTTGTAATCGCAGTTAGGAAGCCAGGGCGGGAGGACTCAGCTCTGGAGTTCAAGACTAGCCTGGGCAACCTGAGCAACATAGTGAAACCTCATCTCTCTAACAAAAAATACAAAGAGACAGATGTCAATTGTGAGCGCTTTCAAAGTAATAGAAAACTGGCCAGTCATGGTGGTTCACACCTGTAATCTAGCACTTTGGGAGGCCGAGGTAGGTGGGTCACTTGAGGTCAGGAGTTTGAGACCAGCCTGGCCAACATGGTAAAACCCCGTCTCTACTAAAAATACAAAAATTAGACAGACACGGCGGCATGCGCCTGTGATCCCAGCTACTCCGGAGGCTGACTCACTTGAACCCACTGCAGTGAGCCGAGATCCCACCACTGCACTCCACCCTGGGTGACAGAGCAAGAACTTGTCTCAAAAAAAAAAAAAGAGAGAGAAAATGTAGTTTACTTCCCTCAACAAGTAAGCCCAAAAAAATCTAAGGTTTTAAAAATTAACTTTCTTCAACTGCTCTCTATCACATTATGTCCTACCTCTACCTGAAGAACTAAAGGCAAAAAGTAAATACTGAATTCGTTTTAGAGTAACCAAAATTTGGTCACTGAACATTTACTGTGTGCACATCGTACACTATGGGTCTAAGGGATTAAACGTAAAAATACATGGCCCCTTTCCTAGTGATAAAGGCTTTCCAGTCCAAGTCTGGTAATCTTTATGTTTGTGCTTTGAGGTGAGGAAAGGATCCTTAATAATCATTCAAGTCCTGGGCTAGGAAAGGCCCCATCATAGCCAAAGTTTTTAGCATCAATTTCTTCCATTCTATTCCATGACACCCAACCTTAAACTTACAAATTGTCACTTCTATGTGTAATTAAAAAGGCCCTCCAAGGTCATTTTCTTGCATTTATTAGGAGAGCAGAGTAACTTGCTTCATCAGGGCTATGAACTGCAAAAAAAGAAAAAATAAAAATAATGCATACACCCTCATGATCACAAACCAAAGTTTTCATATGAGAAATACACTAGGCAAAGGACAATAGACTCAATAGACTCAACTAAATCTCAACTTCTGAGATATTACATTCCACAAACATAAAAAGAATTGTCCAGATTGTAAATACATGGTCATATAAAGTGCTGCAAGGACTTGAAAACGGAGAAAACAGATTTAAGACTTTTAAGGAAACAACTTACCTGTCTCAGGAATTAAAATACTTTCCTAATTTAAGATTGCTGATACCTTCTAAGAAACCAGAAACTCCAAGCAAACCCACCCTTCATGTTTAAAAAAAAAAAAAAAGTATTGTTGAATATGGTGCCAATTCTCTAAAGGCTTGTACAAGGGAGGAAATAAGTTTAAACGTGACGTAACTTTCACCGTTTTAACAATCAAGCTAAACCTCTTAATGCCAACCCAAATAAAAAGCAAGGTGTGTTCGCTAATATGTCATATTTCCCTCTATAACTGTTTTATAAACCTCACAGGAAAACCAGTTTTATAATGCAAATTCTGACAGACCATTAACTGTAATGCTGTAACAGGTGCCCCATAATACTAAATGACAGGGAAGAGCTTCACAAACAAGAAAGTAAAGCAGCAAGCAGAACTGTGACAGATTCCTATGCCTCCTCTTCTCTGACCAAACCCTAAAGAGACAGGATGTAATCTGTATTTGATATCTTGATGTTTACTGTTCCAACCACCTCAGTACTGAAACACAAACATCTGATAAATCTTTTTCCAACAAGTCTGTGGAAAGTAACATCAAGCAAGCAGATGATCTCCAAATTTAAGATTTCCAAATTACAATAAATACCATTTGGATTTCCTGCTTTTTTAAAATCCAGGCAACTTTATTTCCAAAGGCTTGCCTCCTCAGTGTCAGATATTCTGTCAAAAAGTTACTTAAGATTGCCGGGCACGGTGGCTCACGCCTGTAACCCCAGAACTTTGGGAGGCTGAGGCGGGCGGATCACGAGGTCAGGAGATCGAGACCATCCTGGCTAACACGGTGAAACCCCGTCTTAATAAAAATACAAAAAAATTAGCTGGGCATGGTGGCGGGTGCCTGTAGTCCCAGCTACTCTGGAGGCTGAGGCAGGAGAATGGCGTGAACCCGCGAGGCGGAGCTTACAGGGAGGCGGAGCTTACAGGGAGGCGGAGCTTACAGGGAGGCGGAGCTTACAGGGAGCCGAGATCGCACCCCTGCACTCCAGCCTGGGTGACAGAGCAAGCCTCCGTCTCAAAAAAAAAAAAAAAAAGTTACTTAAGATTAAAATCGACTTAAGGGAAACAACCAAATGCAATAAATGGTCCTTTATTAGGCAGTGGTTTAGACAAAGCTTCTCTATTACAGTCTGGGGCTAAATGGGGAAATCTGGACATGTTACAGTAATAGATTATATTAAAACTAACCAAGCTAGCTGACAGAAAAAAAAAAGGTCCTCAGAGCTGGGTGCGGTGGCTCACGCCTGTAATCCCAGCACTTTGGGAGGCCGAGGCAGGTGGATCACCTGAGGTCAGGAGTTCAAGACCAGCCTGACAAACATGGTGAAAACCCGTCTCTACTAAAAATACAAAAAATTAGCTGGGCGTGGTGGCGGGAGCCTGTAATCCCAGCTACTCAGGAGGCTGAGGCAGGAGAATCGCTTGAACCTGGGAGGCATAGGTTGCAGTGAGATCCCACCATTGCACTCCAGCCTGGGCAACATGAGCAAAACTTCATCTCAAAAAAAAAAAAAAAAGAAAAAATCCTTACAGATGGTATATTCATGTATCTCATTTTTATTAAAACACACATGCACATGCATAGAAAATTATCTGAAAAGTAATACAGTAGTCATCTATGGATGGTAGCAATTTGTTTTTATATTTGTTTCCTTGTATTTTCTAATTTTCAAAAACGTACATGTAACACTACTTGTGTAATAACTTTTTAACAGCTAAAGTCAAAAATTAATATCGGTCACGTGCCTACTATACGTAAGACGCAATGGAAATCTGCTTTTACTCTCACCTAGTCCTCCAAGTTTGTTTTTTAGGTCATCTTTCTTCTCCAACCCCCTAGGCTAAGCAACAAAACACATTTCCTCAAACTCCAATAGGTTTTCTCCCTCTAGTTTCACCCAGACACACATACTTTTCATTGCTGTCCCTGTATAGCTACTCTTTCAACCTGGATAACTAATATAAGCACAGCACTGGTTTACAGGCAGAAAACCAGTCAAGTGAAGCGGGGAGAACTAAGAAGGTGGGTTTTTTTTTTTTCTTTTAAATGAACACATATCTACCTTTGTTAAAGCTAAAATATATGTGCAGCCAACCCAACTTTTACTAGTAAGCAGTCTGTACTCTTAAAGGTGGAATCAAGTTCAAGTTCTACCTTACTTTCAGACACTCCCATTATCTCTGCTAAATAGGGACCAAAGGAAATAGCAGGAAACCTAACACTTAAACAGCTTAAAATTATATTTATTCTACACATTAAAATGACAATGCCAAGTAAAAGACACTTATAGAAGTATCCAAACTTTGAAGAAGACAGCAAAATACCAAGCAGAAAGTCATCTGATTTACAAGTGACCGTAAGCAGGCTGGGCGTGGTGGCTCACGCCTGTAATCCCAGCACTTTGAGAGGCCGGGGCGGGCGGATCACGAGGTCAGGAGTTCGAGACCAGCCTGGCTAATATGGTGAAACCCCGTCTCTACTAAAAATACAAAAAAAAATTAGCCAGCCGTGGTGGCACGCGCCTGTAGTCCCAGCTACTCAGGGGGCTGAGGCAGGAGAATCGCTTGAACCCAGGAGGCGGAGGTTGCAGTGAGCTAAGATCATGCCACTGCACTCCAGCCTGGGTGACAGAGCGAAAGACTCTGTCTCAAGGAACAAAAAAAAAAAAAAAAAAAAGTGACCGTAAGTAAATGAGACTAAGATCTTTGGGATAAAAGGACAATAAAAATTCTGGGTTGCATGTACTTGCTAAGAGTGTTACTCACAAAACATCCCATTTAACTCCCCCCACGTATGTTGCCCACCTACAACAAATTATTACATCAAAAGTGTTGACTCAATGCAAGTATGGACATATTGAATGCTTCCTTTCTCCACCTTTCTCCACCTGTGATTAAATCTTGATCAGTTGTGATATGATCAAAATGCAACTTACTATAAAATCTGTAACCACTGGGGAGTCACTACCTAAATCAGCTTTCAGGGAAATAATTTCCCTCTATCTTAAAACTAGTTCATTAGCTTTGAAAGGTATTAGCCTTGAGCTACAAGTAGCAAGAGAGCTAGCCTTCATGGCGGGTATTATAAAAAGGAAAAATAGTTCACCTAATAAAAAACCTTTGGGAAAGAACCCCCTAAGCATTCCCATTAATGGAAACCTCAGATCCTCTCCTACTTTCCTAAAAACGTAGCTGTCTCAGGTCATTCACTGCAGCTGTCATTTTACAAAAGAAAATTTAAATTCCCTCTTGGCCGGGGCAAATAGAGGGCGACAGCCCCTCGCCCCTGCCGAAGTAAGGCAGGGCGCCAGCCCTCTCGTTACTAGAAGGCAAGCTAAAGCTCCTTTTAAACGGTCTCCGGATGACGACGCATTCCTAACGGGTTTCGAAGGCATGTTTAAATCGCCCGCTTTTTTGTTTGCTCTCAGCATTCACCGGCGCCGGGACTGCGGCCGCCCCCACCCGCTTGGGGTGGGAAACCTGGGGCCAGCGGAGCCTGGCGCGGGAGGAATCCTGGGGCGAGGGGAGACCCGGGACGCGCCAAGCCGGGGTTGAGGACTCGAGAATAAGGAGCTCTAGTGGGAGGGTGGCGGAGTGAGAGGGGACGTGAGAAGGCTAAGGATCCCAGCAAGGGGGGCACCCCGGGGTTGTGGGGGAGCTCGGCCGCCGCCCCGCAGCGGCGAACGCTCCGCGCGGCTCCCGCCGCCCGCCGGGGAATGCGCAGGGCCGCGGTTCCGCGCGGCGCCGACCCCTCCCTCTCTCCCAATCCTCCTCCTCCTCCTCCTCCCGAGGCGACAGAAACAACAGCGCGGGAGGAGGGGAAAGTAACTCCCGGCACCTCCGCCGGAATTAGCCCCGGTGCAGTGATGACACCTTCTCGTGGCGCAACCAAGCCCCGCTCCCTCCGCAGCGGCGTCCCCGCCGCCGCCGCCCTCTCCATTTGAAAGTGGCCACCCCCCGCCGCGGCAGCTCCTCCCGCCCCGCCGCCGCCAGCTGCACCAATCCGCTCGGCCCCAGTTGCAAATCAAACGCTCCCTCGCGTCCAGAAGCCACTTGCGCCGCTGGAAACGGCCGCGCCGTCCCCCTCCCCGAGTCCCTCCGGGGCGGCACCTTCGGGCTGGGGCGGGCGCGCCGGCGAGAAACGGTTTTAAGATGGGAGCGGCAGCGGCGGCGAGGAGCTCCGAGCGGGCTCGGCTCCCGCTCCCGCTCCCGCCCCCAGACAGTTCTGGAAACTGTGTATCACCTCTGTCACAGGAAGCCATCCGGCGAGGAAGGCGGCGCGGAACCAACAAACAAACGCCTGCGGCCGCCCGCCGGAACCGGCGCGGGGACCGCGTCGGGCTTCGGGCCGTTCCCGGGGCGGGGGCGCAGCGGCCACCCCCGCGCCGCGGGCTTTGTGCGGGGCGGGCGCGGCGGGCCGGGCGTCCCCGCCCCCGCAACCCCCCACCCCGGCCCGGGCGGCGCAGCTGGGACCGTTAGGTGACGCTCCGGCCGCAGCGGAGAAGCAGCGCCTCGGCCGCCGCCCGCCCCCATTTCCACACTGGGCCGCCTCTCCTCAAACACCAGAGGCGGGCTACAAAAGTTGGCCCCGGGGCCACCCAGCACCTGCCCACGTGCCGCGGAGGCTCGCTCCCGAGTCTCCCCCGGTTCCCTCCCCCGCCGCCCTCGGCCGCCAGGTCACCTATTACCGGTGGGAGGGGAGAGAGGCTGCTATTTAAACGCCCGCGGAAGTTGAGGCACCCCCACTGGCGGGTGCCGTGCACCTGCCTCCCGCCGCCGCGCTCCGCCACTTTGAGCAGCAGCCGCGTCCTCAGCCCCGCCTCCTGCCCGAAGGCGGGCGGGGGGGAGCGGGAAGGAGGTGGAAGGGATCGAATTTCTCCAGCAAATGGGACCGTTCCGACAGGATTCGGTTCCCCGGTCAACATTCCACATTCCATCCCTCTCCCGCATTTGCAAGCCAATGCCGAGCAACCCGGAAAGCCTGCTGGCTACCGAACAACAGCCCCCAACTCGCAAACACAGACTCACAGGCACAAGACACGTGCACTGAAGGGCTCTGCAACTTGCAGTCCCGGGGTACACACTACACGTTCATTTAAGGAAGCAAGGAGACCAAGAGACCCCACCCCCACAATTTGCAGATGGTGCCAAAGGTTGCAATTTGCAATCCCCTTTAAGTTCACGATTAATCGGTACTTTGCTCTACCAACGCCAACTCCTACCCCATTTCATCGATTAAGGGGTTTTACACTTTACAAGCAGTCGCGCTGTAAGTAAAAGATCTGATCACTGGAAGCCCAGTTCGGAAGAATCTAATTGCCAAACTGTCCCTCCACCCCCACCCCCACCCCCCTCTCACTGCCCTTGAATTGATGCAATGAATATTTTGGACATGTGGTGACGCGGTGACAAGAGCCAGGGCTGCGGCCACCACACACAGATGTACCTACGCACACCTATGTTTGGACAAATACAGTCCCACCACACACACGGTCTCACACACTCTGGATTCATATATGTACGCGAACCTGCGTTCTGCCATTGCCATCTGTCTACCAAGTTGCTACTATGCTTTCCACTTTCATGCAGCCTAATGCACTTTGGCTTTCTAAAAAAAAAAAAAAAAAAAAAAAACCTATAAACTAAAGCCAACTTAAACTGGGCTTCTGCTCCTAAACGCGTTTAATTGATGATTCACCTGAAAACCGCATGTTCTTCGCAAATCCAAAAGAAGAAATAGCTCTAAGTCTTCAGCCCCCCAAATTTGAAAAAAAAAATCATAATAAAACTTACTGATCCAACATAGATCAATTCTCAGGATCCAAAAATCATCCTCTCCTCCTCCTCCGGCCCCCGCCCCGGCAATGCCCAAGTTACTGGTGGGATAGTAACGCTGCGCTCAGCGGCTGCCTCCCTCCCTCCTCGCTACAGATCGAGAACCCAATCTTTTGGCGCCATATTAATGACGTATTATATTATTTCCACTAGGCAGCGACCTTCGGCATTAAATTACTCCCGAGAACTCCCGAGCAAAGCAACAAAACCATCAAATATGGCTGAGCCTCTCGGCTCGTCCTGCAGCCGCCGCCGCCGCCGCCGCCGTCGCCGCCGCGGGACCGGGACGCGCACACGGACCCACACGCGGACACGCGCGGACACACGCGCGGCGCGCCCACCCCGCGCGCCCCCCGCGGCCCGCGCGCGTACCTGCTGCGGAGGGGTTCGGCCGAGGCGCTGGGCTGGGCGCCGCTCGCTCGCTCGGAGCTGCATGAGTTCGGGCCGCGGCGGGCGGGGAGCCGGGCGGGCCCCTGCTCTCGCCGGCGCGCACACACCGGGCACTCGCGCACGGAGGCACTCTCGGTCTGGCGTTTGGCTTGTTATGGAGGAAGGACTATGTGAATCAAACTCATTTCTGGGTCACTGCTGCCACAGGGGGGAGCACTTTAATCCCTTGCCAAAACGAGAGGGTGGGGACGGGAGGGCGGAGGGAGCATGCGGGGAGCCCGCGGCGCTGGGGCTCGGTCCCTCGTTAACTCTTCGCAGCCCTAGCCGCAGCCGGCTCAGCCTGCGCCAGTGGGGGCTCGCAAAGAACGGCACTGTTCAGCTCTTAGTCTCTTTCCTTACTTCACCCACCTTGTGAGCCTAGAAATTCTTGAGGTGTCTCCAAGCAAGTGGGTTTTTAAATTAGCCCCTTCAAACTGCTGTCCCAGTTTCAACTCTTGTCTGACATCTAGAAATGGATTCTTTCAGAATAGTTTAAAATTACGTAGATTAAAATATGGCTATTAAGATGTGTCATTTGGGTGAAAGGTTTTATTTTTAGGCTGAGTGGCAAAATAGTTGTTTGTAGTAACAGTTTTAGGGAGTTGCACATTAGGATGACATTTTTAAATAGAGAGAATCCAATTCTGAATAACATCTTTACCTAAATTTGTATGGAAGTGATCATTGCAAATGAGCATTAATTCATTAGAAGATATTATTTATAAATTGACACCACTTTATGTTACACATTACTACAGAATTGGACATCTTCTCCCAAATATGAGGAGTGAGCCTAATGCTAAAACTAGAATTGCAGACTAGTATCAGATCAGTCATCGGAGATTCATTTGGGGGTATTTATGTGTAAAAAGGAGTGGTTACTGATTTTCTGCAGAAGACAAGCTTGCTTTTTCATATAGAGGGCAACATACTTCTTTCATGGATTCATCTAGGGAAATAGAGGGGTATATGACATTCAACTTCAATAAGAAAAAAGTACGGATTAAAAACTCCCATTCAGGCCGGGCGCGGTGGCTCACGCCTGTAATCCCAGCACTTTGGGAGGCCTAGGTGGGCGGATCACCTGAGGTCGGGAGTTCAAGACCAGCCTGACCAACATGGATAAACCCTGTCTCTACTAAAAAATACAAAATTAGCCGGGCATGGTGGTACATGCCTGTAACCCCAGCTACTGGGGAGGCTGAGGCAGGAGAATCGCTTGAACCCGGGAGGTGGAGGTTGTGATGAGCCGATAATGCGCCATTGTGGTCCAGCCTGGGCAATAAGAGCGAAACTCCGTCTCAAATAAATAAATAAATAAATAGGAACAGTGATCACTAATTACAAAATTGAATATCGAACCCAAAAGGCATATGTGTCCACCGGAAGAATCTTTCTGAATATATCAGGTTTGATTTCATGTAATCCCACACCAGCCCAACTACCCACATCCAGACCCACATCCAGAACGTTATAATCTGATAAATGCGACAAAACAAAACTAATTGAGCCTTTCAGTTATTTTTCAGAAAACAAAGTAAGCCAGTGGAAATCCTAAGTACTGTATATGTCCTCTCCTGTTTCGCTAATGAAGAGTAGAAAGACTCCCTGCCAGTCCTATTCATGTGTTCACTTAATCCTGTTCAAAGCGATCACACATGTAAAGCACTGTGTTAACTATCATTATTACTATTCTTAGTATTGCACTTGTTATTGTTATTTTTACTGGTTCACCTCGCACATACTCTCTGTAGAAGTTAAAGTACACAGGCTTTGTAGCCAGACATGGCTGGATCTGGCTCTATCAGTTAGCAGTTTGTGTGCCTGTGGGATAAAAGAACTTTATCTGAGCCTCAGTTTCTTCCCTGGTAATAAAATTAAGTTAACAGCTGGCCCCTAACCTGAAGGGTTGTTAAGAGGAATCAGGCAACCTCATAACAGTTCAGGAGTAGAGGCCCTGGCAGTAGGAGGTTGTCCACTCCCTCGGCCATCACTCAACTCCTTCTTGGTTTTCTCTCCATCAAAAATTGCAACTTTTCTAAATTCCAAACAGCCTTACTTCACGCATTCATGTTAAGAAAATTTTTGTCGACCGGGCGCGGTGGCTCATGCCTGTAATCCCAGCACTTTGGGAGGCAGAGGCGGGCGGATCACGAGGTCAGGAGATCCAGACCATCCTGGCTAACACGGTGAAACCCCGTCTCTACTAAAAATACAAAAAATTAGCCGGGTGTGGTGGCGGGCGCCTGTAGTCCCAGCTGCTGGGGAGGCTGAGGCAGGAGAATGGCGTGAACCCGGCAGGAGGAGCTTGCAGTGTGCCGAGATCACGCCACTGCACTGTAGCCTGGGCGACAGAGCGAGACTCTGTCTCAAAAAAAAAATTTTTTTAACTCACATTTGCTGCTTACTCTTTTATTTGCTTTTTCTATCAAAAACATCAGGCACCAACGAAAGTATTGAATAAAATGGATGACAAAAATAAAGGGATAAAATGGCACACAAACTCCCCACACTGACACATTGAACATGAGTGAAGGTGCCATGTACAGAGTCTCAATTATGCCGTGGCTTCAGAATACTCATCCACTGAAACAGTGCTATGTGCTATAAATAGCCCTGGACAAGAAGTCAGGAGACTCCCACCAACT
Source organism: Homo sapiens (assembly GCF_000001405.40). Lineage (NCBI taxonomy): Eukaryota > Metazoa > Chordata > Mammalia > Primates > Hominidae > Homo > Homo sapiens. The sequence continues at coordinate 128,807,172 of NC_000004.12, read as the reverse complement.
CCCAATATGACTCTTTGGGCTTTAGTTTCCCCACTGAGATGATAGGAAAAATAATGCCTAAGGCCCCTTTCTCTTTAACATTCAGTCATTTCTGATTTTCTTACCAAACTTAGAAACGTGATGATTATTTGAAGAAATGGCGGACAACTTGAATCCATAAGGAACATGTAAAAATATTTTGTCATCAATGATCAGCAGTTGGCATTTCTTAAATAATAGGTGTCTCTTGCCATCAGACCACAAAGGAAACTCCTATACAACCTATTTCTAAAATGGGAAAGGCAATGATATGGTTTGCCTTGCGGCAGCACAGATAATACAGCCTAGAATAAGAAGTACTAAGCTGGCAATTAGGAAAGCGAGTTTCTGATTCCACTCTGTCACTTACTGTCTTACCTTGCCAAATCATTCCGGATCATCATTTCCTAGTCTCTGGAATAGTTCTTTTTAATTCACACCTTATTATCAGAGATGAAAAGACATTCAACAAAATAGCTACAAGGTACTCAGTGTAATAGAAATATCAAGATTCTTGTCTTTCCTGTTCGTGGTGATAATTACAATTCTATATATCCTGTACATTCTGCTGTAGTCATAAACAGTTTAATTATTTTCTTCCATAATAATGGGTTTTTATGAAATAGAAATTTGGATATTTATATTCATATTCCTGATTTTGAAACCAGACTTGATTAAACCTCTGAATGTTTACTTAGTCATTTCATCTACTTCTCTGTAGGTAAAGAATTATAAGGCCTTGATAAGAGATTCAGAATTGTTCATATTTGAAATGAAGGGATGCATACACTAAAGTCCTGTATTATCTCATTCCTTTAGGGAAATGAGCAAGAAATTCTTACTGGCAAATACCACTGTCAGTTGGTATACATTCCAACGAGATAATTTTTTTTTTTTTCAAGATCAGGGTCTCACTCTGCCACCCAGGCTGGAGTTCAGTGGTCCCAACATGGCTCAGTGCAGCCTCCACCTCCAGGCCTCAAGCAATTCCCCCACCTCAGCCTCCAAAGTAGCTGGGAACACAGGCATGAACCACCACACCTGACTAATTTTTCATATTTTTTGTAGAGACAGGATTTCACCGTGTTTCCCAGACTGGTCTCAAACTCCTGAGCTCAAGCGATCCGCCCTCCTCGCTCTCCCAAAGTGCTGGGATAATAGGCGTGAGCCACTGCGCCTGCACCCAGAGAGAAGAATTTTTTTTTTTTTTACTGTAAAAGGGCAATCTTGGATAAAATGGGTTGTATCCTAAAAGTTTATTTGCATGTACTTTAATTTTTTTGGAATTTTGTGCCAAAAATGTCTTGTTACTAAAGAGGGCTTAGATTGTTGTTTTTAAAAATAATTCTAATAACTAAATGATAAAAAATAACTTTTTATTTTTCAACCAGGCGTGGTGGCTCACACCTGTATTCCCAGCACTTTGGGAGGCTGAGGCGGGTGGATCACTTGAGGTCAGGAGTTTGAGACCAGCCTGATCAATATAGTGAAAACCCATCTCTACTAAATATAAAAATTCGCTGGGCGCGGTGGCTCACGCCTGTAATCCCAGCACTTTGGGAGGCCAAGGCAGGCGGATCACAAGGTCAAGCGTTCAAGACCAGCCTGGCCAACATGGTGAAACCCCGTCTCTACTAAAAATACAAAAATTAGCTGGGCGTGGTGGTGCATACCTGTCATCCCAGCTACTTGGTAAGCTGAGGCAGAAGAATTGCTTGAACCCGGGAGGCGGAGTTTGCAGTGAGCTGAGATCTTGCCGCTCTACTCCAGCCTGGGTGACAGACCGAGACTCCATCTCAAAAAAAAAAGAAAAAAAAAAAAGAAATTACCCAGGCGTGGTGGCGCATGCCTGTAATCCCGGCTACTTGGGAAGCTGAGGCAGGAAAATCGCTTGACCCAGGAGGCGGAGGCTGCGGTGAGCCGAGATTGCACCATTGCACTGCAGCCTGGGCAATGAGAGCGAAACTCCATCTCAAAAAAATAATAATAATAACTTTTTATTAACTTTGTTGAGTAATATTGTATGAGGGAGGGATGTAGTTCAAAGAGGAATAAGGACATATAATTCTTTTTTGTTTTTTAACACCCCTTGTCCTAATGTATGGTACATATAATTCTGAACAAGAAAAGTTGAGAGCCACAGTCAACACCTATCTGAACTCCGTGACACAGGAGATGAAGGGTAAGAGATTAGGACTAGAATTCCTTGTCTGACCTGTTGGTGAAGTCACCAGTCCTTAACAACATTTTAGCTCCTCCAGGCAGGTCATTACAACCTCCAAATATATGGAATATTTGTTTCTTGTTGGTGTCAGTACCAACTAAATTACTTTCTTCTTGAGATTCTTTCTTCCCCTTCTTTTTGTTTTCCTTTGCTTGCTTTTCATTTTGGTTGTTTTAATTTTGTTGATTTCCATACTTTTAGTGAAAGTAAAAATGTCAAAGAGAAGTAAGTATGAAATGGGATAACAGGAGATAATTCCACCAGATGGAAATGACCAAAGCTGAGGAGGTTCAAAATAAGTAAAGCTCTTCCCTAATCATGAAAGGAATACATGATAATGAAATTTTGAAAATTTAGAAAAATGAAGTAATAAAACTCAACCATATGGATAACTATTATAAACATTGTCCATTTTTTGGTCTTTTTTCTATGCATTTTTCCTAAAATTGGAATGATGCGACACATTCCATTTTACATCCTTCCTTTTCACTTACATCTTTCAATTTTTCCATTTGGGTATTAAATACTTTTATGCAATGTTTGTGCATTTCAGGTCTTTGACCCCCTCTGTGTTATTATACCTTCCTCCACAGGTTACTTTGGCTATTCATTCTCATAGCTACTCTCCCTGGACCTTGTCAACTACTGGAAATTTCTGCCATCTTTATTATCAAACTCAAGTATCTCCCATTTTGACCACTACCTTTCAGATTTCCAAAGTCTATACATCCCACCTTACCCTTCTTTTTATCTGAAAGTCCTCTGATCTACCCCTCCAGCCTTTTCTTACCAACAACAGAACGGATGTAACTCATAAGGTCTCTAATCAGCAGCAGCAGCACCTGAGAACTTGTCAGAAATGCATTATTTCCAGCCCCACCCCAGACCTACTGAAACAGAAAGTGGGATCCGGCAATCTGTGTTTTAACAACCCTTCCTGGTAGTTCTGATCCACACTCAATCAGAAAAACACTTATGTAGGTCTCACTCCCACCTACCACCTCTAACCAACTGTTTTCTGAACTTTCTTGTCTAATGTTTCTTCATTCCTCAGACAAATGTGTTAAGCAATTAGTATGTCCCAGGCACAGGGCTGGCTAGGCACTGGAGACAAGGTAAAACAGGCAAGTAGGCCTATTCTTTGTCCACGGGCCAGTAGAAAATATTAAAAAGTGATTTCAATAAACTCCAGGGTTTGGGGGAGGCATATAGCATACACCTGATCTGCCTGGTGGGAAGAGGGTGGTCAGAGAAGACGTCAGTCTAAAAATAAGTGACACTAAAGCTGAAACCCGAAGGCATCAGCCAGGTGAGGAGGAGGAGGATGGGGGCCAAATGTTGACTTTTTACAAGCCCTTTGGCTTCAGGGTAGGGAACTGGATGGGTTGGGAGGGCGGCGGGTTTGTAGACTGGAGAGAGTAAGCCTAGTTAGGAGGCTAGATGACAGTTGAAGGCAGGCTGAACTATCATTGTTGATTGTGGAGTGCAGATAGGCAAACAAACCACCCTGTGATGAGGGCATCGTTAACACTGTCTCAGCTCTTCAGAGGCCTCCAGCTCCCCCAGTTCTGGAGCTGCTGCTCTAAGGGGTACCTGGGGGATGTCTCTGGGGTTTACAGAGTCCCTGGGGCATGTCAGGAGGGTGTCCACAAGGCAGAGGCAGTGTTTGGGGCAGAAAGCAACATGTAGGGGAAACAAGCAAAGCTCCTGATGGGCAGTGAGTAGGTGGAAGTCCTGGTACAGGGGGATCCAAGTCCTCTCCCAGCACCCAGAGCTGAGGCTCAAGCAGCATGGCTGAGCAGAGGAGGCCTCCCTGACGGTGCGTGGGGAGGACTCGGGCCCCTCATAGGGGTCCTGCTCCAACCCCTCTTCTTCCAAAAGGCCTGGATCAGATCCCAGGACTCCCTAGCATCCTGGGGTCACCACCCCATAGTTTCTTTATCCCTCCACCTGAAAGCTTCATTTTTCCCCACTTTCTTCCACAATTCACCTTAATGGCCCATTATAACCTGAGCCCAAATCATTAGCAAATGAAGAACCAGGTTCACTTTTCTCTAAGGCAGAGCTGGCTTGGTGGGGAGGCGGGAGAGGAAGCAGGGAGGGAGGTACTCTCCCACTGGTTTAGTTCTAATGTTAATGAAGCAAAAAAAAGGAGGTAAAGCAGCTAAGTTTCTGTGTTAAAACTGCTTGAAAATTCACTTTTGTGTGTGTGTGCATGTCGGAGGGAGTGTGTGTGTTTCTGCCACGAAACATATTTAAATGTAGATAAGACTTGATGGGTTAGATGTCAGAGATGAAGGAGAAGTTGGAGTAAAAGATGACTCCAAAGTCTGTGGCTTAGAGAACTGAGTGGATTTCTTTTTTTACTCAACCAACAGTTGCTCATTGAGCACTGAGTTCAGGATCTATAATGGTAGACACAAATCCACCCCTGTCTTTCTAGTGTTTACTTTTATTCTCGGAGACAGTGGGAATATGATGAGTTCAATTTGAGGTGCCCAGGAGACACCCAATTGAAGATGCCCCAGAAGGCAGATGGGAACCAGAAGAAATCTGGTACTGGAGAGAAAGGCTGGGTTGCAAATATTGGATTAGGAGCCATCAGCATAGAGAGATTAACTGAGGCCACCAGAGTGGATGAGATCAATAGGACGTTTCCATAAAGTGAGAAGAAAACAGAGCCTAGGCTAGAAACTAAAAAGAAGCATTTAAAGAATGGGCAAAGGAAGCTGCAAAGCTGCAATGGTTTCCTTGAAGACAGTCCTAGAATAATTCAAACATATTAGCCTTCTTCATTGCTGAATTTGGACTTCTAAGCTACTGGAGAAAGTCACAGATCTGTGCTGATTGGTTCCAGAATACACTCATTATCCCCCACCTCCACAATGCCCTGAAATCACTCTGTTTTCCTAGTCAGTTCAGTCTGCATTCTCCTGCCACCTGCCTCAGCACTTTCACTGGAGCTTCTAACCTACGTCACTATCACGGAGGTAACAAGCCAATGAACAAGAATGCCTTCAGCTTCAGCTTCTGGCACCAAACTTGCAGACAGTCTTCCTTACAGGCCCATCCTTGCTCTTCTTTCCTGTGGGAAGCTGACCTTCCCTCCACTTGTGCCCAGATTCCCCTCCCAAGTCCCTGAGACACCGAAACTCAAGATGCTGGTCTCAAACTCAAGATTAGCCCTTCTCTCTCAGGTCCCTTCTTCTTTTCCTACTCACTCCTTCTCAAACACATTTAAATATACTTATGTTCCCCACTAAAAAAGCCCCCTTCCCCTTTACAGCCACACTTTTTAAAAGAATGGTCTACGCTCACACTTGAATATACTGAAATCTGACTTATGCTCTCTGTCACCCCACCCAGCTCTTGCCAAGATCACCATTGATGTTCTTATTGCTAAATCTCATGGCAATTTCTCATCCTTGTTTTATTTGAACTCTCACCAGCATTTCACACTGTTGTCCATTCATGCCCTGTTTTCTTATTTTCACCTGGCTTCCATAACACCAACATTCTGATGATTTCTCTCCTACCTCTCTGGCTTCTGCTCATTCCCTTGCAGATTTCTTTTTCTTTTTTGTTAAGGTAGTGTTTCTGACAAATTGGTTTTGAGCACATGAGAAAGAGGCTTTTTGAAAAATCCAACCGAAGGAGTAATTTTGGTTGAGATATTTTATAAGAAAAAAAAAAAAGAATGGTTCCCTAACCATGTTTAGAATGGGTACAAAAAAAAAGAACATCTGGTTAAAGATTATTAGGCTAGTCAATCAGCTGGGTGGGTAACCCTAGCTTCCCAGAAGGAGTTTTCAGTCTTATTAAAGTCTGTCAGAAAACTGTTCACGCACTTTATGAGGAATGCTAATTGCTTCCCAGAAGGAGTTGTAAATTACATCACACAAAAAATTTCTGTCCCAGACCAGGTTTGAGTCCATTTTCTTTCTCACTTTCAGTCTCTTAAACATTGGTTTTCTTTAGAGTTCTGTCCTAAGCCATCCTCTAATTCTACATATATCCCTTGTGTGATCTCATCTACTCCCATGACCCCCCAAACACATGTCTACACAGCCAGTTTCACACCTGACTTTCAGACTTGTATCTCTAAAAGCCTCCCGAACATTCCCTTAGACTTCCCACATGCATTTCAAACTCAGTGTTTCCCAATCTGAACTCATTTTCCCTCCCACTTTGTGCCTCTTCATCTGTCTCCAGTCTCAGTTAGTGGTACCACCATCCGCAATTGCCAACCCGAGAGCCAAAACATCATTCTTGACTCTTGCTTTTCCCTGACACCTCCTCCACTACTGTCAGCAATTCAAACTATCATCAAGTCACTTCTACATCAAGTTTCATCTCCCCATCCCTACAGACAGGGTCATCCTCTCAGTGACCTAAACCACTGTCTAACTGGCTTTCCTGCCTCCAGCCTTATCTTCCTCCAAATCATTTCCTACTCAGTAGTTAGTGTGATCTTTTTAGAGCAAAGTCCATGTCATTTGTCAGAATCATAAATGATCATGCTATTCCCATTTAAAGCCTTTAATTCCTTTTTTTTCCTTTTTTTTTTTTTCCTGTTTACTCTTAAGGATAGAAAGTCCAAACTCAGCAACATAGACTATACGGAACTGATTTTCTGATTCCTACTCACTTTTGCTAGCCTTCCTTCCAAACTCTCCTCCAGTCCCATGCCTGTTTACTTTTCTTCATGGAATCCCTTGAGAAATTTTGAAAATGCTTATCCCTACCTAAGCTTGGGTATTTCTTCCCTATTTACAATGTTTCTTTGGGCTCATTCAAGTTTCAACAAAAAACCTTATCCTACCTCCCTAACTCCCACCCTTCTCTATGCTTCCATGACACTCAGCACTATACCTGTATTGTCACTTCTCTCACTGTTTTGTAAATTTTTTGTATCCCTCATTAGACTATCTGTGATTCAAAGATTTTGTTAATTGTGCCCTCCGTGTGTCCCTAGCATTGGGCCTAACAGTTGGTAGGCACTTAATAAATGTTTTGAATGAGATGAATGATCATTATATCCATGTAATTAAATAGTCTCTAAAACACTATTTTAAAAACAGATTGTAACTTTCATTCTTGTTTTCTTATGGCAAAAGTAATAAATATTATTATTATTATTTTGAGACAGTCTTGCTCTGTTGCCTAGGCTGGAGTACAGTGGCGTTATCTTGACTCACTGCAACCTCCGCTTCCCGGGTTCAAGCAGTTCTCATTCCTCAGCCTCCCAAGTAGCTGGGATTATATGCATGCACCATCCCGCCCAGCTAATTTTTGTATTTTTAGTAGAGACAGGCTTTCTCCATGTTGCCCAGGCTGGTCTCGAACTCCTGGTCTCAAGCGATCCACCTGCCTCGGCCTTCCAAAGTGCTGGGATTACAGGCGTCAGCCACCACACCCGGCCAAATATTATGTTTTAAAGAAGCCATACTTAAAATGAAAATCACCAAAAATCTTTTAGTCACAGACTATCACCACTAAAATTTTGTTGTATATTTTTCCTGGTTTTTGTATGTTTGTGTAAGTGCATCCATATGTACCTAAGTTTTTTAAAACAAATGTGATTATACTGTAATTCTATTTTGTGACAGTTTAATTTATCCATAGGGTTGGGCTTTGGGATTATTTCTACATGTTTGCTAGTATAAAGAGTGCTTTAGTGTATATCCTTATTGAAGAGAGCAAAATCACCTGGTGGCCATTGAACAGGCCCGGGAGACAAAAACTCCTTACCTGGGGAATTTAGAAGGGAGCAAACACCACCTGGTGACTATCAAACAGGCCATCCAGAGGCAAAACTCCTTCTCTGGGGAAAATTAGAAGTAATTCGACTTCCTTATTATCTAAAGCAGGCATCTGGTTTCAGATTTCTTTCCCTCAAAAAAATTTATAAGTAACTAGAATTTCTATACATCTCCAGAATGCCATGCCAAAACTCGTTGTGCAAGCCTTGCTGACATTAAGGCACCAAAATGTCTACAAATGGAATCATCTATCATGACCTACATGGCTAATGTGGTCCAAATTACCCATAAATGCTCCTAAGGAAAAATCCACCACTGCACTCAGTCCTCTTGCTGAGGCACTCAGCTACACTCTTCTGCAGTGTTTTCTTTCTAATAAACTTTCCTTTTTCAAACCTATACTGTTGTCGGTACATTCTTTTTACCAACCTGCTAGTCCGCCACTTCCCAATGTCGGGGCTCTGACACCTTACCCAGCATTTATAGCTACAGAATTGTACTGATGGTATAATATTCCATCTATAAATGGAATTTACCCTGATTCCTGATTTTTTTTATTTTTTTATTTTTTTTATTTTTATTTTTTGAGACAGAGCCTTGCTCTGTCACCCAGGCTAGAGTGCAATGGTGTGATCTCGGCTCTCTGCAACCTCCACCTCTCGGGTTCAAGCGTTCCTCCTGCCTCAGCCGCCCAAGTAGCTGGGACTACAGGCATGCACAACCACATCTGGCTAATTTTCATATTTTTAGTAGAGTCGGGGTTTCTCCATGTTGGTCAGGCTGGTTTCAAACTCCTAACCTCAGGTGATCCGCCCACCTTGGCCTCCCAAAGTGCTGGGATTACAGGCGTGAGCCACCGTGCTGGGACTCTGATTCCTGATTTTTAAAATTAGTATGCATTTACATTTTTCTAAATTTTTATTTATTTATTTATTTTTATTTTTTATTTTTTTTTTGAGATGGAGTCTCGCTCTTTTGCCCAGGCTGGAGTGCAGTGGCACAATCTCGGCTCACTGCAAGCCCCACTTCCCGGGTTCACGCCATTCTCCTGCCTCAGCCTGCGGAGTAGCTGGAACTACAGGCGCCCACCAGCACACCCGGCTAATTTTTTTTTGTATTTTTAGTAGAGACAGGGTTTCACCATATTGGTCAGGCTGGTCTCAAACTACTGACCTCAGGTGATCCGACTGCCTCGGCCTCCCAAAGTGCTGAGATTACAGGCGTGAGCCACCGCACCCAGCCATATATAAATTTTTTTATTCAAGTATCTGACCATTCTTAGGATGGATTCTGAAAAAGGTAAATTACTAGGTCAAAGTATTCAATGTTTTGGATTCATTTTGCTGAATTGCTTTCCACAGAAGTTGAAAAATTGCTTTCTACAAAAACATTTCTACAAAATGTTTTAATTTAGATTCTCCACTGTCAGTGTATTAGGGGCCACTTGCCCAACATAGAGCTGGACTCTATGGAAGACTAGGGCCATGGCATGCCCTTGAGGAGATATGTCGTTGGTGAGATACATAACACATACAGGAAACAAAGATAGTTTGACACATATAAGAATACCACAAACAAATTGGAGATAGGAAATCCTATCAAATGCCAAAGTCTGTTGAGAATGTTGTTTAATAAAAGAAGTAGAATAATTAAGACCAGAAGTAGAGAGAAAGAATTGGAGACTCTGGGGAAGCAGATGATGAGTTGGGGAAGGTATCCAGAAAAATCTTTGCATGGGGGGATGGGAAGGAGGAGGACTAAAAATTATTGAATGTTTTCTATGTATGTGCTAGGCAGTGTGCTAAGCATTTTACACATAATGTTTCATTTACTTCTCACAACAATCCTGTGATGTAGGTATTATTATTTTCATCGAGATGTGAATGATGTGAAACATTGAGTTTCAGAGGTATTAAGTAACTTGCTAAAGATCACAAAGCTGCTGAGAGGTGGCACCAGGTTTGACCAAGCTAGTTGGGTTCCAAAGGCCACGCCCTGAAGTACATCACTCAATTGACTCATTGCAAAGTCTGAAATATTTATCTAATGAGGAATTGTACACATGATTTGGTATCAGTGACTTGAGCCATAGTTGGCACTCAGTAGATGCTTGAGGGAAAAAATGAGGACAGAAAGAATTCCACATGCTAAGGCTTATTTCAGACATGAGACATGTCAAGCAGGATCTAAACACCTACTTAAAAATATGTGACCATGGACTTAAGTGTAAAACGTAAGCTATAAAACTCTTAGAAAAAAATAAGGGAAAAATGTTAAGATCTAGAGCTAGGCAAAGAGTTCTTTTACTTGATTGCGATAGCACAACCCATAAAAGGAAATATTGATATATTGGATCTCTCAAAATTAAAACTTTGCTCTCCAAAAGATCCTATTAAGAAGATGAAAAGACAAGCTACAGAAAATATTCACAAACCACAAATCCAACAAAAAACTACTATCTGGAATATATAAAGAACAGTCAAAACTCAAAAATTAAAAAATCAAATAGGCCAGGCACGGTGGCTCACGCCTGTAATCCCAGCACTTTGGGAGGCCGAGGCGGGCAGATCACGAGGTCAGGAGATTGAGACCATTGGCTAACACAGTGAAACCCCATCTCTACTAAAAATCCAACAGATTAGCTGGGTGTGGTGGCACGTGCCTGTAGTCCCAGCTACTCAGGAGACTGAGCCAGCAGAATCACTTGAACCCCGGAGGTGGAGGTTGTACTGAGCAGAGATCACGCCACAGCACTCCAGCCTATGCAACAGAGCAAGACTCTGTCTTAAAAAATAAAAAAAAAAATTAAAAAAAAATCGAATAATTCAGTTAGAAAATTGATTTAAAAAACGTGAACAGATATTTTCATAGAAGACATGCAGATGGCAAATAAGCACATGAAAAGGTCTCCGACATCATTAGCCATCAGGAAAATAATGTAGATTTCAACTTCGATGAGAAATCACTACAGTTACTATCAGAATGGCTAAAATAAAAATAGTGACAACATTAAATGCAGACAAGGATGTAGAGAAACTAGATAACTCATAATTGCTGATGGAAACTTAAAATGGTCCAACCATTCTTGAAAACAGTTTGGCACTTTCATATAAAACTAAACATGCAACTCCCACATGACCCATCAGTTGTACTCTTTGACATATATTCCAGAGACACAAAATCTATGTTCATATAAAAGCCTGTGCTCAAATATTCATAGCAGGCCAGGCGCAGTGGCTCAGGCCTGTAATTTCAGCAATTTGGGAGGCCAAGGCAGGCGGATCACCTGAGGTCAGGAGTTGGAGAACAACCTGGCCAACATGGCAAAACCCCGTCTCTACTAAAAATACCAAAATTACCCAGGCATGGTGGTGGGCACCGGTAATTCCAGCTACTCGGGGGGCTGAGGCACAAGAATCACTTGAACCCGGGAGGCGAAGATTGCAGTGAACCATGATCATGCTACAGCACTCTAGCCTGTGCAACAGAGCGAGACTCCATCTTACACACACACACAAAACAAATATTCATAGCAGCTTTAATGATAATAGCCAAAAAACTGGAAATGACCCACTTATCCTTCAATGAGTGAATAAACGAACTGTAGTACATACCACAAAATATTACTCAGAACTAAAAAACAATTAAATATTGATATATACATGAATCTCCAGGAATTATGCTGAGTTAAAAAAAGCCAATACCAAAAGGTTTCACACTCTATGGTCCCATTTAATTAACATTCTTGAAATGGCAACATTATAGAAATAGAGAATAGACTAGCGGTTGCCAGGGATAACGAGGGGCTCGGGAAGGAGAGAAGTGTACACATCTGTAAAAGAGCAACAGGAGGGATTCTTGTGATGATGAAATTTTTATAAATCTTTATTCTGTCAATGTCAATATCCTTGTTGTCACATTGTGCTATAGTTTTGGAAGATGTTACTATTGGGGGAAACAGGGTAAATGGTACATGAGATTTCTCTGCATTATTTTATTATTTTTTTTTAAAAAAACCTCTTAAGTGCTGAGAGCACTCCTTACCCAATAGGTAGCTTCTGGCTTCAGCTGCATTCCTTCTTTCTTTTCTTTTCTTTTCTTTCTTTCTTTTTTTTTTTTTTTTTTTTTTTTTGAGACAGAATCTCACTCAGTTGCCCAAGCTGGAGTGCAATGGCGCAATCTCGGCTCACTGCAACCTCTACCTCCCGGGCTGAAGTGATTCTCCCACCTCAGCCTCCCGAGTAGCTGGGACTACAGGTGTGCACCACCATGCCTGACTAATTTTTGTATTTTTAGTAGAGACAGGGTTTCACCATATTGTCCAGGCTCGTCTCGAACTCCTGACCTAAAGTGATCCACCCACCTCGGCCTCCCAAAGTGCTGGGGTTACAGGCGTGAGCCACCACCCCCGGCCTGCATTATTTCTTATAACTGCATATGAATCTACAATTATCTCACAATTAAAAGTTTAATTAAATATATATATATAGTAAATCAGAAGAGAAAAATATTTAAACACTAACATATTCCTAGAAAGTAACCTAAAAATACTTAGAAAGTAACCTAAAAGATAAAGGAATTTCGTTATTTCATTCAACAGAGCCACATGAATGAAAAATTCATGTTGGCCATAGGTTATGCTGATGTATACATTCCTGAGATTTCTGTTCTGTTGCAGGAAGGCATGCCCTTTCAGGACTAGTAGAAACAGAGGGATAAGCAGAGCTGCAGACGTAGCAAGAGAAAATGGAAACAACAGAGGAATGGTTCTTCTTAGAGCCCTTTATAAATATTCTCTGTCACCTGGCTATCTGTTTTCTACCCAAATGACCAAAAGGAATAAATGACTGTGCCCTATCTGTGGTAGCGACCCGCCAGGGACCTGAGGGCAAGGGAAGAATCTAAGTCTTGCCTCACATATGTCAAATCTTACCTAATCTCTCACACATATTTCTCCACTCTAGTCCTGAAGGCTTCACCCTGAATGCCCTCCTCACCCTCCCAGAATCCCATCCCCCTAGCCACCTCACTACCCAGAATGGAGCATCCACGCACACATCTAATATATCACTGCCTGATTTCTAGTCGTGGATCCAGTCCACTAGGTCACTCTGTAACATTCATCTTAGTTTTAAAAAACATGAGAGGGACATTGTTGGCAAAAATCCATGGGTAATGAATTCTATGTTCTAGAAACAGTGAAACTGAACTATTTCAATTTGAAAGTAAGAGCTGGCAAGAAACCAACAGAGCGAAGTCCTCTTGGGGGAAAAACAGGCTGGTTAGTTAACTTGTAGGTCTGTAAGGTGGGCAGATTTCTTTAAAAAGCAAACAAAGCAATTTTAGACTTGAGAGACTTAATTGCTATCCAAGGCCAAGAATATGAATAATGTTATACAAAAACTTTGCTCAAGTGAGAATTCTGCAATTGAAGCATTCTGACTCTAATAGCCAAAGTTTAAAGGAGAAGACTGTAGAAAAGGATGTTTATTTATCCACTCATATATTATTATATAAACCATTCATGGTATTGAGATATAAATCTCATCTTTTTTTTTCACTGTGGTAAAAAAAGGTTGATGCTTTTCAGAATTTCTATGTCTAAGGAAAAGAGTCAGGCTAGGCGTGGTGGCTCATGCCTGTAATCCCAACCCTTCAGAGGCCAAGGCAGGTGGACTACCTGAGGTTGGGAGTTCAAGACCAGCCTGACCAACATGGAGAAACCCCATCTCTACAAAAAATACAAAATTAGCCGGGCATAGTGGCACATACCTGTAATCCCAGCTACTCAGGAGGCTGAGGCAGGAGGATCACTAGAACCCGGGAGGCGGAAGTTGCAGTGGGCCAAGATCACACCACTGCACTCCAGCCTAGGCAACAAGAGCAAAACTCCATCTCAAAAAAAAAAAAAAAGAAAGAAAGAAAAGAAAGAGTCAAGAAGAGTCAAGAAGCTGCTTTTGTAGGTTACAGATAATGTTAGGATTCTTTTGCATTTGTTCTTCCCTCAATAAAATGAAAAATTTTTTTATGCATAAGGTAAAATTAGAGAACTAATAATGACTTAACAGCAGTTCTAGATCACTTTGTAATGAAGGACAGGAAAGGCATATATAAATATAATTCAAAGATAATAAAACATTTATTTGATTTAACCCTTTCCCTTTCTCATATCTCTCCCTATCCACCTAAAATATTAGCAAAGAAGTGGGAGAAAGTCACACAGGAAGACAAACAACAAAGTAAAGAATCTGAGAAAACTTCACCTATGTCATCTTTCTAATTATAAACATCATTGTAAGCATCATTGGATGGACAAAGATTTATATATAAAAATTCTCATTTTGGCTGGGCGCAGTGGCTCACGCCTGTAATCCCAGCACTTCGGGAGGCTGAGGCGAGTGGATCACTTGAGGTCAGGAGTTTGAGACCAGCCTGGCCAACTTGGTGAAACCCCCTCTCTACTAAAAATACAAAAAATTAGCTAGGCGTGGTGGCAGGCACCTGTAATCCCAGCTACTCAGGAGGCTGAGGCAGGAGGATTGCTTGAACCCGGGAGGTAGAGGTTGCAGTGAGCCGAGATTGCGCCACTGCACTCCAACCTGGACAACAGAGCAAGACTTTGTCTCCAAGTCACATTTTCAAATAGTAAAAATTAAAGAGTGCAAATACCTACTAATGGTAGGGAAAAGGAAGAAAGGAAACTCATGTGGTACCAGTGGAAAAGTAAATTGTTATAGCCTTTTAGAAAAGTAATCTGGCAGTATCTATTCAAATAAAAAAATATACTATTCAAACAAGAAGCCTGATGTAAGCAAAGAGTATCAAAAATTTTTTTCCTAAAGAAAATAAAAGCAGGTAAGGACTATGCTCTAGACTCCTCATATGAAAGCACAGAATAATTTTCATGTAAATAATCAAAATGGAGGGAACGCCTTTTGAACTCCCTGACCCCTCTTACAATGTCTATGGGGGCCCAACCCTGTGATCCTCAAGCCTTGCCCTTCTCTTTACATACCAGCCCTTCAGGTCATATCATCTCTCATCTGGTAACCATTCGATGATGTTTATGGACCCCCATATTGCACAATGCATCTAAATTCTTCCGTTTCTTCACTCTCTTCCTCCCACCCCACCATACAATTATGTTAAAAATGGCCGAGTCTGGTTAACTCTGGATCTGTGGTGTGTCTCCCGCCTGTCCCTTTCTACGCATTCCTACACCTGCTATCCTGACTGGGCACTGTATTACCTTTCACCTGACATTGAATAGTGTAACTGGTTTTCCTGCTTTTTTTTTTTTTTTTTTTTTTTTTTTGAGATGGAGTTTTACTCTTGTTGCCCAGGCTGGAGTGCAATGGTGCGATCTCAGCTCACTGCAACCTCTGCCTCCCAGGTTCAAGCGATTCTCCTATCTCAGCCTCCCAAGTAGCTGGGACTATAGGCGCTACCGCCATACCCGGCTAATTTTTGTATTTTTAGTAGAAACGGGGTTTAGCCACGTTGGCCAGGCTGGTCTCGAACTCCTGACCTCAGGTGATCCATGCGCCTCGGCCTCCCAAAGTGCTGGGATTACAGGTGTGAGCCACCGTGCCCGGCCGGTTTTCCTGCTTCTTTATCCCTCCCTGTTCCAAGTTAGGTTACACACTATGACCAGCAGTCCTCCATGAAACTAGGACCATGATACTATCCTGTCCAGGACACTTGATGCCTCCTCACTAGGTAGAGAGCAAACCCCAACTCCCCGGCACAACACTCCAGGTTTCTGAGTACCTGGCTCTAAACAGGATCTGAACTTGCAGCCCCGGCACCTTTGTGCATTGAAGCAGTGTCCTGAGTTGAACAGCATTCCTCCAAAATGTATGTCTGCCCAGAACCTCAGAATGGGACCTTATTGGGAAATAGTGTCTTTGCAGATGTCGTGAGTTAAGATGAGGTCTAGTTGGATTAGTGTGGGCCCCAAAATCAATGACTGGTGTCCTTAGAAGAAAGGCCATGGTCGGGTGCAGTGGCTCACACCTGTAATCCCAGCACTTTGGGAGGCTGAGACCTCTGAGACCTGGGGTCAGGAGTTCGAGACCAGCTTGGCCAACATGGTGAAACCCTGTCTCTACTGAAAAAAAAACAAAAACAAAAACAAAAAACAAAAACAAAACTAGGTGTGGTGGCACGTACCTGTAATCCCAGCTACTTGGGAGGCTGAGGCAGGAGAATAGCTTGAACCCAGGAGGCAGAGGTTGCAGTGAGCTGAGATCACACCACTGCACTCCAGCCTGGGCAACAGAGACTCCATCTCAAATTTAAAAAACAAAGAAGAAGAAGAAGAAGAAAGGCCATTTGAAGACAGAGAGGCACACAGAGTGAAGACAGCCATGTAAAGATGGGGGTAGAAATGGGGTGATGCAGCTATAGGCGAAGGAATGCCAAGGATTACAGGCAGCTGCCAGAAGCTAGAAATTGTCGAGAAAGGATTCCTCCTTAGAACCTTTAGAGGGAGCACGGCCCTGTGGACACCTTGATTTTGGACTTCCACCTTCTAGAACTGTAAGAGAATAAACGTCTATTGTTTCAAGCCTATAACAATAGGTAATTTGTTATAGTAGTTGTAGAAAACTAATACAGGCTGGGTGCGGTGGCTCACACCTGTAATCCCAGCACTTTGGGAGGCTGAGGCAGGAGGATGGCTTGAGCCCAGGAGTTTGAGACCAGCCAGGGCAACATAGTAAAACCCTGTCTCTACACAAAATCAAAAATTAACCATCCTCTAGTCCCAGCTACTTAGGAGGGTGAGATGGGAGGATTGCTTGAGCCCAGGAGGTCAAGGCTGCAGTGAGCCATGATCTAGCTCACTGCACTCCAGCCTGGGTGACAGAGTGAGACCCTTTACCAAAATAAATAAATAAATAATAATACAATAGGAATTTTTTAGTGGCAAAGAAGAAAAAGCAAAAACCTCAATTTAGCTTAAGGAAAAATAAAAATGTATCATAAAGATATTACTGTATTCCAGGGAATCCAAGGTCAGAAATGCAGCTAAGACTCATGAATGTCCAGAATCAGAGACACACAGGCCACCAGTGTTCTCTCTCTATGACATTTCTCTCCTTTGTATCTGCCTCAATTTTTTCTCTCTTTTCCTCTCTCTCACTCCTCTCTCTCTCTCTCTCTCTCTCGTTTCTCTCTCGGTCTCTCTCCATGCATTCTCAAAGTCATAGTTATCAGTAGATTCCAGGTTTATCTTTCATACCCAAAGGGAAATTGACTACTTTTTCTCAGTTTCAGTTCCAAAAGTCTCAGGGAAGAACTGATTGGTTTGCTGGGTAAGAATTCTGCCAATATTCAATAGCCAATACTATGTGGTCAGGAGGTGGGATCTCATGGTATGGAGAAGATGATTCATCCCTGTGGATGAAGTGGTGCTGGGGTGGGAAGGGAAAGAAACCATAGGTCTGTGATATTCATGCTTTCCTTTTTCTGGAAATCCCTCTTTCTCTTATTCTTTATCTCTGCTTGTTGAAATTGTACATGCCTTCCAAGGTCTGGCTTAAACATCACCTTTCCCACAAAACATGTCAGTCTTTGCCACTAGAACATGAATTCTCAAAAGCAGATACAGTATATCTTATTCCTTCCTATATTCTCTTTCCCTAAGCAAGCCTCAGATGTTTATGGATGCTCCTTGAAGCCTTCCTGGGTCCACCGATTCAGAATTCATCCCACCCATCTCCAGGCTTCTATGATACTTTGAATTTCTTTTACAGCACTTGCCATCTTCTGTCTTTCTTTCTTTTTTTTTTTTTGAGATGGAGTCTTGCTTTATCGCCCAGGCTGGAGTGCTGCAGTAGCTCAATCTCGGCTCACTGCAACCTCTGCCTCCTGGATTCAAGCGATTCTTCTACCTCAGCTTCCTGAGTAGCTGGGACTACAGGCGCATGCCACCCTGCCCACCTAATTTTTGTATTTTTAGTAGAGACAGGGTTTCACCATGTTGGCCAGGCTGGTCTTGAACTCCTGGCCTCAGGTGATCCACCTGCCTCGGCCTCCCAAAGTGCTGGGATTACAGGCGTGAGCCACTGCGCCCAGCCCTGTCTTTTCTTTGAAGATACTTATAAACATGTTTCCCCTCCTCTCCAAGGTGTCAGGTCATTGTAGACAGGGTCCAGTACTTTGCACATGACAGTCAGGCAGTAACTCTTTGTCAAATATAATTCCCCCTCCCCACCCCCTCAAAAGTCCAATTAATATGTAAAGTTAGTTTCAATGGAAATATAATTGCACATATAATGCTAATGTATTTTGAGTCCCAGTATAGGTCCCAGTTTCTACTATTCTCAACTCACATGATGGGCTCAAACCACACCTTCTTTTCTGGGACAGAGTCGTGCCCTGTCGCCCAGGCTGGAGTGCAATGGCGCGACCTCAGCTCACCTCAACTTCTGCCACCTGTGTTCAAACGATTCTCCTGCCTCAGCCTCTCGAGTAGCTGGGATTACAGGTGCACGTCACCATGCCCGGCTAATTTTTTGTATCTTTAGTGGAGACAGGGTTTCACCATACTGGCCAGGCTGGAAACTGCACCTCTTATTTTATTTTATTTCATTATTTTTTTGAGACAGGGTCTTGTTCTGTCATCCAGGCTGGAGTGCAGTGGCGATCACGGCTCATTGAAACCTCTGTCTCCTTGGCTCAATCAATCCTCCTACCTCAGCCTCCTGAGTAGCTGAGACCACAAGCACCCGCCATCACACCTGGCTAATTTTTTGTATTACACCTTCTCGCATAATGTAGTGAAGACCCCTCTACCATCGTGGCTGGGCCTTGGACGTTAGTGACGAGAGTGAAGACATCCTGCCAGAAGTTCATCCATTTAGGCCCTGAGTACTGCAGGAAGGAGTGGGAGACAGAAGTAGGGAAAAAGGAGCCTTGGCACAATGCCAAGGATCAGGAGGGGCGATCACCCACTGGGATGACAAGAGCTGCGGGGCTTTTGCCTGCGTTACGGAGAAAAATGCTGAGAGACCAGTGATTCAGGGCTGAGTGCACAAGTTTTACTGCCAAATGGGAAACCCAATCCAGTATAGTTAGACTGCGAAGATGAAGTTGGGGGAGGAGAAAGGCAGTGGGTCTTGTCAAGCCAAGATTCCACCCGTGGTCTGGGTCACTTATCAGACAAGCGGTACCTCTAGCCTTGATCGGCTAGCGATTCCTGGACTTGTGACCTGAGCCTGCTGGCTACCCTGGGTGGGATTTGAGAATAAGCCTTATCTACTGGGCCAGCCAGGAACGGCTGTGGCTGGAGACCGCAGTACTGTATCGGGGCCCTGAATGTCGGAGCTGTGCTTTGAAGCTGTGCCCCGGACTGCTGGTCTGGCAGGGCCTGGGTGGGGAAGAGGAGGCCTGCAGAGAAAAGTTGCAACCCAGAGGTCAGGGCAGCTCATCTTTGGTTGCTAAAACTGCGTGAAGGGCAGCAAAGTCGGGAACCTCGCACGTGCCAGTGTGGAGAGCAGGCCACCTCACTCCAGCACTCCAGGCTTTTGAGACTTCCTTCCTGCATCTGGACACCATCCCAAGCCAAGAGCACCAACTGAGAGTTGGACTTTGATAGAAGACAGAAAAATACAGTTAACAGGAAATTTAAGAACACTCTTGCCCCACATCCAAGCTGGGCAGGGGGTTTAGGAATAAGACCAGTTACAGCAAGTTTTATTTATTTATTTATTTTTATTTTTATTTTTTTTTTTTGAGTTGGAGTTTCACTCTTGTTGCCCAGGCTGAAGTGTAATGGCACAATGTCGGTTCACTGCAACCTCCACCTCCTGGGTTCAAGCGCTTCTCCTGCCTCAGCCTCCTGAGTAGCTGAGATTACGGGTGTGTGCCACCACAACTGGCTAATTTTTTTTGTATTTTTAGTAGAAACGGGTTACACCACGTTGGCCAGGCTGGTTTTGAACTCCTGGCCTCAAGTGATCCACAGGCCTCAGCCTCCCAAAATGCTGGGATTACAAGTGTGAGCCACTGCACCCGGCCCAGTTATAGCAAATTTTAAAACAGTAATATATTACAACCAAAAATGAAATGTGAGGCTCTGCCACTCACTATTAATCAGTGTTTGGCTATGTCTTCATTGTACATTGATCAGTCATGTCACTACAATGTGGTGAATTTGCAGCTCTTATGCTCAGGATCCTCTTTGGGTTTTTACTGTACTCTTTGCTTAATACAGCCACAATTAGTTCTGCAGGTCAGTTAGGAGTCCCTTGGACGATCAAAGAGCAAGTTAATAAAGAAAGACCATTACGCCACGGGCTCAGCTCCTTCGGAGAGACAAGAATCATGCTGTGAATTGGTATTAAGGCCAGTGCATCATTTATTACATGCACAGAGCACAGTGAGGACAAGGGGTTCCTGGGGACAGACAAACCCAGACAGGGGCATGGCTTCTGCTTCCCTTCCCCCATCCTGCGGCTTCAGCACTGAGGGGCTCATAGCACTGGAGCAGCTAGCCTCGCAAGGCAGCTAGAGACAGGCCCAAGCTTATTCAGTCAGGGCCTGACCCATCAGCCAAAATCTCTCCCCAACCTCCCCTTCCTTATCTGCCATCCAATTCAATATATTCCCTCAAAGGCGGCTTTTGCAAATAGAAAAAATTATTAATATTCAGGTCAGCGTGGTGGCGTGCACCTGTAGTCCCAGTTACTCTGGAGGCTGAAGTGGGAGGATTGCTTGAGCCTAAGAGATGGAGGCTGCAGTGGAGCCGAGAGCATGCCACTACACTCCAGCCTGGGCAACAGAGTGAGACTCTGTCTCAGAAAAGAAAAAAAGAAAGAAATTATTCAGAAGTTGCCTGGCTTTGAAAATTAATATTTGACTTTACAAAATCAAAACCTTCGAGGATTTTTCTGTAAGCTTATAAATTCAACTTATAAATTGTACAGATATAGCTAAATTTAATCACTTTTGAGGAGGGTTTTGATTAATGTTTGGTCAAATTTATACATTTACTTAATTGGTGGGGCGTGGTGGCTCACGCCTGTAATCCTAGCAGTTTGGGAGGCCGAGGCAGGTGGATCAATTGAAGCCAGGAGTTCGAGACCAGCCTGGCCAACATGGCAAAACTCTGTCTCTACTAAAAATACAAAAATTAGCCAGGCGTGGTGGCACATGCCTGTAATCCCAGCTACTTGGGAGACTGAGGCAGGAGAATTGCTTGAACCGGGGAGGCAGAGGTTGCAGTGAGCCGAGATTACGCCACTGCACTCCAGCCTGGGCAACACAGCAAGACTCTATCTAAAAAAAAAATAAAAACAGCTGGGTGCGGTGGCTCACATCTGTAATCCTAGCACTTTGGGAGGCTGAGGTGGGCAGATCACCCGAGGTTGGGAGTTCGAGAGCAGCTGACCAACAAGGAGAAACTGCGTCTCTACTAAAAATAGAAATTAGCTGGGCATCCTGGCACATGCCTGTAATCCCAGCTACTGGAGAGGCTGAGGCAGGAGAATCGTTTGAACCCGGGAGGCGGAGGTTGTGGTGAGCCGAGATCACGCCATTGCACTCCATCCAGCCTGGGCAACAGGAGTGAAATTTTGTCTCAAAAAAATAAATAAATAAAATAAAAACATACAGAATAGGCTGGGTGCGGTGGCTCAAGCCTGTAATCCCAACACTTTGGGAGGCTGAGGCAGGCGGATCACCTGAAGTGGATAGTTCGAGACCAGCCTGACCAACATGGAGAAACCTTGCCTCTACCAAAAAAATACAAAATTAGCCTGGCGTGGTGGTACATGCCTGTTATCCCAGCTATTCGGGAGGCTGAGGCAGAAGAATCACTTGAGCTCTGGAGGCGGAGTTTGTGGTGAGCCGAGATCGCGCCACTGCACTCCAGCCTGTGCAATGACACTGAAATTCTGTCTCAAAAAAATTTTTTTAAATAAATAAATAAATAAATAAATTTACTTAACCTACTTTAAGTATTTTATCTGCATTTGTAAACTTAAAGTAATTAATTTATTTTGTCAAGTACTTCAGTTGTATGACTGACAAAAATTCCTTTTCAAGTATTTATGTGATTCATATATATGCAATCGATTAATCTTAAAAATATGTTAATTTTAGGTTCTTTTAAATGTCTAATATTACATTTACATTTTGAAATATTTCCACTTAAAATCACAAATGTAAGTCAATTACTTAGATCATATGTTTTAAATAAGTACTACACGACTAATATATTTTTCTTTTTTCTTTTCTTTTTTTTTTTTTTTTTTTTTTTTTTTGAGAAGGAGTCTCGCTCTTTCGCGCAGGCGGGAGTGCAGTGGCGCGATCTCGGCTCACTGCAAGCTCCGCCTCCCGGGTTCACGCCATTCCGCCTCCCGGGTTCACGCCATTCTCCTGCCTCAGCCTCCAGAGTAGCTGGGACTCCAGGCGCCCGCCACCACTCCCGGCTAATGTTTTTTTGTTTTTTGTTTTGTTTTGTTTGTATTTTTAGTAGAGACGGGGTTTCACCGTGTTAGCCAGGATGTTCTCCATCCCCTGACCTGGTGATCCGCCCGCCTCTGCCTGCCGAAGTGCTGGGATTACAGGCGTGAGCCACCGTGCCCAGCATGTTTGATTTTCTTAATCATTTCTATATTTAATTGTCAACCTACCTAGGTTTAAAATACATATTGCTTTAAGCCGGGTGTGGTGGCTCACACCTGTCATCCCAGCACTTTGAGAGGCCAAGGTGGGCGGATCACCTGAGGTCAGGAGTTCGAGACCAGCTTGGCCAACATGGTGAAACCCCATCTCTACTAAAAATACAAAAATTAGCCAGGCATGGTGGTGCGTGCCTGTAATCCCAGCTACTCAGGAGGCTGAGGCAGGAGAATCCCTTGAACCTGGAAGGCGGAGGTTGCAGTGAGCTCAGATCGCACCAGGGCACTCCAACCTGGGTGACAGAGTGAGATCTGTCTCAAAAAACAAACAAATAAAATAAAATAAAATAAAACACTTATTGCTTTAAAAAACAAAAGATTTTTCTCAAATTCTTTTGAATATACCTTCCAAAGCTGGTATTGCACGAAGTCTAGAGCCACATATTTCTACGGGGGCCAAATGCGGTAACTGACACGTGTAATCCCAGCACTTTGGGAGGCCAAGGTGGGAGGATCACTTGAGTCCAGGAGTTTGAGACCACCCTGGACAACATAGGGAGACCCCATCTCTACAAAAATTAAAAATTAGCTGGATGTGGTAGTGCTCGCCTGAGATCCCAGCTATGTGGGAGACTAAGGTTGGAGGATCACTTGAGCCCAGGAGGTTAAACCTGCAGTGAGCACAGCACCTTAGCTTGGACCATAGAGGAAGACCTCGTCTCAAAACAAACAAACATAAACAAATACCTAGGGAATTCTGTTCATAACACCACTACCAGGAGATGAGTTCCTTTTACTCTTAATATGACATGAACTTTAGAACTTAAAAAGGAGTTGTAGCCAGCCTCCAAAATAACCCCCAGAGATTCTCTCACACCTCATAGTCACTCCCTTGGGTGGATACTTCCACTCTGAACAGGGCTGACCTGGAAAATCAATAAGACAGTGTGGAAATGATGTAGAGTGACTTCTGAAGCTAGGTCATCAAAAACATTTCTACTTCTACCTTGCATGCTCTTGGATCATTTGCTCTGGACGAAGCCAGCTACTCATGCACTCCTGTGGAGCAGTCATGTAGTGAGGAACTGAGTCCTCCTACCAATGGCCAGCATTAGCTTGCCATGAGTATGAATCACCCATCTGGGAAGTAGATCCTCTAGCCCCAGCCAAGCTTTCAGATAACTGCAGCTCACACCAACATTTTGACTGCAACCTCATGAGGGATCCTGAATTAAAAATGAGCCACTCCATTCTGCCCTCTTCCTCCCCCAAAGCAACAACAACAAGGAAACACCAGAAACATCAAGCAGCTCCTAAATTCCTTCTTTTTTTTTTTTTTTTTTTTTTTTTGAGACGTTGTCTCGCTCTTTCACCCAGGCCGGAGTGCAGTGGTGCAATCTTGGCTCACTGCAACCTCTGCCTGCCAGGTTCAAGCAATTCTCTGCCTCAGCCTCCTGAGTAGCTGGGATTACAGGCGCCTGCCGCTACGCCTGTCTAATTTTTGTTTTTGTATTTTTAGTAGAGACGGGGTTTCACCAAGTTGGCCAGGCTGGTCTTGACTCCTGACCTCGTGATCCACCCACCTCGGCCTCCCAAAGTGCTGGGACTACAGGCTTGAGCCACCGCTCCCGGCCAGCTCCTAAATTCCTAATCCACAGAATCCCTGTAAAATTATAAACATTTATTATTGTTTTAAGCCTCTAAAGTTTGGAGTAATTTGTTTCATAGCAATACATAACTAATAAGAAATGCTCACATTAGCCCACATCTTTGAACCTAAATCATATCATTATCTAATTTCCAAGCCTGATTAGCTCCTATAAACCTCCATTCAGTGATTACACCATTTGTTTGGATTAAGCTATTGATTGTTTCATCTCATCCTGAATTCTTTTTCTATTCCTTCTATCTGTTAGGTCCACAATTCTACAGAGATTCTAGATCATACCTAATTCTGTGGCTTGTCAGCCTATTCCTGACACACTATCACAACTCCAAAGCGTGGCGTTCTGCTGCCACCTATCATCACAGCCTCCTCCTAGTCACCAGATTGACAGTTTATGTTCTAACAATAAAAGATGGAGGCATCTTTTTCCCAAATCTACTGCTCCACTGTTTGTGAAGTCTAATAAGCCATCTTAACATGGCTAAAAGAGAACCCTGGATTTTTGTCTATCCTCGCCTACTTTCCCCATTCTTTCACAGCCCCATAAATGGCATCATCATCCATCCAGTTGCTCATACCAAATACCTTAGAGTCATTCTGGATTCCTTTCTTCTTCTCACACCATTGGCAATGCCTTTAGACTCTCTCTCCAGATACATCCTGGATTTGTTAACTTCTCTTCATCTTCATTCCTAGCAGCCTAGACCTAGTTACTGTCTTTCACCAGGACTACTGCCATAGTCTCCCAACTGTAATCCCTGATGCTTTTCTCTGGTTTTCAAAAATCAACTGTTGTGAATAAAACAGCTGTAAACCGTCACATAAGGGTCTTTCTGTGACATATTTTATTCTCTTGAGTAAATACCAAGAAGTAAGATTGCTGTGTCATATGGTAAGTACCTGTTTAATTTTATAAGAAAGTGCCAGAAGTTGGGCACGGTGGCTCATGCATGTTATCCCAGCACTTTGGGAGGCAGAGGTGGGTGGACCACGAGGTCAAGAGATTGAGACCATCCTGGCCAACATGGCGAAACCCCGTCTCTACTAAAAATACAAAAATTAGCTGGACGTGGTGGTGTTTGCCTGTAGTCCCAGCTACTCACGAGGCTGAGGCAGGAGAATTGCTTGAACCTGGGAGGCGGAGGTTGCAGTGAGCCAAGATCTCGCCACTGCACTCCAGCCTGGGTGACAGAACAAGACTCCATCTCAAAAAAAAAGAGAAAGAGTGCCAGACTTTTTTTTTTTTTTTTTTGGTAAGGAGACAGGGTCTCACTCCCATTGCCCAGGCTGGAGTGCAGTGGCGTAATCACAGCTAAACTGCAGCCTCGACTTCCCCGGCCCAGGTGATTCTCCCACCTCAGCCTCCCAAGTAGCTGGGACTCAGATGCGCACCACAATGCCTGGCTAATTTTCTGTATTTTTCATAAAGATGGAGTTTTGCCATATTTCCCAGGCTAGTCTCGAACTCCTGGGCTCAAGCCATCAGCCCTCCTCAGCCTCTCAAAGTGCTGGGATTACAGGCATGAGCCACCATGCCAAACTATTTTTTAAAGCAGATATACCATTTCGTATTCCCATCAGTAACATGGGATTTCCACATCCTCTCCAGCACTTGGTATTGTTTTTTTTCTTTTTTAAGCCATTTTATTATGTGTGTAGTTGTAGTAGTTCTTTTTTTTTTTAAATTTGCATACAGTGAAATGTACCAATCCTAAGTGTACCATCCAAAGAGTTTTTATAAACGTGTATACCCATATAATCAAGATGTAGAACATTTTTATTACCCTCATAAATTCCCTAGTAACCCTCTTTCAGTCAATCCTTGTGCCCCTAGAAGCAGCCACTTCTATTGCTATCACCATAGGTTAGTTTTACCTCTTCTTAAACCTCATAAAAGAAATAGTACAGCATATACTGTTTTGTGTCTGGCTGGTCTTACTCAGCATAATGGTTTTGAGATGCATCTATGTTATTTTGTGTATCAGTAGTTCTTTATTTTTATTGCTGAGTAGTATTTTATTGTATGAACATATCACAATTTGTTTATCTAGTCACCTTTTGATGGACATTGGGGTATTTCCAGCAATTTCATTCGTAAATATTTACCCAAGAGGAATTAAAGCATATGTCTCCAAAAAGACTTGAACAATAATGGCCTGCTTTCTTTCTTGATTCATTACAATCCATTCTCCTTACAGCAGCTAGGGAGATCTTTTAAATAAATCACTCAAATCCCATCACTTCTCTGCTTCCATACCCTTTAGTGACTTCCCATCCCACTTAGGAGAAAATGCAGGCTGCCTACCATGGCATGTGAACCCCAGACATCAGTGAGTCTTAACTAGGTTGCACACAGGAATCCCCTGGGATCTTTTGATGCCTGGGCCCCACCTTGGATCAAGTGAATCAGAATCTCTGGAGGAAGGCCCCACATGTTTCTTAAAGCTCCCCAGGAAATTCTAAACAGCTCTCAGGTTTGTGAGGTCCTGACAGTGTGACCTGACCCTGGCCCTTCAACTTTATCACACACCACTCTCCTCTTCCTCTCAACCCTCTGAACACAGCAGTTTT
Organism: Homo sapiens; assembly: GCF_000001405.40. Classification (NCBI taxonomy): domain Eukaryota; kingdom Metazoa; phylum Chordata; class Mammalia; order Primates; family Hominidae; genus Homo; species Homo sapiens. Next base: position 128,780,301 of record NC_000004.12, on the reverse strand, counting down.
ATCCCCATCTCAGGGATTTTGTGCTGGTGTTTCTTCTGCCTGGAATATTCTCTACATTTTACTGTGACTTGTTCTTTCTTGTAATTCAGGTCTCAGCTGAAATGTCACCTGTTCAGACGGTTTTCCTGCTCACCTACTCTAAAGGAGCCGTACGATCCCCACAGCATGTCATCTGTTCAAATGCCCCATATCACATTTGTTTTTGTTTTGCTTTTCTCTTTTCTTTTCTCCTCTTCTCTTCTTTTCTTTCAGAGTCAGGGTCTCACTCTGTCACCAAGGCTGGTGTGCAGTGGCATGATTACAATCATAGCTCACTACAACCTAGAACTCCTGGGCTTAAGTAATCCACCCTCCCCAGCCTCCTGAGTAGCTGGGACTACAGGTGCGTGTCACCATATCCAGCTAATTTTTTTTTTTTAATCTCTTTGTAATGATGGAATTTTGTCATGTTGCCCAGGCTGGCCTCAATCTTCCCACCTCAGCCTCCCAAGTCATTGAGATTACAGGCATGAGCCACTGCACCCAGCTTACTTATTTCTACTATTGCCTTGTTGGTATATTTTTCTGCGTGATTGTCTCCCCCTCTAGAATGTAAAACCCATGAGAACCTTGTCTGTATTGCTCATCCCAGCATCCCTAGTATTTATAAATGTGCCTGAAACATAATAAGGGCTTAATAAATGTTTGTTGACAGCGTGACAGAATACATCAATGGCATGACCATATTACCCAGGAGAGGGGGCAGGAATCCCGAAGGTTCCTCAAATTTTCTTTCTTTTCCCAGGGTGTTAGGATGAGGTAGTAGATTTTCAGGAAAATGGAGACTCTAGTCTAAAAGAATTAAACCCAGGTACTAGAGTTCATTAGGTTCTAAGTGGCAGAGAGGTTGTTTTCTGCCTCTAGAATCATATATTTGGTCCTAATTTGATGCTGTGCCTATTGTTGATACTAAATTCATATTTTTCTATTAGTCGTGAAATAACTATGGTGTGCTTTGAGGGGCTAGAAGGGATGTGAGACCCAGAGGAGATGTTAGGTATAGGGCTAGACCTGGAGAAGACAACAGTATATGAGTGGGAATTAAAAATTTTCCCTTAAAAGAGACAGAAGTATCTTTTGTTATTTGTGTCTCTATCCTCACGTTAGGGAGCCACCACCAACTCAAAGCATGAAATTCAGTTTAATCTCTTCTGTCCAGTTGGATCTCAATGCACCCTTCTATATGCAGTTTCTTTTGTTAGGCAAGACAGTATATTAAAGCAATGTTTAAAGAAATTTAAAGAGAAAGGAAGGGAAGGAGTGACACAGGGAAGAGGAGAAAAAGGTGACAAGGAAGAATTCATGAGCATCTTCTATGTGCCAGATACAGGCTTCAATTGAGGATTGAATGTTTAGGCATTTACTTATTTATGATACTTTATCTGAAATCAATATAATTATACTCATTTTTTTTTTTTTTTTGAGGCAGAGTCTTACTGTGTCGCCCAGGCTGGAGTGCAGTGGCGCGATCTCGTTCACTGCGAGCTCCGCCTCCCAGGTTCACGCCATTCTCCTGCCTCAGCCTCCCGAGTAGCTGGGACTACAGGCGCCCGCCACCACGCCCGGCTAATTTTTTGTATTTTTAGTAGAGACGGGATTTCACTGTGTCAGCCAAGATGGTGTTGATCTCCTGACCTCGTGATCCGCCCGCCTCGGCCTCCCAAAGTGCTGGGATTGCAGACGTGAGCCACCGTGCCTGGCTTTTTTTTTTTTTTTTTTTTTTTGAGATGGAGTCTCGCTCTGTCGCCCAGGCTGGAGTGCAGTGGCACGATCTCAGCTCACTGCAAGCTCTGCTCCCGGGTTCACGCCATTCTCCTGCCTCAGCCCCACGACTGGCTGGGACCACAGGCACCCGCCACCGCGCCCGGCTAATTTTTTGTATTTTTTAGTAGAGACGGGGTTTCACCGTGTTAGCCAGGATAGTTTCGATCTCCTGACCTTGTGATCCGCCTGCCTCGGCCTCCCAAAGTGCTGGGATTACAGGCGTGAGCCACCGTGCCTGGCCTGTTAATTATACTCAACTTACAGATGAGAAAACTGAATGCGGCTTGGAGAAAAGTTACTTTCCTTTTAAGTATGCTTACCACTTACTTGTTATAAAAAGATTACATAAAAATATACAAGACACAGGCCTGGCGTGGTGGCTCACGCCTGTAGTCCCAGCACTTTGGGAGGCTGAGGCAGGTGGGTCACAAGGTCAGGAGATCGAGACCATCCTGGCTAACAGGGTGAAACCCCGTCTCTACTAAAAATACAAAAAAAAAAAAAATTAGCCGGGCGTGGTGGCAGGCGCCTGTAGTCCCAGCTACTCGGAAGTCTGGGGCAGGAGAATGGCATGAACCCAGGACGCAGAGGTTGCAGTGAGCCGAGATCATGCCACTGCACTCCAGCCTGGGCAACAGAGTGAGACTCTGTCTCAAAAAAAAAAAAAAGAAAAAAAATATATATATACAAGACACGTACATCAAGTATACAGATGACATTATCAATGGAAAAGCCATTTAGTGTACTAAAGATAGATCAAAGATTCAAACTGATCTTGCCAGGCTAGAACATTAGACTAAAAAGTTAGATACAGCATAGTGTATAAAATGGAAATCCTGCAGTTAGCTACAAAGGTACAGAAAGAAAGGCAACTAGTTTGGCTGGATTTTGTGTAAAAGCAATTTTGTGGATTTGGCTAGCTGTTAGTTTAATATAAGCCAATAGTAGATGCTAAAAACGTGAATAGGACCACTTATAATCATTTCATGATGGTCCTTACCTTATTTGACTTCTTTCCAGTATTTATCACTAGAGACACTTTAAAAATTATCTTCTCTTGTCTTCTGTTCCATCTCATTATCTTTCCATCTCTGAAGCAGATCCTCATGAATATTAAAACTAATAATAGAGTAGCCTTCATTTATTAAGGGTTCTGTGTTAAGTACACATATTACTATTATTTAATCCAACCTCTTAACAGCACTAATGAAATAGGTATAATTCCTCCCCATTTTATAGATGAGAAAACGAAGTGATTTTCCCATGATCCGACAGCTAACGTTAGTAGCACCTAACTCAGTCTCACTTCGGAGCGCATGCTCTTAATCACTGCACTCTTATGTCCCAGGTCAGTTTCTTTCAGAGCTTCATTTTACTTTGCTCATTTTCCTAAGTGTCAGCATTCTTTAGAGTCCTGTCCTCTGTCTCAGCTCTTCTGACTTCAGTACTCTTTGGTTAATCATCAGTAGACATCAGACTTCCACTGACAACTTCTGCATTGATGAATCCTGTAGCAGCTGCTGACAGCTGCTTACCCAAGAGCACTTACCCTCTTCACATTCGTCCTTGCTAGTAGGAGCCTCTATAAGCTTCAGAAGAGGCTGGCCCCATGCCCAACCCTGGCTCCAGGGAGTGAATCATGGTTGGTTTAAACCAAACACAGCTCCTTTTCCTTTTTCTGTGATTTAAGCACTGGGAGAGTGAGCTGAGGAATTTTTGAAAAAGGTTATCCTGGCTCTTAAACAGAAATATTCATTAATGGAAAAATCTCTCCTCTATCACATTGTTGTGTCTGTACGTGATGTCTGGAACTAAGGCAGCTATCTTGGTGCCTTTGTTTGTTTGTTTGTTTGTTTTTTGAGACGGAGTCTCGCTGTGTTGCCCAGGCTGGAGTGCAGTGGCGCGATCTCGGCTCACTGCAACCTCTGCCTCCTGGGTTCAAGCGATTCTCCTGCCTCAGTCTCCCAAGTAACTGGGATTACAGACATAAGCCACCACGCCCAGCTAATGTTTGTATTTTTAGTAGAGACAGGGTTTCACCATGTTGTCCAGGCTGGTCTCAAACTCCTGGCCTCAAGTGATCCATCTGCCCCAGCCTCCGAAAGTGCTGGGATTGCAGGCGTGAGCCACTGAGCCCAGCCTTGGAGCCTTTAATAATTTTCAAGAGTATGAAGAGCACCTAAGGCCAAAATGTTTGAGAATTGCTGACTAGTCCACCCTCCCTCACTGAAACAGTTTCCCACATGTTTGTTTTCTTATTGCTAGTCTGTTCATGGCCAACTGCAATAAGCCCATTCTTTACATTGCTATCAGAATGATCTTTCTAAATGCTAATCAGATCCCCTACTTAATCCTTCAATGGCTCCCTGCGGCTTTTAGCTTAATACCTAACACTCTACTTCTCTAATTTTATTTGTTCCTCTCCTCTTACACACATCCTTCACCCCAGCCATTCACAGTTCATCGAAGTTTCCCATCAGAAATGGTGTTGATTATTCCATGCCTCCCACAGCCTGCTCTCTCTCTTTTTTTTTTTTTTTTTTTTTTTCGGTCTTCAGAGCAGAGATGAAAGAGCTGAGAAACCAATAAGGATGCTTAGATAATCCAGAAGTTAACAACAACAGCAAGCCACTACCAATAGCCAGTCCTAAGGCTGAAGGAATAGAAGGAGATGAAGTCACCAGACCCCAAGGGTCAAGGTTACCCAGGAAAATCTAGAACCAGAATGGTTCTATTCTGCAGGTGCTGGGACCAAGAATGGGGCAGGCCACTGCCAATGGTGCCTTCCAGAGCTGAAGTTCCCCTCCGGCTCTTAACTCCCACTTGACACACCCTATCCCCTCATTCTCTAGCTAGCTACTCATGCTTGTTCTTTAAAATTCAACTTGAGAGCCACTCTCTACAGGAAGCTGCCTCTGAGCCCTCATTGTAATTTACCTGCCCCTCTTCTGTGCTTCCAATGTGTCTTTTATCATAGTGGTTCCTGTACAAGTACTAAGGAAAGAAGACAGCACGGTATGAAGTATGAGAATGAACAAAGTATGCACATGGACAATCCTTTCTTTTTTTTTAGAGACAAGATCTTGCTGTTTTGCTCAGGCTCTTTTGCAGTGACACCATCACTGCAACCTCGTACTCCTGGGCTCAAGGGATTCTCCCACCTCAGCCTGAGTAGCTAGTACTACAGGTGTGCGCCACCACACCCAGCTAATTTTTATAGTTTTTTGTAGAGACGAGGTCTCACTATATTGTCCAGGCTGGTCATGAACTCCTGGGCTCAATCCTTTTTCAAAAGACAGCTTTGTTGAGGTATAAATCACATACCATACAGTTACCCAGTTAAAATACACAATTCAATGGTTTTTAGTATATTCACAGATATGTGCAACCATTGCCACAATTAGAACATTTTCATCACTTCAGAAAGAATACTCTTCCCCTTTAGTGAACCACCCCTTGCCTCCAGCAACTACTAATCAATCTACTTTTTGTCTCTATGCATTTTCCTGCTCTGGACTTTCAGATAAACAGAATCATGTAACATGTGGTCTTGAGGACTAGCTTCTTTCACTTAGCACAACTTTTGCAAGGTTCATCTGTGTTGTAGCATGTGCCAGTATTTTATTCCTTTGGATAATCCTTCCCAACCACCAAAACTGGACTGTCCCAGCACTGTCACTGGACAATCAGCGTGAACCAATCGGTTTCACTTTGGTGAGATTTTCACTTGAATTCATTCCTTGCTTGTGCCTGCTATATGTGCTTCTTTACTTAAGCAAACACTGGCAGCTGGCCTTTGACCTTATATGAAGAAAAAAAATTAAAAATTAATTAGAATTAGAGATAGAATCCCCCACACCACTGTATGATTTTTCATCAATAGAATTCATAAGAAAACCACCTTAGACTCTTTCTTCATATAGTTCTAGTTGTCTCCCTAGGTATATGCAGCAGGAAAGACCAGACTGGTGACAGGGCTGATGTCAGTATAATAGTTTTTAGTTAATTGGTTCTCTCCATGGTCCTCAGACCAACAGCATCAGTATTACCTGGGGAACTTGTTACAAATGCAAATTCTCAGCTGGGGGGTGGTGGCTCATGACTGTAATCCCAGCACTTTGGGAGGCCCAAGGGGAAGGATTGCTTGAGCCCAGCAATCCTTGAGACCAGCCTGAGCAACATAGTGAGACCCCTGTCTCTAGCAAAACGTTTAAAAGTTAAAACAATTAGCCAGGCACTTGTGGTCATAAGCTACTTGGGAGGCTGAGGTGGGAGGATCACTTGAGGCCAGGAGGTCAAGGTTGCAGTGAACTGTAATTGCACCACTGCACTCCAGCCTAGGTGACAGAGCAAGACCCAGTCCCAAAAAGAAAAAGAAAAAAGAAATGCAAATTCTTAGGCCCCACTCCAGACCTAGTGAATCAGAAACTCAGAGTGGGGCCTAGTAATCTGTGTTTCAACAAGCCTCTAGGTGATTCTGATCTACACTTAAGCTTGAGAGCCACTGATTAGTTAATGGTATAGTACTATCAATATTGGCACATAGACATAAATTAATTACTGACTCATACCTTGTTTTGCGTCAAGTGTAAATGCCCAGTGGATGAATAAAAACACTGTTTAGGGGCTAAATAGCAGATTATTTTACATATACTGAATTTCTGTGCATTGCTAGAGCAGGCAACCCATTTTCTTACTCTTCCCTCCCATCTTTACTTCCTTTTAAAATAATACTTTGCTATAAACTTACTTTAAAAAATAATAAATCCTGATAAATGTATTGCCCTTACAAACTTACTTTAAAAAAATAAAAAATCCTAGTAAATTTACTGCCTTTACCATGAAGTTTATTTCCACTTCAGGTTGAGCAAATTTTGCAGAAAGCATCTCTAGAAGATCTCTACAAATCTTGGTTCAGGAAAAATTAATTCCTATGCGAACTCACATCAGACATAGATCTCTAGAGATCGCTCTTCCTAGTGAATGTTTTGTCAGCACAAAGACTATATCAGGCAGTGCATTTTTAAGCAACTGGTAGCATGATGTCTGTATTGATGAAATACTGGGGACTTTACTTTGACACAACAGGGACTTCATCTGGTCCTTTGTTGTTAAGACCAAACACTTTTTAGATACTCTGAGGATAGTCATTATCTCTTTCAGAAAGAACACCAGAATGGCTTATTCTCAGTTCATCTTAATAGATTTGACACATGGTTAGCAGTTTTGAAATTGTTAAAATGTTATTAAGTCTGATCAAAACAATTTTCTGTTAATAATTCTGATCAAAACAATTTTATTTGTCAAAATTCACTGTTGTGGTTCTTTTGAAATAGTAGTCATTATTTCCTCAGCATCTATTTTCATTTTGTTCTAAATACCATTAAAATTAACTTTTAAAACATCTTAGACACATAAAACCCTGATATGCGGTACTTACCATACACTGCCTCACACTGTTAATTATCATTTTATGTTATTTATGTCTCATTCCTCTACCAGATTTACTTTTCCTGGAAACAATTGTTATTTTTTGCATGTATTTGTTTGCCCCACCATGTCTCTCAGTGTCTTAAACATAACAGACACCCACCAAACACGTGTGTGTTCATTGATAGGTTTGACGGTAACTTGAAACACCCATTCCTCTGGTCAGGAATAGAAACTGTCTCAAATTAGGTAAGTTAAGAAGAGAAGCTGGGCACAGTGGTTCACGCCTGCACTTTGGGAGGTTGAACGGGAAGATTGCTGGAGCCCAGGAGTTTTAGACCAACCTGGGCAGCACAGTGAGAGCCCATCTCTACAAAAAATTTAAAAAATTGGCTGGGTGTGGTGGCACATGCCTGTAGTCCCTGCTACTTGGGAGGCTGAGGTGAGAGGATCACTTGAGCCCAAGAGGTCCAGGCTGCAGCAAGCCGGGATTGCACCATTGCCCTGCAGCCTGGGTGACAGAGCGAGACCTTGTCTCAAAAATAAAAGAAGAGATACAACAGAACACTTCCCAGATATACAAGGACATTAGTGAAGCACACCTAGACCGTATGGGACATGGAGCTGGACATTCAGGACCCAAGGCTAGTCCTTTCACCCTTCTTGGGGCCCTGTGGCAGCAGGTCTGTGCTTCTATCTGTGTGTCTCCTTCTTTCTCAAGCTTCCTTGAACAAACTGACTTCTTTTTTATTGTGCTATCTCCATTCTCTGAAAATATGAGTTTACCTTTGGCTTTGGTTTGTCATGGACCTACCCAACTACATATTTTACTTCAAGAGTCCATCAGCATCTAGTTAGTTCTATTTCAGTGGTCCAATTTCAAATTCCATAGAGAGGTCATCTGATGGGGTGATCTGGTACAATCAGTCATGAATAGGAAGTAAGACGTGTTGAGGAATCGGGAGGTATATAGATCTGCCTTTCCAAACTGTGGATGGATCAGTTTCACTAAGAAGGGGTCATGGGCAAGGAAGTCATGACTGGCACTTCTATTCCAATTTCTTTCTCTCTCTCTTTTTTTTTTTGAGACAGTCTCGCTCTGTTGCCCAGATTGGAGTGCAATGGCACGATCTCGGCTCACTGCAACCTCTGCCTCCTGGGTTCAAGCGAATCTGTCACCTCAGCCTCCCGAGTAGCTGGGATTACAGGCACCCGCCATTATGACCGGCTAATTTTGGTATTTTTGTGGAGATGGGTTTAACCATGTTGGCCAGGCTGGTCTTGAACTCCTGACCTCAGGTGATCCTCCCATCTCGGTCTCCCAAAATGCTGGGATTACAGGCGTGAGCCACCGCGCCCGGCCTTCTACTCCAATTTCTATTATACTACAACCTAGAACTCTGGCAGGTTTGCAGAATTTAGACATTAACTAGGGTTATAGATAAACTTCTTCCTTAATCTAGATCAGGATTGGCAACTATGGCCCTTGGGGCAAATCCAGCCCTTGATCTGCTTTTTTGTTTGTTTGTTTGTTTGTTTTTTCGTTTTTTTGTAAGAGCCAAGAATTATTTTAAATGAAGAAGAATAGGCGACAAAAGTCTTAAGTGACCTGCAAAGCCTAAAATATTTAATGTCTGGCCTTTTGCCAAAAGAGTTTGCCCGCCAGGCACGGTGGCTCACACCTGTAATCCCAGCACTTTGGGAGGCCGAGTCAGGTGGATCACTTGAAGTCGGGAGTTCGAGACCAGCCTGGACAACAAGGAGAAACCCCGTCTCTACTAAAAATACAAAATTAGCCGGGCATTGTGGCGCATGCCTGTAATCCCAGCTACTTGGGAGGGTGAGGCAGGAGAATTGCTTGAATCCAGGAGGCGGAGGTTGCAGTGAGCTGAGATCACACCATTGCACTCCAGCCTGGGCAACAAGAGTGAAACTCTGTCTCAAAAAAAAAAAAAGAGTTTGCCAATCTGCTTTTGGTTATATACTTCCTTCTTTTCTTTTCTTCATTCCTTTAATGACTCTTCATTGTTCTAGGTGCTGTTTTAAGTATTGGAGATGTGGTGATGTCACAAGACAGATGTGGTTAGGAGATTAGATTTTGTTGTGAGTGGAAAAGACCAACAATAGGCATATCCGTTAAATAAACAGGGCAATTTCAGATTGTAAGTGCTGTAAATAAAACAAACGGGGGATGATACTAACAAAGAGAAGACAGCCAGGGAAGGAGAAGCTATGGATTGGTAAGGAAGATTATTATTATTATTTTTTTTTTAAGATGGAGTTTCACTCTTGTCGCCCAGGCTGGGGTGCAATGGCATGATCTCCGCTCACTGCAACCTCTGCTCCTGGGTTCAAGCAATTCTCCTTCCTCAGCCTCCATGGTAGCAGGGATTACAGGCACCTGCCATCACTCCCGGCTAATTTTTGTATTTTTGGTAGAGACGGGGTCCCACCATGTTGGCCAGCCTGGTCTCGAACTCCTAACCTCAGGTGATCCATCCACCTTGGCCTCCCAAGTGCTGGGATTACAGGTGTGAGCCACTGCACCTGGCCTGAAGATTATTATTATTATTGTTTGAGACAGGGTCTCACTGTATCCCCCAGGCTGGAATACAGTGGTGCAAATATGGCTCACTGCAGCCTTGACTTCCCAGGATTAAGTGATCCTCCCACCTCAGCCTCTCAAGTTGCTGGAACTAGAGGTGCAAAGCACCACACCCAACTAATTTTTTCTATTTTTGGTAGACACAGGGTCTCACTATGTTGCCTAGGTTGGTCTCGAACTCCTGAACTCAAGTGATCCTCCTGCCTCAGCCTCCCAAAGTGTTGGGATTACAGGTGAGAGCCACTGCGCCAGGTCCAGTAGGAAGATCTTAAATGTGGAGATGATTTATGCTAAGACCTGAAGAACGAAAAAGAACCAGTTATGAGAAGATCAGCATTACAGCCAGAGGACACAAGGGGAAATAAGAGCTTGGCTTAGTCATGAAACCCCAAACAGGACCAGTGGTGTTAGCAGGAAAAAAAAAGTAGGAAATGAAGTCGAAAGGTAGTTAGGGGCCAAACTATGTAAGGCCTTGTGAGGAAGCCATTAAAGATTTACTGACACAGTAGATCCTATTTTTTTTTTTTTTTTTTGAGACAGAGCCTTGCTCTGTCACCCAGGCTGGAGTGCAGTGGCACCATCTCGGCTCACTGCAACCTCCACCTCCTGGGTTCAAGCAATTCTCCTGCTTCAGCCTCCCTAGTAGCTGGAATTACAGGCATGCATCACCACGCCTGGCCAATTTTTTTGTTTTTTGTTTTTCAGACAGAGTTTCACTCTTGTTGCCCAGGCTGGAGAGCAATGGAGCGATCTCAGCTCACTGCAACCTCCGCCTCCCAGGTTCAAGCAATTCTCCTGCCTCAGCCTCCATAGTAGCTGGGATTACAGGCACCTGTCACCACGCCCAGCTAATTTTTTGTATTTTTAGTAGAGACAGGGTTTTACTATGTTGGCCAGGCTGGTCTCGAACTCCTAACCTCAGGCAATCCACCCGCCTCAGCCTCCCAAAGTGCTGGGATTACAGGCATGAGCCACCATGCCTGGACAGATCTTATGGGTGTTTTAAAAATCTCTCTCTGGCTGCCATGAAATAGACTATGGAAGCAAGAGTTAGTTCTGTTTAAGAGGTTATGATAACAATTCAGGTGAGACATGATTTATATTAGAATGGTGCCATGAGAATGGAGAAAGTGGATGAATTAAGGTATTTTGAAGGGAGAACTAATGAAACAAATGGATTGGGTGTGAGGGGTGAAAGAAGAAAGGAATTAACATGAATCCTAGATTTCTGTTTGAGCAACTGGGTGGTTAATGGGGTTTGTTATCTTATCTGTATCATTTTTGATAACTGAGTAACTGCAACTCCAGAACTAAGAATTTTGCTTACATATTAAGAAAAATTTCAAAGCCAAAACAAAAACTATTTTTGATATTGAATTTTCTTAACTTTTACATACATACTTTCCTTCAAGGGATAATTGAATGAAAAGGACTTCTTTGCAAACTTCAGACTAGCCCTATAGTGAATGGAAATAATCTTCTTCTCTTCAGAATAATAGCTTATGCATGCTTTCTGACAGTGGATTGCCCTCTTAGGGCTGCCATTTTGTCCTGAGATTTGATGACTCTGGTTCTCCCTTTAGGAGATTGCTATGAAAAGGCAGAGAACCATTGGGGCCTGTTCAATAGGGCACACCTGGCTCTCTCCGTCTCCCTCATCAAGGCCTGTGGGGCATGATGAGAACTGGCATCAGCCTACTGATGCTGAGATTTGTTTTGAAGCATTCGAAGAGGAAGCGAATGCTCAGGGGAAGCTTTAAATTTCTTTCTACTTACAGAAGTTGAATTGCAAGAGCTATCTCTTTACCATTAATCACCAGGTCTAGTGTGAAGCCAGCCAACTTCAGAGAGTTAGTTAAAAGAGATGACTAATGACTCAACTCTCTCCTTATCTCACGCTCTCTTCAGGTTTGATCTCACCAGACACTCAGGCTGCACTTACCCACTTGAACAAGAGCTCTTCCAGTGTTCTGCAGTATTGAGGGAGTTCTGCGTTTAAAGGGGCCTGTCCTGTACCCCCGTCCAACTGACTGATGGGGAACTTCAATGCCCAGCCTGGGATATAAGTGGGGCCGAAGGTGGAAGAGTGAGAGTACCAGGTCTCTATACATGTCCAACTTGACCGTGATGGTTTAGGCATGACCTAGAATCCCTAGGAGGTCTTGATCATTTCAGTTTAAAATGACTCTTATTATATAGGGAATCTTTTTTGAAGTTAGTTCTTCTAAAAGTCTGCTTTTGGTCTCTGCTCACGGAGTTCTGTAAGAACTTATTTTAGAGATAAGCTTTCAAGGCTATCCCAATTGTTCCAACTTCAATGATCAAAACATCTGAGACTGTGTTTTGATTTGATTTCTTTGTAGCTATTTTATCACAAGGTTTTCAGAGTTTTAGATTATACTAAGCAATTACTGGTTACCTTTCCACAGATTCATTACAAAACCCCTGATTATATATAACCAAGTATTGCTCTCTCAATAATATTCCAGTGAAGCTTGTTGTTCAAATCTTATACGTTTCCAATGATGTCTTCTCTCCCTCATAAATAAGGGGCTCCCTCTGCTCCCCTCCACCAGGGCTGCTCACTCCCAAGAGGCCTTTTCCGGCTTCCAGTCAGGTACATCTTAAGTAATGAAGTCAATAGGGAAGAATCAAGGATGGAAATGTACCCAGTTTATGTCGATGGACTTGTTTAACTATTTAAGGCTGTATCTCACAGTCTAGTGTGTTGCAGTACGTTTTGTAAAGAGTGCTTGTAATCCCCTGAGCTTTCAAAATAGCTCTCTTTCCTATTAAGCCTGCATTGAGAAATGGGGTTAATTTGCCAGAGTACTTTTTTGTGATAATGACAGGACTTGCAGATTAGCTTGAGTGAATTGGCAAGGTTCTGTAACTAATAAAAAAATACACAAAAAAATTATAAAATTCGACTGCTTCAAGGTTCCTCATGAGAGAAACATTAAATATTCCTGATAGGCCAGTTTTGAGTCCACGCTAGCACATTAATAGATACTTAGGGAAAGATACCTTTCAAGTGACATATGACCCAACATTCCCATAACAGGAACTGTTCTGCTATTCAGAGGCTTGAAACTTATAGTAGTTGAACTAATAACGGATAAATTTCGTGAATTAGAAAATGCCTAATAAATTTTTTAGGTGATAATTATTTTGCCAGCCAGGCTATACGGCTCTTTGCTTTATTAGACCCATATACGAAATATTAAAATTCTGCCCTGAACTCTAGGAACACATTGCCATTTACTTAATGAACATGTGTTAAGTGCCTACCGAGTGTTAGGTACCATGCTAGGATCAGAAGATGAAAACCCCAACGTGTAATCCTGTCTGAACACTGGTGCTAAGAGATTCTGTAACCAACATTACTTTGGATTGGTTAAAACTATCTTTCTAGTTGCATGTGGTTGAACTTTGAGGACTGGGAAAGAATGGGTCCACTGTCCTAATGGTTAGAAGCCTCTGGCCATCAGTGTTCATTACTGGCCATTTATTAGCTGCCTTGGGAGCCTCGGGGCAGGTTCCAACCAGATACATAGTTATATTAACACTGGAAGGTGCTAAGACATCTGCCTTCGAGTTTGGCAAGCTCACTCATAACACCAAAGGAAGAGAAGAGAAACACTTTCTGTGTCTCTGAGCAAAGACCTCTTCTGTGTTTAGCAAAAACCAACCAAACCAATCAAATACTTCCTCAGCTGGAAGACAAGAAAGAAAACTTTTTTGTTATACATAGAGGGGGATGGGTCACATTTTTACAGGGTTTCATAGACCACTGACTTCATGACCCCCCCTTTTTTTTGTGATGACCCTTTTTTTGAGAACAGTTTTAGATTTATAGAAAAATTAAGACAGTAGAGAAAGTTCCCATATCACTTCTACCACCTCCCTCAGTTTCACCTATTATTGTATATTACCATTAATGACAAATATTAAAACATGATTAATATCTAAAATCCATACTTATTTAGATATCCTTACTTTTTAACCTAATGTCTTTTTTTGGTTTCAGGATAGTACATTATATTTTCGTGTCTCCTGAGCCACCTCTTGGATATGATAGTCTCAGAATTTCTGTTTTTTCAGCCGGGTGTGGTGGCTCATGCCTGTAATCCCAGCACTTTGGGAGGCCTAGAAAGGCAGATCACCTGAGGTCGGGAGTTCGAGACCAGCCTGACCAACATGGAGAAACCCCATATCTACTAAAAAAATACAAAATTAGCCAGGCGTGGTGGCACATGCCTGTAATCCCAGCTACTCGGGAGGCTGGGGCAGGAGAATTGCCTGAACCTAGAGGCAGAGGTTGTGGTGAGCCGAGATTGCGCCTTTGCACTCCAGCCTGGGCAACAAGAGCAAAACTCTGTCTCAAAAAAAAAAAAGGAATTTCTGTTTTTTCTTTCTTTCTTTCTTTCTTTTTTTTTTTTTTTGAGACAGAGTCTCAGTGTGTTGCCCATCCTGGAGTGCAGTGGCACAATCGTGGCTCACTGCAGCCTCGACCTTCTGGGTTGAAGTGATCTACCCATCTCAGCCTCCTGAGTTGCTGGGACCACAGGCACGTGCCACCATGGCCTGGCTAGTTTTTGTCTTTTTTGTAGAGATGGGGTTTTGCCATGTTGCCCAGGCTAGTATCGAACTCTTGGGCTCAAGGGATCCTCTCATCTCGACCTCTCAGAGTGTTGGGATTACAGGCATGAGCCACCCTGGGGTTCTGTGGTGTTGGGAAGATCACTGAGATACAGTGCCATTTTCATCACATCACACAAAGGCACATCTATTAACATGATTTATTACTGCTGATGTGACCCTTGATCACCTGGCTGAGGGAGCGTCTGGTTTCCCCAGCGGGCGGCTACTCCTTATCCCCATTTTGCGCATTCTACTCTTTGGGAAGCATAGCTCCCCACTCCTTGTGCAGCCCACACTCAAGGAGTGCAGAGTTATGCTCCCTTCATTATGGATGGAGTATCTACATACATTATTTGTCATTCTTCTGCAGGAGAGCATGAAAGATTTGTTTGTTCTCCTCAATTTATTAATTTATTCAATAATTTATTTATATCAGTATGGACTCATGAATACTGATATGTTGAGTTTTTTGTTTTTTTGAGACAGAGACTCGCACTGTCACCCAGGCTGGAGTGCAATGGCTCAATCTTGGCTCACTGCAACCTCTGGCTCACTGCAACCTCTGCCTCCCAGGTTCAAGCGATTCTCCTACCTCAGCCTCCCAAGTAGCTGGGATTACAGGTGCGTGCCACCATGTCCAGCTAATTTTTTTTTATTTTTAGTAGAGATGGGATTTCACCATCTTGGCCAGGCTGGTCTCAAACTCCTGACCTCGTGATCCACCCACCTCGGCCTCCCAAAGTGCTGGGATTACAGGCGTGAGCCACCATGCCCGACCTCTGATATGTTGAGTTATATAGTCCAATACTACTTTGTTATTTAGTTGCTTAAATTGTTTTCCCATTGGCTACTGGAAGTTCTACAGCTGGCTCCTGTGTACCTCTGACATCCTCCCATCAATGAGGGCAGATTTTTTGTCTGTTTTCATTTGTTCTTTGAGCTCTTCGTGACCCCTTTCTATTCTAAGAAAGAATCTGTAATCAGTCAGTCTCCAGTATTCAGATTCAGGCTGTAAGAGATATATTTTTTAAAGGTATCTGGGTCTAGTGTCTCAAATCTTATGTGGAAGGGTCCCATCAATTTAGGCTCACCCAAAGACATAAAGTCTCTGCTATCTACCTCCCATCCCTGCCCCTTGCCTGGGCATAGAAAGATGACTTAATTATATTTCTCAGTTCATGGTCCATGACCATCAATGGATTGTGTAAGTATCTGCTTTTATTCTACTTACTTATTTTCCTTTGCCCCAATACTCTATTTTGATTCTTTTTCCCTCCCCACAAGCCCCAGGAAACCATTCTAATGTGTATTCTTTTGGTTGTAGGTACAAAATGTATATGATTTTGTGCTCAGATATTATTAACTTACACAAATAATGACATATTATATATTTCATTTTTTATACAATTATATATATTTTTATTATTTATGCTTTTTTTGTTTGTTTATTATTAGAGATGAGGTTTCACTATGTTGCCCAGGCTGGTCTTGAACTCTTGGGCTCAAGCAGTCCTCCCACTTCAGCCTCCCAAAGTGCTGAGATTACAGGCATGTGCCACCATGCTTGGCCTAACTGTATTTTTAATGTCCTAAAAAAATCTAACTGGTATTTTGATTTGGATTGTATAAAGTTCGTAGATAGAATTCTAAAGAATTCAGAGATTTATAATTATTTTGTATCTCTTTTTATAACATACTGACTAAATAAAGGCATGGTCCTATATCTCTTCTACCAGTATCTGGCCAATCCATGTATATTAACAAGCTAAAATTTAATTGAATAGTCACCAAAGTAGATAGAACTGGTTTCAGAACACTAAGTGGGTGGCAAATAAATAAAAAATCAGTGTCATATGGCCAGGTGCAGTGGCTCACACCTGTAATCCCAGCACTCTGGGAGGCCGAGGTGGGCAGATCACTTCAGGCCAGGGGTTTGAGACCAGGCTTGCCAATGTGGTGAAACCCCATCTCTACTAAAAATACAAAAATTAGCTGGGTGTGTTGGTACATGCCTGTAATCCCAGCTACTCAGGAGGCTGAGGCACAAGAATCACTTGAACCTGGGAGACGGAGATTGCAGTGAACCGAGATCACACCACTGCACTCCAGCCTGGGTGACAGAGTGAGATTCCATCTCAAAAAAAAGAAAAAAAAAGAAAAGAAAAGAAATCAGTGTCATAAAAAGGCATTTATTAAACTCATAATTATTCTTGGTATTATACTAGATTCTGTACTAAAAAAGATGTACATGTGTATATCACATTATTTGGGGGTTTCCATTTAAACAGACAATATTGAGTGGCTAAACATATGCAAGATTTCAGCACAATAAAAACTAAACTAGGCCAGACGCAGTGGCTCATGCCTGTAATCCCAGCACTTTGGGAAGTGGGAGCAGGAGGACCACTTGAGGTCAGGATTTCATGACCAGCCTGGTCAACATGGTGAAACCCCGTCTCTACTAAAAATACAAAAATTAGCAGGGTGTGGTGGCACATGCCTGTAATCCCAGCTACTCAGGAGGCTGAGGCAGGAGAATGGCTTGAACCCAGGAGGCAGAGGTTGTGGTGAGCCAAGATTGTGCCACTGCACTCTAGCCTGGGCAACAGAGCAAGACTCCGTCAAAAACAAACAAACAAATAAACAAACAAAAACACCTAAACTAAACTAATCAGGGAATGGACTAATGTATTTCTAGCATACAAAAGTGCAGAGTAAATGCATATTGGGAGTGAGAAATGGGAGAGTAGGACAAGAGAGATAACCAGGATAGATAAAGCATCTGAACATAATAAAATTTAGTTTTATCTGATAAAAGTAAGCTCTAAAGTATGCAAAATAGACTGCCACCTGAGTAAAAGGAAAAAAAAAAACAATAACATAGCTATATATTTTTTCTTATATATATATACTTTAAATATGTCTGGAAGGATATAGAAAATCTAACAACATTGGTTGTTTGCAGAAATAAGAACTGATTGGTTAGAATGGGAACAGAGAGGAGAAAAAGACTTCTTAGTGTATACATTTATATTTTTTAAAATTTGAATCATGTAAATTATTTAAAGATTAAAAAATTAAACTTTAAAAGTTGACGGGTACATAAAAGAAAAATAAATTTTCAGAATGTTTATGATATGAAATAGAAATAATGGGTATGGGCTGGACGTGGTGGTTGAAGTCAGGAGTTCCAGACCAGCCTGGCCAACATGGTGAAACCCCATCTCTACTAAAAATACAAAAAATTAGCCGGTTGTGGTGGCACGCGCCTGTAGTCCTAGCTACTCGGGAGGCTGAGGCAGGAGAATCGCTTGAACCCAGGAGGCGGAGGTTGCAGTGAGCTGAGATCACACCACTGCACTCCAGCCTCGGTGACAGAGCAAGACTTCGTCTCACACACACACACACACACACACACAAAGAAAATAAAGAGGTAATGAGTATGCATGTGTACACACTTGCACAAATGCATCCAGAGAATTTGGTACCACAATGCCACTAATTCAACCCTCTATTAGTAAGGGGAATAAAAGGATGAGACTATGGCAGAATTTCCAAGTCAGTTATCAAAACCTCCAGGCTACATATCATTGATATGATACATTGATATGAATAGGGCAGACCAGAAACTAGTTACTGAAGGTGTGAGTCTCAGTCACCTTCAATGTCCTGCAGTAATCTTCAAAACTTTGGAGTCCAAAGGATATTTAGCCATACGGTAAATCTCAGCTTAGTCTCTCACACTGCCTGCTATGACACATCTTGGAAAAGCAACTTGGTTGGCTTCTTCCTCCCAGCCAACTGAAAGCTATGTCCAAAGTTTAATGATGGAGTATTGATCTGTAGAGTATAAGAATTGATAATCACTCAGCTATTCCAGCAAATTCATTGCCAACTATTAAAAGATTATAGACAATTCACTGTAAACAACAGAAGAGAGATAGCTTTTCTGTAGTCTCATAGGAGCAAGAGCTAACAGTGAGGCTCAACAGCCTTTTTCTTGGCTCCTGGTCAAAATCTTACATTTTGTAGATAATTCCTTCTCAAATGATAGATATTTCCTACCTTGACTTATATATCTGGGTTTTATACTTGCTACCACCAGCATATGTAAATTTACCATATCATCTTGACAATTCGCCTGCAATACATGAATAGCACATTCATGTCACAACTACATCTTTCTATTTTTTTATATCGTTCTCTCTCTCTCTCTCTATATATATATATATATATAGATATATATATATATTTTTTTTTTGAGATGGAGTCTTTCTTGCTCTGTTGCCCAGGCTAGAGTGCAGTGGCGCGATCTTGGCTCACTGCCAGCTCCACCTCCCAGGTTCATGCCACTTTCCTGCCTCAGCCTGCCAAGTAGCTAGGACTGCAGGCGCCCGCCACCATGCCCGGCTAATTTTTTTTTTTTTTTTTGTATTTTTAGTAGAGACGGTGTTTCATCGTGTTAGCCAGGATGGTCTCGCTCTCCTGACCTTGTGATCTGCCCGCCTCGGCCTCCCAAAGTGCTGGGATTACAGGTTTGAGCCACCGCACCCGGCCTATATCATTGTATATTAAAATTCCTTTAAATTAAGTTGTGCATGTTGATTTGTTTTTGTTTTCAGATGGAGTCTCGCACTGTTACCTGGGCTGGAGTGCAGTGGTACAGTCTCAGCTCACTGCAACCTCTGCCTCCAGGGTTCAAGTGTTTCTCCTGCCTCAGCCTCCCGAGTGGCTGGGATTATGGCCACATGCCACCATGCCCAGCTAATTTTTTGTATTTTTAGGAGAGATGGGGTTTCACCACGTTGGCCAGGCTAGTCTCAAACCCCTGACCTTATGATTTGCCCACCTCGGCCTCCCAAAGTGCTGGGATTACAGGCGAGAACCACCATGCCCGGCCATGCATGTTGAATTTTAAAATCACATATTACTTCCAGCATATACAGTCTGATTTCTGGTTACATTAAAATTTATCCTTATTGAGTCTCTTCTTGTTCTTTTTAAAATTTTTGAATTGTATTCTATGCAATGGTTCTACTTAGAATTTTTCATATAAAATAATTTTCTCTGAAAACTATCATTTAACAATGATCTTATAATATTCCTTCCTGATACTGGTGAAAATTATATGACTTATTTTTAAACTGTCTTCATTATAACTTTTTTAGAATCATGGATATAAACAAAGATTATGCTATAAGGATATATTAGCATTATGTCTAGTGGTGGATAATTAGGAACAACTAACTACTTAAAGTACTTTAAGAACTGGGCCAGGCACAGTGGCTCACACCTGTAATCCCAGCACTTTGGGAGGCCAATGGGGGAGGATCACTTGAGGTCAGGAGTTTGAGACCAGCTTGGCCAACATGGTGAAATCCCGTCTTTACAAAAAATGCAAAAATTAGTCAGGCATGATGGTGCGCACCTGTAATCCCAACTACTCGGGAGGCTGAGGCAGGAAAATCGCTTGAACCCGGGAGGCGGAGGTTGCAGTGAGCATGCCACTGCACCCCAGCCTGGGCGACAGAGTGAGACTCTGCCTCAAAAAAAAAAGCACTTTAAGAACTGAAGGCTTTTGGCTAGTCACAGTGGCTCACACCTGTAACCCCAGCACTTTGGGAGGCTGAGGCAGGCAGCTCATTTGAGGTCAGGAGTTCGAGACCAGCCCAGCCAACATGGCACTGTCTTTACTAAAAGAATACAAAAAAAGTTAGCCCGGTGTGGTGGCAGGTGCCTGTAACCTCAGCTACTTGGGAGGGTGAGGCAGGAGAATCGCTTGAATCCAGGAGGCAGAGGTTGCAGTGAGCCAAGATCATGCCACTGCACTCCAGCCTGGGCTACCATTTTGAGACTCCATCTCAAAAACAAACAAACAAAGGAACTGAAGGCTTTCTTCTTTTTTTTTTTTTTTCAGACAGAGTCTCGCTCTGTCACCCAGGCTGGAGTGCAGTGGCGCGATCCTGAATAGCTGGGATTACAGGCATGCGCCACCACGCCTGGCTAATTTTTGTATTTTTAGTAGAGACGGGGTTTCACCTGTTGGTCAGGCTGATCTCAAACTCCTGACCTTGTGATCTGCCCACCTCAGACTCCCAAAGTGCTGGGATTACAGGCGTGAGCCACTGCGCCCAGCCTGAAGACTTTCTTATTATTGGACACCTTCTCCTCTGGCTTCCCTCTGGCCTCCCACTGCCTGTTACCTAAGAATATCAGGTAGAAGTCTGTCGAATGTGATGAGGTTTATACAAAATTTTTAGGTGGTCCAAATCCTGAAACTCATCTTCTTACTGAAACACTGGAGGGCTAAACTTGATTTAGAGCTTTATTAATGAAAGCAAATAAGAATTTCTATAAAAATTCAAAATGCTACAGCAGCCAATTCCGTGAACTCTGTAGCCAGATGGCTTGGGATCAGATCTGAGACTACTACTTACTAACTGTGTAACCATGGACAAAAGAGTTAACCTCTCTGTGCCTCATTTTTCTCACCTGCAGAATTGGGCTTATAATAGGACCTGGCCCATAAATCTGTTGAGAAAACTATGGGTGAATATATAGAAGATATTTTGGATGGTGCTGATACAGTAAGTTTAGGTATTGTTATCCAAGTAAATAATTTGTGAATCTACCAACTTGGTATACTAATTTTTTAAAAATTTTCTTTCATATAGTTTTTTTTGTTTGTTTCCTTTTTAGAACAGTTCTAGATCTCCATCGTTATAAAAGAGTATTACCGTGTTGGTGTACCACAATTTCTCAAGAAAAACATTAGCTAAGCCCAAGCTGGATTTTGGTGGGTGTCACAGGTCATTTTTTCCTCCATTCTATTTCTTTCTCTGAATTCTTTCTTCTCATTGTCAACCAGATGCCACTTAAGGTGATAATAAAATTGAGACAGAAGTTAGGAAGGAAAAAGCAACCTGACTTTCAGAGCCCTAAGAGATTTTTATGAGCAAAACAAAGAAAGATCCCAACATTATACCTAGTAAATGCTCTAGGAGGATAAAAAGTGACAACAACCTCCACCAATAAAGTGCAGTCACTATAGAAGCTTTTCCACATCAGAACACTCTGACCTTACTCTGAGAGCTTCTGGCTGCATAATCCTTTCATGGACGTTATATGCACTAGAGGGGACAAGAGCAAGAAGAGAACAAGGCACTGAGTTTCAGAGTGACTAAGGTATAGAAATTCAGAGGAAAAGCAGAGGCAGAGGAGCGATTAACAACAACAACAAAAAAGCAGCACAAGATTTGACAAAGAGGCAAGGGGAACAGGAGTGGAGATGGGGAATGAGATAAGAAAGCTGCACATCCAGGGAGAGATATGGGGAGAAATGCAGTGCTTAGTAGATGGCAATAAGTAGAGTTCTGCTTTGAAAAAAGAAATCAAAGGGCAAAAAAGAAAAAAAAATAGAGAACATATGGGGAAATAACTAGAAAGCAGCTGAAAGGGTTGCACCTGGAAGGAAGAAAAAAATAAGTAACATGTATTCATAACAATGTTTGAGAGAGGGAAGAAAGATTTTCTTCCTCTTCAAGATTCCCATCCCCTCTAAAAATACAGTCACTAAGATGCAGCCATCTTTGTGGTATTCATTCCTCCAATCCCATTTCCCCCTTCTCTGACATTTATTTTCATTCAAGTCAGTTGCCAGTCACTCTTACTAGAAACTCGCCAAATCATATTTCAAGAATTTGTAAAAGACAACGTTCTCGGCAAGGGGGTCTTAGAGGTTGGCTTTTTCTTTTGGTCATGTGGCATCAGGTTATCCCTGACAGCCACACAGCAGCAGGCAAGATGAAACTTAGTTTACAGGTTGGAGCTAAGGGCTCAGATTACTTCCTCATGTGACCCAGTTGGCTTTGCTTTCTTCTGTGGCAGCAAACTGAATCTCGAGCCCCAGCCAGCTGTCACAAAGCTGCCAATGGTCAAAGGATGTCCAGGCTCTTAATATAGCCTGAGGAGCCATGCAAGGCACAACTTAGCCCAGAGAGGGCCAGGATTAGAACCTCTTGTCCTAGCTCAATGCACTTTCACTACAGAGACCAGATATGAGCAGTTGAAACATGACTGTGTAAGATTTGGGAAAAGGGGTCTCATTTACTAGGAGATGACTATTTGGGTAACTTTTTTTTTCTTCTTTCTTGCCTTCTACAGGACTAATAAAGTTTTCTTGTTTTTTCTCCCTGCCCTCTCTTTCCTTTTCTCCACATTCTGGTTTGGAAGCTATGATATTTCATTTCTTTCAGTCATTTCCATTGATTAAAAAAATACTATGGAACTTCTCAAACACACTCAAATAGAGATAATAGTATGAACTTCCCAACGTATCTGTTGCCTAACTTCAGCTAACAATAAATAGCCACTTTTGTTTCACCTATATACTTATATACCCACCTACAATCTCACCCCTGATTATTTAGAAAAAATTCTAGATAATACATCATTTCCTTGTATATATTTTAGTATTATGTCTAAAAGATAAGAACTATTTTTTGAGACAGGGCTTTCCTGTGTCACCCAGGCTGGAGTGCAGTGGCAGGATCATAACTCACTATAACCTTGAACTCCTGGGCTCAAACAGTCCTCCTGCCTCAGCCTCCCAAAGTGCTGGAATTACAGATGCGAGCCACTGCACCCAAACAAAAACTCTTTTTTTTTTAAGCAAAATTATAATGTTACCATCACATCTAAAAAAATTAACAATAATTCCTTAATATCATCAAATATCTGGTCATTGTTCACACTTCCCCAAATGACTTCTTATTATATTTTTCTTTTTCTTCTTTTTTTTTTCCTTTCTTGAGACAGGGTCTTGCTCTGTTACCCAGGCTAGAGTGCAGTGGCATGATCATGGCTCAATGCATCCTCCACCTCCCGGGCTGAAGAGACTCTCCCACTTCAGCTCCCTGAGTAGCCGGGACTACAGGTATGCACCACCATGCCTGGCTAATTTTTGTACTTTTTGTACAGACAGGGTTTTACCATGGTGCCTAGGCTGGTCTTGAACTCCTGAGCTCAAGTGATCCACTTGGCCTTTTAAAGTTCTGGGATTACAGGTGTGATCCACTGTGCCTGGCTTTCTTCTTCTTTTACAGTTTTTGTTTGGATCCAAATAAGGCCCATGCATTGCAACTGATTGCTAAGTATTTTAACTTTCTCCCCACATCTGCACCCATTTACCATCCACCCCATCACTCTCTGTTTTATTTTTAAATTTTTTTATTGAAGAAACTTGGTTTTTTGACCTACTGAGTTTCCCATAGTCTAGATTTTGCTGATTCCATCCTTATACTGTTTTTTTAAGAAAATGTGTTACAGTGTTCCTTGTTATTTCCTGTGAAATGGTAGTTAGAACTAAAGGCCTGATCAGATTCAACACTTGGTTGTTATTGTTGGCAACACAACTTAATGGGTGATGTTGCACACACCTATCAGGAGGCACATACAATGTTCAAAAGTCTCTTCTTATGACATTATCAGACATTGATAGTCATTGCCTAGGGTCAGCAGCTAATTAGGGGTTACAAATGGTGATTTTAAAAATTGCTTCTTTTTTATCTGAAATACTTTTGTCGACAAATGTTTCTTCAATGCTGGCAGGTAGAGTATATGTAAAGACAAGATAAATTCTTAATTCTCTCTATTAACCCAATTTTATTTTGTTTTATTTTATTGTTTTCATGTTAGATGGATAACATGCTGATGTTGTAACAAGGCTGGAGCGTGACACATCTCACACATGCACGTGAACACCCAATTACCACGCCTATGAACTACAAAAGCATCTAAGCAGATTTTAAATTAGCCAGTTGTTTCCCTAGGATCCTCCAAAGGTGATCAATACAGTTTGTTTTTTTCTTGGTGGAGGGATCTCATGATGAACTAATGAATCTTAACATGAATTGTAAGCAAATAAATAAAATGGTATGGTTTAAGCCATTAAGTTTTGGGATATCTGTTACATGGCAATAGATGACTGCAATAGTCCTCTTCCATTTAACAAGAAAACTTTGTAGATAGAAATGTTAAAGCTGGGTGCAATGGCTCACACCTATAATCCCAGCACTTTGGGAGGCCAAGGCATGAGAATCACCTGAGGTTAGGAGTTCGAGACCAGCCTGGCCAAAGTGGTGAAATCCCATCTCTTTTTTTCTTTTTTTTTTTTTTTTTTTTCCTTTTTCTGGAGAATGGGGTCTCACTATATTGCCCAGGCAGGTCTCGAACTCCTGGGCTCAAGCTATCCTCCTGCCTCTTGCCTCCCTGAGAGCTGGGATCACAGGCGTAAGCCACCGCGCCCGGCGTGAAATCCCATCTCTACTAAAAATACAAAAATTAGCTGGGCATGGTGGGATGTGCCTGTAATCCCAGCTACTCAGGAGGCTGAGGCAGGAGAATTAGCTTGAACCTGGGAGGCAGAGGTTGCAGTGAGCCGAGATTGTGCCGCTGCACTCCCGCCTGGGCGACAGAGTGAGACTCTGTCTCAAAAAAAGAAAAGAAAGAAAGAAAAAGAAAAGAAGTGTTAAAGCAATTTTCATGATCAATCTTGTCTTTTCTGTTGCATCTGTGAACTGACATTCTAACCTTGATGGGCAGGTGGCATTGCCACGCATTTTAGAAGTTGCCGCCGATTTTGTGCCCATCCACATGGAGCAGGGTGCCTTCAGTCTGACATGTTCCCCACATGTCCCTTCTGGCATTGTTGCTTCAGGAACCAGGCACTGCATTTGTCCCACAAGAATCAGCCCCCAGATTTCCATCCAGATTATCTGATTTCTTCCATTGGTTTTAATTCATGGGTGGCCCATTTACTTCAAATCTAATGTCTGAAAGGCTCTTTATTTCTTTTTTCTAGAGACAAGAAGCAAAGCTGGTCAGTATGTTTCACTCACACAGAAGCCATGTCTAATCTGTAGGTGGATAATTTTGACATTGCCAGAACTATTATTCTGTCTGAATGACTATGATTAGTTTAGGATCTCATTTGAAAATAAGGCAATTACGCTGGGCGCGGTGCTTCACGCCTGTAATCCCAGCAGTTTGGGAGGCTGAGGTGGGCGGATCATGAGGTCAAGAGATCGAGACCATCCTTGCCAACATGGTGAAACCCCATCTCTACTAAAAATACAAAAATTAGCCAGTCATGGTGGTGCGTGCCTGTAATCCCAGCTATGCAGGAGGCTGAGACAGGAGAATAGCTTGAACCCAGGAGGCAGAGGTTGCTGTGAGCCGAGATCACACCACTGCACGCCAGCCTGGGGACAAAGCAAGACTCTGTCTCAAAAAAAAAAAAAAAAGAAAAGAAAAAAAGAGAAGATTCCTTGACATAATAAGACTTATCCATAAGCTATAGTATATATAACTTAGGCCAGAGGGAAATACAATAGATTTATATTCTTTCTAGCTATGTGTTTTATTACAATATCATAGATTATTGCCACAGAGGAAGAACAATAAGAAAAACACTGAAAGAAAACAAAAACAAATATTCAGACAGGCTGCTCATCTCCCTCATGGTGATTCCTTCTCTGGCCAAGTTGCTAAGGCTATGGCTGTAAGAGAGGATGATTGGGAGATGGGACAGTGAGTACATCCAGGAATAATTCTTAGAAATCCTCAATTACGTTCAATAGCATTTTGCTAAACCTCAAGCCTGGTAATTTATACACACACTTATACACAAACACAAACACATTCTGCTGCCCTGGTTCTTCAGCAAAAAAAGAGGGCAGCTTATAGCTGAAGAGAAAGCTCACATTACAAAGACTTCATTACTTTTACAAAATATGCACCAAAGGACATTTACTAGTGCACTGAGAGCTATTATCATAAATAATTAAAACTAAACTATTCTTCTCTAAATAAATGTATAAAGTACATTGGGTGATTCAGAGCACTCAGCTTTCTCAACATACTGCTCTGTATACTTATAATGCAAGAACCCCCCCAGGCCATTAAAATGATATTTCTGGTTTTCCCATAGAGACTTTAGAAAGCAGATTTGGACGGGGCACAAGAACTTAGGATGCTGAAGTCCTTCTTTCTAATTGCTTTTTTCCCTTTCCAGTAATTATTTACAAGAAAATGAAAATGTTTGCAGACATCTTTGCATGAAGGGCCCTTACAGTCGTATTTTACACAAATACATTGATGCATAGTTCAAAAAGTCTGAGTGTTAAGCAACATGACATTTCTCAAGCATCACTGCCCATCGTGGAAGCCATTGTGATTTGTGTTGAGAAGGTAACTTCTGGAATCTTCCTTATTCAAAGAATATAAAATGAAGAGCCATCGTGATGTGACGAAAAGGATTTCCTATGCCCTTTAACCCAATACAACACTCTCATATTTCACTCAAACACTGAATTAGATATGTAATAACTACTTGGCTTGCTTCCATGTGAGTCCTGGAGGAAACTGAAGTTGTCTAGAGGGTCAAGAGCTGCTTTGGATTTCTAGAGTCAGGATCCACTTTTGTTGCTTTGTCAACTTCCAGGCTTACCCGATTTGGGTCTTCTGGAGGTGAGTAGCTTTTAGGAATCTAGTAACCTTGAGGTCTCTACGGTTAATCTGAATGAATTCAATTCTCAAAACTGAACTTAATTTAAAAGCAGCCTACAGTTAAAAACAGGTCTTTATTCCTGGGGCCTGTTTAAACAAAACTAGACCTGTCCTTTATTCCATTTTTTTTTTTTTTTTTTTTTTTAAACAGAGTTTTGCTCTGTCTCCCAGGCTGGAGTGCAGTGGTGCAATCTCGACTCACTGCAACTTCTGCCCCGCAAGATTCAAGTGATTCTTCTGCCTCAGCCTCGTGAGTAGCTGGGACTACAGGTGCACACCACCACGCCCAGCTAATTTTTGTATTTTTAGTAGAGACAAGGTTTCACCATGTTGGTCAGGCTGGTCTTGAACTCCTGACCTTGTGATCCGCCCACCTCGGCCTCCCAAAGTGCTGGGATTACAGACATGAGCCACCGCACCCTGCCTTTTTTTTTTTTTTTTTTTTTTTGGAGATGGAGTCTCGCTCTATTGCCCAGGTTGGAGTGCAATGGTGTGATCTCAGCCCACTGCAATCTCTGCCTCCTGGGTTCCTGGGTTCAAGCAATTCTCCTGCCTCAGCCTCTCGAGTAGCTGGGGTTACAGGTGTGTGCCACCATGCCTGGCTAATTTTCGTATTTTTAGTAGAGATGGGGTTTCACCATGTTGGCCAGGCTGGTCTCGAATTCTTGACCTTAAGTGACCCACCCGCCTTGGCCTCCCAGAGTGCTGGGATTACAGGTATGAGCCACTGCTATAACAGAATACCACAGACTGGGCAATTTGTTATTACTATTTTTAAGTTATTTCTTACAGTTCTGAGGGCCAAGAAGTCCTAGGTCAAGGGCCTCCATCTGGCAAGGACCCTCTTACTATGTTATCCCATGGCGGAAGGGCAAGAGAGCATGTGTGAGAGAGCAGGAGGGGCCAAACTCACTTTATAAGAAGCCCATTCTCACAATAACTAACCAACCCCCTTCATGTGGACAGAGCCCTCATATCATAATCACCACTTATTAGGCCCCACCTCCCAACACTGTTGCACTGGGGATTAATTTCCCGACACATGAACTTTGGGGGACACATTCAAACCATAGCATAGGGCAAGTTCCAAAGGCCGAAAAGTGTGACCCAAAGGAAAAGTGCGACTCAAAGGAAAAGTGCATACTATAAAGCTTGGCGAAAATAAAATCAAAGAATCTTAGTATAACAATTACAGCAGCAAAAGCTTTGCTATCAAGGGCTGATGGAGGCTGGATCTTCGAGTATTTGAAGCTGGAAAACTGCAATTTGGGGGATTGCTTCTGCATTCTGGGTGGGGGTAAAGAACTGAAATTTGTCCTTAGGTCAACTCCTCATTTCTGTTCACTTTGGTAAACTTTTTTTTTTTTTTGAGACAGAGTTTTGCTCTGGCACCCAGGCTGGAGTGCAGTGGCACAGTCTCAGCTCACTGCAACCTCTGCTTCCCGGGATCAAGTGATTCTCCTGCCTCAGCCTCCTGAGTAGCTGGGATTACAGGTGTGAGCCACCATGCCCAGCCACACTTTGGTGAACTTTTTAGTAATATAAACCTAAGGCCAGTTAATTCCCAATTCTTCAAAAGAAGCCATGAATCAGCAAGTTACACAAACTCAGATCCTTTGAACTGAGATGTTAACATTCTGCTTAGTCATTTAAATTAGCACCTTATCAACTGAACCGTGCCACTCTAGAGATAGAAAATATTTTCCTGCATAAACTGAATTGCAACTAATCCATAGCTAAAAATTATTTCATTCTTGGGAGATAAGTGCTTGGCTTTGTCCAAGCATGTGTTCACTAGGAGATCTGGAGACCAGATTGTGGCAAAAAGAATGTTCAGGCTAAACTTTTCGCCAGCTAATGCCTGAGGAAATAGAATCCCAAGGAAACAAATAGCGTACGTATTCATGCTACCTGGGCTATGTACAGGACTGGCTAGCTACACAATTTGTGGGGCCTAGTGCAAAATGAAAATACGGATCCCCCTTGTAGGGACTGGCAAAGACTCTCCTTGATCAAATTTTAGTCAAGATCCTCTGAATGGGCCAGGCATGGTGGCTCATGCCTGTAAACCCAGCACTTTGGGAGGCTGAGGTGGGCAGATCACTTGAGGCCAGGAGTTAGAGACCAGTGTGCCCAACGTGGTGAAAACCTGTCTCTACTAAAAATACAAAAAAATAAAAAAAAAATTAGCCGGCTGTGGTGGCACACACCTGTAATCCCAGCTACAAGGGTGGCTGAGGTAGGAGAATCACTTAAACCCAGGAGGCGAAGGTTGCAGTGAACTGAGATCTCACCCACTGTATTCCAGCCTGGGTGACATAGTGAGACCCCATCTCAAAAAAAAAAAAACAAAAATCCTCTGAATTCTCCTCTCCTTTCAATTAGCCTCAATGTTGGCTCCCATCCTTGCCAGGCCTGCATAGTTCAGTTGTATCAGGAATTCTATTAAGTCAGTATAGAGAGAATCCCTCATCCTTAATACCTGATCACCCTGGCCTGCTTTAACAAGAGCCCTGTTTAAGTTGGTTTAACAATAATCTCCCTACTGTAGGCTGGGCATGGTGGCTCACGTCTGTAATCTCAACACTTTGGGAGTGCCAGGCAGGAAGATCATTTGAGGCCAAGAGTTCAAGACCAGTGTGGGTAACATAACAAGACCTCATCTCTAAAAAAACAACAAAATTAAAAAATTAGCTAGGCATGGTGGTACACACCTGTGGTCCCAGCTACTCAGGAGGCTGAGGTAAAAGGATTGCTTGAGCCCAGGAGGTCAAGGCTGCAGTGAGCCATGATTGTGCCACTGCACTCCAGCCTGAGTGACAGTAACAGAGCAAGACCTTGTCTCAAAAAGGAAAAAAAAAAAAAAAAAAAGAATTTCCCTACCGTTGATGTCTCATCTTCATAATTTCCATCCATAGACTCCACAACTCTGAAAGTTGGTTATAAATCCCCATTTGTCCTTGCTGTATTTGGAATTGAGCCCTGTCTCTCTACTCTATTGAGTCTTGATACCTATTGTAATTGTCCTGAATAAAGTCTTCCTTATCATTGTAACAAGTGTCAGAATAATTTTTTCCTGAACTGTTATGGTGTTGTGACTCACATAGGATCAGATTCATCAATGGACTCCCAAAACTGCTCTCCCAGGACCTCAAGTGTTCACCTTTGAAGACTTTGCCTTCACTCCTGACTGGTTAGGGATCACGTTGATGAGTCTGGCTCCTGAAGAAGGGCAGCAAATGACAGTCTGTTGAAGCACTTTTGATTTTGATTCTTAAGATGTAAGGACAGGCTGGGCTTGGTGGCTCACGCCTGTAATCCTAACACTTTGGGGGGCAGAGGTGGGTGAATCATATGAGGCCAGGAGTTTGAGACTGGCCTGGCCAGCATGGCAAAACCTCATCTCTACTGAAAATACAAAAATTAGCTGGGCATGGTGGTGGGCGCCCAGCTACTCGGGAGGCTGAGGCAGAAGAATCACTTGAACCCAGGGGGTGGAGGTTGCAGTGAACTGAGATTGTGCCACTTCAGCCTGGGCAAAACAGCAAAACTCTGTAAAAATAAAATAAAATTAAATTAAATTAAAAATTAAAAACCGAACGGACAGATTTTTATTGTCTGTCTCTCTTTTTTTTTTTTTTTTGAGACGTAGTCTCACTCTGTTGCCTAGGCTGGAGTACAGTGGCGCAATCTTGGCTAACTGCAACTTCTGCCTCCTGGGTTGGAGCAATTCTCCTGCCTCAGCCTCCTGAGTAGCTGGGATTACAGGTGTGCACCACAACACTCGGCTAATTTTTGTATTTTTAGTAGAGATAGGGTTTTACCATGTTGGCCAGGCTAGCCTTGAACTCCTGACCTCAGGTGATCCTCCCACCTCAGCCTCCCAGAGTGCTGGGATTACCGGCATGAGCCACCACACCTGGCCTCTCTTATTTTTTAGTAGAGACAGGGTTTCACCATGCTGGCCAGGCTGGTCTCAAACTCCAGGCCTCAAGTGATCCACTTGCCTTGGCCTCCCAAAGTGTTGGGATTACAGACATGAGCCACCACGCCTGGCCCCATCAAATTAATTTCTAAAATCCTATAAAAGAATGCTGTTTAAATTCACTTAGAGATAAATACGTGCTTAAGTAAAGTTAATATTCCTAAAACTCTTAGAAATATAAGAACTAACCCAAATGTTTTTCAAGTTCACATGTATTGAGTAAATCTTTGATAAATAAGACTAATTTGGTATTATTGGCTTAATAAAAATGAGTATGTCTTATAATTTTCATCATTAAGTATGATATGCTCATTTTTATTCTACTTGGGGTTACTAGTCAAGTGAGGTAATATTATATTTACTAGATATTTAAGATTATAAAAATTGGCCAGGTGCGGTGGTTCATGCCTGTAAATCCCAGGACTTTGGGGGCCAAGGTGGGCAGATTACCTGAGCCCAGGAGCTCAACACCAGCCTGGGCAATATAGTAAGACCCTGTCTCTACAAAAAATACAAAAAATTAGCCAGGCATGGTGGCTTGTGGCTGTCGTCCCAGCTACCCCAGAGGCCAAGGTGGGAGGATCACCTGAGCCTGGGAGGTCGAGGCTGCAGTGAGAGGAGATCACGCCATTCACTCCAGCCAGGCAATGGAGTGAGACCCTAGCTCAAAACAACAACAACACAAAGATTATAAAAATTATAAATTCACTCTAAGAACAAATGTACAAGTAATGATGTAGTAAAAATGAGTCACTTGATATTCATTACTTTATGCATATCAAGCACAGTAGTAAAACAAAAAAACCAATGTATTGAAACTTTTTAGGTTTTTGCTTATGCGATACTTGCCTAACAGGCGTAGACTATAAAAGTACTTAACAGAGAAATAACGTGAGATGATGGCTAGCTATGTTTAATGGTATGTCTGCCTGAAAATAGTTTCCAAAATCTTTTTGGTAACTTGGAACCTTACAGTTATGCTAAGTTAAATAATAGATATCCATTAAATATGTAGATCATTTCTAAGTAAGATAAACTACTGAAACATTCATTATTAAGCATAAGTTTAATTTTATATACTTCTGGTTTCTCATTTTTATATGGTACAGCCAAGCTAAATATATTTGGATCTATTAATAAACATGTTCTTTTTGCCACATTGGAAAATTGTACTATGAAGAAGCATATACCTATAAAAGTTGTCGGATGATATATATTCATAAAATACGCTAGTCTGCCACAGACGGCTGGTATGTGACAGACAATCCACAATTGTCTACTTCCTAGTATTCTCTGTTAAAAAAAAAAAGGTTACTAATGGTTAAAAATAATAATCAATATATGTAAATAAAACTACTAGAAATTGTAAGGGTGAGGAGAAGCAACTTTGCATAAAAAGTATGCAAGCAATGTAGGATGTGTTTCTGTTAAGAGAAAAAGAGAGTAATTTTATCCTAGATTAAAATGACTGGTTGTTCCAGAATGAGAAAGATAAAAAGTAGAAGACAAAAACTGAATGGATATAAAAAGTTGTAGAGTGCTTGTGGAAAAGGAATCTTGGAAAAGGAATTTTATCTCGTGGTCAAAGCTGACTAAGATTGGATAGGTTTATTTATAAGGGCTTTAAAAAATAAAAAAAGTACACTAGAAAGAGTAAAATTGTACACCAAAAGTACACTGGTGTGAAACTACAATTTAGCTTTCTCTATATTAAAAATGACAAAGTTTCCTTGGATTATTGGTCTGCTCTTAATAAGAGGTTGTAAGAGAAAGAGGTTATCCTTCTCTTTTGAGTGATCTGCCCAGGAAACCAAGATTTTGTGTCTTATCAGAGTAATTTTCTATGCTTTGTGTTAACCTTGATTATGTCCTTCATTATTGAAGACAACACTTTTCACTTTTTAAAAGAGCTATGAGACGGGTGCCGTGGCTCACACCTGTAATCCCTGCACTTTGGGAGGCCGAGGTGGGCAGATCACCTGAGGCCAGGAGTTTGAGACCAGCCTGGCCAACATAATGAAACCCCATCTCTACTAAAAATACAAAAAATTAGCTGGGCATGGTGGCGGGCACCTGTAATCCCAGCTATTCAGGCAAAAGAATCTCCTGAACCCAGGAGGCAGAGGTTGCAGTGAGCCGAGATCATGCCACTGCACTCCAGCCTGGGCAACAGAGTAAGACCCCGTATCAAAAAAAAAAAAGCTATGTTTCCTTTACAGTTGTTTTATCTTCCTTTTTTTTTTTTTTTTTTTTCTTTGAGATGGAGTCTTGCTCTGTCGCCCAGGCTGGAGTGCAGTGGTGCGATCTCGGCTCACTGCAAGCTCCGGCTCCCGGGTTCACGCCATTCTCCTGCCTCAGCCTCCCAAGTAGCTGGGACTACAGGCGCCCACCACCAGGCCCAGCTAATTTTTTTGTATTTTTAGTAGCGACGGGGTTTCACCGTGTGAGCCAGGATGGTGTTGATCTCCTGACCTCATGATCTGCCCGCCTCTGCCTCCCAAAGTGCTGGGATTACAGGTGTAAGCCACCACGCCCGGCTGTTTTATCTTCCATACTTACTTTTGAATTCTTTTTTTTATGAGACAGAGTCTCACTCTGTAGCCCAGGCTGGAGTGCTATGGTGCAATCTCGGCTCACTGCAACCTCTGCCTCCCAGGTTCAAGTGATTCTCCTGCCTCAAGTGATTCTCCTGCCTCAGGCTTCTGAGTAGCTGAGACTACAGGCATGCGCCACCATGCCCTGCTAACTTTTGTATTTTTAGTAGAGATGGGTTTTCACCATATTGGCCAGGCTGCTCTTGAACTCCTGACCTCGTGTATCCTCCCACCTTGGCCTCCTGAAGTGCTGGGATCACAGGTGTGAGCCACTACGCCTGGCCTACTTTTGAATTCTTTTGCTGTCACTCTGGTCAAATAGGTGGCTATTGTTTCACAGTGTCACACATAGATTTCATCTATTCAAATGCTCAAACCTTTTGATATTTCTGACAATTTTGTCTTCCCCAAATCAAATTCTAAATGAAATCTTGATTTTGAATGGAATTTGAGTTTTCCTAAAGGGCCTCTGGAAAATCTCAAAGAATTTATTCTTTCACCTTGTAAAGAGAGAGAGTTTTTTTTTAATTATGTTTATTTGATACGTTGAACTGCAAGAAAAGTATCAAATTGGGCCTGGCACAGTGGTTCATGCCAGTAATCCCAGCACTTTGGGAGGCCTAGGGGGAGGATTGGTTGAGCTCTACAAAAAATAAAAAAGTTAGTCAGGGCATAGCAGTACACACCTGTGCTCCCAGCTACCCAGGAGGCTGGGGTAGGAGGACCACTTGGGCCCAGGAGATGGAGGCTGCAATAAGACATGATCGTACCACTCTACTCCAGCCTGGATGACAAAAAAAAAAAAAAAAAAAAAAAAAAAAAAGCTGTACTGTCCACTGTATTGTATTGACTCTTCTCTCTTTGAACAGAAAAAAAAAAAAAAAGAGAGAGAGAGACTGACGACAATTTGCTCCTTGATTAAACTCTAGTTAGTTTGAGCCCTCTTCTTCACCAGCCCTTGACCTTGGTCCGCATGCTTGCTGGGCTTGCATGGCCCAGTAATAAATAGCAAGAATGCTACTACATCAGTTTAGAGGGAAGCACCTACCTTTGATGTCTGATTACTTGGTCTACCTTTAGCAAGAATCCTATTAAGTCAGTGTAACAAGACTTCCTCTATCCTTGATGTTTCTTCTCAAGTAATTTTTCATCCAATGACCTCGCACACACCTCACATTCTGTTTCTTGGTTATATTAATAAATTTCCACTGTCCTTGCTGTATTTGGAATTGAACTCTAATCTCTTTCTCCTATCGTGGTAGTCTTGACACCTTTCACAATGGTTCTTCCTCCTGCCACCTGCTGGACCGAGCACCATGTCCACCCTGGGGCAGGAAGTTGAAACAGACATCTATGCCAGGAAGCTCAAGGCACCTGGATCGGGGCTGGGGAAGAGGCAAGGTTTCCTCCTTCTCCCTCTGGCCAGAGGGCAAGTTACAGTCTTCAGAGACAGGCACAGGTAGAGGACATCTGTGCCTAGCAGTGTGGATATCTCACAAAAGACACTCAGGCAAAATGAAGAGGCCTGAACAGAAACAAAACAAAACAGAACAAACTGAGGCATTTGTTTTGGAGCATATGAGGAAATCCCCTGAGAAAAGGATGACTTAAAATGAACTATATTTGCCAGGTGCAGTGGCTCATGTCTGTAATCCCAGAACTTTGGGAGGCCGAGGAGGGCAGATCATGAGGTCAGGAGTTCCAGACCAGCCTGGCCAACATGGAGAATCCCCGTCTCTACTAAAAATACAAAAAAAAAAAAATTAGCCAGGCATGGTGACACGCGCCTGTAATCCCAGCTACTCGGGAGGCTGAAGCAGAAGAATCGCTGGAACCTGGGAGATGGAGGTTGCAGTGAGCCGGTATCGCGCCACTGCACTCCAGCCTGGGCAACAGGGCAAGACTCCATCTCAAAAAAAAAAAAAAAAGGAACTACATTTCAGCAAATGGGTCAGTGATAATTTACTTACAAAAAATTTATGTACTTTCATTTTGAAGTTACACACTGCTGCCACCAAAATGTGTCAGTTGCACATGCCACAGATGATAAATAACTGGAATTCTCATTTCTTTTCTAAATGTGAGGGGGAAAAAAAAAACCTATGGCTATTCACCACTTTGAAAATCAAAACAGAAATGATTTCTTGGCTATGACACCAAAAGCACAGAACACAAGACAAAGCAGATTTCATCAAAATTAAAGACTTTGTGCATCAAAGTAAAAAGGCAAACAATAAAATGGAGAGGAAATATTTGTGAATCGCATATCTGACAAGGGATTAATATGCAAAATATATAAAGATATACAGTAGGAATAGGGAAGTATTGTTTAGTGAGTACAGTTTCAGTAATGGATGATGCAAAATTCTGGAGATGGACAATGGTGAGGGTTGCACAACAATGCGAATATACTCAATGCCATTAAAAATAGTTAAAATGGTAACTTTTATGCTATATATATTTTACTATGATAAAACAAACTCAGCCGGGTGCAGTGGCTCACGCCTGTAATCTCAACACTTAGGGAGGCCGAGGCAGGAGGATCAGGAGTTTGAGACCAGCCTGGCCAACATGGTGAAACCCCATCTCTACTAAAAGTAAAAAATTAGCCAGGTGTGGTGCCACATGCCTGTAGTCCCAGCTACTTGGGAGGCTGAGGCAGGAGAATCACTTGAACCAGGGAGGCAGAGGCTGCAGTGCAGGGAGCTGAGATTGTGCTACTGCACTCCAGCCTGGGCGACAGAGTGAGACTCTATCACCAAAAAAAAAAAAAAAGCCCTCAGGCTGTGTGTGGTGGCGCATGCCTGTAAGCCCAGCACTTTGGGAGGCCAAGGCGGGCAGATTGCTTGAGGTCAGGAGATCAAGACCAGCCTGGCCAACATGGTAAAACACTGTGTCTACTATAAATACAAAAAAAAAAAAAAAATAGCCAGGTGTGGTGGCATACACCTGTA
This sequence comes from Homo sapiens, assembly GCF_000001405.40. Lineage (NCBI taxonomy): Eukaryota > Metazoa > Chordata > Mammalia > Primates > Hominidae > Homo > Homo sapiens. The sequence continues at coordinate 128,743,719 of NC_000004.12, read as the reverse complement.
GTCCTAGCTATTCAGGAGGCTGAGGCAGGAATATCGCTTTAACCTGGAGGCGGAGGTTGCAGTGAGCCAAGATCATGCCACTGCACTCCAGCCTGGGTGACAGAGCAAGACTCTGTCTCAAAAAACAAACAAACAAAAAAACCTCAGGAAAACCCAACTATCAAAAAGCCTGAATTTATTAAACCTATAAATTAGGAAATGGTTATTGAACTATGAAAGGATTTTGTCAATTTTAAAATGATTTAATTTAAGTAGGATTCTTTCCTAGAGCTTTACTGTCTGTCTCTTCACAAATCATTGTTGAAGTGGTCAGGCATGGTGACTCACACCTGTAATCCCAGCACTTTGGGAGGCCGAGGTGGGCGGATCACCTGAGGTTGGGAGTTCGTGACCAGCCTGACCAACACAGAGAAACCCCATTTCTACTAAAAATACAAAATAAGCTGGGCCTGGTGGCGCATACCTGTAATCCCAGCTACTTGAGAGGCTGAGGCAGCAGAATCTCTTGAATCTGGGAGGCAGAGGTTATGGTGAGCTGAGATCGTGCCATTGCACTCCAGCCTGGGCAACAAGAGTTAAACTCCGTCTCAAGAAAAAAATTTTTTTGTTGAAGTGTTCAAGAGTGGGTAAAAGGAGAAGTGGAATAAAAAAAGAAAACATACTAGGGACATTCGCAAACAATGTTTGTCTCTTAACAATGCTATTGAGTACTCTGAGTTTGTTGGATTTCGTTTTTTTTGTTTGCTTGTTTTTCAGACAGAGTGTTACTCTGTCACATAGGTTGGAGTGCAGTGGGGTGGTCATGGCCGGACCATCCTGGACCTCCCAGGCTCAAGTGATCCTCCTACCTCAGTCTCCGAGTACCTGGGACTACAGGCGGACACCACCATGCCTGGCTAATTTTCGTATTTTTTGTGGAGACGGGGTCCCACTATGTTGCCCAGACTGGCCTCAAATGCTTCAGTTTAAGTAATCCACCCACCTCGGTCTCCCAAAGCTCTGGAATTACACGTGTGAGTCACCACACCCAGCCTATATATGTGAATTTTTCAAATTTTTACTTTTAAAAAAATCGAAGACTTACAGATATAGTACAATGAGTTCCCTTATATCTGTCATCTAGGTTCATCAGTTGTTAACAAATTGTCATTTTTTTCTTTCTGTATATAATTATTTTATTACTTTGATGAAATATTAATGATTAGAAAGTAACCTGCAGACATCACGGTTCTTTACCCCTAAATAATTTTAGCATGTGTCTCACAAAAACCATGACTTTGCATTACATATCTAGAGCACAGTTGTGTCTGGAATTGGTTCCTGCCCGTGGGTTCTGGGTCTCACTGACTTCAAGAATGAAGCCGCGGACCCTCGCGCTGAGTGTTACAGTTCTTAAAAATTGTGCGTCCAGAGTTTGTTCCTTCAGATGTTCAGATGTGTTCTGAGTTTCTTCCTTCTGGTGGGTTCATGGTCTCACTGACTTCAGAAGTGAAGCCAAAAACCTTTGCTGTGAGTGTTACAGCTCTCAAAAGTGGCAGGTCCAGAGTTGTTCATCCCTCCCCGTGCATTGGTGGTCTCGCTGACTTCAGGAGGGAAGCTGCAGACCTTCCCACTGCGCGTCACAGCTCATAAAGATGGTGCAGACCCAAAGAGTAAACAGCAGCAAGACTTACTGCCAGGAGTGAAATAACAAAGCACACAAAGGGACCGCAGCAGGTTGCTGGTGCTGGGTCAGGCGGCCAGCTTTTATTCCCTTATTTGGCCCCACCCACATCCTGCTGATTGGTCCATTTTATAGAACACTGATTGGTCCGTTTTACAGGGTGCTGATTGGTCTGTTTTACAGAGCGCTGATTGGTCTGTTTTTACAGAGTGCTCACTGGTGCATTTACAAACCTTTAGCTAGACACAGAGTGCTGATTGGTGCATTTACAATCCTTTAGCTAGACAGAAAAGTTCTCCAAGTCCCCACCGGACCCAGAAGCCCAGCCGGCTTCACCTCTCACAATGATCATATTCTGAAAATTTAACAATGATGTGGTACTGGACAATGCATATACAAATTTCTCCAGTTGTTCCTTTAATATCGTTTGTGAAAAAATAATTACCTTTTCCATCCAGAATCTGATTCAGGATCATGCATCGCATCTAATTGTCATGCTTTTTAATCTACTTTGATATGGCACAGTTCTTCAATTTTTTTTTTTTTTCCTGAGGGGGAGTCTCGGCTCTGTCTCCCAGGCTGGAGTGCAGTGGCGCAAGCTCGGCTCACTGCAACCGCCACTTCCCAGGTTCAAATGATTCTCCTGCCTCAGCCTCCTGATTGGCTGGGACTGCAGGCGCATGCCACCATACCCAGCTTATTTTTGTATTTTTAGTAGAGACGGGGTTTCTCTGTTGGCCAGGCTGGTCTCAAACTCCTAGTTTCAAGTAATCTGCCCGCCTCGGCTTCCCAAAGTGCTGGGATTACAGGCGAGAGCCACTGTGACCGGACTTTTTTTTTTTTTTTTAAGACACCTGGTCTCACTCTGCAGCCCAGGCTAGAATGCAGTGGTACCACCGCAGCTCACTGCAGCCTCAATTTTCTGGGATCAAGTAATCCTCCCACTTCACCCTCCTGAGTAGCTGGGACTACAGGTGTGTGCCACCACACTCAGTTAATTTTTTCCTATTTTTGAAGAGACAGGGTTTCAACATATTGCCCAGGCTGGCCTCAAGTGATTCTCCCACCTAGGCCTCCCAAAGTGCTGGGATTACAGGCATAAGCCACTGTGTCCAGGCTGGTTGGATTATTTTTTTACGATCAGTTTCAGGCTAGGCATTTTTGGTGGGAACACCATATTAGGTGATAATGTATCCTTCTCGGTGCTTCACATCAGGAGGCACATAATTACCGGTATGTCCTTATTTTTTTCTTTTCTTTTTTTGAATTATTTTTTGCCGATGACACAGCTTCAGGAGGTCCTGACGACATGTGCCCTTGGAATGTCCTTTCTTGGTTGAAGTAGTGTCTGCCAGGTTTCTCCACTATAAAGTTACCACTTTCATCTTTGTTATTCTAGTTTGTGGGAAGTACTTTAAGACTAGATAAATATGCTGTGAAACTTGAACTCAAGCATCTTAGCATCCATTGATGACTGCTGCTTGAATTAATTATTTGTATGATGATTGCAAAATGGTAATTTTCTATTATTTCTTTTATTAAATATTATTCTAAAGTGTAATGTTTTTATAGAAAATAAATACATTCTTTTGCATGACACATATATCAGAAATAAGTTTGTTTTATGTCTTTTTAAAAAATTTTTGAGACAGGGTCTTGCTTTGTCACCCAGGCTGGAACAGTGGCAAGAACATGGCTCACTGCAGCCTCAAATTACCAGGCTTAAGCAATCCTGCTGCCTCAGCTCCCCAAGTAGCTGGGACCACAGACATCCACAACCATGCCTGGCTAGTTTTTGTATTTTTAGTAGAGATGGGGTTTCACCATGTTGCCCAGGCTGGTCTCAACTCCTGAGCTCAAGTGATCCACCTGCCTCAGCCTCCCAAAGTGTTGGGATTACAGGTGTGAGCCACCGTGTCCTGCCTGTTTTATGACTACTAATGTGGAAAAAGCATGTTACATTTTGGCCCACACAAGACATAAAAAATGAAATTAAAGAGATACAATACAATGAACAAGCATTTCACTTTCTTTCCAGAACATAGAAATGTCTTTTGGACAGAAACAGTCATGTAAGACTATACTAGTGTTCAATATAAGAGGCCTATCTCCAAGATAAGGATTTAGAGAATGAAGGAAACATTTTAAAGAAGAATGGTTATGAATAACCAAGTTGAGAATAAACATTGATTGCTAACAACTACAGATTAGTGAGGAAGGTATCAGACTGATTTTCAAGCTCAGTTTAAACATTAGTTTGGAGGGTTGTAATCCTACATGTATTGAACTGTTTTAATAAAGTATATTTTATTTTACTTTTTTCTTAAAAAATTTGAGTGTGCTACTGTTTTTCTCTGTTTCTCATACTTTAAGCCTGGCTAGACCGTGGCCCAAAGAACTAATGGGATCATTACTCACCTAACAGCAGGATATAGTAATTGCACATAATAAATTCAAAAGAAACATCTTCAGATGCTGAACTTGCAAAAATAAACATATCAAGTGAGAAAAACCTTACCTCAGTGGTTCTAAATCCTGAAAGCACAGAAATTCCTGGCAATGTTTTAAAATGCTCAGGCCCAGGCCCTCATCCCACCTCGATCCGGTTATACCTTACTCTCAAGAGAGTTTCGCCCTAGCATGGAAACTTTGCAAAAGCTTCATAGGTTATTGTGATGTGCAGCCAGTGCTGAGGACTGCTGCCCTAAATCCATCACCTATTGAGGAAGCAATTAGGCCTCAGGCTAGTTAAAGCTCCATACCAGCTTCATTAGTTTTTTCATCTCAGGTCTCAGGCCAACATCTCTTTCTTCCTTCCAAAACCCCTTAGGATTTGTCTAGAGGGCCTCTTTTCTACAGCTGTTACCACCTGCTCTACCACTTATAGTTCCTCCTTTAGGGTAGGACATAAATATTTCCATTTTGCTGGATTCCTTTTCTGCAATTCGTCTTCTATACTTTTAAGAGTTTTAGTGCAAAATAAAGAAATAATAAAATATACCTTGCGAAGACTATAAAGATTTTAGTTAATCCTTAAAATATCTATTGCTTCTTGAAATACATATATAATATATATATAAAATTGCCTTGCTATTTTCCCTTCCTAGCCTCTGTTCTTTGATGATATTAGGAAACAATTCTCTATACTTTTTTATTATTTTTTTGGTTTCTTTTTTAAATTTTGGAGACAAAGTCTTGCTCTTTCATCCAGGCTATAATGCAGTGGCACGAACACGGCTCACTGTAGCCTTGACTTCCCCGGCTCAAGCAGTCTTCCCACCTCAGCCTCCCAAGTAACTGGGACAAAAGGCCCACACCACCAGACCCAGCTAGTTTTTGTATTTTTTGTAGAGACAGGATTTTGCAATGTTGCCCAGGCTGGTCTTGAACTCCTGGGCTCAATCGATCTGCCCGCCTTGGCCGCCCAAAGTGCTGGGATTTCAGGTGTAAGGCACCACTCCTGGCCTTCATTCTATTATTTTTATTCACCAGGGCTTGAGTTTATGAGGATTCCTGATAAGAATTCCCAGACTTTCCATTCGATACCATTCTTAGAGATCCCAATGATTTTACTAAGGCAAATATTTCAATATATAGATTTATATACATATATATGTGTGTATACACATACACATGCTAGTTTTCTATAGCAGAGCATTCAACTGCTTTAAGATTGCAGTTACTTACACTTCAGGAAAACTGATTTGTGCAATCTTCAATTTTTCGTTTTGCGCAGGAAAAATCAACCTGAGTTTTCTGCTACTGTGTATTGAAAATCATAACATGTATGAAGATAAAATAGATATAAAATTTAAATCTAAGCCAATGGAATACAAATTTTTTATTTGTTCAATTTTTTCTGAAACATGCCATGCAGTAGTTAAATTAGAAGCATTGGATGAAACTGAAAACAGAGGGAAGCATAAATATTAACTGTCATGATAATTTCTGATCAGTAGTTGTAAGAATTTGTTAAAATGCTTCTAAATCTTAATATGTTTTAATACCATAAAATATATTTTTGAGGTAAGCCAGTGTCATAAACTCTTGTCTAAATACAAAACAAATTCCTGAACATCCAATTCTAGCAAACTTCTGTTCATTTAAGTAAAAATGCTGGGAAAGTTTAGTTCTTTCACCAAGCAAATACAGGAAGAATTTAGGCCAGGCGCTGTGGCTCACCCCTGTAATCCCAGCGTTTTGGGAGGCTGAGGTAGGAGGATCATTTGAGTCCAGGTATTCGAGACCAGCCTGTGCAAGTCAGTGAGACTTCATGTCTACAATAAATAAGTAAAATTAGCCTGGCCTGGTGGTATGCACCTGTAGTGCCAGCTACTTGAGAGACTGAGATGGGAGGACTGCTTCAGACCAGCCGGTTGAAGTTGCAATAAGCTATGGTCTTGCCACTGCACTCCAGGCTGGGTGACAGAGTTGAGACCCTGTCTCAAAAAAAAAAAGTTCTATTTGTAAGGTTCTTATATCGGTTCGAACCCCGAAAGTGCACCGACAGACAACACCAGGCAGAGTGAAGCAACATGCTGTTTTAATGAGCGCCTGGGTGCAGGTAGGCTGAGGCCTAAAATGGCGTCAGCCCCAAATGAGGACGGGGGAGGGGTTTTATAGCTTCCTGTAAACAGGAAGTGTCCCAGTCTGTCGTAACTGCCTTGTGGTACCGGGATGGACTCTCTCGATCTTCAGGGATAGGTGTCTTGCAGCAGGGTACATGTCTTCTAACCGGCTCTCTTCCTGCTTCTGCTATCTTGCTGGCGCAGGCTGCTGGCACAAATAGCCTTGCGCCTTGGAACTGGGCCTAAGAAGGGAGGAGTTACTCATGCCTTCAAGCTTTCAGGCCCTGGGGAGAATCTTTCAAACAATTTCCATCTTTCAACAGATCCAAGTGTTTGCTGCACTGGTCAGAATCACTAATCCTAGACAATGCTTATTTACTATGGTCTCTACTCAGGAAAGACAGACTTTTTACTAGCACAAGTTCGTGATCAGATGCCATTAATACTGTATGGGAGAAGACAGAGAGGAGAGATGAGCTGTTTTAGCACTTTGTAATTTTTCATCTAATATGCAAGTAGCCATTTTCCTTTAACTTGCTCACTTTTTCTTCACTTCAAAACTCAAACACAGTAAGAAGCTTACATCTAAGTTATCAATGTTTTATTTACTCCTTTTAAAATGAGACTGACTTCTAGCTCAACATTCACTATAGCATAATAGTATTGAAATAAAACAAGTAAAAAATGCCAATATACTAGTTATAATGGAATTTAATGTATGCAATTTAATATTAAAAATACAGATGCTGAACCTGATTTAAAAGGCCTGAGGAGATTCAAGAGAAGCTGAGATTTGCCCCAAACCCACCCAGGATAAAGCTACATGATTTTGAAGAGATCACTTTTGAAGAGAATAAAATACCATATAAAATAAGAGTTAAAAACAAAAACAAAAAAAGAAGTAGAAGAAAATCCCAAAATCCAAGAAAAGTCTTTGGATAAGAAACATTTGATAACCCATACTTAGTTTTTTACTTCTTGAATTACTCTTCACTGAAATTCAGCTACGCTTAAGGGGATGGCATTGGAGAATTTCTTTCCATATCTATCTTAAGGATCTTTAATTTCAGTTGAGAAGCTCTGATGCTTCTCTAAGGCTTATTTATCTTTAAAGGTCCATAATTGCATGCATAATGCCACATTTCTTTTCATTTGAAAAAATGTGCCTGATGAGTTCTACTGCTTCACTTCAGTAGAACCATGCAAGTCTCAGACAAGTGCCTTGTAATCTTCCCTCAGCAATTGGGGGATGCAATAATCTCCCTGATCTAGAACAATATTGACTTCATATTCACTACTGGCTGTGGTGTTATTTTATGTGTGCATATATATGGATATAATATGTATATTATATATTATATTACATGTATTGAGACCAGCCTGGGCAAGACAGTGTGACCTTGTCTCTATAAAAAAATAAACAAAATTAGCCTGGTGTGGTGGTTCAAGCCTGTAGTGCCAGCTACTTGAAATACTGACATGGGAGGATCGCTTGGGGCCAGGAGATTTTATATATATATAATATATTAATAGTATATAATTATATAATAATATTAATAGATAATAATATAAATCAATAATAAATATTATTAATTAGTAATACTAAAAATATAAATTAATTGGTATTGTGTATAATTATATAATAATATGATATGCAATGTTATATATGCATATATATAATATATAATGGTATATACACATAAATAGGTATTATATAATGTTTTTTGTCCACCGCTCCTGGCTCATAACTCCCATAGCCCCTGTTAGAGTATTTTGTTATCATGTTGGGCATGTTAGGCCTTAGGGGAAGGCCTCTGACCTCCTGCTCTCCTTTCACCTGCCCCAAGGCAGGACTCTCATCTTTCCCGCCTTTCTGATTGTGAGTCTTAAGACCCCCACTAGAGCCGTCCCGCCTTATACACTGGGGGAAGAAATGCTGACATCATTAGACTTCCATAAAAACCCAAGAGGACTGGGTTCGGGAGCTTCCAGATAGGTGAACTCATGGAGCTTCCTGGAGTGTCCTGCGCCCAGGGAGGGCATGGAAGCCTCTTTCCCCATATCTTGCCTTATGCATCTCCTTATCTGTATCCTTGGTAATATCCTTTATAATAAACCAGTAAACATAATAGAATAATTAATTTCCCTGAGTTTTGTGAGCTGCCCCCGCAAATTAATCAAACCCGAGGAGGGGGTTTTGGGAATCCCAATTTGAAGCCAATGGGTCAGAAGTTCCAGAGGCCCTGACTTAACGACTGGTGTTTGGGGTTAGGGGCAGTTTTGGGGACTAAAACCTCACCTTATGGGATCTGACACTGTCTCTGGGTAGACTGTGGAATTTATTTATTTATTTATTTATTTATTTTGAGATGGAGTTCTGCTCTTGTTGCCCAGGCTGGAGTGCAATGGCACGATCTCGGCTCACCACAACCTCCGCGTCCCAGGTTCAAGCAATTCTCCTGCTTCAGCCTCCCGAGTGGCTGTGATTACAGGCATGCGCCATCATGCCTGGCTAATTTTTTTTTGTATTTTTAGTAGAGACGGGGTTTCTCCATGTTGGTCAGGCTGGTCTCGAACTCCTGACCTCAGGTGATCCGCCAACCTCGGCCTCCCAAAGTGCTGGGATTACAGGCATGAGCCACCACGCCCGGCGACAGTGTGGAATTTAATTGGAGGACACCCAGCTGGTGTTCACTGCTTGGCATGTGGGGAAAAATCCCCACGTTTGGTCACCGAAGTCTTCTGTGTTGATGATTGTTGTGGTGGTGGTATGAGAGTAGAGGAAAACACAACTTGGGAGTCTTTTCAAAACACTGGGTATTTTTGAAAATAAAGTGTGTAACAGCTTTTGCTAATAAATGGGCTTCCTTCAACAGAATACAGATATTTACAAAATAAATAAATAAATGGGTTCCCGTGGAGACAAGGCTAAAATCACAGTAACAGAGTTCAGTTGTAATAAATAGCAATGAATACAGTGGTGTTTCTGCAACAGAAGAGGCCTAAGCTTGTTTGAGTCAAAAGACAGCTTCCAAACCCTCTGTGTCAATATGACAACCTGACTTAAGATTTTGTTATCTTTTGGACACCTGATTTTAGGCATGATGAGAGAAGAAAATAATAATTTTCAATTTTATTATTTTATTTTATTTTATTTTATTTTATTTTATTTTATTTATTTTTTTGAGACGGAGTCTCACTCTGTCGCCCAGGCTGGAGTGCAGTGGCCTGATCTCAGCTCACTGGAACCTCCGCCTCCCGGGTTCAAATGATTCTCCTGCCTCAGCCTCCTAAGCAGCTGGGACCACAGGCGCCTGCCACCACACCCAGCTAATTTTTTGTATTTTTAGTAGAGACGGGGTTTCATCGTGTTAGCCAGGATGGTCTCGATCTCCTGACCTTGTGATCCACCCTCCTTGGCCTCCCAAAGTGCTGGGATTACAGGCATGAGCCACCGCGACCAGCCTATCTTATTTCATTTTAAAAGAGGGATTATTATAGCAAACCCTATTACTTATTATTGTGAAAGGAAAATAAATTTCAGGACCCCAAAATCACTAGGCCAAAGGAAAAGTCAGGCTGCGAACTATGTCAGGCAAACCTGCTTCCCATTTTATTCCTAAATAAGATAGCTACCACGATAAAAAGCTACATACCTCCCGCACAATTTGCCCACAAGGAAATTCCTTGTGGACAAAACAGGCAGAACTCAAAGTCATCCTTCTAAGGCTCACCTGAGACAAAGGCTTATCTGATTGCTTTCTCTGCCCTATTTTGTAAAAATGCAGATTCACCGAGGCAGACTAAATTGTGCATTCAGTGGAAGGCTGATCAAGGACTCAAAAGAATGCAACCTTTTGTCTTTTACCTACTTATGATCTGGAAGCACCACCCCACTAAGTTGTCCCGCCTTACTGGATGGAACCAATGTACATCTTACGTATATTGATTGATGTCTCATGTCTCTTTAAAATGTATAACAGCAAGCTGTACCTCAACCACCTCAGATGTGTGTCCTCATGACCTTGTGAGGCTGTGTCACAGATGTGTCCTTAACCTTGACAAAATAACTTTCTATACTGATTGAGTCCTGTTTCAGATACTTTCTGGTTTACATTATCTAACGTTAACAATTTTCAATAATCATCATCAATGATCAGTAATTGATATAAGAAATAGGAAAATGGAGCTCTTCTCCTTCCGGAAGCATTCTGTGATGGAAAGGGCCCCGGATAAGACTTGGAAAGATTTAGATTCTATTTGCCAGTCTTGGGAAAAAAGAATTTTAATACTAGTGAGGCTTACAATAATTAAGATAGTCACAATGAATATATGACAAGCTGATCTGAAAAAATTAGACACTAGGAAATGGAAAGAATTATCATTGATGATCGTCAATCCCTAGGAATTTGTTTTCTCTGACCCAGCATTCAATTTTGTTCAAAATACTGTAAAAGTAATTGCTGATGGTAAAGAAAATTTTCAACTGCAACAGTAATATTAACATTGTCCTTACGGTGGGTTTTATGAGTCCTTGACTGGGAAGAGTGGAATGGTACTTTTTCCAAGACTGCTGCAGGGTTCTAATTTCAAAAGATTATGGTGGATGTGAGAAATACAAAAAGGGAGCTCTTCTTCTCCTTCCAGAAGCATTCTGTGATAGATAGGGCACAGCATAAGACTTGGAAAGATTTAGGTTCTCTTCCCAGCTCTGCTGATAAGAGGCTGAGTGTCCATTCACGGAATAAGAGTGAAACCGCCTTTCCAAAACTATAACTAAGGAAATTATGACACTGAAAGATACCTGAGCTAACCAACTCCATCTTGCTTCTAACCTCTAAACTGTCCTTGTTCATTTCTGGGTATAGGCCAAACTAGCCTTGGGAAGGAATTTAGTTTACAGTTTAAATAACAAGAGCCCTTCCCAAAAGCTAGACTGTTCTTGTAAAATGAATGAAAGGCCACCAGCCACCCAAGTTAGAATGAGAAGGGCTGGAATCCTAAATATTACCAGCCATTATTCCGGAGGTCATAAGATTCACAACTTCCCCAACTTCTCTTAAAGGTAACATCACTATTGTGAACCTCAGATCTGCCTTTTGAGATGTCTTTTCAGGTTTTTGCATTTCTAACAACTGGATGGTCCCACCTGGACCTGCCAACCAGTTCTGTGGCCTCCCCTCAGAAGCTGAGTCAGCATAAGAAAAAAACTTCAACTCCCTATGATTTCATCCCTGAGCCAACCAATCAACACTCCTGATTCACTGCCCCCTGCCCCCCACCAAATTATCCTTAAAAACTCTGATCTCCAAGTTTTCGGGGAGATTGACTTGCATAATAATAAAACTCTGGTCTCCTGCACAGCCAGCTCTGCGTGAATTACTTTATTTATTTATTTATTTATTTATTTATTTATTTATTTATTTATTGAGACAGAGTCTCGCTCTGTCCCCCCAGGCTGGAGTGCAGTGGGGCTATCTTGGCTTACTGTAACCTCCACCTCCCAGGTTCAAGAGATTCTCCTGCCTCAGTCTCCTGAATAGCTACAACTGCACATGTCACCATGCCCATCTATTTTGTTTTTTTTTTTTTTTTGTATTTTTAGTAAAGATGGGGTTTCACCATGTTGGCCAGACTGGTCTCAAACTCCTGACCTCAGGTGATACGCCCTCGTTGGCCTCCCAAAGTGCTGGGATTACAGGCATGAGCCACCCCACCGGCCAAATTACTCTTTCTCTATTGCAATTCCCCTGTCTTGATAAATCAGCTCTGTCTAGGCAGAGGACAAGGTGAACCCATCGGGCGGTTACAAAAGGCCACTAACAGAATAAAGTACCATATTAAATAATAACTAAAAACAACAACAACAAAAATATACAGCAGGGAATTATGCCAAGTCCAAAAGCATTTTAAATGACAGCAAATTGAGGCCTAAAATGGCCACGATGGTTAAAAAAAAAAAAATGAATGAATCAAATCTAATCTAATCAATGTCTAGATTTAACCACCGCTTATGGAGGATAGAGGAACAAGTGAAATAACCACAAGGAGACAGTCTGCCCTATGCAAAATAAAACATCTTACAGGAAAAAATGAGCCAGTTTCTTTTTCCCTCCCTCCCTCCCTCCCTCCCTCCCTCCCTCCCTCCCTCCCTCCCTTCCTTCTTCCCTTCCTCCCTCTCTTTCTCTCTCTCTCTCTCTCTCTTTCTCCCTTTCTTTCTCCCTTTCTCTCTTTCTTTCTTCTTTTCTTTTCCTTTCTTTTTTGAGGCAGGGTCTCACTCTGTCACTCAGGCTGGAGTGCAGTGGTGCCATCTTAGCTGGCTACAACTCCTGCCTCCTGGGCTTAAGCAATTCTCCTGCCTCAGCCTCCTGAGTAGCTGGGACTACAGTCACGCACCACCACACCCAGCTACTTTTGCATTCTTAGTAGAGACAGAGTTTGGCTATGTTGGCCAGGCTGGTCTCGAACTCCTGACCTCTAGTGATTCTTCCGCCTCAGCCTCCCAAAGTGCTGGGATTACAGGTGTGAGCCACCGTGCCCAGCAGAGCCAGTTTCTATAACAAATTTCTGCATAAAAAAGTGACAGATGAGCCTGTGCAACACAAGGAGACCCCATCTTTACAAGAATATTAAAAAAAAAAAATTAGCTGGGTGTGGCGGCACGTGTCTGTGGTCCCAGCTACTTGGGAAGCTGAGGCAGAAGGTCGTTTAAGCCAGGGAGATCAAGGCTGTATGAGCTGTGATGGTGCCATTGCACTCTAGCCTGGGCGACAGAGGGAGACATCTGTCTAAAAAAAAAAAAAAAAATTAGAGGTGTTTACTAAAGTATTTACAAAGGAAATTACATGATGTCTGAGACTTTCTTTTAAAATTTTCAGGAGCCGGGCGCTGTGGCTCACGCCTGTAATCCCAGCACTTTGGGAGGCCGAGGCGGGTGGATCACCTGAGGTCAGGAGTTCGAGACCAGCGTGGCCAACATGGCGAAACCCCGTCTCTACTAAAAATACAAAAATTAGCCGGGCGTGGTGGCGCGCGCCTGTAATCCCAGCTACTCAGGAGGCTGAGGCAGGAGAATCGCTTGAACCCTGGAGACGGAGGTTGCAGTGAGCCGACATCGTGTCACTGCACTCCAGCCTGGTGACAGAGCGAGACTCCATCTCAAAAAAAAAAAATAATAATAATAAATAAAAATAAAAATAAAATTTTCAGGAAAAGGAAGCAAGAAAGAAGAAAAGAAAAAGGAAGGGGAAGAGAAGGAAGGAGGGAGGAAGTAAAAAGAAATAAAGGAAGGAAATAGGTATAGGTGGAAGGGATAGATGAAGCAAGATTGATAGAATGTTCATTTTTGTTGAAACTGGGTAATTGGCACATTCTCTCCACTTTTGTGTACGTTTGGAATTTTTCACAATTAAATATATTTTTAATGTCTGCTTTGGTTCATTCTGGGGCATATGCTACTGATGTCAGTCAGTCTGCTTCTTGGGACTTACAGGCTGAGAATTTTTCATTCTATTTTAAATCAAACAAAATACAATAGTAGCACTTAAAGAACACAGGCAGTCACTATGTAGGATAGGCTTATGCTAGCATTGTTTTCCTGTCAAAATTCACTATTGCTGAAGGACTATTTACTTTCTACTTATTCACCATTTCTGTAACACAACATTTTCTACCTCTTGGAATTCTGTGCTTTATAAAATGCTATTTATAAATTAAAGACTGCATGAGTCCTCAAGCCTGGCCGCTTAGAATACAAATGAAACAGAGTAGTTCTTGTACCTCCAGAATGCCCATGAAAGTACATTTCATTCTGAGAACATGGTCATGGACTTCTAGGTGAAAAGGCCTGGTAGCAAATCTAAGCTTTACTAGTTAAGGTTGGCAAAATTTGTCAACTCAAGGTCCTAGCCCTGGGCAGATATGAATTATGTGGCTGTCTCCAACATTGTACCTACCTGGAGAATTTGACTTTGTTCAATAACAAATTTTGGTTTTATCAAGGGCATCTGCCCACATGAGCAAAAGCTAATAAACAGTAATTGGCAGGTAGGCACTCAAATATAAAAACAAAACAGTATTTGGTGGGGCTGTAACTTCTTTGTGCCCACGTTAGATTTCTCTCAGAATTCACTCCGCTGACAAAAACCTCTTGGTAGGTTTTTAATATGTAGAAAGCAAATGTCAAATAACAATTTAACTTAAGATCTGAACTTGATTTTGAAAAATTAGCAAAATTTTTGTATATGAATTTGCTGTTAGGGTAAGTTCTTAGCAGAATTCTTAACATTTTAGAGCTGCTGTTAAACGATGAGTAGACCAAAATGTGGTTGATTTTTTTCAAAATTGGAAGAAAATTATTAAAGATCTTTAATGATATTTCCAATGCTGTATCTTCAAGCATCCACTTTCCTCTGGATAGAGTCCAAGCACAAGAAAATTGAGGCAAGTCACAGAAAGGCCAAAAATTCGTTCTTGAAACACTCCCAACAATTAACATACATTGAAATATATTGCTTAAAAGAGCTGGCATTTATTTTTCAATGTGCTTTTTAACAGAAATGTAAGATAAATGCTGAATATGCATGTGTGTAGATCAATAAATTTTTACAAAGTGATCATAACTGTGTATCCACCACCCAGGTCAGAAAACAAAACTGCCCAGCAGTGCCCTCTGTACACTGACCAGTTACTACCCCCTCATCTCCACTCTAAGCCTTATCGTGTGCTCTATCAAATTCATTTTGCCACTTTTAAACCTTATATAAATGGAATAATGCAATATGATATTTTTATATCTACCTTCTTTGTAAAATTTTATATCTACTAACATTGTAAAATTCATTTATGTGGCTGCAATTGCTTTTATTTTCATTGCTAAATAGTATTTCATTGTATGACTCTCCCATTATCCAGTCTCCTGTTGATGGACATTTCGGTTGTTTCCTGTTTGGGGAATTATAAATAGGGCTGTTACAAAATTCTTTTTTTTTTTTTAACTTTAATTTAATTTTAATTTCTTTTTTAGAGACAGGATCTCACTCTGTTGCCCAGGACTGAGTGCAGCGGTGTCATCATAGCTCACTGCAGCCTTAAACTCCCAGGCTCAGGCATTCTCCCACACTACCTCCCAAGTAGCATGGGATTACAGGCACAGGCCACAGCTCCCAGCTTTTCTTATGAAATTCTTGTGCTACCTTTTGTTGCACATATGAATGCATTTGAGTATATGTAGATGGCACTTGTTTTAATAAAACCTGAGATTTATGGTGCAGGGACCATATTTTCTTTATCTGTGTGGTCCCAGGACCTATCAGTGCCTGGTACTTAGTAGATATCCAATAAATCTTTGCTAAATGAATGAATGAATGGATGATTTCTGAGGACAATTGTTTTTCCTACAGAACTTAATGCTGCACCATTCACATTAGTATATTTTGGGGTGTCATTGAAATCTTTCTGTTTGTACACATGTCAATTTTCCTTTCCAGAAGGTTTTATCATAGAGGTTTTCTGTATTATGTATCTGCAAATTGTAACTGAAAAGATTGATGCTCTGCAGGCCCCTCAAACAACAGCATGCATATTAAGACTGCCCTCTGCCTACTGCTGTTTACAGCTTGCCTTTTTGCTTTTTGAACTGCCTGACACTTTTGCTTAAAGAGTCATTTATCACTGATGGTGCATTCCACAGTTATCTGCTATTCTTTTTCCAGTATACCATAACTAGGCTTTCTTGAGTTATCTCTGGTTATAATATTAGCTGTCACAAGTTGGTTACATAAACTTAAAAAAGTGAACTTTAAACTAAAGTTTTTGACTTTTATCTTTTTGCACTGTAGGCGTGGGACAAAAAAGAGCACTTTTTGAGGCTATATTTACATGAAATGGGAACTGCTATGGCATATGCTGCAGGTGCTGATATATAGTCAAAAAATGGCCAACAATATTAGTATCTTACCTTATTTTACTCTCTCTAGTTCCGAAAATGTTAATTTTTCATTGTGGGTGGCATTCATTAATATAATGAGAAGATGGTGGAATCTGACAAAAAAAAAATCACAAGTTCTTCATGAAACTATGAACACAAGAGCCGGGCACAATGACTCACTCCTGTAATCCCAACACTTAGGGAGGCTGACACATGAGGATCGTTTCAGGCCAGAAGTTTGAGACCAGCCTGGGCAATATAAAAAGACCTTGTCTCTCCAAAAGTTTACAAAAATTACCTGGGTGTTGGGGCACACGCCTGTAGTCCTAGCTATTCA
Organism: Homo sapiens; assembly: GCF_000001405.40. Lineage (NCBI taxonomy): Eukaryota > Metazoa > Chordata > Mammalia > Primates > Hominidae > Homo > Homo sapiens. The sequence goes on along the minus strand of NC_000004.12, from coordinate 128,727,223 downwards.
GGAGGCTGAGGTGGAAGGATTGCTTGAGCCCAGGAGGTTGAGGCTGCAGTGAGCCAAGATCACACCACTGACTCCAGCCTGGGCTACATAGCAAGACCCCATCTCAAAAAAAACCCCAAAACCACCGGCCGGGCATGGTGGCTCACACCTGTAATCTCAGCACTTTGAGAGGCCGAGGTGGGCGGATCACAAGGTCAGGAGTTCGAGACCAGCCTGACCAACATGGTGAAACCCCATCTCTACTAAAAATACAAAAATTAGCCAGGTGTGGTGGTGCACACCTGTAATCCCAGCTACTCAGGAGGCTGAGGCAGGAGAATCGCCTGAACCCGGGAGGCGGAGGTTGCAGTGAGCCAAGATCATGCCATTGCACTCCAGCCTGGGACAGAGTGAAACTCCGTCTCAAAAAAAAAAAAAAAAAACCCAAAAAACCCCAAAACCAACTAAACAAAAAAACACTGACCAAATGCTTAGCCAAGTAGACTTCAAGAGTGTTTCAGATTAGCTGGGCATGGTGGCGGGTGCTTGTAATCCCAGCTACTCACGAGGCTGAGGCAGGAGAATCACTTGAACCAGGGAGGTGGAGGTTGCAGTGAGCCCAGATGGTGCCACTGCACTCCAGCCTGGGGCAATAAGAGTGAAACTCTGTCTCAAAAAAAAAAAAAAAAAAAAGAGTGTTTCAGGATTCAGGATTATGTGACTTCTCACATTAAGGATCATCTAGAGCAGAAGACCCAACAGAGTTGGTAGCTCAAAATAATTTGCTCTAAGAACTTTAAAAATTAAAAATAATATATGATTTACTACACAGTTTAGTTGGAAATAAAATATCTTCATGAAGAGAGTGGTTTAGTGATATCAACCCAAAAGGCTTTCAGAGGGGCAACATCTAAAACAGACCGTCACTTCTAATGGTGTGTCCAATTAACTTAGAAATATCCTTGACATTTTTCCTCTGGGAAGAAAGACTTTGGGTGACAGTTTTTTTATGTTACTGTTGTTTGGGGTCGTGGAATTTTTTCTTCTCTGTTTTCAAGCCTTTAAGCAAAAAGAAATGGCCTTGAACCTAAGCACTGGAGCTTTATACCTCCTTACATACGTGTAGCTACTTTCTGGGTCATTGCACTTGTAGGTTCCTTTTTTTTTTCTTCCCAAAGTCATTTTGATAGCTCATCATTTAAAAACGACTGTTCTCAAAGGCTTCTTCCAGTTGTCTTTTAGATGACTGATTACAATCAGAAGAAGAAAAAAGTAAAATAAACTTTAAAGGGGAAAAATCCAAACCATTTACATCAGTGCCATAAAACTATTTTAGAAAACTAGCTTTCTATATTTTAATGCTTTCCATGTCTGAGGCATTTCTCCAGACTTTGGTGCTATAATTGTAACACCATCTTGACACTTCTACTTTTAAGCCACAAAGTTTTGTCTTTTCCTTTTTCAAAGAAAAAAAAAAATGTTGGAGCCAAGTGACCACTATGCATACTCATGACTCAGGTAATGGAGGCGCAGAGAAAGGTACACACTGAACAAGCAGATCTATATCCTGTGTTTGTTGATGGCACGTGGACTGGGGAAGGTGGCCAGGGCACTGAAGAAAGCAGAATGACTGAAGTTTGGACCTGTTCTGACAGGGCACTGGGGACACTGCCTGTAGGGAAGCCAGCAGGGAAGTTTCCTTTGTGGAATTTAGAAAAATGGGCCCCTGCAGGCATAGGAATTGACCCTTTAGACCTGTTAGAAAAAAAGCTCTTTTTTCCCCCCAAGTTGTTGCAAAAGGATTTCAGCCTAGATGTCAGCCCTTGCTCTATCCCTGAATCTGGTGCTCTGTGCAGGACACAACCCGTAAGATCACAGGCTGCAACCATGCCTTCATGGCAGCCTTGTAATTTACCAGTCCTTTGGCTGTCCCACCCCAAAAGGGGCATTTGTCTAGTTCATGTTTGAACCATCCAGAAATGACCTTCCCTACTCAGCCTCATTGTGACAGGAATTTTGAGGCATAAGCAGCTTGCTTTTTTTTTCTTTTGAGATGGAGTTTCGCTCTTGTTGCCCAGGCTGGAATGCAATGGTGTGATCTTGGCTCCCTGCAACCTTCGTCTCCCGGGTTCAAGTGATTCTCCTGCCTCAGCCTCCTAGGTAGCTGGGATTACAGGCATGCACCATGACACCTGGCTAATTTTTTTTTTTTTTTTTGGATTTTTAGTAGAGACGGGGTTTCACCAGTTGGCCAGGCTTGTCTCGAACTCCTGACCTCAAGTGATCCATCCGCCTAGGCTTCCCAAAGTGCTGGGATTATAGGCGTGAGCCACCGTGCCTGGAGCATAAGCTGCTTTCTGTGCACATAGTTTGGGACTGTTGAAGAAGGAGATAGGGAGAGATGAAGATAAACAGGCTCATCTTAAGACCTTTAAAAAAAAAAAGGAGTCAAAAAAAAAAAGCTGCAGTAGGCAGAGCTGGGAAAACTATTTATAACAGATAGAAAAAAGGAAAATCATATTTACTAAATGCTTCTCACGTGCTAGATATAGTTAAATGCTTTATTTATTTATTTATTTATTTATTTATTTATTTATTTATTTATTTTTGAGACAGAGTTTCAGTCTTGTTGCCCAAGCTGGAGTGCAATGGCATGATCTCGGCTCACTGCAACCTCTGCCTCCCGAGTTCAAGCGATTTTCCTGCCTCAGTCTCCCAAGTAGCTAGGATTACAGGCACGCACCACCAGTCTTGGATAATTTTTTGTATTTTTAGTAGAAACAGGGTTTCACCATGTTGGCCAGACTGGTCTCAAACTCCTGACCTCAGGTGATTCCACCCACCTCGGCCTTCCAAAGTGCTGGGATTACAGGTGTGAGCCATCGCGCCTGGCCAGGTGCTTTATTTCTTATAAATATTACCTCTTAATCGTCAAGAAACCCTAAACATTAGATAGTGTCTTTATTCTTCCAATGAGTAAAGAATCTAAATCTAAAAGAGAATATGTAAATTGCTTAAAGTCACTGGGCTAGTAAGTGGTAGAGTCAGCCCCCAGATATTATAACTCTTAATGACTAGCTTTTTCATTTCTCACAAACTGACACTTCCTGTCCCCAGATCTGACACAGGTGACCTGGGTCTGGATGGTGTGACAGGGACTACTGGCTACCTTCCAATATCCATTGTCTGTTTCTTTTTATTTATTTATTTATTTATTTATTTATTTATTTATTTATTTTTTTGAGACGGAGTTTCACTCTTGTTGCCCAGGCTGGAGTGCAATGGTGCGATCTCGGCTCATTGCAACCTCTGCCTCCTGGGTTCAAGCGATTCTCCTGCCCCAGCATCCGGAGCAGCTGGGATCACAGGCGCATGCCACCACCCCCAGCTAAATTTGCATTTTCAGTAGAGACGGGGTTTCTCCATGCTGGTCAGGCTGGTCTCGAACTCCTGACCCCAGGTGATCCACCCGCCTCAGCCTCCCAAAGTGCTGGGATTACAGGCGTGAGCCACCGCGCCCCGCCCTGCTTCTTTTTAAAAGCAGAACTCTGATTTTAGCTGAACACGTGGCCACTTAACTAACAGACTACATGTTCCAGTCGCCTTTGCAAAAGGTCACATGACTTATTCTGGCCAATGACATGTAAACCGAAGTGTGTTGTAGAACTTCCTTGAAGTTCCTTAAAGGCAGGACATGCATCTCCTTTGTCTCTTGTTAGTGCTACCTAAAATATGTATATAATCTTGAGCCGTAATGTTATCTTAGCAATAGAAGTTAAATATGGCAGAACAAAAGATGGAAGTAGGTTGGGTCCCTGACAAACTATCCACTTCCAAACTTCCTTTCTCTTTTTTAAATATTTATTTTATTTTTAATTGAGAAACAATAATTGCATATACTTGTGGGCTCATGTGGAATAATCAAATCAGGTTAATTATCATATCTATCATGTCAGATGTTTATCAGTTCTTTGTGGTGAAGACAAAATCCTCCCTTTTAGATATTGTAAAACGTATAGTACATTATTAACTATGTAGGTTGTGCATTGCACAAGGGCATTTTCCCTGAGAAAGGGGCACTTGTCTTCTAATATGCACAAAGGAGCTGTCTGATGACCAAGCAATTGCCTACAGTTCTACGTCTGCCCAGGCACTGTGTAGAATAGCTGTATACTTGTTTGTGACAGTAAGACTTTAACCTCTACTGATCTTAGTTTTCTCACTGGTAAGTTCCCAGGACCTGTGTTTTCTTACCTAAGCTAAGAACACTGGAATAGATAGGTTTAGGTTCTCCACAAGGTCTAAGAAATTCTGTCCTATTTTCTCTTTACAGAGACTCTGTGACCACTCAATCTAAAACAGTCACCCCTCCAGAGCCATTCTTTATTATACCATTTTATTATCTTCGTATATCTGGCCATTATCTGGATATGTTCTGTTCATTTATTGTTTACTTGTTTATTGTTTGTCTCCCTCCATCCCACACCATTCTAGAATATGAGATACATGAGAGTAGCAATCTTATTTGTCTTGAACATTGCTCTCTTCCCCATCACCCAGAGGTCCTGGTACATAGTTTCCAGTAAGTATTCATTGACAAATGAATGGATAGTTTTGATAGCGATATGAAATATTTTTTAAAATTTCACAAATACAAAGTACTATTATTAGCAGTAATTTAGGGTAATTTGTAAATGTTATGTTACTCTCATCAAGACCTTTGCTTTCCTTTATGCCACCTATCACATTTACCATGGAGACTTTTAAAGTTTACAAGGTAAGAAGATGATAAAAGAGAAAGACCGAAGTGCCTGTGTATAAATGAAGAACCTGGTGGAGGTGTCTTAGCTGTTATGCTATGCCTGAGTTAAAACAGCAGTTATGTTATTTTGCCCATTCAGAAACATCGTTTTAATACACATCTGGAAGGCCATCAGTTCAGGCTTTTTGCCACAGTAGAAGAAACCTGTCACAGAATAACCAAGAGATCACTGCTTTGCTCTGAATATAGAATGGAAACACACAGGTGATGAGTGAACCATTCTTTGTTTCGTGTGGGGAATCCTCCAGGCACATTCCTCATTTCGAGAAAGGTCAGATTTTTCCCACTCCCTGTAACCTTTCTCAAGTAGTCAGGCCAATCAGAAACTCCTCTTCCATCCCAGCTGCTGCGTCTGTTTCACTGGCCTCACAGTCCAGGATCCATGCTGGCTTGCTACTTGTGGAGCAGTCAGGGTACGAATTTGTTTTTTTCCTGAATGCTAGGCCCTAGTGGCTAGGGTCATCCCTTTTTAAATGACAGCTTTCTTTTGATTTCATATAGGTACCCTGTTCAGGCTTAAGAAGAACAAAAAATAAAGAGGAAGAGTTAGAAAGGAAAAAGGAAAACCAATGAGGGGAACGTTTGGTCATGACTGCTGCTGCTGTGAAATATTAAAATGCCAATGACATTATCCTGCTCATAAACAGAATAGAGATGCACAAGCAGCATTTGCAGCGTGTGATAAATGTCCTTAAAAGTAAGAAGGTGTAAAAATGAAATGAGATAGAAGACAGAGCAAAAAGGAAAAGCATAAGATGCAAATAAACAGCAGAAAAGAAGCCCTTCCGATCACTCACATAACTTGTTAAATAACATTTTAAAAACAGAAATGGTCGAATACAACTTCATGTCTTCAGTGTCTTGAACCTTTAGTTAGAAAAAGTGCAGGCCGAGCATGGTGACTCACGCCTGTAATCCCAGCACTTTGGGAGGCAGAGGCAGGCAGATTACGAGGTCAGGAGTTCAAGACCAGCTTGGCCAACACAGTGAAACACTGTCTCTACTAAAAATACAAAAATTAGCTGGGCGTGGTGGCATGTGCCTGTAATCCCTGCTACTGGGGAGGGTGAGACAGGAGAATTGCTTGAACCCGAGAGGCAGAGGTTGCAGCCAGCCGAGATTGCGCCGCTGCACACCAGCCCCGGGCGACAGTGCAAGACTGTGTCAAAAAAAAAAAAAAAAAAGAAAGTGCAGATGTACTGAATATGTAATACTAGGGATGGTTCTTCTAAATAAAAATGCTGCAGGTTCATATTATATTAACTTAATAAAGTGAATTTTTGAAAAATAATGTTTTGGCCATTTGATCATTTTATAAGATGTAATGGGATACAAAATAAATTTCTAGGTTAGAAAAGCAACTTTTTAATAAGATTAACAAAGAACACATGTAATAAGTCCAAGGTGAAATACTTAAAAATACATTAATTTGCTGGGCACAGCGGCTCATGCCTGTAATCCCAGCACTTTGGGAGGCGGTGGGGCAGGGAGGGAGGTGGACCATCTGAGCTCAGGAGTTTGAGACCAGCCCGGCCAATGTGGTAAAACCCCGTCTCTACTAAAAATGCAAAAATTAGCTGGGAGTTGTGGCAGGTGCCTCTAATCCCAGCTACTCAGGAGGCTGAGGTAGGATAATTGCTTGAACCCAGGAGACGGAGGTTGCAGTGAGCAAGCCTGCGCCACTGCACTCCAGCCTGGGTGACACAGCAAGACTCCATCTCAAAATAAATAAGTAAATAAATACATTGATTGGTTTTAAGACATGCTATTCCAAAATATGGCGCCTTGGCATATTAAATATATTTAAGATGAAGGAATTTGAGAACAGCAGAAGCAGGCAGGTTACTCTCACCTTCCCCGAGCCCCTCCCCCTCCCTGAAGGAGGTCATAAAACCTAGGAAGGTCACTTTTTGACCTACGGGCGTTTCTCCCCTGAAGCAGGTCATAAGAACCTCATGTGAGAAGTGCCCTCCTGATAGCTGGAGGGAAGGAACATCTTTATCTTTGAAGACACAGGGACACAGAGAAGAGAATCTGAACAAACAGGCCTTACTAAGATCCCCCAGTTTATTATTATTAGATCATTTTTTTTGTCCTCTAGTGATATTTCTCCACAATTGACTACTCTTCATCAAACCTAAGCATAAAAATACACAAGTTTCTTTGTTACGTCTTCATTTCCTTATGAATGAAGCCCCCCCCGTCAGGTATAAGATATTAAATACATTTGTGTGTTTTTCTGTTGTTAATGTCTTTTGTTATAGGGGCCTCAACCAGGAACATAGTGATGGATGAGGAAGAGATATCTCTTTTACCCTATAACATTGTAGGATATGCATATATCAGAAGCAGTAATGTCTTCAAATAAAGAAGACAAATGAGCAAATTCATTAATTAGAGTTTCATTAATAGTTACATCTTAGGATAGCTATTTGTTTACTTAAATAATATCCTGGATCTTGATTAACATGTGAGTATATAAAGATATTATTTGAGCTTTTGTTTCTGCTTTAAAAATCTTTTATACATTCTTTGAAAATGATACCACTCACTAATGCTTATTAATGATAGAATTAAAAGATAAAAACAATTCAAAAATGGCTAGGAGTTAAAGTCTGTGACAATGTGGTAAGGTAAAAATAAGATCAGACTTTGAAATTAGGTAGACCTAGGTTATATTTTGACTCTACCACTTTTTTCCAAAGTCTTTAATAATATATTTAAATTCTGAGCTTTGGCTTCACCACCTTTAAAATGGGGAGATTAATACCACCTCACACAATTGTCAAAATTAGCACAATGTATTTGAAAACATCTTGGTCTCTGCTGAATACACCAGAACTCAAGAAATGATATGATAATGTTCCCAGCTTACCTGCTTAGGAAACAAGCCTGTGCTCAATTTCTGCATGCAAAATACTCAAATTTAAAATAGTAACCACCTTTGGATTTTCTGAAATAAACCTAAAATAAAAGGCATCCATGAGGGAAAAATTAAGACTCAATTTACCATGGGATGCATACTTACAAAGAAGGTTATAAGTCTTTATTTTTACTTATGTATTTATTTATTTTTACATTTTTTGTAGAGCTGGGGTCTTCCTTTGTTACCCAGGCTGGTCTTGAACTCCTGGGCTCAAGTGATCCTCCCACCTCAGCCTCCCAAATTGCTGGGATTACAGGCATAGCCACTGTGCCCAGCCTTAGTCTTTAGAAGTCAACAAAAGCCAAATACTGAACTCAAATGTTTCCTCTGAGGCTTGAAAAGTTTTAGAAAATATACAAGTCATGGTATCATGATATCATGATAACTATCATGATTGCTATGTAGACATCAATTTTCTAGGTTTATAAAAATGGGCTAGGTTCAGCAGGGCTCAGACTGAGCTGGTAAGATTGGCTTCTGACTCACCAAGCTCTTCTCTCTAAAATGACTGCTATTTCATGAATTTAAACAAGTGCCACAAGTGCTCATTTCCATGTGTGACATTTTTGATAAACTTCCAGGTTTTAAACTGGTTGAGAGAGCCAGATTACAAGCCAAATTTGCTTAGTGTGAACAGTGAACTAACTCCAACATAGCCCCTCTCAGACTTTCAGTGAAATTCCTCGAATATTAGCCAATTACTTTAGTGTGAACACAACTAGCTAATCACTTTTCAACATATATAAAAAGTATAATGGGTAGAAAAGGGAGTTATTTGTAACAGAAAGATCTTTGGAGGAACCCAGGAGTGAATGGAGCCTTTTAGAAGCTCCAAGTAACAAAACAATTATGGTGTACCACCTCATATGTAATTCAAAATAAAGACTATTCCAAATCATATAAAAAGAATAAGGAACTCTAACAAAATTCTGATTTTTCACATGATGATGACTATAGAGGTCTTTTTAAAGAAATGGCAAATGTTAAATTTAAGACATTTTTTCCCTCTGTTTCCCTTGCTTTACTGAATGATGCACCAAGTTGTCAACTGCCAACTCCCCAAGAAGCCACCAGAATAATCTGTTGATCAAGTGCGGCTGAGTTTGTTGAACCTCCTGCAATGAGGGAGAGCATCACCTTGACAGAGTTCTAGGATTATCCCAGAAAGGGAAGACAGAAGCAGAAATACATAGGGTGTAGGGTGATCTTTTTTTTTTTTTCTTTTTTTTGAGACAGAGTCTGGCTCTGTCACCCAGGATGGAGTGCAGTGGTGCAATCTAGGCTCATTGCAACCTCCACCTCCCCTCAAGCCATTCTCCTGCCTCAGCCTCCCAAGTAGCTGGGATTACAGGCGTGCACCACCATGCCGGGCTAATTTTTGTATTTTTCATAGAGACAGGGTTTCACCATGTTGACCAGGCTGGTCTCAAACTCCTGACCTCAGGTGATCCACCCTCCTCAGCCTCCCAAAGTGCTGGGATTACATATGTGAGCCACCGCACCCAGCAGGTGTAGATCTGATGGACACAGCAATGAGAGGGTCCTAAAGCAAGTCTTGATAAGTGCATAGTTGTTTGATAAGAGAACTATTTGCCCAGGTAAGTGAATTTATTGCCCTGAGAAGAGGGCCATTTGCCCACATGAGCAACTTTCAAATAAATTGATTTTCAGGAATTTCCTGACACAAACAGTGAAATTATTTATTGCTCTACAAGTTTATCTTCCTGGGCAAGAATTTACTAGAGCAAACAGTAAGTCATGTTGCTACAGGTGGTCTCATTTCTCTGACCTGATAGCTAAGCTAATGGAACCAATTCTCATTGTCTAACATGGACTTGAACACTAGCAAAAGCTCAACATTAAATAAGATATTGAATTAGGAAAAAAAGAGGGGGAAGTATGGGGCCAGTCAACAAAGGAATGTGAAAAATAATTTCAAGGAGGCTTGGATAGTTGCCTGCCTTCTCCAGAACAGTGGGATTAAAGGACTTCAAAGTTCAACTTCTGCCCCAAACTGTCCAGATACACCTAAACTCATAGAAGCAGAGTTCTCTTCCAGGGAGAGAAGGTTCAACTGCAACTTATGTAGACCTGATGAACCTATTTGACTGGTCTAAGATGCTTAGATCTAATGGTGTGTTCCTCGAGGGCTGAATCTGCTCGTTCAATTTTGTATCCCTAGCCTAGGACACAGAGACATTAAGTCCTCAATTCATGCAACTGGAAATGAATGAGACTATACTAAAGGTAATAGATTGGCTCTGAATGGGGAGGTAGGTAGATCATATATAGGTATAGATTTGCCTGGTTGATAAAAAGCCCGTGTTTAAGAAGCTAAGCATTAACCACATGGGGAATTTTGGACTAAGAAAAGACCATGAAGATGCTTAAAGGACACAGAAACAGATGAGATAAAGGAAAGAGCAGAGAAGAAGAGGAGGCACCTGATAATTTAAAAATCTTGTATTTACATAGCACTTTTTAATGTATTTTTATTTATGTTATTTTATTGATCTGTACAACATTCTTGTAAGCAAAGTAGAACAAGGATCATTATCACCATTTTATGGACAAGAAAGTTGCGGCTCAGAGATGGTTAAGTGTCTTGCCCAAGGTCACAACACTAAAATTGCAGATGGGCTCTTGGGCCTAGATCTTCTAAAGCATTTTGCAACTGTTAAGATTTGGAAGCAGAACTAAAACTGTGAAAAGAGTGAGAGAAGTGTTTCTCTTTACCCCTCCAACCATAAGGACCAAGGTTTGCCGAGTTGTAAGTTCTGTAAATAGACAAGAGTGTGCTGTGAACTGTAATTGAATGGGAACTGCCAATGGAGTTGTCAGACCCTGTACACTGTGCCTGGGTGCCCTGAACATAGCCTCTGAACCACCAGAAGTCTACACTGCCATCATTTAAGCACAGATGACTGTTTTTATGCCAAAGTCCTGCGTGGCCACGTGTTTCCACAGGCAGCAAAATTTTAGTATCCCTGTCTGGCTGGGCTTAAGTTTTTGGCAAGAATTCCCTCTTCCCTTGTGAACATCTTGGAAAGCTTTTAACTGAGCACAAAGATGTTTATTTTGAGAAGCAAAAGGGACTAACTAAATACGTCCAAAACCAATCTCTACCTCTCCCACCAGATGATCCTTACTTTTATCATGTAAGATATTTTGCTACCTCCACCATCTAATAGGCAGAGTACACAGGTGATACTATCGGGACTGCTCTGAAGAAAATGGTGACTTCTAGCCCTGGAGAGGTATTAAGAGTCTAGGGTGAAAAAGCATTGAGGGAAGTAGAAACGGACAGCAGTGGTGGTTGTAGGAGGGGAAGAGTGGTACTGTTATGAAACTGAACAACCAAACGTTATGTGGGTGCCCCCCAATTGCCCGATTATTTCTCAAGTATCTTTTTGGAATGGTTTTTACTCTGGTTTTAGAAGGAATCATGTCCACACATAGAATATAATTTGGCAGGCCTTAATAATAGTGTCAAATATCACATGGTCAATAACTTTTGGGGCATGTTGATATAAAATCGTGTCATTTTAGAATTATAATATACCTTAGGGTAACTGGTTCAAGTTTCTCATTTGAGAGATGAGGAAACTACGAATCAGAAAGTTAATTGACTCTCTTGAGGTCATACATACTTCAGTGGTAAACCTAGGGTTGTAAGGCAAAACTCTCGATTTTTGTGGTTATTGCAGTGTATTGTGAAATAGCTTTTCTGAAAGCTAACATTTCTTGTTTTTATTTTTTATTTTTTTTTCTTTCCACACTGAGTTTCTCACTCTTTTAAAACGCTATCAAACTTCCCTTCCAGTGCGTGAAGGGACCTAACAAAGAAAAGGCTGAAGTTAGCACAGGGAAAAGTACCTCTTCTAAAAGTTTGGCTCAGGGACACCAACTTCAAAATTTCCCTTGAAGTATTTAATAGAATTATGGTAGTTGGGGGGCAGGGGGAGTGACTTAAAATGGAGAGAAAAGGCCGGGCATGGTGGCTCATGCCTATAATCCCAGCACTTTGGGAGGTGGAGGTGGGTGGATCACTTGGGCCCAGGAGCTCAAGACGAGCCCAGGCAACATAGCGAAACCCTGTCTCTACCAAAAATTGCAAAAAATTAGCTCGGCATGGTGGTTCATGCCTGTAGTCTCAGCTACTCTGGAGGCTGAAGTGGGAGGATCGCTTGAGCTTAGGAGGTTGAGGCTGCAGTGAGCTGTGATGTTGCCTCTGCACTGCAGACTGGGTGACAGAATGAGACCCTGTCTCAAAAAAAAGTGTGTGTGTGTATGTGTGTGTGTGTGTGTATTGGAGGTGGTGAATGAATGTCTCATAAGTGAGAAGACAGATCCCTGAGGGTCTGGGGACAAATGAAAGCACACTGGTTTAGATCAAGATGAAGTCTGAATTTCTTCATAGTGAAAATTGCAAAAAATTTATGATTAGGTCCTTGAAGTTACTGTTTGTCTCAGCTAAACAGAGCCCTTTTTGAGGTATTAACTGGTATTAGAGAGAATAACATCACTAACCCCAACAGATGGTGTAAACTTATAAATCAGTCTTATCTGGAGAGACAGAAGATCAGTATGACTTGGATCAATGCTACCTTTATTCTTCTAGAACAAATGAATGTGTAGAGGCCAAGTGGGATAGGATGCCTCTGGGATCCCTCAGTACTTGTAAGTTCTTACACTCTTAATATTCAGTTTTCCCAGTCCTTGACTTTGTCCTTTATGATTGTACCAAGCACCATAGTGCCTTTGTCACCAAGTTCCATGATTTAAAAGTAGATATTCTGGGTTTTTTGCCAATACTAGGCAATCTTGGTTGCATTTCTCTAAGTACATTTTATTTTTCCTTTTCAGGTCCAAAAGATACTAAATTTTCCCCCATAATTACACTAGACAATTTATCTCCTTGTTTTTAAAAAAGCAATAGCCATTGGATATTATGTTTCTCCTTTGCAATGGTTTGAATGTGTCCTCCAGATTTTATGTGTTGGAAATTAAATTCCCAAATTCTTATGTTGATTAGAGATAGGGCTGCCTTTGGGAGGTAATTAGAATTAGATGAAGTTGGTCGGATGCCGTGGCTCATGCCTGTAATCCCAGCACTTTGGGAGGCCAAGGTGGGCAGATTACTTGAGGTCAGGAGTTTGAGACCCGCCTGACCAACATGGAAAAACCTCGTCTCTACTAAAAATACAAAATTAGCCAGGAGTGGTGGCACATGCCTGTAATCCCAGCTACTCGGGAGGCTGAAGCAGGAGAATCGCCTGAACCTGGGAGCTGAGATCATACCATTGCACTCCAGTTTGAGCAACAAGAGCAAAACTCTGTCTCAAAAAAAAAAAAAAAAAAAAAAGGGCCAGGCGCAGTGGCTCACGCCTGTAATCCCAGCACTTTAGGAGGCCGAGGTGGGCTGATCACGAGGTCAGGAGATACAGACCATGCTGGCTAACATGATAAAACCCCGTCTCTACTAAAAATACAAAAAATTAGCTGGGCGTGGTGGCGGGTGCCTGTAGTCCCAGCTACTCAGGAGGCTGAGGCAGGAGAATGGCATGAACCCAGGAGGTAGAGCTTGCAGTGAGCAGAGATCATGCCACTGCACTCCAGCCTGGGTGACAGAGCAAGACTCCATCTCAAAAAAAAAAAAAAAAAAGAATTAGATGAAGTCATCAGGGTGGGGCCTCCATGGCGGGACTGGTGGCTTTGTAAGGAGAAGAGTGATCTGAGCTCGCGTGCTCCTGCCCTCTTGCCATGTGATGCTCTCCACCATACCATGATACAGCAAGAAGGCCCTCACCAGATGCCAGCACCATGTTCTGGGAATTCGCAGCCTCCAAAACCATATGCTAAATAAACTTCTTCCTTTTATATATAAAGGGAATTTATATATAAATTACCAATTTGTGGTATTCTGTCATATCAAAAGAAAATGGACTAAGACACTCTGCTCCTAAGAGGATACCAGTTTGAGGGTCCTTGTTAATAGTGCTGCTGTTTGCAAATTGTTATTTTGTTTTTTAGCAGACTTGTTTACTTCCTGAGATTTGTTCTCTGAAGCTGACTCCTGACTTCAGCTCAGATACAGAGAAATTCTGATAAGCCAAGAATCAAAGCAACAGACAGAAGAAAATGGTTGCCTATCTTTTAGATCTAAAAGACAGACAAGTTGCAGATCATTTAAAAGGGAAAGGAGAAGCAGCAGCAAAACAAACTGCCACACTGATTATGATGGAAAGTTACCAAAGTAATTAGGGTACTGATCTTTTGTTCTCCCAGGCAGCATTCTCAAAAGTCTTGAGGACTTTTTTGTTCTTCACTTGGCTAAATGTAGAAAAGTTTCTTGTTTGACTGTAATAATGTTTCAGTTTTCTAGGTAGGAGGTGTTTTTCCTGATTTCTAATAAGTATCAAATTGTTGTAATTACATTATTTGCAGTTTATGCTCCTCAGAACTTGTTAGGGCTTCTTCCTTCCTCTGACACTGAAACTTAACTTTCAAAAATTGTTCTTTCTTTTGATATCCAAGGAAAATAATTTGAATGATGATGCTACAGTGGTTTGGACTTTTAGGTTCCTTTTTCTCTTTGGATTACAAGGTTGACACTTAAAAAAAAATCTATGGGCCAGGCATGGTGGCTCACTCCTGTAATTCCAGCACTTTGGGAGGCCGAGGTGGGCAGATCACCTGAGGTCAGGAGTTCGAGACCAGCCTGGCCAACATGGAGAAACCCGTCTCTACTAAAAATACAAAAATTAGCCAGGCGTGGTGGCATGTGCCTGTAATCCCAGCTACTCGGGAGGTTAAGACAGTAGAATCGCTTGAACCCAGGCGGCGGAGGTTGTGGTGAGCTGAGATCGCACCATTGCACTCCAGCGTGGGTGACAGAGTGAGACTCCATCTCAAAAAACAAACAAACAAAAAACACAACTATGACTATTGTGGGCCTTCACAACTCTGAGACATCTCAGAGTAAGTTGACAAGCTTTTGTTGGCCAAAGAATGGGAGTTCCCTAGGACATCTGATTCTGTGAAGCTGTTCAGTAAGTTGGGAATTTTATCTGGAGCACAAAGTACCCAAACCCATTTTTTAAGTTAAGAAAGTGTGGTTTTTAAAAAAAATAGATTCACAAAATCTTAGACACACTTCTATGATTTGAATGTTCGTATCCTCTCCGAATTTTATGTTGAAACTTGCTTCCCAATGTAACAGTATTAAGAGGTGGGGCTTTTAGGAGATGATTAGGCCATGAGGGCTTCACTTTCATGGATAGGATTAAGGCCTTTATAGAACTTGAAGGAATGGGTTGGTCCCTTTTTGCCTTTCCATTTCTTCTGCAACATGAGGACACAGCATTCATCCCCTCCAAAGTGCCCAGCAACAAGGCACCATCTTAGAAGAAGAGATTGGGCCCTCATCAGACATCCAACCTGCTAGTGCCTTGACCTTAGATTTCCAGCCTCCAGAACTGTGAGAAATAAATTTCTATTCTTTATAAATTACCCAATCTCAGGTATTTTATTATAGCAGCTGGAAGAGACTAAGACACACACCTCCTTCAAAAGCTGTAGCCTAATTCCTCTCCCTTTGAATGAATGTGGGCTGGACTTAGTGAACTGCTTCTAATGAATAGAACATGGTAGAAGTGATGTCATGTTATAGCCAATGCTAGGTTATAAAAAGGATTATTTCTGCCTGGCTCTCACTCTAGTAGATCACTTGCTCCGGGGAAAGTCAGTTGCTAGGTCATGAGAGCACTCAAGTAGCCCTGAGAGAGTCTATGTGGAGAAAATCTGAGCCCTGCCCCCAAATCCAAGTCACGTGTGTGAGCCATCTTGAAAGGGGATCAAACCTTCAGATGACTGCAGCCTCAGCCAATAGCTTGATTCTAGTCCCATGAGAGACCCCAGGCACCCACTTAAGCTGCTCCAGAACTCCTGACTCATAAAACTGTCAGAGATAATAAATGTTTATTGTTGTTTTAAGCCACTAAGTTTTGGGGAAATTTGTTATGCAATAATAGATAATGAATACAGGCAGCAATTAGCAGAGGATACTGTTCTATTCTTGAAACCCTCTAAATGAAAATAACAATTAATGTACAATCAGATAATTATTTTTCCCCAGCTATTTACATTTTATTCTCATTCATTTGAATCACAGAAATTCCACCAAAAATGCTCAGAATCTCTACTTTTCCTTGCATCTGTACACATTTGAAAGGTTGATATGTATTATTTGCATGTGAATGCACGGATGTGTATGAAATAGGAACACCAACAAATAATAATAATAATAAAAAGAAAGGAAGAAAACTGAAAGTGAGGTACAAGAGGTACAAGCCCCCTATTCTCTTTAAATATTTTATACCTTTTATCTTTTCTGAAATACTTTTTTGTCTTGGAGAAAAAGCTTCCAAGCATGCCGATTGCTGTGGCTCAAGGTCCTAGCTTACTGTAGGACCTCTTGCTCCTTAAATGAATTTCTGGTAAGTCCTCATCTTTTGCCCTCTGACAAAAGTATCTTCTATGGCACAGATCTGAGTGTATCACCTTTTCACTTAAAAATTTTCAAAAGTTACTTATTGTATACTAGATTGAGGTCTGTCATTCCCCTGTAACACCCACCCCAATGCCTGCCCCACATACATAGTTGTGTACAGAGCTCAAAACAGGACATGTCTGGGAGAATGCTTTATAAGCTGTAAGGCATAGACAAGTATGAGGTATTCTTCTCCTTAACATTCTGTAATACCTCATAAAGTCTCCCATTTTCTAGGAGATTAGAATCTGCTGGCAGCCTGGGTTTAGTAGTATCTTTCTTTTTGGTGATAAGGTTTACTGGAGTCTTTTGAATTAACTGCTCTTTCCTACATAGCACAAAACCACTATATTTTCCTATCCCTTTGCCAATCTTTTTTGTTTGTTTGTTTGTTTGTTTGTTTGCTTTGAGACGGAGTTTTGCTTCTGTCACCCAGGCTGGAGTGCAGTGGCGCAATCTTGGGTCACCATAACCTCCACCTCCTGAGTTGAAGCGATTCTCCTGCCTCAGCCTCACAAATAGCTGGGATTACAGGCATGTGCCACTGCCCTCAGCTAATTTATCTATTTTGGTATAGACGGGGTTTCGCTATGTTGGCCAGGCTGGTCTCGATCTTCTGACCTCAGGTGATCCAACTGCCTCGGCTTCCCAAAGTGCTGGGATTATATGCGTGAGCCACTGCACCTGGCCTCCTTTTGCCAATTTTAATGATGAACTTGGAAATCTCTACTCATTTTTTGTTTCAAGAGAATTTCGAAAGCAAAGGCAAGTTCAACTCCTGTGAAGTTGGCTGTTAATGTAATCTATCTGAAATGGTGGATGGGAGTTGATGAATAGCATCTTTCTGCAAACAAGCAAACCATGAATTTCGTAAGTTTTAGGTCAAGCTGAAATTATATAAGGCCAATCATTTTTCAGCATTTCATTAACTGGGTGGGATCTTTGGTAATTTTTTGAATCTGTGCCAGTTACTAAGTTTTTTCTTTTTCTTTTTGTTTGTTTGTTTGTTTTTAGGCAGAGTTTCGCTCTTGTTGCCCAGGCTGGAGTGCAATGGGGCGATCTCGGCTCACGGCAACCTCTGCCTCCCGGGTTCAAGCGATTCTCCTGTCTCAGGCTCCCGAGTAGCTGGAATTACAGGCATGCGCCACCACGTCTGGCTAATTTTGTATTTTTAGTAGAGACAGGGTTTCTCCATGTTGGTCAGGCTGGTCTCGAACTCTTGACCTCAGGTGATCCACTCGTCTCGGCCTCCCAAAGTGCTGGGATTACAGGCGTGAGCCACTGCGCCCGGCCCTCCAGTTACTAAGTTTTTACTCTCAACTTTAAATCCCAGTCTTTGATATTCTGCTTTGCCAGTGGCTTCCCTTTAGGCTGTGTCAACAGTGGGTGCAGAGAGACTGCTAGGCTGTGGGAGGAAGAAGGGACTTGATCCTTCCTGTCTGTTTTCTCGTTGCTTCTTGTTTGGCTTCCTGTCTTCTTGTGCATCCGGTGAGCTTTGCTCCAGCAACACCTCTTCCTCCCTGAAGCAGCAGTTCCTTCCCATAGCAGCAGCTGAATCCACCTTGTAATTTTCCAACACCTGCAGAACCAGCTTCACCCCTGCCTCACCACCCACTAGCACCCAGCTGGTGGGGGCTTCTTCCTTACATGCCTGAGTTTCAGCTTTCTCTAAGTTTTGACGTTTTAATAATTCCAATATCTTGCCTGGCTCTTTCCAGCCCTAGAAGTGTATGGTAGCCAAGTGAATGTCCCTCATAGAACTTCAACTATAAGGAGTATAATTAGGGTTGCTGGATTTAGCAGATAAAAATAATGAATTAAATTACAGTTAAATTTGAACAACAAATAATTTTTTATTGTATGTATATACTATGCAATATTTGGGACAAACTTATACTACAAATTTCTTCGTTGTTTATCTGAAACTTAAATTTAACTGAGTGTCCTACATTCTATCTGGTAATCCTAATTACCAGATAGTGTAATAGTGTCCTACATTCTATCTGGTTACCTAATTACACTTAGGTAACCCTAAGTGTAATTGACCAAGGGCCCCAACTACTGCTCTTTGAAACCCCTCCACTGCAGACCTCGCTCTGAGGCCACACTTCCCAGGGCCTGCTCCCACTAACTGAGAACACCGGGGTACTGAGGCAGATTCCTGGGAGACCTGGCACTCCTCTGACCAACAACTTTGGCCCAATGAATTTCCTATGGCTTTACTGAAACTTTCTTAGATTTTATAGCCCCTTTTTCCTTCCCTAGGTTATACTTGCATCTCAGTCTGTGGCAGCTCTCCCAGCCTCCCTCCGTTTCCTTCCACACAGGTATTTCCCCTAATGGAATCCTCATAGGTTTAATCTGTCTTCATGTCTACACAGGGTAAGCTATGCAGGGTTGCTACAAGGTGCTAGCAACTTCCTATAGTCACTACTCTGTGATGCTTTCATATTCCTCTTTACCCTCTCAATTACCTAGTAAACAACTTAATACCTTGCTAACAATTCTTTATATTAAATCCACTGTCTTCAAATAACTGTTGTGGTTTCTGTCTCTTGACCGGACTCTGACTGGGTACCCCTGAGGCTGGCAAAAACTTTAAATTGTTCCAGGAAATGTAAGACACTAAGCCATTCCATTAAAGGGATGTGGGATGTTATTTTCCCTTAAATTCCCTTGTTATTTTACCACAGAGTTGGCAAAACAGGTTGAGCAAGATGACTGCCTGTTATAAATGTGGCATCAGACATTTGTTATGTTGTGTTCGATACTGAGAGTCACACTTGGACACATTGGCAAACCAGAACGCCTCCGCAGGAAGGTAATCATGAAAATGACAAATCTCGAAGCGATTCCCAACAAGGGGTGTGCTTATTTAATCTGGAGAAGAGAAGAAAGGCTCCGGGAGGATGGGGTGGCTGTTTTCAAGTATTTGAAGGTCAGTCATATGGAAACTGGATTAAACTTATTTTGCATGGCTCCAGATGTTAGAACTGAAACCAATCAGCAGAGCCAGAGTAAGGCATGTGGGCTCATAATTTGGCAGCCATGCAAGCCTGTATCTCTTCAATATTTGTTAAACATGTCTCTAGCGAGAGTCAGAAGAATTTTTTTTCTGCTAATAAAATGTATGCAGCTTTTTATGCTCAAAATAAAGAATCTATTACATGTGAAAACATAACATTAAAATTTTAACTTTTTTTTTTTTTGAGACGGAGTCTCGCTCTGTCACCCAGGCTGGAGTGCAGTGGCGCAATCTTGGCTCACTGCAACCTCTGTCTCCCAGGTTCAAGCAATTCTCCTGCCTCAGCTTCCCAAGTAGCTGGGATTGCAGGCATGTGCTACCACGCCTGGCTGATTTTTGTACTTTTAGTAGAGACGGGGTTTCACCATGTTGGCCAGGCTGGTCTCGAACTCCTGACCTCGTGATTTGCCCGCCTTGGCCCCCCAAAGGGCTGGGATTACAGGCGTGAGCCACCGAGCCTGGCCACGAAAAATTTTTTAAAAGTTAAAATTTTAGGCCTGGCGTGGTGGCTCACGGGTGTAATCTCAGCACTTTGGGAGGCCAAGGCTGGCAAATCACGAGGTCAGGAGTTCGAGACCAGCCTGGCCAACATGGTGAAAACTTGTCTCTGCTAAAAATACAAAAAATTAGCCAGGCCTAGTGGCGGGCGCCTGTAATCCCAGCTACTCGGGAGGCTGAGGCAGGAGAATCGCTTGAACCCGGGAGGCAGAGGTTGCATGAGCCGAGACTGTGCCACTGCACTCCAGCCCAGCCGACAGAGACTCCATCTCAAAAAAAAAAAAAAAAAAAAAAAATTCCAGTTTTTATATCACGCAACACTTACTAGGTAAGAGTAGAGGTAACTTACATGGATATTATTAAAAATCCTGTCTAGATATATTTAAAAGTTCCTTCATCTAACTTTTATAGAGTCACACACTTTTGTTTTTTTTTTTTTTTTTTTTTTTTTTTTTTTTTGAGACGTACTATTGCTGTCACCCAGGCTGGAGTGCAGTGGCGCGATCTCGGCTCACTGCAAGCTCCAGCTCCCAGGTTCACGTCATTCTCCTGCCTCAGCCTCCCCAGTAGCTGGGACTACAGGTGCCCACCACCACGCTCGGCTAATTTTTTGTATTTTTAGTAGAGACGGGGTTTCACCGTGTTCACCAGGATGCTCTTGATCTCCTGACCTCATGATCTGCCCACCTCGGCCTCCCAAAGTGCTGGGATTACAGGCGTGAGCCACCGCGCCCGGCTTTTTTTTTTTTTTTTTTTGAGATGGAGTCTCGCCCTGTCGCCCAGGCTGGAGTGCAGTGGTGCGATTTCGGCTCACTGCAAGCTCCGCCCTCTGGGTTCACGCCATTCTCCTGCCTCAGCCTCCTGAGTAGCTGGGACTACAGGCGCCTGCCACCACGCCCGGCTAATTTTTTGTATTTTTAGAAGAGACGGGGTTTCACCATGTTGGCCAGGATGGTCTGGATCTCCTGACCTCGTGATCTGCCCGCCTCGGCCTCCCAAAGTGCTGGGATTACAGGCGTGAGCCACTGCGCCTGGCCACTTCTTTCTTTTATCTAATGCTTACTATATTTTCATCTTAGATTATTTTACAATTGTCTAAATGGAAAAGGTATTGCCTAATAAAGGGTTTACAGTTTAGATAATAAAATAAACTACCCATTCCTAGTAAACAGCACTGCATAATTGGGCTTTGGAACATCGGATGACCACATCTTCAGACTCCTGTGGGCTGGTGTTGAAATTGGGGGACTAGCTCTTTGTTGCTTTGTGCTACTTACACATCTGCCTCTCAAAAATACTCAACAAAGATAGCTTAGTGTAGATGAGGAATATATGTTTTTACATTTTCCCTTAAAAACGCTATTTCCATGCAGCAAGACAAATTCGCATGGTTCTCTGTTATGTGAGGTGTGATGTGTGGAGACGTATTAACTAGCACCATTTAACAATTGATTTTAGTGATTTTTCAGCACCCCTTTTTGATAAATGCTCACACTGCTGCCTGGTTTGTCTATTCCTTAATGTAGATCTCCAGTGGGTAAAAGTTACAGGGCAGCTGTATATATTTCTGCCAGTATAAGCAAGACCTCATTAAGAACTAGAGCTTCCAATAATAAATTGAGCTCCTTGCGAAGCAGAGCGTTCTTCAACATGGAATGTTACTTATGGATTTTTTTTTTTTTTTAGACGGAGTCTTGCTCTGTCGCCCAGGCTGAAGTACAGTGGCACAATCTCGGCTCACCACAACCTCCACCTCCTGGGTTCAAGCAATTCTCCTGCCTCAGCCTCTCAAGTAGCTGGGATTACAGGCACCCCCACCACCGCGCCCAGCTAATTTTTGTATTTTTAGTAGACGGGGTTTCACCATCTTGGCCAGGCTGGTCTCTAACTCCTGACCTCGTGATCCACCTGCCTCAGCCTCCCAAAGTGTTGGGATTACAGATATGAGTCACAGCACCTGGCCTACTTATGGATATTACAGAAAAGAATTCTATACTGTGAAGGAAGATAAACTGGAATAATATATAGAAATAATTCATATAAATAAATGTAAAGTTCAGTTTTCTGAGATTTTAACAGTTTATAGAAGACTAGCCAAACAATGGTTTTATAATTAACAAGATGTTAAAACAACCTCATTAAAAAGTAGGCAAAGGGCCAGGTACGGTGGCTCACGCTGTAATCCCAGCACTTTGGGAGGCTGAGGTGGGCAGATCACTTGAGGTCAGGAGTTTAAGACCAGCCTGGTCAACATGGTGAAACCCTGCCTCTACTAAAAATATAAAAATTAGCCAGGCATGGTGATGCATATCTGTAATCCCAGCGACTGGGGAGGCTGAGGCGCAAGAATTGCTTGAACCCGGGAGGCAGAGGTTGCGGTGAGCCGAGATTGCGTCACTGCACTCTAGCCTGGGCAACAGAGTGAGACTCTGTCTCGAAAAAAAAAAAAACAGGCCAAGCGTGGTGGCTCACACCTGTAATCCCAGCACTTTGGGAGGCCAAGGCGGGCAGATCACGAGGTTAGGAGTTCGAGACCAGCCTGGCCAACATGTTGAAACCCTGTCTCTACTAAAAATACAAAAATTAGCTGGGTGTGGTGGTGCATGCCTGTAATCCTAGCTACTCAGGAGGCTGAGGCAGGAAAATTGCTTGAACCCAGGAGGCAGAGGTTGCAGTGAGCCTAGATCGTGCCACTGCACTCCAGCCTGGGGGACAGAGAGAGACTCTGTCTCAAAAAAAAAAATAAAATAAAATAAGTGGGCAAAGGACATGAACAGACACTTTTCAAAAGAAGACATACATGTAGCCAACAAGCATATGACAAAAGCTCAATAGATAAATCATTAGAGAGCATCAGAGAATGATCATTAGAAAACTACAAGTCAAAACCACAATGAGATATCATCTCACACCAGTCAGAATGGCTATTATTAAAAAGTCAAAAAATAACAGATGCAGGTGAGGTTACGGAGTAAAAGGAACATTTATACACTGTTGGTGGGAGTGTATGTTAGTTCAACTGTAGCAGGACAAGCCGCAGACAAAACCCCTCAGACACCGAGTTAAAGAAGGAAGGGCTTTATTCGGCCGGGAGCTTCGGCAAGACTCATGTCTCCAAAAACCGAGCTCCCCGGGTGAGCAACTCCTGTCCCTTTTAAGGACTTACAACTGTAAGGGGGTACGTGTGAAGGGTCGTGATGGATTGAACAAACAGCGGGTATGTGACTAGGGGCTGCATGCACTGGTAATCAGAACGGAACAGGACAGGGATTTTCACAGTGCTTTTCCATACAACGTCTGGAATCTATAGATAACATAACTGGTTAGGTCAGGGGTCGATCTTTAACCAGGCCCAGGGTGCAGCGCCGGACTGTCTGCCTCTGGATTTCATTTCTGCCTTTTAGTTTTTACTCCTTCTTTCTTTGAAGGAAAAAATTGACCGTAAGACAACATGAGGGGTGATCTCCTCCCTTACAACCATTGTGGAAAGCAGTGTGGAGATTCCATAAAGAGCTAAAAACAGAACAACCATTTGACCCAGCAATCCCATTACTGGGTATATACCCAAAGGAATATAAA
Organism: Homo sapiens; assembly: GCF_000001405.40. Lineage (NCBI taxonomy): Eukaryota > Metazoa > Chordata > Mammalia > Primates > Hominidae > Homo > Homo sapiens. Next base: position 128,703,843 of record NC_000004.12, on the reverse strand, counting down.
TCATTCTACCGTAAACACATGTACACGTATGTATATTCCAGCACTATTCACAATAGCAAAGATATGGAAGCAACCTAAATGCCCATCGATGGCAGACTGGATAAAGAAAGTGTGGTACATATAGACCATGGAACACTATGCAGCCATAAAAAAGAAGGAGACCATGTCCTTTGCAGGAACATGGATGGAGCTGGAGGTCATCATCCTTAGCAAACTAATGCAGGAACAAGAAAACCAAATACCGCATGTTGCCACTTATAAGTGGGAGCTAAATGATGAGAACACATGGACACAAAGAGGGGAACAACAGACACTGGGGCCTAATTGAGAGTGAAGGGTGGGAGGAAGGAGAGGATCAGAAAAAATACCTATTGAGTACTAGGCTTAGTACCTGGGTGACCAAATGATCTGTTAAACAAACACCCATGACAGGAGTTTACCTATATAACGAACCTGCAAATGAATCACTGAACCTAGAATAAAAGATTTAAAAAAAAAAAAAAAGTACAAGGCTGGGTATGGTGGCTCACGCCTATAATCCCAGCACTTTGGGAAGCCGACGTGGGTGGATCACTTGAGGCCAGGCATTCAAGACCAGCCTGGCCAACATGGTGAAACCCTGTCTGTGCTAAAAACACAAAAATTAGCAGGATGTGGTGGCACATGCCTGTAATCCCAGCTACTCAGGAGGCTGAGGCAGGAGAATCACTTGAACCCGGGAGGCAGAGGTTGTAGTGAGCCGAGATCCCATCACTGAACTCCAGCCTGGGCAACAGAGCAAGGCTCTGTCTCAAAAAAAAAAAAAAAAAAAAAAAAAAGGTACAAATTTCAAAGGTAATAAAAAATATATTGATTCTGTAAATACTGTTTAGGATGACAGCTGATGTTGCCTGGATCTGTATGCCATCCAAATTTACATTCTTGACTTAGAGATGTGATTTGAAATATTTAAAATATATGTTAAGGCTGGGCGCGGTGGCTCATGCCTGTAATCCCAGCACTTTGGGAGGCCGAGGCAGGCAGGTCACCTGAGGTCAGGAGTTTGAGACCATCCTGACCAATATGGAGAAACCCTGTCTCTACTAAAAATACAAAATTAGCTGGGCGTGGTGGCACATGCCTGTAATCCCAGCTGCTAGGGAGGCTGAGGCAGGAGAATTGCTTGAACCTGGGAGGCGGAGTTTGCCGTGAGCCGAGAGAGCGCCACTGCACTCCAGCCTGGGCAACAAGAGCGAAACTCTGTCTCAAAACATAAAAAAAAAATAAATAAGTAAGTAAATAAAAAATAATAAAATATATGTTAATCATGATTATAAAAAATAAAAAGGATGTTAAGAAATGTTCTATGATATTTTAAGATAAAGCAAAAGAGAGTTGTATGCTTTCAATTTCATTGAAAGCATTGTGTAGCAGGCCTGCTTCGAGATTTTTAAAAAAAATTTGTAGAAGAGTGTGCTTTGTTTTACTTTGTTATTAACTATTGATTAAAGTCCAGACATTGTGAAGGCACATGTTAACTTGCAGGTTTTCACCTGATAGAGAAATGCAAAACATTTCTCTCTGGTGGAAGAGATAACCTCAAAGTATACTTTATGCCCTATAGACTATTCAGTTTTTTCTCTAACTTAAAAAAATCTTTTTGCAATGTGCCTTTTTTGATGGACTATATGAGTCCCAGCTCCTCAAACATTTTTAAAAACCAGCTTTATTGTCTAATTATTTTATTAATTAATGAGTTGAATAAAGTTTTGACTTGTGTTCATTCTGTATTACTATGAAAGTCATGCTTTTAACTTGAAAATTGTATTTGACAAAGACGTGAGTTTAAAAAGCGAGATGGTCATCCAAATGGCTAATAAAATTAAGAATTCAGAACATTCATTCAGAACACATGTTAATTCAGAATTTGGAACACACATTGTACCTTTCACTAATCAGTTGACATCTGTTGCATTTGATTAGGTTCTGAGCATTTCACTTTTAACATTATGTTATCCAAACAGAGACCTACAAGAAGAGGGCAACTAAATGGGAGGTCTTAAAAACATGTTAGATGGGGCTGGGCACAGTGGCTCACGCCTGTAATCCCAGCACTTTGGGAGGCCAAGGTGGGTGGATTGCCTGAGCTCAGGAGTTCGAGACCAGCCTGGGCAACATGGTGAAACCCCTTCTCTACTAAAATACAAAAAATTAGCCAGGCGTGGTGGCATGCCCCTGTAGTCCCAGCTACTTGGGAGGCTGAGGCAGGAGAATTGCTTGAGCCCGGGAGGTGGAGATTGCAGTGAGCCGAGATCGCACCACTGTACTCCAGCCTGGGCAACAGACACACCACTGCACTCCAGCCTGGGCAACAGAGCAAGACTCTAAGAAAAGAAGAAAAAAAAAAAAGTTAGATGAAATATTAATGGAACTAAGGAACAAAGATTCAACAGGAATTATGTGTTATGGCAGTTTTAAAGTGTTATCTCTGATTTCATTAAATGTGACAAATCACAAGGCTGTATGAACTGAGGAAAGTCATTAACTTCTCTGGGTCTCAGTTTTTTAATCTGTAAAATGAATGAGTTGAACTAGCTCTAAAATCTTAAGATAATTGTACTGAATATTGAAAGTTTATTGAATAAAAGAAGGATTAGACTTATTTTGTGCATTTCCTAAGAGCATGACTAAGCCCTCTGGTTAGAAGTTATAAGAAAATAGATTTTTGGCTGAGTGTGAAGAAAAGCTTTCTAACTAGGAAAATTGTTCACAAATATAACAAGCTGTCATGTGAAGTACTGAGTACTGGTACCATTTAGGAGGACCCATTGAGATACTCAAGTGGACTCACCTGCTATTGCCACTAAACTGCGCACCCTGAAAAGTGGACCTCAGGGTCTAATTAAACCCAGGCACATCTTTACTTGTCTTCTAGAGTGAATCCCAAATAGCTAACTCTGCATTTTTTCAGGTTTTCCTTCTTTTTTCATATTTTGTGGTTTTATTTCTATTTCTGTTTCTTGGCCAAGTCTGCTAGTCTGTGTGTGTTTTGACTCACTTTTTATGGTCAAGCACATTTGTGTCCTAAGTCAGATAATACTGGCTGGTGAGGACCAAATACATGCATCTCTTCCCAATTCTGCAGTAGCTTGAAAATAGCTATTATGGGGGAATTTACACCACAGAAACAGGCAAATGCTATACATACAGGAGTGTTCAATCTTTTGACGTCCCTGGGTCACATTGGAAGAAATGTCTTGGGCACCCATAAAATACACTAATACAATGACAGCTGATGAGCTACAAAAAAAGAAAAAAAAGAAAAAATCACAAAAAAATCTCATGTTTTAAGAAAGTTTATGAATTTGTGTTGGGCCACATTCAAAGCCATCCTGGGCTAAATGTGGCCTGTGGGCTGCGGGTTGGATAAGCTTGCATTAAGACTTTGGAGGCTGGGTGCAGTGGCTCACGCCTGTAATCTTGGCACTTTGGAAGGCCGAGGCGGGCGGATCACGAGGTCGGGAGATTGAGACCATCCTGCCTAACATGGTGAAACCCCGTCTCTACTAAAAATACAAAAAAAAAAAATTAGCCGGGCGTGGTGGCGGGCGCCTGTAGTCCCAGCTACTTGAGAGGCTGAGGCAGGAGAATGGCGTGAACCCGGGAGGCGGAGGTTGCAGTGAGCCGAGATCACGCCACTGCGCTCCAGCCTGGGCTACAGAGCGAGACTCCGTCTGCAAAAAAAAAAAAAGACTTACTTTGGAGAGCTGGTATATCTGCTCCCATATGTCTCTTTTCACAACTGATAGCAGGCACAGTGAGTCCACGTCATGTCTCAAACCACTAGGCCAGTCTCAACTGCATAATCTAAAGAGTACCCTTGTGCAATTTGTGGCCATGGTCATGTCCCCTTCTAGAGCTAGACCCAAGACTCCTAGGCCAGTCTTGATTCCATGGTTAAGAGATGGCCTTGTGTGTACATAATTCTGATATGCACATAGCTGATTATTAAGGATAATTTGGTTTTATGATTAGATCATTTGGTGACCTCTGGGAGGTGGACAATGGGACCTATTTTCTATCAAGGAAGAGATAATAGCTAATCTGCGTTGTCAGTCTTTTTTGTCTGTTTATCTACTTGTGAACTCAAATTAATTGAGAAAATATTTTGTGCCTACTAGAAAGAAAAACAGTCCTTTGAAAACTGGAATGGTGAGTTTTGTTTATTTGTTTACTCCTGAACTGTAGCTGAGGTTATAGAGCTGAAGCCACCCAACTCTGTAATTGAGAAAAGCTTTTATCTCTCATTGTATGTGTGAAATGCTTTCTTACCTCTGGAGGGTGTTAATAAATTAGATTACAAGGTCTATTAAATTAAAAGAACTCTGCTCTAATAGACTTATAGGGAGTAATAAGTGCTTACATTAATCCAATATTTCCAGAATTCCTAAAAAATAAACTAAAATTTTAATACTCTAGCTTTTTAATAAAAATTCTTTCAGAAAATGCCAACTTAGAAACATTTTATATGATAATGTAAATATGTAATTATATATGTAATATCATATATTATATATACCACATGTATATATGGATACATGTTATTTATGTATCCATATATACATAATATATGGATACATATACATGTATGTATATATACATATGTATAACACATGGATGACACATAAGATAGCATGTAATAAATCTTTAGCTAAATCAGACTAGTTTATAATTTTGATTTAGAAAAAAATTAATGTATTTTTCTTTGATTTGGGTGCGTTAAATATATTTGTACATTTCATTTTTTAGAAGACCTAGGTTTGCCTTCTGAACTTTATATACTAGTTTATTGATAAAATAGTTTAACACCATGGATTATGAAAAATGTAAAATTATGTGTGTAACCAAATTGAATTACAATATTGGCAATGTTTTAGGAATCAATCATGTTCTATAGTATGTCAGCTCAAACATAATTTTTAATAACCTCAAGTTAACTTCAAAATCTTGGACTAATATTAAATCAAGTTAATTAATGGATAACCTTTGCATGCCTAGATAATTTCTATAATAGAATACAAAAACATTAATTACTAAGCATAGTTTAAAAAGATATATACGTCTTTGTTTCTTATTTTACTATATTACAGGGAGCATACCTTTGGATCATATTAATGAATGTGTTCAGTTTTGCTTTTACTGTATTTAAAACTCAATTACCAATTACTCATCTCCCACTTTTCTCTGTGAAACAGAGGCTAGTTATTGATTTACAGTTATAGTTAATATGGGTAATTAAGACTATACCAGGAGCATTAGTGGCAGTAGGGCAAGCAGTAGTGTAAAGAAGTACAACAATGTTTCTAAAGTGAAGTAATTTTTTTCATTTCTCAAGGAAAAAGTGAGTAGTTTTGGTCTAAAGGCAAAGTGTCTGTTCTAGAACATGAAATAAGATAGGGAAAGACAAAACGTAAATGGATAGATGTAGAAAATTGTAGAAGGTTTGCAAAAAGTAAACCATATTTGTCTTGCTTGTCTGAAAAGAAGCAATAAAATATGTTAACATTTGGCAACATTTCCTCAGCTTTGATGGGCTTATTCAAAAGATAATTTTTTAAAAAAGAAACTTGGAATCCATTATTGCCAAATATTGATTTGATGCAAAAATAGAATTTGGCTTTCTCTCTATTAAAATGATAAACTGGTCTTATAGCGCTTAACAAGGGGTAATAAACAGTTATTATCACCTTTTGAATAATCCATCCGGGTAGAAGAGATTTATACTGCACCAGAATAATTTTCTGTGCTTTGTGTTGATTTTATCATGTCCATTATTACGTTTTAAAGAACAAAGTCTTCTCACATCTGAAAGAGCTGAGATTCATTAAAATTGTTTTACCTACTTCTATGCTTATTTAAAAATATTATATTGATGCTTTAATGAATAGATAACTACACTCTTTTTTCTCAGGCACTCGTGACACTATCTTAATTGTGGACCAAATGTCTTGTTAAATCTGTGGCTTTGGGCTTCTTAAGATTACACCTTAAATTCAGAAAAAATGGAATTCTCAGGATGTTTTTACACTTGATTACCTTGGCAACTCCCAGAGAACCTCTGGGAAATCACAAAGATGTGCTCTTTCAACTTAGGAAAAAGCGAGTGATAGAAATAATTAGGTTTGTTGAGTGGCTTGATATTTTTTTAAAGAGCTCAACACATTGTAAGAGTAGCTTGGGAAAAGTTGTCTAATCAGAAGGGATGCCCCGCCTTCCCTTGGTTAAGTTTTATAGGTACAATGCAATTAACATAAATAGCTCAGACAGCCTACACTTTACAGAAAGGTCCTAATGATTTTGCAATGTCTTTATCCATAATATGTCCTTACCCTCAAGGGAAACATTGATCAAACCCTTACAAGACACTCATGCGTCAGACAACTTTGTTCCCTTCCATTCTGATATTGCTCGTTACTGTAATAAAGGAACCACAGCCATGCCGTCTTCCAGGTCCTTTCTGCTTCTCTCACATGCTTGCCTGAAGGCTCTGCTATAAGTTACAAGCCATAGATCAGATCTTCAACAAAAAAGTCTTAGAGCCTCACAGAAAGGACTGTACTGGGTACTCTTAACTATTGATACTTCAAAGAATGGACTCCTGAATACGAGCTTCTGAGCTGATATCCCTTAGACAACTTTCAGACTGTACCAGGGAACTAAGTCAGGATGTCCAGGATTCGTTGTTTTGGTCTGTAAGCTGCTAACTTTGTGAAATCAGATTGCTGACCCAAGACTCAGCAGAACAATTATTAATTATATAGGACCAAAGAAACTGATGAGAGAAATGTAATTGTGATTATTTGTTTGAATACATGTATGTGTATTTGTGTGTGTATACATGTATATATAATATACATATATATGTATTTGATGCCTTATTTTCTGATGGGTAAGTTATTAATTTTTTAGGTGGCAAATGATATCACCTTTTTTTAAAAAAAGTAATTCTTATCTCTTAGTGATACATGCTGAAACATTTTCATATAAAATGATACAGTATCTGGGATTGGCTTCAAAATAATCTGGGTGGAAGAGTGAATGGGGGAGATGAAATGAATTTACTCTGTGTTGACAAATGGTAAGCAGGCTGATGGGTACATGAGGGTTCATCATGCTAATTTCTCTACTTTCGTATCATTCAAATTTTTCTTTTCTTTTCTCTAAAGTCCCACTCTATTGCCCAGGCTGGAGTGCTATGGCACGATCTTTCAATCTCCACCTCCCGGGTTCAAGCAATTCTCCTGCCTCAGCCTCTGGAGCAGCTGGGATTACAGCCAAGTGTCACCACTCCCAGCTAATTTTTGTATTTTTAGTAGAGATGGAGTTTCACCATGTTGGCCAAGCTGGTCTCGAACTCCTGACCTCAAGTGATCCACCTGCCTCGGCCTAAGTGCTGGGATTACAAGTGTGAGCCACCACGCCCGGCCTGTTCAAAATTTTTCTACAATAAAAACTATTTTAGGCCAGGCGCGGTGGCTCACGTCTGTAATCCCAGCGCTTTGGGAGGCCAAGGTGGGCGGATCATGAGGTCAGGAGATCGAGACCATCCTCGCTATCATGGTGAAACCCTGTCTCTACTAAAAATACGAAAAATTAGCTGGGCATAGTGGCGGGCGCCTGTAGTCCCAGCTACTTGGGAGGCTGAGGCAGGAGAATGGCGTGAACCTGGGAGGCGGAGCTTGCAGTGAGCCAAGATTGCGCCCACTGCACTCCAGCCTGGGCGACAGAGGGAGACTGTCTCGAAAAAAAAAAAAAAAACTATTTTAAAAAATCTCTTCACAAAATTTCCTGTGTTTTTTAAGGTTTTCATACTATTAAATACACATCTTATTTCAAAATATGCTCAAACTACTATTTCCTTATCAATCTTTTTCTTGAATTCAGGTTGTTTTTAATTTTTATAAGTAATGATGGAATAAACCTTTTTATGCATAAACTTTTCACTATATTTTGGCTTATTTTTATTGTATATATTTAAGGTATACAAAATAATGTTTTGGTACACATATACATAGTGAAATGATTACTATAGTTGATATGGTTTGGCTTTGTATCCCCACCCAAATCTCATCTCGAATTGCAATCCCCACATGTCGAGGTAAGGAGGTGATTGGATCATGGGGGCAGTTTCCCCCATGCTGTTCTCATGATAGTGAGTTCTCACAAGATCTGATGGTTTTGTTTGTTTGTTTGTTTGTTTTTGTTTTTGAGACGGAGTTTTGCTCTTGTTGCCCAGGCTGGAGTGCAATGGCACGATCTCAGCTCACCACAACCTCCACCTCCGAGGTTCAAGTGATTCTCCTGCCTCAGCCTCCTGAGTAGCTGGGACTACAGGCATGTGCCACCATGCCTGGCTAATTTTGTATTTTTAGTAGAGATGGGGTTTCTCCTTGTTGGTCAGACTGATCTCGAACTCCTGACCTCAGGTGATCTGCCCGCCTCAGCCTCCCAAAGTGCTGGAATTATAGGCGTAAGCCACTGCGCCCAGCAGATCCAAAAGTTTCATGTGTTTGGAAGTTCCTCCTTTGTTTTCTCTCTCCTGATGCCTTGTAAAGAAGGTGCTTGCTTCCCCTTCACCTTCTGCCACGTGCTTCCCCTTCACCTTCTGCCATGATCGTAAGTTTCCTGAGGCCTCCCCAGCCATGTGGAACTGAGAGTCCATTAAACCTCTTTCCTTTATAAATTACCCAGTCTCAGGTATTTCCTTATAACAGTGTGAAAACAGACTCATACAATAGCCAAGCAAATTAACATATCATACTTCTCACATTGAGTATTGGTGTGGTGATAACACCTGAAATCAACTCTTAGGAAATTTTCAGTATACAATACAGTGTTGTCAACTATAGTCATCATCCAGTATGTTAGATCTTTAGGTTATTCATCCTACATAACTACAACTTTGTACCCTTTTACCAGCATCCTCTTTCATGTTCCATTCCCCCTCCACCCCTGGTAAACACCATTCAACTCTTTGTTTCTATGTATTCATTTTTTTAGATTCCATATATAAATGAGATCATGCAGTATTTTTTTGTGTGTATGTCATATTTCACTTAGCATAATGTCCATGTTGCAAATGACAGGAGCTCCTTCTTTCTTAAGGCTGAATAACATTCTATTGTGTATATATATACATATATCACAATTTCCTTATTCATTTATCTGTCAATGGACACTCTTTGGTTGTTTCCACATCTTGGTTTTTGTGAATAATGCTGCAGTGAACATGGGAGCACAGATATATTTTTAAGGTACTGACTCAACCCCTTTAGGTATATATCCAGAAGAGGGATTTCTGGATCATATGATAGTTGTATTTTTAATTTTTTGAGGCACTTCCATACTATTTTCCATAATGGGTATACCAATTTTGCATTCCCACCAACTATATATAAGCATTTCCTTTTCTCCGTGTCTTCACCAACACTTGTTATCTCTTGTATTTTTAATAATAGCCATCCTACCTCATTGCAGTTTTGATATGCATTTCCCTGATAACTAGTGATGTTGAATACCTTTTCATATACTTGTTGACTATTTATGTGTCTTCTTTGGAAAAATGTCTACTCAAGGCCTTTGCCCATTTTTTAATCAGGTCATTTGGTGTTTTGGATTTGTTTGTTTTTGCTATTGAGTTATGTAAGTGCCTTATATATTTTGGATATTAGGCCTTTATCAGCTATATGATTTGCAAATATTTTCTACCAATCCACAGGTTGCCTTTTCATCTTGTTGACTGTTTCCTTTGCTATGCAGATGCTTTTTAGTTTGATATAGTCCAAATTGTTTATTTTTGCTTTTGTTGCCTGTGCTTTTCATGTCATATCCATGAAATCATTGCCAAGATCAATGTCGAGGAGCTTCCCTCCATGTTTTCTTCTAGGAATTTTATAGCTTTTGGTCTTACATTTTCATTTGTAATTCATTTTGGGTTGATTTTTGTGTATGGTGTAAGAAAACGGCCAATTTCATTCTTTTGCATATGTATATCCAATTTCCTCAGCACTCTTTATTGAAGAGACTGTGCTTTCTCCATTGTGTGTTCTTGTCATCTTTGTCAAAAAGCAATTGATGGTATATGTTTGGGTTTATTTCTGGGCTCTCTATTCTGGTTCCACTGGTCTATGTGTCATTTTTATGCCAGTACCGTGCCATTTTGATTACTAAGGCTTTGTAATATAATTTGAAATCAAAAAGAGTGATGCTTCTTTTTGTTCTTCTTTCTTAAGATTGCTTTGGCTATTCAGGGTCTTTTTTTGATCCATTAAGTATTTTAGAATGACTTTTTTCTACTTTTATGAAAAATGTCATTGGAATTTCAATAGCTATTACATTGAAACTATAGATCACTTTGGGTATGTCAACTAAAGAATCATGAGGTTCAGAAATTTGGAAAGGAGAGCTTTATCTTACATAAAGAATTGCAGCCTGTAGGGTGGCCCATTCCGACAGGCTGGGAAGTGTAGCCTCCAGCCAGAAATCAGAAGCTAGCACTTCAAGAATTAGAAGAATAAGACAGGAATTTATGCTGAATGGCATAGCCAAATATACACATTTAATAAGCTATAGGAAGAGTTATGAATATTTATGAAAGGAGAAACATGTGCATGCACAATTGAATTTTATGCACCTTTGTGGGTCCCATGTTCAAAAAATGGTTTTGTTAGCCTGATCTGAGAGTAGTTTTTGGGCCTTTGATGGCAAAAGATGAAGCAGAGGACACGAAAACTTTCACTGCACATCCTCCGTAGACTGGCCAGAACAACTCCATGGCTGGTGGCCTCTTACCAGGAAGGAATACTGGTTATTTGTTGTGTTGAAAACACAAAAGGGAGGGACAGCATCAGGTGGTTGGTTGAAACCAGTGGTGCAGGGAGTCCTTTGAACTGGCTAATTTCTCATTAGCCCTTAGGGAAGAAAGCCTATATTGTGGTTAGTGAGAAAGAGGGTATAAGGAGGTATAGCTGACTGGAAACTAAGTTTCCATGGTTTCTCTCAAGTCACCTTTTTATTGATTTATTTTTGAGACGGAGTCTTGCTCTGTCACCACACTGGAGTGCAGTGGCGCAATCTCGGCTCTCTGCAACCTATGCCTCCTGGGTACAAGTGATTCTCCTGCCTAACCCTCCCCAGTAGCTGGGATTGCAGGCTCCTACCACCACGCCCGGCTAATTTTTGTATTTTTTTAGTAGAGACAGGGTTTCCCCATGTTGGCCAGGATGGTCTCGATCTCCCGACCTTGTGATCCGCCCGCCTCAGCCTCCCAAAGTCCTGGGATTACAGGCATGAGCCACCATGCCCGGCCTCTCTGAAATCCCTTTGACCAAGAGGGGGCAGTTCAGTTGGTTGAAGAGCTTAGGATTCATTTTTATTTCTCAGGTAGTGCAGACATTTTAACAATATGCCGGGCGCGGTGGCTCACGCCTGTAATCCCAGCACTTCCGGAGGCTGAGGCAGGTGGATCACCTGAGGTTGGGAGTGCAAGATCAGCCTGACCAACATGGAGAAACCCCTGTCTCTACTAAGAAAACATAAAAATTAGCCGGGGTGGTGGCCCATGCCTGTAATCCCAGCTACTCAGGAGGCTGAGGCAGGAGAATCGCTTGAACCCGGGAGGCGGAGGTTGCGGTGAGCCGAGATCGCGCTGTTGCACTCCAGCCTGGACAACAAGGGCAAAACTCCGTCTCAAAACAACAACAACAACAACAACAAAACAATATTAGTTCTTATAATGCACAAACATGGGATATCTTTACATTCGTTTCTTCTTTGTTTCATCAGTATTTTATGGTTTTCAGTGTACAGATCCTTCCCCTCCTTGATTAAGTTTTTCCCATTTTATTCTTTGTGATGCTATTATAAATTGCATTTTTTCTTGGTTTTCTTTTCAGATAGCTCATCATTGGCTTACTGTATTCTGAATTATTCCTCAGAAGAGGACTTGTTGGATCAAGGGGGTATAAAATTCTAAGGCTCTTGATTATAGAGCCATTACGTTTGCCAAACAGCTTTACCAATATACCCAATCACACCCTAATTGGCATTGGGTATTTTTATTTTATTTTAGTATTTTCCACTTTTGTGTGAGAGATGGTGTCTTGTCATAATTTAATTTGAGAATTCTTTGCATTAGTCTGCTCCTATGCTGCTATTTGAAATTTCAATATCTCATGCTCAGTTTTGTTTGGATAATCTTTCCTACTGGGCATGGATTTTAATATTTGACTGCTGGTGGTCATGATCCCTTGCCCCTAAGCCAAGGGAAATTCCTGGAGGCTCTAACACTGTGATCCTGAAATTTTCTGGCTCCTGATATTGCAGCAGGACAAGCCACAGACAAAACTCCTCAGACACCGAGTTAAAGAAGGAAGGGGTTTATTCGGCCAGGGGCATCAGCAAGACTCCTGTCTCAAGAGCTGAGCTCCCCGAATGAGCAATTCCTGTCCCTTTTAAGGGCTCACAACTCTAAGGGGGTGCGCGTGAGAGGGTTGTGATCAATTGAGCAAGCAGGGGGTACGTGACTGGGGGCTGCATGCACCGGTAATTAGATCGGAATAAAACAGGATAGGGATTTTCACAGTGCTTTTCTACACAATGTCCGTAATCTATAGATAACATAACCGATTAGGTCAGGGGTCGATCTTTAACTACCAGGCCCAGGGTGTGGCGCTGGGCTGTCTGCTTGTGGATTTCATTTCCTCCTTTTAGTTTTTACTTTTTCTTTCTTTGGAGGCAGAAATTGGGCATAAGACAATATGAGGGGTGGTCTCCTCCCTTAATATGAAAAAGAAGATCCAGATGAATGGGAAGGAACAGGTATTGGCTGGCACAGTTGAAGTTTTGAGCCAGGAAGATGGAACACTGCCCCAAGCATGTCAGGAGCCAGACATGGAAAAAACATGTTGTGACTAGAGCCTGGAGTCTGGGAAGAGATATCAGGGTTAACATGTAAAACTTCAGGGGTTAAGTTTCATATCCCAATTATGTTCTTTGTCATTAAAATAGGGAGAAAGAAAGTGAGTTTTCCAGACGTATGAACTATCTATTGGCTAATGTCTTTATTTTACAGTTGGATATAGCAAATGTCAATGTTATTTAATAAAAATAAAGTATGCTGAGAAACCCCTGGTTTGCTTGGTTTTGAGACTACTTTGCAGGCAACAAGTGGGGCAGAGTAGTTAGTCAACTTTTAGTAAGTGGTTTGAAAGTATTAGGAGTAAACCACCTGTTAACAGGGATATGGCAACAATTTATTAGCTCTTCTTGAGTCAAGCTTTGTTGGATGTAATATTAATATTTTCTGCATTACTCCAGTACCAAATCTTCCGTGATGATAATTTGAAACAAACAGACATATTAGGGGAAAAAAAAAGGAGATAGGGTAGGAAAGTGGTAACCACTTAATGGAGATCTTCTGTAAACATCATTACTGTTTTAAGGAATCTGTTAACAAAATCGTCCTGCCTGGCTGCTGTATTTGAAAAATAAGAACAAATCTCTCAGAAAGATTGTGAAAGACTTTGGAATGGTCAAAAGATTACTGAATATCCTTTCAGTGAAAAGATAGGCCTTGTCTAGAAGACCCTTGGGGCTTTTCTGATTTTATAAAGGTCTGTGCCTTTCACTGCCTTTGACTAGGCTACTTTACAACTCCGTAAGTTGTAGAAAACGGATAGTGATGCAAATGATCCTTATCCATAGAGATGCAAATGAATTTTGTCCAATAGAGATCCATTTGATTTTTCCCTTGTAGAAAAGATGATTCCAGCCATTACATTTTATTGGCCTATTAACAAGTTTTGCAGCTATTAGCAATTTTATTTCATCCTTTGTGATTGCCTATATACGTGTGTGTCTGTTCTTCCAATTTTTTCTTTAAACTTGTGACATCTTACTGGTTTTCTCATTAATAAAGGAGTTACATAAAATCTTTGGCACTTGTACATTTTATATTTGTAGGACAGTCATGATTTTAATTTAAAAATAATAATTATTTTTTTTTTCTCTTTTCTTTTCTTTTCTTTTTTTTTTTTTTTTTTTTTTTTTTTGAGCCAGAGTCTCTCTCTGTTGCCCAGGCTGGAGTGCAGTGACACTCTCATGGCTCACTGCAGCCTTGACCTCCCAGGGTCAAGCAATCCCCCCGCCTCAGCATCCTTAGTAGCTGGAACTACAGGCATGCACCACCATGCCCAGCTAATTTTTTGTATGTTTAGTAGAGGTGGGGTTTTGCCATGTTGCCCAGGATGTTCTCAAACTCCTGGGCTCAAGCAGTTCACCCGCCTTAGCCTCCCAAAGTGATCCACCTTGCTGGGCCCTTGAAATAATTATCTATTAACAATTCCAAGCTCAAGTAAATATATATTAATTCCTTCCAAAAACATTAATGATTTTTTTTTGGCCTGGGAGGCTCCAGACTTTTCTAACATCTGTAAAAGGAGACCAAGTTCCAGGACTCAAACAAGCCTCCAAAGTAGGCAGATCTCCCTCTCAGCTAATCTGCTGTAATGTAAAACCATGACTGAGGTTTGCCTAGACTACGGCTGACTATGCAGAGTTTCTAAGGACATGAGTCTAGCCATTGCTTGCCCATAAAAATCCTTACAAGTACTCAAACTGCAAGAGACAAATGAAGAAAAACAATGAAAGAATGTAAAATGCAATGATGGGATAGCAATAAAATTATAGACTTGACAGTTCCTCCCTTTCACACCAAGAAAAAGAGATGTTTTGAGTTGGTCTTGTTTGAAGCAGTGTTATCTCTCGTAGACAGCCTTGCAGCTGAGCACTAACTGGTTTTCCAGGGCTGAAGAGAGTTAAGTCATTTCTAAATGTCTTGAACTCATGTTTAGTACGGACTTAAGAAGAGAATAAGGTTCAGAATGACAGCATGGTTTCCAAAGTTTGGCTCTGAATGGTGAAATGTCTGCTGAAGGGGTTCAGAGCATGCCAATTCAATATATAACTGTAGGAGACCAGAATATGCCACCCCTAAATATGCCTTTTTGGCACAAGGATTATTTTCAGCTGGTTATTTTGAGAAACCACAGACATAGGAGAAGCTCTCAAAACAAGAGTAGAAGTTACCCTTTTGTAAGACAAATTTATATTTACAAAGGAAATCTCCATTCATAAGGGTGTCTCCCAATCTATATCAGGAGGAGAAGGATGACTAAATCATTAGAGGCTCTCCTAGATGGAGAAGGCACTGACTTAAATCTGCTTAACATACCTTACCCTTGTTTATCATACTTTTCCTGACCATCTCACCCTAACCATAACCGGCCTTTTCCCTACATCCTTTCTTTGTTTCAATAAATGTTAATATTTAAGCCTAAAGTTTCAACTGCTCCTTTGAGATCTACTCTAGAGATTTATTCTTGGAGATTTGATCTTTGAGAGTTCCCTCAGTATCTCCCATATATATAGGAGGCATACATGTTATTAAACTTTGTTTGTTTTTCTTTTGTTAATCTGTCTTTTGTTACAGGGAGTCCTAGTTAATAACCTTAGAGGGTAGTGAAAAAATTATTTTTCCTCTTGTACACTGCAGAAGCAAGAAATGAGGTCCAAAGGTGAACTAAGAGGGCACAAAAAGTGTAATATAAATGTCAGCCTCTGCCATTTCCCTGTAAGGGCCTCCTTCTGTAGTTTTGGGACAAAGATGAGTCTCCCGAGTCTTGGAGCTGTGTTTCCACAGACCCTTCTTATTACATTCTTTTTTTTCTTTTTTTCCTTTTCTTTTTTTTTTGAGACGGAGTTTCACTCTTGTTGCCCAGGCTGGAGCGCAATGGTGCGATTTCAGCTCACCGCAACCTCTGCCTCCCAGGTTTGAGCGATTCTCCTGCCTCAGCCTTCCCTAGTAGCTGGGATTATAGGCATGCGCCACCACGCCTGGCTAATTTTTGGTATTTTTAGTAGAAATGGGGTTTCTCCATGTTGGTCAGGCTGGTCTCAAACTCCCAACCTCAGGTGATCCACCCACCTCAGCCTCCCAAAGTGCTGCAATTACAGGCGTGAGCCACTGCGCCCGGCATTTTTATTTTATTTTATTTTATTTTTAAAGAGACGGTGTTTCCCTGTGTTGCACAGGCTGGTCTCCAACTCTTAGGCTCAAGGGATCCTCCTGCCTTGGCCTCCTAAAGTGCTGGGATTTCAGGCATGAGCCACCACACCTGTCCAGTACATCCTAACTGACCCAAAATCTATATAGTTCTGTCCACATGGTGTTACTAACTTCTCTTCAGTCTCAGTGGGGACTCACTAAGGAGTCCAGGCTCCAGACCATGTTGGTCAGACTCAACTGAAAAAAACTGCAATGTAGGAGGGAAAGTTTGTAAGCTGTTTGCTAAAGATGACTGTCCCCATAATCCTAGGAAAAGCTCCAAAATTAAACTTCATATTGAGTCTCTTCAGACATTCTCCAGATCCTAACCTAGTTTTCCAGCTCTTTGAGAATGTGCTACTCTCAAAGAAAGCAAAGTACGTTAAGAGCCCAGGTTGTGGCAGGAAACCATGTGGATTTTAAATCTCGGCTCCACTATTTGTTAGTTGTACTGTAATCTCAGGGGGTAGAGAGGAGGCTTCAATTCTGTGTATTGACTCTTCCATCTACAAAATGGGGACCATGATCCTATTGACTTCACAGGAATGTCGTGAAGTTTAAGTGAGTTAACTCAAATAAAACACAGAATAGTGCCTGGCACTAGTAAGTGCTAGATAAACATTAGCTGTTAAGAAGCAGTGTGTGACTAAGAGCTGGATTCAAATCATGACACACCACTTAGAAACTATGTGTCATATGGCAAGTTACTGAACTTCTCTGTGCACCTGTTACAGTAGGTAGCTAGGCAGGCATGAACAGGGTATGAGAGGGCCCCACAACCCCCAACCAGGAATGTCAGGCAACCATCAGGTGATGGCCAGGCAGTTGTTAACTGTCTCTCTAAAATAATAATTGTGGCTGGGCACGGTGGCCTGTAATCCCTGCACTTTGGGAGGCCAAGGTGGATGGATCACTTGAGGTCAGTAACAACCCCAGTTCCTCAACTTCAAAATTGGGAAACAGTAGAATCTAACTCACAGATCTGTTGTGAGGATGAAAGAGTTAATATGTGTAACTCTTTGAGGTCAGGAGTTCAAGACCAGCCAGGCCAATATGGTGAAACCTCATCTCTACTAAAAATACAAAAATCAGCCAGGTGTGGTGGTGGGCACCTGTAATCCCAGCTACTCGGGAGGCTGAGGCAGAATTGCTGGAACCCAGGAGATGGAGCTTGCAGTGAGTAATTGGTCACAGCCGGTGCCAGGGAAAGGCAGTCTCCCAATAGTTAGGAAAAACCTGAAACTGGTGATCAATAGCTTCCCGATAATGAGAGAGGAGGAAGGAAGAAACTGGTCAGGCAGGCAGTTAGGGTGAGTCCTCAGCAAAATTCTTTCAAACAAAAGAACAGCATGAAAAATCAAGCTGTGGGCACAGATAAGGGAACTTGCACAGGGGAGCTTGCCTAAGACATGTCCACAGCCACGTAGATAAGAAAGGCTACACAGGAGACTTGCCCAGACATGCTTTCAATGGAAAATTCCATCCCCTGACACATGCACAGTAAGGGGAACAAAGCAATATGGAGTAACTCAAGTTAAGGGCCCACATGCCCACTAGGAGGATGGGGTGGAGCTACCAGAAATTCATGTCTTATGCAAATGAGATGCCCAGCCCTCTTTGGTTTCTTATAAAAGACTTTGTGTTCAGCTGTGAAATGGAATTCCTCTTTTGGGCTCCCTCTCCGTGGTAGAGTTTTCTTCTTTCACTCATTAAACTCTCGCTCTAACCTCACCCTTCGTGTCCACACTCCTTAACTTTCTTGGTTGTGGGACAAAGAACTTCGGGGATACCTTGAACAACAAGACTGTGACAATAAGATCTCAGGAATTGGGTGAGTGGGCTCACCTATGTACACTAAGAGGCAAAATGGTAGAGTTTAACTGGTATATGACCTCCTAGGGACATTTGGCTGGTAAGGGAAGAAAGCCTCAGGTGAGCATGCATACAACTCCAGTAAACACACTGTGCATGCTCCCCTCCTAAGTACTAGCAAGCCACTGCACATGCGGACAGCCCACCCCAAGGGAAGAATCAGGGGAGAGAAACACAAGATCTCGAAGTATGCCAACGTATAAAACCCCAAGTCAAAAGGTCAAACCATGAACTTGATTTCTCAGGTCGCCTGTTTGACCCTCTTCCAAGGGTACTTTCCTTTCTTTCCACTCCTGCTCTAAAGCTTTTTTTTTTCTCTTAGACGAAGTTTTGCTCTTGTTGCCCAGGCTGGAGTGCGATGGCATGATCTCAGCTCACTGCAACCTCTGCCTCCCGGGTTCAAGCCAACACGCCCAGCTAATTTTTGTATTTTTAGTAGAGACGAGGTTTCTCCATGTTGGTCAGGCTGGTCTCAAACTCCCGACCTCAGGTGATCCACCCACCTTGGCCTCTCAAAGTGCTGGGATTACAGGTGAACCACCGTGCCCAGCCTAAAGCTTTTTAATGAACTTGCACTCCCACTCTAAAACTTGCCTTGGTCTCTTCTTCTGGCCTATGCCCCTCAGTTGAATTCTTTCTTCAGAGGAGGCAAGAACTGAGGTTGCTGTAGACCCATAAGGATTTGCCATCAGTAACATCCCCAGTTCCTCAACTTCAAAATTGGGAAACAATAGAATCTAACTCACAGAGTTGTTGTGAGGATGAAAGAGTTAACATGTGTAAATTACTTCATATTAGCGCTGATTAAAAAGTTTATGTTGTATCAAGTAGTTATTACTACATTTATAATTATTAGATAGTGCTGTTTTTATGTATACTTCCTCAGTGCAAGCCTCCTTTAAGAAAACTCACCACAATGGGGGAGAAGAGACGGAAAGGGAACCTATAAATTAAAAGAGACATAAGAAAGATCAGTCACTCACATTGTACGACCCTTATTTGGATCCTGATTCAAACAACAACAAAATGTGTTAAAAAAAAAAAAAAAAAAAAAAAAAAAGAGGCCAGGCACAGTAGCCCCCTCTCTGTAATCCCAGCATTTTGGGAGGCCAAGGCAGAAGGATAGTTCGAGGCTAGGAGTTCAAAACTAGCCTCATCAAAGTAGGAAGACCCCTGTCTCTACAAAATAAAAATTTAAAAATTAGCCGGGCATGGTGGTGCATGCCTGTAGTCCCAACTGCTGGGAGGCTGAGGCAGGAGGATCATTTAAGCCCATGAGTTTGAGGCTGGAGGGAGCTGAGATGGCGCAAATGCACCCCAATCTGGCAACAGAGTGAGATCCTGTCTAAGAAAAAAAGACAGTTATAAGCTAATTGAAAATGCAATCATTGACAAGATACTTGATGATGTAGAGGAGGAAAAGTAACTTTCTACCCTTCTGAGTTCTTAATTGGAATGCACCCCTGTAACAAAAGAGATTAACAAAGGAAAAACAAACATCAGTTTAGCAATATGTATACCTTCCTGTCTCTCCAAAAAAAATTTAAGTGTCTCTGAATTCAGACTTAGCTATTATCCTCTGCTGAACAAAGAAAGAAGTCTCTTGGGACCAGTTATGGGGAGGTAACTGAGAAAAGCATGAAAAACAAGGGTAAGGTTTATTACGAAGATTTAAGTCAGTGACTTTCCCATTGACAAGAGTTTTTCTGTAATTTTGTCATCCTCCTCTTCCTGATACCGAGGAGACACCCTTACAAATGGAGATTTGCTTTATAAATGTAAATTTTTCCTAAGAAAATGGTAATTTCTACTTTCTTTTTAGAGTTTCACTTGTGCCTGCTATTTCTCAAAATAATCCTTATGACAAAAAGACATATTTTGGAGTGGCATATCTTGTCTCCTACAATGGTGTTGAGGAATTACTATTAATTTTTTTTAGGTGAGGTAAGAATGTTGTGGTCATGTAAAAGTCATTTTTTAGTCAAAAATGAAATCATATGATGCCTAGAATTTTCCTTAAAATTATGTGGGGGCAGGGGATGGGTTGGTGGGGGGATGTAAGTTTGTCCAAAGTTTGTGAAGTGGTGATGAGAACTCAGAGGTTCATTGATCTATTCTGTTTTGTTTTGTGTATGTCATAATTTTTTAAAATTAGGAGAAGGAAGATTAAAAAAGAGGAAGAGAAAGAAAAGAAAACTACACTAGGTTCTCATCTTAACCTGGGAGTCACCTCTGTCTTCCTGGCATCCGCACAATCAGTAGGACCCAGCAATCTCCCGCAGGACATTTTCTAAAGTGTAAGTTACTATGTCAAGAGCAGCATCATGACACCTGCAGTCGGAGAGCTGCAGGTAGGCTTTGCCACCCTGAGTTTGAACCACCTCAAGTTTTCCTTGCCAGTGTGAGGTGAAGACACACTTTCACATCCCTTCAGGGTATCCTCCAGTGTGTGTCTTTCGCATAGCACAATAACAGATGCACGCACACACACATACACACACACATTTTCCAAGGACAAAAACTAATTTTCAGAAATAGTAGAGTCAAAATTTGTTTTTCCATGTGCAAAATCGTTTCAGAGCTGCTTCTTCTCACAAAGGAGATAGCTCTCAATTGTCATTTTTATGCAGAACGATGTCAGTTCCCTTTGTCCTCAGACCGTCCCTGAGATCTTCCACTGCATAAGAAATGGGGTCCATTCCAGAGCCATCCTCCTCTCCATGGACTCCCTTAGGCTCACAAAGACCCGGAAAATACATTAGTATTTAAAGTTTGTTTTCTGTTTCCTTTGCTACTTTGTCCAGGCCCCTGCATCTTTCCATTGCAGAGATTACAGGGATACAGAAAGATGTGAGGGTTTAATCTCCTCTCCAGGCAAACCCCTGAGGTCGGGAAAGAGAGGAAAACTGTGGGGTGCAAGGGCGGGGAGACAGTTTGTTCTTTCATTCACAAGAAACATAATAGATATCACAGATTGTTAGATCTGAAAGGGCCTTAAAGATAATTCTACACCAACCCATTCAATTTTACACTGGAGAATGCTGCTTAGACACTCAAAGGGAGCATTTGTCTTCCACAGGGTGCTTATAATACATATTTAAAGACTTCACAAAAATTTGGCTCATAATTAAAATGTTAAAAATGGAGAAAATAATATTCTCTTTTGATTTTTTATCACTAAATTACTCTCTTAGCCTCCACCTTTAAAAAAATGATTTTACATACACTTAAATATTTATTATAACTTTTAATTTCAAAATTATCTCCCATTTCCTTGTTGCAGAAATCCTTCAGGCAAACACGCTGAAGGATGCAGCTTACCAGTGGCTTATCAAGGGCCAACCAGGGAGCAGTCCACCCCCCAGCATGGGCAATAAGGGGGAACCTTGTCAAGAGAAATTAAAAACTATAATAACGCCAACGAAGAGTTGGTCTGCTTTTCATTATCACCATTCTCTGCAATTCTAAACAGTGTCACTGATAAAAGTGTCCTCCCTGAAAAAAATCTTTTGTTGGTCTAAAATCTAAACAATTGCTGCAGTTTCTGTTGAGTTTTAATATATAAATAAGCTTCAAATTAGCACATTTTTATTACATTTCCTTTCATAAACGTTGTATTCTACTAGAAATGAATTTGAAGAACTCCCATTTATCCAGTTAGCCTTCAACACACATGGGCTCAGTGTCACAAGTCTGTTTTAATAGTAAGACCTCTGATGCCTGTGGTCCTTCATATTTCTGCATTTAAAATTGTGATGAGTAATAAATAATGATAGCACAGCAATTTTAAAGATAAAGAAATAGGACTTAAGTTACTTCAATTCTGCCATTTGATGCAACCACTTTGTTTTTATTTGTGCAGTATTTTTGTTAACTGCAAATTTTGGTTTATATGTGAAATATTTTACTGAATTTGAATACTTTAAAAATTTATTCTTTTTCAATTGTTCATTGCTTTAAAACTAAAAATAGTTTTTTAGTTTTAAAACTATTATACACCTATAATCCCAGCACTCTGAGAGGCCAAGGCAGGCGGATCACCTGAGGTCCGGAGTTCGAGACCAGCCTGACCAACATGGAGAAACCCCGACTCTACTAAAAAAAAAAAAAATACAAAATTAGCCGGGCGTGTTGCCACATGTTTGTAATCTCAGCTACTCAGGAGGCTGAGGCAGGAGAATCACTTGAACCCAGTGGTAGAGGCTGCAGTGAGCCAAGATCGTGACATTGCACTCCAGCCTGGGCAACAAGAGCAAAACTCTATCTCAAAAAAAAAATTAATTAATTAAAAAAAAATAAAAAATAAATCGAGAAAATAAAATATGATGTCAGTGACACAATTTAGCAGTTAGCTAAATACCTTTTACTGAAATTGTGGTTTTATTAAAATTTACTCATTAGTTACTAGAAAATTTTTACATATTATTAGACTATAACCAACAGATGAAAGTTCAAACTATTAGGTAGATATAAACTTTCAAAATGACCAAAAATGTTGTTTTTCTGTTGCCAGAGAAATGAAAAGGGGAATGCTGGAAGCCCCGTCATTTTCACCAAGATCTGGATGCTCACTCTAAGCAGTGGATCAGAGGATGCCAATATTTGTGATAATTCAGCCATTTTCTTGAATATTTGCCAAGAAGAAAAACTTTAAAATTTTTCACGCCAGGCATGGTGGCTCATGCCTGTAATCCTAGCACTTTGGGAGGCTGAGGCGGGTGGATCACTTGAGCCCAGGAGTTCAAGACCAGCCTGGACAACATTGTGAAACGTCGTATCTACAAAAAAATACAAAAATTAAGCAGGCATGGTGGTGTTCGCATGTAGTCCCAGCTACTTAGGAGGTTGAGGCAAGAGGATTGCTTGAGCCAAGGGGAGGTTGTAGTGGTTGCAGTGAGCTGAGATCACGCCACTGCACGTTAGCCTGGGAGATGGAGCAAGACCCTGTCTCAAAAAAAAAAAATTTTTTTTCACCAAATATGAAATAAATCTATGATGAATTTTCTGTTTTGTTTTGTTTTATTTTGAGACAAAGTCTCGCTCTGTTGCCCAGGGTGGAGTGCAATGGCACGATCTCGGCTCACTGCAACCTCCGCCTCCCAGGTTCAAGCAATTCTCCTACCTCAGCCTCCCAAGTAGCTGGGACTACAGGCATGTGCCACCATGCCCAGCTAATTTTTGTATTTTTAGTAGAGATGGGGTTTCACCATGTTAGCCAGGATGGTCTTGATCTTTTGACCTCATGATCTGCCCACCTTTGCCTCCCAGAGTGCTGGGATTATAGGCATTAGCCACCGTGCCTGGCCAAATTTTCTGGAGATCTTTTAGTGGGAAATATGTGACTGTGGAGATGCTTGAAAGCCATTAGAATCAATCCCAGAGAAACTAAGACATAGAATTTATTGCAATTTCTGGCATTTACTGTGAAATGACATTTTTTTATAAATCTCTGCTAAACTCATCCTTATTTTTAAGACTTTCCCTAACTATATCTGTTACTTCATATGAAATTAAAATCAATCAAAAATGTTCTTTGATTAACTATGAATGAAGATAGATTTAGAAATCTGTTTTAAATACCTGTTAAGCATGAGTGTGTAAAGAAGATCAGTTTTCATAAAACCATTTACACATTAGATGACTTTAGCAATAAACCCCACCACAGGGACCCAGAGTTGGACAGTAGTAGAATGGTGGTGGCAGTGGAGGCTAAAAGGGATTCTACAAGACCTTAGAGAAAACAATACTTTATTTATTCATTTATTTATTTATTTTATCTTTTCGAGACAGAGTTTCGCTCCAGGCTGGAGTGCAAAGGTGCAATCTCGGCTCACTGCAGCCTTCACCTCCCAGGTTCAAGCAATTCTCCTACCTCAGCCTCCCAAGTAGCTGGGATTACAGTCACCCAGCACCACACCCAGCTAATTTTTGTATTTTTAGTAGAGACAGGGTTTCACCATGTTGGGTAGGCTGGTCTCGAACTCCTGACCTCAAGTGATCCACACGCCTCGGCTTCCCAAAGTGCTGGGATTACAGGCGTGAGCCACCACACCCAGCCTGAGAAAACAACACTTTAAAGACATCTAGGCCTGGTATGGTGGCTCACCCCTGTAATCCCAGCACTTTGGGAGGCTGAGGCGGGTGGATCACAAGGTCAGGAATTCAAGACCAGCTTGACCAACATGGTGAAACCTCGTCTCTACTAAAAATACAAAAATTAGCTGGGCATAGTGGAAAGTGCCTGTAGTCCCAGCTACTTGGGAGTCTGAGGCAGAAGAATCACTTGAATCCGGGAGGCAGAGGTTGCAGTGAGCCGAGATGACACCACTACACTCCAGCCTGAGAGACACAGCGATACTCCGTCTCAAAAAAAATAAATAAAAGAAATTAAATAAATAAAGACATCTAGCTAAACCAAATGAGAATTTGAGAGGGGGTGGGTTTTCTGCACAGTGGTGAAGAATGGGCCAGTGAAATATTGTTTTGTCAATGTTATCATGACTTTATTTTTATCACAGATTGGTATGTCCTAGAGAAATGTTGATAACAGTTATTTTCTTTCTCTTGCCACAAAGGAAGGCCCAGAGAGAAGGTCCTCCTAGAAAGCAGAAGGCTTTCCCCCACCTTCCACCATGCCCACTGTCACGAGGATTTGCTGGGGCAAGTGTTTACTCATCTGGTAGGGGAATCCACTCCTTTCTGCACAGGTGCAGAGCTTGCCAAATGCCGCGGGGCTTCCCTCTTTGCTAAAAGGCCAGAATTCCCTAAATCTCACTCCAGGCTCCAACATTATATCTATCACTTTTCTTTTTTTTTTTTTCCAATATAGGGGAAAAGGGACCTTTCCTTTCACCCTCTGACATTTGATAATTTGAGTCTATGCAATAAATTTGACAGTAGACAGATTAACAGGAAAAAAGGCATACAAATTAATACATGCATATACAAGGGGGTCCCACAGAGTAAAACACTCAAAGAAGGGCCAGATGGTTGAAACTTTTTTTCTTCTTGAGATGGAGTCTTGCTCTGTCACCCAGGCTGGGGTGCAGTGGCATGATCTCAGCTCACTGCAACCTTCATCTCCCAGGTTCAAGCAATACTCCTGCCTCAGCCTCCTGAGTAGCTGGGATTACAGGTGCAGGCTACCACACACAGCTAATTTTTGTATTTTTAGTAGAGATGGGGTTTCACTATGTTGGCCAGGCTGGTCTTGAACACCTGACCTCAGGCGATCCACCCTCCTCGGCCTCCCAAAGTGCTGGAATTACAGACGTGAGCCACTGCACCCAGCCTGGTTGAAACTTAAATCTGCATTTGAACTACAGAAAGAAATAGGGGCTGGGGCTTTTGGAAGGGAGGTGGTGACTCAAGCAATGGAAGGGTAAGGGGTGACTCAAGCAATGGAAGGGTAAGGGGAAGAACCACACTGTGAAAAACGGTTGTTTTGTGATGCAGATAAAGTCTCTAGGATAGCAACCTTCAGAAGAATAGGTAAAAAGTCCATCTCGGTTTGGAGACTTTTAGTTTCTTTTCCTGCTGGTTAATCTCTGGTTAATGTGGATTTCAGGGAGAGGGATCCACACAATTATGTTCCTTCTGGAAGAACTTCCCTCCCTGCATTTCAGGAGATACAGAGATGGAGAGACAGGGAGATGAGGGAAGATCAAAGAGACCTTGGTTCTGAAGCTGATTTTTTCTTTTTTTTTTTTTGAGACGGAGTCTTGCTCTGTCGCCCAGGCTGGAGTGCAGTAGTGCGGTCTCGGCTCACTGAAACCTCCACCTCCTGGGTTCACGCCATTCTCCTGCCTCAGCCTCCTGAGTAGCTGAACTACAGGCACCTGCCACCACGCCTGGCTAATTTTTTTTTGTATTTTTAGTAGAGACGGGGTTTCACCATGTTAGCCAGGATGGTCTTGATCTCCTGACCTTGTGATCCGCCCGCCTGGGCCTCCCAAAGTGCTGGGATTACAGGCGTGAGCCACCGCGCCTGGCGTGAAGCTGATTCTTTGGTTCAAAGTACTCAGCATATCAAAGCACCATACTTTGGGGTATCATTTTCTGAGCCCCAACACTGATGTCTTTGCAAACATTTTCAAAATCTATCATTCTTGAGAGTACAACCCATGTAAAGTCCATCCACCTTGTGGCTCCATCTTAGCAAAAAAACACTAGTCCAGTCTCCAAAAGTTGCTGAACATTAGTTAACACCTTTCTGTAGAATTTTTTTTTTTTTTTTTTGAGACGGAGTTTTGCTCTTGTTGCCCAGGCTGGAGTGCAATGGCATGATCTTAGCTCACCACAACCTCCACCTCCCGGGTTCAAGTGATTCTCCTGCCTCAGCCTCCAGAGTAGCTGGGATTACAGGCATGTGTCACCATGGGCAGCTAATTTTGTATTTTTAGTAGAGATGGGGTTTCTCCATGTTGGTCAGGCTGGTCTCGAACTCCCGACCTCAGGTGATCCGCCTGCCTCAGCCTTCCAAAGTGTTGGGATTACAGGTGTGAGCCACAGCACCTGACCCTTTTTGTAGATTTTTAAGGAAAATGACTCAGGAGTTGGGGTAATATTAATAACACTCAGTAAATGTTTTAAAATTTTCTTTCCATAACTCTCCATTTCCTATATATGTTCCAGCTGCTCCCTAAATCTTTCATTTCCTCTTTCTCCAAACTCCCCCAATTTTTCCTCAAATCCAGGGCATACTAACTTTGGTAACATCCTCCTGTCTTTTGTCATATTCCAGAGCCATTCACTTCTGTGTGGCTGTAACCTCTGGCTTTCCCAATCAAGCAGCTATGGTGCTCTCCTTGCCCAAATCCATGAATCTGCACTCAAGTCTGGGAAGTAACTTTGGCCACAAAAGGAATTCCATCTTATAGATAGAAGAGGAGAGGTGATGTGAGCTCCTATATATTAACATCTCTATCTGTTCAAGAGCTTCTCCAACTACTTTTTTCTGTTAAGTAAACCTGTCTGTGAGTAAAATAAACAAGGAGTTGATTCAAATTCTGCTGTGTGAGGAGAGAATCTTCCAGTTTTTGAGGACAAGAGAAACTAAATTTTATGGTGATTTACCCGTAGCAATTGAAGATCACCAAGAGAGAAGACTTTTATTTTTCTGTTTTTGGTGTGTTTTAACTTGTTTTCATTTATACTGTTTTGAAGATGGATTGGGAGGAGGAGAGTGAAGAATGAAAAGCTCTATGTTAGAGGAATCTATATGTGCAGTTTCCTTATTAACTGTATGTGTCATCCTCAGAGATGCTGCATGACCTGGTGAAAGAACACGGGCTTTGGAGATAGATACTCATATATTTGTACTTATGCTTGAATCCCATCTCGGTTACTTTCTACCTGAGTATAATTTATAGCATGACAGTTATTATCAGGAGCACAAAGGAAGCACTGTTTTCTGTAAATGAAGATAAGAACTGTTTTGCAATATTATTGTGAGAACTAATGAAATAATTTTGTAAAATGCTTAAGATAGTACCTGTCATATATTTAATATTTATTTATTATATTAAATTTATTATTAAATAATAATAATATTTAATCATGGCAGTCTGCAATCATGACAAATTCTGATAATAATAGCATTTAGGATGGGCATGGTGGTTTATGCCTGTAATCCCAACACCTTGGGAGGCCAAGGAGGGAGGACTGCTTGAGGCTAGGAGTTCAAGACCAGCCTGGGCAACATAGCAGGGCCCTGTTCCTACAAACAAACAAACAAACGAATAATCAAAAAACGTAGCCGGATGTGCTGGCGTGTGCCTGTAGTCCTAGGCTGAGGCAGGAGGATCATTTGAGTCCAGGAGTTCGAGGCTGCAGTGAGCTACGATCACACCACTGTACTCCAGCCTGGGTGACAGAGTGAGACTCTGTCTCTAAAAGAGAAAGAAAAAGAGAAAGACTAATAGTTTTTGTTTGTTTGTTTGTTTGTTTGTTTTAACTGGAGTTGGAGGGCTTCTGCCAAAATTTTCTGTTTCTAACTTTTTTTGGTTTTTTGTTTGTTTTTATAAAATATATTTTATTTTTAAAATAGACAAAGTCTTGTTCTGTTGCCCATGCTGGCTTGAAATTCCTGGGTGGGCGTGATCCCCCTAACTTGGCCTCCCAGAGTACTGGGATTACAGGTGTGAGCAACTGCACGTGGCCTGTTTCTGACATTTTTAAAGTTAGTCTTAATACTGTTTTATGCTGGTTTTACTTTAAATATATATATATAGAATAAAAGCAATTACTTAACAAATGTCAGTGACATGCAAATATATAATTAATAAAACTTCTTATATCTCAGTGGTTGATGTCAATAACCAAATAACCAAGAATTTGAATAATCTCTTCTAGGTAACTGGAAGTGACCTTCACTTACCTGTAATTTACACATTCTCACCAGCTCCTCTCCTACTCCCTTCATCATGACCACCAAGGAGAGCTAGAGGACCTTAGAGAGGAGGCTCAGAATAGTACTGCTTTGATTTTGGCAACATGCATATTGTTTCTTCAGCTAACTCAGCATGCTTGAGATCATTTTAACAGCATAGTGTTCTCATGTGGTTTCAGTAGAAAAAGTCCCTATGTAAAAATAGCACCTTCTTCCTCAGCATGTCTGCTCCCTTTAATGAAAATAAGGCTTTAGCTTAGACTGAGCCAATGCAGCTATCAAGGCGTGAGCTAAAATCTCATCTGCTTCAAATGCTGTTAGCCAAATTCACTAACAATGGTGCTTACAGTCATTGCCAATAAGAAAGACAATGTAGTCAGAGTCATGAACAATACAGGATAATTCATACCCAATACACAATATTTAAACAGCAGTTTTCTAGAATGAATCCCCAGACAACATGGTCAATGAGAAAAGTCACAATTGCTTTACAAGAATATTTATGGTGGCCGGGCACGGTGGCTCACGCTTGTAATCCCAGCACTTTGGGAGGCTGAGGCGGGTGGATCACCTGAGGTCAGGAGTTGGTGACCAGCCTCGCCAACATGGTGAAACCCGGTCTCTACTAAAAATACAAAAAATTAGCCAGGCGTGGTGACAGACACCTGTAATCCCAGCTACTCGGGAGGCTGAGGCTGGAGAATCACTTGAACCTAGGAGGCGGAGCTTGCAGTGAGCCGAGATTGCGCTACTGCACTCCAGCGTGGGCAACAAGAGCAAAACTCCGTCTCAAAAAAAAAGAAAAGAAAAGAAAAGAAATATTTATAGTAATACAAACAAACCAAAAAGGAGGAAAAAAAAAAGAATCAGGAGCATTCACAAATTCTTATCCAACCCATTTAAGACAAAAAGAGTTTAACTAATATAATTTAAGCCATATGGAAACCTAGTAGTAGGTTGCTTCTTCTTAGAGTGGTGTTTCATTCATTCTTACTAGCCTGCATTCTATCACACCATGTTCCATTTTGGGATTGGGAAACTTCTATGTCCATTATTGATATGAAAATAAAACAGAGATAGGCCAGGCGCGGTGGCTCACGCCTGTAACCCCAGCACTTTGGGAGGCCCAGGCAGGCATATCACAAGGTCAGGAGATCGAGACCATCCTGGCTAACATGGTGAAACCCCGTCTCTACTAAAAATAAACAAAAAATTAGCTGGGCACGATAGCGGGCACCTGTAGTCCCAGCTACTCGGGAGGCTGAGGCAGGAGACTGGCATGAACCCAGGAGGCGGAGGTTGCAGTGAGACAAGATCGCGCCACTGCACTCCAGCCTGGGTGACAGAGCGAGACTCTGTCTCGAAAAAAAAAAGAAAA
Source organism: Homo sapiens (assembly GCF_000001405.40). Taxonomy (NCBI): domain Eukaryota; kingdom Metazoa; phylum Chordata; class Mammalia; order Primates; family Hominidae; genus Homo; species Homo sapiens. Next base: position 128,674,059 of record NC_000004.12, on the reverse strand, counting down.
CAGAAAAAAGGAATAGTTTTATTTTATATATATATACATACTACACATATATATATATATATATATATTTTTTTTTTTTTTTTTTGAGACGGAGTCTCGCTCTGTCACTCAGTCTGGAGTGCAACCACACGATCTTGGCTCACTGCAACCTCTGCCTCCCCGGTGCAAGCAATAATCCTGCCTCAGCCTCCTGAGTAGCTGGTATTGTGTCCGGAATTGGTGGGTTTTAGGTCTCACTGACTTCACGAATGAAGCCGCGGACCCTCACGGTGAGTGTTAACAGTTCTTAAAGGCCGCGTGTCCGGCGTTTGTTCCTTCTGATGTTCGGATGTGTTCGGAGTTTCTTCCTCCTGGTGGGTTTGTGGTCTCGCTAGCTTCAAGACTGAAGCTGCAGACCTTCGCAGTGAGCGTTACAGCTCTTAAGGGAGCGCGTCTAGAGTTGCTCGTTCCTCTTGGTGGGTTCGTGGTCTAGATGGCTTCAGGAGTGAAGCTGCAGACCTTCGCAGTGAGTGTTACAGCTCATAAAGGCAGTGTGGACCCAAACAGTGAGCAGCAACAAAATTTGTTATAAAGGGCGAAAGAACAAAGCTTCCACACTGTGGGAGGGAACCCGAGCTGGTTGCCACTGCTGGCTCACGCAGCCTGCTTTTATTCTCTTATCTGGCCCCACCCACATTCTGCTGATTGGTCCATTTTACAGAGAGCCGATTGGTCTGTTTTACAGAGAGCTGATTGGTCCATTTTGACAGGGTGCTGATTGATGTGTTTATAATCCCTGAGCTAGACACAAAAGTTCTCCAGGTCCCCACTAAATTAGCTAGATACAGACTGTCGATTGGTACATTCACAAACCCTGAGCTAGACACAGGGTGCTGATTGGTGTGTTTACAAACGTTGAGCTAGATACAGAGTGCCGATTGGTGTATTTACAATACCTTAGCTAGACATAAAGGTTCTCCAAGTCCCCACCAAACTCAGGAGTCCAGCTGGCTTCACCCAGTGGATCCCGCACAGAGGCCAGAAGTGGAGCTGCCTGCCAGTCCCGCGCCATGCGCCGGCACTCCTCAGCCCTCGGGTGGTTGATGGGACTGGGCGCCATGGAGCAGGGGGCAGCGCTCGTCAGCGAGGCTGGGGCTGCACAGGAGCCCACTGTGGCGGGGGAGGCTCAGGCATGGCAGGCTGCAGGTCCCGAGCCCTGCCCCGCGGGAAGGCAGCTAAGGCCTGGCAAGAGGTTGAGCACAGCAGCTGCTGGCCCAGGTGCTAAGCCCCTCACTGCCCGGGGGCAGCGGGGCGGGCTGGCAGCTCTGAATGTGGGGCCCGCCAAGCCCATGCCCACCCGGAACTCACGCTGGCCCACAAGCACTGCGCGCAGCCCCAGTTCCCGCCTGCGCCTCTCCCTCCACACCTCCCTGCAAGCTGAGGGAGCCGGCTCCGGCCTCGGCCAGCCCAGAAAGGGGCTCCCACAGTGCAGCCGTGGGCTGAAGGGCTCCTCAAGTGCCGCCAAAGTGGGAGCCCAGGCAGAGGAGGCGCGGAGAGTGAGTGAGGGCTGCGAGGGCTGCCAGCATGCTGTCACCTCTCAGTGTTATAGGTGCGCACCACCACACCTGACTAATTTTTGTATTTTTAGTAGAGATGGGGTTTCACCATGTTAGTCAGGCTGGTCTCCAACTCCTGACCGTGTGATCTGCCCACCTTGGCCTCCCAAAGTGCTGGGATTACAGGCTTGAGCCACTGCACCTGGTCACTTTTATATTTTTAAAGAAAGACACAGCTACACTTTAATAAATTATCCTGGAAATCATAGTTTTAGAACATATTCTCAGGTCATCAGTGTTCTTTCTTATTAACTTCAGAATCTGATCCACATCAAGGTTAATGACTTGATTAATAATGCTTATCAGAGTTCCCTCAGAAGAGTGGCACCATGGTGGGAGGTACCGCTACAAATATATACAGCTCTGCTACTGTCAGTATAATCACTATAATCACTATAGTCTATCAGTATAGTTCAATCAAGGAATTTGGCACAGGCAATAAATGTAAGGATGTCCATCTTATGATCAACAGAAATTTGACTTTCATTGAGAGAATCTACTCATAGAACAGACAGAATGTTATCAGTAGCCTAGTTTGGATCCTAGAAGTCTCTAAGCTCTTTTACCGGGGAGAGAAAAGGAGAACTGCAATTTTATTTTGTGATCTATTCTCCCCAGAAACCAGACTCTTCTTAAGGGAAGAATGTTTCTTTTTTGCAAACCCTAAGATACCTTTAGCAGAAACTCTTTGAAAGTCATTTGAGGCTGTCAGATACCTCTTATTTATTACAACAAACAGAGATGTCTACAGCCGCATTTCCTTTGGTGTTATTGCAATTGTCACTGGGATATCAGTGGCTGTCTGCAATGCTATCCTTGTAGATTGCATATCAGCATCTGATTGGCCCTTTTATGTACTATTTCAAAGTAATATAGAAGGTGTCCTCTGTCAGCTAAGAGAGACCACAGTGACTTGCACACAGTAGGCATTCAGCAAATGTTAATTAACCCGTCACTACCTCCCTTCACCACCCCCAGCCTCTTTTAGCTGTAGGAAAATGTAGAATCAAATGACCAGGCTGAAAGAGCATTATACAGTGACCAGCACTATCTTTGTTTCCAGCCAAAATAGATTTCAGAGGAACTATACATAAAACATTTGGGTGGAAACAGTTAGTGGGCCATTTCAAAAATGAAGCCAAAATTTGAGAAGAAATTTAGGAACTGAGGATACAGATTGTGAGATCATTTACCTCGAAGTTTGTAATGAAGCTGTAAAAGTGAATGAGTTTATGGAGATCACGTAAGAAAGAAAAGGGTGAGGACAGAGCCCTACACTTAATCGTGGAAGGAAGAAGAGAGCCCTGAAAAGAAAATAGAAAATCAGTCAATGAACTGGAATAAAATTACTTGTATTTTCTTATTTACTTATAATAGAAACTGTAAGAAGTGAATTTCCATAAAGGTTGTGTTAACAACTACAAAACATTCAAGGTAGATAAAGACTGAGAAAATGTAATCGATGATTGGGAAGTTGCTAGTTAACCTAGTTACTAGAATAGTTGCTGCCGAAACCAGCTTGCAAGAATTAAGAAATGAATCTAGGGCAAGGAAGTGGAGGGGATGAGAAAAACAACTCTTTCAAGAGTTCTGATGGTGGTAGGAAAAAGAGCATTAGTTCAGCGTCTCAAATGAGTGGTGGAGCCAGGAGTTCCCATGTGGGGCCCTTGCTGAGCCATGACATAAGTACTATGAATATGAATGTGGTAGATTGCAAAATGAGTGCAAAATCCTTCCGTGTGTTTATGTTCCTTTGCACTGTGACTTTGTAGCCCCTCCCATCAAGATATGGAGTCTATTTCTCCCTTGAACTTAGATTTGGTCACATGACTTTGCTTTGGCTGCTGGGACATTAACAAACGTGACGTAGTAGAGGCTTAAAAAGTGCTTGCATAATGGTGTTCACCTTCTCTTGTCCACTTTGTGAACAAATTTAGGCTTGTCTGCTACAGAGAGATGGCCTGGGGAGCATGGGAAGAAGGCTCAGCTCTTCCAGCTAAGACCCCAGACATGTGAGTGAGTTGAGCCCTAGTTGAACCTACTCAGATTAGGAAAATTGTCCAGCGAGCCACAGAATGGTGAGAAACAAACAATAAATGTTTGTTATCATAAGCCACTACCTTTTAGGGTAGTTTGTTACACAACAAAAGATGTGATACAATGAGATTTCTTTCTCTGGTGCCTATTCTCTGGACACACTTCTGAAGTAATGATATGAGACAAGAGTGCTGGGTGGCCGGGCGTGGTGGCTCACGCCTGTAATCCCAACACTTTGGGAGGCCGAGGCGGCACATCACAAGGTCAGGAGATTGAGACCATCCTGGCTAACACGGTGAAACCCCGTCTCGACTAAAAGTACAAAAAATTAGCCAGGCATGGTGGTGGGCGCCTGTAGTCCCAGCTACTCGGGAGGCTGAGGCAGGAGAATGGCCAGAACCTGGGAGGCGGGAACTTGCAGTGAGCCGAGATCGCACCACTGCACTCCAGCCTGGGTGACAGAGCGAGACTCCGTCTCAAAAAAAAAAAAAAAAAAAAAAAGAAAAAGACTGCTGGGTGACATCATCTTAGAAAACAAGGACAACAAAAATTGCAAATACCAATAATATCCTATCTACCCTGTAATCAGACCCTAAAAATCATTAAGTATTCAGAATGCAGCTGTGATTGTAGATAAGTACCAATGTCAAAAAGTTTCAACATCAAGGAGTTCCCTGTCAAAAAGTCTATGTAATTTATTTATGGCACAAGCACAGGGTCATTTCTCTGTGTTCATATTATAACCTGCTGATAGAGAATTCTATATGAATATGGTGACAGTTTTTTAATGTTTGGTGCTGGGCATGGTGGCTCAATCCCAGCACATTGGGAGGCTGAGGTGGGAGGATTGCTGAGGCCAGGAGTTTGAGACTAGCCTGGACAACATAATGAGACCCCATCTCTACAACAACAACAAAAATAAGCGGGGCATGATGGTGTGTGCCTGTAGTCCCAGCTACTCGGGAGGGTGATGCAGGAGGATTTTTTGAGCCCAGGAGTTTGAGACTGCAGTGAGCCATGATGGCACTACTGCAGTCCAGTCTGGGTGACAGAGTCAGCCCCTGTCCTACCAAAACAAACAAACAAACAAACAAACAAACAAAAAGTTTGGTGATTTGGTTTCCACAGCAGCTATTATTTCATATAAAAGCTACAGATAATATATTAGGAGTGCTTTTGGTTAAAGCAGAAAGACTAGAAACCAGCACACACGTGGACCTGGGGCTGAGAGGAGAAGCTATCAGATGGTACCAGCAGGGAAGCCCATTCCCACCTCTGGGTCCAGGAAAGATTGCAGTGGACACACACAGAAGCCCTGTCTATTTCACCAACCCCAGAGGGCATCTTGAACCACTACCTAATAGTATAGCTGACGTTCACAGCAAGGACTCAGAGCCATCAAGAACACGTTAAATGATGTTCAGTATACGCTGTTTAATGAGGCTGAGAAGAATATAATTCATTTTATTACGATTTCCATGAAAATGGCTAAAGCTTATAAAAGTTTGGTGCTTATACTGTCTAAGCTTCAGTTCACTGGAAAACTCGATGCTTTGTGACTCCTCGCTTTCTGACGATACAGATTGGTGAGGTATTAATTTAGGCATATTCATTTGGCATTATAATGTATGCTAAGACTACAACACAACAATTATTTCCAAAGACAGAAAAGAAGCATTGTTCAGCAAATGGAGAGTAGAACAGTACTTTGTTCAAATTAGGAAATAGACGTTGATGTGACTTCTTCATGGTGTTTTTTTTTTTTTAAACATCTGTCAGCATTCAGTGACCTCCTCTGCTTTTAGTCCACATTTGCCTAGGGCCAGATATTATCATTAATCATTTTGCCCCTCTACTCAGCAACTCAGCAAGTACTGGATTGGCCTTTTGTCCTCTTTGTTCAGCAATTTCAGGCTTTATATCAGCCTCCATAGAGGGTCCCTCTTTAGCTAGCCTACGTCTTGAACTCCTAATCTTCCTCTATTCTTACCATTGTCCTCCCCACATGGCATAAGTACTGTCATCCCAGCTTATCACATCTAATATTTTTAATTCATGAAAGGCTAGCATATTGGTTTCTGTGTAGAGCACAATTAGTGGTTCTTCAGCCCTTCATACCACCTTGTCTAGTACATCATCCAACAGGTCTAGTTTAGTTGTATCCCAGGTTACAGGCATCCAGCACCCTGCTCTCTAATTCAAGGGTCATAGAACTGAGTGACAGACCTGTGTACTATAATATTCTCTTGGTGATTTTATTAAGTTTCAAAATGTTTCTATCAGTTATCTAACATAGTCTAACACTCTCCAAATACCAGCCCTGTACTATATGGGATTTTTACATTGGATAAAAGTATTTCTAGATGCAACATGGATTATTTTTTAAAAAGTACTGACTTTGGTGTAAGACTTAAGTTCTAGGCCTGTTTCTGTCTCATGGTAACTACATGATCTTTGAAATTTTCTTAACCTCTCTGAGCTTTAGTATTTATCTCTATAAGGAACTCACTGCAAGCATTATATTAGGGTTAATGTCACTGCAAGGGTTAACTCATTGCAAGCGTTAATTCATGTATGTAAAGCACCCAGTTTAGTTCCTAACACAGGGAAGATACTAATAAATATTGACCATTTTCATTTTCTCCCTTCTTCACAATCTGTCTCATTTGGGATATTATCCTTTGGATATTGGTTGCTTTTAACTAAGGCCCTGTATAACAAAACTTTTCCAATAATATTTATTCATTTATTTATTTATCTATTTATTTATTTATTTTTTGAGACAGAGTCCTGCTCAGTCGCCCAGCCTGGAGTGCAGTAGTAGGATCTCCTCTCACTGCAAGCTCCACCTCCTGGGTTCAAGCCATTCTCCTGCCTCAGCCTCCCGAGTAGCTGGGACTACAGGTGTCCGCCACGACGCCAGGCTAATTTTTTTTGTGTTTTTAGTAGAGATGGGGTTTCACTGTGTTAGCCAGGATGGTCTCGATCTCCCGATCTCGTGATCTGCCTGCTGCGGCCTCCCAAAGTACTGGGATTACAGGCGCTAGCCACCGCACCCGGCCCAATTATTAATTGTTTATTTTTATTTTATTTATTTATTTATTTTTTGAGACGAAGTCTCACTCTGTTGCCCAAGCCAGAGTGCAGTGGTGCAATCTCAGCTCACTGCAACCTCCACCTCCTGGGTTCAAGTGATTATCCTGCCTCAGACTCCAGAGTAGCTGGGACTACAGGCACACACCACCACGCCTGGCTAATTTTTGCATCTTTAGTAGAGACCAGGTCTTGCCATGTTGGCCAGGCTGGTCTCGAACTTCTGACCTCAAGTGATCAGCCCGCCTCGGCCTCTAAAAGTGCTGGGATTACAGGCATGAGCCACCATGCCCAGCCAAAACTTTTTCAATAATTTTTATGAACTTTCCACTTCTCACCAAGTATATGAGCGTGGGGAGGGCTGGGAAATCTAGAAACTGCTCTTTAATTAGTTTGGGGCTGGTATTGACAGCACATTTCCCAACTTCCATTTTCTATCCCATGCTTCCTGCTTGTCATGTACTCTGTTCCTTTACACATCCCTAGAATTCAAGAATGGAAGAAGCACTTGTCAGGAAAACCATTTTTTCTTACCTCCAACATTGGAGAGTTTTGGCTTCCAAAATGAGAATTTCTGCCTTCCAGAATTATTGTAAAGTTTACCTATGCCCTTTCTTATAATCCCCTTCTTCATTTTTTCCCAAATGCTATGGTCCAAACGAGTCTAAAACTCTAAACCCTGTTAAAGTCCTGACCCTAAGGCAATGATATTAGGAGATGGGACCTTTGGGAAGGTGATTAGGTCATGAGGGCAAAGCCCACATGAATGAGATTAATGCTCTTATTAGAATAGGCTCAAGGGACTTCTTTTTTTCACCCCTTCCACCATGTGATGGCTCAGCCAGAAGTCACCATCTGTAGACCAGCAAACGGGCCTTTACCAAACACCGAGTCTGCTAGTGCCTTGATCTTGGACTTCCCAGCCTCCAGAACAGTGTGAAATGAATTTCCGTTGTTTATAAGCAACCCAATTTAATGGTATTTTGTTATAGCAGCCTGAGCAGGCTAAGACACCACAAGATAAGGAGAGACTAATCTGATTGGTGATATAGAAAAGTACTGAAATAGCTCAGCTCCTCTGGGCTTTCTCTTTAGGGCTGCCTGCCTACAAGCCAAGCTGCCCCTTAGCTCCAGCTTCCATGTGGTATCCCATATGGTCTGGTGGGTCACACAGTGAGAAGCAGAATATCTACCTCCATTCAGCTGCCTGAGTGTGTGCTTGGCAGATCCAATGTGGCTCTTTCTATGGGTCTCAAGAAATCGACTTCAGGCAAAGGAGAAAGGCCTTGATTTCAGCCATAGACCTATTCTCCCTTTCAGCATTTTTCAGCAAGAAAGCAGATATTTGGATCTCAATGGACTCTTGTGACTATTTCTCATTTGGCACCTCAGAGATCTCAACACCTCAGAGATCTCAACTAGTGTGAACAGGATTTAGTATGACCTCATCTCTTCTATTCCTTCTCACTAGTGTATAGTTATTGTGGGCATATTATTAGAGGAGGACTTTAACCATGAAGTACCCGCAGTCCAACCTCCCTCATTCTCCCAAGGAGAATGATGCTTGGAAGATATCGAGTCACCCATACTCACATGAGTAGTCAGTGTCAGAACCAAGGCTTGGAACAAACCCAGGTACTCTGACTCCTGGTCCAGAATTCTTGCCAGAGTGTTATGTTGCCTCTTCTTGGCTAAGTAGAATTCAAAGCAGATATGTGCTGGTGGACAAAATTCTCTGGACTCTCACCTTGGGTTCTGGCTCTCTCCTAGGTTTCCATTCTGAGTTTGATGTGGATCCAGTTATTACTAGCTTCTGGTCCTCTTATCCCACCTGGGTGTGAAAACTGCATGCACTACACATCTAGGTATCCCCAACTTGTCTGCAGGCCCCAGGAGAACTGAAGTGTCATAAAATATGATTCTTGAGCCTTCTAACTCAAAACCATCTTGTTGGAAGTAAGGCTGTATAAGTTTTGTATAAAGCATGTAGGGTCAGTTCTAACAGTCCAGAAATTTTATAACATCAGTGTATTTTCTAGGTCTAAGCTCTGTGGACTTGTCTTATTCTTCTTCTTCTTTTTTTTTTTTTTTTTAGTGTTTTCTTTTCTTTTCTTTCCAGCTCTTTTTTTTTTTTTTTTTTTTTTGAAGTGGAGTTTCACTCTTGTCACCCAGGCTGGAGTGCAATGGCACGATCTCGGCTCACTGCAACCTCCGTCTTCCGAGTTCAAGAGATTCTCCTGCCTCAGCCTCTCGAGTAGCTGTGATTACAGGTGCCCACGACCACGCCTGGTTAATTTTTGTATTTTTAGTAGAGACAGGGTTTCACTGTGTTGGCCAGGCTGGTCTCAAACTCCTTACCTCAGGTGATTCATCCACCTCAGCCTTCCAAAGTGCTGGGATTACAGGCGTGAGCCACTGCACCCAGATTTTTCTTAGTGTTTAATGTCATAAAGTCTAGAACTCCCTAGAATGACAAATGTGCTGTGGCAAATGATATTTCACATCAGTCATTTTGACTTATTATTTCCAAATGAAGCAGGATTGTCATGAGAAATACATATCACTGTACAATGGGTATAACCATAGTTGAATACACTGCAAATCTAAAATCACGTGTTTTTCAACCACTCTAACAAAGGTAAAGGGGTAGAATCATTGGGAAAGTATCCCTTATGTAACTCACAGGTAAGTTGTATCTCTACTTTCAGGTCCTGACAACATATGCTTGATCCCAGCTTATTGGACAGCATGAATAGAGCTGGGACCTCTGTTGTCTGAAAGGGAGGGAAGACCCAGGAACCATGAGCAGGAGAGGTGACTGGTTTCTGGAAGGCCCAGGTGATAGGGACTTCCAGAGTGTGCGGGTGGGCATGGGTGTGCTTGGTGGTGAGCAGAACATGAAGGTGGGGCACATGGCAGGGCTCTGTGCTTCCTTTCATGCCTTGGCTTCCTGGAAGGTCTTAACTGGCAATAGCCATCTTCAAAGAGAAGTGGCTGCTGCAGCCCTAGTGCAGTGAGACCCGAGACAGAGCCTTCAGTCCACCAGCCTGAACGACTGATATTTAAATGTCCTAATTAGAGATTTGTTTCTTTATGAGGATGGTATATTTTGAAAACATTAAACTATTTTATTTGTAATCCCCCTCGTCTCCCATTATCATCCCCAGCAGCTTAATGGACCAGACAAATGCTACCTTTTAAAAAGGAGTTATAACCTGAGAAAAGCCTCTATCAGGTAGAAAGGGGCAGGGGAAAAAGGTCCTTTTGTCTCGGAAAACTATGAAAATTAAGCAGTTAGCATGGATGTTCTGATCTGACCTTCTGGGACAAAATCCTGGAGGAAAGAGCAATGAGATGGGTTGAGGAGAAATCCAAAAGCGGAGAGAGTTTATACTCCACTCTTCTAACCAGGAAATCCATGATTCCTGTAGCTCATTAGCAGGCAAGCTGTATCTCCCACTGTAACTGCTGGAGGAGACCACCACGCTTGGTGGCTCCACTGGACCAAGAAGCCTCATGAGCAGAATAAAAATGGTGGCACAGCACAGTCTCCAACTGGAGAAGACTAAGTTGGCATTCCTAAGCTTCCTTCAGCAGCCTGAACACCCAAAGTGCCCAGGAGTTCCTGCCAGTTCTGGGGCTGCAGAACGTAGATAATGAGGCTGGCCTGAGTTTGCCATGAGAGAAGGAAAGAGACTTGGGCATAGGGCTGCAGGGCACGCCACCTAGGCTAGGGAAGTGACTGACACTCAGGTGTCACAAAGTCAGTGCCTCAGGCCTGACCAAGCTAAGATTGAAACAGGTTATCTGGCAGTTTGCCCGCAAATACAGCTGCTACCATTTCCTCTTCTACCTAGATGTATGAAGACAAGGAGTCTGTTTTCCTTCCCCTTGAATCTGGCTGACACTGCACCTTGTTTTGACCAAAAGATTGTGGCAGAAGTGATGTTATGTTGGTTTGAGGACATAGCCTGGCAGATTTTACTTTTGTTCTCTTGGAAGCCAGTTACTGTGATGTGAAGAAACAGGTTACACTCCTGAATGGTAAGAGGATGTGAGGAAAAAGACCCTGGAGGGGTCCAGCTTGGATGTTCTAGCCCCAGGCAAGCTCCCAGCTGAATACAGCCATATGAGTGACATCCACTCCATCTTGTGGAACAGAAAATTTGCCCAGCAGAGCCCAGTCAATCCACAAAATCATGAGATGTAATTGTTTTCATTGTCAAAATGATCGTTTAACCCACTAAGTTTTGAGGTGGTTAGTTATGTAGCGTAAAGTAATTATAATAAACAAAAATTCATCTGTCACAGATTTCATCAGTGGGATCCAGCCCAACCAGAAATAAGCCCATCGCAGTAGTAGAAACCAGCAAGGATCCAGAGAACAAACAACCGTTGAGTCTGAGGCCCTCTCTCCTCTACCTTCATGTACCCATGCACTATTTTGAGAAGGAGCAGCAGGAGGGGAAGAAAGAAGTTAGAAAAGCTGGTGTGGTAGGCAGAGTCATGACCTCCAAATATGTCCACATCCTAATACCTATAACCTGTGAAAAATTACCATACGGGATAAAGGGCAATTAAAATTGCTGATGGAAAGCCAAGCACAGTGACTCTTGCCTGTAATCCCACTGTGGGAGGCTGAAGTGGGAGGATCTCTTAAGCCCAGGAGTTTAGGATCAGCCTGGGCAACATGGTGAAACCCTGTCTCTACAAAAAATTAGCCAGGTACCACTGTACTCCAGCCTGGGTGATACAAAGAGACCCTGTCTCAAAAAAAAAAAAAAAAAAAAAAGGTAATTGATGGAGTTAAGATTGCTAATCAGCTGACTTTAAAATAAGGAGACTAACCTGGATTGTCCGGGTAGACTCAGTATAATCACAAGAGTCCTTAAATGTGGAAGAGTCCGTTCAGAGAGGAGAGATGTGAGAACTCTACACACTGTTGCTGGTTTTGAAGATGCAGGAAAGGACCATAAACCAAGGAATATGAGGGGCCTCTGGAATCTGGACAGTGCACAGAAATGGATTATCCCCTAGAGCCTCCAGAAAGAGACATAGCCCTGCTGACATCTGATTTTAGCCTAAAGAGACCCATTTTGGACTTCTGAACTATAGAAGGATAAGATAATAAATTCATGTTGTTTCAAGCCACTAAGTATGTGTGCTTTTTTGTTTTTGTTTTTGTTTTTTTTTTGCAACAACAGAAAACTAAAAGAGGTAAATTGTAAGTGATTAGATGATTGCTCCAATTAAGACTATCTTAAGATAGAAAAGACTGAGATGGCTTTAAATAGCAATTTTAGGAGTTTTTCTTCATAGCACCCAGTGTGGGAAGGCCAGAGAGTTAAGATTAGATCTTTCATGGGAAACAAAAATTTACTTTTTTGATTTTCACACTCTTGAGTATAGTGAGTTAAATTTGGGACCTGTTGGACATTTGTTCTGAAACTTGATTTTCTGTTAAAACAAACTGTCCTTGGAAGAGTCACACATTAAACTTTTCAGAATGAATGAGTTTATCTGATTGCTTCTGAACACGGGGCTTGAGTGAGGGGAGAATGGAGGAAATAGTCAAGCCTTGAGCATCCAGATTCCTGGGGTGGGGAGGAGTGGGGAGGAGGTAACGAGGCCAGGTAATTCCCAACTCCAAGGATGTGGCAGACATCATTGCTGTCCTTGAGCAGAGCTGTTATCAGTCCCACACAACGCCTCTCTTTACGAACAGTCTCAGAGGCACCATAAACTCTGCATCATGTGGCACTGAGTGCAGGTAGGAGTTCATTATGCCCAACAGCGAGACCAATCGCTTCATGTTACCTAGGGCCCTCACATTCTCATTGTTTTTTTCCACTGCATTTCAGATACCTGTGGTTTCAGCCCTGTAATTGGAACATCACATTTCATCATTGGTCTCTGGTTCTCCAAAGTAAAGGCTTTTTGAACCAAAAGTTAAAATATCAGCTTCCCGTGATCATTATCATCAATTATTATTCTTCACTCTTGAGGTGATACTTAACCATACAATGTTAGAAACACCATTGAATAAGTACTAATGAAATACTTCATAATAATACCACATCATTATTGTAATGATTACCAGGGATTTGTCATTCCTAAGACACACAAATATTTGGGGTATTTCAAGGCAACTACACAGGTCCTTGGATGCTCTTGAGTTCACTCTTAATTGTTTAGAATAGGGAGTGAGGGAGAAAGCTGGGGTAAGGAGGGGAGGGAAGCAAATCAGAGTTAGGTGATTGCTAAAGTCCCTGGGAGGCACAAGAGTGTGAGCTCAGGCATGAGACTACATAAACGCGGTCAAAGTCACTCTAACATTCTGTGACTCTGGGAGGTTACTTACCTCTCTGTCTATATAAGAAAAAAGGTGGGTGCAGTAAGAACAGTGCCTGCATCATAAGACTGATGTGATGATTACATAAGTTAATTCATATAAACACTCTGTTCTAAGTAGAAAGCCAATGCTTGATGAATATTAGTCATTTTTATACAGAACCCCAAAGTTGAGAAATCAACTCTTTCACAAGAACACAGATATTTTCCTCACTTACTGCATTTTACTAACTTCAAGATCAATGTTTCATTCACTTTGATTCCTTCCTCACGTGAGCTTGGTGTCCAGTTCCCTGCATATCTGGAGTCCTTGGAAACTTCTGAGAAGATTGATGCTGTTTCCAGGTTCCCTTATCAGGCCTCTGTTTCTGTTTCCCAACTGCTGCCTTTCCCCATGTGGTTCCAATACCAAAATATTTAGTCCATCTGTCCCAGAGGGTTTGGACTTTCTCTTCATTTGTGCTTCTTGAAATAATATGCTCCTGAGGCACAGACTGTTCCTTCATCACTAAAAAAGGTCAAGCATTTATTAGTCTGTGTATAAACATGACAACAAAGGAGTCCTTGTAAAAATGGAATGTTCAGCTTGGATAGAACACAGAGTAGTTCCTCTTGAATCTGGCAACTTCCCTTGGTTTTCATATCCTTTAAGTACACCATGTTAATATCACTGTTTCTTTCTTGAATTCCCAAGCCTTCCTTATAAATCCCCACGAACCCTTTGAGGTGCAAGTTTATTCATTTATAGAGCCTATAAGTACAATTTCTTTTTCAATTCAAACACATTAACAGGTTGTTCAGATAAACCAATTCTTTTTTTTTTTCTTTTTTTTGAGACAGGGTCTCACTCTGTCACCTAGGCTGGAGTACAGTGGCACGATCATGGCTGACTGCAGGCTTCACCTCCTGAGCTCAAGCAATCTTCCTGGCTCAGCCTCTTGAGTAGTTGGGACTACAGGCACGCACCACCACACCTGGCTATATATATATTTTTTATTTTTAGTAGAGACAAGGTCTCACTATGTGCCCCAGGCTAGTTTCAAACGTCTGATCTCCAGCGATCCTCCTGCCATGGCCCTCCAAAGTGCTGGGATTACAGGTGTAAGCCACCACACCCGACCCAGATAAACCAATTCTAATACTATGGATGGAAGGTGTACACTCCTGTGTGTTACACAACTACTTATCATAATAAAGGAAAATGACTTTGCTTTGCCACCAGCTGCCATTTCACACAGATGTGGCTCTGATCCCCTTGAGCAGCAACTCCTGGAAGCCCAAATTCTGGTTCATTTTCTTCTTGCTCTTCAGATGACACTAACCAAACACAGAGCTCTATCACCATGGTTTTCCCATTCCTCATGGAAGCCAACCACTGTCTGCATTAGCCTGTTCCCTTCTTAAGCCTGATCCTTTTAGACATTATATATCATCTATCTTTGTAAAACATAGCTTCTGTTTCAGAACTAGTAACACAGTCTGGGTTTAAAAAAGTTTTCATACTTCCATGTTGTCTCTATAAGCTGTTGTGAGACTTCAATGTACATAGGGCCCATTAAAACCAGTTTTTTCAATCCGCATTCCTTTTCATGCTAAGAATGTCTCAATATGGGAGCATTCTCTTTTTTTTTTTTTTTTTTTTTTTTGTCTTTTGAGACAGAGTCTCGCTCTGTCGCCAGGCTGGAGTGCAGTGGCATGGTCTTGGCTCACTGCAACCTACCAAAGTGCTGGGATTACAGGCATGAGTCACCGCGCCCGGCCAGGAGCATTCTACATGATCAATAGTGTTGTTGGTGTTCTTGTCCTTTTTATTTATTTATTTTTTTGAGAAGGAGTCTCGCTCTGTTGCCCAGGCGGGAGTGCAGTGGCACGATCTCGGCTCAGTGCAGCCTCCATCTCCCAGGTTCAGGTGATTCTCCTGCCTCAGTGCTCACTACCACCCCCGCTCCCCACCCCCCATCCAGTAGCTGCAATTACAGGTGCGCACCACCATGCCTAGCTAATTTTTGTATTTTGGAGATGGGGTTTCTCCATGTTGGTCAGACTGGTCTCAAACTCCTGGCCTCAGGTGATCCGCCCGCCTCGGCCTCCTAAAGTGCTGGGATTACAGGCATGAGCCACCGTACCCAGCCTGGTCTTCTTGTTCTTGTTCTTTTTGTTCTTGTTTTGGCTCTCTCTTCCTCCTTTTCCTGCCCCACTCCTCTTCTTCCCCCTTCTCTTCCCCCTTCTCCCCTCCTTCTCCCTTCTCCCCTCCTTCTCCCTTCTCCCCCTTCCCCTTTTCCTTCTCCCTGTTCTATTTTTCTTCTTCTTAACCTGACTTGCCTTTTTGTCCAGAGCTGGCCAGGAAAGCAATGAGGCTTGGAAAAAGATCCACAACATGTTGGCTCACTAAATACTTACTTTACCGCTATGAATTTCTCTGGTGTATGGCAGGAAGTCACGTGGTAGTATATTTTTAACTTGATGTCAACTTGTATTATTTTGTAAATACATAAGTGAATATCAGCCCTGAAATTTAGTGGCCTATCCTTCTCACAGGAAGTACAAAGTACATTTCATTCAAGTGAATGAAACAAACATCTGCTTTCAGGGCTGGCCCCAACTTACTTTTCTAGTTTCTTCAACCATATGCCCCTTGACTTCCCCAACACACACACGCGCACACACACCCCACCACTACACAGCACACACACACTGCTGTTGGCACATCATATTTTTCCCTTTCCTCTGAGCTTAGGACAGTTTTTGAGCTCCAATTAGGGGAATGAATGAATGAAATGAGCTGTGCAATCACGCCCTGCTTTTCTGGTCATCTTTTCCCTGCCTTTTGGACTATCTCCCTTCCCACTACCCCATTTTTATGGAGGAAGTTTCTATTCATCTTTCAAGGCCCAGTTTGCTGCTGTCTCTTCTTCAATCCTCACTCAGGATTACTCTCTTCTCCTCCTTCTACTTACAGGGTTTTCCTTCTTCAATATCACTCCTGCTCTGCCTTTGTTTGCCTTTTTTTGTTTGCTTTTCCTCTTCTCTCCTTACAGTAAAAGTTTCTTCATGGTAGAAAATGTCTTTTTCATTTCTGTATCTCCCAGTCGAGCACAATGGCTGCCATAAGATAAGCGCTGAGATGTTTAATGTCTACTGGTAATTGAGCTCAGAGAGGATGACTTTCAAATTCCAGGCATACAGTACAGTGGAAAGTGTCTAATACCCAAGAAACAGGATGCACAGTGGGAGTTTACATATGGGCACTCCAATGTAGATACCCTGTAGTCACTCGAATCTATGGGTCTGGAGCTGAGGCGAGATCAAGACTAGATATATAGAGTCAGGAGTTACCAGTGTAGCAGTGAGAATTAAAACCAGGGGAGTGGGTACAGAGTGAGAATTGAGGAGGGCTGAAGAAAGTCAACGTTTAAGGGTGGACAATGGATGGGACCCAGCAGTGGACTCTGAGAAGGAGTGGTTTGAGAGGTGAACAAAAAGAGAGTAAAGTCATACAAGCTAGGGGAGGAGTCAAGTTCAAGAAGGATGGTGGTGACTAGGGTTAACTGCTACAGTACTAGGGCAGCTGCTAGATAGAGGTGCAAGGTCAATATAGGCTTTTCAAAGGAGGGAAGTGTTGCTTTTCTTTCAAAGGTTCTTATTTTCAAGGTTGAATCAAATATTTGATAATTAAAACCTTAGGGGTCTAGGAGCTATAGGAACCAAACTCTCAGACAATTATAAACCTCATCAAATCTCACCAGGAAAACTATATTCTAATCTGGATTTCCCTGCTTCTCCCTATAAAAGGCATTACAGGAATATGACAGAAATTTTGTTCACAGCCTGTGACTACCTTAGAGTAATTGAGGATCTTTAAACCATATGTCCTCCGTAGCTGGTGAAGCCTTGTCTTCTTGTGGGGTCACTGGGAAAGGGTTCCTAAAGAAAGCCTTTGAGAGTGTGAAGAATATCATTAATCACCACTGAGCCTCCAAGAGTAAGAGAAAAGTAGCACTTAAAGGCAAAAGATGCCTCGAGATAGGCATTTTAATTTTTTGCCATGATAACAATCGTTATCACAATTTAATTTATATTTATTTGCATTTGCATTATTTAAATTGAAAGAAAATATGACCTTCTTTCTGAAATAGATTAAATTAGTATCAGTACAGAAATGACTACGTAATATTTTTCTTTTCTTATTTTATTTTTGGAGTAGAGAAGCAACCCATCTATCCATTCTTTCATCTGGTTTTTCATACACCTATCCATCTATCCATATATCTATCTGTCTGTCTGTCTCCCCAAATCATTTTAAGTCCCCCTTATGAGCTTTATGTATTCTGTAAGACCCTAAACCTGTAAAAACGAGCAGGACCAGATCAACATAGTCACCATTCATTATATATGAATTTGATCTAAAACATCATTCAAATTAAGTCAGGGATAAGGAGATCATTTAAAGATAAAACCTAAAGATATGCCTTAGGAGGCATCTCTGTACTTCTTCAGTGTACTAATGCTCGCTGGCATTATTGCTATCACTGATAAATGTCAAAGGGGAGAGTGATATTTTTGGAGTTGATTTTTTTACCCTATTACAAAAATAGATTATAAACACACATATGTCACAGAAAGAACTTAAGCTAATATTTCTATATAGGGACAAGCATTAGCATATTTTTAAAGTTCACAGTTACATTTCTGTTGTCAGTTATAATCGTCTCTTGGTTTGAACTCATTATTTTAAGATAGCTATCAAAAATCTATTGGTATAATGTAATCTGCTTAAATTTCACAAGTGTGTGAAAATTTTACAGTCAAAGAGTTCCTAAAGGAAGCTGTGTAATTCAATATTTTCATATAACCATCTTCATAAAGGCACAGAGCTGACTTAAACCAACAAAGGATAGTCCCTAATAACAACAACATAAAGCTATAATTGAACTCAAATTCATGAATATTTTATTTTTAGATAGTTATTTTCCACTCGGACATTAGTCTAAATCAGTATTTAGTTACAATTTACACTAAGCATATGCTTTGGAGGAAGACCATAGATAAAAAGCAAAGTATAAATGAGTCAAAGTTACCCATATCATCATGACACTCTACCACAGGTCCCTTTGCTCCTCTTAGAAGGCAGCTTAGTACCTCCAAGGTTGGAGAAGGCACTAGGTTTATCTGGATTTCTGCTCAGAGAAGTGAATGATACAATGTTTTACATGAGAATCTTGGAGAAAGCTAAGATTTCTCCAACCTTAGAGGGGATTCCCTTTCTAGAAGCCCCTTGCTTGCTGTGTTGGCAGTTGGAATGCCATATTATACAATATACTCGCTTTATTTAGTCAAGGAGACTGTTGAGGCAGTGTCAAACAGCAGGTACAAGAGCTGCAGGAGCTCTTATTATTCATCACAGTTTGGCAGCCTGATGGGTAAAGACAAGTATTGGTGGGATACTCAGGTCACAAACTTCTTTTTCCCACTGCACTTGCAGGGTATGCATTAGTCAGCTCTGCTACTGTAACAAGCAACCCCAAAATCTCAGTTACAACTACAAATACTTATCCTGGATCTGGAATAAAGAAGACAGGTGCATCAAAACTGGCTTTATGTCTTCTTCATTCCAGATCCAGGCTGAAAGAGCAGTCCATTTTGGGGTATGCCATTCCTATGACAGAGAGAAAACAGCAAGAGAGCTGGTGGAATACAATCACTCTTAAAGATTTGGCACAGATGAGGCATAGTCAAGGTCACCCACAAGGCCTAGTCACTCACGTGCCCAAGCCTGACATCAAAGGTGCAGAAATTGTAGACTCTCCCATAGGAGGTACTCCAAGAGAAGGAGAATAGGGTCTGGAGGCAGGGAACCTAAGGCTGATTTACCCTGACTTCCTAGAACTAAATCAAAAGGAAAAGCCTGACTTTCCACACCCAAGTAACAAAAGGATGAGAGGCTACTGCCTTTGCAACCCCCTTCCCCGCTTTTCCACATGGTAGATGAAAAATTGAAAGTACCTCTGATTGGTCCCCCCTCACAACCAATCAGACTGATCTTGGGCCAAGTCTTCGTTTGCATAGGAGTATAACTCTATAACTTCATTTCAGCCTCTGATTGGTCACTTTCCACAACCAATCAGACGTTTGCATAGGTTGCAACTTTGTAACTTAACTTCAGCCTCTGATTGATTGTTTTCCTTAACCAATTGGGCTGATCGTGGGCCACTACTTCATTTACACAGGATGTACACCAAATAACCAATGAAAAACCTCTAGAGGGTATTTAAATCCCAGAAAATTCTGTAACCAGAGCTCTTGAGCTGCTTGCTCGAGCCTGCTCCCACTCTGTGGAGTGTACTTTCATTTCAATAAATCTGTGCTTCTCTTTTGTTGCTTTGTTTGTGCATTTTTGTCCAATTCTTTGTTCAAAATGCCAAGAACCTGGATACCCTTCACCAGTCACACAAGTCTGTGTAATCTGTCAGAATGGGGAGTGAGTTGCTGGAAACAAAAACACAATCTATGTTCCTTGCTGCAGCCCCTACCCAGTTCTCCAGCCTATTCCTTCAAGCCCCTCCTCTTCAATGCCAGCTCAAGGAGGGTAGTTTGGAGAGCTCCATGGTGAAGGACTGTGCCCAAGAAGTGGGGCTGCAGCAGCTGTTGTTGCCATTCATCCCTGCTTTGTTCTCAGCGGCCTCTAAGTGCAGAAGGCGGAATAAATTGGCAAGAACTGAAGATGAGTTGGAAGGCAAACAAGAGAACTGAGAGCTTTCTCATTAACTAAAGGGGTCATTGAGATAATGCTTGAGGCAAGAGGCAGAGTGACCTTTAGGTACTTGGCTGGAGGGCTGTCCTGAGAGAATGGAATGAAGCTCACCCCTTAAAGCCATCATCCCCTTCAATTAATATTTACTGAGCACTACTAAGACACTGACCCTGTACTCAGAACTGTAAGCTTTCCTGGGTTGGAAAAGGCTCTGACTAATTTGCACATTAAAAAGCACACAGACAGAGGAACCCACCTTTTTTTCCCTTTCCCAGTCACCCTGGGAGAGACCGTCTTCTCTTCTTCATTCATGTGTGGAATCCCAATTAAGCGTAGTAAACAAAGGAAACTTCTTACATTGTGATTTTCCTCCCTCTTCCCTTGTTTTATTTGCAGTCTGGATTTATTGCTCAAGAATTACCTCCTTTAAGCATCATCCCCTATTAGCCAGAGAGATAAAAGCCATAAAGGGAAGGGAACTCCTTCAGTTCTCTTTGCCAGTTGTGAGACAGAGCAGCTGCGTTTACAAGGGGAGTTGACATCTGTTGACTGAGCCGAGCCTGTCCTGCCCCAGCACTGTGCTCATGCTTGGAATGCAAACTGCAGCTATCAGAGACAGCGCCGGGGTTTAATAACTGCTTGAGCCCAGAGCAAATCTACTTGGGCACTAGAAAAGAAATTGTATAGTTTTAAAGCAGATGTATGCTCTTAACGTGGTTGGCTTGTAAAGCAATAAAACTTGGGGTTTTTCCCCCCTTAGCCTATCACAACTCTTAGAATAAACAGTGTACTTAAGACAGGGCGATTCTATCACAATTCCATGTAATATTTAGTCCATATAACAAGATAAAATTTGAATTAGCATCACATATAGAAGGCATTTCATTTTCTCACATACAGTACAATATTAAGCGCAAACAACATATGTCTCCATGGTTATAAACAACAGCGTCATGTTTGCAAAACAGATCCTATATGTAGAACGTCTGTAAATGGGAGAAAATATGGGGCTTTTGTTGGTTAAAATGATGTTAAATATTTCAAGTCGCATGATCTTTATAAGAAACATTTTCAGGGGCCAGGCGCGGTGGCTCACGCCTGTAATCCCAGCACTTTGGGAGGCCGAGGCGGGTGGATCACGAGATCAGGAGATTGAGACCAGCCTGACCAACCCTGATGGGGTTTAGTAGTGAAACCCCATCTCTACTAAAAATACAAAAAACTAGCTGGGTATGGTGGTGCATGCCTGTAATTCCAGCTACTCGGGAAGCTGAGGCAGGAGAATCACTTGAACCCGGGAGGCAAGGGTTGCGGTAAGCCGAGGTCGCTCCACTGCATTCCAGCCTGGGCAACAAGAGCTCTTTCTCTGTGACCTTGAAAAAATCAACTGGTCTGAGCCTCCATTTCTTCACCTGCCAGAATAAGGATGTTGGGCTAGATCAAGGTTTCTTTAGGTGTATTGTGAGGAACATTATTTCTGAGGAAATTAATGGGAGTAATTTTTTAAAAATTATTTTTGGCTGGGCACGGTGGCTCATGCCTCTAATCCAAGCACTTTGGGAGGCCAAAGTGGGTGGATCTCCTGAGGTCAGGAGCTCGAGACCAACCTGGCCAACATGGCAAAACCCCACCCCGTCTCAACTAAAAATACAAAAATTAGCCAGGCGTGGTAGTGGGTGCCTGTAGTCCCAGCTACTCGGGAGACTGAGGCAGGAGAATCTCATGAACCCGGGAGGCGGAGGTTGCAGTGAGCTGAGATCGCGCCACTGCACTCCAGACTCCAAACGGAGTCTTGCTCTGTTATATTTGGAGGGTACAATGCAGATTTCTTACATGCGCACATAGCATACTGTCGGAGTCTGAGCTTTTAGTGTAACTGTCACCCAAATAGTGAATGTAGTACCCAATAGGTACATTTTCAACCCTCACCCCCCTCCTGCCCTCCCACCTTTTGGAGTTTCCAGTGTCGATTATTCCACTCTGTAGGTATGTATGTATGGACATGTGTATTCAAGGAGTAATATTTTTAAAAAGGCATTCCATGGTCAAATAAGTTTAGGAATTGTGACATTAAACAAAATTAAACATATTTCTTTATTCAGAAATTTAGTGTGCTAATAATATTCACCACGATGCTCCAAGAGGGAGGCAGAGTATGCATTTCCCTTATTTATTTTACCAAAAGCTTTTTCTTGTAAAACGGTTCTCAGAACTAGTCCACACACTGGACTTTAAAGACCCTTTAACTTATGACATTCTATGATTCTATTGCCTTTTTATTCTGCTTATCTTTCCAATTTTTCTCACCTATTTCAGGAAAAGACCTACTTGGGCTTTTGAATTCATTCAGAAGGTGAAGTTTAGTTTGTTCCTCATTTCTTTCATCCTTTATTCTTTTTTCTCCTACAAATTTTTTATTTTGAAAAACTTTAAGCCCTCAGAAAAGTTGGAAGAATAGTACAATACGTATATATTCTTCACTTAAATTCAACAATTGTTAACATATTGCCTCAGTTGCTTTCTGTCTCACTCTCTCTACCCATGTGCCTAGACACACATATACATTATATATATATTCTATGTATAATTTTATTGCTGAACTATTTGAAAATAAATTTCAGACATCATGACACTTCATCATTAAATACTTAAAAATGTATCTTCTAAGAACAAGGAAAATTTCCTGGGTAACCTCAAAACCACTACTGCATCTGAGAAATTGAACATTGATTAATATCATCTAATGTATACTCTGTGTTTAAATTTCCCCAATTGACTCTAAAATATCTTTATTTTAGAGTCCATTTAGGGTCCATTAGCTACTCAGCCTCCCGAGTAGCTGGGACTACAGGCGCCCACCACCATGCCAGGCTAATTTTTTGTATTTTTAGTAGAGATGGGGTTTCACCGTGTTAGCCAGGATGGTCTGGATCTCCTGATGTCGTGATCCGCCTGCCTCAGCCTCCCAAAGTGCTGGGATTACAGGCGTAAGCCACCGCGCCTGGCCTCATGACATTTATTTATTTTTATTTTTGAAAAGCCCAGGTCATTTATTTTGTAGAAAGCCTAAGATTTTTAATTTTATGACTGTATGGTTTTTTCCTCATAATTATATTTAGTTCACATATTTTTGGCAGAATATTAATATGTGATATTTTTGTGTACTTCACATCGCACCATAACAGGGGCATGTCATGTCACTTTGTCTCATTATTGGTGGTATTTTGGGTAACAGCTAGGTTAAAATGTTATTTCCTGTAATTCTCTATTGTAAACGTGGGGCCAGGCGTGGTGGTAGACGCCTATAATCCTAGCACTATGGGAGGCCAAGGCAGCAGATCGCTTGGGCCCAGGAGTTTGAGACCAGCCTAGGCAACATGGCCAATCCCACCTCTACAGAAAATGCCAAAACTGAGGTGGGAGGATCACCTGAGCCTGGGGAAGTCGAGGCTGCTGTAAGCCGTGATCACACCACTGCACTCCAGCCTGGGCAACAGAGTGAGACCCCCATCTCAAAAATAAAATAAAATAAAATAAAATAAAATAAAATAAAATAAAATAAAATAAAATAAAGGTATCTTTTCCCCTTGGCAATTAACAAGTGATCTGACAGTTGATGTTTTAAGAATTATGAATAACTTGGTTCCCATCAATTTTTCACCTAATGGCTTTCCCATTTACTGATGATCCTTCCCTGAACAAAATATTACACTGGGAATTGCAAGATAGTGGTTCTTCTAATTCTATCATCCCTGCTTCTTTATTAGCTGTTACTCTTCTGTAAAGTAGAGCTTTTCTTTTGCTCTCCCCTCACATTGAGTATCATAACATATCATAGATTTTTTTTATTAAATGTTTTATCATCTGTTTTGTAATTCATTATTTTAAAATGATTATTCAGGGGCTAGTCTGTGCCAGGTATTGAAGTGAGATTAACCTAATGTTAGTCTCAGTTTCCCTTACCTTTCCTTGCAAATACTTAGGAAACCAGTATCAGTGGGAACATGAACAACTCATCCAAATTCTTGAACTGGTAACTACTTAGCTTCAAAGTTTGTTAGGTGGTAGAAGAAATTGAAGATGAAGATGGGAGTTGAGAAAGGCCCCCAAATTGTAATTATTACTCCCTTTTTATAAACCTTGGTCAGGCTACTGTGGTTACAGCAATCATCAGATGGCCATCTTAATCATCACACAGGAAAGAAAAAAAATCAACTACCATCTCTGTGGAACTATGCTGGGTCTGACTCAGAGGGCAGGGAATCTCAACACCAAAAACTCAGCCTCCCAAGATCCATGGAAAGAGAATCTATGTTTCTATGTTAAGCACAAAATGAGTCTTTTAATGATCACCCAAGGCACTAGGAAGACCTGGGGGAATACGTTTTTATCTTTAACATGTAGTAGATTCTTATGTAAATACCAAAGGACCAAAGTCCCTGGACAAGTCAGGGAGCCTGGGAGCACTTCCCTGGTCTGACACAGGACACAGGTCCCACACCAGCAGTATCCTTACCTCTCCAGGAGAATCTGAATGACAGAGCTGGGAGCCTACTTTCAGTGGAAAGATAAGGGACACTAGTTTCTGGAAAGAACAGACCAACCCATCCTGGTCATATTTTCCAGTGGCAAGTGTATTCTGAGTGTTATGTGGCAGGGGTGGGGGAGGATTTTGCAGTGTAACAAGCCTGGGTACCATGGGACCCTGCTGACTGGCAGAGGTTGGCAAACACATCTAAAGGACGTACATTCTTTTGGACTTGATTTTGTTCCTTTTAGGGAAGTCTCTGCTCCCTTGTGGAGCCTTCCAGCCTCAGAAAAAAGGTACAGTCTGTGTTCCCAAAGTGAAGCAGCAGGCATAACAGACAGAAACTGGCATCTTGCCAGGGGGATCAGTAGTCAGGGGGTGGTGGTGGTACCTGGAGCCTTTGTCACCTCAGTGAGTATACAACTTCAGTGGCTCTGTGAAGTCATGGGGGAAGATCCACCCAGCTGTCAGAGAAACTCCAAAGGGATAAGGGCTCAATGGAAAAAGTCCAGGGTTTTGAGATGAAAAAACTCAGGTTCAAATGCCATTCCCTAAAATTTATGAAACATAAGACAACTTACTTAATACCAGTTCCTTCATCTGTAAAATAGAGATAAAAAATCCCTCACAGATGTGCTGTGAGAATCAAGGTAAAGTAAAGCATGTGCCTACTTTATCGTTAGGATTCCTTTTTTTTTTTTTTTTTTTTTTTTTTGAGATGGAGTCTCACTCTGTTGCTCAGGCTGGAGTGCAGTGGCACGATCTCGGTTCACCAAAACCTCCACCTCCCAGGTTCAAGCGATTCTGCTGCCTCAGCCTCTGAGTAGCTGGGACTACAGGCGCACACCACCATGCCTGGCTAATTTTTTGTATTTTTAGTAGAAACGGGGTTTCTACTAAATCCCGTTTAGTTGGCCAGGCTGGTCTCAAACTCCTGACCTCAAGAGAACCACCCACCTTGGCCTCCCAAAGTGCTGGGATTACAGGCATGAGCCACCCCGCCCAGCCCATTAAGATTCCTTTCATTCCAGGTAACAGAAACCCACCTGAGCCAGTTTAAGAAAAAAAAAGCAAGAGAGATTGAGAGAGAGAATTAATTGTAAGGTTATAGTGATGTCTCATCATTCTTAACATTAGTAATTCAGCTAAGCCTTATAATGAGGCTGGAATCAAAAAATAAAAGGTCATCAGGAGTCATTGTAGCTTTACTTTGTACATCTGGGGTTTTTTCCTCTCCTTGTAAGGTTTGGCTTTCTCTCCTCCAAACCAACAGAGCTGACAGAATTTAGCTACCTAGAGCTCTTGAATGTACATCTTCCAAGACACTAACATAGGGGGAACCAGAATCTCATAATCCCAAGTCCAAAGTCTCACAACAATTTGATTCTTCCCCTTATAACATAGGTTCACTGTGGTCATGAGTGGATGGGGTTGGAACAGTGGGAGGGTGCACTAGGCTCAAGCAGCACACACAGCTGAAAGGCTCGCCCCTGTGTGAGAAGGGGAGCTGCAGGGATTGTTGTGGGCTGGGTAGATGCTCCAGAATGTGCTTTCTTTTTTTTTTTTTTTTTTTTTTTCAGTACAGCTCTTCAAGAATTTATTTATTTATTTTTATTATTTTGTTGTTGTTGTTGTGTCATCTTTTTTTTTATTATTATTATACTTTAAGTTTTAGGGTACATGTGCACAATGTGCCGGTTAGTTACATATGTATACATGTGCCATGCTGGTGCGCTGCACCCACTAACTCGTCATTTAGCATTAGGTATATCTCCTAATGCTATCCCTCCCCCCTCCCCCACCCCACAACAGAACCCCACCCCAGAGTGTGATGCTCCCCTTCCTGTGTCCATGTGTTCTCATTGTTCAGTTCCCATCTATGAGTGAGAATATGCGGTGTTTGGTTTTTTGTCCTTGCGATAGTTTACTGAGAATGATGATTTCCAATTTCATCCATGTCCCTACAAAGGACATGAACTCATCATTTTTTATGGCTGCATAGTATTCCATGGTGTATATGTGCCACATTTTCTTAATCCAGTCTATCATTGTTGGACATTTGGGTTGGTTCCAAGTCTTTGCTATTGTGAATAGTGCTGCAATAAACATACGTGTGCATGTGTCTTTATAGCAGCATGATTTATAGTCCTTTGGGTATATACCCAGTAATGGGATGGCTGGGTCAAATGGTATTTCTAGTTCTAGATCCCTGAGGAATGGCCACACTGACTTCCACAATGGTTGAACTAGTTTACAGTCCCACCAACAGTGTAAAAGTGTTCCTGTTTCTCCACATCCTCTCCAGCACCTGTTGTTTCCTGACTTTTTAATAATTGCCATTCTAAAAATTTTTGCAACCTACTCATCTGACAAAGGGCTAATATCCAGAATCTACAATGAACTCAAACAAATTTACAAGAAAAAAACAAACAACCCCATCAAAAAGTGGGCAAAGGATATGAACAGACACTTCTCAAAAGAAGACATTTATGCAGCCAAAAAACACATGAAAAAATGCTCATCATCACTGGCCATCAGAGAAATGCAAATCAAAACCACAATGAGATACCATCTCACACCAGAATGTGTTTTCTATACGTACCTAGGGCAGTATCTGTCACACAATGAGGGCTTAGTAGGTGTCACTTTCCTTTTTCTTTCCCTCAGACAAGATATGATTAATGTAAGAGCAGAGATGGGGACAACTACCCAGATTTTTCTAGGGGCATCCAGGGCCTCAGGATAAGTGCAATGGAAATCACTGGGATTATTGAGGTGTCTGACACCACCACCACCACTGGGATAAATAAGGTGGGCTGTGTACTTTTATAACTTCCTTGCCCTTCCTAAATTTGGCTTCTTGCTATGTTCTTTGAGACATATCTGATCGCCCTTGGAAAATTCCCTGCTCCTGGTGATATAGTGTCAGAAACAACCCTGCTATGGAGAAAAGTACTCTATGGAAGTAGGGGGTTAGAAGGTCATGGTTAGGGCTAAGAGTCAAAGAAAATACTTAGGAACTCAAGGAATAGAATCCCTACTGGCAAGTAGCTGGCTTTTTCTTATAGCTGTAGACCACATTGCCAAGTGCAGAATGTCAGGCCTCTGAGCCCAAGCTAAGCTATCATATCCCCTGTGACCTGCACGTACACATCCAGATGGCTGGTTCCTACCTTAACTGATGACATTCCACCACAAAAGAAGTGAAAATGGCCTGTTCCTGCCTTAACTGATGACATTGTCTTGTGAAATTCCTTCTCCTGGCTCATCCTGGCTCAAAAACTCCCCTACTGAGCACCTTGTGACTCCCACTCCTGCCCGCCAGAGAATAACCCCCCTTTGACTGTAATTTTCCTTTACCTACCCAAATCTTATAAAACAGCCCCACCCCTATCCCCTTTGCTGACTCTCTCTTCGGACTCAGCCCGCCTGCACCCAGGTGATTAAAAAGCTTTATTGCTCACACAAAGCCTGTTTGGTGGTCTCTTCACACGGACGCGCATGAAATTTGGTGCCATGACTCGGTTCGGGGAACCTCCCTTGGTAGATCAATCCCCTGTCCTCCTGCTCTTTGCTCCGTGAAAAAGATCCACCTACAACCTCGGGTCCTCAGACCCACCAGCCCAAGGAACGTCTCACCAATTTTAAATTGGGTAAGCGGCCTTTTCTTACTCTCTTCTCCAACCTCTCTCACTATCCCTCAACCACTTTCTCCTTTCAATCTTGGTGCCACCCTTCAATCTCTCCCTTCTCTTAATTTCAATTCCTTTCATTTTCTGGTAGAGACAAAGGAGACACGTTTTATCCATGGACCCAAAACTCCAGTGCCGGTTCATGGACTCAGGAAGGCAGCCTTCCCTTGGTGTTTAATCATTGCAGGGACACCTCTCTGATTATTCACCGACGTTTCAGAGGTGTCTGACCACACGGGGCATCTGCCTTGGTCCTTCACCCTTAGCGGCAAGTACCACTTTTCTGGGAGGCAAGAACCCCCCAACTCCTTCTCTCCATGTCTCTACCCTTTCTCCACTTTTCTGGGGCCAAGAACCCCCCAACCCCTTCTCCTTCACCCTTAGCGGCAAGTACTGCTTTTCTAGGGGGCAAGAACCCCCGATCCCTTATTGCCATGCCCCAACCTCTTATCTCTGTGCCCTGATCCCTTATTTCCATGCTCCAACCTCTTATCTCTGTGCTCCGATCCCTTATTTCCATGCCCCGACCTCTTATCTCTGTGTCCCAGCCCCTTATTTCCACGCCTCAACCTCTTATCTCTGTGCCCCAACCCCTTATTTCCATGCCCCGACCCCTTTCCCGCTTTTCTGGAGGGTAAGAACCCCCGAACCCCTTCCCTCCATGTCTCTACTCTCTCTTTTCTCTGGGTTTGCCTCCTTCACTATGGGCAACCTTCCACCCTCCATTCCTCCTTCTTCTCCCTTAGCCTGTGTTCTCAAGAACTTAAAACCTCTTCAACTCACATCTGACCTAAAACCTAAACGCCTTATCTTCTTCTGCAACACCGCTTGGCCCCAGTGCAAACTTGACAATGGCTCTAAATAGTCAGAAAACGGCACTTTCGATTTTTCCATCCTACAAGATCTAGATAATTCTTGTAAAATGGGCAAACGGTCTGAGGTGCCTGACGTCCAGGCATTCTTTTACATATCAGTCCCTCCCTAGTCTCTGTTTCCAATGCAACTCATCCCAAATCTTCCTTCTTTCCCTCCTGCCTGTCCCCTCAGTCCCAGCCCCAAGTGTTGCTGAGTCTTTCTAATCTTCCTTTTCTACAGACCCATCTGACCTCTCCCCTCCTCGCCAGGTGGAGCTAGGTCCCAATTCTTCCTCAGCCTCGGCTCCTCCACCCTATAATCCTTTTATCACCTCCCCTCCTCACACCCGGTCTGGCTTACAGTTTCATTCCGCTTCTAGCCCTCTCCCACCTGCCCAGCAATCTCCTCTTAAAAAGGTGTCTGGAGCTAAAGGCATAGTCAAGGTTAATGCTCCTTTTTCTTTATCCAACTTCTCCCAAATCAGTTAGTGTTTACACTGTTTTTCATCAAATATAAAAAACCCAGCCCAGTTCATGGCTCGTTCGGCAGCAACCCTGAGACGCTTTACAGCCCTAGACCCTAAAAGATCAAAAGGCCGTCTTATTCTCAATATACATTTTATTACCCAATCTGCTCCCAACATTAAATAAAACTCCAAAAATTAAATTCCAGCCCTCAAACCCCACAACAGGACTTAATTAACCTGGCCTTCAAGATGTACAATTCCTTGCCTCCACTGTGAGACAAACCCCAGCCACATCTCCAGCACACAAGAACTTCCAAATGCCTAAACCACAGTGGCCAGGCATTCCTCCAGGCCCACCTCCCCCAGGAGCTTGCTACAAGTGCCAGAAATCTGGCCACCAGGCCAAGGAATGCCTGCAGCCCAGGAATGCCTGCAGCCCAGGATTCCTCCTAAGCCGTGTCCCATCTGTATGCGACCCCACTGGAAATCAGACTGTCCAACTCACCCCCTAGAGCCCCTGGAACTCTGGCCCAAGGCTCTCTGACTCCCTCCCAGATCTTCTTGGCTTAGCGGCTGAAGACTGATGCTGCCTGATAGCCTCGGAAGCCCCCTAGACCTTCACGGATGCCAAGCTTCAGGTAACTCTCACAGTGGAGGGTAAGTCCGTCCCCTTCTTAAATACTACGGAAGCTACCCACTCCACATTACCTTATTTTCAAGGGCCATAACTGTTGTGGGTATTGACGACCAGGCTTCTAAACCTCTTAAAACTCCCCAACTCTGGTGCCAACTTGGAAAACATTCTTTTATGCACTCTTTTTTAGTTATCCCCACCTGCCCAGTTCCCTTATTAGGCCAAGACATTTTAACTAAATTATCTGCTTCCCTGACTATTCCTGGACTACAGCTGCATCTCATTACTGCCCTTCTCCCCAACCCAAAGCCTCCTTTGCATCTTCCTCTCCTATCCCCCCACCTTAACCCACAAGTATAGGACATCTCTACTCCTTCCCTGGCAACTGATCACATGCCCATTACCATCCCATTAAAACCTAATCACCCTTACCCCACTCAACGCCAATATCCCATCCCACAGCATGCTTTAAAAGGATTAAAGCCTGTTATCACTCACCTGCTACAGCATGGGCTTCTAAAACCTATAAACTCCCCTTAAAATTCCCCCATTTCACCTGTCCCAAAACCAGACAAGGCTTACAGGTTAATTCAAGATCTGCGCCTTATCAACCAAATTGCTTTGCCTATCCACCCCAAGGTGCCAAACCCATATACTCTCCTATCCTCAATACCTCCCTCCACAACCCATTATTCTGTTCTGGATCTCAAACATGCTTTCTTTACTATTCCTTTGCACCCTTCATCCCAGCCTCTCTTCGCTTTCACTTGGACTGACCCTGACACCCATCAAGCTCAGCAAATTACCTGGGCTGTACTGCCGCAAGTCTTCACAGACAGCCCCCATTACTTCAATCAAGCCCAAATTTCTTCCTCATCTGTTACCTATCTCGGCATAATTCTCATAAAAACACATGTGCTCTCCCTGCTGATCGTGTCCGGCTTATCTCCCAAACCCCAATCCCTTCTACAAAACAACAACTCCTTTCCTTCCTAGGCATGGTTAGTGCAGTCAGAATTCTTACACAAGAGCCGGGACCACACCCTGTAGCCTTTCTGTCCAAACAACTTGACCTTACTGTTTTAGCCTAGCCCTCATGTCTGCGTGCAGCGGCTGCCACTGCTTTAATACTTTTAGAGGCCCTAAAAATGACAAACTATGCTCAACTCACTCTACAGTTCTCATAACTTCCAAAATCTATTTTCTTCCTCCCACCTGACGCACATATTTTCTGCTCCCCGGCTCCTTCAGCTGTACTCACTCTTTGTTGAGTCTCCCACAATTACCGTTGTTCCTGGCCCAGACTTCAAACCGGCCTCCCACATTATTCTGGATACCACACCTGACCCTCATGACTGCATCTCTCTGATCCACCTGACATTCAACCCATTTCCCTATATTTCCTTCTTTCCTGTTCCTCACCCTGATCACACTTAGTTTATTGATGGCAGTTCCACCAGGCCTAATCGCCACACACCAGCAAAGGCAGGCTACGCTATAGTACAAGCCACTAGCCCGCCTCTTAAAACCTCTCATTTCCTTTCCATCGTGGAAATCTATCCTCAAGGAAATAACTTCTCAGTGTTCCATCTGCTATTCTACTACTTCTCAAGGATTATTCAGGCCCCCTCCCTTCCCTACACATCAAGCTCAAGGATTTGCCCCCACCCAGGACTGGCAAATTAGCTTTACTCAATATGCCCCAAGTCAGATAACTAAAATACCTCTTAGTCTAGGAAGACACTCTTACTGGATAGGTAGAGGCCTTTCCTACAGGGTCTGAGAAGGCCACTGCAGTCATTTCTTCCCTTCTGTCAGACATAATTCCTCGGTTTAGCCTTCCCACCTCTATACAGTCTGATAACAGACCAGCCTTTATTAGTCAAATCAGCCAAGCAGTTTTTCAGGCTCTTGGTATTCAGTGAAACCTTTATATCCCTTACAGTCCTCAGTCTTCAGGAAAAGTAGAACGGACTAAAGGTCTTTTAAAAACACACCTCACCAAGCTCAGCCACCAACTTAAAAAGGACTGGACAATACTTTTACCATTTTCCCTTCTCAGAAGTCAGACCTGTCCTCAGAATGCTACAGGGTACAGCCCATTTGAGCTCCTGTATAGATGCTCCTTTTTATTAGGCCCTGGTCTCATTCCAGACACCAGACCAACTTGGACTGTGCCCCCCAAAACTTGTCATCCCTACTATCTTCTGTCTAGTCATACTCCTATTCACCATTCTCAACTACTCATACATGCTCTGCTCTTGTTTACACTGCCGGTTTACTCTGTTTCTCCAAGTCATCACAGATGATATCTCCTGGTGCTATCCCCAAACTGCCACTCTTAACTCTTAAAGTAAATAAATAATCTTTGCTCCAGGGCTATGCTGAACCTCCTTAGGCACTCTCTAATTAGATGTCCTGGGTCCTCCCAATTCTTAGACCTTTAATACCTGTTTTTCTCTTTCTCTTATTCCGTTTAGTTTTTCAATTCATACAAAACCATATCCAGGCCATCACCAATAATTCTAAATGACAACTGTTTCTTCTAACAACCCCACAATATCACCCCTTACCACAAAACCTTCCTTCAGCTTAATCTCTCCCACTCTAGGTTCCCACGCCGCCCCTAATCCCGCTCGAAGCAGCCCTGAGAAACATCGCCCATTATCTCTCCATACCACCCCCCAAAATTGTCACGGTCCCAACACTTTACCACTATTTCATTTTATTTTTCTTAATATAAGAAGACAGGAATGTCAGGCCTCTGAGCCCAAGCTAAGCCATCATATCCCCTGTGACCTGCACGTACACATCCAGATGGCTGGTTCCTACCTTAACTGATGACATTCCACCACAAAAGAAATGAAAATGGCCTGTTCCTGCCTTAACTGATGACATTGTCTTGTGAAATTCCTTCTCCTGGCTCCTCCTGGCTCAAAAGCTCCCCTACTGAGCACCTTGTGACCCCCACTCCTGCCCGCCAGAGAACAACCCCCCTTTGACTATAATTTTCCTTTACCTACCCAAATCTTATAAAACGGCCTCACCCCTATCTCCCTTTGCTGACTCTCTCTTTGGACTCAGCCCACCTGCGCCCAGGTGATTAAAAGCTTTATTGCTCACACAAAGCCTGTTTGGTGGTCTCTTCACACGGACGCAAGTGAAATAGAAATTATGCGTAAAGCCAACTTTCTTTCTTTCCTTCCTTCTTTCTTGCCCTTCTTTCCTTCTCTCTTTCCATCCTTCTCTCTTTTTTTTTTGAGATGGAGTCTTGCTCTGTCGCCCAGGCTGGGGTGCAGTGGCATGATCTCAGCTCACTGCAAGCTCTGCCTCCAGGGTTCATGCCATTCTCCTGCCTCAGCCTCCCGAGTAGCTGGGACTACAGGCGCCAACCACCACGCCCAGCTAATTTTTTGTATTTTTAGTAGAGGCGGAGTTTCACCGTGTTCGCCAGGATAGTCTCAATCTCCTGACCTCATGATCCACCCGCCTCAGCCTCCCAAAGTGCTGGGATTATAGGCGTGAGCCACTGCACCTGGCCCATCCTTCTTTCTTTCTCCCCTTCTCTCTCTCTCTTTCTCTTTTCTTTCCTTCTGTCCCTTTTTCTTTCTCTCTCTCTTTTTTCTTCCTTTATTTTCTCTCATGCAATAAGTGTTTATTGAGCCAAACATTATACTATTGA
The DNA here is from genome assembly GCF_000001405.40 of Homo sapiens. Taxonomy (NCBI): domain Eukaryota; kingdom Metazoa; phylum Chordata; class Mammalia; order Primates; family Hominidae; genus Homo; species Homo sapiens. The sequence continues at coordinate 128,640,375 of NC_000004.12, read as the reverse complement.
CAGAGCTACGGAGAAGTGCTTAAGATGTTTTACGTGTTAAACTTTTTCTCCTGGAAAAGCAGAAGACCCAGGCTGGCATGTCAGGAACTCGGGCTCAGCATGACAGCAGAGATGACTGTCCCTTGATTTTAGGAAGGTGATCAAAGTGACACTAGGTGAGGGCAGCCGAGAATTTGAACAAGGTGAAAGCATCCAGTCTGAGGGAGGAGTAAAGAGCATGAATCTGAACCAAAGGATGAAGAGCAGTGAACAAACAAGGCCACAGCAGCAGGCTGAGGCAGGGCCTGGCCGGCTCCCCAGAAGCCACCAGCCAGCCAGGGCAGGAAGCCCTTAGGGAAAGCCCATAAGCCTTGGCCCAGGAGGGATCCCTGAAGGCAATAGACCTTTCAGAGCCAGGGAGGACAAAAAGCAGATTCTGAAACAATCAATGTGCCCCACACCAAATACTTTTCTAGTTGCAAAGATCAGGCCATAAAAGTCATCCTTGGGAATTCTATTTCCTGCTCACTCCCAGCACAACTTGCAAAATAGCAGGCAGAAGAAACTTACATTTTTCTAAATTCACTACTAAGACTAAAGTACTCCCAGGGACTTAGACCAAACATAAGCCCTTTCTTTAAGAAACAACAATTTAAATGTGGTCACTTAACCACAGATTTCTTTACATCACCATTAAAAACAAATTATGTCTGGGTGGTAAAATATGTTGGACTAGTTTCAGGGTTTTCCTAGATTGGCAGCTTAGGTTTGAGGCAGCATTTGTCTTCATATATTGGCATTTGTCCCCACTATGTTTCTCAACCAATTGAAAACCACTGAATCACTGAGAAATATTTAATGGGTAATGAGAATCACTTGAGTGACAAGTCCTATTTGACTAAATAGCCCTGCCATGTCTTTACAATTGATATAAATGCTTTCATATTACATTTACATCTCTTATATCCACTATGGACAAAATAGTATTTCAACAGTGCAAAAATAATGTGGCAGGAAGGCAACCCTGGAGGGTTATAAATATCAAATAAGTCATAACTATAATGATAATATTGGAATTTATCTTCAGAAGATAAAGGTTGAACTTATCAAAAGGCCACAAGTGAACAATAAAGTCTTCCTTATAGAGTACAGATAAATTTGAGATTTTCGATAATCTTGTTAAATTCTCTGTAGTTCCTTATTCTTAATACCATGCCTGAGTTTCAAAACTGCTCACTGCTTTCATAATTGCTGCTTTTTGTTGCTTCTTCCAAATCTGATCTCCAGTAAAACACTAGGATGGCATCTCTTTCTTTTCTCTGCTCCCACTTCTACCTTCCTGAATTCCCTTCTCAACTCCCTTCTCCTCATCACCTCCCAAGCCTCTATACCTAACAGTAGGGCCAAGGACATAAACAAGGAAAAGAAAATGCAAATAAGAGTTAGATATTTAATAACAGAAGAGGAAGAAGCATAGTACACACTTCACCCCTTTTTTCTACCTAAACAAATCTCAAGACTGCCGTTTGCTAGGACTGCCATAACAAAGTACCGTAGACTGGGTGGCTTCATCAACAGAGAAATATTTTCTCCACATTCTGGAGGCTAGAAGTTAGAGACCAAGGTGTCAGCAGGGTTGGTTTCTTCTGAAGCTTCTCTGCTTTGCTTGGAGATGGCTGCTTTCTCCCTGAGTCTTCACCTGCTCTTCTCTCTGTAGCTGCATCCGTCCAAATCTCCTGTTCTCATGAGCACATCGGTCACAATGGGTTAGAACCTATTCTAATAAGCCCATTGTAACTTAATTATCTCCTTAAACATCCTGTTTACAAATATAGTCACTTTCTGAAGTACTGGGGGTGAGTTGGGACTTTAACATGTGAATTTTGGGGAGACACAATTCAGCCCATAACAGCCGCTTTCACATACCTTTACCAAATAGCATTTCTTTGCCATCCATCCTACCCTGATGTTGATTTTCCCTAGCCTTGGTGATCTCTGCCATTATTTTAGTGGCTGATTAAATTTAATTGGCACTTATGCGTACTGTCTTGAGTAGTTTTTAGATGAAAGTTATTCCTCTCCCCAACAAGATCCACGAGCACAGGGCTAGTTTTTAATCCTTCTTGACGTCTAGAACACGATTGAAACATTAGCAGATAGGCTTACAGTGAAACAAAAAAGCAAAACAAGCAAGTCTCTAATGAACTGGAAGAGAAAGTGTCATTCTTTTAGTTGTTGTGTGTGTACATTTTCTCCCTCTGGGAATGGAAGCTCTGTAGAGGCAAGATTGTGCCCTTCTGAAGGAAAAGTAAAGGAATTCATTTAATTTGGCCAGTGAAAGTGAAACCTGGACAATTTTCAAAATCCTTTGCCTTTCCAATATGATTTTTAAGTATAGTGATGAGAAAATTTTGTAAACGTGTCAATTCCAATATTTTCATATATTTGGCCAAGAAGATTTTCTTTATAGGAACTTAGTTAACTTTGGATGATAACCACTAAAAGTAGTAGCAGTAGTAGTCACAGTGATCCTTCTTTGTAGAATAAGATTAGAATGCTGTAGCACAGGTACTGAAAGCAAATCTTGCAAATGATTCAAGCAGGGTTACCATCTACATTTGTGTTGCGTGGTTTGATTTTTCCATTCATAGGGCTACCTCGTCTCTCACATGCCCTTGCTGTCTTTACAAACATGGTGGGGTTTTGTGCCATGACCATGGCTTTGAAAAAGCCATTTGGCTCTTCACATATCCAAACTACATCAGGTCTTTCAGAACTCATTTTACTCATGCCTGAGGATGTGTCCAAAGAGAAGCCTATTCAGTTATAGTCTTTCATTGGCTCGAAAATTCAGTTTCAAACAAGAGGTGAAATTTGTTCCTCTCCTGGCTCTTTAGGGATGTAAGCAAAAATCTACCTTAGTGAAGAAAAATTCTAATTCCTTAGCATAAGAAATAAAAGCCAGGAAATTCCAGAATGGTCAAAATAATGGCTTATGTTATCTTCTGAGACAGCTTCAAAGAGAAATTAACCCTAATTATGACATCCTTGTTGATAAAGAAGGGAATGACAGGTCATGGGAATTGTCATTAAATGCTTTTTGGAGTGTTCATTCTTCAACATTCAGAGATAATAAGAATGATGATGGTGGCAATACTCAAAAGGAATCAGACATTTGCATAGTGTTCAACATGTGAGATGATACCAATTTTGAGAGACACTAGGATGTCATTAAGCAGGTGAGAGGCTATGCCCAGGAATGCTGTCTAATAGCCTCTCATTGTCATTATAATGGATCTATTTGACCATGTGACAAGCGCCTTACTTACATTGCCTAATTGAGTCCTCACAACAATCTGCTTAATGAGGTAGGCATTATTCTCCCTGTTTTACAGATGAGGAAACTGGGGGGTCAAAGAGTTTCTGTGACTTTCCCAAAGTCATGCAGCATATGCAGAAGAGTGACAAGTGCCAACGTGTACAGAGTCTAGGCTGTCAGACCCAATTCACCCAAGATGCATCCATTTAAACCCATGAAATTTGGGTAGGATAAATGTTTGCCAAATTCACAGGCTGGGTTTCTTGAATCCTCTATAATGTTTTTCCTGGCCCAGCTCCTTCCAGAGCGGTCCCTGTTCTCAGTCCCCATCTTCGAAGAGGAAATCGACCTGCCAGAATGACCAAGGGCTTCACCCAAGGGTTTCCACACTGTATTAAATAAGAGAGTCTCCAAACTGCCTGAGAGACAATTACTTACATAGAAAATATATTATATTTTGGTATGAGACAATCTCTCACCTCAAAATATACAGGAATAACCACTGCTTACGGTTGAAAACATTAGGAGGGGGTAGCTTTGGCTTTCAAAAGACTGCAAAACACTTTCCTAGTATCTTCGTCTGGGAAAATAATGGTCTTACTTCATTTCTTTAGGCTTCTCCCTGAGTCTGAATCTTATTTGAGAGGTCCTGGTGACTCCTTGTTTCCACAGCCTGCACAGGCAACATCTGTTCTGGCCTAAGGATGAGAACCTCACCTCCCCACCCAACACAGCTCAGCCTCAGGGGTGAGGGGAAGGAAGCACACATGCAGTTGCTCTCATCCTGAAAAACTCCTAGTGAGGAAGAAGCTTTCACACTCATGGTTCACAGAGAGATTTCAGCCAGAACTAGCAGTCTCACTAGTTGTCAGAGCCTCTTGTTGATTCCCACCTTCAGCAAAAATCCTTCAGGGCAGCAAGCGCAGCAGGAAACCTGTCATTAACAACCACCATGGTGTCACATCAGCGATTCTCAGGAGCCCTCACTCCACTATTTAACTCAGCTATTTACCTCATCAGGGAGAGCTTTGTTTGATTGTCAGAAAATAGAACATGTACATTTGTCTGTCATAAACACACACAAGCTCTCCAGAGCATAAATAAACAAAACGATCATGTACGTTGGTAAATGTGTTTGCATTATTTAACCAAACCAGATGAAGCATGTGAATAACCCTGCATATAAAGTACCATCAAGTAACTTGCTTGTAATCTGTCTTGTACAATACAGCCATTGCCACTCATTCCACTCACCCGATTCAGACCCTGGAAATGTACTATTTTTAGTTGGGCTTTGTACACCACTATTTACAAAGAGCACTGTTAAATCCTTTGAATAGCAGCCAAGAAGTTGGGTGAGAACCTAGAAGCCTGCCACACAGATCAGCATCCTAATCAACTCTGGGACAGCCAGTGCTAAAGATCTGCCTTTCTTTCCTTTTCTTCTTCCCCTTTGTCTCCCCGGGAATATCAATGTAAAAGAGGAAAGGAGACAAAGAGTTGGGCCTTATCTGTTCTTGTCGTTCAAATGGGTTGCTTTACTCACTCTCCTAGATAACAGCCCATTTGTCAACATCTTTGGCGGTTTAAGCCGTTCTTTGTCAAAACCACTTTTGGAAAAGATTTGACCATTTATTTACATGGGAGCCAACGTGACGGCAGCAGGTGCGTCATGGAAAACTCGGACGTGGGTGCTGCAAAGCCGCTGGGATTCGGTCACGTGACAGCCCGCCTGCTGCCCGGCCAGCGGGCCAAATGGCCACACGGGAAGGAGGGACAGAGGAGAAAATAGTAGGCAAAGTGTTGGCGTGAGGCAGGTGGTGGATGAGGCAGTCGCAAAGAGAAAGGATTGCAACATCAGGGAGGAGATGAAAGGCCTCATATCATTTTGCAGCCAACAAGAAACCTGAAGGAACTAAGTTTGGCTCTATTTCTACAGCTTGTGAAAAGCTGAGAATGGAAGCAATGACTGGGCTAATTCTGGACAAAATTTTTTAAAATGATTTTTGTCAGAGGAGCCCAGATCTTTGCCTCAATTCTTTGCTTTTGTCTAAATTGCTCATTTTTCCAAATTTCTGTAAGTAATTTTTTAGGTGATGTGAATTGATTTGCCTTTGGTATACCGGACAAGATTTTATTTTATTTTATTATTTTATTTTTGAGACGGAGTTTCGCTCTTGTTGCCCAGACTGGAGTGCAGTGGTGTGATCTCAACTCACTACAACCTCTGCCTCCCGGGTTCAAGCGATTCTCCTGCCTCAGCCTCCTGAGTAGCCGGGATTACAGGTGCCCGCCACCACACCGAGCTAATTTTTGTATTTTTAGTAGAGATGGGGTTTCACCACGTTGGCCAGGCTGGTCTCAAACTCCTGACCTCAGGTGATCCATCTGCCTCAGCCTCCCAAAGTGCTGGGATTACAGGTGTTAGCCACCGTGCCCAGCCTGGACAAGATTATTTGAGACATCTCTGGTGGCCTAAATCGTGAAGGGTTTGCCCCCTGTTTCCTTTTGTCCACTTTCCTCATAGTGCCATTTTGTTTTGTGCCTTCACTCAGCCTGAACTGGCTGGTGAAAGTGGCACAGCCAACTGTTGCCAGACAGTGATGTCCTGTCAAATTCCTGTACCTGCATGGGTACGTTCTCATGTTCTCTGAAATATTATTCCTTTCCCTTAACAGAGCTCACCAGACAAGAAACAGAAAAGTGTTTTGAGTACTTTGAATCAAAAGTGGTCTCTGAATTTAAGGCATTTTTATTATTTTATGTGTTATTTGTAGTTCAAAAGGGTCTTCCTATTCATCATAGTATTAGAGGCATTTGATGGAAAAGTAGTGTGCCAAGGTGATTAGTGACAACAACAACAAAAGCAACTTATTTTTGAGCCTGTGAAAGGCCCTCTTCTAGACACTTTATACAACAGCTGTATCCTTATTGATAGCCCTGCAAGGTAAGTATCATTTTTCCCATTGTGGAGAAGTACTGAATCTCGGGAGGGTACTGGGCCAAGGTCACCAGCCAATCAGTGACAGATAGGAAATTCAAACCTAGGTTTGTTGGGTTCTTTCTACTATACCAGGCAACACCATTTGTAAATGTGAACTCATTCTGAGCATCAAAGGACAATTGGCTTTACTTTGAAGAAACTCAATTCCATATTGGTTTCAGTTATTTTAACAAATTCAACATGCTTAATTATCTCAGAATTTTTACAGAATAGTAATTGTTAATTCCCTGGTAGAATTAGGCTTGCCTGCAACTATTTTTAATTCCTTAACATCTTCTAGGTATTCCACTTGACCCGATGCTTTTCCTTGATGTGGTCTGGAGAATGTGATCTATAGAAACAATGTATAAGAATATCCTGGCCGGTGGCTCACACCTGTAATCCCAGAACTTTGGGAGGCCGAGGCGGGTAGATCACGAGGTCAAGATATCGAGACCATCCTGGCCAACATTGTGAAACCCTGTCTCTATCAAAAATACAAAAATTAGCTGGCCATGGTGGCGCATGCCTGTAGTCCCAGCTTCTCGGGAGGCTGAGGCAGGAGAATCGCTTGAACCCAGGAGGCAGAGGTTGCAGTGAGCCGAGATCGCACCAGCCTGGGGGACAGGGCAAGACTCTGTCTCAAAAAAAAAAAAAATATCCTGACTTTCTTTATAGGCACATAAATAAATAAGGAAAGAATCTTTTCCCCAACCCTGAGGAGATAGGCAGTACCACTATATAGCAGGCTTGCATGCATGCAAACTTTGAAAGCAATCATTGAACAAAGCTTGGGCAAGGTTATGGTGAATAAGAAAGAGAACAAAGTTCATGAAGAGGTGCGAAGAAAACAGGAAGTAAGTGTTGGTAAATTTTGCATGTACAATAGTATTTCTGTCATAGTGAATGTCTTCTCAATAGATTATTCTCACTTTCCTCCTATATATCCATTTATTTTGTTGGACACCAACACCCAATAAAGATAATGGGAACAAATAAGAACTATAGCTCTTAATATAGATTCTAGAAAGTGAAAACTGCTTTTTATAGCTCTAAAACCAAAGCTTTTGGCTTCAATATAGATTGAAGATATCTCTCTACCATTTACTACCTGGGTTTTTTTATTCGCTTGTATAACCATGTTCTATTTCTGTTTTGTTTGAAAAGAAAATGAAATAGAATTACCTCCTACACTCACACTGCTATTGACATTAAATTTCATCTTCTTTTATTATGATCAGCAAAGTTACTCATAACACTGGAATTTGTTTTTTGGTTTTAAAGTTATAGCTGCTGCTGTTGTTGGAACAATTAGTATTGCTTTGGCACTGTGTTCCACCTAAACTCATGGCATTTGTGTACTATTTACCTTTCAGAAAAGCTATTTTCCAAGAAGAAAAAGAAAATGGAAGTACAAATTTCCAACAGCACACATTTTCTCTGCTCTCTCCTTGGCTCTGAAAGAGGATGCGTGAAACAGAATTTCAGGCTGTAATTAATGCAGCTCTTCATAAGATAAGAGGTTCTTTTATCTACAGAAAAATTGCTGCACTAATTCCCAACAAGAAGTGCAATGCTCCGGTTAATGCTCTTTCTACAAGAAGAATTCACCTTTTCTACCCTCTACATATTTACAGACAAATTTGAATATTTTGTTATGGGAAACTGAAGATGGGTAAACATACAATGATAATAGTACTTTATAGGGCTAAATCTAAAAGCCTTAAAGATTAATATTATGTTTGGATAAATGCTGAATAAGTTTACATAAAGAATTTTCAAATAACATTGACGCTACAGGCATGTACTTGTAAGCACAGACCTTAATTGGGCACAACTTAGATCCAGCACTCTTTGAGGGGGAGAATAAACAAATTGGGAAATGCATCCTCATTTGATACAGTGAGGAAAAAGAGCTATGGTTCCTTGCTCTGCTTTAAAGTACTGTCCAAAGAAGGATGAAGCCCCGCTATTTCATTTTGATTTAAATATTTCCTTGTAGAATGCACATTCCAATTTGGAAACAATACTTTCTATATGTATGTTTCATGTATGTGCTTGGAATAATTGGTAATGTGTTGGCACTGTGTTCCACTTAAATGCATGGCATTTGTATACTATTTAATGTTTTGTTGTTGTTGTTGTTTTTGAGATGGAGTCTCAGTCTGTTGCCCAGGCTGGAGTGCAATGGTGTGATCTAGGCTCACTGCAACCTCTGCCTCCCGGGTTCAAGCAATTCTCCTGCCTCAGCCTCCTGAGTAACTGGGATTACAGGCGCCTGCCACCACGCCTGGCTAATTTTTTTTTTTTTTTTTTTTTTTTTTTTTTTTTTTTTTTTTAGTAGAGATGGGGTTTCTCCATGTTGGCCAGACTGGTCTTGAACTCCTGAACTCAGGTGATCCACACACCTTGGCCTCCCAAAGTGCTGGGATTACAGGCGTGAGCCACTGCACCGGCCTTTTAATGTTTTCTTAAAAACCAGTTTTCTAAGAAAAAAAGAAGAATGGGAATACAGCAAATGAGTAGAAGACAGAGATCACAAGAATCGTGCCTGAGGTCCTGGCAAAGAAGACCCCACTGTAAGGCAGAATGGCACCTCTGATTCATTGGCCCCTTTGTATTGTTCTCAATTTCTATATCCATAAATAATAAGATTTTCATTCCCTTCCTTCCACTCTGTGAGGTGGATGTGAAATAGGTAGAGAGGTTTGTCACTGGGTGCAAGGCTAAGATGCTCAGTTAAAGCAGGAAATTACGTTGTTTGGCTGAGAAATACGTGTAATTTCTAAGTGTGATTATTGCAAGTAAAAATGAGTGATGTTTCAACAAGAGGGTTATTGTAATTCAGGGTATAGCAACAATTTTAATGTAAGCGAGAAGATGTTTGTAACACTTCCAAAAAAATAGTACTGTATCAGTCCAGTGTCCACTTTCCTCCAAACCTTCGTGCCCACGCACACACACATAAATACATGCAGGATTCCTGAGCAGGGAAGGATCCTTTCTCACGTGTTCACAAAGAGACTTTTAAGCTCAGAACCTCTTGAGGGTGAGAAACTTTTCTTGGCAGACTATCAACTGGTTCTGAGTGAACAAATCCGACAGAGCCCTTTTCCTTGCTTCTTTTTGTTCATATTGTTCACCCTCTCACAGCAAGGAAGGCTGCTAGGTAGAGTAAGGGGACTCTCAAAGGAGATGAAGGTAAATTTTTCTGGAATAGCTGCAGAGCAATTCTAATGCTTCAGTTAATCTGTTACCTCTTTCCTTGCCCCTAGCCTTCAGTTTTCCTTTTGTATCCTGAAAATAACATTGACATTAAATTGGGTCAGTGGAAAAAAATCAGTCACCAACTGTTGCTTATAATTTTGCCCCCAAGAAAACATTTGGTAACTAACCCTTATCTAGAGTACACACTATGCACAGCTCCTAGGGTGATATTTGAATCTATTCACCTTAGGGAAAGTTGTTGATTCTTTTAGACTCAAATTTCCACAATCAGAAAATTCACCTAATGCCTTTCTAATGTGTTATGCTTCACAGAAGGAGTTTAAGATCAGTGTAAATAGATATACACCCAATAGAAGTCATTGCAATATACACGAGCAGACATGTCCAAGTATGCTTATAGTTGCACTATTCAAATCAACCTAAACTACTTGAAATTAAACGGCGATTGACAGGAAAATAAAATGTGGCATTCAAACATGGAATTCTATAAGGCAGCAAAAATGAACGGACTACAGCTACATACAATACAGATGAATCTTAAAAACATAATGCATGAAAACATAAGTTTCAAAGATTACTAATAACATAAAACCCCCTCTACATAAAAAAGTAACTTAAGGCCAGGCACAGTGGCTCATGCCTGTAATCCCAGTGCTTTGGGAGACCGAGGTGGGCGAATCACCTGAGGTCAGGAGTTCAAGACCAGCCTGGCCAACATTGTGCAACCCCGTCTCTACTAAAAACACAAAAATTAGCCAGGTATGGTGTTGCATGCCTGTAATCTCAGCTACTCAGGAGGCTGAGGCAGGAGAATTGCTTGAACCCAGGAGGCAGAGGTTGCAGTGAGCCGGGATCACGCCACTGCACTCCAGCCTTGGCAACAGAGTGAGACTCCATCTAAAAAAAAAAAAAAAAGTAACTTAAAAAATTATTTAGTAGGTATACCTACAGTGATAAAACTACATAAAAATCCTAAGAGTAGTACTTACACTGGGGGTGGGAAGGCAGGGACAGGAAGAGGGAGAGTAGTACACAGGTGGATTATTGTCAGTGTTTCAAACAAACATTTGTTCATGTTAACTCATTATATTATTGAACATTAATAATCAAAGGACCATGCATAAGGAAAAAACTGACACGGAATATCAAAGTATTGGCAGAGAAAAACCATGATGAGTATATAGTGATGTTCACAGTGAAATGCCATAGGATACTCAGTTTTGTGCAAAATAAATAACAAAACTCAGAACTCATCATAAGGGAACATGCCACAGAATCTGACTCTGGCCACCTCTAATCGTTCCTCATGTCTGCTTTTTCATTTGTTTGTTTGTTTTGAGACAGAGCCTTGCTCTGTTGCCCAGGCTGGAGTGCAGTGGCACGATCCTGGCTCACTGCAACCTCTGCCTCCTGGGTTCAAGTGATTTTCCTGCCTCAGCCTCCCAAGTAGCTGGGATTACAGACGTGCACCACCACACCTGGTTATTGTATTCTTAGTAGAGACAGGGTTTCACCATGTTGGCCAAGCTGTTTTCAAACTCCTGGCCTCAAGTGATCCACCCACCTCAACCCCACAAAGTGCCTGTAACCACTGCACGAGGACTCCTCACGTCTGTTTGATCCTTACCTGACTTCTTTGGGAACCATCTTCCTTCTAGTTTGAATCCCTAATTGTAGATATTTCCTGTGACTTTATCTTTGCTCCTCTTTTTTCTTCCCTATATAATCTCTCACTGGAAGAGCACAACCACTCCCATGGCTCCAACTGCCTTTCAGATGCTCCCAAATCCATCCATCCAACATTGATCTCCCACGGGTAGCATTAAACCAACTGCTTCCAGGGTAAATCCTCTAGGATTCTAGCTATTTTCTTTTTTCTTTTCTTTTTTTTTTTTTTTTTTTTTTTGAGACGGAGTCTCGATCTGTCGCCCAGGCAGGGTGACCAGGAACTAGTCACTCAAGCTCTCTGTTAATTTCCTCATCTCTGAAAAGCGGTGTCTATAGATATCATTTCTAAGCTCCTGTTTCTAAATTTCTATGAATTCATGAATTATTGACTCTTCTTGACATTAGCTATTTGTCCAGGATATCACTATTATTCTAGGCTTATCTTTGACTTATTTCTATTTTTGTGTGCTGATTCCTAATCTGATGCCAAATTTTGTCATTTCTCTTATTGAAATGTCTCTCAAATTTACCCCATTTTATCCATTTCCTTGGTTTTCCCTTAGTCCTGGACCTAATAAGTTTAGACTTAGATTACTTGAAAGGTGTCCAGACAGGTTTCCCTGCTTCCTGTCCCCTCCTTCATTCAAGTCCTCTGACACACCACTTCTAGATTATTCATGAAAATATAATAAAAATTGTCACACCCACTTAAGAGCATTCTTATTTAATTCTGTGTTATCTACTAAAGCAATTCCAATATCTCTGGCTAGTTTAAGACCCTCCATGACTCCATGTGACTGATCTCTCCAGCTTTCTTACCACTCCTCAGCACTTAAACTGCATTGAAACGAGTGTCATTGAAGTCACACAAGCATGTACCTAAACTCCAGCTTCTAAGCCTTTATCCATGCCAATTCCTCAAACTAAAATGTTCTCTTTCTCTTTTTTCCCAAAGATGTGCATTTTTCAAGGACCAACTAAAATTCCACCTATTTAGAGCTTTCTCTAGCATTTCAAGTCTCTGTTAAACTTTCTTCTCACCTAAATACAACAGCAGCTAAAACTCGATGATGGACAATTGATTATTGCTTCTTAATTTTTCAAAGCATTGTTTGTTTTAATCTCCCAACCAAATTAAAATATTCCTAAAGGCAGAAATCATGTCTCAAATCTTTCTTATAGTTTCCTTTCTTATGGTTTCTTATTCATTGAATAAATATTAATCTCAAGTGCTGAAAGTGTGTACATCCTAAATAAAATCAGTATCTATGAGGATATGTTCAATTTAACCTTTATTGAGCACTACTTTTATAAGGGTCTGTGATAGTCATGAGGGACTTGAAACTTGAATACATAATTCTCCTTGAGAAGCTCAGACTCTTTTAAATTTGGAGTAATACATTCTACTACCTGTACATTTTTAACTCTCACTTTGACCACTCTCTGGAGATGCAGATCAATTATGTCCAACATCTTTAACATCTCTAACTGGAAGTTTCACAGGTACCCATCTCAAATTCAACTTGTTTATTACTTGTTTTTGTACTTTCGCCCACAGTACAACTCTGTACATTTTTGCTTTATATAATTTAAAGCTATGTTATGAGCCCCATTTAAATTTGAACTTGTTATATCATCCTGGGAATTGCTCCTTTTATTATTTAATCCCTAATGGTATTTCCTTCCTTAAATAACATTTTGTTTGATATTAATTTAGAGAAGTCAGCTTTCTTCTGGTTAGAATTTGCCTGTTTTTTCATGTTCCTTTTTTTTTTTTTTTACTTCAAATTGTCTAAGCTCTTAAATTTTAGATATACCTCTTTTTTTTTTTTTTTATTTTGAGTGGAGTCTGGCTCTGTCACCCAGGCTGGAATGCAGGAGTGCAGTGGCACGATCTCAGCTCACTGCAAGCTCTGCCTCCCAGGTACACGCCATTCTCCTGCCTCAGTCTCCTGAGTAGCTGAGATTACAGGCACCTGCCACCACGCCTGGCTAATTTTTTGTATTTTTAGTACAGACAGGGTTTCACCGTGTTAGCCAGGATGGTCTTGATCTCCTGACCTTGTGATCCGACCGTCTCGGCCTCCCAAAGTGCTGGGATTACAGGCGTGAGCCACCGTGCCCGGCGACAGGTATACCTCTTAAAGAGTGTAAAGCTGATACCTTTTTTCTTAATCCAATTGAGAATCTCTCTCTTTTAACTGGGGAATTTAGTCCTTTTACATGTATTATGATTTCTGATAGAGTTATTTCTCTTGTCTTGTTTTGGGTTCTTTCTTTGCTTATTTTCTCTATGTTTAAAAAAATTTTTTTTCTAGCTTTCCTTTGGATCAACCACATTATTTTCCTATTCTCTCCACCCTAATCTTTTGGATAGTATATGCCCTATAACTATTCTCTTAATGTTTATCCTTAAATTTTTTAATATATATACTTAAATGAAAGATAATCAATTTCTCTACCTACTTTATAAACCTCAGAACCTCAGGTTTCTTTGACTTTGATCATCTCTTTCAGTTTAACATGTAATTTTAGTTCTTTCTCTCTATTAATCCCAAATTAGACATTGTAATTTAATGAGTTTTTCAGTAATATATTTACTCAGTCACACTGTTTTCATTTGTTCATTTATGTTGTGATAACAGAATACCTGAGACTGGATAATTCATAAAGAACAAAATTTTATTTCTCACAGTTCTGGAGGCTGGGACATTTAAGATTAAGATGCCAGACGGTTAGGGTCTGATCTCTCTGTTTCCAAGATGGTCCTTGAATGCTGCATCCTCCAGTTGGGAGGAACACTGTGTCCTCACATGGCAGAGGAGCAGCAGAGAGCAAACCCAGTGCCACAAGCCCTTTTTCTGTTTGTTTGTTTGTTTGTTTGTTTCTTTTTTTTGAGACATAGTCTCGCTCGTCCCCCAGGCTGGAGTGCAATGGTGCGATCTTGGCTCACTGCAACCTCTGCCGCCCGGTTCAAGCGATTCTCCTCCCTCAGCCTCCGGAGTAGCTGAGATTACAGGCACGCGCCACCACACCTGGCTAATTTTTTGTATTTTTAGTAGAGATGGGGTTTCGCTATGCTGGCCAGGCTGATCTCAAACTCCTGACCTCAGGTGATCTGCCAACCTTGGCCTCCCAAAGTGCTGGGATTACAGGCGGGAGCCACAGTGCCTGGCCACAGCCCTTTTTATAGCAGCATTAATTTATTAATGAGGACAAAGCTCTTATGCTCTAAACACCTCCTAAAAGGCCACACCTTCCAACACTGTTGCATTGGGGATTAAGTTCAACATGAAATTTGGAGAGGACAAAACCATTTAAACCATAGCACAGATATTTAGCAATTATTTTCCCTCTTGCTGTTTAATGATTATCAGGATATGGATTTATAGCTTAATAGTTATTTTCTCTTAGCATTTAAAAGATATTGTTTAATTGTCTTTTGGCTTCTATTGTCATAAGTGTAATGAACATTTAAAGATAATATCTTTTCTCTCTACTTTTAATATCATTTCTTTCCTTTGATTTTTTTTTCTTTTCTTAAAATTCCTCCACAATGTGTCTAAATGTATATTTATTTTCATTTGGGTCCCTTTGTGGTTTCAGAATCTGAGAATTTATGTCTATTGTAAAGAATTCTCAGTCATTATTTCTTTGAGTATTGTGTCTCCCCGATTATCTCTACTCTTTTTCCAGAATTTCAATTAGATCTTTTTATTCTTTCAGATCTCTTAACCTTTTAGGCATCTTTTCTCTATCTTCCAATTTACTAATTCTCTTCTTTTAAAAGCTTTATTTTATTTATTTTTTATTTTTGTTTTTTTGACAGGGTCTCACACTGTCGCCCAGGCTGGAGTGCAGTGGTGCAATGATGGTTCACTGCAACCTCTGCCTCCTGGGCTCAAGTGATTTTAACGTCTCAGCCTCCTGAGTAGCTGGGATTACAGGAACATGCCACCATGACTGGATAATTTTTGTATTTTTTGTAGAGACGAGTTTTCACCATGTTACCCAGGCTGGTCTCAAACTCCTGAGCTCAAGTGATCTGCCTGCCTTGCTCTTCCAAAGTGCTGGGATTATAGGTGTGAGCCACAATGCCCAGTGCTTTATTTTTAATTGACAAATCATAATTGTATATATTTATGGTGCACAATGTGATATTTCGATACATGTTTTCATTGTAAATGATCAAATCAGGGTAACTGGCATATCTATCATCTCAAATATTTATCATTTCTTTGTATTGAGAACATTACTAATTATTATTATTATTATTATTTTTTTTTTTTTTGAGACAGAGTTTCGCTCTTTTTGCCCAAGTTGGAGTGCAATGGCGAAATCTCGGCTCATTGCAACCTCTGCCTCCAGGGTTCAAGCAATTCTCTTGCATCAGCCTCCCAAGTAGCTGGGATTACAGGTGCCCACCACCACACCTGGCTAATTCTTGTATTTTTAGTAGAGATGGGGTTTCACCATGTTGGCCAGCCTGGTCTTGAACTCCGACCTCAGGTGATCCGCCCGCCTTGGCCTCCCAAAGTGCTGGGATTACAGGTGTGAGCCACCATGCCTGGCCCTTACTAATTCTCTTTTTAACTGTAATTTTTTTTTTTTTTTTTTTGAGATAGGGTCTCACACAGTTGCCCAGGCTGGAGTGCAGTGGTGTGATCTTGGCTCGCCAAAACCTGCACCTATCATGTTCAAGGGATTCTCCAACTTCATTTTCCCGAGTAGCTGTGATGACAGGCGGGGGACACCAAGCCCAACTAATTTTTGTATTTTTAGTAAAGATGGGGTTTCACCATATTGGCCAGGGTGGTCTCAAACTCCTGACCTCAAGTGATCTGCCCGCCTCAGCCTCCCAAAGTGCTGAGATTACAGGCATGACCCACTGTGCCCGGCCTTAACTATAAATAATTTTCTATTTAACTGAGTTTTCAAATTAAACAACTATATTTTGTATCTCTAGAAGTTCTATATTGTTCATATCTTATTTCAAATTTTTCTATTTTCCCAAAGAATCCTATTCTTTTCTTATGATTTAGATTACTTCTTTTTATGTTTTTAATCAGTTTTAAATGCTTGCTTTATAGACCTTAGTAGTTAGATTATCTAAAGTTATTGAGAATGAATTATGCTCTTTGTTGTCTTTGTGGATTCTTGCTTATGGCAGATTTCCTCATTCCCCACATGTGTTTTATAGTTTCCGTTTGAGTTAATTCACAGCCAGGCTTTATTTGTAGAAATCTCATATGGATTATTATGAAGGTATGTCCCACCAAAACAGTTTTTCATTCACGTCCACCAGGCAAACCTATGTTGTCACTGACTTCCTTTGATGTTGATTTCTAGGGTGATTCTTAGACCATTCAGAGGTATAAATTCAAGTCCAAACCTACATGTGATGGTGTCAACTTGACTGGATTTGAGGGATGCCTAGATGGCTAGTGAAGTACTGTTTCTGGGTGTGTCTGTGAGGGTGTTGCCAGCGGACATTGACATTTGACTGGGAGAGGAAGACCCACCCTTGATGTAGGTGGGCACCGTGCAATCAGCTGCCAGCACTGCTAGAACAAAGCAGGTGGAAGGGGGATAAGCAGCTTGCTGAGTCTTCTTGCTCTTTTTTCCCATGCTAGATGCTTGCTTCCTCTCCTCCTGCCCTTGGGCATCAGACTCCAGGCTCTTTGGCCTTTGGACTCTGGGCCTTGCTTCAGTGGTCTCCCAGGGGTTCGCGGGCGTTTGGCCTCAGACTGAGGGCTGCACTGTTGGCTTCGCTGATTTTAAGGCTTTCCAACTTGTACTGAACCATGCTCCTGGCTTGTCTTTCTTTCCCCAGCTTGCAGACTGTCTATCATGGGACTTTGCTTTGTAATCGTGGGAGCCAGTTCTCCTTAATAAGCTCATAGGATATATATATATATATATGTCCTATTTTCTGTCCCTCTGGAGACTCCTAATATACTACATGAGGCTTTCCTCCACTCCATCCAAACCCCAGGCCAAGACAGGCAAGTTACCTTATTATCTCCTAGTGCCTATAATTGATTTTTTTTCTTTTATGAAGGTTGAAGTCATTAATGATTCTGGTGCTACGCATGGGCCCCAGCTCCAATTCTCTGCTTCACTAAAACCCAAGGCCTAATTTAATTAATCCATGTGAGTTTTCATACATCATATTAAGACCAGGAAACCCATCATGTTTGTAAATATATAGTTTATATCTAACTTTTTAGTTTTTCTTCTCTCTTAATTTTAAGTTCCTGGGGATTTACTTTATTTGTAAACTCAGCTATGCATTTGATGCTATTTTTTCAGAAGCATCTTTGGGTTACCTGATCTATCTTCTGCTATAATTCCAAATCCAAGCCTGCTGTTTTAGATCTGGATCTTGCTTCTCTACCAACCCCCGTCGACTTGGCATTTTATTTTATTTTATTTTATTTTATTTTATTTTATTTTATTTTTTGAGACGGAGTTTCGCTCTTGTTGCCCTGGCTGGAGTGCAATGGCGTGATCTCGGTTCACTGAAGCCTCTATCTCCTGAGTTCAAGCAATTCCCCTGCCTCAGCCTCCTGAGTAGCTGTGATTACAGGCACCCGCTACCAGGCCCAGCTAATCTTTTTGTATTTTTAGTAGAGACGAGGTTTCACCATGTTGGCCAGGCTAGTCTCAAACTCCTCACCTCAGGTGATCCTCCCACCTCGGCCTCCCAAAGTGCTGAGATTACAGGAGTGAGTCACCATGCCTGGCCTGGACTTGGCATTTTAGATTGTTCTTTTCTTCCTCCAGCAACCTTACCCAGAACTCAGACTTTGGTTTCCTTTCCCTTCATTCACATACCTGCCCCAGCTTACAGAGATCCTGGCCAAGGCCGGCTCTATACCTATGCCTGTCCAGAAGGGAATATTGGCCAACAAGAGCTTCCTATCTCATTGCCATGGCAACAGTCTCTTGTTTTCAGGTCCATCCTTAACATTGCCTGTAGAATGACTTTTTCTAAAACCCAGATCTGAGTATGCCGTCCCCTGCATAAAAACCTCTGCACTAAAATGAGAACTATTCTATTATTATATATTTTTAAATTTTTATTTATGTATTTATTTAGAGACAGGATGTTGCTTTGTCACCCAGGCTGGAGTATAGTGGGGCTATCATAGCTCAGTGCAACCTTGAAATCCTAGGCCTGAGTGAACCTCCTCCCTTAGCCTCCTGAGTAGCTGAGAATACAGGTGTCAGCCATCACCTTCAGCTAATTTTTAAATTTTTTTAGAGACCAGGTCTCACTATGTTGCCTAGGCTGGTCTTGAACTCCTGACCTCAAGTGATCCTTCCGCTTTGGCCTCCCAAAGAGCTGGGATTACTGGTGTGAGCCACCACGTCTGGCCTATTATTATTCATTGATACAAAATATTTTACATATTTGTAGGGTACATGTGAGTATTTGCATAGGATGTGTAATGATCAAGTCAAGGTATTTAGGATAGCCATCACTTTTGAGTATTTATCTCTTTTTTTTTTTTTTTTTTTTTTTGAGACAGAATCTCAGTCTGTTGCCCAGGCTGGAGTGCAATGGTGCGTTCTCAGCTCACTGCAACCTCCGCCTCCCATGTTCAACTGATTCTCCTGCCTCAGACTCCCAAGTAGCTGGGACTACAGGCATGCGCCACCACGCTCGACTAATTTTTTTTTGTATTTTTAGTAGAGACAGGGTTTTACCATGTTGGTCAGGCTGGTCTCAAACTCCTGACCTCAAATGATCTGCCCGCCTTGGCCTCCCAAGAGTATCATTTCTATGCGTTGGTAAGATTTTAAGTTCTCGGCCAGGTGTGGTGGCTCATGCCTGCAATCCCAGCACTTTGGGAGGCCGGGGCAGGCGGGTCACCTAAGGTCAGGAATTCCAGACCAGCCTGGCCAATATGGTGAAACCCCGTCTCTACTAAAAATACAAATAATTAGCCGGGCATGGTGGTGCATGCCTGTAATCCCAGCTACTCGGGAGGCTGAGGCAGGAGAATCAGTTGAACATGGGAGGCGGAGGTTGCAGTGAGCCAAGATCATGCCACTGCACTCCAGTCTGGGCGACAGAGGGAGACACTGTCTCAAAAAAAAAAAAAAAAAAAAATTCAAGTTCTCTGTTCTAGCTACTTTGAAATATACAATACATTGTTGGTAACTGTAGTCATCCTGCTCTGCCACTGAACATTGGGGGTTATTTCTTCTAATCAGCCATTATGTTTTTGCCCATCAACCTCTCTCTATCCCCCCTTCCCACCCATACACCCTTCCCAGCTGCTGTATCTATTCTGTTCTTTATGTCCATGAGATCTTTTTTTTCAGCTTTCACATATGAGTGAGAAAATGCAGTATCTGTCTTTCTGGGCCTGGCTTATCTCACTCAACATAATGACCTCTAGTACCAGCCATGCTGTTGCAAATAACATGATTTAATTCTTTTTTATAGCTTAATTGTATCCCATTGTGTATATATAGCACATTTTCTTCCTTTCCTTTTTTTTTTTTTTTTTCAGCAGCAGCAAGATTTACTGTGAAAAGCAAAAGAACAAAGCTTTCCATGGCATGGAAGGGGACCTAGCGGGTTGCCCCTGCTGGCTCCGGTGGCCAGCTTTTATTCCCTTATTTGGCCCCACCCATGTCCTGCTGATTGGTCCATTTCACAGAGTGTTGATTGGTCCATTTTACAGAGTGCTGACTGGTCCGTTTTCACAGAGTGCTGATTGGTGCGTTTACAAACCTTTAGCTAGACACAGAGCACTGATTGGTGCGTTTTTACAGAGTGCTGATTGGTGCATTTACAAACCTTTAGCTAGACACAGAGCGCTGATTGGTGCGTTTTTACAGAGTACATTTTATCAATTCATCTATTGATGGACAATTAGGTTGATTCCATATCTTTGCTATTGTGAATAGTGCCATGATGAACATGACAGTGCAGGTATTCCTTTGACGTACAGACTTCTTTTCCTTGGATAAGCACCCAGCAGTGGGATTGCTGGATCATACAGTAGTTCTATCTTTAGTTTTTTGAGAAATGTCCATACTGTTTTCCACATTGGTTGTACTAATTTACATTCCCATCAAAAGTCTGTCAGAGTTCCCTTTACTCCACATTCTTGCCAGCATTTGTTATTTTTTGTCTTTTTAGTAATAACCATTCTAACCAGCGTAATATGGTATTTCATTGTGGTTTTGATTTGCATTTCCCTGATGATTAGTGATTTTGAGCATTTTTTCATATTTCTGTTGGCCATTTGTATGTCTTCTTCTGATAAATGTCTATTCATGTCTTTTGCCCACTTTTTTTTTTTTTTTTTTTGATGGAGTCTTGCTCTGTCACACAGGCTGGAGTGCAGTGGCGCAATCTTGGCTCACTGCAACCTCCACCTCCTGGGCTCAAGCAATTCTCCTGCCTCAGCCTCCTGAGTACCTGGGATTACAGACACGTGCTACCTCACCTGGCTAATTTTTGTATTTTTAGTAGAGATGGGGTTTCACCATGTTGGTCAGGCTGGTCTCAAACTCCTGACCTCATGATCCGCCCACTGCAGCCTCCCAAAGTGTTGGGATTATAGGTGTGAGCCACTGCACCTGGCTCAGCTTTGTTCTTTTTGTTCAGGGTTACTTTGGCTATTCTGACGCTTTATTGGTTCCATGAATATTTTAAGATTGTTTTTTCTAATTCTGTGAAAAACAACATTTGTATTTTGGTAGAGATTTCATTGAATCTGTAGTTTGCTTTGGGCAGTATGGTTGTTTTAATGATATTAGTTATTCTGATTCATGAGCATGGGATGACTTTTTATTTGTTTGTGTCCTCTTCAAGTTCTTTCATCAGTGTTTTGTAGTTTTCCTTGTAGAGATCTTTCACCTTGGTTAAATTTATTCCTAGGCATTTTTTTTTTGTAGCTATTGTAAATGAGATTGCTTTCTTGATTTCCTTCTCCCGTTGTTCATTATTGGTGTACAGAAATGCTACTGACTTTTGTATATTGATTTTTGTATCCTGCAATTTTATTGAATGTGTTTATCAAATCTAGGAGTTTTTTTGGTGAAATCTTTAGATTTTTCTAGATATAAGATCATATCATTGGCAAAGAAGGACAATTTGACTTCCTCTTTTCCAATTTGGATCCCTTTTATTTCTTTCTCTTGCCTGATTGTTCTGGCAACGATCTTGAATAGGAGTGGTGAAAGTGAGCATCCTTGTCTTGTTCCAGATCTTAGAGGAAAGGCTTTCAGCTTTTCCCCATTCAGTATGATGTTAGCTGTGCGTTTGTTGTATGTGGTCTTTATTATTTTGAGGTACGTTCTTTCTTTTTTTTTTTTTTTTTTTTTTTTTGAGATGGAGTCATCTTGTTCTGTCACCAGGCTGTAGTGTGGAGTGCAGTGGCACAATCTCGGCTCACTGCAACCTCTGCCTCCTGGGTTCAAGCGATTCTCCTGCCTCAGCCTCCCTAGTAGCTGGGACTACAGGTGCACATCACCACACCCAGCTAATTTTTTTATTTTTATTTTTTATTTTTAGTAGAGACGAGGTTTCACCATGTTGGCCAGGATGGTCTCAATCTCCTGACCCTGTGATCCGCCCATCTCAGCCTCCCAAAGTGCTGGGATTACAGGCGTGAACCACACCTCGCCTTGAGGCATGTTCTTTCTATGCCTAGTTGAGTTTTATTATGAAGGGATGTTGAATTTTATCAAATGCCTTTTCTGCATCTATTGAGATAATCATATGGTTTTTGTCCTTCATTCTTTTGATGTGATGTGTGTTGTTTATTAATTTGCATATGTTGAACCATCCTTGTGTCTCTGGTATAATTCCCACTTAATCATGTTGCATTACCTTTTGATCTGTTGTCAGAGTCTGTTTGCTAGTATTTTGTTGAGAATTTTTGTGTCTATGTTAATCAGGGATATTGGCCGGTAGTTTTCTTTTTTCTGTTGTGCTGTCTAGTTTTGGTATCAGGGTAACACTGACCCCACAGAATGAGTTAGGAGGAGTTCCTTTGTCTTTAATTTTTTGGAATAGTTTCAGGAGGATTGGTATTAGTTCTTCTTTATACATTTGATATGAATTGGCTATGAATCCATCCAGTCCTGAGCTTTTCTTTATTGGGAAATTTTTTATAACTGATTCAACTTTGCTATTCATAATTGGTCTATTCAAGTTTCTGATTTCCTCCTGATTCAATCTTGGTCGGGTGTATGTTTTCAGAAACATCCATTTCCTCTAGGAACATACATCCATTTCCTCTAGGCTTTCCAGTGTGTTAATGTATGGTTGTTTATAAAAGTCTCTGATGATCTTTTGTATTTCTATGGTATCAGTTGTATAGTTGTAATGTCTTCTTTTTCATTTCTAATTTTATTTGGGTCTTCAGCTAGCGGTTTATCAATTTTATCTTTTTTAAAAAAACAACTGTTTCATTGATCCTTTGTATTATTATGATTTTTTTTTTTTTTTTTTTGAGACAGAGTCTCGCTCTGTCCCCCAGGCTGGAGTGCGGTGGCGCCATCTTGGCTCACTGCAAGCTCTGCCTCCTGGGTTCACGCCATTCTCCTGCCTCAGCCTCCCGAGTAGCTGGGACTACAGGCGCCCGCCACCACGCCCGGCTATTTTTTTGTTTGTTTTTAGTAGAGACGGGGTTTCACCATGTTGGCCAGGATGGTCTCAAACTCCTGACCTCATGAGCCACCCACCTCTGCCTCCCAAAGTGCTAGGATTACAGGCTTGAGCCACCACGCCTGGCCTATTTATTTATTTATTTATTTTTTTTTGAGACAGAGTCTTGCTCTGTTGCCCAGGCTGGAGTGCAGTGGCGCGATCTTGGCTCACTGCAAGCTCTGCCTCCAGGTTCACGCCATTCTCCTGCCTCAGCCTCCTGAGTAGCTGGGACTACAGGCACCCGCCACCACGCCCGGCTAAGTTTTTTTTAGCAGAGATGGGGTTTCACCATGTTAGGCAGGATGGTCTCAATCTCCTGACCTCATGATCTGCCTGCCTCAGCCGTCCAAAGTGCTGGGATTACAGGCGTGAGCCACCATGCCCGGCCTTGTATTTTTTTCATTTAGACTCTGTTTTATTTAGTTCTGCCCTGATCTTTATTACTCTTTCACTAATTTTGAGTTTCATATATTCTCACTTTTCTAGTTCCTTGAGATGTCTCCTTAGGTTTTTATTTGAAATCCTTCTCTTTTTTTTTTTCTTTGAGATGGGGTCTCACTCTGTCACACAGGCTGGAGTGCAGTGGTGCAACCTTGGCTCACTGCAACCTCTGTCTCCCAGATCAAGCGATCCTCCCACCTCAGCCTCCAGAGTAGCTGAGACTACAGGTGTGTGCCACCATGCCTGGCTAATTTTTGTATATTTTGGTAGAGACGGGGTTTCACTACATTGCCCGGGTCTCGAACTCCTGAGCTTAGGTGATCCACCCACCTCAGCCTTCCAAAGTGCTGGGATTACAGGCATGAGCCACTGCACCTGATCCTGATTTTTTTTTTTTTTTTTTGAGACAGGGTCTCACTCTCTTGTGCAGGCTGAAGTGCAGTAGAGTGGCATGATCTCAGGTCACTGCAACCTCTCTCTCCTTGGCTCAAGCAATCCTCCCACCTCAGTCTCTTGGGTAGCTGGTACTCAAGTGTGCACCACCACACCAAGCTAATTTTTTGTATGTTTTGTAGAGACATGGTTTCGCCATGTTGCCCATGCTGATCTCAGACTCCTAGGCTCAAGCAATCTGCCCATCTCAGCCTCCCAAAGTGCTGGGATTACAGACATGAGCCACTGAGCCCAGCCTCCATTTTTTTGATTTAGGTGTTTATTGCTATAAACTTTCCACTTAGCATTGCTTTTGCTGTATCCCATAGATTTTGATATGCTGTGTTTCTATTTTCATTTGTTTCAAGAATATTTTTTATTTCCATCTTACTTTTTTGTTGAGTCAATGGTTGTTCAGGACTGTGTTGTTTAATTTCCATGTATTTTTATAGTTTCCAAAATTCTTGTTGGTATTAATTTCTAGTCTTATTCCACTGTAGTCTGAGAAGACAGTTGATATAATTTTGATTTTAAAAAAAGTTGAGACTTGTTTTGTGGCCTAATATATGGGCTATCCTGAAAAACATTCCATGTGCTGATGAGAAGAATGTATATTCTGTAGTTGTTGGATAAAATGTTCTGTAAATATCTGTTAGGTCCATTTGGTTTAAAGCGCAGATTAAATCCACTGCTTCTTTGTTGATTTTTCCATCTAGATGATCTATCTCATGCTGAGAGTAGGGTGTTGAACTCCCCCACTATTGTTTTATTGGAATGTTTTTCTCTCTTTAGATCTAGTAATATTTGCTTTTCAAATCTGGGTGCTCCAGTGCTGAGTGCATATGTTTTCAGAATTGTTATTTCATTTTGCTGGATTGCTCCCTTTATCACTGTATAGTGACTTTCTTTGGTTTTGTTTGTTTGTTTACTGTTTTTGACTCAAAGTTTGTTTTATCTGATATAAGTATAGCTACTCCTGCTTGCTTTTGGTTTTCATTTTGTGTAATATTTTTTTTCCATTTCTTTACTTTAAGTTTATATGTGTCTTGGCAGATAAAGTATATTTCTTGTAGGCAGCATATAATTGGATATTTTTTCTTTATCCATTCAGCCACTTTATACATATTAAGTGGATAATTTAATCCATTTACATTTAAAGTTATTACTGATACATGAAGTTTTGAATGGCACTTGAGAAGTATTCAGCTGCCAACAGTGTTCAGCTGCCAACAGTGGCTGGGCAGGGCAACCTCCAGGCCCTTGGACAGCATGCTTGAGAACTGGAGGACAGGACCAGGATAGTGGACTTCAGGCTCTCTGGTAGTGTGTTCCATCACTGGTTATAATAGGCAAAGGCAGGTGGTCCCCAGGCTGTTGGCAGAATGCTCAGGTAGGGGCAGTGGTGGCTGTGCTGTGGGCCTGTCTCTGAGGAGGATGGGGCCACTCTCAGTGAGAGCAGTTTAGGAAGGCAGCTATGGGATGTGCAGTTCTCTCACCTTTTGGTCCAACAACAGACTGTGGCAGAGGAGGAAGTAAGATTTGTCGTTGGTGTGTGTAAAAGTGCCATCCTCCTCTCTTCTTTGACAGTCTTCTGGGGGCTGAGTGCTCAGAATGGTGCCATGTGGCAGTTGCTTGGGGCTCAGAAGCCTGTGGGACTCAGTGTGAGTGTTCTTTCTAAAGTAGTGCCTCTACACAATCTCTAAGTAGCTCTGTATGTTCGTCTGAAGCCCAAGAAGGTCAAGGTGCTTTCCTGTGGCTAGGAATGTAGAAGTCCATGGTGGGAATGTGGAGCCCTGGGGGTCATTCACTTACCCTTTCCCTATTTAAGGGAGGTTTTCTCAGCTTCCAGCTGATCTTGACCCAGTAGGTTGCCCTGCCTCCCTCTCCTTCTTTGCTTTTGATGCTTCCTACCACTTTCCTGTTGAATTCTAGTGTTTTCTCTTAGATGATCTATTTGAAGTGTGAATATCTACTTGCCATTTTTTTTCCTCTCCACAGAAGAGCTGTGTACTAGCCGCATTTAGTCAGCCATCTTAGATTTCTTCCACTGGTTCCTTGGTGGGTTGCTGACATCAATTGCTAGAAAAGCTTTTCCTCTTCCCCAGGGCCTTTCTGAAGAATTGTTCTATTTTTTTTTTTTTTAAAAGGGGGACTATGTTATTTAAAAAATGTCAACATCATAAAAGTCACAGACAGGCTTCAGGACTGTTCTACATTAAAATAGTAAATGGACATGACAACTAAGTACAATACTTTAGGTTAGACTTGATCCTGTTCTTGAAGGGGGAAAAATACCATAACAGATATTGCTTTAATTGACAAAATTGGCATATGAATTCCAGGGTAGATAAAAAGTATTTTATTAGGGTTAAATTTACTAAAGTTGATAACTATTCTGTGGTTAAGAAGAGAATAGCCCTATTTTTAGGAAAAAAGAACAGAGATATTTAGAAGAAGGTCATAATGATTCATCCAATTTATTTTCAAATGGTATAGAAACAATTCTGTGTGTGTGTGTATATGTACATATATATGTGCACACACATACATATATGTATTTATAATAAAAAGGAGAGAGAGATCAAACAAAAAAGCAAGTAGGATAAAGTATTAACAATAGGTGAATCTGGATAAAGGATATACAGGCATTCCATATACTATTCATACTTTCAACTTTTCTGTAAACTGGAAATTATTTACAAATAAAAGTAAAAAATAAAACAAAACAAAAAATGTTCCGTCCTTTCTCTGTTGTCTGAGGATGTTTAGTAGACCCTTCATAGCCTGGCTCTGGCTCCTTTCTGGCTGCACCTGCTACTATTTCCTTTCTCACACCCCAATAAGCAGCCCAACGCTTCCCATTCCCCAGAGTACACCTCTCTGCCTTTGCACCTCTAGTTTCTTATATTTGGAATGGTGTTCAGCTTCCTTCCTGCTCAGAAAATCCTCATTTCCTCAAGGCTCAGCTCAAAATGATCTCTTCCATGAAGTTCTCTGAAAAATCTTTTAGAAAGTTTTAAGCAAAGTTGAGGTGCTCAGAAAACTAGAGAGAGACACAATATGCTTTGTTTAATCAGAAATGTGCAAAATAAAAGGTCTGGAAAGAGTTGGGTAATTTTGTCTCATAACTTTCTTTTCACTTTTAAAAATTCTTGCATCATTCAGTACAGTTTTAAAGTCTTCACTCTACATGGAACTTCTATTTGAATCTTTCTACCATATTATAGTAAGTTATTTTATTTTATTTATTTATTTATTTTGAGACAAAGCCCCACTCTGTTGCCCAGGCTGGAGTGCAGTGGTTCGATATTGGCTCACTGCAACCTCCACCTCCTGGGTTCAAGCAATTCTCCTGCCTCAGCCTCCGGAGTAGCTGGGATTACAGGCACCCACCACCATGCCCCGCTAATTTTTGTATTTTTAGTAGAGACGGGGTTTTGCCATGTCGGCCAGGCTGGTTTCAAACACCTGACTTCAGGTTATCCATCCACCTCGGCCTCCCACAGTGCTGGGATTATAGGCATGAGCCACCGTAACCAACCTACAATAAGTTATTATTATTATTTGAAACGGGGTCTCACTCTGTTGCCAGACTGGAGTGCAGTGGTGCAATCTCGGCTCACTGCAACCTCCACCTCCCAGGTTCAAGTGATTCTCCTGCCTCAGCCTCCCAAGTAGCTGGGACTACAGATGTGTACCACCATGCCCAGCTAATTTTTGTATTTTTAGTAGAGACGGGGTTTCACCATATTGGCCAGGATGGTCTTGATCTCTTGACCTTGTGATCCACCCACCGTGGCCTCCCAAAGTGCTAGGATTACAGGTGTGAGCCACCATGCCCAGCCTAATAAGTTATTTTATATTACAACAACAATTTGTATATCTTATAAGATACCGTGCTGTATCATAATTATTTCTTCAGGTATCAGTTTCAGCAATCACAATGTGGAATAAGAACTATCTTATTTGTCTTTAAATCTCTTCCAACACTTTGCAAATGCCTAGCATGCAGTGGGCATTAAGCAAATTCAATGATCATTGTATAAAACAACCTAATTACCAAATTTGATTTAAACATGCATGTACATACAACTCTCAAGTTTAACATCACTATTATCCTAGCAAACAAATGGGAAAGGCTTAACAAAAATGTTTTCACTGGACTTACTCTTCTCGTGGGCAGTCTAATAAATAAAGTCCATTTTTTTTCAGTCCTCCTCAGGCAAAAAGACATGTAATATATGGGTAAATAAATGATTATAGACCCATACAGAGTGAAACCTTTTAACTACAAATTTACATAGAGCCAAATCTAGTTAGGGTCAGAATTTGAAAATCCCACCAGACTCAAAGCAATTTGTAAGTAACAAAATTCCATTCAAATTGATTTATCTCTGATTTTTAGACTGTGTTTTAAAAATACTTTTGTCTAAAGGTAAATCGGTCTCTGAACAAACATCAGAATCTCTGTAGCTTTGTTATGGCTAGGTTTGTCAGATGAGCGTATGTATTAGAGTTCTCTAGAGGAACAGAACTAATGGAATAGATATATCTATTTAAAGGGGAGTTTTTTCAGTATTAACTCACATGATCACAAGGTCCCACAATAGGCTGTCTGCGGGCTGAGGAGCAAGGAGAGCCAGTCTGACTTCCAAAACTGAAGAATTTGGAGTTTGAGGCGTGGAATCATCCAGCACAGGAGAAAGATGTTGGCTGCGAGGGTAGGCCAGTCTCTCTTCACATCTTTTCTGCCTGCTTTTTATTTGAGCTGCACTGGCAGCTGATTCAATTGTGCTCACCCAGATTAAGGATGGGTCTGCCTTTCCCAGCCCACCGACTCAAATGTTAATCTCCTTTGGCAACACCCTCAGAGACAAAGCCAGGATCAATATTTCGTATCCTTCAATCCAATCAAGTTGACATTGAGTACTAACCATCACAGTGTGTATGTTCATCTGCCTTTTGGTTTAAAAAATATACTTATTTTATACTTATTTTATACTTTGAACTCATGAGGACATTTATATTTGTACATATTTAAATAAACACTATCCATGTACTAGATTTTCTAGAAAATAAAACAGTTCCTTCTAGGATTCAAATTAGAATCAAAAATCAAAGTAAATTTGTGCTTTTATGCTCTACGAACCATTGAAAATGACACATGCACAACTTTCCCAAATCTAATTTAAATCTTAGCTAAGAATATCCTAGCATATCAGTTGTTTCCTGGAATTTTAATATTTGAAGAGGTGGAAAGAAATGGGTTTTTTTTCTTTATTTAAGGATAGAGTTAAATAACAACTAAGAATTTTATTTTTTATAACAAAGCTGCAATGTTTTGAGCACTATTATGTTTTAGCACAATATGAAGTCTAGAGATTCTTATATTAACTTAGTGATCTCAGACTTTTTACAAATAAAAAGTGTAAATTTTTATTCCATTGGATTCTATTACTCCCCTTTGTGTTATAATTGTTCTCTTTTTTTTTTTTTTTTGAGACAGAGTTTCTCTCTTGTTGCCCAGGCTGGAGTGCGGTGGCGCGATCTTGGCTCACTGCAATCTCTGCCTCCTGGGTTCAAGCGATTCTCCTGCCTCAACCTCCCGAGTAGATGGGATTACAGGTGCCCGCCACCACCATGCCCAGCTAATTTTGTATTTTTAGTAGAGACGGGGTTTCTCCATGTTGGTCAGGCTGGTCTCGAACTCCTGACCTCAGGCGATCTGCCTGCCTCAGCCTCTCAAAGTGCTGGGATTACAGGGGTGAGCCACCACACTTGGCCAATTGTTCTATTTTTTCAGTAGAGCTAGTTCTTTTTTGTGTATGTGTAAGACAGGGTATTGTTCTGTTGCTCAGGCTGGAGCGCAGTAGCACAATCACAGCTCACTGCAGCCTTGATCTCCCAGGCTCAAGCCATCTTCCTGCTTCAGCTTCCTGAGTAGCTGGGACTACAGGCATGTGGCACCACACCTGCCTAATTTTTTATATTATTTGTAGAGATGGTGTCTTGTTATGTTGCCCAGGCTTGTCTTAGACTCCTGAGCTCAAGCAATCCTTCCACCTAAGTCTCCCGAAGTGCTGAAGTTATAAGCATAGGCCACCATGCCCAAGCTAGCTAGTTCTTTTTACAATTTAAAAATTAAGTGTACACTGCAACCAGAATTCTTGATTTGCAGAGCTCACTTAGGGACTGATAAGGACATGCTGCTGACTCAAAAGGATGAGAAGCTTGCATTTGATGATGCTGAGTAAAACCTAACTCCCTGAGTTCTAGTAATTGCCCACAACACATTATTTTTTCTCCTCTTTTTTTACTTCACTTTTCCTCATATATGACATGCAACTCTGAGAATTAGAGGTGTCTTACCTGGAAAAGAAGAGAATTAGAGCAAATATAATTGTCATGGGCTAACTCTTGCAGATCTCAGCTCAAGAAGTCAGAACCCATAGGTGAAATTGTAGGGATAACACCAGCTCAGTGTAAAGAATTTCCAACATAAACAGCTACTGCATAACAGAATGAACTGCCATGGAAGAATACAACATCCAGTCAAGGCATGTAGTCAAGGAAGAGCAGATAACCATCTGCAAGAGGATTTCAACACTGGACCAGACAGTCCTATAGTAAGTTGAAGTCTAAGACCCTATAATTATGTGATATTGGAGATTTAATGTTTACAATATTATTGTCATTCCATCTGGTTCCTGGTACTAAGTCTTTGTTTTTTGTTTTGTTTGTTTGTTTTTCTTTTGGAAACAGGGTCTCGCTCTGTCACCCAGGCTGAAGTGCAGTGGCATGATCTTGGCTCACTGCAGCCTCAACCTCCCAGGCTCAAGCAATCCTCCCACATCAGCCCCCCAAGTAGCTGGGACTACATCCATATGCCACCATGCCTGTTTAATTTTTGTATTTTTTGTAGAGATGTGGTTTCACCATGTTGCCCAGGCTGGTCGCGAACTTCTGAGCTCAGGCAATCCACTCACCTTGGCCTCCCAAAGTGCTGGGATTATAGGCATGAGCCACTGTGCCTGGCCTGTGGTACTAAGTCTTCCCTGACATTTTGTCAGTAAAGGTCAAAGTCACTGGAAATGGTCACTGCACCTAACCTAAGTGTCAGTTTCCTGATCTATAGAGTAGAGGATTTGATGAATTTATCTCTAGAATTCTGTCTACTTCTAGTCAGATTCTTCACTGACATGAAGTCACCACTGTGTATCTACCTTACTAACCTTTTTTGGTTAACATGTGGGAAATTTAATAAATTCCTGACATTTTTCAACAACATTTATAACCTTTGGGGATCAGTTCATTTTCACCAATTCAATTTTAGTCATCTTGATTGCTTTTGTCAGAGGGGAAAAATAATGTCACATAATTAAAATAATAAATAACCTCCCAAATAATGTATGTTTATTAATCTTATGACAGAACCTCCAGCTATATTTTGTTAGAACTAAATTTAAAACAGCACATAACTTGCAGCTCTTGCAAGTTCTCACAATTTAAAAATTGAAGATGTGTTACAAGCAGAGTTCATGAATTATAGAGCTCAATGATTATATTTGATAAAGTATCCTCTGATCTACAATTACAGACTGATGAGAACATGCTGTTGATTCAAAAAGATTGGAAAATCGCATGTATCACTTGCAGACTGCTGGGACCAGCGTACCGCAGGCTGCTCAGGTATAGAGACGCATCTTCTAGGAGTGCCAATTGCCCTACTCTCTGGGACTGAACTAACTAATACCCAACCTCTGAGGTCCTTAACACCTCATGTATTCAATCTGTGGTATTCTTAACACCTCACCTCTGAGACAGTCAACATTGTGTCAGGTGTTGAAGCCTAAGCCTCTGAAGCCAATGTTATGCTAAGCTGTACAGGAGCTGAAACTACAACCTCTGGCTCAAGAACATCCCAAGCAGTGGCCTGTGCAGAAACTCCTGCAGGAACACCCCTTCATCAGGTCTAGTGAGCCAAGTCCTTGCAGCAGTAGGGCCAGTAATCACTCCCATTCCCATTGACTTTTTTTTTTTTTAAATCAGTTAATGCTTAAATATAAGTCCACCTCAGTCATCAATCTCTTTGCCTGATTTTCCCCACTGCTCCTGGATGAGCCCTCTGTTCCTCCTCTCTTGCTCAGGGCTTCCACATGCCTTCTGGAACCGTTGCTTTGTATTCAGCAAACTCCCCTATGTCATCACTCTGTTCTCTCAACCATGCCTTCACCTTTTTGCTCCAACAAAAACCTGAGTTTTCCCTGAGGACATTGCTTCTCCTTTAGTCCTCTGAAGTGGTGACCGTCTGCTTTCTCACATCAGGTGGAGAAGGGCTTTGCTGTCCCATTGTTCCCCATTGTCATTTCCAGGTCCCTTGTCCTTGCACTCTCTCATCTGAGTCAGTGTGGAGCTATCTGATAAGGCCTCCTTTCCCCCTGCTGGTAGCTATCATTTCTGGGCCTCCCATTTACTCTTTGGGACTGTTCCCCTCAAATCCAAACTCTGCCAATTGCTGCAGTAATTTCAAAATGCAAAGTTGACATACATGATAATCTGGCCTCTGAGTCCCAACTTCCTTATCTCCAATGACCTTTAGCTTCTCTCCATCCAAGCTACCCACTCTCAGGGTCACATTTGGACCTTGTCATCATCTGCAACAGATCTATTGCCAAAACCGCTGATTCAAGCATCCTGCTTTTTTATTTTTTAGTTTTTGAGGTGGAGACTCACACTGTCACCCAGGCTGGGGTGCAGTGGCACGATCTCTGCTCACTGCAACCATTGCCTCCGGGGTTTAAGTGATTCTCCTGCCTCAGCCTCCCGAGTAGCTGGGATTACAGGCGCCTGCCACCAGGCCCGGCTAATTTTTTGTATTTTTAGTAGAGATGGGGTTTCACTACGTTGGCCAGGCTGGTCTTGAACTCCTGACCTTGTGATCCACCCGCCTTGGCCTCCCAAAGTGCTGGGATTACAGGCATGTGCCACCTTGCCCGGCGCATCCTGCTTTTTGACCACACCTGCTTCTCCTTTGCCGTTCCACCCACCATGACTATTTTGTGTCCAAATTTAGATTTTCAGCCCAGTAACCCCTTCTACTTTCTACCAATTCATCAGGTCTCTTCTTTTATCCTTTGTCCCTTATCCAGCTAAAATCCCATGGACTGTAGTTTCCGTAACAGTTTGTACATTGTCTCCCCTACCACAGAGCCTTTGCCCATGGTAGTCTCTCAACCTACAATGGTTTTGCTCATCACTTTCCTGGTTAATTCCTATTCATCATTTAGACCAATGCTGGTCAGTAGAACTTCTGCAGTGATGTAAATATTATATACCTGTGCTGTCCAATTCTGTAGGCACTAGCCACATGTGACTATTGAGCAGTTGATGTGGCTAGTGTGACTGAGAAACTGAATTTTAGGTTGTTTTGTTGTTGTTGTTGTTGTTGTTGTTGTGTTTTTTCATTTTTTTTTTGTTTGTTTGTTTTTGAGACAGAGTCTCGCTGTGTTGCCCAGGCTGGAGTGAAGTGGTGCGATCTGCAACCTCCTCCCGGGTTCAAGCGATTCTCCTGCCTCAGCCTCCCGAGTAGCTGGGATTACAGGCATGCCACCATGCCTGGCTACTTTTTGTATTTTTAGTAGAGATGGGGTTTCACCATGTTGGCCAGGATGGTCTCGATATCCTGACCTTGTGATCCACCCGCCTCGGCCTCCCAAAGTGCTGGGATTACAGGCGTGAGCCACCATGCCTGGCCTGAATTTTAGTTTTATTTACTTTTAATTAATCTAAATAACTACATACAGTGGCTGCTATTTTTGTCAGTGCAGCTTTAGCTCTCACTCAAACTCACCTTCCTTAGGACAGCTTTCCCTAACTCCCCATGTGATTTCAGGGTCCTCTGTTATATTGTCATGGCTTTATCCTTGCCTTCACAGCACCTATCTTAGTTCGTGATTATATAATTGTTGTGTGATTGTTTGACTGTGTCTGATTGCTTACCATTGGATCCCCAGCATCCAGCATAGTTCCTGACATACCATAAATATTTTTCAATAAATGAATGAATGGATGGACATTGTGAGAGGAAGAGGAGGTGGTGCAGATTAAAATTGCTGCAAAGAATCTTCAGTGGACAATCCTCATGACCCAAAGAAAAATGACTGCACTACTGGAGTTAGGGGTGCCACCAATGAGTCAGCTGAGCAACCTATTTCCAGGGCCACTTGGCCAGCATTGGTGCCAATGAGTGCAAGGACTGTTAATACTGACTCACAGGCCAAAGACAAGCTCCTTGTCCTCAAACTATAAGCATCATCTCATTATTCACGTTCTATCAGGTTACCATTAGTCAGATTTCAACTGTCAAAACAATATCCTCCTCCAGCAGAGCTATGAGCCTGATAATTTATTCTGATATACTTTGGCTGCTACCAATTTTTTGTAACTTAAAAAATACTGGGATACTATATTTGAAAGTAAAGCACATTATTTCAACACCTGATTTACTCAATTTAACATATGGCTTATATCTTAAATGTGTTTTTAAAAGATTATATATTCTCAAATTGATAGAATTATAATTTCCCCCATTTAAGGTTTACATAATTAAATATAGGCATGTAATTTTTGTGGAAACAGATACAATATGATCTAGAACACTGTAAAATATTCCTGCTCAGAAAAAAATAGATAAAATTCAAAAAGGTCCTTCCAAATATAACACTTCCATTTTTTCAGTAACAACTTTGAGAATTCCTTTCTAATATCAACAGTTTTTAAGGACTTTCCATTTATAGTAATTGTACTTTCAGTATTCAGTTAAATGAGAAAACACATAAGATAAAAGCTTCTATAAACCCAATAATGTTCTGAAACTTATAGCCATTAATCAGCATGTACTTACATATTCTTAAAAATAAGAGTACAAATATATTTGCAATATAAACAATGTTTGTAGTGGAAACACACATTTGCTTCACTATCCCAACTTCCCCACCATGCTCTCCGGTTTGTTTCTGTTATATATTTGGTGGTTCGGTAACTCAGAAACTGATCCAAAATTTAGAGTAGAAAATGGACTTACTGAAGGGGGACGGTCTTAGGCAAAATGCAAACATATATACATATATGTGTTTGCTGGGTGTATTTATTATATATATGTCGCATATTACATGTACTCTTGACAAGAGAATCATAGAACTTGGAGATATTCCAAAGTTTATCTGGGCTATTTCCCATAATGCAATAGAGTAGTATCTAGATCATTCATAACAGAAATAGCTGAATGATTTGGGTGCATTCAGCAATGAAAGAATGTTATTATTTTATAGTGGCTTTAACATAGGAGAAAAAGTGTTTTCCCAATAATTATGATTATTGCCATTAAAACCTCCAAGGTTTTTGGTTTTCACTCTACTACCTATAGGTGTGTGGAGTAGTGCAAAAATCTAATCCATGTCTATTCTGCAACAGAACAGCCTATCAGATCATTTCCCAGTTAGAAGCACCTGCCTTTCACTGATTCAAGTCATACTTTAGCCCTGGGGCATTCTCTTATGGCATGTTTCTTTTATGATGCTGGTTTATGTCAGTTTGGTTTTTGCATGTAAATGCCGTCATTCTTAGAACTTCCTCCCCCACCTTACCTAGTTATGATAAGCACAACATCAGTGAATCATGAGAACGTAATCCTGAAAACTTCCCCATTTTAGGAACTGCCTTAGTTTTGCAAAGTATTTTATAGAAATACTATGTTCATATTTTAATAGAAATATAATCTAGACAAAACCAAAAAGCAAACTTCTTTCTAGGTAAACTTCCCTATGAGGACTCTGCTGTTACATTTTCCTCCTCTGTAGTTAAGTTTCCTATATCTTTGAGCTTTAGTTCTAGAGCTTCAGATTTTGTAAGGCATTTTAAAGGAATCATAGGAAACCTACTCTAGGACCAGGTTTACTTAGATTGTCCTGATTCTGAACTTCTGAATCCTATGTGCACCTCCTTCTTAATTATGTAAACCTGTGACCCTCTGGTCTCTTCCTCAAGTTCCTTTCTGCGCCTAGCCCTCTACAAACAAGTCTTTTTTTTCCCTATTTCCCAGAAGAAAAGCACTCTAGTTTTGAAGACTTGTACTTTGCTGATCACCTTCTTTACCTATTCATCCTCCAAGACACATAGTGGTAATTTGATTAGTAGCAACCTGCCCAGATAGCAAAATGCATGTCCACTTTAATTTCTGTACAGTCAGCTTAAATGGTATGCCTCAGGGAGAGCTCTAAGCTACACTTGACTTTAGATTCCCTTGTTAATTCAACAATTAAGACTAATCTGTTACATATTACAACTTATAAAATAGTATTTCCAGCTTTTTTTTTTCAGACAGGGTCTTGTTCTGTTGCCCAGGCTGGAATGCAGTGGTACAATCATAGCTCACCTCTGCCTTGAAGTCCTGGGCTCAAGCAGTCTTCCTGCCTCTGCTTCCTGAGTAGTTGGGACTACAGGTGTGCACTGCCATGTTGCCTGGTCTGGCCTCAAACTCCTGGGCTGAAGCCATCCTCCTGCCTGGTCTCCTAAAGTGTTGGGATTACAAATGTGAGCCACCATGCTCAGGCTATTTCTAAGACTATTATGGCATAATGGGTACTCAATAAATATTTGTTGAAAGAACGAATGAATCAACTTATAGTCTTAGACGGAAAAGACAAAGGATCAGATCTCTTTTTGCTAACCCCAGCACTGGATTGGTGAATGCTGCCTTCTATTTGAAAGTGTGTAAAATTCTTCTTCCAGATATAAACTAAAATCAAAGACTACCTCTGCATGCCATCCCATGAAGCAGTCTGCTGTTGCGATATCAGGTGTGGCTTCCACCACCACTGCCACTATCATCCTACATATTTTTTTTTTTTTTAGACTCTGTCACCCAGAATGGAGTGCAGCGGTGTGATTTTGGCTCACTGCAGCCTCCGCCTCCTGGGTTCAAACAACTATCCTGCCTCAGCTTCCCAAGTAGCTGGGACTATGCCACCATGCCCATGCCACCACACCTGGCTAATTTTTGTATTCTTAGTATTGATGGGGTTTTACCATGTTGGTCAGGCTGGTCTCAAACTCCTGCCTCAAGTGATCTGCCCACCTTGGCCTCCCAAAGTGCTGGGATTACAGGCGTGAGCCATCATGCCCGGCCTTCATCCTACATTTCTCTATTCTTCTTCTGTCTCCTCTTATCAAAATCTGAACTGATCCAGAAATCTTCCAGCCCTTGGTGTGTGTGTGCACATACATACACACACACACACACACATACATATATAGATATGTATGTATTTTCTTGATCTTAGTCCTAATGAAAAACATGTGGAGCATAGCAAGTAATTCCTTCTTATCCTATGAATAGCAATTCAAGGGATGGTTTCCAAGGAATTATTAAAACACACACAAGAATTTACATTATACTCCAGTGGGTAGTAACAAATTGAAAAGTTATCAATGCTTTATAATGTGGGGAAAACTCTGAGTATATAACAATCTTGGGCAGTGAAAAAGAAATAACCCAGATTCCACAGTTTGAACTGCTGACCTTTTTCTGTAGCTGATCAACATTTTTCACCTCACTTAGTTTACTAATTTACTATTTTCTTACGCTAAATTTTGCATCCTTTTGGTATAAAGTGCCAGCATACCCAGAAAATATTTTTGCATTTCACATGCTAGTTAAAATACACCCTCACATAGTTTGTGTCTTTGAAAATAATTTAGTACCCTATGATTAATACACCAGACTCATATAAATATAAATAGACATAAATACACATATATATATGTTTCGTCTTAGTTTCCATCTGAGTTTAACTGAGAAAATCCCCATATAACAAACATATGTACAAGTCCCAGCCAATGATCCATTCTAGACAATGTTAAATAAACCAAATCTGGTTTGGCCAAAGAACTTAGATAGTCCCTTGGAGTTTTCTGCTACATCAGGTGTAACTGAATGTAAAATTTTCTATCTGGAATTTCAGGGGCAATTAAAACTCTTAATAATTCTTTTTCCCTTTGGCTGTACCTTTATTGGTTGGCAATGAATTGGTTGGCTTCTGACCAACATAGGAAAAAAACATACTTTTTTCTCAGAAAACTTGTGATGACAGCTGTCATTTTCCAGCTCTCAGATGCCAATGGGAATTGACCCCAATAGTCATAAGCAATAAATTTCTGTACAGAGAAAATCCTATTAATGGAGGAGCATTTTCCATTAGGAAATTCCTTCTAATAAGAAATAACTAAAAACTACTTACTGTTCTCTTTACAGTGCCCTGTCCCATGACAGGCCCTCATTCCAGGCCCCACCACAGTGATATCTCTATTGTACCACCAGCTCCCCAAAGTGGTGACAGGAGCCCTGGGCCTGAGCTGCAGCAGTGACTCAGCACGCCCCAAATGTCTCCAAGTTTCCAAGGCCACCCCACAGTTGTATAGTAGCTCCAGTCAGGCTCCTGGGGAGGTCTGTCTGACCTCATTACCATGGAGCAAGACAGGATTTTGTAGAACATGCTTTTTTCAGTCTCTTTAAAGAGCACAAGCCAGGACACACAAAGACTAGAAGCTGGTTTCTAGGAAATTTAACCTCTCAAAATATGGGCATCATTGAATGTCCCTGATACAGTCATTCTTCAGCTGCCACTGTCTGAAAACAACATACACAAAAGATGAAAGACAACTTTGAATGACAAGCCCCCGACTCAGGACTAATGATAAGATTATTAAAGTCACACATCAGCCTACCAGAAGCAAAAATTTTCTTCCCTGAAAGAGTTGAGAAGTGTCACTGTCCAGTGAGGCATTTATTTTCAAACTAAATCCAGTTAAGAAGCTGGGCTGCTGGCCATAACTCCTACAGAAACTAACGTATACTTCTGTGCCTCTGACAGCCCGGCCCAGTGATGAGTACACAGTTGTAATTGAATTGCATTTGATGTTGTTTGCACTAACACAGCACCAGACTTCAGGACAAACCACAGCTCTGCAGAGCAGAGTTCTGGCCCACTCTCCCCCCACCTCACCCCCCGTGGCTTGGGTCTGCCCTTGTTGTCCTGACCTGCCGGAGGTTTCATCAGCATTACCTCTGACTCATACTTCGCATTCAAGAGCAAGATGAATTCGCTAGCAATGAGTACCTGGAAGAGGGCCAGACTATTGGTACTAAAGCAGTGCTGGCCCCAACACAGCTCGCTGGGCCAGACGTTGATGGGAAATGGCTGACAGCAGGATAAACAAGCAGCTCCCTTTTTGGTGAGCTTCAGGGGAATCAGGTGGACAGAATCAAGGCTTCAGGTATGCTCTTCAGAGGCTCTGTGGAGTGGTGGGAGGCTGTAAAACAGCACTGGAGATGGTTGTGGTTCTCCCCCAGCAAAAGCACCGGCAGGAAGAAAGGCAGATTGGCAAACAGTGTGGGCCCACAGTGCGAGCCAGGGGAGAAGCCATCAGGTGACACATCAAGCCGTGAGAGGCAGCTGGTCAGGGACCCCTCAGTTCCCCACCGTCCTGCAGAGACATGGGGGGCAGTGTCCGTGCCTCCCTCCCTCACCACCTGAGCTGCTCCACAAGAAATTCTGAGCGCCACTGGGCAAGTAGAGGGAACCAAATGCCTCAAGATGGAGAAGAGTGCAAGGTCTAACTAGCAGTACTGTGGAAGAGCAACACAGACAAGAGGTGTAGAATTAGCTGGGCAGGGTGTATGGGTTCCTTCCGGTGCCTGCATACCTGAGAAGAAGTCATTCGTTGAGCTTAGTTTAGGTTTTAAGGCAGTTTTGGTGTTTGAGGCTTATTTAGCACACATAAGTCCAAGGTAGCATCAGACAGAATTATAAACTTCATGTGACTTTTCAAAACAACCCAGTGAGCCCATTGTTAGCAAATAGCAGTCAGCCGAGATAAGCGGCCATTCTAGGAGCAAAGGCACTTGTGCCAGGAAAACAAGAACAAGCACGAGCAAGAAGCAGGGCAATGCAATCCACAAACACAATTCATGCTTTACAGCTGTGAGACAATGCTTCTTTTGCTTGGACCTCAGGCTCTGCAAACTGCAGCACAGAGGAGGGTAAGTGTGCAGTGGCCCCTAGAGAAGAGTGGTCAGTAATGAAATTGCACCCCACTTTACTTGCCCCTTTGTGTTCCTGGGTCACTGCCAGGCTGTCCCAATCCTGCAACATGTGGAAAGCCAGTGTGTTCAGATGGAATAGTAGGGGATGCAACCTAAAGAGATTACTAGTAAGATTTTCCAGAAAAAGAAAAATAACTATTTTTTAAGCATGAGCAGGGGTGGGGAGGGGTGGGGGGAAGAAAGTTTCTTTGTTTCTCATTGGAAAGCTTTGCAAGCTATTGACTTATTGAGGAAAATCAGGACAATTGGGTACACAGCTTTGACTTCTGGTGATTTCTGACACTTTCCTCGAAAGCCTATCACTCCACACTGAGGGCCCCAGGATTGACTGTTTTACAGAAGCTCTTATGTATTGAGGTCCTGTATGAACTGGACCCATGTAAGATGGGGAGTGGTGACAAACGTTGGCTCAACCTCAATTGTGAGATTATGGTTCAAGGTTATTTTCTTAGAGATAGTGAGTCTTCAGAAAACCTTTGAGTAAAGGCAAATGAAAGGCTTGTGTCTAAAAACAGGCTTCCAAAAGTGGAAATAGGACACAGGAAGTGGAGAGTCGGAAAACAAAACAAAACAGATGAGCTGGAATGAGAAGAGTAGAGAGAGAAGTAGAAAGACAGGGAGAGACTCTGTAAGGAAAGCTGTGAAGGAAAAGGATTGCAGCCTCTTGGCTTTATTTTCAGTTAGTGCCTCATACAATTCACGAGGTGAGGCTCCCACACATTCTGGCCTGTTCTCCCCAATTATGGGGGTGGGGAGGTAAATGAACTACACCCAGACTTCTTGCAGCTGTCACCTCAATATCAGGTATCTGCGAGGTGGGGAGAGAGGTGGGAGGATTGGTAAGGGGCTGTATAATTACTGGGAACTCCAGCCAATGTAACACATGGTTATGTGGGCCTATGTAGTTAGGTTTCACTATCCCTATTGACTGTGCCAGACCCTGAACTAAATACTGGAGTGTCGAGATCAAGAAGGCATGATTCCCGCCCTTAGGAGTGCACCATCAAAGGAGGTGAGGAGTGCATCTCCTCACAGGAGGAGACAGATGAGTAAACTGAACATTTTGATTCAGTACGTTTTGGGATACAGGTAGGAACCAGAGCTGCAGGGCCAGGGGAAGGGGGCACCTCCCCCAAAGGCAAAGGTCCTATCCTCGGTCCCACAGAACAGCTTACAAGACTCCTCCTCAGGTGCAGCTGGTTCGGAGGGTACGGTCGTCTCCAGCTGTCTCCTACATCGTCTCTATTTTCTCACTGGCTCCTTCTAGTCTAGGTCTCTCCAATCCTATACACATCGTTTCCAGCTCTGTTATGCCTTCAGGCTACTGGCTGAGACTTTTTCTTTTACTGCTAAAGCATAGCATACATTTTCCTGCATTTCCTCCCTACCCTCTCATTTTTCACCCACGCCTTGATGTCAAGTTCCTCTCTGTACCACTTTATCATAATCTCCCTCTTGAAGAAGAACCACCAGTGATTTCCTCATCACTAAATCCAATGATCCTCATTGATGTTATTATACAGGGAGCTGACTGGCAACTACCACACTACAAGCTAAAACTCTCCCCTCTTTCACTTTCCCAGGCCTGTCTGCCCTTGTTCTTCCTGCAGTTCTCCTGTGCTTCCTTCATTAGCACCAATTCCCTTTCCCATCTCATAAGTGGGAGCGTCCCCCAGTGAACAGCCGCAGGGAGCGCACCTGCATCCAGAGTTCCAGCCCTTCTCCATGCTGATGACACCCAAGTCTTTATCTCTAGGTCTGATCCTTTACCTTATTTCGAGTCCAGAATTTCTAATCACGTACTGGTCAGGTTCACTTTCATGGTCATCTGTGTCTCTCAGGGTTCCTGGCATAGTGCATTGCATAGATATGGATACAATAATATTAAGCTGAATGATGAGTGAACAAATGAACGGATAAAATATCCCAGTCTCCTGCAGAAAATCCCACCTTGTTACCTCTGCCTTTCTTTCCTGACCATGGTTTCCAGCCTGTTATCTTCCAAGAGACAGACAATTTATTATTATCTTCCTAGAGGAGTCTCATCCCCAAAGCCTGGAAATGGGGCTTTGTATTATCGGTCTAAAGATGGGTATTATTGTCTCTCACCCCTCCATTCTCTTTTCAGTGTCTCATTTTCTTTCTTGGTGAAATAGAACAAAAGTGATCAGCCCTTGTGACAAGTCATATTATTCATGGTAACATTGTTTCGTCTTGTAAGTGACTGACATTAGGACTGACATATGAACTGATTTATACCCCAACTTCAACATGCCCTTTCCCACGATCCTTAACCCCAAAGCAACAGTAACAGCTGGACTAACAGCCCTTGCGATATGCCAGGCACTGTGCTGGGCTAAGTGCTTCACATGTGTTATCTTTCCGAATCTTTTCAAAAAGCTTATAAGGCAGAAACCATTTCCAGAGAAGGAAACCGAGGCTTAGGGAAGTTAAAGTAACTGAATCAAGGTAAGTGGTAGAGCCAGGGTTCAGGGAGACATGAAAACATCCCACTCTTAACCCTTCACCACACAGCCTCTTGTGTCTATCGGATTCAGTTACAGGGGGCTTGAGTTGGTTCACGTCTACAAATAATTGAACGTCTGTTACATAGTGAGCATTGTGGGATACAAAGGTTTAAAAAGATCAAGTCCATGATCTCAAGGAGCTTACAGTCTAGAGGAAGAGCACCAACATGAGACTGACGCCTGTGCAGTGAAATGAGACTTTTGGATGAAAGGGTTACATTTACACAAAGCACGCACAGTTCAGTATTACATGTCCCTGCCCTTGAAGAAGATCCCAGCTGCTAGAGTTTTGACTATGCAGTGTTTCAGATTTAGTTTCCCCTCCTCTTTGATCAGGCTCCTCTGTCTTTCTAAAGCTCATACTATACATATAATTTCCATTCAAATTCAAAATCTTTCCAATTATTGTAGTGAATGCAATGTTATTCAAGGATTTTTTTTTCCTGAAAGAGCACCTATCTGACATGCATTTTTAATTTTATGTGCAATATGCAAATGTCATCACTGTAGTTGTTAACCGCAGTGCAGGATTGCAATTAACTATGGAGCTGTGCATTTTAGTTATATGCTAATGCTAATGAGATTTTCATAAAGCAAGTCCAATTACCAGCCCTATTTTTTAACTGCAAGAGCTAGTGCAAAGCAAAGGTGTTGACTTTCTTTAGAATAAATTACCCTTTGTCCTTGGCTCCTTCATCATATTCAATCATCCTAAAAAGTAACTCCTGCTACTTTGAATATTGTATCCTGCCTTGCTCTCCAGTACAATATTAATGGAGACTGTGGGCAAGATTGTTTAGAAACCAATTTACACTGCACAGGCAGTGGGAAAACTTCCTCCAAATGTAAACTGCTCCAACAGAGGAGCAGAGCTTTGAGTACTCAAAGTAAACAGGACCTAGAGGAGACTGAAGACCCAGACAGTGAGTTAGCAAAAATAAATCACAAGAGAGCGCATATGTGGTATAACCTTGCACTGAGGAAACACAAGCGGTGAATGGGTGTTTAAACTCAGATTTATGATCAGCTGTGTCACTGGTGGAAGACAACCACCTTAGAGGGATATTCATTCATTCATTCACTCATTCAAGAAACAGTTGTGGGGACTTCTGTGTTCCAGACACTAAATTAGACACTGAAGGTTCAAATATGAATAATATAGGGGAGGAGAGACAGACTTTCATATTTTATTTCTATACTAATTGATTCTTTTACAAAAAGAAAGTGTCTGTGAATTACTTGGGCAGTGAAAGAATGAATAAGCACAATGCCTGCCTTCAGTGAGCTTATGGTCAAGTAAAAGGATACAAATATGTAAAACAATTTTAAAAGGATACAAGCATGTAAAACAAAATGTGACACATGAGGTATTTTTAGAGGAGGACAAAATGAAGGCAAAGGTCAGTTTGGAGAAGGAAGGTGATGGGGAGAAAAACTTCTTAAAAGATAAGGAGATTCTTGAGCTGAACCTTGAAGGTGGATAAGTATTAGCTAGAACAGGGTGGGAGGTCAGTCCAGAAAAGAACAACCTGAAGAAACCACAGAAGTATGCAACAGCCCAGGTGACTGTAAGCGATCCAAGGTCCCTGGAAGCACAGGGTGTGCAGCAGAGCCGAGGTGAAAGGTAAAGTTGGAAAGGAGCCACTGAGAAGTTTTCAGCAGGAGAATAAACAATCAGACGTGCCTCTTGGGCAGCAAAGTGGAACAAGGGCGAAAGGTGAGTGGGTGGGGGCAAGTAAATCACCCACCCATAGGAACCACTTCTGTGTTCAACTCAGACCCTGAGACAAATGATCAGATTATATTTCCCCTCAAGATGTTTCCCGTGCCCCTATGGAAGGCTATGAAACAACAAAGTACTCTTTATTTTTAACATTTTCCTTCCAGAAAGAAAACATGAGAGACAGGGAAAAAACG
This sequence comes from Homo sapiens, assembly GCF_000001405.40. Taxonomy (NCBI): domain Eukaryota; kingdom Metazoa; phylum Chordata; class Mammalia; order Primates; family Hominidae; genus Homo; species Homo sapiens. The sequence goes on along the minus strand of NC_000004.12, from coordinate 128,596,038 downwards.
CTTGATGACGTTGATATACAGTTTGAGTGTCTTTTCTAATCTGGATCAACTTCGAACCAAGATGAAAGAAGCATAGAAACAAAAGCACAAGAGAAGAAAAGGCAAGAAAAATAAGGGGAGAGAGGATGACAAGAATAGTACCAGGCTGGGCACAGGGGCTCATGCCTGTAATCCCAGCACTTTGGGAGGCTGAGGCGGGTGGGATCGCCTGAGGTCAGGAGTTTGAGACCAGCCCGCCCAACATGGTGAAACCCCATCTCTATCAAAAATACAAAAATTAAATTAGCTGGGCGTGGTGGTGCACACATGTAATCTCAGCTACTTGGGAGGCTGAGGCAGGAGAATTGCTTGAACCTGGGAGGCGGAGGTTGCAGTGAGCAGAGATCATGCCATTGCACTTACAGCCTGGGTGACAAGAGCGAAACTCCGTCTCAAAAAAAAAAAAAAAGTACCGGCTGGGCGTGGTGGCTCACGCCTGTAATCCCAGCACTTTGGAAGGCCGAGGCAGGTGAATCACGAGGTCAGGAGATCGAGACCATCCTGGCTAACATGGTGAAACACCGTCTCTACTAAAAAAATACAAAAAATTAGCCGGGTGTGGTGGTGGTCGCCTGTAGTCCCAGCTACTTGGGAGGCTGAGGCAGGAGAATGGCGTGAACCGGGAGGCGGAGCTTGCAGTGAGCCAAGATCGCGCCACTGCACCCCAGCCTGGGCGACAGAGCGAGACAACGTCTCAAAAAAAAAAAAAAAAAAGGTACCAAAAATGAAGTAGAATTAGGTCTGGGTAATGGGAGTACCTTTTCTCCTTTTCATACCAACCTGCCCCCAAACTCCTGACACCTCTGCCTGGGAGAGAAAAGCCAGGAATTGGGAAAGGAAAGTGGAACATGGAATCTTCTGGAGTCGTCAGTAGAAGCAGACGTCCATTAAAGGCAGAAGTACACAGAGTTCCACTTCATTGTAACAAGGATGAAAGGTTAAAAGTCCCAGTACATAGGCAAATATATTTAGTGGTGGAAAGTTGAGGAGTTTCTATCAGATGTCTTCTGCTTTAATTGTGAAATATGAAGTAAAGTTATCTGCCCTGAGGGGAGAGGTGGGAATTCAGACAATGAAAAAGTTTGAGCAAATAGTGGGGTTCGTCCAGAATTGGGGTTTTGCTAGATAACTTCAGTGGAAGGATCAAGGGTCAAGGGAATTTAGAATATAAGTAATATGTTCTGGATAGGAGGAAACTGAAGACAAAAGTGGTTGGTGGATGGGCAGAAAGGAAAGAGGAGGAGTGATGGGAGCAACAGAGTAAGCTGGAGGGAGGGGGATGTAGCCGGAGGGCAGTCATCTGTACTTGTTATCTCAGGGGGGATGTCCAGGTCTAGGGTGAAGCTGTGAGAATGGAAGGCGGAGATGGGGTATGGAAGATCACTGGAAGATGAGGAGGTCAGAGAACTGAGTGCTCAGTGGTTAGATGGGTCAGATAGAAAGAATATGAAACAAATGCCAGGCTTCAACGACTGAGGAGGAGTGAACAGAAAACCAAAAGAGAAGAACATCATGGAAGGGCAGTGGGGGCTTGGCCTGATGACCTGGGCCTTCAAGGAGCAGGAATCCTGAGGCAGATGTTGGTGATTTTTAACCTCATCCTTTCATCATTTTTCTTGCTGATAGAGCCTTCCTTCCCCATGGAGATCACATGTATGAGCTCATGACCCAACCCTAGCCAACAGGACTAGGGGGCAATAAGATGGGGGCTTCGGGGAAAGATTTTCCTCCTTGTTAGGAAATTGTAGGTGAGGAGAAATTGCACTTTCCAGTTTTGACATTATAGCAGGTTGAATAATTCCCCTGAGAGATATCAGGTGCTAATCCCTGGAACCTGTAAATGTTACCTTGTATGGGAAAAGGGTCTTTGCAGATATGATTAAGTTTAGGATCCTGAGATAGGGAGAATATCCTGAATTGTCCAGGTGGGCCCTAAATGCAGTCACAAAGTGACCTTTTAAGAAAGGGGTAGAGGGAGATTTGATATAGACAGAGAGAAGACACACACACACACACACACACACACACACACACACACACACACACAAAGGTAATGTGAAGGTGGAGTCAGAGATTGGAGTGATGTGGCCACAAGCCAAAGAATGCTGGCAGCTATCAGAATCTGGAAGAGGCAAGAAACAGATTCTCCACTAGAGCCTTCAGAGGGAGAAGAGCCCTGCTAACACTTTGATGTCAGCCCAGTGACACATCAAACCTCTGGCTTCTAGACCAGTGAGAGAATAAATTTTTGTTGTTTTAAGAACCAAGTTTGTGATATTTGTTACGGAAGCCATAGGAAACTAATTCAGATGTAGCAGTGAGGGATTTGATGACTGGAGTGGCAGCAGCTATCTTGAAACCATGAGGACACAAACCTGAGGATAAAATTAAATACAATATCCTGGAGAAGACAGAGTGGAAAAATGGAAAGACCTGTTGAATTAGCCACATATCACTCAACCTTTTGACTTCTTATCATGTAAGATAATAAATGTCTTTATTGTTTATGGCTCTTCTGGTTGGATATTCTGTTACCTGCAGCCACAAGCATTCTAATTGATACAGCCCTATCCAAAAGGGTAGGAGAGTCCTGGCTGGGAAGCAGCAGTGGGTACTAAGGAAGAAATCTGACCCACTTGCCAACTCTGACAAGAGTGCATAAAATGAAAAATGAGCAGCTCCCACTTGAGAGAGGAGCAGAACAGGTAACTTGGAGAGAGTCAGAAGATTAAGAAAATGGTTAGGGAAAAGATTGTAGGGATAGGGGCATTTGTTAATTATGCAACAGGCCTTTTCAAAGGCAGTAAAAGCTTAGGAAGAGGAAGATAATTGGGAGGTATTCTGAGAAAAGGTGTATGTGAATCATGACACTGTACTGTTATGATGAAATTATATAGAGTATAGGTGGAGTGGGGAATAAGGAGAGACTCGCACTTTGGACAATGACCAAAAAAAAAAAAAAAAAAGGGAAAATAGATACAATGCTTGTTAGATTTAACCAGCCCCAGGGTTGCCAAGAAAACATTTCTACCAATGCCAGGACCAAAGTAGTTTTTGAACTTTAATGTTTATAAGGTTCATGGAGTTTGTTAAAAATCTTAAACATTCCTAGGCCCCAGGACCAAGATCCTGACTCAGTAGATCTCAGTAGGGTCCAGAAATCTGCATTTCTAATGAGTATCCCAAGCGATTCTATTGCAATTGATTTGGGACCACATTTTGAAACACACTGTCCAAAACACTTGCTTTCACATGTTTTTGACTAAAATCTGCATTAAGAAATATATGTTGTGGCATAAGCCACATGCACACACCCACACATAGGCATGCACACACCCACAAGCACAAACGTGTGCACAAGGCAGGTAAAACAATCTGGCTTAACCAAATAGACATTTATTTTTCATTTACACAAAATCCAAAGCTGATGTCCCTGGCCAGGTGACTCCATTTGGGTGACATTCCTCCAAATAATGGCTCAGGATCCAGGCTGCTTCCACATGTGCCTCTGAGATCATGTGGCTTCAAGATTGTCCCGGTGTCATCTAGTGGCATACGGGAAGAAGAAAGCATGGAGGAGCCTGTGTGGGAGGGTTTTAAGGGCCATATCTGAAAGTGGCATATATCCCTCCAGACATACTCTATCAACAGGGTCTCAGTCACATGGCCGGTTGTCGAGGCTGGGAGAGGTAGAGGAGCCCACAGGTCCTGGTAAGCACCATCAGACTCTCCACTGTAGACAGACTGAGATGTGTGTATTTAACCAAGACCAAAGTTTCACAAAATAATACTCCTATCACATCCAAATCCTCTGATAGTTTTCTGTTTTGTTCCATCCCATTCTTTTCTAGTTTATTTTTCAAAACGTCAGTCTTCACAACTAAATTGATCTCATGTTCAGTGAAACTCACTCAACACGCCACAGTTTCAAAAGCATCATCCTGGAGGATGTTGCCATTTGGCCAACGGGGTGGGTGGCCCCACATTTTTGAGGGGCTCTGTTTTCTTTGAATATACATTCAGCACCCCCACAGTCCAGCCCACTCAGTAAGTGGTCACTATCATTGCTCTCATGATTGTGGTGGTGAAAAATACAAAGGCTTCCCCAGAAATGGCAATTTTTTGCAATTAACAGCACGTAAAATAGCCTCCTTTTGGTTAAGACTTTAGAACTGAAACTTGCTAGTGGGGCAAGACGAAGGAGGAAAAAGAGCTGGAGGACGTGTGTCTACACTGAAGGCAGGACGGAATCTACAGAGTGCCTCTGCTGCTGTGCTTACCACGTGGTTCCCTTTCTCCCTGCACTTGGACCAGACAGGCAAGATTCACCAGATGTGCAACCTTTGCCCGGCTGGAAAAACCAGAAACCCAAAGCCATAGTAGACATTTCCATAGGGATTTCTTACCTCTTTTGGTCTGGACCGACCCAATGATTAGTTACTGAATTTGACCCTCGATTGTATTTCTGAAGCTCCAGGTTGGAAATGGGGTGAGTGGGTGAGAAGGAGCGGCCCTGGCTCCGGCTCCTCCCCACACCCAAACTCTTCCTGTCCTTTCCAGCTGTCTCAGACACAGGCTTGGGGAAGGAAGAGATACACACAGGGAATGGGAAAGAGGATTAGGAAAAGGTGCGGAAATGGGAAAAGGAAGGGAGAAGAGTGGGAGAGAGGAGAAGGGAAATCAGGGGACGTACTCCAGAGCAAATTTTTACCAGATGAAGAGAAAAAAAGAGGAAAGGCTCTTTAGCTTTCACTCCACCTCACGCATGGACTTAGGAGAACTCGACTACAGGACTCAGTTTTTGAAACTAGCTTCTGGAAGGATTCAGAACTCACTGAGTTTCACGAAAAATGAAAATTACCTGAGGAAAATGCTAAATGTTATTTAAGAATCACAGAATAAGGACTGCTCACTTTAGACAGGTTAATGTGTGGCTCTTGGATAAAAATTTAGAAAGAGGCAGCTGTTTGGAAAGTCCGGGAGGGGCACCAAGCCAGAGACCTGGAGCAGCTCGCAGCCCAGCCTTATGCTGGAGTAACCTGAGCCCTCAGAGAGTCCAGGAGGTGAGGCTACAGTCCAGCATTCTATTTTTAATTCACAGTGTGGAGATAAGAGTTAAATATAAAGCAGATTAAGACTTCCCTTAAATCTCCTCTATAAAAGAAAAACTGGAATTAATCTACAGGAGCACTCCATGGATAGCTCAATACCATCATTTTTTAAGAATAAAATTAGAAGCAGAAAACTGTGTCCTTATCCTTTTGACATCCAAGAATTATTGCCATGAAAGTACTACAGCCCATGAAATTACTTTCCAGGTTACACTCATTAGATTTAGCATTTTCATTCTGTAGACCTGTGGTTTTAACGGAAAAGAAAAGAAAAAAAAATCCCCTCCCTTCATAGTACAACTGTTCCCATACACTGGCCCATTAATGGGATGCTAATGAATGCGGAAGTCATTGTAAAATCACAAACGCAGAACTGAGAAGCAGATTTCAAACATCGATAGGCCTAGCCTTGTTTTGGAAATTTGGATCATGAGAGCATGGGACTCAGGTAGAGCCCTGCAGCCTGTGTTTTCTGCACACTGTAGCTAAAGAGGCCCTCAATTACAGGCTCGATTTTTAAAAAATTTTTAGTCATATTATACAATCACCATTATGGGTTAGACATTAAACAGATGCCAACCTAGCTACTACAGGCTTTGTCACTGGAAGTGTTAACCACATAACACGGCAGCAGCAGAGCAAAGAGATTAAGAGTTCAGGCTCTAGAGCAGTTGGCCAGGGTATGAACCCAAGCCCTACCAATTACTCACTGTGTGACCTTGGGCAAGTTGCTTAATCTCTCTGTGCCGGTGTTTCCACTTTTGAAAAGCGGAGATAATAATAGTCCGTGCCTCCAGTTAGGATTAATTGAGAAAATGTATGCAAAGCACTAAATCAGTTCCTGGCACCATAGTGTGTGCTCAACAGCAGTTGGTGGTTGTTAGTATTTTGTTGTTGGAGACGTGAGAGAAACGAATCTGAAATGGCTGTGCACTCCGGTGGCTGAGTTCAAACCTGCTGAGGTGTCTGGTCTTCACGACATCTCAGGCCTCATGCTGCAGAGGAAGAGGAACCAGTCACCTTCTCTGACGGTCTTCTGTGTATCTGAATCTATTGCCATGCACTGAGCCTTGCATGGTGTGTAATGCCTTGGTTTGTGTATTTACATCATTCCAGCAAGTCAGGATGCTTTTCTGAGCAACTCTCTGTTTGCATGGTGCCTTTAAATACACACAAGAATTACAAGGCAATCCTCTGTTTGTAGCCTACATGAAGGCCAGTTGGAGAGATTTCAAACACCCAGGAGATTCAGCAAACTCATTATAGGGTCTAATATAAGAAGGAACTGTATGTATGAGGAGCTGCTAGGATGCAAAGATGAGTAAGAACTGACCTCTGCTTTCAAGTCAACAATTAGCTGAGGGGCACAGTTAAGACGTAGGTGGATTGACTTTTGTGTTATCCAAACAACACAAACCCATTGTTACAGAGTCTCCAAAGATGAAACACCAAACAAGACACACCTTAGAGAGCAGCACAGCACAGATTCATTTCACAAATACCTACTGGGCATCATCATTTGCCAGGTTACTATTCTAGGTGCTGGGATATAGCAGTGAACAAAAGTCCCTGCCCTTGTGGAGCTGACATTCTAGTGGGCAAAAGAACAATAAATAGAAAAGCCCAAGAGTATGTGTATATACACACATATACACATGGATAGTACGTCAAGGCATGCTAAGTGTTACAAAGAAAAACACAGAAGGGGTAACAGGTTAGGGAGTGACAGGGAAAGGAGGGGTTATATGACAAGCTGCTAATCTTGAGGTAAAGGAAGTTAAAGAAAGAGAGAAACAGATGAGGACTAAGAGCATCATGAGAAAATTCTGGAACCTGGGTAGGCAGGAAGGCCATGGTAGAAGGAGCGGGGAGCAGGTTGTTCTAGGCATGGGATTTAGAGAGAGCAGAGAATGGCCAGAGATAGGAGGAGGGCCAGAGGAGAGGCAGGCGCCCCCAGGGTGGGCACAGCACCTCTGGGGACCAGGTTAACTAGGGGCCTGAAGCCAGAGCCATACAGGCCATTAGGTGTAACTCTCAAGAGCTACTGCAAACTGCCTGGGGAAAAAACATAAGCAGTCCCAGTTTTTATTTCAGCTGGTGAACAGGAACCAGGGCCAAAGGACGGCACCAGCCTGGTAACACCAGACACTTTTTCTAACTCTCATTGTCACTTGTCATAAAGAACTTCCAATACTGCCTGCTGTCACAGGTGCAATCTAAACAAGCTGAACTTATAGAGGCAGAGCATAGAACAGTGTTTGTCAGGGGCTGGGAGAAATGGGGAGTTGTTAGTCAAGAGGTAAAACATCTCATCTATGTAGGATGAAAACGGTCTGCAGATCTAATGTACAGCATGGTGACTGCAGTTAATAATTCTGCATTGTATACTTGAAATTTGCTGAGAGAGTAGATCCTAAGTATTCTCATCCACACACACACAAATATGGTAACTTTGAGGTGATGGACATGTTAGTTGACCATGGTAATCATTACACAATGTGTATGTGTATCAAAACATCACATAGCACACCTTACATGTATACCATTTTTATTTTAAGAAAAAAAAGAACCTCCAAATGTGCCTCTCTCCATGTGCTAGAGAAGAGCCTTCCGCAGCCACACATTCCCCCTTCCAGCCTGGTCACATTTGGGAGCCCCTCCCAGCTCGTGCTCCCCCATTTCAAGGAAGGCTGCGCATCACTTCTCCACTCACTCTCATGGTGGCTGGGTTTGAGGACATTATGCTTGGAGTGATGACACCAGAGCCACATGGAGAAGAAGCAGGGTGGCCTCCAAAGGAAAGGAAGCTGGGCTAGGGCAACTGTCCACCACACGTGGGGTGTGGTTCTATGTGTGAGAGTTTTGCTGCCTCTTCCTTCAGCAGCGTCCAGAAGCCGTCGTCTCTGCTGCGGCCTGAGTGCTCGCCTCAGCAGCCTTCCCTACCCCTCTGGGGTTTGCTGCCTCAAGTCTTTGTGATCAGGAGACCAAACACATAGGCCTTTAAAAAACACCCGGCATATAAGCACAGAATGAGAGCTTAAAGAGGGCCACTCACACCTTGGGCTTTTGAGAGACCATTTCTAAGAATTGTGTCTGTGTTTCTGTGGGTAGAGTTGGCTGAAATTCTAATGGGCACCGCAACATCCTCTGTATGAAGTAAGTGTAATTCCTTAACGCGAAATAGAATGGCTGAACATCACGTGAGTTTGCCCGCCTTGCAAACTCACAGAGGCAGTCCAATCCACAGAATCTACAAGATATGCTATTTCCATTTTTTTCTTTTGTAATCAAGTTAGCCTACAAGTCAGTATCTCTGATACTGAGACTCTACAATAAGCAGCTCCCATGGAAGCCCACTAGCTTTGCTCAAATTGAACTATTTCATTTCAGTAACCAGTACATTCTATGTCTCATTGATAGAAATTGCTGTTTGGAGGTTTGTTAATTTGCTTATTCATTTTTTTCAACAAATATGTTGAACACATAATATGTGCTAAGTACAATGCTATGTCCTAGAGGTTCAAAGGAAGATAAGGTCCTTGTCAACCCACAGGTATATGCTACATCTTCTTGGTCTTCTTAAGTGGGGTTTTTAAAACTCCCGCAGAAAAACTCTGATTCTGGCTATGCTGTAAGAATTTTGTTTTTATTAGTTCTCTTTTAGGCACTGTACCTTATTTGAACAATCACATCATTGAGCACAGAGCAGGAAAAAAAAAAGAGCAGAGAAAAGTTATATGGAGTCATTCTTTGAAAGGCCTAGATTATAAAATCAGAATATAAGGTGAAAATCATGAATAAGCACAAGTAGCTTTGAAATTCAGTTATGCAGGTACCCTGCTGGAAACCAACACACACCATGTCTAGGTAAATCAAACTCAGCCATCATTTCTTCTAGCTTTGGTTAGGCACTAGATTAAACGGTTGACTTGCATTTAGAGGCAATATTGTTGATAAAAACATGCCTTTAAAATGCTAGGATTGCATTCTGTATCTAATAAACTGGGTCAGAATGACAGTACAACAGACTGATGTGTAGAATATTCTGAAATAGTAACTGATGAATTACGTTTGCATCTGGTAATTCTAATGGCCCTGCAGCTCTGAACCACTGAGTCAAAGGCATCCCTTCCATCATATGAGGATGGGCCTTTAAGCCACCACCTGCCCTTCTACTCCCTCCTTGTAGTGAAGAAAGGTAGCTGAGGGTTCCTGAGCTTTCCAAGGAGGATTCAGACATCCTGAAGGGACCACTAGACCAGAAGAGGCCTGGGTTGGGTCAAGGGCAGTGTGTAGAGTGTGGACTTGGAGCCTGAATGGCCAACCATCAGCAGTGGGATGGTGTCACAGTGCCCACAAACTAGAGAGGAGAAGTCCTACCTCAACTGAGGTCAGCACAGACCAGAGGAGAGCAAGCAGAGCGCAACAGATATGTTGAGTCTCCCCTGTGAAGAAACTCAGGAGGGTGGGAAGAAACCCGTAGTGCCCAAATGTGTACCCAAAGAGACTAAATATTAAACTAGAAGTGCCTGAGTTATTTTGAAATAATATTTTTACATTGCCTACCAGAAATGGAGGCTTGAGAGCTAAGTTGTGTTCAGTTATAGAAAAACAAAGCCACATTTCTACTCATGAATAGTGCTGTATGTGGTAAACTGCTACATATCCCAAACATAACCTCAGTGACTGAAATGGCAGAATCACCAGCACAATTAAATGAGTTCTCCTTATGTACTGAGAGAAATATATATTGAATTTTCATATCTTAAATGCATATAGGACATCATCTCCTCATCCTCTTGGATCCTACATTCCTATGCCACATATAACACTAAGCTCAGAGAACACAATAGTTTGCTTGGATACCAAAACACATAGCATGTATCCACTAATACTCACACCCATCCAAACTCACCAAAAGCACAAGAGAAATGAGAATTTTTGTCTCTTAACTTTGTGCTTAACACCCTTTGTGGTTTTTTTGTGTTTGTTTGTTTGTTTGTTTGTTTTGTTTTGTTTGTTTTGAGACAAGGTCTCACTCGTCGCCCAGGCTGGAGTGCAGTGGCATAATCTCAGCTCACTGCAACCTCTGCCTCCTGGGCTCATGTAATCTTTCTACCGTAGCACCTACCCCACCCGGTAGCTGGGACTACAGGCGTGGGCCACCATGCCTGGTGGCTAATTTTAGTTTTTTAATAGAGAAAGGGTTTCGCTGTGTTGCCAGGCTAATGTCAAACTCCTAGGCTCAAGCAAGCGATCTTCCCACCTCGGCCTCTCAAAGTCCTGGGATTACAGGCTTGACTGGGTTTTAATGAGACTGAATATTATTCTGTCATTTGGGTTTCTTTCTTTCTTTCCTTTTTTTTTTTTTGAGATGGAGTTTTGCTCTTGTTGCCCAGGCTGGAGTGCAATGGTGCGTTCTCGGCTCACCACAACCTCCACTTCCTGGGTTCAAGCGATTCTCCTGCCTCAGCCTCCCGAGTAGCTGGGATTACAGGCATTACACAGGGGTAATTACAGGGATTACACCACCACTCCCGGCTAATTTTTTGTATTTTTAGTAGAGACGCGGTTTTTCCATGTTGGTCAGGCTGGTCTCGAACTCCTGACCTCAGGTGATCTGCCCGCCTCGGCCTCCCAAAGTGCTGGCATTACAGGCATGAGCCACCACACCCGGCCGGCATTTCTAACTCTAAAAACTACTTTAGAATCATATTACATTCTATCTTGTTATCCAATATTAAATGGGGCACAGATGTTCAGTACATTTTTATTGATTAATAGATTAAAGGACTATGTTTATAAACTGGATTGGTCGGCAGGAACTGGGGCAGGTTATATATTAATATGTTAATGTGAACTAAGATATGGAAATTTATTTGGATAATGTGATATTGACATCCTACCCAACCCTGAAATCCCATGATTTCTAGTTCAAACTACCTAGCATAACAGTAGTTTCATCTTTAGGGATAAAAGACTATTGATTCTCTAGTGGAGAAGCAGCATTCTCTTTCACCATCCTCAGTCTAATTCTCCAAAATGCTATTTTTAAGAAGCCCCAGCTAAAAGGCAAACAGCACAGTGGGTTAGATTTGGTGTTGGAAAGGTAGAAATAGATCTTTCCTTGTTGAGAACTACTCAATTCGGTAGAATAGGAGACAAAAACCATTTGTGCTGTCCAGGGCTGAGCTCAGTGAGGCTGTTAAAGGTAGAAACAGAAAACAAATCTATCACGGAACCTCAATTAGCTTTAGGGGGCAATATCTCAGAGCCATCTCCATGGAGAGGAGGCCACTTCTCTCGGTGACCAGGACACAGTCTCACAGCTGCTCGGGCCTCGAGGGCCTAAGGAGACAAAGTGAGCAGAGGTGAGATCATGTTCTGTAGAGATCGTAGTGCCAGCCAATGTGCCCCTGTCCTCACATGCTGGCAGGCTGCCTGGAAGTAGCCAGCCCAGCTGTTAGATCTGGTGGCAGTCTATTTAACCTGACCATACTGGGAACAACATCCCAGCTCTCCTGTTAGTGAGGCATTTTCCAGGCAAAAGGTCTTGTATGCATTTGGTTCAGTGGTTATTTGCATATTAGGAAGGGCTGAGAAAATGGCAGGTAGATACATCCAGCCTTCCAAGGAAGATACACCCACCCTTTCAAGGAAGAAAGTTGGATGTTTTATGGCTAGAGACACTATGATACTTGCAACCAGAGTCATAGCTAACAACTAGCAGTCTCTAAATCATATTTGTCATAAAATTCTAGAGTCGAAAGAGACTTTGGAGATTGTCTAGTTTTAGGAAAGAATCAGGAGCCCAGAGATTAAGAAACTTGTTGAAAATTACACAACTATTTCATGGCAAAACCAGGACAAAAACCCAAATGACCTAATTGCTAATCCAGAGATCTTTTCGTCACACCCAACAGCTGTTTGAGAACATACAGGACAGCTCTCCCTTGCTCACTGCTCAGCCTTTATATCCCTCTTCCCCTAGTGTCTGAAAAGGGTGTTTGGTGGATAAATATCTGGAGGGCCTCTGCAAATTTTGTTTAGAAGGTCTTTGTTTGCTGCCAATATCCTTCCATCATTTTGTGACATTTTCCTGAATATATTCATTTTTCTAATTTTTAAGATTTAAAAAATAACTCACGATATAGAAATAAAAAATAGAAGTTCTCATAATTTTCAAACTTTGGAGATAGCCACATTAAAGATTAGGTGTACATTCTTCCAGATGTTTATGTATATAAAGATTTTACACACACATGCACCCCATATGATATGATATATGAGTTGTTAACAATTTATTAAGCTTTCACTATTTTAAAAGAAGCATGCTGTTCATTCTTGGTAGATGGGAGATGAGCTACTGAATATCTATTAGGCATGAGATTTCTTACCCAGGAAGTCTTTGCTAATGAAGTCTACCCTTCATTAACCACCCTGTTGCACCCTCATTCCTCACTACCCCACTGTTAACATACTCTTTTGTTTTTCAGCCCTAAAGATGAGAATTTAAGCTGGATCTCCTAGAGGAGTTGGGATCAAGTCTATGTACTTGGAGAATACAAGAGAAGGACCCAGCTGGGTGTGGTGGCTCACACCTGTAATCCCAGCACTTTGGGAGGCCGAGGCGGGCGGATTACCTGAGGTCATGAGCCCCAGACCAGACTGGCCAACATGGCGAAACGCTGTCTCTACTAAAAATACAAAAATTAGCCTGGCATGGTGGTGCACACCTGTAATCCCACCTACTCAGGAGTCTGAGGCAGGAGAATCACTTGAACCCAGGAGGCAGAGGTTGCAGTGAGCCAAGATTGCACCACTACACTCCAGCCTCGGTGACAGGGTGAGACTCTGTCTCAAAAAAAAAAAAAGAGAGAGAGAGAAGGACCCAACCTTTGGGACAGGGAGGAGGAGAGTTGGTTTCCAGAAGACAGTAGGATGGGATTGATGCACTTACCTAAAGCTCAGGAGCTGGTAGGAGCGCCAATAGCCATGGTTCTGCCTGAACCCAGGCAGGCCAGGAACTCAGCATCCTGAGTGGGATTCTCAGTGAAGATAACACTGCTAAAACCTGGCCATGGAGAATATAAACACTGCCAGAGGAGTTACCCATGACAAATGGATTACATGGTCAGGAAGTCCAAGTTCTCAGAGATAAACCCAACTAACTGATAACCAGGAACTTCATCCCCATTATCTCTGACCACTGGGTCCTAGAGTTCTTGTATAATGCCAAATGGGTAAGAGGAGCTCCCTGAGAAAATGACAGATTAGACTTCCCACCAACCCTGATGGAAGGGACAGAGTCTTACTGAAATGAATTTAGAAAAATAAAAGCATGCGATGACTCTTTCACCTATGAACTGTGGAACAAATCAAACATGCAACATATGTGATGCAATAGGATGTGATTGGATTTTATTTACATATCAGGGTATCCAATGATACAAAAATTGTTTCTATTTCCACATCTGTCTCACAATAGACATAATAATTTAAGAGAGATTAAATATTCAAAAGTAAACAAAGCAAGCAAACAGAATCTCAGAAGAAAGTTTAGAAGAATATATGTATAAGTTATGGATCAGAGAGACTTTTATATACATTGTATCAAAGCAAGAAACTTAGTCCAGGAACAGTGGCTCACATCTGTAATCTCAACACTTTGAGAAGCTAAGGCAGGAGGATCACTTGAGTCCAGGAGTTCAAGACCAGACTGGGCAACATAGCAAGTCCCCTGTCTCTACAAAAAATAAAAAATTTAGCTGGGCATGGTGCCACACGCCTGTAGTCCCAGCTTCTTGGGGGGGCTTAGGTGGGAGGATCACCTGAGTCTGGGAGGTCGAGGCTGCAGTGAGCCGTGACTGTGCCATTGTATTCCAGCCTGGGCAAAAGAGTGAGACCCTGTCCCTGCCAAAAACCCCAAGCAAACAAACAAACAAAAGAAACTTAAAAGCGATAGAAGAAAATGTGGACATATTTGATATATAAATATGTAAATTTTTTAGTATAGAAAGACATACAATTGTTCAAGGTAATATACAAATGCTAGATTAGGGGGAAATTGCCATGGATATGTCAGATAAGATGTTACTATCAGTAAAATGCAAATAACTCCCACAAATTAGTAAGAAATAGATAAACAGTGAAACAAACATAATAGCAAGTAATATGACTAGAAAATTCACAGGTGAGCAAATCCAAATGGTGATTAAACTCATAAAAAGATGCTCTATTTCACTAGTTATCAAGGGAATGTAAATTAATGATATTTATTCTCATTTATCAGATAGACAGTTTTTTTGAAAAGGATACTCTCACACATTGGTGTTGGAAATTTAAGGAAGATTGAAATGCACACACATATATCTTATAATCTAGAAATCCTACTTCTGAGAAATCAATACTGTAGAAATATGAGAGCCATCTCTTCGTGGTATGGGGTAGGAAAAGTTTCCTCAAGAAAACGGAGAAAACATGAACCATAAAGGAAAATGTTGATAAATTGGCTATATTAGTATTTATTTCTATATGCCAAAATATGTCATAAACACATTTAAAAGGAAAGTCATAAACTGGCAGAAGATAGCTGCTACTCATAAAATGATCAAAATATTAATATCCAGAAATACTTGTTTTTATCTATATGAAATTGCCAATATTCAACAATTTTTGACCAACAAAAAAGATATCTGACTCAACCTAATACACATAATTTTTCCATATTCAATAAGAAAAAGACAACCCAAGAGAAAGAAATGGACAAAGCACATGAATTCACAGATGAGGAAAACCAAATGGCCAATAAACCTTTCATAACTACGCTTAATTCACTAGAAATCTGGGAAATAAAATAAAAACTATAATGAGACAGCATTTCATATCATAAAGTTGGCAAAGATTAAAGAGGATTGGTAATAATGTGGGGAAATGGGAACTCTTATATATTGTAGAAGTACATATAGGTATAAATTTGGCAATACCATGTGAAGTTGATGATAAACACCCCCACCTACTTCACTGCTGGGTATATGTACCAAAGAGAACCTCAAGGAGACATGTATAGGAAGGATTTATGAAGCATCATTTATATAGCAATTGGCATGATATGAATGACATTGTATTTTATAGGTAAATATTGATATGAGATAGATTTATATCTGTCAAAATTAAAGATCTAACTCTACATATGTCAATGTGATAAGTCTTTCAAAAATATAATGTTGAATAAAAAACAAATTGCAGGAAAATACCTAGAGTATGAGCTCAGTTATGTACATTTTAAAATTACACAGGACTTTATACACATAGTAAAATGTGAATGGAGACAATATATAGCTGATTTAAGATAATGATTAGAGAGAGAAAGAGATGAAATGGAAGAGAAATAAGGAGATCTTTAACTACAATTCCAACCTTGTTTTTTTGCTTTCTTTTTTTTTTTAAAAAAAAAACCTGAATATGGCAAAATGTTAACAATTGTTTTAAAAAATAATGTTTCAGGCTGGGCACAGTGGCTTATGCCTGTAATCCCAGCACTTTGGGAGGCTGAGGCGGGCAGGTCACCTGAGGTCGGGAGTTTGAGACCAGCCTGACCAACATGGAGAAACCCCGTCTCTACTAAAAATACAAAATTAGCCAGGCGTGGTGGCGCATGCCTATAATCCCAGCTACTCAGGAGGCTGAGTCAGGAGAATTGCTTGAACCCAGGAGGCGGAGGTTGCGGTGAGCCAAGATCGCACCATTGCACTCCAGCCTGGGCAACAAGAGTGAAACTGTCTCAAAAAAAAAAAAAAAAGTTTCACACTTCTGTGTTTTTCAGTTATCATCTGTTCTTTCCTCTATGTTTGAAATATTGACACTTTTTTAAAAAAGAAATAAAAGTTATAATATGTAAGATTCCATGAACAAGGATGTTCGTTGCAGCATTGTTTCTAGAAGAGGGACCCGTCTTGGTGCCCAATGATAAGGGAGTAGTTGAGGAAACCGTGGTACATCCATACTATGCAGTTCATTCATCTATGGCTTGTGATAGATTGAATTGGGCTTTTGTTTAGTTTAAGTATTAAAAAAATTGACATTAATTTAGTATCTCACATTGTTGAAGTAATGAAAAATGGGATGCACAGTGTTCTGAAACTGGCTGCGTAATATTTCATCATATAGAAGCAGGTGACATCATAGGTGAATGTTTGCCCACTTGCTCACCCTGTTTATTAATGATACATTTCTTTTTCCCTCTGCCCCTCCTATGTCTTTGAAGCTTTGATTCAGAGCGTCATTTACCAACCTCCAATTCCTCTGTGGTTATGGCCGGAACCTCTGATCACATAATTTCGCAAGAGAATAAATTATGACAGCAGGGTCTTTTGGTTTGATTTCTAATTAAACAAAAAGGCCCTTAATAACGAACTCTCTCATCAATTTATGTGGATGGCAAATGTCAGAGAGCAACTTGGGATTTCAGCTTTCTTCTTTCCTATCATCAAGGAAAGTGTCACTCCTCTGACTTATACCTCTCTGTCCACAGCATCTTTCTTCAAGAGCTCAGTTAACCTCCTGTCACTGCACTCCTGAACTCCTGGGTGATGCCAGGCAGGAGAGTAAGTTACAGGCATTCTTAAAGCATTTCTGCTGAATATCCAGGGGACTGGAGAAAAAGTGGATAACTTGTGCAGGGCAATGCTAACAATACTAATAATAGAACAATGGCTAACAAAGGGCCCTGCATCGCCAGACCCCCCTGTGCTGTCTTCATGAACTCAGTTCCTTATAAATACAGCTCATGAAGATTGTTGCTCTATCACAGAGGTTACACCATTATTTGAAAGAATCAATAACATTCACATAGTTCCTTAAAGACATTCTGCTCTCTAAATTTCTTCCTTTGGCTGGTATTTTAAGAGCTGCCTCTATACTTTGGATGTGTGGTCTACTGATGTTCAACAGCTATGAAAGGATCACTCATTTACCACACCATGGCCTTCCAAAGCCCTTGTCATCCAGAAATAAAATTTCATTTCTTAGGAGGAAAATGAAAGTTTTGGGTTTTTTTCCCCCTTGTAATGTTGAGAGCTTCTTCTCACCACAGCAAATTGGATCAAAATCTCCCAAAGGGGCACAGAGACAAAGGGAAATGATCTGAAGCTTCCTGGTGAAAGCAGGTCACATTATCCCCTCTTCCTCGTCTTTCCCGTCAACACCTCTGCAGGAGGTGCGCCTTCAGAAGGCAGTGTTGAGGGACTGCACACACAGGCTTCTCCAGCCTGGGAAATGGGAGTCAAATTGATAACTACCATTAACATGCTCGCCATTTGCAAACTACTTCCCCTTGAGTGTTTAAAAGCATTTTTTTGGTCAATTGAGGACAAAGAAAATGCCCTTTTCTGTGCTGGAAGAAAACAAGTTAATGACTTCAATTGCTTCCCTTGCTGTGGCTAGCTGATTTCCAAAATCTCCTTTACCCATAATGGTTTGGATGCTAGGGCATTCTCACTGTGATGCTGACATAGCTAGACAGTAGAGAGCTAGTGTCACGCTGTGGGTAGCTAGGGGGCATGGACTTTGCAGAGGGATCTGTAAAACTGAGAATCCAGTTCCCAGAGACAGAATAATATTAAATGTCAAATGTGGCACATTGATGAAACTATTTTTGTTTGAAATTACACCCAATACATAGTACTAATGCCTATCCAAATATTAAAATTACCCCCCAAATGGAACACATTTGCTGTTCTTTAAGATGCATTTTTAAACTGCCACTCTGTAATAATTCTGGCCTTTTATAGAGTCCAGAAGTCCAAGGCCACACATCCTCCTCATCAGCATTCACTTGAGAGGGCCTGTAACCTTTCAGATGAGGAAGCACTACTTTTTATTTTTCTCATGCTTTTAGATAAGTCTGCTAAAAGGTCTGGTCACATCTGAGATTAGGGCATATTGACCCCAAAGAATGGGGAAAGGGGACTTCTATGCTACTAAGGACTGAGTTGTGTTCCCCCATGCCTCCACCTTCCAAATTCGTATGTTGAACCTTAACCCTTAAGGCAAGCTTGTCCAACCCACGGCCCGTAGGCTGCATGCGGCCCAGGATGGCTTTGAATGGGGCCCAACACAAATTTGTAAAACACTATGAGGTCGGCATGGTGTCTCATGCTTGTAATCCTAACACTGTGGGAGGCTGAGGTGGGTGGATCACTTGAGGTCAGGGGTTCAAGACCAGCCAGGCCAACATGGTGAAACCCTGTCTCTACTAAAAACACAAAAATTAGCCGGGTGTTGCTGCACATGCCTATAATCCCAGCTACTTGGGTGGCTGAGGCAGGAGAATTGCTTGAACCTGGAAGGCCGAGATTGCAGTGAGCCAAGATGGCGACACTGCACTACAGCCTGGGCTACAGAGCAAGACCCTGTCTCAAAAAAAAAAAAAAGCAAACAAAAAAAAGTATGATATTTTCTTTGGTGATTTTTTAAGTTTTAGCTCATCAGCTATTGTTAGTGTTAGTATATCTTTTGAGTGGGCCAAGACAATTCTTCCAATGTGGCACAGGGAAGCCAAAAGATTGGGCACCCTTGCCTTAAGGTGATTTGAAAATAAGATCTGTAAGGAGGTAACAAAGGCTATGTGACGTGACAAGGGTGGGGCTCTGATATGACAGGATTAGCATCCTTATGAAAAGAGACGCCAGAAATCTTGCTCTCTCCTTGCACAAAAAGGACATGTGAGCACAAAGCAAGAAGGTTGCCACCTACAAGCCAAAAGAAGAGGCCTGAGAATGAAACCTATCTTTCTAGCACCTTGATGTTGAACTTCCTAGCCTCCAGCACTGTGAGAAATACATTTCTGCTGTTTAAGCCATGCAGTCTGTGGTATTTTGTTATGGCAGCCCATGCTGACTAACACAGGGACATATCTTCAGGCACGTTCACATTTCAATTTAAAATCCCACTGTGGCAGTAGCTGAGACTTCTTTTTGAATTAGGTTGAAGGAGTTCAGGACATGGCACCCCAAAATATGCCACTTTGGTATGTTGATTATTTTGAGCTTAAGGCACTTGAAAAACAGCAAATGCAAGAAGCTTTCTCTAAGCTCTTATTACCTGCCTAAAGACAGATCCTCCAAGAGGAACTCAATTGTCATAAATTCCTTCCCCAGGAGTTTCATCAACCAGGAAAGATTGATTCTTAATCACAAGAGAGGAGACCAGAGGTTGACACCACACCCAGACACACTTTGTCACAAACTGTTATATCTCTCATCTCTTCTTCTAAGGGTCCATTAATCTTTCCTAAAATTCATTGACTCTTCCCTAAGTGGTCTACAACCTCTCTCCACTTCTCCTCTTATGACAGTGTATATAAGCTCTCAAACATCCCCACTTGTGTATTCACATTTTTCCTGTGATGTCTCTGTGCATGTAATATTACAAAATACGTTAAAAATAATTTATTACTTAAAACTTTAGATCATATTTTAAAATATTAAAAATTACAGTGAAAATTTTGTTTTTTGTGTCGTTAATATCCCTGTTATCAGTTTATTTATTTATTTTTATTTTTTTTTTGAGACAGAGTCTCGCTCTGTCACCCAGGCTGGAGTGCAGTGGCGCGATCTCGGCTCACTGCAAGCTCCGCCTCCCGGGGTTCACAACATTCTCCTGCCTCAGCCTCCTGAGTAGCTGGGACTACAGGGGCCCCCCACCACGCCCGGCTGATTTTTTGTATTTTTAGTAGAGATGGGATTTCACCGTGTTAGACAGGGTGGTCTCCATCTCCTGACCTCGTGATCCGCCCGCCTCCGCCTTCCAAAGTGCTGGGATTACAGGCGTGAGCCACCGCGCCCGGCCTATCAGTTTATTTTGTAGACCCAATTACCGAACCTAGGAAGGTAACAAGGTTTGTTTTACCTAGGTGGGTTACCAGGTTCTGGCTTCAGGATCAGCTCATAGCCTGAGACCCAGGGGCCCTGAGGTATGAGTCTCTTTCTCCTTGAAATTCCTCTACAAGCTTAAAATACATCAGTGCTTTCTGACAGATTTCGTTTTACAGCCTGATTGTGTCTAGGGAGAGAGAAAATGGAAAGGGTTGGGCACTGGAGATGAAGAGGAAAGGTCAAGATTCCCTAGAGGTCATTCTCACAGGTTCTATGGGGACTTTGTGTGCACCTTGCTTCTCTTTTAGGGGTATCTCTGTTTCTTACATTCCTCAGGCTTTACCACTATTCATAATAATCATACTATCCAGGCATTCGGCCATTTTGCTGGCCTGGACATAACTGACTTGCAACTCAACTGCCCAGGATGATATAAATTTGTGATATTCTTTATTCAGCCCTTTTCGTAGAGTAGAGGGA
This sequence comes from Homo sapiens, assembly GCF_000001405.40. Classification (NCBI taxonomy): domain Eukaryota; kingdom Metazoa; phylum Chordata; class Mammalia; order Primates; family Hominidae; genus Homo; species Homo sapiens. Next base: position 128,575,532 of record NC_000004.12, on the reverse strand, counting down.
AAAGGATTCTCTCTAGAAAGTGAGCAGACTAGGCCGCGTTCTGTAGCTCAAGCCTGTAATCTCAGCACTTTGGGAGGCCGAGGCGGACAGATCACCTGAGGCTGGGAGTTCGAGACCAACCTGACCAACATGGAGAAACTCTGACTCTACTAGAAATACAAAATTAGTCAGGGGTGGTGGCGCATGCCTGTAATCCCAGCTACTCAGGAGGCTGAGGCAGGAGAATCGCTTGAACCCAGGAGGCAGAGGTTGTGGTGAGCCGAGATCGCACCATTGCACTCCAGCCTGGGCAACAAGAGTGACACTCAGTCTCAAAAAAAAATGAAAGATAGAAAGTGAGCTGACTATTACCATCAATGTCCCTGGCAGGCTCTGGCATTCCTTGTCCATTAAAGATAAGTACAAATTGGACTTCCAACAATTAACAAAAATATTTTAGCAGCTTATTCTGATCTTGAATAACGAAAGTTCATTGCACACCCTTGAATTTTTTCTTCCCAATTCCTGGAATTTATATAAAATTTGTAGAGAAACCCAATACCTTGATGCATTCTACTAGAGAGTGTTAGAGCTCGAGACTTTCAGGAATTAAACCAAGTCAGCACACTCTATTCTGCTATCCTCAGACTCCTCACCCAGGGTGGTGGTGGGGAGCCAGGCATGGGGCTCTTAATACAACAGGAGGACACCGATGGGGAAATGCCTACTGCCCCCTGCTGGTGGAAAAGGGTCCATAGTTCCAACAACTTGCATAGCCCTAAAAGGCCTCATTTAAACATTGTATTGAAACCATGGTATCAGCTTCAAAATGACTTTAAATAACCTTAAATATTTAGCTTTTTAAAAATAAAACTGAGCAGTAAAAATCTACTGCTTGGTTTTTCCTTAATTATACCGCTCCTCCTCCATCTTTTCAGTTTCCTTTACAATCTGGTAGATCATACGACATTAAATTCTAGGGCGTTCAGCACCAAACAATGGTTGACCTGTCTTAGGTACCAAAGTCCCTTTAATTTGTGATGATAGATAAAACTTTTCTTAAAGTGTTCCTTTGAGAATGTATCTTGAAAGTATTAATAATTACCTGGAAGGTAACTGTGGCTGTAGCAAGTGCTGGGACTTGGAGTTGTATGTTATCGTTCCAGTATCAGTTCTGACACTTACTTAGCTGTAAGATTTAGGAAAGTCACCTAATCTCATAGACCTCATTTGTGAAATATGATAATAATACATAACACACAGGGTTGTTATGGGGATTACATGAGATTATTACAATGAAAGTGTTACTCTAAGAGCTATAAAATTGGAAGGTATTACAACTAAAGGAGCAGGTAACTGTGGGGTTGCCCACTTAACCATTATCAGACAGGTATTTGGAGTCAAACGCCCTAGAGCACAGTAAGGATTAAACATTAAACTGCAGATATTCGTCATTGAGATTAGCGTTATTACCATGGTTTAATATTTAATTCTCACTGTTCTCTAGGGGACCAGATGGACTCTGTGGAGAATGTAGACTTAGACATTCCTGACTACTTGCATCCCAAACTAAAGTCCATACAAGATAAAAACACCTCATAGACAGAAGAGTCACTCCATGAGGCATTCTAAGAATGCACTTTCTGCATGGTGACTAGTTTTTAAGTGGCCAAGTGGATAGGCTCTCAGCAATCTTGCTCCTCTGGGAAGAATAAAAACATTACACTGAAGGTCTTGTTTGTGAGTTGTGCTTTTGGACCTAAGTTTTTCTGCTATAAGGGGTATATTATTAACAAAACAAACCCAACCAAAAAGTTGGAATTCCTGGAAATTCACCAAAATTGCCTGGCTGCTGCAGCCCAACAATTCTTTAGCTCTTTTCAATCATCTTTATTTTGGATTTACTTGGAATCCTTGATCTTTAACCCAATTTTGAGCATTACACTGTCCCTATTTAACGCAAAAGGAATATTTTGGAATTTTAAAAGAGCCACAAAATATCAAACCCAAGATCCTAGTTTTGGGTCTTGTTTGTTTGTAAGGGTGGAAGGATTTCACATCTTATTTTGTACTTACTGTGTTCCCAGCAGCTTTTGTTTTGCTCACATCTCACACAGAGCATACTCAATTCAGTGAACTAATTTGGTTGTATGGTAAGCACTGCAGAGAAGCTATGAAAAAAAGTCACAATCGGGAAGGTAGAAAAGGTCTTCCAAGGATGCACTGAATCTGTTACATATACTCTGGGGCCTCCGAGTTTTCTGGGAAAAAACAAAAGCAAAACAGTGGCTGGGAAACCAGCTTAGTACATAGGTATTAAAGCATGGAACAGCTTCTTTTGACTAGTTTAAGAGGAAGCCATAAAGCACAAGTTCTTGGAATTATGCCAGCAAAAAGTGTAACCCTTTTATTTATGGGGGCATTCATCAGAACTGGGCCTTTGTGAGCCTACCCCAGACTGTGGTCACTTGGTTTAGTCAGTTGCTGACTTCTCTGAGAGAACACATCCCCTTTTAGCAGAAATAAGGAGCAAGGAGAACCACTGGGTAGTGACTATCACAGTGATTCCCATTGGAAACCAACCCACGAAAGCCCTGTAAAGAATAGCCCTCCTGTATTCCATGCCAGTGAGTGATACTTACACACAGGACGGGTGAGACAACATGGATCCACAAACACCTGGTTTACTTATATTGGCCATGATGGTGCCCTCAGGACAAACCACAGATAGAGATCTACCCAAGGAATTCCTGAGTTCATAGGCTGACCGTGTCCTTTGATCCCCAACCCAGCCATTTCTATATGACCTCTGTTGTTGTCCCAACTGAACCCCATTCTTCTCTCTTTTGTGGTTGTAAGGATGAAAAACTTGATGACTTCTTTCTCTTCATCATGGCTACTTCTCAGAATGTCTTGCTGACCACGTCATTGTTGCCTGATTCTATTGATCTAATAAAATCTATTTCTATCAACAAAATATAACTATGTGTGACCACATATTTATACCTTTTCACAAATGGAACTTCTTACAAATAGATTTCCCATCCATGTTAACTTATTAAGTAAAATTTTCCTGTTTTTTAATAAAATAAGTTTTCCTAATCTCAAATACTATCCAACAGATGTTAGTCACAAACATACATCATAAGTGGGAAAGTATTATAATAAAGCTCATTAGTGCTGTTTATTTACCTTTCAAATGCTATTGAATTTTTACATGAGTTTCTCTATAAGTTCATTAGTTGTTATTAAGAAATAAATATATGATTGAATTTTCCAAATATATTTGAATTTCATAGTTTAGCATTTCATACGAGAGAAATAATCAGCCAATGTTTTTGCCTGCTGTTTCCATGAAGATTTCATTTATCTTAGAAGTGATTAATATAGAATGACTATAAATAATATAAATTTAAATAGAATATACTTTTTTTTTTGCTATGTTGTTTGTTAGGCTTTACAATGTTGTAAAAAAACTGTAACAATCCTCTCAGACTGGAATTTTTCTTTATCAAACTTTTCCTCCATTTTCAGGAAGGAACAATGATTCAGAAGTCTTGTAGATTAGTCACTTCTTAAGAAGTTAGATCATTCAGTACTGCATCTTAGCCAACTGTCCAAGGTCAGCAAAATGCACAGCATGTTCTGTTTGATGGCCCCAGGCAGAAAGCCACAGCATTCAAACTATTAATATCTCCTGACCTTTCAACTTACAAATAGAAGCATCCTTGTGGTCATTTTTTTTTCCTGTATATCCCTGAAAAACTAAGGATCTAGGGTTTAAGATAAGAAATACTTAATTTAATTTAATTTAATTAGTTTTTAACCACAATCCTGGGCTTTTATATAAAAGCACACTGTTTATTTCTTTTTTCCTTTTGAGATAGGGTCTCACTCTGTCGCTCAGGCTGGTGTACAATGGTGCGATCTGGGCTCACTGCAACCTCTGCAGCCTGGGCTCAAATGATCCTCCTGCCTCAACTTCCCAAGCACCAGGGACTACAGGCATGCGCCACCATGCCTGGCTAATTGTTGTATTTTGTGTAAAGACAGAGTTTCTCCATGTTGCCCAGGCTGGTCTCGAACTCATGGACTCAAATGATCTGCCTGCCTTAGCCTCCCAAAGTGCTGAGATTACAGACATGAGGTACCGTGCCTGACCACTGTTTATTTGTTTCATAAAATTTTCTTAAACACCAATTATGTGCAAGTTACCATGCCAGGCCTCTGGGAAACAAAGATGAATCAGTCAGATGTACCTGCAAGGAGCTTATGGTCTAACTGGGGAGAAGAAATACAGCAAAATACTATAACATAGGGTAAAAAGTAAGAAGTACCACAAGAGAAGCACAGACAAGATGATTTGGGGGTTCCAAAAAAATAGATTATTAAATTTTGTGGGCTGGCAGCAGAGAGGAAGGAATTGGTAATTAATCTGAGAAGATGACATTTGAGCTTGCTCTTGATGGACAGAATTTAAAATGTAGAGAGGAGATGTAAGTGCAGACATTTCAGATTGAGGAAAGAGCATAATTAAGGGCATGGAGGTCAGAAAACATGGGGTAATAAAAAAAGGTTCAAGTAGTTCAGTTTAGTTAGAGAACATGGTATATGAATTTAAAAAATCACTGAACTAAAATCAGAAAATTACTTTGAGACCAAATCTAGAGGGCTATTAACACCAGATGATAGAGTATGGACTCTATTTTACAGACAGTGGGAGCCCGCTGAAGGGAAATGCCACATTCAACTTATGCTTCAGTGTCGGATTCCATTGGAAAGGGGGCGGTGACTGGAAGTGAGGACACCAACCCATCAGGCGTGCTCTCATTTAGTTTTCTAGCGGAAAAAAAAAAAAAAGCCTGAAGCAAGGATTAAAGTACTGACATTTTATTTGGGAAGCACAAGCCCAGGCCAGGGAAGCTGCAGAAAAAGGAAAAAAGGGAAGTGAGTATAGGAAACAATGCACAGTCATGCCTTGCACAACTGGCTTCTGCTTCGGGATGAGCCATTGGCTGATGAGGCATGGGAGGCTCAGCAGGTCTGTTCCCTTGGCATGTGGGACATCTTGCAGTGGATGCAGGGAGGGACCATGCCTCTAGCATTCTCTGGGAAGAATAAAGGAGAAGTTTATCTTCCCACCTACCTCCCATTGCCTGTTTTTCATTGGTCAAAACTTGTCCCACTAGGAATTAACTCCTTCACATTTCCAAGTTTATATCATATGACTGCTCCAACTACATGGGACCCCAAACCCCAAACCTGATGTATGTATAGTGTTCCTGTTTCATCCAAGCCTGGAAATGAGGGGAAGAGCCAGAACCTCTAGGTGAGTACTAGGTGGCTTGGCAGTGTGTGTGTGTGTGTGTGTGTGTGTGTGTGTGTGTGTGGTTGAGGGGTGGAGAGTTAAGGGGACTTCTAAGGTAAGTCCCTGATTAGTCCCAGCCAGTTGAACTGTGTTGGGCAGGTATGGTGGTTGAGTAGTTGAAGGTCCTAGAAGTGGACAGTGGCCACAGTGTCTAAGGAGGCACAGAAGATTTGTGTTGAGATAATGATTCAAGAGAAAAGAAGGACCCTTCATACTTCAGTCAGAGAAGAATTCTTTTGGTGGGCTATCATGCTCTTGGGTTAAATTCTTTTCTCTGTAACATTATTTAGAAAATCGCCTCCCTCTCAACAATGAAGACTGAGTACCACTGGCTTACAGATATTTCTGTATATTATCTGAGTTAGTAGAGTTTGAGTATCACATTTCTTTCCTTCCAATTCTATGATTTGTCATCATAAAGTTTTGGCATACGCAGCCCAGTCTTTGGAAGAGGGGTTGAGAATTGTGTAATATCAGGTTTAGCATTATAAAGTAACATCTATCATCTGAAGATGAGACTATAAACACCAGTCTGGACATAATAGAGCATGCTTAGCCCACTTGTTTGGAACTACAAGGAAAATAAGGTCATACAAAAGAGCCCTCTGCCCTTAAAAAAGAATTCTCAATTGCAAATCACTTCTGAGTACCAGTGGGGAAATGCAGTCATTTATTCTCAAGACTGAAAAGAGAAAGGAGACCTTTTTATCACTTTGTGTGTGTGTGTGTGTGTGTGTGTGTGTGTGTGTGTGAGAGAGAGAGAGAGAGAGACAGAAAGAAAGAGCAGGAGAGAGAGAGAGACAGAGAGAGAGAATATGTGTGTGTGTTACCTACCTAAAGCTAATGGTAGCCAATTTTTTCCTTTTTTTCTTGGAATTTTTTTCTTAATCTAAAACAGGCTTGGTGCTCTGGAAAAAGAATTAGAATTGCATTCAAATAGTCAGGCTTCAAGTTGCTTCTGCCTCTGTGTGAAGCAAATAGTAACAACTCACTTCGAAACTCAGGCTCCTGGACTGTAAATGAGGATAATGATACTCACCCTACCAACCTCAGGGACTGTTCTAAGAGCAAAATGAAATGAGACTGAGCTCTGAAAATGCTTAAATGCTTTTCAAAGTAGAGTGATCGTGCTTTCTGTAGCATCAAAACAGTCCTCTATAAATGGGCAAAGTCAAGGCATGGACTGGATCTGACAACAGAGAATGGCTTGAGGGCTGGAAAAAGAAAAAAATGCAAATGCCCCAAATCTCTGCTTCCCTTACAGTGTGGAAATCGCCCCATAACACACTGCACCAGGTAGGGTTAAATTGATCCCAAATGTTTCAGGAATTTTTAATGCCCTTCGAAGAGACATTTCCAATTCTTCATCTGCCCAAAGTAATGCTGCTAACCTACTATCTGTCAGTTTCCTCAGTGCTTTGAAGATTTTTCTAAAGTCATCTGACTTGGTTTCCCTTTGATTTCAAATTCCTGCTTATTATATGTATGACCTTGAGCCTTTTTAACTCATCTGAGCCTCTCTGTTTCCTCATCTATAAATTGTGAATAAGAAGACGTTACTGTAGGATTATTAGAAACTTTAGAAATAATACTTTTAATACCAGCATAGTGCCTGATCCATAGGCATCCAGGACATGCCAGCTAAGATCATTGATTATTGTTGTCGTTTTTAGTATCATACAGTAGAAAGAACAACATCTTTGAAACCAGACAATCCCGCATTTAAATCAGCTCTGTCACTTACGAAACGTGTAATCCTGAATAACTGAAGAAAACTTTTTGAAGTTCAATTTTGAGATAATGATGGATGATTTCAGACTTTGTGAGAATTTCAGAGGTATCGGCAGTAGGTTGAATGGTGAACCCTCCAAAAGATATATCTATGTTCCAAACTCAGAATCTGTGAATGTGACATTATTTGGGAAAAGGGGGTTTTGCAGATATAATTAAGTTAAGCATCCTGAGATGAGATCATCCTGGATTTTCTAGATAGGGCCTAAAGCCAATAATGAGTGTCTAAGACAGAAGAAGACACAAAGAAGAAGAGACGGGAATGTGGTCACAGAGGCAGAGACTGGAGCAATGCAGCCACAAGCCAAGGAACACCTGGACCCACCAGAAGCTGGAAGAGGAAAGAAGGGATTTCTTTTTCTTCTAGAGCCTTGGGAGGGAGCATGGCCCTGCTGACAACTTATTTTCAGACTTCTAGATTCTAGAACTATCAGATAATAAATTTATATTGTTTTAAGCCACTATGTTTGTGGTGATTTGTTCTAGCAGTCCTAGGAAACCAATGCAGTATTTAATACAGAGTGCCCGGTACAATGTTGGCATGTGACAAGCACTCAGCAAATGGTAGTTGCATAGTGAGTTCTCCTCCTGTCCCCACTACCTCCTCAATGAGTAAATGCCTGAACAAATCCATAGGCAGCCATCTGAGAGCCTGACTCCAGGGAGCAGGGGGTACAGTTAGCCTCAGCCCATGCTAAAATAGAAGCCTGACCTTAGTTTGGTTAATGCCACACTCTACCACAGGCAATTGACACCAGGGCTCTCCCATTTTATAATAGCGCAGATCCAGTCTCATTATGCATTAAAGAGTTTGTTCCCCTAAAACTCTTACTGCCCCCAAAGGTTTAGAATTTAAAAATAACATCGACAATCTCTGTTCAAAAAAAGTGAACAATATACTTAAACGTTCTTCTTGTAACAATAGCCTGCCTCTTCCTGAAGTGCTATAAAAATTCAGGGAGCAACTTCACCCAGTTGTGAGAGATAAAAGAATAGCAACTAAAACGGGCAGTCAGACCAAGGCAGGGGGGCAGCCTGTTGTCTCTGGGTTGAAAACCATCCTGAATGCTAAAAGAAATCACTCTAAAGAGGGGTGTGTGGGTGCATATTGACAGACTTCAGAAGCTGAGGTTTCTGAGTTTAGCCTCCTGAATGAAGCAGGACTTTTGACATACTACCCCCTGGGGCCGCTGCCTTAGGTGTGATGCTATTGGAGCCAAGGATCTGTCTATGATGGGGTCCAAAATTTACACACCACGGATGAGATGGAGCAAACATGTGGAGCTTTTTTTTTTTTTAATGTTTCTATAACAGATTCCAGCTTCCTTGTGAATCCACATCCTGTAGGGCAATTGTTATAGCGAACCTTTATACAGTGATTGCTGTGTGTCCTGGCACTCTTTTCAGTGCTTGAGATATATTAACCATTTAATCCTTACACTTCCTAGGAGGAAGTACTATCAGGATCCCCATTTAGAAGATGAGCAGCGAGTGACAGAGATTTAAGTTATTTGCCCAAGACCACATAGCTAGCAAACAGTGCCAATTCAAGAGCAGGTCATCTGACTCAAGACTTTATGCTCTTTGTCACTATACTAAACTGTGGGAAATAGAATTAAACTTGCCAATTAACATGATCTGCCCATCTCAGGTTTACACTTTCAAATGAAATCAATTTCTTTTGAGTAAATGCTCAGTCAGGTCCTCACACTTATGGGAGAGGGGCTTCTGGTGGCTGTACTGGTCCCTGAGCAGTGGGTGGACATCTACTGCTGGGAAGCTCTGTAGTCTGTTCTCAGTTGGTCTCTTTCCCTGGCTGGTCTCTGGCCTTGGCAGCATCCTGCCTCTGGCTGCCTCATGCCACGAGACGGTGGTCACGAGTGTCCATCGGGGCCCCTCTTCCACAGGTATTGGACATACCCCCACAGGTCCCCTTCTGCTGGCATTGAGCGTCCTGTGGACCCTCACCCCAGCCATCCACTGCCCCAGCTTTGGCACTCAGTACCTTTAGCTGGCCGAGCAGGCTTTTGGTCTTCTCTCTAGGCCCACCAGAAACCCAGGAGTCCTTGCAAAGCCAACCTCGGCTCCCAGGAAAAGAAAAGGACTACCTTTATCCTTTCCAACTCATATCATCCTCTCTGGACTCTCATTAGGCTACCAAGCCTTTTCCAAACCACCATCAGACGTGCTCCAAAGGGTTGTACAGTTTTCTCAGTCTACACTCAGGGAGGTTGAAATGTAAACATTACAACTCAGATGTGCAAAAAAAAGAAAAAATATGTAGCTCTTTCTTATTTTCCATTATCTATCCCAACTTGCTATGGGGCCCCATTCCCAGTCAGTAGCAGAGACAATTAAAAAAAAAAACTTAAACCTCAGTCTCTTCTGCTTTTAGGAAAGTCTCTTTCAGTTTAACTCATTCTTTTGGGGGTAAATATTCAATCAATTCAAAGTTAAATTCCTTCTCAGTGCTGATTTTTTCAAATTTCTCAAGGGGGCCCTTTTTTCCCTCTTCCTTTCCAAGACGGCCTCTCAGGAGTGAGGGAGGTTGAGAGTGGGCACATTAGTTCTCCAGAGAGCAGGTCTTCTTCAGGCTGGTCTGGTCTCTGATGCCCTCTGCTGGTATCCGCCAAGGTGTGGCTAGTCGTGCCTGGCCCACTGCTGGACTCTGGGGTCCCTGCCATTGCCTCAAGATGTGAAGCCTCTACCCTTTGTGATTACCTTGTCTTGTCCCTAGGCCTCTGCACAGTCACTGTTTTATCAAAACTTCTGTGAACCCCTTCCAGGTTCATGTGGAACCCTGGGTTCTCCTACATACCATTTGGAGACGCTGGGGACCAGTATTAAAGAAAAATTATCCAGACACTTGTAAAAATGGTAAGGAAGACTTTATTCAAGACTGCTGTAGTAGAGATGATATCTGTTGCAATAGGAGAAAGACATTGGGTTCAACTCTGAATACAGTAGAGATAGCTTAGGATTTATAGTCAATGAGCAGAGTGAAGGAGTCGGTGGATGAAAAATTACTAAGAAGAGATATTAAGAGTAGGGGGGACTCTTGCTAAACTGGCCTTACAGAATTCTTGCTAAAGGCAGGCTAAGGACTTACACATCAAAGTGAGGGATGAGGAACTTGATCAGATATCTAGGGTGGGGAATGATTCAGCAAGATCCTTCGTTAAGACTGGGCTATGCAGCCCAAAGTCAGGATGAGACCAAGGTCAAGGTCTAGTCAAGAAAAGGACTCAGAAGAGCCTGACCAAAGTTTGGTCAAACAGAAAATCTTTATTACCAGACAGCATCTCAGGCCAATCTATCTGAACATCCATCAGACTGGACATTCTCAGACTCTCTCGCACCCGCAGTATCTGTGGTTTCTATCACCCTCCTCTTCTTCGCCCTTTGATTTAAGTCTGGAGAGTTGGAGGTGCCTTTCCAGGGACCTAACAGCATCCCCACCCTGAGCGAATTCCCTCCAATCTCTCTGCTTTCTCTCACAGAGGAAGCCTTTCTACTGATTCTTCCTTTCTTGTATCTTCTGTCCTCTCTATGCTGTGCTCATAGTAAAACTCTAATCCAAGTTGGGTTTTGTATGTGAAAGAGAGGTCTGAGAATAAAAAAGAACTCCTTTTCTCTCTCAGCAAAGGCTAGCTGAGACAATATTATTATCTTTCTTTGGATTAAATGCTACTTGGGAAGACAAAAACTAAAGCTGACACTTTGTTTTCCTTTATATTTCAACAATATTGATCATTCCTGACACAATAAACACCTCTAACTGGATGAGGACGGTCACACAAAAGGAAGTTCAAAAAAGAAACATATATTAATATATTTCAAAACTACTTCATTCCCATGGCAAATCTATAAGTGCTTCCTAAGCCCACACTCTGTGCCTTCCCTCCCCATTCTCCCTGCAAAGCTATGATGATGCATATTTTTCTGATAGTTTGAAAGACATTTGAAGAATTCACATTTCTTTCTCCACAGCACAGTGATGGACATTGAGGAAGATATTGTATATTTGTTCACTCAACACTCATTCCAACGCTCTCCTAGTTTGCCTTTCTATCTACTACAGGCTGGAAGGTAAAAGAATTGTATTTTCCATACTTTCTTGTGGTTAGGAATCTGCATGTGACCTAAGCTCTACACCCACTCCCAGCCCACCCCAATGAGACCCTTGGAGGTGGAAGTGAGTAATTTGAGGAAATGGCTGAATTCTCAGTGAGACAGGCTTTTCCAATAACAGTAGTGAAAGAAGCATTTGGGTTTCCCTGGGGTAGCTGTGGAAATATGTCTGCCATCCAGTCCCTATCACACGGGCCGCTAAGAACAATCCCATGGTTTAGTCGGGCAGTCTTCTGGGTGTGTTGTACTTGGCTGCTCTGTTCTTGGTCATGGAGCTTCTAAGAATGTTTCTGTTCAGAGATTCTGTGAACTATCTAATACTCTTTAACATACGCTTTTCTGTTTAGACTGACTCTAGTGGAGCCTGCTGTCTGAAACTCCGAAGTCTGACCAAAGCAGCAACCCCCTCTCCATTATCCCTGTTCCCCCTCCTCTCACGACATAAACAAAAGTGTAAGCATGGAAATCATAATTAAAAAAAAAAAAACAAAAAAACTGAGCCGGGCGTGGTGGCTTACGCCTATAATCCTAGCACTTTCGGAGGCTAAGGTGGGCGGATCACAAGGTTAAGAGATCAAGATTATCCTGGCCAAAATGGTGAAACCCCGTCTCTACTAAAAATACAAAAATTAGCTGGGTGTGTTGGCACGCGCCTGTAGTCCCAGCTACTCGGGAGGCTGAGGCAGGAGTATCACTTGAACCCAGGAAGCAGAGGTTGCAGTGAGCCAAGATCGTGTCACTGCACTCCAGCCTGGCGAGAGTGAGACTCTGTCTCAAAAAAAAAAAAAAAAAAAACTGGAGGGTTCTTTGTCTTAGTCAAAGCTATCTTGGTTTTAAATAAGAGACATCAACTCGAGCTATATTTACCTAAAAGAGAAATTCATTAGAAGGATGCCAAGAGCTATGTAGTGCTCTGGAGACTGGAAAACCCTCAGGGGACAAGAAACCATCTGTCTTTTCTTCTCTCTCTTTTTTTTTTCCTCCATGCAAAGTTCCGAGTTTGTATCAAGTTTCAACCACAAGGGCAAATTATTCTCAGTGCCAATTCCAAATTCTTGAAATAAAGATCGAGCCTAGAAGTCAAGTTGTCCACTCCAAGCTAATCAATTATGGCTAGAGAACTGCATCGCACAGCCAGGCATGGTGGCTCACGCCTGTAATCCCAGTACTTTGGGAGGCCGAGGCAGGCGGATCATGAGGTCAGGAGTTTGAGACCATCCTGGCTAACATGGTGAAACCCCATCGCTACTAAAAATACAAAAATTAGCTGGGCACAGTGGCAGGCGATTGTAATCCCAGCTACTTGGGAGGCTGAGGCAGGACAATCGCTTGAACCCTGGAGGTGGAGGTTGCAGTGAGCTGAGATCATGCCACTACACTCTAGCCTGGGCAACAGAGCAAGACTCTGTCACAAAAAACAAACAAACAAACAAACAAACAAACACAGAGAACTGCATCGCACAAAAATATGGCTGTGGAGTAGTGGTGAGCACTCAGAAAATTAGAATAAGATGACAGACACTCCAAACTGTTACCCCTTAGATATCTGTGTTTAGAAATCTTACCAGAACTCAAACATTTCTAGAGTTTAATAATGCTTGAGTGGTAATCAGGTAGTTACAATACAGCTCAATGTACTTTGAGCTGCTGAAGCCTCCCCAAGACTTCCCTAACACTTTTGGGAAACCTCTGGATGGGGAATTTTGTGAAACCACTAGACATCAGCGGCTTTGCCCTTAATGGCTATGGTGGCCATTATCCTGACTTTCCGGGAGCTTGTCTCATTCACGCCACCTTCTTTAATAGTTTACTACTAAGTCCATGTGACACACAGCTTGCCTGGGAGGAAGTCCAAGCCCAAGGTGAAGACACTGTAAGATGTATTGCTCTGATTTTCCTTTTCCAAAATTTTAATGAAGATCCCAAACATGCCACAGTGGTATATTCTAAATCCTTAGATCCTGTAAAGAGGGCACCAGAAATCTCAAGTCAAACATATAACCAGTTTTACCCAACTACAGTTCTCACCAGACAACTCTATAATGGTAGAATTCAGGTCCTCAGTAGGGCTGGGATTGACTGGCTTAAGGGATGTTTAGATTCCTCAGTGAGGCTAAGAACTATGATCTAAAAACACAAGGTCTCAAACATGCACAGAACAAGATGGGATGTTCCCTACTGTCTTAGAATTTTGACTTAGAGCCCCAAAGCTGGGGACAATAAGTACTAAGTACTCACACAAAATCTAAAAGACTTAAAAACACATGGCAATAGCAGTCCAACCGTTATCATTCTGTCTAGACTATATAAGATTAGAAATTTAAAAATAAGATTATTTGAAGAAACTATGTAGGTATAGAGAAGTCTGATACTTTATCTCAAGAGACACATTCATAGGGACAGGCAAGCATGCAATAAAGAGTTGGTCATCTTACTCCTTACCTGGGTTTTTGCAAAGCTTCCCAAACTCATAGGTCTAACCTCTACTTTCCAGTAGAACAGACCTGGTACTCCAGGGGACCCTACTACTATAAAACATTTAGATCCTGAATAAAATAAAATTTAAATTACATGGCTAGACTCAAATGAAATAGGAGAAAGCACCCAGGGTGAAAAACAATGCCTAACTAAAATAAATCTCTTGATTTGAAACCACAGCAAGTGAATGTGCACCGGTAAAAGATAGAAGCTAAAGATGGTCCAGGCATTGATTTGGGGCTAGAGAGTAGATTAGATTCCAAGATAGAGCAGGGTAAAAGGAGCCCAGGCTGTAGGTATACTACCAAAGGTCACAGTAAATAGCCACAGCCTAGGGCCCTGGGAGAACTCCAAGGATACAGAGATGGAGATTAGAACAACACTGACAGATAAGAGGCATTTCCTAATCCCTCCTCCCTGGTGCCACATAGAGAAGGAAGAGAGAACCAGGGGCGACAAATGAGGAACAAGGAAAGAAAAAACAAAAACAAGAAAGGAAAGACTACGCTGCCCTTCCCTACCGAGATTACTGAAGCTCCCATATCAGGGTGAGGCCTGATATGGGAGCAGGGAGATTTAACTCCAGCAGACCTTAATACTACACTTAAAAGCAACTGCAAAGCCATGAATGAGGAAGAGAGATCCAAGAGCATGATTGCAGGCAATGACAGGAGAATAAATTCCATTGAGTTCTGGCCAATCAGTAAATAAGTTACTTCAGATATAATTGTTTCACATGATTGTGTGTAAACTTTGATGAGATTCCATGAAGATGCCCTAAAAATTAGCCTGGGACAAGGAACTCAGGAAATCTTTTCTCCAAACAAAGAAAGCAAATCTCACGGTCTGTGTTTACACGGTCTGTGTTTACACGGTCTGTGTAGATATCACAACCCAAATCAGACCCACAGGAAATATGCTTTAAAAGTTGTCTGATGTAACCCATTTAAAGCAAAAGATGATTCCTTTTTTTTTTTTTTTTTTTTGTCATAAAGAAAATGGCTCTGCTATATTTCCTCCATTTCTGGTAGATTTTTGTCTTTATTGATAAGATAATGCATATTTGAACCTCAAAAATTTGGAAGCACTGAAAGAAGGGGTGAAGGGCAAGTGATGGGTTTAATGGAACAATGCAATTGTGTGAGAGTTCGTTATAGAATTAGGGGAGCGAATCATGTATGTTGTTACTTCTGTGTGATCACAATGTCAAACAATCCAGCCCACATTTGAAGGAAGGATAAAAACTAAGATTAATGTGAATGAAATGAATAAAACCAATCACAAGTCAGTGGGCCTCAGGATGTTACATAGTAATATGTCATAAGTATAATATTTTCTTTTCTTTGTAGAATTAGATGCTAAACCTAGAAGATGAAGTTATTTTCATGAAATCATTTCTGAACTACTGATTTTAGACACAACTCCTCTTATAAGTACTCACCATTCTGAAAATAAATGCTTAGTTTGAAGTTATTCTGTAAGAATATGTCCTCATATCTAAATTACCCCAAACTTTACATTTTTTTTAAAAGAGATGGGGTCTCACTCTGTTGCCCAGGCTGGAGTGCAGTGGCATGATCATGGCTCACTGCAGCCTAGACCTCCTGGGCTCAAGCAATCCTCCTACCTCAGCCTCCCGAGTGGCTGGAACTACAGGCATGTGCTGCCAGATCTGGCTAATTTATTTTTTAACTTTTTAGAGATAGGGTCTTGCTATGTTGCTCAGGCTGGTCTTGAACGGGGGCTCAAGCGATCCTCCTTCCTCGGCCTCCAGAGTAGCTCCGATTGGATTACAGTCATGAGCCACTGTGTCCAGCTCACAAACTTTATATTCTCAAGGCTTCACATAATGAGGCTAAAAGGTTCTTGTATATTCTCAGTCATTTTAGAAGAGACAGAGGGAGTTGGCTGAAGGAAAGAGTTCCTCTTACCCTGAAACCTTCGTTACGACAGACAAACGTCTGGCAGCTTCAGCCTTCCACAGATACCTTACATTTACATAGTATCTGGCAGTGTTCAAAGGGCTTCAGTAATGGTGCAGGAGTTACAGCCTTGAATCAACTGAGGAGGCAGAATCAACCAGCTCCAAGACTATTACAGACAAGCTTGTGGCCTCCAGCAAGCCATGCAGTCTCTCTGAGCTTTAAGCTCCTCATTTATAAAACAAGGACATTACATATACCATCTCGACATCTTTTCTAGGCCTAGGATTCAGCTGTCTTGCCCTCCTAGCAACGGAGTAATACAATGCCGCCACTCTGGCAACTGAGCAGAGGTTGGGGAGTTTGGCAAGCTGAAGAACATGTTTATGAGCTCAGAGCATGGTTAAGGCTGACGTGCAAGTCGTTCAGACAAAGCAGAAAGAAAACCACTTTCAGAATACTCTTTGTGATGTGTATGCAATTTACTTCCTAAAAAAAGACAGAGTATTTTCACGGCTGGTGTGAGTCCAAACTTGCCATAGTCTCAGGCAATGCGTCTGGCTATTTTAAAGTGCTAAGAAGTTTAGTGACAAGTGCCCTTCCATTTCATCTTTTTCAGAATTATTAGGCTTTGGGGATGAGGAGAAGATGTGGGGGAGGGGAAGCTTGAGTAATCCTTTCAGGAGCTTCTTCTTACTTTGGCACACGGACAGTTCTCAAGAGGAAAGAAGATTTTTTTTTTTCAACCATATAGTTTTCCATGAACAGGAAATTCATAGCAAAACATTTCCCTTTGTTTTGAGGTAGTCACCACACCACAACACCCAAGGGCCCATCCTGAGAGAGTCATCTGTAGATCTTTGTATTTTAGCCAGCATTCCTTGCCATATTGTTTATATAAAACACACACACCCCCCTAAACTCATACATCTAAATTCACACATGGAGGAAATTTAAATGCAAATATTTTTTCATATACCTATATATGTATACTAAAAGCAAGTTCATATAACAAGATTAGTCACAATTACGTAATATAAAAATTCTGACCTTGTTCAAGTTACCCTAAGAATGTAGTACTGTGATTGTCAACTAAGGTCATGGGCACTTTGGTATGTCTGAGAAAGCTCTGTAAGTGTGCTAACAAATTTTGAACAACATGCAACATTGATTTTGGTGACATCTGCGTAGGAAGCCTGTTCTTACGATGTCCATCAGATGGACCACAGAGCTCAATGAGCAGAGGCAACATGATGTAGAACAAAGGAGCAACTTCTGGGAATAGAACATAGGTGGTGACCACATGAGGCCTGGAGAATATAAGTCAGATCAATACATTGTTCTATTCAACAGTAGCAAAGCTTATCACTTTTCTTATCACTTTAAAATTGATAAAATTTATTGATAAAAGTGATAAAGTTTTTATATTATAGAAATGATTGTTTTATTTTAAATTTCTTTTTTTTAGACAGAGTCTCGCTCTATCACCCAGTCTAGAGTGCAGTGGCACGATCTCGGCTCACTGCAACCTCCGCCTCCCAGGTTCAATCAATTCTCTTGCCTCAGCCTCCCAAGTAGCTGGGACTACAGGTGTGCATCACCACACCCAGCTAATTTTTGTATTTTTAGAAGAGATGGGGTTGTGCCATGTTGCCCAGGCTGGTCTTAAACTCCTGGCCTCAAGTGATCTGCCCACCTCAGCCTCCCAAAGTGCTGGGATTACAGGCCTGAGCCCTGGCGCCCAACCAAAATGATTGTTTTATAATTGTTGTTGACTTGTTCATTTTTAATTTCTTCAAATACACTGATAAGAGTCTTAACATTTGCAAATATGTTATAAACACAAATAAGGGTAAGAAGCATCGTTATAAGAAAGCATTTTGGGTTTGGTCCTGACTTTCCTACAGTGTCCCAAACATCAACACCCCTTATGCTCTGGTGTGTCTCCTGGGGCTGCTGAGCAATCCAGGTGCCTCCTGAGCTTGCAGAGGTCATAGAATAAGGCTCTGCCAAGGAGGGCTTGAATGTCTGCTGAAGGGGCAGACATTCCCCCTATCTCTTATCCAGGGAAAAGGGGTCCCTGGATGGAAAAAGGGAGCCTGAGATAGATAGAAAGGGAAGACTCATCACTCTCTGGGACCTGGCCTATGGCTAAGTGGTAGAGGTTGATGATTTCCTCCAATAGAGGCAGAAACACAGTTAAGAGTTGAGTCTTGCAAACCAGATAGTCCATTTTTATGTTCTCCTTAGTATGTAGTTTTCTTTTGTTATCCCAAACTTTTTGGTGCCTAAAAATTTTGTTTAAAAGTTCTAGTTTGCAAGGCACAGTGGCTCATGCCTGGAATCTCAGGCTTTGGGAGGCCAAGGTGGGGGGATTGCTTGAGGCCTGAAGTTCGAGGCCAGCCTGGGCAACTGAGTGAGAACCCTTCTCCAGAAAAAATTAGCTGAGTGTGGTGGCATATGCCTGTAGTTCCAGCCACTCGGGAGGCTGAGGTGGGAGGATTACTTGAGTCTAGGAGTTCAAAGCTGTAGTGAGTTATAATTGTGCCAGTGTACTCCAGCCTGGGGAACAGAGCGAGACCCTGCCTAAAAAAAAAAAATAGTTCCAGTTTGGTCACAGCCATGCTGTGTGTTTTGGAAAATAAAGGAGACAGTTGAGTTTACCTTTGGATTAAACATTATTGGAGGAGTGTTCTGCAGAGATTAATGTGGGGACAACAGCACCATAAGCAAGAAACCCTCAAGGGAAAAAGGAACCCCAGGAACAAGTTTTGGCCATGATACTTAGCTGTTCCTCCCAAGGTGCAGATTCTTTCTTCGTTGCTAAGCCTTAATGGATTAGTCTTCAATTTTACCAGCGGGTCTTGAAAGCTCCTTTACACACATGTAAGGAAGAATAGGGCGTGAGTCAGTAAATTTGGCATCATAAGAAAGTTTGGACAAAACCTAAAATGTTAACACAACAACAATTAACAAACTCTCATGAGACCCTGACAGAGGTTAAATTGCTAAAGGAATAGTAATTTATTCATGTTGCACTTTGGCAATTATTTGTAGATCTTGAAGTAGTACATCATCTGGAAATACCATTTATCATTTTTTTAGTGCTTAAATAGGATGTTTAATAGGGACAAATCCTCAGTTTCCTAAATCAAGAGTATTAAATTCCACAGCTTAAATTATTTTATTAAATAAGTGTCTGCAGTGTTGCTTGTGAAAAAAAAAGTGGCCACAATTCCTAAAACTGAGCTGGGAGTTTGAGTCCAGTAGCATTTTTGTTTACGGGGATAAGAAGGGAAGCCAAAATGAAAGAGGTGAATGAGAAGAGAATCCACATTCAGAATTCACTTTCTTAAAAACCAGCAAGAGTGACCCCCAAAGCCATCACAACTGTTTTGTCTATCAAGACTGTGTCATTGAATCATGTAGACACATAGGCCAGGCCAGAACTCAAACTTCTCTGAAAAGCACTGATTTTTTGTCCTTAACAAGTCTAAAACAATAATCCTCCCAATTGCAAACAACAGTATCACCGTATTTTTATCCTAGTCATCTTCATTGATGCCTATAGTGTAACATCAAGAAGTATAATCTCCATGTAGTGAAGAGCTTGATAATAAAAATCTACAAAATGCATTTCTGTATACTAGCTCCTAAGTTATAACTGATATTTATTCTAAAGTAAGAGATGGAACCTTTCCTTCCCCTTCTCTACCCTGAAGATATAAAAAATTTACAATTTGAGAAACCAAAGAAAATCTTAAAGAAATGTTATAATGTATAAATTATAGCTACCAATACTCAAAATGAGTCAAGAATGAAAAACATTCCAAATACATACCATTAATAATGTAATGTCACCTTAATTTTGAAGTTTATGTAATTGATGCTTATATGTTGAGATTATTTCCCCTAATAATAATAATGGATTTGCATTGACCTGTTATTATTAATAGGGAAAATAACCTACTTTTTAGGGGCCCTTTATAAGCCACAACATGTTTTTTAAAGATGGTTAAAATTATCTTTAAGTGAGCAGGAATTGAATCAATGGTCATGGCCCCATTAGTGTGATGCTCCATCAACCGAGTGCAGCTGGAGAGCTCATATGTGTTTACTGATGTGGTAACAGGAGGGGGGCAAGCCAGCCTCATCTTGTGCATGTCAGTGCCCTTGTTCAGACTGCACTGGACAGTTGGCATCATTCTTACCTTAACTTGTGTTCAAAACATTATTTGTTAGCAGATGATATCTTTCTTTTTGAAGATTACTGGCATATCCATTGACAGGGTGGGTGAATGGGCTAGTAAACATAAATTTAAGGACTCAAAATTATTTGTTATTACAGCTGGAAGGAATTGAGTCAAACATCAATACTCTACAGATGAGAAAACTGCAGTGTGAGGAGGTTAAGTCCCTTGCCCAAGGTCATGGAGGTATTAAGTGCTGGAGCTGGGACTAGAATTACATCTTCTGTTTCTGCACTGGTCTCCACAGTGAAGGCTGCTGGATTCCACACTGGTATGTGGAGGAAATGACTTGCAAGGGTAGAAAGAAAGAAGCTTTGATCTCCCAATGGCTCAGAACTTCTTTTAAAAAGTGATTTTTGTTGGCATGACCGGGAACACTGCCCTGGCAAGTCTCTGTTGCCTGACCTCCTCTATATAAACCCAAGCCATGGTCAAGGGAGCTAGGAGCTCTGGCTGCCTTGAGGGTCCACATCTGGGCAGGCACCAGGAGAATTGCTCTGAGGCTCAGGCTCCTGACAATTGTACATATACCCGGGGCCTACATTCAGAATTCTTGTCTGCCGATGAGGTTCAAGGGCCAGTTGTAGTGCCAAATCAGGCCCTGGAGGTCCCCCAAAGTGCTGGCCATTAAGTCTTTAGTTCCTGGATTTAGAGGAGGCCAGGGAGGAGGTCCTAGAAGTGAAGGCCAGGGTACACTTGGGGTGGTGTAGAGTATTCAGTGGGTCTCATGCAGTGATTTACCAACTAATGGATATTTCAATAATTAACAACTAGTACATTTTACTAGCTTATACAGCAGTCCTAAAATCAAGCCTGCATATGCCCATTTCAGATGAAATACTCTTAATGAGATACTCAGTTTAGAAGTATCCCAAGGAGTAAACTCAGTTTTATATGCTGGTGCAGGAAATGTTACCCAAAGTATGGGATGTGCCCTGGGAACCTGGGGCCCACACTGAATCATAGTGTGTAGGTCCCCAATCCACCCACCCCAATCTCTCATTTATAGGCCCCATACCCCCTACCCCTGCCAACTCATCCATCCCTTCAACACACACACACACACACACACACACACACACACACACACACGCATGCATACACAAGGCAAACATCACAAGCAATTCTCAAAAGAAAATTACAGAAGAACATGAGCCTAAGGGTGTATGTGTATAAGGGTCCTTGGCTTACATATGAGTCTCTGTCTTTCTCTCAGCTACCTCATTCACCTAAACATCTGTTAGGAGCTTTGAGATTCTTTAAACCTGCATGAGTGACACCAGGAAAATTACCCCATCCTCAAACAGGTTTGGGCTCTAGGAATGATTCTGCCCAGCAGCCCATCTTTCCATCTAGTTGAGACCGAGCAATGAAGTCAAAGAACATTCTTTGGTCAAATATGTTTTGGCCTGGATTTGCTAGAAGAGCTCTTTGGACTTGCTGAGAACTCAATTACTGAATCTTCTTTCATTTAGCTTTTGTGTTTCCTGGACAGAACTCAAGAGGAAGATATTATTGTAGTGGGGTTAAACAAGGTCACTCTAGTCTGAGTGACAGACAATAATAACGAGCCCCAGAAAGGTACCTGTTTTCCAGGGTGGTGTGATCAGTATTACACAAAAATCTTGCAAGCCATCTTTTACGAGGCCAGCAAGATCACAGAAGGCAATACCCAGTTTGCTCAGAGACAAGCTGTTTGCTAATCAAGTTTTCTTATACTCAGAACTATGGAAACATTTTCAAAGGTATTATTCTCGGCAGGTTTCCAATAATTCAACATTTCCAGACTTATCCAAATGGCTTCTGAAATATTTGCTGTTTGTTGAGAGCAGCTTTCAGGATGAGGTAATTAAAAGAAACCTATCAATTTGAGATTTTTTTTTACCGTGAGTAAATAATGTTGACATACTGTTCAAATAAACCCACAATTTACTGCAATCTGTTTTTAGAGAAACCCTCCACTTTAACCTCCAAATAGGAAAAAACGAAGAGACTTTCCTCTTCTCATTTAATCAAGAACATATGTTCAAAGATAATACCGGAGGCTTATTCTGGGAAGCGTTCTGCTCTTCCTCCGACAGCCACGCAGCGAGCTCACGAGGCAGCCTCCACACATAATGAAAGCAAACGCCACCATAAATCTCCCGCTCGGCGGAGGTCACTTCAGAAAAATCGCCCGCTGCTCAGATAAGCACCAGCTTTGCTGAGGAACATGGAAGGGGGAAAACACCGACTGTGATAAACACCAGCAGGTAGGCTCCAAATGGAGGCCAACCCAGGCAACTCGGAGAGAAGGGAGCCGGGATGAAGCAGGTGTGTGTGCGTGTGTGTGTTTACACACAACAGCCCTGGCCCAGTGTGTTCTGGCTGCGAGAACAAGCAACCGCACCACGAGAGGAGCTGCTCTCCCCCCCGGGAGGAGAGCTCCGGAGGCACCAATTTTCATTAAACCTAGGAGTACACACAGGGGCAGGAGGCCAAAACAGTCCTCGAAACTGAGGCTTTTAAAAACATCTGTTGGCAGCGTTGAGATCCTAGAAGAGAGAGAGAGACGGAGAGAGAGAGAGAGAGAGAGAGAGAGAGAGAGAGAGAGAGAGAGCTCAGAGTCCAGCACTTTCATTTCCAGACTGTGAGTCATAAAAGGAGTACGTAAATCCCTATCGCCAGAATACGCTGACCCAAGTCTGGGTTTATGAACACCTGAAGTACATTTCATGAGAATTAGCTTTAAATATCAACCTGATCACAAAGCTTGAAAGGTTTTCTCCCATCTCAGGATGACTGGAGTCCGCTGGAACCTGGAATGGAGTTTTCTGACAGCAAAGGATTACAGGAGCGTAACAGAAATTATGGAGATTTCCCCGCTAGGCATAAGGATGCGATCACTGTAGGCACCTGTGGGCCCAAGCAGGTTACCCACCAATATCCCTTTAAACACCAAATTATGGACTATTAGGCCACTGCTTCAAGGCTTCTACAAATGTGAAACCTTGACAAATTCCCAAATAAAAGCCATAAAACCAATCATTTTTTAAACCTGTATGAGTGACACCAGGAAAATTACAGCAGTGTGGCAGGTCACTGTGAAATAAAGCTGCCAGAAAGAAGCTTACGATGCTGTCATGGAAAAGGCAATTAGAAGGTTACTTTCTCTCAGGTCTAAGATTGGTTCTTGTTCTTCCTACAGCTCCCTGCCTTCCACCTCCCTGCTGCAAAATGGATCAATCTATAATAAGTAGTAGTTATATATCATAAGGCAGCAATTCCTTTTAGTTGTTCCACTATAAAAAAGCATCCAGATTTAGAACTTGACAGGAACCAGTATCGCCTGCCCCCCAGAGCCGGCAGAAAGTCTGTGTATGTCATTCAGCCAGCATGGAGTCTGGGTGTTTTAAAAGCTTTAATTTGAAGGGGATAAAAAACCTGGGCGTTAAGCAATTTGGCTGTGGATATTTAATGCATCAGCCACGCTATAGAATTGGAGTCCTCTATTTAAAATGAGAAATTGAAAACTTACACGCTCTGTAGGCAAGGTGTAAGTAAATGTAGGATGGTAAGCAGAAATCAGCTGAGAACCTGCAGAAACGCCATTAGAAGGACTAATGGCATGGTTCAGAAGTGGCCTTAAACAAATGCTAGGGTGTCGTTTGTAAGTGTGTAAAACAGGTCTGGCTTTTAATTAGCAGGAGCCATATCTCCCTGTGTTTAGGAAAAGGCATTACTTCTCAAAGAGAATATCCTAACGGGGTCTACATAGGGACCAGGAGGAAACAATGGCCCGGGAGTTGAGATTTGCCTCAAGGCACGTTCCTCCTCAATGGCAGCGTGGAGATTGGAACTCAGTCTCCTTATCTCTAATTTCCACTCTAACACACTTATTGTAGGTAGAAAAAATGCATCCCAAAGATGTCTACTTCTTACTCCCCAGAACCTGTACATACAGCACCTTACATGGCAAAAGTGACTTTGCAGATACGATTGAGTTAAGGGTTTTGAGATAGGGAGATTACCAGGTGGCCCAACGGAATCACAAGGGGCCTGATAAGTATGAGAGGGAGCAGAAGAGTGAGGGTCAGAGTCAGAGAGAGACTGGAAGATGCTATACCACTGGCTTTGAAGATGAAGGAGGGGGACACAAGCCAAGGAATGCAGGCAGCCTCTAAATGCAGGAAAAGGTAAGGAAATCGGTCTTACAGCCTCCATAAAAATGCCATCCTGCCAATGCCTTGATTTCAGCCTCATGAGACCCTTTCAGACTTCTGATCTCTAGAACTGTAAGAGAATACATTGCGTTGTTTTAAGCCACTAAGTTTGTGATGATTTATTACAGTACCAAGAGGAAATCACTACAGTGTTCTAGCTGGGGATCACATTTCCCCACCTCATTTTGATCTACTCAAAGTAGTCCATTACCTCAGTGCTGGTTAGAGTCTTTATAAAAGCAAAAACAACAGAATTCAGATGCTTCTGCAGTTCTCTCTGGTATGGAGAGCAGGTGTAATCCCGAGACCCATAACCTAGAGTTGGACCAGCGTGTACCAAGGTGGGGCTTGGCAGGAGTGGTCCACCCTTTTGGGAAGGAGTGTTTTATCACTGACATTGTTAAGGGTCACCACAGCAGATTTTTAGTGGGTTTTGTTGTTTTTAAATTCTCATAGGCAGTGCACCTCTTATTGCCTGTTCCAGCATGATCTGCTCCCACTGCCCACACCCACCATTAACCTCCACCGTTGGTCTTTAGTGTCTTCTACTTTCCTTTTTGGATTTTGTTTTTGTTTGTTTTATTTTTTAAATTTTTTAACTTTCCTTTATGACACTCTTTCTTGTGGCACCTTGTTGGCTCTCTGCTCTGTGTCTCTTTCCCATATGAATGATTCCTAAAGGAAAGATTTTTTCTAATTATCAGCTCTGTGTTAAGAAATTAGTTGGAAAGAACTTAAAGTATGAGGGTTCATCAACTATTTCTGGTGTATTAGAATACTCTATTTCATTTGGGTGTGTTTCATTAATGACTTCTACCCTCTTATCCCTGCTGCTTCTGTAAAGCCTTCAAGACCCCTCAAAGTTAATCTCTACAGGTGAAATTTCAGGCTCCTGGTTTGGGTGGGCCTTTTCCAGAGTGTCTCATGTACACTTTGTAGATACAGCTTTGGAGTCAGACAGACCGGGGTTTGACTCCCTGACCCACCATTTACTAGTGATGTCACCTTGAAAAAAATTATTTATTGTCTCACTTTGTTTATCTGTAAAATGGAGAACATAACAATGATCTTGCTCCATAGTGAGAAATTAATGCGATTTTGTATTTCAAGTGTTTAGCAGAGTGTGACCCACACAAGCCACAGAAATCGTGGTGGTGGAGAAGTCACAAAGTGCTTGGTGCCCATACTTCTCAGATTCTGAAACTTCTGGTCACGTAGGATTTGAAAGCCCATTTACATCCTATGGGGCCAGAAGTTTCAGAATCTGAGTGTTGAAAAGAAATATCCACCAAATGTGTAACAGCAGCAAGCATTTACACATAGCTAGCTGTGAACCTTCTTCTTGGATAGCGGGCTCCAACAAGAATAAGCAATGGTAAGAGATGATCTACAGCCCTGTCCAAAAGAAGCTCATGGTTTAGGAGGGAGAAGATATAAAGACATAATTACTGAATTACTGGCATTTATCACTCTATATGAAGTGTCATTACAACTGAGGATGATGAGAAGACCCAGGAGACAAAATCTTCCAAGGGAATCAGGAACAAGGGCACAGAGGTAATGAATTTTGAGTTGGGTCCTGGAGCGTGAGTAGGAGTTTGCAAAGCAGAAAATAGGAGAAAAATTATACCAGGCAGAGAAAAGTGTATAAGAAAAACAAAGTAAAAGAATATCAACAGAGAACATCTCCTGAGCATAACAATAATATTGAAGCCATGGGTACAAATTAAATCCAGTTCAATGAGTTAAAGCCATAGCAACTTGCACTGAATCATCAACAACTTAACTTTCTCTGGATCTGCTGCAAAGTGATTTCAGGGTCACACCGAACATTCTTCCTTGACTAAAAACGATGCCTTGAGAATTCACTGATGGCCACAGTGCAATCAATACTAATCAGGTAATACGCCCTGGCCCTGAGATAACAGAGCATCTAGAATCCCAATGTATGAATTCATACCTAATCTATATACTGCCTTATATGAGTGGAGGATTTGTTCACATTCCAAAGCATTTTAGTAAGATGCTAAGAAAAATCAATAACTTATTAAATACCAGTTACCTCATTAAAACAAACAATTAATCATCTTTGTTGCTATTATATTGGGACCACAGATCTGACTTTATATATTTTTCATTGGTGTGTATGCTCACAGGTTTACTCCATTCATTAGAGGAGATGACAGAACTCTTGACAGCAATGCTATCAAGAAGGAAGTTTCAGTTTAAGAACCCCTCTGGGCTTGCAGAATGACACACACTGCAGCCAAGATGGTGCTACTATAAGAAATGGACTCCCCAGCACGTTATTGAAGAAAAAAAAAACCTGCAGCAATCAAAAAAAAAAGGGGGGACGGGGGCAAATCTATAACTTCAGCTGGAAGTGATGAAAATTAACTGTTAGAAGTAGAAGAGACCTTATGCTACTAAAATAATAATCATCACTTCAAATATTTCCTGCTCTTGAAATATTTTGTCAGTGCCCTGTGATATCGGGAAATAAAGTTACGTTCATTTCCAGTTTTAAGATGGAAATGGGAGTTCACATTAGCGTACATACATATTTTGTGAAATGGAAAAATGAGACCCACTGTCAGCCACAATAATAAGTACATTCCTCAAAAAATGAAGACTTCTGGTTTGATTTCATTGACCTGTTAGGAATGGTTAACTTTTTAATTTTTTTTTTTTTTGAATACAAATTTTGAGTTATCTCTCCCAAGGCCATCATGTCATCAATTTCTTAGGAATATAGAGAAAAGGTTGAACTATATGCCTATGAATCTGTGAATAAATTACTCTTCTTATCTATGGAAATGTCCCCTACACTTAAAAAGTATGGTCAGCATTATGTAAGCTAAACCGACAAGTGCTGAGTTAAACAAAATTATCTCAGTAAATTATATATGATAGGGTTTTTTTTCCCTAGGAATCTTTGAATAGCATTTCTTAAGAAATTGTGATTATTAGGTCCAAATAATTTAAAGTTGCCATTTCATTTAGAGTTGGCTGATTTTTGTGTGAATGTTTTTGCAAAGAGCATCATATGTGAGTCTTCCCTGCAGCCTGCATAGTGCAGTGGAAAGAAAACAGACACTGCATTTCTTAGTCTGGATTTGAATCCTAACCACCCTCAGACTGTCTTTAGTCAGTAACTTTACTTTTCTAAGTCAGTATTTTCAGATATTAAATAGGGGTAAATAACATTTCCCCTATGTATCTCACTGGAGTATCATTATGATGAGCTAAAGTCATGTGTATAAAAGAATATTATAAAATCTGGGACCCTAACTGGTTAGTCATCCTGTGTTGTTGCACTAAAAGAAACACAACAAAAAGAAACCCAGCAACTGAAAGTTAAAGTTATTCTGAAATTTATTTGTAGCTTTAAAGAGTATTAAAAGAGATCTAATTTATAATTCATAGCACTTTTTTTTCTTTTTCTTTTTTTCTTTTTTTTTGAGACTGAGTTTCACTCTTGTCACCCAGGCTGGAGTGCAATGGCGTGATCTCTGCTCACTGCAACTCCCACCTCCTGGGTTCAAGCGATTCTCCAGCCTCAGCCTCCCAAGTAGCTGGGATTATAGGTGCCCACCACCATGCCCAGCTAATTTTTGTATTTTTACTAAAGACGGGATTTCACCATGTTGGCCAGGCTGGTCTTGAACTCCTGACCTCAGGTGATCTGCCTGCCTCAGCCTCCCAAAGTGCTGGGATTACAGGCATGAGCCATATGCTTGGCCAATTCACAGCACATTTCTGATAGTCCCCCCCTTACTGTACCTCTCAAGTTCTCTCACACTCTCACATTCTCACATGTGGTTGTTTTGGAGCCTCTTTATCAACTCCTCCCTCTCAACTCTCCACCCAACCCCTCTCCAACACTCAGGACTTAAAGCTTGTCTATATCTGTCTTCTCCCCCATCCCCTGTGTACCACCTCTTCTCCTCAAGCTCTTTATTGCATATATCATTTTGGCTTTCTGCCTTCCTTCCATACAGCTATGCCCCAGATTCTCCACCAGAAAAGCCTAGGGGGAATCCAGCAGGCAAAAATCTTCCATGCAACACTCCTATCCCCAAGCAAGTGGTGTAGAATGAAGAGACGGAGAATATTCATACATTCATATTTTTCACTTTGGGAGGCTGAGCAGGCAGATCACCTGAGGTCAAGGGTTTGAGACCGGCCTGGCCAACATGGTGAAACCCCATCTCTACCCAAAATACAAAAATTTGCCAGGCGTGGTAGCACATGCCTGTAATCCCAGCTACTCGGGAGGCTGAAGCATGAGAATCGATTAAGCCCAGGAGGCAGAGGTTGCAGTGAGCTGAGATCGTCCCACTGCACTCCAGCCTGGGCAACAGAGTGAGACCTGTCTGAAAAAAAAAACAAAACACACACAGACGCACATAATTTTAACACTTTTTGCACATTAATACTTTCACTCTAGCTGTTGTTCTCTATGCATATTAATAATTATATTGTCTTTTATCTTTTAGTTTAGGTAATAAGGTCTTTATTTTCAAAATAAGTAAAACAAATCACAAACGATTGACCCAGCAATTGATTCAGGATCCCAGAATCAGTCAAGAATGTAGGTAGAAAGTGAGTTTTAATTTTTTTCTACTCTACAGAACAGTGGTTCCCAGAGTATGTTCTAAGATATCCCTAGAGATGCCTCTGAAAAAGAAATCCAAGGCCAAATACAACAGAAAAATGCTGTATTCTGTCTTCCTTCAGGGGGCGGGGGTCCACAATGCATACTGGCAACTGAGGGAAGTCCTGAGTTTGTAAAGAAATCTACGCACAAAAACAGAGATTAGAGACTTAGTGGGAAAAGCAAGATTATAAAACATTTAGGACAATATTTTTAATCTCTTGTAGGGAAACTTTCTTAAATTGGACCCCAAAAGCACAACCATAACATAAAAGATTGATACATTCATCTCTATTAAAATGTAAAACTTCTCTTCATGAGAGAACATCATTAAGAAAGTGAAAACATGAATCACAAATTGACAGAAAAAATTTTTCAAATACGTAACTTAAGAATTACAATGAAGAAAGCATAAAGAACCCCTAAAAGTCAATAAGGAAAAGACAACCCAGTTAGAAATTGGGCAAGAATGTGGATAATAGCATTTACAGAAGAGGAAACTCAAACAACCAATAAATATATGAAAAGATGCTGAAATTCACTAGTAATAAAGGAGGTGAGAACCAAAATCACAATGAGATGGGCAAAAAATTCAAGTCTGACACTGCCAAGTGTCGACGCAGATACGGAGCAATGACATTTAAAGCCTGTTAGACTGAATGAAAATTAGAACCATCCCTTTGGATCACAATTTGGTTTATCCTATAAAGGTGAAGATGTACCTACCCTCACACCCACTGATACATACCCTAGAGAAATTCTTGTACATGTGCTCTAAAAAACGTTTACCAGAAAGTTCCTAGTACCATTGTTTGTGATGGCAAAACACCAAAGCCAAAATAATATTAATCAGACACTAAATGGCAAATGAATTGTTCATAAACAAAATGAATAATGGCAATGAAAATGAACTACAGCTATGTTTATCAACAGAGATGAAGTCCAGAAACACAGAATGGAATAAAGGACAAGTCTTAGAAGAATATCCACTGCATGCTTTTTTATAAAGCTAATTCAAAAGCTTTTTAAAAAAATTTTTTTTTTGAGACAGGGTTTGATCTGTCACCCAGGCTAGAGCACAGTGGCACCATCTGGGCTCACTGCAGCCTTGATCTCCTGGGCTCAAGTGATCCTCCTTCCTCAGCCTCCTGAGTAGCCTGGGACTACAGGCATGTGCCACCATGCCTGGCTAATATTTTTTCAAAAATTTTTTATAGAGATATGGTCTCACTAAGTTGCTCAGGCTGGTCTTGAACTCCTGGCCTCAAGCAATCCTCCCACCTTGCTGAGATTACATGTATAAGGCACCATGCCCAGCCCAAAAGCATATACAAATTTAAAATATATTATTTAACGATATATATTTATATACCTATAGTAGAACCATTATGAAAAACAAAACTCAAACACAAAATTCAGAATACTGATTACTCTGGGGAAAAGAGGAGGCTACAATCAGAAAGGGGCAACCAGGGGATTCTCTGGGATTGGTAGTGTATTTGTTAAGCTGGGTTTTTATTGTTCTTTATTGTGTGTGTGTGTGCGTGCGTGTGTGTGTGTGTGTAAATTTTTTGTATGCATTAATATTACATGCATTCATTTTAATTTTTAATTTAACTTATTTAGCTCAGTATCTCACAGACATTGCCCATGTAATCCTTTTATCTCCTTACACATACTAACACCCAGTCGAGGTCTGTTTCGGAAACACTGCTCTAGGCCTTAAAACCTCTCTTTTGGCAAACAGACTCGCCCCAGCCAAAACTTGGGGCTATTATTCCAGCAGGGCCAGGATGCCAGAGCAGATGCCTAGCTTTTCCTGGGGCCACGCTTCTCCAGGCCATGCTTGTGCACGTCTTCATAAGCACACATGAACTGTATATACCAGCCTTACCTCAGGTTTTAAAAGTCCTTGTTGTGGAAGTAGCAGGAGGTCTGCTGATGTGTACAAAACTAACTGATATTCAACTCCCCCATGTCCTTGGAGTCCACTTTCCCTCCCCAGCCTGTCCAGGCACACATGGCAGGAGAGATGACACTCCAAGCAGAGGTGCACGTTCTTGTAAGAATGAAAATTATTCTGGAGAGCTCAGTGTTTTCTGGGTTTTACCATGGAAGTATCTAGTCAGGCGCAGCATTTTCTGAGGCAATTCCTCTGTGCGGCTAATGCCTAATAATCTTCCAATATAAATAGCTCCTGCTGGGCTTTTGATTTTCACACCTTGGTGGACTCGTTGAGAGATACTTTACAGCCGGTTGCAATGCTGAGAAGCCAACATGTTTTTCCCCATGCCTTTGCTGATAAAGGACTTTTGAATCGCTGTGATTGTAGCAATATTAAACTCCCATGCATGGCTGTTGGACTTTAGTCTCTCATTAGTATCAGGTTTAATGAGGTCAGGCTAAGAGAAGATTGTATGTTCTTAAACTGAGTTGACATTGATTGTCACTACCATGGAGTGGCCTACTATACTTTAAACCCCTGGTTCAGAGGGAATATTTCATTTTTGCTAACATTGTCTTCCATTGTGAAGACTGATTTCAGCATAATGATCCATCACCTGAGGAGATTCACTCTGCTGCTTCGAAACTCATATCTTGTAACCAGACATTTTATATTCTCTGAGTCTCCCGTTCCCAGCTCCCCGGCTTACTGCACCTGCTTTTTCATAGCTCACGGCCCTCTCTCCTTACAGGGGATGCCACAGAGATGTTCACCTCTCACTTCTTTTTCTCCATTTTCTTTTTCAAGAAACCTTGTCACTTACACACAGTTTCCAGCTCAAGAGCAAGCCATCTATCATCACATGAGGTGAAAGTGGCACGGAGCAATGTGTGCTGAAGCAGAACCAACATGGAAATGGTGAATTTGTTTTCACAAAGTGTCAAATGGACCGAAGCGTCCTTAACACACTGGCTTTACCCCGGAATGGCATTTGGAGGGCAGGGAGGTGATATTTTCCTCAACCCAAGGCTAGGAGGTCAGATGAGCAGCAAGAAGATACTGGAAATCCATCCCAACTGTCTCCCTGGGTCTCACGTCACCCTTTCTCTTTGCACATCTGCTCAGTCTCCTCTCTTCCTCTGCTCACCAGCCTTCTCTGGTCCCAGCCCATAGAGCAGAGCTCATGACTGCCCCAGGTCTCCTGAGGACTCATAGTCCAACCATACTTCTCTCCAGTCCCAAATGCAAATTACCAGAGTTGCAATTTCAGTTGACCCCATCTGGGTCAGCTGCCAATCCACTGGAGCCAGAGGTCAGGGGCACATGCACCTAGATGTTCCTGGGGGCCATTTCCTCTGACTCCAGGCACCCAATTAAGAGTGTTATTACAAGCTGGACAGACATACCAAAGTGCATCCAATATATGCACCTGTCCTTAAGAGCATAATAATACTTCAAAAAATCATCATGATGCATTCTATAATTTATTTCACAAATAATCAATGAACCCCTAATTTGTCAGGCACTGTGCTAGGCTCTGAGGATTCAGGCAGATGATGTCCAGCCCTCTAGTGGGAGAGATAAACAAAAGAACAACCAACTTACAAACAAAATAATAACAGATTGCAATAACTGCCACATAAAAAATGGAAGGGGTTATGTGACAGAGTATTTGAGGGATGCACGTGGAGGCATGCTTGTCTGAGGCCCTCTTGAAGAGCTAATGTTAAATACCTAAGGAAGAAGGTGATTTCAGTAGAGGGGATGGTGGGGGCCCTGAGGTGGAAAAGAACCTAGGGGATACAATATGAGTTTAGAGACACAGACAGGATCCAGTTCATTTGGGGCCTGTGAGCCATGCTAGGAGGTGGGGCTTTTATTCTAAGGGCACAAGGAAGATGTTGACAAAGGTCAAGCAGAGGAGAGCTTGATCTGATTTATGTTTTTAGAAGATGACTTTGGGGTGGGATTGTGTGGAAGCAGGGAGGCTGGTTAGGAAGCTGTTGTGGTAGTTCAGGAGAGAGAGCAGATGAACCTTTGGGAGGGTGACAGTCATTAGGATGGACAGATGTTACAGTCCAAATGTTTGTGGCCCCCAAAATTCATACATTGAAATCCAATCCCCAATATGATCATATTAAGAGGTAAGGCCTTTAGGAGGTGATTAGGTCATGAGTGGGGAGCTCTCATAAATGGTATTAGTGCTCTTATAAAAGAGCCTGAGGGGCTCGTTTGCCTGTTCCACCAGGTGAGGAAGCAGCAAGAAGGTGCCATCCATGAATCAGAAAGTGGGCCCTAACCAAATCTACTGGCACCTTGATGCAGGACTTCCAGCCTCTAGAACCATGAGAAATAAATGTTTATTGTTTATAAGCTGCTCAAACTGTAGTCTTTTGTTTTAGCTGCACAAACAAACTTAAGACAATAGAAGAACCAGATTCTAGATGTATTTTGTAGTAGGACAGCCCAGAACTTGCTGATGCATAGGATTTGAGGTGGAAAAAAAAGAATTTCAGATGACTCCTAGCTTAGGTTTCAGTGGCTGCATGGATGGTGAGCCATTTTCTGGAATAGGGCAGATTGGAATGACTGACCAGATCTTTATCACAGAAGACGTCAAAGCAAGAACTCTGCAGCCCCAGACATCGAGGTTCTTGGAACCTGATCTGCTGAGAAACTCTTGGTTCTCTCTGTAGTCCAAGGGCTCTAATTCTCATAGACCATCACCGTAATTCCACTTCAGTCACCCCAACCACACCTCCTCCCTCAAAACCTACCTATCTATCCCTAGGATGCTTAGAGGAAGAAAGGCTTGGGGTTGACGCAGTGAATTAACCCAAATATCAATTCTCTCCTTTCTAACTCTGTACATTGTTAGGACAACTTTGCTCCAAGTGCCCTATCAGCCTCCACCTCTACAATAAGGGCAGGGAGAACATATTTACTTCACAGAGCTTTCATTTTTAAAACTGAAACAAAGCTATACATGTAAAGTACTTATTCCAGTGCCTACATTATGGTGAGTATTTGATACACATTGGATGTCATTATTCTTAGCATTTCTTTTTTTTTCATTTCTTTTACTTTTTTCAAGGTAAATTTATTACCAGGTACAAATTTGCTGCTTATACACAGAGACTGGAAATAAGTTTTGTTTGTCTTTAGCTCCACAGATGACGGGTGTTTTGTAGCAGTATAATTATCCAGGCAAAAAATTTCACCACCAGGAAAATAGATGTTCAATTGCATTTGCCCAAAATAAAAACTAAGATAAAGACAGAAAATCTTTTCCTGATTTGTGAAATTATTTGTATGAAATGTCTTACCAAGATATAAAATTAAATTACATTTAGTTATACATTTAATTAATTCCTTATTGAAAAGAATAAAATACATGAAATGAGAACTATTCCAGAAATTCAGTACATATGGTCATTGTCCAATGGAGATCAATATAATGGGATTTTACTTGCATTTCCTGCCAAAGAATAGCTTTTCTGGCAGGTAGACATTACTTAGAGGTTGAAGACAACAAAAGAATGTCTCACTAAGGAGCGTTCTGGTATCTCTTTTCCTATAAATTCTCAAGTGTGGAGCAGACAGAATATGTCCACTAATTAAATTTAATAATCTCTTTCAAGAGGTTAGCACTTATGCTACCTAACGTGATTTCCTATTCCATATCCCTCAGCCATTCATTTTGTCTTGGAGGCCATCTCATCAGACAGGAAAATAATAAACTCTCAAGACTGGGGGCACCTTAAAGGCCAACTCATCCACCTCTCCATCAGGATAGAAAATAAATGAGATAAATAAATATTCTCTGCTGTTCGAGTTCTACCCAAAGCATAGAATAGCCAATAGCCTTGGATAGAATATACAAGGGAATAGCTACTGCTATTCCCACCATCCCACATTCAGCTGCCCTTGCAGGAAAAGCAAGTAATCCTGCCTCATTGATGGGCAGAGCTCCACCGTGTTCACAAAGTCAAAGCAATCTCCTACTGAGATTCCATGATAGGCCTCCTCTTAGTCTTAGTAGTGGCCTTTCCATTTGAAGGAAGTCCTTATGAGCCACAAATATCTGATAAAACCCAATACATCAAAGAAGCAGGATGTGCTAGGTAGAATAATGAACCCCTAAAGATGCCCACATCCCAATCCTCAGAACCTGTGAATGCATTCTTTTTGCACATGAGATATGATATTTATATGGTAATATAACATAGACATGTATACATATGTACATTTCTGTTCATATATATGAAGTATATTGTTACTAATCAGTGGTTAACCTTGAGATGGGGAGATTTTCCTGTTCTGGATTATCCAGATGCCCCAACGTGATCACAAGGGTCCTTATAAGTGAAAGTAGGAAGCAAGAGAGTGAGGGTCAGAGTCAGAGAGAGACTGGAAGAGGCTGCCCTGCTGGCTTTAAAGATGCAGGAAGGGGCCATGGCTAAGAAACGCAGGCAGCCTCTAGAGGTGGGAAAGGTAAGGAAACAGATTCTCCCACAGAGCCTACTGAAAGAAGCACAGTCCTGAGGACATTGCTTCTAAGCCTAATAAGACCCACTTCAGATGTCTGGCCCCAGAACTGTAAGGGAATAAATCCATGCTGTTTTAAGCCACGAAGTTTGTAGTCATTTGTTACAAGAGTAATTGAAAACCAATATGTAGGGTGGGTAAACATGAGAGGGTAACAAGAGACTTCATTTCCTCCCGAAGCCTCTTGGAAACCTCACAGGAGCCCCAGTTGAAGAGCTGTGTATGTGTGTTCCTGACCCCCAAAGGCCAACCTACAGCTTCCAGCTACTGATGGCTTTTTATCACGGCATAGTGAAGGCAAACCAGGTACTCATGTGCAAAATAATTTCAAGGAGAGAGTTAAGGTGGGGAGAAATTAAAGGACATTTTAACAGGCCAGGCATGAAGTGGTGAGCATGGGAACAGAGTAGCAGTGATTCAAGAAAAGCCATAACTTTTGGGTCACTCCACCACCACCAAGCCTTAGCCATCCTGGCTTTCCCGTTGTTCCTACAACTCACTGTGCTCATGGAGAGCTTGGGCCCTTCTGCCCGAAAAGATCTTTCCCCTGATAGTACAAGGACTCAGAGCTCACCATTCAATGGCACCACCTCAGAGAGCTTTTCTGTGCCCACCCCATCTATAGCGCCATCCAGGCAGCATTATATGACTTTGCTTCAATTCTTTACTGAGCACTTAACAAAATTTCATGAGTTTCTTATTTACATGTTTACATATTTATTTATCATCTATTTTCTCCACCTGGAATATAAGCTCCATGACAACCAGCACTCTGTCTGTCTTCTGCCCACTTACATTCCCAGGGCCTAGATGAGTACCTGGCACACAGGAGGTGCTCAATAAATACATATAGAAGGAACAAATAAAACTGGAAAGTCCTCAGTTACTCATTGGATAGAGAAGGAAACAGAAGGATGAATCAGGAGTGCTGGGAAGGGAAGAGTGTGTTCCCTTTAAACGATACGGAAGAGGGACAGGGAAGTGCTGGGTAGAGGAGGGCGGGTCCCTGGCTAGGGCTTCACCCCCACAGACCTTGGTGAGGACAGGCACTTCTGCCTATGTGCCCAAATGTTACATTTCCCAAGATCACCCTGGCCCACCACACCCCCATCCTGGGCCTACAAAAACCTGAGACCCTAGCGAGGCAGAGAGAGGTGGCTGGACGTCGAGAGGAACACGTCATTGGAAGTAGGCACAAGTGGCTGGATGGCGAGAGGACATCGAGGGGAGCATGCTGGCAGAAGAGCACACCGACAGACACTGCAGGCCATCGACTTGCAGGTCGAGGTGGAGCTTAGCCAGGGCACTCTGAGGAGAGCAAGGGCACCCAGCGGCCCAACTCCAGGGGAAAACTATCTCCCTTCTGGCTTGTCCATCAGCGAAGAGCTACTTCTACTCAATAAAACCTTGCATTCATTCTCCAAGCCCATGTGTGATCCGATTCTTCCGGTACATCAAGGCAAGAAACCCTGGGATATGGAAATCCCTCTGCCCTTGCCACAAGGTTCATCGAGCTGGTTAACGCAAGCTGCCTATAGACGGCAAACTAAGAGAGCACCCTTTAACACATGCCCACTGGGGCTTGAGGAGCTGTAAACATTTACCCCTAGACACTGCCGTGGGGTCGGAGCCCCACAGCCTGCCAGTCTGTATGCTCCCCTAGAGCTCTGAGGAGCGGGGCACTGAAGAAGCAAGCCACACGCCCCTTGCACGCCCTGCAAGGGGGACAAGGGAACCTTTCCCGTTTCAATATATGGCTCCAACATGTTTACCCTTAAGTACCTAGAGAGGTTGGTGCCATGGACAGAGATAGGAGAACAGAGAGAAAATGTAAATTCAGGACATAAAGCCAAGGATGAGTTTGATTTTCAGTATGTCAGGCATGAAATAATAGCAGGAAGTCCTGTGGGCACTTGAACTCATCAACTACCAGTTCAACTTGTTTTTTCATCATCTTCCTAAACTGGCTCCTGTTTTCTTCCTCTCTCTACTTCATTTGGTGACACCACCATTCAAGCAGTTGTCCAAGCTAGAAAGCTAGGAATTTATCCTGGACTCCCTTCTCTCACTCGTTCCAAAATCCAATCAGGCCAATTTTCAAATTGCCAAATTTAAGTAAGAGGCATATTTTTTCTTCCACATATGCTGCCCTTTTCTTTGATGAATCCTCAGTATGCTATCTTGCAGTTGTTTTTTAAAAAATAAATACACTTACTCAGTTTCCTCAAGGTAAAGATAACATTTTAACAATGAATGAAAAAATAACTACTTTTCAAAAGAAACCCCTATCGAAGAGAACTTTAAAAATAGATGTTTAAAAATGGTTCCATCATCTTGTGATTTTATTGCCAAAAATAACGTAAGGGGGTCATGTGTACACACATGGGTATCAGAACACTTTAAAAGCTTGGCATTTACTAACCTATTTTACGTTTTTTAGAAAAGAGGTTCAGCAGATAACGGCAACTATTTGTTAACACGACAAAAAGTACATATCTCTTCCAGTTAGCCTGCAAGAACAACTGATTGATATCAGGGATGAAACATATTTACCAACTTGAATTTCATCAAAGACATTTGTGTCATTACTAATAGAATTGAGCACGGAGTCTCATGATTAGTAAGTGTGCTTCCATTTGGAGTTCCATATCTTTATAAGGCCTTTTCCAGCTATATCAGCCACTACAAGCAAGAACTGAAATACACTGAGAACAAGACCTGCAAATCACTGTATTGCAAGTATTAAACCAAAACTTAAACAGAATAATTAGGTGTATTCAATCATTAGGTTTGTCTATTATAAGTAAATAAAATTATTTTAAATGCTTTAATCCCTTTTCTATTTTATCCTTTTACTGTTTATATTTTGGACAATGTTTTTAAATAGATATAATATATTAGTGGAGCAATAAGCATATAGTTGATTTGAAATATAAGTACACTGGGAGTGTGCAGCAGAGATTTCCATACCCACAGGATGTTCAATCACTGGAGCCAGAGGAGCCACCACAAAATGCACACAGCCCACAGCATGGAAACATTTCCATGGCTCCCCATTTTACGCAGCTGCCATCCTCTGTGACTATCAAGATGGGCGATGTGCTTGCACAGAGGTGTACTGTCTTCTGGGTACACTTAGATTTCATGAAACCTGAAAGACCTGGTAAGGAAGTAAAGCACAGCAGCAGTTTGTTACTACTGTAGCCACTAGCTTGCTGCTTGGATAAGGTGAACAAAGAGTTATGCTCAAGCACTGGCTTCTAGCCCTCGCTCCATCCCTTTCTCTCTCTCAAGAAAGCATATGGAATGCCAGTGGGGGACAGTCACCATATTCTAGGGATAACCTTGAATCTGCTCTAATTTAGGTTTCTAAAGGAGTAAAGCCATTACAAACCTAACACTTTATTATTAGTAACACATTGTTTGGCTGCACCCCAGTGAGTTAGGACTCCCAGGCTGAAAACCTCTTCCTTACAAAATCCCATTTCAGCTTCCCCATCCCTGCTTTCCTCTCACACCTCACTTTCTACCACCTTTGGTCTCACACTTTACCCTCAGGTGCCTGCACATATCATGCTGTTTCTTACTTTGTTCATAGTCTCCTTTGCCCAACATTTCTTCTACTTGCCATCCCCACCTGACTAACTTCTATTTTGCCATTAGGATTAAGCTTAATCCCACCACTGGGCATCTACCCAAAGGAAAAGAAATCATTATATTAAAAAGATACCTGCACTTGCATGTTTATTATAGCACTATTCACAATAGCAAAGTCATGGAACCTACCTAAGTGTCCATCAACAAACGACTGGATAAAGAAAATGTGGGGCGTGTGTGTGTGTGTATAAAATATATATGAGTGTGTGTGTATATGCACACACCATGAAATACTATGCAGCCATAAAAAAGAATGAGATCATTGCTGGCAAGATGGCTGAATAGGAACAGCTCTGGTCTGCAGCTCCCAGCAAGATCGACGCAAAAGGTGGGTGACTTCTGCATTTCCAACCGAGGTACCCAGTTCATCTCATTGGGACTGGTTGGACAGTGGGTGCAGCCCATGGAGGGTGAACCAAAGCAGGGTGGGGCGTTGGCTGACCCCGGAAGCGCAAAGGGTAGAGGAATTTTTCTCCCCTACCCCAGGGAAGCCATGAGGGACTGAGCCTGAGGAGCCATGCACATTCTGGCCCAGATACTGCACTTGTCCCCTGGTCTTCGCAACCCACAGACCAGGAGATTCCCTCTGGTGCCTACTCCACCAGGGCACTGGGTTTCAAGTACAGAACTGGGCGGCCGTTTGGGCAGACACCAAACTAGCTGCAGGAGTTTTTTTGTTTTTTTTTTTCATACCCCAGTGGCACCTGGAATGCTAGCGAGACAGAACTGTTCACTCCCCTGGAAAGGGGTGCTAAAGCCAGGGAGCCAAGTGGTCTGGCTCAGTGGGTCCCATCCCCACAGAACCCAGCAAACTAAGATCCACTGGCTTGAAATTCTCACTGCCAACACAGCAGCAATCTGAGATCCACCTGGGACGCTTGAGCTTGGTGGGGGGAGGGGCGTCCGCCATTGCTGATGCTTGAGTAGGCAGTTTTCTGCTCACAGTGTAAACAAAGCAGCCAGGAAGTTGGAACTGGGCAGAGCCCACTGCAGCTCAGCAAGGCTGCTGTGGCCAGACTGCCAGATTTCTCCTCTCTGGGCAGGGCATCTCTGAAAAAAAGGCAGCAGCTCTAGTCAGGGACTTATAGATAAAACCCCCATCTCCCTGGGACTGAGCACCTGGGGGAAGGGGCGGCTGTGGGTGCAGCTTCGGCAGACTTAAACGTTCCTGCCTGACAGCTCTGAAGAGAGCAGCAGATCTCCCAGCACAACGTTCAAGCTCTGCTAAGAGTCAGACTGCCTCCTCAAGTGGGTCCCTGACCCCTGTGTATCCTGACTGGGAGATACCTCCCAGTAGGGGCTGACAGACACCTCAGACAGGAGCTCTGGCTGGCATCTGGCAGGTGCCCTGCTGGGATGAAGCTTCCAGAGGAAAGAACAGGCAGCAATCTTTGCCGTTCTGCAGCCTCTGCTGGTGATACCCAGGCAAACGGGGTCGGGAGTGGACCTCCAGCAAACTCCAGCAGATCTGCAGCAGAGGAGCCTGTTAGAAGGAAAACTAACAAACAGAAAGGAATAATACATCCACTCAAAGACACCATCCGAAGGTCACCAACATCAAAGACCAAAGATGGATAAATTCACAAAGATGGGGAGAAACCAGCGCAAAAAGGCTGA
Source organism: Homo sapiens (assembly GCF_000001405.40). Lineage (NCBI taxonomy): Eukaryota > Metazoa > Chordata > Mammalia > Primates > Hominidae > Homo > Homo sapiens. The sequence continues at coordinate 128,534,987 of NC_000004.12, read as the reverse complement.
AAATTCCAAAAACCAGAACGTCTCTTCTCCTCCAAAGGATCACAACTCCTTGCCAGCAAGAGAACAAAACTGGACAGAGAATGAGTTTGACGAACTGACAGAAGTAGGCTTTAGAAGGTGGGTAATAACAAACTCCTCTGAGCTAAAAGAGCATGTTCTAACCCAATGCAAGGAAGCTAAGAACCTTGAAAAAAGGTTAGATGAATTGCTAACTAGAATAACCAGTTTACAGAAGAACATAAATGACCTGACGGAGCTGAAAAACACAGCACAAGAACTTCGTGAAGCATACACAAGTATCAATAGCTGAATCCATCAAGCAGAAGGAAGGATATCAATGATTGAAGATCAACTTAATGAAATAAAATGAGAGGACAAGACTAGAGAAAAAAGAATGAAAAGGAACAAACAAAGCCTCCAAGAAATATGGGACTATGTGAAAATACCAAACCTACGTTTGATTGGTGTACCTGAAAGTGACAGGGAGAATGAAACCAAGTTAGAAAACACTCTTCAGGATATTATCCAGGAGAACTTCTCCAAGCTAGAAAGACAGGCCAACATTCAAATTCAGGAAATACAGAGAATGCCACAAAGATACTACTCGAGAAGAGCAACCCTGAGACACATGATTGTCAGATTCACCAAGGCTGAAATGACGAAAAAATGTTAAGGGCAGCCAGAGAGAAAGATCGCGTTACCGATCAAGGGAAGCCCATCAGACTAACAGCGGATCTCTCAGCAGAAACCGTACAAGCCAGAAGAGAGTGGGGGCCAATATTCAATATTCTTAAAGAAAAGAATTTTCAACCCAGAATTTCATATCCAGCCAAACTAAGCTTCATAAGTGAAGGAGAAATAAAATCCTTTACAGACAAGCAAATGCTGAGAGATTTTGTCACCACCAGGCCTGCCTTACAAGAGCTCCTGAAGGAAGCACTAAACATGGAAAGGAACAACTGGTACCAGCCACTGCAAAAACATGCCAAATTATAAAGACCATTGACACTATGAAGAAACTGCATCAACTAATGGGCAAAATAACCAGCTAGCATCATAATTACAAGATCAAATTCACACATAACAATATTAACCTTAAATGGAAATGGGCCAAATGCCCCAATTAAAAGACACAGACTGGCAAATTGGATAAAGAGTCAAGACTCATCAATGTGCTGTATTTAGGAGACCCATCTCATGTGCAAAGACACACAAAGGCTCAAAATAAAGGGATGGAGGAATATTTACCAAGCAACTGGAAAGCAAAACAAAGCAGGAGTTGCAATCCTACTTTCTGATAAAACAGACTTTAAGCCAACAAAGATCAAAAGAGACAAAGAAGGGCATTACATAATGGTAAAGGGATCAATGCAACAAGAAGAGCTAACTATCCTAAATATATATGCACCCAATACAGGGGCACCCAGATTCATAAAGCAAGTTCTTAGAGACCTATAAAGAGACTTAGACTCCCACACAATAATAGTGCGAGACTTTAACACCCCACTGTCGATATTAGACAGATCAGCAAGACAGAAAATTAACAAAGATATTCAGGACTGGAACTCAGCTTGGACCAAGTGGACTTAATAGACATCTACAGAACTCTCCATCCCAAATCAACAGAAAATACATTCTTCTCAGCACCTCATTGCACTTATTCTAAAATTGACAACATAATTGGAAGTAAAACACTCTTCAGCAAATGCAAAAGAATGGAAATCATAACAAACAGTCTCTCAGACCACAGTGCAATCAAATTAGAACTCAGAATTAAGAAACTCACTCAAAACCGCACAACTACATGGAAACTGAACAACCGGCTCCTGAATGACTACTGGGTACATAACGAAATGAAGGCAGAAATAAAGATGTTCTTTGAAACCAGTGAGAACGAAGACACAACGTACCAGAATCTCTGGGACACATTTAAAGCAGTGTATAGAGGGAAATTTATAGCACTAAATGCCCACAAGAGAAAGCAGGAAAGATCTAAAATTGACACCCTAATATCAAAATGAAAAGAACTAGAGAAGCAACAGCAAACAAATTCAAAAGCTAGCAGAAGACAAGAAATAACTAAGATCAGAGCAGAACTGACAGAGATAGAGACAGAAAAATCCCTTCAAAAAATCAATGAATCCAGGAGTTGGTTTTTTGAAAAGATCAACAAAATCAATAGACCGCTAGCCAGACTAATAAAGAAGAAAAGAGAGAAGAATCGAATAGACACAATAAAAAATGATATAGGGGATACCACCACTGATCCCACAGAAATACAAACTACCATCAGAAAATACTATAAACACCTCTACGCAAATAAACCAGAAAGCCTAGAAGAAATGGATAAATTCCTGGACACATACACCCTCCCAAGTCTAAACCAGGAAGAAGTCGAATCCCTGAATATACCAATAACAGGTTCTGAAATTGAGGCAGTAATTAATAGCCTACCAACCAAAAAAAGTCCAGGACCAGATGGATTCACAGCCAAATTCTACCTACCAGAGGTACAAAGAGGAGCTGCTACGATTCCTTCTGAAACTATTCCAAACAATAGAAAAAGAGGGAATCCTCCCTAACTCACTCTATGAGGCCAGCATCATTCTGATACCAAAACCTGGCAGAGACATAACAAAAAAGGAACATTTCAGGCCAATATCCCTGATGAACATCGATGCGAAAATCCTCAATAAAACACTGGCAAACTGAATCCAGCAGCACATCAAAAAGATTATCCACCATGATCAAGTTGGCTTCATACCTGGGATGCAAGGCTGGTTCAGCATACGCAAATCAATAAACATAATCCATCACATAAACAGAATCAATGACAAAAACCACATGATTAGCTCAATAGATGCAGAAAAGGCCTTCAACAAAATTCAACAACGCTTCATGCTAAAAACTCTCAATAAACTAGGTATCTATGGAACATATCTCAAAATAATAACAGCTATTTATGACAAACCCATGGCCAATATCATACTGAATGGGCAAAAACTGGAAACATTCCCTTTGAAAGCCAGCACAAGACAAGGATGCCCTCTCTCACCACTCCTACTCAACATAGTATTGGAAGTTCTGGCCAGGGCAATCAGGCAACAGAAAGAAATAAAGCGTATTCAAATAGGAAGAGAGGAAGTCAGACTGTCTCTGTTTGCAGATGACATGACTGTATATTTAGAAAACCCCATCGTCTCAGCCCAAAATCTCCTTAAGCTGATAAGCAACTTCAGCAAAGTCTCAGGATACAGAATCAGTGTGCAAAAATCACAAGCATTCCTATACACCAATAACAGACAAACAGCCAAATCATGAGTGAACTCTCATTCACAATTGCTACAAAGAGAATAAAATACCTAGGAATCCAACTTACAAAGGATGTGAAGGACCTCTTCAAGGAGAACTACAAAGCACTGCTCAAGGAAATAAGAGAGGATGCAAACAAATGGAAAAACATTCCATCCTCATGGATAGGAAGAATTAATATTGTCAAAATGGCCATACTGCCCAAAATAATTTATAGATTCAATGCTATCCCCATCAAGCTACCAGTAACTTTCTTCACAGAACTAGAAAAAACTACTTTAAACTTCATATGGAACCAAAAAAGAGCCTGCATAGCCAAGACAATCCTAAGCAATAAGAACAAAGCTGGAGGAATCACGCTATCTGACTTCAAACTATACTGCAAGGCTACAGTAACCAAAAACAGCATGGTACCGGTACCAAAACAGATATATAGACCAATGGAACAGAACAGAGGCCTCGGAAATAACACCACACATCTACAACCATCTGATCTTTGATAAACTTGACACAAACAAGCAATGGGGAAAAGATTCCCTATTTAATAAATGGTGTGGGGAAAACTGGCTAGCCATATGCAGAAAACTGAAACTGGATCCCTTTCCTACACCTTATACAAAAATCAACTCAAGATGGATTAAAGACTTAAATGTAAGACCCAAAAACCATAAAAATCCTAGAAGAAAACCTGTGCAATACCATTCAGGACATAGGCATGGGCAGAGACTTCATGTCTAAAACACCAAAAACAATGGCAACAAAAACCAAAATTGATAAATGAGATCTAAAGAGCTTCTGCACAGCAAAAGAAACTATCATCAGAGTGAAGAGGCAACCTACAAAATGGGAGAAAATTTTTGCAATCTACCCATCTGACAAAGGGCTAATATCCAGAATCTACAAAGAACTTAAACAAATTTACAAGAAAAAAAAACCCCATGAAAAAGGGGACAAAGGATATGAACAGACACTTCTCAAAAGAAGACATTTATGCAGCCAACAAACATATGAAAAAATGCTCATCATCACTGGTCATTAGAGAAATGCAAATCAAAACCACAATGAGATACCATCTCATGCCAGTTAGAATGGCAATCATTAAAAAGTCAGGAAACAACAGGGGCTGGAGAGGATGTGGAGAAATAGGAACACTTTGACACTGTTGGTGGGACTGTAAACTAGTTCAACCACTGTGGAAGACAGTGTGGCGATTCCTCAAGGATCTAGAACTAGAAATACCATTTGACCCAGCAATCCCATTACTGGGTATATACCCAAAGGATTATAAATCATTCTACAATAAAAACACATGCACACATATGTTTATTGTGGCACTATTCACAATAGCAAAGACTTGCAACCAACCCAAATGCCCATCAATGATAGACTGGATAAAGAAAATGTGGCACATATACACACCATGGAATAATATTATGCAGCCATAAAAAAAGGATGAGTTCATGTCCTTTGCAGGGACATGGATGAAACTGGAAACAATCATTCTCAGTAAACTATCACAAGAACAGAAAACAAAACACTGCATGTTCTCACTCATAAGTGGGAGTTGAACAAGAAGAACACATGGACACAGGGAGGGAACATCACACACCAGGGCCTGTCAGGGGGTGGGGGGCTAGGGGAGGGATCACATTAGGAGAAATACCTAATGTAGGTGACAGGTTGATGAGTGCAGCAAACCACCATGGCACATGTATACCTATGTAACAAAACTGCACGTTCTGCACATGTACCCCAGAACTTAAAATATAATAAAAAATAAAATAAAAAAAGAAAAGAAAAACAACAAAAAAAGAATGAGATCATGTCTTTTGCAGCAACATGGATAGAGCTAGAGGCCCTTATCCTAAGTGTAATAACTCAGAAAATCAAATACCACATGTTCTCACTTATGAGAGCTAAACAATGGGTACACATGAACACAGAGAGGGAAATAACAGACAATGGGCGCTCCAAAAAAGGGGAGAAAAAAGGGGGGGTGGTGAGAGCTGAAAATTTACCTATTGGGTACATTGTTCACTCTTTGGGCGATGGGGACACTAAAAGCCCACACTTCACCACTACACAATATATCCCTGTAACAAAACTGCACTTGTACTCTCTAAATCTATAAAAGGAAAAAAGAAAGAAAAAAGACTAAGCTCAAACCACTTCTTCCAGGAAGTCTTCCCTGACTCACCATGATCTACCTTTGCCAGCCTTTATGTTCCCATCATACTCGAATAGCTCCATGATTGCACCAGAATTGTCTATTTACAGGTTGATTATTCCCACCAGACTGTGAGCTCTCATTTAAGCTGAGGGGGATGGAGTCTTACCAGTAAGCACAGTGATGGCATGTAGCAGGCATTCCAGAGATGTTTGCTGAATGAGAGAGTGAAGGAGCCGATGAATCAGAGAGCCTCTGGAAGCCCTTGGATGTTTAGGAGTGACAGACTAGAAGGTTAATCTAATGACAAAACATCTACATTTAATTAGTGATCTTTCATTGCCTTGAATGAGAAGTTACCAAAGAATGAAAAATTACAAGAGAAATAGAATTGGGGCACTCTGGGGGGAGGGTAGTGAAAAGCTGTTGAGTAAGAGAAGAACATGGATAGGGTTCCGCAGTTGACCCAAAAAGGCCATTTCTCCCCTTCACAGGTATCACCACAAAGCAATGACCTCTAAGGTAGCTTGTGGCTGGACAGGGTTGGAGGTCTCTCAATTGCTGGACATTAACCCTTTAGTTGCTGTACTGTCGGGAGTTCTGAGGAATCCCAGAGGAGGGCCAAGCAATGTGGACAGTGAATGGGGGGTTCTCAAGGAGCCCTGGGCTGGGGCTATTTTCCAACAAGTACAAAATTATTTCAGATTTTTTAATCATTGGGGTAGACATACCAGTGAAATCAACTTAATACCAGCCTGCCTATAGGTAAATCAGGTACATACCCCTGTGTCTTCAAGGAGAATAACTGACCCTTTAAAAGCCAACAGTTTTTTATCAAGTAAGAACTCTTTCCCTCTTGACTTTTGAGAACACTTTCTCAGCACTTGGGCGGATAGAGCAAGCTCTAAACAAGCATTGAGTGATTTTTTTTTTCACTGTTTTTGTTCCCTTAAAAACTTGTCTGTATAATTGTGTTGGGTAGCTCTGTCCTTCCCCATAGCAATAAAATGAAAGCTGATTTAGGCCTTACTATGTGGAGGACTTTTAGTCACAACAAGCAATAGCTTTACAGTTATTTGCATTCTTAGCTTCCTCCTTCGTGTAATTGGAAGAGATTTTGATTCAGTCCTTAACCTAGTTTTTACAGAGCCTCCACCAAATGCCTCAGACTCAGATACACTCTGTCACCCGTGGCTAAATAAATGAAATGAGTTTTCATCAGAAAAGGTCAGTTCTCCTCCCAGAGAGGGTTTCTATGATTCCTGCACTTGATGGGGTTTTTCCCCACCAATGGATTTCTTTCTCACTTGATTGTCCTTTCCTCACTGAGTATAAGCTGCAACTCTTTCCAACGTGGGGCTCACTTGGGGTTTTCATTTTTCCAGGATTGATTCGCTCTCAGAAGGTGAAAGTGGGATGGGGGTGGGATGAGTGAAACCATCTCTGAAATGACCAAAAATAGCTGCAGTATATAAAGCAGCTGATTAAATTATTTTGAAGAGCTGATGAATGCTTTAAAAATCTCTGCACTGAATGCAATTACCAATGTTTCTCAAAGTGCACTTTGAGGCCACCTGCATCCCAATCACCTGAGTGCTTGTCAAACATGTAAACTCCCAGGTCCCATCAAAGGACCACATCTCACAGTAAAGGCCTAGAAATCTGTACTCTAAAAAAAAATTTAAATAAAGAATAATATACATACTGAAAAGTGCACACAGCATAAAGTGGACAGCTTGCTGGAGTTTCACAACTAAACCCATCTGCAAAGCCAGCACTCAGATCAAGAATAATATCACTGATATCCCAGAAGCCCCTCTGCTCTCTCCACGCACAGTCTACTCACTCTCCTCAAGGCCAACCCGTATCTTAATTGCTAATGCCATAGATTACTTTCACCTGGGTTTTTTGGTACTGTCTATAAATGGACTCATGCAGTCTGCATTCTTTTGTGTCTGGCTTTTTTCACAGATTGTGAGATTCATCCACATTGTTGCATGTCATTATAGACTGTTCACTCTCTTTGGCTGAATGGTATTCTATTGCATGACTATACCAAAATGTATCCATTCAATTTAAATCTAAATTATAATGAAATACAGTCATGCGTCACTTAATGATGGGGATATATTCTGAGAAATGCATCATTAGGCAGTATTGTCATTGTGTGAACATCACAGAGTGTATCTACACAAACCTAGATGATATAATCTCCTACATACCTAGGCTATATTGTATGGCTTATTGCTCCTAGGTTATAAACCTGTACAGCATGTTATTGTCTTAAATATTGTAGGTAGTTGTAACCCAATGGGAAGTATTTGTGTATGTAAATATACTTAAATATAGAAAAGATACAGCAAAAATATATTATAATCTTATGGGACCACCATTGTCTGCATGGTTCGTTGTTGACCAAAATATCATTTTATGGCACATGACTGTACCTTTGTATAACCAATAGAATGGCTAAAATAAAAACAGAAAACACCAAGTGTTGGTAAGAACGTGGATCCACCGAAACTCTTAAACACTAACATGGCAGTGAGACTATAAGTTGATAAAATCATCTTGGAACACTTTTGGCAGTATTTACTAGTGCTGAATATATGGCTACCTTAAATGCAGAAATGCTACTCCTAGATGCCCAACAGAAACACATATGTTCACCAAAAAGACACAAAATAGCCCAAAACCTGGTACTACCTAAAAGTGTATCAACAATTGATCCAAATCTGCCTTTTTAACATATTTACTGGTTGTCTCTTATGTACATGAAATTTTCAGAATCTTTGCATTTATATTCTGAAGGTCTACCTTGAGAATAACCCTAGGAATTTTAGCAGCTATCAAAATACATATAGGGTCAATATATTTGAATTAAAGAAAAGATATTTTTCATCATTAAACCACCAACAGGACTCCAAGTAGGAGTTTACACTTAAGCACCATATACATTCCCTCATGACTTTGAAAGCTGAGCTGTATAGAAAAGTGTTTCACAAAGTGTGTTGAAATTTTAATTGTGTTCTCACAGCCATGTGTTCAGGGCAGCTGCTGCTGTTACTCAATTGCACTATCACTGCTGTGAATGAATATTTTATACACTGCTGTTTTCCCACACAGTTCCTTTGATTAAATAAAACTGGAATGTGTAAACTCAAGAAATAACTGAAAAAACTCAGTTCTTAGAAACTTTGATAAGAAGCAATTGAGCAAACCCCTACTCTGAAGTCGAGTGTGAGAATTTACTTTTGTTCTAGTACAGATGACAGATGTGGAATAACAACCTATTTAAGGGAGTACCCTTAAGGTGAGCAGCCTTAAATAACATAGAGATGACCCAATTTTCCCTCCTCAGGAGGTGAACAGGCACCCAGGAGGAAAACCACCTTAAAGGTAAACAAAGAAACAAGCCATTCTTGTTCCTCAGGATTTCCACAGATTAACAACAGTCCAAACAAACCCCAAATGCAAACTATTTGGAATCTCCAAATGTTTAGAACTGAAAGAGGCCTTAAAAGACATCTACAAAGAGAAAAGGAGACTTTTACATGGATATGACATAACCAAAATTATACATTGCTATGATTTAAAAATAAGGCATAAAGCCAAATTTTTAGGCACTCAGTAATATAGTGACTGAATTTAGCCTCTATGTGAGACATTTCAGCAATTACTAAAAAGCACAACGAACTTAAGGAAATCTAGCGTCTCCAAGTGTAAGCCATGAATCTGCCCTCCTTCTAAAACTAGAGCCACCATAGGTAGTGTTCCTTTTGTTTTATTTATAAAGGACTATTCAGAGGTAACCTACCAAAGTCAAGGCGAAAGAGCCTACAGCAGACACCAGTATCTCAAACCTAAGATTGAGAAGGGCACACTGGTATTCAGGACAACTGGGACTTCTATGTGCAAGTGGCTGTGACATGGCAAATATAGAGGAAGAGCTCTGACTGTAGCTGCAGGACGTAGAGAGAACCCCGCCCCCCGCCCCCGCACTTTTCCATTATTAATCTGCTCTGTCTCAAGGGAGATGACAAATACTTAAATTTTTTTTTTTTTTTTTTTTTTTTTTGAGACAAAGTCTCACTCTGTCACCCAGGCTGGAGTGCAGAGGGCAATCTCGGCTGACTGCAACCTTTGCCTCCAGGGTTCAAGTGATTCTCCTGCCTCAATCTCCTGAGTAGCTGGAATTACAGGCGTGCACCACCACACCCAGCTAATTTTTTGTATTTTTAGTAGAGATGGGGTTTTACCATGTTGGCCAGGCTGGTCTCAAACTCCTGACCTCAAGTGATCCTCCCGCCTTGGCCTCCCGAAGCGTTGAGATTACAGGCTTGAGCCACCGCACCCGGCAAATACTTAAAATATTAGGAAGCTTGATCACTTACAAGGAGCAGCTCATCTGGGAATACACTTCTCATTCACCCTAAATTCCAGAACTTCCCTCAGCCCTTAGGATCACGCTTAACTTGCCAGGCAGTGAAGTTACAAGGAGGGGGTGGTCGTGGGGTAGGGCCCATGGAACAGTCAGCCTGTGCAGGTGAAAAGGGGGTGACTTCAGAGGACTCTGCCACTCTATCACTCAGGTTCCCTAGAATGGCGGTCTCATGGGATATTGTCAAGTGAATGTTTCTTTTTTTTTTTTTGTAGGAAAAAGTTGACTCTTTAGGACAATGAAGTGATTCTAAATATGGTGAATGTACTTTTTCTTTTTCTTTTTTTTTTAAGTTGGAAGTCATCCTAGCAGTTAGTTGTTCTTTGAGATGGAAACTTTATCCTCATAATTTAATTTACTTGGACTGCACAGGAGTTTTCGAATTAAACATTGTCTCTAACAGTGTTACTAGTGAATTTACCATTATTTCAAGTTTAAAATGCAGCTTTGCCCACAGACAGCCAAGACAAACCCAGGACGGCCAGCTTTAGCCAGCCTGGGCCAGCCAAGGCCCTCCTTCTCCAGTCAGGAAGTAGATGCTGGAATGCCTATGCCTGGGTCACTGCGTTAGGTCCACCCATAACTCTTAAACAGGGCTGACTCAGCTGCTAGCAGGGCGAGGCCCTGAGTGGGTGCCAAGCAGACCTTGTTGTTCTCCTGCTTGTGCCCCGTTCTTTCTTTTTTTAAAAAATTTTCAACTTTTATTATAGATTAAGGGGTATGTTCCACGGGTATATTGCATGATGCTGAGGTTTGGGGTACAAATTAGCTGTCACCCATGTAGTGAGCATAGTACCTATCACAATACTTTTCAGCCCATGTCCTCTTCCCTCCCGCCTCATCTAGCAGTCTCCAGTGTCTACTGTTCCCATCTTTATGTCTATGTGTATTCAATGTCTAGCTTCCACTTATAAGCGAGAACATGTTATTTGGTTTTCTATTGTTGCACTAATTGGCTTAGAATAATGGCTTCCAGCTCCATCCATGTCACTGCAAAGAGCATGATTTCATTCTTTTTTATGGCTGTGCAGTATTCTATGGCATATATATATATATACCACATTTTCTTTATCTAATTCATGTTGATGGGCACCTAGGTTGATTCCATTTCTTTGCTATTTGTACTCCATTCTTAAGGCCATCCTGGCATTATCCTAGGCCAGGCTCCGCTTCACTTTTCTTTTATGGGACAACCAAGCAATCCAGTTGAGGAACCCCTTACATTTCTGACAAATAGGAGAAACTGGTAAACTGTCTGAACCAATTCCCATCAAGGCCACCCTGATGCAGAGCTGATTCTATCATGTTTGTGTGGTACAAAGGTAGATTTGGGCCAAAACATAGAATATAAGCTCTGTGAAAGTAGATGCTTGTGTGCATTTTATTCAGTTCTGTCTCCCGAGGCTCAGAACAACACCTGTCATATAATAGGAGCTGGACAAGTATTTGGTGGAGGTAGTGCTGATCCAGAGGGGATGATGAGAGTACAGACCAGAAGGAACCAGGGCTCGGCAACATGGGCCTGGGCCTCATGAGCTAGAAATGGAAGAAGGGTAGCTGAACCTGGTGGAATTCAACACTCATTGCGGGCTTTTAAAAAACCAGATCATCAAGGTAAATCCTACCTTATTAGTGTTTTTTCATTAATTCAGCAAACATTTATTGAGTACCTGTGTTGTACTAAGCACTGTCTAGCTGCGAGGCACACCACAATGAACAAGACAAAAATCCACGTCTGCAAGAAGTTTCCATTCTAGTAGGGAAGACAGGCAATAAACATGCAGGTATTTTGAAGAATTTTAAGTGTGAAGAAGAAAATAACCATTAAAACAGATAGATGCCGGGTGCGGCGGCTCACACCTGTAATCCCAGCACTTTGGGAGGCCGACATGGGCAGATCACCTGAGGTCAGGAGTTCGAGACCAGCCTGGCCAACATGGTGAAACCCTGTCTCTACTAAAAATACAAAAATTAGCCAGGAGCAGTGGTGTGAGCCTGTAATCCTAGCTACTCAGGAGGCTGAGGCAGGAGAATTGCTTGAATCCTGGAGGTGGAGGTTGCGGTGAGCCGAGATCACCCCACTGCAGTCCAGCCTGGGTGACAGAGACTCCATCTCAAAAAAAAAAAATAATAAAAATAAAAAACAAACAGAGTGGAGCAGGGACAATATTATTGCTCTTGCTAGGATAATCTGAGAAGGATTCTCTGAGGGTCTGATATTTGAGCTGGCACCTGAATGCTGAGAAAAAAGGCAGGGATTTTCTCAAAGAACATTTCAAGCAGCAAGAGCAAAAGCCTTGACACACGGTACATTTGGAAGGTCAAGGGACAGCGAGTGTAGGTAGAGATAGAGGCTGAGTGGGGAATGGGAGGAAGGTTGAGTTGTGTATCCTTGTAGCCCTGGGTAAGAAGCTTACATTCTATTTTAAGTGAGAAAAGGGAAACATAAAAAGAGCTGAAGCAGGGGAGTAGGTTGATCTTCACTCATTGAAAAAAATATTTCTAGCTGTGGTCCGAAGATTGGCTATGGGGGAGGAAGAGAGGCCAGTGAGAAGGATGCTACATGCCTTGGCTGGGCTGCAGCCAGGAGGTGCTGAGAAGTCATCAGCTTGGGATACCATGTGCAGCTGCAGGACCTGCTGATGGATTGCAGGTGAGGTATGAAATAAAGGAAGGGAGGAAGGAATGAAGGTGACTCCGAAGATTTCCAGGAAGCAGCTGAGTGGATGGTGGTGCTATTTACTAATCTGGGAAGGGTAGGGATGGGGTCAGGTGAATGCAGAACCTCTTTTAGCCACAAAGAGTTTGAGGTTGACATGCACAGTCTCATGATGTCAGACAATGGTTCGAATACGGAGATCTAAGGCATAAGAAGAAATAGCGACTGAGGAGTCAGCAGCGTATTTGTGGCATGGAAACTCTGGATGAGACCACCTAGGCAGACGCACTCAGCATCAATAGCATCTTTCACAGAACTGACCGCCTCTAATGTATCACTCCCCAGTATCCTGTTAGCTCATAACCTGACTTCTTTCAGACCTATTCTCAACTCTCTCATTGACGTAATGTGAAGAAAGAGGAAATAATAGGGACAAAATGTCTGATCAACATAGAACTTCAAGGATGATGAAAGTTCCTTTTTAAACTAGATAATCTAGAGGGGAAGACAGCAAACTATAAAAGCAAAATGCAAATTATTATTCTTCTTGAACCTGGTTTCAAGTCTGTTTTCCTAGTGACGCTAATGCCATCTGAAATGCTGCGGGTGAACTAGGACAGTGCCTCCAAACATTCCCTTTGAATGACATCATTGATTCTAGGCAAAGAATCAAGGGATCTTGGACAGCAGGACTTAGGAGATAAGGAAAAGGGAAACCCATTAACATTTAGGTAACATACACATTTAACTTCTTGTTTTTTGCGTTTTTAAAGTATTCTATTCTTAAACCTATGATGCTTCATTCTAAATATATTTTATTTTCATTTTAAATTGTAAGGTCTCATTGAATTTGCTGCAGTGAGCTTCAAAGTCACATCTGTAATTATGAGGGGAAAACTGAAGCGTAAAGTTCTATAACAAATAGATCTAGTTTTCTGCTTTGCCACTGGGAAACTAAGCAGATTGCACATTTTGTTTCATAAGGAAAATCCCCCAGAGTCCTAATGCAAAACCTATGTCATATACATGACTCCACTTTGAAACAATGGAATCTCATGGTGCAGCCAACCTTTGCAAAACAAGTCAAGGAATTTTCCATGATGCCAAGGACTCTAGTTGGAGTTTGTAGTATATCAGGCCCCATTTTCCCCTGTTATTCAGCTCAAAACGTAAACAAAAAAGAAGGGGTGGAGAGGAAGAGAGGAAGGAGGAAGAGAGGGAGGGAGAAAGTAAAGAAAAACTTTACCCCTAGAGATCAAAGGTTAAAACTTAGCTCTTCCCTGGAATTGTCTGATCTTGATTCAAGGGCATAGGAAGTGTATGGCTGCTCTCATTTTATACCAGAAAACAGCAGAGTCCCTGATTCTTTGCTCTAAAACCACTATAAAAGGAAACTGGATCTAAAATCCTGTTTCACCCTGAATTGAGAATCCATCTGTGCACTCTGAGCGCTCTTCCTCACCCCACCCTTCACCGAACAGAAAAAGGAGGCGGGCAGTCCAGTGCTTTGCACATCCCTACCACAGGACCACACTACTGCTAAGGTGTTTAAAAACCAGGATCCTCATTTTTGCTCATTCTCAAATGGCTGCTTCTTCAGACATGACCCAGCCCGTTGCAACCAAAATACTACTGAGTTTTATCAGATCCACTCTGAAGTCTGCCCGCTCTTCCCTACTCTCCTCTCCAACCATTATACTCACTCCACCTAGCACTGTCTCACCAAAAAGAAGCTCTTTCTTGCCTCTGTGCCTTTGCACACACATTGTCCCCTCTCTGATCACACTTATTTGTTTCACCATGTCTGTGTCCCCCACTTACATGTTTCACAATCATACCCCAGCTGGTCTAGCATCACAACATGAGAAAGGATCACAAGTAGAATATTTTTTAAATTCTTAGCTGGGCAAGGTGGCTAACATCTGTAATCCTAGCGCTGTGGGAGGTTGAGGTGGGAGGATCACTTGAGCCCAGGAGTTTGAGATCAGCCTGGGCAAATAGTAAGACCCCCAAATCTACAAAACATTTAAAAACTGAGCTGGATGTGGTAGCACATGCCTGTAGTCGCAGCTACTAAGAAGGCTGAGGCAGGAGGATTACTTAAGTCCTGAATTTTGAGGCTGCAGTGAGCTAAAATGGTGCCACTGCACTCCTGTCCAGGTGACAGAGTAAAGACCTCATCTCTAAGAAAATAAAAAGTCAAATATAAAATAACTGGCTGGGTGTGGTGGCTAATGCTGATAATCCCAGCACTTTGGGAGCCTGAGGCAGGAGGATCACTTGAGCCTGGGAAGTCGAGGCTGCAGTGAGTCGTGTTCATACTACTGCACTCCAGCCTGGGTGACAGAGTGAAACCCTATCTCAAACAAACAAACAAACAAAAATTATCCCCAATTTAGGTCCTTTGGTGGGTTGAGTGTCTTAATGGCTCCAGCACATCCATCACTTTTGCCATGTACCTTGGCAGTGCCCTCTCAATCTGAGGGGCATTCTGCCCCAACTCACCTGACTGTGGCTTTAGCCTAGTGACTGATTTTGTCTCATGGGATGTTGGCAAACATAATTCAGGCAGAGGTTTCTGAAAGTGCTTGCACATTTCCACTTAGATTCATGTGTCTCCACCACTGCTAAGAGAGCATGCTCAGGCTGACCTGCTTGGCTACTCACACGGCAGAGCCAACGTGCCGCAGCCATCCCAGCCAAGGCTACTGTGGACCAGCCAATGGCAAACAATCCCCATACATGTGAATGAGCCCTGGCACCACCAGCAGAGCTGCCTAGCCAACTCACAGCCGACTGCAGATGAGTGCAGCGCAGAGCAGCCGAGCCCAACCCAGAGCAGATTCATGAGCTAAATCAAGGTTCAGCCAACTATGGCCATGGGCCAAGTCTGACCCACCATCTGTTTTTGTATGACTTGTGAAAAAAACTCACAGACCATTCAACTTCGTGGTTGAAAAAAATCAAAGTATAATATTTCTTAACATATAAAAATTCCATGAAATTCCAATTTTAGTGTCCATAAATAAAGTTTTATTGGAACACAGTCATGCTCCTCCATTTGCATAGCATCTAAGGCTACTGTTGTGCTACAAGTTCAGAGTTCAGAGACTGTATGGCCTGAAACACCTAAAATATTTACTATTTGGCCCTTTAAAAAAAAAAAAAGATTGTCAATCCCTGAGCTAAATAAATGTTTATTGCTGTGTGCCACTGAAAGTCACCAGTGATTTGTTTTGCAGCATCACTGTAGCAAAAGTTTACTGACACATCTTCTCATCTGAACAGCCATTTCTTTACCTATTTCCCCCACAGAAAGTACTGGTGGAGCAGAAGAAGCCCAACGTCAGAACAAAGCCAGCTTCCCCCTCCTCCTTCCCACCGTGGGCACAGACCCCATGTCCTGGATTGATGGCTGGGATGATGGGCTGTAACAATGAATGCCAGCATATCAAAAAATGTCAGATTCTTCAGTGGGTTCCTGTCTAGGGAGCAGACAACACCAACCACTCTGCCACAGTGACCAGTGAGGATCCAGAAGTCCCCTCATCCTGCCGACAGTGCCACAAAGCTTATGAACAAGGGTTTCCATCTATCACCAGCTGCACACTGAGAGGTCAAACTGCATAGGAGTAGAGGCATGAAGAGGAAACCTGAAAGATGAAAAGAAACTTTTAGCTCAACCTAGATAATTACATTGGAACTAAGTTTACAAGATTGGGCTAAAATTGAATTCCCACTCTGGGGTCCAGTGGTGGAAATTTGAGAGAAATATTCCACCAGTTAATAAAAAAAGTTGTTACATTTTTTATTATCTCTGAGTGTATTGTGAGTGAATTTTGCAAATCTGATATGAATTTTTGTAAAATGAATACACAGATGAATAAATGAATGAATGAATGCGAAACTCCTCATCATCCTGCCATGTACTCTTCCCACCACCCGCTGGCATTTCTAGCCAGTGAAGGCATCAATCCAGAAACAACTCATTCCTCATCTTGAAATGCCTTCCAACTTCTAGGAGCAAGCAGCAACTTCTAGGTCTAGCTCCCTCCTTCAGAAATGCCTAAACATTCGCCTACATTCCCTGGTCCCTTGGCTCAG
The DNA here is from genome assembly GCF_000001405.40 of Homo sapiens. Taxonomy (NCBI): domain Eukaryota; kingdom Metazoa; phylum Chordata; class Mammalia; order Primates; family Hominidae; genus Homo; species Homo sapiens. The sequence continues at coordinate 128,518,304 of NC_000004.12, read as the reverse complement.
GAATTTTGTAGGTGGTCTCAAAGCCTTGGATAAATTTACATGAAACAGGCTGGCATCCTCTATGTTAGAGGAGTTTGGATCTTTCAGTAGACTCTAGCCTTAAACCTGTACCAAAAATCTTTTGAGATTATAATGAGGCAATGTTTTCCCCAAGAGGAGAAAAGGTCAGATTCCCACATCTGGAGTTTGACCTTTGTGCATGTTGTCATTTCACCCACCACAGGAAACCTTTCTAGGCTGGGCTAAAATGTGTAACTTCTCAACAGTGTGGCTGGTAGCAATCCCACCCAGCTGTGTGGAATGGGAAGTGAAAGGGCAATTAATATTCTGTTAAAACTTCAGGGGGCTGCACTGAAGCTGGCCAGATAGCAAGGCTGACTCATCACGTTAAAACCCAATGCAGTATTGTCTGCTCACTTCTGCTGACTCACTTGTCAGCCCTAAGCTATGTGTACCCAGGCAGAGCTGCCAGGTCTCACATCCGCCTTTCCAGAGTGTTACCCTTCTGCACCAGCCATGACCATTCACTCTCTGGAGAAGCATTTATGATCAGCCATGGATGATTTTAAATGTGTGAAGAACTGTTTCATGGAGGGAGATTATCAGCCTCTTTCTTACATTGTTTTACATGAAAACAACATGAACAGCAACACAACTGACACTGGAGAAGAACCATAGTTCTTCCAAGCTGGAATGGAGCCTTAGAGATCAAGCTAGATCTTATGAGATCTAGTGGGAAGGAGGCTAGCACGTTGAATAAGAGCTTTGAGTCAGGCGACCTGAATTTATGTAGCCTTGGACACAGGTAGTCGAATTATAAGTAGTAGGCTAATACAGCTGTTAAGCAACTTTAAGCAAATTGCTCAGACTCTCTGAGCTTTGGTTTCCTTATCTGTAAAATTAGAAATAATTATAGCACCCACCTCATGGGGCTATTGTGAAGAAAGGATGAAAAGAGATCAAGTATAAAAGGAATCGAGTGCTGGGCACAAAGTGCTCCATATATTGTAGCTATTAGTAAGGCTGATGAGGCAATTCATGGAAACCTCTTTCCTGGAAACAGGATAGAACCTACATGTGTTTGGCATTAGATTAGTAAAGGGTAAAAGAATATCACTGCAAGCTGGGTATTGATGGGGGTGGGGAGGACAGAGAAGGAGGAAGAATTGCCCAGGGAATGCTGGACCTTCAGTATTTTGAAGGGCCCTGCTTTGGGGCCCAGGTGGGGAAGTATCCACCTTTCCATCCTGGTTTTAGGTCTGCTGAAGATAGTTATTCTTTTTTTTTTTTTTTTTTAAAAAGACCCTTCTGATTATAAGTCTTTGTTTGAAGACATTGCTCAGATTTCCCTTTAAGGGCCTCATTTAAATGTACACACAAGGCAGCACAGTCCAGTTTTTTAAAAAAAGCCTGGCTAGTAATGACATACAGAAACTGATACTTACATGATACTGTTAAGTGCACTCTTTTTAAACCACTAATTCTTATTTCACAGAAAGTGGTCCTTATGTCAACGTCCTTAAGAGGTCCAACAGCTTGTATAACCAGCAGACCTCATGGTTAGTTAGCAGCTTTCAGGACTTGAATTCCCAGTGATAAACAAAAGAATTCCGAAGGCCACAATCCATAAACTCTCCATAAAAACATATGGAACTACTTAAAAAGGTTGGCTCAGGGCTGTTGTTTTGAAAACAAGCATCCTCAGCCAGAATCTCTACTGAGTGCTATTTACTGAATGGTTGAAGAAGGGCAAGACCCCATGGATGCTGTAGCGCTGCGTTTCAGCAATCGCCAACATTTTGCAGATATTGCTCTAAGCCTCCTGATATCCTGGGAAGGATGCAAGAAGTCCGTACCTTTGCATCCATTCCACTCAAGGCATTGGGGCTACTCATGGAGGAGCCTGCACACCTTAAATATCCTTCTACACATGTGATTCCAAGATCTTAGGCCTCCAAAACTCTCGTTTACTATTCTCGGAGCTTTCTGATTACAATTCCCCCAGCAAGATTCAACTGACTGCTCCATCCTTTGCACCTCAACAATAATCCATCAAAATTTCACTTATAGAATAGATGATTCCAAGCCAGTCTCCTATTAGTGAACTGTGTTCTTTGAAAGCAGCAACTTTTATCTGCTTCTCCATATCTCTAGGATTTGGCTTAGTAGGTGCTGGACAATTCTTTTATTCTTGTATTAATAAAATCTAATTAATTACAATTATAAGTTAATGAGTAAATTGATTAGGCCCTGACCTTTTGAATCAGTCTAGAGCCAAGACTAGAACTCAAAGTTCTGATACTTACTCTGACTTCACAAGGACTTCACTCGTACTTCACAAAGATTTCCAGTGAACCCAATCATCGCTCTTGCTGTCAGATGTCAGATTAATGTGGCCACCAACATGTAGATATAGGATAGGTTTTGGATCCATTGGCCATCATACTCCTAAACGTGAACATAGTCAACTTACCTGGTTTTTCTATGCTGTTTAAGGATCAAGAGAGAATCTTCTAGAACTTTGTCTTGGTTCCAGAACAACACAGATTGTCTCTCTTTTTCTAAAACTAATAATGAGGCTTTTTTTCTCAGTATTAAAATGTTACTCAAGACTTTCTGTTTTAATAAAATGGGAGAGTAAGATAAATCTCACTATTAAAAAGCTAGAAATACTGGATAAAATATAAAATTTGAAATGTTTTATATTCATGCTTAAGCTCTCAAGAAAGAAAAAGAAATACCCAGGCATCAGAAACCAAGAGATAATTGAAAACAGAACAAAGTTTTAAGGTGTCAGTTCATGACGTAGCTGTGCTATGGAGGTGGAAGGGTGACTATTATTATTATTTATTAATTTTTTTGAGATGGAGTCTCGCTCTGTCACCCAGGCTGGAGTGCAGTGGGGTGATCTCGGCTCATTGCAATCTCCACCTGCTGGGTTCAAGCAATTCTCTTGCCTCAGCCTCCCAAGTAGCTGGGATTACAGGCGCATGCCACCATGCTCAGCTAATTTTATTTATTTACTTTTTTTTTTTTTTTGTATTTTTAGTAGAGACAGGATTTCACCATGTTGGCCAAGCTGGTCTCAAACTCCTGACCTCATGATCCGCCTACCTCAGCCTCCCAAAGTGCTGGGATTACAGGCATGAGCCACTGCACCCGACCAGTGATTACTGATTCTGTTCACCCAAGGGCTTGTGATTTCACGCTCATGTGGAAACATGAGGTAAGCACTGGGCCCAAGTGGACAGGAAATTGGAATTGAGAACCTTGCATAGAAGCTAGGTTCTACATGAAAAGGTAGTCTACATATTCTACATGAAAAGGTAGTCTAAGTAAAAACCCACCCATTCACATAGGTATATGTCAAGGAAATTGAAAACTTAAATGAGTAGGTTAAATAGCAGATTTGATATAGCAAGATAATTTATAAACTGGAAAACAGATTTTAGACATTACTCAATAGGCACAGAGATATAAAGATCTGGAAAATATGGAAGATTAAGGGACATGGAAGACGGAAAAGGAGAACCAACAGATTTAATTCCAAGAATGCGAAATAGAGGAAAATAAGACAGGCAATACTTGAAGAGATAATGGTTGAAATGTTTTCATCAATGATTAAAACACTTGAATCCTGAAGTTCAAAAACTGTAATGAATTCCAGGAAGGATAAATAAAGCTTAAATGTAACAAATCCAAAGCAAGCCACAATATAATGCAACTGCAGAACTTCAAAGACACACATCTCAAAATATTATAAAAATACTATAAAAGCAAAATCATCAACCTAGAATTCTATACCCAGCTGTATTTAGTTTTCTAGGGCTGCCATAACAAAATACCTCAAATTAGGTGGCTTAAACAACAGAAGCTTATTTTTCACAGTTACGGAGCCCAGAAGTCAAAGATCAAAGTGTTAGTAGGTTTGGTTTCTCCCTGACTTGAAGAGCACCCTCTTCTTGCAGTGTCTTCCTGGGGCCTTTTCTCTGTGCAAATGCATCCCGGGTGTCTCTTCTTATAAGGACAGTGATATTGGGTTAGGCCCCATCTTTATGACCTTAGTTAACCTTAATTACCTCTTTAAAGGCCCTGCCTCCAAATACAGTCACATTTGCCCTTACAGCTTCAACATACAAATTCTGGAGGAACACAATTCAGTCCATTGCATCAGCTAAGTCTCATTCAAAAGTGAAAGTAAAATAAATACATTCCCCAAATAAAAGACCAAGAAAGTTTACTGCTCATTGATAGTGATGAAATCAGCCCCTCCATAATTGGCCAAACTCTATGCTATCATTTTTAAAAATTAAGATTGAACAGACAAAAATGTTTTAATGTTCTACTCCCTTAAACAACTATCACAACCTCTTCAGAGACTTTCAACGTCATATTCCCCTACTTCTTCAAAGAATCTCCTCCTCCTTTTAAGATGTACATTTGAATCTCTTTTTGTGTGTTTATTTCAATGCTTTTCAGTACTCTTATTTTGAAAATGTACATTTGACTCTCCTTTGAAGTTTGTTGGCTTATGAGTACTGGACCACCTCAATTTCTTTGTGGATCCCAAGGCAACTCCTAGAAGAGGTAGATGTGTGAGTACAGGGAGGGAGGAACCTTATATTCATACAGAAAAGAGAATTTATGGAATTAATTAAATCATAAAATTAATGTTGACCTGAGCTGTGGTAGGTAGTCCTGGACTCTACCTGTTCATCTTTTTCATTTCTTCTTGCATACAGATCTTAAGTAAATGACAAAAAGCCATATTTTAAAATTTTGAATCTGTAAGTTATCTAAAACACAGACCTTTATAGAAATAAATGCTAGGGATATGTTGCAAAAAGAAGAAAACTTTAACCAAAAGTATAGAAGTGGAATGCAAAATGCAAGGTGATCAAAGTAATTTGAAAACACATGGGTAAATTTAAACAGGCATTGGCAGTATAAAATAATAAAAACAATAACAACGATAATAGTTACAATGGTAATAACAATATCAGTCAGCATCCAGTCATGAAACAGGAACCTAAGTCTTTTTGACAGAGGGAATTTAATGACTTATGTGGGTCATGGAAGCCCAGAGAGGTCAAACAGGAAAAGAGTGGCAACCCAGACACTAAAAACAGCAGACTGCTGCTACTCTCCCTGGGCTGCAGAAGCAGGGCTCAGAAGCCAGGCCATTGGGCAAGCACCAAAACCACAAAGTGAATGACACCCAGTGGGAGCTGGAGTCAGGGAGGAAACACAGCCACCACCAGAGATGCTAGAAGAAGAAGCATCCAACCTTCCACCAATGTCTTCCACTGACAAAACTCACCTAGATAGCAGAGGACAAGGGAGCCTGGAAATGTGGTTGGCTGTAATACAGAGTAGAATAAAAGAAGGGCAGGAAATGGATCTGAAAGCAAAGGCAGCTGATTAGCACAACAATAATGACTGTTAGGGTTTCAAAAAAAGGATAGGATTAAATGGATAATAAAGGACAAGATAGAAAGGGGGTGATCTAGCAAATAAAAAATTAGTAAGAATTTTAAAAATTTGAGCCAGCCGGGCGCCGGTGGCCCACGCCTGTAATCCCAGCACTTTGGGAGGCCAAGGCGGGCGGATCACAGGGTCAGGAGATCGAGACCATGGTGAAACTCCGTCTCCCTAAAAATACAAAAAATTAGCCGGGCGTGGTGGTGGACGCCTGTAGTCCCAGCTACTCGGGAAGCTGAGGCAGAAGAATGGCGTGAACCCAGGAGGCGGAGCTTGCAATGAGCCGAGATCGCGCTACTGCACTCCAGCCTGGGCGACAGAGCAAGACTCCCTCTCAAAAAAATAAATAAAAAAAAAAATTGAGCTGCACAAATTAAGAAGCTTGATTTAATTCAGAGCTGCTCACAGTTGTGCCAGACTCCCTGGAATGCCAAGAATCAGTTACAGATGTGCTGTGAGATATTAATCCCCTTGGCCCTCAGGGCAGTCTGGCAGGGCCTGGCTGCCTGGAGCCTCCAGGCTGTTAGAAGCCTTATCCAAGGCTCCTTGGAGGGAGGATGGAGAAGAGCAAGGTCTGACAGGGAACCCCACAGTCCCTGGAGATGTTGAGTGCAATGAGCAAAATGGAGCCCTCACTGCTCTGCCAGATGCACTGTGCATGGCCAAGGTGCTCTACTACCTGGAGATGTACTTCAGCAGGCACTGCAGGGCAAACCCCTGCCCTCTTGAGTCCAAAGGGCTCATGGAGCTCCAGGGGAATGGATGCTCCAGGTGACTGAGGAGCAAGGAATACAACCCAAACTGCAGCATGGGATGGAGAGATGGGGAAAGGGGACTCCTGGTAAGTGCTAATCCAGGCATTGGTCCCAAATACCTGTCTTTACATATATATATATAAATATATATAAATTTATATAAATATATATATTTATATATATTTATATATATATATATATATAAATACTATTCTGTCATCCATTGCTGTGTAATAAACTACCTCAAAACACAGTGGCTTAAAACAACAATCATTTCATTATCTGTCATTATCTTCTGAGTCAGGACGTTGGGCAGGACTTAGCTGAGCAGTTCTTTTCCTCCATTTGAGGTACATATACTTGGTATTATTCAGTTGGTGGCTGGGCTGGGCTGGAGGAATCAAGACAGCTTTTCTCACATACCTGCTATTTTGACAGGATGGCTAGATGGCTGGACTAACCAGGGCCCCTCTACCTCTGCATATAAGGTCAAGTCTTCTCCACAAGGTCTCTCCAGCAAGGTAGTCAGATTCTTATACAGCAACTCAGGCACAAAGAGGCCAAGGCAGAAGCTTCCAAGTACTTTTAAAGAACAGGCCTGGAAACAGCACAGCATCACTCTTCCCTATTCAGTTGGCCGAAGCAGTCACAGGTCAGCCTAGATTCAAGAAAAGGGAAAGTAGACCCCGCCTCTAAATGGGAAAAATATCAAAGAATTTGCAGTTTTCTTTAATCCACCATTGATGCTTTTTTCTGTTTGTGACTAATATGAACTTGAATGGCCTGCAAGCTAGAGGTAACTGTTCTAACAGTAGATTTTCACAGTAAAACTTCACTAGAATTTAAAAATACTTGGTATGTGAAATTTTATTTGGATTTGAAATTTATTTGTCCTGTGTATAAGTCAGAGTTCAGACAGAGAAGCGGAACTTTATGGGGATAAGATGGCCAGACATCCAAATAGCTAGATAGAGAAAAAGACAGATGATTAATAGATGATAGATAGATAGATAGATAGATAGATAGATAGATAGACAGACAAGGATTTCACCTTATGCAACTGTGGGAGCTGATTAAACAATCTTTTTTTTTTTTTTTCGAGACAGAGTTTTGCTCTTGTTGCCCAGGCTAAATAGAGTGCAATGGTGCAATCTCTGCTCATTGCAACCTCTGCCTCCCAGGTTCAAGTGATTATCCTGCCTCAGCCTCCTGAGTAGTTAAGACGATTGGCACCCACTACCACGCCTGGCTAATTTTTTGTATTTTTAGTAAAGAGACAGGGTTTCGCCATGTTAGCCAGGCTGGTCTCGAACTCTTGACCACCTCGGTCAAGAGACACCCACCTCGGCCTCCCAAAGTGCTGAGATTACAGGCGTGAGCCACCGTGCTTTGCTGTGGTTGAACAGTTTCTATTACGCTATTATTTTTGCGTCTAATGCTGGATTTGAAACCCAAGAGCAGGCAAGGTGCATATAAATAGGAGAGATTAAGGTCAAGATGTAACCTACAAGGATGGCCTGGAACCAGTGTCAGTTCTTGCTGTCTCCAGCCTTGATGAAGTGAGTGTCCTGCAGGAGACACTAATGCCCTTTTTCCCAGAGCTAAACACATAAACACACACCTGGCTCAGGAACTGGAGAAGCCAAAGTTAGATTTAAGGGAAGGTGCAGCAGTTCCAGCCCAGATGCTACCCTAAGCAAATGAGGTGAGCCGACAGATAAAGCAACACGTGTGAGCCTTAAAACGCCCTTGCTCCAACCTTCCCAGCATACAAAGCAGAATGGCTTCTGCTTCACTTCTGCCCTCCAAATCTCATGCAAAAATGCCTCCTGAAGCCCATCCTGACTGAAAACACATAGGGAAAGGGCTTCTGGGAGACACAGTTCAACTAGCCAAGTGGACACGTTACAAAGCTACCATGCCCTGTCACAAGAAATTTCAAATTACATTTTTTCAGTGAAATTAAGGAAGAACTTTAGATGCTTCCTATATAATATCAACGGTTTGAATTGTTTTTAAAATGTTGTAACATGATTTTGGTAATTTATTTGGACAAATATTTTCATTGGGTTTTCAACACCATGAATTTGAGGAGATTAGAAAAGGTCATTATTAAAACATCTTAATCAGGAATGATCTATAGCTATTTCAAACATAAAATCTGATTAAAATAGTTATGTTCATGAAAGCAAACTCAAGTTTCTCAAGTAAAATTCTGAAAGTGTTTTATTTAGGCTTATAAAAATTTAACAATGTCTTATCTAATACTTTGTATTTTTCCTTGTAATTATATAAAATTTTAAAAGGTACAATAAATATTTTAGTAAGCCCTGCAAGACATTTTCAAATCAACTCCAACTTATGCTACTGTGCTGTACAAATATTAGAATTTTCTATATATGAGATGTCATTAAAAGGATTGGAACCACTTATATAAATTGACATATATGGATTTCCGTACCTAATAAAAAAAGAATGTATGTTCTGTTTAAGTGCACATTGTACGTTTGCAGAAATTGACCACATTTTAGGCCACAAAACACATCTCAACATATAGCAAAGAACTGATATCATATAAACCAAGTCATCAACCATAATGCTATTAAGTTATAAATCAATAATCTTTTAAAAAGCAAAAAGAACTCTATAAATTTGGGGATTTAAAAACATGCTTTTTTTCTGGGCAAGATCTTATTCAACTTCTAGTTTCAAGCTATTAGAAAAGGAAAAAGACTGAATACATTTATGGCAATAAGTTTTTGAAAATGCTTTTAGGTAAATCATTAATTAAACAGGAAATAAATGATAACAGACATTAAAAAATATCTAGTACTGAGTTGTAACTGAAACTATTTGTAAAAATGTGTGAGGTGCAGCTATAGTTACAGTTAAAGGAAAATTTATTGTCTTAAAATCCTGCCTTTGACATAAAGGAGTTGAAAATTAATGAGCCAAACATACAACCCAAGAAATTAGAAGGGAAAAAAAAAAAAAAAAACGTATCCACGATAGGCAAGTTGAATAGAGGGAAGAAAATGATAAAGATATGACTGAAAATCAATGAACTAAAGACAATGAAACAATAGCAAGTATCACAATCCTAAATTTGTTTCATTGAAAATTGACAAACTTTTAGCAAGATTTTTAATGAAAGAGTAAGAATAAAAGGTTCTGTGAACAGCTACTCAGGAGGCTGAGGTGAGAGAATCACCTGAACCCAGGAGGTGGAGTTTGCAGTGAGCCGAGATCGCGCCACTGCACTCCAGCATGGGCGACAGAGTGGGACTCAGACAAAAAAAAAAAAAAAGGTGCTGTGAACAAAAGAAGACATAGTTACAAATACGGTTGATATTTAACAATCATAAAATAATGCTTTGAACAACTATATTACAAATTAATTAGAAAATAAGTAAAACAGGCAATTTCTTCAAAACAAATGTAGAACCAAAACTAACTCAAAAAAGAAACAGAAAATCTGAATAAACTATTGAACAACCAAAGAAACTGAATCAGTAATTAAAATCTACCCATTAAAAAACACCAGCCCAAAAGTTTTTTAGGAGTGTTCTACCATACACTAAAGGAATAGATAATCCAAAACTCTTTCAGAGAATAGAAAGGAAAAACAAACAAACACATACCTTTCATGAGGCAGATATACCTTGATTCTAATAAACAGACAAAACTGAAAGGCCAATCACATTCCAAAGCAAAGACAAAAAACTTTAAATAAAATATTAGCAAATGGATTCCAGCATTGTATTTAATTACATTAACATATGTTAATATATTTAAAATTATTAATAACTCACAACTATAATATAATTATTTAAAAACACAATTTTATATAAAGAGAGAAAATATATACACATTTCAATACATGCAGAACAAATATTTTGTAGACTTCAATAACCTTTTCATGATTAAACTGATAGCTAACAAAAAAAGAAGGGAACTTTCTTAAACTAATAAAGGTTATCAACCAAAACTGTACAGCAAATATTATACTGCATGATGAAATTCAGAAATACTCCTGTTTAAGTTCTGAACAAAGGAAGAATACCCATTATAATCACTTCTATTTAATTTTGTTCTAAAGGATATTAAACAGCACAATAAGACAAGGCATAAAAGGAGTAAAGGATTGGGAAGAAAGAAACAGGACTGTAATTATTCATAGATGATGTGAGTTCAGCAATGCTGATGGATTAAAATATCAACATGCATATATAAATAACGTTCTTATACATCAGCCACAATTAGGAAAATGTAATTTTAAAATAGATTCCATTTACAATAACAACAACAAAAAGCAAATGCAAATAAGGACCTAGGAATAATCTAGCAATAGATATACAAGACTCTATGAAGGAAAATTATAAAAATATATTTTTTATTATTATAAAAATTATAAAAATATATTTAAGACTAAAAGAAAAGTGAAATAAATGAAGATATATATTTATTCATGAATTAGAAAGTTTAAAATCATAAAGATCTCAGTTATCATCAAGTTAATCTATAAATTTAATGTAATTTCAATCAACAAGTTTTTAACAGAACTTGACAAGTTAATTCTAATGCATATGGAAGAGTAAAGAGTCAAGAATAGACAAGAAGCATTTTTGAAAGACATGAAGTATCAAGAATAGACAGGTAGACTTGAACAAATGGAAAGACATCTTCTGTTCTTGAATAATGCAACTCAATATTATAAATATGTCAGCTCTCCCTAAATCAATTTATATATTTAGGACAGTCTCAAAGAAAATACCAACAAGCTTCTTCATGAAGTTAGACAAGCTAATATTACAGTTCATATAGAAAAACAAACACATAACAGTAGCCAGGACACACTCAAAAGAAAAATCAATTTGGGGATAAGTCATATATCAGGAATTAAAACATACTATAAATTCTCTATAATTAAAAGTGTGGTGCTAGTACAAGAATAAACAAATAGACCAGTGGAATAGAATAGAAAGCTTAGAAATAGACACAAGTTAATCTGGAAATGTAATATGTGATAAAGGTGGGATCTCAAATGACTGGTACAAAGATGGACTTTATTTTATTTATTTTATTTTATTTTATTTTTTATTTTGAGACAGAGTTTCACTCTGTCGCCCAGGCTGGAGTGCAGTGGCACCACCTCAGCTCACTGCAACCTCTGCCTCCCAGGTTCAAGCGATTCTTGTGGCTCCACCTCCTGAGTAGCTGGGATTACAGGCCTGCACCATGATGCCCACCTAATTTTTGTATTTTTAGTAGAGACGGGGTTTCACCATGCTGCCCAGGCTGGTCTTGAACTCCTGGACTCAAGCAATCCTCAAACCCTGGCCTCCCAAAATGCTGAGATTACAGGTGTGAGCCACTGTGCCTGGCCTCAAAGATGGACTTTATAATAATAAATAGTGCTCAAACAATTGGGCATCCACTGGGGAAAAAAGATAAAATTAGATCTGTAACTTACACCATAAACAAAAATGTGCTCCAAGAGGATTAGGAATCTAAATAGAAAACAAGGGACGGAACCATAAAAATCCTAGAAAAAAGCACGGGGGGATTGCTTTTCAACCTAGATATGAGAAAGGCTTTCTAACTATAATTCAAAATCCAGAAGCAATAAAATAAAAAAAAATTTTGACTACAAAAATGTTTTTTAAATTACATACCAAGAGTAAATAGAGTCAAATGACAACGGACAAACCGGGAGAAAATATATCAAAGTGTTATGAGACAAAGGACAAAAACCTCATAGCAAGACGGCAAAATACATGAACAGAAATGTTTTTAAAAGGTTAGAACGTTCAAATTCACTTATAATTACAGAAATAAAATCAAAACAATACTGTGATACCATGTTGTACTTCTTATATCAGAAAAAATAAAAAAGTGTGAGGATATATTCTGTCAGGAGGCTATAAGGAAATAGATAATTTCACACAATGCAAACTGGTAGAAGCTTTCTGGAGGGAATTTTGGCAAAACCTAACAAAACTACACATGCACTTACCTTTTGGGCCTGCAATCTCACTTCTAGAAATCTACCCTGCAGATACACCCCCAATCATACACACACACAGACGAATATGTCCAAGGTTAGTCATTGCAGCATTGTTTGTAATTGCAAAAAAATTGGAAGCAACCAAAATTATTATACAGAGGACAGTTGTTGGATAAATGAAGTTACCTTCATACAATGGAGCACTATGCAGCAGTAAAAAAGAATATGGAAAATGTCTGTGATTTCCAGGATATACTGTTATTATTTTTTTACAAAAAAGCAAAGTAAAAAAGATTATCTATAGTGCTAACCTTTGTGTATAAAAGGAGAAAGAAAATATACACATATCTGCTCATTTGTACAAATGCAAAATAAACACAGGAAAGATAAACCAGAAGTTAATGAGATTGGTTACCTAGAGGGGGTGAGTGAGAACAGGGTGGAAAGAACAATAGGACAAGGCCGAATGCGGAAGAAATGTTTCTCTGAGAATACTTTTTTTTTCATAGTTCTGATTCTTAGAACCATGGTAATGGTTCACACACACACACACACACACACACACACGATAAATAATTAAAAATAAACCAGGATGTGATAGGAACCTCAAATGGAAGACAAACAGTGACAAATGAACCTAACTATATCACAAATAACTAACATAATCAAAGTGAAGAGAGTGGTGAAGAAAGAACTAATCTAAATATCTTTGGAAAAGAGTATTTTGCATGAATACTGTAAGGCTAATGACAAAAAAAAATTGAACCCAAATTCTGTATTCTAGGCTAATGTAGGTTGATTATTCCAAAACTAGTTTGTGTATATACTAGGATCAAAACTTAAGTAAATATAATGAGCTAGTTCCTCACTATCAGCAAAAGAAGTTACAAAGAACAGAAAGGCTAGAATGAAACCAGTGGTGTTGGGTTGGAATCAGAGGTATAAATGTATAATTTTTAATATGTATACTTACGGATGGATGTATATATATCCTACTTCTGTTGACTGAGCAGGACTAGAGACAATACTGATATGGACAGGAGGCAGGGAAAATAGTGGGTAGAAGAGGGTGGGGTCCCTGTTGAAGCCCCACCCTCAAGCCTGGAACCTCAGCCCAAAGTGAGAACATGCATTCCTGTTTTCCCTCTTGAATGTTGCCTTTTCCACCCCCTATCGTGTACCCATAAAAACCCCAGGCTCCACTGGCAACAGCAAAGGAAAGAAGAGAAAAAGCAGCTTGATGTTGAGGAGAAGCAGCTTGATTTCAGAGGGACGGCTTGATGGTGGGATCTCAGAGAAGAGTTTGGCCCAGGATGGCTGTACTCCAGGGAAAACCACCTTCCCACTCCATCCCCTTTCCAGCTCTCCATTATACTGAGAGCCACTTTCATCGGCAACAAAATCCCCTGCATTTAGCATCCTCAATTCGTTCATGCAACTTGCTTCTTCCTGGACACCAAACAAGAGCTCAGGATACAGAGGGCTGTCACACTGAGCTGTTAAACACTTAAGCCATCACCAGAGGGCAAAGCTAAAAGAGCACAACTGTAACACACACCTTCTAAGGCTCCATGGGTCACAGGTACCCCCTGCAGATGCTGCTACAGGGCCACACGAAGTTCTGTTCCTGCCAGTGCCCAGAAGCACTCATGCCAGCCCCTGTACCCACTCACCTGCATGCTCCCCATCCCATGAGGGATTGAGAGCTGTGGGCTCAGTAAATGAATTACCCCCTTCACAAGTCCTGTGAAGGGGTCAGGGAAGATTTCCTGTTTCAATAACCCCTTATAGCAATAGCATATCTGCCCAGATCTTAGCTGTAAATACCATTCCTGAATAAAAGAAATCAAGGCTACAGAATTAACTCCAGGGAAATGGTGATTCCAGAGCTAGGGCAAGGGAAATAAAAGACAATCCAGGAAAACTCATGTTGCCAAGTGAGAATGTACTCAAAAAAATCTGGGGACATGTTGAAAAGACAGAGAAGCAACATGAAGGATCTCCCAAAGACCAGAGCTAGTTAAATTTGAGCAACAAAGTAAGTTATGATAGTATCAAATGATGACCCATGAGTTCATGCTAATGTAAACAAATAATTGAATAAATAAGTAAATGAGGGAGAAGGGACAACTTCTTACAATGGATTACCAATGAATAAATTTAGAAGTAGGGAAAATAAAAAATAACCATTAGGCAACAGCACAGTAATAAATGTTGCAGGCAAGAACAATCAATGGCTGCTCAAATTAGTGTGCAAAAATATGGCAAGAAGTGAAATATTTGCATAGTCTTCAAGTATCTCCCCAGAAGATATTCAGTGATTGTCAAGGGAAAAATAGTGGCTTCATAATTGAGAAACCTGGCAGACATCACCTTAATTGAGTGACACAGGCTAACATCACCAGTAATAAGGCATATCGACATCATGTGCCCACTGATATGATGAGCTAAGATGGGCACATCGCTTCAGTGGCATTCTTGCCAAAATGGCACAACCTCAATGTAATAATTAAAAGAAAGACCATTCCAAATTAAGGGATATTCTATAAATAACTGACCAGTTCTCTTTAAGTGTGTTAGCCATGAAATTTAAAAAAAAGAAAAGAAAGAAAGGAAAGACTCAAGGTGGGTCTAATATTGGACAAAACCAAGGAGACAATACAACCAAATGCAATGTGGGAGCCTGGATTGGATCCTTGACAAGAAAAACACTTTAATAGGAAATCTGGTGAAACTGGATAAAGATTCATAGATAAGGTGACAGTTTTATGTCACTGTTAATTTCCTGGTTTTCATACTCTTACTATGGTAATGTAAAATGTTAACACTGGGGGAAGCTGTTAAAGGGTATGCAGGAACTCTGATTTCTGCAACTTTCCTTTGAGTCTAAAATTATTTCTAAATAGAAAAGTTTTAAAAAATAGATTTGGAAAAAATAAAACAATGAAAAGAAATTTCTCTTTCCACGAAGCCTGCCTTTCAAGACTATTATCTCACTAGAGAGGTCAAGAAAGTGAACTCTGATTCAGAGTCTATCACTTTTTTTTTTTGTTTGTGGTAATTCTCATTTTCTCCTTCCCAGTACATAGTCTTGTGGCACAGATTTGAAAATGGACAACCACAAAGAAACATGACTTATGTGAAGTGAAGTGAAAGCTACTGGTTTAATATATGCAAAAATTCCCTATTTACAAAATAAGTGATCATTTGAATATTAATGTGTCTTTATGACACTTTTATAGGGTGAAAATGCCATCAGTTCCAAAAGTCAAAAATCAGCATGCAGTGTGATATTAGAAATGGAAAAATGTAGTGACAGAAGTGGAAACTGGAGGGTCAGAAAAGGTATAAAAAATGTAGCCAGTGGCTGCATGACAAGAAGTCAAATGGCATTTTTGGCCAGAAGGACCACTCTCCCACTTTCTTTATGCTAGCAATATTTTTTTAAATGTTAAAAGTATTTTTGTAAGTATTTTTCATGTTTCTAAAAATACATCAATTTACCTTGGCTTTTTAAAAATCACATTTGTCAATATAATGAGCAGAAGACTATTCCTACTATTCTTTATGCATAGCTTTGTAACCTGCAGACAAAAATGAAAACACCACACCTATGTTCTTTCCTATCTGTAATATCCCACAACTCATTGTCAGTTTTACCTCCCTCTGCCCAGTGTCTAAGTCTTATTTCCCTATAGCTATACAAGCTCTTTGGAGACAAACATTATATCTGGTCCATGATGTTATCATGCACCAACACCATATACATATTAAATGTTAAATAAGTAAAAGGATGATGGCTTACTGGCACTCAAACCCCTTACATGACGGGGAGCATGCAGATGGGCAGGTGCAGAAGCTGGTGTGAGCACTTTTGGGCTCCGGCCCCACAATAGAATCTAGGGGTGGGTGTCTGCGACTCCTGAAGTCCCAGTGAGCATGTGTTACAGCGCACTCTTTTAGCTTTGCTGTCCATGGACAGCTTAAGTGTTAAACAGCTCAGTGAACACTCTGCCTTTTTGCAAGGGCTTTCTGTATCCTGAGCTCTTGTCCAGCATCCAGGAAAAATCAGGTCACACACGGACTTGAAGGATGGTGAATGCGAGGGTTTTATTGATTGGTGGAGGTGGCTCTCAACAGGATGGATGGGGAGCTGGAAAGGGGATGGAGTGGGAAGATGATCTTCCCCTGGAGTTTGGCCATCTAGCGCCGATCTCATCTCCAATCATTCCCAGCTGAACTCCTCTCAACGTTCAGATGCTCCTTCTCTTCTCTCCTTCTCTGCTGCTCTTCTGCTCTTCTGTTCATCTGCTCGTGGAGCCTGGGATTTGGGGTTTATATGGGTTCAGGATGCAGAGTGTGGTGGGCCAAAAGGGAACTTTTGGGTGCAAAAATAGGAATGCCTGTTCCCATTTAGGGCCATGGGTTTCCAGGCTTGAGGGTGGGGCCTTTGCCAGGGAACCACCCTCTTCTACCCAGTATTTCGCTATCTCCTGTCCCTATCATTAGGGCCATTGGGCAGACAAGGGGTGTGTCTGCTTGGGGCAGTGGCACTGCTACATTGTTTCTCAGGTTCTGAGTATGGCCTATAGTCATTCCACTGACTCAGGGATATGTCAGCTACACGGAAGCTTGAAAGTTTCTCCTGTTTGAAGGATGGCATGTAGTGTTTTCGCCAGCTTAAGGGGGGGTTCACCCTGGATGAGACAATCAGACTGTTCCTTCAGCTGGAGGTAAGGCAGCAGGAGTTGGTTTCCCTGTAGTGCAGGAGTCATAGCTGATCTTGGGCCCAGGCTCTGCACAGATGAGGTTGTGGGGTTCAATGACCTATGGGCTTGGTGGGATGAAGATGGAGTCCCAGTGCTTGTGAGGCACAGTGGCTAGTGGCTCCCAGAGCAGGGTGCACACCAGAGGTGACTCTGGTCTCAAGATGGCACCATGCTGCAGCAGCCTGGCTCATAGGGAGTGGGCAGGGGGTGGAGAGTGCACACCTTGTACTGCTAATTTAGTATAATCCCCACAGTTCTCCCAATTGGGCTCATGGCTTGAAAGGATTGTGGAATTCTCTTGTTATAAGGACTGTAGGTATTGGCAGTGGCAATGGAAGCTGGCAAGGGTCTTCTACTCAGATTTTTGCCAGAACAGGAAGTGTCTCCTGACTTCAGACATATCTAATCTGGGTGGGGCAGACAGAGCTTCAGAGGCTGAGTGCCTGCGTGCTGCCCTCCTGGACTTCCATTTACCACAGGTGCATCTCCACCTCTTTGCTGCCTTCCAAGGTGCTCCTTCCCACACTCCAGTCAAATCTTAGCTGTGTATTCATTGCCTTGGTTTTTTCTTGTAAGGGGAATGAATACTAGGCACCTCTAACATTATGCTGTTGTTACTCCCCAAACTTTTAAATAAGAACTAACACCAATTCATCTCAAACTATTCCAAAAAATGGAGGTGGGGAGTGGAATTCTTCCAAACCTAATCTACGAGGCCAGAATTATTCTCACACCAAAACCAGAAAAGAACACAACAAAGAAAGAAAACTATAGACCAATATATTTGATGAACATAGATGCAAAAATCCACAGCAAAATACTAGCAAAAGAAATTCAATAGCACATCAAAAGAATTATACACCATGATCAAGTGGGGTTTATCTCAAGGATGCAAGGATGGTTCAAATATGCAAATCAATATACATCACACATCACATCAACAGAATGAAGAATAAAAACTAATATAATCCTCTCAGTATTCACAGAAAAAGCATGTGCTACAATTCAAAATCTTTTCATGACAAGAACTCTCAATAAATTATGTACAGAAATAATATACCTCAACACAATAGAGGCCATATATGACAAACCCACAGCTAACATCATATTGAATGGCGGTTGGGGGGAGTTCTTCTAAGAACTGGAATAAGACGCAAAGCCCACTTTCACCACTCTTACTCAACATAATACTTAAAGTCCTAGCCAGAGCACAATTAGGCAAGAGAACA
This sequence comes from Homo sapiens, assembly GCF_000001405.40. Taxonomy (NCBI): domain Eukaryota; kingdom Metazoa; phylum Chordata; class Mammalia; order Primates; family Hominidae; genus Homo; species Homo sapiens. The sequence continues at coordinate 128,500,063 of NC_000004.12, read as the reverse complement.
AAATAAAGGGCATCCAAATTGGAAAGATGGAAGTAAAATTTTCCCTGTTTGCTGAGGACATATTCTTATATATGGAAAAACCTTCATCGAAAGACTCCATCAAAAAACTCTTAGAAAAGAAACAAATTCAGTGAAATTGCAAGTTATAAAATCAACATACCAAAATCAATAGTGTTTCTATACTGCAATTAACTAGCTGAAAAAGAAATCAAGAAGTGATATGGTTTGGCTCTGTGTCCTCTCCCAAATTTCATCTTGAATTGTAATCCCCACATGTTGAAGGAGGGACCTGGTTGGGGGGTGATTGGATCATGGGGGCGGTTTCCCCCATGCTATTTTCATGATAGTGAGGGAGTTCTCATGAGATCCAATGGTTTAAAAGTGGCAGTTTCCCCTACACACTCTCTCCTGCCACCATGTAAGATGTGCCTTGCTTCTCCTTCACCTTCTGCCATGATTGTATTCCTGAGGTCTCCCTAGCCATGTGGAACTGTGAGTCAGTTAAACTTCTTTTGTTTATAAATTACCCAGTCTCAGGTAGCTATTTATAGCCGTGTGAAAACAAACTAATACAAGAAGGCAATCCCATTTATAATAACTATAAAAAAAATGAACAAATTTAACCAAGAAGGTGAAATATCTCTGCGTTGAAAACTATAAAACTATAAAACACTTAAGAAAGAAATTGAAGAAGACACAAAAAAATGGAAAGACATCCCAAGATTACGGATTGGAAAAACTAATATTGTTAAAATGATCATACTACTTAAAGCAATCTATTTATTCAATGCAATTCCTATCAAAATACCTTTAACATTCTTCACTGAAGTAGGAAAAAAAAATCCTAAAATGTGTATGGAACTACAAAAGACCTCAACTAGTGAAAGTAATCCCGAGGAAAAAGAATGAAGGTGGAAGTATCACACTACCCGACTTCAAAATACACTACAAAGCCATAGTAACCAAACAACAGGGTACTGGCATAAAAAGACACATAGACAAATGGCACCAGAAATAAATTCATGTATTTATAGCCAACTGATTTTCAACAAAGGCACTGAAAACATCCACTGAAGAAAAAACACCCTTTTCAGTAAATGGTGCTGGGAAAATTGGATATTCATACTCAGAAGAATAAAACTAGACCCCTATCTCTCATCATATATAAAATCAACCCAAAATTTATTAAAGATGTAAAAGTAAGGATAAAAACTATGAAACTACTCAACGAAAACATAGGGGAACCACTTTAGGACACTGTTCTGGGCAAAGATTTTATGGATAAGGCCTCAAAAGCACAGGCAACAAAAGCAAAAATAGACAAATGGGATTATATCAAACTATGAAGCTTCTGCACAGCAAAGAAAACAATCAACAGAGTGAAGAGATAACCTGTAGAACAGGAGAAGATAATTCCAAACCATTTATCTGACAAGGGATTAAGATCCAGAATACACAAAGAACTCAAACAGCAAACAGCAAAAAAACCATATAACCCAATTTTAAAATGGGCAAATGATCTGAATAGACATTTCTTAAAGGAAGACATACAAATGACCAACAAGTGTGTGAAAAATGCTCAACGTTGCTAACCATCAGGGAAATTCAAATCAAAACTACAATGAGATACCATCTCACCTCAGTTAGAATGGTTATTATAAAAAGACAAAAAAATAACAAATGCTGGTGAAGATGTGGAGAAAAGGGAATTCTTATACCCTGTTGGTTGAAATGTAAATTAGTACAGCCATTATGGGAAGCAGTATGGAGATTTTTCAAAAAAAACTAAAAATAGAACTACCATATGATCCAGTAATCCCACTAGTGGGTATATATCCAAAGGAAAGGAAATCAGTATGTTGAAGAGATATCTGCACTCCCATGTTTATTGCAGCACTATTCACACTAGACAAAATATAGAATCAGCCTTAGTGTCCATCAACAGATGAATGGATAAAGAAAATGTGGTATATGTACACAATGAAATACTAATCGGCCATAAAAAAGAACAAAATCTTATCATTCACAGCAACATGGATGAGCTGGGAAGACGTTATGTTAAGTGAAACAAGCCAGGCACAGAAAGAAAAATACCACATGTTCTTACTCATTTGTGAGAGCTGAAAAAGTTGATCCTATATAAATAGACAGTAGAATAGTAGTTACTAGAGGCTGGGAAGTGTAGGGGGAAGTAGGGAAGAGGGAGAGTTTGGTTAACAGATACAGAATCACAGCTAAATGGGAGGAAAAAGTTTTAGCGTTCTATTAGCACTGTAGGATGACTATAGTTAACGTTAATTTATTATATATTTTCAAGTAGCTAGAAGAGAGGTTTTGAATGTTCCCAACACAAACAAATTGTAAATGTTGGAAGTGATGGATATGCTAATTACCCTGATTTGATTATTACACATGTATACATAAATTGGAATATCACATTGCACCCCATAAAGATGTACAATTATTAGGTGTTAATTAAATTTTTTAAAAAATCACTAGTGGCCTGATTTAATCAATCATGCTTATGTAATGAAGCCTCCATAACTGGGTTGCCAAACAGGAGGAGGTACCTGGAGAGTGGTGGTCCCAGAGAGGGCACAGAAGTTCACACCCCTTCCCACATACCTTCACCTGTGCATCTCTTCCTTCTGAATGTTCCTGACTTATATCATCTTATAATCAATGGCTAATAATAAGTAAAGCACCTTCCTCATTCTGTGAGCTGTTCTAACAAGTGATCAAACCAGAGAAGGGGGCTTTGGGACCCTCCAGTTTACAGCCAAGTCTGACACAAGTCATGGGTAACATGGGAAACTACCACTAGTGACTGACATCTGAAGCCGGGGACAGTCTTGAGGGGCTGAGCCCTTAACACGTGGAGTCTGTGCCAACTTCAGTTAGCACAGAATTGAACTGAACTGTAGGATATCCAGCTGGTGTCAGAGAATTGCTTTGTGTGGGAGAAACCCACACGTTTTGGTGACCAGAAGTGTTTTGCGCTGAGTGTGAGGAAAACAGTTAATCTTTTTCCATACAAGAGGGTAGGCAGCATGTAGAGTAGGAAGAGGACCTACCACCAGAGCCTGACACCAGTTCACAGAGGAAGAGGTTCTATAACTCAGTTAAAGTGTTTATATACAAGGAAATCTACAAGGACTGGAGAGTTAAGGACTAAAAACACATGGACCCAGGCTTTCCAATACAGTCAAATTTATATACAAAGAATCTAGTACCTCACTAAGAAAGTGAAGGCTTCAGGTTTATGGATAAAATTAAGTAAAGGAATATTTGGAAATGTAATGGAGGCCATAACAAAAATAGAAAGTTAAACTTTCAGCAGTGATGAGTACTTTCTCTTCAAGAGGCATATAAATCTCAGAAGTTAAGCCATGAATAGTATAGAAGTTTTAGCTATCCAACCCAGTGTGGTGAGGTTTTAGATGTATGGTAGTTTATTTTACAACAGCCACCAAGGTCAGCATAAATATTAATTAGGTCCCTGTTCCACTTCTGGTTCATGGTTGATACAGGGACATCCTATCACACAGCAGTTCAGGCTGAGCCAAGTGATACATGTTTTCACTTCATATCAGCTATGATAAAAGAAAAAAGTTTGTGAGTAAAATAGATATTCAGATAAACAGAAATATAATGCCTTCCCATCAAAACCTACCAGCAGGGAGGAAAACAAAACCCAGGAAGTGCCAGGAGAGGAAAGAAAGCAAGTCTAAGGCCTGTTCTCAGTTTTAAGTTCTGCAGGCCTTCCTAGAAGATGACCCATTTTTTTCACTTTTCATGTATTCACACTACTCGGAAACCCTCAATTCTCCTATTTTAAGGATTAAAAAAATTAATTACGGTATATTCCAACAATAACCTTGAGACATGACATCTTCTATTAATAGAAAAAAGACTTCTACTATGACATGACTTATGCTTAGTATAAAACTTAAACTATGACATATTTTCCTACTACCTTCTTCAAAAACATATAAAATTGTGGTATATATGACTACAGAACTGATATTAGTAATGGTAAGTTAGGAGGTTATAAACAAGGTTCTGTGTCATAAAATTTGAGTCAACAGGAACCCAATTACTGAGAAATATTTTGAAAGACGAGGGACTACGTTGAAAAGAAGAGAATAAGAACTAAAAGATAACAATAAAATATTAAGGATTTTTACAAAAACAAATATATCGTGATATATAGCCTTCTTTAATAGTGATGATAGATGTAGCTGTCACATTGCTTTTATTTCCTAGTCTTCCCTTAGCTTTGCTAAGTGGGCAGCACCAAAGCAGGACACCTGATGCAAAAGCAGCCAATCCATGAGCTTGTAGCAGTCAGTGACCTGGGATCTGACTAGAATAGATGAGCTGGGCCAGTAAGAATCCTCCTTCAGGAATCTGAATCACAAGACCTAGAGAATTTCCAGTAAGCAACAGGGCAAAAGCTAAATGGACAGATCAAGAGATACTATGCTATATGGAGGTGTAGAGTCCCTACTACGGTCTGTATTAGTCCATTCTCACATTGCTATAGAGAAATACCTGAGACTGGGTAATTTATAAAGAAAGGAGGTTTAATTGGCTCACGGTTCTGCAGGCTATACAGGAGCTTCTGGGGAGGTCTCAAGGAACTTCCAATCATGGCAGAAGGCAAAAGGGAAGCAAGGCACTTCACATGGCTGGAGCAGGAGGAAGAGAGAGACAGGGGAGGTGCCACATACTTTAAAACAACGAGATCTCACGATAACTCACTCACTGTCACAAGAACAGCACCAAGAGAATGGTGCTAAACCATTCATGAAGGACCATCCCCATGATCCAAGGAACGTCCCACCAGGCTCCTCCTCCAACATGGGGGATTACAATTGAACATGAGATTTGGGTGGGGACACAGACCCAAACCATATGATGAACCATATGCAAGCTACAGTTATGAGGAAGCCAGTCAATAGACAAAAGAGAGTGAAGGCCACATATGTAAGGAAGATTTTGCCTGTGTGGACAAAGAGAGAGCGAAAAGAAGGAAGGAGAGGAGAAGAAAGAGGAGAGGCAAGAGTAGGCTTGATTCATGACAGCTTCCTTAACACCCAACTATAATTCAATTTCTGTCATTGGGTTTCTCTGAAATCCCTCTGAAACCTAACATCTCTGTTCCTTATAACTAAAAGAACCCTAAGCAAAACAATGCATCCTAAGGTCAGTATGCTTCTAGGCAATCTTCTATACTCTCTTTATCCACAAGAAATGGTACTTAGAATAAAGACTTTTGATTAATCAAGGTATCAATTTGCTGTAAAGAAATTTAGTTCCACTGTTATTTACATAATCTTGGGCAAGTCACTTATCTCCCAAGCCTTACTTTTCTCATCTATATACATCTATATATATAGTAGGTTTATTGTGGAAATAACAATAATGTGTATGGAGCACCTGGCCCCTAGGCACTCAGAACTTGGTAGTTGTCATAATTCATTAAAATAAAACTTAAGACTTGTACAAAGCAAGTCCATTGTCTTTATATAATTTGATACACTAAACAGCCCAGGTGACATAGGTAGGACAAGTGTTGCTATCTCCATTTTTCAAATGGCTCAGTGTCATAACTTCCTCAAACCATAGAGCTGGCAAATGGAAGAATGTGGACTTAAACATAGGGCTTATGATTGCTAGTCAATCAGATAACCTCCCATTTCAGCAAAGCCCAGAAAGTACACTCACAGATTAGGGAAAAAAAATTGCAACCAATAAATTTGAAACGGGGGGGAGAGAAGAGTCCTGATTAACCTTCAGTTTAAGAGAAAAATCCATTCCATTAAAAGCCCCTTTCCCTGGGCATTCCTGATAATTGAGATTTTACAGTTCTTTGAAATACCACGAGGTCAACAAATTGCACACACTTACAGTTCCATGAAAGAATGGAAATAATGGTACTCTCTAGGGTAGAGAAAGAGAAATTCATTACATTAGAAAATCCTGAAAGAATGACATGAGAGACCAAGAGCAATACATGTAAATGCAGAAAAGAAAGAAGGAAGAGGGGGAGGAGGGTAAAAAATTATTTTTGGCATACCTAATTACTACAGAACCTCACCTCCTAATCCCCAGGGTAATTCACACTTTTATAGATAGTATGTCAAATTACCTTTTCAGATCTTAGTAAAATAATCCTGAATGTTTCAAATTCAGATTGTAAGAAAACTTTATGTTAGATCATATGGCAGTTCTAAATAAAAGTTAGTTGCTAAATCTAAATTTTTTAAGTTTCCCTTTCTTATTTGAAAATAAGAAAAGTTTCAATGATTGCACATATTTATCTTCTAATAACTTTAATAAATAAAGCATTAAAACCATGGCCATGCCCTAGTATAGAAAAACCTAGCCGGGCAAAAATACCATGTCATAAGACTTCTGTTTGGCACCCCAAACATTATGAATACATCATACAAACTAAGTGCTGCTCCCTGTTCATTTTTGTTGACAGCTTTGACGTTGAGATACAGGTCAGGAGGAAATGATGCACAGAGGACTTATCTAACCTCTTGAGGGTCTCTTATTCCTTGGTGACATGACTTTTAAGGTCTCACCTAGAACCAAATTTCTAAGCTCTATCAACTTTCTCTCTGTCATTTCTTCAAATCAGATTTAATGAGGATGTCAGATGACTGAACTGCCTCATAAGTTCACTCAGTGTTCATTAAGCCTTGCACATCTCCTACAACTCCAAAGCCTGGAGTGAGCATAGGCTCAAGGTCAATAGCTTGGGCTTTAGAATTTACTAGCCATGTGGCCCTGGGAAAGTAACATAACCTCTCAGTACTTTATTTTCTTCATCCATAAAATGGGATAATAACTACCTTACAGTATTGTTGCAAGGATTAAATGCATATAAAAATGTTTAAAAGAGTGCCTACAACATCACGTGTTCTCAATAATTTTTAGCTGCTCTTATTATTACCTTTTGACAACGCAATGTTCCTTAATACATGCAAGCACAAAGTCTATGGGAACGTGTGCCGCTAGGAGGAAAAGATGAAACCCAAATGTGCACACAGAGCAAAGACAGGAATGTATGAAACAACAACACATGCTTGCTGCAGGCTGCATCCAGTCAGCTAAACTGAGATGAGCTTCACGTTCTTCCATGGTTGGCCTACACCATTAGCCCCTGCTGGCAAATGGGAAGTGCTCACGATAAAGCAGACTGAATGGCAGCATGCGGGTGGACCAGCACAATCCATCCCCACTACTGGACCAGGAGCCTGGACTGCATTCTCTGCTGTCCCTGAATTAGAGCACTTAGGATGTCATACACTGTTAACAGGTTCTAAGAGTTCTAGGGGTTTAAGAGAAAGAATGAAGGGCATAGCGGAAGAGCTAGCATTGAGGGAATCTCTGTGAAGTGGTCTTTAGCTGCATTTCAAAGGCAGGTGGGAAGCGGACTTGGGAAGAAGTGAGCAGAGCTTTCCAGATGGGAGAAATAGGATTTGTGTGCCCCTGGGTGTGAAGTTTGGAGAAGCCCACATTGGAGAAGGCCAATAGTGCTGCCAGGAATAAAAAGCATGAAATCAGGTGTAGCAGCAGGTATAGCCAGTAATCGCCAGGGAAGATTTTTGTCTCTTTTTGCCAATTTCCAGAGAAATAATCTCTGCAACCGGGTGTTCTTTGTTGTTAGGTTAGCTCCCTTTTAGGATTATATTTAGACTTTTTTTTTTCTTTTCTTAGAAAACCTCAAATGATTACAACTTTCACAGAATGTTTAAGTAGGTCACAAAAAAACAAGGAATGCTTTTTCCCACTCAAATAGATCCCTGAAACTCTAGGTTCTAGAGAACTGGATGCTAATTTCCTCATTCTCCCAGGGGGACAGAATGACAAATTCTACCTGCCTCACTTCCATCTTCCTCCACCTCCACTCCATTTAAAGGCTCCCAGTTCACTGTTCAGTAAAAGGAAGGAGGATTTTCTCAGAAACCAATTCTCTAGGTGAAAGAAACCTAGGTGAGGATTTCCAAAAGCTAAAGACTTCTCACAGAAGTCAGGTCATTTTATATTGCTCTAGAAAGATAACCAAGGGGATTGAAGGGATATTACTATAGAGAAAAACAATAACATTTAAAACCTCAAACCCCACTAAATTCCTTATATGACAACAAATAGTGATGCTTAATATTTTTTGCCATGGCTCAATAGTTAGATGCAAACCTCAACTCAGTCACAGAACTCTTTCATCCATGCTACTCATACAGAAAAGAGAAAAATGATGGAAAATTTTCTAGCAAGGATTTTGTTTTCCTTTTTAAAGTTTATCCTGGAGTTGAGGGAGAACTTGGAAACAAGATTCTGATTAAGAAGTTATCCTCATTGGGACAGGGACCTCCTAAGACACTCTTCCACAAGCTATCAGCACATGCTTTACACATTGTGAAGTCATGGCTTTCTCACGTCTTCATCTGATTCCTAATTCTTTTTCTCATCTAGGAAAATGTTGCCAGGGATTTTCACTGAATGTCATTTTCACTGAAGAGGTCCCAATTAAGAATTTTTGGATCTCGGACTGAAAAACTTTCCAAGATAATTATTATAATCCAGGGCTTCAAAGGAGCAGAAATTCAAAGGAATGGAAAGAATTTCAGTAGATAATCTACAGGATGGCTGCCACTGATCCTCCCCTCGTCCTGCACTCCTGGCTTTGCCCTTTCCCTGTGAGCTTATTGCTGAGAATCTGTTAGGCATTTCAGCAAAGGTCATGGCATTTATGACAGCTTAATATAGAGCATAAAGCGGAAAAAAGGTTGACTCCAAGGCTGCAAGCCCAAGAGAAAAAGAGAATAGAGTAGAGATATAGGCAAGGGAAGGGAAGATGATGAGTGGCAGTTGGGAATTTGAGACTAAAGAGAAGGTGTGAAATGCAGTTTCAATGATAGAGTAACAGTTAAAGCCTTGAGATAAAAAAGTTGGCACGTGCATCTACGTACACACACAGATATACCCCTATGTTCAAGGCCTGGGTTTTGGGGGTAATCAGGAGTAGGAGGAAAAAAAGAAGAAATAGAAGGACACAGTGAAGATAGGTTAGAAAGGCAGGAGGAAAAATTCCAAGATGTTCCAAAAGGCAAGATAATATTTTACTATGGGGCAAACATTAAACAAAAGAAAGCTGGTGACAAAGTATTAATATCATACAAAGTAATCCTAAAGGCAAAATGCATTGTTCCAGGTAAGAAAGTCATTATATGATGACAAAAGTCAATTCACGAGGAAGATATCACAATCCTCAACTTGTATGCAATGAATAACACAGTCTCGAAAATAAATAAAGTAATAATTGAAATAACTTCAAGGAAAATAAACATTCTATTATCAATCATAGTGGGAGATTTTTACACACTTTTCTCAGTAAATGACAATCCTAATATCAGTAATGTCATAAAAATATCTCTAATTGTGGTGTTTAACTATTGAATTCCAAATTTTTAATAGTAGTCTTTAATATTTTTACCTTAGTTATCTTCCTCCTATTTGAACATTTCCAACTTGAAACATGAGTTCTGGTCAAACCAGTTCACCAAACATGTTTTCTTCGTCTCACTTTTATTTCTCACCTTAAGTTATATCCCCTAGCTGAAATGTTCTCTCCCTTCAGTAGACTTTTCCCCTGCAATTGTGAGAGAGGTTGAAGCAAGACTGGCATAAATAGACTTCTGGATCACAGGACGGAAGGAGTACAAAGATACGTGGGCCTCAAACACAATGCCTCAGCTTCCCCAGGAAAATTGTGTTTGTTTCTAGATCTCCCTTCTGGTCAAGGGCCACTCATTTAAAGCAGTGTCCAAGAACTCAGCCTGGACCAAGCTTTGGAATAACAATCTATGTAGTATGGACAGCAAGAAAGACCAGAAGTCAATTGTGTCTTCTCTTTTCAGGAGAAAGCCAGTGGTCTGGGAAGGCAAATCACCTGGGGCTGGCTGAATGAAGCAAGGAGAAAAAAAGTGTCTGAGATATCATGCCAAAACCTGACAAACAAAGGAGAAAACAGAGAATAAGCTGAAGGTACCAGTGAGTGAATGAGAAATAGGAGATTAGTGAGAAGCTGAGATACAAGTTGAGTCTGGTGGAGATTAAGTCTAACAACTTATATTGTCAAGTTTTAGATCTGGTGTTTTGATCCTACCTCTTTGGCATTTAAGGACACAGGAATGACTCAGTATCTTGGGATAGACCCCTGGCATTCTGCCTTTTCTGTCAGGCAAGCCTTTATCAGAATCTAGGCACGCTTTAAACACAAGGCATGCAGAAAGAGGTATACCGCTTCCCTTTCTGTCTCCTGTAGTTGTGATACACCTGCAAATAGTCAATACATATAAAGGAAAAAGTCATGATAAAGATAATGCTCTGGGCCAGGCCTGGTGGCTCACACCTGTAATCCCAGCACTTTGGGAGGCCAAGTCAGATGGATCACCTGAGGTCAGGAGTTTAAGACCAGCCTGGCCAATATGGTGAAACCTCGTCTCAACTGAAAATACAAAAATTAGCCAGGCATGGTCCCAAGAGGTAGAGGTTGCAGTGAGCAGAGATTGCGCCACTGCACTCCAGCCTGGGCAACAGAGCAAGACTTTGTCTCAAAAAAAAAAAAAAAAAGATAATACTCTGTCTGCAACTCCTCCTAAGGGCAAGAAAGGAAGATGAGTAAATCACCTTCCCATATGAACCTATGGTTCTGGTCCCGTTATGATTGTCGACAGTTTATAGAAAAATATAAATAATTCAAAGCTAAGTGTCAACTGATAGCTTTAATAAATGCATAATTTCACAGCATGGAAGCTTTGTTGTTTGCTCATATCACTTGCTGTCTAGAACTAAAACAGCAATAATAATATATCTGACATGTAAGATATACCCTTAAATAGAAATAGCAAAAACCCACATGATGTCAAAGGAGGCTCTTTTTCAAACAGCCAAAAAGCCATGAAAATCAATGAGCCCTGGAGTAGCTCCACCCTTGAGATCCTGTCTAAGAATCAGAAGATATTTAATAAATTGTGCGTTTTATCTCACATAAAAGAAACACACATAGACGGTCTACCCCTTAAGAGGCTCAGCAAAGCTCAGGCCAGAAAAACAAATTCACTCAGGTTCAGGTTGAGGCTGCCACCAGCATAGACAACCAGGAAAGGGTTATTGAAAAGGCTAAGGAAACTTTTAATGTTAAGAGCCTCTACTTTTTAGAGTACTGTGAAAGCTCTGCTGAAAAGAAACAAACATAGCAAGAGCAAGTAGAAGTGATATCAATAATATTAGGGATAACAGCAGCTGCTGAGGAGTTTCCCCATATTGTGGCTGACCAAGAGGGGTCTTACTGCTGTTAAAAAGACAGGGGATGAGATTCAACAGTGAGTTCAATAATCTTCATTTGGGTTCACCTGAAAGTAAGACTTAGCACCAGACTCTACATTATAAAGAATTTCCTGGTCCATCAGGGTTTCCATGTAAATAAAAAAAAAAAATTCTGTTTTAATACTTGGATGTCTCCTGAGGTCAAAGACTGAAGTTCAGGTTCTTTCTTGGTGTAATGCCAGTTTTCCATCCTCTTTAAGCCAGACTCTGTGTTGTTTTTCTAATTTACACAATAAAATGCTGTTTGTTGAAAGAAGATCACTAGAGGGTTTGTGGGAGCCCCTCAAATACTTCATTCAATTTTAATGGGGTACTTGACATCCCACAAAGTTCACACACATGAGGAAGAGATTGCACAGTGCGAACTGGTGAAAAAATCCATTGCCTACTCCTCCAGGAGCATGCTGATAACATGAGGTGACTAGTACATGATACGTTTCATAGGACAGCTTTGCAAATGGTCATGCCTTTCTGCACAAAACAAATTAAAACATAATCATAACCCCAGTACCACTGTTATCACTGGGTGGCATTCTTCGTGATTAAATGTATATCACATTCTTTGTAGGCATGCCAGGGTAAAAGCTGCCAAATTCACAATGGCAATTTATTTCAAGTTTTCAAAATAAAAGTTATGTATCAAAAACATTTTTTTAATGTATCAACTTTTTATTTTTTCCCATGCACTTATTTGATGCAGTTTATTAGCAAAATTGACATTGTCTTTGGATGTCCATAACACTGGCTATAAAATGGGATAATTATATCTAGACAACATATCTAAAAGGTTTAATATTTTAGCTACACTTTGACAATTTCCGTGGTTTGAATGTGCTAATTTTTATAATATTGTCTCAGAGGTTCATTTTTTTTTTCTTTCCAACTTTTATTTTAGGTTCAGGGGGTACATGTGCAGGTTTGTTACATAGGTAAATTGCGTGTCATGGGGGTTTGGTGTACAGATTATTTCATTACCCAGGCAACGAGCACAGTACCCAATATGTAGTTTTTCAGTCCTCACTCACTCCTGCACTCCACCCTCAAATAGGCTCCAGTGTTTATTACTTCTTGTGTCCATGTGTATTCATCATTTAGCTCCCACTTATAAGTTAGAACATTCAGTATTTATTTTTCTATTCCTGCATTAATTCATTTATGATAATGGCCTCCAACTCCACCCATGTTGCTACAAAGAACAGGATTTCATTCGTTTTTATGGCTGCATAGTATTCCTTAATGTATATGTAACGCATTTTCTTTATCCAGTCTGCCATTGATGGGCATTTAGAATGATTCCACGTCTTTGCTGTTGTGAATAGTGTTGCGATGTGCAGGTGTCTTTATGGGAAAACAATTTATATTCCTTTGGATATATACCCAGTAATGGGATTGCTGGGTCAAATGGTAGTTCTGTTGTAAGTTCTTTGAGATATCTCCGAACTGCTTTCCACAGTAGCTGAACTAATTTACATTCCCAAGAGCAGTGTATAAGCATTCCCTTTTCTCCACAACCTCACCAGCATCTGTTATTTCTTTGCTTTTTTTTTTTTTTTTTTTTTTTTTCTGAGATGGAGTCTTGCTCAGTCACCCTGGCTGGAGTGCAATGGCACAATCTCAGCTCACTGCAAGCTCCGCCTCCTGGGTTCACGGAATTCTCCTGCCTCAGCCTCCCGAGTAGCTGGGATTACAGGTGCCCGCCACCACGCCCGGCTAATTTTTTGTATTTTTAGTAGAGATGCGGTTTCACTGTGTTAGCCAGGATGGTCTCGATCTCCTGACTTCGTGATCCACCTGCCTCAGCCTCCCAAAGTGCTGGGATTACAGGCATGAGCCACTATGCCCAGCCTTCTTTGCTTTTTAATAATAGCCATTCTGGCTGGTGTGAGATGGTGTCTCACTGTGGTTGTGATTTGCATTTCTCTAATGATTAGTGATGTTGAGCATTTTTTCATAGGCTTATTGACCACGTGTATGTCTTCCTTTGAAAAGTGTCTATTCATTTCCTTTGCCCATTTTTTATTGGGGTTGTTTGGTTTTTGCTTGTTAATTTATTTAAGTTCCCTATAGATTCTGGATAGTAGACCTTTGTTGGGCGCATAGTTTGCAAGTATTTTCTCTCATTCTGTAGGTTGTCTGTTTACTCTGTTGATAATTTCTTTTGCTGTGCAGAAGCTCTTTAGTTTAATTAGGTCCCATTTATCTATTTTTGTTGTTGTTGTTGCAACTGCTTTTGGAGTCTTTGTCATGAAATCTTTGCCAGGGCCTATGTCCAGAATGGTATTTCCTAGGTTTTCTTCTAGGGTTTTTATAGTTTTAGGTTTTACATTTAAGTCTTTAATCCATCTTGGCTCAATTTTTGCATATGGTAAAAGGGAGGGATCCAGTTTCAATCTTCTGTATGTGGCTAGCCAGTTATCCCAGCATCATATATTGAATAGAAAGTCCTTTCCCCATTGGTTGTTTTCATTGACTTTGTTGAATATCAATTAGTTGTAGGTGTATGGTTTTATTTCTAGATTCTTTAACCTGTTGGTCTATGTGTCTATGTACCAGTACCATGCTGTTTTGGGTACTGTAGCCTTGTAGTACAGTCTGAAGTTGGGTAGTGTGCCTCTGGTTTTTGTTGTTGTTGTTTGGGTTTTTTGTTTTCGTCTGTTTGTTTTGCTTAGAAATGCTTTGGTTGTTCAGGCTCCTTTTGGTTCCACATGAATTTTAGAATAGTTTTTTTTTAATTCTATAAAAAATGTTATTGGTAGTTTGATAGAAATAGCACCAAATCTGTAAATTGCTTTGGGCAGTGTGGCCATTTAACAATATTGATCCTTCCTATCCATGAGCATGAAATGTTTTTCCATTTGTTTGTCTTCTCTTGATTTCTTTCACCAGTGTTTTATAATTCTCGTAGAGATCTTTTACCTCTCTGGTTAGCTGTATTCCTAGGTATTTTATTCTTTTTGTGGCTACGGTGAATGAGATTGTGTTCCTGACTTGGTTCTCACCTTGGACATTGTTGGTGTATAGAAATGCAGCTGATTTTTGTGCATTGATTTTGTATCCTGAAACTTTGCTAAAGTTGTTTATATGTCTAGGAACCTTTGGGCAGAGACTATGGGATTTTCTAGGTATCAAATCATGTTATATTCACAAAAGGAGTTTAATTTCCTCTCTTCCTATTTAGATGCCTTTTCTTTCTCTTATCTGATTGCTCTGGCTAGGACTTCCAGTACTATGTTGAATAGGACACATTCTTATCTTGTTCTGGTTCTCAAGAGGAATACTTCCAGCTTTTGCCCATTCAGTGTGATGTTGGCTGTGGGTTTGTCATAGACGGCTCTTATTATTTTGAGGTATGTTTCTGTGATGTCTTGTTTGTCAAGGGTTTTTAACATGAAGGGATGTTGAATTGTATCAAAAGCCTTTTCTGCATCTATTGAGATGATCATGTGGTTTTTGTTTTTAGTTCTGTTATATTAAGTTACAAGTCAAATCATTATGGAATGTCCAAATATTCTCCCAACACTCTAGTTTAATGGTGTTGAATATCATTCAAAATAAATAGGCCATTTCCTAAATATTTTGAAATCTATTCTTAAGGTTTCAACTTACTGTAAAGAAACCTAATATATGAAAAGCCAGATTTACAGAAAAGATAAATTGGAGAGGGGATGTTATTTACATTTTCTTATGGAGTTTACCACAGGATTCCTTCACAGCAAATCCCTGTGATGAAATGGAGAACCCACAACTCTCAAGTGGGGTTCCTACCCCTAGGTGCTTTGAGGAGTTTTCGTCTATCAACTTTTGAGGGATCAAAGAGAAGGATTTATTACTTTGGCAAAGAGTGAACTTTTCTCAGCCTTTCCTCTCTGACTGCCAGGATCTGCATTTAAGAGCACGTCCAAGAGTCTGAAGCAGGTAAGCCACCAATCTTTGCACTCTGTGTGAGGAAGGGCACCACTGTCAGTTTTCCACAACCTTGGGTCTTCTGTTCTCAGCCTTAGGTAAGAGCTATTCTTTTCTCAGCCACTGGCCTCACCAGCATTACCAGGGCCAAGACTTTCTCACGGTGTTAGGCACACACCTTCTTCTCAATGGAATCTACACCTCATGGAAAGAATATGAGTGTTGGATTCTGAATCCCAGTCCTGGCTCCATCACTTAATAGCCAAGTGACTTCAATATTCTAGAGCTCCCATTTTTCCATTAATAATGGGGTTGACAATATCCAATTCATTGAAAAGTGAGAGGATAGGTTAAATGTTGGTAAATCATCCAGTGTTGGGCCTCATATGTAACAGATTAACAAATGGGAGCTTTAATGATGACAGCAATTATCCTGGATGTTTCCTAATGGTCTCTTCTTTCTCTTGTCGAGTTTTGTTTGCTTCCTTGTTTTCTTATCTGCTTTTAATGTTCTTCTAGTAGGCTTTCAGTTGATCTAGAGGTCCTTTTTCTTAACCTGCATTTACCCACATGTCTTACTCTCCTTCTTCACCAGCTAGCTCAGTGGGTCAGAATTCCCATCCTCCTCAACAGAAATCATCACTACTTTTTCCTAAACCCCATCTGGAGCCAGACACTATTTTCATAGAACAATAGTACATCTGCTTGTCATTACAGTTCAGCTCCCCTGGCCCCAGCCAGGCTGAACAGGATGCCAAACCCACAATGACTTCTCAGGAAAAGGGACTCTGTCAAAGAGCTCCTCTGTACATTGAAAGTAAAATTTGATTTATAAAACCCTCACTACACAGGTAACTTTCAGGAACAAATCTGCGGTTCTTGAAAGGTAAGGCTCGTAGGTTTAAAAAGAAGTTCTAAACAATATTTGTCCTTATACTGAGCCTTTGTCTGGATAGGAAAGGGGACAGGAATAAAGGTAACTAACACTTATTGTCTATTTTGTGTCTTAGTGCTGTGCTAAGTGTTTTGCAACCATTATGTTATTTAATTTTCATAACTATCCTCATAAAATAATTATCCTCACTTTACAGTGAGAAAACTGAGATTCCAACAGGTTAGCCTAAGGAATAAAGCTAGTCAGTGGCAGAACCAAGACAGAAATTCAAGCCTGTCTTACCGATACAGAGTGATATCTCATGATAGAGAATGCTTTATGACATGTAAAACACAATAAAACACGTTCTTTCTGTTGGCTTAAATATTTTACCTGGTACTTTGGATCACTGGAGGCTGAAGACCCTCCTATAGGCAGCAGTGAGAACACTCTTGACACCTTCGGCATGCAGGTGGCTGCAATACTCTGGGGTTGCATAAAGTCTTAAGGATCAGTCTGATCCCTTTCTCATCGCAGAAAGCTCCTAATTGCCTGGTGGGGAGATTTTTGATTCAGCTCTTATAGTTATACAGAAAGCACTAAACCTGCTGACTACAAATTAATCCTCTTTTCCTGGAACTGTGCATGGACAAAGGCATGGAAAGACAATGGCTTCCACCATTCAGAGGTGAACAAGCAACAGACCAGCTGGGCAGTGGCCCAGGACTCCAGCCTTTTGTGAGTACTATAGCATGATTGGAAGCTCAAGTTCCACTGGAAATATAACTTGAGAGTGCAGAAAATTACATTTATCAGGCCTCCTCTCAGGGAGTGTATGTGGTGGAAAGGGATGCTTTAATAATCTGCTTGGGTTAAGAGAAAGAGACCGCCAAAGGGTGTGATAACGTTACGGCTGATGAGTCCTCAACTGTGTTCTAAGGAGGTAAGGTCGGGATGGCAACAGGGCTCTTCTTTGGTAGAGTGTGGTCTGTATATTTGGATCCAGAGCTGGACTACACAGGACAGGCTGAACACTGTCACCCAGCGTTTGTTCATTCATTCATTCATTCAGTCAGTCAGTCAGTCAGTCAGTCAATACATATGTTTTGAGTGATTATTATTAATATATGTTCTGTTTGAGGTACTGGGGATAAAACAGTGCACAAAACGGCAAAAAAAAGACCTCAGCCTTTTTTTTTTTGAGGTTTTCTCATTTTTTTCCAGCTTTATTGAGATCTGCTAAATGAATATTGAAAAATACTTAAACTTATCTCATGCCCCCAAAGTAGCTAACTAAGCAAAACGCACAATGCCCTTCATGTTATAGACTAAAAATGAGCCACATAATATAACCAGCAATGTTTTCAAAATGGTTGAAATTGAAAGACAGGCTATCCCAGGTATCAGAAATGCAAAGGAAACATAAAACTGAAGTGGTAACGGTGGCCCAGGGAGGAGACTGGAATAACTACAGAGCCTCATCTGTTAAGTGGTAGGTTTTTAGTATGATGAGTGTCAAGAGACATGGCCTTGGGCTCATGTGAAATAGAGAGCCAGAACTGAAACTCCTAAATAAAGCTGATATGTCAAAGTTACACACCCACAATGAAAGGGATTAAAACATCTGTGCATCAGACCAGGGAAGTGACACATAAGCAAAGGAGTGTGTCTCTTCCTAGAGATTTTGGGTGAAAAATCAAAAATCCAGGCCTGTGCTTTGTCCAGGTTGGGAGTCCAAATTTATGTCAAAAGATGCTAGAAATTAATACAAAAACTGGTTCCAGACTGGCACATAGCAGAAGCAAATCCAAACCATTCTCTAGGGCACACAGACTTTATAGAAAACAACCCTGCTGAAGATGAGCTCACAAAGCACATGCAGAAATAATCTACCTTGAGAGAGAATGAGTCAGCAGACTTAAAAATGGGGAGAATTAGCAGGCCCAAAGAGTTGAGATAGTAAAATAATGTGCAACAATCTATAAAATAAGAATGTTTTTAAAAATTAAAGAGAGGAATGAGTTAAAACTGTAAGAAAAATACTGAATACTATGGGGAGAAAGTTAAGATTATCAGTTTGTTGATGTGTCAAATGACTAACCTGTCATGAATACCAGAATATTTACCTACCTTGAGTGCCCACATGTCTGAGTTTAACTCTGCTTCCATTTTATGATTCCGTAATTCCTCATCACATTTAGAAAAGAACTATTGGGCAACACAAAGAGCAGAATTAGGAGTATTTTATTAATGTTTTAAAAACTCAGTTCAATGTATTCATCTTTTGTTTGAATAACAGAGGACACCAAGAAAAAAAGACATCGATGGCATTTATCTATTGTGAGTCGGAATGAAGGTTAAGTTTTTAAAACAAAGAACTCCCAAAATACAGAGGTTTAAATAAGATACATATTTCTTCCACTCCTAAATAATAGTCGGGCAAGCCTATCTTGGCAGGGCAGCTCTGCTCCACCAGGTCATTCAAGGATCCAGGTTCCTTCCAACTCATTTCTCTACTATGCCCCAAGGCATTTTACTTAATCTTCATGTCAAAGCTGGGTCTCAAAAGGGTCTGTTTCACTTCAGACCAGATCAAATGGGAGCACAGTCCTGTTTTTTAGGCTAAGGTGTGGAAATGGCACATATTGTTTCCACTATCATTGCTTGGCCTGACCTCAGTGACATGGCCTCATCCAATTAAAAGCGTACCTGGAAAATATAGTTTTTAGCTGAGTAATCATGTGTCCAGATAAAATTCTATTACTCTGGAAGAAGGGGAAAATGAATTTGTAAATCATCTAGCAGTGTGTCAAATCTGTAATTCTAGCAAATATTGGGGAGGAAGTAGTTAACTAAGTTTTAAAAAATATATGTTTTAGCCTATCAGTCAATCACAACTCTTTGTCAAAGTCCTGCTATTAGCTCAGCATTGTGAGTAGAAGAAACAAAAAAATGAGGTGGCAATCTAAATAGAAAAGACTATTCACATACATTAATTGAAATAGGATTTTTTAAAGTATGCGATTAAGTGCTTAATTGTAAAGATCCATTTCTAATTCCAGGTCTATATTTTCTTCCACAGTCTTCCAACATGATACTTTCACATGTGACTTTTCCTAAAACTTGTTTCATGTGACACCCCCAAGCCAGAAACCTGAAAGTCACACTGACTTCTCTCTCTCTCTTCCTCCCACCGCATAATCAGAATGTCATCCATTTCTATTGGTTCTACCAACAAAATACCCACTCATCTCTCTTCTTGCTTCTTTTCTAGCTCAAGCTCTCATAATTATTGCTTGCAAGGATTATTGCACAGATCTTAAAAGCTTCCATTCTCTCTCCCCTTCAAACTATCCTGTATATTGTTTTTTGAGTGATCTTTCTAAAACAGGTTTATCCATCTGTCTATCTATTGTCTACTTTGTGCCAGGCACTGTCCTAGGTGTTTGAGATTCAGCAATAAACAAAACAGATAAAGATGCCCTCATGAAGCTTACGTTTTAGTAGAGGGAGACAAAGAATAAATGATGTACAAAGTAAATGAGTACATCATGAAATATGTTAGAAAGTGATAAACATCATGGAAAAAGGAAAACGTAGAGCAGAGTAAGAGGGATTGAGAGTGTTGATGGGAGGAGGGGGATGGCTGGCCAGGACTCAGACTTATTGATCAGAATGTTCACTAGATGAGAAGATAACACTGAAGCCAAGACAAAGAAGGGAGTTGGCCATGAAGATCTGAGCACAGAGAATTTTAAGAGGTATGGCTGAATTGAAGATATGTGGTGGGAGCCCTACCATAATGTTACAGAAACAGAAAGGACGCCAGTGAGGCTGGAACAAAATGAGCCACTGTAGACAGTAATGGGATCAGAGAGGATTGCAAGGACTTTGGTGTTCACTTTGTATCATGAGACAGCATTGGAACTTTTTGAACAGAGCAGTGACATAATCTGACTTAAGTGTTTAAAAAGACCACTCTGTTGTACTGAGAGTAGATTATTGGCCAGGTGTGGTGGCTCATTCCTGTAATTCCAGCACTTTGGGAGGCCAAGGGGGAGGATCACTTGAGGCCAGGAGTTTGAGAATCAATTATTGGAGGAGGGGGTGGAGAGGAAGAGTGAAGGGCAGAAGTAGGTGGCCCAGTTAGGAAGCTGTATTAGAGGCAAGAGGTGATGGAGGTTTCTACAAGGGTAATAATGGTGAATGGCTCTGTTATAATATATTTGGAAAGCAGATCCAACAGGATTTGATGTAGGATATGAAAGAAAGAGAGAAGTCAAGGATAACATCAGGGAATTTGGGGCTAAGGAAAGGAAAGATGGAATGCACTGCCATTAGCTGAAATGGGAGACAGAGAAGAGCTACGTGGAGTTTGCGGGGGAGATCAGGAGTTTGGTTTTAGAATAATAAGCTTGAGATGTCTATTTGGCATCTAAGTGAGAATGCCAAGTAAGCAATTGGATATATACGCCTGCAGTTCAGGCAGGTCTGGCCTGAAGATACAATTAAAAAAATGCAATAATTGCATATGGCAGGCACTGTGCTAAGCATTCTACATATGTAACTTATTTAATCCTCACAACAACCCCAAGACATAGCAGGAAATATTATCATCTCTTATTTCACAGGGTGGGAAACTGAACCACATAGAGGTTAAGGAACTTACCTGAGGTCACAAGAGTAGTTTGTGGAAGAGCCATGATTTGAATGCAGGAATATAAGTACCAGAATTCATGCTTTGAGCCACAATGCTACAGCACAGGTAATATTAATAAACTTAGGAGTCTTTGCATGTGAACGATATTTAGTTATGAGTCCAGGTGAGATCACCAAGGGAATATAACAGAGAAGAGAGTGTCTGAGGAATTTGTTTAAAAGTAATATGGAGTGGGTGGAGGGAAGTAGGTAGGAGCGTAGATGAAATAAGGTTGGCTCTGAGTAGATAAATACTGAAGCTGGGTAATGGGCACAAGGAGTTTCATTATACTTTGCTGTCTAATATGTGTATGGCTAAAATTTTGCATAATGACAGGAGAAAAACAAAGACAGAGGGATGAAGAAGAACAATCAAAGGAGGCCAACAAAGAGTGCCAGTGAAACAGGAAGAAAACCAGAAGCATGCTATCCTGGAAATCAAGCGTCCCGACTGTCTATTGCTGCATAACACACCCCCAAAACTCTATGGCTTAAAAATATAACAATTATACACAGTATAGAGATTCCTCAAAAAACTAAAAGTAGAACTGCCATATGATCCAGCAATCCAACTTCTGGGTATATATCCAAAGGGATTGAAATCAGTATGTCAAAGAGATACCTGCACTCCCATGTTCATCACGGCACTATTCACAATAACCAAGTTATGGAATCAACCTAAATGTCCATCAATAGATGAACAGATAAAGAAAATGTGGTACATAGACACAACGAAATACTATTCAGCCTTTAAAAAGAAGGAAATCCTGTCATTTGCAGCAACATGGATGAAACCAGAGGACACAATGCTAGATGAAATAAGCCAGGCACAGAAAGACAAATGCTGCATGATGTCATGTATGTGTGGAATCTAAAAAAATCAAACTCATAGAAATAGAAGAGCAGAATGGTGGTTACCAGAGGCAGGGGGTGGAGAGAGGGGAAATGGAGCTGCCAGTCAAAGGGTACAAAGTATCAGTTATACAGAAGGAATAAGTTCTGGAGGTCTATTGTGCAGCATGACCACTATAGCTAATAATAATGTATTGTATTCTTGAAAATTGCTAAGAGAATAGATTTTAAATGCCCATACCACCAAAAAAAAGTATGTGAGATGATAGATATGTTAATTAGCTTGATTTAATCTATAATGTATACACATACCAAAACATTACAGTTGTGCTCCCTAAATATTATTTGTCAATTAAAATTTTTATCTAAAAATAACAACCATTTATTTTATTCAGAAATCTGCAATTTAAGCAAGGCTCAGCAGGGACCTGTCATCTCTGCTCCTGTGTCATTGACCATCAGCTGGGGTGACTCTCCTGGGCCTAAGGACGCCTCTCTAAGGTGGTTCATGTACATGGCTGGCATCCACCAGCTGGGAGCTCAGCCAGGGTAGGCCTATCTCTAATCTTCGGTTAATCCCCAGATTGACTAAAGATAAGTAGTGCAAACGAGAATTACTTGAAACTTCTTCAAGCATGTGCCTTACTCTCAACTGACAAATGACCCTTCAGAGAACACTAAGAAAGGTTGCTCTGATGCTGGGACTGTTTCCTTTACAGCAATGACAGGAAGTGAGGCGAAAACATTTGTTATTTAGGTCTTTGTCAATGCCAGGAGAGCCCCCTGAACTTTACAGCAAAAAAAAACAAACAAAAAAACTCTGAATGTGTTTTTTCTTTTCTAATAAATTTCATTATGTATATTTGAGGCTTCAGATATATTATGGGACACATATAGATAGTAAAATTGTTACTATAGTGAAACCAATACATATCTATCATCTCACTTAGTTACTTTGCGTATGTGTGACAAGAGCAGCTAAAATCTACTTATTTAACAAAAATCCCTAATACAATTTTATTAACTATAGTTCTCATGTACCACATGATCTCTAGACTTGTTCATCCTATGTATCTGCTATTTTGTATCCTTTGACCTGTATCTCTCCATTCTCCCCACCCCTCACCCATGGTAATTGCTGTTTCATTCTCTATCTCTGTGTATTTGAGCTTGAGCTTCTCTTTTTTTTATTCCACGCATAAAAGAGAACATGCAATATTTTTCCTTCTGTGTCTGGCTTATTTTACTTAGCATAATGCCCTCAAGCTTTAACCGTATTGTGGCAAATGGCAGGACCTCTTTTTAAAGACTGAATAATATTTCAACAATAAATAATATTCCATTGTATACATAAAGACATATACATACACACAATGCAATATTACTTATTTACACACATACTAAAGTTTATATTATGGTGTATATATATATGCTTCTTTTATGGTATATATAAATTTATATTGTGGTACGTCTGTGGTGTGTGTGTGTATATATATGTATATACACTGTAATTCCTTTATCCTTTCATCCATCGTTGGGTGTTTGGGTTGTTTCCACATTTTGGCTACTGTGAATAATGCTGCAATGAACATGAGAGTACAGATATCTTTACGAGGTGGTGATTTTATCTCCTTTGGGTATATACCCAGAAGAGGAATTGCTGGATCATATGGTAGTTCTATTTTTAATTTCTTTAGAAACCTCCATACTGTTTTCTGTAATGGCTGTACCAAAAGACATCTGAATTTTATGGATACCTTTTAGTCACAGCTCCTTTTTGGAATGTCTCCTTTGTAAAATACTTTAAATAGCTGCAAGAAGATGGGGGAGAGGGTGAAAAGATGCATACAAATTCTTGTGTCTCTGACAGAGAATAAGCAAATAGCAGAGATTAGTTTTTCCTTAATCTTCTTTTTTTTTTTTTTTTTTTGAGACAGAGTCTCACTCTGTCACCCAGGCTAGAGTGCAGTGGCACAATCTCTGCTCACTGCAAGCTCCACCTCCCGGGTTCATGCCATTCTCCTGCCTCAGCCTCCTGAGTAACTGGGACTACAGGCACCCACCACCACACCCGGCTAATTTTTTGTATTTTTAGTAGGGATGGGGTTTCACCGTGTTAGCCAGGATGGTCTCAATCTCCTGACCTCGTGATCTGCCTGCCTCGGCCTCCCAAAGTGCTGGGATTATAGTCATGAGCCACTGCGCCCGGCCTTTCCCTAATCTTCCTACTCATGATTCAAAATAGTTCTGTTCATGGGCTTTTCGAAGGTCGTCACCATGGGCAGGATAGCAGTTGTTCCTCGTCAGCATCCTAAGGTAGTGACTACCACTGAAGCCTATCAGAGTTCATGGAGAGTTTTTAACACCGAGACCTGAATTCCAAAATGCTTTGACACTTTAAATCAGGGAAGAGGTTGGAGTGCCAGGGCTATGTCTCCCCCACCATATGCCTGACAAGTACAGAAGGCTGGGCCAGCTGTTCTCAACTCCCCTGAAGATGCTGAGACAAGTGTGGGTCACCCCACATGGCACTGAACATGCAGACAGAGACCACAGGGCTGTTGCAGAGGAACCAAGGAGGAAACAATTAAAAAACACATAAGGAGAACTGAAAGGCAAGTTTCATATTTATTTGCCCTTTTTTGCTAACTCAAAAGTTCAAGGAGGGCCTGAAGTCATTAGATGTGACAGAGTACATGTTTTGATCATGGTGCAGTAGTTCTGCATGTTGTACCTTTGCCTGTGTTTTACCATTTGAGAATGGATTTGAACAAGTCGGCTTGTCTCTGCAGTGAAAGCCCTCAGGGGGTCATCCTCAACATGAGGCACCCATTGTTGACCAAAGCCATTGGCTAAGACTTGAAGTGTTTCTCAAACACTCAAAGAACTGAAGTTGGTCTCAGAGGCCGGCATCCTTTCATCCTGTGCCTCCCACTGATGTAACTTAGTCAGATCACAGGTGTGCTAACAAGGCAATTGAAAGCAAACTCTTTTTGCCAGCAATATAAACACACTCCAGGTTCTTTTTTTTTGAAATGGAGTCTTGCTCTCACCCAGGCTGGAGTGCAGTGGCGCGATCTCAGCTCACTGCATGCTCCGCCTCCCAGGTTCACGCCATTCTCCTGCCTCAGCCTCCTGAGTAGCTAGGACTACAGACACATGCCACCACGCCCGGCTAATTTTTTGTATTTTTAGTAGAGACGGGGTTTCACCATGTTAGCCAGGATTGTCTCGATCTTCTGACCTCGTGATCCGCCCTCCTCGGCCTCCCAAAGTGCTGGGATTACAGGTGTGAGCCACCGCGCCCAGCCCTCCTAGTTCTTTTTTTCCTTCACTGCTCTCATCACTTATTAGTTTACCACCATCTTCTTGGCTTCTAGGAGATTTGTCTCCTGATTTTTCTTGATTTCTCGGGTTGCCCTTCCTCATTCTCCTCACAGACTCTTTGTCACTTCTCACACCTCCACCTCCTCATCAGGCCACTTTTCTCTTCATTCTTCCAGCTCTCAGCACCTCATCCTCCCTCATGGTCTAAGACGATCCCGCTCCCCGCTGACCGTCCCTGTGGTAATAGAAGCTACACAGAGTGACAGCACCCACTCGGCAACACAGTCTTTCACCCCAGTTACTGTAGTGGCCTTCTACAATGTTCCCTGGTCCATGATCTTGCCCCTTCCTATTGCATCTTTCACACTGTTGCCAGCATAATTGTTCCAAAATAGAAATTCCATCATGCCACTCTCTACTTTCAATCTTTTAATGGCCCCAGTGGCTTTGGGGCCATTAACATCTAATTTGGGGATAAAAATCTAAATTCTTAATATGGTATAGAAGCCTGTTCCACCTGGACCTGTCTACCTCGGCCCTCACAGGTGCCCTTCACCATCCCCATCCCAAACAACTTGCATTTTAGCACATACACCATGCTATTTCTCATCTCTGTCCTGGAACCCCCTCTCCTTGCCTCCTACAGGATGCCCAACTCTCATGTGTCTTTCCAAAAGCAGCTGATGTTTCCTCTTCAGAAAGAAAACTCTCATTCTTCAGGCTACAGCAGGTGCCTTTCATGTGTGCTTCCTCTATCAAAGCACATTACAACAATAATTCTTATTTTGCTGTTTGTTAATTTCTTCATATCCCTCTTCCTGTGTGCCTAGTTCTCAACCGCAAGCATGTTTGAGATACTCAATAAGTATTGCACGAATCAATTATAGCTCAACCATGGATCAATATGTACACTACTTTTCTTTGGTCAGTTCTGACTTGTTTCACTTCCTCAAGTTGCTCCTATTCTAGCAAGAGAGACAGAAAAGTAAGTAGATATTCCTAGTATAATAATCTCAGAGGATTCATGGGCCCTCTAGGCTCATCCAGAAATCCCATATTAACAACTATAAACAATGAGGAAATAGACACACACAGGACAAATCAGAGAACATCATTCTTTAGTAACATATAGTGTCAGAGCCTTGTCAGAGCATTTGCATTTATTTATTTATTTTGAGAGAAACAGGGTCTCACTCTATCGCCCAGGCTGGAGTGCAATGGCACAATCACAGCTCATTGCAGCCTCAAACTCCTGGACTCAGAGATCCTCCCACTTCAGCCTCCCGAGTAGCTGGGACTACACGTGTACGCCCCTAGGTCTGACTAATTTTTTAAATTTTTTGTAGAGATGGGGGTCTCCCCATGTTGTCGAGGCTGACCTTAAATTCGTGGGCTCAAGCAATCCTCCCACCTTGGCTTTCCAAAGCACTGGGATTACAGGCATGAGCCACTGTGCCAGCCCCAGAGCATTTGCTTTACAAAATAAGGCTGAAGAGTTCAGAGCCATACCTGCCCTCCAAGATGGTCTGTCTCCCAGTAGGCAGCAGCTTTGGATAAAGTTCACTTAGCCAGTTTTGAAACCACCTAATCAAGGTGATTCAAAACTTGGTGAGGTACTTGGTAAAATGCTTTGTGGTAATCCTTTGTTTTACTCTGATATACCAATCTCATAAACTTTAACAAAAAAATTACCGCCTAGCTTTTTATTTCTCTTCACCCAAGAGTCTCTTTCCTGGGGTCCTCTGTGGTCTACAATTTCCTTGGGAAGTTTCCATCCTGTCTTTCTCATCTTGCCATCTTCAATCTGTTTCTCTTCTGCTGCTCCCAGCCCTACTTTCAACAATCTAATTCACAGAGTATGGACCCTCATTTCAGCACCTGCCCTTGGCTCTGTTCACCACTTTTTTTAATCTCATGCCTTTCCTACCATGTTGAGCATTTTTGCCTCATCTCTCCTACCCCTCCCTAGACATTGGCTGGGCTTTTTCATCTTCTACTGTGAAAGCACCTGATCTGGTCACCACCGTGTGGCACCTAGGCAGTAGCCTCTGGTTTGCCCTGAAATGTCATCACCAAAATGCACACTGACTTCACAACTATGACACTGACTATAGTAAGAAAGAGTATGACAGCAACACACAGCACTGGGGTCAGGGTTTCTACATCTCATTTCCCTTTGCAACTGGTATGACCCCTGTATGAGTTAACTGGCTTGATTGTTTAGAGCTATAGTTCTTAAGCTTCTTGTGAGCTGCAGAGCCCCCTACTCAGATAAACTCTTAGTGCTAGCAAGTAACATTTAAAACGCTGACTGGTTCTGGCTGATGTGGGCGTAGAAGTCCAGAGCCTCCTTTGCCTCTTGTTCCCATGACCCTCAGGGATTCTGCAGAGCCCCAAGGTTTGAAAAGCCCTGGGGGAGGGTACTTTTTTTTTTTTTTTTTTTTTTTTGAGACGGAGTTTCTCTCTTGTTGCCCAGGCTGGAGTGCAGTGGCGTGATCTCCGCTCACTGCAACCGGGATAGGGTACGTTCTAATGAAGCCCGTGTGGCAAGCTCCACACCATTCAGGTTTTGCCATAGGCTATGCAATATCCCAGAAACCAATGTGACTTCATGGTTATGTGGATAGATCCTAGGAAAGACTGTCAGGTTCAAAGCCCCACTCCCCCAGTCACTAGCTGAGGCTGATTGGACAATTTACTTAACCTCTCTGTGCCTGAGTTTTCTCATCTCTTGAACAGTGATTATAATGGTTCCTGCCCCTTTGTTTGTTAAGAAGATTAAATGAGCTCACAGCAGAAAGGGCTTAGAAGAATACCCGGCCAGGCACAGTGGCTCACACCTGTAATCCCAGGACTTTGGGAGGCCGAGGTGGGCAGATTACCTGAGGTCAGATGTTTGAGATTAGCCTGGCCAACATGGTGAAACCCCGTCTCTATTAAAATACAAAAATTAGCCAGGCATGGTGGCACACGCCTGTAATCCCAGCTACTCGGGAAGCTAAGGCAGGAGAATTGCTTGAGCCCGGGAGACAGAGGCTGCAGTGAGCTAAGTTCATCATGCCACTGCACTCGAGCCTGGCCGGCAGAGTGAGACTCTATGTCAAAAAAAAAAAAAAAAGAATGCCTAGCTGATCTAGAGAGGTGGTAGATAAATGTTTGCTACTATTATCTTCTAAAACCATACACTGTCCTTAAGGAAGACCCAGGGACACAGTGTAAGTGACTCAGCACAGCCTTCCATTACCACAGAACACACCCTGTGGTGGGAGCCAACACAGTCCTCCTCCTGCATGGGGTATGGCAGACTGGTCCTTTGCAAACTGTGTCTTAGAGTACATAAAGTGGTAGCTCAAGTTCCTAAAAAGGGACATTGACTTCATCCAATAGAACAACTGGCTCCACAAAGGAGTTTATTTCCCAAAGTCTACTACAGATTTAGGTCAAGTGAAAGATTATACACAGTGCACAGCTTTTCAATGGAAATGGACTGGGCCATTTGATTAGACTTGTAAATTCTAAGGTTAATTGGGAGTTGAGCATTGCAATTTCAGGAAATTGGTTACTAGGCATGTTTGTATATTTCTGAATCTGTCCCGTTTATAGCTGCAAATATATGCCATTAATTTATGATTTTCTTTCTACAGGCTTCACCAGGGTAAACACAAATAAAGAGATTAGTCATTAAACCCAGAAGGAATTTGAGAGCAGGGCATAAAATTTAAAGAAGGTTATACCCTGAAAAAAAAAATGATGTGAGAACTAAAGGCAACAGAAAATTAGCTGCTAAATCTTTGGGATAATGCAGTTTTACAGGTTGTTTTTAATAATACTTGCTATATTGTACTTTAATCTGTGATCTTCCAAGCTAAGCTAAGAAACTCCCAAGGGAAGAAGGGTAGAGGCCTAAGTAGTGTAAATAGATCTTTCCTAGAAAAATCTTTTCTTTCCTGAGTTTGTGTTTCCTTTATTACTTTTTGCTCATCAAACCTAAGGGGAACATATAAAGTATAGATACGGACTCTACTTCCAGAATGCCTACTTTCCCGACTAAAATCTGGAATGAGAAGAAAGCTTGGAACTGTGATTCTTAAGGCTCAGCCCGAATCAGATCCCTTCCCAGCCAGCACAGGAAGTGTAGGAACAGCTTTGTCAGCATCTTCATGCTCATGCCCTTGATGAAAGAGGAAGGAACTGGTAATGATATGGTCCACAATACCTTATCCTCAGTTCCAAAATCCCAAAAGCCCTGCAACCAAAAGTTTTTCACATATTTGACATAAAAACTCCATAGGTGGCAAAAAATCTGACCTTTTTGACATGAGGTTCTACATAGTCACTACTGACCTGAGGATGACGATGCATATATGTTGTGGTCAAAATATTAATACATTTGCTTATGAGGTGCTGACCCAGAC
The DNA here is from genome assembly GCF_000001405.40 of Homo sapiens. Taxonomy (NCBI): domain Eukaryota; kingdom Metazoa; phylum Chordata; class Mammalia; order Primates; family Hominidae; genus Homo; species Homo sapiens. The sequence continues at coordinate 128,470,588 of NC_000004.12, read as the reverse complement.
TCTACTGGAAATACTACATATGCAATATATACCATTTACCTTTCTAACATCTGAAAAGTTCTGAAATCCCAAATCTGTCTGGTGGCCGAGTCCTAAGTGATTTGAGGTGAGAAGAGGTCTGAGAAGACAGGACACCACTGTGGCTCTGCAGAAGGAAAGTGACAGCATATCTAGAAAGCTGGTGTACTTCAGATGAACAGGAACTCAAAGGGAGCTGTCAGGGGCATCCATTTCAGCCTGAGGAGCAGAAAACCAGTGCAATGCATGACACAACAGTCGCTAGCCACACTCCTTAACTGACTGCCCATCCCTGTCTGCTGGTACCAGTCGAGGCCCAGGTAAGCACAGAATGGGAGATATTGCCACACCTACCCTCCCAGAATCCTCATCTCAGGACCCACAGCAGTATTTTTGCAAGCATCTTTCTTCATTTTTTCTTCTCTTTCACCATCTCTCCACTTCAGTTTCTCTTCCATTCTTCCAAATTCCACACTATTGTCACTCAGAATTCACTGGTGGTGATGGAAAGTCTAGGAAACCTGAAAAGAGCAAAATAAGTTTCCACCCTGGTTATACCTTTTTTTATTATTATTATTCTGGATTCAGACTGCCTGGGTTCAACTTATGACTCTACCACTTCCTAGCTATGTGACTGTAAACAAATTATTTCATCTCTTGTTGACTTAATTTCCTTGTCCATAAAATAGGGATAATAGTACCTACCCTAGACAGTTGTTGAGAGGATTAAATGAGCTAATAATATTAATATTATTATGTGAGCTAATATTAAATGAGCAAATATTATTATTAGCTAACAGAAAGTGCTTGGCATATAGTGAGTGCTTCGCAAACATAAGCTGCTATCATTTTTATATGTGTCTGTAACTGTCTTCTAAATAAATTTCATACACTGACAATGTGCTTTTTTTCCCTGTAGAATTCTTTACATCCATTTCTTAAGTTGGTACCATAATGGCATTTGATGGTCAATAATTACTTGGTAAAAATGAAGATAAAGGATAAGACAACAAAGAGATAGATGCACAATCAAAACCTGAGTATAAAGTTCCAACATTGCTTTCATGATATCGCCTACTATAACATTCTGGTGGTGTGCACAGTTTCTCCCTCTCCTCTTTCCTCCTCTTGCTAATTTGTTTTGAAAGCTAAAAAATAAAATGAAAAAAGGGTAATGAAACATTTGATATACAAATTTGAAATAAAACTATTAAGCAGAGACAAATCTTTGAGGTAGTTCATATTATATTCACATTTTTGTTTTCAGATTACCTATAAACACTAATGTAAATAATGTAATAATCCAATTGTCCAACTAATAACACACTGAGAACAGTTAATTATGCATTAAACTGAAGCCCAATTATTTGTGTATGGCAACTAGAAATCTTTCCAATGATATATCCTTCCCTGATACCCCACAAACTGTCCTAGAGGTTATGCCTTGGAGTAGATGTCTCCTGACTTCCCCACCACGTTTAGAGTAATGCCTGTCCAAACTGGCATTGTGGGCCATCTCTACCAGTGAAATCATAAACTTCATGTACATTTTTAGTGTCCCCAACTCTGAGTCCATGGTTGTACTGGGAAGGCTGGGAACCCTATATACTAATCTACTCCTCTCTCACCTACTCTGACTACGGAATTAATGTCAAGACTGATATAACTTTTTTTTTCCAGGGTCAGCCCTAAACGGACCAACCCATATCTGTCTCAGTCAAGTTCACCTTCACCCCACTTTATTTATCAAAAAAGTATTCACTAAAAAAATGTCCAACTTAAGGAGAAAAAAAGAATCACAGCTAAATGTGGGTTTAAAGCTGGAGAGACTTAAGATTGAAAAACTGCCAGTTCTTACTGCTCACTTACTCACATGAGGGTTTACAGCTCCTGAAATCATGCCAGGGCTTTGAAAATGAAAGCTTGCAGTTAGAAAACGATGGCTCATGACAGCAAGGATCAGTCATGTGACAGGCCAAGCGTTTTCTGTCATTGCTTCCCTCAATCAGACAGAGCTTAGAAATGGAGGTTAATCGGTGAGATAGCATCCACAGAGGCTGAGGGCAGCAGAATTCAGCCACAGCAATTAATCATTTAATTGCTTTCTGATTCACTTTAAATGTCTTTTAAAAAGATATTAAAGAAAAACATTATTGAAAGGACATTTTAGACTATTTAATAAAGATCCAATATGCCCTTTGTGAACCAGAAAATAAATGGATCTCTAGCCCACCTCTGTTCAATGTTTTCTTGGGCAACACTTACTTATACAGAGGAAAGCATGACAGTCTCTGCTCCTGGCAGGAGAAATAGCACATATAAAAGCACTTAGGAAAGAAAGCACGGGTATAAATAAAAAAATGGATTTTTTTGTTTTTAGGGTTTTTGTCTGTTTTTTTGGCTAAAGAGTAGGATGTGTGAGGGGTGGAGAGGAAAGCCTGGAAACCTAGCAGACTACATTTTAGAGGACCCAGAAGCCAAGATAAGGAGCCCAGACTTGATCTATTAGGCAATGGGAGCCACTAAAGGATTCTGAGTGGAGGAAGCAGTATGGTTAGGGAACAGCATAAGCTGAGGGACCCAGTGGCCCTGGGTTCTCATTCCAGTTTTGCCCCTCATTAGCTTGCATGAATGTGGGCCCATGTGCCTTTTTTGGTGCCTTCCAAACTGTACAATGGAGGTAATAATACCATTTCCAGGGTTATTGCAAACATTACAAATAATATATGTGACATAGCAACCCCAGGGCCTGGCATAGAAAGGATACCTATTAAATGGTGTTAGCTGTTACTACTGCTGTGCTCTGGGTAGGAAGGTTGAAAGGGAAGAGATGGGAGGAGGGAGAGCTTGGAGGTCCAGGCAAGAGGTCCAGAGGGCCTGGACTGGACAGAGTACAGGCAAGGAGGGCGGCAAAGGCAGGATCCAAAAAAATGGAGGCCGAGAAAGAGTAACTTGCACAAAGCCATTTGACAATGACTGGAGGTGAGCAAAGGAGGAAGAGAAGCCACAGAGACTCCAAGGAAAGGCTGAAGTATCATGCAAGTCAGAAAGATACAAACTTCTACACAGATCCAATATAAACAGTTATGTCAATAAATGCCAAACTGAGCCTGGATTTCTGGAATGACTATGGAAATAACCCAAACCATATTTCTTTTCCCATCTGAATTCTTAATAATAACGGCAACTTTCAAATCTGCAGAGTCAGATGATTTGGGTTGTATCATTACTCAGCATCGTACACCAGGCAGCTTCTTCTCCCCACACACCTTTGCCCGGACTCAATTCTTCACCTCACCTCCACTATGGAAGTCTGGCCATTTCCTGGGGCACTTCAACCAGCTTCATTGTCCTCACTCACTTTACAGGCCTGACAGCACACATGACTGCTGATGCTTTCCTCAGCCTGTGACTGCCTTCCCCACAAAACTCACATTCATGGATAACAGGTAGAGAAATACCTGGGACTTCAGAACAGCAGTGCAGCAACTAATAACTTGTCGCACCTGACATTTTCATTAGGTACTGCATTAGAAGTGTCTTCAAGAAGCAGCTTTAGTAATTTTGTAGCACTCTGCTCAGAGGAGATTAATATGACTTACACAGAGGGGCTTCAGCCCCTTGCCCAGCACAAGCTTCCATCCTCCTCCGAGTCAGCTGTGGGTTTCAGCCCTGTCAGCTCCATGTAATTCACAAAGGAATCAGTCCACGGATACTGCCCAGCCATGCAAGTGCCTGCCAGGACACTCAGGGGAAACTTTACAGTGTGTATAAATAAGCTTTAATATTGTAGTATACCTTTTGGGATGCATGTCTAATTTGTTAGAACATGCAGAAGAGCTGACAAACCACTTTGCACCTTTTTGGCAGCATCTGCTTTGCACGGCTGTCTTGGTGAAACACAGGACCTGGGCTCCTATCTTCTTCTTCTTCCACTGAAGTTGTTCTTTTTCTTGAACATCTCTGAGAAAACATTGAATATGGTTTGACTTGGTTTCATCATTCATTCCAGGCCAAATGTCCTGCTGACTTATCTTTAATGAATATGATTGTACTGGCAGTGCAACCTGCCCAACTCCAGAGTAACAACACAAAATATAGTGTCTTGTAGGTATTAAAATGTTTTATGCTTTACAAAGGGAAGTGGGAATTGGGGAGGTGATGACAACATGAGGCCAAAGGTGGTTCACAAGTCACCTCTTCCTAGATAGGAAAGTGCTCCTTCTGAATTCTGCACAGGAAATATTATATTCCTTATCCAGCAGCACTGGGCACAGGGAAGTAAAGACCCAGCTCCTGCATGGCCAATTCGCCACTGGTGTGCCAGTCTTACTTTTTTTTTTTTGAGACAGAGTCTCGCCCTGTCGCCAGGCTAGAGTGCAGTGGCACGATCCCAGCTCACTGCAACCTCCACCTCCCAGGTTCAAGCAATTCTACTGCCTCACCCTCTAGAGTAGCTGGAACTACAGGCACACACTACCATGCCCAGCTATTTTTTTTTTTTTTTTTTGTATTTTTAGTAGAGACGGGGTTTCACCATGCTGGCCAGGATGATCTCAATCTCTTGACCTCGTGATCTGCCCGCCTCGGCCTCCCAAAGTTCTGGGATTACAGGCATGAGCAATCGCACCCGGCCACCGGTCTTACTCTTTACCCTTGGTTCAGACGAATGGAGACTGATAGCCATGGGTAAGGTTTCTACTTTTTGACCTCTGTATGTCACAATAATATTAATGATAAAAATCTAATATTCATTGAGTGCTACTATTTCTATTTTACTCCTCTGCCACCACCTTATGAGATAAGGTGTTATTATTACTCACACTTAACAGAGGAAGATACTGGGCTTTAGAGAGTATATTAGTCAAAGTTCTCCAGAGAAACAGAACCAATAGAATGGATGGATGGATAGATAGATAGATAGATAGATAGATAGATAGATAGACAGACAGACAAGAGCAGGGTTATTACGGAAACTGGCTCATGTGATTATGGAGGCTGAGAAGCCCCATGACAGGTAGTCTGCAAGCTGGAGAACAGAGGAGTCAGTGGTATAGCTCAGTCCAAGTTCCAAGGCCTCAGAATCAGTGAAGACAATGATGTAACTCTTGGTCAGAGGCCAAAGGCCTGAGAACCTGGGGGCTGCTGGTTCAAACGTCCCAGAGTCTGAAGGCCAGAGACCCTGAAGTCCTCATGTACAAGGCAGGAGAAGCTCCAGAAGAGAGAGCAAATTCGCCTTTTCCCTGCCTTTTGGTTCTCTCCAGGCCCTCAGCTGATTTGACGGAGCCCACCCACACTGGGTGAGAGCAGATCTTCCTTTCTCAGTCCACTGACTCAAATGTCAATCTCTCCCAGAAATAATGCTTTACCAACTGTCTGGGAATCCCTTAACCTAGCTGACACCTAAAATTAACCATCACAGAGAGGTAGTAATTTACCCAAGGTCAGACAGCTGGTAACCAAGAAAACTAGAACTCAACCCAGGTCTCTTTTACACCAGAGTTAGATTTAAAAATTACTGTAACTCACTGGAACAATGGCACCCCCAGATTACATTCCAGGAGCATTTACTAGAGAATTCCAGCTTGATATCTACAATTAAAAAAGAAAAAGCCTCAGTGCTTACTGCTGTAAGTTTGACTAGACACACACTTATTAACATAAAATGATCTTAACCATTTCAGGAAAAAGCAGATAACTCTGTGATATTCATTGACTTCCTACTCTATAAAAGGCACACAGCTAATTATCACTAAACGGGGGAGGAGTGTCAAAGAGTAAGATGAGGTCCCTTTCTCAGGGTACCTGCAGCTTAAAAAGATAGACAAGCCCTAAAACCATGCAATTCAAGGTCATATCATGAAAGGCATTGCAAAGGTGGATGTGATTAATTGGCAAATTAACAATACAGAGTAAAAGTGCTAGAGTGATTCAGGTGAGGAAGATTTCTTTTCAAGCAGGAGTAGTCAGGGAAGACAAGAACAGAGATGGGACTCCAGGGGGAACTGGAGGAGGGATAGCCCTTGATGAGGTTGGAGATTGCTAGAAAGTGGAAGGGGCATCCAACAGAAGTGAGAATGCCTGGAGTGGGTGAGAGGGAAAATCAATGCCAGGCAGTAAAAGCATCTTGGCAAGATCTTATGCAGCAAAAGCCTATGCATCTTTTTTCTGATCACCAAAATTTGAATTATCCAAAAGAATATTGAACCAGGTATAATATACTTTATTTTTCATCTAAGAATCTTATTTTTGTGTTTTTAATTAAAAGCTTGTCGTCTTCAAATTAATACACCAGGAGATTTTTTTTAAAACATATCAGTTTCCTCATGTATAAAATTGCCCATTTTGACTTTAAAGTCTAACAATTTGACTACATGATTTTTCTTGATAATATTGTTTAAACAAACTTCTTCTAGTGGGTAAAAGTCAAATAAATTCACCTAGGTGGATCTTTCAGAAGTAGAGGTTATAAATATGATCAGATATTTGTTTACATAATTTATTTACACACTGGGAAAATTAGCCCCTTTGAGGGAGCTGGTTTTCTTCCCAGTGCATTGATTCTCAGTTCCTGTGTGTTTTCTGATGCCTCTCACCCCACTGCAGGCCAGGCCACTGGGAAATTGGTTAACAAGTGATGCCTTTGGATTCTTTGGCATTATTGATCTTCAGGAAATCATGGCTCTCCACTCAAAGTCGGCCTTAGCAAGTTCAGAGTGAATGTGTAAAACAGGGGGTGTCAGAAAAACCTTGGCCTTTTCTTACCCATGATATTGGAGATGAGGACGATAGACTGGGGATCTAAAAATGAGATACAAGACTCTTTGCATCAGCTCTCCACACCTAGGCCTCCTCTGAGACCTAAAAATATACTGTATATGAAATGCACAGCAATAGAGCAAAACCATAAATTAAAAGTATACATTTATTAAGCACCTATCATGGGCCAGACACTGTGCTAAAAGCTTACCTCCATGACTTCACTTGATCTTCATAACTACACTGTGAGGGAAGCTCTTGTATTATATTCATCTTACAGATGAATAATGCAGGATAAGAAAGATTAGGGTGCCCAAAGCCACACAGCCAATGGGAAGGTAGACCTGGGAGTCAGGTCAAGCCTCCTTGGCTCCAGTCTTGTGACCCACTATACCATGCTTGATTGGAATGCAGAGTGAGCCCCGACAGGTAAAGCACAGTGACACACTGACACAGACTGGGTTGTGTCCTCCCAAATTTTGTATAAAGTCCCAACCCCCAAGGTGACTGTATTTCAAGATAGAGCCTTTAAGGGATCATTGTAGTTAAATGAGGTAATAAAGGTGGGGCCCTAATCCTATAGGATTGGTGTCCTTGTAAGAAGAGGAAGAGACACCAGGGTTTCTCTATTTGCATGCAAATAGAGAAAAGACCATGTGAGGACACAGCAAGAAGGCGGCCATCTGCAGGGCAAGAAGAGTGGCCTCAAGAGAAACTAAGTCTGCCAACACCTTGATCTTGGACTTACAGCCTCCAGAGCTGTGAAAAAAAAAAAATTTCTGTTGTTTATGCCACCAATTCTTTGGTATTTTTCATGGCAGTCCTAACAGACTAATACACATACCTTCTGCTATTTCACATTTGGCTTCTCTGCCCCAGCTGGGTCTGCCACAGCTACCCTTGATCCTAACTGTCTTATAGGACTCAAAATCTGGAGTAGGAGGTTTCTAAACCAGTGGGCTATTACATTTGGTTATCATGAAGACCTCTGTTGAAATACTCTGTTGGATCTCAGAACAAGCTGAAGGTGATCTAGGGCAGTGCATTTCAAACTCCCTATGGTGAAGGACCAATTTCCTCTATTCCTTTAGTGACAGATAGGTGATCCTACCATGCACGTCTGGGTAGGCAGCTCCAGTCACAAGTAACTCACCAAGAAAGTGGAACAACATGCCGTTCCATAGTATTTCCTCATCAGATGCTTGGACTTCTCAGCCAAGCAGTGGCGTGCCGCAAATGTTTAGTACCCGGTTCTTAAGGGTGGGAGGAGTCCTGATTTGTAGCATTTGTCAATTTGCATGATAAAAATACCTCCCATTATGGCTGATTTCAAGCTACCACAGTGAAGTTACTGAGCTGCAAAAATGGGAAGAAATGCCCACGATCTCTCTGGCTCTGGCTCTCTTGACTGGTACCACCCACCTCCTGCACATCATTGTAGCAATGTGCAATGCTATAAAGTTTCTAAATACAGACTGTGGATTTCTGTACTTACCTCCTTGCAGGAGGCAAATCACACTTTGCATAACACTGACCTAAATCGCTTAAGCTCAAGAGTCCCCAGAGAGGCCCCCTAAAGTCCATTAGCTCACTGTTTTATTAGGTAAAATTCTGGACTGATAAAGTTCATGCAATGCCCATGCATTGCATAGCAATAGAGCAAAACCTTAAGGTAATAGTGCACATTTATTGAGCATTTTCAGAAACGGCCCATTTAATCATAATTAGCTATGAAAAATGGCAGGAGCTCAGCTCTGGTCTTCTCTCCTTTTTTTCTTCCTTCCCTCTAGAATTATTATCTTAATGGCCTTCTCCTATCTCCTCTTTTACATTTTCCCTTCTCTTGTTCTCCCTTCTCTAAAGGATTGTTCTTCCATTTCCTTTGCCTCTTTTCAACAACATAGTCAAGCACAAGCTTCCCATTGGTCCGCTTTCTTTCCCTACAATTTAACTTTATTGTGAGAATGGATCCTACTCTTTGTTATAAGGAGCAATGAGGGGATAAGCCCACTCAAGCAACTCAAGGGTAAAACCCAAAGCAGGCAACAGCTTTAAGGGCCTGTGGGATTAAAGGCAGATAATGGAGTGTTACTTTAGCCCTCTTTATCCTTGCTTTCCCAGAACCAATTCTGCTTTGTTCTGTTTTCTTTTTTTCAAACAGAGCCAGTCATCAGTAGCATAGCCAAGGCCGTGGCTTACAGAAAAGGGATCAACAGCAACCAGAGTGGGGAGTGACCTATGCTGACATCCAGACAAGAGGTAATTAGAGCTGACCTTGGGAGGTGGCCATGAGAATAGAAACAAAAACACAAATACAAGCCATAAAGCCACACGTGGAAGTAAAATCAACAAGATTGGGCTACTGATTAGAGATGGAACAGCAAGGGCAAGGGAGGAAGACGGCACAAGGTTTCAATGCTGACGGCAGCCACATGAGTCATCCTGGAGCTCAGCTTCAATTGAGTTACTCAAATGAGAAAAAGCCTTGCATGGCTGCAAGCCTACTGCACATACAGTAAAGCCTAAATTCCTATATAAGGACTGCCACAGTTTTGCATCAATTTATCATCGACCTTGGACTCACTCATTCATTCAGCAAACATGTATTGAACAGCTACTATGTATTATGCTGGATCAGGAAATTAAAAATGAGGAAAAAGCACAGTTCCTGAGTTTGAGGAGTTCAGCAGCCTGAAAGGGGTATCCTCCAAATAAATCAATACATACATGCACAGCCTCTGTTCACAATGTTCTCTTCATCTGAAATCCCTACTATTTACTGAGTACCCACTACATGCCAGAGACTGCTCTTGGTCCTGGGGACATGGTTGAGTTACTTCTGCCCATTTCCTAACTAGAGCTGTAGATATATTCATATATTTGTCTGCATAGAGTGCTGAGGTCATGGGGACCACAAGAAGAAGAGAGCCAACACTAGACTCTTGGAGTAATGCTTCTATTTCATGGGTTGGGAAAGGGAGAAGAGCCAGAAGTGATCAGAAGAAAAACCTGAGAGGGAAGAGAAAAACCAATCACAGAAGATGGGAAGTAGAGAGTTTCAAGAATAAAGGAGAATGTGTTCTGTGTTCAGTACAACACAGAGGCTAAGAGAGAAGGCTAAGAAAGTCCCCACACAGTCACTCATTTCTGTTAAAAGATGGCAAAGATTAATGAATAAACTGACAGAAGAAAGGCTAAAGATGCACAACAGAGCAATGCGGTGCTTTACAAAGACTCTGGAGCAGGAATTAGGAAGGTACAGGATTTATGGGCAGGAGTGGAAAGGTTGACCTTGGAAAGAAGAGAGAGACTTCTTCCCCCCAAATTAGAAGAAAATAAATGAATATGCAGACATGAATTCAGGGTGGTCACAGAGGCCCCAAGAAGGGTTTGCAGTCAGCCTCATGTGTGAATCCCAGCTCTGCTACTTACTTTCTGTGATATTGGGCAAGTTATTCGGACCCTCCAAGCCTCAGTTTCTTCACCTACAAAGAGGATATGATAATGCCTTTTTCATAAGGGTGTTGTGAGGATAAGTTGAGAAAATGTATATGCAACCAGCTTCCCCTTTGCCTTACCAGTACATATGGGGTCATCAAAATAAATTCTACTGTCCCTTTCCCCCTCTTTGTTCACACTGTGGTCCTCCACAAAGTGCTCTTGCAAAAGAGCTTGCAAGGGAGCCCACCCCACTGCACTGTGTGGGTCAGCCAAGCCTCTGCTGTCCCAAAACTACTGCAGCTGAGGTCCTGGAACAAACAAGATGTCAAATCCAAACAATGCCATCTTGTCCTACAGAGTGTTCCCAAAGCAGCCTTTTCTGTTTTTACTTAAAGCTTTCCCCAACCCACCCTCTACAAATCTCAGCTAGGGCCTGGCTTGAAACCTGAGTGACAAGTACCATGTTACATCTAGCATTATTCCCTCTCTCCCATGACCAGCTTGCAGTCAAGCTCCTAGCAGGCTCTCTGTCCTTCATATGAATACATTTTTGGTAGGCCCCACATCGCTAATTTGCTAGGTACCTCCTGATATATGTCAGTCTCAATCTAGGCTAGCATAGAACTTAGCACACAGCAGGGACTCGAGAGAAGTGAGTCCTGCATCATGGTTTTATTTATACTTCCGATTTGGGATGCCCCTTCTCCCATTCTCAGTCACATCTGTGTTTTACCCAGGTGCTCAAAGATTGGTGAGCTGGTAAATGTTTAGCAACCAGCCCTCTGGGAGAAACTGCCTGATTTTGTAGTGTTTGCTAATTTCCATGGTGTAAACACTCTCACCATGGCCAATTTCAGTCTACCAACATGATTTCAACCACCTTGCAAAATTCCTGAAAATGTAACAATCAGTTCTTCCAAGCTTGTATGAGCTGTCTCTAGCACACCACTCAACAGGTTACCTGGAAATCCTGACTAGTAGCTTATTGAAGTAGCTCTGAAGTTTGTGTCCATTTAATAAAGCCCTGTGCACATGCAGCTACTGCTTTGTAAAGACAACATCCCACCCCAACTGCACTGCAATGGGGATGAACTATAAGGGCATCAAAGTCTCATTTAGAGACCTTCACTATTTTCATGTGGTTTGAGAAAGGATTATATTTAAATGGCATTTTGGCATTTTGGCATTTTGAGAGAAACAGACACACCCTGACGAGTAAAATCTCAGGGATGATCACTGAACAAAAACACTGTCACCAAGTAAGTAAATAGTGACAAGTTTATAAGATGCTGTTGGCAGTAGCTGGATTTCTCAGTGCTGAACACTTGAGTTGGGCATAGTGGGAGCGGCTGGTTAGCCATTTGTCAGGCTAAGTCAAAACAGCCCTCCAGCTACAGCACAGACGGCAGACTGCAGCTCATCAGCATTTTATTTATGACTCTTAATTAGCAAGCAAAAAAGGAGGGAAGAAGTTCCCAGCTTGGGATATACATACTTATACATATATATTTTTCCCATAAATTATCTTTGTCAAAATAATTTAAATTCCCATGATCCCAAGAGGTAGGCATTATAATTTACATTTTATCAGTAGGAAACTCCATCCTAGAAGGTAAGTGTAATTATCCTAATTTTACCAGTGAAGGTTTAGAGAGGCCAAGTGATTTTTCCTAGGTAACACAGCTAGAACATGGCAGAGCCGGGAGTTGAACCAGTCTTTAGATTCTAATGCAAAAGCTCTTTCAATCATATCATGGTTGGCTCTTACTTGGCATGTTGGAATAATAGTCCATTGACTTGGGCTAAAAGAGCATTGACTACTAAACTCATTACACTTGTGAATAAACTCCTGGTTCTTATGGTTAGAATTGTATCTTTGTTTTTGGTTTTGTGTTTGTTTGTTTTTGAGAGAGTCTTACTCTGTCGCCCAGTGGCACGATCTTGGCTCACTGCAAACACCACCTCCTGGGTTCAAGCGATTCTCGCACCTCAGCCTCCCAAGTAGCTGGGACCACAGACGTGCACCACCATGCCTGGCTAATTTTTATATTTTTAGTAGAGACGGGTATCACCACGTGGGCCAGGCTGGTCTCAAATTCCTGACCTCAAGTGCCTCCCCTGCCCTGGCTGGGATTACAGTCATGAACCACTGAGCCTGGCCTAGAATTGTATCTTTGGAAGGAGGGAAGTTATCGAGTGAGTGTGGAACACAGGACCACTAAGTGAGGCAGGATGACTCCCTGTTTGCTTTTGAAGAACCTGGAGTCTTGCTTTGTGACTGACAGAGTCAATCACAGGGCAGGGAATAAAGATCAGATCCCCAGAGCCCAGGAGTCTGAAGTGACTCTGATGATGGAGAAGGGCTCTGAGCTGCTGGGCCTTTGAGTGACTGTGAGGTGTAAGAAGCATCAGAAGCATGAAAAGGGCTGGCAACTCTAAACACGTCCAATCACTTCCATCAGCCATCTGTTTCTATGGCATTTAGAGAGTGCTACAACTGAGTACTGCTGATCACTGATTTGGTGGAAAATAACCTGATATTTACATAATATTTAAAAATCTAATCTTTAATTATTAATACATAAATCATCTTTAATACGGGTTTGTTTCTTAACTCCTGTGAACCTCAAAGGATAAAGTATTTATATTATTCCCAAGGGTCGTCCCATGCCTTATTAAAGAATGAACTGAAACACAGCAACTTCTGGGCTCTCTGAGGAGGTGTGGTCAGTTCTACAGAGGTCACAAGTATTTTTGGCTCTTGGTTCTTTCCAGAGCCAGGAAAGGACTGCACTTCTCCATCCTCTTGAATGAACTATCTGTTGTAATGTGTGTCACTTCAGGGTGGAAGAGTTAGCTAAGAGTTGGTGAACGATTATCCATGCCAGCTTCCCCTGCCACAGTGATCCCGGCAGCACACACTGAGATGACAGACTGTCTGTCAATTGGGTCCCTGAGTCACTCTGTCAAACAGAATCTCGACTAAGTTTTGGAAGCTGTTGTTACCACTGCATAACTTCACCTATCCTTCTAGGAAAGGAGATTAATTTGGCAGAGGAGGCTAACACACATTACATCTGATATTTCATTAGCCAAAGTAAGTCACATCACCATGCTTAACTTCAAGAGGACAGAGATGAAAAGTAAAAAATAGGAAGTCAAACTCCCAGATGCCTTGAATCCCAGGGGAAATCTGGAATTCCAAGTCCCTGAAAAAGTCATGTCTGGGGTGCTGTTCTTCCTGAAGTGCACAAGAGAAAATTAAAGTTGGAAAATTGGTCAAAATGAATTTATACCTTCAGGTATAGATGACCAGAAAGGATCTAAACTCCTTAGAACTTAATAAGAAATCTCCTGAGCTGAACATGAAATTGAGATTGGGTCAAATCAATTTAACAAACACCCATTGAGTGCCAATTCCTTGTACAATGACAGTGCTGTGTTACACATTGCAGGAAATGCTTAGGAGTATAGAAGCCCTGTCTTTCTTTCAAGGAACTTAATGATCTAATTAGTGAGCTCAAACTCAACACCAGAGAGAACCACATAATAAAACTGTTAAATAAAAGCTTCAAATACTGGTAAATAGGATGCCACAAAGCCAAGCACTTAGTGACAAAATTCACCATATATGGAAATCCCTATCTATATGTTGAAGGGGCTCAGTCACCTCTGAAAACTAACCATAGTTTGCCCTTGCTTCATCCTCACATCTGCAGTTAATACACTCTTGTCAGTGGCTTATGGCTGAGGCTGACTACAAGCGCTACAAGTGGAAGAGATGGAGGGGATGTTCAGGCTCTCAAGAAAAATAGCTGAAGAAGAAAAAGCTCCTCAAGTTCTTGGTGGCTCAACTGGAAGTAGCCAAAAGCAAATAAGCTGCCCGTGGGGCCTGCCTTGTTTTGCCACATGCCCTCAGCATAATAGTGAAAGGACTAGAGGAAGGCCAAGGCCACAGCCAAGAAACTGCAGCATCTGGCAGCTATCTGGCTTTCATACCCCGTGTGCCCCCCTTGCCCTGCTCCAGATGGCTTGGCTGCATCAACCAGGGATGCTGCCAATGCACTGGGCAACAGGTGAGGAGCTCATTGCTGAATATGTCATGGCGCCTAGAAGTAGCACCAAGAGGTAGCACTCGAGAATCTGTCTTTGGATTAAAATGCAAGCTTGAGACCTTATTAAGGAAGACTTGACTATAACAAGGAGACTGGTATCTAACTCAGCCACTCCCCTCCCTCAGCCTAGTCCAAACCAAGCTGCGCTATGCAAAATACATGGCATCATGGTTCAAATGAAGGATCTGTACCTCTTTCCCCAAGTTTCTGGAATCATTGAAGATTGAGTGTAAATTATCACTCTTATGTGTATTCTCCAAGCTTCATGACTGCTTTCTTGTAAAGAAGAAAAGAGGTTCCTTTCTCTCTTCCTAGAGTCTGAGCAACTCACCAGGGTAGTACCCTGACAGCAGGATATCCAGCATCGTTGAGCCTTCCTTTGTATGGGGAAAGGGACAATATGTCAAATTTGGTGTCTACCACATCCACGGTCCTCCTGAAGGGAACAACCATGCCCATAGCCCAGGCTGGGGGACAGCCCTGCACAGGTCTAAAAGTGACTCAAAGGTGGCCAAGCAGAGCCTAACTCATCCCCTGGGAGATGGCCTGGCCTCCAAAGCTCTGTCCAGACAGGAAGAATGCAATTAACTCAGCCAATGAGTCTCTCTTCCCTTCCTCCTTCCCTTCCCCCTCCACACTTCCCTCAAAATTAACCAGGAAATACAGGGAAAATAGTCTCTGAATTGTTAGTGGGACCAGAAGCTAAAAAGATGTACCCAGAGAGCAGGTGCCATGTAGGAAAGCTATGGGACAGAGGGTATGAGGGTGTCAAGGTCAAGACTAAGCTGAAGAAATGAGTTAAGGAAAAGGTACACAGAGTTGAAGGTGAGGCCAAGCAGCCGTAGTGGTGTACACAGAGGCCAAGTCCCTGTGCTGGATAGGATGGGGATAGGCCCACAGCTGAGCTGTGCTGGACCCTAGACTGTTGCTGAGCCCAGCTCCAGCCTCCTGTGGCATTTTGCACACTACTTACCCATGAGAGTCCTGTCTCTAACCCCCAACAGCTGCCAATAACCCCCAACAGCAAGGCTGCCTCAGTGTATTCCAGCTCTTGCCCTCACACTTCCTAGCATGACGAGGGCCAGTTTCCACAGATAGTTGGACAGTGGCCAGGCTAGACCAGCCCTGACACTCCTTCACCCATGTCACCAGATGCTTCTCATATCAGGCACATGACACCTAGCACGTAAGGTTATATTGCTCCTTATTGTTCAGGGTTTGATGCGATCTCAACAGCTATTTGTTGTGTAAAATATTTTTAGCATGAGATTTCTATGTGTATGGGGGACCTGGAGGAACAGTTAGGGAAGAAGAGAATTATCCTAGCAGCCGACTGTGTCACATTCTTGATGATGTGGTCAGTGCCCTGCCCACATACATGCTCAAAAAATAATTGTCAATAATGCCGTCTTCATCCCACCTTCCTGTGTTTATAAAAGACAAGTGCAGAGAATTGAAAATGAGGTCTCAGGGGATCCCAGGCAATTGAAACTCTTCCTTCCTCCCTCAGGGAGTGAATCAGAGAACACGTAAGTGCACTCATGTGGTCTTCATAGAGAGATACTGCACAGGGCAGTAGATTTCAGGGAGGAAAAGAAAAGAAAAACCTTTTCAAGTCCATTTAAAACAATCCATGCAGCTGTTTCCTGAACTCTTCCAGAAGAACTGAAATACAAAACGCTACCTCTTCCCTCCATCACCTCCCCCCCACCTCCGCCCTCCTAACTGGCTTTCAGGTGACGCAATGATGAGACCTCTGCGGTGAGCTCTCATCTGGAGGGATGCAGAAAGCCAACGGAGCATGGGGTGCTGCCACCTCTTGGATGTTCATAGCCAAAGCAAGTCTCTGTCCCAGAAAGGATGTATTTCGGTGATATTATGAAATGTTAACGGGCAATCTGTTCTGAAATAATTGCTCAGTGTGTTGGCCTCCTTTTCCATTTTAGAATTTCAAAGGCATTGCAGGCCGAAAGCAGTGCCAGCCTGTTAGTGGTACCTACACTGATTAAATCCAGCCCATCATAACCACAGCTACACAAAAGCTCTTTTTCCCAATTAATGAAATGCAATTAATGGTATCATTGAAAAACTCCTGCCACTTCAATTTAAAGCTATTTAGAGCTTCAATTTAGAACTGTGTGCATATTTTAGAACATGCTTTTTTTTTTTTTTTTTTTTTTTTTTTAGCTGACACGATTAACAGCACCTAATTTCTGGGATACGCCCAAGTTTCAGTAGGGGAAAAAAAGAATGTTTACCAGAAACATACACAATAATAATGGCCTCCTTTCCCTTCCTTTCCTAAACACACAAACACACACACACACACACACAGAGGCTCACACACGTGCAACCCAGTTCAGTTCCAGTTATTCAACTGTTACAATGTCTCCCTCCCTTGTGGAAAACCTGATAGGTCTATGTTGGAAATATCTAGGGTGCTCTGATGTAGGATACAAATTCCAAGGCCTTTATTGCATGATGGTCCTTTTGAAATATTTATATTGATCGGCCCAGTTCCTGAGAGGAAATAGGTTGTTTCTCTTATTCTCCCAGGTATAGGTCATTTGAGCAGTTGGGCTGTCATTTTTTTAATCTCCACATTTCCCTAAGGATAGTGAGAGGATGATTTAAACGGCAACATTAGCTGCTTTAGGCTAGATTTTCAAAGCTACACCAGGGGAGTTAAAAGCCCAAATCCTGTTATTGTTACAGGATTAATGCACAGAAATCCCAGAATACCACTTTGGAATTGTAGCCAAGGAATATTATTTTAATGTACTATGTGTTATTTTTAGACTCAGATATAGCCCAATTATCAGCTGGTGTATCAAAAATGAGACAAGACAGATAGCTGTCTTGTCTTTAATCCAAAATTCCAATGATGTTTTTGGTGTTTGTGTTTTCTCACCCCTTAGAAATCTGGATATTTGGAGGAAAAAGGTAAAAGATAGAAACTACAGCAGCTACCTCCTACCTGCTTGGTTGCTATAGAGGCTGCTTCTTAGAGTACTGGTTCTATAGAATATTTTAGCACGGTTTTCCCCTCCCCCACCCAGGGGAGGCAGGTGGTAGGAAAAGGAGGTATTGAATCAGGGGTCATCTTGACCATACTGCAAAAAGCTACAAATCAACCACAGCACACTCATGATTTCAAGGCAGCAAGTCAGGGCTCCTTTCTTCAGTTATTTTTATTTCTGCTTTTATACATCTTAGATTGTTGTTCAAAAATAACCAGCTGTAAAAGGTCTTCCAGTTGCTTCCAAGCTGCCCTGTGGACATCAACCAACATTTATTGATTCTCTACATCCCTGCTGTTGGGTTTTATTAAACTGGGCTTGTCTTTCCTTTGGCCCCTGAGTAATTGCATAGGTTGGAGATGGCCAAATCACTGTCTCTCAGCTAACCCTAGTCTGTGAGAACTCCTGCCTTTCTGTTAGTCAAGAACTACTATGCCAGTAGTTCCTCTCACTGACTTCCAAGATTCCAGAGTATCTTCCATTATCTCAAAAGTTATTGTATCATCCTAAAAAGGACAAGCATGTTTGCACAGATCTGTTTCTGTGTGGGGTAAGTTAGGAGGGGGTGTATTCCCACTTCAATAAACTCACAGTTTCACTATGTCATCAACGAGGGTTTCACTTGGAAGTCTCCCTATGTTTGGCCACCACGAACTCACAGATCGCAGAGCCCTCTCAGCAGACAGAAATGAACCCTTTTTGAACCACCAGCAACCAGGAGCTCTGACCTTGCTTTTCAGAGCAGTTGTGAGAAGGATTAAGTAACATTTTAAGAAGCACTTACCACAGAACTTGGCACCTTGTAGGCTTCCCTGAGTTAAGGAAGCAGCACAAACAATTTAAAAAATTCTTTTATATTTATGTGTATTTTTCAATTTGCAAAATTATTTTTGTACATGATCTCACCAGCAATACAATGATGAGCCTTGCTAATGCCTATGGCAGGTACTCAATGTGTGTTTAACGTGGAGCTGACTCAAGTTACATGTCAGCTTTTCCCATGTAGTTTGTACATAGAGTTTGGGCTACAAATAGGACTGGAATGAAATTCTCCATTTCAGTTTCTGGGGCATCGTCTATATCATAACCACTATTCATCTATATTTATTCATCTCTGAAACAGAAGTTATTGAATCCTAGACCCTCAAAAACCAGAAGAGTACTCCCAGTTATATATTTTAAAATTATAAAAATAGATTAACAACTCATGAGAATTATTATATTCTTATAATACATAAAATATAATTTTTATATTTAATAATATAAATACTAATTACTACTACCATCTACTATTGGTATAACACAATAAATTAGGCACTACTATATACATATATATATATACATATATAATGAACAGTTCTTCCTCTCAGTAAATACTCATTGAAGAACTACTAGGATGCTGTATACACCTATAGTTTACCAAGAATAAAACTTACTGGCACCTAGCACAGTAGCATACCTAATATTTTGTACTTTCACATCATAGTCGTGGAATAAATGCATACATGAATGAACACGATGAGTCACTAAAGATAAATGTGTCAGTAGGTGCAAGTACTAAAGTCTGAGAACTTGCCCCATCTGTGAAATGAGAGGACTAACGCTGCATTGGAGGATCATTATAAGGACAAGTGTGACAATATACATCGGATGGTGGCAGGCAGCTTCTAAAGTGGCTCCCAATGATTCCTGCCTTCTGGTTTTCATGCCCTGGGTAAGCCCCTGCCCGTAAATGTGAACTGGTGACGTGCTTCTACAAATAGAATATGGCAAAGGTGATGAGATGTCACTTCTGTGATTAGGTTACAAAAGACTGTGACTTCATTCGTGCTGGTGCTCTCTCTTGGGACTGAAGGAGACCTCCAACCAACAGCCTGTGAGAAACTGGGGCCTTAGTCTCACAGCCCTCAAAGAATTGAATCATGCCAAATACCTCATGATTGGAAGCAAGTCCTCCCCTAGTCTAGCCTGGAGATGACTACAGCCCTGGGTAAGATCTTGAGAGAGGCCTTGAAGCAGAAGACTCAGTCAAGCCATGTCAGGATTCCTGACCCACAGACACTGGGACATAATAAACCTTTTAACGCACTAAGTTTTGGATAATTTGTTATGCAGCGATAGGTAACTAATACAAGGACCTACTGTAGCATGTGCATTTTGAAGTGTGTGATAGAGAGAAGCCATAATATTTTATAGTGGGGTTATAAATTATAGTGGGCTTACCTACAAGACTAGAGTTTTTTCATGCTAGCACAGTTAATCATAAAGGCTCTCCCTTACTAAGAAGAAGAGCCAACCAGTTAGTCAGTGGAAAGGAATGATGGGACCCATTCTGCTGGTGATCTCCTCAGCTAATACCAGGGGCTAGTCCTGTGCAGCAACCAGCACTAAACCGCAGGGATGAAAGAATGTCTTCATATACAACTGGTGGGCAAAGATGCAGTTGAATTCATCCCTGTTGAGCAGGGGTTGAAATGGCAGTGGTCTCCTGGAACCATTTCTGTGAAACAAATTGGGGCACATGGTTGTTTAGTGTGAACCCTGGCCTTGCATAAATTAAATGATTCTCTCGGCAGTCCTTTTTTGAACTGTTCCCATTGCCTGCTGTAGACAGTTGGCTCTAAATCCATTTTACAGAAGCACTTTCTGTTCCTTGGATAAAAGGAAGTACATAAATTTCAAGTGCCATATTACCATACATGCATGGTTCTGTTTGGGCACAAGCACGTTGTTCTTATCATAAATTCTGACTCAGAATGAGAGCTCAGGATTTACCATCTCACTCTTTATAGTTACAAGATCGACTAAACTGATTACAAGAAGAAATATGTAAGCTTTGAAACTGTTCACACCAGTGATGTGGCTCAGTAGCTTATAAAAGTGGCAAATAACAGCAAGCCAAAAGAAGGATATTTCAGGAAAGATGGAGCTCTTAAAAACACAGGGTTGGTCGTGTTCATAACCCAGACGCTGATGTTGCTCTTTGGAGCCTGGGATACTCTTTCCACTGCCTATTGTTGGACCATGGTCCTTGGAAACATGGGTTTACTCCACTGTAAGTCCTTCCTCCAACACACTAAAATTTCTAAGACCTCTCTCAGGGAGCTGACATGGCCGTAAGTGAGGGGCAGTCAGCCTGAAAGATGGAATGTTCTTATATCTTCTAAGGCTTCAGCTCTTGATTGTGTGTGCACGTGTGTGTGTGTGTGTGGTGTGGTGTGTGTGAAAATGTTGGTTTGATGTGGTTGTTTTGGGCAGTCAAGAGGGGTCTAGAGCCCCATGACAGGCTTCTTTCTGTCCTCGTCCAGTACTTGAGGCAGGATAGTGCAGCCATTAGAATGGAAGGTAGTGTAGGCAGATCACAAGGATATGAATCCCAGGCTCACTATTTACTAGCTGTGAGACCTTTAACACATTATTTAAATTCTTTGAGCTTCAGTTTCCTCACATGAAAACTAGAAATGATATTACCCCTCTCACAAGATTGAGATGAAGATTAAATGTGATAATCTATATAAAGCAACATTGTGCCTGACACATAGTAAACACAATGTAAATGTTAATGTTTATAATAATCTTGTTCTTTATGTTGTTAATCCTCTTTGCATATGTCAAACTGTTACCTCTTTGAAGACTTTAGCCGTGGATTTTTACATAGTTGGACATTTTTCAGTAATTTTTCAGTGAGTTTACCTAGGCTGAAAATACCCCTGCCAAGCAGTCCTGAGAATGCCCTCTTCTCTACATTTCCTCTTCTGGTGATCTCATCCCCTCATGACTTTAAATACCATCTGCTTTCTGATAACTCCCAAATTTCTATCTCCAGCACAAATCCCTTCCTGAACTTCCAATTCTTGTCTCTAACTGCCTCCCTGACATCTTAATTAGGAGGATGTCTAATAGAGTGTCTCAGACTCAACTCATCCAATATGGTACTCTTGATATTCCCTCCAAAAACCTGTCTCACCCACAGTTTACTTATCATTCCAGATGCTCAGGCCAAAACCTTGGAATCATTCTTGCCCCTATTTTTCTTTCATAACCTATATCCAATTCATCAGGAAGTTCTATTGGTTCTATCTTCAAAATATATCCTGAGTCTGACCATTTCCCACCACTGCCACATCACCTCCCTGATCTAAATCATCATTATCTCTCACTTCCAATAGCCTTCTTTTAGAAATAAAAGTATTTAAAAATAATTTTAACTACATAATCAGAAGCTTTTGAGGGTAAGCTCTGTCACCCCAAAAGTACTCTTCAGTGTGGATTTTCCAAAAGCAACAACACTGTCCTATATAATCAGCATACAACTCTTTGAATCAGGAAATTAACATCGATACACTACCATCAAATCCCATTCAGCTGTTGCTAATTTCCCTAAAATGTCTCTTTTCCCTCTGTGGTTCAGGAGTTTTTCACGAACACATCACAGTTAGCTGTTATATCTCTTCAGAATCCTTTGATCTGGAAGTGTCTCAGTCTTTCCCCATCTTCCATGCACTTGGCACAGTAGGAAGTGTTACATTCGGTAGGATCACCCCCTGTAGGATGATGGTTCCTTACGATCAGACTCAGGCACTTCATCCAGGGCAAGAATTCCACAGAAACAATGACATTCTCTTCTCAGGGCATCACATCAGAAGTGATACAATGTCAACCTATCCCACCTTGGTCTCCTGGTCATGTTGATGTCTGCCAGCTTTCTCCACTTAAATTTACCATTTTTTCTTTGTAATTGATTTATATGTTAGGGGAAGGTATTCTCAGAATATGTCAGAATATCCTGTTCCTCATGAAACCTTCACCTTTCAGCCTTAGCATCCATCCTCTGTGAGACTTCATCGATGACTTTAGCCCAAATCAAACTACATCTGTGAAAGTTGCCAAACATTATTGTTTATACATTTATTAGTTGGCATTTTATAGTAAAGTCAAGCTTACCCTTTTCATTCATTTATTCATTCGCATCGGAATGGATTCACAGATTCCTATTTTATTCAATGAGTTGTAATCCATTATTATTCTTTAATGCAAAAATTCTCCCTGATTTGACCAATAGGAGCCCCTGTGTCCTTTTGAAATGTTCCCACCATTCACTGAGCCTTTCCTTATTGTCCAGTACAAGACGTTGCAGGCTCATCTTACACTTTCCAAGTCTCCCCACTCCCACCCCAACCAACCTGGAATCAGCCATTGGCCATCACTCCAAGGAGCCTTGGTATCTTCCAGTGAAAGATGGTTTTTAGAAACCAATGTCTGGGTGCTCATTGTACTAATTGTTACTAAGGTGTTATTGCTACTAAGCCCTCCCGGTGAACAGAGCTTGGACATGATGTGTATATATATGGCACACACTTAAACATCTATAATTACAAAGCTAGCTAGACAGACAATCATATGTTCATACTGATACCTCCAATTCCTGTCCAACTTCAGAGTTCCTTCTAGCCTTCCTCATTTCTGTTTATAAATTCCTTCTCCAGCAGTGAAAAACTTGGCTCCCATTATTCTTACATTCACCATCAATTTACTAATTTGCTCAGTGTGACCAACTCCCTCTCCCCACTCTACCACCCGCCATGCTGGCTGTGTCTTCCACCTACCACCTCCACACCACCCCCTCAGCTTCTGACCCACAGCCTGCAGCTCCCCAACCCCAGCCTATGCCTCTGCATGGCTGCCCCAACCCCTTCGCTGCCTCACATTTTCAGCTGCCAGGCTGTATCCTCCATGGGAAGGGGAACAGGAAGGAGAAGGAGTGACAATATCAGCTGCACCCCCAGAGTTTATCCTCACTCAAGAGTCAGAATGATTCTGATAAAACATAAGTTCAACTGTTCCTCTGTTCAGAATCCTCCATGACTTTCCATTTCACCCAGAGCAAAATCTGAAGCTCTGACAATGCCTAGAAGGTCCAACATGATCTGGGACTTGTTACCTCACTGACTTTGTCTCCAACCATCTTCCCCCTCATTCACTCTGCTTCAGCCACACTGTCCTTACTATTCCTAAAATATGCCTGTCATGCTCCCACCTAAGGGCCTTCCACTTGCTTCTCTCTACCTGGAATACCTCTCCCCACATAGCTGCATGGCTGACTGCCTTACCTCTTTCAAATTTTTGTTCAAATATTACCCCAGTGAGACCTACCCTAACTGCACTTTTAAAAATATTGATCCTTCCATGCATACCTGATCCTTCTTATCCAACACTGTGTTTTCCATTTTCCATTGCATTTACCATTTTCTAATATGCTATATAATTTATTTAAGCATTATGTTTATCATTTATCATCTGTCCTTGCTACCACTAGAATGTAAGGTCCTTTGGAACAGGGAGATTTTTTTCACTGATGCATCCCAAGCACCTAGAAAAGTACCTGTCATGTAATAGAAACTCAATATATAATTGTTGCATAAAAATTAACATAAGCATTATTATTTTTATTATACTTATGAGGAAACTGAGTCTGAGAGAGGCCAAAATAATTGCTTAATTCACAGAGGTTAAAATAACTGGCCCAAGGTCATATAACTATTAAGTCATTCCTGAAGTCCCATCCCAAAATTGTTTAATTTCTAAACCATTTGACATTTGAATAAGTATTAACTTAATTAACTAACTAACTCAGAATGGGCATTTTCAATGTGCCTAACTTAGAGCCAAAGGACATCCTAAAAACTATGATAAGATTACTTACTGTGTATTGAATATTATTATTTTCTCAAAAGAAAAACTTTGCTTTGTCACATGTTAAGAAGCAGTTAGAAAGAGGTTCTTGACAAGTTGGCAAACTTTGAGTCACTAAGATCCTCAACAAGATTTATTCTATACTTTATAATAATTCTACTTGCTGTATTGGGTGAGGCCAAAACCTATGTTGGTTTATGAAGCACCTCCTTAAAGATAAATGACTTGCCATTCCCCACTATAAATAAAGTTCCCAAGTACATGGGTTTTGCACACAAATATGTTAATAATAGCATTGTTTATTACAGTAAAACATCAAAAACAACAAAATGTCTGCCACGCAGGAATGGCTAAGTAAACTGTGGCATATGCTCCTGTCAGGCACTACATTTGTCTTTGTGGCCCTCCAACCAAATTCAATCTCAGATCCACTCAGATTAACTTATAACAACAGATAATATTTATTGAATACTTATTATGTTCCAGGTACGGTTTCAAATAATTTATATGTATTATCTCCCTTAACCCTCACAAGAACCCTGTGAGACAGGCCCTGCCCGTGCATGTGCATGCGCACTCCACTGCCTTGCTGCTACTGGCACAAGCATGTGTGTGCACGGACTCTGCTGCCCTGCTCCCACCAGTGCACACATACATGCAAGGACCCTGCTGCCATACCCCAAAGAAGCAGTTTTGCCAGCATCCCCCATCAGATCGTTGTTGCCAGCAGGCCGGGAACACCTCAGCCCCTCCAGTGCAGGAGGTGCTTAACCTTGAAGTACCAGAGAATAAAGCCATGGGCCTGCTACCAGCTGCCTAGGATTACAGCACACAGCCCAGCTGTGCTGAGCTGAGCTGTAGCCCCCTGAAATCTTTCAGCAATGAAGCCAGTTAACTGAATCCAATTTATACCACAAGGGCATCAAAGAAAGCAAAAAAAACCCATCCAAAGGGCAGTAACTTCAAAGATTAAAGGAACATCAGCCCATATAGATAAGAAAGAACCAGTGCAAGAACTCTGGCGACTCAAAAAGCCAAAGTGTCTTCTTACTTCCATATGACTTCACTTGCTCCCCAGCAATTGTTTTTAACCATACTGAAATGACTAAAATGACAGACAAGGAATTCAGAATCAGGATAGCAAAGAAGAGCATCAAGATTCAGGAGAAAGCCAAAACCCAATCCAAGGAGTCCAATAAAATGATAAGAGATCTAAAAGACAAAATAGACATTTTAAGAAAGAACCAAACTGATCTGATAGATCTGAAATACTCATTTCAATAATTTCATAATAAATCAAAAGTATTAACAGCGGAATAGACCAAGCTGAGGAAAGAATCTCAGAGCTCGAAGACTGGTTCTTAAAAAAAATTTAGTCAGACAAAATAAAGAAAAAAAATAAACAAACCTCTGAGAAATATGATATTATGTAAAGAGACTAAACCTATGACTCACTGGTATCCCTGAAAAAGAGGGAGGGAGAACAAGCAACTTGGAAGACATATTTGAGGATATTGTCCATGAAAACTCCCCCAACATTACTAGAGAGGTAAACATTCAAATTCAGGAAATTCAGAGAACTTCTGTGAGATACTATATAAGATGACCATCCCCAAGACTCATAGTCATCAGATTCCCAAGGTCAAAGTAAAAGAAAAAATATTAAAGGCAGTTAGAGAGAACGGATAGGTCACCTACATAGGGGACCCTATCAGGCTAACAGTGGGTCTTTCAGCAGAAATCCTACAAGCCAGAAGAGACTGGGTGCTTATATTTAGTATTCTCAAAAGAAAAAAATTCCAACCAAGAATTTCATACCCAGTGAAGCTAAGCTTCATAAATGAAAAAAAAAAAAAATCCTTTTCAGACAAGCAAATGCTAAGGGAATGCATTACCACCAGACCTGCCTTACAAGAGGTCCTTAAGGGCATGCTAAATATGGAAACAAAAAACTGTTACTAGCCATCACAAAAACACACTTCAGTACATAGACAATTGACACCATAAAGCAACTATACAATCAAGTCTGCATAACAACCAACTAACACCACAATGATAGAATCAAATCTGTACATATCAATATTAAACTTGAACATAAATGGTCTAAACACCCCATTTAAAAGGTGAAGAATTAAGAATCTAAAGGGGTAAGACCCAACTGTATGCTGCCTTCAAGAGATCCAACTCACATACAATGATATCCTTAGGCTCAAAGTAAAGGACTGGAAAAAGAAAATCAAGCAAGCAAATGGAAAACAAAAAAGAGCAGGGGTTGCCATTCTAATTTCAGACAAAATAGTCTTTAAACTGACAAATGACAAAAAGGACAAAGAAAGGTATTACATAATGATTAAGGGTTCAATTCGAAAAGACTTAACTATCCTAAGTATATCTGCACCCAATACTGGAGAACCCAGATTCATAAAACAAATTTTAAGAGACCTAGGAAGATACTTAGACAACCACAAAATAATAGCGGAAGACATCAGTACCTGTATTAGTCAGGGTTCTCCAGAGGGACAGAACTAACAGGATATACGTATATATGAAAGGAAGTTTATTAGGGAGAATTGGCTCACACTATCACAAGGCAAAGTCCCACAATAGGCCATATGCAAGTTGAGGAAGATAGAGGCCAGTAGTGGCTCAGTCTGAGTCCAAAAGCCTCAAAAGCAAGAAAGTCAACAGTGCAGCCTTCAGTCTGTGGTTGAAGGCCCAAGAGCCCCTCGTCAAACACTGGCAGAAGTCCAAGAGTCAAAAGGCTGAAGAACTTGGAGTCTGATGGCCAAGGGCAGGAGAAACAAAAGGAAGTATCCACCACAGGAAAGAAATGAAAGCCAGAAGACACAGCAAGCCGTCTTATCCCACCTTCTTCCTCCTGCTTTTGTTCTAGCTGCACTGGCGCCAATTGGATGGTGCCCATTGAACATTCAGGGTGGGTCTTCCTCTTCCAGTCCACTGACTCAAATGTCAATCTCCTCAGGCAACATCCTAACTTACACACCCAGAAACAATACTTTACCAGCTATCTAGGCATTCTTCAATCCAATCAGGTTGTCACCTCATATTGACTATCACAAGTCAACTCCTTGTCAACTTGGCACTCATACACATCTCCTGAAATCACACTTAATCTCCAAATAAAGAAAATAATAGGTCATAATTATGCCTAACATAATACAACTATCCTTCATACAACAAGAAGCACACTAATCCTTAACCTAAATGCTATTAAATAAAGTTAACAACACTTAAATGCTGATATGAAGTCAATAAATCTTACGTTACGTGATAAAGGAAAAAGAAGGGAAATAAAATGAAGACACTTTCTCAGTACAGGTGTATGTATGCACAAACATATTTATAACAAAATAAGGAGGAAATAGTCATGACAATTACAATCCTCATTTCTGTACCTGGTCATGTGGTCATAGCTGGTATTCATAACTACCTTCTTCTACTACCCATTCTGTATTCCCTTTGCCTTCAGCAAGCACCTTGGCTGGTCACGGTTTTTTACCTGGTAGAGTGACCAAAACTTTCATTCCTGAGGGGTTCTGGCCAGTTGTAGTCCTGCCTGAATTGGGTTGTTGTAGTTTCCATTGACCTTAATCACAGGGCATGGTAATACTAAGAGACGCCCTAAGGGGTCTCCTGTATTCCAGACATACTTTTCCTTACTTCCATTGTGGAGTAGTAGTCTTATTTCATCTTGATAGTCTGGGTCAATCACTTCAGCCAACACTGTAACTCCCTTCTTAGCCTGTTGACTTAGAGGCAAGAGGAGGCCAGAGTGGCCAGGTGGCAATCTTAACTTCCGGTTAAATGGAATCATTGCTGTGTCTCCTGGTGGCAGCATTCCTTCCTCTGGAACTAAGACCTCTAGGCCAGTAGAAGATAATGTTGTGGGAAAAGAATGTAAAAATTTTGCTAGTGGGTCACTAGGGGTGATGGTGAATGCTGCCACTTCCACTTCCACCCCTTGATTCCTGAACCCATGAATCCCGCTATGGGAAAAACAGTACCATATATTGGATGCTGATTCAAAGCATACACAGCCTTCTGGAGAACTTTGCCCAAACCTTGTAAAGTATTTTCACACCTAGTTGGCGTTGTGATTGTGACTTCAAAAAGCCATTCCACCATTGGTACCAGAGAAGTGGGGCATTGCTATAAAGAGACCTGAAAATGTGGAAGTGACTTTGGAACTGGGTAATGGGCAGAGGTTGGAATAGTTTGGAGGGCTCAGAAGACAGGAAGATGAGGGAAAGTTTGGAACTTTCTAGAGACTTGCTGAATAGTTGTGACCTAAATGCTGATAGTGATATGGACAGTGAAGTCCAGCCTGAGGTGGTCTCTGATGGAGATGAGGAATTTACTAGAAACTGGAATAATTATTTTTCACTCTTGCTATGCTTTAGCAAAAAGACTAGTGGCATTGTGCCCCTGCCCTAGAGATCTGTGGAACTTTGGACTTGAGAGAGACGAAATTTCTTCTGACGGAAGAAATTTCTAAGCAGGAAAGTGTTCCAGATATGACCTGGCTGCTTCTAAAAGCCTATGCTTATTTGCATAAACAAAGAAATGACCTAAAACTAGAGCTTATATTTAAAAGGGAAGCAAGCATAAAAGTTTGGAAAATTCGGGCTGGGTGTGGTGACTTATGCCTGTAATCCCAGCACTTTGGGAGGCTAAGGCCAGCAGATCACTTGAGGCCAGGAGTTCGAGTCCAGCCTGGCCAACATGGCAAAACTCCATCTCTACTAAAAATACAAAAATTAGCCAGGTGTGTTAGTGCATGCCTGTAATCCCAGCTACTCAGGAGGCTGAAGCATGAGAATCACTTGAATATAGGAGGTGGAAATTACAGTGAGCCAAGATCACACCACTGCCCTCCATCCTGGGCAACAGAGTGAGACTCTGTCTCCAAAAAAAAAAAAAAAAAAAAAAGTTTGGAAAATTTGCAGCCCAACCATGCAATATAAAAAGAAAAACCCATTTTCTGAAGAGGAATTCAAGGCTGCAGAAATTTGCATATGTAAAGAGGAGCTGAATGTTAACTGCCAAGACGACGGAGAAAATGTCTCCAGGGCATTTCAGAGACCTTCATGGCAGCCCCTCTTATCACAGGCCTGAAGACCTAGGAGGAAAAAAATGTTTCATGGGCCAGGCCCAGGGCCTTGCTGCTCTGTGCAGCCTCAGAACATGGCGCCCTGCATCTGAGCCACTCCAGCTTCAGCCATGGCTAAAATGGGCCAATGTACAGCTCGGGCCATTGCTTCAGAGGGTGAAAGCTCAAAGCCTTGATGGCTTCCATGTGGTGCGGAGCCTGCAGGTGTGCAGAAGCTAAGAGTTGAGGTTTTGGAGTCTCTACCTAGATTTTAGAGGATGTATGGAAATGCCTGGATGTCCAGGCAGAAGTCTGCTGTGGTGTAGAGCCCTCATGGAGAACCTCAACTAGGGCAGTGCAGACGGAAAACGTGGGGTTGAAGCTCCCACACAGAGTCACCACTGGGGCTCTGCCTAATGGAGCTGTGAGAAGATGGCCACCATCCTCCAGACCTCAGGATAGTAGGCCCACCAACAGCTGGCACCACATGCCCAGAAAAGCTGCAGGCACTCAATGCCAGCCCATGAAAACAGCTGTGGGAACTGCAGAGCCACAGGGGCAGAACTGTCCATGGCCTTGGGAGTCTACCCCTTGCATCAATGTGGCCTGGATGTGAGACATAGAGTCAAAGGAGATTATTTTAAAGCTTTGAGATTTAATGACTGCCCTGCTGGGTTTCAGACTTGTATGGGGCCTGTAGCCCCCTTGTTTTGGCTGATTTCTCCCTCTTAGAAAAGGTCTATTTACCAAATTCCTGTACCCCCATTATATCTTGAAAGTAACTAACTTGCTTTTGATTTTAAAGGCTCAGAGGCAGAAGGGACTTGCCTTGTCTCAGATGAGACTTTGGACTTGGACTTTTGAGTTAATGCTGGAATTAGTTATGACTTTGCAGGACTGTTGGGAAAGCATAATTGTGCTTTGAAATATGAGAAGGAAATGGGATTTGGGAGGGGCCAGGGGTGGAATGATATGGTTTGACACTGTGTCCTCACCCAAATCTCATATCAAATTGTAATTAATAGTGTTGAAGGAGGGGCCTGGTGGGAGGTGATTGTATCATGAGGGGTGGACTTCCCCCTTGCTATTCTCATGATAGTGAGTGAGTTATCAAGATACCTGGTTGTTTGAAAGTGTGTAGCACTTTCCCCTTCTCTCTCTCCTGCTCTGCCATGGTAAGATGTGCTTGCTTCCCCTTTGCCTTTGCCATGATTATAAGATTCCTGAGCCCTCCCAGTCATGCTTCCTGTACAGCCTGCAAACTGTGAGTCAATTTAACCTCTTTTCTCCATAAATTATCCAGTCTCAGGTAGTTCTTTATAGCAGTGTGAGAACAGACTAATACAGTACCCCACTGACAGTAATAGACAGAACATCAAGGTAGAAAACTAACAAAGATATTTGTTACATATTTGTTACATATTCCTAAACACAATATGACCAAATAGACCTAACAGACATCTACAAAACACTCCATCCAACAACAACAAAATATACATTCTTCTCATCTGCACATGGCACATACTCTAAAATCAACCACATGCTTGGCCATAAAACAATTCATAACACATTCAGAAAAATCAAAATCATACCAACCAAGCCTTTGGAAGAC
This sequence comes from Homo sapiens, assembly GCF_000001405.40. Lineage (NCBI taxonomy): Eukaryota > Metazoa > Chordata > Mammalia > Primates > Hominidae > Homo > Homo sapiens. Next base: position 128,439,820 of record NC_000004.12, on the reverse strand, counting down.
AGCAAAATAAAAACAGAAATCAATACTAATAAGATCTCTCAAAACAATACAATTATATGAAAACTAAACAACTGTCTCATAAATGACTTTTGGGTAAACAGTGAAATTAAGGCAGAAATAAAAAAATTATTTGAAACTTATGAAAACAAAGATACAATATACTAGAATCTCTGGGACACAAATGAAGAAGTGTTAAGAGGATAGTTTATAGTGCTAAATGCCCACATCAGAAAGTTAGAAAGCTCTCAAATTAACAATCTAACGTCACACCTAGAGGAATCAGAAAAACAAGAAAAAAAAAACCCCAAAGCTAACAGAAGAAAACAAATAACCAAAATCAGAGCCAAACTGAATAAAATTGAGATGTGAAAAAACATGCAAAAGATCAACAAAACCTAAAGTTGGTTTTTTGAAATAATAAATAAGATTGATAGACTACTAGTTAGAATTATATAGAAAAAAAGAGAGAAGATTCAAAAAAGGACAATCAGAAAGGACAAAGGGGGAATTAGCACTGACCCCACAGAAATAGAAAAACTCCTCAGAGACTATTATGAACACCTCTACACACACATACCAGAAACCTAGAAGAAATGAATAAATTACTGAAAACATACAACCTCCCAAGATTGAACCAGGAAGAAATTAAAACCTTGAACAGACCAATAATGAGTTCCAAAATTGAATCATTCATAAAAAACCTACCAATCAGAAAAAGCCCTGAGCCATATGGCTACACAGCAGAATTCTACCAGATGTATAATGAAGAGCCAGTACCAATTCTACTGAAACTATTCCCAAAAATTGAGGAAAAGGACTCCTCCCTAACTCACTCTATGAGGCCAGCACCATTCTGATACCAAAACCCAGCAGACACACACAGACACAAAACATCAGGCCAATATCTTTGATGAACACAGATGCAAAAATCCTCAACTAAATACTATCAAACCGAATCCAGCAGCACATCAAAAAGCTAATCCATCATGAGAAAGTAGGCTTTATTCCTAGGATGCAAGGTTGATTCAACATACACAAATCAATAAATGTGATTCATAACATAAACAGAAGGAAAAATAAAAACCACATCATCATCTCAATAGACAAAGAAAAGGCTTTCAATAAAATTCAACATCTCTTCATGTTAAAAACCCTCAACAAATTATGCATAAAATATAAGAGCCATCTATGACAAACCCACAGCCAACATCATACTGAATGGGCAAAAGCTGAATGCATTCCCCTTAAGAACCAGAACAAGACAAGGAAGCCCACTCTCACCACTCATATTAAATGCATACTGGAAGTCCTAGCTGAGCAATCAGGCAAGAGAAAGAATTAAAAGGCATCCAAGTAGGAATAGAGGAAGTCAAACTATCTCTCTTCACAGATGATATTATTTTATACCCAGAAAACCCCATAGTCTCTGCCCAAAAGGTCCTATATCTGGTAAACAACTTCAGTAAAACTTCAAGATACAAAAACAATGTACAAAAATCAGTAGCGTTTCTCTATACCAATAACATTCAAGCTGAGATCCAAATCACAAATGCAATTCCAAATACCTAGGAATTAACCAAAGAAATGAAAGACCTCTACAATGAAAATTATAAAACAATGATGGAAGAAATGGACACAGAAAAATGCAAAGATATTCCATGTTCATGGATTGGAAAAAACAATTTTGCTAAAATGTCCATACTACCTTGAGCAACCTACAGATTCAATGCAATCCCTATCAAAATACCAATGAAATCTTCACAGAAGTAGAAAAAAAATCATAAAATTTATATGGAATCACAAAAGACCCAGAATAGCCAAAGCTATTCTGAACAAACAAAAAAACAAACAAACAAACAAACAAAAAACAAAGCTGGAGGAATCACATTACCTGACTTTAAATTATACTACAGAGCTAGAGCTATAGTAACCAAAACAGTGTGGTACTGGCATAAAGACAGACACATAGACCAATACAGAACCCACAAACAAATCCACACACCTACAATGAACTCAGTTTCAACAAAGGTGCCAGGAACACATATTGGGGGAAAAGACAGTCTCTTTGATAAATGATGCCAGGAAAACTAGATATCCATACGCAGAAGAATGAAACTTGATCCCTATTTCTCGCCTTATACAAAAATCAAATAAAAATGGATTAAAGACTTAAATCTGAGCCAAGATGGCCGAATAGGAGCAGCTCCAGTCTACAGCTCCCAGTGTGAGTGACGCATAAGATGAATGATTTCTGCATTTCCAACTGAGGTACCCGGTTCATCTCACTGGGGATTGTCAGACAGTGGGTGTAGGACAGTGGGTGCAGCACACCGAGCGTGAGCCAAAGCAGAGCGAGGCATGGCCTCACCTGGGAAGCACAAGGGGTCAGGGAATTCCCTTTCCTAGCCAAGACAAGGGGTGACAGATGGCACCTGGAAAATCGGGTCACTCCCACCCTAATACTGCACTTTTCCAAGGGCCTTAGCAAACGGCACACCAGGAGATTGTATCCCATGCCTGGCTCGGAGGATCCTATGCCGACAGAGCCTCGCTCATTGCTAGCACAGCAGTCTGAGATCAAACTGCAAGGCAGCAGCGAGGCTGGGGGAGGGGTGCCCACCATTGCCGAGGCTTCAGTAGGTAAACAAAGCGGCTGGGAAGCTCAAACTGGGTGGAGCCCACTGCAGCTCAAGGAGGCCTGCCTGCCTCTGTAGACTCCACCTCTGGGGGAAGGGCATAGCCAAACAAAAGGCAGCAGAAACCTCTGCAGACTTAAATGTCCCTGTCTGACAGCTTTGAAGAGAGTAGTGGCTCTCCCAGCACACAGCTTGAGATCTGAGAACGGACAGACTGCCTCCTCAAGTGGGTCCCTGACCCCCGAGTAGCCTAACTGGGAGGCACCCCCCAGTAGGGGCAGACTGACACCTCACACGGCCAGGTACTCCTCTGAGACAAAACTTCCAGAGGAATGATCAGGCAGCAACATTTGCTGTTCACCAACATCCACTGTTCTGCAGCCTCCGCTGCTGATACCCAGGCAAACAGGGTCTGGAGTGGACCTCCAGCAAACTCCAACAGACCTGCAGCTGAGGGTCCTGACTGTTAGAAGGAAAACTAACAAAGTGAAAGGACATCCACACCAAAACCCCATCTGTATGTCACCATCATCAAAGACAAAAGGTAGCTAAAACCACAAAGATGGGAAAAAACAGAGCAGAAAAACTGGAAATTCTAAAAAGCAGAGCGCCTCTCCTCCTCCAAACAAATGCAGCTCCTCACCAGCAATGGAACAAAGCTGGACAGAGAATGACTTTGACGAGTTGAGAGAAGAAGGCTTCACGCGATCAAACTACTCCGAGCTAAAGGAGGAAGTTAGAACCCATGGCAAAGAAGTTAAAAACCTTGAAAAAAGATTAGACGAATGGCTAACTAGAATAACCAATGCAGAGAAGTCCTTAAAGGATCTGATGGAGCTGAAAACCATGGCATGAGAACTACGTGACGAATGTACAAGCCTCAGTAGCCGATTTGATCAACTGGAAGAAAGGGTATCAGTGATGAAAGATCAAATGAATGAAATGAAGTGAGAAGAGAAGTTTAGAGAAAAAAGAATAAAAAGAAACGAACAAAGCCTCCAAGAAATATGGGACTATGGGAAAAGACCAACTCTACGTCTGATTGGTGTACCTGAAACTGACAGGGAGAATGGAAACAAGTTGGAAAACATTCTGCAGGATATTATCCAGGAGAACTTCCCCAATCTAGCAAGGCAGGCCAACATTCAAATTGAGGAAATACAGAGAATGCCAAAAAGATACTCCTCGAGAAGAGCAACTCCAAGACACATAATTGTCAGATTCACCAAAGTTGAAATGAAGGAAAAAATGCTAAGGGCAGCCAGAGAGAAACGCCAGGTTACCCACAAAGGGAAGCCCATCAGACTAACAGTGGATCTCTCGGCAGAAACTCTACAAGCCAGAAGAGAGTGGGGGCCAATATTCAACATTCTTAAAGAAAAGAATTTTCAACCCAGAATTTCATATCCAGCCAAACTAAGCTTCATAAGTGAAGGAGAAATGAAATACTTTACAGAAAAGCAAATGCTGAGAGATTTTGTCACCACCAGGCCTGCCCTAAAAGAGCTCCTGAAGGAAGCACTAAACATGGAAAGGAACAACCGGTACCAGCCACTGTAAAAACATGCCAAATTGTAAAGACCATCGAGGCTAGGAAGAAACTGCATCAACTAATGAGCAAAATAACCAGCTAACATCATAATGACAGGATCAAATTCACACATAACAATATTAACCTTAACTGTAAATGGGCTAAATGCTCTAATTAAAAGACACAGACTGGCACATTGGATGAAGAGTCAAGACCCATTAGTGTGCTATATTCAGGAAACCCATCTCACATGCAGAGACACACATAGGCTCAAAATAAAAGGATGGAGGAAGATCTACCAAGCAAAAGGAAAACAAAAAAAAGGCAGGGGTTGCAATCCTAGTCTCTGATAAAACAGACTTTAAACCAACAAAGATCAAAAGAGACAAGGCCGTTACATAACGGTAAAGGGATCAATGCAACAAGAAGAGCTAACTATCCTAAATATATATGCACCCAATACAGGAGCACCCAGATTCATAAAACAAGTCCTCAGAGACCTACAAAGAGACTTAGACTCCCACACAATAATAATGGGAGACTTTAACACCCCACTGTCAACATTAGACAGATCAACGAGACAGAAAGTTAACAAGGATATCCAGGAACTGAACTCAGCTCTGCACCAAGCGGCCTAATAGACATCTACAGAATTCTCCACCCCAAATCAACAGAATATACATTCTTTTCAGCACCACACCACACCTATTCCAAAATTGACCATATAGTTGGAAGTAAAGTACTCCTCAGCAAATGTAAAACAACAGAAATTATAATAAACTGTCTCTCAGACCACAGTGCAATCAAACTAGAACTCAGGATTAAGAAACTCACTCAAAACCACTCAACTACATGGAAACTGAACAACTTGCTCCTGAATGACTACTGGGTACATAACGAAATGAAGGCAGAAATAAAGATGTTCTTTGAAACCAACGACAACAAAGACACAACATACCAGAATCTTTGGGACACATTCAAAGCAGTGTGTAGAGGGAAATTTATAGCATTAAATGCCCACAAGAGAAAGCAGGAAAGATCTAAAATTGACACCCTAACATCACAATTAAAAGAACTAGAGAAGCAAGAGCAAACACATTCAAAAGCTAGCAGAAGGCAAGAAATAACTAAGATCAGAGCAGAACTGAAGGAGATAGAGACACAAAAAACCCTTCAAAAAATCAATGAATCCAGGAGCTGGTTTTATGAAAAGATTGACAAAATTCATAGACCGCTAGCAAGACTAATAAAGAAGAAAAGAGAGAAGCATCAAATAGACGCAATAAAAAATGATAAAGGGGATATCACCACCGATCCCACAGAAATACAAACTACCATCAGAGAATACTATAAACACCTCTACACAAATAAACTAGAAAATCAAGAAGAAATGGATAAATTCCTTGACACATACACCCTCCCAAGACTAAACCAGGAAGAAGCTGAATCTCTGATAGACCAATAACAGGCTCTGAAATTGAGGCAATAATTCATAGCTTACCAACCAAAAAAAGTCCAGGACCAGATGGATTCACAGCCGAATTCTACCGGAGGTACAAGGAGGAGCTGGTACCATTCTTTCTGAAACTATTCCAATCAATAGAAAGAGAGGGAATCATCCCTAACTCATTTTATGAGGCCAGCATCATCCTGATATCAAAGCCTGGCAGAGACACAACAAAAAAAGAGAATTTTAGACCAATATCCTTGATGAACATCGATGCAAAAATCCTCAATAAAATACTGGCAAACCAAATCCAGCAGCAAATCAAAAAGCTTATCCACCATGATCAAGTGGGCTTCATCCCTGGGATGCAAGGCTGGTTCAACATATGCACATCAATAAATGTAATCCAGCATATAAACAGAACCAAAGACAAAAACCACATGATTGTCTCAATAGATGCAGAAAAGGCCTTTGACAAAATTCAACAACCCTTCATGCTAAAAACTCTCAATAAATTAGGTATTGATGGGATGTATCTCAAAATAATAAGAGCTATCTATGACAAACCCACAGCCAATATCATACTGAATGGGCAAAAACTGGAAGCATTCCCTTTGAAAACTGGCACAAGACAGGGATGCCCTCTTTCACCACTCCCATTCAACATAGTGTTGGAAGTTCTGGCCAGGGCAATCAGGCAGGAGAAGGAAATAAAGGGTATTCAGTTAGGAAAAGAGGAAGTCAAATTGTCCCTGTTTGCAGATGACATGATTGTATATCTAGAAAACCCCATCGTCTCAGCCCAAAATCTCCTTAAGGTGATAAGCAACTTCAGCAAAGTCTCAGGATACAAAATCAATGTACAAAAATCACAACCATTCTTATACACCAATAACAGACAAACAGAGAGCCAAATCATGAGTGAATTCCCATTCACAATTTCTTCAAAGAGAATAAAATACCTAGGAATCCAACTTACAAGGGATGTGAAGGACCTCTTCAAGGAGAACTACAAACCAGTGCTCAGTGAAGTAAAAGAGTATACAAACAAATGGAAGAACATTCCATGCTCATGGGTAGGAAGAATCAATATCATGAAAATGGCCATACTGCCCAAGGTAATTTACAGATTCAATGCCATCCCCATCAAGCTACCAATGACTTTCTTCACAGAATTGGAAAAAACTACTTTAAAGTTCATATGGAACCAAAAAAGAGCCTGCATTGCCAAGTGAATCCTAAGCCAAAAGAACACAGCTGGAGGCATCACACTACCTGACTTCAAACTATACTACAAGGCTACAGTAACCAAAACAGCATGGTACTGGTACCAAAACAGAGATATAGACCAATGCAACAGAACAGAGCCCTCAGAAATAATGCCACATATCTACAACTATCTGATCTTTGACAAAGCTGACAAAAACAAGAAATGGGGGAAAGATTCCCTATTTAATAAATGGTGCTGGGAAAACTGGCTAGCCATATGTAGAAAGCTGAAACTGGATCCCTTCCTTACACCGTATACAAAAATTAATTCAAGATGGATTAAAGACTTAAATGTTAGATCTAAAACCATAAAAACCCTAGAAGAAAACCTAGGCAATACCATTCAGGACATAGGCATGGGCAAGGACTTCATGACTAAAACACCAAAAGCAATGGCAACAAAAGCCAAAATTGATAAATGGGATCTAATTAAACTAAAGAGCTTCTGCACAGCAAAAGAAACTACCCTCAGAGTGAACAGGCAACCTACAGAATGGGAGAAAATTTTTGCATTCTACTCATCTGACAAAGGGCTAATATCCAGAATCTACAAAGAACTCAAACAAACTTACAAGAAAAAAACAAACAACCCCATCAAAAAGTGGGCAAAGGATATGAACAGACACTTCTCAAAAGAAGACATTTATGCAGCCAAAAGACACATGAAAAAATGCCCATCATCACTGGTCATCAGAGAAATGCAAATAAAAACCACAATGAGATACCATCTCACACCAGTTAGAATGGCAATCATTAAAAAGTCAGGGAACAACAGGTACTGGAGAGGATGTGGAGAAATAGGAACACTTTTACACTGTTGGTGGGACTGTAAACTAGTTCAACCATTGTGGAAGTCAATGTGGCAATTCCTCAGGGATCTAGAACTAGAAATACCATTTGACCCAGCCATCCCATTACTGGGTATATACCCAAAGGATTATAAATCATGCTGCTATAAAGACACATGCACATGTATGTTTATTGCGGCACTATTCACAATAGCGGACTTGGAACCAACCCAAATGTCCAAAATGATAGACTAGATTAAGAAAATGTGGCACATATACACCATGGAATACTATGCAGCCATAAAAACTGATGAGTTCATGTCCTTTGTAGGGACATGGATGAAGCTGGAAACCATCATTCTCAGGAAACTATCGCAAGGACAAAAAACCAAACACTGCATGTTCTCACTCATAGGTGGGAATTGAACAATGAGAACACACGGACACAGGAAGGGGAACATCACACACCAGGGCCTGTTGTGGGGTCGGGGGAGGGGGGAGGGATAGCATTAGGAGATATACCTAACGTTAAATGACGAGTTAATGGGTGCAGCACACCAACATGGCACATGCATACATATGTAACAAACCTGCACATTGTGCACATGTACCCTAAAACTTAAAGTTTAATAATAAAATAAAATAAAGACTTCAATCTAAGACCTCAAATTATGAAATTGCTACAAGAAAATATTGAGGAAACTCTCCAGAACATTGGTCTGGGCAAAAATTTCTTGAGTCGTACCCCACAAGCACAGGCAACCAAAGAAAAAAATGGACAAATGGGATCACATCAAGTTAAAAAGCTTCTGCACAGCAAAGGAAACAATCAACAAAGTGAAGAGACAACCCACAGAATGGGAGAAAATATTTGCAACACCCATCTGTCAAGGGATTAATAAGCAGACTATATAAAGAGCTCAAACAACCCTATAGGAAAAAAATCTAATAATCCGATTTAAAAATGGGCAAAATATTTTAATAGACATTTCTCAAAAGAAGACATGCAAATGGCAAACAGGCATATGAAAAAGTGGTCAATGCTACTGATCATCAGAGAAATGCAAATCAAAATTACAAGATATCATCTCACTCCAGTTAAAATGGCTTTTATCCAAAAGTCAGCCAAAAACAAATGCTGGTGAGGATATGGAGAAAAGGGAACCCTCATATACTGTTGGTGGAAATGTAAATTAGTACAACCGCTATGGAAAACAGTTTGGAGGTTCCTTGAAAGACTAAAATAGAGCTATTATGTGATCCAGCAATCCCACTTCTGGGTATGTACCAAAAGAAAAAAATCAGTATACTGAAGAGATATCTGCACTACCATGTTTGTTGTATCACTGTTAACAACAGCCAACATTAGAAGCAACCTAAGTGTTCATCAATAGAAGAATGGATAAAGAAAATGTCATACTTATACACAATGGAGTACTATTCAGCCACAAAAAAAAGAATGAGATTCTGTTACTTGCGACGACATGGATGGAACTGGCTGTCATCATGTTAAGTGAAATAAGCTAGGCAGATAAAGAAAAACATCACATGTTCTCACTTATTTGTGAAATCTAAAAATCAAAACAATTGAACTCACAGAGATAGAGAACAGGATAGTTACCAGAGGCTGGGAAGGGTAGTGGGAGGGCAGGGAAGAAGTGGGGTTGGTTAATGGGTACAAAATAAAATAGAAAGAAAGAGTAAGACCTAGTATTTGACAGCATAACAGGGGCACTATAGTCAACAATAATTTAATTGTACATTTTAAAATAACTAAAAGCATAATTTTAGTTATTTTAAAATAACTAAAAGAGTAATACAAAGGATAAATACTTGAGGGGATAAATAGCCAATTTTGTATGACATGATTATTATGTGTTACATGCCTGTACCAAAACATCTCATGTACCTCATAAATATGTACACCTAATATGTACCCCTCAAAATTTTTTAAATTATTTTTTAAAATGCAACCCCATTCACAAAAGCAACACAAAGAAGTACCTAGCAATAGAGCTAAACAGGGAGGTAAAAGATCCCTACAACAAGAATTACAAAATACTGCTGAAAGAAATCAGAGATGACACAAAGAAATGGAAAAATATTCCATGCTCATGGATAGGAAGAATCAATATTGTTAAAACAGCCATACTGTCCAAAGAAATTTATATGTTCAATGCCATTCCTATCAAGCTACCAATGACATTTTTTACAGAATTAGAAAAACTATTCTAAAATTCATATGGAACCAGAAAAGTGCCCAAATAGCCAAAGAAATCCTAAGGAAAAAGTATAAAGCTGGAGGTATCACACTACCTAACTTCAAATTTTACTACAAGGCCACAGTAACCAAAACAGTATGATACTGATACAAAAACAGACACATAGACCAATGGAACAGGTTAGAGAACTCCGAAATAAAGCCAGAAACCTACAACTGATAATCAACAAAGTCAATGAAAACAAGCAATGGGGAAAGGATGCCCTATTTTATAAATGGTGCTAGGATAACTGGCTGGCCATATGTAGAAAATGGAAACTGGACCCCTTCCTTACACCATATACACAAATTAAGATGGATTACATACTTAAATGTAAAACCTAAAACTATGAAAACCCTAGAAGAAAACCTAGCAAGTACCCTCTGGACATAGGCCCTGGCAAAAATTTCATGACAAAGACTTCAAAAGCAATTGCAACAAAAACAAATATTGACAAGTGGGATCTAATTAAACTAAAGAGCTTCTGCACAAAAAAGGGAATTATCAACAGAGTAAACAGACAACCTACAGAATGGGAGAAAATATTTGCAAACCATACACCAAAGGTCTACTATCCAGAATCTATAAGGAACTTAAATAAATTAACAAGCAAAAAACAAACAACCCCATTAAAAAATGGGCAAATGACGTGAACAGACATTTCTCCAAAGAAGACATACATGCAGCCAACAAGCCTATGAAAAAAAGCTCAATATCACTAATCATTACAGAAATGCAAATCAAAACCACAATGAGATACCATCTCACACCAGTCAGAATGGCTATTATTAGAAAGTCAAAAAATAACAGATGCTGGTGAGGTTGTGGAGCAAAGGGAATGCATACACACTGCTGTTGGGAACGTAAATTAGTTCAGCCACTGTGGAAAGCAGTCTGGAGATTTCTCAGAGAATTTAAGACAGAACTGCCAGCAATCCCATTACTGGGTATATACACAAAGGAACATAAATAATTTTCCCATAAAGACATGCATGCATATGTTGATCACAGCACTATTCACAATAGCAAAGACATGGAATCCACTTAGATGCCTATCAATGGTGGACTGGATAATGAGCATGTGGTACATATTATATACCACAGAATACTACGCAGCCATAAAAAACAGTGAAATCTTGTCCTTTTCAGCAACATGAATAGAGCTAGAGGCCAGTATCCTAAGCAATTTAATGCAAGAACAGAAAATAAATACTTCACGTTCTCACTTATAAGTGGAAGCTAAACATTGAGTACACATGGACAGAAAGAAGGAAACTAAATACCTGGGCCTACTTGAGGGTGGAGGGTGAGAGGAGGGTGAGGATTGAAAAACTACTTGTCAAGTACTATGCTTATTATCTGGGTGATGAAATAATCTGTACACCAAACCCCCATCACATATAGTTTACCCATGTAACAAACCTGCGCATGTACCCCTGAACCTAAAATAAAAGTTGGAAAGGAAAAAAAAAAAAAGAAGAGAATGCTAATGGATACGGGAATATGAAGCAGCCACTGTCCCCAGGGCTGGGATACAGTGCCCAGGGAAGGGTCCCCAGCCACTTCCCAATCCAGGGTTGAAATCCATACCTCACTGAAGAAGGAAGAATCCAAGTTCAGTGAATGGCAGAGATATCGCTGTGGTGTCATACTGACCAAACTTGCTGGAAACCTGCTCTCTGGAACTTGCTGGAAATTCCTGACACTTTTTAGGGTGTCAGGAAAGGCGTTCACAGGGAGATGTCACATTGGAGCATTCCACAAAGTCACCCAAGAAGAGGTGAAAGAGTACGCTGCTGGCCACTGGGTGCTGCTGGTTGCCAGCAGGACCCAGGTGCTGGAGAAACCACAGGCATTCCAGGAGCTTGCATATAAAAATGGTCAGACCAGGAAGCAAAGCCCGTTCCTCCTATCATGTCTCTCATGCACCCTCTACCGACAAAGATTAACATGGTGCCATCTGGCAAAGAAAAATATTTAAAGGGCCCATATCCATTTTCTCAGAGCATGCAATGAAGAGTGAATTTGTAGCTGTGAGGCAATAAATTGATACCCTATATGTCCTTCAAGACGAGAACATCACCTATTCTTTGCTGAGTTTGGTTCCAGAAAAGTTCAATGTTGTAATAATTATCTTCAACAAAAATGCATAGTTTGTTGGTGTAAATTCTTCCAAGAAGCATATAAAAGGGTGGTGAAAGGATTGTGGAGCTTTCCAGATCCAGAGACCCGCTATGAAGGATATCAGCTGCAGCCACGTGCCTCATGAGGATCAGCACAGAGTAAGAGAAGCCATGCTGATTTATCCTGCATCTGCTCCCATCCTCTGAGGACACCTTGCTGCCCATCAGATTTTACATTCTTGCCTAACTAATTTGAGAACATAATCTAAGCTTACTCTATGTGTATACTGTTGTCTCCTCCACCGAGCTATGTTCTACTGAAATGCTACAGCATGCCATGGAATGTTGTGCAACCATTACACATGTTATTTAAAAAGAGTTCATGATTAAATGGAAAAATGCTTGTGTTATAATTATAAGTGAAAAGGGTAGGATGCAATATTATAATATGTGAAACAAACAACACTACATAGAAATAAAGAGCAAAAAGAAATACCCCCAAATCAATCACTATCTTTAGGTGGAATCAGAGTAATTTTCTTCTTCTTCCTATTATTTTTCTGTAATTTATGTATTTACTATAGTGACCACGTACTGGTTATACCTTTGGGACAAAACAATCTATCTAACAATAACAACAACAACAATAAATATATATATATACTTTTAATTTATTTATTTACATTTATGTGTGTATCTTGAAGTCTTAAACTGAGCCAAGGTTTGGGAACCAGAATTTGACAGAGTTCCATATAGAGTATCTGAACCAGTTCTTTATAGTTTACACAAGCTAAGGCGACTGCGACCCAATAGCAGTTTGGCCAATTGAGATAGACAAATTGTCTACCCTAATGAGATAGAAAACGGCAATATATTTACCAAAAAAAATGAATTCCATTCCCTGAACTTTTAGAATTATTGAGATCTATACACATATTTGAGTAGGATATAAGAGAATATCAAATATAAAGAATTAATAAAACAAGCAGGAAATAAAATATTAGCAACTTTCTTCCTTATCAATGAGACAAGCCAATCTCCTTATAGTTTTAACAGCAGTTTGGGGGAACCGTCTAAACACTGCACTCTTAATTTAGGCACATATTTCCTGAAAACTTATATTTACATTTGCCAAAACAAAGCAGTAATTTCCCCCCAAACCATGGCTATTGCTAGAACCATGAACTTCTAAACTCAACCTCCATAATTCCTCTGCAGAAACTGGCAGCCACACCTCTCAATCCTATAATAACGTGTAAGAAAAAAAGAAACCACATAATATGAAAGATATTCAAATAGCAAATAGTAAGGATTATAAAATTACAGACTAAGTATCAGACTCTACACTATCTGTGGACTCTGTTTCCCAGCACATCGTTTTTTAGGAGCAGATGATCTAAACAGCCCAGCTGAATGAAACCTACTGGAAGGCAGTGGATGACCTCATGACATCTAAGCATCCCTTCCAGTTCTAGGACTCCATTATTTAGCAGAGATCTGATGCACAGGGAACATGTTAGAAAGAAGCATTCAGTCTGTAACAGCATTTTAAATGGAAGAAAACTTGAGTCTGTGAGGAAGAGGAATGCTAAGTTGATCTCAGTTCGCCTAGGAATGTCCTGGTTTTAGCACTGGAAGTTCTCCATCTCAGGAAACCTCATCATTATGGGAAAACCAGAATGGCTAGTCATCTTACTGTTTGGATCTGACAAAGATTAGCTTCTTTGGGTTCCCGTGCAAATTAAAAGCTTTAATTAACTAAGCCTCATAAACCTTTAAACTAGTGATACTGATTTCTGCCTCTTTCATCCAGCTCCATGTAAGCACATTCTCATTATCGCCCACACAAGGGCTGGACTCTATGGGTCCTTCCGAATGGAGATCAGGAGAAGCTGTGAATGGTTAAATCCTGAAAATGTTTGAAAAAGAAGCTTCTTCTTACCTTTATTAACTATAAAGTGGCAAGCTCTCCAGGAGAAACAGGCCTTCTTTGGGGGGTTCTCTGACTATATAACAAATGTGTTCCCCAAATCCTATAAACTCACATTCAATTATTGATGAATGTTCTCTTCAGGACACACTATTCAACAACCCAGATTACTCAATAATCAATCCTATTATTTACTTGCTACTTTTTAAAGGCAATAAAAGGGATACAAATACATGATCTACACAATGCTTTATTTTCCTGTTTCCTCTCAGCCACTTCTCTCTGGTGTTTCCATGTCTCTATCAGTCTCTGTGATTCCCAGAAAATCTCCTTCTCCATTCCCAGCCTACGTGGTTTTCTTTCCTTCTTCTCCTTCCTCTACTCTCAGCATATTAGCCTATTTCCCAGAAAGAAAGAGCTCCTTTTCATGAAGAGGTGGGAGGAGGGGATAAATTGAATTTGGAATTACAGGATTTTCTTTGGCAGTCTAGGAAAGATCAGAATTTGAGGACATTCCTGCATTAAGTATTTCTGTTCCACAGCACTCCTAATGTTGGTAAGTGTCTGACACAGATACCCATAGCATGTTAGTGCTAAAAAGGCACATAGAATGCATGAGCTCAGTCCCCTAATTTTAACAAGTGGGAAAATGAACAGAGACATTAAATAACTTATCCAAGGTCACAAAATGTCCTTTCCTTGCTATATGACTTTAAATCCTGTGACTTGTGGTTTTCAAAAGGAGTAGCTGTCAATGCCCTGCAGACAGAGACTACCAGAAATACACGTGTAGTTGAATCATGTGCTGTGGCAAGAGAGAACACACACAGTGAGGAACCATGGAGTGTCTCAGTAAGAAAGTATTAGAAAGGATTTAGTGTAGAATGTTGGTCCTGTTAGGTGATTTTTGGGAGGGTTTAAGGAAGTGGACTTTGCTGTTGATTGGATACTATCAGGAAGCAAAAGTACTTCTATGACTAAGTATCGTGATAAATCTTATGTGGAAAAAGGGATGAAGAGAGCCAGGCTAAAGCCATAATTGGTTTAAAAAAATCAGCAGTCATTCATATTAGCCAGAATAAAGGGATGTTTGGTCAGTTTTGTGTCTTGGACAATGTCCATAATTTATCTGTGTTGAAACATAATTACACAATGGTCTTGGTTTTTTTCTTTATCCTTCACGATCACAGAGTGGCCTTGTCTAATGCTGATATCCTGTGAAAATGTTTATTTCAGCAGGAGAACACCAAGAACTCTTGCTGTCTGTCCAGCTGCTGGATGTTGGGAACTGCTTTTCTCATTCTCACAATAATAAAACTACCATCTATTGAGCACTGTCAGTATTCCAGGAAAGTTTTACTCTTCATCACCAACTGAGGAGGTAGATACTATTATGATTCTAATTTTCATAAGAAGAAACAAAGGTTTGGTGAGGCTGGTAATCTCACAGCAAGTAGATGGGCAGAGCTGGGGCTCAAAACTGGGCATCTTTCTGCAGGGTGTGTACTCTGATCTGCTCCATGACACTGCAAAGCATGAACTGGAATATTGGGGTCTGGGGAGTTAACTCATGGAGATCTGTGGAACATTTTTGCAGTAAATACAATGAGGAGAATATTTATTCAGGGATTGCAGGCTTCAACGAACAACTGGATCATGAGACACTCAGGATGGAAGAAGAAAAAATGTGGAAAAAAACCCAGCTGTGACATTTTGACCATGAAACCCTTCTTGGGAATAGTCTAATAAAAGGAAAGCTGACTTATTGTTCCTTAACCAAAGAATGACTTTTATGATTTAGAATATTATTTTAAACTTGATTCTCTGTTTCCAGTGTGAATTTAAATCAACTGACAGGAGAAGGAAAAAATCAGCAGCAACTCCTCCAACATAGAGTAACTCAGTGTAGTCAAATGATGAAGCAAAATTGTTCAGGGCTTTGTGATGGGAGCAGCAGGCACCTGGCAGTACCAACAACTTAATCATAATGATCAAGAGGAAAATATGGTTATTAATAGCCTTATAAATGCATTTATTTTTCAGAATCACCTTTGGAGTGAAATGAAAGAATGAAAATCAAATTAACAGACAAAGGCCCCCATTCCACTGTTCCCACACACTGCCAGGTCCTCCTGATTTCAGTAGGTGTTCTGGGCACAGAGAAAAAGCAGGAGCTCAATATTGATCTATTTCTAGTATTAGAAAGAATTCTTCTCTTAAATTTCAAGGCAGCCAAAATCCTAGCATTACAGCAGCACTATAGCCTGTGCTTCCCTTAATAGATCCAAGTAACAGCACTGGGATAGAATATACACTCCTTTCTCAAATGAAAGAAAAAGAGAGTTATTTCAGATGTGGGGTGGGAAGTGCTGGGGAGGTGGTTTGATTAAATAAAAGGGAAAATGGGGTGTAAGATATAGCTCTTCAGCTATTGCAGCTCTTTTATTGATCTGTTCTTATCATACACATTCACTTTTTCAGGTGTCATCATTCAACAACTTACTGTGCCAGTACTATGCAACAAGCACTGGGCTAAGCTCTAGAAATAAAAAGTCGTTTAAGATTTGGTCTATACCAAAATTAACTCAAGATGGATTAAAAACTTCAGTGTAAAACCCAAAATTATAAAAACTCTGAAAGACAACCTAGGTATACCATTCAGGACATAGGCACAGGCAGATTTCATGATGAAGATGCCAAAAGCAATTGCAACAAAAGCAAAAATTGACAAATGGAATCTAATTATACTAAAGAGCTTCTGCACAGCAAAAGAAACTATCAACAGAGTAAACAGACAACCTACAGAATTGATGAAAAATTTTGCAAAGTATCCATCTGACAAAGTTGTATTATCCAGTATCTATAAGGAACTTAAATTTACAAGCAAAAAGCAAACAACCCCATTAAAAAGGGGGCAAAGAACATGAACTGGCACTTCTCAAAAGAAGACATACATGTGATAAATAAAGCTCAACATCACTGATCATTAGAAAAATGCAAATCAAGGGCTGGATGCGGTGGCTCACGTCTGTAATCCCAGCACTTTGAGAGGCTGAGATGGGTGGATCACGAGGTCAGGAGTTTGAGACCAGCCTGGTCAACATGGCGAAACCCCGTCTCTACTAAAACTACAAAAATTAGCTAGGCATGGTAGCACACGACTGTAATCCCAGTTACTCAGGAGGCTGAGGCAGAGAACTGCTTAAACCCGGGAGGCGGAGGTTTTAGTGAGCCAAGATTGTGCCACTGCACTCCAGCCTGGGCGACAGAATGAGACTCTGTCTGAAAAAAAAAAAAAAAAGAAAAGAAAAATGCAAATCAAAACCACAGTGAGACACTATCTCACACCAGTCAGAATGGCTATTAGTAAAAAGTTAAAAAGTAACAGATGCTGGCGAGATTGTGGAGAAAAAGGGATGCATATACCCTGTTGGTGAGAGTGTAAATTAGTTCAACCATTGTGGAAGACAGTGTGGTGATTCCTCAAACACCTAAAGAGAAATACCATTCAGCCCAGCAACCCCATTACTAGGTATATACACAAAGGAATATAAATCGTTCTATTATAAAGACACATGCATGTGTATGTTTATTGTAGCACTATTCACAATAGCGAAGATATGGAATCAATCCAAATGCCCATCAATGATAGACTGGATAAAGAAAATGTGGTATATATACACCATAGAATACTATGCAGCCACAGAAAAGAACAAGATCACATCCTTTGCAGGGACATGGATGGGGCTGGAGGCTATTATCTTTAGCAAACTAACACAAGAACAGAAAACCAAATACCACATGTTCTCAGTTATAAGTGGGAGCTAAATGATGAGAATACATGGACACATAGACAGGAACAACACACACTGGGGCCTATTGGAGAGTGGAGGGTGACAGTCAGGAAAAAAACTAACCAATACTAAGCTTAATACCTGAGTAATGAAATAACAAAGCCCCATGACACACGTTTACCTATGTAACAAACCTGCACATCTTGCACATGTACCCCTGAACTTAAAATAAAAGTTAACAAAAAAAGACTTGGTCATTGCCCTCAAAAGTTCTATTTTGATTGTGTCTCTCATTCTTTTTTGCATAACACCTTGGATATTGCCTTACAGGTGTTTCCTGTTAATGACAATT
Source organism: Homo sapiens (assembly GCF_000001405.40). Taxonomy (NCBI): domain Eukaryota; kingdom Metazoa; phylum Chordata; class Mammalia; order Primates; family Hominidae; genus Homo; species Homo sapiens. Next base: position 128,421,689 of record NC_000004.12, on the reverse strand, counting down.
ACAATGATATTGATGATGATAACAATGCAAGGCACAACTGTCCACAAGTATAAGTGGCAAATATAAAAAGGGCTTATCTCAGAAAAACTTTTATTCATCCAATAAGTTGATCCATAGTGAGCAACTATTTTGTGGTATAGATGCCACTCTGGGCTCTGTGAGAAGTACAGAAAAGACTTCCATTCTCAGGAAGGCCTGGTGAATCTCTAAGCCCATCCTGGAATGAGCAGAAATGCCCAGGTCAGCCTTTGGTTGCTCCAAATCTCAGAAACGACTGATGGACAGTCAAGATTTGGCCTTGCTGCCTCTGTTTCCACCATACCTCTAAGGTGGAATGGAAATTTGCCCAGGGAAGTAGCAAGGAACAAATAACAACCACATTAAGTACTTTCTTGTTATTCTCTAGGCAACAGTACCAAGGAATGCATTGTACATCACACATTTTCAAGGTCATACATTCGAGGCGACGTTATTCCTATGCCTCCCCAGAGGACAGTATCACGTGAAAGCCACACAATCATGCCAACCCATCTTCTCCAGCATGAGGCTTTAAGAAAGATGTGCCTATATGGGAAGTGACTGGATTACATCATTAACTGAAGCAACTGGTTTCATTTCAATGTGTCAATGAGCATTGTGTGGACTTAGAGTTATAGGGTTAAGTGATAAGAACATGGATAATTTCCTAGATATTTTCTAGGAGCAAATAGTGATCACTGGCTGTGGAATGGATTCTTTGTGGATGCACGTAGCTTCCTCTGCCCCAGTAAAAGGGGGGCAGAGGCCCTGTACCCTGTGGCCTCCTGGACCACCCCATGCCACTACCACCACCACCACCCCAGGTCATATCCTTGCAAAAACACCTGCTTTTCTGGATTCCCAGCTAGGCCACCTAATGCAAATTTCCCAGCAGCCTTAGCCAAGCCCCAAATTCTACATCTGTTCCACTTTTCTCTATTCCAGATCAGCACGATATCTTCACGTTTGCTATTGTGACCACTGTTGAACCACAAAGACAGGATGCATATGACTAAAGACATGCTTTTTTTTGCACAGCACATAGAAGGAATGGTCTTGGATTAAATCTAGAGTTCTTAACTTCAGTAATAAAGAAAAGAAGATGGATCTCTACTGACAACTGGGATCAGAACCTCAAGAATCTCTTTAGCAAGTCTCCTCTATCAATCAAAAGGAGCTGACAAGGAAAGAAATTAACGTTGATTGAGTACTTACTATTTGCCTGGCCCTCTCTTAGGTACTTTATTATCTATTTATCCTCCTATCAGTCTGGCAAGTTCATATTACTATACTCAATAAAATCTACAGAACATTCTGGAAGCTCAAAGAAGATAAAGAACTTACCTAAGATCACACCAACTAGTAAGTTAAAGAACTGGGCTTGAAGCCCAGGTGTATGCAATGCCACAGATGTTTACTACAAAGGAGGATCATAGGGTGAAAGACTCTCCCTCAGGATCATAGTCAATAAAGTCAATAAGTCATTCTTACTTCTTCTACAAACCTGACATAGGAGCAATGTATTCTAACCTCTTAGATTATCTAAATACATTTGTGATTTCATTAAAGCAAAATAGCAATTATGTACTTGAAATATTTATAAAATAAGTCAACTACATTTGAAAGAAAATGTAAAAGCATTGCAATTAAACAGATTTGCACACACTGCAGGGTGTTTTTCTAACAAAAGGAGTAAGGAATAATGCTGCTAATAAAAACAATGATGATCTTGTTTAAATGTCCTAATAACTCATTTAGTGCTGTTCTGAGTGAAACTGTATATTAGTAATTTCGAATAAAGTCTTTGATGAAAGATTAAATATATCTTCTGCCCATTCTCCTCTGCAAAGCTAGTGATTCAAATGGGCTAATTTGTTCCCTTTCTTCTCATAAAATGTTTTAAGTAATCTATAAATGTTTTTCTCCTTCTATTCATATTGTAAGAGGAACCAAGTGAATAATAATGAATAAGAATAAGGAGTTATACTGATATATTGGAAAGTAATGGGTGCCCCCACCATCACTACCACACACATACATACTTTGAATTCTCATTTGGGCTTCCAGTAAGAAACAGGAAGCTCTCACATCTCAGAGCAAATATTCCCTCTGGAAACTATATTAAATAGGAGCTATCCTAAAACAATTGTCTGGTCACTTTTGAAAAAATTATCATGCTAATTAATAAAAAGTAAGGTTTTATTTTTCCCAGAAATCTAAAACTGTACAATAGCTTATATATTTAGCTCTTCCAGAAGAAATTAAGTTTGGCTGATTAAATTCTATACTGAAAATTTTCTCTTTAGCATTTCAAACTTAACAATATACAGTATTTGTAATGCTTCTAAGCCTGTGTGGGGAAAACAGGCCAAGCCATTTTAATGTCTTTTGGGATACAGGGCACATAGGTTGTTTTTGACATAGATCAAAACAACTACACTCTGTGAAATGGGTAACCTACAGGAACAAACATAACCTTGGCTAACATATGAGATTGTTCATGAAAAATACTCCTGTTTAGAGGACAATATTGGTTAGAGAGACCTTTGTCTGCAGCATTGTACTGAAATTCCTAACGCAAAGCAAAACGTCCATAGTACTTATCATGCTTTCTACAGGTAATTGGCTGCCTTCTCAGCTCCTGTGGGCCTCTTAAGAAAACAGAAAACACCTTATTTTTTCTTATTACTCAGTTCCCAGTATCAGGCATTCAATAAATATCTGTTTAATGCAACGAATGACTCCATCAACCAACATTCACTCTAAAGTAATTTCTACCTTAGTGTTCATATTTCTGATATTTTCTTCATCAGGTATGACCTGACAAACATTCTAATTTCAAAAAAGCTGGTCATGTCCTGTTTCTAAAACCCTCAAAGCCAATTATGATGTAAAATATGTTTCAGGCTCAGAGAAATGAGCATCAAGGCATGTCATATTTTCTCCATAGAGAAGCCTGGCAAAACCAAGCCCAATCCCTTTCCAGTCCAGGAGCTGCAAAATTCCCAAAGAGAAAACCAAAACGAAGAGAAGCAGAAGTCCTAAATAATCTACCTGCTCCAAGTTAAGGTGAAATAAAAATCTGAGCTCCTCAAAAAAAGATGTAAACCCACTTGGAAGGTACAGCATTATCCACAATGTACCAAGGATGTCTACCCAGAAAAGACATCTCCCTCACTGGATAACCAAGCCAACTAAAGACGCCAGCCTTTTAGAACAAATGGGTTATTCTTTGGTGGTGACATTAGAAGTGTAAATTTAGGCCGTATACTAATAAAAGAGACTGATTTATTTTCAGTCCGTTTTTCGAACATTTAAATCAAGACTTTTCTCTCCTGCCTCTGGGTTAAGGGCCTCCCTGCTTCCCAAGCCTGCCTGTTTCAGGATTTGCCTTTGCCTCCTTCCATTAGTCAACTATTTCCCCTCCAACCAGACTGAGTCCCAACCACAACATTGACACTCACTCCTGAACTTTCTTCTAGGCCAGGCCAGAGTCCCAGTACAATTTTAATCTACACACCTCATTCTCAGAGCTCAGCCCAAAAAAGCACACATCATCGAGGACAGGGTGGAGAAAAGGTGACATGTGGGTGATCCATGAGCAGAACAGAAATAGAAAATATACGATATTTCTTCCAGGAGCTGATGATACTTGTGAGCACCCAGATTTACACTTTTACATCCTTCACTACAGTTTTATACTTTAGGTTGAAAATGTTCTGCATGTTGGATAGAAGTGGAAGAAGGGACAATCACAGGGCTATCACGTCAGCCTCAAACACTCACATGTGCACACACTTTGCTTGGAAATGAGAAATGCGATCACATGATTAAAGCCTCTTTTAAAACTTGCTAGTCTCTTTCAATGTTTTCTACTTAAGGCCTTATTATCCTAACACTATATGAGGTAAACCTACCACTTTGGAATAAACCTCTAATTTGGGGGTGATTGAGTATTCTTTTTTATATTCACTGAGGATAGAACAAAAATAAATAGGTTCATATTACAGCAAGTGGGATTTGGGTTTCTTACAAAAAGTTCCTGGTGATGAGAACCTATACAAACAGCATGTTCAAGTAGAAGGGGAAGAGGGTCAGGTCCCAAGTCTGAGGAGCTGGGTTGGCTTTATCACATATTAGCTGCAATCTTATTCAAGCTACTTGACCTCTCTGTACTCAAGTGTATGATTTAAATAAGATAGTATAGGAAAAGTACTTTGCATCAACAAGTATTTTTTTAATAGTGTTATTTTCATCATATGAATCCAGCAAGATAAAAATCCCAAACCCAAATTTCTCATTATTGACACACAATTGCCCCAAGCCTTCACTTTCACCAGGAAAGAACCAAGGCCTGAGATGAGGGATGTTTAGCTGTGTTTGAAGTGTTCAGAGGAGGGGACACAGGTAGCATATGTCTGCTCCATGGATAAAAGCCAAAATAGCAAGTAGATACTTACCTTTCAAACATATCATTTGTAGAGAATGCTTGAATTCATCAGAGAAGACATAGGAAGTGCCAGAAGTAAGTTAGGAAAAAGTCTGAGGCAGCTTGCCAAGCCAGGAACTGACTGACAGCCGGGAGAGGCTCCCGGACATGGGGAAACAGTAAAAGAGAAATTCCAGAGCTCCGAAACAGGCTTTTATGATCTTAGCTCTGAGAGAAACCCTCTGCCCACTAGCCCCTTGTGCCTGACATACATACAGAGCTGCCTAAAGACTGCACAGAGATGTTGCTCCAGAAAGAAAACCCACACAGAATCCTACAGGCATCCAAGCCTGGAGCAGCCTCAGCTGGAAGCCATTTTGATTTGAGCCTAGATACCAGGGATTTACAGACATAGCTACAGCCACTGCACTGCTCCAAGGAGGGAGACCAGAGGGCAGGTACCTCCATGCACCCCCGCGAGGGTACTTGCCACCCTGCTGTGAGCTGCTGTTGAGACTGAGATGCAAGCAGACCACACTCCCCTCAGCTTCTTGCTCATGCTTCCTGCCTGGATGGTGCCCCACCCTCTCCAGTCCCAGGTTCTGGGGCCATTTTGAGAGTTTAATCCCAGGCTGCACCCTACCTTCAACCTGAACTCAGGCTGACGAGGATGTGGTCACCACCCAGCCAAGGAGGGGCAGGCAAGCCAGGCTCCCCTATACGTATCTAGGAAAATACCCAATGCCTTGCTATAGGCTGCTGTGAGACTAAGAATTTAGTGGACTGCACTCCCCACAGCTTCCTGCCCATGCTGCTCACCCGAGAGGAGTCCCACCGTCTCCAGTCACAAATCCACACCTGGAACCATTTGGGGAGTTTAGAGATGTCGTTTGGCAACCCGGTAGTGGTGGCTACAACATTCATTGTAGTCTTGGGCCAGAGTTTCCAGTGCTTGCTCTGGAACTGGCGAAGGACCCGCACAGCCAGAATTAAGTGGCAAGTGTGGAGAGTGCCCCAGCAGTAGGCATTGAATTAGACTTTCTCCTGTTGCAGGACAGGAATGGGAGGAGAGTTGCTGAAGTCTAGGTTTCTCCCAGGCTGCAAGACTTGCAGCAGAGACAGCTTTGTGATCTGGAAGCAGTCTGAGTGTGTCATTGCTAGGTCCCCCAGCCTGCTCCCTTGGTCAGTTGGGGGACAGGGCCCTACCAGCTACAAGGAGCAGGAGGGAGACGGACCCCACTCCCGAGGAAATCTAATCCTTAGCACAGACTACCCCTAAGGGAGGAGAGAGCACAGCCCACCCAAGACCCCCTTGGGTCAAAAGAAACACAAGCACAGCACCAGACACTGGAGGCAGCACCACTGTAGCCCAAAAACAGATGTGGAGAGGAATCTTCTCTCACCCCACCTTCCTCATTGCACTGTCACAGACTCAGCAGCAACCTATTCCCATCAGGGCCTAGGGAGCACGAGCTGAAATAGTCTGCTTCTCAGGCTTTTCTAGTAGCTCCACCTCCACTGAAGGCTAATGTGCACTGGGAGTGAGTATTTTTTGTGCTTCTCTGTTTCCTCTGCTCCCATCTTTACCTGCTGGCTCTTACCCTTAAGCTCCATCTACTAGACTGCAGCCTGAATTACATAACCAAAGAAAATTGCATTGCTACAACAAGCCCCATCTGAGAAAGCCACTGCATGAACCTATCTGCAACCAAGAAACCTGTGCAGAGCTAGGACCCTTAAAGCACCCAGAAATGCAGCCAATCTATTACATATATATATATTACAAATACCACAGCCATACAACCAAAGGAAAAAAAAAGATTAAAAAATCAAGGAGCCCCATCCAAACAATAGCAAATTCAAAAAGAAGGAGAAGGAGGAGGAGAAGGAGAAGCAGCAGCAGCAGCAGCAGCATCCGCTCTCTCAGATGAGAAGGAATCAGTGGAAGTACTCGGACAATAAAAACAGCCGGAGTGTTTTATCATCTCCAAAGGATCCCACTAGCTCCCAAGCAATGGGTCCCAACCAGAATGAAATGTCTGAAATGACAGATATAGAATTCAGAATATGGATGGCAAAGAAACTCAATGCTGAGATAAAGTTGAAATATAACACAAAGAAAACAGAAAAATAATCCAAAATTTAGAAGACACCATAGCTATATTATGAAAGAACCAAGCAGAACCTTATGGAATTGAAAATGTTGTTTCAGGAATTTTAAAACACAGAAGCATTAATAACAGACCAAGGTGAAGAAAGAATTTCAGAGCTTGAAGACTGGTCCTTTGAATTGACCCAGTCAGGCAAAACTTTGTTTAAAAATAATCAAAATATAAACAAAGCCTTCAATAACCATGGGATTATGTAAAGTGATCAAATCTATGATGTACTGGCATTCCTGAGAGAGAAGAAGAGAAAGTAAGCAACTTAGAAAACATATTTGAGGATATAATTCAGGAAAATTTCCCCAATTTTGCTAGAGAGGTTAGCATGCAGATACAAGAAATCCAGAGAACTTCTGTGAGATATTATAGAAGATGACCATCCCCAAGGCAGATAGTCATCAGACTGTCCAAGGTCAACATGAAAGAAAAAAACCTTAAAGGCAGCTAGAGAAAAAGATAATATAGGCTCATATTACCTATAAAGGGAAACCCATCAGAACTAACAGCAGACTTCTCAGCAGAAACATTACAAGCCAGAAGAGATTGGGGGCTCATTTTTAGTATTCTTAGAGAAAAGACATGCCAGCATAGAATTTCATATCCTGCCAAACTAAGCTTCATAAACAACAACAAAAAAAATAAAGTATTTCCCAGACAAGCAATTGCTAAGGAAATTCATCACCACCAGACTGGCCCTACAAGAGATGCTTAGGGAGTTCTAAACATGGAAATTAAAGAATGATACTTGCCACCCCAAAAGCACACACAAACATATAGCCCATTAATTCCATAAAACAACTACACAATCAAGACTACAAAGCACTAGCTAACAATACTATGACAGGGAAAAAAAAACCTCACATATCTATATTAACCTTGAACATAAATGGCCTATATGCTCCACTTAAAAGACACAGAATGGAAAATCGGATTTAAAAAATAAGACCCATCTTTCTACTGTCTTCAAGAGAGCTATCTCACATGTAATGACACCCATAAGCTCAAAGATGGAGAAATTTCTATTATGCAAATGGAAAACAAAAAAGAGCAGAAATCACTATTCTTGTATCAGATAAAATAGACCCTAAACCAACAACAGTAAAAAAGGACAAAGACGGCATTACATAATAATAAAGGGTTCGATTCAACAAGAAGACTTAACTATCCTAGATACATATGCACCCAACATTAAAGTACCCAGATTTATAAAATAATTACTTCTAGACCTAAGAAAAGACTTTGACAGCCACACAATAATAGTGGGGGGACTTCAACACTCCACCAGCAGCAATAGACAGATTATTGAGCTAGAAAACTAAAAAAGAAATTTTGGACTTAAATATAAACTGGAACAATCAGACCTAATAGACAGAACACTCCACAGAATATTCTACCCAACAACCACAGAATATACATTCTTCTCATCTGCACACAGAACATACTCTAATATTGACCAGCTGCTCATTCATAAATCAAGTCTCAACAAATTTTTTAAAATTGTAATCATACCAATGATCTTCTTGGACCATAGTGGAATGAAAGTAGAAATCAATACCAAGAGGAACTCTCAAAGGTACATGAACATACGGAAACTAAAAAACATGCTCTCGAATTATTTGGGGGTAAAAACTAACGGCAGAAATTTTAAAAATGTTTTGAAAGAAATGAAAATAGAGACACAACATACCAAAACCCCTGGATGTGGCAAAAGCAGTGTTAAGAGGAAAGTGTATAGCGCTAAATGACTACATCAAGAATATAGAAAGATTGCAAATTAACAACCTAACCTCACACCTGAAGGAATTAGAAAAGCAAGAACAAACTAAACCCAAAGCTAGCACTAAAAAGAAATAACTAAAATCAGAGCAGAACTAAATGAAATTGAGACCAAGAAAACATACAAAGAATCAAGATTTAAAAAGCTGGTTCTTTGAAAGAATCAGCAAGATTCATAGACTGTTAGCTACATTAACAAAGAGAAAAAGAGAGACAATCTAAATAAGCACAATGAGAAACAACAAAGGTGATATCACAACCAATCCCACAGAAATACAAAAGATCCTCAGGGATGACTATGAACATCTCTATGCACACAAACTAGAAAATTTAGAGGAAACGGATAAATTCCTGGAAACATACAAACACCCAAAGTTGAACCAGGAAGAAAAAGAAATTCTGAACACACCAACAAGTAATGAAATTGAATCAGTAATAAAAAACCTACCAATCAATAAAAAGCCCTGGACTGTATGGATTCACAGCCTAATTCTACCACATGTTCAAAGAAGAACTGGTACCAAACCTGAAGAAACTATTCCAAAAAATCAAGGAGGAGGGATTCTTCCCTAACTCATTCTATGAAACCAGTACATCCTGATACTAAAATCTGGCAAAGACACAACAAAAAAGAAAACTACAGGCTAATATCCCTGAAGAACAGAGATGCAAAAATCCTCAACAAAATACTAGCAAACTGAACCCAGCAGCACATCAAGAAGTTAATTCACGACAATCAAATGGGCTTTATTCCTGGAATGCAAGGAGAGTTCAACATATACAAATTAATAAATGTGGTTTGCCACATAAACAGAATTGAAAACAAAAACCATATAAACATCTCATTAGACACAGAAAAAGCCTTCAATAAAATTCAACATTCCTTCATGATAAAAACTCTCAACAAACTAGGCACCAAAGGAACATAGCTCAAATGATAAGAGCCATTTATGACAAACCCACAGCCAACATCATATCGAATGGGCAAAAGCTGGAAGCTTTTTTTTCCCTAAGAACTGGAACCAGACAAGTCCACTCTCACTACTTCTATTCAACATAGTACTGGAAGTCCTAGCCAGAGAAATCAGGCAAGAAAAAGAAATAAAACGCATTCAAATAGGAAAAGAGGAAGTCAAATAATCTTTCTTCACTGACAATATGATTCTATACCTAGAAAATCCTAAAGACTCCACCATAGGATTCCTAGAAATGATAAATGACTTCAGGGAAGTCTCAGGATACAAAATCAATGTACAAAAATCACATTTCTATACACCAATAATGTTCAAGCTGAGAGCCAAATCAAGAATGTAATCCCATTTGCAATAGGCGCACACAAAAACATCTCTAGGAATACATCTAACAAAGGAGGTGAAATATCTCTATGAAGAGAACTGTGAAACACTGTTGAAAGAAATTATAGATGACACAAACAGATACAAAATCATTCTATGCTCATTAATCAATATCATTAAAAATGTCCATACTGCTCAAAGCAATCTACAGATTCAATGCTATTCCTATTAAATTACCAATATCATTTCCCACAGAATTAGAAAAAAACTATTCTAAAATTCATATGGAACCTAAAAAGAGCCTGAGTTGGCAAGGCAATCTTAAGTAAAAAGAATAAAGCTGGAGGCGTCGCACTACTTGACTTCAAGTTATACTACAAGGCTATAGTAACCAAAACAGCATAGTGCTGGTACTAAAATAGACATGTAGACCAATGAAACAGAATAGAGACCCCCAAAATAAAACCACACACCTACAACCAACTGATCTTCAACAAAGTCAACAAAAATTAATAATGGTGAAAGGATACTCTATTCAATAAATTATGCTGGGGAAACTAGCTAACCATATGCAGAAGAATGAAACTGGACCCCTACCTCTCACCATATATTAAAATTAACTCAAGATGGATTGAAGACTTAAATGCAAGACCTCAAACTATAAAAATCCTAAAAGAAAACCTAGGAAATCCTTTTCTAGATATTGACCTAGGCAAAGAATTTATGATGAAGACCCCAAAAGCAAATGCAATAAAATAAAAAATAGACAAATGGGACTTAATTAAACTGAAGAGCTTCTACACAGCAAAAGAAATGATTAACAGAGTAAACACACAACCTACAGAATGGGAGAAAATATCTGCAAACTGTGCATCTGACAGAGTATTAATATCCAGAATCTATAAGAAACTTAAACAACAAGCAAAAAAGAAACAACCCCATTAAAAAGTGGGCCAAGGACATGAACAGACACTTCTCAAAAGATATAAGTAGCCAAAAAACATGAAAAAATGCTCTTCATCACTAATCATTAGAGAGATACATATCAAAACCACAATATCTCATACAAGTTAGAATGACTAATACTAAAAAGTCAAAAAATATTTTTAAATGGTGGATAAGAGGCAGAACTAACTTGCAGGTTTCATTTGGATGGACAGAACAGCATGTGGAGACTCATATTGTGAACTTTTGCTCCAAGAACTACCACAGGAACAGACTGCAAAAACCGAAATAATTCACAGATCCTTTGAAAGAAGCAGCTTGGTGCTGCAAACTCAGTGAGACAGCCAAAAAATTGTGAGTGCCCAAAGTGTGAGAGGCGGAAAGTCTACCTCCGAACACACATCTTCACTGGGGAACCCTAAAATCCAGATCACAGGAGAATGATTTAACCTTACCTATAGCTGAAATGAATTTAGAGAACCAAGCAAAATATAAAAGTAGAAGATGGGAAGAACCCTGTAGGTACTCCTGGTCGCCAGGGAAACCCGGGTGGCCATTTCTGAGTTTATCCCTCAGGAGTCCTTGGGGAGGGCTGCCAGTGGAATTGGAGAAGGACCACAGGGAGAAGGAAACTCCCAGCCGAACTCTGTAATAATTTCCATCGAACGTGAATTTTCCTGGGAGTAGAGGGAGTGAACGGAAAGTGCAGATATAAGCACAGAAGCTGAGGCAGGTGGGGAGGGTTGAAACTGAGTCCTGAAAGCCCTGCTTGCTTCTTCAGTGGGGAGGCTTATAGCCTGGGGCAAGATCTCAGCCCTACTCACCAGCTGCCTGAATATAAACTCAGTGCTGTTGATGGGGCATGGTAGGGGTGAGGCCAGCCTAGCTGGCTGCATGGGAGCCGGGTAAGGCCTGTCACTGCTGGTTTTCCCCAACTTTCCTGGTGACCTGTATGTTGCAGCAGAGGCAGACATAATCCCCCTGGGAACATAACTCCATTGGCCTGAGAACCACACCCCTATCCCCCACTGAGAGCCACAGCAAGGTGAGCCAGAACTCAGACATGCCTACCCCTGCCCCCACTTGATGGTCTTTCTCTACCTACCCTGGTAGCAGAAAACAAAAGACATAATCTCTTGGAAGCTCTATGGCCCTGCTCATTACCTGAGAAACCCAAATACGTTTTTTTTGTTTGTTTGTTTTTGTTTTTTTTTGAGATGGAGTTTCCCTCTCATTGCCCAAGAAGGAGTGCAATGGCACAATCTCGGTTCACTGCAACCTCCACCCCCCGGGTTCAAGTGATTCTCCTGCCTCAGCCTCCTGAATAGCTGGAATTACAGGCATTCATCACCACACCTGACTAATTTTGTATTTTTAGTAGAGACGGGGTTTCTCCATGTTGGTCAGGCTGGTCGTGAACTCCCAACCTCAGGTGATCTGCCTGCCTTGGCCTCCCAAAGTGCTGGGATTATAGGCGTGAGCCACCGTGCCCAGCCAAAACCTGAATACTTATCCAGACAACCTCAGGGCAAAATTGTATCCCCACTATACTACGACAGTTGATGCTCTCTTGAAAGCACCACTTCCTGACTGGAAGTCAACCAATTCAAGCCATTACAGCAACTCAAAAAAAAAGCAACCTTGTTCCAAGAAAGGAGAAAACAATAGCTAATTCCACCGCCTATAACATCCTGGCAAACCAGAGGTCCTGAGTCTGCCCACAGGATAACTTCACTCCTAGCACAACCAGCATTTGAGAAAACCAGCATACTAAACAAAACTACAACTAAGGACCCACACAGAGTCTACTTCACTCCCCTGCTACATACACTGGAGCAGGTGATGGTATCCATGGCTAAGAGACCTGAAAACTGATCACATCACAGGACTCTGCAGATATTCCCCAGTACATGCCCAGAGCCTGGTAGTTATGCTGGGTGGCTATACCCAGAAGAGCAATAACAATCACTGCAGTCCACCTCTCAGGAAGCCCCATCCCTAGGGGGAAGGGGGAGAGTACCACATCAAGGGATCAACCTATGACACAAAAGAATCTGAACAGCAGCCTTTGAGCCCCAGATCTTTCCTTTGACATAGTCTACCCAAATGAGAAGGAACGAGTAAAATAATTCTGGTAATATGACAAAGCAAGGTTCTTTAACATCCCCAAAAAATTACATTAGCTCACCAGCAAATCCAAACCAAGAAGAAATCTCTGAATTACCAGATAAAGAATTCAGAAGGTTGATTATTAAGCTCCTCAAGGAGGCACCAAAGAAAAATGAAAACCAACTTAAAGAAACTTAAAAAATAATACAGGATATGAAAGAAAAAATGTCAAAAGAAATAGCATAAAAAAAAAATTACAACTTCTGGAAAGACACACTTAGAGAAATGCAAAGTACACTGGAAAGTTTCAACAATAGAAGAAAGTACTTCAGAGCTCAAAGACAAGGCTTTTGAAATAACCCAATCTGACAACGACAAAGAAAAAAGAATTTTAAAAAAATGAACAAAGCTGCCAAGAAGTGTGAGATTATGTTAAACAACCGAACCTAAGAATAATTGGTGTTCCTGAGGAAGAAGATAAATCTAAAAGTTTGGAAAAATTATTTGAGAGAATAATCAAGGAAATCTTCCCTGGCCTTGCTAGAGATCTAGACATTCAAATACAAGAAGCTTGAAGAATACCCAGGAAATATACTGCAAAAGATAGTCACCTAGGTGCATAGTCATCAGGTTATCTAAAGTCAAGATGAAGGAAAGAATCTTAAGACCTGTGAGGCAAAAGCACCAGGTAACCTATAAAAGAAAACCTATCACATTAACAGCAGATTTCTCAACAGAAACCCTACAAGCAAGAAGGGATTGGAGTCCTATCTTTAGCCTCATTAAACCAAACAATTATCAGCCAAGAATTTTGTATCCAGTGAAACTAAGCTTCATAAACTAAGGAAAGACAGTCTTTTTCAGACAAACAAATGCTGAGAGAATTTGCCACTACCAAGCCAGCATTAAAAGAGCTGCTAAACAAAACCTCAAAATACACCAGAATAAAACCTTAAAGCATAAATCTCACAGGGCCTATCAAACAATAACACAATGAAAAAAACGTATTTAGGCAACAGCTAGCACAATGAATAGAATAGTACCTCACATCTCAATACTAATGTTGAATGTAAATGGCCTAAATGCTCCATTTAAAACACACAGAATGGCAGAATGGATAAGAATTCACCAACCAGGTATCTGCTGTCTTCAAGAGACTCATCTAACACATAAAGACTCACATAAACTTAAGGTAAAGGGGTGGAAAAATATATTACATGCAAATGGACACCAAAAGCAAGCAGGGGTAGCTATTCTTATATCAGACAAAACAGACCTTAAAGCAACAACAGTTAAAAAAGACAAAGAGGGCCAGGCACAGTGGCTCATGCCTGTAATCCCAGCACTTTGGGAGGCCGAGGTGGGCAGATCATGAGGTCAGGAGATCGAGACCATCCTGGCTAACATGGTGAAACCCCATCTCTACTAAAAATACAAAACAATTAGCCAGGCGTGGTGGTGGGCACCTATAGTCCCAGCTACACGGGAGGCTGAGGCAGGAGAATGGTATGAACCTGGGAGGCAGAGCTTGCAGTGAGCCAAGATCATGCCACTGCACTCCAGCCTGGGCAACAGAGTGAGACTCCGTCTCAAAACAAAACAAAACAAAAGACAAAGAGGGATATTATATAATGATAAAAGAACTAGTCCAACAGGAAAATATTACAAACCTAAATATATATGCAGCTAACACTGGAGCTCCCAAATTTATAAAACAATTACTACTAGACCTAAGAAATGAGATAGATGGCAACACAATAATAGTGGGGGACTTTAATACTCAACCAACAGCACTAGACAGGTCATCAAGACAGAAAGTCAACAAAGAAACAATAGACGTAAACTACACCCTAGAACAAATGAACTTACCAAATATTTATAGAACATTCTACCCAACAACTGCAAGATATACATTCTATTCATCAGCACATGGAATATTCTCCAAGATAGACCATCTGATAGGCCACAGAACAAGACTTAACAAATTTAAGAAAATAGAAATTATATCAAGTATTCTCCCAAACCATAGTGGAATAAAATTGGGAATCAACTCCAAAAGGACCCCTCAAGACCATGAAAATTAAGTAAGCTATTCCTGAATGATAGTTGAGTCAACAATGAAATCAAGATAGAAATTTAAAAATGCTTTGAACTGAATGATAACAGTGACACAACCTATCAAAACCTCTGGAATACAGCAAAAGCAGTGCTAAGAGGAAAGTTCATAGCATTAAATGCCTACATCAAAAAGTCTGAAAGAAAACAAATAGACAATCCAAGGTCACATCCCAAGGAACTAGAGAAACAAGAACAAACCAAACCCAAACCCAGCAGAAAAAATGAAATAACCAGGATCAGACCAGAATTAATGAAACTGAAACAAAAAAATACAAAAGATAAATGAAACAAAAAGCTGGTTCTTTGAAAAGATAAACAAAATTGATAGACCATTAGTGAGACTAACAAAGAAAAGAAGAGAGAATATCAAAATAAGCTCAATTAGAAACAAAATGGGAGATATTACAACCGATAACACAGAAATACAAAAGATCATTCAAGGCTATACAGACACCTTTACATGCACAAACTAGAAAACCTAGAAAAGATGGATAAATTCCTGGAAATATACAACCATCTTAGATTAAACCAGGAAGAAATAGAAACTCTGAACAGATCAATAACAAGCAGCAAGATTGAGATGATGACAAAAAAATCACCAACAAAAAAAAGCCCAGGACCAGATGGATACACAGCTGAATTCTATCAGACGTTCAAAGATGAATTGGTACCAATTGTATTGAAAGTACTCCAAAAAAATAGAGAAAGAAGATAAATCGTTCTATGAAGCCAGGATCACCCTAATACCAAAACCAGGAAAGGACATAACAAAAAAAGAAAACTACAGACTGATGTCCCTCATGAACATAGACACAAAAATTCTCAACAAAATACTAGCTAACTGAATCTAACAGCATATCAAAAAGATAATCCACCATGATCAAGTGGGTTTCGTACCAGGGATGCAGGGATAGTTTAAAATACACAAGTCAACAAATGTGATACACCATATAAACAGAATTAAAAACAGAAATCACATGATCATCTCAATAGATGCAGAAAAAACATTTGACAAAATCCAGCAGCACTTTGTGATTAAAACCCTTAGCAAAATCGGCATAGAAGGGATGTATCTTAATGTAATAAAAGCCATCTATAATAAACCCAAAGCCAACATTATACTGAATAGGGAAAAGTTTAAACCATTCCCCCTGAGAACTGGAATAAGACAAGGTTCCCACTTTCACCACTTCTATTCAACATAGTACTGGAAGTCCTAGCCAGAGCAATCGGATAAGAGAAATAAATAAAGGGCATCCAAATTGGTAAAGAGGAAGTCAAACTGTCACTGTTCACCAATGATATGATCATATACCTAGAAAACCCTACAAACTTATCCAAAAAGCTCCCAGATCTGATAAATAAATTGACTAAAGTTTCGGAACACAAAATCAATGTACACAAATCCATAGCACTGCTATACACCAACAGTGACCAAGTTGAGAATCAAATCAAGAACTCAAACACTTTTACAATAGCTGCAAAAATAAAATAAAATAAAATAAAATATTTAGAAATATACCTAACCAAGCAGGTGAAATAATCCTACAAGAAAAACTACAAACCACTGCTGAAGGAAATCACAGACAACACAAACAAATGGAAATACATGCCATGCTCATGGATGGGTAGAATCAATATTGTGAAAATGACCATACTGCCAAAAGCAAATCTACAATTCAATGCAATTCCCATCAAAATATTATACCATCATCATTCTTCACAGAACTAGAAAAACAATCCTAAAATTCATATGGAACCAAAAAAGAACCTGCAGAGCCAGTGCAAGACTAAGAAAAATAACAAATCTGGAGACATCACATTTCCTGACTTCAGACTATAGTATAAGGCCACAGTCACCAAAACAGCATGGTACTGATATAAAAATAGGCACATAGACCAATGGAACAGAATAGAGAACCCAGAAATAAACTCGAATACTTACAGCCAACTGATCTTTGACAAAGCAAACACAAACATAAAGTGTGGAAAGGACACCCTATTCAACAAATGGTGCTGGGATAACTGGCAAGCCACATGTATTAGGTTGGTGCAAATGTAATTGCAGTTTTTGCCATTAAAAAGTACTAGCAAAAACCACAATTATGTTTGCACCCACTTAATAGAAGAATGGAACTAGATCCTCATCTCTCACCTTACACAAAAATCAACTCAAGACTGATCAAAGACTTAAATGTAAGACTTGAAGCCATAAAAATTCTAGAAGACAACATCAGAAAAACCCTTTTAGACATTGGTTTAGGCAAAGACTTCATGACCAGGAACCCAAAAGCAAATGCAACAAAAGCAATGATAAATAGATGGGACTTAATTAAACTAAAAAGCTTATTCACAGCAAAAGAAATAATCAGCAGAGTAAACAGACAATCAGATATTGATCATCAAGACAGATGGGAGGCAGGACTAGATTGCAGCTCTGGACAGAGCAGCATGAGGAGACTCACACTGTGAATTTTAGCTTCAAATTAACTGCAAGAACAAAGCATCAATCCCGAGAAGACCCACACACCCTCTAAAGGAAGCGGACTGATCCTGCAGGACCCAGGAGACACCTCAAATACTGTGAATGCCCCAACTGCAGAATTGAGAAAGGGAGACCCACCTCTCCCAAACACACACCCCCACTGGAGAAACTGAAGGTCTGTTTGCAGGAGAAGTTTCTGACTTTACCTGGAGCTGAGTCAATGTGGAGAGCGGAGTGAAATACAGGGGTACAGGAAGCAGCAGAAAGGCCCTGGGAGTTCACTGGGTCCCCAAGCGGGCCATTCCTGCTGGCAACACAGGGATTCATCAGGAGGGCGGCCAGAGGAACAGGGAGTGAAACTCCACAGGGACAAGGAAATCTCTAGCTGAACTTTGTAACAATTTGAATGGGGCAAGGGGCAAGAAGCCTGCTGGCCAGAACTCGGGAGAGGGCATGAATCCCATGTGCAGATTCCACAGAAGAAGAACCAACCCCTTTTCTTTAGCAGCTGGGAGGCAGGTAGCCTGGGGCAAGCTTTCAAGCCCCTCTTGCCCACTGCCCAGAAACGGACTCTGGGCTGTTGTGGGGGTGGGGGCATAGTTGGAGTGAGACTGGCCCTTCAGTTTGAGTGGGAGCTGGGTGAGGCCTGTGACTGCTGGCTTTCCCCCACTTTCCTGACAACCTACATGACTCAGCAGAGGCAGCCATAATCCTTCTAGGTACACAGCTCCAGTGACCTGGGAATCTCACCTCCATCCCCAACAGCAGCAGCAGCAAGATCTACCCAAGGAGAGTCTGAGCTCAGACATGCCTAGCCCCGCCCCCACCTGATGGTCCTTCCCTACCCACCCTAGTAGCAGAAGACAAAAGGCATGTAATCTTGGGAGTTTTAGGGCCCTGCCCACTGCAGGTCCCTCTACAACCCCCAGTGCCAGCCCAAAGCCGGGTAGACTCGTTGGGTGGCTAGACCCAGAAAAGAGGCAACAATCACTGCAGTTCAACTGACAGGAAGCCACATCCATAGGAAAAGGGGTAGAGTGCTACATCAAGGGAACACCCCATGGGACAAAAAAATCTGAACAACAGCCTTCAGCCCTAGACCTTCCCTCTGACAGAGCCTACCCAAATGAGAAGGATCCAGAAAACCAACCCTGGTAATATAACAAAACAAGGCTCTTCAACACTCCGAAAAAATCACACTAGTTCACCAGCAATGGATCCAAACCAAGAAGAAATCCATGATTTACTGGAAAAGAATTCAGTTTAGTTATTAAACTAATCAGGGAGGCACCAGAGAAAAAGGCAAAACCCAATGCAAAGAAATCCAAAAAAATGATACAAGAAGTGAAGGGAGAAATATTCATAGAAATAGATAGCTTAAAGAAAAAACAATAAAAATTTCAGGAAACTTTGGCCATTTTTAGAAATGTGAAATGCTCTGGAAAGTCTCAGCAATAGAACTGAACAAGTAGAAGAAAGGAATTCAGAGCTCAAAGAAAAGGTCTTCAAATTAACCCAATCCAACAAAGACAAAGAAAAAAGAATAAGAAAATATGAACAAAGCCTCCAGGAAGTCTGGGATTATGTTAAACGACCAAACCTAAGAATAATCGGTGTTCCTGAAGAAGAGAATTCTAAAAGCTTGGAAAACATACTTGGGGGAATAATCAAGGAAAACTTCCCCAGCCTTGCTAGAGACCTAGACATTCAAATACAAGAAGCACAAAGAACACCTGGGAAATTAATCACAAAAAGATCATCACCTAGGTACATCGTCATCATGTTAACCAAAGTTAAGACTAAGGAAAATGTTAAGAGCTGTGAGACAGAAGCACCAGGTAACCTATAAAGAAAAACTATCAGATTAACAGCAGATTTCTCAGCAGAAACCTTACAAACTGGAAGGAATCGGGGCTCTATCTTCGGCCTCCTCAAACAAAACAATTATCAGCCAAGGATTTTGTATCCAGCAAAATGAAGCATCATATAAGAAGGAAAAATACAGTCATTTTCGACAAACAAATGCTGAGAGAATTCATCATTACCAAGCCACCACTACAAGAACTGCTAAAAGGAGCTCTAAATCTGGAAATACATCAAAACAGAACCTCTTTAAAGCACAAATCACACAGGACCTATAAAACAAAAATACAAGTTAAAAAGCAAAAACAAAAAACAAAAAAAAACAAACTACACAGGCAACAAAGAGCACAATAAATGCAATGGTACCTCACATTTCAATACTAACATTGAATGTAACCGCCTAAATGCTCCACTTAAAAGATGCAGAACCACAGAATGGATAAGAATTCACCAACCAACTATCTGCTGCCTCAGGTGACTCACCCAACACATAAGGACTCACATAAACTTAAAGTAAAGGGGTTGGAAAAAGGCATTTCATGTGAATGGACACCAAAAGTGAGCAGGGGTAACTATTCTTGTATCAGACAAAACAAACTTTAAAGCAAGAGCAGTTAAAAGTGTATATAACGGTAAAAGGCCTTGTCCCACAGGAAAACATCACAATCTTAAACATATATGCACCTAACACTGGAGCTCCCAAATTTATAAAACAATCACTAAAAAATGAGATAGACAGCAACACAATAATAGTGGGGAACTTCAATACTCTACTGACAGCACCAGACAGGTCATCAAGACAGAAAGTCAACAAAGAAACAATGGATTTAAACTATGCCTTGGAACAAATGGACTTAACAGATATATACAGAACATTTCATCCAACAACTGCAGAATACACATTCTATTCAACAGCGCATGGAACGTTCTCCAAGATAGACCATATGGTAGGCCATAAAATGAGCCTCAATAAATTTAAGAAAACTGAAATTACATCAAGCACTCTCTCAGACCACAGTGGAATAAAACTGGGAATCAACTCCAAAAGGAACCTTCAAAACCATGCAAATACATGAAAATTAAATAACCTTCTCCTGAATGAGCACTGGGTCAAAAATGAAATCAAGATGGAAATTAAAAATTCTTTGAACTGAATGACAATAATGACACAATCTACAAAACCTCTGGGATACAGCAAAGGTGGTGTTAAGAGAAAAGTTCATAGTCCTAAACGCCTACATCAAAAAGACTGAAAGAGCACATGCTGACATTCTAAGGTTACACATCAAGGAATTAGAGGAACAAGAACAAATCTAACACAAACCCAGCAGAAGAAAGGAAATAACCAAGACCAGAGCAGAACTAAATGAAATTGAAACAAAAAAAAATACAGAAGATAACTAAACAAAAACCTGGTTCTTTGAAAAGATAAATAAAATTGATAGACCATTAGCAAGATTAACCAAGAAAAGAAGAGAGAAAATCCAAATAACCTCACTAATAAATGAAACAGCTGACACCACTGAAATAAAAAGATCATTCGAGGCTACTATGAATACCTTTACTCACATAAACTAGAAAATCTAGAAGAGATGGATAAATTCCTGGAAAAATACAACCCTACTAGCTTAAATTGGGAAGAATTAGATGCCCTGAACAGACCAATAACAAGCTGCAAGATTGAAATGGTAATTTAAAAATTACCAGCAAAGAAAAGTCCAGGACCAGAGGGATTCACAGCAGAATTCTACCAGACATTCAAAGAAGAATTGGCACCAATCCTTTTGACACTATTCCACAAGATAGAGAAAGAAGGAACCCTCCCTAATTCATTATATGAAGCCAGCATCACCCTAATACCAAAACCAGGAAAGGACATAACAAAAAAAGAAAACTACAGGCTGATATCCCTGATAAACATAGATGTTAAAATCCTTAACAAAATACTAGCTAACCAAATCCAGCAACATATCAAAAAGATAATCCACCATGATCAAGTGGGTTTCATACAAGGGATGCAGGGATGGTTTAACATATGCAAGTCAATAAATGGGATACACCACATAAGCAGAATTAAAAACAAAAATCACATGATCATCTCAATAGATGCAGAAAAAGCATTCAACAAAATCCAATATCCATTATGATTAAAACTCTCAGCAAAATCAGCATAATACAAGGGACATACCTTAATGCAACAAAAGCCATCTATGACAAACCCACAGCCAACATAATACTGAATGGGGAAAAGTTGAAAGCATTCCCTCTAAGAACTGGAACAAGACAAGGATGCCCGCTCTAACCACTCCTCTTCAACATAGTACTGGAAGTCCTAGGAAAAGCAATCAGAAAGAGAAAAATTTAGGGCAAATAGGTAAAGAGGAAGTCAAACTGTCACTGTTTGAGGACAATATGCTCATTTACCTTGAAAACCCTAAAGACTCCTCCAGAAAGCTCCTAGAACTGATAAAAGAATTCAGCAAAGTTTCCAGATACAAGATTAATATACACAAATTGGTAGTTCTTCTATACAGCAACAGTGACCAAGCAGAGAATCAAATCAAGAACTCAACCACTTTTACAATAGCTGGAAAAAAAAAAAAACTTAGGAATATACCTAACCAAGGAGTCGAAAGACCTCTACAAGGAAAACTACAAAACACTGCTGAAACAAATCATAGACAACACAAACAAATGGATACACATCCCATGCTCATGGATGGGTAGAATCAATGTTGTGAAAATGACCATACTGCCAAAAGCAATCTACAAATTCAACACGATCCCCATCAAAATACCACCATCATTCTTCACAGAATTAGAAAAAACAATTCTAAAATTCATACGGAACCAAAAAAGATCCCACATAGCCAAAGCAAGACTAAGCAAAAAGAACAAATTTGGAGACATCACACTACCTAATTTCAAACTACACTATAAGGCCATAGTCACCAAAACAGTGTGGTACTGGTATTAAAATAGGCACATAGACCAATGGAACAGAATACAGAACCCAGAAATAAACCCAAATACTTATAGCTAACTGATCTTCGACAAAGCAAACAAAAACATAAAGTGGGGAAAGGACACCCTTTGCAACAAATGATGCTGGGATAATTGGCTAGCCACATGTAGGAGAATGAAACTGGATCCTCATCTCTCACCTTATACAAAAGTCAACACAAGATGAATTAAGGACTTAAACTTAAGACCTGAAACTATAAAAATTCTAGAAGATAACATTGGAAAAACCCTTCTAGACATTGGCTTAGGCAAGGATTTCATGACCAAGAACCCAAAAGCAAATGCAATAAAAACAAAGGTAAATAGATGGCACCTAATTAAACTAAAGAGCTTTGCAGAGCAAAAGGAACAGTCAGCAGAGTAAACAGACAACCCACAGGGTGGGAAAAATTTTTCACAATCTATACACCTGACAAAGGACTAATCTCCAGAATCTACAATGAACTCAAACAAATCAGTAAGAGAAAAACAAGCAACCCCATCAAAAAGTGGGCTAAGGACATGAATAGATAATTATCAAAATAAGATATACAAATGGCCAACAAACATATGAAAAAATGCTCAACATCACTAATGATCAGGGAAATGCAAATCAAACCCACAATGCAATACCACCTTACTCCTGCAAGAATGGCCATAATAAACTAATCAAAAAACAGTAGATGCTGGCATGGATGTGGTGATCAGGGAACATTTCTACAGGGCTGGTGGGAATGTAAGCTAGTACAGCCACTATGGAAAACAGTGTGGAGATTCCTTAAAGAACTAAAAGTAGAACTACCATTTGATCCAGCAGTCCCACTACTAGGTATCTACCTAGAGGAAAAGAAGCCATTACTCCAAAAAGATACTTGCACACGCATGTTTATAGCAACACAATTCACAATTGCAAATTCGTGGAACCAACCCAAATCCTTGTCAATCAACAAGGGGATAAAGAAACTGTGATATATATATAAGAAACTGTGATATATATATATATATATATATATATATATACACACACACACACACACACACACACATATACATACACACACGATGGAATACTACACCATAAAAAGGAATAAATTAACAGCATTTGCAGTGACCTGGATGAGACTGAAGACTCTTATTCTAAGTGAAGTAACTTAGGAATGGAAAACCAAACATTGTATGTTCTCACTGATATGTGGATGCTAAGCTATGAGGACAGAAAGGCATAAGAACGACACAATGGACTTTGAGGACTTGGGGGGAAGAGTGGGAGGGGGGTGAGGGATAAAAGACTATAAATATGGTGCAGTGTATACTGCTCAGGTGATGGGTGCACCAAAATCTCACAAATCACCACGAAAGAACTTACTCATGTAACCAAATACCACTTGTACCCCAATAACTTATGGAAAAATAAAATAATAATAAATTGTTTTAAAAAAACAGACAACCCACAGAGTGGGAGAAAATCTTCACAAACTATTCATCTGACAAAGGATTAACATCCAAAATCTACAAGGAACTCATACAAATCAGCAAGAAAAACAAATAATCCCATAAAAGAGTGGGCTAAGGACACGAGTAGACATTCTCAAAAGAGGATATACAAATGGCCAACAAACATCAAAAAAATGCTCAACATCACTAATGATCAGGGAAATGCAAATCAAAACCAAAATGAGATACCACCTTAATCCTCTAAGCATGGCAATAGTTTAAAAATCAAAAAATAATAGACATTGGTGTGGATGTGGTGAAAAGGGAACAATTTTACACTGCTGATGGGAATGCAAACTAGTACAACCACTACAGAAAACGGTATGGAGATTGCTTAAAGAACGATCCATGATTTGATCCAGCAATCCCACTACTAGGTATCTACCCAGAGGAAAAGAAGTCATTACATGAAAAAGATACTTGCACATGCATGTTTATAGCAACACAATCTGCAATTGCAAAAATATGGAACCAACCTAAATGCCCATCAATCAATGAGTAGATGAAGAAAATGTGATATATATATACACCATGGAATACTACTCAGCCATAAAAAGGAACAAAATAATGGCATTTGCAGCAACCTGGATGGAATTGGAGACCATTATTATTATAAGTGAAGTAACTCAAGAATGGAAAACCAAATATTGTATGTTCTCACTTATAAGTGGGAGCTAAGCTATGAGGATGCAAAGGCATAAGAATGATGCAACAGACTTTGGGGACTCGGGAGGAAGTGTGGCAGGGTGGTGAGGGATAAAAGACTACACATGGGGTACAGTATACACTCTCAGGTCATGGATGCACCAAAATCTCAGAAATCACCACAAAAGAATTTATCCATGTAATCAAACACCACCTGTTCCCCAAAAGCCTATTGAAATTTTTTAAAAAAAACTGATGTTGGCAAGATTATGGAGAAAAGGAAACACTTATATACTGTTGGTGGGAATGCAAATTTGTTCAGCCACTGTGGAAAGCATTTGGAGATTCCTCAAAAACTAAAAACAGAATTACCATTCAACCAAGCAATCCCATTACTGGGTATGCACCCAAAGGAAAATTAATCATTCTACCAAAAAGACATCTGCACTCATATGTTCATTACAGCACTATTCACAATAGCAAAGACACAGAATTAACCCAGGTGCCCAACGATAGTGGATTGGATAAAGAAAATGTGGTACATATAAACCATGGACTACTACACGGACATAAAAAGAATGAAATCATGTTTTTTGCAGCAACATGGATGCAGCTGGAGGCCATTATTCTAAGTGAATTAACATATAAGCAGAGAAACAAATACCACATGATCTCATTTATATGTGGGAGATAAGCATTGGGTACACTCAGACATAACAACAGGAACGATAGACACTGGGAACTCAAAAGGGGAGATGGGGGGGGAAAGGGTTGAAACACTACCTCTCAGGTACTATGTTCACTATTTGGGCAAAAAGATCATTAGAAGCCCAAACCCTAGCATCACACAATATACCCTTGTAATGAACCTGTGCATGTACCCCATGAACCTAAACTCAAAAATCAAAAACAAGTATTTGGATAATTTTTTTAAATAAGCAAATAAAAAATAAAGATGTGTTTGGACAAGATGAATAAGGAAGGGAAGGGTACCTCTGGGGAATATGGCACAGTGTTATCATTATAACAGAGGTAGTCTTATAGTGTTATCACTATAACAGAGGTAGAAGATGGTAAAAGGACTTGGCAACATTCCTCTCCACCAAGGATGGTCTGAAGTATGGAAATACTAAGAGGAAAATGAGGTCTGCCTAAGAAGATTGGGTGAGAAAATAGCAAAGATCATCAAGCAACTTTAACTCAAAACTCTAAGCCAGACACATTTCTAATGCAAGGAAATAAAAGGACTTTCAGGTTTGAGCTCAGACCATCATTAATAACCTTGTGAGGAATCACAATCTGTAGAAGAAAGGCCAGAACACTGCTCCAATTTTTCAGAGTTGCTCTTTCCAACTCTGGAAATAATGATCCACTGAGCTTGACATAAGTCCTCAGAAAATTCTACAATGGATAATTTTATATGACTTTTGAAAATAATTATGTTACAGACAAAGTGTAAATATTATCAACTTGACACAGTGAAGGCAAAATTACAGCTGAGAAAAAAGAGAAGGTGAGGAGGCATTTAAAAAGTGGCAGAAAGGATAGGAATATGAATATCCTTATCCTACAAAGTGGATGGTCAAGAGATTATGTTCATAGCTGATTGAACAAAAAAGAGGAGTTTAAGTACATTATTCTGAGTTACAAAAGTTAACTTTAGAAGAACTAAAAACAGTGATATTATATTACAAAAGAGAAGAGAGATGGGGGTGGAGAATGAGCAAAATTCTCATCTACAATAGTGTCTACAATGAATGAACCAAGAATTCATAGTAAGCATGTTTTTAAAGTTACAGGCATTACCAACAAAAGAAAGCAGAAATGGTTAAAGGTGAGGATTTCTGAGAAGGGAGGAGTAGGACAGAATAATGATTATTTTCAGTATAAGCCCTTCCACACTACATGATGCTTTAAACCATGTTTATGAATTACTTAAATTTTTTAAAAAATCATTTTTCAAATGATACATTAGTAGTTCAGAAAAAGCTGCTATTTATCTCTAGGACCCCTTATATGCTCACCAAGAATAATTCATGCCACACTAGCCTGGATAGGAGAGGAGCTTTGTTGAAATAGATCTTTTTTTCCACCTCACACAGTATTCAGAATACAATATACATCTAAGAACTATCTCTTGAATGAATTAATGAATGAAGAAATGACATCTCAATTTCAGCCTAAGTCTCAAATGATGTCTTTTTTTGTGCAATGAAGGAATGTGGGTGGAGGAGGGTACAGTGGGGTGAGTTTTTTGGATGCGCCTGAGTCTTTCCAATCCAAGAGCCCTGAAGTCAGGCATTGGCGGTAATTCTAGATATCTCCCAGTGATCAACAGCAGCCTCTGAATCACTGTTACCAAAACCTGCCAGCAACCACGCTCAGCACTGGCCACAGAGACTTCATCCTCCCTGTGCCCAGATATGACTCTAGCTTCACAAGAGTATCCAAGTACTGATGGGTAGTTTTCCCTCTGTACATGTTAGGATCTATTAAACCATCCAATCTCCAAACGGAGACTTGGAGTATATCTTTTAAATAACATGAAAACATTATTTTGTGTGAAGCTTGCTTTTAAATACTGTGGCTTCGTGTTTGTAATTTAGCAATTAATCTGGCTTTGAGTTTCTTTGCTGCCAGAACATCTTGAAACTAGATTTCCATAGATAAAATGGACCACTCAGAGAGTTAAGTCGAGAGATAAAAGAGTGCATCCAAATTCAGAGCAGAGTGAATTAATTTTCCAGGTCTAGCTGGTTTTTGAATACATAACTTTGCTTAAGAAAATTTCCCAATATCTGTTTTTTTTTTGTTTTTTGTTTTTTGTTTTTAAGGACAAGGATAGGGGGAGGAAAGAATGAAAGAATGCCATTGGTCCTGAAAGTAACTGATTCATTCTTCTTGGGTTTTTTTCGGGTTAGTTGGTTTGTCTGTTTGTTTGTTTTTTTGAGATGGATTATCACTCTGTTACCCAGGCTGGAGTGCAGTAGTGTGATCTCGGCTCACTGTAACCTCCACCCCCTGGGTTCAAGCGATTCTCCTGCCTCAGACTCCCAAGTAGTTGGGATTACAGGCTAATTTTTGTATTTTTAGTAGAGATGCAGTTTTTGCCATGTTGGCCAGGCTGGTCTTGAACTCCTGACCTCAGGTGATCCACCCACTTCGGCCTCCCAAAGTGCTGGGATTACAGGCGTGAGCCACTATGCCCCGCCTAATTCATTCTTCTTAATGCTAGGTGAAGCCACAATTTTAGTCACAAAAGAAAGCTTTGGAAATAATTGATGAAATAAGCTTAAATATACCTTTGTTTGATATAGGACAATGTGTTGGCTGATAACTTGAAATTTTTCTTACACCTAAAAGTAGCACCTTCCATT
Organism: Homo sapiens; assembly: GCF_000001405.40. Classification (NCBI taxonomy): domain Eukaryota; kingdom Metazoa; phylum Chordata; class Mammalia; order Primates; family Hominidae; genus Homo; species Homo sapiens. The sequence continues at coordinate 128,393,967 of NC_000004.12, read as the reverse complement.
TAAATTTAATATGCTAGGATATGCTTGAAAGAAAATTTAAGGCCTTTGAGTTCCCATGGAGGAAGTCGGTTTTGAAATGAGTTTTGAGAGATGAACAAGATTTCACCAGGTAGAGTCTGGAATGGGAAATCATTTCAGGAAAAAAATAATGTGGAAATTTTAAAATAAATAAATGTAATTTCTGACAGCTCTGTCAGAATGTCACTTCTGAAGTAAAAAGTAAGTTAACACAAACACTTCCTCTCAAATAGCTCAGCTATTCCCTGCCCTGAGCCTCCCTTACCATCCTTCCCACCGCTCTCCCTCCCTGCTGCCCGCCCATCACCCCTCCGTGAAACAAACACAGCATATCAAACTGGAAGGCAGTGATGATGAGACAAGGAGTCCCACTTGACAGGAGCAAAGCTGAATAGCTCTTTAAAGCCAGACTCGAAAGCTCTGCCATTTGAGCCTTCATGTCATTTCATGATAAATGATCCTTTCCCAACAGTTTGCCACTGCTATTAAACAGGGGTCCTAACAGGGCCCTCCCATCTACACTCTACCTTTGTAATTAGCACGTTTGGTCTCTGTGCATGTATTTCATGGGTGACTCACTTATAAGCTAAGTGATAAGTAACCAAATTACAAGGCTATAAATATATCAACTGCTGCCTGGGAGAAAGCCTGAGTGGTTTCGTTTATGAAGTCAGCAATATTCTGAACTGATTCTTACAACAGAGCTTAGTTTTCTTTTCCTCCCTCCCCCTCCCCACTTAGGTAATTTGATATTGTATATATCTCCAATTATAAATCACAAGTGAATTATTGGAAAAATGTAACTTGGGCCTGAATGATTTTAATTAGAGCAACATTTTTTATTCATAAGAAGCCTTAGCTGGACAATTTCCAAAGAAACTACATCCACCCAAAACATTTGGAAACAGGCAAGAACTCTTGGTATGTAAAGCAAATCTGGCCTTCACCAACTGTCTTGCTGTCTTGGTACCATCATTGTGTTTTATCTGTCCAAATGGGTGCCAGTTACTAAATTTTAGAAAGAAATGTATTAGGTAAGAGTCCCCAAAGTGTGATTTCACATGTGAAAAGGACAAAAGTTGACGATAATCATTATTATAATGAAGACAACTAACACTGAATGGAAATTTACATTCAACACTTTCCCTGTTTCTACTGTCTAGTTTACCCTCCACACTGACAACAGAACTTTTTTAAAAATTATCATTTTAATAATATAAGGATAGGGTCTCACTATGTTGCCCAGGCTGGTCTCAAATTCCTGGGCTCATGTGATCTTCCCGCCTTGGCCTCCCAAAATGCTGAGGTTACAGGTGTGAGCCACTGTGCCCAGCCAGCAGAGCTATTTTTATTTAACTTTTAAACATTGTCCTTCTTCTGCCTAAAAACTTCTGTTAGCATAAAGACTGAGAAATTAATCTTGACTCCTCCTGTACTATTATTTGTCATGTTGTAGTTCCATCTCCTCCTTGAGAGTAAGAGCATGTTTTACCCATCTTTGTATCCTAAGCACCTACCATAGACCCTGACACAAAATTGGTGCTTATCAAACATTTCTGTTGAACTACGAACTGAACCTCTTTAAACAAGAGATCTGATCTCATGTGAATACACATATATATGTTTTCTATGAATTTCTTGTTGTTTTAAACTTAAAATTGAAACTTCTCAATGTGACATAGGGGACTTTTTGCAATCTGATTCCGATCTTCCATTCTGGCATCATCCCCTACCCCTCCACCTGAGCACCATATTTGTGCTCAGCTTCTCCGATATTAGGGCAAAGTTTTGTTCTCCTCCTAGGCCCATTGTCTTTTTAATATTCAGTTAAATATAGAACAAATGATCTCATTTAATGGAAGCTGAGTCTTGAGGCAGCACCAGTAAAGGTCAGAAGCAGAGACAAGAGTGAATTGTGGAATATCGGAGCAAAAGCCAGAAAACAAAGATACTGTTAAAGAATGGGAGAGAAAATTCAGACTAGAATTTTTTTTTTTTCTAAAAGCTAGAACATGACTATGGGTAATGTTTACCTATGCATGGGATAAAGAAGAAAGGGATGCATTTCACCCTGAGAGATAAAAAATTAGAAAGTTGGTCCCAAGTTTAAGATAACCCCTAGAACAGAACTAGATGTTAGGAAATATGTGCAGAGTTCCTCACGAAGTAAGTTATTTTATTGATGATGATGAGTCAGTACAAAGTCACCACAATAGTACCATGCTCCATGTTTGCTATCACCCTTGTTACAAACACCTCAGTCTCCGTTGAGCCTATCATCAGACAGTTAACAAGGAAGGTGGGTGTCATGAACAGGTAAGAGACAACAGCTGGGCTCTATCAGTAGGGTCAGGGTTGCAAGGCTTCCAGGAGACATACAAACAGATGAGATGCTGAGAAACCTTACCTCCCAAGGTTGAACAAGATCATCAGAAGTCAATATTTGCAGCGAGTTTTACAGGTGATTCTTCAGGCCTTACCATAGCAACCTCACCAAGGAAACAGAAGCCTAAATGGCCAAATGACTTGTTGGGAACATGTGGCAAATCAGTAGGATAAAGGCATTTCCCTCGGTCAGTTTGGTGCTTAGTCCTTCAAACCATATTGTCTCTCCTTTTAAACATGTCTCTGCTCTATGGATTAAAAAATCTTGGAAACTTGAGATGATGTGCTTGCTAATTAAGAATGTTTCCATTTCTCTGAATTGCTCCTCTTAAATCTTTTCATGGGAAAGCTATAACAAACCCCTCTTTATTACTAAATAGGACTGGCCCAATGAGGTCAGCTGCTCCAAGGAAACTGTCTCTGCTTATAACAGTGACTGGACTGCAGTACAGCAATTCTCTCCTGCAGAGAAAGTGGAATCAAGACCAAAAGAGGAAGGAGCAAGATGCAAAATTCAATCTGAATTTCATTTGAGGCAAATTGCATTTATCTCTCTAGATGTATTCAAGATTTGTAGGAGTGGGGAGGGGAATAGCATAAACATATCTATAGGATTGTATAATTTTTTAGCCAAATGATGAAACTGAGGCCCAAAGATATAACACAGCAAATTATTAGCAGAGCTCTGACTAGAACTCAGAGTCCTATGGCCACTTTCATTGCAAGAGGAGGCAGAGCAGAGAGTGTGGTTTCCTGGCCTGAATCCTGGCTCTGCAGCTTACCAGCTGTATGACCTTGGGTAGGTTTCTTAAAGCCTGTACTACGTTTTCACGTCTGTAAAACAGTGGCGATGGATCCTCCCCTGAGGTTGTTGTAGGGTTTAAATTAGTGACTACATGATCAGTGCTTACAACAGCGCTTGGAACTTAGAAAGCAATTACCGTTAGCCTCATTTTGACTTAGGATCTTTTCCAAACATTTCAAACAACACACCAAAAACACTGAAAGCAGAAGGAGGGAAACACCATGGAGCTGGAAAGCAAGCTCTTCATATAAAGCCCTTACCCATCCAGTCTCCTTCATACTTTGTGATCCTTTAAAGCAGGCTACACTATCTTTTCCTGTGTCTAGTTTTTTTTGCCAACTGGAGCTAAACATTTCTTTTTTTAACTTTTTAAAACTATCATCCTAGGATGCATCTTCTCAGCAATAGCTTACTGGTCATGACAGCCTGTACAAAATTCTCTTTTACCCAGGAGAGTGAGGAGTTCTTCACTGAAGCAGCACAGTTCCTCTCTCTCTCTCATCCCCCCAAGCCTGTCCCCCTAAGGGTGTGATGAACCTTGAGTTCAGTCATACACCCTGATCTCATGTTGGGCATGGAAAGGAAACAGTGTTATTCTGAGTGACTGTGAATGAATGAAGGTGAGTGGTGCTCCCTCCCTGAGAGGAGCTGCTCCCTCATAACAGCTTAGGAGCCCTAAGGAGGCTCACACATGAACAAAGTCTTAGAGGGAGACGGTGGATTCCTGCAGCGACCTCAAGAAGGAAGTGTCTGGGTATTTCTAACGTGTATTAGCGAGTTGGGGTGGTACTCGTATAAATTCAAGAAATGCTAAGGAGTAATTGAAAGAAATAGGGAGAGATCGAGAAGCAAAATGAACAAAATGCCTGATATGTCCACGTGCCAGTGAGGAGGTGAGGTGTGAGGAGAAGTCTGTCACAGTAGCCAATAAACCATGAGGGCGAAAATATTTGGCTTGAATAACTTAGAATCTGCTCCCTGCCTGCAGCAGAGCTTGGCAGTGAGTCAACAAATCCAGAACAGAATTTCTTTTTCAGGAGCCACAGAGAGTTCATTTACATACACACACACACACACACACACACACACACACACACACACACACACTTCTCTTATAGATATACCCTTTATCAGCAAGGAGACTAATATGGCATTTCTTAGTATATTTCCAAAACTGTGTACATCATTGACAGTCATCAGGACCTATTTGCCAATAAATCAAAAGGTTTTTTGAAGCATTTTTTAAAATTCTACTAAAAAAATGCCACATGTGTTCTGATAATTTCTTCTATCCTCTCCTTTTGTTAAAAGTGAAACAAAAACACAAGGACATAACCAAAATGTTAATAATGGCTATATCTGGGTTGCATGATTACAAGGTAATTTTTTCCTCTTTTTTCTTTGTTGATTATTTGTATTTTCTAATTCATCTTCCATAAACATATATTATTTTTCTAGTATTCAAAATAAGAATAAAAACAGAGTGAGCAAAAGCAAAAAATTTCCAGAGAGCAGTCTTGCTATATTATATGATGTTCCTTCAAATGACACCCCCTTGAACCAACAAGTACCAACGATAATATTCTTGAGAAAGGGCAAGACCACCACAGAAGAGCAAAAGGGATTAAGAACACAGGGGAATCACAGAGATTATTTCACAGTCTTGCAGAAATGCTAAAACCTGCATAGTGACTGTGCTGAGCAAAATGTCACACTGAGAAGGCTCTGTGGGACATCAGCGTCTATCAGGTCCATGAGCAGTAGGACCCCCCAAACAATTGCAGGTCCCAAGCAGGCTTTGCAACTCAGTCAGAATTTTCCTTTTTGCAAAGGTATTCCCAGTATTCACATTGCACATGTGTTTAAGTGCTAATTAATTGGGTGTAAATAGAGGAGAAATCCATGTAATTCAAGCTAATGCTATCTGTGAATGTCATTTTCCAAATTGAAGCCCATTTGGTTCTAGATATCAGCCAGACTACAAAGTAATCATGCACTCCAAAACCTGTCCTGCCCCACTAATGGGAAAACATCCTTAAAAAGCCCATTGAAGAGGCTCACCTGGATTTCAGGTAACATCTTTCTCACCTCCACCTGGTGCCTTTGATATTGAGGAAACCACAATATCAGAAACTCTGATCTTTCCTTTTAAAAACCTTCCCAAGGATTGGCATTCAATTCAGAATCATCAGTTCCTATAAACTACAAGTATTTTACATGCACTGGAGATCACACCAGCTTCAGTTGTCATGTCCCAGGGTCTTTACTGTGCCAGAGGTGACGAGCAACCTCGTGTTGTCTAGTCATTTCAATGTACATGTCATAGCTCAGGCATGTCCCAACCCAAGGCAGCGTGGTGTCAGTGGAAGAAGCTAAGATTCAGGCAAGAGAAGGGCTGGTCCCTAAGGAGGAATGGAGGTTGGGGTGAGAGACCCCAGTCCAATGAGCAGTATTTGAAGTGGAAAAAGCACATTTGGGCTCACATCAGGAGTCATATCTCAGGGGATCCAGTGTCATGAACAAGTGAGGGACAACAGTTGGGCATAGGTAAAAGTTTACCTGCAACCAACCCCCAACCTACATGGCATTTCCAGTAGCTCCATCTCTATCTGAATCATCCACCTGGTATTCAAGTTCATGTAAGCCCTTAACTATCTCCACAGGGTTTGTAATTAGACTCCTCAATCTCAGCCCTGGAGCTCAACAGGCAGCACCCCCTTACACTACATGCCAGCTGTTGTCACGCATTGCAGCTTTTCTCCCAGGCTTCCATATTATGGCTTCATTACATATGGCCACAGGGTGAGGAAAGGGCATCTGACACATATATGAGCCCCACACTATGTGACCTTGGGCAAGTTACTTTTATAAACTTCAGTTTTCTTATCCAGAAAATGGGAGCAATAGAGTTCCTTCATCTTAGGGTTGTTATGGGGATTAAATGAGATAATGAATGCAAAGAATGCCTGCCACGTGGTAAGTACTCAATAAAAACAGGATGGTGGATGGATCTTCTTAACCCTGGCCACATGCCTGGAACCCAACCTACCACAGTGGTTCTCAACCAGGGGTGATTTTGCTGGTTGCATTAACTGAGAGGGGCTGTGGGGCTACTAACCTCTAGTGAGTAGGGGCCAGGGATGCCACTCACCATCCTACAATGCACAGTGCAGCCCCGCAATAAAGAATTATCTTGTCCAAAATGTCAACAGTGCCAAGGCTGAGAAACCCTGTCCTGCTAGTAGCTTCACTTGACTTCCTTCGGCCCATGCTGCTACTGTGTCCCCCACGTTGGAGTGGCTTTGGAGCCCTTCCCAGGACCGGCCCATCCCACTGTCTCCTGAGCTCCCATTTGTGAGACTGTTTGTCAAAAGGCCGCCAGGCTTTAGTGCCCTGACCTGAGTCCATAACAGCAGGAGACAGGCAGAATCACCAGGCCTCTCTGACCAGAGACAGGCAAGAAACTGCCTCCTGCAGGGCTGTGGCAAAGAGCCACGTGAAAACAGGCACAGCAGCCAGTGGAGCGTTCCACCCAAACTGGCTCCACACCAGGCCCAGACCATGAGTCACCACCACATGCTGCCGCCTCTCGCCACGACCTTTCTTTATCCCTTCATTAGCCATAAATCTTCAGGAGCAAAACAGCAGAGAACAGACTGGGAAGGCCCTGGCAGAATATCACACCAGGCAAATGCCCAAATCAAAATTCAGAGTTAAATGCCCGGGCCCTGGATGAATGCCAGTCACGGCAAAGCAAGGCTCCCCCGAGCCATCCCTGCAAACCAGGGAAGTGGACAAACGGAACCTCCACTCTTGCCATAATTTAAATCATGTGACAACACTGGGGCATCCTCTCCAAGAGAAGAAACAGATGTGTTTAGCAATACCCAGATGGCTGGAGACAAACTGAAGAACCTGTGCAATGTTTGCCTCTAATTCATGCTTGCACCAAAAGTCCCCGACTCCTCTAATGTCAAATGGAATTAATATTAAGTCTTTCATGCAGTGTTGTGAGAAACAATTGACACAAGTTATTAAGTGGTGCTTTGACTCAAAATAAAGCAAATTTGGCTTTTTTGTTTTCTGGTTGTTTGCTTCCTTTTTAGAAGCAAACCATAATGCTGGGGAAAAGCCTGGCAGAGGCAGCTCCTCCTACACGGAAACTTTACTCTGCCCAATCTCACTGGAATTGTCTTTTTCAAAGTGTAGTTTCTAAGCACCTGTGTTAGAAGTACCTAGAGAGCCAGAAAACAAGCAGATTCCTGGGCCCTACCAACAACCTACTGAATTGAAATGTTTGTGAATAAGGCTTTGGAAGGTGCCCTTTTAACAAGTTCCCCACTTGAGTTTTATACCCCCTAAAGTTTCAGAACCTTGTAACAGTGAATAAACCCTGGGACAGCCCAGCCACTGCCACTATTTCCAGCAGTAAGAAGACAGACTGGGTCCTTAGCTTGCTTCTTTCCTCTGCCAATGGTACCCCATCTTATGCAAGTGAAGCTTCTGGACAAGACAGGACAGACCCGGAATGACTCATCTGAGCTAAACTGTCCACCCTCACACTGATGTTTATAATACTGACAGCAGCAAATTGCCATTTGTCCTTCTTGGTTTTGTAATTTATGTCAACATTCTCAAAGTTAAAAGAGCCTGAGTGTTTCCCTTTCACAGCTGGATGCTGACGGCTCTGAGCAAACTCCCATCTCCATTGCTTGTTACCAGGGAACTCATGATAAACAAACAGATCTGACCTTAAATCAATCTCTCTTCCCCTCACTCCTCCCCTCACCCACAACAACTTTTTTGAGTATTTAATGTGTGCTCCAGACATTCACATACATTTTTCTTGCAAAAGGTCTTGTGAGGAATTAGCTCCATTTTACAGATGAGGGAACTGAGCCACTAAGAGGCCATGTAAGAAACAGAACTGATGCTCGACTAGGCTTTCTGACTCCAAACCCAATGCTCTTAACAGCTAAACTACACTGCCTCCTGCTGTCTCCAGGAAATGATAATTCAGTGTAGCCACCAATTGACTGTGGTTGTCTAACCTTTAAAATCTTCTAACCATACCATTAGCAAGCACAAACAAGCAGACCAAGTAAAGGAGGATTATTTTATGACTACTCGACCATCCAGTTTCATCAATTCATGAACTTCTGGGATAATACCAACAACTCACATTTGTTAAGCACTTACTGCTGCAAAGAATTCTTCCAAGTGCTGAAAGTACTCGTTTAATCCTCGCAACCACTCTTGGAGGTCAGTGCTACCATTGTTCTCTCTTCACAACTAGGAAGATGTAATACAGAAACGTTTGCTAAGGTATCTAAGGTCACACAGCTAATAAGTACCTAAGTTGGGAATATACCCAGGAAATAAGGCTGCAAAGCCATACTAGTCAAAGTTAGTTAAAGCCTTAACTAACCCACTTTACTGTGTATTCCAGAGTTAACACAATGACAGTGTCAACACATCTATGCAAACAATGAGGAGAGCGGGACACACTCTTCCTAGATCTTTCTGGTGCCTGAGGGAATTGACATTGTTTTGAACCATGGTTTCAGAAATGCTACAGAAAACGGAGACCCATAAAATGCTGAGCACATGGAAGATGAAAGCTCTAAAATGGTGTGGGATTCCGTCATAAATAAAGTCTCAGAAAGAGTTCAGGTCTGCAATGTGCTTTCAACTAAGGGCAGGGAGAAGCTTTGTTATGATTATTACAATCTAATTTAAAGCTGAAGCCAGGCAGGAGGGAAAAAAAGAAAGAAAATAAACTCTCCACTAAAGCTGTCAGCCCAGCTGTAGCCTCCAACTGTTTTAGTCACTAAAACCTCATATTTAATGGTCACTTTTATAACGAACACTAAGAAAGAAATACAAAGCTCTAAATCAGACTTTATTTCTTTAAAGATGAACAGAAATCGCATTGGAGGCGTCGGGAAGGCCACTGAGAGACGGTGCCACCATGCTGCCCTTCCCGCTGGTGATGGTGACATAACCATCAAGCCAAACCTCTGGTCTAAGGTAGTCCAATAACCTTGAAGGGAATCCCAACTGTGTGTGCAGAGTCCAAATCATTCCCAACACCAAGTGACAGCAGCTTCTATCCATCTGGCCCAGACCTAGAGCTTCTACATTCCCATTTCAGAATGATCATCTTTCCCATTCATAATTTGTTTAACATGGCGTTATTGCCACAGGAAGTAAATACTGGGTGGCCAAAATGAAAGTCTCCCATAAAACTTCTTAACAAATTGGAGCATTTATCTGCTAAGCCTCAAGAATGCAGTTTATCTCTGATTATGTATGACATCTTTTAAATTCTTCGGCTCAGAAGAACATTCCAGAGATGCTACTATGGTACTATGGTCTGTCACTAATTGCAGAACCAAAAGAACAAATGCTGAGACCATATTTGGCCAGAAGATGTTTTCTAACATTTATGAGGTAGTGTGATCAAACTAAAATCTGGGAAACAAAACTTCAGCAAATGAGTAAACTCCTTATGCTTAAATCCCAGCCCCAGGGTTCCCTCCTTCCCTGACTTTCCTAGGACAAGTCAGTCACTCCATCTTCTGGGTCGCACTGCATTCTCTTCATACCTCAATGATGGCATGGAAGATATTGTGGTCTAATTATCCTTTTTCACAATGTCTGTCTCCCTTACTATCTACATGATAGCTCCTACAAGGAAAGGGCCAGTGCCTTATCATCTTAATGTCCTCAGCACTTAGCAGAACTGGCAAATAATAGGCACTCAATAAATATTCAGTGAAAAAAAGAATGGGATCTAAAATGAGAGGGCAAAACCCATCCATTCAATTCAAAATTTTTGTTGTTGTTGTTGTTTTAGAATTAGGGTCTCACTCTGTCACCCTGGCTGGTATGCAGTGGTACAATCATAGCCCACTGCAGCCTCAAACTCTTGGGCTGAAGAGATCCTCCTACTTGAGTCCCCCAAGTAGCTGGGACTACAGGCCACCCACTACCACATCTGGCTAATTTTTTATTTTGTTATTTATTTATTTATTTATTTATTTTTAGAGATGGGGTCTCACTCTGTTGCCCAGGCTGGAAGACAGTGACACAATCATGGCTTACTTCAGCCTCAACCTTCCGGGCTCAAGCAATTCTCCCACCTTAGCCTCCTAAGTAGCTAAGACTACACGCAGGCACCACTATGCCCAGCTAATTTTTTATGTTTTTGTCAGAGACAAGGTCTTGCTGTGTTGCCCAGGCTGGTCTTGAACACCTTGCCTCAAGCGGTCCTGCCCTGGCCTCAAAAAGTGCTGGGATGATCCCCCACACCTGGCCTCAAAGCAATTATATCAATTAATCCTGTGGTACTGGGTCAATAATTTTGTGGCTCTATCTTCTGATTTGGCCTGTCTCTGGTTCTATTTCTGTTCAAGTGTAATCCCTTTTTTTTTTTTTTTTTTGAGATGGAGTCTCACTCACTCCGTCACCCAAGCTGGAGTGCAGTGGCACCATCTTGGCTTACTGCAACCTCTGCTGCCTGGGTTCAAGCAATTCTCCTGCCTCAGCATACCAAGCAGCTGGGATTACAGGTGTTAGCCACCATGCCCAGCTAATTTTTTTGTATTTTTAGTAGAGACGGGGTTTCACCATGTTGGTCAGGCTGGTCTCAAACTCCTGGCCTCAAGTGATCCGCCCACCTTGGCCTCCCAAAGTGCTGGGATTACAGGCATGAGCCACCAAGCCCAGCCTCAAGTGTGATCCTTACACCAAAGACTTGATCAGGGATCCTAAAGTTGATGTAACACACATAAGTATATAGGTTTGCAATACATTGACATACTATTAGGTTGGTGCAAAGTTAATTGCGGTTTTTGCCGTTAAAAGTAATGGCATTAAAAGTAATGGCAACAATCGCAATTACCTTTGCATCAACCTAATATTTACTGGATTTCTCAAACCAAAAAAACAAGTAGTATATGGATACTTCCATTTTCATCAGGAAATTGTGTCTAATGAATCTGAGACTGTTTCTTTCCTCCTTCCTCTACCCAGAGGGCAGACAAGTCTGCATGGCCATTCCCACACAGTCCACAGGAAGCCAAGAGTAGGATGGATCATTCGCTCCGTCATTATCCCCTAACTTTGCACCAATCCCTTCAGCCCTATTCAGTACAAACGCATCGTGACTCCACTTCCAGGTTACCTTCTCCATAAAGTCCCCTATCCTGGGGCAAGGGAAGCCTGGATAGAGGCAGGACCAGAAGAACAAAGTTCTGTCATCTTTGCCCCAACATGCCTCTTTCCAAATCCCATAGCTCAAGTGTGTACTCCTGACATAAAGCCACATGCCAGAGTTCTCTCCTCTTCTACCACACAGCATTCATCGCCCTTTAGTTCCTAGATGACAGCAAAGATTTATTAGCATGTGAAAATGCCCCAATCCACCCACAAGTAGAATTATCTTTGTCAGCCCATTCGTAAATCTTTTATGATACAGAATCAGAGAATGGGTAAGAAGTCCAGAGAGGTGTGAGAAAACAGGGAGACTAACCAGAGAAGCTAGGTCAGTCTACATAAGAAAGAGCTGGGAGATGCAGGGCACAAGGGGGGATGTCAGTAGACATGTTGGGAAGTAGTGATTCAAAGAGAATTAGAAAGGAGAAGAAACAAGATTTTATGATGTATAGCTGGCAGATAAGAACAAGTTCTCCTTTAATGTGTTTTGAGAGGCTTGTGTAAAGATTAAAATCACTTAAATTACGTTTGGTTTAGGCTGGGCATATTTATAGGAAATTCCATGCAGAGATTGGCCATTTGGGCTCTCAGCTTGTTTTAGAGTTCTACCTGCTATGACCTAATGCAGTAACACCTTTCCAGGTTGGGAAACTTGTCCTTGTGAGAATCACCTTACCGCACCCTTTATAATATAATCCATGAGGGGCAAATTGGGATCCACAGAGGATAATTAGGCTCATTTACAAGGAAGATTAAAACTAACCATTGTGGTATATAATTCACTGTTGGCCAGGCACTGTGAAAACTGCTTTAAATGTATTTGCTCATTTATTTGGTAACAAATTTATTTTTATTTTATCCTATCTCATTTCAGAAAGATAAAAGCAGCTTAGAGGAATACTTAACTACACAAAATACAATAAATAAAAAGTGAGAGCAATTTTTTTAAAAATTGCAACGGTGTAAACTGATCCATGTATGAGGCCAAAAATGTATAACATAATGACATGCACACTTGATACTGATGAACCGCACACTTGGCTCTAGGCTTTCTAGCAGCTAGTTCAAACAAAGAAAACCAGTCAGTTATGCAAATTACCAAATCCATAAGATTAAAGCACAGCAAGAGATGTGAAGCTATTCCTGGTATAAAGGCCAAATAAGCATTTCTCCAGTGGAGAGGAACCATACATGATGGACAAAACAACTCCCTCCACAACATCCATAAATAGAGTTTCAAATACACATTTCAAAAGCTATTTCTTATATTGACGTTGAATATAAGCTGACAATTTTACAACTAACTAAAAGCAAGTCTACATATAACCCTGTGAAGTGGATATTGTTCTCTAATCTGGTAGGAAAAAAATAAGACTCAAAGAGGTTAACTGATGTGTCCACAGACACACTCAATGAAGTGCACACTCACTCAGGTTTGTGCAGCACCACCTGACTCTGAGTCCCAAGCTCTTCATATGACCAACACTACTCCAGCAAGGCCAAACCACAGAACAAAAGGAGTCCTCTTTATCAAAAGTTATTCTCCACCAAAGTCATCATGATGCACATGCATCTTCTTCTCAAAAGACTGGAAAATAGGTTTCTTAGGAGGCAATATTATAAGTCTCTGGTGTATGAGGCAGGCCCTCCTCAACTTCAGAGTGGCTTCTAGCATCTATGTTCATTTAAGTATTTAAGTGTCACTGAAGCAGGTGGCACCCTGAGTACCAGCCTGCAGAAGAGGTCAACCCTGTGGGGTGGGGGGTAACCAAGACCTGGTTATGTTGGAGGTATCTTCCCTGGTGCCCTCTCAGGACCAGCAGGTGAAGGCATCTCTGGGAATGTTTCCCTCCCCTTGTAGCACTGGGTGACAGGAAGAGATGCTCATGAGAAGAGGAACAGGAAGGGGAGGGGGGGAAGGCTGGCTGGGTCACATTGAAGGGCTCTCAGTGGCAGGTCCAGGAAGCAGGGATGTGTTTCTTACCCTTGAGCAGCCATGAGCAGGGCAGGAACAGCTGGGCAGCAGTCCTCAAGTCAGAACAAGAGGGCTTCTTCCCTGAATCACATTCCCAGCCCCGCCCCAGACCTACTGGGTAAGAATCTCAGGGCGGGTTGACCCCGGATGATTCTCATGGTCAGAACACTTGAAAACTGGAGTTAGGACTTGCAGTCAAATTGGTTCTTTAAACTCACAGATATTTACGAAGGGCCCCTCATGTGCCAAACTTGAAGTGAATCCCAGGGAAGAGGGAGGAGCACCAAGACAAGACCTTGTCTTCAGACTACAGTCATTGGAGACAGACATTTGAAAAAAACACAGAAATATAGACACAGTAGATTGTGCCTTTCTCTCACCTAGAATCAAGTCTTTCAGCTTGCAGTGCAATGTACTGAACTTTCCAGGGCCTGGGAAGCTCAGTTTTAAAAAGTATGAGGAGCTGCATTTCAAAAAGGCATAACCTGAAAAGAGGAAAGCACCCTCTGGTGGCCCTCTGGGTGGCAGCACCTGCAGGAACCCCCAGTCCTAAGTAAGAGGGCAGATGTGGCTTCAGGCAGGCGGCCCCAAGGCAGGAGATCCCAGAGTAGCCAGAACGTCCACAGGCTCTGTTGTGTTTCCGTCCTAAATCTCTCCTCAGTGTCAAACCAGTCACTCTGTGAGAAGACATTTCCCCCTGTGTCCATTGCTAAGTGGGTTTACTTCTGAACACCTGGCCTCTGCTGTGGAGTCAAGTGACATAATCTGTAGTTAAGGCATGGCCTGAGTCCATCTCTACTCTCCCCCGACTCTAACATGCAACAGCGCCTGGAACACAGAGGTACTCAATATAAATGTGATGAATAAATAAATGAACTGCACTATCCCATCTAGCCTGACATTGTCTGCTTTGTAGGACCTAGGGAAGGCTGGACAAATATCACAGTGGTTAAGTCCCTGAATTCTCTGAAAATAAATGACTTCTTAAAATATTTAAATATAATCTATGTCCTTCCTAAGAGTCTCTATGAAAAGAATAATATTCACAAGGGGTATACTTTGTGCTTGGAGCTAAGCCTGGTATGGCTTAATTTGCAGTAGAGTAACATGTAAATTTATGATAATAAATTATATTATTTAAATGAAATTATAAAAATAAGAGTGGCTCACTCATATTCAACTTTCATGAATGCTGACACCTCTTGAAGAACATGGAGGCCTGATTTGTATTCAGGCCTGAATACCAGTGTGAACCACAAGAGCTCAGAGACTGCTGGTTTGAAGTATGTCCATGGGAAGCCCAGTCAAATACCTGCATGGTATACTTAGCATTTTCAGCACATCTCCATTCAAGAAGCCATGAGGAAATCCGCTCAGTGCAGGAATCTGGGTTATGACATGGCACCCACAAAGTCACTCAACACTAGCTCTCAGAGACCACCAGGAAGAAAGGTCATAACAAGAAGGAACAGAAAAGGCGTACATTTGATGATACGGTGGAAGAATTAGAAGGGCAGAGAGAGAGAGAAAAGCACAGAATGGAAAAAAAAAAACCCTCAAAGAACTATTTGAAATGGTGTTTAATCCGCAGAATCCAAAAGTAAACAAACCAGTCAGTAGCCTCTGAAGGAGGGAATTGATTTTGAGACATGTTGATTATGCCTCTAACTCTTAAGCTTGTGAAATACTCTACTGAATTAAGAAACACCAGAGGCTGAAAAGTACTTCTGGCCAAAGATGTAATCCATCTGAGTTGAAAGGCCACGGCAAACCAGCGGAGAGATGGTTGGCTAAGTAGTTCACCACTGCACAGCCATGGCCTCTCACTGGATTCTACTTCTAGTGCTAGGAGTCTCCTCTGTCCACCATGTCTGGCTGAGCTCAGGGCATGGGATTTAACATGTGCACCTGTGGGATGTTTGCAAGGGGGCTAATGCTGACCAGAGAAACAGCTTCATTCACCTCCAGATGAGTGACATCAAATCTTCATTATTCAGAATTTTGGAACCCTGTCTTTGAGGTTTGCTGCCTATAAAAAGCCCACATTACTCCCAACTACCATCCTCAGGAAATACATGGGAGAAGTGGTTAAAAATATTAGCTTTGGTAGAAAAGCTGAATTTTAATGTTCACAGCACGAAGAAATAACAAATATTCAAGGTGATGATATGCTAACTGATATGGTTTAGCTCTGTGTCCCTACCCAAATCTCATCTCCAATTGTAATCCCCACATGTTGAGAAAGGGAGGTGATTGGATCATGGGAGCAGTTTCCCCCATGCTGTTCTCATTATAAGTGTTTGGGAGTTCCTTCTTCCCTCTTCTCTCTCCTGCCACCTTTGTGAAGAAGGTGCTTGTTTCTCCTTCAACTTCCGTCATAATTGTAAGTTTCCTAAGGCCTCCCCAGTCACATGGAACTGTGTGTCAATTAAACCTATTTCCTTTATAAATTACCCAGTCTCAGGTATTTCTTTATAGCAGTGTGAAAACGGACTAATACAGGAAATTGGTACCAGTAGAGTGGGGCACTGTTATAAAGATAACCTGAAAATGTGGAAGCAACTTTGGAACTAGGTAATGGGCAGAGGTTGAAACAGTTTGGAAGGCTCAAAAGAGGACAGGAGGATGTGGGAAAGTTTGGAACTTCCTAGAGACTTGTTGAATGGTTTTGACCAAAATGCTGATAGTGATATGGATAATGAAGTCCAGGCTGAGGTGGTCTCAGATGTAGATGAGGAACTTCTTGGTAACTGGAATAACAGTGACTCTTGCTATGCTCTAGCAAAAAGACTGGCAGCATTTTGCCCCTGCCCTAGAGATCTGTGGAACTTTGAACTTGAGAGACATTATCTGAAATTGGAATTTATGTTTTAAAGGGAGGAAGAGCATAAAAGTTTGGAAAATTTGCAGCCTGACCATGTGGTAGAAAAGAAAAACCCATTTTCCAAAAAGAAATTCAAGGTGGCTGCAGAAATTAGCGTAAGTAACGAGAAGACGAATGGTCATCACCAAAACAATGGGGAAAATGTCTCCAGGGAATGTCAGAGAAATTCGTTGCAGCCCCTCTCATCACAGGCCCAGAGGCTTAGGAAGGAAATGGTTTTATGGGCCAGGCCCAGGGCCCCCGCTGTTGTGTGCAGCCTTAGGACATGGTGCCCTGTGTCCCAGATGCGCCAGCTCCAGCCACTGCTAAAAGAGGTCAAGGTATCAGCTTGAGCAGTTGCTTCAGAGGGTGCAAACCCCAAGCCTTGGTGGCTTCTCCATGGTATTGGGCCTATGGGTGTGCAGAAGACAAGAGTCAAGCTTTGGGAGCCTCCGCCTGGATTTCAGAGGATGTACGGAAATGCCTGAATGTCCAAGCAGAAGTCTGCTGCAGGGGGTGGAGCCCTTGTGGATAACTTCAGCTAGGGCCATGCAGAGGGGAAATGTGGGGTTGGAGCCCCTACACAGAATCCCCACTGGGTCACTGCCTAGTACAGCTGCAAGAAGAGGGCCACCGTCCCTCAGACTCCAGAATGGTTGATCCACCGATAGCTTGCACCATGCACCTGGAAAAGCCACAGACACTTAATGCCAGTCCATGAAGGAGCTGCTCAAGGCTATGGGAGCCCACCCTTGCATCAGCATGCCCAAGATGTGAGACATGGGGTCAAAGGAGATCATTTTGGAGCTTTAAGATTTAATGACTCCCATGCTGGATTTTGGACTTGCATAGGGCCTGTAGCCCCTTTGTTTTAGCCAATTTCTCCCATTTGGAATGGGAGCGTTTACCCAATGCCTGTATCCCCACTGTATCTAGGAAGTAACTAACTTATTTTTGATTTTACAGACTCATAGGTGGAAGCGACTTGCCTTGTCTCAGTTGAAACTTTGGACTGTGGACTTTGAGTTAATGCTGAAATGAGTTAAGACTTTGGGTGACTGTCAGGAAGGCATGGTTGGTTTTGAAATGTGAAAAGACATGAGATTTGGGAGGGGACAGGGCAGAATGATATGGTTTGGCTCTGTGTCCCCACCCAAATCTTATCGCAAATTGTAATCCCCACATGTCGAGGGAGTAAGCCGTAACCCCCACATGTCGAGGGAGGGAGGTGATTGGATCATGGGGGTGGTTCCCCCATCCTGTTCTCATGATAGTGAGTGAATTCTCACAAGATCTGATTATTTCATTAGTGTTTGGAAGTTCCTCCTTCACTCTTCTCTCTCCTGCCGCCTTGTGAAGAAGGTGCTTCTTTCCCCTTTGTCTTCCACCATGATTGTAAGTTTCCTGAGGCCTCCCTAGCCATGTGGAACTGTGAGTCAATGCAATCTCTTTCTTTTATAAGTTACCCAGTCTCAGATATTTCTTTATAGCAGTGTGAAAACAGACTAACACACTAAGTTGATCACTACACATTGTATACATGTATCATTCTGGATATGGGATATCATTGTATCCCATAAGTATGTACAACTAAAAATAAAAGATAAACAAGATATTGGTTTTGAAGTCAGGGAATCAAGGATTAGAATTCTGGGTTTGCCATTTAGTAGCCATGCAACCTTGGGCAGGCTTATTTACTTCTATGAGCCTTAATTTCCTCAGGGTTAAAATGCAGATTATAATAATATATCTTAGAGGTTTACTGTAAAAACCAAATGATATGACATAAGTAAATCTGTTCGCAAATGCTAGGAAATAATAAGCTTTCAATACACATTTTTTAAAGTTCTAGTTCTTAACTGAGTCCAAAGATATCAAATGACTTTCCTGAGGTGACATAAAGGCAACGCAGCACCATTTGCTTCTCAATATCACGGATTGGTTTCAATTGCTACTTTTATTATGTATTATTTATCCTCTCATCTAGCTATTAGCAAATGTGTTAAATTTTAAAAGAGCCTTGTTTCATCTCTCTCAAACATTTCAACCTTTTTGGAGAAATCGTTATTAACCATCACTTGCTGCTCATAAACATTCAGTTAGGCTGACATACAAATGTCAAGAGTTCAGACATGTAAATGTTAAAATAATTTTGCCAGTAAAATTTCATGAGTTTCCACATAAAGTGTTTCAATTAACTCCATTTTGTTAGATGTGATCTTAATCCCTAAAACAGCAATTAATCTCAGCTAGTAGTATTCTGATTGTTTTTTCATCAAGCTTAAAATGCCCTTAAAGACAGGTTTGTGGCTTGCACTTCCTTCATATCCTGCACAATCTCTGGTATAGCAATAGGCCTAAGTAGATGTTTGATATCCATCTGATCAGGCATATCTTTGGTATCAATAAATGCAAGTTCAGGGAAAAAGAATAAACCAAGTCTCTTTCTCAAACTAAAGGCTAAATTATAAGAAAATTTTAATTGTTCCAATAAAAGCAATTAATTTGCAGCTACTGTGACAAAATAAGACTACACAGACAGAGTGAACCAGCCTCCTTGAGTTACTCAGCCCAGTGTTCTCACTGGTCCATGAGAACGTACAGTGAGAACATACAATGAGAAGGAGAGATGCTTCTTATTGTTAAAAATATATATATAGTAATAAAAACCATTTAATCTAAACTTACAGTTTTCAGCCTATGGGTACACATGAGATGTCAGTGATAATAGTACCTCCCCCTTAACTGGCTTGTTGTGATTTGAATAATGAAGAACTTCAACAATGCCTCTTTTGTGCCACCTTTTTAGCTGTCACTCATGTGACCACAGACAGTCCTCCAATGGCCTTTTCTCTGCCCACCCTTTACACTACACTTAAAGTCACAGAATGCAGCCCCAAGCCCATCCATGAAGATCCTAATTCCTTGCCTTAAATTGTATGCCTAGTGTTCACAAACCTATAAACCCACCAGATGCCAAAATGGTACCCACCAGATGCCAAAGTGGTTCCCTTCCATGCTCTTGACCCCAGCCACACAGTGGTCCTCACAGTGCAAAGCCACAGTCCTGGTGTCCTCACCTACCAAGTCCACATATGTCATAATATTGTGATTAGATATGTGTGCTCCAGGGTCAGACCACTTAGGAGAGAATTCTGGCTCTAAAACTCACGAACTCTGTGAACTAGGGTAAATTACTGAGCCTGTCTCTTAGCTTCAGCTTCCTTATCTGTAAAATGGGGATGATACAACTGGGGCTTATTGCAAAGAGTGAATGCAGTAAGGTACATAGTAGCTAGTATAGTTTCTGGCACATAAGAAACACTCAATAAATGTTCATTATTATTATATTACACCCTGAGAATAAATCACTAGAGTTATGCTCTAACATATGATTTAATGGCTGGCTGACATAACTGCAGGGAAACCCTAAAAGTGAATCCTTTTTTGCCAGGCATTATATTAGGCCCTATCATATAGTTTAATATTCACAAACACTGAAATAAATATCGTTATCACTGTTTTTACAGGTTCATAGAAGTGACTTACCCAGAGTTAATTTGCCTATACAAAAGAACAGCTAATAGCTGTCCAAAGTCCCAGTTTTCTCCACTAATTCATGGTGCCTCTCTCACACTTTGGAAAACTTGAGACCTTCTCATTGGTGCTACAGTTAACACTGAAATCAGCAACACACTCACAGGTTTAATCTGCTGTCCAGAAAGTTGCCCTGACTCCTACCCACTTCAGCTTCTGTCCACAGTTCATAAGGATGCAACCATCTACACAGCTGCTGGACTGTCATCACCTTTGAAGTTTTATTTATAAGTCCACAAAGCATGTGTCTTTACAAAAGTAATGGGTGGGACCCTCAAACACTAATGACTTCCCAGCAGGGGCACAGTTGTTGGTTTATCTCAAAGGCTTTGAACCCTGGCTCTTCCAAGCTTCTTCACAGGGAAAGGCTCTAAATCAACTCATCCTTTATGAGCCGCTAACTTCCTGAACTGGAGTTGGAGGCCTCCTTATTTGGAGGAGACAGGGACGGGTCTGGGACAATGTCTGAGCTGTCCCTTTCCGTCTCTGGCATGGAACACTCCCTGGGGTTGGGAATGTGCCCTCCTCCCCTTGTCGGTGAAAGCTGCACCCCTCTCATCTCTGTGCACAAACACCATCCTCTGTGCTGCCTCCTCGGTTTCCTCCACTGTCAGCAAGTGTCATCTTCGATACTTCAGGGGGCTAAATCCCAGCAAGACCTTGCTGAAGTTCTTCCCCTAATGAAGATAGACGGGCACATTGAAAAGATGATCTGAGTCTCCTCTAGAATTTCTTCTCTCAATTTCTGTATTCTCTTACGAACAAAGTACAAGGTTTTTTACTCATTCTCATTTCCAGAGTCAGAATGTTTCATTACAACAGATGTGTTCACTTGATGTGGACAAATCTCTTCTTTTTAGTCAAAAATTCTTATTACTACAGTAATGGATCTGCATTTGCAAACTGCTTAGAAAACAGGAACAGCCAGCCGGGTGCAGTGGCTCAAGCCTGTAATCCCACCACTTGGGGAGCCCGAGATGGGCGGATCACGAGGTCAGGAGTTCAAGACCAGCTTGACCAAAATGGCGAAACCCCATCTCTACTAAAAATACAAAAATTAGCCGGGCGTGGTGGCAGGCACCTGTAATCCCAGCAACTCGGGAGGCTGAGGCAGGAGAATCGCTCGAACCTGGGAGATGGAAGTTGCAGTGAGCTGAGATCGTGCCATTGCACTCCAGCCTGGGCAACAAGAGCAAGACTCCATCTCAAGAAAGAAAGAAAGAAAGAAAAAGAAAGAAAAGAAAAGAAAAGAAAGAAAGAAAGAAAGAAAGAAAGAAAGAAAGAAAGAAAGAAGGAAAGAAGGAAAGAAAGAAAGAAATCAGGAACAGCCTAATAAAAGCCATACTTTTTTCTGAGTTCCTTGGTATTTTTTATGTTCCTCTATTACTATTTTTAAGACCATTGTTTATATATCTGGTTCTCCAGCTAGTCTGTAAATGCTTTAAGAGCCAAAACTTGGTTTTATTCATTTTTGTAACCTCAGCAAAATGCTCAGTTTCCTGAAATGCAGCAGGTGATCAACAAATGTCTGGATGAATGGATTTAATAGAATCCTCAGACTTTAGAGAAGGAGAGCCCTTGAGCAAATCTAATCTGAATTTTTCTCATTTTACAGTACTATCTTTTCACTGAATTCCAATCAGGCTTAAAGATTACAGAGATGGCAATAGCATCAATTAACTTCTCCTATTCCTTCCTTTTGTGGTCCTTCTAGCCACTCAAGGGGCATGAAAGGAGTTCCAGGCTCCTCCATTCAACCAAGTTCTTTACAGTTTATCAAGTTTCCCCAAAATAATATGCTTGGCCAGTGTCAAGTTGAGGGGCTTTTCTAATGCTGTCTTATTCTCCTCTTGGAGAGTCCAACCTTGCAAATCTTTGTAATATTCACGTTTATAATAATATAAGTAGCAGACATTTATTGAAAGGTACTCCATGCCAGGCACTGCGTTATGGCTTTACATACATTGTCTCATATAATTCTCATGACAACCCTATGAGGCTTAGACAAGATAAGTGGTTGCCCAAGATGACACAGCTAATAAGTGGCAGAGCCAGAATTTGATCTAAGTCCAGCTTCTGAGCCCTACTTGTTTAATCTAATCTAGCTGAGAAAATCACCCATATTTTTCTCATGTAGCTATTTTGAGGGTTTTATTCTTAAGGGTCAACTGCTTTTATTATATCATGAATATGAAGTATTTCTAATGTATTGATGAAAAGTATTAAGTAGGAAATAATTGCATTCCTAAACTAACCCCATAAAACAGGATAGACTTCTACTATGAAACATCTTTGAAATGAGAGTTCAGAAGGAAAACAGAACAGGAAAGCACATGGAAACCCAAGGTGCCGATCATACTTGCTCAATGCACTGGCCAGCAGTTGTCCTTCAGAGCGAGCAGTGAAGTCACAAGAGATCATCCACTCTGTGTAAGGTAACACGTCTTGATTAAATTTTTAAAAGGAAGAAAAGTGTAACCTCTGTTCTGCCTACTTGAAGGTTACAACATATGCAAGAGGCCAATGTTTGCTCTTACTGGCTGTGGAAGCATATCATGTAACTTGTGCCTACTCAGGAATCAAGTTTGGGAAGGGAATTCCTACAGATGAATTCCAAGTAGCTGGCTTTATTAACATCTTGGGACATTAAGTTGCTTCTAACCTAATTATTCACGCTATTTTCAACCACAGATTGTGTCATCGCCAACACTCAGTCCAAAGACTAAAATAAAACAATCCTTGGAAAATTCCAGCAGCATTCTCATCAGCAGGCTCTGACCTTCAAAAGGCTCACTGAAATGCCTGTGCAAAGGCCCAGCATTCTCTGCTCCTTCTGAGCATTCCCAACTCAGACTATTCGCAATCTCAAATTCTTTACTCACTCCCACCTGCTTGGCAAAAGACTTTCCCTACCGAGACGTGCCACAACTTTTAGGAAGAACTCCACTAATTAGAAACACTGCACTGACAGTGGTTGTGAATAAGTTGTGCCAGGTGTTCACATGTCCTTAATACCAGCCATGTTTGGTTATTTATAACACCAAGTCAGGGCAATGGAATGCCTGGTCTTGCAGGCTGTGTCATATGTATTGCAGGCCATACATTGCATTTAATCCATATCACAGACTAATTAAAGGCACTAAAAGATATTGTTTTCAGCTCAAATTTTGAAAGAGGAGAGAAAGAAGTCTAAAATGTATTAAATACCTACTAAAGTCCAGGCCTTGTGCTGGGAGCTTTACTTAATGTTGCCTCTTTAATTCCCATCACAGTCATACAAGGGAGGTATTACTGTCCCCATCTCACAGATAAGGAAATGTAACCGCTGAAGGATTAAATATCCTGCCCAGGTGGGTGGTAAAGACAGGATGGGAACCTGGATTATGTGAGCCCAAATTCCATGTTTGTTTTCACCAGCAGATCAAAATTTCCCCCACACTGCCTAGTCTGGGACCAAAGCATAGGAATAATGGTTTAAAAGGTACAGATTCTGCAGTCAGGCTTCCTGGGTGTTTAATCTGCTCCACTCAGTTTCTAAGTATGTGACCCATCAAGTTACTTAACCTCTCTTAACCTCAGTTTCCTCACCTTAAAAAAAAAATAGAGATCATTATAATGCTAACTCACAGATTTTAATTATTTGACAATAATTATGACTGATATTGTTTGGTTGTGTCCCCACCCAAATCTCAACTTGAATTGTATCTCCCAGAATTCTCATGTGTTGTGGGAGGGACCCATTGGGAGGTAATTGAATCATGGGGGCCGATCTTTCCCATGCTATTTTCGTGATAGTGAATAAGTCTCATGAGTTCTGATGGGTTTATCAGGGGTTTCCGCTTTTGCTTATTCCTCCTGTTCTCTTGCCACTGCAATGTAAGAAGTGCCTTTTGCCTCCTGTCATGATTCTGAGGCCTCCCCAGCCATGTGGAACTGTTAAATCCAATTAAACCTCTTTTTCTTCCCAGTCTGGGCTAGGTCTTTATCAGCAGCATGAAAATGGACTAATACAGTAAATTGGTACCAGTAGAGTGGGACATTGCTGAAAAGATACCCGAAAATGTGGAAGTGACTTTGGAACTGGGTAACAGGCAGAGGTTGGAACAATTTGGAGGGCTCAGAAGAAGATAGAAAAATGTGGGAAAGTTTGGAACCTCCTAGAGACTTGCTGAATGGCTTTGACAAAAATGCTGATAGTGATATGAACAATAAGGTCCAGGCTGAGGTGGTCTCAGATGGAGATGAGTATCTTGTTGGGAAATGGAGCAAAGGTGACTCTTGTTATGTTTTAGCAAAGAGACTGGCGGCATTTTGCCCCTGCCCTAGAGATTTGTGGAACTTTGAACTTGAGAGAGATGATTTAGGGTATCTGGCAGAAGAAATTTCTAAGCAGCAAAGCATTCAAAAGGTGACTTGGGTGCTGTTAAAAGCATTCCATTTTAAAACAGAGCATAAAAGTTCAGAAAATGTGCAGCCTGGCGATGCAGTAGAAAAGAAAAATACATTTTTGATGAGAAATTCAAGCTGGCTGCAGAAATTTGCGTAAGTAGCAAGAAGCCTAATGTTAATCCCCAAGACCACGGGGAAAATGTCTCCAGGCCATGTCAGAGACCTTCACAGCAGCCTCTCCCATCACAGGCCTGGAGGTCCAGGAGGAAAAAGTGGTTTTTGTGGGTTGGGCCCAGGGTCCCCATGCTATATGTGGCCTAGGGACGTGGTACCCTGTGTCCCAGATGCTCCAACCACGGCTGAAAGGGGCCAATGTACAGTTCGGGATGTGGCTTCAGAGGGTGGAAGCCCTAAGCCTTGGCAGCTTCCATGTGGTGTTGAGCCTGCGGGTCCACAGAAGTCAAGAATTGAGGTTTGGGAACCTCCACCATGATTTCAGAAGATGTAAGGAAATGCCTGGATGCCCAGAAAAAGTTTGCTGCAAGGGCAGGCCCTCATGGAGAACCTCTGCTAGGCACTGTGGAAGGGAAATGTGGGGTCGGAGCCCCACACAGAGTCCTTTCTGGGGCACTGTCTAGTGTAGCTATGAGAAGAGGGTCACCGTCCTCCAGACCCCAGAATGGTAGATCCACCGACAGCTTGCACCATGCACCTGGAAAAGCCACAGACACTCAACATCAGCCTGTGAAAGCAGCCAGGAGGGGGGCTGTACCTTGCAAAGCCACAGGAGTAGAGGTGCCCAAGACCATGGGAACCCACCTCTTGCATCAGCATGACCTGGATGTGAGATCTGGAGTCAAAGAAGATTCTTGTGGAGCTTTAAAATTTGAGTGCCCTGCTGGATTTCAGACATGCATGGGCCCTGTAACCCCTTTGTTCTGGCCAATTTCTCCCATTTGGAACAGCTGTATTTACCCAATGCCTGTACCCCCTTTGTATCTAGGAAGTAACTAGCTTGCTTTTGATTTTACAGGCTCATAAGTGGAAGGGACTTGCCTTGTCTCAGATGACACTTTGGACTGTGGACTTTTGGGTTAATGCTGAAATGAGTTAAGACTTTGAGGGACTATTGGGAAGGCATGATTGGTTTTGAAATGTGAGGACATGAGATTTGGAGGGGTCGGGGTGGAATGATATGGTTCAGCTGTGTCCCTACCCAAATCTCAACGTGAATTATATCTCCCAGCATTCCCATGTGTTGTGGGAGGGACCCATTGGGAGGTAATTGAATCATGGGGCCTGTCTTTCCTGTGCTATTCTCATGATAGTGAATAAGTCTCACGAGATCTGATGGGTTTATCAGGGCTTTCTGCTTTTGCTTCTTCCTCCTTTTCTCTTGCCGCAGCCAAGTAAGAAGTGCGTTTTGCCTCCCGCCATGATTCTGAGGCCTCCCCAGCCACATGGAACTGTAAATCCAATTAAGCCTGTTTTTCTTCCCAGTCTGGGGTATGTCTTTATCAGCAGCATGAAAATGGACTAATACAATGACTATGGTCATTTTCTTTCCCCCAAGCCTCATCAACTGTTAAATAAAATATTGAATTCTTACTACAGGCCAGGTACTACACTGAGGGTTTTTTAATGAATTATCTTGTTTAATTCTTACACTAATCCAATGAAACAGCAGTAACTAACACTTCTTAATCACTCACTACATACCAAAATCTGTCTTAAACACTTTACTCGTATTAACTAAATAACTAATAACTATTCATGTGAACTAGTGAGTAACTGGGGCAGGCAATATTGTTGTCTCAATTGTGCAAGTAAGGAAAAGGAAGTTCAGAGAGGATAAGTAAATTGCCACAGTCACACAGCTAGGAAAAGATGAAGCCATGTTAAGGACTCAGGAAGCCTGACTTAGGGGGTTCAGTCTTAACCTCTACTCTCAGGTTTCTGGGCCTGGGCTAGGCTACGAAAGACCTAAGAGTTCTGAAACATATCAAAGTTACAAGATGTTTAACATGTAAGGATGCTATAATACTCTGTAATCAAATGTCCAAAATATGCAAAATATGCGATAGGCCCAGGGGTGAGGATGGTGGCCTGTGGGTTCTGGGGAAACCTTCCTCAGGAATCTGTGGCTTTCATTGATTGGGGTTAGTCAGGAGGTGAGGTGGGGGGAAAGTACCTCAGGAGGGAGACTCAGTAAGTGCAGACAGGTAGACTTGAGGGGAAGAATAAGGAGAGTTACCCAACTAAGGAGGGGTTTCATAGAGCAAAATAGAGATAAAATAAGACATGAAGACAAGGACAGTTTACAGAGGACCCTTGACAACAGTCTAAACTGGGACATCACTTACAAGGGGCAATAGGAAGCACCAGATTTTTTTTTTTTTTAATTGAGATGGTTGTTGTGGGGGGTCTCACTCTCACCCAGGCTGGAGTGCAGTGGTGCAATCTTGGCTCACTGCAGCCTCCACCTCCAGGGCTCAAGTGATTCTTGCACCTCTACCTCCCGAGTAGCTGGGACCACAGGTGTGCACCACTAGGCCTGGGTAATATTTTGTATTTTTGGTGGAGACATGTTGCCCAGGCCAGTCTTGAACTCCTGAGCTTAGTGCTGGGATTATAGGTATAAGTCACTGCACCCAGCTGCAAGCATCAGATCCTTGAAGAGAAAAGCGACCTGATGAGAGTACCCTGTGCAGCACAACTCAGTGTGGAGCTGGAGCCAGATGGTGGCTCTGCAGTGCCCCCCATTCTTGACTGAAGGGCCAGCAGCGGGAGAGAGAAGGAAGGGCCAAAGCAGAATCAGTGGAGTTCAGTGAAAGATTGATGCAGGAGAGCTTTAGCAGAGAACAGGTCCACCATGTTAGGATCGGAACCAGGCCCAGTAAACACTGAATTCCCACACCTGGCTCTGTAAACGACCTACTGACACAGAAAACAAGTTTGCTAAATACATGTATAAGTCATCCAGCTGCCAGCTCAGGCTCTTCACTTTGCACATCAGAAAACAGATCCCAAAGGTTATGTGAATTAACCAAAATTATGAAAATATGAGCAGCAAAATTTAAACTAAACTCTCAAATCCTAACACTTATTCCAGACTTTTTTTCTGCTATAACTTGCTCTCAAATTGGGAAGTCTCAGCGACTATAATATCAATAACAGATGTCATCAATAACAGAAACTAAGATTTGGGGAAAGATTGCCGGGGTTCTTAGATAATATTAACTTAGTTTTGAAAATGTAAATACTGACTTGATGGCAGAACTTCTGATTAGAAATGTCCTGTAAGCAGTTTTCAATTTGAGACAGAAGTACAAATGAGAATTAATGACTAGAGACAGAGATATTTGAGAATCACAAATACAGAACTATTAGCTGAAGGCGTGCGGAACATATTTGTATAATATCATGAATAAGAAATGTTTTTGGTTTCTCATTACTTCAATTAAATATTTTTTAGTCTACTGAAGAACTGTTGAACAAGCAGTGCACTTAGCTGCAATCAGCATGTTAATGTTGTCAGAATCACTTCATTTGCACATGTCAATCTTTGATCTGCCTGCATACAGAATGATTTGGGGACCGCTGCATTGACCAAACTATATTAGTGCCCCCTGAAAAGCATTGCCAGGGCTCCAGATCTGTTCTGTAGGTCCTGCTGGAATTTCTATTCTGTAAGTTTTGCTAGATCTTGCCAGCTATAGTTTCCAAGGCAAAGCAAAGATCTTAAAACTTTTCTCAGATTTAGAGCATATGTTTAGGCTATACATGAAGCAGAGGCCTTAGATGTAGATATTTTCACCCTGTAAGATTTTTCCCTTTGGCTCCCTAAATGCAAGGGGTCGACCCAAATCAGTAGATTAAGTCTGTTATCAATGAAGTTAGACATTGCTGAATTACTGTCATCTAAAACAACACCTGTTTTCTCAGCATGGACTCTACATAATTCTATACCAACCCAAAACCTAGTTACTGAGCAATGGGTACCCTACACTGCTTTATGGGAAAGGACAAGGCACTCTGAAGTAAATATATATATATATCTTTGGAGAGGTTATCAGGTTCACTGATACAAATTTTTAAATCTTTTGGGCTTTGTAGTGAGTTGAATGTTGGTCCCACCCAAAAGATGTGCCCAACCAGAACCTGTGAGTGACTTACTTGTAAGTAGGGTCTTTGCAGCCATAATTAAGTTAAGGATCTTGAGGTGAGCTCACCCTGGATTATCCAGGTGGGTCCTAAATCCAATCACCAGTGTCCTTATACAGAAAAGGAGAAGACACAAGCACAGGGAAGTCCCTGTGAAGAGGCAGGCAGAGTTTAGAGCTATCAGCCACAAGTCAAAGGACACCTAGTCCCACCGAAAGCTGGCAGACATAAGGCAGGACTCCCCCCTAGAGCCTTCAGAAGGAGCAGGACCCTGCTGACACCTTGATTTTGGACTTCTGGCCCAAAACTGTAAGAGAATAAACTTTTGTTATTTCCAGCCAACATAATTACAGCAGCCATAAGAAGAGAACACAGAGTTCATGAAGTGAAAGACTTTTATCTCTTTTGATCCCCTTGGAACAATGATCTCAATCTTATCTTCAATAATTCAGTCTTTCAAAAATGCTACTCTCTTGGCTCCAACAAATAGGAATTATCATTGAGGTTAAGCGAGTTTTTGGTGCAGCAGCCAACAGGTAGAAATTATCTATATTGATATTTTTTTTCTTCCTGGAAAGGCACAAGAAATTCAGAGTTCATATCTTATAAGCCAATTTTGAAATCACATACAACATTCCTCCATTCCTTCCCATAATCGCCTCGCTGTTGTCGGATAAAGCACTGTTACCAGCAGATGAGCTTTGTTACACTGTCAGGGTTGGCTTCCGTCAATTCCTTACAGGGAGTAAAGCTGAGTTTTTACAGAGGTGACCAAAATCACCACCTGAGTGCACTTACTGAGAGCTTCATCGCCTGACTCACCAAGTTCCTCTCCACTCTAATACTGACGTCAGTTTGGGCAAAATAAACATCCATGTGAAATACCCATCCAACACCCAAAACAGAAAATTCCTTGACTTTTTAGACTCCAGTTCCCAATTCAGTTCCATGGGCAAATCCTAAAGCTTGTCTTCGCTGCCAAGCCTCCTCCCCAAACCCTGGCCCCTTAAAAAATGACCCACAATTCCTATATGGTGGCTACTGATTGTGAATCCTGTCAACCAGCTTGTTATATCCAGTTTCCACTCCACAACCTATAAACTAACCTGCATCACATCTCAGTTAAAAGGAATCCTCCACTCATTGAAGCTAGACTCTCTACCTATACTAGATTATTAGTCTTCTTTTCCCAATAACAATTCCTCCTTCCTCTCTCTCTACCTATCTCTCTCCTGTATATTTAATAGCGTCTTCTCAAAGGCTGTTCCCGCTCAGCACTTCCCAGAGACTGTTGAACTCTCTCTTAACTTGGACATTGCTCTCCACCTTTGACTTCCCACAGCCCAGCTTCTTGGAAGTGCGGTCACCATGGGTTTTCCCACTTCCTCACCTCTTATTCACTCTCAACCTCTGATGCTCACTCACATACTTCAATGAAACTCTTGCAACAAGGTCACACAAATACAACAAAAATGTCTGTCGTTACACCTGATCTCTCAGTAGCTTTCCATGCTGTCGCATTCTCCTTGTCACACTCTCCTCCCTCTGTTCCTGCGTATTATGGACAGAAAGTTTATGTCCCCCCAAAATTCATATGTTGAAATCCTAACCCCCCCAGGTGATGGTATTAGGAGGTGAGGACTTTTGGAGGTGATTAGTTCATGAGGGCAAAGCCCTCCTCAATGGAATTAGTGCCTTCATAAAAAGACACAAAAGAGCAGCTTTCTCTCTCTTTCTGCCACTTAAGGATACAACGAGAAGACTGCCATCTGCAAGCCAGGAAGAGGGTCCTCACCAGACACTATATCTGCCAGCACTTTGATCTTAGATTTCCCAGGCTCCCAAACTGTGAGAAATAAATTCTGTAGTGGAAGTCACCTGTCTATGCTATTTTTGTTATAGCAGGCCAAACTAAGACACTGGGACACCATTATCTCCTGGGTCTCCTCAAGCTTCCTGAACCATTTTTTCTCATCCCACATATTTACATGGTTCTCCCTTCTTCTCTTCTTGCACACTCAACCTATATACGAATGATTCCAAAATTATCTAGATCCTAAATGCTTTTCCTGAAGTTGATACCAACTGGGTGCTGGGCGGTATCCATCTTTACACTCTGTGAGTACTTTAAATTCAACATTTAACTAAATACCTATTTCCTCATGAAGTCAATTTTCCTATCCCAAAGAGTGGGTACCACCACTCACTCCATGGCCTCTTTACTGTTGATTCTCCCTTCTATTTCTCGTGCCAATTCCCCACTCCTGATCTCCTATCAATGCCGTAGTTCAGGCCTTATTGATTCCCCCTCTAGACCACAGCCTCGCAGAAGTTCTCTCTCTGCCTGTAGCCTCAACCCTTTCATATCCATTGTCCCTGTTGCAATCAGAGGAATTTTCCCAAAATGCAAATCATGTTATCGCTTAAATCCTTCTATCTACAAACCACTTAGCCTGACCTAGAAAACCATTTGCTATCTGCCTTCTATCTCTTTCTAACCTAATTTCTTGTCCCTTTCTTCTTAACCCACTATTGTTATGCCAAACAACTTGTAGTTCCTGCATAAAACACACCTTACACCTCTCTCCTTTGAACTAGCTGTTTTCTCTGCCTGAAGTAGCCTTTCCCATCCTTGTGTTGCCTCACAAACTCCTCACCATTCATAAGGCAACCCAGGAATCCTCTTCTCTGAAAGGTTTTACCTGAGTCTAATCTGTGACCCTCACAACTGCCCCAATTTAGGCAATCAGGCATCCTTTCTCTTCCTTCCTCCAGTACCCTAAACACATTTCAGTTCTAGCATACAGCATACTATTTTGAAACTGCTTTTGTCTATATTTCCTCAACTAGTCAATGTGTATGTCTATTAAAGTAAGCCTTTAAATCCTCCTCATCTTCTTGACATCAGTTATAGCCCACGTTAGAAATTTAGTCCATTTTGATTGAAATATTTTAACATCTGATCACCTGAAGAGTTTGGGTGATCAAGGTTGGTCTAGCAGTTTATGGGACGGAGAAACCATGTCCACACAGATTTATACTAGCAGGAGGGAGAAATTCTTTCCCAACAGAGAAACCCACAGAAGGGAGAACAACTAGGAGGTGGGAATGAGCATAATGTATCTGGAAGGAGGGAGGAAACTGATCTGACCCAAGCAGAAGACATTGCTGGGTGGGTTGGATGGGATGAAATTGTGGAAGGTCTCATAAGGGTAAGAATGAGACTCGGTATACTAGCTTGCTATGGCTGTTGTAACAAATTGCCATTAACTCAGTGGCTTAAAACAACAAAAGTTGATTACCTTAAACTTCTGGAAGTCAGAAGGTAGAAATGAGTCTCACTGGGCTAAGATCAAGGTGTTGGCCAGACGGTGTTCCTTTCTGGAGACTGTAGGTGAGAACCATTTTCTGATCTTTTCCAGCTTTTTAGAGGCTGCCCTTATTCCTTGGCTCACGACCCTCTTCCAGCTTCAAAACCAGCAAGGGCTGGTTGAGTCTTCTTTACATCCCTATACTATCACACTTTCTTCTGCCTCCCTCTTTCACTTTTAAAGACCATTGTGATTACACTGGGCACACCCAGACAATCCAGGATAACTTCCCAATCTCAAGGTCAGCTGATTAGCAACATTGACTTTATCTGAACCTTAAATCCCCTTTGCCACGTAACCTAACATATTCACAGGTTCTAAGGATTTGGATACGACATCTCTGGGGGGCCATTATTCTGCCCACCACACTCAGTAACTACTTGGAAACCTCTATCCAGCTCTTAAGCCTTAAATGCCACCAGGAAAACATAGAGCTCCAGACTGAGCTGCCCTAAATCACCCTCTCTGAAATCTTGCACAACTGAGTCATGATGAGGTTTTTTGTTTTTTTTTAATTTGCCTTTGTGCATAAAATATTGTTGGGGCCCAGCACTCTTGCATTGTGCCACTCTGCTGCCTATATGCACACAAAAAAATGTAACAGCAGATATTCTTGTAACACCTTAATCACATACACATACACAGATAACATGACAATTTTGAGTCTTTCTCTGTGTATAGATGAGGTTGGCCCTGAGAAATGGGCCAGTTGTCATACTGTGGGATGCCCACATGCATAATATTTTAAATTATTTTAATTTGCTTAACTGGATCTGGTTCCTATTAACATGGTAGGAGGCACTGTGATTCCCATGACACTGACAGGGCTGTGTGAGTCTCTCACTTTTGTATAACACTAATTAATCATGACAATACAACTATCTCAAATGCAGTTATCATCTTTCTTAGAGCTCAGAGTTTCACAGAATTTATCCTTTTTCTTTCAAAAATATTCCTACAGGGTTACCAGCCGCAGGATCACTATTTGAGATTAAAATAAGAAATAATTTTCTTACATCAGTGAAAGGCAAAAAGAAATTTATAAATGCAATGCTCTAACTGAAAAAATAATCACATCTTTTATTTCCAAATATGCAAATTGTGAATTGAAAGATGTTTAAGTGAAGATTTCTGAAGTTAACTTACCTCTATCTTCAAAGTATAGGCGACCATGTCTTCATTCACTCATTCTTTCAACACATATTTCATATAAACTTTCAGATATGAGATACCATTCCCTAGAACCCACAAGACAGATTCAACAAGACAATGTCAATGTCCTCAAGGAGCTTACTGTTAGTAGGAGACAGACCATACACTTTTAACAAACATATGAACAAATAAATCATCTTTCAGATAATGACGAGTGCTCTGAATAACAACAACAAAATAGTGCCAGGTAAAAGAGAGAGAATGTGAGAGATAATAGAAAAAAGGTTATTTTAGTTTGGATGGTCAGGGAAGGCCTACGCAGATATTTGAATAAGGAGCAAGGCATGTGAAGAAATGAGAAAAGGGTGAACATGCCAATTTGATTCCATTTAACAATTTTTTTTTTTTTGAGGCAGAGTTTCGCTCTTGTTGCCGAAGCTGGAGTGCAATGGCGTGATCTCGGCTCACCACAACCTCCACCTCCCAGGTTCAAGTGATTCTCCTGCCTCAGCCTCCCGAGTAGCTGGAATTATAGGCGCTTTAGTGCCACCACATCCGGCTAATTTTTTATATTTTTAGTAGAAACGGGGTTTCACTATGTTAGCCAGGCTGGTCTCCAACTCCTGACCTCAGGTGATCTACCTGCCTCGGCCTCCCAAAGTGCTGTGGTTACAGGTTTGAGCCACTGCACCCGGCCCATTGAACAAATATTAATTAAGCATAGACTATATGCCAGT
The DNA here is from genome assembly GCF_000001405.40 of Homo sapiens. Lineage (NCBI taxonomy): Eukaryota > Metazoa > Chordata > Mammalia > Primates > Hominidae > Homo > Homo sapiens. The sequence continues at coordinate 128,360,291 of NC_000004.12, read as the reverse complement.
CATGGTTTTTGGTGCTGGAGAGAAAGCAAGTATAAATAACCTGCTTACAACAGAACAAGCCTGAATAGATCAAGAAACGAACAAAAATGTAGCATTACGTTGCGTCCATAAATGTCTTTACCGAACACATTTACCCTCTAATTATCTGACAAACGATATAATTATCAAAAGCACAAAATCTTAGTGGTAGAGGTCAGTTAAACTATCTCTCTTCCTAAACTTGGTTTTCAAATTTTTGCAATAGAACTATTTGTTTAAATAAAATAGTATGTGGAATTCCAACATAAACAAATAAAAGTGGTCTGCTCCAGGGAAGGACTGTGAAAGTCCACAGTCCTACCTATTCTCCCTCCCCTCAAAGCCCCTACCACCATTTTGCAGCAATGTTAATTTACTGGTTTTGATCACTGGATCATTTGATCATGGTTGTGTAAAATATTAACATCAAGAGAAGCTGGGTGAAGGATATATGGGAACTCTGCATACTAGTTTGCAACTTTTCCGTAAGTCTAAAGTTACTTCAAACTAAAAAGTTGAAAGAAAAGTAATCCTACCATGATCACTACTGGCAGCCCACCTTAGGGCGCTGGAGACACCAGCTGACATCATTAACCTTGATCATGCTGGGCTGGTTTAGCCTATTTACTAAGGACCTTCAGAAGAGGGGAATTCCTTTCTAGGTAGCCTCATCTGGTTTTTAACCATTCTCAACACCAGAAGATTCTTTCCTATGACTCTTTCAATCTCTAAGATAAACCCACTTTTTCAAGTTTTGTCATCAGTGGAAAATTAATTTGTCTTCTCTAAAAACCTTGTGATACATTTATAGACCTTGTAATTTTTCATCAACTTTCTTTCCACAAATTAAGAGCAATGCTTTCATCTTTTCTCATGGGTCTTCTACTTCCATTTTTGAATCATTCAGAAAACTCTGCACTGCAAGTATTTTTTTACCTTCTTAAACTACGGTGTTTAGAGCTCATCACTGGATTTTAAATAAATAAAAGAGGCCTCAGCCAGTATCAAATACCTTGGGTAAAAGGGTTGTATTATCACTCAGACTTTATACACATTATTGCTATTGGATATTACTGCCTTAACAACCTCTCTACATTACCATATTTTGTTTTTTCTTACACATTTTTTCACACTGCTTATGACAGTCATTAAGCCAAGTGCCCCAGGCATTTGCTCTTAACCAATGAACAGCCAGAGCCAGACTGGAAACTTCAAGTCTTTCAGCAAGTCACAAAGTGCCAAAAATGCTCTCTCGCCAGAAGACAAATTTCCTGAGTTAGAGAAAGTAGAAATTCGTTCTGATCTCATTCACCTGAGATCATTCAACAGTCAGATAAGTGAACTGATTGAGTCTGTGACCCTGTCTGTTGGACCTCTCCTTGCTTTAGTTCCCTGCCTGAAAAGCAAGGATAAGAGTGTTTACCAACTTTGCACGGGTGTTGCAAGAGTTGATTAAGGCTTATATGGCACCATCTGATGACAGTCTCTGTGGCTGTGCCACTCAAGTTGTCAAAGGCTGTGAAATGCCCGTGTGCCTCAAGGGCACTCCGTTAAAGCTCAATATCACAACTCTAGGTGACTTGCTGTGGACCATAACTAGAATATGACCCAACTGTACTTTCAGACATGCATGCCGAGCGCCAGTAAGGCTACCATCCAAAGCTGAAAAGCAGTTTTTCTAATGCTGCAGGCTCATGCACAAGGCACCAAAATAGCACCAGAAATACTATACCCATATTGCTTTATCCTAGACATCTGACACTTATAAAGCTGATGCCAAATTTCTTGTCACATATGTGTCTGGAAGCCTTCGTGCTGAGAGGCATTTCTTATCTTCTGACATTTCAGAGAGCTGCATAAAGCTAGACAAGCACAGAGCCTCCTTCTAAAAGGCATGAGGCAGAGGCGAGCATTCTTTTCAGATGACCTCTGAAACCCTCATTGGAGGAGATCCAAGACACCCTTCAGCACATCTGTAATCCTCAGGATATTCCAAATGTTTGAATGTGCAGCTTCCAGTTAGTAACAGCCAAACTACCCTGGCTCTCCAAGGTCATCTGAAAACAATTTGCCCATCAGCCAAATGAGAAAATGCTATTGTAAGCAAACCAATCATAAGATCAGACAATCCTCAGGGGCCCAGGGCCCAGATGCTCTGCCTCTGGTGACACAGGCCACCCCATCTATTACACTCGGGCTTCTGGTTGATGCTAATGACTGTTGTGACTGACACCCCCAAACAGAAACAAAACTAGGATATTTGGATGTGATACAATAATAGACAATTTCTAGTGATTCCTTTCTCTTCTCACCTTACCTACGCAAATGCCTGACAAAGTGGGTGCCGTGTAGACCTCCCCCACAACTGCCAAAGAGCAGAGGGTTCTAGTAGGAAAGTCCCCTAAAGCAATGTGTGTCAGAGTAACCTGGTTTTAAATGCAAATTCCTGGACCTTATTCCAGACCTTTGAATTAGAACCTCAGGCAAATGGGATCCAAGAATCTACATTTTGAACAAATTCCTCAGATGATCTTTTTTTTAACTTTTTATTTTCCCAGATAATTTTTATACACACTAAAATTTTCAGAAATCTGATGGAATTTTCAAGTAAATTAAAATTCATACAAACCCTCAGCTCATTGGGAGGGTTTCTGGCCACAGGCCTATATTTAGTGGTCATTAAGCCACTACTCTAAACACCCACAGGCAAACCACTCTGTGCTCAAGAGGAAGGAACAAGTTTCATGATTTCATCCTTCTCTCAGCCTCACTGTTCACGCTCCTCTTTTGGAACAATAGGCACTGCCATATGATGCTTCTGGCACCAGTTGCCTTGTATTGTTTAACTTTTTGTGTTCGTTTTTTATTGCTGCCATAACAGATTACCACAAATGTGGCACAAATTTATTATCTTACAGTACTGTAGGTTAGAAGTCCAATACAGAAGTCACTGGGCTAAATTCAAGGTGTCAGCAGAACTAGGTTCCTTGCTGGAGGCTCCAGGGGTAAATCTGTTTTCGTGCCTTTTCCAGCTTATAGAGGCCACCCACACTCCTTGGCTCATGGCCCTCCTCCATCTTCAAAGCCAGAAATGCTGCATCTCTGATTCTTCACATCTCCTTCTGACTCTCTTCTTCTGCCTCTCTTCTCCACTTTTAAGGACCCTTGTGATCATACCAGGGCCACCCAGATAATACAGGATAACTTTCCTATCTCAAGGTTCTTAAGATGTGATTACATATGTGATTACATTTCGAAAGTCCCTTTTTCCAAGTAAGGTAATGTTTTCACAAGTTCCAGCGATCTAAGATATGGATATCTTTAAGGGGCCATTATTGTACCTACCACAACTTTCACCTGTAATATGAAGGATGTCTTCATTTGGGCTCCTGCAAAAGCAGACCCTGAGACTAGGATTTGAGTAGAAGTCCCACGAAGCCCAGTAAAGGAGTGGGGCAGTCAGGTAGTAAGGGAGGAAAGCAAATAACTTGTGAGTTAAATGAGCAGGATACTACTACAGGCAACTAGACTAAATTCTCCTAGGGACTGTGTACAACACACATTAGAATAGTCCCACCTCGGGGAAAGGAAACTGGAGCATTTATCCACCAGTTCCCATCATTTTGTAGTTAGGGGTCACATTAACTCCCAGTGCACTTCCAGCACTTCATGCTTCCCTGCCTGTGAACGGGCTCCACAGCTAGCAAATATTCCTGGTGGAGACACTCAACAGGCTATAAACTTGTTCCATCTGAGAGACCTCCGGAGTGGACCAAGAAGATATGAGTGGGTCATCAACAGCATCTGAATCAAGGGGGTTGGTGTTTGAGCCAAGTGTGGCATTACGTCTCAAAAGTTTCAATGCTCATATCCTTTGACCCAGCAAATCCACGTCCAGGGAATGCGTGCTAAGAGTATAACTGCAGACAGGTGCAATGATTGCTTATAATATTTTAAGGAATTAGAAATTATTTAAATTCCATTAATAAGGGATTAGTTGAATAACTTATGGTGATACAATTGAACATTCTGCTACATTTGGATATAATTAGGTGGGTCTACATTTATTGATAGGGAAACCAGTTCCTGACATACTGCTGAGTGGAAAAAAAAAAGCAGGTTACAAATAGTAAGCATATTATAAATCCATTTATGTAAAATTATGTATGTATAATATATATGTGTGTGTATGTATAGCAAGATGTCTCAAAGAATGTTCATCAAAACTCTAACAGTAGTTATTTCTAGGAAGCAGAATTTCTCATCCTTTATACTTTCTTCTTCATGCATCTCTGTATTACAAAAAAATTTACAATAAACAATGTATTGTTTATTAATCAATTACAAAGACACTTGCAATTTTTTTAAAAAAGAATTCAAATTTGCCCTAAAAGATAAGCTTCTATTTAGTTCTAATATGATAATGTCAATTATCATTATACATCTCCATTTTAAAACTACATGATGCTGAGGACCCCCTTGTATTACACAAAATGCTTAGGGCATATTTGGAACACAGCAGGTACTTAATAATAATTGACGTTCATCAGTATGAAATTCAATAAAACAACACACGGAACAAACTGGGTCATGGTAAAATTTTCACAATGCATGGGATGACTCCCTAGGGAGCTGAGAGGCCTGGCGTGGCCTTATCAGGCAGGGGCCTGCTCTGGCAGACAAGGAAGGCCTGCCCTTGCACAGACACACCCATGCCATCCCAGAGATAGCATCAGAGCCCTGCTCATCTTAGGTAGAAGTGAAAACAAAGGCAACTGTAGGCTTGCAGTTTTATAGCATGAACGAGACAAGTGGAATCTGTGTTAATCTGTTAGAAATTAACTCAATGGTTTGTCTCCTGAAACTCTAGGCCTTCCTTGCAAGAGCACTCCACTTCCTGTTATGCACAATGGCAAAGCTGACTGGAACTGCCCAGAGGAAGAACAAGTGGAAGAGTAAGTCACGGTGTGCCCATAGGGCAATAGAAATTTAAAAGAATATTTAGGTGTGGGACTTCACATCCATGCCTCTTTTTCATGTCTAATAGGGAAAATGTCTCACCTGCTCAGGTTGCTCTTGGACTCTCATTTGTTGCTCAGAATCTAAATAATGAGCAAATAGAGGGAAAACAGAAGAGTGGAGAAATCCCCGTTTGTGTATATATTAAAGAGCTGAGAGAGGCAGCAAGAGGAAGGAGGGAGAGAGACCAGAAAATCATGTGGAATAGGTGCCAGGGAGTTTGGGGTTTGTGAGATAATAGTTGGAGATTAAGAGCTTTGGGGATCACCTGATATCCATATGGAAGAAAATGAAGATAACAGTAAAGTAGATTTTAAGATGCTTTTTCTATAGTAAGAATGCATACCCCACACTAACATCGAATTGTATACTTTAAATGGATGAATTGTATGGTATGTAAATGACGCCTCAATAAAGCTGTTTTTTAAAAAAGAATACTCCGTTCCAAAAAAAAAAAATGCACACTCCACTTTGGCAGTTTACTGAGAGACTGCAAAAATATTTGAAGAATCCTAATTACCATTTAGATACCAGACCATTCCTTTGAATTCATTCTTTCACAGAGGCTGAGTCATGTGGAACTTCAACTATGTTTAGGTTCTGGTAGGTTAGAGAAAGGACCCTTAAGATCCTCTAGTCTAATGCTCTCATTTCAAAGGTGAGGAAATGAAGCCACAGAGGTTAAATAAGTCTGCACTGTCACACAGCAGCAAAGCTGGGAACTATGGAGGTCTGATCTCAGGTCTTTCGAAATGCACCATTCCACCCCCATGTGATGCTCTTCCTGCTTTTGTTTACAGAAAGAAACAATTTGAGGATAAGCATGATTAGAACATATAGTTATTATGCCCATGGTTCAGTCTAGTTGTTCTGACCTTTAAAACGAGTCAGTCAGACTGGCACCAGTCCAATCAGTTGCACACCACTGCCCAGCTAACAGCCTGGCCATGGAGATCCGGCCTTCCCAGCCCAAGCCTGTAGAACAAACAATCCCCACAATGGCAATGTTACTTTCACCTCCTTTTGAAGAACAATAGGAAAACAACAATAGATACCTAACATTTATTGGACACTTATCAGTGCAGCAACTTGGGCAGAGTAGTCAGAGCCCTATGACACTGAAATTTAGAGAGTTCAAATTTTAAGTAAGAACTTTAAAACTACTAGATGTCACTAATGTAAATAACACCCATCTGTGAATCACATCAGAAGTTTACAAAGTTAATTATGGGATCGCATTTCTGATGCTCTCCCAGGATGGCTCTGGCGCCTGCTATGTGCTAGGCGCTGGTCTAGACATTTTACATATGGCACCTCTTTTAATCTCCACAATAATTCCATCACATGGGTATTAATCACCCCACTCTGTAAGTAAGAAAAAAAAGAAAAAAACTGAAAACATGATGGGAGCAGGACCAGGCACATAAAAGATAAGTTCTGATGTCAAGAAACAGCCTTAGGGCTCAAGGAGGGTATCTTTATGATGTAACTTAAGTCTGTACCAGAAGAGTTCTCCTTTATCCCTAAAGAGTCACCTCAATGCGTATCATTCCATCATTAGTTTCACCCTTTTTTTTTTTTTTTTTTGAGACAGAGTCTCACTCTGTTGCCCAGGCTGGAGTGCAATGGCACGATCTTGGCTCACTGCAACCTCCGCCTCCCGAGATCAAGCGATTCTCCTGCCTCAGCCTCCCAAGTAGCTTGGACTACAGGTGCTCACCACTACGCCTGGCTAATTTTTGTATTTTTTAGTACAGACGGGGTTTCGCCATATTGGCCAGGCTGGTCTTGAACTCCTGACCTTGTGATCCACCCACCTCGGCCTCCCAAAGTGCTGGGATTACAGGCATGAGCCACCACACCCAGCCTAGTTTCATCCATTTTTAACTTAAATACCGTTAGTAGTCACCCATAAAATTGAGAATACCCCTATGCATTGATCAGAGTCAGCAATGCTATGTTACAGAATAAGCTGGAATCTCAGCAGACTAACATGATAAAAGTATTTCTTGCTCATGCAAAGTCTGATGCAGATGTCTGGAGCCATTTTAGAGGACCAGGAATGAGATAAGGAGAGCATGGTAGATATGCAGGATATTTCAGATTCAGAGCATGGAAGATCAAGAAGCTTACAAGTAGAGAACACCATTTCCACCCACATTCCATTAGCCAGAAATCAGTCACATGGCCAACCTAACTGCACAGGAGTCTGAGAAATGTAGGGAAGTGCAGAAATGGGTGGGCTTTATAATATCCACCACCTTCCCAAAATAATTCTATGTTTGGTTCTTATTTGTCAGCACATCAGTTAACAAGAATTAGTAGCAACAATAGATACAAGTAGTATGTAGGAGTCTCTTCTTCAGGACAGGACCAGAAAGGAAGAGATGGAAAAGGGACAGTGACAGAGACATATATACATATTTAATAATTTTATTGGGTTCTGCCTGACTTGAAAGATCTATCTACTAAGCCTTGCTGTGTCTCCAGCTCATTGGCTGATACTTCCAATAACTTTGGCTGGATGCTGAATTAGACTTTAAGTTTTGCAAGTATAATTTCTTCCAGAGATATCAGAAATAAAGCTATTTATTCATTTTAGGTACTTTGACAAATAGGTACTTTGGGATCTACAACTGAATAAATAAATGTTTTCCTGACAAGTTGAGTATAACAGATTTTAATGAAGTGACATTTTTTCATTTTATTTCTACCATAAAATTCAACAACAAAACAAGTTGGCCCTGAAAGGAAACAATAATCAAATTTAGGAATGTATCAAATTTTTTAAATTATATATAAAAGGAAAAGTATAACTTATTAAAACTTTAATAATAACTATTAATGCACCACCCGACAATTAAGACAGAAACCTGGCTTGAAACCTTCTTCTTCACTCAGTCTATCCAAGCACCAACTACATGTGATTTTATCCCCAAAATATCTCTCAAGCTTATCATATTCTATCTTCTATCCCCATTGACACTACTTCAAACTTTCTCACTTGGAGTGACATCACCTCCTAGATGACCTCTCTGCATTCAGTCTTGCCCACCTTTTCAACCCCGTACCCCTGAGAGCAATGTGTTCAAAACTGCAGGGTGCAAGGGGATCTTCTTGGAAGGTTAAATACACAGATTCCAAAGTTTTCCACCAGGATTCTGATTCAGTAAACCCAGTGTTGACAAAAAGAGTCAAACTCTGTAAAATATTTGAAGAGATTTATTCTGAGCCAAATATGAGTGACCAACGGCCTGTGACACAACCCTCAGGAGATCCTGAGAACATGTGCCCAAAGTGGTTGGGGTACAGCTTAGTTTTACAGATTTTAGGGAGACATGAGACATCTATCAGATACACATAGGATGTACATTCGTTTGGTCCAGAAAGGCAGGACAACTACTTGGAAGGAAGGGCCTCCAAGTCATAGGCAGATTTAAAGACTTATTGATTGGCATGGATTGAAACAGTTAGGTTATTGTCTAAAAACTTAGGACTGTCTGGGTTAAGATAAGGAGTTGTGGAGACCAAGGTTTTATCATGCAGGTGAAGCCTCCTGGTAGCAGACTTTGAGAATAGATTGTAAATGTTTCTTATCAGACTTAAAAAGTCTGTTCTATCAGTAATTCCAAAAGGAAGGAGTTCCAACACCCCCTTCCCATCATGGTCTAAAACTAGTTTTTCCATTTAACTTTGGAATGCCCTTGCCAAGAGAAGGGGCCATTGGGATGGTCAAGGGGATTAAAATTTTATTTTTGCTTTATACCAGGATGGAGTTCAGGGCTCTGAATTTTTAACAGGCACAACAGAAGATTTTAATGTATGTGCTCTTGGGAGAAATACTGCTCCACAAAAAAATCTCAACAAGAATTCCAAATCTCAGTGGTCAGTCCTTTGTTTAAAGCAATTGAATGGCTTTCCAGTGACTACCAGATAAATCCCAAGACCCTTATTATAGAATATAAGGCACCATGACACAGGCCTGGAGTATCTTTCCAGCCTCATATTTCCCTATTTCTCCTTAAACCTTACAGTTTCAGAACCACCAGTGCCAAATTATTTGTATTTCCTGAGCACACTACATTGGTTCATGCCTCGACATCTTAGCCATGTCAAAGAAGGATTTTTTTCAGCCCCTTTGCTGGATTCGCAGCAGGGGTGCCCCCTCTACTTGGCCTGCCATGCTCAGCCCCTTGCAGGAGGGAGCATGTGAGCGAGCAAGTGTGGAACCTGGCCAGCCACTCTGACCACCAACACAGGAGCAAGCTCTGTGCAGGGCCCATGGCCAAGCCAGGCATGTTACCTCGAAGGGAATAGGGCAGTGCCCAGGGAGGGATGCCCTTGACCCTGAAGCCCCAGAGCAGGTGTTAGTGTGATAATTAGCTCTTGTAGTTCCACTGTCCGCAGCCTTATGGCAGCATGTTAGCAGCTCAGTCGGTCCATTGCTCCATTGTGCAGGGTGGCTGCTCTCTGCTGGCAAGGGCAAGGGCCAGTACTACAGCTTTTCAGAGTACCTGTGCTCAGTGGGTCCTAAGCTCTTGTCCAGCAACCAAGAAAAATGACATCACACTGATGACTGAAGGGTGATGACAGCAGAGGATTTTATTGAGTGACAGAACAGCTCTCAGAAGAGAGGGGATGCAGGGTGGGAGGAAGGTACCCCCGCCCCCACAGTCGGGTGGTTTCTCCCTGTGTGATTGGGTCTGGGGCTTTTTATGGACTCAGAATGGGGAGTGCATGCTGATTGGTTTGTGAGTATGCAAAAAAGTTTAAAGCAAAGACACCACTCAAAGGTGGGCACCACAATGTAGAAAACCAATTAGGAAAGGGTAGGTATATGTAAAATGGGTGAAAGGCAGAGACCAATCAGAGGAAAGCACACCAAATGGGAAGACAGGTTCTCAATCTGGTCCCAGCATTTAACTTGTAACTTGGCTTTCAGGCTTTACATGGTCTTCGACTTGGAGGTGGGATTTTGCTGGGGACTCACCCCTATCTGCCTAGGCATCTGACTGCCTCCTGTCACTATCAATGTTGTTCCTGCTACCCAGAATTTCCATGCCCATTGTCATCCTGATAAACCAGCATTTACCTTCAAAACTGAGCTCAATTCTTTTGTTAATTTCTTCTAATATGCCACCATTGGCAGAGTTAATGTCTTCCTCCTCTTTCATCATCCTGTCTGTTCTGACCTTTGAAGTACTTCTATTACTACACATCTTTGTTTACATTCCGCTCATCCCCTATCTAACCTCCTTACGTCATCTCAGTGCCTCGCATGTAGAAGGCATTAAATAAACATTGTTGAACTATAACTAAATACAAAACATGAGCTCTTTGGGAGCAGAAACAAATAAAGATTCCTCTTTAGATTATTTGGTCCTTTAAGTTAAATATTTCAGTTCAGTTCAGTTTATACAATTTTTTTCTTTCTTCATTATTCATTAATGAATTATTCATTTCCTTCATTAATTCTACAAACGCTTTTTGAAAGCCTACTATGCACATCATTGTACAATAATGCTACCTAAAATCCAGTGTTTATATGCTAGAAACTATTAGATACAGTATTTCTTTACCTTTTATTCTCTACAGGTCTTTCGTTAATTTTCTTATGTAATGGTTCCTGTCACAGGTAGGAGAGTACTTTGAAGACTGGCATCTTTTGAGATACTAATAAATGTTTCCCTCCCAATAAAACTAAAATGTTTCCCAAATAGTATAGTATAGTGTTAAAATGATATCCATACATTTGTGTTTCTACCTCATGGGCTTCTTTGGGGAAGTACATGAGAAAGTTAATAGCAGCCTACCAGCCTACCATTTAACCCACATCCCTAATCAATCAATAATTTTTTTTTTTGAGACAGAGTTTCGCTCTTGTTGTCCAGGCTGGAGTGCAATGGCACCATCTCAGCTCACTGCAACCTCCGCCTCCCGGGTTCAAGCGATTCTCCTGTCTCAGCCTCCCGAGTAGCTGGGATTACAGGCGCATGCCACCATGCCCAGCTAATTTTTGTATTTTTAGTAGAGATGGGATTTCATCATACTGGTCAGGCTGGTCTCGAACTCCTGACCTCAGGTGATCCGCCCACCTCAGCCTCCCAAAGTGTTGGGATTACAGGCGTGAGCCACCGCACCCGGCCAATCAATAATTTTTTTTTAATTGCACATAAGCACCTAACTCACACCCTAAGGGAGACTGTGAAAAAACAGAAAGAATGGGCCACTGTCTTTCTTTATTCATCTCTACATCTTTGTACTTACAGGCCTCCTCTGGATTCTAAAAGCAGCCTTGACAGTTGAAAACATGGCATAAATTTTGTAGCCTCAATCACCCCTAGATGAACTTAAAAAAACACCTTTTTTGTATATTTATTCTAAAATTCAGGTCAGGATCTAAAACCTGAACATAACAATGTATTTAAACATTGCTGCTTTACTCTACTTCTTACATATCTTATTGTGTAAATTTGTCTTTCAAAGAAGAAAACGTTTATACTATCATAAAATAGACAGTGAAGCTCTAAAACTTGCCAAATACTGTAATCTAAAATCATTTTCTGACAGAAGAAGACACTACTCCTTTTTAGAAAAAGAGTGGAGTTATTACAAATGTATTCTTTTTGACATCAAAACAAAAAGAATGATTACTCATTTTATATTTGTTGGCATGGAGTTATTTGGACGTGGTTAAAAATATCTCCAAGAACAGTCTTCACTCTAGCCCCAAACCTGTATATCTTCCCTTCAGAGATGAAAACTGTCCACAGCAATCAACAGTAACATTCCAAGTCTGACACTCCCAGACACCCAAACAACACAATGCCGGGCGGCTGGAGAGCACAGTTAGCATTACAGAAATCACACTCCCTCTGCCCGGAGAACAAGCAGATCAAACATCAAAACTGTCCCAGAAATATGCAATGTGGGGTTATAAATATGCTCCCACAGAGGGATAAGAATTTGTAACAAAGTTTAAAATCATTTGTAGATTGGCTATAATTAAAAAAAAACAGAAAACAGTAAATGCTGATGAGTATATGGAGAAATCAGAACTCTCATACATTGCTGGTGGGAATGTAAAGTGTGCAGCCTTTTGGTGATTCCTCAATAAGTCAAACATAAAATACCATATGACTCAGCAATTTCATTCCTAGGTATATGCCCAAAATAATTGAAAACAGGGAGTCAAGCAGATGCTTGTACACCAGTGTTCACAGCAGCACTATTTCTACTAGCCAAAAGACAGAAAAAAACACAAATGTCCATCAATTCATGAATGAACAAATAAACATGGTATAACCATCCAATAGAATATTTTTCAGCCTTAAAATAGAAAGAAGTCCTGAGACATGCCTCAGCATCCATGAACCTTGAAAACATCATGTTAAGTTAAAAAAGCCAGTCACAAAAGGCTTTGTGACTGTAAATGGTATGATACCATTTATATGAAATATCCAAGAATAGGCAAATCTATAGGGACAGAAAACAGATTAGTAGTTTCCAGGAGCTGTGGGTAGGGGAGGATGGGGAGTGGCTGCTTATTGTCTCCTGTTTCCATCTGGGGTGATGAAAATGTTCTGGAGCTAGATAGTGGTGGTAGTTGCACAACCATGTGAACGTCCTAAATACCAATGAATTGTATGCTTTAAAAATGCTTAATCTAAGCTGGGCACAGTGGCTTACACCTGTAGCCTGAGCGCTTTGAAAGATTGAGGCAGGAGGATCACTTGAGTCCAGGAGTCCAAGACCAACCTGACCAACATAGAGAGACCTAATCTCTACAAAGAAAATAAAAAATAAAAAACAGCCGGGCATGGTGCCACACACCTGTAGTCCCGGCTACTTGAGAAGCAGAGGCTTGAAACCAGGAGGTCAAGGCTGCAGTGAGCTCTGTTTGTGCCACTGCACTCAGGCCTGGGCAACAGAGTAAGACCCTGGTTTTTTTTTTTTTAAAAGGACAACAACAACAAAAAAAGATGACTCTGCAATTTTACAGGCAGTAGGGAAAAAAATGATTTAAATGGTAAATTTTATACTAACTGAATTTTACTACAATAAAAAATCATTTGTCAGTTAAATAATTTTTTTAATGTGATGCAATTCTAGGATATTCCACAGTGAAAATATTTTTGAGTAAAACATACTTATCAATATATGCATGTGTACACTGCTTGAATTATCAAATATTAGATCTAACTTAATTGTTCTATAACTAAATAAGTTAACTCTTTCAGTAAAATTTCAGAGAAACTTAAAAATAGGGGGCTGGGTGCAGTGGTTCATGCCTGTAATCCCAGCACTTTAGGAGGCCAAGGCAGGCAGATCTCTTGATGTCAGAAGTTCAAGACAAGCCTAGCCAACATGGTGAAACCCTGTCTCTACTAAAAATACAAAAATTAGCTGGGTGTGGTGGCGGGTGCCTGTAATCCCAGCTACTTAGGAGGCTGAGGCATGAGAATTGCTTGAACTCAGGAGGTGGAGGTTGCAGTGAGCCAAGATCACGCCACTACACTCCAGCCTGGGCATCGCAGTGAGACTCTGTCTCCAAAAAAAAAAAAAAAAAAAATAGAAGATATTTGGTGAATTTCATAACATAAAATGATCATAGATTATTTGTGGTCAAATACCTAGAATACCTAGAAGACCACAAACTCTCAGAAGTCTGAGAAAAACTAATGTTCTATTTTGAAAACCAGCACACTCTCAGCACCCCAAAGTACTCGCCTATAGCCTTACTTAGCATTACGTATAAGTATGAAGAGTCATCCAACATAATTTATTCTGAGTGCTTATAATGTGTCAGGCACTAGTCTAGGCACTGGAAATATGAAAGCTACTAAGGCAAGGTTCTTGCCCTAATGGATCTTATGAATAAAATAGAAACTATGCATGTTTTACATATTGCAATTTTTGTGTATGACAATAACATTACCCAAGACCAGTGAAGGGATGAATAGGAAACCAGAGCCAACAGTAAATTGCTATTATCTCCTAAGTGGTATTTAAAGCAAAGCAATAATAAATCAGGATCATCATGTTGTCATCCAGACAACTGCTAAGAAACATCTTGTTGGATATTTGAGTTGGTAATCACATTCTCCAAAACCCCTAAGCTCTGTTTTATTCACGTTCTATCCCTTCAACCAATAAGAAGAATAAGTAAATGTTTCATTTCAAGCTGTTATCACTAAGAATAGAAATGTTTCATCTACAGAACCCTGTTCCAGGAACTATGGATGATTCAAAGTTAATGGAAGGTATCCCTGCCTTTGTGTAGTTTATCATCTGACTGGGTAGGCAAAATGTCCATCAAAACTATCTGAGAGCAATTATAATGTGACATAAGAGCTAAACACGTGTGAGTTGACATAGTATAAACCAAGCTCTCAAGGGCAGTGAGAATGTGAAGTATGAACTACTCAAAACCAGAGCACTACATGGTATTCACTGTCCTTCTGATACAGCACAGGCTATAGTTTACATGTTCCCTTAAAGTGTAGAAACAATCCTAATACTAATCTGTTTTTTCTTATCACATGTAGGGGTTTGGGAGAGAAAGTCTGGGACTTACTATGTTGCCAGGCATTTTGATAGGCACTTTTAAATTTAACCTCACAAAAACCCAAGCTACTTTTTCACCATCATCATCATCGTCATTCCCATCATCATTATCCCTATTTAATACTTGCCCAAAGTCAGCCAGCAACTAAGTGTCATGGTTGCAGAGGACTCACTGAGCTTTGACAAACCTGACAAAAACAAGAAATGGGGAAAGGATTCCCTAATTAATAAATGGTGCTGGTGCTGGGAAAACTGGCTAGCCATATGTAGAAAGCTGAAACTGGATCCCTTCCTTACACCTTATACAAAAATTAATTCAAGATGGATTAAAGACTTAAATATTAGACCTAAAACCATAAAAACCCTAGAAGAAAACCTAGGCAATACCATTCAGGACATAGGCATGGGCAAGGACTTCATGTCTAAAACACCAAAAGCAATGGCAACAAAAGCCAAAATTGACAAATGGGATCTCATTAAACTAAAGAGCTTCTGCACAGCAAAAGAAACTACCCTCAGAGTGAACAGGCAACCTACAGAATGGGAGAAAATTTTTGCAATCTACTCATCTGACAAAGGGCTAATATCCAGAATCTACAATGAACTCAAACAAATTTACAAGAAAAAAACAAACAACCCCATCAAAAAGTGGGCGAAGTATATGAACAGACACTTCTCAAAAGAAGACATTTATGCAGCCAACAGACACATGAAAAAATGCTCATCATCACTGCCAATCAGAGAAATGCAAATCAAAACCACAATGAGATACCATCTCACACCAGTTAGAATGGCAATCATTAAAAAGTCAGGAAACAACAGGTGCTGGAGAGGATGTGGAGAAATAGGAACACTTTTATACTGTTGGTGGGACTGTAAACTAGTTCAACCATTGTGGAAGACAGTGTGGTGATTCCTCCAGGATCTAGAACTAGAAATACTATTTGATCCAGCCATCCCATTACTGGGTATATACCCAAGGGATTATAAATCATGCTGCTATAAAGACACATGCACACGTATGTTTATTGCGGCACTTATTCACAATAGCAAAGACTTGGAACCAACCCAAATGTCCATCAATGATAGACTGGATTAAGAAAATGTGGCACATATACACCATGGAATACTATGCAGCCATAAAAAACGATGAGTTCATGTCCTTTGTAGGGGCATGGATGAAGCTGGAAACCATCATTCTCAGCAAACTATCACAAGGACAAAAAACCAAACACTGCATGTTCTCACTCACAGGTGGGAAGTGAACAATGAGAACACTTGGACACAGGAAGGGGAACATCACACACCGGGGCATGTTGTGGGGTGGGGGAAGGGGGAGGGATAGCATTAGGAGATATATCTAATGTAAATGATGAGTTAATGGGTGCAGCACACCAACATGGCACATGTATACCTATGTAACAAACCTGCACATTGTGCACATGTACCCTAGAACTTAAAGTATAATAATAAAAAAGTTTACCAAAAAGAAAAAAAGGATCCAAACCCAAGGGTGAGAGGCAGAGCCTGAAGAAATGCCTGAGATTTTCTCGTGGTTCCTATGGTCAAAGGCAAGAGTGTAGCCCAAGGACTTGTAGGTATTGCCCAACTCAGGTGTAACATACATGTACAGTTGATGCTTGAACAACACAGCTTTAAACTGTGTGGGTCCATTTATATGCAGATTTTCTTCTGCCTCTGCCACTCTGAGACAGCAGGATTAATCCCTCCTCTTCCCCCTCCTCAGCCTACTCATCCTGAAGAAGTTTATGATGATCCACTTCCACTTAATAAATGTTAATATATTTTCTCTTAAAAAAAAAAAAAAAAGCTCTGCCTTAAAGTATGTCCCAGGAGGAAAACATCAATTACATAATTTAAGAACAATCCTCAGAACTGAAGGACATGAATTTTCAGGTTAAAAAGACTCACTAAATGCCTGCCTAAGTAATGAAAATAGATCCACAGCAAGGCATAGCATTACGAAATGGCAGAGGATTGGGAAAAAGAGACAATCCAATAAACACTGAAGAGACTTCCTTTAAAGTCATATAGAAAACAAATGGAATCAAAATGGTTTTAGACATCCCAACAACAATACTGGAAGCTAGAAGATAAGGGAACAATGGCTTCAAAAGCAGAAACTGGGTGTAGTGGCTCATGCCTGTAATCCCAGCACTTTGGGAGGTCAAAGCAGAAGGATCGCTCGAGGCCAGAAATTCAAGACCAGCCTGTGCAATAGAGAGAGACCTTGACTCTACTAAAAATAAAAGATTAGCTGGGCGTGATGGACACATGTTTGTAGTCCCAGCTACTTGGGAGACTGAGGCGGGAGGATCACTTCAGCCCAACAGTTCAAGGTTGCAGTGAGCTATGACTGATGATTGTCACTGAACTCCAGCCTGGGCAACAGAGTATGACCCTCTCAAAAAAAAAAAAAAAAAAAAAAAAGCAGAAGAAAATTTTCCCCAACCTAGAATTTTAAACCAATCCAAACTATTAGTCAAATATGAAGGAAAGATTTTTTAAAAAGCATCTTCAGACAAAGTCTCAAAAAATTGACTTTCCATTCATCCTTTTTCAGGAAGCAAGAGAATATATTCTACTGAAATGAAAGAGTAGCACTAGAAAAGAAATAAGACATGAGATACAGTTAACAAAGGATCCACCACAGAAGACAGCAAAGAGAATCTCCAGATGGATGATAAAGGGTGACACAGCCTGACAACTGTGTCCCAGGCCCATAGGGCAACCAGACCAATTGAAAGGTCAGAAACAAGTCAGAAGGCTCCAGAAGAGCTTGCCCCAGGAAATGAAGTCAGTAGAATACTGAATGTTTCTGAATACGTTGCAGAGAGACTAAAAATTTGTAGTTTGAGGTTGAATTATAATAAGCTAGAGGTTGCAAATTTTTCTTATAAAAGGCCAGATAATAAATATTTTAGGTTTTTCAGACCATACAGTCTCCATCACACTACTTAACTCTGCTGTTGTAGGGCAAAAGCAGACATAAACAATAAGCAAACCAAATTTATTTGCAAAAACAGGTAACAGGCTGGATTTGTCCCACGAGACAGTTTGCTGACCCCTGATATATGCAGATAAGCACAAAGAAGACAAAAAATGTATAAACATGAAAATTATTAGTTTCAGGGAAAATAAAAAGTTGTACAGAGAAGAAAATATTATCGTGGCTCAGATAAATGGGTTTATATACATAATCATATCATGTAATCACTGAATATTTATATAATCATAATCATGTAATCACTGAATATTGATGCTACTAAAACCACCACATATCCATATTAGGAGGATGGAGGAATGGGAAGTGAGCAAATATGTGATAGGCGCAGGGGAGATAAGTAAGAGAAAGCTAGGTTCTCATCTTTCACATTGGGAAATAACATTTACAATGACAATACCAAGAAGTAGTCAAGGTGACTAACTTCTCAGTCTCAACTGAGGCCAAGCTCTTCAGAATAAACGTAATTCATGGGAGAATAAAAATGAAGTGATGAAAAGCCAATGTGCCAAGCCACTGATACCCAGGAGATGTATAAAGTTATTGCTCAGGATGTGGTATGTTGGCCAGGCACAGTGGCTCATGCCTGTAATCCCAGCACTTTGGGAGGCTGAGGCAGATGGATCACTTGAGGACAGGAGTTCGAGACCACCCTGGTCAACATGGTGAAACTCCATCTCTACTAAATATGCAAAAATTAGCCAGGCGTGGTGGCATGGGCCTGTAATCCCAGCTACTCAAGAGGCTGAGGCATAACATCACTTGAACCTGGGAGGTGGAGGTTGCAGTGAGCTGAGACCATGCCACTGGACTCCAGTGTCTTATGTTACTGACCACAAGGGGGACTTCAAGAAAGGTGATCCATACATAAGCAGAATATGCATAGTAAAAAAAAAGGCGAGACAGCCACCGAAAAAGCTGTAAAACTTCTCTCTCTTGACCACAGTGGAACAAAAGGGTCTGACCCCTCAAAAAGAACTAATCTGCTAAGGAGGACACAGACACTGACACTGAGCCCATTAGAAAGACAATCGTGTTGTTGCATATCCATTGCCAGTTCTGGTAGAGCAGTACAGAGAGGTAAAACATCCCAGAGAAGCCAGCTGATAAAGGCTCAGGGCTTAATGCCAGACTTAAGCCAATGCACAAGTAAAGGCCGTGTATTAGCCCATTTTCACACTGCTACAAAGAACTACCTTAGACTGGGTAAATTATGAAAAAAAAAAAGAGGTTTAATTGACTCACAATTCCACAGGCTTAACAGGAAGCATGACTGGTAGGCCTCAGGAAACTTATGATCGTGGCAGAAGGCAAAGAAGAAGCAAGGACCTTCTTCACATGGTGGCAGGAAAGAGAGAGAGGATGAAGGGGGAAGTGCCACACATTTTTAAACCATCAGATCTCATGAGAACTCACTCACTATCACAAGAACAGCAAGGGGGAAATTCACCCCCATGACCCAATCACCTCCCACCAGGCCCTTCCTCCAATTCTGGATGAGATTTGGGTGGGGACACAAATCCAAACCATATCAGACAGGAATTAGGAATAAAGGACTCAGTGTCTAGAAGAGGATTCTCTGGACCACATGTAAAAAGAGGAACAGAATCCTTATGTAATCTCTTCTCTATGCCACACAAATTATAGTTTCTCATCAACTTCTTAGGGATGTCAGAACCCCTAAAAGGCCTCTACAAAAGAGGGCCTCTTTTTTTTTAATTCATAGGCTTTAATCACCAGGAGGGCTTCTTTTGACAATCTAGGTTCAACGGTTTCAACAACTACTTTTGACATCTTCATAAAACTCCAAGTTAAGGAATCCCTTCCAGGAATTATTGTATTGAGATACACAGTGAAGTAGTATCTTGAAATACTAACCTTTGTGGGGTTTTTTTGTTGTTTTGTTTTTGTTTTTGTTTTTTGAGATGGAGTCTCGCTCTGTTGCTCAGGCTGGAGTGCAGTAGTGTGATCTCAGCTCACTGCAATCTCCACCTCCTGGGTTCAAGCAATTCTCCTGCCTCAGCCTCCTGAGTAGCTGAGACTACAGGTGCCCACCACCACCACGCCCAGCTAATTTTTCTATTTTTAGTAGAGACAGGGTTTTACCATATTGGCCAGGATGGTCTCGAACTCCTGACCTCATGATCTGCCTGCCTCAGCCTCCCAAAGTGCTGGGATAACAGGCGTGAGCCACCGCGCCCAACCCACCTTTGTGGTTTTTAAAAAAATGTTCTGCACTTCCTTGGAGTGACCCTATCCTACTCAATCTGAGGCACCCATATTGCCTTACAGAGAATTTGAACAGCTACAGCAAAAATGAAGGAAGCAGGGCATGGAGTTTATGTCATAATAATAGATTGGAAACAGAATAGAGAGAGGCAAATGATCCCCTCTCCATCTCCCAGGTTAACTGAGGATCACTTGGGCTGTGATTAAAAGAAAAATGGTAGTGGTGGGTGACTGTGCTGGTAAAGAAGAGGAATAGACATGGAAGAACTACATGATAACTAATACCAGAGAACTGTAAGGAATCTGAGCCAATACTCATCAACCACCCAGCACTATTCTAATGAAAACCACGTATCAGCCAAGCTGAGGAGCTGTAGAGTGAGAGTCCACCATTGACAAAAGCCTACACATCACCCTTGCAGCATCTAACAGATGGACATCTACTCATCCTCAAAAGCTTATTAAATCCCATATAAACTGCCTCTTGAGGACTTTCCAAGAAACTCATAAGTCCATGACACCCAGGGGAGCACTAGGTCAAGAAACGGAAGCCCTGAGCAACATGTGAACTTGAATGAGACTAGATAGTAGTTAAATCTGCCCCAATCGCAGGCACTTGGACTGGGTGGGTTCTATCTGACTATAGTTACCCAAGTAAGCACCCTTTAAGGCATTCGGCCTTAATGAGACTTGTTTTTGTCCATATATTATGAAAGTTTATACCATGTTTGTGAAGAAATGTATTTTCTAAGTTTCTAAATCAGTTCTCCTAGGAAAAAAGCTCTGAAATTGAAAGTCTTGGTTAGTCTTAGATTTGAATGAAGGGTTCATTAACAGCTCCCACTAGAACTCTATAAATACCCAGATGCGATAGCTACTAATTCCAGACAGTAAGCCAAGCATCTGAAACAACAACAACGAAAAACAGAGTAATACTTCCCTTTGGGTATATGGTATCTCTAAACATTTATGTGTTCTTCTCAAAGACAGTGTCTTTTTTTAGGGACTCAATACTATTGCATTTATAAACAAAGTTTAGAAGTTCTACTCAGGGCCTGCATTCTAGTTTGGTCTTCACCTGTATTTTATTTTTCGTTTTTTATAGAGACAGTATCTTCCTATGTTGCCCAGGCTGGTCTCAAGTTCCTGGGCTCAAGCCATGCACCCACCTTGGCCTCCCAAAGTGCTGAGATTACAGGCATGAGCCACCATTCCGAGCCTTCCCCTGTATTTTATAGCACTACATTGTCAGCTTAAAACCATGCCCTCCTTGTTAAGCTCCACTTCTCAAATTTAATAAACACATAAGAATCTGATGTCAACATTCCTATATGTATTTATCAAGGAGTTTTCTCAGAGAGGAAAAATGCTGTAATAGCTTTTTAAAAACAGAATAGGCAATGGTCCGGTAACAAATCTGTTGAACAAAGAATATAAGAGCGAGCTCAGGCCTTCCTTAACAGCAAGAAGAGATGCCACCTAACAAGACATCTGCTTACTCTTTAATGCTTATGATAGGACTATGTGTCCATGTGGCATTAGGCAAGAAAAATGATTCCAAGTGATGGCCTAGAGTTGATAAGGCCAACCACAACCACCAAGTCCTAAGTGGAATGTTGTGACTCAGAGGAAACAGAGTGGGGTGTAAATATGTGGGTCACAGACACTAACAGCAAACAGGCTGATGTATCTGAGGCAGCTCCTAATAAATTTCTGGCACCTTTTACAATCTTACCAAACTAGCTGTTTCAAACACAACAAATGTTTTGCCTAACTTAAATAGACTAAGTTATTAAGTCTGAATAAATGAGGAAGACTTGCTGCCATGATTATAGCTACAAACACAATCAGAATGTTGGTTAGGGCTTAAAGAAATTGCTGGGAGAAACATGCAACACAGGCGAAGTATTGAGAAGGAAGCTAGACAGAAGAGATGGTGAGGAACAAATGATAGTTCATCAATGCATTTAAGGTCAGAAAAAGAATTATAGACTTTAGGGCTTGAAAGAGTCTTTGAGATTATCTAACCCAAGTCTCTCTTTTTTAACATATGAAGGAAATAAAACCCAAGAAAATGTTAAGTTGTTCAATGTCACATGAGTTTTCTTTATTTCCTGTTTAGACTCTTTCCACTATACCATTTTGGCCTCCTCTACTTAACTTTCCCAAGGACAGGGATTCTACCCTTCTAGACTGTCCTTGTATTCCATAAATCCTTATTTGATGAAGGATTTCTGGGCATAAGCCCTGGCTCCTTAGGCTTCCTCTCTGCAAGTGAACCCTTTCCTTCCAGTTCCCATACACCACACAAAGCAAGCAAATACTAATGCAACACATTGCTCTTAACGACTTTACGGAGGAAGGAAATGAGTAGCAAGGTCTACTAGCAAATGATGTTCTTGTTCCAAAGATGAAGGAAGAGTTATGCAAACATCACCCTTTAGGGAAGCTAAAATTCACTCCAAGAGGAAGATGAAGGGCTACCATGCTACAAAACCAGTCTGCCAAATTAGGCCTGCTGGTGAGAGAAAAAGCCATACTATATGGTTGGTAAATATTCACACTGAGTGCCAGATGGGTGTTACACAAATATTAAGGGAGGAATCAATTTGAGAATGTCATATGGGTAACTTTATCTCATGTTTGATTATACAAATGCCCTTCATTGTTTCAGCAACTATTTATTGAGTACCTCCTACATGCCAAGCACTGCTGTAGACCTGTAGATACAGTGGTAGAAAAGCCAGGCCAGGTGTGGTGGCTCACACCTGTAATCCCAGCATTTTGGGAGGCCGAGGCAGGTGGATCACCTGAGGTCAGGAGTTCGAGACCATCCTGGCCAACGTGGGGAAACCCCATCTCTACTAAAAAATACAAAAATTAGCTGGGTGTGGTGGCAGGCACCTGTAATCCCAGCTACTCAGGAGGCTGAAACAAGAGAACTGCTTGAACGCAGGAGGCAGGGGTTGCAGTGAGCCGACATTGCACCACTGCACTCCAGCCTGGGCGACAAGAGTGAAAACTCCATCTCAAAAAAAAAAAAAAAAAAGAAAAAGAAAAAGAAAAGAAAAGCCAAATCCCTACCCTCACTCCCTCAAACACAAAATTGCAGTCCTTCTTACCATTTCCCCTCATGCCCCACTTTTATTCAGCATCCTAGGTCCTTTCAGATATTGCCTTTATCCCTTTCCCCCTTTATGTTTGCTTTCTAAGCCAGCACATTAGCTCAGGCCTTCATTATCTCATCCCTAAACCAGTTTTCTAACAGATCTCCGTCTTCTTTCAATGACCCAATTATAGTTTCAAAAATTCTGATTCATTCTGGTTACTTAAATTCTCAAAAGCTTCAATAGCTCCACACAGCCCACCTCAAACTCCCCAGACTGGCATGTCCCAGCCTCCAAGTTCTGGATCCACCTCTTCTGTACAAACTTAATTAAAAGGCATACTACTTAAAAGCAACTTTAAACTGCATTAATGTTTGTGATCACATATCCCATAAGTTTACACAAAGAGAAAAAAGACCTATAAGACAAGCAATTTTTCATTTATGTGAGTTAAGTTCCTGTCAAAGTTATTTCAAATCAACAAAACATAGACTTTAATTTTTCCATAGAAACAATGCTATTATAAAGAGGTTCACTCTTGACCAAGAGGCTAATGCCCAACATTTTTATTACATGTCAAGATAATGGGAAAAATCTTTGGGAGGCAGAGGTAGGTGGATCGCTTGAGCCTAAGAGTTCAACACCAGCCTGGGCAACATCATGAAACCTTGTCTCTAATAAAAATACAAAAATCAGCTGCGTATGTTGGTGCATGCCCATAATCTCAGCTACTCAGGAGGCTGACAGGGAGAATCACTTGAACCCAGGAGGTGGAGGTTGCAGTGAGCCAAGATCATGCCACTACACTCCAGTCTGGGGGACAGAGCAAGATCCTACCTCAAATTAAAAAAAAAAAAAAAAAAAGATAGTGGGAAAAGTGCTGTAAGCCAAAATGATGTAAGTAGAATCTTATTTACTGTTGAAATAGCTATACTTCTAAGCAAGTGTCAACTGAGCAACCCTTTTTGGAAACCAGTCACCAAATATTATCAACTATAAGCCACCTACCTATGCACTGTGAAATACAAGGCTTTCTAAAATTTAAGTAATCAAAGCAATACAATTATAAGAACAGATTAGAACAGATTTAATATGATATGGTATCAAACGTTATTACACAGTTTTCTCTGCTTACTTGGTAACTTCCACTTTATTTTCACTACAGTAAAAGTAAAGGTGAGATACACCTTCACCCCAAGGACATAGAGTTTAGGAGGATTACCTTGGGTCAATTTTGACAGCTTCTTTGAGAAAAGAAGTCCTAGGGCAACTTTTTTTAGTGTTAATGATATAAGGAATTCTAAATTGTTGGTGCCCCTTTTTCTCTCTTAAGAAAAATGTTATTATAGTAAGCTTAAGCATTAGAGATTAAAGGTCTTTGTGTGCTTGCAAACTTTCTTGAGCAGTGATATCACCAGTGCAATCATCTTAAAATATATAAAGTGACTCTCTCAGATTAATTTTTGATCTCTCACCACTTCTTACTTCACAGTGTTAAAAAGACTCAAAGTCAAGCCCAAAGAACTCAGTGTTACGTTTGATTTGAACCAAGTGAAGTAAGTCTCTCTACCTTAGTCACAACTGAGTTATTAGCTTATAGTTATGGAATGCAGCCAGCCCTCAACATGTAATCAGTCATTTAGGATAATTTTTATAGACAATGTCCTCCCATTAGTGGCTAATTTTTCCCACAAACATGTGAAACTGTTAAATACAAATGTTTTGGTTCTAGCAAGTACCAAAAGCCGTTAAGATGTATATGCGTGGGGCTGTGTGCAATGGCTCATGCCTATAATCCCAGCACTTTGGGAGGCTGAGGTGGGACAATCGCTTGAGCCCAGGAGTTCAAGACCAGCCTGGGCAACATGGGGAAACCACTCTTCTAGAAAAAAATTTAAAAATTAGCTGGGCGTGGTGGTGCGTACCCGTAGTCCCGGCTACTCAGGAGGCTGAGGCGGGAGGATCACTTGAGCCCAGGAGGTCAAGGCTGCAGTGAGCTATAATGGTGCCACTGCACTCAAGCCTGGGTGACAGAGCAAGATCTGGTCTTTACAAACAAACAAACAAACAAACAAACAAAGAAGATGTACATTCCTGCTGTTTATCAGTAATAGACTGCAATTTCATTTATAGTAATTTTTTGTAATGAAATAAAGATGCAAAGAAATATACAAAAATGTGCGCATAAGAATGTATCACAACATTGGTTATAACAATGAGAAAAGGAAATAATCTAAATGTCCATCAATAAAAAAACACTACATTTGGATGCATTCAGGCAATGCAATACTATGTTAGCCTAGGTTTCAGCCAGAAAGCAGACGGCAGGAACTTGCATGGAGGTAGTTTATTTTAGGGTGTCAACCCAAGGAAAAGTAGTGGGAAACTGGGAGAAATGGAACAGGAAAGAAAGAAAATCCACTATTAAGGTACACTATCAAACTAGAAAGTATGGGAAACTGGAGCTTGATTCAAATGAGGGGCTCTAAGAAACCATGTAGAATGTGCCCCTTTTAATTGTCAACCTAAGAGACAGAATTGGGAAGCATTTAGCCACGGGCTCCCATCTCCCATCGATCAAGGGTTTTCCCATGAGGATTAACACCCTCACACTTCCAAGTCTACACAGACTCAAGTGCTAAATGGGTCCCCACAAGTTTCCCATGTGGGGTGTGAGAAGCCCCAGGGCAGAAACTGACAAATACATGGTGCAGCTAAAGCAGGTACGTGTAAGGTAACACCTATGCAATGGCCAGAGTAAAACTGAGAAGATGTGAAGTGTGAGAGTAAGAAGTGTCCAACATAAAACTATGTGCCACAAAAGTGATGGTGCAGTTCTATCATCTACTGACATGAAAGACATCTGTTCCATCATGATAAGGGAATAACACAAGTTACAAAAGGCTATGTATAGTATGATCCCATTCGTTTTAGTTAGCTAGCTTTAGTTTCTAGTAACAAAGTCCCTCAAGGTAGCTTTTAAAGGGGAAGGGGTGTTTTACTGAAAGAATCAATAGAGCAATAACAGAAAAGGGGATCTTAGAGGAACTGTGATACATACAGTTCTCAGGGCAACTAGGAAGCCACCACAGAAACAGCTAAAGTATTGAGCACTCTTTCCACCTCACTCTCACTCACAACCTAGTTCTGCTGTTCTCTTCCTCTTGGCTGGCTCCCTCAGCCTATCCTCTCTAGCTTGGAATCTCTGCTTCTTCATCTAAAGCATGGTTTCTGCTTCTTCACTGTCTTGGTGTACACATATATTTCCCATCAGAGCTCTCAGTGGTAGCTCCCATTGTAAACTCTTTCCTTCTTGATTTCTCCCCTAGATGTGTTCCTTTCTCAGTAAATGTCTTCGTTATTCACAGACCATGCTGTTGCCCTGCTCCAAACCCTCCATGGCTTCTCAGTGCATTTAGAATAAAATCCAAACTCCTGACCAGGGCCCTCATGACTCTGGAACATCAGGCGTTGGCTTCCTCTTCACAGTCATGCCACCACCCACCTCCCCCACTGCCATTCACTCACTCTCCAGGCAAGCATGCCAAACTTGTTCCCACTTCAGAGCCTCTAATGTTGCTGTCCCTTCTGCCTGGCACAGAAATCTTCTGGCTCTTTATCTTATTCAAGTCTCAGCTCAACCACCACCTGAGAAGCCCTCTCTGCCCAGCCTAGCTAAAGTAGCTCACTGTCCCAACAACATTCTGTGAAATCTCCACTTTAACTATTTCAGAGCAGTTTTCATCACCTGAAATTGCCTTATTTGTGTATTTAAAATTGCCCTTCTTTCCTAGTCATTAGCAGTACCCTGGAGAGCGTCGATGGACATTAGGTACTTGTAACTAACCATAGTTGAACAACTGAATGAATGCACTGGTATTCATGGTACAAATTCCCCAAAGGAGAAAGCTGAGTGGACCAGCGTGTTTTTTTTGTTTTTGTTTTGTTGTTGTTGTTGTTGTTGTTTTGTTGTTTTTGTTTTTTTTACCAGATCACACCATAGTCGCTGGCCAATTTAAGGCCAATGCCTGAGCCAGGAACCCTTCCCTAGTTCAGTAAGTCATAACAAGGTGGGAGTAGGCAGGCACAAAACATGGCCACCATGTCCCACCCCTTCAGCAGAAACGATGGGCAAAGAAACAGAATTACCAAAAGCTCTAACACATCTCTTTTTGGTGTATAATCCTTTACAAACCTGTAGACCCAACTCATCTAGTTCCAGGGAAATATTAGAGCAATATTCTTGCACTTCTCGAAGGATATTGAAAGAAAAATCAAACACATAATCCAGAGAAACACATTAAAATTTCTCATCTTGCCACTTCATTCTATCTGAAACTCTTTGGAGACTCTCTTTTTCCAACCCCAAGAAACTCTCTCATCCATGCAATTTTCTCACTATCTCTTCCTCCTCTTGCTTCTTCTTCCTCACCTCTAATTCCTCTCACCTTTAAACAGATTTTCTCCCATCGTATCACAACCACTGATGTGTAGTGTCCTAACAAGTAATGGACGTTTTTCTGTTTTACTCCTTTTTTCCCAAGGACAATTCATCCAATTCTTGTGCTCTCTCTGTTCTCCACTCCCCTCCCCATCTTCACTGGGAGAGTTGAAGCAGGAATCTTTGGAAATTCACCTGTTAATAATTTTTTTGTTCCCATGATATAAGGCCCATATAGGCTTATATTCAGCTCCTGTGTCCCTGTACAGTGATATTGGTTGTTTATGGCTGACATCCACTTTGACTGGTAGACTTTCATGTAATTTTATTTGTTAAATACTTTTTAATATCACCTGTGTATACATATACATGCATACATACATGTACATATACATGCACATACATATATGTATTATGCATTATGGAGAGGAAGAAGAGACATGTAAGGAAATAGAGAAAGAATCAGAGAATAAGAACCTGTACCAGAGC
Source organism: Homo sapiens (assembly GCF_000001405.40). Classification (NCBI taxonomy): domain Eukaryota; kingdom Metazoa; phylum Chordata; class Mammalia; order Primates; family Hominidae; genus Homo; species Homo sapiens. The sequence continues at coordinate 128,332,396 of NC_000004.12, read as the reverse complement.
CAGTGAAGGAAGATGTAACTGTCACTGCACACACAAATACACAGTTTATGTATATGGTAGCAATACTCACACACAGAAGGATTTTCTTCAGCCCAGTGCCAGAAATAACTCTTTCTCCTTTTGGTCTAAATATAGAATGTGGTTAGCAAAAGGAAGGAGACTCTGAAGAAATTCATTCTCTCCAAATCCAAAGAATGTACATTTCCCAGGAAAAAGGTGTGGAGAAAATAGCTCATTAACATATTTTTCTACAATATATCAAAGCAGTCAGGTACTCAGACCTTCATAATTAAACACATGAGAATCAGGAAGCATAAAACTCTTATAATGTATCAACTCTAAGAATTAGATGGTTTCTCATGCCATAAGAAACCAAAAAGAGACTTTTTATGCATTTTTTGTATATCCTAGCAAATAATAAAGTCAATATTTGTAAATATTCTATAAAAATCTTGAGTACTTTTATTAAATGCAACTTTATAGCTGATATCTGTTGTTTTGGTCCCTATAACTATCATAATTCTCCTTCATGGAACCACTTTTCCACTTTTCCACCAATCTTGGGCCATGTGGTTTGGATGGCTTATCCCACTCTTAAATCCAGTATGAGCCATGACTGAACTAAGTTAATCGGCAGATTCAATCCACTTACACAAAATAATTGATTCAGGGATGGGCACATGTCCTAATTCAGGCTACTGAGAACCAAACGCGGGGCCTCTGTCAACCACCATTTTATTTTCTGTCTTTATGAATTTATCTGCTGAGGGTGAGATGTCCTCTCTTCCTCAATAGACTTGAAGTCTTGGGAGTGTGAAGTCTCGGAAGGCTGCAGCTTTCTTACAACCATGAGGGGAGACTTTATCTAAGAATGAGGCCAACATGTGGAAGAGAGAGAAAATGAGGTGAGACCTGGTGCTGGAAATGTCTCTGGGCACCTGCGTCAAGCAACAGGTAAACCAGGCTCTTCAAGCGGACCAGTTACAAATGCCTATAAATTCCCTTTTTGATTAATTCCATTTGGTTGAGCTTCCTTCACTTTCAACCAAAAGAAACTTAACTGGTACACTGCTTACAACATAGACACTGGTTTGTTTCTATGCTTTTCTCCAGGAATATAGAGAGAGCAGACACCATCAGAAATAAGCCTAGCCAATAAACTATTCTGTAAGGGGGGCATCTTACCTGATTTTGACCACTCTGGGCCCCTAAATCTTAAGTTCAATTAAGCTGAATCCTTATAGTACAGAAATTTATTTGTAAAAAGGCCTTACATGATTGTTAATTTCAGAACTTTATAAAGACAGACTTGTTGAGAATGATAACCTACCTTATGGAATGAGAACTATAAATATTTTACTATACAGTTAATGTAAATAGTTATGTGCCAACTAAAAGTGGAATTCTAATGCTAAATTTTCAGCTGCAAGCCCACTAGGGAATTGGTTCTTTAAAAAAATATTAACTAAATTTGGCTACCAAAACAGTCTCTATTTTTGTCCAGATTTCTTTTTTCCTTGCATTCTCCAGGCCAATCCTCTGTCTCTGTCATTTTAGGTATGGAGTAGGGATGTGGCTTCTTGGTATCAGGGTCCTTGTTCAAATCCATTGTAGTTGTTGATAGTGTCTATCTACAGTGCCTCCAAATCCACTTTAAAATACCAAGTCCTTATTAATAACACTCCTAAAGAGGTCTCACCAGGCTTTCCCAGTGCTTCAGACAATTTTTAGCTCTATAGTTCTTCCCAATTTAAAAACAAAATGAATTTCACAAACAGAATTGAAATGTCAAATTTTACTACCATCTGGATTTAAAGACTGCAAGAAAAACTAGGTTTGGGTTGTTTTATTTTTGCAGCCAAAGTGAATGTATTACAGTACATTTGTTTTCAGACCATTTACCTCTCTATCTCTATGCATTTCACTCCAGGGGAATAAGGTATTCAAGTGAAAAAAAGGAAACCATCCAGAAAATTCTAAGAGGACCCTATAAAATTCAGTAGCTGCATTCGATATAATGGAAGAAAAGTCTTCCAATTCCTCTTCATCATCATGAGGATAAACCCGATCTGCTCACTGCACTGAATTTAGAACCGTGAATGTGAGTTAACAACTTGGCTCTGCTCCTCTGGGGGCTTACAATCTGATATATGTAGAGACATAAAGGATGTACGGGCAACTTAACAAAGGCTTTATGGTCCATCGTTTTAAAGCACAATGCAGCCCCAGTGCCTCCAGCGTAGGAGAAAGAATGGCAGCAGCTGAGACGTATGGGGTGGAGAAGGGGTGGATGGTGACTGGCAGCAAGGACAGGGGTGACTGGGCACCTCAGGGAAGAGCCCAGGACTGGGACACATGCAAAAGGCAGCTGAGTAATTCCATGTACTACAAGATCCCCTCCAGAGTGCATCATTCAGTTCTCTCAAGAATCCCACCAAAAGGTTGGTCAAAGACTATCCACCAAATCTTAGACATGGAAACTAAGATCCTGAGAAGTTATGATTTGGCTTAGTGACTTCTGAGAAGCACAGCAGGAGATATGCCACAAAACGCTACGTTGGCTTTTGTCCAATATTCCCTGAATGGAAACCTGGTTTCTCCCCAACTTCGGGCATTCATTCAATTCCAACAAATGATTCTACTATGCCCCAAACACTATGCTAGATGCCGGGGATACAGCAGTGAAAAAGACAAGGTTCCTGCCCCAATTAAACTTACATTTAGCAGAAAATATAGATTTTACATTTTTTCTTTTATTAATTTTACATTTTTTATTGTAAAATATACATAACAAAAATGTACCATTTTAGAACATTTTTAGGTGTGCAGTTCAGTGGCATTAAACACATTCACATTGTTGTGCAACCATCACCAACATCCATCTCCAGACCCCTTTTCATCTTGTCAAGCTGAAATTCTGTACCCAATAAATAATAATCCTCCTTTTCCCTCTGCCCCCCACCTCTTTTGACCATTTTATCTGTTGTCTTTATGAATTTGACTTCACTAGATATCTCACACAAGTGGAATTATACAATATTTGTCCTTTCGTTTCTGGCTTATTTCACCTAGGATAATGTCTTCAAGGTTCACCCAGGTTGTAGCAAGCATCAGAATGTCATTACTTTTTAAGGTTGAATAATTCTGTTATATGTAAATATCACATTTTGTTTATCCATTCATCCATTGATGGGCACTTGGGTTCTTTCCATCTTTTGGCTATTGTGAATAATGCTGCTGTGAACATTGTTGTACCATTATCTGTTTGAGTCCCTGCTTTCAATATTTTGAATATACCCAGAAGTGGAATTGCTGGATCATATGGTAAGCCTATTTTTAATTTTTTGAGAAACCACTATGCCATTTTTCACAGAGGGTGCACTATTATACATGCCTGCCAGTAATGTCCTAGTGCCCTAATTTCTCTATATCCTCATCAACACTTGTTATTTTCTGGTTTTTTGTTTGTTTGTTTTTAATAATAGCCAGTATGAAGTGGTATCTCATTGTGATTTTGATGTTCATTTACAAATAATTAGTGGTGTTGGGCATCTTCTCACATTTATTAGATACCTGTATACATTCTTTGGAGAAATGTCTATTTAAGTCCTTTCCCCATTTTTAAATTGGATTTTTTGTTGTTATTGTTGAGTTTTAGGAGTTCTTTATATACTCTGGATATTATCCCTTATCAGATATAAGATTTGCAAACATTTTCTACCATTCCATGGTTGCTTTTTCATTCTGTTGATAGTTTCTGTCTTAGTCCATTTGCATTGCTATAAAGGAAAACCTGAGACTGAATAATTTATAAAGAAAAAAATGTTTATTTGGTTCATGGTTCTGCTGGCTGAAAGATTGGGCATCTGATAAAAGCCTCAGGTTGCTTCCATTCACGGTGGAAGTCAAAGGGGAGCCAGTGCACGGTGGAAGTCAAAGGGGAGCCAGTGCATGCAGATATCACGTGGTGAGAGAAGATGCAAGAGAGAGAGGGGAGGGAGGTACCAGGCTCTTTTTAACAACCAGCTCTGGTGGGAACTAACAGAGCGAGAATTCACTAATTACTGTGAGGATGGAACCAAGCCATTCATGATGAATCTGCCCCCATGACCCAAACAGCTCTCATTGGGCCCCCACCTCCAACACTGGAGATCAAATTTCAAGGTTTGGGGGACAAACATCCTAACTATAGCAGTGTGCTTTGATGTGAATGCCGATTTAAACAAAAAATTACAGGCTTTGGGCATGCTGGGAAAGTAAGAAGAAATCTCACGGACTGGGAGGATGAAACCCTTCCTCCCTCATTTGTTCATTCAACATTCACTGCTCTACGCAGTGGGCATACAACAGTGAACAAAACAGACAAATTCCCTGGCTCCAAAGAGCTCCCATTCTAATGACATTCTTGAAGTAACATCTAAGTCAAAAGACAAAAGATAAAGAGGAGATTGCTGGGGATTGAGCAGTAGGAGGATAAGGGAGAATGACAGAGTGGAAGGAGCTCTCTAGGGGCAAGAAACAGCCTGTCTGAAGGCCTTGATAAGATGAGAAGTTGCTATGTTTAAGGAACAAAATTAAGGCCAGCAAGACTTGAGCAGAAAAATCAGCAAAAAGGTTAAGCCTGAAAAAGTGAACAAAGCCCAGTTATAGAGAGTATATACTATGTTGGAACCTTGGTTTTCATCAAAAAGCAACAGAAAGCCATTTAGAGTTTTGGGCAGAAGGATGACATAAATAGTTATATTTATGAAAAATTACCTGACTCTAGAGAAGAGAAAAGATAGAAGGGTGGGTATGGGGGGCAAGAGACCAATTATGGGGATATTGCAGTAGTGAACCTTGGATCAGAAAGGTTGGAAGCTGCATTAATAATAACACTAAATAGAACTGACAAAAAGCTAACTCAAACTCTCTCAACTAAAGGAAGAAACTTATTGTTTCATAAAACATGAAGTTCCAAAGAGTAGTCTTAGGTCCAGCTGGATCCAAGGATTTCACATGAAGTCAACAGTTCCCCCTCTCTACCACAGGAATCTATATTGAAAACATATTATTTATAGCTGCTGAAAAACATTTTCACATTTTTATAGTTTTCCATATTGTGAATTATTTCTTCTAAAAGTAGAATATAAAAAATTACATTTACTGGATTTCTTTGCATTTAGAGTAAAGGTGTATGATCTAGGCATTGCCAAACAGATACAACTACAGGAGACTTGAATGTGGAGGGGAGTTATAATCAGTGATGGCCCCACACTGGGAGATTGATTTCCTGACAAGGACAGTGGTCAAGGAATCTAGTTCTTTTGGGGCAACAGCAACACAGATTATGGCTTCAGGTTCAGGGTTGGTGCCATATCAATTGGCAACAGGTAGTAGGAATGATGTTTTTGCCAGTATAATTTTTCAGCAAGATCAGCCAGTGTTCTTAGCTTCAATGTCCATGGCAATGAACTATCAAGCCTGTTTTCCAGCAATTCTGGAAATTCCTTGAGCTACCTAATATCTTTTAATAAATCCACTTTTGCTTATTTTTGGACTATTTGGAATGGATCTGTTGTTCATAATCAAGAATGTTGACTATTATACTCCTCCCTTTTTCTTGACTCCTTTCATGTGTTAACCTCAATCTCGTCTCATGCAGACTTTTTCCACATGGTAGGGAAAGGACTACCAGCAGTCATTAACTGGCATTTTCCAGCTCCATAACCCAAAAGGCGAGTCCCCTTCCATTTCAGCACCAAATTTAAAAGCTTGGGAAATAACAATAGCTACCATTAGTATAGCCATTAATATAGCATTTACTATAAACAGACACTAAGATGGTCTATATTTACTTTTTTTTTGAGATAGTCTCACTCTGTTGCCCAGGCTGGATGGCAATGGCATGATCATGGCTCACTGCAGCCTCGAACTCCTGGGCTCAAGTGATCCTCCAGCATCAGCCTCCTGAGCAGCTGGGACCAAAGGTACAGGCCACCACACCCGACTTTTTAATTGTAGAGATGGGGTCTTGCCATGTTGCAGGCTGGTCTTGAACTCCTGGGCTCAAGCAATCCGCCTGCCTCAGCCTCCCAAGAGCTGGGATTACAGGTGTGAGCCACCGTGCCCAGCCAAACTCATTTAATCTTTACCACATCTCTAAGAAACAGGTACTATGATTTTTCCTCATTTTTCAAAAAGGGAAATGATACAATAAATTTCTCAAGGTCATATAGCTAGGAAGTAATAGAATCAGAATTTAAACTCAAGCAATTTGACTCCAGAGTCTGTGCTCCCAATGCAGGGACATTCCAACACAGAAGTGCAGTAAAGATTTTATTCCTACCTCACTGGTTTCCCTTTCCAGAACAAGCAAAGGTCTGAAAAGGGAAGCCAGAGGAAAATCAGATAAAATCTGGAGGAAAATGTGATGGCTTAGAGAAGAAAGGGTTTCAAAAAAGGAGATATGTATCTACTCAATTAGAAGTTACCCTTCAAAACATGTCATATATTCAATTATCTCCATGTGTAAATTATTGAGAGACTGCAGAGAAATTTCCAAATGAAAAGTTACATCATTGAAGAGTAAAGTGAATTTTGAATAGGCTTTCATTATCTATTAATAATCATAACTTCAGAATTATTGACTAACATGTTTCATTTGTGAAGCAAACAATAAACATCATTAAGCATGAAAAAAAGAAGGAAAGAGAGATCAACTGTGTCAGATGCTAGTGAGAGGCTGAATTAGATTCAGACAGAAAATTGACCACTATATTAGATGCTATTGATAAACTGGATAGGATCTATTTCAACAGAGTGGTGGGTACAAAAAAGTGTACTTGGAATGGGCATATGAAAGGAAAAAAATGAGAAAGTAGAGACAGAAAGTATAAACAAATAGTTTGAAGACTGTGAAGAGAGGGAAAGAAATAAAACATATGAGGATGATGTGACGTCAAGGGAGATATAGTTTTATTTTATTTTATTTTTTTAGGTTCCCTCAAATCATGGGATTCAAGGGATGATTAATAATAAAACATGTTTGTATATCATTAGGAATAATTCCATGATGAAAAAAAACAATAATTAAGAAGAGAGAGGGTAACTCCAGTATTGAGGTCCTTGAGTAAACAAATGTGGATGTGATGTGATCTAAGACGCTAACAGAGGGGCTGGACATCAGAAGTAGAAACACTACTTCCAGTGTTCAGAAAGAAACATAAAATACATGGAGGGTACAGATGCAAGTAGATTGGTAGGTTTAGTGATGGGAAGATGAGGCAATTCTAAGTTAGCTACATTTCCTTGGCCGAGGTTATTGGCTGAGAGTGAATGGGATGAAAGAATGGAGGTTTTAGAAGAAAGATTGTCCTAGAGTGTAGGAGGGTGAATGTACCAAGGAAGTGAAACAGCATCATCTAGCAGCATTGGATTCCATTTGGGATTTACAGTGGAAAACTTTAGGCAAGTCCAGTCATCATGGTTGTATGAATTTCCTCTAGTAACATTAGTTTCTCAGGTGTAGTTACAGCATAGGAGGATAACTGGGTTTCACAAGGGGTGAGTTTTTTCAGATGTGTTCAGTGGAGAGAAAGGAAAACAAGAAAGTTCAGGTTTTCTGCAAGAATCTGGCTCAAGTGCCAGACCATGGAAGCTAGCTTAACAAGAAGATAAATAACAATATGAAAGTTAGGGAAATTAAAAAATAAAATCAGCAGGATCAATGGATTGAATGTCCCTATAGGGTCAAAGAACAGTTCCAAGGGAACTGGTAGGAGTGAGATAGAGACTCAAAATGTGATAATCAGACAGCAGGATAGTGATTGCTGTCCAGAGATTTTAAAGGCTATTGGTATTGACTGTTAATAATGTCTATGGTGTGGCTGTAAGAATGGCAGTGGCTGGTTGCAGTGGAGTGAAGATATTTGAAGTAGAGAAGTTCAAGAAATTGAGAGACCAGGGTACTGGGTGGATAATCTACAAGGACAGCAAAACCAACAGGATTGTAGGAATAATGGAGGAAATCAAATACAATAAACTAGATGATAAAGTCATCAAAGAATGATGAGAGACAGCAAGAGATTCTGAAAGATGACAACTATTAGAAGAGAGATTAGGTGGTAAAGTCTGAAGACATGAACTCAACAGACTTAGGGTTTTCAAAGTCAAAAGAAGGATAGATAGTTTGGAAGGATCAATAGGAAGAAAAAAGATACTTACTCTACCTACAGCCAAATAAAGGTTTACCAGAAAGGGGTCCCGATGCAGACCCCAAGAGAGGGTTCTTGGACCTTGTGCAAGAAGGAATCCAGGGTGAGTCCACAGAGTAAACTGAAGGCAAGTTCATGAGTGAAGTAAAGAAACAAAAGAATCGCTGCTCCATAGACAGAGCAGCCCCAAGGGCTACTGGTTGGCTATTTTTATGATTATTTCTTGATTATATGATAAACAAGGGGTAGATTATTCATGAGTTTTCTGGGAAAGGGGCAGACAATTCCCAGAATGGTTCCAAAAAGGGTTCCTCCCCTTTTTAGAATGTATAAGGTAACTTCCAGACGTTGCCATGGTATTGTAAACTGTCATGGCACTGGTGGGAGTGTCTTTTAGCATGCTAATGCATTCAGTTAGTGTATAATGAGCAGTGAGGATGGCCAGGTATCACTTTCACTGCCATCTTGGTTTTGGTGGGGTTTGGCTGGCTTCTTTATGGTGTCCTGTTTTGCCTGAATCTTGTGATACCAGTCCTGCTGACCTCCTATCTCATCTTGTGACTACAAATGCCTAACCTCCTGGGAATGTGGTCCAGTAGGTCTCAGCCTCATTTTATCCAGCCCCTGCTCATGATGGAGTCACTCTAGCTCGAACACCTCTGACAGAAAGACAAGACATCTTCCATTTGGGAGGAAACTGCTTCTAGGAAAGAAATTTCCTCAGGGAACAGCCAAGTTTCAGTTAGAGGAAGAAGGGGAAGCAAATGTTCAGAGAGCAGTTTTGGGATGTAGAAAAGTTTGGTAATGGAAAACCAAGAATTATAGAGGGCAGTGGAGGAGTCTGAGATTGCAGAGCAGCATAAACAAGATAGAGTGGGGAAGGTAAAAAGCAGTGTTGAGACAAGCGATAATGATCTAGGAGGTGTGGACTTCTAGCACTGAGGTTATTGGAATGTGGGGTATGTTGTGAGCTGTCCTGGAAGGCTAGAGGAAGCTGAGTAACCAGTGTTATCCAGAGTGTTTAGCCAAGAGGTGTGGGTCATTGTTTAGTCCCATATCTCACAGAGGCGTTTGGGCCTGGGGAATGGAAGAGGGCCTCCTAGAAAAACAGCTCATCATGGGTTGTAAGCTGTTCAATGAGCAGTGCTGGCTGGGGAGGAGTTCTCTCTAGAAGCACTACTTGCTGTTGGGACCTCCAGACCCTGGTCTCTCTTTTCATTGCAGTACTGTCACAGCCTGAGCATCAGTGGGGCCACAGGTCGCTTCACCAGGTGAGAGGTGCAGAAAGAAGAGCCATAGTGGGTCTCAGAGCAGAAAGTTTTGGGGCAACTGGAAAATGAGACCACATGAGGAGCTGGGGCCATTAGTCTCTCTCTCTGGAAAGAGAAAAGGAGTTTCATTGTTTTGTTTTGTTTTGTTTTTGTTTTTGTCATCTGGCATTACAGCCTTATCTTTAACCAAGTTTTCTTTGCTCCATTTTTCAAGTTTCACTACCCTGAATTTTGCCTCTTTCAACCCCAGAAAAGTCCTTTTCTTCCTTGACCACGATTTCAACAAATAATACAAGCTAGGTATGACTGAACTACCTTCACGCAACACTTTGAACAAACTCCAGTGATATTTGAGACTTCAGACAACTACTGCTCTCTTATCATCCTTTGCTGCCATTCCATCAAAACAAAACAAAGTAGACAAAGACATGACTCACAGATGACTGATTGAGGTTAGACATACAGATGGATAGATAGACAAATAGATAATAAATAAATGAGAGAAGGGAAGAGGAAGAGTGGGGAGGGGAGTGGTAAGGAGAGAAGAGGACAGATTTGGTCATCCCTTTGATGGCTGGTAAAATGTCTAGATATTCTTTGGAATAATTCAATTCTACAATCTTATCAAAAGGATAATCTTATTTAGAAACATAATCAGCAAAACTAAAACTAATTTCCCAATTCCCCAACTTCCACATCCAAAAAATTATTACAGCTCCCAGACAAATGCAGATTTGAATTAGGAAAGGCCTAAAGGGAGCATTAGAAGGCACACTGAAAACTGTCTTCCTAACCTCTCAATCAGAACTGATCTTAAAAACCCAAAGCTAGAAGAATCTGTTTGGAGGCAAAAATCAGAGCTCTAGTCCAAAGACCTGTTTAAATAGAAGCTAAATCCTGATCTTGCCTGGAAAATGAGGTTCTTACATCAGGGTTACTCTCATAACAATGAGGAGAAACTGGCATTGTCTCTCGAGGTAAGGCTCCATCGGTGGATTATGGCAGCTAAGGAAGGGAGTCAGGATCAGAGCTTCAAACACAACCAGCTAAGGAGCCCTCATTTAGAATTCCCATTGTGAGTTTACCCCCTGGGTGGCCCATAAGGCTTCCTCTACTTTCCCTTAAACACCACACACACACACACACACACACACACACACACACAACTATTCTGCACCTTTTGAAGCTAGTATGGCAGTTATCCAAGCAAAATGGAAAATTTTTTAAATTCTACAGCATTTCAAAGAATGTTAAATTACCCAAAAAAGTGAGAATTATTTCTCCAGGGCATAGAATTATTTATATAGCTACCATAACTTTTAAAACAATGTTGATGTATAATGACATTTGTTCCATTAAAAAAAAATCTCCCCTGGCCTTTTCAGGTTCATTGTTCCTTGATTAGTTGATCCAAACTAAGCATTCCAGACATTGTTGTACAATAGCTCCATTCTGTATTCCAAAATATTTATATGGTATGACACACTTGAGCTATGTTTGCCTATGGTAGTTAGGTTTAGAACCACTTTAGAACACACACAGACCTATAATCCAGCCAGTGTTCCAATTAGACTTTTCAGAACTCCCCATCCCCTCCGTACTCTTCTCAAATCTGTTTCTGCTGGCCAGGTGCAGTGGCTCACGCCTGTAATCCCAGCACTTTGGGAGGCCAAGGTGGATCACTTGAGGTCAGGAGTTCAAGATCAGCCTGGCCAACCTGGTAAAACCCTGTTTCTACTAAAAATACAAAATTAGCTGGGAGTGGGGGCGCACGCCTGTAATCCCAGCTACTCCAGAGGCTTAGGCAGGAGAATGGCTTGAACCTGGGAGGTGGAGGTTGCAGTGAGCTGAGGCCGCACCACTGCACTTCAGCCTGAGTTAAAAAACAAACAAACAAACAAACAAAAAAAACAACAATAAGAAAACTACCTGTACATATCTGTTAAATTTACATGTATATATCTTTAAGAAATCACATATTGGAATTTGGTGTTTTTGAAACTGCTCATTATGACCATTTGTCCATGTAAACAAAATGCAGCTTTCAAGGCTTCTCGGTGACATATCTCTTAGGAATTGGCAAAAAGGCTTTAGAAAATAGATATTTGGCTGGGCATGGTAGCTCATGTCTGTAATCCCAACACTTTGGGAGGCTGAGGTAGGAGAATCACTTGCCTCCAGGAGTTCAAGAGCAGCCTGGGCAACATGGTGAGACCCCATCTCTACAAAAAAATAAAAAATTATTTAAGCATAGTGGCACATGCCTGTAGTCCCAGCTACTCAGGAGGCTGAGGTGGGAGGATCGCTTGAGTCCCGGAGGTTGAGGCTGCAGTGAGCTGTGTTCACACCACTGCAGTCGGCCTGGGTGACAGAGTGAGACAAGAAGAAAGAAAGGAAGGAGGGAGGGAGGGAAGCAGGGAGGGAAGGAAGGAAAGAGGGAGGGAGGGAGAGAGAGAAGGAGGGGGGAAAGAGAGAAAGACAAAATAAAAGAAAAAGAAAGGAAGGAAGGAAGGAAGGGAGGGAGGGAGAAGAGAGAAGAGAAGAGAAGAGAAGAGAAGTAAGGAAGGAAAAATATGGTTGTGAAGCATCTTCCCACCCCTTCAACCTCTCTCTCAAACCATAGTGATGGCTGAGCTTATGGATGAAATGATCAGTTTAGAGAAAAATAACTGTTTAATCTTCTTTGCTGGTTAAAAAGACAAGAAAATATTTCCCCCTTGAAGAGTCTGGTTTATGAAAGATGAAGAATATATCAATCCAGAAACAGCAATGGCAGAAATAATTTGTCAATACTTTAGAATGCTTTGTCAAACCCACCATGGACTTTCAGTCTTTGTAGTTAGCAAGTCCCAGAGCTTCATGGTGCAGCAAAAGGGCTTTGGACTTATTCCAGCTTACCCACTAACAGGCTATGAGACCTTGTCAAAGTTACACCTTGCTTTTGGCCTCAATTTCTCTATCTGTAAAATAAGGAGGCTAACATACTAGGTGATCTGTAAGGTTCCTTTTATCCACGACTTTCTTTTTTGTTTTGTGTTTTTTTTTGTTTGTTTGTTTTTTGTTTTGGTTTTGGTTTTGGTTTTCTGAGACGGAGTCTCGCTCTGTCACCCAGGCTGGAGTGCAGTGGCGCAATCTTGGCTCACTGCAAGCTCCGCCTCCCGGGTTCACGCCATTCTCCTGCCTCAGCCTCCCCAGCAGCTGGGACTACAGGCACATGCTGCCACACCCAGCTAATTTTTGTATTTTTAGTACAGACAGGGTTTCTTTGTGTTAGCCAGGATGGTCTCGATCTCCTGACCTTGTGATCCGCCCGCCTCGACCTCCCAAAGTGCTGGGATTACAGGCGTGAGCCACCGCGCCTGGCCTTATCCATGACTTTCTCTAAGATATGTATCTCCATCTGCAGCCATCTGAAGCAAAGGGGTGAAGAATCTAAGTACTACTGTCAGACTGCTGGGGTACAAATCCTATCCTTGGTCACTCCAGCTGCATGAAATGGAGGAAGATACATGACCTCTCTGTTCTCAGTTTCTTCATCTATAGAAAGGTTATGATGATGATAACAGTAACTCTTTTACAGGGTTATTGTAAGAAAATAAAGAAATGTATCAACTGCTTTGCACCATGCCTGGCACATAGCAAGCACTTGATAAACTTAGTGATTATTAACTTAAATGAGGTCAATTTTCAAAAACAGTAAATGTATCCCAAGCACACTTAGTGAACCACTTTCTGTACATATGTGCCCAAGTATGACCTGAGGCAGCCAGGAAATGGCCTTAGACTTTTAAAGGCAGAGTTTACAAACTGATAACCCACAAGCTGTATGCCCCATGAGTATATTTTCTCTGTATGAATGGTGTTATTGTTGTTGTTTAATTGAATCAGTTGCCAAAATTTAAAAATCAGAATTTCACATTCTGGCTTCAATGGAAAATTGGCGTATCTGGCAACAGTGGACCTGCATTCCTGCATAGCACCAGTGACTAGAGTTTCCCCTTAATGTTCCCATTACTTCCTCTTGTCTTCCAAGCAGCCTGCTTTACTCATTGACACTGCAAGCCTTGACCCTCTAGGTATTTCGGTTTTGATTCCTGCACTGCACTAGGGGATGAGGACAACTGTTCTCCATTAAAGAAAATCCACCCTTTTCCCACCACATGCACAGTCCAAGAAGAAATTATCACATAGAGGAAAATGGAACTGAAATATGGAGTGAGTGGGAGACTTAATTACATTATTTGACCTGTGAATCCAGCTTGGCTTGAACCCCTTATATCTTTAGATTTTCCAGTTAAATCAGTCATTGAATTTCCATTTTAACTGAGGGAGCTTTATTTGTTTTTTTGTCCCTTGCAACCAAGAGACATAACCAATTTCATGACAAGGGCGGCCAATTCATCCTTGTTTTATGACTGAAAATATCACATCCCTGGAAACCTCTCAGTCCCAGGCAAACTGGGATGGTTGGCTCTCCTATTCATGGCAGAGTTGTGGTTCAAAGTCAGTAGCAGTCAGCAAAGCCAATGCTTTCTAACTCTCCATATCTCTCATTTTCATTTCCAAAATTTATTATCATATTGTCAAAATTTGAACCAGATCTTGGTTTCTAACACCATTGTTCTATAAAATGAACAAAGGATCCTTGGAGAAATAGCTGATTCTAGCGCTGGGGCAGAAAATACATAAGATAAGCCTGGAGCATGTTGTATTATAGTGTTAGAAAGCAAGGAAGTACTCAAAAAATAAAACAATGGGGCACACCAAAGAGACACAAGGGCCAACTGAAAGAGGCTTCAATGGCCAAAGCTGGAACAATTTGAGCAACAAAATAAAAAACATAATATTGAGTTATATCCCAAAGCATAATAAAGATCCAAAAGTCCATTCTGATGTAAATAAATGGTTGAATAAATAAATAGGAGAAAGGACAAATCTCCCTTACAGAACAATTCCAATAATTTACGTAGATACTCTCCTTTCCAAGAGGCAGAACTTGACTTCCCACCCACTTACCCCCTTTAGGGTATTCTGGTGGGCATAGCGACTTGCTCCCAAAAAGCAGAGTATGGAAAGTGAGGAAAAAGTAACTTTATAGTATAGAAACCTGATTGTCTTTCCCAGGTGATCAAAGCTAACATCAATATGATGTATCATGTGGATAGTATGTAACCTTAATATGACGTGATAGTATGTAACCTTAATGTGATGTGGTGTGTGTGTGTAATTGGACCACAGACATGTAGTGCACCCTCCTCTCAAAAATCCGTGACTTCCATCTAACCATGAGAAACATACTGAAGAAGCCCGAAGTGAGGAACATTCTACAGAAAATATGATCAGTACTTCTTAAAACTGACAAAGTCATCAAAGACAAGAAAAGTTTGAGAAACTGTCATAGACCAGAAGAGGCTACAGAGACATGATGTCTTAGTCCATTTGTGCTGCCATAACAGAATATCCTAGGCTAGAGAATACCCTAGGCTAGGTAATTTATAATGAACAAAAATTTGTTGGCTTACAATTCCAAAGGCTGGGAAGTAAAATGTCAAGGTGCTAGCATCTGGTGAGGGCCTTCTTGCCATATCATAACATGGTGGAAGGGGTCACATGGCAGAAGGACAAAGAGAGGGCAAGAGAGAGAAAGAGGGGGCAAGCCCATTCCTGCGATAACATCATTGGTTCACTCATAAGGGCAGAGCCCTCATGACCTAACCACCTCTTAAAAGTCTCACCTCCCAATACCATCACAATGGCAATTAAATTTCAACATGAGTTTTGGAGGGGGAAAACATTCTAAGCATTGCACATGATGACTAAATATAATGTGATGTCCTGCATGGGATCCTAGAACAACAACAATAAAAAAGGATGCTAAAGAAAAACTGGTGAAATTGGAATGAAGCATTAATTTTAGTTATTAATAATAATGTACCGATGTTGGTTTCTAACTTGCCACAAATGTACATAGTAATGTGGAATGACAACAATAGGGGCAAGCAGTGAGGGTATATGGAAGTTCTCTGAACTGCCTTTGAAGCTTTTCTAGAAATCTAAAACTATTCTAAAATTTAAAAATGTATTTAAAAAATAATAATAGATCAGTTCCTATTCTAAAGGAAAGCCCCACTGTGAAGAATGACATGGCTTCATCAATTTCAAAAGCTTATAAAAAATTACATTTTAGAAAAAGGTTTTATGTGTTTTGTACATTTCCTATATAAAGTAACAAGCATCCCAGTGTCATCTGTCTGGACATGTTTTTCCAACATTGCAAGTTAGTTGTACCATTAGATTTGATTGACCTACTTAGAATTTTGGTTCTTCCAATCGTTCATTAAACTTACAAACTAAATTAATGCTTGTTCTTACATGTCTTGGCAGAACAAATTAATACTATCTAAGCAAATTAATAACCTTGGCTCCTAACTCCTGTGATTTTGGCAGGTTATACCTTCAGATTCTAAAGCCTGTACACAGGGGAATCTTTGGGTAAGGATACACTCTCCTATCAATACACATACAAAGTTATCCTTAATTAGTGTTAGAAGAATGCCCCAGAGGAGGAGCAGACTCATCATACCTTCTTGTCAAGCAATAAGAATCTGGCCCAGTGCCCTTGTAAGAAACTCAGACAGAAACACAAATACAAATCCTCATGGTAAGGAAGTAACTTCTTCACTCGACAACACTTTTCTTAACACCTGAGCTAAGAATACAGAAATGACAGACACTGAAGGATTTCCATTTCTACTTGAAGGGCAAAATAGCAACATGTTGTTAAATAGGAGATGCAGAGATATTAAGCAGATGAAATTGAGGAGTTCTTGAAATACACAATTGGGTATTCAACTAGCACATCAGAAGTGGTAAGTACTAGGAGTATAAATATGCATTTCATGAACACTGATCATGTGCCTCCCACTGAAAGCCTCTTCTGGGCTCTGCAGAGTATGCAAAAATGATTAAGACACAGTCCGTGCCCTCAAGGCATCATGCTATCCTAGTCTGGTGACTAGGATAAAGGAAATACACAAATACTTACAACCACAAAGTAGAAGTTAATATGTGCCCCAAGAAAAGTACAAAGTGCTCCTAGAGGTTGAAGAGGAAGACATAAAATTTAGTTAAGGACAGGGAAACAGACAGCACTTTGAGATAGCCTTAAATTGTGGTACAAAATAAGCTTGAATGGGGGTATTACAGGCACAGGGACAACCTCAGCAAAATCACCCAGGTTTTCCTGTTTACCTAGGGTACATGTAAATAAGTCTTGGGCAACGTGGCTTTTAAAAGGAGTCAAGATAGATGCTAGGTCTAGGGGAGAGAGTGGAATGAGAAGCATGGTGTTTATGTGCTTTTAATGCATCTCTCCTCAGATTTCTTATCAATTGTAAGGGGAAAAATAGTAACTGTACTGTGGAGAAACCAGACAATGGCATAATCAAATAATCAACATTAACACAGCCAATGAAATACAGGCAGCCAGCATGTGACTCCAAATGCGATACCCTGAAAAAGATGTAACATCCCTTTTGTAGTTTTCTAGCAGATGTGTATTATCTGAAACTCAAAAGAAAACATCACACAAACTCAAACTGAGAAATATAAAGTAACTAACCTGGTGTGGTGGCTCATGTCTGTAATCTGAACACTTTGGGAAGCTGAGGCAGAAGGATCACTTAAGCCCAGAAGTTTGAGAGCAATCTGAGAAACACACAGAGACCCTGTCTCCACAGAAAATGTAAAAATCATGGTGGCACATGCATGTAGTCCCAGCTACTGGGGAGGCTGAGGCAAGAGGATCACTTGAGCTCAGGAATTTGAGGCTGCAGTGAGTCCTATTTGCAACACTGCACTCCAGCCTGGGTGACAAAGCAAGACTGTCACAAAAATAGTAATTAAAATAAAATAAAATAACTGGCCCATGTTCTTCAAATATGTCAGTGTCATAAAAGACTGAAAAAAAAAACAAAAAAACAAAGGTGAGTTCATCCAAACTAAAGAGATAGCATGACTAAACATAATGGCATCATCCTGGACTGCATTCTGAGCTGGAGGAGGGAAATGCTAGAAAGGACAATATTGGACTGTAGGGATTTTTCTTAAGTATTGTACCCATATAAATGTCCTGAATTTAATAATTGTACTGTGGTTACATAGAGAATATCCTTGTTTCTGGGAAAGACACATTGAAGAATTACTGTTGGCTGGGCGTGGTGGCTTAGGCCTATAATCCCAGCACTTTTGGAGGCTGAGGCAGGTGGATCGCTTGAGCCTAGAAGTTCAAGACCAGCCTGGGCAATATGGCAAAATCCCACTCTAAAAAAAATACAAAAATTAGTGGGTGTGGTGGTGGCACGCACCTATAGTCCCAGCTACCTGGGAGGCTGAAGTGGAAGGATGGCTTGAGCCTGGGAAACGGAGGTTGCAGTGAGCTGAGATCCCACCACTGCACTCCAGCCTGGGTGACAGAGCAAGACGCTGTCTTAAAAAAAAAAGGAACTACTGTAAATGTGTATGATGTATGCCACTTACTCTCAAATTATTCAGAAAAAGTAATATGTGTATATGGAAGGAGAAAATGATAATAAAACAACTATGGCAAAGAGTTAAAAATCGGTGAATATGAGTAAAGGGTACGTGGGGTCAGGGGAAATTCTTGACATCATCTTGACACCATTCTTGTACATTTTCTGCAGTTTGAAGTTATTATGAAATAGAACCTTTTTTAAAAAAACAAAGACCCTAGAAAGCATTAAAATAAAAATTACTGGCCGGGCACAGTGGCTCACACCTGTAATCCCAGCACTTTGGGAGGCCGAGGTGGGCAGATCACGAGGTCAAGAGCTCGAGACGATCCTGGCCAACATGGTGAAACCCCATCTCTACTAAAAATACAAAAAATTAGCCAGGCGTGGTGGCAGGCACCTGTAGTCCCAGCTACTCAGGAGGCTGAGGCAGGAGAATGGTGTGAACTCAGGAGGTGGAGCTTGCAGTGAGCCGAGATCGCGCCACTGCACTCTGGCTTGGGCGACAGAGCGAGACTCCGTCTCAAAAAAAAAAAAAAAAAAATCAAAATTACTTTCAGGTAGGAAAGTAACCAAGTTCTATTAAGGTATAAATATTTTTCCATGACTGTAAATTACTATTTATATAGTACTTCAAATTTTAAAATATTCTTTTTCACTTAATATTATCTTATTTAATTTAAATATTTCCATGTATCCACTTGGTCACATATCAATCCCATTTAGTAACTATATAGTTCTCTATCATTTTCAGCATCTTCCATTATTGAACAATTTCCATTATTTCTAGTTTTCACAATTGTAATTCACTGCTATGAATATATTCATAAAAATTACTTTATATCTTTTGGGACTATTTCCTAGGGATTTTGGAATAATTTTGCAGAACAAGATCTAAAACGAGGACTGTACTCTGTTTTAGATGTTAAAATTATATGGATTGAGATCCACTCATGCCAGAGGACATTTTCCATGTTTGTGAATATGAAGTTATTCTCAAAAATTAATCATCAGCACATTGGTACCATTGCCAGACTGCAGCGAGCTCTCTGTCTCTCTCTGTCTCTCTCTCTCTCTCTCTCTCTCACACACACACACACACACACACACACACACCATTCACCAAGACCAAGGAGCAAACCAAACAGGAAAAGAGGAAGATGCTCAGGGGCAGGGCTGACTGATGATTGCCAGAAGACCATTGCCAACTCAGCTGGAAAGCTTCATCCAGTTAAAACAAAGCACAGAAAATCAAATTTGCCCATGTTCAGATGCACTGGTTTTAGTAAATATGTCTTTTTCTGTTATTTGTGGTTTTTTTTTTCCTGAGACGGAGTCTTGCTCTGTTGCCCAGGCTGGAATACAGTGGCATGATCTCAGCTCACTGCAACCTCTGCCTCCCAGGTTCAAGTGATCCTCCTGCCTCAGCCCTCCCAGTAGCTGGAATTACAGGCACGTACCACCATGCCCAGCCAATTTTTGTATTTTTAGTAGAGATGGGGTTTCACCATGTTGGCCAGGCTGGTCTCGAACTCCTGACGTCAGGTGATCCACCCGCCTCGGCCTCCCAAAGTGCTGGGATTACAGACATGAGCCACCGCGCCCGGCCATATGTCTTATTCTTAGAGCTTCCAGGATTGTAATATAGAAACTGCTCAGTTAAAAAAAAAAAAAAAGACATGTACTCTGATTATAAATGTGTCTGGGGAGCTTTCAGAATTAAATGACTAAAAAATAATTTTATATGTAATGATAATTATGTCAGGCTAAAGACCAACTTGAGTTAATGTTTGTAAACAAGGAACAGCAATTAGCAATTTCAGTAATTAGGAACTGGTTTGTAAAGGATAAGAAGAGCATGGAACTTTGTTAAAACCCTGTTTCTGTCTTTAAGGAAGTACACAGACACACTAAGGTGTGTCTCTTTTGGGAACTGTAAAATGTGTGAATATATAGGAAATATAAGCACTTGAATTCTTACCAGCGCACATGAACGGGCAAGGCAAAGTTTTCAAAGAGATGCCTAGCACAAGAGAACATTCAGGAGTAATGGAAATAATCTATATCTTGGCTCTGGAGTTGGTTATGTGCATACAAGCTTTTGCTGAAACTCTCAGACTTTTCACTTAAGATCTGTTAAGTCTTGCTCCAAAGTACACGTTGAAAAGTGCAGCAGAGGCACACAAAGTTGGGCAGTAGCAGACCTGTTCTATCACTAACTAGTACTGTGAGTTTAAGCAAATCATGTAACTTCAGTTTCCTCATTTGAAAAACAAGATTATGATGAATGATTTCTTAGTTCCCTACCAGCTTTAAGAGTCTCATTGACAAATTTTTTTAAGTAGTAATGATTTTATGGAAATTATTAATCTGATTTAGGACTTCGGCAATTTTAACTGTAAAAGTTAAAGTTTTATCCATTATATTAAGTAATACATGGATACATTATAATTATAAAAAGAAATTCAAATGATATGATAAGGCCAAAGTTTTCCTGGCACCCTTCCCATAATCCTAGAGGAAACCTGTCTTACCAGCTTGCAGTGTATTCTTCTAGGTTTCTTTGTTGTTAATGCAGGAGAGGTATTATGGCTCTGTGGCTGTTAGCCTTAGCTTTAGCCTCTGTGACTCTTCAGTCTTAAAGACTGAGGAATAATTTTGCCCAGATCCAGAACCCAGTAAAACCACTAGCCAGTGTAGAACCCTGCTGAAGTCATCCAAACTCCCTATGCTTCAGTTCCGAACTAAAAACAGCAACAAAAATGGCAACCACTCAGGAGATTGTTGTGCCGATTAGATATGGTACATATAAAACACACAACAGAGCCTGGCACCCAGGAAGTATCAGTTATTACTGATAAACTTTTAGCTATTTTGTAATAAAATATCTATACTTACTTCTTCACCAATTCATTTGAAGAATAAGTAATTTAAACACATATCCTAACTCAAGAAAGTCACTCAAAGAGCAACATGAAATACAAATGCACTCAGGAAAATAGATCTCTTCTCTTGGAATATTTAATCATTGATCTTGAGACCAAAGTCTTCTTTGATATCATCTGATAAACCTTGCAGATGAGGGAAGTCAGGCTCATCAAGTTATGTTACTAACACTTCAGATTTTTATTTAATATGGGAAATATTTAGTAGGTGGGGGGAGGGATGAAAAATAAAATTGAAGAGAGCTATGTCCAGCCTTGTCTCTATAGTTTTGTCCCATCACTGAAAATCATTAAGCAGTCATGATACCTAGGGACCCGAGGACACCGACAGCATAACATGGCTAAACACACTGTGATGAATATCTGAGCTTTGTTTCTAACTTAGGAATGAGGGTTCAATGTGCTTGCTTTATTTTCATTTAGCATTTATTCTATAATAGATTTTCCTTTCTTAATTAAGAATCCTTTAATCAAGGAGGCCGAGGCAGGAGAATCGCTTGAACCTGGGAGGCAGAGGTTGCAGTAAGCCGAGATCATGCCACTGCACTCCAGCCTGGGTGACAGAGCGAGACTCTGTCTCAAAAAAAAAAAAAAAAAAAAAAAATCCTTTAATCAAGCGGGGGAAAAGCCTGCCTGGTTAGATTTGGATTTTACTATTTTCTTGACACAGAAAGACACAGAGACTAAAGTTTCAACTGAGAAAAAATAAAGTATCACGTTTTCTTCCACTTGAGCCTAATCAATTTTTTACCTTTACACACAGTGATAAGAGCCTGTGCCAAAGGTTCTTGATTCTGTCTACGTGAAAGGGCTATACCTGACAGCCACTTAGTCCACAAGTCAATAGCCTTCAATAATGAAAAGTCAAGGGCCCTGACTCTGGGTTTGCACCATTCCTGCACTGCTCCAGGACAGATGCTCCCTCTGCTGGGGTGGCCCCTGCTCTGGCAGATGATCCTTTTGCTCCCATGACAACCCACCGTGCAGAGAGCACACCCATGCAGTGCCCTGTTGGAGATGAGAGAGACGAAGGGTAGAGCGAAAGACCGGGGCTTGCCCTTTAACCAGACCCAAATGTTTCCCTGGCCTTCTTGGCTAAATGCCATTATCAACACATTTCCAAGAGCAACAGCTGGCCTCGGGGAGCAGTGAACTATGGCCCTTGTGTGATTTAAAGATCCCTCTGCCCCACATTTCACCTCACTCTCCTTTTAAACTGTCTGATACACTGTATTTGAGACTTATTCCTTTAGTTTAACAATCATGTCTTAAGATGTAAATGTCCTTGGGACCATTTGCTAATGCAGTAAGATCCATCAGTCATTCCTGCTACGGCATGAGTTTGTTTCATCCATCCCTTTCTTTCTACCAGCTAAGATCATCAAATCTAGAGGAGGAGAGTTGGGTTATGTTTTATTGTTCTTATTTTATCTTTTGACTCAAGAGATGAACTTATGAGGGAAGGAAGGGTGATTTGGGAGAATAGGGCCCTGCTGGGAAGGGTAGGGAGGTGAGTAAAAAGGGTGGGCTTCTGGCAGACAGCAGGAGGGCCTGGATCAATCTGGGTGAGTGGGGAATCCAGCAAGGAAGCATACATCCAAAACAAGCCCCATTATTTCACAACTATGGGACTAGCCTACTTCAGGGAATATCACTCCAGATCTTGGCCATGACCTAGAGTTGCATAAAATCTGCTTATCTTTCAAATTAATACCACAGTGATTGATGAGAGAGCATTTTTTCAGTAAACTGAATTTAAAACCCAGTGATCACATGAAAAAAAGCATAATAAAAAATCACACACACACACACACACACACACACACCCATCATGTACAAATTATAATTTAGATAAGGAATATAATTCCCAATTACAAAGTGAAGGCTGTGGCAGTATTATGTATAATGACCTTGACAGAGAAGATTATCTTCCCACATTGGCCTGCCACCCCGTCCTACATTTTGTATAGCCGTGACCATGCCGTATTTAGGATGGAATAAGGACAAAGGCCTACACAACCATTGATCCCCCGAGGATGGAACGACTGGCTACTTTTCCTCAAAAGTGTGCTAAGCACATGTGTGAGCTGGTAGCTATGGATTGCCTTCAAATAAACAACTGTTTCCAAATCTGCCTGGATTGTAAAAATCACCCAAGGTGCCTGTTTAAACCAAGCCATTCCACAGAATTCTGATTCAATAGGCCTGGAAAGGCCCCAGGAAATTGTGTTTTTCATCAACACTTCAGATTACTTTTGTAATCAGGCATATGCTATAAATACCAAGATAAGACGTCTACAATTTCAGGAAGAAAATTAGAAAGGGGGAGAGGCCAGAGGGAGTCATTTCTTTCTTGAGCTTGGAAATATGCATTGCTGCCCCGTTTAGAGGATAGAGTATGACTTCAGGCCCAATTCATTGCCTGTCTTGAGCTGAGAACTTTCCATAATATCAACAGAACATAAGAATCCCAGATAAAGAGGGAATTCAGCTCTTATGTACGAAGGCCTATTAATATCCATAAACTCACTAACCTTTTGGAAATATGCAATTAAGATCTAGTGTTGACCGGACACGGTAGCTCACGCCTGTAATCCCAGCACTTTGCGAGGCCAAGGCGGGCAGATCACTTGAGGCCGGGAGTTCAAAACCAATCTGGCCAACATGGCAAAACACCATCTCTGCTAAAAATAAAAAAAAATAAAAAAAATAAAGCCAGATTTGTGGCACACACCTGTAATCCCAACTACTCGAGAGGCTGAGGCAGGAGAACCGCTTGAACCTGGGAGGCAGAGGTTGCAGTGAGCCAAGATCATGCCACTGCACTCCAGCCTAGATGATAGAGTGAGACTCCGTCTCAAAAAAAAAAAATCTAGTGTCGTGGAGCTTATTGTGATATTCCTTGATATGCTGGTGGTAAAGGCCCCACCACTGCCAAAAAAAAGATGAATGTTGCTACTATAATGGTGCAGCCAGAGTTCTGAGATAATAAACTAAAGCTGGTTAACACAGCAAGTTAAAATGTGGGTAGTGCCCAGAGCTAGTTTGAAGTACAATACACAAATGGAACACAACTTTTCACAAGAATTCCTTTACCACGGAGCTAGCTGTATTCAGAGCCCCATTCAGCAGCCTCCTAATACATGGCCTAGGCCTGAAAGGGAACACAGGAAAATAAAACAGTAATTATATGGAGCGATAGGATTGTAAGTGAAGTTTTTCTATATTTATTTTCTGTATTGTTATTTTAATATGAATGAGTGCAATAAGAAATCAGCAGTTTTTAATGTATTACTTGCTATTCACTCATGACTATTTTGTCAAAAAGCAAATGAAAGTATTTCTTAATGACAACTGAGCCAGTTTACTAATGCTTCTATTCATGAAGATATTATATTCCATCAACACATTCCTCTGTCATAAACTTCATTTTCAGACATGAAAACAATATAAGAGGCACTGAGACTCATGTCTCAATTTTGGAAAAAGCATTTCATACACTATGAAAATGGAGTTCAATGCTTATTAAAATAGCACTGGACATTCTGGAAAAACTTAAAATATGCCACAGAAGCCTCTGAGGTAAAGAGAAGGGAGAAGTTAGGGTTGAGAGGGTTAGGAAGTAAGAGCAGGGTGGAAGAGGCCAACAGCCCAGGAATTTCCTTGGTACAGGTAGGCTTTGGTCTTTTTCACTGCCTAAGGCTGGGGCCAGAGCCTTGAGGAAACGCATTGTGGTTAGCCCCAGGCACCCCAGGACAGAAAGGCTCTCTGGTGGAAATAGAAATGTACATTGGAACCATTGCATCTGGGCCTCATGGTCCTTTCATGCTTTGATAGAGGGAAGGGGTAGAGCAACTGCCTAATGGTGGGACTGGGAGAATGATCACAAACAGGATGCTAGGCTGCTGAAAGTGGAGTGGGAATGGCTGATATCAGAGGGAGGGGCTAAGACCAGCCCTGTGATGGTGGGGGGAATCCTGGCTAAGTGAGGGAAAAGGAAAAGATAAAAGCCCCAAGGAGAAACCACGAGGACTTGCAGCCCCACTGCTCTGTAGCTGAGTGCAGGCAGTCAGGCACCCAAACAGACAGACAGACTAAGGCTGTTCTCAGCCATCATGGCTGAGCTCAGGCTACCCTGCTTTGCATATCTCATGAGCATTTTCATGTTTGACCACAGCTGACTAAAGTATATTTGCTTCCAGACAATTTGCTAATAGAGATATAACTGCAAGAGAAAGGCAGATATTCCAGTCCAGGCCAATAGGAAAAGCTGAACTTTCACCTTTCTCCCAGAGTTTATGATGAGGTTTGGAATTCAGACTAATGTTCAGAAGACTTTTTCTTTCTTTTTTCACTTGACTTTCCAAATGATGGCAGGGACCTTAGATAACAATTTTCAAACTAATATTTTCACCAAAAAGGATTAGATAAAAAACAACTAGCAATCTTTCTTTTTATATTTTGGTTTAAAGTTTAGTATTCTCTTTCAGGTGGAGGATGACCAGTTTTACACTTTACTGAAAAAAAAATATGTTTTAATTTTATAATTTACTTTCCCAAGAGTCCATCAGATTTCTCCAAACACTCATCTAGAATATATCCTTCAATTTTTCATGAGACTCTGGACATCAATGGGTAAGACTCTTCCATGACATCATGACACCTTAGCCCAAACACCCTCTCCTGTGGTTGTATTTCCTTCTACAGTCATGTGCTGCCACATCATGTTTCAGTAAAACAACAGATCACATACACAACAGTGGTTCCATAAGAGTATAATGGGCCAGGTGTGGTGGCTCATGCCTGTAATCCCAACACTTTGAGAGGCTGAGGCAGGTGGATCACCTGAGGTCAGGAGTTCCAGACCAGCCTAGCCAACATGGTAAAACCCCTTCTCTACTAAAAATACAAAAATTAGCCAGGTATGGTGGCGAGCACCTATAATCGCAGCTACTTGGGAGGCTGAGGCAAGAGAATTACTTGAACCCAGGAGGCGGAGGCTGCAGTGAGGCAAAATCACACCACTGCACTCCAGCCTGGGCAACAAGAGCAAAACTCCATCTCAAAAAAAAAAGAAGAGTATAATGGAGCTGAGAAACTGCAACACCACAGTAAACAAACTTAACTGCAAGCAAGAGAGCCAGGATTTGAACACCCCTGACTCCAGACCCCGTGTGCTGAGCTACCAAGCCTTCCTGCTCTCACCAGTGTGAAATATTAAATGCTCTGGGATCACCTCCTCCAAGTAGCCTTCCTGGCCAGCATTTCCACCCCACCTCCTCTGCTCTGGGTTGCATCCGCCCTTAGTGTTCTCATAGCTCTTTATCAATTGTCTCCCAGCAGGGACTGCATATCCCTTGAAGACAAGGTCCATGGCTTATTATCTTTATAATCCCAGCACCTCCCAGGGTGGCTAGCAGAGAGTAGGAGCTTAAGGAGTGTTGAAATAAGAGACATCTAGAGAAGATGCCAGAATTAAACATCTATTATTCTCATGTTGAATCTATTATATATATTTATACTTTCATTTTATATAATGGCATTACTATAATTATCCCTTTTACAACATAATATTGATGGCTAATTTAGATGAATTGATTCTATTTTCAAGTAATTCTGCTAGAGCTCTTTGACTATAGTAGGCAGCTAAAATATTCAAGGTATCAACAGTGGCCAAATGAATAAATAAAAGAAAAATAAAGGTCATATATTAAATAAAGTGGAATCAAATAGTAATTGTTAAGAGTGAAGGCCAAAATGTAACCAACCATAATGAATATTTAAGAGCTCCCATTTTAGCAATCAATGCCCTTCCCCCACAGGAACTCACTATAACGCACTGCTCAGATCCCATTGAAGGGAAGAGTTCCTGTCACCTCTCTTCCAGATTCCCTGTTAAGCCAGGCTTTCTCCTCTCGAAAGCACCCTTAACCCTTGACTTCAGGAGGCTGGTAGCAAAAGTCATGACACAGAGAAAATGTGCACTAGCAGAGTCCTTACTGGGAGCACAAAGTTAGGAGCCCAGCTCCTGAGCAAGAGAGCAGAAGAGCATAGTGGTAAATCTTGAGCCTATACCTACTAGCATTTATCTTGAGCAGGTTACTTAACTTCTTCAGGTCTCAGTTTCCTCATATGTAAAACAGCCCCTACTTCATAAGTCTGCTGGGAGGATTTGGTAAGATGATGTATACAAAGTACTTTCCACATTACCTGGCACATAGTAAGTGCTCAGTAAATGTCAGCTACTGTGGTCTAGGCAGATTGGTGAGTGATAGCATCAATGTCTCACACAACAGAACCAGCCTGTGGGGTAGCTTTAGCACAGGTTCCAGGATTGGAGAACTTTGATCCTCAGTGAGTCCTGCAAGAATATGTCAAGGGAACTGATATGGTATAGATTGCCTGGATGCAAATGATCAGTTTCTAGCTGTGTGAGCTTAGAAGAGTGGCTTAACATCATTGTGCCTCAGTTTCCACATGTGTAAAATAGTGATAATAATTGTACCTGACCCATACATTATTGTGAGGATTAAAGGTGTATTTGTGTGTGTGTGTGTTGTGTGTGTACAGGTATATCCATATATATATATACATGTGTAGTGTGTATGTGTGTATACATATATATGGATATACCTGTACACACACAACACACAAACATATATGAACAGCTTTGGTACAAAACAATATAAATAAGCTGTTACTGTTATTATTCCAGGTGACCTTCAGCCTTCACTTTCTACCCAACAGCTCTGTGTTGAAGCAGATAGAGAAATGACATTCTATGTGGTCACTGAGGGAAATTTTAAATATCTTCCTACATTTGTTCAAATAAGCTGAGAAATCCTTGGTACTCAGTATGTCTACTGGACAAAGTTGGAGTCCAATATTTCAATAGGACCCTTTCTGCTTTTAAATTATTTATTAACCAGTTTGTGACAATGTACAAGAATTCATATTTCTCCTATAAAAGTCTGGTTCTCCTGCCCCTAAGTGTTTCAGAGAAAGAAAGAGGTCTGGCTCAGGAGAACAGTTTTGTCGAGTAAAAATGGCCCCAAAACTGTTTACAATTCTCATTTGATTACTCTTACCATAGAAAACAAAACAAAACAAAAAAACGGTTATGAGGACTTTAAATAAAACTCATTACGTGAAAAGGAAATGGCAAAAGTCACACAAAACTATTGCATAGTTTCTGAATTAAGTCAAATAAAGTAAGGAAGCATCCAAGATAAGGCTGAAACACACCCTTCCCACTAGTGATCTGTTATTCTCTGATAAAAAAAAAAAAAAAAAAACTAACTAATAGAAGCCAACCCTGGGCTACGTGAGGTCCTTGCAAAAGGTACCTTCTCTATTTCCTCCTATCAATATCCACAGCAGCGCTGTACCAAGACATTTCTGCACCCTAGTGCTTTCATAGTCACTAGATCTCTCTCCCACCCCCAACACCACCCCCCTCAACACACAGACAGTTACATGGATGGTTTGGGGTGAGGGCGAGGAAAGAGAAGACTGAACAGTTTCTGATTCACTGCACACGCAGGGTCCTGTTGTAAACACCTGGACACTCAGCAACCACCAGCTCTCCCCCATCATCCCTCCCCAGCACTTGGTTTCCGAACATGGAAGAAATAGCCCCTTCAAAAGACTGTATCTAAAACTGTCACAATGCCCACCCCATACCCAGCACAATGCAGAATTCATCAATATCATATTTAACAGGCCCCAGAAATTTCAAACTACTAAAATTTTTCTGGTAGTGCTATCTGGATACATGCCTGTTGCATTTTAAGCTAGATGAGGTAAAATACTTGAAAGAATCCTATACTCTAGCTCTCCTAATATAATAATATACATCATTTATTATCCAAACTTGCCACATGTCAGAAAGCCATTACTCTGGTGGCAGCTCAGCAGCCTATGGAAAATGAGTCAGGACACTCAGTCTAGTTGCAGATGGCAGATGCCTGGGTCACATATCACCCATACAGGGGACAAATCTAGAACCAGTGTCCCAGTGAGGTTCGGTCGGTGGCAAGACAGGCCAGAACAGGGAAATCTGGGACCCCGAGTAGTCAGAGTCCAGGAGCAGAACTGGTGTGGGAGAAAGGTTCCAAGAGGGACAACTGGTACTAAGGAGTTCACAGAAGAAAAAAGGAAGAAAATCTGGGGCCTGAGGCAGCACACCACCCCAGGGAGGGGACCAGCTGAGGCTCAGTCATAAGGAACAGGACAAAAACCAGTCACCAGTGAGCCACACCAGATCTTTTCAGGAATTAGTGGTGTTTGGATACACAAACACACATAAATATACATAACTATGTATGAGAGAGAAACTCTAGTTTAGAAAGCATAGAATTAGGTATCTAGTCTCAGATTTAAGCCTCACAAGCTATGTGACCTTAGGCAAATCACTTACCCTCTCTCAGCCTATTTCAGTAGCCGTAAATGGAGACTACATCTTTCACACTTGTTGCACAATGTTGTGAGGACCTGATGAAAGAACAGATGTGAACACAGTTTATAATCCACAGTGCTCAAGAGCCATAGCAGGGGCTTCTTTCCTTCCTTATTAACATACCTGAGGGATGCTCTGGAAGGATCAGATTCTGTGCAGCCTTTACAAGCCCCCTTTTGCCTTTCAAGTCTACTCACTCTCACTCTCTCTCTCTCTCTCTCTCTCTCTCTCTCTCTCTCTCTCTCTCCTCTCTCTCTCTCTGAAAATCATTGCTCTAGTCCAACAATGAAGCAGACATTTAATTATTCTAAGTTCATACTGGAGGCCTGGAGGCCACGAGGCTCACAGATGTGGTTTCTTTAGCCTGCAGTTTGGCCTGTACAGGGTACCTCTTCCCACTTCTCATGCTCCCCAAAATTACATATATCCTGTACAACTTCTAATATTTAAAAATCAGTAGATTCCATAAGGATTTAGCTTTATAGCTTCCCTTGAAAAAAATCAAAAGATCTAGCAACACTGGATCTAAATTCCCACAAGGCAACACCATGGTACAACAGTGGTTCTCAAATCGCCAAAGTGTATTAAAGCAGAGACTGCAAGGCTCCCATGTTTAGAGTTTCTGAATCAGTGGGCTGAGACGGGGCTGAAAATCTTCCATTTCTAACAGGTTTCCAGGTGATTCTGATGCTGCAGGTCCAGGGACCCATACTTTGAACACCACTATGCTAGATCTTTGTATGGGCTGCTCTCTTTACATAGGGTGTGCAACTCCCATTTGCCATAGCACCCACCACCTCCTATTGTCAGTGACACAAGTAAGAATCTGATGTCATTTATCTGGCTAACTCTGTTGTTTTTCTTACACATGCAAAGCCATGTGACTGACTGAATCTACCCGGCCTCCTAGGCAATTGAGTTAGCAACCTCTGCTCCTTGGAGGCAAGAACTCTGCCTTACCTAATACAGCACTCTCTTCTCTTTCTCCCTCTCTCCTCTCTCTTCCACACACACACACACACACACACACACACACACACACACACCATCCCATACAATGTCTTGCACATAGCATTTAAATATATTAATTGATTTTAATTTCTGCATACAACCTAAAACTTTCAAGGCCTGAGGATAAGGGACAGAAAGACTTTTAAGCAAGGAGTTGGTGTAGTCATCTCCTCTTACCTAACAGATCCACAGCTAAGAGCAGGGGGGCCATGCTGCCTCAAATCTCATGGAGATGGGAGGCAAAGAATGAACCAGATCAATGGGTCAGCCATGAGTTCTCCTGAGATCCACTTGTCCAATTAGCTTCTCAATCCTAGTACTTATCCCCAAATCCCCTAAAATTAGCTACCATCCAAGAGTATTATCAACTGAGCAATTCAACAAACTGCCTTCACTGATTGGTTTTGTTATTCACCAGCCTGAGGGCATGGGGGACACCTGGGTAATAACTTTATGTCTCTTCTTGCTTTATTTTCTATGAGCCCATTAATAAACCTGGAACAAATTCTGTGTGCATTTCAAAATCCACTAAGTAAAGTCACTACGGAAAACAATATGGAGGTTCCTCAAAAAACTAAATATAAAATTACCATATGATCCAGCAATCCCACTTCTAGGCATATATCCACAAGAATTGAAATCAGTATGTCAAAGAGATATCTGCACTCCCGTGTTCATTGCTGCAGTGTTCACAATAGCCAAGTTATGAAATCAACCTAAGTGTCCACCAATGGACAAAAGAAAGTGGACATATCCAAAAGAAAATATGCTAGGTGAAATAAGCCAGGCATAGAAAGACAAATACTGAATAATCTTACTTGCATGTGGAATATAAAAAAGTTGAACTTATAAAAGTAGAGAATGGTGGTTACCAGAGGCTGGGAGTCTAGGGAGTGGCTGAGGAGATGTTGGTCAAAGGATATACAAAGTTAGACTGGTTAGACGGAGGAATAATTTTTTGAAATTTATCATACAGTAGCATTATTATTATGTATTATTAATCATAGTTATAGCACTGTATTTTATATATCAAATTTGTCAAAAGAATATATTTTAAATGTTCTCAATAGAAAATAATGGTAAGTATGTGAGGTTATGGATATGTTAACTCACCTGGTATAATCATTCCATAATGCATACATATATCGAAACATCACATTGTGCCCCATAAATATATACAATTATTATTTCTCAATTAAACATAAAGATTTAAATTTTTAAAAATCTACCACAATGCAGGCCAGACTCTTTCCCTTGTCCACTCCCAACTCACATGATCTATCTCAGTTCCTTGGACCAAAGCCATGGTTTGTGTAAAATGACCCCAAATTTAACTTCCACGAAGAGTTTAAATGTTTCTCTTCTCAACAGTGAAATAGGCAGTTCATTCTAGAGACTCTATAAAAGACACCAGTCATTAAGGCAAACAAATTTTATCCTTCTTTCATGGGCTAACAGTGAATGAAAAGAGGGGTACACCAAGGTAATTTGTGAAGGCGTAAGCACAAGTCTTGAAATTAAAATATTCTTGAAATGCGACCAACAAGGACGAAACATTTAAATTAACGGTTAGAGTCCTCTCCTGCACTGTCAAAAAGTAGCTTCAGAGCAGTATTATTATTTTATGGAAAAGGGCCTGGAGACCTATTACAACTTCCCAGGATTATACAGTTATAATCAAAGACAGAGACTAACTCATTCTCAAATCCACAGCCTCAAAACCAATCGTCATCACTATCCATAGGCCTTGTATCAAGGGCATACCTTCTCCACAAACTGTCTCCAAAAAGCTTAAGGACTCAAAGGCTGAAGATGGCTCAAAAACGAAATGGAGCATGATGATTACTCCTTAAAACAAGGAGAGAGAAACAGAAAATTAAAACATAGTGAATCAGAGAAAAGACATGCAAACACACTTTTACAATGACAAATGATTCCCAGCCCAGACATACTTTGCTTTAGTCTAGTTGAATGTAATAACAAATTCCAAGAAAGAACAGATCTCTCAGAAGGAGACTGGGAAGTAGAAACAAAGGTAAAAGAGTCTGAGACAAAAGTTTTCAAAGCCCATCAAGCACCTCCAGGGAGAGCCTTGGCCAAGTGTCCCAATCCTTAATGAACAGAAATGCCTAAAACCTGTGAATTCCAGGAAAGCCAAAAGGAAAAGACTAACAGATTTGACCACATAAAAAGTAAACACTTCTATAAGGTAAAAGATCCCATAGCAAATTCAAAAGGTGAATGAATATAGACAAGGAGAAAGTATTTGAACCTATGTGAGAAAAAGGGTTAAAATTATTTATTATATTATAAACATCCCTCCACATACACATATACCATACCCTCCACCAAAAATGATCAAGGACAAACAACCCAACAGAAAAAATAGACAGGAGAGGAAATTCATGGACAAATCATGAAACAGGAAATGCAAACATCCCAAAAACATGCAGAAAAATTCACAATCTCACCTGTAGTCAGAAAACATGCAAATCAAAATAAAGATGTATTGTTTTTACTGATCACACAGCCAGGGGTAAAAAAACAAACGAACAAACTAAAAAACTAAAAATATCAGCATCACCCAGGACTGGCAGGAATATAAGGAAACAGATATGCCTCTATGTTGCTTGGGCTATATAATCCTTGGAATATAATTTGGCCATGCTTAATAAAAATAGTATGTTCTTTGATCTCAAGTCCCTCCTTGGAGAAGTGCAGTGGCAAAAAATAACCTCAACATTCATCAACAAGAGAAATAATTGAATATATTCCAGACATCCATACGAATATTGTAAAGTTATTAAAAAGAACAAAAATAGCATTAATTTGGGAGACAGTAAAAGGCAGTGGTAGCACTTTGGACTCAAAAGCCAGATTGCCCAAGTTCCAGCTGCTGCTCCCACAATCACTAGCTGTGCAACTTTGGGCAAATTAATCACATGTCAGTTCCTTGTCTACCCACTGGGGACAATAGTGCCATGGTAGTTGTAGGGTAAATGAGGTGAGGCACAGGGCCTGGCACCCAGCAGGTGCTAGAGTGATGTCCATGAGATTCTGTTGGGAGACGGAGAGACTGCACAAAATGAATAGCATGAATCTATTTAAGTTAAAAAAAAACTGTTTTATACAGTGGACTCTGTGTGTATGGGTATGGTGGTGGTGGTGGTGGTGGTGGTGAGAGGAAAGGAGAAAGTTTTAATTTTTTCTTTCCACATCTCTCTGTCCTTTGGCTTGTTACAAAGAACATGTCTTACTTCCGTCATTTGGAAAAATGATTCAGTAACATTTTTTGGAAGTGGGGTAGACGAGCATGCTTCACAAGTGCAGGGGATACAAAGGCATAATTAAAGACGGGAGTGAATCTGGAAACCAGGAAGTTTGGTGTGTCTGGAGCACAGATCATGTGCTGCAAAGCAGTAGGATATAAGGCTGGAGAGTACATATAAAGGAAGGGTCATGTGTTCAAGGGAGGGAGTGTAGACTTTAGCCAGATATTCATGGAAAGTTCTTAGGAAGAAAGGAATGCAAAATATCAGCTGTGCTCCGGCAACCTAAAAAATAGATTCTACCTCCCCACTGAAACAAAACTTTCAGTGGCTCCTCTTTACTCTATGTAGGGATAAAGTCCAAGCCTAAGTCCATGAGCCTTATCTGCAGCCTTCTCACCTCACCCTACAGCTCTTCACTACCGCCGCACTCAGCTACCTGTGTTTCTTAGAAAACTCTGCCCTCTCCGGGTCCACACCTTGGTTCAGGTCACAGCTTCTGCACACAGTGCTCTTTCTCCTCATGCTGCACTAACTCCTCAGAGTTCACCTCAATTCCCTAAGGCTCAGTTTCCCATCTAAATCCTCCCATATTACCCTAAGATTATCCTAAAAAAATATTTTGACATTGATTTATAATTGTCAGCTTATTGTTAGCCTCCCCAACTAGACTGCAAATCTTTAAGGACTGGTACTTGATATGATTCCCTGTTGACTCCTCAATACCTAGCACACCACACAAAAGATAGAGATCTTGAAATATTTGTGAAATAAATGAATGCTTTTAAATATATGAGCCATCTAACTAATTTCCCTTTCTAGTATTCAATGTTTTTCAAAAAGCTTTCTGATTCAATTCACTATCCTTTATATGTCAGCCCATAGGCAGAGATTTTTCAACACATCATGTTGGTGCAACTCTGAGTCCATGTGACAGTTATACTGCTCACCAGAAACTAATAAATTGGCTTAGGGATTTTATATGTCACTCTTGCAACTCAGTTCATGAAAGTTCTTTCCTGGAGAAAAAAAATTTCCATGTGCTGGCAAAAGCAGATTTCTTAGCATTCAAAATGAAAGGCCACAACTCTGAACCATGAAAAATTAGTATGATCAAAGCCCCTTGAAAGGCCTTTTCTGGGTACATCAGGGCCTTGATTTATTCATTTATTCAGCAAATATTTAGTAATCCCCACCAAATGCCAACCTTTGTTCTAAGCTTTGAGGATAGAGCAGGAAACAAGACAGTAAAAGCTCTACCACCGTGAAATCACATTCCACATTCTACTAGGGGCTAACAGACAGACAGATAATAAACATGTAAAAAATAAGATAATTTCAGGTAGTGCTAAATGCTATGAAGAAAATTAAGCAGGATAGAGAATGATTAAAGTTGGGGGAGAGGATGTGAGAGCTCTTTAGACAGGTGGTCAGGATAAGGCTTCTCAGAGGAGAGAATATTTGAGCTGAGACTTCAGTGATGAGAACAAGTCAGCCATGAGAAATGGGGTAGAGAATTCCAGACCCAGAGGAAGATCAAATGCAAAATCTCTAAGTTAGGAATGAGGTTGGAGTATTCAAGCAAAGACAGAAAATCAATATGACTGGATCATAATGAGCAAGGAAGGCGATTTGAGAGCAATCAAAGGGAAGGTATAGAATAGGTCATATAGGCCATGATAAAGAGTTTGGATTTTATTCTAATTGCAAGGCAAAGACATTAGTGAAGTATAGGAAGGGAAGTGGTAGGTCTGATTTATATTGTTAAATGGCTAATAACAGAGAATGAACTCTGGGAAGGCAAGAGTGGAAACCAAGACGCCAGTCAAGAAGCTGTTGTCATGGTTCAGATGATAGCTGCTGATGGCGTGCACTAGGATAGTAGCTATAAACATGGAAGGTGGTCAGTCAGATTTGGGACAATATATTGGAAGGCCAGTGGAACTTGACAGTTGGATACTGGAAAGAAGAGAAAAAGAAGAATCAAAGTTTTGATCTCTTGGTTCTCTCATCAGAAATTTCTACACCTGCATGCTGCTAAAAGTCAGTTGTTCTACTGCAGATCTTTCATTCAGCAACCATAACAATGTAAAGCTAGTCAAAATTTCTGCTTCTGCATGACAATACTCGAATTATGTGTGCCAATTTATTATAGAGGAGTCAAAAACAGTTTATTTTGCATTAAACTAAGGCTCTTAGCTTCTGAGGGGTTTTTTTGTTTGTTTGTTTTTTGCAATCTGAAAAGCAGATTGCATTTTCTAAAGACCCAAGTACTTATAAAACAACATCGATTTGTACCCCCTTTAAAAAGCACCATTTCTATATTAGAGATCTATAGGCACATAGCTTCTATTACAGTAATCACGTCTTTATTTTGCTTTTTAGTCTTATTTTCTCATATGATGGCCGTGTTTCATATCATAGTTTTATGAATGTTAAAACCAAGGCTTAGCAAGCCAGGCTGCTTACAGCACAGGAAGAAACAGAATGGCAAGCTGACTTCCTTAGAGTCAAACCTTAATGTATTCATTCATCTTCTGTGAAACTCCGGCAATAGTGAATCTCAAAGAACTAACTGTTTAAGGCTGTAGAGCAATTTTCTTTCTCCTGAACCTAACTCTTTTGATGCTTTATATATATGTCCCAGTAACAGACTCTTACAAAACAACATTTTGAAAATATAATTACTATGTACAAATCTATGAAATGTATATAAAATATTATTAAAGGGAAAAAGCAGGATTGAACATATCCTCATAGCCAAAGTGACCTTAGGAAAATTCACAGTACTTATTGTATTAATATGCACAGTACTGTTAAGAACTGAGAGTATTTAGGGCTTGGGAGTAAACCACACTCCTCTTTCCCACCAAGGTATAAACCACCTGAGAGACTGCATTGGATACTGGAGAGGAGAGAAAATAAAGAATCAAAGTTATGATCTTTTGGTTCTTCTCATCAGAAATTTCTGCACCTGCATGCTGCTAAAAGTCAGTTGTTCTACTGGAGAACTTTCACTCAGTATCAAAACGAAGTACAGCTTGTCAATATTTTGTATATGTTTCACAGATCTGTAAATAATTCAGTCTAACACAAAAGAGTAGACAGCCAAAAACTACCACGGCTACTGATAAAGCTGATGCTGGAGATTGCATGGCAACAATGGGCCTCCCAACACCAAACTGTAGGATGAGGCAGGCTTACACTGAGGTGCTAACCGGTAGTGCAGGGCAACTGCAATCCTCCCCTCCCCTCACTCCACAGGCCTATCCCTGTAAAATCTGCAGCCCAAAGAAATAGGCCAGAAGGCATGATTCCTGAGAGAAGCCTGGCCCCAAGAGTAAGACTGGCCAAAGAGGCCAAGGTTTCTCACAGTTTCTCACCATCAGGTATCTTACTTCATGGAGAAGAGGAAGGGGTGACCCAAGAGGCCAGGAGTGTTAACAGCACCCCCTGTAACTACATCACATTCCCCACTCAATTTTATTCTCTTAATTTAGTAGTCTTCACTCTGGCATAAGTCTACCCTGTGATTCCATGGGTACTTTCTAAGGAGAATACAGACATAGGAAATTTTAAGGAAATCTATTCCATTTATTCAACTTTCACCTATTCTTTCCCAAAATTGAGCTGCCTGAAATATGACTGAGGTTGAGATGTCACATCAATTCTATTTTTACAACTCCTTTTAAAAATCATTCTTTAAGCTTCAAGTCAGTGACAAGTAAAAAAAAAAAAAAAAAATCATTCTTTTCCCGCTTATAAAAGACAGGCATCTTCTTATCCATCCCAGATCCTTCTATAGCAAATTGCTCTGGTGTGCAAAAAAACCTCTAAGGCATCATACAAAGGAACAATTCCAAATACTGTCTTGAAATCAAAATTTGATTTAATCAGGGTATAAGAAACCTACATGAGGATTTCCTGGCTTTCCTTATATATATTTCAGTTAAGAGAAGAGCCTGGTGCTAGAAATTGGGTATTTTGGTCTATGTTGAGGTGTTCTGAGTATACATACACTGGGACAAGGGCGGGTGCTGTGCTAATTTTTGTCCAATGCCATTTCCTCTTCCATTTCCTGATGATGTCAAAGAACGCGGGTGAGAGAGCAAACAAAAATACTAAAGGAGGTTGTACCCTACTTCATCCAGATAACAAACTCACAGTCAGGTTCCATGCTCCACATATACATCTCAGAATTTGGATATGCAAGATTTGTGAAAATCATTCTGGGAAATACCAATTAGCTACAAGGCACACTTACTCCGGAATGAGAGCATTTGATGTAAAATCTCATTCTCCTGTGTCTCAGATGCAAATTCCAAATGATTTCAAGGAAAAGAATGTAAAAAATTCCAAATTTCCTTTCAATATATCAATGTTACATGAAAAAGGAACATATATAACTAGAAAGTTAATGTTTCTCATTTTCTTTAATAGATATTCAGATCTTAGAAGAAAATATTCTAATTAATTTTTGCCAAAAGATTATTGAATACAGTAAATCTATATTCATTTTTTTACCAAAATATGTCTGCTCAGTGTTATTTGTTAAACATTTCTCACCTCATTATTCATTCCTACCATTCATGTAATAGACTTAGATTTAGATATATTGTTTTCTATTTTAAACAACACATTTAACAACAATCATTTATTTGCTTGTGTAAGCCCTATACCTAATTATCACCCAACATATTTTCCCATTTTGTTGCCTAGCAAAAAGTTACATTTACCTATAAATACATGAAGTAATTGAGAAGGGAGCTCCATTCACTTCGTTGAGAGATATATTTCCAATAAAATTTTAGTTCTCTTTAGTAATTATTTGTAAAAATTTATAATGTAGTTATGATTATTATGTACTAACAATAATTGTAATGATAACTCCATTCAAAAGAAATTTCTGACATTTAGAACCTTATAGTCATAGGAATTTTTTTAAATTACAAACTATTTTTTTTGAGATAAGAGTCTCACTCTTGTCATCCACGCTGGAGTGCAATGACATGATCTCAGCTCACTGCAACCTCCACCTCCCAGGTTCAAGTGATTCTCCTGCCTCAGCCTCCCAAGTAGCTGGGATTACAGGTGTCCACCACCACACCCAGCTAATTTTAGTAGAGACAGGGGTTTCACCATGTTGGCCAGGCTGATCTGGAACTCCTGAGCTCAGATGATCCACCCACCTCAGCCTCCCAAAGTGCTGGGATTACAGGCATGAGCCACCATGCCCAGCCTATAAACAACTTATTATTGTGGAAAAGAATAATAGAGTAAGCAATAAAATATATTTGGGCACAAAATACATTAAAATAAAATTATGTTAGGGAAGTAGAATGAAAATACAAATTCAAATAGGAAAAGGCATAATGTAAAATTTCTGTGAAAATAAATGATGGTGAGTATTCCTTTTCTATGGATTTAGATTTCATTTAGATTGCATTTTAGGTAACATAACCCTTTTTATTTTAAAATATTCACATTTATATTACGCAAAAAATTACATGTTTTGCCACTAAGGTCAAAATATTTTACATGTCAACTTAAAAACTATTTTAGGGGTGTGTCAGCAAAAGTATGAAGACCATTACCTTAACCCTGTGGGCTTATCCACTGAGATTAGGCTGGGATACAGTTACTTCCTTGGGTGAGAAGTCAGCAGTCAATTGTAGTAGTCGTGCTCCCATCTTCATGAGACCACTTCTCCAATACTGATTTCACCTCTTTTGCAGGATGTCCTGGGGCCACTAGTAAACTGTAGAGTCTGTCCCCAAAATGCCCTGAATGGGTCAGAACAATTTATCGATTAAATCAGTTCCAATGCTATTCTGTATCCAAGGCTGTAATTCACAATATGTTCTATCGCCATCTCAAACTATGTCCTGTCAGCTTGCCCAAAGTTATCAGAATTTCTAAAATGTGATCAAATACTTTAATAACTAAGAACCAACAAGATGTTCTCAATTTGATTTTAACCCTCTCCCAGTATTAATTTTCCAGAGAGAAATTAAAAGTTCAGAGATTAAATCACTCTGTCCTTCTAAATTATGGCCCAAAGTAATCAGTACCAACTTCATGTTAAAGTCCAAATCATTAATGGCCAACATTGAACTCTTTT
Source organism: Homo sapiens (assembly GCF_000001405.40). NCBI lineage: Eukaryota > Metazoa > Chordata > Mammalia > Primates > Hominidae > Homo > Homo sapiens. The sequence goes on along the minus strand of NC_000004.12, from coordinate 128,292,595 downwards.
ACTCTGTGAATTAAAGTTCAAACAGGCTTTGTCACTCCCTGGAAGTGAACTTAGCTCCAAACCTGAAATTTCCCTTCCCCCGGGGAGCTGATGCTGTTTGGCTTACCCCAAGCCTCCCCTGGCAGGAGCAAGCTCCTTTGAAACTTGTGTGAGGTAGCAGAGGAGAAAGCACACTTTCCATGAGCAGGATGGCTCCCAAGAGAAAGTGGAGAGGAAGAAGGTGGGCTGCCCACGAGCCAAACTTAAACATCGGGAAACTCACTGGTGGCACTCAAACAGAGCATCAAATGATATGTTCGTGGCACTCCAATGTTTCAAGAAAAATGTGATATGGAAAAAAAAAAAAAGTTTTTCCCTAAAATAGGGAAAAATTACAAGAAACAATCTCTCTTATTTAAGAATTATTTATTGAATATCATGGTGCAAACTTCTGAGCTAGGTTCACTGGGAAATGCATAAGTGAGTCAAAGCTGGATGCTGCCTAACAACCAACCACTAGTATTTCTAACTCAATTATTATATATGTCAGTGACTCATATTTTAGATTTTTGTTATAGCACCACCCTATTTCCAGTACCAATTTTTATATTAGTATGCAAAAGTTGATACCAAACAACTCCAAATAGCTAAGTGACTCAGGACAGCAGAGATGTATTTCTTATTCATATACCTAGGTATGTTATTTGGGAGCTGTTTTCCACTTTGTCCTGTCTCCGAGACCCTGGCTGATGGAAGCCCACTCAATTTGAAACATCGTTGGAGTAGTGATTAAAGATGGCCACATTTTCCTGTAACTCTGTGGTTGACAAAAATTTTTGTAATAAAGATGGCCACAAATTCTTTGTCACTCTCCCTCCACCCCTATCAAGTGTTTATTTCCTCTCCCCTTAAAATTGAGCTGGCCCTGTAACTGCTTTTACCAATACAACATGTCATTTCCAGACCTAAGACTTACAAAACCTCGAAGTTTTTGCTTTTATTGCATTTGAGAATCCTAAGCCACCATGCAAGAAAGAAGTCAGGCTACTCTGCTGAAGAAGCCATGTGAATCAGAGAGTCTTTGGAACGGCATGGGTAAATAGAAAAGCTCAGCTACTCTAGCAACCTAGTTGAGCCTCCAAAAACTCCAGCCCCAAACAATACCAGGCTGGAACCACATGAGAGACCCTGAGCAAGATTAGACAACTGCCCATGAGCCTAGTCAACCCACAAAACTGTTACACATAATAAAATGGTGACTGTTTTAAACCATTAAGATTTAAGGTGCTTTGTCATGGGACAATAGATAATTAAAATATTTCATCACTGTTGGCAGGAAGAAACAGCGCAGGATAAATGTCCACAGGCTCTTAAAGCTTTTATTTGGAAATGACACAAGTCACTTCCAATCACATTTCATTGGCCATTCTTGAGGTAAAAGGAGTAGGGAAATCCAAATCTACGTGTGTGGAAAAAGAAATAGAAATATTTGGTGGCTAGTACTAATATCTTCCAGAGATTTACAAGTAAATCAGTAAATAGATGAAGTGTCAGGGGAAAAAAGCTAACAACAGGAGAAAAGAATGTACATGACGATTCTTGTAGATGTCCTCTAGGCAAAGCAGGGATGTAAGAGGAAAAGGAGGGTAGAAAGAAGTCAAAAATAAAAAAAATAAAAAAGCATCCGCAGGGAAAAAGTAGAAATCTTGGGATCTAAAGGACAGTTTCAATAACAGAATAGTCAAGAAGAGCATAAAATAAAAGGCCAAAATGGGTGGTACAGGTAAGGAACACACAGAAATTCAAAGAAGGTAGGTTAATGTGGGCTGATAGAGGCCTCAGGTGGAAGTAGAATTGAAAGAATGGATAGGTCATGGAATTTGTATGGTTAGAAATAAGAAGGGCATGCTCCGTGAGGAAACAGCATGAGTCAAGTCCTAGACTGTGCAATACACATAGCATATATGGGGCAAGGGACTAGGTATTGTAAGGGGAAACGTATCATTTAATAGAGGGTATCCAAGGGATTGTTTGCTGGGGAACGGGAAGGCAGGGAAGCCACTCAGGGACTTATGGAGGCCCTTGAGTGCTTTCTGAGTTGTCCTCTTCAAATTACAGAGCACCCCTGGAGATTGGTGTCTGAGCAAAGGAAATCAGAACACAGTTCTAGTCTCTTCGTGTAGGAATGAAATAGGAAAAGACTGACGGCAAGTCACCAATTGGAAAGTTATTGCAGTACTCAAAGCAAGAGTATCCTATTGGGACAAGAGCTTGTTACTTAGGGTGGAAAATAAGAACTTCCAACTAGTCCAGTTCAAGGGGCTTACAATGAGAATCAAAAAAGCTGGGGTTTTGGGAAGGCTTCAAGTGTGAAGAAGTCGAGACACTATTTTATCAAGGATATAAAGGAAAACTTTTTTACTTCACGTGGCAGCCAATGTTGGTTAGCTACCCAACATTCCCCAGCCCACTTCCTTGACAGCAGAACTTTAATACTGTCCAATTCCTCTCTTCCCTCCAAACCAACTGGAAAAGAAACCTACACACACTAATTCAGCCCCAAGGTAAATCCTGAGGGTCTAAGCTACTGGTTCTCAACCAGTACCACACCTCTGGGGGGTGGGAGGGAAAAACGGTTGATTTACGGTGTCACAATGCCTGAGGTGTGGTACTGACATTTAGCTGGAAGGAACCAGAGATGGTAAATGTCCAGCAATGCTCAACACAGTCCTGAATAAGAATTAAAAAAGCCAGATAAACACTAGGCAATCATGGATGTCCCATGCTCCTTGTCTGTTACTGCTTTAGGGACAGCTAATAGCCCAGTTCTGGTCAATAAGATATAAGGAGTGGCCTGCTTCTGGGGTGCTTTCTTCCTTCCTATCAATGTTGTCTCAACTGTATACAGCTCTTGGGACTGCTACAGCTATCTTCTCCTCAAAACCAGTTTCTTCTTTATCTTCCTATTTCCATCACTGGCACCTCCCATTTTCTGTTACCAAGTCCTAAAGCAATTTTGACTTCTCCTAACCCTTAACCTTAAGGTGACTATTCCTTTAGGTTTGCCTGGGATAAAACTGATATAACTCCTGGTCTCTGGCTATAATTATTAATGCCCTACTTTACTTCCAAAAGTGTTCCATATTGAAGGATAGAGTATATGGTCATTTACTACCAATTGTGTCGCTCTCCCTCAGGTACCTCTAATGCAGGGCTCAGCAATATGGCTTATAAGTTGTTTTTGCACCTCTCCAGAACTAAAAAAAAAAAAATTTACATATTTCAATGATTTTCTTAAAAATCAAAAGAATATTTCATACCTGAAATTATATTAAAAATTCAATGTCCATAGTTTTACTGAAGACAGCTACACTCATTCAAGTATTGTCTATGGCTGCTTTCTCGTTACAAGGTAGAGCTGAGTAGTTAAGGCAGAGACTTAAAATATGATCGGGCCCTTTACAAAAAATGTTTGCCAACCCCTGCTCTAATGTCTCCCCTAGCTCTGAGTCTCCTCACCTCACGCACAAATACCCTAGCCTACTAACTGCTTTCCCACTCTTTCCCCAGCCTCTAATCCTTCAGACACCTGGTTGCTATACAGCCTCTCTACAAGAGTGTCGACCCTGTCACTTGCCTCGTCAATATCCTCAGTGACTCCTACAAAACCGACAGTGAAAGGTTCAAACCTATTCTATGAGACTCAAGACAACAGACAACAAAGGGCAAGAGAGAACACGTCAAACGAGTTCGTCAAACGAGTTGAGTGCGTGAGACTTCAGAGGTCACTTTTTCACACTAGAATTTCAAGGTGTGAGAGGCTAAAAGACGTCCAAGTACATGAAACAGAACCTGCAAATAAGAGTGAATGACGAATAGAAAGACCACCTCAACCTGTCCACTTCCCTACGGCCGCAGAAGTTATGATTCAAGGAATAATGAGACTCTAAATCCTTTAAAATTCTACAAGAGCAGCCTTTGCCAAACCCAGCGGGGAGTGGCTGCTCGGTGCCAGCGCGAGGAGCACGTAGACTGCCGATGCCAGAGAAGCCCGGTGCGGGTTCCGTGCTTTCTCTCCGTTCCAGGAAGACCCCAGCTCGTGGCCAAATCTTCTTGCCGCTTCCCGGTCTGCGCGCCTACGCTGCCGGTTTCCCGACAAAAGCGACGGCGCCCTGGTGAAAAGCAGACGCCCCTCATCGGTTTGCGCCTTGCAGCTCAACTATGCCCCAGCCTCCCACAAGCCACCTGCCCGCGTCCTCCGCCAGGCGTCCAGCCCGGACCTGCCCCCGCGGCCGCCAAGGCGCACGTGAAGCTCCCGGGCGGGGGGAGCGCAAGGAGGCGGGAGTTTGCGGACGCGAACGCAGGCCTAGGAAGGGAAGCGATTCCAGGGCGCACGCGCAGAGCCTGGAGACTGGGCGGGGCGTGCCTCCCGCAGGGGTTACGAACGAAAGGCGAGCGCGTGGCGCTCAGGAGCCCGCGCACGCGCTGTGGTCTCGCCCCGCCCATGAGCGTCCGCGCGGCCGTCGTAGCATCTTTTCTTCAGACCCGCCCGGCTCGTCTACTTAACCTAGCGGAGGCTTGGAGTGAGAGCAGGGAAGTGTGGGGCGAGGTGGGCGGGGCGTTGCACGCGTGCGCGGCCAGCGAAAGAAGGGAGGGGGCGGGAGATCCGAGACAACGTTACCCCGTCAACACCCAATCAGGAGCCGGCCTGACCCCGCCCCCTCTTCTCACGTTATTGGCTGAGAGGCCCCCAGATGGGCGGGGCCGGCCGTGGGGTTGGGGAGGGCAGGGGGCGGGGAGGAGGAGGAAGGCGCTGGCGGGCAGTGATGGCGGCTGGTGATGGGGACGTGAAGCTAGGCACCCTGGGGAGTGGCAGCGAGAGCAGCAACGACGGCGGCAGCGAGAGTCCAGGCGACGCGGGAGCGGCAGCGGAAGGGGGAGGCTGGGCGGCGGCGGCGTTGGCGCTTCTGACGGGGGGCGGGGAAATGCTGCTGAACGTGGCGCTGGTGGCTCTGGTGCTGCTGGGGGCCTACCGGCTGTGGGTGCGCTGGGGGCGGCGGGGTCTGGGGGCCGGGGCCGGGGCGGGCGAGGAGAGCCCCGCCACCTCTCTGCCTCGCATGAAGAAGCGGGACTTCAGCTTGGAGCAGCTGCGCCAGTACGACGGCTCCCGCAACCCGCGCATCCTGCTCGCGGTCAATGGGAAAGTCTTCGACGTGACCAAAGGCAGCAAGTTCTACGGCCCGGGTGAGGAGTTGGAAGGGGAGGGGAAGGACCCCCTGCAGCTGAAGCACAACCCCCTTCGGACAGGGAGGCCTCTGGGCACCGGGTTAGTTTGCCCAGCCTTCTCGTCTCCGGGACCCCCGCGCCTCGGCCGCCGCACCTGGGACGGCCCATCCCGCCCCTACACACACACCGTCCCCCCGCAGCTACGGGCACCTCCAGTTCTTCCCCCGAAACCAGGGTCCCCGGTGGCGCCCCAGAGACCAGCTCTCAGCATTCATCTTTCTTCCATCCCATTTCTCCTCGCAGCCTTTTTTTTTTGTTTCTTTGGCTGGATTTTTCAAAATCGTTTTAGTTGTCACAGGTCAACGCTGGCCCTTAACCTTTTTTGAGTCTCCTGATTCCTGGGATGGATGGGGCACCAGGGAAGGGAGATTTCTGAAGTTGGGACCTAAACTAAAGTTTTGGGCTCTGTAATTCACCGTTTTCTTTTCCTTGCCCCCTTTTTTTTTTTTTTTGCCACTGATCTCCTTTTTTCCCTCGCTGTATTACTCCGTAAGGCCACGTTTAGGGGCATGTAAAGTCCCAACCCTCCAGTCTCTGAAGTCCAGACGTATAAGCAACACCTCGGACTCTCTTTAAACCAGTTTTAGTTCGGAGTTGCTTTCCATGATTAACAAGGTATGTGGGATGAGAACAGACCAGAATGCAGAGCTTATTAAAGACTGGTAAGGATATTCACCTTGAGTTTTGGGGGTGGAGCTCCTATACCCAGCAGGCGTGTCTCTGGTTTCTTTTTTCTTTTTTTTTCTCTTTTCAAGTACACGTTGATAATGACTTGTGTTTTCACTTAGCAGAACTAAGGAGAAAAAACTTAGAAGAGTTGTAGATTTATACCCCCATGTGCCAGTTATGCAAGTTAAAGATTTTTAGAACTTTGTTTTGAGAGAACTTTGTTTTCAGGGAACTTTGTGTAGGGTAGTTGATTTAGACGCCCTTTTTTTACAGTGTGGTTGTAGCATACATTTTGGATTATGTTAATAAACCCCAGACTCATGGAACCTGTTGGTATATCATACAGTTGAGCAACATTGTGCATCCTGGTTGTGCACTGATTAATACTAAGCTTTAAAAAAAAGTGGTGACTACAATAAGAATAAATAATTAAATTAGAGACCTAAAGTGACCTGTTATTGGAGAGAGTACCTCCAAGCCTTAAAGTCATAGGGTTGGCAGTCTGGAAGTAAGCTGGTTTTCTCCTTAATTTAATCTGTAGGTGTATAAGATTTATTGACACTTAAAAATATATACTTCTGATTTCAGTGCTTGATAGCTGGAAGATATTTTAGAAGTGCTTTGGTTTGTAGTTTGTTCATTGGAATAGGGATAAGAAATAGGAGATTTTTGGTGTTGAATTATGTAATTTATTTCTTAGTTGTTTGTACTTCTGTGTATATATACACATTTAATCCAACCAAGTAAATACATAGCTTACAGAGTTTTTGCTTCTGGTTACATAAATGTGAACACAAGGTGTCTGCCTACTTATATCAACTGAAATGGTTAATACATTTTTGTTTACTTAAGCACACGTGGGACAAGAGAACAGGGCCAAAGTACAGTATTTAAACAGGCCAAGCGAAGTAAATTTTTTTTAAATCAAGGATTTAGACAGCATTTTATACCTAGTTCAAGCTTTTCCCCCATTGGTATTAAAATGTGTTAAGTGATTAGAAATCCTGTACAGGTTTAAATTTTTAATATAGACCTTACCCAGCTAAAAGATCAGCTTTTGTACCCTGTCTGAACTGCCACTGAAGAAAACAAAGTATTAGTACAAAGAATCGTATTAGTCCTCACACATTATGCCTTGGCAGTATCTGAAAATAGCTAAGAGAGACAGTCATAGAAACAGTTTGGCAGCCTCCAGTGGCAAACGTTTGTTCTGTGATAGAAATTAAAAATTAAAGCCAGGCGTGGTGGTTCATGCCTGTAATCCCAGTGCTTTGGGAGGCCGAGGCGGGTGGATCACCAGAGGTCAGGAGTTCGAAACCAGCCTGGCCAATATAACAAAACCTCGTCTCTACTAAAAATACAAGAAAATCAGCTAGACGTGGTGGCGGGTGCCTGTAATCCCAGCTACTCGGGAGGCGGAGGCAGGGAGAGTTGCTGGAACCCGGGAGGTGGGGGTTGCAGTGAGCCGAGATTGCGCCATTGCACTCCAGCCTGGGCGACAGAGAGAGACTCGGTATAAAAAAAAATTAAAAATTAAGAGTCATAGGTGGTAGATTGCTTTTTTATGGTATGTGCACTGAGGGAGGCTCTTGAGATTACAATGGAGAAGTCAGTTTTAGATTAGTTTCTGCCAGTTCCTAGGTTCTGTTGAACAGCCTAAGAGTGATATACAGTTAGTATTCTACAGTTGATCAACAACATAACAGATATTTGAATATTTTATTATTGAAAGGAACCTTAAAGAAAGCCAGATCATTTTATGGGCTTAGAATATGTTGATATTGCATATTAATAGAAAATGTAATAAGTAGTACTTTTCAAAAAATCTTAAAGCCAAATTTCTGGCTATAAAACAGATACAAGTTCAGTTTTGCTTTTAATTTTTATTTTCATCCTCATAAATTAAGCAGTTTTGTAGCAGAATAATTCAGAAGCAGTAATTGTTAGTTTCTATGCCTAGCCAATATCTACCCTAATTTCACAATAATGGTTTTAGGATTAAATTTTGTGAGATTTTTCCATAATGCTAAACATGTGTTTATTTTTAGTCATACATTTTTAAAGTTCAGGCTCTTAATTAAATATTGACAGTGTAATTTGGTGGAGTATACACATTTTGGCAAACAGTTGGCATTAACTGTATTTGCCAATATTAAATTTAGTAACAGATCAGGCACTTGGCCAGCAGGTGAGGAAAGTTTGGTCATGTAAAAAACTGAATACAGGAGGAGAAAGAAAACCAGATTCGTTAAGCACCCACAATATCAGATCCATTAATTTTTTTATCTCCATAATTCCTCAGTGAAGTTGGTAAGTATTCCTGCTCTACAGGTGGGGAGTCTGAGGTCTAGGTATTTTAGGTAAATTGGCTTGGATTACATGTATGTCTAATAAATCCAGATGGATATTACCACACAGCTTATCTATACTATTTCTAGTAAACTGCATCCTGTGATAAACTTGTAGAGAATCTTACTGTTGTTTTTCTTTATACTCTTCCCTGGTTCCCATAAATCCAAGGATTTAAAGCCTCAAAAAAAACATGCCTTTCGGCCAGGCACGGTGGCTCACGCGTGTAATCCCAGCACTTTGGGAGGCTGAGGCAAGCGGATCACTTGAGGTCAGGAGTTTGAGACCAGACTGTCCAACATGGTGAAACCCCATCTCTACTAAAAAAAAAAAAATAAAAATAAAAAAATAAAGGCCAGGCACGGTGGCTCATGCCTTAATCCCAGCACTTTGAGAGACCAAGGCGGGCAGATCACCTGAGGTCAGGAGTTCGGGACCAGCCTGGCCAACATGGCCAAACCCTGTTTCTACAAAAATACAAAAAAAAATTAGCTGAGCTTGATGGTGGGTGCCTGTAATCCCAGCTACTGGGGAGGCTGAGGCAAGAGAATCACTTGAACCTAGGAGGTGGAGGTTGCAGTGAGCTGAGATCTCGCCATTGCACTCCAGCCTGGATGACAGAACGAGACTCTGTCTCAAAAAAAAAAAAAAAATGCTTTTATGGCTTTATGTTATACTGCCCAAAATGGTGGCCCCAGGTGGCTAATTAAAAGTAAATTAATTAAAATTAGATATAATTAAAAATTGAGTTCCTTAGTAACACTAGCCACATATAAAGTGCTGAGCCCACCATGGCTACCATTTTGGACAGTGCACTTTGTATATTTTCATATTGTGAGACTGGCGTGCCACCTACTGCACTAACAAGGCACCTCTTAGAGTATTTCTGTCTTCCCAGAGAGTTGTTGAAAACAACACTGATTCTAAAGGTCAGAGGAGGAGAAGGAGGAAACTCCATTTATTGAGCTTAGTATCGCTAATTTTCAAACAGCCCTATGAGATTGCCCAAAGCCACATATCTAGTAGGTGGCAACACTAAAAATTAAATCCAGATTTTCATAGCTTCAATCCTTCCCATTGTATTACAACATAGTCTATTCAGTTTCACATGTTTACAGAATCATAAGTTTTGAAGACTCAAACAGCTAGTATAATTTTTAACAATTTTATTTAATATTACTGCAATGGAACTTTACCAAAACAGTGCTTTTATTTTTTTGGAATGGCAAAAAATTATACACTTGACTTTTTGATAGTTTATTTTGCGTTGTTGAACCTTGCAATACTGCTGCTCCCTTATTCCAGGTGGAGTATTCTTTGACATATACCAAAGCTATATTTTTTCCAACTTACCTTTTAAATTCCACTGAAAGAAAAAAGTCACGTAAGAAGAACCCCATGAGATGCCTAATATTTAGGAGGTTGGGGAAAAGAACACATGTACCTTGAAGTGTTTTTCCTCCATTTTAAACTTTATCTTCAATTTGTTCACTTTTATTTAACACTTTAGTTTGCAGAATTGGAAACTCTGTGTTTGCAGAGTTGCATCATAAAAACTGGACCCAATCTTACCTATTTCTTCATGGATGTCCTAAAGTTGCCACTGCCCACCTCTCATCCCAGCTTCTTGCTTTGAAGCCAACTGGCTTTGTTGTTTGGGCTAATGCCCATATGCATCTATTACCTACCAGTAAGATAAAAGGATTAGCTAGGTTTTCTGATGATTTTTTATATTCTGCTCAAATTTCTACTAGTTATTTCTATTATAACTACTTAGTTGGCTCTGAATTCAACATCATCCCGTTGTTTTTAATCTTTGAGGGAATCGTATTTGTGTTAAATCCTAAAGCATATTATAAAAGGATAGCTTGAAACCAGAAGCTGTTATTCAGGGTGGAAGAAAGGAGTAGATTTAATAACATCTGGAATTAGCCATTCAAGTTCTTTTAATTGTTTTTTCAACACTCTGACATAGACCACTCCTTTCCCTGTGCACCCAAGACAGACATGACTGTATAACTCCTGTATTCTTTTGGAGCCTATATCCAGTCTCAGGATCTTTAATAATAGGATTTCAGCTCCATTTTTAAATACTGAGGAAGACTTCCCTGGATTTCATTACAGTAAAAGCTTAAGAGATGAGAAATGGAGTTAACTGAGTCTTCAAAACAGATGTGTTCCTATCCTCATGGAGTTAATAGTCTATTAAGGAAGAGAGGCAGTAAACAAGGATTTCAGTATGTAATTATAATCTGTAATATGCTATAAAAGAAATTAATAGAATGGGAATAGAGGGTAACAAAGGACTTTATTTAGATTAAGTGGCTAAGCAAGGTTACCTTTTTTATGTTAGATTCTCGAGAAAAAGGGCTCGACATTTAAGCAAAAACCTAACAGAGCCAGCCATACAAAGATTGGGTATGAGAATGTTCTGAAGTGAGATTGTTACTATGCTTTCTATACCGAGCAAAGCCATCTAGCAGTAGATCTAGAACTGATCATACTAGAAACCTCTTTAACACTGTTGATTTTCAGATTTTACTTCAGCCTTTATCTGATTAGTATTAACACAATATTTCATTTTCCATCCCTTTTAGTCAATCTGTGTTGTTTTATTTTTCTCACATTAATGACATATAGCTGGATTTTTTCATTTAATATTAGCACTATGTCCTTTAATAGCTTAATTAGTGTATATGTTTTGTGATTACGGGTATATTTAGGTTTATTTCTATCATCTTATTTTGTGATTTCTCTTCACCTTACTTTTCTTTGCCTCTTTTCCCACTATTTTTCCTTCTCTGATTGATTTTTTTATTTCTTCCATTTTCTCTCCTCTACTGATTTGGATGTATTCTATTTCTATCCTTTTAGTGATTTCCTTAAGTTTTTGCTATAGATGACTATCCTATGCTTCTGAACAATATAAGAATTTTAGCCAAACATCATTTTAGTGTCAATTTGAAAAAGCTGCCTCTTTAAGATACTTTACTGACATTTGACAGATTATTTCTTAATAAATAAGCAAAACTGCCATGACTACAAATATGGATAGTATCCCCTGCGTTGTACATAGTCATATGTTGAGGCCCTGGTTAGAAAGCTTTAACTCTGATTCCTCCCCCATCCTGTTTTCCACAGTATCACTATTAGACTTTAGCTTCACTTTGTTTTTTCAAACTCCACCCCAAAATTGATGAAATTATTATCTTTTTAATATAGTCCTTGTTTAAATTTACTAACATGGTTATCATTTTTTTAATTCACTGTTGTTTCTTGCATCTCATTTCTTTGGGGTTCACTTTTTATTTTAGTGAGGTGTGTCCTATAGTTTTTCACTGGCAGGAAAAAATTTTTTATTTTTCCTCACTCAGGAATAATAGTTTGGGTTTAGAATATAAAATTGTAGATTGGGCCAGGCGCAGTGGCTCATGCCTATAATCCTACCATTTTTGGGAGACCAAGGTGGGAGGACTGCTTGAGCCCAGCAGTTCAAGACTAGCCTGGGCAATATGGCGAGACTCTGTCTCTTACAAAAATATAAAAAATTAGCTAGGCATAGTGACATGCACCTGTGGCCCCAGCTACTCAAGAGTCTGAGGTATTAAGATCGCTTGAGCCCAGAAGATCAATGAGCCTTGATAACACCACTGCACTCAACCTGGGTGACAGAGCAAGACCCTGTCTCAAAAAAAAATGTAAATTGACCTTATTATACCTCAACTCTTGAGTAGCGTTATGCCACTGTCTTCCACTTGTTGGTGAGGAGTCGGCTTGTAGTTTCTCTTTACTTTTATTAATCTTTTTCTTCCTTTTGGTTGTAGTTGAGATCTTTTTGTCTTTGGGGTTTTGCTATTTTACTAGGATTTGTCCAGGTATGGATTTGATTTTATTTACCATGTACCAAACTCTACTCAAGTCTGTGGATATATTGTCCTTTTTTTTTTTTTTTTTTTTTTCCCAGAAAATTTGCTGTTACTTATTGCCTCTTCCATTATCTCTGTTCCTTCCTCTGGAACTGTTAATAGATATACATTAGGTTTTCATTCTATTCTTAATGTCTCTTAATCTTTCCTTTTGTACCATTTCTTAATAATTTTAAGCAAATTTACTTTAGTTCTTTAATCTGCTTCTGTATCTGTTATATGTGCCCACTCCTCCATGATGGTTTGTTTCTTCATGTAGTTTATATTTTTTATTGTGAACTTATTATCTTCAGTAGTTACTTTTTTTAATTTTGGAGTATTTCCTGTAAAATTCCATGAGCCCTAAGTTGTGAAAGAGGTAAAGTGCTTTGGGTATGTTGCAAAATAGGGCCTCACGTAAGTTAAAACAATGATTTTTTAAATTAAGTAATACATGCTCAAAATAGAAAATTCAAAAGGATATACAGTGAAAAATAAGTCTACTTCCCACAACTAGTCCCAGCCACCATGTTCCCTTCCATAGCAGCAAAGCACCAGTCTACGTATTGTTCTAGAGCTATTTTGGGTGCAAGTACAAGCATGTGGATATCTTCCTTTCCCCCCACACTAATTATAGTATACTATGCATACCCTTCACAATATTTTAATATCACAAGAGCCTTTGACATCAGTATAGAGAGCCATCTTATTCTTTTGAATACATGCATAATATTCTATTTTATGAATAAGTCATAATTTAACAGTCCACTGTTAACATTTGTTTTCAGTCTCCTGTTATTGCATGATGCTGCAATAAATATGTACATGTCATTTTACACATGTGTGTAAAATTATGATTATAAAGTAAATTCCTGGAAATAAAATTACCGAGGCTTGGGGTATGGATATTTTTAATTTGGATTCTTGTTTCTAAACTGCCCTTCAGAGAGGTTGGACCAATTTACACTTGATGAAAATGCCTGTTTCTCACTTCTTGCCAAAAACGTGGTATTAAGCTTCTTGGTCTTTGTCACTCTTGAGAGGTTAAAATGGTATCTCAATATTTGTTTAAATTTACATTTCTCATTTACTTAATGAGGTTGGACTTCTTTTTAAAAAGTTGAGTCATTTATGATGCCTTTTCTACAAATTGTTTATTCATATATCCTTTGCCACAGTTTTTCTCTTTTTTTTTTTTTGAGACAGAGTTTCACTCTTGTTGCCCAGGCTGGAGTGCAATGATGCAATCTCGGCTCACTGCAACCTCTGCCTGCTGGGTTCAAGCGATTCTCCTGCCTCAGCCTCCCGAGTAGCTGGGATTGCAGGCATGCGCCACGACACCCAGCTAATTTTGTATTTTTAGTAGAGACGGGGTTTCTCCATGTTGGTCAGTCTGGTCTCGAACTCCTGACCTCGGGCAATCCGCCCACCTCAGCCTCCCAAAGTGCTGAGATTACAGGCATGAGCCACTGCGCCCAGCCCTGCTGCAGTTTTTCAATCATCATATTGATCGTACAGATTTTAGGTGTTCTTTATAAAGTAAATCAGCCTTTGCCGCAAATATTTTTTCTAGTTTGTCCTTTTACTTATTTATGGTGTTTTTTTGAACCACACAAAGTTTTGGTTTTATGTATTCAAATTTATCTTTTCTTTTATAGCTGCTAAGTTATGTATTATATTTAAAGACTTTATGCACTTAAAATTGTTTTTAAAAATCTGTAGTTTTTTTAGTACTTCTGTGGTCTCAGTTTTTTAGTTCCATTTGAAATTGATTTTGCTTTAAGATGTGAAATTAGAGTCCAAATTTGGTGGGGTGGTGGGTGTTTGTTTGTTTTTGAGAAGGAATCTTGCTCTGTCACCCAGGCTAGAGTGCAGTGGCGCCATCTCGGCTCACTGCAACCTGCGTATCCCGGGTTCAAGCGATTCTCCTGCCTCAGCCTCTTGAGTAACCGGGATTACAGGCGCCCACCACCGTGCCCGGCTAATTTTTATATTTTTAGTATAAGAGACAGGGTTTCACCATCTTGGCCAGGTTGGTCTCAAACTCCTGACCTCGTGATCTACCCGCCTTGGCCTCCCAAGGGGTTGTGTTTTTTAACAGAAGGTTATCTAGTTGTCCCAACATGTTTCCCCAACAGGGGAATAATCCCTTTTTCCTAATACTTGAAGTATTATCTTTAGTGTTCATTAATTCTTATAGATATTTGAGTTCATACTATTTTTTCACCTTGGAATTTTCATTCTGCATGGGTTGCATAAACTCAGGCCCCACTCCCATAAGTGGCACGGGCCTGGGCTTTTAATTTTTCTGTCTTTTCTTTACCCCAGCCTACCCATGCACCCTGGAGTTAAGGCCATATGCTCAGTTCACAATGTTGCTGAGCGCTTTTGACAGTAGCTCAAATTTCAGAAGCAAGATTGCACTTTCAGTCACTTATAGAATCATACTATTCAAGAGATTATTTAGTTTGGTCTCAACTTCAGGCAGGTAAAATAATTTTCCTAATTTATATTTGAGGGATCTAAGGACTATGGAAATCGAGACTTGTTGATTGTGAGTGGATCCTCTAGAACCCAAGTATCTGTCTTCTTGAGAGGTATTATTTCAGTTTTACCATACTGCATTCTCTCTAAAAGTCTTGGGACTTACTGGACCTAAGCATAAAAAAATTTATTAGTTCAGTTAATCACTTTTACATATTGCCTCATTTGTTGATAGGCTGATTATAATCTTATTTGAAATAAATTACCCAATACTAAGTGTTATTAGTTACTCAATTTATAATCACAAAAGATTATTGTCAAAACAGGCCTGAAAACTGCACTGTTGATAAACTTTAATTAATTAAAGTTCATCTCTGAGAGATATGGTTTTTAAACTGTGAGAATAATTAAAATATCCCTTTAGAAACACTAAGGTAGCTATATAATCATCCTAATAATCACAAAATTATCTGTTACTACATATTTACTTCCTCCTGGAATTTTCTGTTTATTAAATTAATATTTAAAACATTTTACAATGAGCATATGTTGTTGCTGTTTCAAGAATATGTCACCTCATTCTAACTGATTGTATTAAAGTAAGCAGTTTTAGGATACGGTAACAAATAGGTTTATTGAACTTTAAAATATCTTGACCACAAGTTGGATTGACACTGAAAACTAAATGAAATCTGAATTCTGACTAGTATAGTACTTCATGTTGGGTTTGTTTTGTTTGTTTGTTTGTTTGTTTGTTTGTTTGTTTTGAGATGGAGTCTCGCTCTGTCGCCTAGGCTGGTGTGCAGTGGCGAGATCTCAGCTCACTGCAAGCTCTGCCTCCCAGGTTCACGCCATTCTCCTGCCTCAGCCTCCCAAGTAGCTGGGACTACAGGTGCCCACTACCATGCCCGACTAATTTTTTGTATTTTTTAGTAGATACTGGGTTTCACCACGTTGGCCAGGATGGTCACGATCTCCTGACCTCGTGATCCGCCTGCCTCTTGTTGGTATATTTAACAATAGCTTTGAAATAAAATTTATCTTTAAAATGATGTCCTTGAATATTTGTTATGTAAGTATATTTCAGAGTATTTGCTTTGACTGAATAATGCTGTTCATTTTTTGTAGCACGAATTTGCTTAAAATTGGGAGGCTGTTTTTGGATCAGCATTATATTTTAATATTTGATAAAGCAACAGAATTTAATTCTTCTAGTTACTACTGAACTGTTAGTGTCTAAATGAGCCTTAATAATAAAAAATAACCAGATCATGTAAACTAGCCTTTTTAAAAATAAATTAGGCTGGGCACAGTGGCTCATGCCTGTAATCCCAGCACTGTGGGAGGTTGAGGTAGGCGGATCACCTGAGGTCAGGAGTTCAAGACCAGCCTGTCCACCATATATGGTGAAACCCCCTCTCTACCAAAAATATAAAAATTAGCTGGGCGTGGTGCCACACCCAATAATCCCAGCTACTTGGGAGGCTGAGTGAGGCAGGAGAATCACTTAAACCTAGGAGGCAGAGGTTGCAGTGAGTTGAGATCACACCACAGAGTGTGACTCTGTCTCAAAAAAAAATACTAATACAAATAAATAAATTATACCATGCAACAGACTTAAACCATTTCAAATTGGCTTTATTTGGGGAGCTCCCTATTGTTTTAGTATTATGAATAGCCAAGTATACTTACCAAATATTAGAATTGGTAAATATTTAGGTTTTTTATGTAAGGGGATAACGGAATGGGAAGGTATTGCTGACTTTTCAGATAAGCTCCTGGTTGTATTATGAATGCAGGGAAATCTCCTTTTATTAGACATCAAATCCTTCCTCAGAATAACCCATCCAGTTCCAACTTTAGTTCCTAATGTTATATTCTTTAATGGCCTTACAGAAGGCTGGGCATGGTGGCTTAGGCCTGTAATTCTAACACTTTGGGAGGCAAAGGCAGGAGGATTGCTTGAGGCCAGGAGTTCAAGATCAGCTGGGCAACATAGGGAGACCTTGTCTCTACAAAAAATAAAAGAAATTATGCAGGCCTGGTGGGCCATGCTTCTAGTCCCAGCTATTTGGGAGGTTAGGGCAGGAGGATTACTTGAGCCCAGGAAGTAGAGGCCACAGTGAAATATGATTGAGCCGCTGTACTCCAGCCTGGGTGACAGAGTAAGACCCTGTCTCAAAAAACAACAAAAAAAATTTTTTTAATGGTCTTACAGGAAAGAGCATAGAAAATTATTACTAAAAAGACCTTTGCAGAAGTTAAATGCTTCCTGAGGGAAATTCTAAACATATGGAGAAGACAGCTTAATATAGTTTAGGGAGTGGGGGAATATGTTAATCACTGAATTATTCTTTTCTATTCAAGAGTCAACAGAACATCATTTGTCTGGAATTTGGCTTGGATTATTAACTGTTGACTCAAGTTCACTCTTACCAAGTCAATCATTCCCTACCCCCAGTACCCCAGAAAGAGCATATTTTATGAAATTTTTTATTATTATTATTCATTCAGTGTTGAAGCTTTCTTAGGGAAGTTGGTAGAGAAATTAATAGAGAATGCACTGGTATATATTAATATACTCAAAGATGGAGGGCTTTCTGATTGCTGTTTTTATAATGATTTTATCTTCTCTCCTTTGTATCATTTAAATGTGTTTTATGGCTTATACTCTGAAGTGCCTGAAGTAGATTAATGTTTGCAGGCCATGGAGATAAATACTATAATAGAATGCTTAGAAAAGCTATTAAGTAGAGCTTTTTTGTTAATTCTCTTCCATTTTGATTTAATAAGTATTCTAAAATTTTCATTCCCTTGAAATTTTGTAAGTAGTAAAATGCTCCAGTTTTCATGGTCGTTACTCCATCTTTGGGCTTGTGAGTCTTCTATGTGTTTTCTTGAGGTACACTGGAGGATTTAGGAAAGTGGAAATAGTACTCTCAGTTCTGTCAGTAATTTTAGGCAAATCACACTGAATGCCTCCGCTCCTGTTTTTTATCTGCCAAATGGGGAAGGCAGTCTGTCCCTTCCACTTTGGGAAACTCTGAGAGAGAAAAGTGAGGTTGCTGGAAAATTCTTTTAAAAATTGAACCTATAATTTTCCATTTGTAGATTGTTATGGCCTTTATTAGTTTTATTTTTCCTTTTGTATGTTTCACTTTTTGCTTTTTTAAGTTTATAAGCATTGGTCTAGTCAGCATTAAGGGTAAATATAATGTTTATAGATTTTTTTTATCATTGTTTCTTAGAAATTTTTATTTTTAAACACACTAGTTCTCTGTCTCTGTCTCTCTCCTTGTCCTCCTGAAAACACCCATTGCCACAAAGTGTGTAGAATTTTGCACGCACATGTGCATGTACACACACAGACATAACTGGTTAATACCTTTTTTTTTTTTTTTTTTTTTTCTTTGGAGAAGGAGTCTTGCTTTCTCGGCCAGGCCGTAGTGCAGTGGCATGATCTCAACTCACTGCAACCTCCGTCTCCTGGATTCAAGCAATTCTCCTGCCTCAGACTCCTGAGTAGCTGGGATTACAGGCGTGCGCCACCACAGCCGGCTAATTTTTGTAGTTTTAGTAGAGATGAGGTTTCACCATGTTGGCCAGGCTGGTCTCAAACTGCTGACCTCAACACTGCTGCCACAGAGTTGGGATTACAGGCATGAGCCACCGCACCTGGCCTGGTTAATACCCTTTTGAATGTCAGTTGAGATGATAGAAAAAGTTTGAAGGTTACGAATATTGGCCAGTGGTAAATTGTGTTCCATATTCTTATATAGAAGACACATTTGAAAGTATAAAATGGTAGCCTATGTTAATAAGACTGATTAAATAAATTACAGGTACACATCCATTCAGTGGGATAATATATAACCATTCAATGATAAATAATTGTTGATAGTCATGTGATACGATGTAGCAATATGGAAAATGCAATAAGAATAAGAAAAGCAGAATACAAATGTACTTTACTGGAACTGTTAGCTTTACTTTCATGTTACTGTATCAATACCTATGAATGCTACTCTTAAAATTATTGCTAATGCTACTTCTAGTTCCATGCAGTAAACTTTTCAGAGAATGAATTTCACATCTGGTTAACTTTATAGTACAGTGCTGTTAGCAACTCAAATTAATACTCATAAATGCTTAGATATCTATTTAAGTGAAACCTCGATTTCTACTCTCAGAAGGTACAGAGACTTTTTGACACATAACTTTCAGTTTCCTAAATACTTTTATATATGAATATAATCATTTCGCTCATTTAAAAATCAAGGAATTTCTAGTTTTTTCTGCTTGTTTACTTATCAGAACATACTTTGTTCTTTTATTTATAAGCCCTGTTTTTCACCACTCTGTTGTTGTTGTTCATAATAGTGTCTTTGCCTACCATAAGTGAATCTGTTTACAGAATCTTGAGTTTCTTTTTATTCGGAACTACAGCTAAGTCATTTGGAAGAAAATTATTACGTTCCTACTTTATGCCAGGCACAGTGCTAGGCATTGAGGATACAAATCCTCAATTGATGAACAAATTGCTGTTCTCAAGGACAAACCTTGGGAATGGTTTTTGTCAACACATCAGTCATGCCATTTCTCCTCAGAGAGAATGGTACCCAATTCCTTGGATAAAATGCTAATTATTGCTTAATGTGTCAGTCCAGAAGAATTATTCCTTATAGCTACTTCCTCTGTTTTCCAAAAGTCATGACAAGTAAGAGCTATTATTTTCCTTAATGACTTTTCCTAGTTTATATAGATCATTGTATATATATTATGGTAGTCAGATGATTTATTTTGAATATGGGTCTTTTTTTATTAAACCACTCAGCAAAGATTTATTAAATGCGTGTTGAGCACTGAACTAGTCACTGGGACCACAAAGATGATACAGTCTCTTTTCTCATAGAATTACAACCTTCATAAGGATAGCAGAAAGAAAAATGTTACAGATTCAAGTTCAGCTGAGTCTTTACATAATACATGATGTTCTGTTGATTATTTTTATTTTTTTGATGCCACTATTAACAGCAACCAGTAAACATTATTTCCCCTCAAGCAGACTGGCTTCTAAACCTAACCACTTAAGTTTCTTCTTCTCCCTCATTACCTCACAGTCTTCATTTTGAATATTAAGTTTGGGGATATCTGAAGTAATTGAAATTGAGGGTTTTAAGATCTAAGTGAAAAGCTTTACTTGGGTCAAAAGGCAGATTTCCAACAAATTTCTTTTCTTATTCCATCTAGTATCTGTACATGTTTTGAAATTAAGGGTATATACAAATGTGAATTATGAGGGGTTTTTTTCTTTGTTGTGTTTTTTTTTTTTTTTTTTTACTTTTTCCTTTGAGACATTCTAAAATATTGTTAGGTGATCTAAATAATTTATTTTCTTTTTTCCAGCGGGTCCATATGGAATATTTGCTGGTAGGGATGCCTCCAGAGGACTGGCCACATTTTGCCTAGATAAAGATGCACTTAGAGATGAATATGATGATCTCTCAGATTTGAATGCAGTACAAATGGAGAGTGTTCGAGAATGGGAAATGCAGTTTAAAGGTATTTTTATTTTGTTGGATTCTTTGGAAAATTAAATATTTGTTCAAAGAAAATATATACTATTTTACATGCTTTAAGAGCCTAAGGATGTCATCCGTTTTCATTGCCATCATTATTTGATAATATTTTTAAAGATAGCTAAAGCTGGGTGAAGTGGCACATGCCTGTGGTCCTAGCTGCTGATGGGAATCCCTTGAGCTCAGGAGTTCAAGGACTAACCTGGGCAACATAGTGAGACTTGTCCAAAAAAAGAAATTGCAAAAAATAGCTAAATAAAAATATGATTGTTACATGTGATAATTATTTTGAAAATCAATATTTAAAAAAATGACTTGTTACAAATTCTAAGCCTCAAAAATTGTGATACTTACAGTCAGCTTCTTCATTAAGGTTTAGTTTTTTAAAAATACAGGCTTATATTTAAAACTGAGTTGATTACTGATTTCAATACTATAATTTATTCCAAAATGATTTTACAGATCTTAACACTCGAAATGTAGATAAAAAATATCTTTCCCCTTTCTTATGCCCTCATAACATCAGTTTTTACCACTTGTGTGATGCTGTCCCAGCTGTTTATCTGACCCCTGGGTCCCTTGGAACAGCTGTTCTGGTTTAGCTGGGTACTGAGATGGGTCCTGGACTTACTCATTTTTAAAAAAGATCTCCAAGTGATTCTGATGCAGTATCCAACTAAGAATCACTGGTACAGAACACCCTCTTGCAAAGAATTCCCAAGCCTTATAAGTTCCCTAATCCTGTTTTCTTTTGTTCAGGCTTTACATGTGTATAAAGACCAGCCATGGTGAAGCAATTTTAGAATATTTAGATAATATTCTAATAATCATATTTTATATGATTCTAAAACAGACAAATGCCTTTTCTCTGTATAATGGAATAGTGAAACAAATTTGATCACCACTGATTTTCTTTTGATGTATCTTTCAGAAAAATATGATTATGTAGGCAGACTCCTAAAACCAGGAGAAGAACCATCAGAATATACAGATGAAGAAGATACCAAGGATCACAATAAACAGGATTGAACTTTGTAAACAACCAAAGTCAGGGGCCTTCAGAACTGCAATTCTTACTCCCTTTCACAGACTGTCCGGAGTCTTTGGGTTTGATTCACCTGCTGCGAAAAACATTCAACAAATTGTGTACAAGATAAATTAATCTCACTATGAAGATTTGAATAACTAGACATTATTTATGCTGCCAAACTCATTTGTTGCAGTTGTTTGTAATGTCTAGTGGGGCTTCATCATCCTGAAAAGAAGGAGACAGGGATTTTTTTAAAGAGCAAGAAAGTCACAATATTACTTCTTTCCTTCCTTTTTTCCTTCTTTCCTTTCTTCTTTCTCTTTCTTTCTTTTTAAAATATATTGAAGACAACCAGATATGTATTTGCTACTCAAGTGTACAGATCTCCTCAAGAAACATCAAGGGACTCCTGTGTCACATACTGTGTTTTTATTTTAACATGGGTGAGGGAGGCGACCTGATCAGGGGAGGTGGGGGTACACATCAATTTGAGTTGTTCAGGCTACTGAAACATTAAAATGTGAATTCCCAAACTTTTCTTTTTGGCTTTGTCAGGGAAAAGAAAAATATCTTTATAAAGAAATCTTTGGAAATTAGGAGAAGGAATTTCAGGTGGGTTTAAGTCAGAGCTAGTTCCCCAACAGAAAGATCATTTGAAACCAGTTTTTATCCCTTCTCTTTCCTTCCCTTTCCCTAAATCAAATCAATATTAATTGTGCCTTATTTCACTTAACATAGACTTGAATTATTTTTAGGGAAAGCCCCTATAATGAATTCAGAAATCACTACAAGCAGCATTAAGACTGAAGTTGGAATATTCTGTTGACCATAAAACCTTGATATCATTCTGTGTATATAGAATGTAAAAGGAATATTACAGTGTTAACTGCCATATATGTAATATACACAAACTCAATTAGCATTGTAATGGCCAAATGCATTCCCCCATGCTTTTCTGTTTTCAAAAAAATTGAAAAACAAATCAACTCTTATCCCCAACAGCTGCCTAATTTTAGGAGTCTGACCCTCCACATCTCACTGGTGTGGGTGCATGGGGCTGTGGAGTGGGTGTCAGTATGGATGTGTCTGAATGTGTGAGGCCTTGGAAGGGACTCTTTCTGCAGATACTGTAAATACAAGTACCATTTTAATAAAGCATGTACAATAAACCAAAATAAGCTTGAGTTGGACTTTATATACAGAACTGTAAGCCAGTGCATTATGATACAGTTGTAAGATTGTGCATTTGATTCAAGATAAGGAAAAATCTTGGAAATGAAAAGCAGGCACTGGTTAACCAAGTTGTACACATTGTACCACATTCAGCATAACTTTAGGAAGAAATTCCACTTTGTGGAACATTCTCCAGAAATCCAAGATTATTCAGGTAAGAATTGGTATATTAAATGTACATCTTTTTACTTTCTATTTTGATGCCAACTGATTATACTAGACAATTAGCACTCCAGGTGGTTATTGAACACAAAACAGTAAAAGAATATTGCACTGATAGATACTAAATTATTATTTTATTAGGTTGAAAAAGCCCTTACTAAAAGCCCCTCATATATCAATTACTTTATTTCATTATGACTACTTAGGTTCCGGGCTGGGGACAAGTTCACTTAAAAAGGCAATGTTATTTAACAGGTCACCAGTTAAGACTTCTGCTTTGTAGATACATGCAGAAGCCATCAAACAAGGGGGAGCTTTTAACTGCAACAATAAGCTAAAGTATGTAAAATACTACATTCTATTCAGTCTTGGAGTGTTTTGTAGAAAGTTATCTTCAGCCAAATCTTTGCTGAAGACTGGTTGTGGAGTGTTGGTAAATGCTTTGTGTTTTTATGTAAAATATTTTCTAAACAAAAAATGTTAAAAGTACATGTCCTCTGTAGTAAACTGATATCTATATATATGAATCATTCAAGCCTAAAGTCTAGTAATAAACTGTACTTGTGAATAGAGAAACCCTAAATATTCATGCAGAAAAAATTATGCGGTCTGTTAAGAAAAATGAGTAATTTGTGTTTTGGACTTGAAATAAACAGTGTTCTGTAGATAATTCCTCAACTTCAGTTGAATGTTTCTCATTCTCAGGTAGTTTTTCAGGCAGTATTTGAATGAGGGGACCAGACAGTGCTGGTATTGTTCCTTTGTTCCTGTTCCCCGCTCCCCCCTCCACACAGACAGACACATGCACACACACACACACACACTCCTGCTTAGCCCTATTTTCGAAACTTGCCTGATAATTAGAATTGCTTAAGGTACAGATTCTTAGCCTTCAATCCAGACGTACCACCCGCTAAGCCAGAATCTTTAAGAGAATGGGCCTCAGAATTTATTTGTAAGGAATACCTCAGGTAATTCTGATCAGGAACACTTAGGAAACACTGGTTTTTCAAGTTAATATTGACCATCTTTGTTAGGCACTTGAAATGGCCTTACTCAGGTAATTTTGGTCTGATTCCCTTCATCTGGTTTTGTGTCATTCAGAAGACTTCACAAAATTCTAATGTATGATTTTAGAAAACAGCAAATTTTGATAGTCTTTAGATTTTTATCTTTGGGTAGCATTTCCAAGTTGTCATATTTCCCACATTAAATCTACACTGTGTGTACTAGCCAGTTTCTCTGCATTAGGAAATGAACCCATAACAGTTACAGATCAGGTTTTTAAAACCTTGACCATGGTGCTAAGGCTGCTTAGGTTTCCTAACAGTAATTCTACGTGCCTTTCTGTAGGTAGATCTGTTTCTGCAGGTAGATCTTCAGAATCCAACATTACACCTACCTTTACCCACATTCTTGAACCTAATTTGCTGAATTACCACTGGGAGATATTTTGTTCTATAGAAAACAGATATTTTCTACAGAATCAGGCTGTCCTTATCCAAGTATTTCACATAACCTCTATTGATAACAGAAGTGCAGCAAGTTGCTAGTAAGATGTGCCATTAACATGTTAACAGTGTGTAACTACAGAGCTTTTATGTGTCAGAATAAGCGGGTAATACTGTAGTAAAGAATTTATAAAACTTTCAAGTTGCTTTGAGTATATTGAAAATAAGAGTCATGGAATATTGTAACAGTGATACTGAATGAATTGTTCTAATTAAAGTAGCAAATGCTTAAAAGATAGCTTTTGAGTATGTTCCATTAAGGTCAGCCATCAATTTGTTAGATGATACTCATCACTGATTATTTTCTATTTGACTATGGCAAGAAAGCTCCAATAAAGACGACCCAACTTTCCTGTTTTTAGGCAAAAACCATCATTCCTAGGCACTGTTAGAAAAGCACGTACAGAAAAATTGCCATACTCCTGAGTCACTTTGAGTACCAGCTTTGCATTTGTTCTACCACCACTAGTGGCTGAGAGCACATTTGGGCTGCCTGTAATTACTCCATTCAAGAGAGCATTTGACATGCTATGAACACTGGCTTATTCCTAAAATTTTTCTTTTACAGTATCCACACAAGATCCAAGAAAACCACATCATGATGTTTAGTGTAAGAAGACCAATATTTGCATATGCTTTTAAATACTTTGAAAGCATGATTTTAGTGGCTGCATAGTATTGTTCCCAAATAATAAAGTTTTTAATGAAAATGCAGGAAGTTCTGTAGCAGGATGAGCTGCAGACAAGAACCCCTCAGACACCAAGTTGTGGAAGCAAAGGGCTTTATTCAGCTGGGAGCATCGGCGGACTCAAAAACCGAGCTCCCCAAGTGAGCAATTTCTGTCCCTTTTAAGGGCTTACAACTCTAAGGGGGTCTGTGTGAGAGGGTCGTGATCGACTGAGCAAGCAGTAAGAGTATGTGACTGGGGGCTGCATGCACTGGTAATCAGAATGGAACAGAAAAGGACTGGGATTTTCACAGTGCTTTTCCATACAATGTCTGGAATCTATAGATATAACATAACTGGTTAGATCAGGGGTTAATCTTTAACTACCAGACCTGGAATGCAGTGCCGGGCTGTCTTACTGATTTTGCTTCTTTCTTTTCTTTAACTCCTACTTTTTCTTTGAGGCAGAAATTGGTCATAAGACAATATGAGGGGTGGTCTCCTCCCTTATTCCCCCACATTGAGAACCTCACTCATTAGTGGGAGTTCTCACTTCCATCCTCACTACCCATGTCTTCTTGCAAGACAGGTCATGATTCATATAGCACATTTGTGCTGAAGCATTTTGGTGAACTAAGGTAGCAATGAAGCTTTTTATCATTTGAAGTACAGGTAGCAAACAAAGGAACAGTAAGCAGGTTCCTATTACTATTATAACTCCTATTATAAGAGTTTTAAATCTTCCTAGCACTGGGAACCATTTTCCAAACATGGCCCCAGGATTAAATCTATGCCACACTTGCACAGGCACATGTGCCAGTTTTGTCATTTCTAACTATGTCTTAAACTACTTGCCCTTGATCATCTATGTGTAGACAGCAATTAATAAGGTTAAATTTCCTACAGACCCCTCCTTCAGCTGCTAGCAAGTAGTTGAGAGCCCATCTATTTTGATAGATAGTATTTCTCATCTGAGTTTCTTGCTGGGCCAGAATAGTCAAGGCTCTGCCAGTTTTATTAGTGATTATTTCTAAGACAGTTTGTAACCATATGATTCAGTTGAGCATGCAAATTGGGGTCCGGTATCCCCACGAGCCATCTTGTGCCTAAGTAGCAGGCTCATACTACTGTATGATTCTTTCAGGGGGCCACTTATCATCTTTCCAGTCGCCTATATCTATGCTTCTATTTTCTCGGGAAGCATAGACTGGGAAGCCTAGAAGTTTGCCTGTTTTTATGGGCAGTAGGAAAAAGGACGGGTTATAGCACACATCAGGCTGGTCACTTCCTGGGCTACATACCTTGTATAGAACAGCATTATACAAACAAGTTCCTTTTAGAGTCCCTGTACACTTATGGTAACCATAAAATAATAGGACTGTAGCAACCTTTTGTCCTATGTTGTGGGAAGTCAGGGACCCCAAATGGAGGGACTGGCTGAAGCCATGGCAAAAGAACATAAATTGTGAAAATTTCACGGACATTTATTAGTTCCCCAAATTAATACTTTTATAATTTCTTACACCTGTCTTTACTGCAGTCTCTGAACATAAATTGTGAAGATTTCATGGACATTTATCACTTCCCCAATCAATACTCTTATAATTTCCTATGCCTGTCTTTAATCTCTTTATCCCGTCATCTTCATAGGCTGAGGATGTATGTCGCCTCAGGACACTGTGATGATTGCGTTAACTGTACAAATTGCTTGTAAAGCATGTGTGTTTGAACAATATGAAATCTGGGCACCTTGAAAAAAACAGGATAACAGCGATTTTCAGAGAACAAGGGAGATAACCATAAAGTCTGCCTGCCTGCAGGGCCAAGCAGAACAGAGTCATATTTCTCTTCTTTCAGAAAGCGAATAGGAGAAATATCACTGAATTCTTTTCTCAGCAAGGAATAACCCTGGGAAAACGAGTGCATTCCCAGGGGGAGGTCTCTAAAATGGCAACTCTGGGAGTGTCTGTCTTATGCAGTTGTAGATAAGGGATGAAATATGCCCTGGTCTCCTGCAGCGCCCCCAGGCTTGTTAGGATTGGGAAATTCCAGCAATTCCAGCCTGGTGAAATTCTAGTCAGACTGGTTGTCTGCTCTCAAACCCTGTTTCCTGTTAAGATGTTTATCAATGACAATGTGTGCCCAGCAGGACATGGACCTTCATCAGTAATTCTAGTTTCACCCTGGCCTTGTGATCTCACTCTGCCTCTCTGCCTTTGTGATATTTTATTGCCTTTGAAGCATGTGATCTCTGTCACCCACTCCCTATTCATACACCCCTCCCCTTTTGAAATCCATAATAAAAACTTGCTGGTTTTGTGGCTCAGGGGGCATCACAGAACCTGCCGATATGTGATGTCTCCCCCAGTGGCCCAGCTGTAAAATTTCTCTCTTGTGCTCTTTCTTTTTATTTCTCAGACCAGCCGACATTTAGGGAAAATAGGAAAGAACTACATTGAAATATTGGGGGCTAGTTCCCCTGATAGTCCCACCTTAGTGACTTGATGTATATACTGGGAATAGTCCTCAGTCTGAGGAAGGTCATTTGAAGTCCTTACTGTACAAGTCCAAATTTTAAGGGAAATGAGTCCTGCAATGACTTTCCTCATTCTTTGGCCATGCGGGGACCAGTTAGCTTCCGGGTGTGACTGGAGCAGGGCTTGTCGTCTTCTTCAGAGTCACTTTGCAGGGGTTGGCGAAGCTGCTTCCATCCACATAAAGCTCCCAGTCTACTAATGTTTAAGGATGGTCTCAGAGGTTGGGCCTGCTAGAATAAACTGAATCCAAAACCTCTACCCAGTTATGTTTAACTAGGCTCTCTGATACCAGGAGCAAGGTGGCGGGGTTTAGGGTGTTGTAAACTTCAACCGTTATGCGGGAATTTTCACAGAGCAAGCTTTGGTATTTAGTTAGTCTAGCATTCGTTAGCCAATGATGTCCTTTGGTATTTATTAAAGTCACCACAGTATGAGGGGCCTTTATGTTTAGGTTTTGCCCAAGAGTTAGCTTATCTGCTTCTTGTGCTAGCAGAGCTGTTGCTGCCAAGGCCCTCAAACACGGGAGCCAATCCTTAGAAACCCCATCTAGTTGTTCAGAGGGGTAGGCCACCAGCCTTGGCTAGGGCCCCACAGTCTGGGTCAAAACTCTAACTGCCTTTTTTTTTTCTCTCTGACACATACAGTGTAAAATGTTTTGTCAGGTCAGGTAGTCCCAGGGCTGGGGCCGACATGAATTTTTGTTTTAACTCATGAAAAGCTCGTTGCTGTTTGTTGTAATAGATATAGTTTATTCAATCTACATTTTTATTAACTGTCACCCACCAAAATATTGACTCAAATCCTGCAGCTATTTGATTTCAGGCTTTAAATTGATCTGGTATTCCCCATGGACTCCAATTGCATCTAAATAGACGTGAGAGTCGAAAGACCCATAAGGGGCTTCTCTCACTTTATGATGTCTTATTTTTCCTCCCTCTGGTTGATGAAATGCCAGGGTGAAAGGGATAGCCAATTGGACTAAAGCACAAGTGCCACTCCAGTTATTTGGCAGAGTGCCCAGTAAAGGTCCACCACAATACCACCACACATCCCCTCAGGGATGAACAAGGGCTAACTGATTGATAAGCTCTTGAAAATTTTTAAGCTCACTACATCCCTTTAGGTCTCTAAGGAATGCTAAGTTTCCTCCTTGTCACGAGACACACAAACTGAACTTAGTGTTGGGAGATGGAAGCTGGATGGTCCTCAGGGGCTGACCCACAGGGTGCCAGACTTCGGGATATAGCAGAGAGAGCTTGGCATGACTTATTACTCCAGGCTGTAGAATCCTGGAAAAGAGCTACCATGCAGCCCACACCTGGTTGATTGGAGGACCACCTTAGTGGAAAGGGGACAGTCTGGGCCTCTGGCCTGCCACGTGCACAAGCATAACAATTGCTTTTGTTTAATGTGCAGACGGAATATTTGATCCATTCCAACCAGGCATTCACATCTTGGTATCCTGTCTTAATTGCCAAAGTTTGTTTTAAGTCTTTAACTTCTATGATCCTCTAGTAAAATGAATGTATGATTTTAGGAAATTACAAAAAATGGTTGGGGCAGTCTATCCTTGCTCTTTAGTGGTCCACAGAACGTTGGGCCAACTATGGCATAAAAGCTCTACATTGGGGGGCAGGACTCCCAGTTGACACTGGGGTCTTTATCGAAATCTCCCTGGATTAAATGGTCCTAATTTACTAAAGCCCAGCTGAGGGGAGTCAGGAGGGACATAGGTAATTTTCTGAAGTAGAGAGCTGTCTTTGACTTGGTGAATGCCCACAGTGTATAACAAGGCAAGCATTAAATGCAATGGTTTGAAGCAAAATTGACTTGGTTATGTTAAGAACTAGATGGTCAGCAATAGAGCAAGGAAAGAAGAAAGAGTAATAGAATAGATTGAAGAGTTTCATTTTTCTTAGCTTTAGTTTGGTAGGGTTTTCCCCTGGGACTATGGCCCACAACTCTGGAGGGGGTGCCACTTTCTTGACTTGGGTGTGATGAGTCCAACCCTTTTTTGCTGTCCGAACAGCAGCCTCGGTGGTTAGCAGCACAAGGTAGGGTCCTTCCCAGGCTGGCTCGAGTTTCCCTTCTTTTCACCCTTTGATGAGAACATGATCTTCAGGCTGGTGCTGGTTTACCGGAAATTCTAGGGGTGGTACATGTGCTGAAAGGCTTTTAGTTTTGAGGGAAAGGAAAATGGAAGATAAACCAAGTATATAATTTTTAAGAAATTGACCTTTTGTTTTAAATGTGGGACATCAGCAGTAGACTTTGTAGTCCTTCATGCCTTTCTACTGAGAAATTTCCTTTAGCACCTATTTTTATTAGTTTTTAGACCAAAGAAAGCCAAACACCATTTTATATTTGACAATGCTTCCTGTATGATTTTTATACCAGATAAGCTAAATTTCATTTTTATATTAGTGTGTTATTAATGTTAAACTTAGTTTTAATAAAACTTTGTAGACATATTTATTCAGTTTTTAATGTTTCACCATAAGGTAAGATTTCTATAGACTCTTTTTAACCTTTTATAATTTTTGTTAAAGAGCAGGTTAATGCTTTAAGAAAAACCCATTGTGTTTTTATTTTAATGTTCAGATCACAGAAAAACTGGATGATACCTCTTTGACTTTAGCCAATATGTTTACACACAGAATTTCCTTTACAATTAATGTTTTAAAACTTGCTTAAACCTTCAAAACAATTTTTTTAACCTTTTAATGTAGGTAAAACTCCACATTCTTATGCCTCCTTATAATCCCTTTACCAAAGGTATATTTTACTTTTCTTATATACCTTGCACATAAACTGTTTTTTTTTAATAGTTTTACATTCAGGAGGCCTAATTACTTTTAAATTATACAATATTTCTTGCATAAATTTTTTTATAACTTTTTTTCTCTTTCACAACTTTCGCAGACAATTCTTTGACATGCCTCAACTTTCTGACTTATTACAAACATTTCTTTAAACAACTAGTTAATTTATTTCAGGACAAGAATTTACCATATAACATTCTTTTTACATAAATTCTGCTCCGCCTTTTTTTCCCTTTTTTTGAAAGATGATAACCATTCTTTTCCAAAGCAAACTTCCTTTATGTCTGTGGACTACACTGTCTAAGGCCACAGATTAGAAGTTACTATAATACATGTTACACTGTTAACTTTTAGCTAACTCTACTTTTGTTGAAAACCTTATAAGTTTGGGATTTCAATTATCCTTTGCTATTAATAAGATCTTGTTTAGTCCAAATTAACTTAGAATTGGTATAGATAGCTGTGTGGTTTTGGTTTGTTTGTTTTTTTTTTTTTTTTTTTAAGGATACTTCTGAACTGTTGAGGTGTGCTCACAATGAGGTTTCCTCTAAAAGTTATTTTTCTACTTTCTTCTGTTAGCAAAGCAGTTGCTGCTACAGATTGAATGCATTTGGGCCATCCGTGGGTCACTGGATTAAGGATTTTTGATAGGAAGGCTATGCGTTATTAGTGGCCTCAGTGCTTTCGGGATACGCCCTTGTTTACACTGACAACAATGTGGTATTGGAGTGTTATAGGGTTACGGAGAATACCCTTAATTATCAATTATAGGTTTTAAATTTACCTTGGCTTTTAAAGGAATAGGGTACACTGTTTTTTTCTTAACTACTTGTATATCTCTCTCTTTCTGTCTTTCTTTCTCTGACTTTCTGTCTCTCTCTCTCTCTCTTTGACTTTCCTTTTGCGTCTGTTTCTTCCCCTCTCTCTGCCTCTCTCTTTCTCTCTCTCTCCTTGACTCCCTCTTTGTCTCTGTCTCTTCCTCTCTGTCTTTGCCTCTTTTCCTCTCTGTGTCTTTCCTCTCTGTCTCTCTGCTGGTCTTTCCTTGCCTCTGCCAGCCGCTTATGCTGCTGTTCTCTCAACCACTGTGGTGGGAGGGGGGTGTCTAAAACCAGCTGTAACCAGGAATCTATATATGGGAACTGATCCGGGTGCCCTGACTTACAGATTACCTTGTGCCACACCTTTGAAACAAGGGACCTGTCCAGGTTTCCTTCTGATGGCCAACCTACTTCTAATCCTGGCCAGTCTATTTCAAAGTTCTAAGTTTTCCTGGTGTTATAGTAACTTCATAGTCTCCCCTAAATCCCTTTTTGAAATTTTTCAATATAGTTCCTAGTGGGGTGGGCTTACTTTGTGCCTGACCTATGTTTCCTTGAGACAAAACACCACGCTCACACCACACACACGCCACAAAACAAAGAATGGGTAAAAAGGGCACACACACACTTTTACAGTTTACACCAAACCAGAATCAAAATCAAAACAGAGTATCAAGAAATCCAAGCCAGGTCAAAACCAAAACCAAAGTATCAAGCAATCCAAGTCAAGTCAAAAACAAAAACCAAAGTGCCGGTACAGGCACGTCATGGGTGATCAGGCTACACTTCCACTCAAATGGAGTGAGCAAGTTCCAAAGACCAGTCTTACCAAGTTTCAGATGTCCAGACTCCAAGTACCAGTTCCTTTCGGTGTTCAGCCACTGTGTTGATCCTCCGCGGGGGCCTGCCATGCACCGCTCTGATGAGGCATTCCACCAGGGCAAATGCCTACCTGGGAGAACTCTCAGGATCTGGGGAGCGCTCTCAGGATCTGCATCACTCAAGCTGGCCGGAGTCCCCCACAGGGATGCTCCACAGGGTATGCCTAAGCTGCGTAATGGGCTGACTCGGCCTCCCACTAATCACCTCACTTCCTGGTCAGGGAACCAAGAAATGTAGCAGGACGAGCCACAGACAAGAACCCCTCAGACACCGAGTTGTGGAAGGAAAGGGCTTTATTCAGCTGGGAGCATCGGTGGACTCTCATCTCCAAAAACCGAGCTCCCCGAGTGAGCAATTCCTGTCCCTTTTAAGGGCTTACAACTCTAAGGGGGTCCATGTGAGAGGGTCGTGATCAATTGAGCAGGCCATGGGTATGTGACTGAGGGCTGCATGCACTGCAGGTAATCAGAATGGAACAGAACAGGACAGGGATTTTCACAGTGCTTTTCACAAGCCACGGGTACGTGACTGGGGGCTGCATTCACTGCAAGTAATCAGAACAGAACAGAACAGGACAGGGATTTTCACAGTGCTTTTCCATACAATGTCTGGAATCTATAGATAACATAACCAGTTAGGTCAGGGGTCAGTCTTTAACTACCAGGCCTGGAATGCAGCACCGGGCTATCTGACTACCGATTTCACTTCTGTCTTTTCTTTAACTCCTACTTTTTCTTTGAGGCAGAAATTGGTCATAAGACAATATGAGGAGTGGTCTCCTCCCTTAACTCTATATATGGTATGGTCCAGTTTGGTTAAAAAAGAAAATTGAAGGAGAGCAAAGTTTAAAAGTTAACTCTAAAATAATCATGGTTTTGCTTGGTTATAAAATGAATATATGTTCATGGTACAGAAAAGTATTAAGAAAATAAGAATTGACCAAAGATCAGAGTTAAGTTAGCCTTTTCCAAAATCCCTTTTCTCTCCAATCCCCTTCTATGTATATGAGATTATAATGCATATTTAGACACTCCAAGATTTCAGATTCAAGATACCCATCCAGTCTTACTGGGTATCGCTACCTGACTGTTCCTGGAACCTCAAGATAACTTGCTTCTGCTATTATAGTCTGTTAGTGAGCTTCTATACTCCCCTGACAGGTCTTCCTGCATCTCATTGTTCTCATTAAATGTATGATTCCTGTTAATCTAAAACTCCAATTTGGCTTTGTTTCTTCCCTCCTTAAAGGCCTTCAGTAACGGCTGATCTTCTAAAGAATCAAGACAAGGCTCAGAGCCTTCTATGCCCACCTCCTCACCAGTTCCCACTGCACAGTCTGCTATATAAAGCCACTTCCAACTTGGTTCTGGGGTAGCTTCCAGAATATACCCTAGCTGCTTACTCCATTCTTCAGTCTGGATTATACTCTTCCCCACACTCAAGCTAAGTGCCTTCCTTGCTAATTTGCTCAGTCTTAGAGACTCAGTCTCAGACTCAATGTCCCCAGAATGAATTAGGGAGCCCTCATTCTGTACTTTCATAATATCATAGGGGTACTTTCGTATCGTTGAATTTACTATGTTGTAATTATCTGTCTCCTCTGATAAGCTAGGGACTGGATTTATACTCATTTTAGGCCCAGTGTTTTTCCCAAACTTAATATACTGCTGGCTACACGGTGTTTGCTCAAAATATTTTTGTTAAATGAGTTGATAAAATGAGAGGGTAGACCAGTAACAGTAGTTTTTATACCAACCTCCAAGGAAACATCAATGTCTGAGAAGAGAGCCTAGGAGCTGCATTAGAGCAGTACCTCTTTTCCTGTTTGGTTTTTATTGGGTTTACAATTAAGAATCTTAAGGGTTTTTATGCTACCAAAAAAAAAAATAAAGGTTAGAAAACCACGGGACTCAATGACCTCTGGTACCTTTTCAGTTATGGTTTTTGTTTTTGTTTTGTTTTGTTTGGAGACAGAGTCTCACTCTTTTTGCCCAGGCTGGAGTGCAATGGCTCGATCTTGGCTCACCGCAACCTCCACCTCCCGGGTTTGAGAGATTCTTCTGCCTCAGCCTCCCAAGTAGCTGGGATTACAGGCATGCGCCACCATGCCTGGCTCATTTTGTATTTTTAATAGAGATGGGGTTTCTCCATGTTGGTCAGGCTAGTCTCAAACTCCCAACCTCAGGTGATCTGCCCACCTCGGCCTCCCAAAGTGTTGGGATTACAGGCATGAGCCACCGCACCTGGCACTTTTTCGGTTTATGAGTACAATTCAAGAGCAGAACCATGCAGTCATAAATCGCTAGCATAGCTCAATGACTGCAAAACACAGATTTGTCTTCCTGATAACTGAATGAAGGTGGAAACCACAGTGCAACCCTGACCTGAGTGCCTATGTAGTCAAAATTGTTCTGCAGCAACTGCAGCTTAGGCATCATTGCAGGAGGGGAGAGGACCCCCAATTGTTTTTCTTTTAACAAAACACTCTTCAATGCCTTTGAAATCCTACCTGGGGAGCCCTTTGCTCCCTTCCACTGTGTCCCTGGCCTCCAGCCCCACCACCCCCATCACAGAGGCACTCCTTGTTGTTGCTAGTCTATTCCACTTGCGATTTAGAAAAAGACCAGCTAAAATGAGAAGAAGATTTAAATTTGATCTTCCCAAAGACAAACTGCAATGTAGTGAGAGTATAATGAAAATGGCCCAACCTGACAAGGCTTTCCTGGGAAGGAATGCCTTTTTAGTAGGGAAAGACCTTTCGCCTTTAAAATAGTGCTAACAATGAGAAAGGAAAACAAAAGCAAGATAAGGTAGACAAGGTAGGAATAAGTAACCATTCTTATGTAAAAAAATGTAAGAGCAAGCATTTTATTTTATTTTTTTTAAGTGAACGTATCTATTTTTATAATGAAACATTAAGTTTTGATACATTGCCTCATTTGCTTTTTTAAAATCTATTATCTGACTTAAACCTATTCAGCAAAAATGCCAATAAATTATATTAATCATAGTTTGGGTCTTTTTAAAACTAGGAACATAATATGTTTTATGATAAACAATAATACTAAATCTGAGTTGTATGTACTGTTAACTTGAAATTTGTTTTAGATGTTTAGCTTAAAACAAAAAGAAAACCAATCACATTAATACACTGTTGCAAAAGTTTCTCCCGAATGCCCTCCACATCACTGTGTGTCAGCATCCTTCAGCTTCTTCACTGAGGTATGGAATGCAGCCATATGTGGGTGTCAAGGCACTCATTCTAAGCTGTCCTATCCTGTACATCTTAGCAATCACATTAGATGGATGGCTGATGATATGCACTAACTCCCAGCCCAGGCTATCAAGAGCAAGCATTTTAATTCCTTCTGTGTTTCAGAATCTGTAGTGAAAAGCAGGCCCTGGAGTGGGTCTGCTGCTTTGAGCAAGTTTCATAACTTGGCTGAGCGTAATTTTCCACATGCATGGAAAAGGACTAGTTCTAAGTATTTTTAGGTAATATATAATTGTCTTATTTAAAATAATCTGAATAACCCTTTGTTAATTATACTGATAGTTCTAAG
This sequence comes from Homo sapiens, assembly GCF_000001405.40. Taxonomy (NCBI): domain Eukaryota; kingdom Metazoa; phylum Chordata; class Mammalia; order Primates; family Hominidae; genus Homo; species Homo sapiens. Next base: position 128,257,118 of record NC_000004.12, on the reverse strand, counting down.
TCTGAAAAATAATCACTAGCTTTCCCACAGTTAATCTGTCAGCAACAAAGTATTGATGTATTTACATTTAGTCCCACAGCATCTATGCAATATTAAAGTTTAGCAACAATGCCAGGAGTCACCGTTTCCACATTTATTAATATTCTTACATGCCCAACTCACAACTCATTAAGACTAGGGACTCGTGGGGTGGGGGTTATCCTGAAATCATTTGCATGACTTGATTCATTTGTAAATGAAATATCAGAGATGGAAGTGAGAGATTACATTGAATTGTGAAAACACCTCATTACTGACCATCTTCACTGTAGAACAGTACAGTACATTGTGCATGTTAGCTATTTTTAAATTGGAAGCAAAATTGAAAATGCCAGATGATGGCAGTGAGTTCACCAGTGTGTTTCCTGTTTAGCTTCACTAATTTGTTTGCATTGTTTTATTATAGTTGGCCTCCTTTCAACCATCATGAAATAATTCAGAATCACTTCACAAGCCACCTTGTGTTAAGCAAAACTACTGATTAGAATGGCTAAATACATTGCAAATATACTGTTGAAAGATTTTCCTCAAATGACTGGTCAACTGAGTCTTAAAGCAAATTAAAACTTCAGTCATCCTAAATTTTAAAAATCACTGCTCTTTGGAAATAGGAAAAAAATCAATCACTAGACTCATATTCTTGAGCAGACAGAATTTAGTTCAAATTGGAATCTGCTCATGCTAGTTATTTTTATATCAACTTGACTAGCCTAGGGTGCCCAGGTGTTTTGTCAAACACTAGTCTCGATGTCGCTGTAAAGATATTTGTAGATGTGGTAAAATTTATAATCATTTGACTTTAAGTAAAGTAAAACAGATCACCCTCCATAATGTGGATGGGCCTGATCCAATCAGTTGAAGAATTTAAGAGCAAACAGGTTTCCTGAAAAAAAAAAAGCCGTTCTTCCTCAGTATTTCAACACAGAAGCCCTGCCTGAGTTTTCAGCCTATTGGCCTGCTCTGCAGATTTTGGACTCAAGACTGAAACATCAGCTCTTACCTGAATTTCCGGCCAACCAGCTCTACAGATTTCAGACTTGACAATCATGTGAGCCAATTCCTTTAAACAAATATAGACAGAGACATATTTAGATATCTATCATCTCCTCTTAGTTCTGTTTCTCTGAATACCCTAATATACTATATCGTTAGTAGTACACTATAAGATTTTTTAAAGTTTTACTTCATTTTTGTAATTAAATAACAAAACCCTCTTAGTTCAATACTTCATACTTGATCTGATATAGCCACCTGGGCTTCAGTTTCTGAACTATGAAAGACATTTCAGCCCTAAAATGTAATACATTTACCAATATACCTCCCATTATTCCAGATAAAATCTGAAATATCTTCTCATCTAATTCTCTAAAATAATATTTCATCAGATGTCATGAGACTCTCCAAGAGCAAAGATGAAATGATTAATACTTCTGATCTCAATGACACCAAAGTCCCTGTGACATATAGGTTGAGGAGCATAATATAATAATTTTATTTAGAATCACTTAGGTTGACCCCAAGAATGATTTTTTAAAATATTTTAAAATGTAATTGTAAATACGTTTAACAACAGAAGTAACGTGAAATCCTTCTCTCTGGCGATGGAGGGACCAAAAAACCTCAAACATTGCAGCTAATGGAATGTTTGAATTAACCCTGCCTCATCTCCAATTCCTGATTGCTCTCCAAAGATGACCGTGATTTTCGGTTTAGTGTGTAACCATTTTAGTGTAAAACCATTTTGATCTTTTAACATGAATTTGAATTGCATTTTATAAATAAATGATTCATTACATCCCACACCAAATATTTCATTATTACTGTTCACTCCTTCAAATCCTTTCCTGATATACAGAAGCAAATGCCACAATTAATTACGTGTGTGTGTATGTGTGTGTGTGTGTGTAATAGAAATGACATATATATGTGTGTATGTTACCTGAGGCAAATCTGTATGAGTCTGCAGCATCCTCAGTTCTTGCCTCCTCAGAAGAAAGAATTCAACTGAGGGACATGAGGCAGAAAAAAAGAACAAGGTCAAGTTTTAGAGCAGGAGCGAAAGTTGATTAGAAAGCTCTAGAGCAGGAACAAAAGGAAGGAAAGTACACCTGGAAGGGGGCCAAGCGGGCAACTTGACATTTTTGTTTGACATTTTGACTTGGGGTTTTATATGTTGGCATACGTTTAGGGTCTTCCATCCCTTCTCCCCTAATTCTTCCCTTAGAGAGGAATGGGTGGGCTGTCTGCATGCACAGTGGCTGCCAGCACTTGGGAGGGGAGCATGCATAGTTTGTTTACTGCAGTTGTAGGCATGCTCACTTGAGGCATTCTTCCCTTTCCAGCCAAATGTCCCTAGGAGGTCATATACCAGTTAAACTCTGCTATTTTGCCTCTTAATGCACATGCTTGCGCTCACTCGCCCAGCTCCTGAGATCTTATCGGGAAGCTGCTGATCACCAGTTTCAGGTTTTTTCTATCTATAGCAAGACTGACTTTCCCTGATGCTGAGACGAATTATTATTTTAGAGAAACTGTTAACAACCACCTGACCATCACCTGATGGTCGCCTGACATTCCTGGTGTGTGTGTATGGCGGGAGGGGGAGTGCAGGGGAGCCCTTTCCTGCCCTGCTCATGTCTGACTTGCTACGTACTGTAACATGTATATATAAAAAACACTGACTTTTTAAGTTTAATAACAAGCCAAATTATAAACATTGCATCTCTATACAGAAGAAATCTATCTGATGTTTGTTAAGGAACATATGAACTCCTGAAATCTGGGATATTGGATAAATATAGTAAGAAGAAGCACAGCTGAGAATGAAAAAGGTGACAAACAATTCATATTTCAAAGAAAACTACAGGTTAGTCTTGTGAAAGGAAAATAAATCTTGGGGCCCCAGAATCACTAAGCTAAAGGGAAAAGTCAAACTGGGAACTGCTTAGGGCAAACCTGCCTCCCGTTCTATTCAAAGTCACCCCTCTGCTCACTGAGATAAATGCATATCTGATTGCCTCGTTTGGAGAGGCTAATCAGAAACTCAAAAGAACGCAATCATTTTTCTGTTATCTACCTATGACCCGGAAGCGCCTCCCCACTTCAAGTTGTCCTGTCTTCACCACAAGTTGTTCCACCTTTCCAGACTGAACCAATATACCAATGTACATCTTACACATATTGATTGATGTCTTATGTCTCCCTAAAATGTATAAACCCAAGCTGTGCCCCTACCATCTTGGGCACATGTCATCAGGACCTCCTGAGGCTGTGTCACAGGCACGCGTCCTCAACCTTGGCAAAATATACTTTCTAAGTTAACTGAGACCTGTCTCAGATTTTCGGGGTTCACATTTTGGTAACCATGAAGGGATTCTGAGTGGAGATACCCCTGACCTGTGATGAATATCCTATCAGTGCCTGGTACCATCATGAGCTAACTTTATGGCTCAAACAAATAGGACAATTTGCTGAGGTCGGGGGGTACCCCTCCATTGAATCCCTGGTCTCCTAAAATCTGGTCGAGATCTAAAGTTTATTTTGCTGTACAACTCCCTTCTTTTGGGGTTTTACTTGCTTCCAAGAAGGAAGGCAAGATTTCCTGTTTCCATGATGATGGAAGGCAGGTAACTTGTTTCTGGAGTTTGAGCTTGCTCCCAGCAAAGCAACACGAGTTTGAGGGTTTTTTTGGTTTTTTTTTTCCTGCTTCTAGGATGATAGAAAGCAGTCTTCAGCCTGAGACCCATTTCTAGGTAAGTAGCTGAGTTGGGGTTTTGTCTTGGCTAAAGTTTAACAACCAGCTGGTTTTAATTTCTCCTTACCATTAGAGCACTAGGTGACCATATTGTTGGGTGATGGTGGTGGTGGTGTTCATTCCAGTCTTTCTTCTATCAGATTTGACCAACTCTACCTGATTTGGTCAAATCCAAGTTAGAATTCCAAATTATGGGTGACAAAACCTCTCAATTTGGCCAAAATTTCTCACAGCTGCAAAAGAGAAAAAAGCCAAACAAAAAACCCCAAAGAAATCACGCACTTGGTTTCTGTGTTTGCTTCTTATTTTAGAAAAAAAGAGAAAACAAATGTTCATTTACTTTTCTTCCACCCTATATCTCCTTCCCCTTTGCCATCTGCAGTACCAAAAAATCTAGAGAAGGCTTCTAATGACTTGAACCCCTTTAAAGAATTCAGAACAAAGGTGCCACTCATCCCTTTGGGGTGTTCTGTTATCTTTGTGGAGTTTCAAGGGTCATGGGCAATAAAGCTCTGTTTTCCTATATTGCATGACCTGACCTCTTTGGCTCTGGGGGTACCAGAGATGACCTCGTACTGTGAGAGGAATTGACTTTAGCATGTGTAATGGCGGACAAGAGCTACAAAGTAGGGGTGGCTGAGCACGGTTTACAGGAAGTGGTCTTGGCTGGCCTTTTTTCTCTCCCAAAAAGCTGTTCTTTAAGCATCCTAATTCTAGTTCAGAGGTGCATTCTAAGGGGTCTTCTCTGTTGCTTTTTCTCTCAAAATTAATCTCGATTCAGCTTGTCTGTGCACACTTGCATGAGGAACTAAACTGTTGTTCATAGGTAAATGAGAGACTGAGTTTTCTCAGCTCCAAAAAGAAAGGGCATTTGCTCTTCCCAGCCAAAAGGCACCCCTGGGTGACCAAGAGCCTTATGGGAGTGTCTGGGGAGCTGACCCCCTGTGACATGCAGCAGCCCCACAGCGAAATCCCCAATAAAAATTAATGTTAAAAAAAGAGTCATCCAGGAAACGCATATAAGAGCTGATCACCTCATGTTTTGAGCCCTCTCAGAGGTGATAGACCTTTGGAGAGAGAAACCGAGACATGTAAGAGGGCAGAAACGGCTCAGTGGCGACACACTATGTGTGCCCACAAGCAGCACACATTGATCCACCACACAAAAATTCTAGGCCACTCCTCAGTTCTTCTTTTTTTTTTTTTTTTTTGAGACAGAGTCTAGCTCTGTCACCAGGCTGGAGTTCAGTGGTGCGATGTCAGCTCACTGCAACCTCCTACTCCCAGGTCCAAGCGATTCTCCTGCCTCAGCCTCCCAAGTAGCTGGGGTTACAGGCATGTGCCACCATGCCCAGCTGATTATTGTATTTTTAATAGAGACAGGGTTTCACCGTGTTAGCCAGGATGATCTCGATCTCCTGACCTCGTGATCCACCCACCTCAGCCTCCCAAAGTGCTGGGATTACAGGCTTGAGCCACCGTGCCCCGCATCAGTTCTTCCTTTTAAGAAAAAAAAGTGGGAAACAATCTAAGAATGAGAAGAAAAGGAGAATGACCCCCTTTCAAGCACTCTGTAGGTTTTATGGCAACTCTACTTGCCAGAGTTTATGTAAAATGGAAGTAATATGGTCTTTGTGCACATTTACATTAAGGAAAAAGAGCCCTGGGGTTGACCTGCAAACTACAGAGTTCCTAAGTTCTCTTTTCTCATTTTTCTTTTCTGCCTGCTTTAAATCTGCTGTTATTTTTTTATTAAGATAAAAACCACTGTTTGGATCCAACAGATTCTTTTTGCAAGCCAGTGAGTTTGTATTTATCTCATGGCTAAAGTTCTGAAGTAAAAGCTATAGGATCTTTGTGTGTGTGTATTTATGTGTTTGTGTATATATTTAAAAGGCCTTTGTAATTTCTATAATTTTATATTTAATTGGCAATTAAATCCATTTTAGTTTTTCTCTAGCACACCACACTTCTTCTCTCTGTACCTTATGAAGTAAATTTTGCTATTTGATTTTCACCTGAGTTGTTTCCTTTAATATGCAAATTTAAGGCTATTTAGCTGACAACTGCCTGGGGTAGTAAAGCAGGTTATCAATAATTTGAAAGTCTAAGATAGAATTAAAAAGGTTTTTATGACTCTGTAAGATGTAGTTCTATTGACATGTCTAATATGTCTATGTATTTAAGTGTTGTGTACACAATGTTTCACTACTGAAAATATATAAAGAGCTCTAATTAATTGGCTTAAGAAAACAAAAGTGTCTGAATCAAAAGCTTTATTGAAAAAAGACAAAACTAGTCAAATGCTTTTTCAAATTTAAATAACTTAAGTAAAATATTTAATAAATAAGCTATCTTTGAAATTACTGGTAAAGTAATATTATAAATGTCTTAAGAATTGCCAGCATACATTTTTGTTTGCATTTATTAAACAAGCAATTTCATACTTATACCTGCCAAATACTATAAGGTTTCAAAATTTGGCATAGTGGTTACAAAACTATAAATCCAGCCCAAAACAGAATGATCTCTGCTTGTGTAATCTATAATAAATAAGACATTGATATTCGTTTAAGAAAAATAGCTATATCTTGAATTTAGTAAAATTACTGCAACTTCTAATCTTGTGGCTTTATGAAATTTAGTCCAAAGGTAGTAAGGTTTGTTTTGGGAAGGGACTATTACCATTTGTTTCAAAGCTAAACTATCAGCAAAGTTCCTCCCAAAATTAGTTTGGCCTATGCCCAGAAATGAACAAGGATAGCTTGGAGGTTAGAAACAAGATGGAGTCAGGTCAGATCTTTTTCACTGTCTCAGTTATAATTTTGCAATGACAATTCCATAACTTTAAATGATGACTATTGCAGTTTTCATAAATAATCTAGGTAAATGATTAAAATAAAATAATTAGGTAAATGTAATGGGATAAATATACGTAGACAAACTCATCATAATTTAGAATCTAAAGTTAAATTAAATAATAGATATTTTATTATTTGAGTATTTTTTCCAATAAAAATATATTTGTAGGGAAACATTCTTTCTAAAAAAGGTGTGTTCATTTTAAAAAGGTTAACAATTTTTGTCTAAATCAAAGCTTATATAAATTTTATGTATAAGACAAGGTAAAAGGAACCAGGAAATAAGAGAAATTTAAAGAAAGTTATAAAAATAAAGAGGTGGTTTTTTTGGGGGGAAGAAAGCTTAAAGAGAAATAATTTTATGTGAGAAAGAATCTTGTATGGTAGATTTAGTCCTAGAATAAAACGACTATTTTTGAAGAAAGAAGGATGTTCAGGACAAACCAGAAAGTCCAAGCATATCATGAACGGTCTGTGTAAGTCACAAGAGGATTTATTTTAAAAAAGCAGAAACTTTTATGTGATCAATCTGTCTATTAATTAAAGAGAAATTATAATGGTCTTTCTAGAGATTACGCTTGAGGTAAAAAAAAAATACTTATATGCTAAATAATTTGTTAGAACAATTAATTTTTTTAAACCCAAAGTTCAACTTTTATTGCATCTCCCTAATTTTAGTTTTCTCTCCCCTTTTAAAGGGTACAAAATAGTAACACTCCCCTTCAACTCATTTTCGGTTCATGTAAGATTTTTTCCTCGAGTTCTATTTGTTGTGGCCTGATGCTAACAATGTTTTCTTAAAGGTCTAAAGGAAATGTTTTCTTTCAACATAATATACTGTGCAATGCAGAAGGTCTTTTCTTTTGCCTTTTGGTAACTGGCCCAAAAGATTTTATGGTTTATCAAAACAATTCCTATGCCATTATTATTAAGTTTTGGTTTGCTTAGGAAGAAAAGAGAAAAAAAAATTTTTTAATGAAGGTTATTATGTCCATGTATCTTTCTGTGTGTGCTTTTAAAGTACTTGTGAAATTGAGTTACAGGGTTTTGACTCCTGGGTCTAGAAAGGACACCAATTCCTGCTAAATCTTAAACACTGACAGCAATTAGAGCCTCATCTTCAGGCCCAGTAGAAGATACCAATCAAAATATACTACATTCCTGAGACACAGGGCCAGAAAATAAAGCTATTCAACTCCTCAAGGCCCCAGGACTATAGCAGAAGAGATGGACATGTGAGATTGTAAAGGCCAATTTTGAGAGATAAAATAAGTTCAGTTTCCCTATAAATTAATCATTAATGTAAAGACACAGTGATACAAGATCAGCATATGGGCCCCTATGTCAGATTAACAAGGTTTTCTTGAAGCATTAACCAACTCCTTAATAAAGGTTATAAAGGTTATAAAAGGCTTATAGAAGTTATATCTTACAATCAAGATTAAAATTTTATAGATTGTTTATAAAATTTTGAAAAACAAATTTAATTGGCTTCATGCTGTTTTTATTAGGGCTTATTATTTGGAAAATTAAGTCTCCTCTCTCAAAAAATGAAGGTTTTTGCTTTTTTTTTTTTAAATCCTCAAGTTAGCACTTTGGTCAAATTAATGACTTATTTTACAATGGCCTGTGATATCAAGTGTTTTAAACCTTTGATATTTGACAAACCTTTCAAAAGCAAACTATAAATTATGTCTTTTTCTGACCTAATTAAATCTTTAAGATATTAGGTTCCCTGAAGTCCAAAAATGACATAATTTGGTTTATTTGGTATAAAAATTATACAGGAAACATTGTCAAATATGAAATGGTGTTTGGTTTTTTTGGGCTGTATTTGTATAAATATGTTATTGGTATGTTCTCCAAAATTATGGGAAACTCCTATAATTCTGATATGACTTAGTATACATTATCAGTAATAATTATAATTGTTATGTTAAATTTTTGTGTGCCACAGAGGTAAAAATTTCCTTGTCAATTGTGTTCTCAACTATGGCTGCCCTAAAACTTTTTGTCATCCATGGACAATCGTTGTCTTGTTTTGGTCCTCTTTGGAAGGTGGTTTTATAATCAGCTCTAAAACTCTAACAGGTGCTTTTGAATACAAGTTTTTTGAAAACTTTGGCGATTGTGACATCAGGATAGAAGAAAAACTTTTAGGACTCATGGAGAACAGAAATGTTCATGAATATCAAGCAGAACAGAAATTAACTACATGGACTGAACTAATAGCAGGCAGAAGCAATCTTTTTGACTTTTTGCTTAAGACATTGCTGATCCTTTGTTTTATTTTTTCAGAGTAAAGGAAACTTTTCTTTTGAGATATTGATGCTTTTAATAATTTAGTATGCTCCTGTGAACAAAATTTAGAACATATTGACTTCGCTCTACCTGATTTCTCCAGAATTTGGAAACTATTTTTGAGTATTCTTAACTAATGGCAATATAGTTATTTGTATAAATGCAATAAGAATCTGTTTTCATTTATAACAGAACACAACTGGAGAAACTGGTTATAAGGCTTTGACTGGAATGCTGTGCTTTCCTTTAAGGAATCAAACTTGACTTATGGGAAAACTGCCCTCATACCTTGTACATACAGTCTCTGTACAGGGTTCCTGACCTGTGGTAAGTAAAGAATGTCATTTTCTGACAGGCACAGGAGCCCCAAGTTTATCTCGGAATCTCAAGAGGAGAGGAATTCACCCAACTTATAGGTATTTGATGTTATAAATCCATGGTTGGACTCGGCTTTAAAAAAAAGTCTTTTCTGAGATTCCCTCTATAGAACAAAGTTCCATCAAAGCCAATTTAAAAGCCTATGTAAGAAAATAATTATTCCTGCTGCACTGTATACAAATAATCAGGCCAAGTAAAACAAAGCAAACCGGTCCTACCATGCTTTGTCTTTACTAAAAATGGAAAACTGGAGATAGAAAAATTATTTTCCAAAAACTACAGTACACCAGTTGTTAGATTCTAGTCTTGCCTAATGTTTTTCAGTGTTAATTATTTTCTGCAGTTTGAACTGAATTCTAATTTTTCTTGGCTATAAGTCTTCAGAATAATGTTTTCCATTTTTTTCCTTCTTTTTTCCCCATTTTTCCTAATTTGGAGTCACTGAAAACTAAGCTGTGCTTTCATAAAGCCCTGTGAACTGAAGCTAGACAACTTAAACTTCAGAAGAAAATAATAGCAACCTATTTACATACACAAGCCACTTTCATACCTGCCTACTGATGTATGGAATTCAGAGTAATGTGGCCTATACTGATTTTCCAGGATTATTCTTTTTTTGTTTGTTGTGTTTCATTTTTTTGAGACAGAGTCTAGCTCTGTTGCCCTGGCTGGAGTACAGTGGCACGATCTCGGCTCACTGCAACTTTTGCCTCCCAGGTTCAAGTGATTTTCCTACCTCAGCCTCCTGATTAGCTGGGATTACAGGCACGTACCACTGTGCCTGGCTGATTTTTTGTATTTTTAGTAAAGATGGGGTTTCACTGGTCTTGAACTCCTGACCTCAAATGATCAGCCCTCCTTGGCCTCCCAAAGTTCTGGGATTACAGGCATTAGCACCACACCTGGCCTTCCAGAATTGTTCTTTGGCTTGTTGTTGTTTTTCTTCCTTCCTCCCCCTACTTTTTCTTTACAGGACATGAGACTTCACAACCTGCTAACAATGAACTTTCCTAATAACTCAGGACCTACCAATCTAGGAATAAACCATCCCAGCCATGACAGATCAGAGGAAACATGAGACCAGAGACTCATTTTCTCCTAAAATTCTTTCTCCAAAAGATTTTTAAAAATAAAAAGGGGGAAATGTGACAGGAAAATAAGTCTCGGGGCCCAAAATCACTAAGCTAAATGGAAAAGTCAAGCTGTGAACTGCTTAGAGCAAACCTGCCTCCCATTCTATTCAGTCACCCTGCTGCTCATTGAAACAAATGCGTATATGATTGCCTTATTTGGAGAGGCTAATCAGAAACTCAAAAGAATGCAACCATTTGCCTCTTATCTGCCTATGACCTGGGAGCTCCCTCCCTGCTTCAAGTTGTCCTGCCTTCATCTCGAGTTGTCCCACCTTTCCAGACTGAACCAATGTACATCTTACACATATTGATTGATGTCTTATGTCTCCCTAAAATGTATAAACCTAAGCTATGCCCCTACCACCTTGAGCATATATCATCAGGACCGCCTGAGGCTGTGTCATAGGTGCATGTCCTCAACCTTGGCAAAATAAACTTTCCGAATTAACTGAGACCTGTCTCAGATTTTCAGGGTTCACAGTCTCTAATTCATTTATCTTTTTTTCTGTAGGATTTTAGTAACCAAAGTAGACTACAAAAATGTAGAAAAGTAGACTTTAGCCACTATATTAGAAAAGTATATGAAATAACAGACAGTATTTAATTTTACTCTTAAATATTTAAGAACGTTAGGGATTTCATCTCTCATCAATCACAATTCATTGTTTGGCATTTGAATTTTCCTCCCTATTTCATCACTTTATAACATGACTGAGGAAAATTTAAAAAACAACAACTTGATTTGAAAGTCAGAGTCACATGTATTTAACCCTTCCCCAAATATAGTTGTTTCTCATATCCCAGCTTGGAAAGGTAGCATCACAGAAAATTGCATTGACTTCAACATGAAGTGGTCTTAGGTTAACTGCTTTGGAGAGGAAAGGAAGAGAGAGAGAGTAAGGATTTATCAGCTGCAAAAGCTGAATAGTCATTTGGATACCAGTGGTGTCACATTTGCCTAACATCTGGGGACATGACTGACCTTTTTTCTAAGCATTTGTATTAGTCCATTTTCATGCTGCTGATTAAGACATAACCCGGACTGGGAAGAAAAAGAGGCTTAACTGGACTTACAGTTCCACATGGCTGAGGAGGCCTCAGAATCATGGTGGAAAGCAAAAGGTACTTCTTACGTGGCAGCGGCAAGAGAAAATGAGGAAGAAGCAAAAGTGGAAACCCCTGATAAACCTATCAGATCTCGTGAGACTTATTCACTACCACGAGAATAGCACAGGAAAGACTGGCCTCCATGATTCAATTACCTCCCCCTGGGTCCATCCCACAACAGGTGGGAATTCTGGGAGATACAATTCAAGTTGAGATTTGGATGGGGACACAGCCAAACCATATCAGCATTTATATTCATATAGCTATACCTGTAGAAATATTGTAGAGCTTATGGTCCAGAATCTGTAGACAAACTGCCTAGGTATAAATCCTTGCTCCATCACTTATTAGCTGTATGACTGGGCAAGCCACTTACCCTCTCCGTGCCCTAGTTCTCAAATTTGTAAAATGAAGATAATAATAGTGCCAGATTTGTAGATTTGTTTGGAGGATCAAATGAGTTCATGCATGTGAAGCACTTAGAACAGTGTCTAGCACATCATAAGCACTATAAACTATTAGCTATTATCATCCTCCTCTTTTTTTCCTAACATCAATGGCATCCTACTGTATGTTATTCTGCAGACTTGTTTGTTTAATTCATTAATGTATTTTGGAAATAGTTCCACAGTATTACAGGTAAAATTTGCCTCTTTTTTTTTTAACTACTTCAAGTCTAATTTTCCATATAATGATTTCAAACCGTTCCTTAGTACCTAAAAGAAATGTCTACATTTACCACAACAGCTTACCTCTTTTGATTCAGTGAACTAAAGTAGGGGGGAAGTGCATGATAAACTAAAATGTGTTATGGAAATGTTAATGTATGTCTGTCTTTACCAGGTGTCCAATGGGGAAGGAGGTGAGAAGCGTCTGCTTTGCCTGGGACTGACCCATTACCACTCATGGTAGCCTCCGTTCATCTTTGAGTCTTGCTTGCATTTCCTAAAGACAGTGACTCACCAGAGATGCACAGCAGAGTAGCAGGGAAAGCTACCATTCTCTGACTGTCCTACCTCTCCCTGCCAGCAACTTAAGTTGCTGCTTCACTACTTTGAATGAACCTACATGTGTAGGGTTGTTTTGGTTTTTGTTTGGTTGTTTTTTTGCTTGTTTGTTTCTTACAAGCTCAAAGAGTGGAAGCTGCATGTGTATTTAAAGAAAGGCAAGGGGAGGTCTATGATTGACATGGTAAGGTGACAGGCACATTGGGGACCTGCTTTCAGAGTCCACTTCCAGGGCATAGCCTCCTCCAGACCCAGAAAGGATTAGGAACCGCTGCCACTTCATCTCGTGCTCTTGGCATCCATGCTGTACGGGTCTTTCACACCTCAAAAACTGGGGAGGACAAAATAAAAGGGCACTGTGGCAGGGGAGAGTGGGAGACGCCTTCCTCTGATCTTCTCAGCATTCATTCCCCTCAGGCTGTCCCTCAGGTGGTCTTTCTGCTGCCACAGCACCTGGTACAGGGCCTGGTACCAAGCAGGCATGCCACAAATGTTTACTGATTAAAGCAATAAATTGATTGAACCTTCACTTACCTTATCAGGACAAAGTGTATTTGACATTTTTAAAAGGTTGGGGAAGGGGTTCTGCTAGCAACATAGACATTTAAAAGCAGAAAAACATCTAAGATAATAGAATTATGTGAGGAAAAACGAAATTTTTTTGTGTGTTTTTAAAGGTATCAGGAGAGGAATACACTAGAAGGAAAAAAATAACCTGGAAAGGATAGCGATTTGCTGACGGGCACTCTAACAACCTAAAAAGACATGACTCGCTCCCAGCACCTGTTGGCCTTGGAAGCTTCTGATAAAGTGCAGCACGCCTTGGGTAGAAGTCCTGCTGGGGGCTGATTCCTGGAGGGGAGTGAGCAGGGCTCCAGAAACGGACTCAGAGGCTGCTGAAGGGAGGCCCACCCAGAGGGCCAGAATTTCCAGCCCCTGTTCCTTTTCAGGGCAAGCTCCAGGGACCTGCAATTCCTTTTGTGATTCATTCTCAGAAAAACTTTTCTGCCCTTATTTTGCCACATGGCCACCACTGCATTCTCCTTGACTTTGACAGCAGGACTCCACACCACCCTGGGCTTCTACCTCAGGCCTCATAGTTTCTTCCTCAGCCAACGCAAGAGTGGCTGCCCCAGCTTTTGTGGGCCTCTTCTTTCCTCGCTCCCATACACACCTGAGCAATCTCTGCCACTCCCCTGACTGTCACCTCCATCTTTGGACTGATGACTCTGTCCCAGGCACAGACCTTAGTGCCCTTGGCCCACTGAGTCCCTCCTCGTGATGGCCCACAGGTTCCCCCGGTTCAGTGTGTTCAAGGCATTCATCAGCTTCTCCACTAAAAAAGAAAACAAACCATCTATCCTCTGGCCTTCCCGTTTGCCAACAGCACTGTCCTCAGTCACCCACGCCAGAAACCTGGAGTCTTCCTTGGCCCATGCTCTCTACTCCACACCCACCCACCCACCCACCCACCCAGCTCTGCCAAATATAACTCCTCATCATCTTAGAAGGCCTCTCCAATTCTTCACCTCCCACTCCCTCTCAGGGATCTGTCCCCGCAGTTCCATATATTCTCTTAAGCACACATTTAAGATCGCTCCACTGACAAAATGGCTCTCTTTCCAATGGTTCCCTGTCCCCAGAGGACAAATTGCAAGCTGTTAGCATTACATTCATGGCCCTTCATCACTGGGCCTCCACTGCCATCTTCAATCTGATCTCTCATCATGCGCTCCAGGTGGTACAGTGCCCTAGGCCCTCTCTTGCCTCTGCACCTTTGCACATCTCATCTCATCTTCTAGGAAATCTCTCAACCTTTGCCTAGCGAATTCCAAACTTTTTCTTCAAGACTGAGTCCAAGGATCCTTTTCTTCAAAAAGCCTTTACTAACACCACTCCCATGAGCCCTCTGGGGTGAGGTGTGCCTCATCTGTTCTCCCCTGCTATGCTCACCTACCTCTGTCATAGCATGGCCACCCTGTGTCATCAGCATCTAATCTATTGTCTCTTTCCTCCCTCTCTTAGACCCTCCCCGCGTTGCCTGATCTGTTAAGAGCAGAAATTGACTATCTTTGTGCCTGCTGTGGTTTGAATGTTTGTGCCCCTCCAGATTTCATGTTGAAACTTAATCCACAATGCAGCAGCATTAAAATGTGGGGCTATAAGGAGGTGATTAGGCCATGGGGCTGGAGCCCTCATGAATGGATTAGTGCCTTATAAAGGGCTTGCAGGGGCAAGTTTGCCCTTCCACTCTTCTGCCCATGAGGACACAGTGTTTGTCCCCTTTTCGCTCTTCTGTCCCTTCTGCCAAGTGAGGACATCTGGACGGTACTGTCTATGAACAAGTGGCCTTCACCAGACACTGAACCTGCCTTGATCTTGGACTTCCCAGCCTCCAGAACTGTGAGAATATAAATTTCTGTTTTTCATAAATTATTCAGTCTCATGTATTTGGTTATAGCAGCACAGGAAGACTAAAACAGTATCCCTACCCCCAGGACAGTATCTGCTCACTTAGTGAGTGCATCAATAAATTTCACTGAATTACGACTGTCCTAAAACAACACTTATTCCTTAGATTAGCTCCAGAAACACAGAAGCCCCTGACAGTGCTCCAAAAGACATAGAACCTGAGGCCAGGATCACTTCAGCTTCTGCCAGGGAAAACCCCCCTTTTTGAGGCTGGGTCAGAAACAGTCAGCCTGTGAATATTTTAGGAATGAGAGATGAGGCAGATCCCCCTGGGGCATTTTGACATTTTGCCATCCACCAAGCTGGGAAGTATGCCTCATTCTTAACCAGATGGTCTTTGAGCTGGTATTTCTGCCCAGTCACATGTCTGAGTTGATGCAATTGTGTTCCAGAGGTCATAAGAGAAAAGCTGCTGGCGAATGTATCTGAAAGAGGCAGCCCCTCGTTTTTGTTTCTGTGGCAAAGGTTTTCACAACAATCAGCCTTCTCAAGAAGTGTACACACAGCTTGCCTGACCAGACCATGGTGGGAGACACAGCATGAGCTGTGGTCAGGTGGAAAACATCACAGACAGCTCAGAGGATGACACACGTACACTGTGCCTTATGAGAAATAAGAACAGAAATCTGAGTCCTGGAGAGTTTTCAAGTGGATCCCAAGACCAAATGGTGTGGTTCTTCATCCAAATGTAAAGAGTAAAGAAACAAGATGGACTATTCCACTGGGCCCATCTTGTTTCTTTACAACAGAGGGATATTTGAACTTTTCATTTTTGTAAGAGGTTCTGTAAATGTGTCAGTTAAGAGTTCAGAATGAAAGTGGAAATGGTGTGCTATCGATGATGGCTTCCCTTGCTTACACCTTGCAGCGCTCACATTGATCTAGCCCAAAGAGTTTGCAGAAAGGAGGTCGGCAGCAAATTAGGGATCCAATCTGTCCCCTACACCACATCTCAGAGTCCCCAGAGAATCCTGGGGAGGACAGGGCTGGTCTGATGTGTTAGCAGAGACAAAAGCCAGGCTACTCCAAGAGAGGCCAAAAGAGCATTTTTCAAATGAATTTTTTCCCTGCCTTCATTCCCCACCCACAGCCTTGTCCCTGAAGTGGCAAGTTAGTTCCACAAGGCTTCTGTGGGCTCACGGCATCAGTGCCATTGCTCTGTCATCAACCCCTTCATGTTAGCATCCACCAAAATAAATTCCCTTTTGGTTGTCCACTGTTGCTGTCTCCTCAATGGTATCTCCAACCACGCAGCCTATGCTGCAGCCACTGATATAATAGTCTCCCCGCTTCCTAGCTGTGAGGCCCCTCCAGATCTCCTGTTCTCAGGCTTTTGCCAGCCACTCTTCCAAGCATGCTGAGCATACAGGACATCCCTCAGACTGCCAGAGCCCCACCTGATCTTCCCTGCCACAGTGGCCTCAGGAATGCCCTGTGGGCCTTGCTACTTCTCACAAGCAAGTGGACTCTCCCAGCTTGTCTCTATAAGCTGATCTGACTTGGCTGGAGGATGAAGGGGCACAAGGGTGATATAGGACCCCTTCTTTGGGACTCCAACCAATAGCTCACTTTCTTTCCTATTGAACTCTTCTCCGCATTCCCCAGCCTAGTAAGTTTTTCGACAAAGTTGGGCTACCGGGGATAACGAGACTATGCTCTTGTTCTGTTCTAGGTTCGACAACTATTGTTTTTTGTTTCCTTGGTTTATTTTTTCAAGACATAGCCTCACTCTGTTGCCCAGACTGCAGGGCAGTGGTGTGATCTTAGTGTTCACTGCAGCCTCAACCTTCCAGGCTCTGGCGATCCTCCTGCCTCAACCTCTGAAGTAGCTGGGACCACTGGCAGGTGCCACCACACCTGGCTAATTTTTAAATTATTTGTAGAAATGGAATCTCACTATGTTACCCAGGTTGGTTTTGAACTCCTGGGCTCAAGTGATCCTCCTACCTTGGTCTCCTAAAGCGCTGGGATTAAAGGAATGAGTCACTGCACCCAGTCTGATGTCTATTGTTTAGACCAGGATTTCAGTTCAGGACTGAAAACATCTAGGCTCTCAGAACTCAAAGATTCTTTTTCTTTCCAGTCAACTAACTCTGTCTTGAGTTTCAAAACTCAGTATCTTTAAATCAACTTTATTGATATATAAGTAACATACAACAAATACATTCATTTTAAGGATACAGTTCAATGACTTTTGACAATTATATATACTAATGCAACCATTACCACTGTGAAGAGAAAGAATATTTTTCTCACTCCAAAAAGTTCTCTCTTGCCTAGGTTGCCTGATCTTAAGTAACCACTGATCTGCTCTCACTTTAGATTAGATTTGCCTTTTTCTTTAACCGATATGTTATGTTTTGCTTTTTTCACTTACTATAATGTTTTGAGATGTATCCACATTGTTTCATGCATGTTGTTGCAATAAAAACTTTATTCCTTTTTATTGTTGACTAGTATTCCTTTGTACACATATACCACAGCTTCTTCATTCTTTCACCTGTCTGGGTTATTTCTTATTTGCAGCTATTATTAATAAAACTTCTTTGAATAAATCTTTACATGGACAGAAGTTTTTACTTCTCCTGGATTAATACTTAAGAATGGAATTGCTGTTATGAATGGTAAGTGTGTGTTTAACTTAATAAGAAACTGCTAAATTGTATTTCCAAAGTAGTTGTATCATTTTATATTTCCACCATAGTATATGCAACTTCCAGTTGCTCCATATCCTCACTAACATTCAGTACTACCAGGCTTCTCAATTTTATCCATTCTGGTAGGTGGACATATTGTAATATCACATTGCATTTCCCTGGTGAATAACGCATTTGAGCATCTTTTCCTGTGCTTAATGGTGATTTACACATTTCTTTAGTGAAGTATCTGATAAAATCTTTTGCCCATATTTAATTTCCTTGTCTATCATATTATGAGAGTTGTTTTGTGTTTTGTAGCTCTCTTAGGATTTTCTACATAAACAATCATGCTAACTGCAAGCAAAGATAGTTTTGCTTCTTCTCTTCCATTCTTGATGACTTTTCTTTTTCTTGCCTTACTGTGCTAACAACCTCCAGTACAATGTTGAATTCGAGTGGTTAAGAGCAAGCATCCTTGCGTTGTTCCCAATTTTGGATAGAAAACATTTCAACCTTTCACCATTAAGTAAAATACCGCTGCAGGGTTTTTGTAGAACCCCTTTGTTAGGTTGAGGAAGTTTCCTTCTATTCCTGGTTGGCTGAGAGACTATCTCTCATGAAATATTATTTATGGGCCAGGCATGGTGGCTCATGCCTGTAATCCCAGCACTTTGGGAGGCCAAGGCAGGTGGATCATGAGGTCAGGAGTTCAAGACCAGCCTGGCCAATATGGTGAAACCCCGTCTCTACTAAAAATACAAAAATTAGCCAGGCATGGTGGCGCACACCTGTAGTCCCAGCTACTCTGGAGGCTGAGGCAGAAGAATCACTTAAATCAGGGAGGCAGAGGTTGCAGCGAGCTGAGATCGTGCCACTGCACTCCAGCCTGAATGACAAAGTGAGACTCTATCTCAAAAAAAAAAAAATATATATATATATATAAAATTTATATTCATTACAGCTTCTAAATGATGGTAGTTAGTAGGCAGACTCCTAGATCTTATTGTTTAATGAGTTAACAATTAGGCCTTTATATTAATATGTAATAATTTTTTAAATGTTTGATACTATATTTCAATATAATTTATTTTCTTCTGTAATAAAGGAGGCCTATTCTAGAGACTATGCTATGTCAAGTCATCAAGTCCATCAGAGTGGTGTGCAGGAATGGCACAGTCAAGCACTTTTGTTTATCCAAATGACAATGGACTAGAAGGCTTTGAGAAGGGGGGGCTCAGAATCAATTTCTGTTTACAAAATGGTATATATATATATATATATAATTTTTGTGTGTGTATATTTATATGGCATACCATATACAATGGTATATCTATGTGTATACCATGTACACACACACACACACACACACACACACATATATACACCAATCAAACCAATATACATTTGGTTTTCTTCGTAATTCTATGTATTTTATCTTGTACATTTAAAAATCGTATTTTGAGAAAGGGTGCCTAGGATTCAACAGATTACCAAAGGAGTCCATAGCACTACAAACTGCAAAAGCCTCCCTGTTTTAGAGGATGAGATAGAAGGGAGAGCCAAAAGGAGATTGTGTGGGGAGAGGGTGGACTGAGAGACCCGAATAAGGTGGTTCAAGAAGAAAAGACTCAAATGCTGCCAAGTCCAGTGAGATTAGGAGTGAGAATTGACTGTTGCTTTTGTTTGCCTGCTTACTGTTTTCTTTTATTTATTTGTTTTTGGACCTGTGGCACAAAGGATCTGTTTACTGACCATCCTTATTGTGAGGCACACAGTCACCATGGCACCCTGCGCGTTACTCCTGTTCCACTTGTTTATTCTCTGTATCCCCATACTCTACTCCTATCTGCTGCATTTCCATGAGAATCTTTTTGTCTGCATATGTATTTTCTTAAATAGATTTTATTTTTTGGAATCATTTTAGATTTCTGAACATATAAAAATTGAGAATATAGTACAGAGAGTTCCCCATACCCCACATGCAGTTTCCCACATTATTAACATCTTACATTAGTATGGTGCATTTATTAGAATTCATGAACTGCTGGACACGGTGGCTCACACCTGTAATCCCAGCACTTTGGGAGGCCAAGGTGGGTGGATCACAAGGTCAGGAGTTCCAGATCAACCTGGCCAACATGATGAAACCCTGTCTCTACTAAAAATACAAAAAAAAAAAATTGCTGGGCATGGTGGCAGGCACCTCTAATCCCAGCTACTAGGTAGGCTGAGGCAGGAGAATCTCTTGAACCTGGGAGGCGGAGGTTGCAGTGAGCAGAGATCACACCACTGCACTCCAGCCTGGGTGACAGTGCAAGACTCCATCTCAAAAAGAAAAAAAAAAAAAAAAGAATATCTCTCCATTTAACCCCCACCCCCACTTTTTTTTTTTTTTTTTTTTTTTTGCCACAGGGTTTGTCTCCTGTCTCCCAGGCTGGAATGCAGTGGTGTGCTCTTGGCTCACTACAACCTCTGGGTTCAAGCAATCCTCTTGCCTCAGACTCCTGAGTAGCTGGGATTACAGGCATGTGCCACCACACCCGGCTAATTTTCATATTTTTAGTAGAGACGGGGTTTCACCATGTTGGCCAGGCTGGTCTCGAACACCTGACCTCAAGTGATCTGGCTTCCTCGGCCTCTCAAAGTGTCGGGATTACAGGTGTGAGCCACTGTGGTCAGCTTTAGCCAGATCCCTTTCTATGTCCCTTACTAGCACTTTAAAGTTTACTTCATAGAAATATTATATTTTTGTCTTAGAATATTTTATTCTTGTCTTAATCCTATAAAGTTTTTGTTGCTATTATGAATAGTGTAAATTAACCTGCCATAATGCAATAAAATTAGATGTTAACAACCAAAGGATACCTTTTTAAAACTGAAATGTTTACTAAACACAAGGGTTTTAGGTGATAATAGAAAAACTCCATGCCAAAATCTGAGATTTGCCTAAGCATTTCTCAGAAGGAAATTTATAGCTTTAAATAAATTTTTCAAAAACAGGAAATATTAAAATAAATTACCCAGGTCTTTAAGTTCTTTTGAGTTGGGCTCTCTGGAAGTTGCAGTCAAAAGCATCCTCATGATACTAGGCCTTCAGTTTTTATAAAGGTTGTCAGCTCCCCCAATCTTAATTGATGTTTAAAGTCTATGAATTAGCTGAGTGTGGTGGTGCACACCTGTAATCCCAGCTACTTGGGAGGCTGAGGCAGGAAGATGGCTTGAGCCCAAGAGTTCAAGGTTACAGTGAGCCATGATCACGCCACTGCACTCCAGCTTGGGTATCTCTTCCTGACTTCCTGGGTCCAAAATACAGAAGCTAGCTCCTTTCCTCTTTTCTCCTTTTCTTTTTATTGGTCAATAAATCACAACCCTGGAGAAATCTTGGATATTTCTTGGTTTAATAGATTCATAGCCGGGTAGAAGGAGTATTTTACAGGCAGAAAGAAGAACAGCAAAGGCACATTCAAAGACAGGATGATCCGATGGGAAAACTGTGCAGGTGGTGCGGGAAACATTAAAAAGACATATTTAGAAGCCCTCCTGGAAGGGCACACAGGAAACAAATAGGGGAACTGAAATAAAAATGGAAAGGAAGACTTTTCACCATATACCTAGGTGCTTTTTTGAGCCATGTGACTATAAAATCTACTCTAAAAAGAATTAAAATTATTTTTTAAAAAATTAAGATCCCAATTTGGAAGGCCTAAATGCTAAGGAGTTAGGATGTTTTCTTTTCAGCAACACTGAATGACATTATTTATTTACGTGGCATTTAAGAAAATAGAGTCTGGCATCAGAGGACAGGGTAGAAGGTGGTGGGAGGATCTAGCACCTTTTTAGATACTTTGAAAGCAGAGGCTTCGGCCGGGCATGGTGGCTCATGCCTGTAATCCCAGCACTTTGGGAGGCCAAGGTGGGTGGATCAGCTGAGGTCAGGAGTTCGAGACCAGCCTGGCCAACATGGTGAAACCACGTCTCTACTAAAAATACAAAAATTAGCTGAGTGTGGTGGCACACACCTGTAATCCCAGCTACTCCGGAGGCTGAGGCAGGAGAATTGCTTGAACCTGGGAGGCGAAGGTTGCAGTGAGCCGAAATCGTGCCATTGCACTCCAGCCTGGCGACAAGAGTGAAACTCCATCTTTAAAAAAAAGAATGTGGAGGCTTAAACTTTTGTTTGTAGCTCTGGTTAGTGGTTTCCACCCATTAGGGTCTCATAGCATATTCACTGCTACTGTGGTTATTATTGCTGTGACTGAAGATAATAGCATTCATGATGGTGAGGACCATGAGGATGCAATGATACCATTTGGTACAGTAGGGATTCAGGAAGCTTTGGAGTAATACACACAGAGGCAATGTTTGATGCTGACTCGTCAAAATCCCATCTCCCCCACCTGACAACCACTGGTCTAGTTCAGAATGCTGATCTTGTTGCCGATTTTCATTTCTTTCCCATCCAAAGGATCCTTTACACAGTGAGGTCACCCATGTTCTCCAGAGATCCGTCTCCTTCCCAGAATCTTACATTGAGTCCCAAAGGCTGTTCAGATCCAAATTTCTCACTAATTGCTTCCCTGCCTCAACTCTCTTCTTCCCTATTATATAATAGGCCAGCTCTGGCCCTCCACTCCAATGAGAAGCCTGTTTGGCCTTCAAATGCAGTTGTTATAGGTATCCTTGCCCATCCTTTCTGCCATGATTTTCATCTCAAAATTCTACTCAAACATCACCTTCACTCAAAAAACATTTAGGGCCAGGCGCAGTGGCTCATGCCTGAAATCCCAGCACTTTAGGAGGCCGAGGTGGGGGATCACTTGAGGTCAGGAGTTCGAGACCAGCCTGTCCAACATAGTGAAACCCTGTCTTTACTAAAAATTCAAAATTAGGCAGGCGTGGTGGTGGGCGCCTGTAATCCCAGCTACTTGGGAGGCTGAGGCAGGAGAATCACTTGAACTCAGGAGGCAGAGGTTGCAGTGAGCCAAGATTGCGTCGCTGCACTCCAGCCTGGGCAACAAGAGCAAAACTCCGTCTGGAAAAAAAAAATCACATACCTTTTTAACAATTAATAAAATAGAGTTTTTGCCATTGTGAAATGCACAAATGGTAGAACGATCTTTAGTGAACAATCTACTATGGTATAGAGGGCTGTAAAAAAAAGGTCTCAGCCTCCTATGGGGGCATAGAGGATAAAGCAGTCAAAAAAAATGCAAAATCCTGTTATACTTAGAACTTCCTAGTTTAAAAATTACTTCTCATTTAACCCTCACAACAACTCTGTGGGGTGGATATTGTTTCCAGTTCTTTCTTTTTTTTGAGATGGAGTTTCACTCTTTCTGCCCAGGCTAGAGTACAATGGCACCATCTCGGCTCACTGCAACCTCTACCTCCCGGGTTCAAGCAATTCTCCTGCCTCACCCTCCCGAGTAGCTGGGATTACAGGTGCCCACCACCACACCCGGCTAATGTGTATTTTTAGTAGAGACAGGGTTTCACCATGTTGGCCAGGCTGGTCTTGAACTTCTGACCTCAGGTGATCTACCCGCCTCAGCCTTTCAAAGCTCTGGGATTACAGATGTGAGCCACTGCACCCAGCCCTGTTCCAGTTCTTAACCAAAAAAGTTGAGATTGACAAAATTAGAATATGGGTTCTGGAAGCGACAGATTGGGTTTTGATTTCTGGCTCTGCCACTCACTGGGTGAGTCCTTGAGCAAGTGACTTAATTAACTTAAGGTTCTGTTCCTTCATATGAAACAGGTTACTAACAGGATGTACCACACACAATTGCCGTGAGGATGAAATGAAAAGTACATAAAAGCTTTCCCTGCGGAGTCTGCCAAATGATGATCACTTAACAACCGTGCTCTTTCCCTTCTTACTCCACAGGCTTTTCCTTGAAGCTGTCTCCAATTCACCCCTCTTGGTTTCAGCCACTCACATCCTGTCCCCTTCTTTCCAACTAGCTTTATGATTATTTTCTGAGCAGCTGTGAATTTCTGCTTCTCTATCTCTATGAAGTTACCTGGTCTGTAATTTTTTAAAAATTATGTTCAAATCTGTTTTTATGGTGGTAAAATATATATAACATAAAATTTACCATTTTAAGTGTACAATTCAGTGGCATTAAATACATTCACAACATTGTGCAACCATCACTGCTCCCTGTTTCCAAAACTTTTCCATCACCCCGAACAGAAACTCTATACTCATTAAGCAACAATTCCCATTTCCCTTTCCCCCAACCCCTTGGTAATCTTTAATCTAAGTTCTGTCTCTGAGCTTGCCTATTCTAAGTATCTCATAAAAGTGGAATCATATGTACCCAAAATAATTGCTTTTTTACAAAGTGAAATCATAAAATATTCCTTTCATGTCTGGCTTCTTTCGTGTAGCTTGTTTTTAAGGCTCATCTATGTTGTCGTGTGTTTCAGAATTCCATTCCTCTTTATGGCTGAGTAATATCCATTGTACGGATAGACCTCATTTTTCTTATCCAGTCATCTGTCAATAGGTACTTGGGTTGTTTCAGCCTTCTGGCTATTGTGAATAATGCTAACATTAGTGTACAAGTATGTGTTTGAGTCCCTGTTTTCAATTCTTTTTAACACAGACCTAGGGGTGAAACTGCTGATCATATAGTAACTCTAAGTTTAATATTTTGAGGAACTGCCAAAGTATTTTCCACAGGGGAGGCACCATTCATATTTCACCAGAAATACGTAAGTGTTCTAATTTCTCCACATCATCACCATTTGTTATTTTCTGGTTCTGTTTTGTTTAGTTTGCTTTAGAATAGCCCATTCAACTGGGAATAATAGTAAGAGGAGTTAAAAAAAAAAGCCCATTAGTTATTAGGGAATAACTCGAGTGTTTCTCATTTGGGTTTTGATCTGCATTTCCCTAATGGCTAATGATGTTGAGCATCTTTTCATGTGTTTATTGGTCTTTTGTATATCTTCTTTGGAGAAATGCCTATTCAAGTCCTTCATCTATATTTGAACTGAGGTTTTTTTTGTTGTTGAGCTATAGGAGTTCCTTATATATTCTGGATACTAATCCCTGATCAGATATGTGGTTGGTAAATATTTTCTTCCACAATTGTTTTTCATTCTCTTTATGGTATCTTTTGATGCACAAAAGTTTCTAATTTTGATGATGTCTAATATCTATTTTTTCTTTTGTTTCCTGTGCTTTTGTTGACATACTTAAGAAACCATTGTCAAATTCAAGGTCATGAAGATTTCCCCTAGGTTTTCTTCTAAGAGTTTTATAGTTTGTGTCTTAAATTTAGGTCTTTGGTTCATTTTGAGTTAATTTCTGTATGTGGTATAATTAAGGGTCCAACTTCATTCTCTGCATGTGGATACCCAGCTTTCCCAGCCCCATTTGTTGAATAGGTAATCCTTTCCCCATTGAATGGTCTTGTCTCTACTGTCAAAAATTAATTGACTATACTGTCGTGTTGCTTAACAACAGGGATATGTCCTGAGAAATGTGTCATTAGGCAATTTCATCATTGTGGAAACATCATAGAGTGTACTTAGACAAATCTGGATGGTATAGCCTCCTACACACCTAGCTTATATGGTAAAGCTATTGCTCCTAGGCTACATATCTGCACAAATGTTACTCTACTGAATACTGTAGACAATTGTAACACAGGTATTTGTGTATCTAAACATATCTAGACAGGAATCTCTGATATAGGTTCTGTCTCTGAACTTGCCTATTCTAAGTAGCTCATAAAAGTAGACTCATCTATACAGGAAATATGGTAAAGGTACAATAAAAATAAAGTATAAAAGATAAAAATGGTATACCTGTTTGGGGCACTTAGCATGAATGGGACTTGCAGGATTGAAAATTGCTCTGGGTGAGTCAGTGAGTGAGTGGTGAGTGAATGTGAAGGCCTAGATATTACTTTACCCTACTGTAGATTTTATAAACACTGTACACTTGGGCTACACCTTTATAAAATATATTTGTCTTTCTTCAATAAGTTAACCTTAGCTTACTGTAACTTTTTTACTTTATAAGCATTTCAATATTTTTAATGTTTTGATATAACACTTAGCTTAAAACACATACTATAAAAAAGTTTCAAAAATAGTTGTGCAGAGTTTTTTTAATCTTTATTCTATAAGCTTTTTTCAATTTTTAAAATTTTTTTTTAACTTTTTAAACTTTAAAAAAAGACAAAAATCCTTTATATCCTTATTCCATAAGCTTTTCTCTGTTTTTAAAATTTTTTATTTTTTTAATTTTTTAAACTTTTTTTTATAAAAACTAAGACACACACACATTAGCCTAGGCCTACATAAGGTCAAGATCATCAATATCACTGTCTTCCCCTTCATATCCAGTCCTACCAGAAGGTCTTCAGGGGCAATGAAACACAAGGAGCTGTCATCTCCTATGATAACAATGCCTTCTTCTGGAATGCCTCTTGAAGGACCTGGCTAAGGCTGTTTTATAGTTTTGTTTTGTTTTTTTAATAAGTAGAAGGAGTAAACACTAAAATGATAATTGAAAAGTATAATAAATACATAAACCAGTTACATAGTTGTTTATTGTCAAGTACTATGTACTGTACCTAAATGTGCTATACTTTTATGACTGGCAGCAGAGTAGGTGTGTTTATACCAGCATCACCACAAACACATGAGTAATGTCATGACATTATGACATCACTAGGCAATAGGAATTTTTCAGCTCCATTGTCTTTTTTTTTTTTTTTTTTTTTGAGACGGAGTTTCACTCTTGTTGCCCAGGCTGGAGTGCAATTACGTGATCTCGGCTCACTGCAACCTCTGCCTCCCGGGTTCAAGCGATTCTCCTGTCTCAGCCTCCTGAGTAGCTGGGATTACAGGTGCCCGCCACTATGCCCAGCTAATTTTTGATATTTTTAATAGATAGGGGGTTTCACCATGTTGGCCAGGCTGGTCTCTAACTCCTGACCTCAGGTGATCTGCCCACCTCGACCTCCCAAAGTGCTGGAATTACAGGCATGAGCCACCGCCTCCGGCCCAGCTCCATTATCTTATAGGACCACTGTTGTACACGCAGTCCATCATTGACCAAAATGTCATCCTACAGTGGATGCCTGTATATGTGAGGACTTATTTCTAGACACACCATTCTATTCCACTGGTCTATATGTCTGTCTGCATGCCAGCACCACACTGTTTTGATTACTGTAGCTTTGTAGTAAGTTTTGATGTTGGGAAGTGTGGGTCTTCCAACTTTGTTCTTTTTCAAGATTGTTTTGGTAGTCATCATTTTTATGCAGGTGAATTTGGGTATGTGGTGGACACATTCAAGAGAAAAAGGGGAAACTCAAAATTCAGGTTATCTCACAGTTCTCCACCTCTGGCAAGATCCCATTTAATGTCTTTGGTCAGAATGGTCCACCCTGCACTCCTCACAGTATATTGCAGCTTGTGGTCACATTACAGCTAAATGGACATGGCATATGGCACTGTAATTAAGGGATGTATGAAAACTCCAACAGGGTACAATATTGGAAAGAGCACTGCACAAGGGGACCAGAATCAGAATTCTAGTCCTGCCTCTGCATTTAAAAGGAGTGGGCCTTAATAATTCTCTTAGCGCTCTAAGGCTCAGTTTACTTATGCTTTTATTTTCATTGATCTGTAAAATGGGGATTATACTACCTGCCCTACCTCACAGAGATATCTTGAGGCTCAAGTGACGTAAAGTGTGTGAACAGGTTTTCGTGTACTGTAAAGCACTCTAACACAGAAGCTATTATTACTCACACAACTATTAATCATCCGTCCCAAGAGCTATGAAGCATCTGGTCAGGTCCTTGATAACTGTTAAGTAGAATTTTCTGGTCATAAAAGTTCACAGATACTCCAAGGTTCATCAATAAGGGTTTGTCTGGTTTTAGTTGACAGCTTCTTAACCCATCACACTTCATGTCAACAACCAAGAAGAAGCAATGCTCTGTAATACAGTGTTTTAATCCGTCTATTTCACACAGCCAAGGGTGAGGGCTTTGTGAGAAGCCTGGAAGCCTGTGAGAGATGAAACTCACAGGCATCTGGGAAAGCCTCTCATTCTATCTTCCCAACCTGAAAGGAGATATACTATTGCTGATTCATTTATGAGATTGCCTTCAGCTGGTGAAATAGCAAGGGCTAATCACAACAGGAGGGCTCTTAAAAAAGACAAAATAAGAGAAAACAACAAAAGCCCTCCCCATTAGCTGTTGGTTTCACTTATAAGCAATTGCCAGGACTCTGGCAGCAGTCGTTTTGGGGCCCTCTTGACAGGATTCACACACAATCCACAGAAGGTAGAAAGAAATCTCTTCATCTCTGCATGTTAATTAAGGAGGACAGATGGCCCTGTGATTATTCAACCATATGTAGGTCAAGACTAAATGAATTAATAAGCAACTTAATTCTCAGTCGCCTCCAAGAGCTTATGAGGCATCTATGAACAAACAATTGCCACAGTATCCTGGGAAACAGGAGATGGGGGCAGGGAGAGAGATTAAATTTCCCTCATTGCACACTAAGTTCCACAGTCTAGGAAAGGACATCTTAATCCCTCTACCACACATTGTCTTCCATACAATATTTGGGATATGAAAATGAGTCCAAATTTATCTTAGTTATCCAGGTATATATTGTATAACTGCAGCCCATAGGGTTTCTTTTTTAAAAAGTTAAGCTTGATGGATTACTTTAGGACTGAAAAGCAAAGAAAGTAAAGCCTGGAATCATAAAGAGAAATGTAACAAGACGGGCAGCACATGCTGGGGCCAAAACAGGGGTCAGAAAACAAGTTCTGAAAAGGCTCAGAGGAGCACAAAGATGCTGTCCCTGGGACTGCCAGAGCTAGAGCTCGATTTGGACCTGAAGAGCCAATTGGGGAGAAAAGGGGATCATTACTATTTTGAGTGCAAAAGGTAGGAAACTGTGCAAGGCATGCAAGGGGCAGTAATCAAACCAGTGTGAGCAAAGGAGACAGGTGATGCAAGGGAACTGTGAGGGAACAGCTGGCACAGGTGACAGGCAGCAAGGAGAGCCCTGGATGGCAGCAGTGCTGGCTGCTTTCAGGAGAAACCAGTCTGTCCTCCTCCCAGTGTTCCTGCCAGAGTCCACAGAATAGAAATTTGAAACCCTTCAGGCATTTGTACTGGAAAAAGTATTTCTTTCCTCCTCCCCGCTGCTCCCAACTCTTCCCCATGTATGAGTGATTGATGAGACTGGCAGAGGAACCAAGCTGCCCTGCTCAGCAATTCTCTCCCTTCCTCTTACCAGCCATAACTCCCTGTGGAACTGACTGATCTTCCCTCATCTCTTCCTCCTCTTCTAAGTGTTAAGCTGGTTGCCTCTAAGGAGAGGCCTGCATTTGTCCAGCTGTCTCTGGATGGCAAGTTTAATTATCTGAGCAAAGGCATAGGTATTAAACCCAGTTGTCAAATCCAGCACTATTGGTAGTGATGGCTATTTTGCTCCCTTTCTGTCTGCATCCTGGGTATATCTGATTTGTTGCAGCACACTGAAGGGGAACAAAGGGGGCATAATTTATTATCTCCTGCTTAAAATCCCAACACCCACAAGTCCAGAAGGATATACATAGATGCTGTACTATTTGTCTTTATAACAAAACCAAATGCTTTTGCACCACACATTGTCTTCTATATTGTATTTGGGCTGTTAAGACCAGGCAACAGCAATACATCTTAGTTTCTCAGCCTCGTGAAGTTTAGGAACTTTCTAAAAAAATTTTTTTTTAAATATGCATATAACACAAAATTCAAAAGGTGATAGGATAAAAATTCTCTCTCATATAACTCTTTCTACAGGCAGCCATTATTATCACTTTATTATTTATCCTTGTAAGGATATTCATGTATACAGTATGAACATATTTGTATATTTTTTTAACCAAAAGGTGGAAGACATAATGCTGTGTGCCTTGCCTTTTTTAGTTAATATATCTTACAGATCACTCCTTAAGGAATATTCCATTCTTCCTTATCAACTGTTGAGCTGTCATACTTCATGGAATTCCATTATATGACCATACAATAAAAATTAATCACTTTTATTGACAAATACTCATTATAATCTTGTGCTATTTAAAGTAATGACTATATGAGTATTTACATCTTTGCACACATGTGCAAAGATTTTATTTGCAGGGTAAATTCCTAGAAGTGGAATTGCCAGGTCAAATGGCAAATGCACTTAAAATTTTGAAAGCTATTGCTAAATTTTTAACCATAGAGGTTTTCTACCAATTTATACTTCTACCAACATTGGCTACTGTTTTTCAAAATATGGTTCTCTTGTGACTTTCTCTGATCCCTTCCTAAATATAAGAACTCTAGCAACAAATCTGAATTTTAAGGTGGCTCATGAAGGAATAGAACGGTCAGACAATGCCAGGTATTATTTTAACTGCATCTGCCCTGTTTAGCAGGCAGGAACTTTTGCAACTCCACAGCCTTCCCTAGCTTCCGTTCCAGCCATGGCCGCTAGCGTTTATCCGATGTCTCAATAGGTACACACTGTAATCAGGGGTATTAGAAAAAGAAATTGCTAACTTAATGTCTTATTTTCTCTCAGGGATTTAAAAGAATTAAAGGAAACAAGCACAGGTGGTAATTGACCTGGTTAACTCTGGAATCACTTTGAATCTACTTAAAATAGGAGTCACGTGGAACACAAGGGAGGAGGTTCATAAAGCACATGCTGTAATTTAGGGTACATATAAAATCATTACACCCACTTAAAAGCAATCTTTTGAGTGACTTTAAAATATGAGAGCTATTTTCATTGCATGGTAGACTAGAACCAAGGCAAATGAAAGCAAATGTATGCTTTCTTCTCACTTTTCCTTTATGTACAGCCTCGCCAACCTTTCCGGATGTCCTCCAAAATAGGGTCCCATCCAGTATCATTCTGCCATGTAACAGAGCTTCTTCTCTTGGCTTATACTACATGTTCTAAAATTATCCTTTCTCTCCCAAATAAGTTCTTTCCCCTCTGTACCTAATTTTTTAATCTACTCTCAGAAATATGGGCTCTGATTAATTAATTTTCACCTGAGTGGCTAATTTTTCCTTCCTAGAAGTACTTAAGATTTTTAATAGCAAGAGCAGGTTAGTGCCAGATAGCACTTTACATGTATTTTCATTTAATTTATTGAGCAGAATAAGGGCCAATGGGTTAATCTAACTTGCCCAGTCATATAGCAAAAGCAGAGTTTGGATGCAGGGCTACTTAACTCCAAAGCATGCACCTTCCCCCTTTTGTCAGTGCATTTACACTTTTTTGCTTGAAAACCCCCTAAAATAATTTTCATAAGCTATATATCCCTCATGAAGCTTTAAGCTGACATCTAAGCTTTTTATAATTTTAAATAATTGCATAGGTCATAATTTCCAGCATATTATAAATTTCATTTTAAGCGAATCCAACGAAATCCAAATATATAACATTTGGATCTATTTTTTTAAATATATGAGCAAGTTATTCTTTAACTTTTAGAAAGCTTACATCTTTCCTTTTTCTCCTTGAGCTTGTATTCTATCCCATTTTTTCCAGATTTTTATCATAATGTTTTTATGTTTGAAAATATTATTGACCAGATATGTAAATGTATTAAAACAAAAATAAGTACATAATTTAAAATTTTACTTTACTCTGACTATAAGTGGTTCTAGTTGATAAAAACTTTTCTTGAGTTATTACAAATATTAATATAGAATTGATCGAGACAACAACAATATATACACATTTTGGTAATTATTAAACATAAGTAGTAAATTTGTTATTATCACTTAAGTTAATATTAGCTACTGTAACAGATAAAGTTCAAAATCTTGTGGCTTAATATAATTAAAAGCTATTTCTTGATTTAATATAGAGTCCCCAAAAGGACTAGGTAGTGATTCAGGGCTACTCCTCAGGGCTCTGTTGTTTTCAACATATGGCTTCTGTATAGCTGAAGAAGAAAGGAATGAGCATGAAGATGGCACGTGGCCAAGTCTAGAAGTGGAGCCCCTTACTTCATCTGCTTTCCAATAACCAGAACCAATTATATTGGCAAACCTGAAAGAGCAGGAGGACAGGAATGCAGTCTAGCATTCTAGAAATGCTTTGGGTAAACAGCTCGACAATCTTGGCCACAGATTTACTGGAAATGCCTGTCTTGAGAAAAATCATGATTCAACTTTTAAAATAAATCTAATGAAACAGAATGCTTTAGTCTACTAAAAACAAATTTAGCAGCTATTTTTAAAATAATATATTTTGTAAATAAAAAGTTAACAATTTTAAACATTTTGTAGGATGGACTCATAGTAATTGTAATGCATATTTTATGATTTGATAAAAATGTGTTCTAAATCCCTCATTGAATAATACAGTGTACACTAGCCACAATATACAAAGCTTTACCCATAAATATTTATAAAGAAGAGAAATTTAGCAAGTCTTGTGGGTTTATGATAGCTCAATGAATTACTATGAAGATTTCACCTATGTGTGGCCCATGACAGCTTGCATAACTACAGCAGTATTTGGGATAGGTCAGGACAATGCCTTTCTTTTATAAAGTGGAGGAAAAAAATTAGGAATTTGTGCACCTTTTCTCCTTCTCCTCTTCCTCCTTTTTTGTAGAGACTGGATTTCGCTATTTCCTCAGGCTGGTCTCGAACTCTTGACCTCAAGTGTTCCTCCCACCTTGGCCTACGAAAGTGCTGGGATTACAGGCATGAGCCACTGCACCTCCCAGGAGTTTCTAAAGGTGGGAGTTTTTGACAAACCAATTAAATATTTTGATGCCTTCCCTTGGCCCTTGAATTAGACTATATCCTCTGTTTCACTCAATAGGACTTTTAACGTAGTAGTACTAACAATGAAGCTTTGTTCAGGATCAAGAATCCCCCAAAGATAACACAATAATTACCCTGAATCAACTGTGTAAAGCTTTAAAAAATCAAGCAAGTATGTTTAGCTATAACCATACTTCAATCTCATATACAGTTCCATTCCCTGGATGATGGCTAGAAGGATTTCTAGTTACAGCCTGCCTTCTATCAGTCTTCACTCTTTTGGCTCTTATGTGTTTTATCTCTTCAGCACTTGTGATATTGTTTAAAATACCTTACATATTTGAATGTGGCTTTTGCTGAGAAATTAAAAATAAATAAATATAAATAAAATATCTTACA
This sequence comes from Homo sapiens, assembly GCF_000001405.40. Taxonomy (NCBI): domain Eukaryota; kingdom Metazoa; phylum Chordata; class Mammalia; order Primates; family Hominidae; genus Homo; species Homo sapiens. The sequence continues at coordinate 128,224,206 of NC_000004.12, read as the reverse complement.
TATATTGTCCTTGTATAGTTTAAGAATTTAGGCAAAATATTATGTTATATATGCCAGATGTCATGATAGTTATTTTAGATGACAGGATTTCAAGATATTCCTTCCATCTTTCCTCCTCTTTTCTTTCCCTCTTTCTTTTATTCTTCTTTGTTGGAAATATAATGGTAACCAAGATAGACAATATTCCTGACTTCTCATAGTTGAGAGAAGGTAAAATGCAAAGATTGGAATGAAGTTTTACTTGGGTAATAACTTCCATGATATTCTTTTTTATTCTGAAAATATCCTTATTACGATTATTTGAGCTATTACTATATCACTTTAGCAAAGTTTAGGCACTAGTGATTTAAATAACATAGTCAAGGCCGGGTGCAGTGGCTCAGGCTTGTAATCCCAGCACTTTGGGAGGCTGAGGCAGGCAGATCACCTGAGGTCAGGAGTTCAAGACCAGCCTGGCCAACATGATGACACCTGTCTCTACTAAAAGCACAAAAATTAGCCAGGTGTGGTAGCGTGCGCCTGTAACCCCAGCTACTCAGAAGGCTGAGGCAGGAGAATCGCTCGAAGCCATGAGGCAGGCTGTTGCAGTGAGCCAAGATCGCACCACTCCACTCCGGCCTGGGTGACAGGGCAAGACTCCATCTCAAAAAAATTAAAATAAATAAGTAAATAACATAGTTGAATGGAAAAATATGACAAGTATGAAAAGTTTCAGGAATAGTCATTAGAGATTGGTTCTAGGAAATTGTGCCGATATGCTTTAAAGTGAATATAATGGTATCAAGTTCATTTCAATACATTCATGCACCAAGTCAAAAACTGTATTGTATGTAATCCACAAACTTTAAGGTTTTGAAAATAAATTTTTATTAAATAGCTAAATATTACCTAGAATATGAGAACCTCCATCCAGGCTTCCTAGAAACCTATACTGTAATCTTCAAAATAATAAAACAGGCCAGGCGCGCAGTGCTCACGCCTGTAATCCCAGCACTCTGGGAGGCTGAGGAGAGAGGATCAATTGAGGTCAGGAGTTCAAGATCATCCTGGGCAACCTGGCAAAACCCCATCTCTACAAAAATAGAAAAGTTAGGCGGACATGGTGGTGCATGTCTGTAGTCCCAGCTACTCGCGAGGCTGAGGCACGAGAGTCGTTTGAACCTGGGAGGCGGAGGTTGCAGTGAGCCGAGATCTCACCACTGTGCTCCAGCCTGGGAGAAACAGGGAGACTCTGCCTCAAAAAAAATAACATAACATAACATAACACATATAAAATAAAATAAAATAAACATGTAGTGTTTATTAAAATGTAGAACAACAATAAAGCTGGCTGAAGATCAAGATAATCTGGTGGTCCGAGAAGTTACCTGCCTCCCCTGCGGGCTCTGCCTGTGGCCTAGATAAACCAGCTTTTTGCCTTCAGTGGTGGGCAGACACCAATGTAATTTGCTATTTCCACAATCCTCAATTGGAATGTCTATTGGAGACAGGTCTTAACACAAGTAGAGGAAAAAGCTGGTACAAATTTACCTGTAATAAAACTGACTTAAAGAGTAAGTTATTCCCCTTCTTGGGAATAAAGACAACTTCTCACAATAAAGACAACTTCTCTTGGTGGGAGGTAAATTTTTGTTGAAGTTGTTATCTAAAAGTTATTAAAAATGTCCCAGGGCAGAAAAAAAGTAAACAGAAATATGGTTTGTAAGATGCAAGTCAAACTTGGAAGTGGCATTGATGTGGGGTGGGGCGGCGACTGGAGTGTCACTGAGCCCAGGAGAGGTCACAGGAAGGCAGATTCTCATATCCTGCTTAGGAACTAGATGTTTATGATGAGCAGAAGTAATCGATCATGGTGATTCTGGGAAAACATAATAAGCAAAATTGTTAAAAAACAAAGGGAAAGAACTAAAACTGAAGGTGTGATTTCAGATTCATGGTAACTGCTTCATGGAAATCATGCTCTTGTCACTTGGTCAAGGTCAGTAGAAATAACGGCATCTAAGCAACTCTACTACTTCTCACATGGAAGTCAGTGAACCACCACAAGGGCAGAAAAGCATTCATAAACCACTATGTTAGGACAATAAAACAATTAAAATCAGACTTTTCCTTACTAATTAAAATGTTTTAAGTAGATTAATTTCCCATGAAAATTTAAAATTATATTCACAGCCTACTGGAGAAAATACCTTGCAATACCTGGAGATAATTTGTCCAGTGCTTAGCCCTAATGATAGCTCATGTTTACTAAGTGCTTACTGTACCACCATGCACTGTGTTACATGCTGTGCATTTATTCTTCAGGACACTATGAGGTAAGTGTAATTTTGTAGATAAAGGACTGTAACTTAGTGAGAGGGGCCAGGATTCAACTCATGTTTCTAACAAATAAGCTGTCTCTAGAGCAGCAGTTAACTAAATTTTGGCTCTCACAGACCCTTTCCCTTAAAGTCCATCCACTGACTCATTAAAATAAGTCTCACCTCAGATTATACTTAAAGGCATTCAACTGGAAACCAGAAAATGTTAACATTAAGCATTACAGTACTGTGATAATGTTTGTGTTACAATAAAAGTCTAATGAATCTTAAAACACATGGAGAAAGGTACTCAATTTTGTAGACTTGGAACACTATCTGGAAAAAAACAAAACAATAGCAGCGGATTCTGGTTTCTAGAATTTATTGAAGCTAATACGTGCAGTATATTGTTAGAAACCATTCTATTAACCAAAGTATTTCTCAATTTGCAAGGAAAAAACAGGCTTATTGTAAAGAACTCAGAAAACTGACACAGAGTGTAAAGTCAGAATTGATTCCTATCAATTAACCTTGTGGGATATTTCCTTCAAGCCGAACAGTTCAGAATCTTCAGTTGTCAATAATAACCCTAAATAAACTAATGCAAAATTTCTAAGCAAATTCTAAATAAAATGCTCAGTTTCATTTGTATTTTACCTTATCTAATTCTAGGAAAACATTTAAACACATGGATGATATTTGTTTCCTAATCAAAATTTCCTCCCAAAAGATTTAGCATATATTGTAAATCATTTATCACATAATTTATGTTTTTAAATACTCCATTAGACCCTCCATTACTGCAGAGGATGCCTATCATCAAAAAAAAATGCAGTCTTAACCACAAGAATCCAATCTTGATTTATAATACTTAAGAATCATTGCAGTTGAGTTCGAAAGTCAGGGGTTCTGTGTTCTATTTCACGCTGTTAAAGAACAATCTGGTTAAGATGAAGAGCCTGGGCTCTGAAGCCAGACTACTGGAGTTCAAACGCTAGCTCAGCCATTCAACTAGTTGTGTGATAACACTTTGTTCTAGTTACAAGATTAACAACTAGTTTTAAGTTTATCGTGTTTTAGGTAGGATCCATTCATTAACTTGCTGTGTGACTTAACTACATGGCTTAGGTTAGCCAGGAGATATACCTTAAAATCTGCTTGCTTTGTTCACATCTCAAGAGTTAAAAAAATAATGCTAATGAAGTACTTCAAACTCTTAAGTGAAAGGACAATACCAAAGCAAAAGTATTTCCATTTTTAACTATACACAAGTCTTAATGTTATCATATATATTTACTAATAACCAAATAACTAATGCAAATTTACCAATAACTAGGGCAATGCCTAACCACGTAACGAGTTGTGAGACACACATATGACTATTAGGAATGCAAGAGTAATTGATATAATTATATGATATCACCACAAGATGGAGTAAGAGGTCTCAAAAACACACACATACTCACTTTCCTGTCAAAAGTCTACAGATCTGACATTCCGTTTTGCCATCTCATGGTGATATAATTAGGTATTACTCTATCGGATCAGCCTCCTATGCAAGAATAAAATAAAAATAATAGTTACATAAAAGCCAAGAAATTAGTTGAAGGAAAAGATTAAACACACAAAGGAAAGTGGTGACACTACTTTGTAAAATGGCAAGAAGCATACAGAATGTCAGAGTGGAGTTCCAAACTAACATAAGCTTAAAAAATAAAATCTAGCCAGGAGCAGTGGCTCACACCTGTAATCACAGCACTTTGGGAGGCTGAGGTGGGTGGATCACCTGAGGTCGGGAGTTTGAGACCACCCTGACCAACATGGAGAAACCCTGTCTCTATTAAAAATAAAAAATTAGCCGGGCGTGGTGGCACATGCCTGTAATCCCAGCTACTCAGGAGGCTGAGGCAGGAGAATCGCTTGAACCTGGTAGACAGAGGTTACAGTGAGCCGAGATCGTGCCATTGCACTCCAGCCTGGGCAACAAGAGCGAAACTCTGTCTCAAAAAAATAAAATAAAATAAAATGTATTTCAAAGCTAAAATAATATAAACATAACCCCCTTCCTAATTCCATTTATTTATTTATTTATTTATTTATTTATTTATTTTATTATACTTTAAGTTTTAGGGTACATGTGCACATTGTGCAGGTTAGTTACCTATGTATACATGTGCCATGCTGGTGCGCTGCACCCACTAACGCGTCATCTAGCATTAGGTATATCTCCCAATGCTATCCCTCCCCCCTCCCCCCACCCCACCACAGTCCCCAGAGTGTGATATTCCCCTTCCTGTGTCCATGTGATCTCATTGTTCAATTCCCACCTATGAGTGAGAATATGCGGTGTTTGGTTTTTTGTTCTTGCGATAGTTTACTGAGAATGATGGTTTCCAATTTCATCCATGTCCCTACAAAGGACATGAACTCATCATTTTTTATGGCTGCATAGTATTCCATGGTGTATATGTGCCACATTTTCTTAATCCAGTCTATCATTGTTGGACATTTGGGTTGGTTCCAAGTCTTTGCTATTGTGAATAATGCCGCAATAAACATACGTGTGCATGTGTCTTTATAGCAGCATGATTTATAGTCATTTGGGTATATACCCAGTAATGGGATGGCTGGGTCAAATGGTATTTCTAGTTCTAGATCCCTGAGGAATTGCCACACTGACTTCCACAATGGTTGAACTAGTTTACAGTCCCACCAACAGTGTCAAAGTGTTCCTATTTCTCCACATCCTCTCCAGCACCTGTTGTTTCCTGACTTTTGAATGATTGCCATTCTAACTGCTGTGAGATGATATCTCATAGTGGTTTTGATTTGCATTTCTCTGATGGCCAGTGATGATGAGCATTTTTTCATGTGTTTTTTGGCTGCATAAATGTCTTCTTTTGAGAAGTGTCTGTTCATGTCCTTCGCCCACTTTTTGATGGGGTTGTTTGTTTTTTTCTTGTAAATTTGTTTGAGTTCATTGTAGATTCTGGATATTAGCCCTTTGTCAGATGAGTAGGTTGCGAAAATTTTCTCCCATGTTGTAGGTTGCCTGTTCACTCTGATGGTAGTTTCTTTTGCTGTGCAGAAGCTCTTTAGTTTAATTAGATCCCATTTGTCAATTTTGGCTTTTGTTGCCATTGCTTTTGGTGTTTTGGACATGAAGTCCTTGCCCACGCCTATGTCCTGAATGGTAATGCCTAGGTTTTCTTCTAGGGTTTTATGGTTTTAGGTCTAACGTTTAAATCTTTAATCCATCTTGAATTGATTTTTGTATAAGGTGTAAGGAAGGGATCCAGTTTCAGCTTTCTACATATGGCTAGCCAGTTTTCCCAGCACCATTTATTAAATAGGGAATCCTTTCCCCATTGCTTGTTTTTCTCAGGTTTGTCAAAGATCAGATAGTTGTAGATATGCGGCATTATTTCTGAGGGCTCTGTTCTGTTCCATTGATCTATATCTCTGTTTTGGTACCAGTACCATGCTGTTTTGGTTACTGTAGCCTTGTAGTATAGTTTGAAGTCAGGTAGTGTGATGCCTCCAGCTTTGTTCTTTTGGCTTAGGATTGACTTGGCGACGCGGGCTCTTTTTTGGTTCCATATGAACTTTAAAGTAGTTTTTTCCAATTCTGTGAAGAAAGTCATTGGTAGCTTGATGGGGATGGCATTGAATCTGTAAATTACCTTGGGCAGTATGGCCATTTTCACAATATTGATTCTTCCTACCCATGAGCATGGAATGTTCTTCCATTTCTTTGTGTCCTCTTTTATTTCCTTGAGCAGTGGTTTGTAGTTCTCCTTGAAGAGGTCCTTCACATCCCTTGTAAGTTGGATTCCTAGGTATTTTATTCTCTTTGAAGCAATTGTGAATGGGAGTTCACTCATGATTTGGCTCTCTGTTTGTCTGTTGTTGGTGTATAAGAATGCTTGTGATTTTTGTACATTGATTTTGTATCCTGAGACTTTGCTGAAGTTGCTTATCAGCTTAAGGAGATTTTGGGCTGAGACGATGGGGTTTTCTAGATAAACAATCATGTCGTCTGCAAACAGGGGTAATTTGACTTCCTCTTTTCCTAATTGAATACCCTTTATTTCCTTCTCCTGCCTGATTGCCCTGGCCAGAACTTCCAACACTATGTTGAATAGGAGCGGTGAGAGAGGGCATCCCTGTCTTGTGCCAGTTTTCAAAGGGAATGCTTCCAGTTTTTGCCCATTCAGTATGATATTGGCTGTGGGTTTGTCATAGATAGCTCTTATTATTTTGAGATACGTCCCATCAATACCTAATTTATTGAGAGTTTTTAGCATGAAGGGTTGTTGAATTTTGTCAAAGGCTTTTTCTGCATCTATTGAGATAATCATGTGGTTTTTGTCTTTGGCTCTGTTTATATGCTGGATTACATTTATTGATTTGTGTATATTGAACCAGCCTTGCATCCCAGGGATGAAGCCCACTTGATCATGGTGGATAAGCTTTTTGATGTGCTGCTGGATTCGGTTTGCCAGTATTTTATTGAGGATTTTTGCATCAATGTTCATCAAGGATATTGGTCTAAAATTCTCTTTTTTGGTTGTGTCTCTGCCCGGCTTTGGTATCAGAATGATGCTGGCCTCATAAAATGAGTTAGGGAGGATTCCCTCTTTTTCTATTGATTGGAATAGTTTCAGAAGGAATGGTACCAGTTCCTCCTTGTACCTCTGGCAGAATTCGGCTGTGAATCCATCTGGTCCTGGACTCTTTTTGGTTGGTAAACTATTGATTATTGCCACAATTTCAGAGCCTGTTATTGGTCTATTCAGAGATTCAATTTCTTCCTGGTTTAGTCTTGGGAGAGTGTATGTGTCGAGGAATGTATCCATTTCTTCTAGATTTTCTAGTTTATTTGCGTAGAGTTGTTTGTAGTATTCTCTGATGGTAGTTTGTATTTCTGTGGGATCGGTGGTGATATCCCCTTTATCATTTTTTATTGTGTCTATTTGATTCTTCTCTTTTTTTCTTTATTAGTCTTGCTAGCGGTCTATCAATTTTGTTCATCCTTTCAAAAAACCAGCTCCTGGATTCACTGATTTTTTGAAGGGTTTTTTGTGTCTCTATTTCCTTCAGTTCTGCTCTGATCTTAGTTATTTCTTGCCTTCTGCTAGCTTTTGAATGTGTTTGCTCTTGCTTCTCTAGTTCTTTTAATTGTGATGTTAGGGTGTCAATTTTGGATCTTTCCTGCTTTCTCTTGTAGGCATTTAGTGCTATAAATTTCCCTCTACACACTGCTTTGAATGCGTCCCAGAGATTCTGGTATGTCGTGTCTTTGTTCTCGTTGGTTTCAAAGAACATCTTTATTTCTGCCTTCATTTCGTTATGTACCCAGTAGTCATTCAGGAGCAGGTTGTTCAGTTTCCAAGTAGTTGAGCAGCTTTGAGTGAGATTCTTAATCCTGAGTTCTAGTTTGATTGCACTGTGGTCTGAGAGACAGTTTGTTATAATTTCTGTTCTTTTACATTTGCTGAGGAGAGCTTTACTTCCAACTATGTGGTCAATTTTGGAATAGGTGTGGTGTGGTGCTGAAAAAAATGTATATTCTGTTGATTTGGGGTGGAGAGTTCTGTAGATGTCTATTAGGTCCGCTTGGTGCAGAGCTGAGTTCAATTCCTGGGTATCCTTGTTGACTTTCTGTCTCGTTGATCTGTCTAATGTTGACAGTGGGGTGTTAAAGTCTCCCATTATTAATGTGTGGGAGTCTAAGTCTCTTTGTAGGTCACTCAGGACTTGCTTTATGAATCTGGGTGCTCCTGTATTGGGTGCATAAATATTTAGGATAGTTAGCTCCTCTTGTTGAATTGATCCCTTTACCATTATGTAATGGCCTTCTTTGTCTCTTTTGATCTTTGTTGGTTTAAAGTCTGTTTTATTAGAGACTAGGATTGCAACCCCTGCCTTTTTTTGTTTTCCATTGGCTTGGTAGATCTTCCTCCATCCTTTTATTTTGAGCCTATGTGTGTCTCTGCACGTGAGATGGGTTTCCTGAATACAGCACACTGATGGGTCTTGACTCTTTATCCAACTTGCCAGTCTGTGTCTTTTAATTGCAGAATTTAGTCCATTTATATTTAAAGTTAATATTGTTATGTGTGAATTTGATCCTGTCATTATGATGTTAGCTGGTGATTTTGCTCGTTAGTTGATGCAGTTTCTTCCTAGTCTCGACGGTCTTTACATTTTGGCATGATTTTGCAGCGGCTGGTACCGGTTGTTCCTTTCCATGTTTAGCGCTTCCTTCAGGAGCTCTTTTAGGGCAGGCCTGGTGGTGACAAAATCTCTCAGCATTTGCTTGTCTATAAAGTATTTTATTTCTCCTTCACTTATGAAGCTTAGTTTGGCTGGATATGAAATTCTGGGTTGAAAATTCTTTTCTTTAAGAATGTTGAATATTGGCCCCCACTCTCTTCTGGCTTGTAGGGTTTCTGCCGAGAGATCCGCTGTTAGTCTGATGGGCTTTCCTTTGAGGGTAACCCGACCTTTCTCTCTGGCTGCCCTTAACATTTTTTCCTTCATTTCAACTTTGGTGAATCTGACAATTATGTGTCTTGGAGTTGCTCTTCTCGAGGAGTATCTTTGTGGCGTTCTCTGTATTTCCTGAATCTGAACGTTGGCCTGCCTTGCTAGATTGGGGAAGTTCTCCTGGATAATATCCTGCAGAGTGTTTTCCAACTTGGTTCCATTCTCCACATCACTTTCAGGTACACCAATCAGACGTAGATTTGGTCTTTTCACATAGTCCCATATTTCTTGGAGGCTTTGCTCATTTCTTTTTATTCTTTTTTCTCTAAACTTCCCTTCTCGCTTCATTTCATTCATTTCATCTTCCATTGCTGATACCCTTTCTTCCAGTTGATCGCATCGGCTCCTGAGGCTTCTGCATTCTTCACGTAGTTCTCGAGCCTTGGTTTTCAGCTCCATCAGCTCCTTTAAGCACTTCTCTGTATTGGTTATTCTAGTTATACATTCTTCTAAATTTTTTTCAAAGTTTTCAACTTCTTTGCCTTTGGTTTGAATGTCCTCCCGTAGCTCAGAGTAATTTGATCGTCTGAAGCCTTCTTCTCTCAGCTCGTCAAAATCATTCTCCATCCAGCTTTGTTCCGTTGCTGGTGAGGAACTGCGTTCCTTTGGAGGAGGAGAGGCGCTCTGCGTTTTAGAGTTTCCAGTTTTTCTGTTCTGTTTTTTCCCCATCTTTGTGGTTTTATCTACTTTTGGTCTTTGATGATGGTGATGTACAGATGGGTTTTCGGTGTAGATGTCCTTTCTGGTTGTTAGTTTTCCTTCTAACAGACAGGACCCTCAGCTGCAGGTCTGTTGGAATACCCTGCCGTGTGAGGTGTCAGTGTGCCCCTGCCTCCCAGTTAGGCTGCTCGGGGGTCAGGGGTCAGGGACCCACTTGAGGAGGCAGTCTGCCAGTTCTCAGATCTCCAGCTGCGTGCTGGGAGAACCACTGCTCTCTTCAAAGCTGTCAGACAGGGACACTTAAGTCTGCAGAGGTTACTGCTGTCTTTTTGTTTGTCTGTGCCCTGCCCCCAGAAGTGGAGCCTACAGAGGCAGGCAGGCCTCCTTGAGCTGTGGTGGGCTCCACCCAGTTCGAGCTTCCCGGCTGCTTTGTTTACCTAAGCAAGCCTGGGCAATGGCGGGCGCCCCTCCACCAGCCTCGTTGCCACCTTGCAGTTTGATCTCAGACTGCTGTGCTAGCAATCAGCGAGATTCCGTGGGCGTAGGACCCTCTGAGCCAGGTGTGGGATATAGTCTCGTGGTGCGCCGTTTTTTAAGCCGGTCTGAAAAGCGCAATATTCGGGTGGGAGTGACCCGATTTTCCAGGTGCGTCCGTCACCCCTTTCTTTGACTCGGAAAGGGAACTCCCTGACCCCTTGCGCTTCCCAGGTGAGGCAATGCCTCGCCCTGCTTCGGCTCGCGCACGGTGCACGCACACACTGGCCTGCGCCCACTGTCTGGCACTCCCTAGTGAGATGAACCCGGTACCTCAGATGGAAATGCAGAAATCACCCGTCTTCTGCGTCGCTCACGCTGGGAGCTGTAGACCGGAGCTGTTCCTATTCAGCCATCTTGGCTCCTCCCCCCACTAATTCCTTTTATATAGAAAATGTCAAAGACAGCTTCAACTAATCTCTTAAAAGGAGGAGGAGGAGTTTGAATAACATTTTTAGCATTGCCTTTTTTGATATTGAAAATTGTGCAAAATAATAAAAAAGGAAGCCCTAAGGTCTGTAGGGACTTTCATAAATTTTGGGTAGGGCCATTTAGATTTATAGTCAATAATGTTTTTCTTTTCATTAAATAGCAGTGCTTTTATTTGCTTGAGCTTTACATTCAGAATTTCTTTAAGGGGTATAGTTTTTTAAAATTTTACCCAAAAAAAGTACATACCATGTCAAGCATACATAAGCAAAATTAGAAAGCAAAGGGTTAATATTCTTGATAAGTGAAAACACTCCATAAATTTATCAGAAAGAGATAATCACTCCAAAAGGAAAACGTAAGGGGTATTTTCAAGCAATCTACAAACAATATGGTTAATAAGCAATAAAAATTATTGCTCATTAGTGACCTGATTAAAATGGTCACTATTTAAAATGATTAAAATGATTAAATCATTTAAAATGATTAAAATGGTGACATTAATAATGAGATTTAGTGGCCAGGCGCAGTGGCTCACACCTGTAATCCCAGCACTTTGGGAGGCCAAGGTGGATCACCTGAGGTCAGTAGTTCGAGACCAGCCTAGCCAACATGGTGAAACCCCATCTCAACTAAAAATACAAAATTAGCCGGGCATAGTGGTGCATGCCTATAGTCCCAGCTACTCGGAAGGCTGAGGCGGGAGAATTGCTTGGATCTGGAAGGTGGAAGTTGCAGTGAGACGAGATCGCGTCATTGCACTCCAGCCCGGGCAACAAGAGCAAAGCTCCATCTCAAAAAAAAAAAAAAAAAAAAAAAGAGAGAGATTTAAATGATTTTTTGCTTATCAGTCTAAAGAGAAAGATTTATCATAATTGGTGTTGATAAGGATGTAGGGAAGCAGATGTTGATAAAAGTGTAAACTGTGCAACCTTCCTAGAGGTCTTAAATGGAGACACGTTTTTACTTAGAGTTCCAACTTCTAGGAGTTCTTGACAGTAACTCTTTTATACACAAAGATTTATCTGTAAGGATACTATTCATTGTTGTTTGTTTGTTTTTTGTTTTTGTTTTTGTTTTTTTGAGACAGAGTCTCACTCTGTCGCCCAGGCTGGAGTGCAGTGGTGCGGACTCGGCTCATTGCAACCTCTCTGCCTCTTGGGTTCAAGCGATTCTCCTGTCTCAGCCTCCCCAGTAGCTGAGATTACAGACATGCACCACCACGCCCAGCTAGTTTTTTGTATTTTTAGTAGAGATGGGGTTTCACATCATGTTGGCCAGGCTGGTCTCGCATTTCTGATCTCAAGTGATCCACCCGCCTCAGCCTCCCAAAGTGCTGGGATTACAGGCATGAGCCACCATGCCCAGCCTATTAATTGTTGTTTGTAACAGCTAAAACCTAGCCACAGCCAAAGTTCAACAGTCAGCAGTTAGCTACGTAAACTCGGCATATTCACACACTGGAATACTATGTAACTAGTAAAAGCCATGAAATAGAAATATTAATGACATCACTGGCCAGGCACGGTGGCTCATCATGCCTGTAATTCAAGCACTTTAGGAGGCCGAGGAAGGTGGATCACTTGAGACCAGGAGTTCAAGATCAGCCTGGTCAACATGGTGAAACCCCATCTCTACAATTTAAAAAAAAAAAGTAATGAGAAATATTAATGACATCAGAAAATGTTCAACTCCATTAAGTGACAAATGCAGGTTATAACACTATATATAGCCTGACACCAATTTTGGTTTTTCTTCTTTTTATAACAAGTACTTTATTTTCTTCTTTGTGCTTTTCTAAATTTCCCAATGTACATGTATTACTTTTATAATAAAAATATGATAAAACTACTAATTAATACAAACCACAAAACTCCTGATTATTGTATTTTCATTTATAATATACAATTTTCCAATCAAATTTACACTTGTATATTCAGTTGAGTAGAAATATCTGGTTAAATACAGGTTTCAGATATATGTGTTCAACACAAAAAGGACACTGAGAAAAATTTATGATCATTTCAAGAGACCATTTAAAGCTAATAAGCACGGTTTGGAAATTTCTCACTGAAAAGCTGGAACTACATACCCCATTTAAGAAAAGACTTGAAGATCTATTATTCTAACCCATTGCTTGTTTTGCACCCTCTTTACAATATATCTAAATAAATTTATTTTCTGAATATTCAAATTTGACTATTTCTGCAATTTAAAGCATCAAAATGACCCTCCAAATAGTAAATATTATAAAACTGCTGATTATTACTTATCATGAGAAATAACTTAATGAAAACCTATTTACAAATTAACAGCCCATCCATCCAAAGATTATATGTATTTCAATATTATAATTTATAAGAACAAGATATCCAATCTGCTCAAAAAGAAAATACAATTAATTTAGCATATGGAAACCACTTGCTTTTGCCAATACAACAAAATATCTGTAAATTATGTAGTGCTCAATAAAGTGAATGTAAGTTTATAATTGAAACTTCATTCACACAAAAAAATGGTCTTTTACTAGCAAAACTGAATATTACAGCTTTTCAACTATATTCTAAATAAAAATAATTAAAAATCAATTCAAAAAATTCAGAATAAGTGCTTTATTTTTTTAAATCTCACAAAAACTGAAACTACCATTTACATCAGTTGTAATAGCAATAAAAATTAGAAATCAATTTGCTATAACTCTTGAAAACATTTATAAAAACAAAATTAAACAAAAAATAAACAAAAAGGTAAAACTAAGTATTCATTTTAAATTAAAGATAATCTGACTCCTTATGACATACCCACTTGCAGATGTATAAATAGCAGATGCATTCAAAACAGTGCAAGATTTAATTAATTTAGGACAATATTCCAATCAATCCCAATGCAGGTTTTAAATTACTCGTGCACGTTTATATAGAATCATAAAAATAAACCTCTAATATGTAATCAGCTTATAGCCAATTCAGAAAACTCCACACCAATACAACAACTGTGGAAATCATGAGATATGACTGGGGGGAGAAAAGCAAAACCTAGCATCAAAAGTGCATATACTCATTGTAACTACAATCTTACTATATATTCCTACTTTTGTTTTAAAAAAAGTTTTCTTTAAACTATATGTCTCAAAGGGATACTAAAGGTATAATTTCATATTCTTTTTTGAATTTAAAAAACATATACGTAATCCTCCTTTGTTTTGGTAAGTTCAAATATGAATTGACAGTGGGGTAATTGGATTGTGGATTCTTTAAGAAAGCTCTAAGAAGAGAATACAACATACTATATCTTCTTTAAGAAGTATGAGCTGAAATGTTAGGCATTCCTTGTATTGTTTTTTAAATATATTTAAGGAATGCTGTTTTTGTAAAACCATGGCTTTGAAAAAGAAATCTGAGATCAAAATACATTACTAGAAGATCTCTATAAAAGGTCACCAAGACTATCCTTGTTTGTGAAATCAGGGAAAACATTTTTAGAATTTATCTTGTTAGAAAAAATGCTACCACTTTTCTTTCTTTTTCTTCTTTCTTATTATCACAATTAAACACCAGAAGATTTTCCCCAAATAAATACTGATGTAAATGTTGACTTCAAGGACAAAGAACTTTCATAAGAGTCTATTTCTCAGGCATTTCACCATTTCTTGAGACCACAGGACACAGGCAGCACTGTTTAATGTGAATTGTCACTGGACTCCGGTGAAATATTCCTTCTGGGAGAGTTTATTGGTACCTGAAGCTCACTGGTAGATGTAGGTTTAGCAGCATTTGGTGGCTTTGTAGAGGAATTAGGTGGAAGTCTATGACGATTACTCTCCTCACCAGAAGTAGAGGAATGTCTTTTTCTTCCAAATTCATCACTAATAGGGGGCTGCAAATGATGAAAGGCAACACCGTTGACAATTTTACTGTTTTTCCTCCCTTCAGAATCTAAGGCTAGACTTTTCCCCAAAAAAGTAAGTTAAATGGACACTTCAGTATAATTTTTTTTTTTTTTTTTTTTTTTGATGGAGTCTCATTCTGTCACCCAGGCTGGAGTGCAGTGGCGCGATCTCGGGTCACTGCAAGCTCCGCCTCCCGGGTTCACGCCATTCTTCCGCCTCACAGATTGTATTAGTATAACAAAAACTTAACAGCAACTTAAGGTACTAAACTTAAATTTCCTTCCTAACTAAATCAGCCTACTAGTATTTGCTCATTCTTTTACTCAACATATGTTTGTGGTTTTTGTTTTTTGTTTTTGAGACGGAGTCTCACTCTGTAGCCCGAGTGTTTTTTTTGTTTGCTTGTTTTTTGTTTTTGTTTTGAGACAGAGTCTCACTCTGTAGCCCAAGCTGATGTGCAGTGGTGCCACATCGGCTCACTGGAATCTTTGCCTTTGGGGTTCAAGCGATTCTCCTGCCTCAGCCTCCCAAGTAGCTGGGAGTAGAGGCGCAAGCCACCACACCCAGTTAATTTTTTCGTATTTTTAGTAGAGACGGGGTTTCACCATGTTGCCCTGGGTGGTCTCAAACTCCTAAGCTCAGGCGATCCACCCGCCTCGGCCTCCCAAAGTGCTGAGATTACAGGCATGAGCCACCATGCCTGGCCTCAACACATGTTTACTAAGCTTCTCTCATTTTTTAGGGCCTGAGCTATCTGATGGGGCATAACTATAAGGCTGGGTTCCTTGGCTCCAAGAAAATGTTTCAGCGAGGCTATTTGCCTTCTTTATTAATTTCATCAACTGTAAAGGATTTGTATTTCCAGTCTCTTTCTCAATCCTAAACTCCTATTCCAGGCTTGCTTAAGTGAAAATGTTTAAATAACAGATAAATGAAAGCAGTAGGGGAATAAAAGAGATGCCAAGTTAAATTATCGTTAGCAAGTTTGAAGGTTTATCTAGAATTCCTATGATGAGACTGGAGAATATTATTGATGGCACCAAATTTAAACATCTTCAAACGTTTAAGTACCCAGTGAAAAGGTATCCTGCATTCAAAAAAAGTCAGCTTTTTATGCCTTTCCAGTTACCAAGATTTGGGAGCCCAGAACTGGACACCAATGAACTAGTATTTTTATGTGGAGCTAAACTAAGATAGTAACCTCCTCATCCAATCTTCCGTTGTACTTAAAGAAGGAGGCCTGAATTCTTAGCTTATGTTCAGATGGGGCAAGAGTCTCAAATATAGAGCAAGGATGTCTTTGTGACAGAACTGGCTAGGCCACTCTAGAAAAATAGCTCTTAATTCCAGAGACAGGCACTTTTATTAACCCTATCCCTGGGTCATCAAGTCCATTTACACAAAACTGCAAGACAAATTACAACACAAAGCAGAGATGATGAACCTAGCCTTCCTTTTACTTCTTTCCTATTTTTAAATTTAAAATTTTTCTTCTTCCCTTTTTTTTTTTTTTTTGAGACAGAGTCTCATTCTGTTGCCTAGGCTGGAGTGCAGTGGCACAATCTCTGCCCACTGCAACCTCCACCTCCCAGGTTCAAGCAATTCTTGTGCCTCAGCCTCCTGAGTAGCAGGGATTACACACGTGCACCATCACACCCAGCTAATTTTTGTATTTTTAGTAGAGACAGAGTTTTGCCATGTTGACCAGGCTGGTCTTGAACTCCTGGCATCAGGTGATCCACCCGCCTCGGCCTCCCAAAGTGCTGGAATTACAGGTGTGAGCCACCACACCCAGGCTTTTTCCTTTATTTTTTATTTATCTTCTTCCTCCTTTTCCTCTATCTTCTTACATTCGTGACATTTTTTAATGCTTTTCTTTTCCTCTTGAAATCAAATGGATAAAGCCTATATAAGTTCAACCTTCCACCAAAGGTGATGAGAAGAACGCATGAGAGTGGACATCGTTGTAAGATGGCAGCAAAAGGACCTTGTCTGGCTGACTCAACTAAAAGACACCACTCTTGTGCTTGCACACATGCACACAACATTCTCTCCTTAATTTTATTATGCAGGTACCCTAAATCCATATCAGCACATGTTACAGGAATTATATGGATAAAAGATCATTAAAAAGTGAAAAGTTTTCACATTGCTAGTGACAAATTAGCATATCAGGTAAAAATTAATAAATCTAGAAAATGTTTAATTATAGCAGCATATGAAAATTAAATTGAATTAACAATTGCACTGTGGTTATACAAGATGTTAACATTTGCGAAATCTGAGTGAACAGAGTATATGGGAATTCTCTGAACTATTTTTATATCTATTTCAAAGTTTAATTTTAAAACTAAAAAGTTAAAAAATAAAAATTACAAAATTAAAGCTTAAAAAGTCACTGATAAGAGACTGAAATATATGGATAATAAAAAGAATAGAGGAAATGACTTAAAACTTACATCAACACGGAAGTCTTCTAACCTCTTAAAACTACAGAGGTATTCCTGAAGTTTTGGGTCAATAGACTGTGTCTTAGATTGAGAATATTTCAAATAAGCCCAAAACTTTTCTAGTCCATACAGCTGACCTAATAACAAAGAATAATATACATTATGAATTATATGAAATTTTAAAAATTATTCACATTAAATATAATCCTATCAGCAATAAACAATTTATCTTCCAATATATGCTTACTCTAGATCTTGAGAATAAGACATGTAATGAATTAACCAATAATGGCAGCTAATATTTATTGAGCATTTGTTATGTAACAAGCATTAAGTGCTTTATTATGCATCAAACTAATTTGAACCATATACAACCCAAAAGATGGGTGTTCTCATATATGTTACAGATGAGAAAACTGAGGCTAGCAAGGGTAGGCAATTTACCCACAATCACATAGCTTCTAAATAGTGGAAAGGGAATTTGCACCTAGCAGTCTGTCCCAGAGCCTGCACTCTTAACCACTGTGCTATTTCTGCCTTTCCAAGCTTACCTGCTGATGTTGCATAGAATTTTCATGTAACGGAACATCAGTGAGTAGCCACGTTTGTCAAAGGGATAATGACAAAATATACCTCCATAAAAGAAAGACTTGAGAGTAGTTACTTTCCAACACCTCCCAGGAAAGGCCTTCTTACTACCTGGTGCCCCATCCTTCATCAAGAAACACAACAATAGCATGAAGATCTTAAATGGTTTGCCCTGAAGAAAAAAACTATGAACTCCTTCCCTATTTACTGACAGACTCAGGTTTACAATTTCCAATTAGAGTACAAGTTTTCTGATGTTATTGTTACCAGATTCGTAGTCTTTTTTGGTTTCTTCTTGGAAATCCTGAAAAATTTCTCGCCTGAATTTTTTTTCCAGTCCATAACTATAAAACCTGAACAGACATTCTAACCCATACCTATAAAGAGAAAATAAAAGGTTTATAATAAAATACAATATCTCTATAGTTAGTAACATCAATATAAGCAAACATGGCACAACTAATCCTAAACAAAAAATAAAATTTTAGCATTCAGATTTTTTAATTATTTTTGAGACAGAGTCTCACTCTTGTTGCTCAGGCTGGAGTGCAATGGTGCGACCTCGGCTCACTGCAACCTCCGCCTCCCTGGTTCAAGCTATTCTCCTGCCTCAGCCTCCCGAGTAGCTGGGATTACAGGTGCCCACCACCACATCCAGCTAATTTTTTGTATTTTTAGTAGAGACGGGGTTTCACCATGTTGGCCAGGCTGGTCTCAAACTCCTGGCCTCAGGGGATCCATCTGCCTCGGCCTCCCAAAGTGCTGGGATTACAGGTGTGAGTCACTGCGCCCGGCCGGTATGCAGATTTTTAACTGAACTGGTAATTAGTAATCTACAGCTGGCTTTGCTATTTTTGTTGACTCAGCCGTAGCACATCATGAAGGTATACTGAGAACCTGCTGCATGAAAGGCAGCCCTTGGACAGTTCAGTATGACCTCTTTAGATGCACACATTATCTCTCCCTGGTATTTCTGAAGAACTGGCCAAAAGATTTAGTGATAAATTGGGGATGTGTTAGATTTTCCCCAAACCAAAATTTATAATGGTATCTTTGTACACAGCATTAAATAAATACTCTTGAATGTAAGCTTTACTCTAGGAAGATAAAGACTGTACGGCTGTGCCCTAGATCCCAGGTGTGGCTGTCCCATTCAACTATAATGGTACAAACATAATTAAATGGTTAAGAGAGCCTCCCTGCTTTCATTATAAAGTACAATTAATAGTAGATATATTGCTAATAGAGCTATAATCACTACGTAAATGAGAAAACAAATTTCCTTGTTTCTGTCTATAACTATCTTGAGAATCTAGGAGTTCTGCTCAGTAGATCAGCAAACTATATAGGCTCAACCTTCAACCACAGGTGATGAGCAGAACCCATGAGAGTGAAACAAGGCTGTAAGATGGCAGCAAAAAGACCTTGTCTAGCTGACTCAACTAAAAGATACCACAATTAAAACACTCCTAAGTTAGAATCCTAAGTCATTCTGGGTACCTCAGCAGAAAGGTTACAACCTCTTCATTCTGCTAACATAATATTAACTGGCTGTCAGTCACAGGAAGCAGGGTATGTGATTGTGTGTCTCTTTTGCAACCAGCTTATTTACAAGACGAAGAGTGATGGTCTGGCAAGCCAACAAGAGAAATGCAGGACTGCCAACTACACACTTATACAGCAACCTGAGCCCTTGGCTCCCATAGCCTTAAGTGATGCTACTGGTTGAGCTTGCATGACTGAAGTCTAAGGAGATCAAAGACTAAAGGAACCACAGTTCAGAATGACAAACTTGCTTTGATGTTCCTCTTATGGGATCATATACCGACATCAGTTGTTCTCAATCTTAGCTACACATTATAATCATCTGGGGAGCTTTTAAAAATACTGATGCCCAGGCTCTGCTCCAAACCAATGGAATCAGGATCTTTTTTTTTAATTTTTAAAATTTTTGTGGGTACACAGTGGGTGCATATATTTATGGGGCACATGACATGTTTTGATACAGGCATGCAATGTGAGATAAGCATATCATTGGGAATGGAGTATCCATCCCCTCAAGCATTTATCCTTTGAGTTACAAACAATTCAATTATACTCTTTAAGCCATTTTATTTATTTATTTTTTAATTTTAATTTTTTTTTTTTTGAGACAGAGTTTTACTCTTGTTGCCCAGGATGGAGTGTAGTGGTGCGATCTCGGCTCACTGCAACCTCCACCTCCTGGGTTCAAGTGATTCTCCTGCCTCAGCCTCCCAAGTAGCTGGGATTACAGGCGCCTGCCACCACGTCTGGCTAATTTTTGTATTTTTAGTAGAGATGGGGTTTCACCATGTTGGCCAGGCTGGTCTTGAACTCCTAATGTCATGTGATCCACCTACCTCGGTCTCCCAAAGTGCTGGGATTACAGGCATGAGCCACCACGCCTGGCCTCTTTAAGCCATTTTAAAATGTACAATTAAGCTACCATTGACTATAGTCACCCTATTATGCTATCAAATAGTAGGTCTTACTCATTCTTTCCAACCATTTTTTTTTTTTGTACCCAAAACCAGAATCTTTGAGGTGAAGCCTCAGTATCTCTCTTTATTTCTGGAGAAGTAAGTTTTTGGTTTTTATCAAGTAAATCATATTTTAGAGGAATATAGAAATTCTTAGATTATTGATAAAGGATGACAATACAACATTTATATTGAATAGGCAATATTTGGATTTTTACTCTTATTTCTTAGCAAACTATTCCAAAGACCAAAAGTATGACATTAATAACACAACCCAAATACACAGCATAACTGCTGGAGTGAAGGACAAAGGCAAATGATCAGCCTTCTCAGTTGTCATTTACTCATTTACCACTAACTGCAAGACAGCTCAGAGGAGTAGAAAACCTAGAGGCTTAGAACCAGAAAGAACTATATTTGAATCATGGGCTTGTCATTATATCACTGAAAATTGAGTCAATTAGATCCTATTTTTCGAAAATAGATATTTGTAAACCCTCTAGACCAGAGCTAGCACATTGAAGAGATGTAAGCGATGTTAGCTCTCTCCCTCCTTCCTGTAATCACATTATTACTACTTTCAACCAATGGACAGAATTAGTAACAATTCCCTAATGACAATAATCATCTGGCCGGCCACAGTGGCTCACACCTGTAATCCTAGCACTTTGGGAGGCCGAGGTGGGTGGATCACTTGAGGTCAGGTGTTCAAGACCAGCCTGGCCAATATGGTAAAACCCCATTTCTACTAAAAATACAAAAATTAGCCGGGTGTGGTGGTGGGCACCTGTGATGCCAGCTACTTACGAGGCTGAGGCAGAAGAATTGCTTGAACCCAGGAGGCAGAGGTTGCAGTGAGCCGAGATCGCGACACTGCACTCCAGCCTAGGCAACAGTGTGACTTTGTCTCAAAGAAAAAAAGAAAGGAAGGGAGGGAGGGAGGAAAAAGAAAAGAAAAGAGGGAGGGAGGGAGGGAGGGAGGGAGAGAGGGAATCATTTGTCAAGCACTTACTATACATAAGTTAATGTGTTAAGCCCTTTAAATGCTTTGTGTAATCTTCACAATAACCCCATGAGAGAGTATCTATCACAATTTAACCTTTTTTTTTGTTGAGACAGAGTCTTGTTCAGTCACCCAGACTGAAGTGCAGTAGCACAACCTTGGCTCACTGCAACCTCCTCCTCCCAGGCTCAAGCAGTTCTCATGTTTCAGCCTCCCAAGCAGCTATAAGCGCAGGCCACCACGCCAAGCTAATTTTTGTATTTTTAGAAGAGACGGGGTTTTGCCATGTTGGCCAGGCTAGTCTCGAACTCCTGGCTTCAGTGATCTGCCTGCCTCGGCCTCCCAAAGTGCAGGGATTACAGGTGTGAGCCACCATGCCTGGCTTAACCTACTTTTTATAAAGAACCTAAAGCCTGGTGGGATTATAATCTGCCAAGGCCACAGTAAATTAATGGCTGCAACTCAAACATAGTCCTGATTTCAAGGACTTCAGGTGCTTAACCACTACTTCCTAAGAAGTAGCTAATACAGTCTAGTGGTAAATACTGCAGAAACAGAACCAAAGGTAGGAAACTGTGTTACAAAGGTATTAGAAACATACACAGAGGTATGTGTATAGGAACACAGAAGAGGAACTCCCAACCTAGACTTGGGTGGAAATGGAATCAGAGAAGTTATCAGAAAGTCTTAAGGAACAAACAGAAATTGCATAAATAGCAAAATAGTCTGAGATCAATTAAAACAATGGCTTTCAAACTTTTCTGACTAGGTCCAATACCATGAAAAATATTTTACCTTATAACTAAATCAATATGCATGTCTCTATATGTGTGTACATAAAAAGATATATGTTTTGCAAAACAGTTCTTAAATTTGTATGTATATGGGTATGAATTAAATTCATATGTATGAATTACTATGCTCAGTGCAGTCTGGTATTTTCTACTGTATTTTTTAAAGCATGTTAGAACCACTCAATTGATTTTACAATTGACGAATAGGTAGCAAACCACAGTTTGAATAAGAACAATGAGATTAGGAATGGCAAATTTTGCTTTTTATGCCAACTCTGGTAAACTGGCAGTAGCTATTAAAGTCATAAGGAAGAGTATAAATCTTAAAAGTGTGGTAAGAAAGAACATAAAACATAACTGGGATTGATTAGAGATATCAGTAATAGAGGAAAAAGAAATAGAAGTACACCTGCCATGGATCTGCTGTTCCTGATATAGATAACAGATAAAAATTAAACGGGCTTTGTTTTTACATAAGTCAACACAAAGAAATTTTTGTGATTTTAATCAGAAAAATGTATTTGTAGCACACCTTGTATTCTTCTCAAAGATCACAATATCTGGTAAACAATATATTCTTATTTGATATTTACAAGAGGAATCCATTTTCAGAACTTAAAGAAGGGTAAGTTTAGGTAAATATGATTGAATGAAAAATCATCTTTTTCCCTTCTCTCCATCTCTTGTTCCTTTCTCCTTTTCCCCATGAATAAATAGCCTTCATGAGTCCACGCCATGTTCCTTCTTACCCTCTTTGTCTGCCCTCACTCAGCCCTACAGGCACTCTCAAGACTTTCCATGAACATTTCTGAAGGAAGCAAGGTCTAAGCTGGGACAAAAAGAATAGGATTTAGAAAAGCACAGGGAGGACGAAGAGAAGTAGAAGCAAAGTTAAGAACATGCACAGATGTCCAGAGGCTAGAGAGCTTGGTTCATTTGAAGAATATGTAGTTCAGTATCACTGTTGCCCAGAGTACTACAGGACTAGCGGGGAAAAAATTAGACAAGGTGAGTCAAAGGACATATTGTGAGAGGCCTTGCTTTTTCTTTTCTCAAAGAATCTTAAGAACTGGGTTGGCTCTAAGCACATATCAATTGGGGTATGTATATGTACATGCAAGGGAAGTCTGTAATGGTGGGAGCATGGGAGAGAAAAGTTTTGTAATTTCATTCAGCCCTTCTGCCAGCCTCTAAGATGGTTCCTAATGATCCCATCTCTTGGTATTAACAACCTTGTGTAGTACCCTCCTATACTGTACCAGGACTGGTCTGTATGGACTATACAATATGGCAGAAATAATGGTATGCCACTTCCAAGTGCAGGTTGTATAAAATACTGAGGCTTCCATTTTGGAAGCTCTACTCATTCAGGGTGAAACCGTATTGTAAAATGCCCTAGGGAAGGTCAGTGTGGCAAGGAACTGAAGCCTCCTGCCAAGAGCCATGTGAATGAGCTTGAAAAAGATCCTCCAGCCCAGGCCAAGTCTTCAGAGACCACAGCCCACTTCAACATCTTGGCTGCAAGCTCATGAGAAACCATAAGCCAGAACCACCCAGCTAAGCAGTTTCTGGAGTCTCAACTCTTTGAAGCTGTGAACTAACAAATGTTTATTGTTTTAACCTATGGAGTTTTGGGGTAATTTGCAATGCAGAAATAGAAAACTAATACAGGTCTCCCTCTAGTTATATTGTGCTACTTTCACGGTTCAAAATCAGGCTACTTCAGTACTAGTTTTAAAAATTATTTTCTAAAAACTCCCTCTATCGGATCTACCTGGGTAAAGAAAAAAAGAAGAAGAAAATAATAAAACTCCCTTGAAGTGTAAAAGAAAATATCTGACCTGTAATTTTCTTTTGCATCTTCCCAAGCAAGTTGTCTAAATTCCTCATACATTTTTTTATTGAAGTGATCTCTGAGGAAAAAGGACCAGAAACGAAAGAGGGTATTCATTTCTTGGGACTGACCAATTCCCAAGCGTTTTCTCTCTGAAAAAAGTTAAATAAAATATTATTTTATTAAACATACTTTTTAAAGACAAGACAGCAGATGTTATATATAAAATGAAGAAAGCTCAACCATATTAATCCTCAAAGTGTATTTAGGTTTCTTCTAAATAGAGTGGGGATCTCCAACCTCCAGGCCACAGACTGGTACCCTACTGTGAACTGCACATGTGAGGGATCTAGACTGGACACTCCTTAAGAGAATCTAATGCCTGATGATCTGAGGTGGAACAGTTTTATCCAAAACCATCCCCCATGGAAAAATTGTCTTCCATGAAACAGGTCCCTGGTGCCAAAAAGATTGAGGACTGCTGAAACAGCTGACAAATGCTAACCCATTTTTTGACTCACTGCTTAAATTATAAATATCTCTCAATAGCAACAAGAAGAGTATAATAAATTTTTTTTTCTTTTTTTGAGACAGAGTCTCACTCTGTTGCCCAGGCTGGAGTGCAATGGCACGATTTTGGCTCACTGCAACCTCTGCCTCCCAGGTCCCAGCAATTCTCCTGCCTCAATCTCCTGGGTAGCTGGGATTACAGGCGCCTGCCATCACACCCAGCTAACTTTTGTATTTTTAGTACAGATGGAGTTTCACTATGTTGGCCAGGCTGGTCTCATACTCCTGACCTCAAGTGATCTGCATGCCTCGGCCTCCCAAAGTGCTGAGATTACTGGCATGAGCCACCATGCTCAGCCGAGTATATTAATTTTTATTTCCTAATGTGTCTAAGTTATAAAGTACATGAATAAAGAATATATGTAAACATGTTTAAAGTAAAACTATGTATAGTCTAACAATAAAAGAATATCTTAACCTGATATTAAATGACAACATTTAAATTTTTTAGAATTATATTTTAATTTTAAATATATTAGATAGATAAAGGACAAGCATCTTACCACTTAGGCATCTTCGACGATACTTGTGGTACACTTGTTGGGTAAAGCCATTTTCCTTCAAAAGTTCATGAGAAGGATGCTGGAACTTTGGGAATGAATGAGGAGTACATCCATAACTTCCTGCTAGTGGTGCGCCTTCTGAAGGTGAAGCATTTGAAGTGCTGTTTGAGAAAGGGGAAAAAAGCCTTCAAAATGAAAAATCAAGAACCAAGTATATGAACCAATTTGTACTATTTTTTTCATTATTGGGGGTCTAAGCAGTGGAAAAGACAGTAGTCCCTAAAACTCTCCTAAATTAATGACATACAGATCTGCATATAGTGCTATTTATGTTCAATACACATATGTAAATTCAGAAGCTGATAAAAAGCATGGTCATAAACTCTCAAGCTAACACAGTTTAAGCAGAAGCAGATAACTGAATAGCTCATTCCTCCTCCAAATCATTATTAATTTCATTTAGATTAGTTTTTTATTATGTGGAAACTTTCAACTTATCTTGAATAATTTAGGTTAGTGATGTAAATTGAATACATGGAGATTAGGGATAAAATCTGGCACAAAGATGGGCAATAATTTCATTATCTCAAAGACATACCTGCAATTTTCTTTTTTTCTAAAGGCATCAAAAGTAAGACAGAACCTGCAATTCTCTAAATCAATTCCACTTTTGATCTATCTCCTAAATCTGTCTTTTCCTTCTCATCTGCACTCAAATTCAAATATAGACCTAAATTCAAATTTAGACCTTCCTCTTCTTTCACTTGAATTAACCAGTCTCTCTTCTTTCACTTGAATTAACCAGTCTCTTTGTTTTTCCAAGTGTCCCTTCTCTATCCTGCCACCAAAGTTATCTTCCTAAAACATTTATCTAAATCAGTGGTTCTCAAAGTGGTCTGTGGACTGTTGGAAGGTTCCTAAGAACCTTCTAGAAAGTCTACAAAGTCAAAACTGATTTCATAATAAGAAGACATTGTTGGCCCTTGCCTCTATGTTGACCTTTCTAC
Organism: Homo sapiens; assembly: GCF_000001405.40. Lineage (NCBI taxonomy): Eukaryota > Metazoa > Chordata > Mammalia > Primates > Hominidae > Homo > Homo sapiens. The sequence continues at coordinate 128,198,592 of NC_000004.12, read as the reverse complement.
TGATGGTACAAAAGCAATGGTGTGTAAAACTGATGTGAATTGAGGCAGTGGCACCAAACTTTACTTACTTGTGACTGCATCCTTCATTGTTATGCACTTGCAATTAGAAAAAATAAAACAATTCCAGTTTCAACTTAAAAATATCCTTGATAAAGCCAAAAAATTATAAAATCTCACTCATGAGTACATATCTTTTTGTGTGTGACAAACATGAAATGGAAGCTTGTTTTGCAAGATGAAAATGTTCTGGAGATCTGTTTCACAACAATGTGAATATACTGAACACTACTGAGTTGTACACTTAAGAACTGTTAAGATGGTAAATTTCATGTTATACATTTTTTTACAATTTTTTAAAAATGAGAAGAAAACACAAAGCATTTTTGCAGCATATTAAACTACAATGGGGCTGGGTGTGGTGGGTTCACGCCTGTAATCCCAGCACTTTGGGAGGCCGAGGTTGGCGGATCACCTGAGGTCAGGAGTTCGAGACCAGCCTGGCCAACATGGTGAAACCCTGTCTCTATAAAAAATACAAAAATTAGCTGGACGTGGTGGCATGTACCTGTAATCCCAGCTACTCGGGAGGCTGAGGCAGGAAAATCACTTGAACCCGGGCAGCGGAGGTTGCAGTGAGCAGAGATCATGCCATTGCACTCCAGCCTAGGTGATGAGCAAAACTCCATCTCAAAAAAAAAAAAAAAAAAAAAAAGCTACAATCGTTTTCTTAAAGCAAAGCACTTGTGTGATTAAGTTATAAGGCAAACTAGCAACTTTTTTCATGTTTAACTAAAAGAACAACCCACAAACTATGGTTACTCAGACTTTATTATTTCTCAGATATTTCCTTGAAAATGAAAAAAAATAGGTTTTTTTTCTTTCTTTGTTTTTCTTTTTTTTGAGACAGAGTGTCGCTCTGTTGCCAGGCTGGAGTGCAGTGGCGCCATCTCGGCTCACTGCAACCTCCACCTCCTGGGTTCAAGCGATTCTCCTGCCTCAGCCTCCTGAGTAGCTGGGACTACAGGCACCTGCCACCACACCCAACTAATTTTTGTATTTTTAGTAGAGATGGGGTTTCACCATGTTGGCCAGGATGGTCTCAATCTCTTGACCTCGTGATCTGCCCGCCTCGGCCTCCCAAAGTGCTGGGATTACAGGCGTAAGCTACTGCGCCCAGCTGATAAAAAAATGAGTTTTTAATGTCAAGGAAAACAACTGTTTTTTCCAATGATAAAATTTGAGCTTTCAAGCAAAAATGAAAATTTTGGAAATCTTGTATTTGTCACTAAGAGCCTGACAGTTACAACCAATACTTAAAGACTTTTCTAATGAAATAAAAAAGAATTTTAGGAGTTTTTGTGTGTACATGTGTGGTAAAAATATACCTAACATAATATATATCATTTTAAACACTATTCATAAGTGTATAATTAATAGGCATTAAATATAATCACAATATTCTGTAATCATCACCACTATCTAGACTCAAAATTTTTTCATCATCTCCATCAAAAACTGTACCTGTTAAATAAAAACTACCCCTCTACCCCTCCCTACAGCCCTAGTAACCTCTATTCTACTTTCTGTCTATAAATTTGACTATTCTAGGTACTCCATATAAGTGGGATCGTATAATATTTATCCTTCTGTGTCAACCTTGTTTCATTAAGCATAATGTTTTCAAAGCTCATCCATGTAGCAGCATAAATCAAAATTTCATTCCTTTTTGTGGTTGAATATTTATATTCCATTGTATGTGTTTATCTAATCATTTGTTGTTGGATACTTGCTTATCCAGTCTTTTGTTGAGAATCCCACTTTTTGGCTATCATGAATAATGCTGCTACAAACATGGGCATACAATATGTGTTTTCAATACTTTTGATATATAACTAAGAGTGGTATAGCTGGTAGAGGTTGCAGTGAGCCGAGATTGCACCACTGCACTCCAGCCTGGGCGACAGAGTGAGACTCCGTGTCCGAAAAAAAAAAACAGAAAACAAAAATTCCTTCAATTTTTTTGAAAGAATTTGAGAAGGATTGGTGTTAATTCTTTTTTACTTTTTATTTTTTTGAGACAGGGTCTTGCTCTGTCGCCCAGACTGGAGTGCAGTGGCATGGTCATGGCTCACTGCAGCTTCAACCTCCTGGGTTCAGGCAATCCTCCCACCTCAGCCTCCCAAGTAGCTAAGACTACAGGCAAGTACCACTATGCCTGGCTAATTTTTTGGATTTTTAGTAGAGACGTGGTCTCACCGTGTTGCGCAGGCTGGGTGTTAATTTTTGGGTTTTTTTTTTTCCCTTTTCTTTTTCTTTCTTTCTTTCTTTTTTTTTTTTTTTTTTTGACAGACTCTCACTCTGTCGCCCAGGCTGAAGTGTAGTGACATGATCTCGGCTCACTGTGACATCCGCTTCCCGGGCTCAAGTGATTTTCCTGCCTCAGCCTCCTGAGTAGCTGGGACTACAGGCGCCCACCACCATGCCCAGCTAATTTTTGTATTTTTAGTAGAGACAGGGTTTCACCATATTGGCAAGCTGGTCTCGAACTCCTGACCTTGTGATCCACCTGCCTCAGCCTCACAAAGTGCTGGGATTACAGGCATGAGCCACCACGCCCAGCCCACAGTATTCTCATATCCTTTTTATCTCTGTAAGGTCAACCAGTAGTAATATCCCATTTGTTTGTTTGTTTTTCTGATTCTAGTTATTTGCATCTTCTCTCTTTCTTTGTCAGTCTAGCTAAAGTTTCGTCAATTTTGTTGATCTCTTCAAAGAATCAACTTTTAGTTTCCTTGATTTTCTCTACTATTTTGGGTTTAGTTTGCTCTTCTTTTTCTAGTTCCTTAAAGTATAAAGCTAGGTTGCCGATTTCAGATCTTTTTTCTTTTTTAAATGTAGGCATTTACAGCTATAAACTTCCCTGTCTCTATATGGAATCAGTAGTTTCATTCATGTAGTTATTTATTGACTGCAAAGTATGACAGGTACTGAGAAGTTCTTTACATTAAAGAACTTATTGTCTAAAGAAGACATAGAGAAACAATGCATGTAAAATGTTGAGCACAGTGCCTGGAACATTTATTGAAAGCATATAAAAGTGGTAGCTATCATTAAATAAATTCTCCACAATGAATAAATATACCTTACTGGCATACTTATCACAGGGAGCCAGAAGGAAGCAAAGAGGTAGATCAAAATGAAGACTAACAAATAGAAATTTGAAAACAGTTTTCAAAAGATGGAACAATGAGAGATAAAGAATTCCTCAATCAAAAGGAAAGAACGAAGATAAAATTAATATCGAATACTTAGATTAGTAAAAGAAATGCAGATAACATCGAAGCTCTAACTATAATTACAGCACATGAATCTATATTACTATCAATAAGCCTAGGACTTACTTTAGCAACATTCAGTAGACTAGGAGCAAATATAATAGAAAGCTGGATTTATTCAGACTGGGATTTGGCAAGATTTCAACAACAAAAAAAAGTCTAGAAGTAATAATCTAGAATTCAATCAAAATGTATAAGACACACAAAAAGAAAAAATAAAATTCAGGAGACAATGAATAGAACCAGACTTACAGATAACTCAGTACTAGCATAATCACAAATGAACTTTAAAATAACCATGATTAATATGTTGAAGACTCTAATGTAAAAGATGAACATTCATGAAGAGATGGAGAATTTCAGCAGAAAAAAAGAAAACTTTTTTTTTTTTGCGATGGAGTCTCACTCAGTTGCCCAGGTTGGAGTGCAGTGGCCCCATCCCAGCTCACTGCAATTTCCACCTCCTAGGTTCAAGCGATTCTCCTGCCTCAGCCTCCTAAGTAGTTGGGATTACCAGTGAGCGCCACCACATCCAGCCAAGAAAACTTTTTTTTTTTTTTTTTTTTTTTTTTTTTGAGACAGAGTCTTGCTCTGTCGCCCAGGCTGGAGTGCAGTGGCGAGATCTTGGCTCACTGCAAGCTCCGCCTCCCGGGTTCACGCCATTCTCCTGCCTCAGCCTCCCGAGTAGCTGGGACTACAGGCGCCCGCCACCATGCCCGGCTAATTTTTGTGTATTTTTAGCAGAGACGGGGTTTCACCGTGTTAGCCAGGATGGTCTCAATCTCCTGACCTCGTGATCCGCCCGCCTCGGCCTCCCAAAGTGCTGGGATTACAGGCGTGAGCCACTGCGACCAGCCAAGAAAACTATTTTTAAAAAGTCAAATGGGGCCGGGCGCGGTAACTCACACTTGTAATCCCAGCATTTTCGGAGGCCGAGGTGGGCGGATCACCTGACATCAGGGGTCCAAGGCTAGCCTGGCCAACACGGTGAAACCCTGTCTCTATTAAAATACAAAAATTAGCCGGGTGTGGTAGCGGGCACCTGTAATCCCAGCTACTTAGGAGGCTGAGGCAGAAGAATCGCTTGAACCCAGGAGGTGGAGGTTGCAGTGAGCTGAGATCGTGCCATTGCACTCCAGCCTGGGCGACATGAGTGAAACTGCATCTCAATAAATAAATAGTCAAACAGTAATGCAAAATATACACAACACAATATCAGAAATGAATACTTCTTTGATGGACTTCTTAGCACACTAGAACAGCTAAGGAAAGAATCAGGAAACCTGAATATAAATCAATCAAAATTACACAAAGTGAAATACAATTTAAAAGGAGTAAGAGGCCAAGCGCAGTGGCTCACGCCTGTAATCCCAGCACTTTGGAAGGCCAAGGCAGGCGGATCTCCTGAGGTCAGGAATTCACGACTAACTTGACCAACATGGTGAAACCCTGTCTCTACCAAAAATACAAAAAATTAGCTGGGCGTGGTGGCTTGCACCTGTAATTCCAGCTACTCAGGAGGCTGAGGCAGGAGAATCGTTTGAACCCAGGAGGCAGGGGTTGCAGTGAGCCAAGATCACTCCATTGCACTCCAACCTGGGCAACGAGAGCGAAACTCTGTCTCAAAAATAAAAATAAAAATAAAAAAATAAAATAAAAAAGGAGTAGGAGAAAAAGCAGATCAGAGCATCCAACAGCTATGGGTATTATCAAATGGTCTAACATATATGTAATTTGAAACCCAGAAGAAGGAAAAAAAGAAAACAGGGCAAAAAAATTTATGATGAGTCAAAAATTATTCTAACAATTTAAAAAGCCATAAATCTGAAACCATCAGAGAACCAGAGCAGGATACTTTATAGGTGTGTGTATGTGTTTGTGTGTGGGTGTATTAATAACAGGCAAATATCTATTACGAACCTACTAAAGAAATCTCCCAGATTCTCAATGGCATTTAGAAAGTTTTTAATAGATATATATGAAGGATTTAATGTGCTAAACTATCTACTCAAACTATATGTGTGTATGTGTGTATGCACATGTGCACATATATGTATGTGTATATACATGTACACATAACTGTCTAAAGAAAAATAATAACAAAGTATAGCACAAAGAATGGGGGACTGGGTGTGGTGACTCATAACGGTAATCCCAACACCTTGGGAGGCTAAGGCAGGAGAATTGCTTGAGCCCAGGAGTTCAAGACCAGCCTGAATTACATAGCAAGATCTTGTCGCAACAAAAATTTTTTTAAAAATTAGCCAGCTATTGTGGTGCACACCTGTAGTCCCAGATACTTGAGGTTAAGGTGGGAGGACTGCTTAAGTTCAGGAGTTTGAGACTGCAGTAACCTGAGATTTTGCCACTGCACTCTATCCTGGGTGAAAGATCGAGACTCTGTCTCTAATTTAAAAAAAAAAAACAAAGAAACAAACAGAGAAATGGGGAGAAATAATGAAAATTTAATGTTGTAAGGTGCTTATACTACACATGAAGTGGGATAAGATTATTTGAAAGTAGACTGTGGTACGTTAAAATGTATAAAGCTGGTCCTCAACTTAAAAGATGGTTTCACTTACGGTTTTTCAGGTTTATGATGGTACAAAAGCAATATGCATTCAGTAAAAACCATAGCTCAAGTACCATACAACCATTCTGTTCTTCAGTTTCAGCAAAGCATTCAATAAATTACATAAGATATTCAACATTTTATTATAAAATAGGCTTTGTGCTAGATTTTGCCCAACTATAGGTTAATATAAGTGTTCTGAGCACATTTAAGGTAAGCTAGGCTGAGCCATGATGTTCAGTAGGTTAGGTGTATTAAATGCATTTTCAACTTATGATATTTTCAAGCTACAAAGGGTTCATCAGGATGTAACCACATCATAATTCAAGGAACAGCTGAATTATATGGGCATATCTCAGAGATATTGCTGGTTCAATTCTAGACCACCACAAAACAGCACATATTGCAAAAAAGCAAGTCACATGAATATTTTGGCTTCCCAGTAAATATAAAAGTTATATTTACATTATACTGTACTCTACCAAGTGTGCAATAGCATTATGACTTAAAAAAAGTACATACCTTAATTTAAAAATACTTTATTGAGACAATGATGTCACCAAAATGGCAGAGTAGAAGCAATCTGGCTTCACTCTCCCACAGAAAGCCAAAAACAAATATCTAGCACAAAGCTTATCATCAGCAATATCCCAGAACTCAAATCTGAGGCTGATAGTACCCGTGAGCCACAGAGAACTGAAAAACTCCAAGCAAACAGTAAGAGAAATAGCCTTCTCTTTGCATGATGCCTTTTCTGCAATCTGCCAGGCCCTGTGCATGAAAAATTCCTCCCAGACTCAGCTTCTTCATTGGAAAAAGTTAGATGGAGGAGGACAGCCAGCTTTCCCACCATCTTGGGTTCCCTTGCAGGAAAACTGTTCCTGCCTCAACCCATAAGAAGTATAATATCATGAGGGCTAGCAGGGAGAAAAAAAAATCATGAAGGCAGAAAAAGAGGGGAAGCAGGAACAGAAACCCTAGCCCTGAAATTCTCCTCTTTATTTCAGCCAAAAGAGATGCCATATCAGAGTGGCTGTTCAGCAGGACCACACTGTAGGAGGTATGATCCATGAGTTTTCTGGGTACAAACCGTTTGCCAGCCTTACCACACAGTTGGGGTAATCCCCTTTGCCACCCCCACCATCTGACAGGCAGTGCTCCAATGTTTGTGAGAGCCAAGGCAAACTTGGGCTTAAGGCGCCATCTAGTGCCCAAAAGGAGGCACTGATATACAATAGTATTAAGGGAACTCACACGCTACTGCAAAGAATCTCTAAGAAAACATACCTTAGAAAGACAAAACAAGCAAGACAGCAAAGACTGGGATAAATAATAAATCCTTTAAAGCAAAGCCACAAATGTACATCCACGAGAAACAACAGCAAACACGGAACTATGACATCCCCAAATGCACAAAGCAAGGAGTCAGGGAGAAGAAAAGCAATGTGTGAGGTCTCAGATCAAGAACAAAATAACAGTTCTACAGACACTCAGCAAAATCCAAGATAACACAGAGAAGCAATTAAATTTATCAGAGAAATGTAACACAAAGAGATTGAAATTAAAAAAAAAAATCCTGGAACTCAGAAATACGTTTTCTGAAAAATGGATTACAGGCTCTCACATTGCAAGAAACAATCAGTGAGCTCAAATACAGCCTATTGGAAAATACAGTCAGAGGAGAAAAAGAAAGGAATGAAGAACACCTGCAAGATATAAAGAATAATCTCAAAAGAACAAATGTAAGAGCCACTGGCATTCAATGATGAGTTAAGAGCAAGGAGTAGTAAGCTTATTCAAAGAAATAACAGAAAACATTCCAAATCTAAAGAAAGATATAAATATCTAGGTACAGAAGGTCAGAAATTACCAAATATATTTTTATTAGTCCATTTTCACTCTGCTATAAATAATACCTGAGGCTGGGTAATTTATGAGGGAAAGTGGTTTAATTGACTCAGTTCCACATGGCTGGGGAGGCTTCAGGAAACTTACAATCGTGGTGGGAGGGGAAGCAGGCACCCTTACACTGCAGCAGGTGAGAGAGAGTATGTGTGAAGGAGAAACCGTCAAACACTTATAAAACCATCAGATCTTGTGAGAACTCACTCACTATCACAAGAACGGCATGGGATAAGTGCCCCCATGATCCAATCACCTCCTACCAGGTCCCTCCCTTGACACATGGGGATTATGGGAATTACAATTCGAGATGAGACGGGTGGGAACACAAAGCCAAACCATATCAATATTCAATCCAAATAAGAGTATCCCAAGGCAAATAATAATCAAACCTGAAAATGTCAAGGACAAAGAGAAGATCCTTAAAACAGCAAGAGAAAAAAAATAAAAGAACATATAAAAGAGCTCTGATTTTTTTGGCAAGAGACTTTTCAACAGAAACCAAACAGGCCATGAGGGAGTTAAGTGACACATTCAAAGTGCTACAGGATAAATGGAAACAAAAACAAAACCTGCCAACCAACTATGCTGTACCCAGCAAAGTTTTCCTTCAAACAGGAAGGAGATATAAAGTCTTTCCTAGACAAAAGCTAAGGGAATTCATCACTACTAGACCCATCTTTTCAGAAATGCTAAAGGGAGTTCTTTAATTTGAAAGAAAACAAACTTTGATGTGCAAAACCAAAAATGTTTGAAGGTATAAAACTCACTGGTAAAAGTAGACAAATTCAGAATGCTCTAATGCAGTAATTGTTACATGTAATCCATTCATATCTCTAATATGAAGACTAAAAGACAAATCTACTGAAAATATTAACAGCAACCTGTTAAGAGATAGGGAAGATAAATAGATGTAAATTAAGACAACAAAATGTCAAAATGTGGGAGGATGGAGTTGAAGTGTAGAGTTTTTTAGTTTTTCCCTTGATTCTTTCCTTTTCTTTGTGATCAAAGTTAAGTTGTCATATGTTTAAAATAACTTACAGCTATGGCTTTGGTAAGCCTCATGGTAACCACAAAGCAAAGACTTATGATAGATACACTAAAAATAAAAAGCAATGAATTAAAACATACTCCCAGAGAAAAACCACTTAATCACAAACAAAGGCAGTAAGAAGGAAGTAAGGGAGGAGTTACAAAACAACCAGAAACCAAGTAATGACATACTGCGTAGTAAGTCCTTATCTATCAATAATAATACTGAATGTAAATGAACTAAATTCTCCAACCAAAAGATATAAGCATGGCTGAGTGAAAAACTTTTAGAAACAAGATCCAACTATATATTGCCTACAAGAAACTCAAATCACCTATAAAGACACACATAGTCTGAAAGTGAAGAATGGAAAAAGACATTCCACGCAAATGGAAGCAAAAAAAAAAAAAAAAAAAAAAAAAAGTAGCCATACTTGTATCAAACAAAATAGAACAAGTGAAAGTCTGTAAAAAAAAAAAAAAAAAGGACACGGAAGGTCACTGTATGATGATAAAGGAAAGGATCAATTCAGCAAGAGGCTGTAACAATTTAAAAATATATGCACCCAATTCTGGAGCACCCAGATATATTAAGTAAACATTAATAAATCTAGAGGAGAGATAGACTATAATACAAATAATAGCAGGGGGCTTCAACACCCATCTCTCAATAATGGACAGATCATCCAGACAGAAAATCAACAAAGATACAATGAAGTTAAACTACACCTAGACCAACTGGACCTAGTGACATTTATAGAACATTTCACCTACTACTGCAGAATACACATTCTTCTCATTAGCACATGGAACATTCTCCAGGATAAAACATATGTTAGGCTACAAAACATGTCTCAACAAATTTAAAAAAGTCAAAATCATATCAAGTATCTTTTCTGGCTACAACAGAATAAAAATAGAAATCAATAACATGAAGAATTTTGGAATCTACACAAACGTGGAAATTAAACAACATGCTCCTGAATGATCAACAGATTAATAAAGAAATTAAGAAGAAAACTTCAAAATGTCTTCAAACAAATGCAAATGGAAACGTAACTTTCCAAAACCTATGAGATACAGCATAGCAGTACTAAGAGAGAATTTTATAGCAATAAATGCCTACATCAAAAAAGTAGGTTTCAAATAAGCAACCTAACGATGTACTTAAAAGAACTAGAAAAGAACAAATCAAACCCAAAATTAGTAGAAAGAAACAATAAAGATCAAGGCAGAAATAAATAAAATTGAGACTAAAACAAGTACAAAAAATCAATGAAATGAAAAAGTTGGTTTTTTGAAAAGATAAACAAAATCAACAAACCTTCAGCTAGATGTATTAGGCTGTTCTCACATTACTATAAAGAAATACCCAGCCAGGCGCAGTGGCTCATGCCTGTAATCCCAGCACTTTGGGAGACCAAGGCGGGCGGATGACCTGAGGTTGGGAGTTCGAGACCAGCCTGACCAACATGGAGAAACCCCATCTCTACTAAAAATACAAAAATTACCCAGACATGGTGGTGCATGCCTGTAATCCCAGCTACTCAGGAGGCTGAAGCAGGAGAATCACTTGAACCCGGGAGGCGGAGGTTGCAGTGAGCTGAAATCACACCACTGCACTTGAGCCTGGGCAACAAGAGCAAAACTCCGCCTCAAAAAAAAAAAAAAATACCCGAGACTGGGTAAATTATAGAGGAAAGAGGTTTAATTGGCTCATGGTTCTGTAGGCAGTACAGCATGATGCTGGCTCAGCTTCTAGGGAGGCCTTAGGAAAACTTACAATCATGGTGGAAGGCAGGGGGAGCAGCACTTCACATAGCTGGAGCAGGAGGAAGAGAGACAGTGGAGGTGCCACACACTTTTAAACAACCAGATCTCACAACTCACTATCACAATGACAACTCCAAGGCAGATGGTGTTAAACCATGAGAAACTGCCCCGGTGATCCAATCACCTCCCACCAGGCCCCACCTCCAATACTGGGGATTACAATTGAACATGAGATTTGGGTGGGGACATAGATCCAAACCATATAATTCTACCCTGGCCCCTGCCAAATCTCATGTCCTTCTCACATTGCAAAATCTAGTCATGTCTTCCCAACAATCCCCCAAAGTCTTAACTCATTCTAGCATTAACTCAAAAGTCCAAAGTCTCATTTGAGACAAGGCTAGTCCCTTCCACCTATGAGCCTGTAAAATCAAAAACAAGGTAGGTACTTCCAAGATACAATGGAGGTATAGGCCTTGGGTAAATACACAAAAGGAAGAAATAGCCCAAAAGAAAGGGGCTACAGGCTGCATGCAAGTCCAAAGCCCAGAAGGGCAATCACTAAATCTTAAAGTTCCAAAATAATATCCTTTGACTCCATATGTTACATCCAGGGTATGCTGGTGCAAGGGGTGGGCTCACAAAGCCTTGGGCAGCTCCATGCCTATGGCTTTCCAGGGTTTAGCCCACATGGCTGCTCTTAAGGGCTGGCACTGAGTGCCTGTGGCTTTTCGAGGCTGAGGATGCAGGCTGCTAGTGGATCTACCATTCTGGGGTCTGGAGGACAGTGGCCCTCTTCTCAAAGCTTCACTAGGCAGTGCCCCAGTGGGGAGTCTGTATGAGGGATCCAACCCCACATTTCCTCTCTGCACTGTCCTTGTAGAGGTTCTCCATGAGGGCTCTGCCCCTACAGCAGGCTTTAGTCTAGACATCCAGGATTTTCCATACATCCTCTGAAATATAGGCAGAGGCTCCCAAGCCTCAACTCTTGCATTCTGTGCACCACCTGCAGGCTTACTACCACATGGAACCTGCCAAGGTTTATGGTTTGCACCCTCTGAAGCAGCAGCCCCAAGCTGTATCTGGGCCCCTTTTAGCCATGCTACAGCTGGAGCAGCTGGAATGCAGGGAGCAGTTTCCCAAGGTTGCACAGGGCCCCATTCTGTCCTCCTAGGCCTCTGGTCCTGCGGCGGGAGGTCTCTAAAATGCCTACAAGGTGTTTTTCTCATTGTCTTAGACATGAGCACTTGGCCTTTCCTCTAAGATCTGGAATAACACAAGGTTGTCCACTTTACCACTTTAATTGAACATAGTACTGTAAGTCCTAGCAAGAGCAATTAGGCAAGAGAAAGAGCATCCACACTGGAAAAGAAGAAGTCAAATTATCCTTGCCTGCAGATGATCTGATATTATATTTAGAAAAATCTAAAGACTCCACCAAAAATCTGGGTCAATTCAGTAAAGTTGCACAATACAAAATCAATATACAAAAAAACAGTAGCATTTATATATGCCAAAAGCAAACACACTGAAAAAGAAATCAAGACAGCTACAAAAATACATAAAGTATCTAGGTATAAGTGTAACCAAAGTGAAAGATCTCTACAAAGAAAACTAAAAAACACAGATGAAAGAAATTAAAGAGGTCACACGAAAGAAAGGGAATGATAGCACATGCTCATGGATTGGAAAAATTAACATTGTTAAAATCTCAATACTATGCAGCAACTTCTACAGATTTAATTCCATCCCTATCAAAATTTCTTCACAGAAATAGAAAAAAAATCCTAAAATTTATACAGAACCACAAAAGGCCGTGAAAAATCAAATTAATTCTGGGCAAAAAGAATAAACCTGGAGGCATCACACTACCCAACTTCAAAATATAATACAAAGCCATAGTAACCAAGGTAGCATGGTACTGGTGTAAAAGCAGACACATAGACCAATGGAACAAAATAGAAAATTTAGAAAAAAATCTACACATTATCAGCCAATTCATTTTTGACAAAGGTACCAAGAACATACATTGAAGAAAGGACAGTCACTTCGATAAGTGGGGCTAAGAAAACTAGATAACCATAATGCAAAAGTCTGAAGCTAGACCCCTCTCTACAAAAAGCCAATCAAAATGGACTAAAGACTTAAACTAGGACCCAAAGCTATGAAATTACTAGAAGAAAATATTGGGAAAACACTCTAGGCCATTGGTCTAGGCAAAGATGTTTTGTGTTAGATGCTAAAAGCACAAGGAACAAAAGCAAAAATAGACTAATGAGATTATATCAAGCAAAAAAGTTTCTGCACAGCACATGAAGGAATCAACAAAGTGAAGAGACAACCTACAGAATAGGAGAAAATATTTGCAAACTATCCATCCAAAAAAGGACTAATAACTAGAATATACAAGGAACTCAAACAACTCAGTAGAAAAAAAAAAACAATACAAATAATCCCATTTTAAAACTGACAAAAGATCTAATAGACATTTCTCCAAAGAAGACATCAACTGGACAACAGGTATATTTTAAAGTGCTCAACATTACTAATTATCAAGAAGATAAAGAAAATCAAAACTACAATGATAAAGCATCTCACCCCAGTTAAAATGGCTTTTATCAAGAAAACAAAAAATAATGGATGTTGCAAGGATGCAGAGAAAGGAGAATGCTTCACACACCATTGGTGGGAATGTAAATTAGTACAGCCACTACAGAAAACAGAATAGAAGTTCCTCAAAAAACAAAAACAGAACTACCATATGATCCAGAAATCTCCCTGCTGGATATATATCCAAAATAGAGGAAATCAGTATATCAAAGAGACAGCTGCACTTCCATGTTTATTGCAGCACTATTCACTATAGCCAAGACATGTAATCAACCTAAGTGTCTATCAATGGATGAATGAAGAAAATTTTATATATGGGTATATATATGTGTATGTACATGTATGTATATGTGTATATATGTATATATGTGTAAATATATGCACATACATACATAGGCACATACATAAACATACACACATACACAATGGAATACTATTCAGCCATAAAAAAGAATTATGTCATTTGCAGAAACATAGAACTGGAAGTCATTATATTATATGAAATAAGCCAGGCACAGAAAGATAAGTACCACATGTTCTCACTAATAAGTGGGAGGTAAAAAAGTAGATCTCATAGAGATAAGAGAGTTGATTAGTGCTTACCAGGGACTAGAATGGGTAGGGGGAAGGGCGGTGAAAAGCAGTTATTTAACAGGTACAAAAATACAGTTAATACCAGAAATGAGACCTAGTGTTTTATAGTACAGTAGAATAACCATACTTAACAATAACATATTGTATAGTACAAAATAGCTAGAAGGTTGGTATGCAAAAAGATCTTAAAAAGAAAAGGAAAAAAATGGAACAGAATAAAGAAAAATGTTTGAGGTGATTGATATCCCCATTACCCTGATTTGATCATTACACATTGTATGCATGTATCAAAATATCACATGCACCCCCAAAATATGTACAACTGTTATGTATCAATTTTTTTAAAAACTGTATTGCTAAAAATGCTAATGGTCATATGAGCCTTCAGCAAGTCATAGTCTTTTTGCTGGTGGAGGGTTTTGCCTCGATGCTGATGGCTGCTGACTGATCAGAGCGGTGGTTGCTGACGGTTGGAATGGCTGTGGCAATTTCTTAAAATAAGACAACAATGAAATTTGCTACATTGATTGACTCTTCTGTTCCCAAGTTTTCTCTGTAGCATGGATGCTGTCCTGATAGCATTTTACCCACAGTAGAACTCCTTTGAAAATTGGAGTCAGTCCTCTCAAACCCTGCCACTGCTTTATATAATATTCTAAATCTGTTGTTGTCATTTCAACAATGTTCACAGAATCTTCACCAGGAGTAGATTCTATCTCAAGAAACTACTCTCTGTGCTCGTCCATAAGAAGCAATTCCTCATCCTTTCAGGTTTTATCGTGAGATCGCAGCAATTCAGTCACATCTTCAGGCTCCACTTCTAATTCTACTTCTCTTGCTATTTCCACCACATCTGTAATTAAATCCTCCACTGAAGTCTGAGCCTCTCAAAGTCATCCATGAGGGTAGAAATCAACTTCTTTTAAAATCCTGTTAATGTTGATATTTTGACTTCCTCCTATGAATCACCAATGTTCTTAATGGCATGTAGAATGGTGAATACTCTCCAGAATGTTTTCAATTTACTTTGCTCAGGTCCAACAGAGGAATGACTAGCTGTGGCAGCTATAGCCTTATGAATATACTATATATGAATATTCTAAATAATAAGACTAGAAAGTTAAAATGACTCCTTGGAATCCATGGACTGCAGAATAAATGTGTTAGCAGGTATGAAAAAAACATTAATCTCCTTGTATATATTCATCAGCATTCTTGGGTGATGACGTACACTGTCAATGAGCAGTAATATTTTGAAAGGAATCTTTTTTTCTAAATAGTAGGTCTTAACAGTGGGCTTAAAATATTTAGTAACCCACATTGTAAGTAGATGTGCTGTCACATAGACTTTGTTGTTCTATTTATAGAGCATAAGCAGATTAGTAGATTCAGCATAATTCAAAAGAGCCCTGGCATTGCCTTCAACTTAAAGTCACCACCTGCATTAGCCCCTAACAAGAGAGTCAGCCCCATCCCTTGAAGCTCTGAAGCCAAACATTGACTGCTCCTTCCTAACTATGAAAGTCCTAGATGGCTTCTTCTCCCAATAGAAGGCTGTTTTGTCTACACTGAAAATCTATTGTTTAAGGTAGCCACACTTTTTTTTCAGATCTAGACCTGCAGAAATGTAGCCACTTTTATTATCTTAGCTAGATCTTCCTTAAAACTTGCTGCACCTTCCCCATCAGCACTTGCTCCTTCACCTTGCACTTTTATATTATGGAGACAGCTTCTTAAACCTCATTAACCAACTTCTGCTAGCTTCCAACTTTTCTTCTGCACCTCCCTCGCCTCTTTCAGTCTTCAGAGAATTGAAGAGAGTCAGGGCCTTGCTCTGGATTATGCTTTGGCTTAAGGGAATATTGGGGGTGGTTTGATCTTTTATCCAGACCACTCAAACTCTATCCCTATCATCAATAAAACTGTTTCACTTTCTTATCATTTGTGTATTCACTGGAGTAGCACTTTTAATTTCCCTCAAAAACTTTGCCTTCATATTTTGGCTGTTTGACACAAGAGATCTAGTTTTCAGCCTGTCTTGGGGCTTTCAACGTGCCTTCCTCATTAATGATGACATTCCTAATTTTGAAGAATTTTGACTCTTAATTTCACTTGAACAATTAGGGGCCACTGTAGGGTTATTAGTTGGTCTAATTTCAACATTTTTGTCTCTCAGGGTACAGGGATGCCCAAGAAGAGGGGGAGAGATGGAGAAATGGCCAGTCAGTGGAGCAGCCAGAAAACATACAATATTTATTAAGTTCACTGTCTTATCCTGGCATGGTTCATGGTGTACCAAAACAATTACAATAGTTAACATCAAAGATCACTAATCACAGATCACCATAAAATACAAAATAGTAGCTGGGCATGGTGGTTCATGTCTGTAATCACAGCACTTTGGAAGGCCGAGATAGGAGAACTGCTTGAGTCCAGGAATTCAAGACCAGCCCAGACAGCAGAGACCCCATCTCTATAAAAAATACAAAAATTAGCTGGATATGGTGGCATGCAACTGTAGTTCCAGCTACTCAGGAGGCTGAAGTGGGAGGATCACTTGAGTCTGGGAGGTTACGGTTGCAGTGGGCCATGATTGTGCCACAGAACTCCAGCCTGTGCAACAGAGTGAGACTCTGTCTCAAAAAAAAAAAAAAAAAAAAGGCCGGGTGCAGTGGCTCATGCCTGTAATCCCAGCACTTTGGGAGGCCAAGGCGGGCAGATCACGAGATCAGGAGATTGAGACCATCCTGGCTAACACGGTGAAACCCCGTCTCTACTAAAAAAATACAAAAAAAAAAGTTAGCCAGGCGTGGTGGCGGGCACCTGTAGTCCCAGCTACTCAGGAGGCTGAGGCAGGAGAATGGCGTGAACCCAGGAGGCAGAGCTTGCAGTGAGCTGAGATCACACCCCTGCACTCCAGCCTGGGCGACAGAGCGAGACTTCGTCTCAAAAAAAAAAAAAAAAAAAAAAGGACATCATAATAATAATAAAGTTTGAAATATTGCAAGAATTACCAAAAGGTGACACAGAGACATGAATTGAGTACATCTGTTAGATAAAGGGCATTGATAAACTTGCTCAACACAGGGGTGCCACAAACCTTCACTTTGTGAAAAACAGTATCTATGAAGCACAACAAAACAAAGTATACCTGTAAATCCTAGAGGATCAGTAAAAAATAAAAAAGAGACATAACTAATAAGTCAATAGTAGAGATAAAATAGGATCATTATAAAAACTCAATCCAAAAGAAAGCAGAAAAAGAGAAAAAAGAATGAAGAATAGATGAGACAGCTGGGCGCAGTGTGGCTCATGCCTGTAATCCCAGCACCTGAGGAGGCCAAGACAGGTGGATCACCTGAGGTCAGCAGTTGGAGACCAGCCTGGCCAACCTGGTGAAACCCCATCTCTACTAAAAATACAAAAATTAGCTGGGTGTGGTGCCAGGCACCTGTAATCCCAGCTACTCAGGAGGTTGAGTCCTCACCTGAACCTGGGAGCCGGAAGTTGAAGTGAGCCAAGATCATGCCATTGCACTCCAGAATGGGAGACAGAGTGAGACTCAGTCTCAAAAGAAAAAAAAAAAAAAAAGAATGGATGAGAAAAATAAATGATAGATTTAAATCCAACCACATCAATAACTACACTAAATGTGGATGGTCTAAACATACTAATTAAACAACACATTATCAGACTGGGTTATAAAAAGCAAAGAAAGACCCAAATATATGCTGCCTACATTAAACCCACTTTAAAACAAAGAGATTGCTTAAAAGTAAAAAGGTAGAAAAAGATACACTGGCAAACACTCATCTAAAGAAAGTTGGCATAATTATATAAATATCAGACAAGGCTGACTTCAAAACAAGACATTACCAAGGTTAAAAAGAAACATTACTGGTGAGAATGCAAAATGATAGGGCCACTTTGGAAAACAGTTTGGCAGTTTCTTACAAAACTAAATATATTCTTATTATACAATCCAGCAATCATGCTCCTTAGTATTTATCTAAGGGATTTAAAAATATGTCCACACTAAAACCTTTACATAGATGTTTATAGCAGCTTTATTCATAATTCCCAAAACTTGGAAGCAACAAAGACAAGATGTCCTTCATTAGGTAAATTAAACATTTTCCATTGTTGTTGATCTCTACATATACTGCTCCAATAAAAAGAAATACTCTGGGGAAAAAAACTGAAAAATCACTTATAACCCCAAAATAACTATTAGTATACCACAGGTGTGCAGAAGAACATACACACTTTTTATCTTTTAGAGACAATATAGCTAGTAAGAACAATGTAAAATAATCAAATGTGTATCACTAACAAGACAGATTTCAAGGTTTTGAGAGCATGATAAACTCCCTAGCATTTCTTTTCATGAAACTAACTAATCCTTCTTTTCTAGTAACCAGTCAAAAACATATTTTCCCAAAGTTTTCAAATGGAAAAACTATCAGTTAATTATTCTGAAAATATCTAGTATAAACACAAAATGGTTTTTAAGAAACACAGGCTGGGTGAGGTGGCTCATGCCTGTAATCCCAGCACTTTACAAGGCTGAGGTAGGAGGACTGCTTGAGGCCAGAAGTTTGAGACCATCCTAGGTAACAGAGCAAGATTCTGTCTCTATTTTTATTTTAAAAAAAGCATCACAAAGCAACGAGCAATAAATCACCTCTGCAACCCCTCTGAAGGACAAAACATACCATAGTGCTTTGCAGATCACTGGCACTCTAAGAGATTTGCTCTAGACTTCTTCTTTTTTTAATTAATTTTCTTCTTTCTTATAAAAAAAAATTCCTGCTAATAATCAGCTAATCTTAATGATTTTCAAAAAAGGGGGAAAAAAGCAAAATAACAATGCTTCGTTTCCATATTATTTATACAGTTTGAGTTGTTTGTTTAGCACATTAATGTCCTCAATAAATATCTACTAAGAACCTATTAAATGCCACTAAGACTCTGGGAACTTTCCAAAGATAATAACTTTCATAGACCTACATAGCTTATAAATCTAAGAGTTCACATTTGTGAAAAATAATTTAAATGGGAAAAAAAAACTGTCCAACTGGATTATTTCCTTAACATACTTGTAAAACTTATCTCTTCTTTGGCTTCTTTGTACCATTTTCATTGCTCTATAATTTGCTAACATATTAATTTTTAAATATTTTGAAATATCCAATTAGTAACTGTTTTCAAAAAACTTCAAATCACGAACAAAAAAGTAATGTTTGAGAAATATAGTACCTGACAGAGGATGTTCCTGGCCCACGGTCTCTGGAATCCATTACCCAACCAACATGACACTCTAGAGGGGGATTTGTGCTATGCCTTGTTTTTCTCTTTCTTGGACTCTAAAGAAAATAAAGTCAAGCATTGCAATTAGTTTCAATAGTGTGAACTTCACAAGTAAATTAAAACCCTCTGACTATAAATGAACTCAAACATTTTCATACTGTAGATAACACATTGTGAAATCATATGAAGTCACAAAACTCAAAAATCTCACACACAAGTTACAAAACTTAATAAATAAAGTCCTTTGGTAGGTTTGTGACACAAAGATGAAATGAAGTGCAGCTTAGTGTGATTCTTCATTATACTTTCTGTTCGTCTTTAATTACACTATCCAATTGTAAAAAAGGTTTTTGTTTGTTTGTTTATTTTTAAATGGGGTCTTACTCTGTTGCCAAGGCTGGAGTGCAGTGGCATGATCATGGCTCACTGCAGCCCTGACCCCTACAGGCTCAAGCAATCCTGCCACCTCAGCCTCCCAAGTAGCTGGGACTACAGGCACACGCCACCACGCCCATCTAATTTTTGTATTTTTTTAGAGATGGGGTCCCACTGCATTGCCCAGGCTCGTCTCCAACTCCTGGGCACAAGCGATCCACCTGCCTCGGTCTCCCAAAGTGTTGGATTACAGGCATAAACCACCGTGCCCAACCGAAAAATTTCCTAACCAGAGAAAATATCACTATGGTAAAGTATGATTTTTAAGTGAAATATTACAAGTTATAACACACATTTTTCAATGTGATAGAAACTAAAACGTTTCATTCTGTAATGTTAAAGGATACAAAATGCAAGCCTTATATTCCTGGTTGTTTTGTATACCTTTACATCAATGGCTTTTGGTTCTTTAACAACAGGATAAAATCTTGGTGTTTTGTTAGGATCTTGTAACCTAGGTGTTCGAGGTGTTTTGGGTGTTCTTGTAGGATGAATTCTAGGAGATTCTGGAACTGCTGTAGGCAACGAATGAACCATTGCTGCTGAAGTTATTTCTGAAACATCAAATAACTTCTGAGCTAATTCATCAGTCAAATCTGCAAAATAAAAAACTCTTAAAATTATTTAGATGCTAGGAAAATATTTTACTTTGAGAATAAGGATAATTTTGTAATTCTCTAAGCTCAAAGGATTTTTCACTGAAAACATTTCAAATATATAAAAACAAAAATAACAAATACTTTTTTGACCATTATCTAGCTTTATAAAATTTTTATTTTTCTATATCTGTTTATGACCTTTTTTTCTTTTAAAGAAAGGGTGAAGCTTCCTGTGTAACCTCCCCTAATCCCATTTCCCTCCTGCTTTCCCTTCTCAGAGATAACTAGCCTCTTAAATTGGAATTTTGATCTTTTATTACATATATGTAATATTATTTTGCATAATTAACTTTATGTAACATAATGCTATATATATATATATATATATATATCACTTTGTAAACTTTTTTCATGTTTTATTTACATAGCTCTAATTTGTTCATTTTCATTGCTGAATAGTATGTGGTGTACAAATATATCACAATTTATCCATTCTCCTGCAGATAGACATTTATGTTATTTCAAAGTTTTTTGTTTAATCAACAATGCTGTGATCAACATTGCTGAACATGTCTCTGTACAGGTACAAGCATTTCTCTAGGGTTTATATCTGAGTGGAAATGCTGAGTCAAAAGAGATAAGCATCTTCTAACTTAATGACTACTGACAGCCAAACCACTTTCCATAATGATTTCACCAACTTACACTCTCACCAGCAGCATGTGAGAATTCCAATTCAACATTCTGGTGAAGACTGGGTTTTGTGCAAACTCTTAAATATTCTTCCATCTCATGGGATTTAAATGATCTAGTTGTTGCTAGTGAAATTGAGCATGTTTTCATATTTCTAGTTACCCTTCAGACTTCCTCTTTTGTAAGCCTGCTATTCAAATCCTTTGACTGTTTTTTTTATTCGGTTATTTTACTTACTGATTTGTTCATGAAAATCTTATGGTAAGATAACAAACAAGCCAGCAGATGAATCAAGCAGTAGCAACAAAAAAAAATAGGCACTATTTCTGTGTGGTTTTTCTTCAGACTTATCGACTTTTTTTGATTCATATAACAACTTTTTGTTTTTTCACTCAACAAATACTAAGTGCCCGCTATTTGCCAAGCACTATTCTAGGCACGAATTTGTAAAGTCAAAAGTGAACTTACACATTTGCCATTTCCTCTCCCAATCCATTTTCTTCACTGTTACCAGAATGATTATTCTGAGGAGCAAATTAGATCATTTCATATTTCTGCTTAACATCCTTCAGTGTTTCCCATTTGCCTCTAGAATAAGCCTAGGCTCTTTACCCTGGCATATGAGATTTTGCTGATTTTGCCTCATCTGTTGTCATTTTCCACTTTGTTCTTGGTGACACAAATAGCACCAAACTGTCAGTCCTGTTCCTTGTTCCATATCTTTTCATATGCTTTTTCTTCTGTCTGAAAGTCCCTTTCCTGCATCTTTTGTATACCCAATGCAAAGGATATCATAGCCTCCCTTTAATACCCACCACAGATGTTACCTTTCTTGGGAATGTGAAGCACTCCTTGAACACCTCCTGCCAAGAGAGTTAATTAGTCCCTTTTTGTGCTGTGTCTGCATTTTATCCATTTATTGTTTCATTTATTAAATTAAAATTTATTTTCTTACATATCATCCCATAGATGCCAAGAGTAAGTCTCATTGCTTCCCAGAAAGCAACTACCACAACTGCATCGAATACTAGTGCCTACCATACATAATGTTTGGGAAAAAATGTATCCTCATCAAAGGAATGCTAAACTTAATTGAATTGTGTTAATACTGTTTTCCTTATGCCAAAAATATATACAATCTGGCCAGGTGCAGTGGCTCACGCCTGTAATCCCAGCACTTTGGGAGGCCGAGGCGGGTAGATCACATGAGGTCAGCAGCTCGAGACCAGCCTGTCCAATGTGGTGAAACCCCATCTCTACTAAAAATGCAAAAATTAGCCAGGCGTGGTAGCAGGCGCCTGTAATCCCAG
The DNA here is from genome assembly GCF_000001405.40 of Homo sapiens. Classification (NCBI taxonomy): domain Eukaryota; kingdom Metazoa; phylum Chordata; class Mammalia; order Primates; family Hominidae; genus Homo; species Homo sapiens. The sequence continues at coordinate 128,176,424 of NC_000004.12, read as the reverse complement.
CTACTCGGGAGGCTGAGGCAGGAGAATTGCTTGAACCCGGCAGGTGGAGGCTGCAGTGAGCCGAGATCATGCCATTGCACTCCAGCCTGGGGAACAAGAGCAAGACTTCATCTAAAAAAAAAATATATATATATATATACACACACACACACACATATGTGTATATATATAAATGTATATATTTATATAAATGTATATATAAATTTATATATAAATATATAATATATAAAAATATATTTATATATTTATATATAATATATATATTTATATATATAATATAAATATATATACACACATATATGTGTATATATATGTGTGTATATATATATATCGAGAGAGAGAGACAGAGACAATCCTAGAGATAAAAACATGAACATATACTGAAAAATGTGTTAAATCCAGTACCTTTGTGAAAGAAATTTTCAAAGATCTAGGAACAGTAACAACCCAGAAAGAGTAAGCTTCCTAGCACCTAGATTATGGTCTATAAATTCCAATTCCCACTAATTAGTTCTCCTCAAAAAAATAACATCTGGAGCACAGAATGTATAATCTGAGCCTGGGAAATCTTGAGCAAAAGGCAATAAAGTAGTTTTAAAAATACTAGCATAAATCAAAGGACACAAGAGTAAATCTTAGAGGTCCACCAGTCAAAAATAAAACAATTTGACCACTGAAAACAACGACCGAAATGGATTAATAAACACATTGAATAAATAAGCTCCATGAGTTCATAATGATACTTTAAAACTCAGTCACATTTAGAGTGTCCTAGGGCACCAACTCATTATTTTGAAAACCAATAAACTGAATAAAAAGAAAGAAGCAAGCATTTATCCTTCCTTGTCTGTAAAGGTTGAATTTCAGGGTAACCAAAGAGTTGATGAAAGAACATTCTTCACAGAAAAATTTTATGTAAGGATTGCAGAAGGAATGATGGAATTAGAAGATAACCATTTTGCAATTCTACTGAAATAGAGGAAATCTAGGGAATATTCATCAATAGCTGCTAAAACCATTTGGTAAAAGATTGGAGGGAAACTTGATAATGAAAGCATCAGGCTGACAACACCTGAATCAAATCATGAATCACAGCATCAGTAAAAGTGGGAGTGACAGATATGCTATGATGCTATAGGAAATAGACAAGTCTTCCTAAGAAATATCCTTGCTACTAGGAAAAAAACCATGCCAAAACCTGAATATACTCAGTCCTATATCTAAATCCTTTGTACTTATACTTCATTAATAATACATGGGATAAATGATATACTAAATGATATGAAGAAGATACAGTCAGGTAAATGCAGATCATAAGAAATCCTACCAGTTTCTTCAACAAATTAACCAGTTTCTTCAACAAATCATTGTCATGGAAAAACAAGGGAAGAGAAATCATTATAGATTAAGATTAACTTAACGGTGTTATCAGTCAATTGCAATGTTTGCATCTTGTTTCATCCTAGTTCAATCAAACAATTTGAAAAATATACGTCACACAATTAGGGACAACTAAACATATACTGGGTAGTAGATGATATTACAAATTATTGCTATTTTTGTTAGGTGAATTAATGGTGCTGTAAAAATTTACATACATACTTGTTTCGTAAGTCCTCATCAGTTTGCAATATATAGTGAAGTATTTCCAGGAGAAATGATATGATTTTGAGATTCAATATAGAACACCAGGAATAGATCGGGAGGCAAGGTACAGATTAAAAAAGAATGTCAAACTATTAACAATTGTTGAAATTAGGTGAGATGGATACATGGGGATTTCATTAAACAATTCTCCCTACTGTTATCTGTATCTGAACATTTCCAACATCAAAAGCTAAGTTTTATTTGTTTTATACTTATTTTATTCCAGGGTGAATTTTGCCCACCAATAAGAGTAGATATATTAATTTTGTAAGATCAACATCTATAGAGTATGTTGATTATCTCAAAAGAAACATTTTACAAAATGTTTATAGACTATCATATACCAATTTATAATATTTTGACATAAAATTATCAAATATTCATTGCAAGAACATAAAATATTCATAGTAAATATTAAAATATTATTATTGGAAATATATTAGGAAACAAGAATATATTAACATTTTTTGTCAACTACAAGCATAGGATAATATATGAATATCATCTAGATATTATAACTTCCTTCTGCTCAAAAGCATATGCCATCTCTTGAACATGAATAGTCATAATAGCATTTTTCATAATAGCCAAAACTAGAAACAATCCAAATGTCCATAAAATGTTGAATGGACAAAAAAATGTAGTATGCTCATTCTATGAAATAATACTTAGCAATAAAAGAAAGTTACTGATACATGCAATGACATAGATGAATCTCAAAAATATTATGTTAAGTGAAACATTCCAAGTATATAACTATGTATCATATAATTCCATTTATATAAAATTTCTGAAAAGTGCAAAACCATAGTGAAAGAAAGATAACTAGTTGCCTCAGGCTGAAGGGGAATGTTGGCATTGACTGCAAATGTGCATGAGGAACTCTTTAGTATGATGGAATTGTTCTAAAACCGGACTGTGGTGCTGGTATACAATTTTATACATCTACTGAAATTCAAATGATACACTTAAAAAGGGTTAGAGCAGTAATTTTCAAGGTATAGTCCCAAACAGAACTATTGGCATGACTTGGGAACTTGTTAGAAATGTATATTCTCATATCCCACCTAACTTACTGAATAAGAAAGTTGATACAGAGTCCTTTAATCTGTTTCAACAAGCTTTCCAGGTGAACCTTAAACATGCTAAATGTAAAAACCACTGAAGGGGTGTGCTAACTATTTTACTATCTAAGATTTTCCAAATTTTATCACTACCAAATCAGATCATTGCACAGCTTCATACCTGAACCATATGAGCCTTGTCTGCAGTCTCTACTGCCTTTATAAAAATAAAACTCAATATTATGCTGTTAGTGTTTAGTGAACGTCAAAAATTAAAAATGCTACATGAGAACTGGCACTTCAGGTTTTTTATAAATAAAAATGCCTCTAAAGCAGAACTCAGCAAACTTTTCCTACAAATGTTAGATAGTAAATATTTTTGGCTTTTCAAGACATAAGGTCTCTGTTGAAACAGCTCAGCTCTGCTTTTGTAGCATAAAAACAGCGAGAGGCCATATGTAAATGACCAGCGTTATCACATTGGCCCGTGGCAGGCTAGTTTCAGCCAATGGGCCACAATTTGCTGGCCACTGAACTATAGCGGTCAGATAGATATGAATCCAAATCCTGGATTCACACTTTGCTAGCAAAAAAACAAAATCATAACTATATTTTGTGTATTCAATAAAGCACAGAAAAACATAAGCATATTAAAATATATATATAGGCAGTATAAAAGAGAACCCAATCAAGCTTCTAGATGAGAAAAGGACAACAGCTGAGATTTTAAAACATACACATACACACACACACACACACACACACACACACACACATTGGATGGGATTAAAAATAGACTCTGTAGAAGAAAAGGCTAATAAACTTGAAGAGAGGAATAAAAGTTACCTAAAACAAAAACAGAGTAAAAGGACTGAAAAACAACAACAACAAAACAGAGCATTAGTGAAGTATGGGACAACTTCAAGTGCCCTAATATAAATTTTAAATGTAATTGGAGTCTTGAGAGAAAGAGAAAAAAGTAACAAGAAAACATTATTAATTTTCTTTTCTTTTTTTTTTTAAGACAGAGTCTGACTCTGTCACCCAGGCTGGAATGCAGTGGTTTGATCTTGGCTCACCGCAACCTCTACCTCCCGGGTTCAAGTGATTCTCGTGCCTCAGCCTCCCAAGTACCTTGGATTATAGGTGTGCGCCACCACACCCAGCGAATTTTTGTATTTTTAGTAGAGATGGGGTTTCACCATGTTGGCCAGGCTGGTCTCGAACTCCTGACCTCAGGTGATACACCCGCCTTGGCCTCCCAAAGTGCTGGGATTATAGGCATGAGCTGCCACACCCAGCCTATTAATTTTTTAATTAAAATTTTAAATTTAAAGGAACAGCTGAACACTTTCCAAATTTGATTAAAAATGTATAAACACACATATTTTAAAAATCCAGTGAGTTCAAGCACAAGAAACATGAAAAGTACACCAAAGCAATCGTAATTAAGGTGCTTAAAATAGGTGACAGAGGAAACATTAAAAGCAGCCAGAATCAACAGAAATTGAACCGAAAACAGAAAAGCAACCTCAACAACAGAAAAAAAAAGAAATTGAAAAAAAATAATCAGCCAATCCTTAAGAACCTGTGAGACAACAAAAGGTCTAGGAGAGAAGAAATGCAGGGCTAAAAATTTTTTTTGAGGAAATAATAGCTGAGAACTTCCCAAATTTGTCTAAAGTCAAACCTACAGATTTAAGAAACAGAGAATCCCATCCAGGATAAACCCAAAGAACTCCATACCAAGGCACATCACACTCTATTTGCTGTAAATGTCAGATGAAAAAAAAAAAAAATCTTGAAAGTAGCTAGAGATGCATTACTTGTAGGGAAACAATTTGAATGACTATAAATTATTATACCAAAAACCATGGAGGACAGAAAGGAGTGGTACAACAGTTTTGAATCACTAACAGAAAACAATTGTCAGTTCAGAATTCTTTATCCAGTGAAAATATCCTTGGCAATGAGGTGAAATAAAGACATTCTCAGAAGAAAGAAAACTATAAATCATAGCCAACTGAACTGCTCTAAAAGAATTGCTAACCTGAGTATTTCAGACAGAAGAAAATGATAACAAAGGAAACCTGAAACATCACAAATAGAGGAACAGCAAGATAAACGGTAAAGGTCCAGATAAATATAATAGACTATTCTCCTTTTAAGTTATTTAAAACACGCTTGAAAGTAAAACACGCTTGAAAGACAATCAAACATTGTCTGATGGGCTTTTTAACATATGAAGATATATAAGACAATTATTACATAAAGAAATTTCAGCTGAGTGTGGTGATTCATGCCTATAATCCCAGCACTTTGGGAGGCTGAGGTAGGAGAATCTCTTGAGGCCAGCCAGCAGTACTAGACCAATCTGGTCAATGTAGTGAGACCCTGTCTCCACAAAAAATAAAAAAATTAGTTGGGCTTTGTGGCGTGCACCTGTAGTCCGACCTACTCGGGAGGCTGAGGTGGTAGGATTGCTTGAACCCAGCAGTATGAGGCTGCAGTGAGCCATGACTAGACCACTGCACTCCAGCCTTGGCAACAGAGTGAGACCCTATCTCTTGGGGTGGGGCCGGTGGGGAGAGAAAGGAAAAAAAAAAAATCTCTATGGAGGTTAGGTTTCTACATTCTTATTGAAATGGTAAAATACTGATTCCAAATAAACTGAAAAGTATGTGTTTTGCAACCCCTAGAGCAATCACTAAAAACAATTATACAAAAAAAGATATATATGTCCAAATTCATAGTACATAAATTAAAATGTAATGGAAAAAGTTACAAACAACACAAAGAATGCACAAAATGGGCAATAGAAGCCAAAAAAAAAAAAAAAAAGAAAAGAAAAAGAAAATGAATAATAAAAAGGTTGACCTAAATCCAAACATACCAATAATTACATTAGTCAAAACATACCAATTAAAAGATATACTGTCAGACTGAATAAAAAACATGAACTAACTATATGCTATCTATAATAAACTGACTTCAAATATAATGATATGGGTACGTTAAAAGTAAAAAGTTGGCAAAAGATACATCACATACCATGAGAAAGAAATGAAAGAAAGCTGGAATGGCTATATTAAAATCAGACAAACTAAATTTCAAAGCAAACAAGGACAACATATATGAATGAAAGGGCCAATTCACCAAGATGACACAATATACCAATGGGTATAAGGTGAACTAACAAAAGAGCTTCTAAATAAATAAAGCAAAATACAACAGAACTGAAATAGGAAATAAACAAGTCTGCAATTATAGGTGGTGACTTCAACACTCCTCTCTCAGTAAGACAGAACCAGTAGACAAAAAATCAGCAAAGATATAGAACTCATCAACACCATTAACCAACTGAATTGAACAGACAATATGGAACATTCTACTCAAAAATAGTGTAATAAACATTCTTCTCAGATGCATATGGCATATTCACCAAGACAGACTATATTGTGGGTGATAAAATTAGCAAATTAATTAAACAAATTTGAAATTAACAAATTAATTTTAAATTTTAAAATAATGTAAAGTATGTTCTCTGGCTATAATATAATTAAACTATATATCAATAAGATTAATAACAGAGGGGTAACTGAAAAAATTCCAATCACTTGGAAATTACACCGAATACACTCCTAAATAATCCATAAAGAGGAAGTCTCAAAAGAATTTAGAAAATGTTTTGAAAAGAATAAAAATTAATAAAATACAGCATATCAAATTTGTGGAATGCAGCTAAATCAGTGCTTAAATAAAAATACATAGAATTAAGGGCTGTGCTCATGGCTCATGCCTGTAATCCCAGCACTTTGGGAGGCCGAGGTGGGTGGATCATTTGAGGCCAGGAGTTTGAGACCGGCCTGGCCAACGTGGTGAAACCTGGTCTTTACTAAAAATACAAAAATTAGCCAGGTGTGGTGGCACAGACCTGTAATCCCAGCTACTTAGGAGGCTGAGGCAGGAGAATCGCTTGAACTCAGGAGGCAGAGGTGGCAGTGAGCCGAGATTGTACCACTGCACTCCAGCCTGGGCGACAGGGCGAGACTCCGAGATTCTGTCTTAAAAAAATATATAGATAGATAGAGATAAAGATAGAAATAGAGATAGAGAGAGAATATTAAATGCTTATATCAGAAAAGAAACTCTCAAATCAATAATTTAAACTCTCCCTTAAAAATTAGATTTCAAAAAAATAGATTTCAGGAAGATATCCAAATTTTAAAAATTAAACAAAAACACTTCTAAATAGCTGATGTATCAAAAAATTAAAAAGAAATTAGAAAATATATAGAACTGAATGAAAATCAAAATACAATAACACCTAAAATACTGCTTAGGTGGAAATTTGTAGTATTAAATGGTTATAATAGGAAAGAAAAATGGTGTCAAATAAATGATCTAAGCTTCCACTCAAACTAGAAAAGGAGGAACAAAATAAGAAAAAAGGAAATAATAAGGAGCAAAAATTAATAAACCTGGAATAAAAATAAAGTAAATCAATGAAAATAAAACTTAAAAAAATTAAACTGATGAACCTCTAGCTAGATCGATCAAGACAAAAAAGACACAAATTTATAAATAGTAGGAATGAAAGAAGAGATATCTCTACAGAACCTACGAACAGTAAAAGGAGAAAAAGAGCATATTATAAATTCCAGGAAATGAATAAATTCAATAGGTACAAAAGCTCACCTGAGAAAAAAGACTTACTTAGTCTTATGTTTCTTAAATAAATAAATGTGTAGTTTAAAACATTCCAATAGTTCCAGGCCCAGATGGCATCACTTGGGAATGCTACCAATGTGTAAGAAATAAACAATTGTGGACAAACTCTTCCAAAATACAAAAGAAGGAACACTTACCAACTCATTTTATGACGCCAGCATTCCTCTGACACCAAAATCAGACAAATATAATCCAAGACAATGAAAAAAAAAAACAATATTCCTCATGAATATAGTACAAAAGGCTTCAAAAAATATGTAAGCAACCTGAGTCTAACAATATATAAAAGGATAATATAATAACTAAATGAGGCTTATCCTGAGAATCCAAGACTAGTTCAACATTTGAAAACCAATCAATGTACTTTACAACACAAACAGACTAATTAAGACAAGCCACATGACGTGAGCCACTGCAACTGGCCCAAAAGATATACCTAAAAAATGAAAATATAAGCCCCAGGTTCTGAGAAGATATGTGCAAATTACATATGTACATATGTAACAAAGGACTTGTATCCAGAGTAAAGAACTCTCAAAGCTCAGTAACAAAAGAAACAACTCAATAAAAGAAATGTCCAAAGATTTGAGCAGGCACTTTACCAAGCATAAACTGATGGCAAATAAGCACATAAAAAGATACTCAACAGCATCAGTCACAATGAGATACTACTATTAGATGGGCAAAATTTTTTAAAAAAAAAACTAACAATACTAAATGCTGGTGATGATGTAGAGCAACTGGAACCCTCATATATTGTTGGTAAGAACGTAAAATGGCACAACCACTTTGGAAAAGTTAGACAGTTTCTTAAAAAGTTATACTTACTGTATGATCCAACAGTGCCCTCAAAAGCATTTACCCAAGTGAAATGAAAACATATATTCACATAGCAACTTGATACTCATAGCAGCTTTATTCATAATCACCAAAAACAGGAACACAACCTATATGCCTTCAACTAATAAGTGGATAAATAAACTGTTTACATCCATGCAATGGAATACTACTTGTCAATAAAAAGGTAATACACACAAAAGCATGAATAAATCTGAAAGGCACTAGGCTAAATGAAAGGAGCCAGACTCAAAAGTCTGTATTTTATATGATTCTATTTATATGACATTCTAGAAATGGCAAAACTATAGGGATAGAAAATAGAAAACAAACTGCCAAAAACTTGGCCTGGGTTGAATACAAAGAGGCATGGAAAAATTCTCAGGGAGCAATGGAAATGTTCAGTAACTTAACTAGGTGGTGTTTACATGATTGCATTCATCTGTCAAAGTTCCCAAAATAATATACATAAATGGTGTGAAACTTACTGAATGTAAACTATATCTTAATTTTTTTAAAAATATGACCCACAAAGCTCAGGCAACAAAAGCAAAAATAAACAAACATGGCATCAAATGAAAAAGCTGCTTCTGCACAGCAAAGGAAACAATCAACAGAGTGAACAGACAACCTACAGAATAAGAAAAAACATTTGCAAACCACACATCTGATTAGGAGTTATATCCAAAATACATAAGTAACTCAGACAACTCAATAGCAAGAATGCAAATAATCCAATTAAAACATGGGCAAAAGACCTGATTAGAGATCTCTCCAAAGAAGACATAACAATGCCAACAGGTATATGAAAAGGTGCACTGGTGCAGCCATTGTGGAAAACAGTATGGAGATTTGTAAAGAAATTAAAAGTAGAATTACCATATGACCCAACAGTCCCTCTTCTGGGTACACCTTATATATATACCCAAAGGAAATGAAATCATCACCATAGAAAGATATCTATCTGCACTCACATGTCCATTGCCACATTATTCACAACAGCCAAGATATAAGATATGGGAACAACTAAAGTATGAGTCCACTTATGATAAACAGAGAAATGGTGATGTGTGTGTGTGTGTATATGTGTGTGTGTGTGTATATATACGTACACACGTGTGTATGTATATATGTATATATATGTGTGTGTGTATATATATATATATATATATATAGAGAGAGAGAGAGAGAGAGAGAGAGAGAGAGAGAGAGAGAATAGAATATAATTAAGCCTTTAAAAAAGGAGATCCTGCCATTTGCTACAACATGGATGAAACTGGAGGACATTATGCTAAATGAAATAAGCCAGACACAGAAAGAAAAATACTTCATAATGTCACTTATATATAGAATCTTTAAAAAAAAAAGTATATAGATGTAGATAATAAAACAGTAGTTACCAAGGGTGGGATGAAGGAGAATGGGGAGATGTAGGTAAAAAAATACCAAGTTGCAGATATGTAGGATAGATAAGTCTAGAGATCTAATGTACAACCTGAGGGCCATAGCTAATAACATTATATTATATTTGGTATTTTTGCTAAGAGAGATTTTAGGTGCTCTTGCCACAAAAAAAGGTAACTATGTGAGATAATGAATATGTTCATTTGCTTAACTATTGTAACCATTACACTATATATATATCAAAACATCATGTTGTACACCTTATATATATTTTTAAGAGGAAACAAAAAATATAACTGGATATTTGTAGGGTGATCAGAATGAAAGGAGGGAGACAGGCTAGGAGTTCATTACAATTAACCAAGGAGAAAACGCTGGTGACTTTTACAGGGTGATAGAGATGGAGAAAGTGAGAAGTGGTTAGATTCTAGATATATTTTAAATATATATGAATATAACTTTCCAATAAATAAGATACGGAATTTAAAAAACAAATGGATCAAAAATGACACAAACGTTTTGACCTGTGCAACTGGAAAAATGGAGGTAATATTTAGAGATGTGGAAGTCTAGGAGGAAGAGTCCTTGGAGAGGGGTGGGAATTCAGAACTTAGATTTTGGACATATGATATTTAACATGCTTATAAAATATACAAGTGGTACTGTTAACCACACAGTTGAATATTTGTCTGAAATACAGGATGGAGGTCTGGTCTATACATATTAATTTGATACTCATTAGTATAATAATGCTCTTTAAAACCCATGAGACTTGATGCTATTACACAAGGAGTTATTGAGGATTCAAAAGAGGAGAAATTTGAGGACTGGGTCCTAAAGCTTCCAAATTTTAGAAGTTAGGGAAACACTGAAGAACTAGCAAAAAAGACTCTATGAGGCAGAAGGAGAATAAGTGAATAAGTATCCAGGAAGTAAAAATGTGTTTCAGGACAGAGCGATTAATTTGATCTAATGCTGATGTCAGGTAAGATGAGGACTGATTTGACCCCTCTTATATATGGAGATTTCTGGTGGTATTATCAGTAGCTGATTTGGGATGTGGAGGACAGAGGCCTGTTTGGAGCAGGTATAGGGAATAAATAGGAATATAGATACTGAAGACAGTGAAAATAAACTCCTTCTTTATGCCTTAAATTCTATATCGTAATAGCAATACCAACTCTTTTCTATTAGGATCATTCTTTTATATGATTTCCCATCCTTTACCTTCCAATCTTTCCATATGTTATGACATATAACTAGCATAGAGTGAATTTTTTTAAGTCCAATTAATTTAAAGATTAAAATTATCTTTTAATTTGAACATTAATCTATTCAACATTTCCTGTCATAGCAATATATTGGTCAAATTCTATCTTTTAAATTTTTGCTTTATTTTTATATTTTTCTGTTCATATATTTAAAAACTAGACATTATAGCACACAAATAAAAATTAATAAATTTATATATAAATTTTAAAATAGAGCTGATACACACTCATACCGACCAACTAGACCAATACATACATAAATTCCAGATGCTAGCAAACACATGTGCAGACCTTCCAGATGGGATTTCCCCCACCCTCAGGAGTAAATTAATATATTAATTTTTTATATTAATAATTCCCCTTGCTTCTCTTCATGGCTCCTATGTGCTATGCATCTATCCATGAATTTTATACTTTATGTAATAGCATTACACTGAATGAACTTCTTTGTTCTAGCTTATTTTATACATCCCTTTTTTATTTTTTTATTTTTTCCTATATTTTTAGATTAACACATTTTGTCACATGTAACATTAGTTCTTTCATTTTCCACTGCTGCCTATTTTTCCTACGTATGACTACACCACATCTTATAATACATTCTACTATAACTGGGCATTTTTTAGTTTTCATTTGCTTTTTTCTATTATGAACAATGATACTACAAATGTTCTCTTGGTAAACATTTGCAACAGTATGCCCAGGCTGGTCTCAAACTCCTGGGCTCAAGTGATCCTCCTGCCTTGGCCTCCCGAAGTGTTGGGATTATAGGCATGAGCCACAATGGCCTGCAACAGTATCTCTTGAAATGAAACTGCTGGGTTATAATATGGCGTATTGCTATGGTTTTAATTGGAAAACCTCAGTAAAAATAGCCTCTTTTCATATTTATTGGCCATTTGGTCTTCCCAAATATGAAACTGATGTTCATGTTTCATTTACTACTTTTTCTATTCATGTTTGCCATTTTTCATATTAATTTTTAAGGTTTTAGATTTCTATGATATTAATTCTTTGTTAATGTCATGCAATGCCAAATTTATCTCCTTATTTGTGACTTGTATGCTTTCTATGATGTGCAAAGGAATATACATTCTCAATTTTAAAGTATTCAAATTTAACAAGGCAAAAAATCCAGCAATTTAACTGAACAGCCCTAGTGGGACACACTAAGAACTTTAAAGAAAGCTTTAAAGTATGAAGTTTTTAAAAGTTTACAGTTTAAAGAACTCTAAAAGAAGTTACCTTTCAGTATTTATAATATTATTATTTAATGTTATTGTTATTCTGGAACTATTATATCATAGGATTAGCAAATAAATAATTATGTTACTGTGGTTAGGAAGAAAGATTTTTTATATATAAGTAAAAAGCAATACAACTACAAAATCAAAGAAATTAAAATTAAAACCTATAATCTTAAATTTAGACAGAAAATATCAACATGAATACGTAATATATTTTTCTCCTTAAAAAATTTCCTAGCTCTTTCTATTCAAAAGGCCTAGAAACAAGGACCAACTGAGTAGCAGATCCGGTACTGACAAAGCTCAACCTTGGTGGGGGCTCAACCTTCTGTGGGGTGGGAAACATTAAAGTTAACAGTCCAACTCCATTATTACTGAGCAAGAAAATGAAAGGTGGCTTTAGAGCTAAAAGTCAATAAACTGATAACTGGCATAGGTATCAATAATAATAATAATAACTGTAATAGAATGAAACCCATCTCATGTATTTATGAGTTCACAATGATCATTTAAAAACAAACAAACAAAAACTTCATTAGTCACCAGCGAAGAATGTTAAGGAACCAGCTAGTACTTTGAAACTAGTAAACAAAGGGAAATAATTCAGCACTGACTCACTTTCCTGTAAGAACTCTATCTCAGAATAAATAAATATTCTGGGGAAAGTTCTCTTTATAAAAGTATTCTACCTATTAAGGTAAGACGTAATGATTAAAAATAGAATCATCACTATTTTGCAACCCCTAGTAAAATAAAAGCTTCACTCACTGATCATCAATGACTGCTAACATTACAAAAAGAGACAATAGAGCATTATGTATCTCCTAATAGTATTCAATACTACATATGACATATTCTTACAGAGATTTGAGTCTTAATCTAATCAAGTCTCTATGCTGAACTAACAGTTATAGATAATTCAGGACTAGAAAACAGGTTAAATGAAACCATGGGGATGCAATCAGCAAAATTCAGAATGTGAAAAATTCTACAAGACAAACAACCCAGTTTCTTCAATACCAAATTGCAAGGACCAATAAATTATAAGGCAAAAAATAGTAGAAACCTGTAGACTAAAAAAGACATATCAATCTATTGCAATCTATTTGAAGAAACTGGAAAAAAAAAGTGATGAATGAGGAAATTTGAACACTAGATATCTAACGTTAAGGAATTACTGTTAATTTTAGATATGATAATGTCCTGCTATTTATGTGTTAAAAGATATAGCCCTTATCTTTTTAAAGACACATACAGAAATCTTTAAGGACAAAAAAATATGAATCATGTGATTGAGAATTTGTTTAAAAATAATCCACAGGGAGGTATAGGAGTTACTGGAGTCGAGACAAAATTGGGTATGAGATGATTAAGTATAGCAGGTACATGGGAGTTTTATTATAAAATTCACTCTATCTTTGTATATGTGTGACTTTTTATAAATCATTTTTTTAACCACCTTCAGGAAAAGGCTATAATAAAATCAGTTATACTTGTCTGAAATGTCAGATTCAATTTATGGATCTCCCAATGTATTTATTTACACTCTCACACAGAGCTAAGCCCTTAAAACAAAAGAATGACTCTAGCGCATTCTAAGGATCAGTGAGTCAGTGAAAAATTTTATTTTGGGAAGAGAAACATTCCCAGCAATCTTAAAATCACATCAGATACATAAAGAACCAACAAATTCTGCCTACTTCTAAGTAAGCCTCTGGCTTTGAGCATAATCTGGTGTGATAATAGAAGTTCACAAAAGGATAAAAGTTGAGTTTTAAAATTCTAGCATTTTACCATTTACCTAATGATTTTCCACAAATAAAGAAAAAAAAGGAGCAATTTTTAAAAACAATTCAGAACTGCTTTAATACTATTCAGACACTTACACAAAAGCAGATTTACATACCTTGCCTGGACTGTGAAGGTGCTACAGGAACTTCTTGGTTTGGCTCAAAAGGAAGTTCAGGTGTTAGGTTTTCAAACTGCTCTTTACTAATGAGATTTAGCTTCTTAAAGTTCTCAACTTCTTGCTGAAGTAGAATGGAGGAATCTAATTACTAAACTGGCTAACAGAGTAACCAACAGACAATAATTGATACCAACCTCAAAAAAATGAACTTCTAAAACAGGGATTAATTACAATGGAGTGAAAAAGACGTTCTAATAAAGAGTCTAGCATTATACTTAATAACAACATTCAGAATCTAAGAGGCATATAACACCCTAAAATATTATAATGATTTTATAATTAAAAAACATTATAAGACCACACATACTAATCATTAATTATTTGTTGAGCATTTACATACAAGACTACCAGGTATTACAGACGTTACAAAGTAATCTAATACATGTTCCCTACCATTAAGGAATTTATATGTTAGATGAAAAGGAAGAAATGAACACATAAAAATAAATAATATTAGGTAGTATGTGAAGAGCGATATTGGTGTAAGAATTACGATCATCAGGAAGCCATCACAGGAGAGATGGGACAAAAGCACCTCTTGAAGGATGAGAATTTAGAGAAAGGGAGAAACATTCTAAATAGGTAATGAGAGCAAAGATAAGAAGCTTGGAAAAAGCAATGTGTTTATTACAAAGTAATTAAGTGACTAAGAAAATCTGTGTAGAACCAGTGGCAAAGAGGACTGATGAGGAAGTTGGAGAAAGCTACTAGAAGACCTTTAATACTGGGTCAAGAAGATTTCACTTTGTTTTATAATAATGGGATGCATGTGATAAAGATAAATCTGGATGGCCCTGGATAGCTGCAGCAAAGAGACTCAGTATATTTGAGTTGTTAGCTCAAAGGAAGAATAGACCCCTCCCTGCCTCTGGGGTTCTGGAGGCTTCCCCTTTGTAACTACTATTGCATAGTCACTTAAGTGTTTCCGGCCCTGACCTACAAATGTGTGGAGCATTACAGAGGGTAGAGGTCATTCTCTACTGGAAGTTCACTTGGCCACAGGTGAACTTAAAGGTTGAACCCTAAAGGTTGAACCCTATGGTTCACCCAGGTGAACCATAAAGACCCTCTATGTCTGGCCTAAACTGTGAGATAAAAAAGGAGTTTGAGGGACTGCTTACACTCCACTATTTCTTCTAAGTTTTTCCCAATAAAACCCTATATCACATCTACTCCACATGGTACTAATGGGTACATGAATCTTTACAGGGCAACATCCAAAGCGGGTTTAAGCAAGTAAAAAACATAAGAAAGAATTTTTCGGGTTGAAGCAAATTTAAAACAGGAAGGAAATTAAATATCATTACAAAATAGTTGTAGCTTGCTCTTAATAACAAAAGAATCTTTTCCTTCTGTCTTCAAAGATGAAGTCACTTGTCAGCTCAAACCATTTATTAAATCCCAATGTTAGCCTTTTAGATTATGATCTTTTTTCACTAAAGTACCTTTAATTACATCAAAATGTATATTTATCAACATTTCTTCCTCAAAAGTTTTCAATAAGCTCTTCAGGCTAAATCAGAATCATTGCTCACTCCTCTTGTCCTTTATCTTGCTACAGAGCTTGCTATTAGCAACTCCCAATTCTATAAATAATTATTGTATGTTTACTACATGCCAGAGATAAATAACACAATTCTACCCTGATGGAAACACAAGTTGTGTATGTTTTTGTTTATTTTTATTTTTAACTAATTCATTAATGTATAACATACACACACACACACACACAAGAAGTGTACAAATCATAAGTATATATCTCAATGAATAATCGAAGGTAAACAGACTTAATCACCATTCAGGTAAAGCAATTATTAGCACCCTAGAAGCTTCCTTTTCATGTCCCTTCTGGTCAGGATCTCCTCTTTCTCCCCCAAAATAGCTCATACACCTTCAATACAGTAGGTGTTTTGCATGTTTCTGAACTTTATAAAAATTGAATTACACCACATGGTTTCTTTCATGCAAAATTATGTTTATGAGACTGATCCATGTACGTGCATGTAACCACAGTTTGTGGCTCTACAGCAGAGGTCAGCAAACTACAGGCCCAAAGGCTAAAGCCTGTTTTTATAAATGGCTGTGTTGGAACATAACCACACTCATTTGTTTACATATTGCCTATGACTACTTCATTGCTACAACTGCAGTTAGGTAGACAATGTATGACCACAGACAACGTATGACCCACAAAGTCTAAGATATTTACTATATTTGTCTACCCTTGCTCTATCCTACCATATGAATACACTGCAAGTTTTTAAGAAATCCATTCTGCTATTGATGAGCATTTGGGTCCTTTCTCAGATTATAGCTATTACAAACAAATTCCTATAAATACGTTTTTACAAAAACTTCTTTTGGGGAACAGGGACACAAATTTTTGTTGGATATTTACTTAGGAGTGGAATTGCTGAATTGAGCAGTAGGTTTCTATTTAGCCTTAGTAGAAAATGCCAGTTTTTCACAGTGGCTGTACCTATTTTTATCCCCATTAGCAGTATATTAAAGTTCCTGTTGATCTACATCTGCACCAATGTGTGGTATTTTCAGTCTCAAAATTTAGCCATTTGAACAAGAATGAACCCTAATGTAAACTATAAACTTTTAGTGAGAATGATGCATCTAGGTAGGTTCATGAACTGCAACAAATGTACCACTGTGGTAGGGGATGTTGACAATACGGGAGGCTATGCTTGTGTAGGGGAAGAGGATCTATGGAAAATCTATCTTCTGCTCAATTTTGCTATGAATCTAAAATTGCTCTAAGAAATGTGTGATTCCATCATGTAACATTCTCAAAATGACAAAATTATAGAGATGAAGAACAGATTAGTGGTTGCCAGGGGTTAGGGATAGTGGAGGTGAGGCAGGTGGGTTAGACTCTAAAGGGGTAACTTTAGAGAGCACAGGGAGAACTTTGTGGTAATAATACAGTTCAGTGTCTTGACTGTGGTGATAGTTATATGAATCTACATGTGATAAAATGGCACAAAACTATACACATACATTTGTGATAAGAAATGTCTATTTTCTTGTTTTAATATTACACAACATATTTCCTTTTTTTTTTTTTTCCCTAGAGACAGGGTCTTGCTCTGTTGCCCAGACTGGAACGCAGTGGTACGACCACAGCTCTCTGTAGCCTTGAACTCCTGGGCCCAGGTGATCTTCCCACCTCAACCTGTAGCTGGCACTACAGGTGCATGCCACCATGACAGGCTAATTTTTTTTTTTAATTTTTTTTTTAAGAGATGAAGTCTCACTATGTTGCCCACACTGGTCTTGAACTCCTGGCCTCAAGCAATCCTCCTGCCTCAGCCTCCAGAACAGCTGGGATTACAGGCATGAGCTACCTTGCCCAGCATTGTGCTATAGTTACATAAGATGTATATATAGTTATATATAAGATGTGACTTTTGAAGGGAAGTGACGGTACACAGTACCTCTCTGTACACTTTTTGCAACTTCCTGTGAATCTATAAATATCTCAAAATAAATATTCAGAAAAAGCTTTTAATGTAGTCATCCTGGTAGGTATATGTGTTATCTCACTGCAGCTTTAATTTGTATCTCTCTGATTACTAATGAGGCTGAAAAGCTTGAGTATATTTGCTGATTTGGATAGCTTCTTTTGTTGAGATGACTATTCAATACTATTGCTCATTTTTCTATAGGGTTGTCTTTCTCTTATTGATTTGTAAGAGTTCTTTATAAAATATTGTAAATACTTTTTGACACTTTTTTAACTTGCCTTTTTATTCTCTTATAGTATCTTGATGAAAAGAAGTCCTTTAATGTAGTGCAATTTATCAATCATTTCCTTCATTGTGCTTCCTGTTCAATAAATCTTCCCCACTGAAATATTACTGAGCTATTATTTCTATAAGTTTTATTATTTTGTGTTTCACGTTTAGAACTATAATCCATCTGGAATTCACTTTTCTAAACTGCATTCACATTTTGTATAACCTTACTGATTTTTTGGTTCTGATTGCTCCATCTTACACCTTTCTTTATACGAAAGGTGTGTGTTACAATCTCCCACTATGATTATGAATGCACCTATTTGCCTGCAAATTTTATGTACTTTGAAGCTACATTATTAGATGCACACAAATTTAGAAATATTATATCTTCTAAGGCAATGAAACTTGTCATGATTATAAAATATCCATCTTTATATCTTGAATAAGTTTTGCCTTAAAAACCTACTTTGCCTGATAGAGTAAATAGAGTTACACCAGCGTTGTTGTGTTTATTGCCACTATTTATTTAAATATATACACATATTTACCCTTCCCATTGCTCTTCATTTCTTCCTGCATCTCCAACCTTCTTTCTGGAATCATTGTCCTCTGCCTGAAAAATTCCCTTTAGTATTTTCTTTAAAGCAGATCTGCTGCAAATAAATTTTCATAGTTTTCATTTCTCTGATAATATCTCTATTTTACCTTCATTTTTATACAGGTTTATTTAGAGCTTTATTTTACATCTCATAAATTCACCTATTTAAGCGTACAATTCACTTATTTGTTTACCTTAATTCTTGAACACTATTTTCCCTTTCTTTCAGGCACTGTAACTACATCATCCCTTTGTTCCCTCACCTCCATTATTTCTACTGAGAAGTTAGCTGTAAGTCTTACTATTAATGCTTGTAATCTGTCCTTTTTATCCAGCTTTTGTTTTCAGTTGTTTTATATGGTCTTGATGAGGTTTTCTCTGTATTTATCTTCTTTGAAGTTTTTAGGACTAGAATCTGTCCTTTGGTGTCTTTCATCAGTTTTGGAAAATTCTTACCCATAATCTCTTCAAATATTACTTACGCTTTATTCTCTCTCTCTTCCCCCATTGGAGGATCCAATGATATGTGTTAGACTATGTCTCTTACACCCTTTTCTGTATTTTCCATCTTTTTGCTCAATGCTTCACTCTGGATTTTTCTTTTGATCCATCTTCCAGTTTAATAATTATCTCTTCACTGTCCTGATCTACTATTAAGCCTACCCATTGCACTTGATTATCATATTTTGTATTTCTAAAATTTCCACTTGATTATTTTTTAAAGTTTCTGGCTCTATACTGAAATTCTCCATCTTATCTTTTATTTTTTAACTTATTAAAAACAAAGTCTGCTTGATAACTCTATTTTCTGGATCACTAGGGGTCTGTTTCTATTTCCTGTTGTTTCTTTTGTTTTTTTTCTATCATATCATATTGTCTTCTAATATTCCTAATTATTTTTTGAGGATCAGACACTATTACTAAAAGCTTGAGGCTTAGGATGGAACTGGCAGATGAGTCTGAGGGAAATGAAGACCCAAATGCCAGCCTTATTTCTCTAGGTTTTCTTCTCTTTCCAGTTTTTTTTTTTTTTTTTTTTTTTTTAGCTTCAAGCCTTTTATTCCATTTTGGTAGGTTTGTATAAAAATACTCTCTTTAGGAAAATAAATAGCAGCTGCTCTCACTGTGGAGGCTTGGATTCCCTGGAGCTGAAGGCTTCTCAAAGCTGAGATCTGCAGATCAGCTCATCACAGAAGCCATGGGCACCTCCCAAGCTGTGCGGTTCAGGAGGGGGCGGCAGAATGGCCTGGTCCAATCACCTGCTGCTGCTGGCAGTGGGGCTGGTGAGTTGGTGTTCTAGGTGGGTAAAGTGGCACCTTCTGTCACGGGGGTAGGGTTGGATCACAGGAAGAGGGTGATGGAGAGTGTGGCAGTGATCTGGAAGGGGTTAGGGCTCCAGAGGACCTCTAAGGATCTACAAAGTCTCTGGGCTTCCAGGATTCCTCCGGCAGAAATGGGAAATATTTTGTCTCTGATTTAGTGCAAATTGTGCTAGAGAGGCCAGCTCTAGAGAAACAATGGGCAGCTTTGGTGGCCCCAAGCTGGCTCTACTGTGAAGCACAATATGGTTAGTCTCATTAGAGGGATGGAGAAGCAGCTGCTGGAGTTGGGTATGGGATACTGTCCAGGCCAGCTGGACTGGTGGGGGAAGGGGAGCAGACGTTGCTTAGGGTGGCACCTGCAGGGAGTAAGGCTCGGGTGCCTCACAAAGCGAGGAGGGTTGGAGAGCCAAGGGGGTCAGAGGATGGGTCTCCGCTGCTGCTGCTACTCTTGTGATGAGCTGAGGCACAGGGCTCAGGAGTGCTGGGGTAGGTGAAGACCAGGCTGGGGGTGAAAGGAGTTAGGGAGGGTGTGGTCATGAGCTTGGGGGTGTGCAGTGCCGCAGGTTCAAGCACAGGCCCTGGGGAAAGGGAGATACAAGGTACAGGGCGGCAGGGGGCTGGCGGGCTGCTGGTGCCGCTGGTACCGCCTGTGTACCCCTCCTTGGCTCCTTCGGGGATTTTGCAGATGGGTCAGTGGGCTTCCAGCACCAGCTCCAGGCGCTCCTTCTGCTTCTGCAGCTCCTCGATCTCTCGCTGCAGCCCTGATTTCTCATCTTCCAGTTTATCAGTCTCCGCCTGCAGGAAGTCAGTCAGTTCCTTCCTCCAGTTCCTACACTTGGCCGCAGCCAGCTTGTTCCGCTCGGGCCTTACTCGGCGGCGCTCCTCTTCCTCCGGGCTGATCTGTTCACAAGGCCTTGGACACACCACTGGAGGCGGCCCCAGGGCCCGGATGGCTCCTGGCTGGGGTTGTAGGGGGCTGGACTAAGGGTAGGTCAGAGGCCTGGGGCAACTGCTGGGCCCCAGAAAATGAAGCTGTACCATCCACTGCAGCTCCTCACTGCCACTCATGTTGCTGATCCTTGGCACGAGGTGGAACTTCTGCTGGGCTGCCTGCACTGCGGCCGGGGGGCTGCGCGGGGTCGCCATACCCACGCCATTCCCGGAGCTCGGGCCGGGTTCCCTGAAGTCTCAGAACATGCCCCGGGCTGGCGGCTCCGCGTGGTCCACGGCCGCTGGCTTCCGACTCTCTTTCCAGATTTTGACCACATGATGTTTTACTGTCTTGGCCCTCTACTGTGCCTTCACACAGATTTTTTAAACCTACTTTTTCAGCTGTTCTCAGCAATAGGGTTCATCTGAATTAGCCAGTCTACCACAACTGGATGCACAACCAAAGCCTAATTTTGGTTTTTGTTTTTGTTGTTGTTGTTATTTTTAATAAATTTATACCTTGCCTTGTTCAAAAAGGGACCAAAGAGATTTAATGATCTAATGGATATAAAAAAATTTGTAGCCTGGGCACAGTGGCTCACACCAGTAATCCCAGCACTTTGCAAGGCTAAGGCAGGTGGATCACCTGATGTCAAGAGTTCGAGAGGAGCCTAGCCAACATAGTGAAACCTCATCTCTATTAAAAATATAAAAATTAGCTGGGCGTGGTGGTGGGCGCCTGTAGTCCCAGCTACTCAGGAGGCTGAGGTAGGAGAACTGCTTGAACCCAGGAGACGGAGGTTGCAGTGAGCCGAGATCACACCATTGCACTCCAACTTGGGTGACAGAGCAAAAAACTCCGTCTCAAAAAAAATAAAATTTTGTAAACAGATTACAATTCAGTATAAGTCAAAAACAAACATACATATGTGGTGCAAAGGTAGAACAGGAGAGTAATTTTTCTGGGATTGAGCACAAAATTTATCAAATAAGATTTTCCTGGAAGAGTAATATCTGAACTGGGGTTTATTTAGCTAAAAGATAATGAATTTGGCAAGTAAACAATGTGAAAAGCCACTGCAGGCAGAGGAAACTGCACATGCAACTTGGTATTTATGGATACAAATTTTAAAGCAGAGAGCAACAGGACAATGAAAATATGTAAAAGCCAAATCAAGAATTCATGAATTCTTGCTTGCCAAAGAATTTGAACTTTATCCTGAAGGGGGTGAGGAACCACTGAATAGAATTAAGAAAAACAGAGAAATAATCATATTTATATTTTACGATGATGAAGGATTTTAGAAGGATGAAGGATTTTCCTTGGAATCATTTACTTTGAAAATAATGAAAGCCTGAAACCATCAATGGCCACTGTTGCTCCCACTCAGAGAAAGCGTAACTGAAAATGAAGCTAACACAGAGCAAAGTACACCAAAGATAGGGGTAAAGAAAAGCAAAGTCTTTCTTTGGTGTCTTATACAAAGCCTTGCCTAAAATCAAGAACTGCTTCTTGGACTTGTAGTAAATTATCTAATTTGCTAGGGAAAAAAAATGAAATGAGAAATAAGGAGGAAAGACTACTCTGACAAGAGTTAAGCTAGAAAGAGAATGAACTAGAGCCAAGAACATCCTATAAAACTTCTATAGAGAGATGACGCATGGCAGTAGGAATGAATATGAAAGGACTGATAGGACCTAGTGACAAACTGCATGTTAGAAGTTACGATAAGTGGATGGGGATTCCTAAGGCATCCAAGCAAAATAAAAAATATAGGTTTGGGGTGGGTTTTCTTTCATTTTTTAAAATGAGAGACAGAATATAAAAAAGATGCCTATGAAACATAAGACAAATAACTGGAGAATTTAGTAGGCTACCGGTAATATAGTTCTAGAGTCCCACAAAGACACAAGGGAGTCATTAGCATACAGTTAATAAATAAAAACCCAAAACTTAAGAATAGAGTCTATCATTTCTAGACAAGCTATCAAAATAATAAGAGAAGTAGGCCAGGGATAAACCAGGGAAGACCACATTTTAAAAGGCAAACTGGCCAGGCACTGTGGCTCATGCCTGTAATTCCAGCACTTTGGGAGGCCAAGGCGGATGGATCACGAGGTCAGGAATTCGAGGCCAGCCTGGCCAAAATGGTGAAACCCCATCTCTACTAAAAGTACAAAAATTAGCCAGGCGTGGTGGTGCACGCCTGTAGTCCGTGGCTGAGGCAGAAGAATCGCTTGAATCCGGGAGGCGGAAGTTGCAGTGAGCCAAGATCGCGCCACTGCACTCCAGCCTGGGCGACAGACTGAGAGTCTGTCTCATAAATAAATAAATAAATAAATAAATAAATAAATAAATAAATGGCAAACCAAGGCCAGGCGTGGTGGTTCATGCCTGTAATCCCAACACTTTGGGAGGTCGAGGCAGGCGGATCAGCTGAGGTCAGGAGTTCAAGACCAGCCTGGCCAACATAGTGACACCCCGTCTCTACTAAAAATACAAAAATGAGCTGGGTGTGCTGGCGGGCACCTGTAATCCCAGCTACTGGGGAGGCTGAGACAGGAGAATCGCTTGAACCCAGGAGGTGGAGGTTGCAGTGAGCCAAGGTTACACCATTGCACTCCAGCCTGGGTGACAAGAGCAAAACTCCATCTCAAAAAAAAAAAAAAAAAAAAAAAAAAGGCAAACCAAAATTGTAAACTTAAAACTGTAAAATAATAAATCCTGTTGTGTGTTTTATCACAATTAAAAAACAAAAGTAAAAAAGGAAGAGGGCAACAAGACCACTTTGTTGTGCCATAAAATATAAATGTGCTGAACAGATGACAACATGCTGGTTATAAGCAGGAACCATCTTGAGAGAGCTCTAACCTGACTAGGTTTGAGATATTCTGAACATCAAAATGAATGAGGACAAGAATGGATAGAAATCCATGTTGGAGTCCATACTATCACTAAAAAGGGAGAAAATTAAAATATAAAAATAAAAAAATGAAGTGGAGAGGAAAGTTCTTCTTTATAGAAGAATACTAACAGACATATAGGGAATAACAAATTTAAAAATCACCATCTAAATAAAAAAATAAAAATAAAAAATAAAAAACATTAACCTAAAAAATAAAAAAATAAAAAATAAATAAAAATCACCATGTTGGCCGGGCGCAGTGGCTCACACCTGTAATCTCAGCACTTTGGGAGGCCGAGGCAGGTGGATCACGAGGTCAGGAGTTCGAGACCATCCTGGCCAACATGGTGAAACCTCGTCTCTACTGAAAATACAAAAATTAGCTGGGCGTGGTGGTATGCGCCTGTAGTCCAAGCTACTCGGGAGGCTAAGGCAGGAGAATCGCTTGAACCCGGGAGGTGGAGGTTTCAGTGAGCCGAGATTGCGCCACTGCACTCCAGCCTGGGGACAGAGCGAGAGTCCACCTCAAAAAAAAAAAAAAATCACCATCTTATAATAAGCATAATAGCTGATTCAAGCAAAAATCACCAATGGAAGCTAAAATACTGAATAAAGACTGTTGGGGAACACAGTTTTAAAATATCACTCCAAGGATCATTTATTAATTACAAAAGAGAAAAGGTACATTTACAGTGAGCAAATCTGGTAGATATCATCATAACCAAATGACCAAATCACCAATTCTAACCACATCAAATTTTGTAACTGACATCACATGTCTCTGGAGAGCATATACTAAACAAGGCACATTGCCTATGTAATGTTCTTGTCAAAAATACTTAACCTGGCTGGGCGCGGTGGCTCACACCTGTAATCCCAGCACTTTGGGAGGCCAAGGTGGGCAGATCACTTGAGGTCTGGAGTTCGAGACCAACCTGGCCAACATGGTGAAACCTTGTCTCTACTGAAAATACAGAAAATTAGCCAGACATGGTAGTGCATGCCTGTAATCCCAGCTACTCAGGAGGCTGAGGCAGGAGAATCACTTGAACTCGGGAGGCAGAGCCTGCAGTGAGCCGAGATCACGCCATTGCACTCCAGCCTGGGTGACAGAGCGAGACTCCACCTTAAAAAAAAAAAATCTTAACCTGAAGCTAATCATATAAAGATATCGGGCAAATCCAAACTGAAGGACAAAACAACTGGCCTGAACTCTTGAAAAACATCAATGTCATGAATAGCCAAAAAGAAAAAAAAAGGCAGCACAACTATTCTAAATGAAAGAACATTAAAATTATATGACTCTCAAGGCAATGTGTGATTCCTGTCTGGAATTGACTTAGAAAAAAATAAAAGAAATTATAAAGGACAACTGAGACAACTGGAGAAATGTAAATATAAACTGCATATTCAATAATAGCATTCTATCAATGTTAAACTTCTTGTGTTTTTGATAATTGTGGTTATGTAGGAGAGTGTACTTGTTTTTAGGAGATACTTGCTGATGTATTTTAGGATAAGCTGACATAATGTCTACAACTAACTTTCAAATGATTCAGGAAAAAATGTATATATATGCACCTATATATTTATACATAGAAAAAAAGGAAATATGGTAAGATGTTTGCCAAATCTAGGTGAACAATATACTGGCATTCCTCATATTATGTATGTAACTTTTCTGAAGGTTTGAAGTATTTCAAAATGAAGACTTGGAGGGAATAAAATATAGATGCATATTACTGATACAGAAAAATATTCATAACATTAAGTGAGAAAATGGCATTGTCTTTCAAAGTCTACATTTCTCTGCAACTCATATTGGTCTGACTAGAAAGAAGAAGCTTAAGCAACAAGGATTTCCCTTCAGCCAAATTGCTTGAAAGAACCCTTGGTGCTTCAACTTTCTCACTTCCCATTCATGTCAATGTGAATTACAGTCTGATGGTAGGTCCAAGGTGGTCAGCAGTAAGGGATTTTTATTTTTTTATTTTACATTTCTTCATTTATTTTTTTTTCCCAAGACAGAGTCTTGCTGTCTTGCCCAGGCTGGAGTGCAGTGGCGCAATCTTGGCTCACTGCAACTTCTGCTTCTCGGGTTCAAGCAATTTTCTCTGCCTTAAAATAAGAAGTCAGTGGGGGAAAAAAGATGAAGCTGGTTGGGTGCAGTGGCTCACATCTATAATTCCAGCTCTTCAGGAGGCTGATGTGGAAGGATTACTTGAGGCCAGGAATTCAAGACCAGCATGAGCAACACAGTGAGACACTGTCTCCACAAAAAAGTAAAAAATTAGTCAGGTGTGGTAACACATGCCTGTAGTACCAACTACTAGGGAGGCTGAGACAGAAGACTCCCTTGAGCCCAGGAGTTTGAGGCTGCAGTACGCTATGATCTCACCACTGCATTCCAGCCTAGGCACAACAGGGTGAGACCCTGTCTGAAAAAAAAAAAAAAAAGAAAAAAATTAAAGCTATAGTTGAGATAGAATGTGTCCCTTTATGGGTCATAATCTCAGACACCATTTATTTTCTTGGCTTCTTCAGTGAAACTATATATAATAACCACACCTTTTTTGTTGTTGTTGTTTTGTTTTGTTTTGAGATGGAGTCTTGGTCTGTCGCCCAGGCTGGAGTGCAGTGGCACGATCTCGGCTCACTGCAACCTCCGCCTCCCGGGTTCAAGTGATTCTCCTGCCTCAGCCTCCTGAACAGCTGGGAGTACAGGTGTGCACCACCATGCCTGGCTAATTTTTGTATTTTTAGTAGAGACAGGGTTTCACCATGTAGGCCAGGATGGTCTCGAACTCCTGACTTTGTAATCCGCCTGCCTCTGCCTCCCAAAATGCTGGGATTACAGGCGTGAGCCACTGCGCCCAGCCCACACCTATTTTTTTCCTCCAAATTACCACTAGTGGACTTCCTGTCTCAATTGTTCCCTCTCCTTTTCTTTAATACCTTAAAAAGTTCAATCACTTTTCCTGCTTTAAGTCTCCCTTCTTTACTAAATACTCCAAAATCTACATTTCTGGCCTTCTTATCATCTCTAGGATTTAGAGAGAGGGCAAAAGACATTTTACATAAATAGACACCATGAATCAACTCAACATTTCCAAATCTGATCTTAAGATCATTCTCTCCTAGGTTTTCCTTGCTAATGTCCCTACTTCTTTCACAAGGTATTATGAACAGATTCTTTAAAATCGCTTCCCAATTTTGGCACTTTTTCATTCTCACGTAGGTTATTAATGAATGTTGAGAAAATAAACGATATTCCTTTTGTTCAGCTCTTCATTTCACCCTTGGATTACTATAAGTGGGTTTTTTAACTCAACTTCTGTCCTCCCCTATTCTGATCTAGGTTAATGCCTCACATATATAAACCTATTAAACCACTATTTTGATCATTCCACTTTCTTTATAAAAACTGCAATTGCTCTTTATTCTAAATTCCTATAAAGCTTTCAAGACACTTTGCAATCTGGTCCCACCTCACCTACCCAATCTTCAGAGTACTGTAGTGCTAACATTTAACTTACAGAAATTCAATTATACTTGTTTAGCAATAATAATACTTTTTAAATGGGCCAGCAATGCCACTGCTATTCTACTCAATGAATGTATGCATTGATGTAATCAAATCCTAATGTTAATGCACAGAAAGAAAAACCTAACGAAAGGATGAATACATTTCGATAATGTCCTGACCACTGAAAAGTGCCCAAACAAGTATAGTTTTACCATATCCTTTCATGTTCAAAAATGTTGAAAAGCATAGGGAAATAACAACTAAAAGTAGAAAGAATTATTTTAAGTATTAGCCTCTGGCCAGGTGCAGTGGCTCATGCCTGTAACTCCACCACTTTGGGAGGCCAAGGCAGGTGGATTACTTGAGGTCAGGACTTCGAGACCAGCCAGGCCAACATGGTGAAACCCCATCTCTACTAAAAATTCAAAACTTAGCCAGGCATTGTGGTGAGCACCTATAATCCCAGCTACTCAGGAGGCTGCAGCAGAATTGCTTGAACCCCGAGGGTGGAGGTTGCAATGAGCCAAGACCCCGCCACTGTGCTCCAGCCTGGGCAACAGAATGAGACTCCATCTCAAAAATAAATAAATAAAATAAAGTAAAATAATAAAATTTAAAAAAAAATCAGCTTCTAAAGAGAAAGATGACTATGGACAGGAAGACCCATCAAATTAGAATCTTTATAAATATGCTCAAGTACTTCAAAATTCAAGCACTTCAATACTTTATTTTATAAATATGATCCTGCTACATTACTACATATATATTTAGAAGCTTTTTTTTTTTTGAGACAGAGTTTCACTCTTGTTGCCCAGGCTGGACTGGAGTGCAATGGTGCAATCTCGGCTCACTTCAACCTCCACCTCCCAGGTTCAAGAGATTCTCCGGCCTCAACCTCCCAAGTAGCTGGGGTTATAGGCGCCCACCACCACGCCCAGCTAGTTTTTTATATTTTTAGTAGAGAGGGACTTCACCATGTTGGCCAGGCTGGTCTCAAACTCCTGCCCTTAGGTGATCTACCTGCCTCAGCCTCCCAAAGTGCTAGGATTACAGGCATGTGCCACCGCGCCCAGCTTTAGATGCATATTAAGGTGTAAGGCTATGCATAAAGTGATACGTATTTTACTGGTGATTTAAGAGAATTAGGAATGTTTTGATCATTCTCAATTTTCAACTTAAAAGGGCTCTAAAACCTATTCCCAAATAATATTGAACTCTGTTAGATAATTCACATACTTAGCTCTCATTAGATAATCAATGTCAAGAAACTTTTTATTACTCAGGAGCCAATTTCAAAAAAAAGTTGTAAACTCTGTATTTTTTTCATAAATTATATCAACAGGCTATTAATAAACACATTCGTGCTTACATATTACTGTATTCTATCAGTGAAGGAGTGACTAGAAACTTTATAAATTATATTGTAATTACTGGCCATAACTCTTTTTTCTTTTTTTTACTACTGGCCATAATTCTATTATTTGATGAAGACACTTCAGAAACTCATTTGTTTTCCATTTATTGACTTTATAAGTTTTTAATTTTGAATTCTGGGTCACAAAAAGTACTCTTCAATCCACTTTCTTTGAAACACAAGATTTTCTTCAGCCACTGTTCTAGCAATAACCACATCCAGATTTCATTATTTAAGAGGCAATCTACCCACTTAGAGCACCCCATACTACTTTCTGTCCTCAACTTCTCTTTTTTACTGTTCCCCTTCATAAATCAAACCCACCAGCTACCTTCTCTAGCTAGACTACTTATTCTCTGTTTTGATTTTGTACATATATCCAAATATTGCCTAATAATCAAGGCAAAACTCTTGCATGCATCAAGGGGAGAACTTTTTGAAAGAATGTATAAAAGAGCAAATTTTTCAATCGCTGTCTTAGCAGTGAGAAAAAGGGAAAGACTCTGTCACAGAAATCTGAGCAAAGAAACCAGGCGATCTTAGAAAAAGGGCAAGAAAGAAGCCAGCCAGTTGTTTGGGGCTAACTAGTTCACACCTCAAAGCAAATATACAAAAGAGGTCTCTCGTCCCAGCTAACAAAGCTGAGAATCATAAAGAATCTGGGGACTGGAAACTCCATCACTCCTCAACACTGTTCACAAATTGCCTATCACTATGCTTAGCACCTAACAGCTACTCAAATATCTGTTAAATGAATAAATGGATAGATGAATGAATGAGTGAACCAATGGGATAGACACTGTCATCAAGGAGAATGTGTTGCAATGGAAGTTATCTTCTGTGTCCTTTATTTTTGGTCAGGAATACTAAGCATAACAGTGGGTCCTAGATCAGATGTTTTATAATATAGAATATTCGTTATTTAGGACCTAGTTTTAAGTTCTAGGCTTCTCTAGGATGCTTCCCTTGATTATGCCAACCTAAAACTCTCAAAATTCTTTCATCCAGCTATTTTTAAATAACTGTTCTGCTTTGAAATATCTTGTATAAAACCTATGTGTATGGTATGAAAATTAATACAATGAACACCACATGCTACTACCATCTATGTTAATAGGACACTGCCAATATCCTGGAAGTCCCTTTTTGCCCCTGCCCAATCCCATTCCCCTCCTTCTCTCCAGAAAAACCACCATATTGACCTTAGCAAGACCGATTTCCTAACTGTTCTTTCATTTATTACCTTTGAAAGTTTCCCTATGCAATATATTTCATTTCCCCTGTTTTGGAACTGTATATTAATAAAATCATATTTTCTGCATATATTATATGGCTAACATCCACCAAACTTTTAAAACTTCTTTACTTTGGAATTTTTCTAACATATACAAAAATAGAATAGTATAACAAAGTCCTATATACACATCACATGGTTTCAACAACTATCACCATTTTACCATTCTCTTATTTGATCTATATTGGCATTGTTTTTAAAATCATCTTCATTTCTATACCAATTATTTCACTGTTAAATACCATACCACTGTATACAAAACATATATAATACCATTTTAGACATAATGAAGCTATTAGATTTAACAATATGGATGTGTCTCATAGTCCACACATTCAAAAGTTTCTCTACAAAAGATACACACACGTACACATATAGACATAACTAGAAATGGAACTGATGTGTATTAGAAAAATGCATGTATACATATGTACATGTGGAAATGGAACTGATGCTTCTTAGGATACATAAACAATCAACTTTAATAAGTAATACTAAAGTTGGTTGTAACAATTTAATTTAACACCAATAGTGATGTGTGAATTCATGTTGCACCACTTCTTTACCAAGACTTAATATTGTCAGACTTTTTAATTTTATGATGTAATGGGTATGGTCTTCTGCTTCTGGCTATGACGGAGCAACCAATACCAGCCTGTGCCTCCTAATGTAAATAACCATAAAACTGATATGACTATGAAACAACTATTTTTAGGGATTGAACAAAAGCAATGTAAGACTGTGATCTCTGAGAGAAGAGCTCACAAGATGGGCTCCACGATCACTCCAGCTCTATTTCTGGGTACAATTTCCTAACCATGGCACAGTAAGCTTCAGCCCAAGCAAAGTATAACTGTCCTGCTGAGCTGAGAAGGTAGTGCTTTAGAGTTTAGTACAGTTGAAGCAGTGGAACCTGTGGAATAGAGCGCTGGAGACAATCTATGCAGGGAAGAGGGGGGCAATAAGTCCATGTGAGGGTCAGGCTGCTGTGTGTCCTTGGCTGGAGGCAGAGCACATATGTTCAGGATAAGACTACCTAAGACATACCCCAAAGTGACTGCTATGTGGTTAAGCTGAACAGATATACTAAAGGTCCAGTAGTGCTGGGGGATGGTGAGCATACAAGCCCAGTTAAGAATGGATACCCTTTGTAAGCTACTCATTAACCCTTTGGGCATTCATGTGTGATACAGCTTAGAAATGAAGCCATGCTACAGAATAAGGTCCACACTCGAGTCTAGAGAATAAGACCTACTCTAGACTCACTAGCAAAGCCTAATATAAAACCTCATAAGATCTAGAGGAGACACAGAATTTGGAGGTTAAGTTCTGTCAAGTTAAAGAGGCTTTCCACAGATCTAACCTAACGAAAGAGTAAAATAAGTCTACACAATTCCAAGTGTAGCCTACAACGCCCAATAAAACAAAAAACTCAACATCCTTCAGAGGAAGATGACATCTATAATCTCTACAGCATATGTATAATGAACAGTATAAAACTTTAAAAATTACTAGCAGTGAAAATAAATAGGAAAATGTAACCCATAGTCAAGGTAAAAAAGCAGTCAGTAGATCGCTCAAATGTTATCACAAGATCTCTCAAATGTCAAATGTCAGATTTTAAGACAAGGACTTCAAAGCAACTATTATAAATATATATGAAGAAACAGAAGAAAAACATGGTCTTAATAAGTGAATAGATAGGAAATCGCAGCCCAAAAAATGCAAACTATAAAAAATGGAAATTCCAGAACTGAAAAACTTTTACTTGGACGGGCCTAAAAATAGAATGAAAATGGTAGACAAAAATTAGTGAAGTTTAAGACAGAATGATAAATACAGTCCAATCTATAGAACATAAATATTCCAGAAAACAGAAAGAACCAGGCATGGCGGCTCACACCTGAAATCCCAGCTACTCAGGAGGCTGATGTGGGAAGATCACTTGAGCCTAGGATTTCACAAAAAGTCTGGGTAATATCTCAAAAAAACAAAACAAAAAAAACAGAAAGAACCTCAAGGACCTGTGAAATATTATCAAATAGTATAACATATCTATAAGTGAATTCCCAAGTAAAAAATGAGTAAGGAACATAAAAAATATTTGAAGAATTAATGACTGAAATGTGCCCAAATTTGATGAAAAACATCAAATTACTAATTCAAAAGTTTCAGTTAACCTCAAATTGGATATATTCAAAGAAAACCAAACCAAGACACATCATAGTAAAACTGCTGAAAATCAATGGTAAAGTAAAAATCTTGAAAGCCAGAGGGGAAAACAACACATTACATACAAGGGGACAAGAATACAAATAATGGCTGACTTCTGTGGTTCTCAACTGGGTTTTGATTTTGTCCACACCTCCACCATACATTTTTCATTGTCATGGGATTGGGGTGGGGGGATGCTACTGGCATCTTGTGGGTAGAGACTAGAGATAATGCTAACCATCCTATGATTTATAAGACAGCTTCTACAACAAAGAATCACCTAGTTCGAAATGTTAATAGTACTGAGGTTGAGAAACCCTGTACTACATGCTCCAAATCCTATCTAGTCTCGTATTTTCAGGAACTTAGCCCCATTATCTACTCTCAACTGTATCTTCCATTCTCTCTTTACACTGGACCGTTCCCATCACCATGTAAAATGTTCTAGTACTTTTCACTCTTTAAAAGCATATTAATATAGATACACACACACACACACACACACCCTGTGCCTTAACTTATCTATGTTCAGATACTGTCATTTCTCCAATACCTATACCAAGTTTCAATATTTGAGTGCAATATACTCATACATTTGAATGTATCATACTCATATTTCTGCTTATTAATTCATTCACACTCTCCCCCACCACTGTTCCACTGAGATATCTCAGCACATTTCTTCTCTCTTGTTTATCAAGAGGCTCAAAACTGAATTCAGTGGTCAATTATGATAGTTCTCTTCTGCCTAGATTTTCCAGTTTAATTAGCTCCACCCACCCCACCATTTTGAATTATTTAGAGATTGTATTTTCAATTGTCAGTCATGTTCACTACCAAATTCCCAGCTTCCAACATTGTTTGGTACACAGCAGACACTCAAATATATGTTAATGAATGAATCCCTGGCAGAGTCAATTTATTATAAGGCTGCCATATTTGAAATATAGTACTAACTTGTGCAAGGGATTATGGCTAGAATTTACATAATGAGGCAAAACTTGAAATCAGGTCTCTTTTTTTTGAAACGGAGTCTTGCTCTGTCACGGAGTGCAGTGGCATGATCTTGGCTCACTGCAACCTCCACCTCCCGGGTTCAAGTGATTCTCCTGCCTCAGCCTCCCGAATAGCTGAGACTACAGCTGTGTGCCACCACACCCAGCTAATTTTTACATTTTTAGTAGGGATGGGGTTTCACCATGTTGGCCAGGATGGTCTCAATCTCTTGACCTCATGATCAGCCTGCCTCGGCCTCCCAAAGTGCTGGGATTACAGGCGTGAGCCACCGTGCCTGGCCTCTAAAATCAGGTCTCTTGATTCACTTGACTCTCCAGCAGAAAGAACTTTAGTTCAAAACCATTTCTAAAGAGAGAGTGACTACAGTTAACTTGAGAGCTCACGTTGTCCATGAAAGGAAAGCGATCTGAGAAGTCTTTCAGAGTAAGGTGTTAGG
The DNA here is from genome assembly GCF_000001405.40 of Homo sapiens. Taxonomy (NCBI): domain Eukaryota; kingdom Metazoa; phylum Chordata; class Mammalia; order Primates; family Hominidae; genus Homo; species Homo sapiens. The sequence continues at coordinate 128,142,848 of NC_000004.12, read as the reverse complement.
AAGAGTGTAAAAGAATTTTGTATTTTGAAATATACAACATAACCCAGGCACAGTGGCTCACGCCTGTAATCCCAGGACTTTGGTAGGCCAAGGCGGGCAGATCACCTGAGGTTGGGAGTTCGAGACCAGTTTGAGAAACATGGAGAAACCCCGTCTCTACTAAAAATACAAAATTAGCCAGGTGTGGTGGCGCATGCCTGTAATCCCAGATACTCGGGGGGCTGAGGCAGAAGAATAGCTTGAACCCGGGAGGCAGAGGCTGCAGTGAGCAGAGATCGCGCCATTGAACTCCAGCCTGGGCAACAAGAGCGAAACTCCATCTCAAAAAAAAAAAAAAAGAAAGAAATATACAACATAAGAGGACTAATAATGGAACTGTGGCACCTGGAAGAACTCCACAGACTGTACTTTGATGGCACAGTTTCTATGTAAAGGCTGCCTAAGCTTCTACATTCCTTAAATTCCTGGTCTTTCCTCCATTTGTAGCATTGTTTCTGGTCCCACATAACCATCTGGTCTTTGTTCTTTCTTCATATATGCCCAGTTTTTTACAGTTTTCAAATTCTTTACAACCTCATGAGGTGGACAGGGTAAGAATGATCCCCACCTGAGATTCACAGAAGTTAGGTGTTGGTCCAGAACTGCACTCCCAGTGGAACTTGCACATAGTTGACTGCTGGTCAAGAACAGGCTTTGCCAGACAGGTTCTCAACTTGGTGCACTTCTCTAATGAGAAAAGGTCAGCTCAAGTGGTGGTGAGGAGACAGGAAGTTTACATGACTCTCCTCTTGACAAGTCAGTATGAAGCTATTGTTTCTGTCTGCCAGCCATCTCCTGATAAATGTGTACAGCATGTCCACCTTTATACCAAATACTCTGCCACAACTGAAGTTCCTTTCACTATCTGAAATAAATACAGGTAAGGACTTGCCTCATTTGTAAGGGGGAATGCTGCATAAGAGAGTGAAGTAATCAGCAAAGTCAAAGTGAATGAGAGCTATCCAGTCTTCCAAGGCTCAAGGACCCCAATAATTCCAGAATGCTGTCTGGGTCAAGGCAGAAGAAAGCCACTAGAGGTACGCTTTCTTGTTGAGAGTGTAACCTCTCAACAACGTGCTTGCTGATGGTCTCAATCATCTAACAACTGGAAATGTTCTCTCAAATACCACAAAGCTAAGTACCTCCAAGAAAAATTCTGGGAACTGATGTTTAGGCCACCAGTGAGGAGTGTTAAGTTCACCTGATAATACTATAAGTAGTACTGGACAAAACTGGTATATTTCACTACTGTAAATGCAATGAGCCTAACGATGAGATTAAGTGACTAGCAGATGTGATTCATAAGTTTCAAATTTGAAGGTTCTTCCTAAAATGTTGGAGATAAACACATTAGCATATTTGAGTTTCTACACAAGCAACTTGGGCAGAGGATAGAATACTGAGCAACTCGTTGTAACGTGTTTCTCTCTTATTCTGTAGATACAAATTAAACATTTATAGTTAGGGGAAGGTATCATGAGATAGTGGACCAGGAAATTCCTGAGCTCATGAGCCCAGACGCTAGCCAATGATACCAATGATAAGATGTAAAGGCCTATCAGCACATTTTTGGAATGGACGTCTGATCTCTACATCCTATGTTAACAAAGTCTTCAATACTGTACAGATTTATACCACTCAAGCAGACCACTGGAAAGGAAGACAAATAGCTGGACGCAAAAAAGCAGAGACAATTGGCCAGGTGCGGTGGCTCATGCCTGTAATCCCAGCACTTTGGGAGGCCGAGGCAGGTGGATCACGAGGTCAGGAGTTCAAGACCAGCCTGGCCAAGATGATGAAACTCCATCTCTACTAAAAATACAAAAATTAGCCAGGCATGGTGGTGCATGCCTGTAATCCCAGCTACTTGGGAGGCTGAGGCAGCAGAATCGCTTGAACCCGGGAGGCGGAGGTTGCAGTGAGCCGAGATCACGCCACTGCACTCTAGCCTGGGCGACAGAGCAAGACTCTGCCAAAAAAAAAAACAGAGACAATTAACCTACCTTGACTTTAGACCAAGGAACAACAATGTGGCAGCTTCAAGAAGTAAATAAATCAGCTTTGGCTTGCCTCTTTTGTACTACCCATCCCCCTTTAATTCTAGCCTTTTAGTATTGTTATGAAATATGTCTCCTAGAATAATGCATAAAATATACATGTGCAACTTATAACGCATTCATGTAACAACTACCAGAAACACAACTGTTAGTATTTTAGAAACTTCTGAGGATCCTACACCTCCCCCCAGCCCCCACAATGAACAAATTCTGACTTACGTAGTAATTATTCCAGGTTTTTCTTTATGCAACCATCTATATACGTTAAGTGTACCTAAAAAATCATGTTTCATTTGATCTGTTCTTGAGTTTTGTGGAGTCATATTGTGTATGAACCCTCACTTCTTTCATTCAGCATTGTTTTCTAGATGTATTCATAAAGATGTGTATGGCAATCATTTTTTTCTCTACTATATAGCTACTTTTCACTACTATAATGATGACATAGTCAGCTACTGATAGATACTTCAAATATTTTCAATTTGTGACTATAATGAATTATTCTGCTACATTATTACATACTGCTCCTGGTGAACACATCTAAATTCCTCCAGGGTAGTGCCAGCCAATACAAACACAATGTAATCTTAAATTTCCCATAACTACAAAAAATATACAAGATGTACATTTTAAATAATCTATTTCGACATGCAATAATTATTAAAATTTGAGATATTTTATATTCCTTTTTGTTACTAAGTCTTCAAAATCCAGTATTTTACATTTAAAACACATCCTATTTGGACTAGCCACATTTCAAGGGCTCAATAACTACATGTGGTTAATGTCTACTAAACAATGCAACTCGAGAATATATTCCTGAGTGGAAATGGTGGATCATAGCATATGGTTTACCATTTTTTATTCCCACAGATTGAGGTTCTTGCTCCAAATACTCCCAAACTCTACTTACCATCTGATGTCTTAACATTGCTAATATAAGTTTTATGAACTATTTCATTGAAATATTTTCATCTCCTTGACTAATAATGTTGAACATCTTTTCATGTTCTCAGTCATTTAGACTTCTTCTTTTGTAAAAAGTTTGTTCATGTCTTATAAGCAGTATACTGAATCTTTTGTGTGTGTGTGTGTGTGACAGTCTCACTCTGTCGCCCAGGCTGGAGTGCAATGGCACGATCTTATACTGTTTTTTTGTTTTTTTTTTTAACAGTTATACAGTTACAAGCATTTAGTAAATCTACTTTATGGATTCTTTTCTTCTATTTTAAGAGATGGGCCTCACTATATTGCCCAGGCTGGAGTGCAGTGGCCATTCACAGGTGCACACTACATCGCAGCTGTGATCATCACACACTACAGCACTGAATTTTTGGGCTCAAGGGATCCTCCTGCCTTAGCCTCTAGAATAGCTGGGACTACAGGTGCACAGCACTATGCCTGACTTACAGATATTCTTTAATGCCTAGACTGTTACTGGTTTGGGGACTTTTTATGCTTCTTAAAAAAACTGATATATGTATATTAGTTGTACATACTTCTGGGGTACATGTGCCATTTTGATACCTGTATACAATGTGTAATGATCACATCAGGGTAATGGGGATATCAATCACCTCAAATATTTTTCTTTATTTTCTTCTATTTTTTTCTTTTTTATTCAAGTGATCACAATCTTTCTTCAATCCGTTAATGTGAATTTCCTTTACTAACTTTTCTTATGTACAATTAATCCATGATCTTGAAATGAACACAACTTGGTTATCTGTTTTTTAAAAAACTGCTATATTTGGTTTACTAAAATATTGTTTAGACCTTTTTAAATTATTATTATTATTTTTTGAGAGTCTCACTCTGTCACCCGGGCTGGAGTGAAGTGGCATGATCTCGGCTCAATGCAACTGCCTCCCAGGTTCAAGCGATTCTCATGCCTCAGCCTCCCAAGTAGCTCGGACTACAGGTGCCTACCACCATGCCTGGCTAATTTTGTATTTTTAGTAGAGATAGGATTTCACCACGGTGGCCAGGCTGGTCTTGAACTCCTGACCTCAGGTAATCCACCTGGCTTGGCCTCACAAAAGGTTGGGATTACAGGCATGAGCCACCATGCCCAGCTGTTTAGCCTTTTTATACCTAGGTAATGCCTGACTCTCATTCACGTTCTCATGAATTCTAATTTCTTATGTACAGCTCAGGTACCAAAGATATGTTCTTCTCATAAGTGTTCTCCCCCACCACTACCCTTTCCACAAATATTTGACTTATTATTAGCTCTATTCTCTGGAAATATTTGTGCATTCCTGAAATTATTCATTCCAATCATAAAAAGATATGTTAATAAAATATCTATATTTGAAGTTATTATAGAGTTTGAAGATTTTTAAATTGTCATAGCACTATCTAGACTTTCTTTTCCACTCCATTTTGAAGTTATATACTTTTCTAGAAATCTGTCTTTATAAAAAAGTTCAAATTTATTGCTCTAAAATTACATTTTAAAATTTCTGTATGGTTAGTAACTATATCCCCTCTTGCATTCCATGTAAAATATCTATTTTCTTTTTTTGTTATGATAAGCTTAATTCTAGCCTTTTTGAAAAATTAAGTCCTGATATGATTAATCCTCTATTGTGCGTTAGATATAATTAATTAAATTCTGCTATTTATTTCCTTCCATATTTTTTATGGGAGTTTATATTGCTAATTCTTTTCCTAACTTCTTGAGATCAATGCTATAACAGATTCTGTTATGTTGTTCAATCCTCATATTCCCCAGAAGAGAAGATTATGCATATTCAACACTGTCACCTGCCTTTTAAGAATATATATTCCAAAATTAGCCAGGTTTGGTGGTGCATGCCTGTAGTCCCAGCTACTCAGGAGGCTGAAGCACTGCTTGAGCCCAGGAGGCGGTGGTTGCAGTGAGCTGAGATCCATGCCACTGAACTCCATCCTGGGAGACAAAGCAAAACTCTGTCACCAACCCCCCTAAAAAAAAAATATATATATATATATATATATGTATACACACACGTTTCTGTATATATATAATGTGTGTATGTATATATATATTCCCCATTCAAATACAAAGAAATGATAAATGTTTGAGGTGATAGATATATAAATTACCCTAATTTGATCATTACACATTGTATGCATGTATCAAAATATCACATGTATCCCATAAATATATACAATTATTATGTATCACTAAAAAATAAATACCAAATGGAAGGAAAAAATATATATTCCCCAGCCTATATAGGCTTGGCCATATAGTCAATGGAATATAAAAAATGCACATAAAGCACATATAAGCAGCAACATCAAATATAACTAAGATTTGGCTCTGCCTCTTGTTCTTCCCCTCTGCCACATGAATAAGCATGTAATGTATAGGAACTGCTGTTTTGGAATTAATCCCCAAATGAGAAGACAATTGGAGAAGAACCAAATATACAGAGCTGTAATAGCTGACCCACAGCCAATATCAGGTAACATGAATGAGATGCTTTTGCTCTGTCTTTGAGAATTGGGGGAGTTTTTGTTTTTTGTTTTTTTTTGAGATGGACTCTTGCTCTGTCGCCCAGGTTGAAGTGCAGTGGCACAATCTCTGCTCACTGCAACCTGTCGGGGGAGTTTTTTTAATTAAAGTCAAGATAATATTGGTAATTGGACTATTAATTTCAAGTGTTTTTCCTAATATTTGCATTTAAGCCTATTGCCTTAGCTGCACTTTTTAACTTTAGTTACCATTCAATTCATATTTTCTAATTTCCATTAATTTCTTCTTTGAATGCTGAGTTGTTTAATTTAAAAACATATCATTGTTTTGGGGAATATGGGAATTTATTACGTTCACTTATATTATTATTATTAATCACTAGCTTGACCAGGTGCAGTGTGGCATGCCTATAATCCCAACACTTTGGGAGGGCAAGGCCATAGAATCTCTTGAGGCCAGGAGTTCAAGACCAGCCAGGCAACATAGTGAGACCTCATCTCTACAAAAATATTTAAAAATTAACAAATAAAATCACCAGTTTAATTCCACTAATAATGTGCTTTGTGTAATATAAATGCCTTGGAATTCACTTTATATACCAGTGGAGGTCTAAGTACCATGTATATACTAAAAAAGAACAATGCTCTGCAATTCTTAGGCAAAACGTTTCTGAAATTACTTTTTATTGTCTGATTATGCCTTGTTTACTTAGAGAGTAAATCACTTAGAGAGTAAATTACAACAGTGGATTTGTTTTACCAACTTTTGTTTCATATATTTGAAGCTTTAATATTAAATACATTGAATTTGAAGTTATCTCCTCTGATAAACTTCACTTTTTATCATTATATGACACTTTCACACTAGTAATGCTTTTTATCTCTAAGTCAACTTTGTAAGTCTTCCATCTGCTACTAATATGTAAGTTTTGTTTTTTGTTTTTTGTTTTGTTTTTTTGTTTTTTTGTTTTTCTTGAGACTGTTATTTGTTTTTTAAGATGGAGTCTAGCTCTGTCTCCCAGACTGAAGTACGATGGCGCAATCTCAGCTCACTGCCACCTCCACTTCCTGGGCTCAAGCAATTCTCCTACCTCAGCCTCCCAAGTAGCTGGGATTACAGGCGTGCACCACCACACCCAGCTAATTTTTGTATTTTTAGAAGAGATGGGGTTTTGCCATGTTGGCCAGGCTGGTCTCGAACTCCTGACCTCAGGTGATCTGCCCACCTTGGCCTCCGAAAGTGGTGGGATTACAGGTCTGAGCCACCGCACCTGGCCTATGTGTATTAAGTTTTCTTTTGGTTATTTTTTTTTTAATTTGGTATGTAGTTGGATTTTTAAAATAATTTTTAATAATGTTAAAAAACACATCACAAAATTTACGATCTTAACCATTTTAAAGTGTGCAATTCAGTAGTGTTAAATATATTCACACTGCTGTGCAATAGATCTCCAAAACTTTCATCTAGCAAAAATAAAACCCTATACCCATTAAGCAACACTTTCCCAGTTTCTCTCCTCCCTTCAGCTCCTGGCAACTACCTTCTTACTTTGTTTCTATAAACTTCACCACTTTAGTTAGCTATCTCCTATAAGTGGAAACATACTTCGACTGAGTCTTTTTGTGACTGAATATTTCCCTTAGCATAAAGTCCTCAAGGTTCATCCGTGTTGCAGCAATATTTCCATCCTTTCTAAGGTGGAATAATACTCCATTGTTATGTATATACTACATTTTGTTTATCCATTCCTCCACTGAAAGACATTTGGCTTACTCCCACCTCTTGGGTTATTGTGAATAATGCTGCTCTGAACATGGACACGCAAATACCTCTTAGAGATCCTGCCTTCATTTTTTTGGATATATGCCTAGAATTGGTATTGCTGGATAACATGATATTTCTATCCTTAATTTTTTGAGAAACTGCCATCCTGTATTCCATAAGGGCTGCACCATTTTACATTCACATGAGAGTTCGCAAGGGTCTAATTTCTCCAAATCCTTGTTAACAACTATTTTCTGTGTGTTTTTTTAAATGGTAACCATCCTAATCAGTGTGAGGTGATAATCCTCTGATTTTTTTATTTGCATTTCTATTCTGAGTAGTGACTTCGAGCATCTTTTCAAATGTTTGTTATCCTTTTTATTTATTTATTTATTTATTTATTTATTTATTTATTTATTTATTTTGAGATGAAGTCTCAGTCACCCAGGCTAGAGTGCAGTGGTGCGATCTCAGCTCACCACAACCCCCACCTCCGGGGTTCAAGCGATTCCCCTGCCTCAGCCTCCTGAATGGCTGGGATTACAGGCATGCACCACCAACCCTAATTTTTTGTATTTTTAGTAGAGATGGAGTTTCGCCATGTTGGCCAGGCTGGTCTTAAACTCCTGACCTCAAGTGATTGACCCACCTCAGCCTCCTAAAGTGCTGGGATTACAGGCATGAGCCATTGCGCCCAGCCTTATTAGCCATTTTCATATCACCTTTAGAGAACTATCTACACAAGTCTTCTGTCCATTTTTAAAATCAGGTTATATTTTTTGTTGATTTGTAGGAGTTCTTTATATACTCAGGATACTAATCCCTTATCAGATATATAATTTGCAAATATTTTTCTGCATTCCATAGGTTGCCTACTGTTAACTGTGTCCTTTCATACACATAAATTTTTAATTTTCAAGAATTCCATTTGTCTACATTTGTTCTGTAACATGTGATTTTAGTGTGATATCCAAGAAACCACTGCCAAATCCAAGATCATGAAGGCCTTCCCCAAAGGCTTTCTTCTAAATGTTCTATAATTTTATGTAATATGTTTAAGTCTTTAATCTAGGTTAATTAATCTTCATTTATGGTATAAGGTAAAGATCTAACTTCCTTCTTTTACATGTGGATACCCAATTTTCCCAATATCATTTGTTGAAGAGATTATCCTTTCTCCATTGAGTGGTCTTGATACACTTGTCAAAAAAATCATTTACCCAGCCAGCTTCAGTAGCTCACACCTGTAATCCCAATACTTTGCAAGGCCAAGATGGAAGGATTGCTTAAGGCCAGGAGTTTGAAACCAGGTATAACAAGACCCTGCCTCCACACACACAAAAAAAATTCATTAATTACCCAGGTGTGGCAGTGTGAGCCTGTAGTCCCAACTACTCTGGAGGCTGAGGTGAGAGGATTGCATGAGCCCAGGAGGTCAAGACTGCAGTGAGCCATGATGATGCCACCATACTCCAGACTGGGCAAAAGAGTGAGAAACTGTCTTAAAAAAAAAAAAAAAAAAATTGGGCTGGGCACAGTGGCCCACGCCTGTAATCCCAGCACTTTGGGAGGCTGAGACAGGTGGATCACTTCAGGTCAGGAGTTCAAGACCAGCCTGGTCAACATGGTGAAACCCCCTTTCTACTAAAAATACAAACAATGGTCGGGCATGGTGGTGCAGGCCTGTAGTCCCAGCTACTCGAGAGGCTGAGGCAGGAGAATCACTTGAACCTGGGAGGCGGAGGTTGCAGTGAGCTGAGATCGCACCACTGCACTCTAGCCTGGGCAACAAGAGCGAAACTCTGTCTCAAAAAAGAAAAAAAAATCATTTAACCATATACTTAAGGGTTTATTTCTGGACTGTCTATTCAATTGGTCCGTATGTCTGTCTTTATGACAGTACCACAAGGTTTTGATTACTGTAACAAGCAGGAAGTCTGAAGCTTCCAAATTTCTTCTTTTTCAATAATAATGTTTTGACTATTCAAGGCCCCATGAGATTCCACGTGAATTTTTTGGGTGGCTTTTTCTAACTGTGCAAAAAATGCCATTGGGATTTTCATAGGCATTGCACTGAAGCTGTAGATACTTTGGATAGTACTGACATGTTAATAATATTAAGTCATCCATGAACATGAGATGACTTTCCATTTATTTGTTGTTCATAACAGCTTTATTAATGTGTAATTCACATGTAGTACAATTCACTGAAGTATACAATTCAATTGTTTTTCATATATTCAGAGTTTCACAACCATTACCACAATCAACTATAGAACATTTTTATCACCTCCAAAAGAAACCTGGTAACCATTAACAGTCACTCCACATTTCCTCCTAGCCACTCACCAGTACTGGTCTGTAGCCTGTTAGGAACCACGGTTGAGTGGTGGGTGGGCAAGTGAGCAAAGCTTCATCTGTATTTACAGCTGCTCCCTATCGCTCTCATTACTGCCTGAGCTCCACCGTCTGCCAGATCAGTGGCAGCATTAGATTCTCATAGGAGCATGAACCCTATTGTGAACTGCAAATGCGAGGAATCTAGGTTGCATGATCCTCATGAGAATCTAATGCTTGATGATCTGTCATTGTCTCCCATCACCCCCAGATGGGACCATCTAGTTGCAGAAAAACAAGCTTAGGGCTCCTGCTGATTCTACATTATGATAAATTGCACAATTATTTCATTATATATTATAATGAATAACAGAAATAAAGTGCACAATAAATGTAATGTGCTTAAATTATTCCAAAACCATGCCCCCCAGTCCACAGAAAAACTGTCTTCCATAAAATTAGTCTCTGGTATCAAAAAGGTTGGGGACCGCTGCTCTACAATATGTAGTCTTTTATGATGGCTCCTTTCACATACTGTCTTCATAATGCTTCATTATGAAGTATTAGTCCTTCATTTCTCTTTCTCTGAAGCAGGTTAGAGAAAAAAGATCTTAAGACAAAAAATAAAAATTTAAAAATTGGCCGGGCACAGTGGCTCACCCCTGTAATCTCAGCACTTTTGGAGACTGATGCAGGCAGATCACTTGAGGTCAGGAGTTTGAGACCAGCCTGGCCAACATGGTGAAATTCCGTCTCTACCAAAAAATACAAAAATTAGCCAAGCGTGGTGGGGCGTGCCTGTAATCCCAGCTACTTGGGAGGCTGAGGCAGGAGAATCACTTGAACCCGAGAGACAGAGGTTGCAGTGAGCCAAGATCGCGCCACTGCACTCCAGCCAGGGCGACAGAGTAAGACTCTGTCTCAAAACACAATAATAATAATCAAAAACAAATAGTACTTCATTTCTTTTGATTGCCAAATACTCTATTGTATGGATATACCACATTCATCCAAACATCAGTTAATAAAAATCTGAGTTCTGTTCATTTTTTGAAATGCTGAAATGAACATTCATGTACAAGAACATGACATCTGTGTGGACAAATGTCTTTGTTTCTTTGGATTACATACATAAAAGTGGAATTGCTAGGTTACATGGTAACCCTATGTTTAGCCTTTTGAAAACTGCCAGACTGTATTCCAAAGCAGATGCACCATTTTACATTCCCAGCAGCAGAGTATAAGGGTTCCAATTTCTCCCTTTCCTCACACTTGTCAGTATATCTGTCTTCTTTATTATAGTTATCCTTTTGGGTATAACATGGTATAACAACGATTTTATTTCAATTCCCCTGGTGGCTAATGATGTTAAGCAACTTTTCAAGTGCTTATTGGCCCCATGTATATCTTCTTTGAAGAAATGTCTACTCAAATTCTCTGCCCATTTTAATTTATGTATTATTTTTTAGAGACAGGGACTTGCTTGATTGCTCAGGCTGGAGTGCAGTGGCACAATCACAGCTCACTGTAACCTCAAACTCCTGGGCTCACACAATCCTCCTGCCTCAACCTCTGGAGTAGCTGGGAATACAGACACACACCACCACACCTGCCTAGTTTATATCTTTACGTTTTTTAGAGACAGGGTCTCACTAAGTTGCCCAGGCTGGCCTTGAACTCTTGTTTACCCATTTTAAAATTAGGTTATTTGTCTTATTGATTTGTAAGAGCTCTTTGCATATTACAAATATTTTTCAACACACACAGACTGGTAAAAACTTTTTTTAAAGAAAAATTTTTAGAAGAAAATAAGCTCTTTGCCCCTCCCTCCTTTGATTTGCAAATATTTTCTCCTAACCTGTTATCTTTCTTTAGGTATTTTTAGAAGTTTTAGGTTCACAGCAAAACCAAGCAGAAAGTACAGAGTATACCATAGACCCTCTGCACCCAAACACATACAACCTCCCACACTATCATCCTGCACTAGAGTGATACATTAGTTACAATAGATGAAAACACTGACAGTATTATCAAAATTGTCCTGTACATTTTCTATGGGTTTTGAGAAGTGTACAATGACATGTATCGTCATCAGAACATCATAGAAAATACTGTCACTGCCCTAAAAAACCTGTGCTCTGTCCATTCATCTCTTCCCCTTCCAACCATTGGCAATCACTGATCTTTTTACTGTTACTATAGTTTTGCCCTTTCCAGAATGCCACGTAGTTGGAATCATACAGTATGTAGTCTTTTCAAATAGGCTTTTTTCACCCAATATAAACTCAGTCTTTGTATGAATCCATGTCTTTTCACAGCTTGATAGCTCATGCATTTTTGAGCTCTGAGTAAGTCCATTGTCTGAATGTACCACAGCTTGTTTATCCATCCACCTATTCAAAGACACCTTGGGTTTTTCCAAGTTTTGACAATTTATGGATAAGCTGCTATAAACATCCACGTTCAGGTTATTGTGTGGCTACACATCTCAACTCATTTGAGTAAATTTGCTAGATCCTTTGGTAAGAGTTTAGTTTAGTTCAGTTTTATACGAAATTGTCAAACTACCTTCCAAAGAAGCTGTACTGTTTTGCATTGCCACCAGGAATGAATGAGATTTCCTAATGCTCCACATCCTTGCAAGCATTTGGTTATTGTTTTGGATTTTGGCACTCCTAATGAATCTACAGTAGTATCTCATTGTTGTTTTTACTTGCAGCTCCCTAATGATATTTGATGTTGAGCATCTTTTCATATGCATATTTGCTGTTTATCTTCTTTGGTGAAGTGTCAGCTCAGGTCTTTCAAGTTTTTTCTTTTTTTCTTCAATAAACTGGTCTATCGACCATTTTTTAGTGAACCATTTTTAAATTGGGTTCTGTTTTCTTAGTCTTAATAGTTCTTTGTATATTTTGGATAATAGCCCTCTATCAAATTTGTCATTTGTAAATATTTTCTAGCAGTCAATGGCTTCTCTCCTTTTTTAAAAAAATTTTTCGTAGAGACAGTCTCACTATGTTGCCCAGGCTGGTCTCAAACTCGTGGTCTCAAGCAATCCTCCCACTTCAGCCTCCCAAAGTACTGAGATTATAGGCATGAGCCACTCACTGCACCTGGCCTTCCTCATTCTCTTGACAGTATCTTTCACTGGGCAGAAGTTCTGAATTTTAAAGAATTCTAGCTTATTATTTCTTTCATGGATTGTTTTGGTATTGAATCTAAAAAGTCATGATAAGCCCAAGGTCATCTAGATTTTCTCTTAGATCATCTTCTAGGACGTTTATGGTTTTGTCTTTTACATTTTGGACGATGGTCCGTCCACTTTAATTTTTCTGAAGGGTGAAGATTCATTTTTTTTTTTTCACCTCAATGCTCAGCTGTTCTAGCACCATTTGTGGAAAAGACTTTTCTCTATTGTATTGCCTTTGCTTCTTTGTCAAGCATCAGTTGACTGCATCTGTGTGGGTCTATTTCTGCACTTTCCATTCTGTTCTATTGATTTAGTTGTCTATTCTTTCACCAGTACCGTACTGCCTTCATTACTGCAGCTTTACAGTAAATCTTGAAGTCAGGTAGTGTCGTCTTCCAATTTTCAATGTTGTATTAGCTATTCTGGGTTTTTTAGGTGTTTTTTGCCTCTGGAGATATCCACAAAATCATTTGCTGGGATTTTGATTGGGTATACTAAATGCATCTCAATTTAACAAGACCATAAACTGCACAGAATCTATGGTTATGTTGGAAAGAACTGACATGACATTATTGAGTCTTCCTATCTATAATATGAACAAGGAATGTTTCTCGATTTATTTACTTATTCCTTTTTTTTTTTTTTTTGAGACGGAGTCTTGCTCTGTCGCCCAGGCTGCAGTGTGTGACCTCGGCTCACTGCACCCTCCGCCTTCCGGGTTCAATCTGTTCTCCTGTCTCAGCCTCTCCAGTAGCTGGGACTACAGGCACGCGCCACCACGCACGGCTGAATTTTTTTTTTTTTTTTTTTTTTTTTTTTTTTTTTTTTTTTGAGACAGAGTCTCGCTCTGTCGCCCAGGATGGAGAGCAGTGGCGCGATCTTGGCTCACTGCAAGCTCCGCCTCCCGGGTTCACGCCATTCTCCTGCCTCAACCTCCTGAGTAGCTGGGACTACAGGCGCCCACCATCACGCCTGGCTAATTTTTTTGTATTTTTAATAGAGACGCGGTTTCACCATGTTAGCCAGGGTGGTCTCGATCTCCTGACCTCGTGATCTGCCCACCTCGTCCTCCCAAAGTGCTGGGATTACAGGCGTGAGCCACTGCGCCCAGCCCCTTTTTCTTTCATCAGGGTTTTGTAGTAATCCTCAGATAGATCCTGTACATATTTTGTCAGATTTATAAACTATTTCATGTATTTGGGTGCCAATGTAAATTGTATTGTGTTTTTTTGTACAAACAGCCCCAGGCTTATGATAGTTTGACTTATGGTTTTGCCTTTACAATGTTGTGAAAGCAAGAGGCACTTACTAGAAGAAACTGTACTTCAAATTTTTAAATTCTCCCAGGCCAGCAATACGTGGTATATTTTCTTGCAATGCAGGGCAGCAGCAGTGAGCCATTCTGTTTTTTACTTTCAGTATAATAATTAATACATTATATAAGCTATTAATACTTTATTATAAAATATGCCTTGTGTTTAAATGATTTTGCCCAACTAAGGCTAACATAAGTGCTCTGAGCATGTTTAAGGTAGGCTAGGCTAAGCTATGATGTGTGGTAGGTTGGGTGTACTAAATACATTTCAGTTTAACAGTGTATTTTCAATTTATGATGAGTTTATAAGCATGTAACCCCAACATAATTTGAGGAACATCTGTACTGGCTTTTCACTTTCTGTATAGTGTCCTTTGAGATTCAAAATTTTTAAATTTTGATGTCCAATTTACCTGTTTTTATTGTTTGTTGCTTGTGCTATTAGTGTCATATGAAAAACCACCATCAAATCCAAGGTCATGAAGATTTTACACATTTTATTCTAAGAGTTTTATACTTTTTCCTCTTAAATTTATGAATTTAACTCAAGTTAATTTTGATACATGATGTAAGATAGGGAGGGACCCAACTTCCTTCTTTTGTTTGTAGATATCAAGTTGACAGAGTCCCAGTTGTTGAAACAACTATTCTTTCCATACTGAATGGTCTAGGCACATTTGTTGCAAAGTCAGTTGAAAATAGACATGTTTATTTCTGGGCTCTGAATTTTATTCCATTGATCTATATGTTCATCCTTATGACAGCACCACTATCTTGATTACTGCAGCTTTGTAGTAAGTTTTGAAATCATAAAATATGAGTCCTTCAATTTTGTTTTTTGTTTGTTTTGCGAGTTTTCACGCTTGTTGCCCAGGATGGATTGCAATGGCGCAATTTCGGCTCACTGCAACCTCCACCTCCCGGGGTTCAAGCAATTCCCCTGCCTCAGCCTCCCAAGTAGCTGGGATTATAGGCACACACCACCATGCCCGGCTAATTTTGTATTTTTAGTAGAGACAGGGTTTCACCATGTTGGTCAGGCTGGTCTCCAACTCCTGACCTCAGGTAATACACCCACCTCGGCCTCCCGAAGTGCTGGGATTACAGGCGTGAGCCACCGTGCCCGGCCGTAATTTTGTTATTTTTTAAGAGTGTTTTGACTACTATGGATTCCTGAAATTTCCAAATGAACTTAGATCACCTTGTCAATTAAATGTGTATCCTTCAAACTGCAATTTGCAAACTTTAATAACTTTAATCAGTACCCTTTGTCCAGATATGAAGTTACATTTAAATATTAGATTCATTTACTGCTCTCTCTCCCAGTTTGTGTTGTTATAGTAAATCTATAAGACATAATAATTGCTTTATACAGTTAATATTCACTTAGGTTTATTCATGTATTTATTACTTGTTTTGCTCTGCAGTCCTTTCTGTGTCTCTGATAGGTAAAATCACTTTTATTCTACCCTTTGGGACTTTCTTTCATGAGACTCTGCTGGTGGCCATTTCTCATATTCTACACTCTTACTGAAAGATATTTTTGCAAGGCCTACAATTATCAGTTGATAGTTATTTTCCCTTGGCAAATTAAAGCTATCATTCCAATGTCTATTGGTTGTCACTGTTGGGAAACTAGCTATCAGCTGTCTAATGATTCTTCTTTCTTGAAAGTAATCTCTTTTTTTTCTGGCTAAACTCTGACACCTCTCCTCAGTTCTGTAGAGGTCCTAATTGCCTCTTATAATAATGACTTGGCCCCATTCTCTCTACCCTTTCATTCTGGAACTCTGACTAAATGTATATTTTAGACCTTCTCCGTTATCCTATATTCCAAGTTTCTTGCTTACCTTTTTTTAAAAAAAAAACAAAAACAAATAAAAAGCTTTATAATAAAATCTACTAGATGTTAAATTACAAAACTTGATTAAAACTTACCAACCAATAGCAAAGACTGTAGAAAATCATTCTGTATCCTCTTTTCATATATTCTATTTCTTTGCTACTCTGTGGAAATTTCTGAATAAATTCTTGGGAACAGTCTTCCAATTGACTAATTCTCTAATTCTGTCTAATCTGTTGCTAATCCCTTCAATTGATTTGGTTCTTAATTTTAATCATAATTGTTTTTACTTCCAGTTCTATCGTTATTCTTTAGGATTTCTTCTTCTCTACACATATTTTTATTTCCTTAAACACAGTAAGCCTAGCTACTGCATATTTTGTTTAATAATCTGACTATCTAAATTATTTTAAGGGGCCAGGCATGGTGGCTCACGCCTGTAATCCCAGCACTTTCGGAAGCCGAGGTAAGCAGATCACTTGAGGTCAGGAGTTCGAGACCAGCCTGGCCAACGTGGTGAAACCCCATCTCTACAAAAAACATAAAAAATTAGCCAGGTGTGATGGCACACGCCTGTAATCCCAGCTACTTTGGAGGCTGAGGCAGGAGAATCACTTGAACCTGGGAGGCGGAGGTTGCAGTGAGCTGAGATGGTGCCACTGCACTCCAGCCTGGGTGACGGAGAGAGACTCCATCTCAAAAAAAAAAAAAAAAAAAAAAAAAAGATTATTTTAAGGTATGTTTCTGCTGCCTGTTACTTTTGCTCATTCTCACATGCGAGATCTCACTTTCTTGTTAGATTATTCACTTTATGTGCTGCTAACTTTCCTTGCAATATAATGTGAATAAAGGAGGTCTAAGATAAAGGTGAATATTTTCATACACAAAAAATCTTTATTTTCATATGCTAGGTGTCTGGGAAACTAAGAGACCACAATCACATCAAATTTACAACTAGTGCTTCCTTTAGTCACCCAGAGTATGAACTTGGGTTGCATGAATACAACTTCTAGCCCAATTTTTTCCTCTCTATTCTGCTCAGCACAACCAGAAAAACATTCTGTTTTGTTTTTGTTTTTGTTTTTTGTTTTTTGAGTTAGAGTCTTGTTCTGTCACAAGGCTGGAATGCATTGACGTGATCTCCACTCACTGCAACCTCCACCTCCCGGGTTCAAGTGATTCTCCTGCCTTCAGCCTCCCGAGTAGCTGGGACTACAGGCACGCGCCACCATGTCCAGCTAATTTTTGTATTTTTAGTAGAGATGGGGTTTCATCATGTTGGCCAGATGGTCTCAATCTCTTGACCTCGTGATCCACCCACATCGGCCTCCCGAAGTGCTGGGATTACAGGCGTGAGCCACTGCGCCAGCCAGAAAAATATTCTTTACAGAGTCCCTTGGGGAGCAGGTAGGAAGCAAGTTTAGTTCTTCCACTGTAAGTGTATTCTTTTGGGGTATCTTTTTTCTCCCATAGATTTTTGGGGAACAGGTGGTATTTGGTTACACGAGTAAGTTATTTAGTAGTGATCTGTGAGATCTTGGTGCACTTTTGGGTACCAATTAAATGGGAAAAGGAATCCTATGGGAATCCACAGTTTTGAATGGTCCCTGAGTTTATGGTTTTTACCCGTTTTGGGTAGCTTCTACAAAGGGTCCTAAGGGTAAAACTAAGTTTCAGTACTTCACTTCTGTATAGTTTTATCCTGATAATAACTTACCTAGCATATCTTCAAAGATTTTAAGCAGATATTTTCTTACCTATAAGCCTATCATTTTAGTAGTCTTCAGCAGTAAATATATGCCAAAAACAGAATAAAGCCTTTACTCACTCTTTGGTCCAGTTCAACATAGCTTCTGGATCCACCAAAACTCTTTTTGCAGAGGTCAAAAATGAGTACTAAACTGCCCTATCAATTTGGCATACTTTTCATTCCTATCTAATTCAACCTGTAAAGTTGCTGACACACCTGATTATTTTCTTCTCTTAGAGCCAGCTTTTGACTTCCACAACAACACACTTTCCTATACAACTCCTATATAATCATTCCTCAAGGCTCAGATGAGACAGGTCTTCTCACTTCTATATTTCCTCTGCCACCTGTTTGTCTTGGCCGACCAATTCATCTTCTATATGGACAGCCTGTTAACTGGATTTCTTCTGCCCACTCTTGTCCCTGTACAATCCATTCTGTGCCAAAACAACCAGAGTGATCTATTAAAAATAAAAATTAGATGTCACACTGCCTTTGCAAAACCTAAGGTACTGGATTTGAACTTTAGATAAACTCCACATTATTTAACATGGCGCATAAATGATGACTCCTGCCTATTCATCTATAATTAACATTTTATATAATACCGTAGGCAAACTGACCTTTTTTCCAGTTCCTCAAATACACCAAAATCTTTTCTGCCAGATCCTTGACATTTACTGTTCCCTTTTCCTGGAATACTGTTTCCCTACTCTTTGCTTGGTTATGTCCTACTTCCACTTCAGATTTCACTATTACTGACTTTCTCAGAGGCCTTCCCTGACTACTCAATGAAATAGCATCCTGTTTTTTTCTTTTAGAGTATTTATTGTAATTTGTGATTAAGTACTTATTGTGGGTTTATTTTTAAGTCTGTTCCCCCAGTTAGCTGTAGGTTCTAGGCATGTAGAAACCCTATTTGTTACCTTCTCACTCTGTGCCCAGTTTCTAAGCAGTGTCTGGCACATAGTAAGCACTCAATGAGTATATGTTAAATGACTGATTTCTCTCCCTTTAAGCAGACCCACAGGAAAAGTACAAGTCTAATGAGATACTACATGTAGAAGACAGAATCAGAACCAAAGGGGATGAGTTAAATGATGGGAATGTACATAAGAATCAGGTCAAAGTAAGACATATCTGCAATTATAATGGTTAAAGTTATATAAGCCAAGATTACTTTCCGTTAATATTTAATGAATAAGATCAGCACATGCCTCAAGAACTCAATACATGGCTTTTAATTATTGTCTATAATTTAAGGAAATAATCACCTACAAATAGGATGTTTCTCAAGTTGGCTTACAAATTTGTTACTTGGCAGACTGAAAACATTTCCCACAGAACAAATATTATACACAATGGTTGGGTTCCTTTGGTTAATGCATAATGTTTACTCCATAATTTATTTACCCACAAACATGAATTGAACATTTCTTTGTGCCAGAAACTATTCTAACACTAGAAATACAATAGTAATGAACAAATAGAAAAAAATCCTATTGTCATTGGTATTACATCCATAGTTTTTTCTCCAAGAGAATAAAAGTAAGTAAAATATATAGAATTATAGATAATGATATATGCTATGGTGAAAAACAAAGCTGGGTAAAGGGATAGAGAATGGGGGAAGGATAATTTTAACTGATTATTAGTAGAATGTACTAGTATCTCTGTTCTAAAAGGATTTAAGATAGGTATTACTTACCGAACCTAAGTATTACAAATAAAATAGCAATGCTTACACTAGGAAAGACTTTCAACTGAGAAGCATTATAAAAACACACTTCCTTTCCCACAGCAGTAGGACAGGCAGAGAACTGCTAAGGCTCTAAGTCACGTAACAAGCTATCATAGCCTGAGGCAGGTCCTCCAAGAAGGCAGTGGTTACAGAAGGCTAAAAGCAGTACTGGGGATTCCAGGAAGAAAAGAAATGAGGAGCCAAGAAGGCTAGCACACTTCTTGTTGATGATATGAAGCCCCACCGACAGGCAGTCCCCTCTACTCAGCCACTAATTGGCTAGCTTTTCTTCCTACAACTTTATTTCCAACCAAGATCAGTTTCCTATTTGGCATATAATGTTATATAATTTTCCCTTATTATACCCTCTACTGAAAACAAATATTTAACTATTGGGGCTTTTCTGATAAACTTAATAGCAGAAAAAGATTCCTTTTATCCCCATATCTGTACCATTATAATTCATATTGAAGGAATGCAGATACCTGATAAACTATTCTGGTTCTCTATTTTACCTTAATAACTAGGATAGGAACCAGGATCTGGGATGAAATGCAAGAAGTTAAAAAAAATTAGAACAAGATTGTAAAAAGTAACCCTAGCACCACAGTAATGACTAGACCAAGAGAGATAATCATCCAGTTTAGTCATTTATAGTTTGTCCACAACCATTTCCACTACCTTAGATCATGCACCATAGACTAAGTGGGGAAAACAGAAAGAGGCAAGAAGAGTGCTCTCTAAAGCCACTGGCTCATACAGCTGCGGTGAGAGCCAGGTAAGCAATGAGCATATAAATTAAGCCTGTCCACAGTAACTTGTTTTTATTCTTTCATACGAGAAAGGGCGTTCTCAGTATTGTCACCTAAAACAAAAACAAAAAAAAACAAAACAAAAAAAAAAAAAAACAAGGGTATAAGTCAGTGAGTACTAATTTTCTTTTGTAATTACAGTATTCATCACGCTGTTACTTTCATAAAATAAAACGATTCCTCAGGTGGTAATTATCAGGTATATTTCCAGGAATTTTTCAAGTTAAATACAATGTATTTATATTCAACATTTCATAAAATAGAGCCTCAAGTTTGAGAAAATATAAACAGCAACATACAATCAAAACAAAGCATCAGTAGAAAGATGTTGGCCAGAAACAATTACCTTTATGGCTGTGTGTTTGTTTTCATCTTCTTCCATCCATAGATCCTGTTCATAATAGTATAAGCCATCATTGATAACTTTAGCAAGTTCAGATGTGATTTTTGCCCGAGACATGTGGGTGCCTGTTCGATCTCCTCCAGGATGTTTTTTCACATAAGGTGGTGTCTGAGTTACAATCAAAATCTTGTTTAAGTCTTGGTCATCAATTTCATAATCTGAATCATTATCAGACCAATCAGTAAATGTGTTTTTTCGTCCTATTTGTTCAATCTCTTCATCAAACAAAAAATCAAGTTCTTCTTGTTCTGGTTCTTCTGAAGAACATAGCTGATTTAATGACCCTTCAGGGACAGACACTGATTCCTGAAGGAAGAAATTGGTAATTTATATAAAAAACTTTCTATCATTTTTAAATTAAATGTCATAAAACAGTGTTACAAGTAAGTAATATCAAGCTTTTATGCTCAATTGCTAGTTTAACAGCCAAACTGTAAAAGAAAATCAAGTGAGTATTATTTTGGCCCAGTAAATTTAAGACTAAAGAAAAACACAAAGTTGAATAAAGAAAGGATTACATTAAAGACTCTTTTAGAGTTGGAATAGTCTTAATCATCCATTACATTGCACTGATTCATTTTACTGATTAAAACAAAGGCCTAGAGATATGAAAGTATTTGCCTATGATTTCATAATTATAAACAGAACCAATTATCTGGTTGTGGATTGCTGTATTCCCAGCTACTCGGGAGGCTGAGGCAGGAGAATCGTTTGAACCTGGGAGGCAGGGAGGTTGCAGTGAGCCAAGATCGCGCCATTGCGCTAGAGCCTGGGCGACAAGAGCGAAACTCTGTCTCAAAAAATAAATAGATAGATAGATAGATAGACAGATAGATAGAATCAAGGTCTTCTGATTTTCAGAGTCAATGGTCTTCCCTATTCCGAACCTTTTTACCTCACAATGATAATAACATAGTTTCTGAGCTAATCCCTCTACTCTATCCTCATCCCCATTCTACATGGCCCAGTTTTCATGTCAAATTCATGCTAATATTCAGCAAATGTTAAAATGTCTACCCCTCAGGCCAGGTGCAGTGGCTCACACCTATAATCCCAGCACTTTGGGACGCTGAGGCGGGTGGATCACAAGGTCAGGAGTTCAAGACCAGCCTGGCCAACATGGTGAAACCCCGTCTCTACTAAAAATACAAAAATTAGCCAGGCGTGGTGGCACGCACCTGTAGTCCCAGCTACTCGGGAGGCTGAGGCAGGAGAATTGCTTGAACCTGGGAGCCAGAGGTTGCAGTGAGCCGAGATCACGCCACTGGACTCCAGCCTGGGAGACAGAGCGAGACTCTGTCTGAAGAAAAAAAAAAAAAAAAAAAAAATTGTCTACCCCTTCTATAGAACTTAAAACAGCTAGGCCAGGTGCAGTGGCTCACATCTGTAATCCCAACACTTTGGGAGGCCAAGATGGGCAGATCACCTGAGGCCAGGAGTTCAAGACCTGCCTGGCCAACATGGTGAGACCCCATCTCTACTAAAAATGCAAAAATTACCCAGGTATAGTGGCACACACCTGTAGTCCTAGCTACTCGGGAGGCTGAGACAGGAGAATCGCTTGAACCCTGGAGGCGGAGGCTTGAACCCTGGAGGCGGAGGCTGCAGTGAGCTGAGATTGTGCCACTGTACTCCAGCCTGGGTGACAGAGCGAGACCCCATCTCAAAAAAAAAAAAAAGAACTTAAAACAGTTGTTGGTTTACATTAAAAGTCTAAGCTTTTAGATCCTAGATCTTATAACATGTAAACTAGTTTAAAACTCCCAACAGAAGGAAGTAGTTTCTACTTGGTGTTACATTCATTTTTCGTCCTCTGGCCTATTTTACCCTTCAGTTCATGCTAACTTCCTATGTCTAGGAAAAAAACAATTCCTCCCTTTCAAAATTCCCAATAATGTAGATCCATATTCATTTAGTCGATAACTATCTGAGTGCTTCCTCTGAGCCAGGCACTGTTCTAGGCAGGGACAGACAGCAATAAATTTAACAACAACTATGCCCTGATGGAGCTCACATTCTAGTAAACAGAAGACTACCCAAGATGTTTTTACTAAAAAAAGACAAGTTGTAAAACACTGTGAATATATATTTTTTAAAATACTGATGATATATTTTAAACAATATACATTGCTTTTCACATTTGCAGGTACATGATAAAAGTCTAAGAGAATAAACAAACTGTTAAATTTGTTTTTGTAATTTCTGAGGAAAAGACCATTATTAAGAGATTAGGGGTTGAAGATGACTTAAGTTTGCATGCTTATTTGCAGTAATAATACACAGTGCAAAGAATAAAAACAATAAATCCACATCAATACTGAAAACAAGTATTACTATCAGAAGATCAAAGACTTTTATGACTTTCGGGAAAGCAGAAAATAAATGGGATTGTATTGATAATAAACAAAAGCAGAGAAAACAGCAACCTAGAACTGATACAAAGGTTAAAGGGGAAGCAAAAGCCATTGATCCCGCCAGGGTTCTAGAAAGTTTTGAGATGGCAGTTACAAGGAGTAGGAATGGACTATTGGATGGCAATCAAAATAGGTATTTGGAAAACCAACTATAGAACACAGCTGGAACAGTCAATCCAATCCCTTTATCTCAGAATATAAAACTATATAAAGATCGCTCCCAACTAAAAGCCCAAGAATTACTTTCTAAACAAAATAAGATTTGACAAGAGAGGGCTCATGTTTTGTGTACTGGGGCTGAACAGAAGTTGAACACATCCTAGCATTATTCTGAACCTCTAAAATAGAGCTGGGGGGAGGAAAAGAAAAGGTAATTTCACCAATGAATGAGATACACTAAGAAATTCTACATCCCAGAGAAAAGTACTGCTTTTTTTGTTTTAGCAATTTTGGAGAAAAAGAGCCAGCATCCCTATTCTCTGCCTAGGTGTCCAAGTCCATAGGACGTTTTCACTTACCAAGAACGTGCAATCAGCTGGGCACAGTGGCTCACGCCTGTAATCCCAGCACTTTGGGAGGCCGAGGCAGGTGGATCACCTGAGGTCAGGAGTTCGAGACCAGCCTGGCCAACATGGTGAAACCCCATCTCTATTAAAAATACACAAAAAAATTAGCTGGGCATGGCGGCGGGTGCCTGTAATCCCAGCTACTCGGGAGGCTGAGGCAGAAGAATTGCTTGAACCTGGGAGGCGGAGGTTACAGTGAGCCGAGATCACACTGCCATTGCACTCCAGCCTGGGCAACAAGAGCGAAACTCTGTCTCAAAAAAAAAAAAAGACTGTGGAATCATACCTCACATTAAACAAAACAGCCCACTAGATGAGCAGATTAGATCAAACAAGAAAACCATGCATATTTACTAATATTAATATGAACTATCAACCAAAAATCGCCAGATATTAAGAAAGCATTCAAAAAGCAACCAAAACAATGATGGAAATAATGAAAATATCAGAAGAGAACTTTTTTTAAACACCCAAGGCCCAGTATTTAGATGATCTATCAAGGAGGTCCAACATCAGATGAAAACAGATACCAGAAAGTGGAAATAAGAGAAACATTAGTTTCTCCCAAATGAAGGACATGAATACTCAGCACAATGCATAAAAATAGACCAGACAGAGCAGGGCGCGGTGACTCACGCCTGTAATCCCAGCACTTTGGGAGGCTGAGGCGGGCGGATCACGAGGTAAGGAGATCAAGACCATCCTGGCTAACACGATGAAACCCCGTCTCTACTAAAAATACAAAAAAAAAAATTAGCTGGGCGTGGTGGCAAGCGCCTGTAGTCCCAGCTACTTGGGAGGCTGAGGCAGGAGAATGGCATGAACCCGGGAGGTGAAGGTTGCAGGGAGCCGAGATCGCGCCACTGCACTCCAGCCTAGTGACAGGGCAAGACTCCATCTCAAAAAAAAAAAAAAAAAATAGACCTGACTGGGCAAGGTGGCTCATGCCTGTAATCCCAACACTTTGAAAGATCGAGGTGGGTGGATCACTAGAGCCCAGGAGTTCAAGACTAGCCTGGGCAGCAAGGAGAAACCCTGTCTCTACAAAAAAAAAAAAAAAAAAAAAAAATTAGCCGGGCCTGTTGGTTTGTGCCTGTAGTCCCAGCTACTTGGGAGGCTGAAGCAGGGGAATCGCTTGAGCCCAGGAGGCAGAGGCTGCAGTGAGCAGAGATCGCGCCACTGCACACCAGTCTAGGCAAAGGGAGTGAAACCCTCTGCCAAAAAAAAAAAAAAAAAAAGATTTTCTGTTTAAAATTAGACCTACACCAAAGCACATCATCTTGAAATTTCAAGAGCTGGGGATGAAGAAATGATCTTAAAAATCTCAAGCAAGGCCAGGTGTGGTGGTTCACACCTGTAATCCCAACACTTTGGGAGGCCGAGGCCAGCGGTTCACCTGAGGTCAGGAGTTCGAGAACAGCCTGGCCAACATAGTGAAACCACGTCTCTACTAAATATACAAAAATTAGGCCAGGTGCAGTGGGCCACACCTGTAATCCCAGCACTTTGGGAGGCCGAGGCGGGTGGATCACCTGAGGTCAGGAGTTCGAGAACAGCCTGGCCAACATGGTGAAACCCCGTCTACTAAAAACATAAAAATTAGCTGGGTGTGGTGGCCTGTGCCTTTAATCCCATCTACTCTGGAGGCTGAGGCAGGAGAATCGCTTGAACCCGGGAGGGGAAAGTTGTACAGAGCCGAGATCACGCCACTGTACTCCAGCTTGGGCAAAAGAGTGAGATTCTGTCTGAAAAAAATAAATAGATAAATGCAAAAATTAGCCGGGTGTAGTAGCAGGTGCCTGTAATCCCAGCTACTCACGAATCTGAGGCAGGAGAATCTCTTGAACCCAGGAGGTGAAGGTTGCAGTGAGCTAAGATCACACCATTGCACTCCACTGCAGCCTGGGCAACAAGAGCAAGACTCTGTCTCAAAAAAAAAAAAAAATCTCAGGCCGGGCATGGCAGCTCATCCCTATAATCCCAGCACTTTGGGAGGCTAAGGCAGGCGGATCAGGAGGTCAGGAGATCCTGGCTAACATGGTAAAACTCCATCTCCATTAAAAATACAAAAAATTAGCTGGGCATGATAGCACACACCTATAGTCCCAGCTGCTCGGTAGGCTGAGACAGGAGAATTGCTTGAACCCAGAAGGCAGAGGTTGCAGTGAGCCAAGACTGCGCCACTGCACTCTAGCCTGGGCGACACAGCAAGACTCAAAAAAAAAAAAAACTCAAGAGGAAAAAAAAATCACTTGATAAAAAGAATGTGAATGGACTGACTTTCATAAGATGACAAAAGAAACCAAGATGACAAAAGAAAAATGCTTTTAGAATTCCAAAGAAAAATGATGCCCAACAAAGATCTGTATACCCACTCTAGAATGTTTTTAAAAGATCACTTTTTTAAAAGTATATTAAAAATAATGTCAATAACTGAGCTACCTCAACAGTTATCTCTGAAATATCTAGGCCCCCAGAACCTAAAGCCATGTTTCCTCCAGGCCAGATCCTCAGTCTGTAGCATCAGAATACCATACATTTCAGATATACTGGCATTGTTTGGCCATAAAACTACACAGTTCTCCTTATACTTTTAAAACCAGCTACCAGAACCAATTTGCTGGTCCTCCACATCACAATCCTCTCAATACCTTCCATCCCCTTTAGAGAGCTTACTTTCAATATTTGAATCTTTTGAGTGGCATTCTCCCCAAGTTTATTTTTAGTGAACTTTTACTTTGAAATAATTATACATTCAGATACAGTTGTAAGAAATAATAGAGATCTCATATATCCTGGTTTCCCCCAATGTTAACATCTCACAAAAATATACTACAACATCCCAAACAAGGTATTGACTTTGATATAAATCAATCTTAGCTTATACTTCCCCAGTTTTACTTGCACTCATTTGTGATTTAGATCAAAGCAATCCTATCACATATGTAAGTTCGTGTATCTACCACCAGTGAAAAATGCAGAGCAGTACCACCACAAGGATCTCCTATTTCTCTTTTTATAAATATAACCATCTCACTCTCTTATGTACCCTCCACCAAAAATTCAATTTTCTTTTCCTTTTGCACATTAAATCACCAAAACATATATAAACCAGATATATAAATCACCAACACTTATATAAACCTTATAAATAATTAACATGAGTGTAACTTCAAAATTTATACATTTTCTGGCCAGGCCGCAGAGGCTCACGCCTGTAATCCTAGCACTCTGGGAGGCCAAGGCAGCCAAATTATTTGAGGACAGGAGTTTGAGACCAGCCTGGACAATATGGTGTAATCCCGTCTCTACCAGAAACACACAAAAAAATAGTTGGGCATGGTGGAGTGACCCTGTAATCCCAGTAAGTCAGGTGGCTGAGGCACAAGACTCTCTCGAACCCAGCAGGCAAAGGCTGCAGTGAGCCAACATGGCAGCAACAGCACCCCAGCCTGGGCGACAGAGCGAGACTCTGTCTCAAAAAATAAAAGTCATATTTTTTCAACTTCATAAAAAACTGAAATATTATTCAAGTTAAAATTAGTCACAAGTAGAAAAACCAAGACAAAATTCTTTTTTTTGAGACAGGGTCTCACTTTGTCACCCTCCCTGGAGTGCAGTGGTGTGATCATGGCTCACTGCAGTCTTGACCTCCTGAGCTCAAGTGTTCCTCCTGTCTCAGCCTCCTGAGTAGCTGAGACCACAGGCACATTCCACCAAAAAATTAGCATTAGCTAACTTTATGAATTATTTGTAGAGACAGGGTCACCCTATGTTGCCCAGGGGGCCCCGAACTCCTGCGCTCAAGCAATCTTCCTGCCTTGGCCTCCCGAAGTGTTGTGATTACAGGAATGAGCCACTGTGCCCAGCCTCCAAAATTCTTAAATCATGTTCAGAAATAAAAAATATACTTTAAGGCCGGGTGCAGTGGCTCATGCCTCTAATCCCAGCACTTTGGGAGGACGAGGCGGGCGGATCATGAGGTCAGGAGTTCAAGACCAGCCTGACCAACATGGTGAAACCCCGTCTCTACTACAAATACAAAAATTAGCTGGGCATGGTGGCTCGCGCCTATAATCCCAGCTACTCAGGAGGCCAGGGCAGGAGAATCGCTTGAACCTGGGAGGCAGAGGTGGCAGTGAGCCAAGATCGCGCCACTGCACTCCAGCCTGGGCAATAGGGCAAGACTCCATCTCAAAAAAAAAAAAATAAATAACATTTTAAAAATTGATACAACTTATTTTCCTCATAGAATAACCCATAAGTGTCTACTGAAGGCCAACAATTACAAAGTTAAAATTGTGCTAAACTTTTCCAAATTTTACATATGTACCTAACAAACATAAAGTGCACTGACCTTATACTCCACCCAGGGTATGTCACACTTCACTCAGTCTGTAACAACTTACCCTCAATTTCACTGGGGCTGGCTGATGTCTTTTTTTAACTTCTATCCAAGGTTCTGAGTCCAAGTCAGGCAAACTGGTAGACAAACCTCTAGACATTGCTTGAAGAATACTTGTTTCACTGTTTTTCTTTGGGCTCAATGGGCTTCCAATTCTTGGAGAATTTGGGGCAGACTCTAAAATTTTAAGTTAGTTCTATAGTTAAAATGATAATGGCTTTTCTTACTTACAAAATACACTTCATTTTTTCCTTAACTGGGGCTTGATATTTTTTCACAAAAACATGATCAGTCTCAACTGTAAGCTTTCCAGTGATTTTCAAACCTGAAGGGCTCATAAGATTTACTCAAAAGTGAAGCCACTGAATAATTAAAGCATGTCACCAAGTCTTACACAGACCACTACATTCATGTAAACTTCTCAAAAATATCAATGTGAGTCACTTCCTAATTATGACAGTACAACTATTAGGAAGTCAAGTTCTCTGAAAAATCTTAGATTAAAATCTATAAATTATAAGGAAATTATGGCATCTCAGTTGCTATTAAGCCATAGTTAAGCTAAATGCACATCTTATTCAAGGTAAAATTAGTCTCTTGTTCTACTAGGGTCTATACTAAAGCCATTATTACTCCTACTTTTCACATTTCCTTGGCTCAGCAAGGTTTGTCTACTGCAATAAATGCAGTGTAGTCATTTACTACTTTGGCTCATACTGAAATACTTTAAAGAGTGAAGTGTCGACTGGCCTGACCAACACGGAGAAACCCTATCTCTACTAAAAATACAAAATTAGCCGGGCGTGGTGGCACATGCCTGTAATCCCAGCTACTCAGGAGGCTGACGCAGGAGAATCGCTTGAACCTGGGAGGTGGAGGTTGCAGTGAGCCGAGATGGCGCTATTGCACTCCAGCCTGGGCAACAAAAGCGAAACTCCATCTCAAAAAAAAAAAAAAAAAAAAAAGAGTAAATGTCACATCACTAACGCACACAGCCCTGGCAATAACATTAAAAGCATTTAAAAATTGTTGGAACTTAAAAGGTCTTTCTATACAGTACACTTCTGTAGGTTTATTTTTAATCAAAATGATAAAATTCAAATTGCAGCCAGGCGCAGTGGCTCACACCTACAATCCCAGCAGTTTGGGAGGCTGAGGCGGGTGGATCACAAGGTCAGGAGTTCAAGACCAGCCTGGCCAAGATGGTGAAACTCCGTGTCTACTAAAAATACAAAAAAATTAGCCAGGCCTGGTGGTGAGCACCTGTAATTCCCACTACTCAGGAGGATGAGGCAGAGAATTGCTTGAATCCGCAAGGCAGAGGTTGCAGTGAGCTAAGATCTGCGCTCCAGCCTGGGCGACAGAGCAACTCTCTGTCTCAAAAAAAAAAAAAAAGAAAAAAAGAAAAGAAAAAGAAAAAAAATCAAATGGCTTCTTTTATAAATATTTTTTCAAAAGTCAAAGAATATTTAAATATTTTAAGTTATATTCATGTTTAGATCTGAAGATGCAATATGAACTTGCTTTGAACACAAGGTGTCTTCAAAAAATGTACTCTGTAACATTATGTTGTAAGCCTCAAATATACACAATAAAATTTATTTTTCAAAAATGTATACCATAAAATTCTTAACATCATTAACTCCTCTAAGTCAATTCACTGAAAATATTGAGAAGTTAAATGTTAAATGCAGAAAGCTGAAATAAATTAACACCAGCAATCTTTTGTTTAATATTTACTAAATGAAAGGCACATTTCAAGAATGGGTTTAAGAAGAGTATTTCAAGATTTTACATTCATCTACATGCTAGACATAGATGAGAGTAAAATCAGATAGCTTTAATATCTTCCCCTTGGACACATGGACTCAACCAGGACTCAACTACTAGATTACTGTATTATTTATAAAAGACTATATATTGTTTCATAACAGGAAAAGCTCTAGAACTGTGCTGTTCAATACAGTAGGCACAGCTGGGCGTGGTGGCTCATGCCTGTAATCCCAGCACTTTGGGGGGCCGAGGTGGGCGGATCACCTAAGGTCAGGAGTTGGAGACCAGCCTGACCAACATGGCAAAACCCCATCCCTACTGAAAATACAAAAACTAGCCGGGCGTGGTGGTGGGTGCCTGTAATCCCAACTACTTGGGAGGCTGAGACAGAAGAATCCCTTGAACCAAGGAGGCAGAGGTTGCAGTGAGCTGAGATCACGCCATTGCACTCCAGCCTGGGAGACACAGCAAGACTCCATCTCAAAAAAAAAAAAAAAAAAAAAAAAATAGAGTAAGCATTAGCTATATGCAGTTATCTATCACTTCAAATGTGGCTAGTCCTGAAACATGCTCAGGACAAGAGTAAAATACACACCAGGTATTAAAGACCAGGTACTCCCAACCCCGCTAAAAAAAAATAGTGCCATTAATTTTTACACTGAGCATATAACATTTGGATCTATTAAGTTAAATTAAAATATCTATTTAAAATATTAAAATTAATTTCATGTTTTATAATTTTAAGAATACTAAAATTTTTAGAGTTATATACATGGCTCACATTTTTATTGGACAGTGGTGCTCTGTAACTTTATTAACACTACATATATCACCAATTCATTCACAAAAAAAGTACAAGTGAAATACAAGCTTTGGATGAACATTAATTGTCTAGTTATAGGAATGGGAAAAATATTAACTCCAGAGAACACTTTTTTTTTTCTTTTTAATGAACCATACATGAAACTTTTTTTAAGAGACAGAGGATGGGCACAGTGGCTCATGCCTATAATCCCAGCACTTTGGGAGGCCGAGGCAGGCAGATCATCTGAGGTCAGGAGTTCAAGACCAGCCTGGCCAACTGGTGAAACCCCGTCTCTACTAAAAAAAAAAAAAATACAAAAATTAGCCAGGCGTGGTGGTAGGCACCTGTAATCCCAGCTACTTGGGAGGATGAGGCAGGAAAATCACTTGAACCCAGGAGGCGGAGGTTGCAGTGAGCCACTGCACTCCAGCCTGGGGGACAAGAACAAGACTTTGTCTCAAAAACAAAACAAAAAAAAGAGACAGGGCCCCTTACAGCTGTACAGTGCCATGATCATAGCTCACTACAGCCTCAAACTCCTGCGCTCAAGTAATCCTCTCAACTCAGCCTGCTGAATAACTAGTACTACACATGCACACCACCACACCCAGTCAACATAAAAATACATGTATTTTGTAGACTGGGTCTCACTTTGTTACCCAGGCTGGCCTTGAACTCCTGGCCTCAAGCAATCCTCTCACCTCAATCTCTAAAGCGCTGCGATTATAGGCATGAGCTACTGCACCTGGCCCAGAGAACTCTATTTCTAATACTATGAATTATCAATGTTCATATTAAATAAAGCCTTAAAAGTAGATGAAGAGCTGGGCTTGGTGGCTCATGCCTATAATCCCAGCACTTTGGGGGGCCGAGACAGGTGATCACCTGAAGTCAGGAGTTCGAGACCAGCCTGACCAACATGGTGAAACCCCGTCTCTACTAAAAATACAAAAAAATAGCCGGGCGTGGCAGCACACACCTGTAGTCCCAGCTACCCGGGAGGCTGAGGCAGGAGAATTGCTTGAACCTGGGAGGCGGAGTCTGCAGTGAGCAGAGATCGTGCCATTGCACTCCAGCCTGGGCAACGGAGCAAGACACCATCTCTTAAAAAAAAAAAAAAAAAAATTATGAGTTTTTGGTATGTCACCCAGTCTGGCCTTGGAACTCCTGGGCTCAAGTATCCTCCAAACTTAACCTCCCAAGTAGCTGGGCTACAGGTGTACACCCCCACACTCAGATGCTTCTTATAAAATTATCTCTAAATGTTATTTAAGCTTGAATTATGCTTAAATACTTCTACTGGGAAGTAAAGTATTTCAATATATTCGCCAACACATATGCTTAGAAATGAAATGACATTAAAACACTAAAGAATTTGGGTAAGACAAGAAAACGTACAATTCTTAGAATAAGACTCGTAAAGGTGTTAACCTCATAATTAATTTACATATATGCTCTGTGTGGTCTGCTGCATCTTTTTTTTTTTTTTTTTGAGACGGAGTCTCGCTCTGTCGCCCAGGCTGGAGTGCAGTGGCGGGATCTCGGCTCACTGCAAGCTCCGCCTCCCGGGTTCACGCCATTCTCCTGCCTCAGCCTCCCAAGTAGCTGGGACTACAGGCGCCCGCCACTACGCCCGGCTAATTTTTTGTATTTTTAGTAGAGACGGGGTTTCACCGTTTTTTTTAGCCGGGATGGTCTCGATCTCCTGACCTCGTGATCCGCCCGCCTCGGCCTCCCAAATCTTTTTTTTTTTAATAATGAAAAGACTTCAAACTATACATCTGAACGGATTAAGGGTAATAGTAAACCCTAATCTTCCAAGACAAAATGAGTTTAAATGACTTAGATTACCTGATATTAAACTACTTAGAAACAAAAAAAATTTAGATACATATATTTAATACTTGTTTTAATTTGTAAGAACACAGAAAATTTATCTTTGCTGCTTTTATTAACTGAAAATTATCAGTGGCCGGGCACAGTGGCTCACGCCTGTAATCCCATTTTAGGAGGCCGAGGTGGGCTGATCACAAGGTCAGGAGTTCGAGACAAGCCTGACCAACATGGTGAAACTCCATCTCTACTAAAAATACAAAAATAAGCCAAGCGTGGTGGCACACACCTGTAATCTCAGCTACTCGGGAGGCTGAGGCAAGAGAATTGCTTGAATCCAGGAGGCGGAAGTTGCAGTGAGCCGAGACTGCGCCACTGTACTCCAGCCTGAGCGACAGAGTGAGGCTCCGTCTCAACAACAACAAAAAAAATATCAACTGAACTCTCCAAAGATAAATCACCATATACATTTCATCTCTGGTATGATTTTTTTTTTGTACCTTGGGAGGATCACAGTTCTGGGTAATTAAAAAGGTTTCCTGAAAAAAGGATTATATATTTTATGTGTGGCACTTTTTAAAATTTTCATTGAGTGGTGCTAAGAGTCAAGGGGAAAAAAAAAAGAAAAGAAAGAAAAACACTACATTACAGTGCCCTTGTGAAGATTATTAAAATTTAAAAAAAGAAAAAAACCCAACATTGTCAGGTACCTGACCTTTCAATTCTGATGAATGAAATCCTTTCATTTAAGAGTTAATAGTAAAATACTAACAATATCCATAAAACTGCAAAACCTATGTTTCAGAAGTAATCTTACCATTCCCATAATCAATGTTTTCTGGTGCATAAAGGTAGACTTCTGCTCAGTTCAACCCCTATTAGAAAATTCAACCTCCAGATAGGAAAAAAAATAGAAATTTTAATCTCTTTGATGAAGAAGACCAATTATGTTAGAATATTTTACCATACAAATCCCTCAGAAATCATAAAGAGTTATGTTGTTAAAATTTTAAGGTCTTCAAATTTGAGATTAAAATGATATACAGTTTCACTACTTTTCTCTACTCATAGATACATATAAGCACAGTCTATGCTTCTTATCTCTATTTCCACTTCAAATTTTTGGTGACATACTACTCTCCATTGACTTAAAGAAACTAGGCTTTCTTATCACTAGGAAATTATTAAGGTCAGAAATTTGGGAATTCATGGAAAGAGGTGATTTACATATTTATTCCTATGACCTAATGTGAATCAGCATAATTCTAAGAACCCTCCATCTTCCTATATTTCTTCATTAACCATCTAGTTTCTGATATGTAATCTAAATAACCTAAAATTTATGACATTTTAATATATACTGGCTTGTTTCAGACAATATGTATGTGCATGCATCTGAGTGTATATTAAAAAACACAAAAATGTACAACATTATGATTTTATTCTTATAATTTTATTAGTATGCATAAATGGTTAATGGACAGGCATTACCAACTTGACTGACCTATCTTACCTACCCTGCAGAGAAAGTATATGCTATTTTATCTAACTTACCCAATGCCTTGTGAACCCAATGTTCATAAGCTAGCTAAAACTATCATCTTGGACCCAAGTTGATATCATAAATAAATCTAACTTATATAATCACCCATTATATCTTAACAAAAAATAAATTAAAAACCACTAGCTAAAATAATGTCACTTTTCTTCAGCTTTTAAAATGCCTGTCCAAGTTGCTTACTGGGATTAGAAGCAGAAGGCTGACAAAGAAACATATGATAAAAATAGTGTGAGACTGTCCATCATCGATGCTTTGTTGATGGGACGTCCTCTCATACTGATGTATCAAAAATACATTTTGAAGAGTAAAGGAAGAAATAACCTCATCCAGTTCTTAAATTCCTTACCCCTTAAGTGACCACATTAATAAGTCTTATGTCCAAGTGAAACATCATGACAATATCTGAGTTTTACAATGTACACTACACTGAAAGGCAAATCGAATAGCAAAGTACTTAAGAATCTGGGAAATGCTACTCAATCCCCTCTTTTTCTGCTTTATTCATCTGGACACAAGTACATAACCCTGGAAACAGAAAACATAATCTTGCGGTATTTCCAGAATAATAATAATTAACTTTCCCACCATGAATAAAAGCAGCCCATGCAGCCCAGGCCAATTACACAGAAATAGGCAGCTCCTATAAAAAGAGTAGCAGTCCTCTGGTCTGTCTCTCATTATCGCAAAGGTGGTTATCTCCACTGCAGTGTTGGCCCAACTTCCTCCACCAAGAGGTGGGAATAGACATTCTTGAACAGAAGACAGTCTGATCGCTTTCATTTTTGCAGCAGGATTTGTTCCAGTATTTATAAAGGCATTTCAGTGAGTCACCTATTCCACTGCATATTCCGATCAAATGACATCCAAGAGCTTCAGAAGATCATCACCCTGACTGAAAAAAGTTTAAGCACACATTTTTTCCCAAGAGGGAATGTCTTAAAAATGATCCAGGAAAAAATTATTAACATTAAATCTTTTGGAAATTCTAAACACAACCAAATTAAACAGAACCCCAATTCTAATTTAGAATGCAGGTCATTTTATCTTTCCAAGACAAGATTAAAGCGTATTGGTAACAAAATTAAAGGAAGACTACCCCACTCTTGAGTATAAGACCTTTTTAGAATAATCCAATCATACTATTCCAATTTTACAGGGGAAAACGATACATATCTATAGTTATTTAGTAAAAATAAAAGATAGAAACTCCATACATGACAAAGTACACATATAATTTAAGAACAAGAAACATAAGACAGCTTTCCTCATAATTCTTAAATCCTTATTTAATTTGTAACTCTGTGAGTGAGGCAATATGAATACAAAATGGGACTCAAAAGTCTTTCAGTTAGCTTTAATTTTCCTATCAAATCTAAATAAACTGAAAATAAATAAATAAGTAAGTAAATTGGACCAAATAACCCACTGTTACATCGTTTGCTCTAGAAGAAAAGATGTTACCTGTATGTGAGCAAAAGGCTTGGCCTGGTACAAACTCTGGACAATCAATCAGTTGAGAGAAGTCTGTTGGTGGCACACTGCGTGGAGGAGGGCCTGGAATTGGCCATTTTTCTGGTTCTATCTTTTTTCTCATTTTCTCATCCACAATTTCTACTTCTGTGCTATCCTTCAGTGCCTATTAACAGAAATTGAGCTATTAAAATTATGAGCTATTTCACTGTCTGTGCTATACTTCTAAGAACCTAAAAATTTGAAAACCTGAAATTAGCAAACTAATTTGCAGTTAAGATTCTAAAAAATCCATAAGTTAACCACATAGAACACAAGTTTTAAAATCATTTGCACCTGTAAGGTAACAAATATCCTGATCTCCCACTTATTTAACTTCAGATGATATATTTTTCACAATTAGAACAGTCATTTAAGGAATACTGAATCAGCTAGAAGCAAATTGACTTTTACTATTTTCTTCTCTCTCATATTTCCTTGTCTTCCATTAAAATATTACCAAATAAAATGTAGGCATTTTATTATTGTAATAATTACCACAATTTATTGAATAATAAGTACTACATGTACTCATGATTCCTCACAATACCTCATAAAGAAGGTATCACCCCTACATATAGATGAGGAAACTGAGGCTCAAAGAAATAAACTTAATCAAAGATCACAGATCTAGTATGAGACAACACCAGGACTCAAACCACTATCTATCTACAACTAAAAGTCTTAGCCATTAGGCAAAGGTGCCTCCCCAATATGTACTACAAGGATAAAACAAAACTAGGCCAAAATTTCTTCAAGATACAAACTAAATCCTTATTGGTTTAACTTCTCACTGAAATACAGGAGT
Organism: Homo sapiens; assembly: GCF_000001405.40. Classification (NCBI taxonomy): domain Eukaryota; kingdom Metazoa; phylum Chordata; class Mammalia; order Primates; family Hominidae; genus Homo; species Homo sapiens. The sequence continues at coordinate 128,106,457 of NC_000004.12, read as the reverse complement.
ACTCACCTTTTAGAAATTAGGATAAATACAAAATGTATAATATAAAAACAATATAAAGTTATATGTACATTAACTTATAAAAATTAAAGCCCACTACATTTTAGCTGGAGAACATGCTGTATATAATTAAGAACATTAACCGGGCCAGGTGCTCATGCCTGTAATCCCAACACTTTGGGAGACCGGGGCGGGTGGATCACGAGGTCAGGAGATTGAGACCATCTTGGCCAATATGGTGAAACCTCATCTCTACTAAAAATACAGAAATTAGCTGGGCATGGTGGCATGTGCCTGTAATCCCAGCTACTTGGGAGGCAGAGGCAGGAGAATCACTTGAACCAGGGAGCTGGAGGTTGCAGTGAGCCGAGATGGCGCCACTGGACTCCAGCCTGGAGACAGAGCAAGATTCCATCTCAAAAAAAAAAAAGAACATTATCCATTCAGAAATGAACAGATTTTGAAAAAAGAACCTACTCTTGCTCTTAATATTAGTATGGTACTTAACTCTCAAGTTATATTTTCCATAACTGGGCATTTCTTTTTTTATTATTATTATTTTTATTTTTTGAGACGGAGTCTCACTCTGTCACCCAGGCTACAGTGCAGTGTTGTCAACTTGGCTCACTGCAACCTCCGCCTCCCAAGTTCAAGCAATTCTCTGCCTCAGCCTTCGGAGTAGCTGGGATTACAGGCACCCACTACCACACCCGGCTAATTTTTTTGTACTTTTAGTAGAGACGGGGTTTCACCAAGTTGGCCAGGCTGGTCTTGAACTCCTGACCTCATGATCCACCCGCCTCGGCCTCCCAAAATGCAGGATTACAGGTGTGAAACACCACGCCTGGCCATAATTGGGGATTCCTTTAAATTACAATTAGGACTTATTTTAAATGAAACTCCTTTGAGAAGGGAGTCTGAAATATAAAATGGAGAAAGATAGGAAAGAATCCTATGGTGAAAGCTTTAGATGAGTAAAATCAGTGTATTTTTCCCAACATATATTTTCCTCATTTTGTCCACTGAAAGACCTAGAAGCAATGACACCCCAGTAGCAAACAGTATGCCCAGCATCCAGACCATTGCAACAACATGGATGAATGTCAAAAACTACCAATGAAAAGAACTCAGAGACAGAAGAAATCAATTTACACAAATGCCAAGAACAGACTAATCTAATCTATGATATGAAAATCAGAAAAGTTGTTGGAGAGGCTGTGTGACACTGACTAGAAAGAGCCATGAAGGAAGTTTTTAGAATAATGAAAGTATTCTACATCTTGCCTGGGGTAATGCTTATGTTTAATTTTCAAAACTCACAGTGAACATCTAAGATCGCTGTATTTTACCATGTATTATCTATCCCTGAATGTAAAAAAAAAACAAAAAAAAAACTCCTTGAAACTTTCCCATATGTTTAAATTTTCCAAAGTAAAGTTGTGGAAAAAGACTGCTAGTAGTGTTGGTTAGAATGTGAAGCAAGTCAAACTCCCAATAGTGGTGGTTTTGATTGGTTTGATACTTTAAAAAAATGCTTAGCAGTATCTACAAAAGGTAATCACACATTTATGCCCTGTTACCCACCAGTTTCCCAGGAAAATAAATGCTTATGTTCACCCAGAAATATCTATGACAACGTTCACAGTAGCATCAAAGACCCAAAGTGGAAAGAACCCAAATATGTCTATCAATAGGAGCATAGAAAAATTAACTGTTGCCGGGCACGGTGGCTCAAGCCTGTAATCCCAGCACTTTGGGAGGCCGAGGTGAGTGGATCACCTGAGATCAGGAGTTCAAGACCAGCCTGGCCAACATGGTGAAACCCTGTCTCTACCAAAAATACAAAAACTTAGCCAGGCTTGGTGGTGGGTGCCTGTAATCCCAGCTACTCGGGAGGCTGAGGCAGGAGAATCGCTTGAAACTGGGAGGTGGAAGTTGCAGTGAGCTGAGATCAGGTCAGTACAACTCCAGCCTGGGCCATAGAGTGAGAGCGGTCTCAAAAAAAAGGAAGAAAGCAAGAAAAGAAAGATTGATTAACTGTTATATTCATACAATGGAAAAACTACCAAAAAACAGAAAGTAAACAACTGCTATACACCAATATGAATAAATCTCACAGAAATAACTTCAGAAATAAAATCAGATATAAAAGTCATAACACCATTTATGTGAAGTTCAAAAACAGGAGAGAGGCCTCTTAAAAGGGAAAGCAGTGGTACTGACTAGGAGGGTACAGAAAGCAGCTTGCCTGGGTCTTGAAAATGTTCTGTATCTTAATCTGGATGGCAGTTACCTGACCGTATACATAGGAAAAAAAATCATCTCTAATCTTATGAGTTACAATATATAATGTATAAAGGCCAGGCACGGTGGCTCACACCTGTAATCCCAGCACTTTGGGAGGCTGAGGCAGGCAGATCATGAGACTCCATCTCTAAATAAATAAATAAATAAAATAATAATAATGTATAAATTATGCCTCAATTTAAAAGAAAATATTTAAAGAAAAACTTGTGGGATGAAAAGCTCAAAGTTCTTTATGTACAGCTACTAAAGCCTCTTCCAACACATGTTTTTTATAAAAAATAAAAAAAGAGGAGGCCAGGCATGGTGGCTCACACCTGTAATCCCAGCACTTTGGGAGGCCGAGACGGGCGGATCACCTGAGGTCAGGAGTTCCAGACCAGCCTGGCCAACATGGCAAAAACCCGTCTCTACTAAAATACAAAAATTAGCCAGGCGTGGTGGCAGGCGCTTGTAATCCCAGCTACTCAGGAGGCTGAGGCGGAAGAATCGCTTGAACCTAGGAGGCAGAGGTTGTAGTGAGCCAAGATCATGCCACCGCACTCCAACCTGGGTGACAGAGTGAGACTCTGTCTCAAAAAAAAAAAAAAAAAAAGAGGAAGGGGCATAACAAACATTGTATGTAGTAAGGTATCATAGTATTCTCTTACATAAACAAACTATCTCAGGAGGAAGACACAAGAAAGAAGTAACACTGACCACTACCAAGGCAGGTAATTCATTCATTGTTGGTGGAAAAATGGGGAAAAAAAAATTTTTACCATATACCTTTTTTTTCCTTGGACAATCACTGGAAGATAACCATATACCCTTTTGAGTTTTGAATTTTGTGTAATTTATTTCCTATTTAGAAATAATAAATTTAAAAGGGAAATGAAGAACACATAAAGTGAAACATTCATCACTCAGGCCATAAAAGGATCATATAAAAATTACACCATGCACAAAATTAAGGTAAAGACCTAGAAGAAACATCGAGTTATAAAACCAAGCCTTGGTAATCCTGAACTCCTAAACAATGAGTTACTGGGTACATCAGTATTTTCCAGTATCTGAGGTTTTAACTGACTTAGCTATTAATTTTGGTTCTTTTCTTAATGATACAGACCTACTACTATGAATAACTACCAATGCCGGAATACATAGATGTTGCATTCTTACTGCCTGGTAGTAAGAGAAAGACTTGAATGTGCAAAGACCTGGAGATAAAAAGAAAAGAGCACAAGTTTTGAGGAACCACAAGTTCAGACAATTTAGAAAACAAGGTTTGAGATGAAAGTAGCAGGCACAGTTCTGAGGCTGATATTATATTAATTATTCCTCTAAATCCTCATACTCTATTATAGCTTAAGTATTATTTGCTATATTTTAACAAGAAAATTGAAGCATGAAGATATTACGTTAATTGCTTAGTTATACAACTGGTAAGCTATAGAACCAAGATCAATTTGCTCTAACAAATGGAAGACACAAAAAGCTTTCAATTATGGGGAAGACATCGAGAATGCAGTAAGCTAAAAAATAAATGAGCGGAGAAGAATCAGATTCAACAAGTTTGGTTTGCGTTTGCATACTCAACCAGGGCAGATACGGGTATCAGCTAAATTATTTTGCTTCTCTTGAGAGTTTTTCAAGAAAGGAAAAACTTGAGCATATTCAAATACATATGGGAAGAAGCTGGTTAAAATGAAATGCATGAAGATAAAGGAGTTATCAACAGAACGACATCGTTTAAGACTAACAATAATAGCAAATGCTTACTTATTTAGAGCTTACTACATTTGCCAGATACTTTCATTAACACAATTCATCCTCATGACAACCCTAGGAAATATATATTACTGTCTCAGGACACTGACAATAGTCACAGAGCTACAAGGGACATATTCATAGGTCCATGATCTTGATATGTTAACACTACAATGCCTAATGAAGCCTTACTTTCTCAACAGAAAAAGAACACCTTTCCTACTATTACAAATGGTAGGTGCATAATGAATGTTAAGTGAATGCAGACTTATGTTCTTCTAAATTGCTATGCTTATGTGTTTCTGCTTTTCAATAGTGGTATTATTTTTTACTGTATCATTAGCTACTGTATCAGTGCTAACCATAACAGTAGCTCAAAGCTTCCTTTTAAAAATCCTTCCTTACTGCTGTAGGTTGTAAAAACAAAATGTCAATGATCTTAAAATTGTGCTTGAGGATTTAATGGGACTACAAACAGACCAAAAAGGCATACAATAATAAAATTACAACTACATTCGTACAGAAGTAGACAGGGAAAAAATGGCAACAACTTCATAAAAAACGGCAGCTGAGTTGGCTACAGCACTTTGCTATAGCACAATGGCAGCAGTTAATAAACTCATTCTAATGCCGGCGGCGGTAGCTCATGCCTGTAATCCCAGCACTTTGGGAAGCTGAGGCAGGAAGATCACTTGAGGCCAGGAGTTCGAGACCAACCTGGCCAACGTGGTGAAACTCCATCTCTACTAAAAAATGAAAATAAATAAATAAGTAAATAAATAAACTCATTCTACTATGAATCATAATATTTGCTCTAAGAGCAAATTTTGCAAAAAAAAAAAAAAACTAATTTTCTCTGTTAATTACAATATATAGAAACCTTATATACTTATCTATAAACAAATGCAATAATGACATTGCTTACAGTAATTATTTTCATGAAACCAAGAATCATTAATTATACACCAACAAATCATTATTTTATGTTATTTTCAAAACATGGACTTTACTATAGTAAAATCAATTCTCCTGTCTCAGCCTCCCAAATAGCTGGGATTACAGGCACGTCACCATGTCCAGCTAATTTTTGTATTTTAGTAGAGACAGAGTTTGACCATGTTGACCAAGCTGGTGTCAAACTCCTGACCTCAAGTGATCCATCGGCCTTGGCCTCCCAAAGTGCTGGGATTACAGGCATGAGCCACCGCGCCCAGCCCTGTAGTTGATTTTTAAAACACGAAGCACACGTGTTCAAAAACTTGCTATTCAAAGAAGCCTGTTAAGAAATGAAGCCAGGCGCGGTGGCTCATTCCTGTAATCCCAGCACTTTGGGAGGCCGAGGCAGGTGGATCACCTGAGATAGAAGTTCGAGACCAGCCTGACCAACATGGTGAAACCCTGTCTCTACTAAAAAATACAAAAATTAGCCAGGCATGGTGGCAGGCGCCTGTAATCCCAGCTACTCGGGAGGCTGAGGCAGGAGACTCGCTTGAACCCAGGAAACGCAGGTTGCAGTGAGCTGAGATCACACCATTACACTCCAACCTGGGTGACAGAGCAAGACTCTGTCTCAAAAACAAAAACAAAAAACAAAAAAAAAAAGAAAAGAAAAGAAAATGAAAAGACAAAAACTAGGAAAAAATATTTGCAAAATACATAATGGACTTGTATCCAGAATGAAGAACTCATACAATTATCTTTTAAAAAACACTTCAATAATAATGAATAAAAAATCTGAACAGACATTTCCACTAATAAGGTATGCAGACAAAAAAGCACATGAAAAACTGCTAACAACTTTAATCATTAGTGAAATGCAAATTAAAACCACAATGAGTCCAGGCGTGGTGGCTCACGCCTGTAATCCCAGCACTTTGGGAGGCTGAGGCGGGCAGATCATAAGGTCAAAAGATCAAGACCATCCTGGCCAACATGGTGAAACCCCCATCCCTACTAAAAACACAAAAGTTAGATAGGCTTGGTGGCGTGCGCCTGTAGTACCAGCTACTTGGGAGGCTGAGGCAGGAGAATCACTTGAACCCAGGAGGTGGAGGTTGCAGTGAGCCAAGATCGCACCAGAACACTCCAGCATGGGCGACAGAGAGAGACTCTGTCTCAAAAAACAAACAAAAAAACACAATCAGGCCAGGCGCGCGGTAGCTCATGCCTGTAATCCCGGCACTTTGGGAGGCCAAGGCGGATGGATCGCCTGAAAGTCAGGAGTTCGAGACCAGCCTGGCCAACATGGTGAAATCTCGTCTCTATTAAAAATATTTAAAAATTAGCTGAGTGTGGTGGCAGGCGCCTGTAATCCCAGATACTTGGGAGGCTGAGGCAGGAGAATTGCTTGAATCCGGGAGGTGGAGGTTGCAGTGAGCCAAGATCATGGCATTGCACTCCACTCCAGCCTGGGCAACAAGAGCAAAACTGAAACTTTGTCCCAAAAAAATAAAAAACCCACAATGAGAAACCACTATATATCTATTATTCAAAAAACTGACAATATATGCAATGATAAGGCTGAGGAACAAGTCCTATAGATAATCGTGGGAATGCAAAATGGTAAAGCCACTTTGGACAATAGGTTGGCATTTTCTTATAAAGATAGGCATATACTTACTATACTTTCCAGCAATCACAATACTAGATATTTATCCAACAGAAATATATATGTGTGTGTGTGTGTGTGTGTATATATATATCCCTATAAAGATCTTCATGCTTTACTCACACTCTCCAAAACCATAAATAATCTGAATGTCCACCAACAAGTGAATGGATAAACTGTGGTATATCCATACCATGGAATACTAGTCAGCAATATGAAAGAACAAACTACTGCTACATGCAACATAGGTGAATCTCAAAAGCACAATACTAAGTGAAAAATCAGAAACAAAAGGCTACAACCTGGCCAACATTGGGAAACCCTGTCTCTACTAAAAATACAAAAATTAGCTGGGTATGGTGGCACACTCCAGTTATCCCAGCTACTTGGGAGGCTGAGGCAGGAAAATCCTTGAACCTGGGAGGCAGAAGTTGCAGTGAGCCAAGATTGTGCCACTGCACTCCATACTGGGCAACAGAATGAGACTCTGTCTCAAAAAAAAAAAAAAAGAAAGAAAAAAAGAAAAAGCAGATTAGTGATTGTGGTTACCAAGGGTTGTGTGTAGGGAAAGAAATTGGCTAGAAAAAAAAAGATGTTGAAAGCATTTCTAGAAACAGACCAGATGAGAGATTTTTTTTTTCCCCAAAGTGCTGGGATTACAGGCATGAGCCACCATGCCCAGCCAGAAGGACTATTTGAAATTAGCCTTTCAATAAGTGGGAACGGCTGGGAGTGCTGGCTCACACCTGTAATCCTAGCATTTTGGGAGGCGAAGGTGGGCGGATCACAAGGTCAGGAGTTCGAGACCAGCCTGGCCAAGATAGTGAAGCCAAGTCTCTAATAAAAATACAAAAATTAGCCGGGCATGATGGTGCGTGCTTGTAGTCCCAGCTACTCAGAAGGCTGAGGCAGGAGAATCGCTTGAACCCAAGAGGCAGATGTTGTGGTGAGCCGATATCATGCCACTGCACTCCAGCCTGGGCAACAGAGTGAGACACTGTCTTAAAAAAAAAAAAAAAAAAAAAAAAAAAATATATATATATATATATATACACATACATATACAGGAACACATGCTTTTTTACAGTAACCTGAAGAAATTTGTGTTTGATTGCGCCGTTGTACTCTATCACCCAGGTGCGAGCCGCCACGCCCAGCCCTGAAGAAGTTTTAAGGACCAAGGGTGTTCAAAAGGGTTAAAGTTTGAAGGATCAGGTTTAAAATAGGTTGACTAATTGAGGGGGAGGGGAAGGAGAAAATACACAGTAACATCGTTAGCAATACTTTCAGGGGTTTCCAAGGTTAGACATTTATGAAGGTTTTACAAAATAGAAAAACATCATGGAATGCTGTCTGAGCCTCAAGCAACTACAGATTGTCTGTTTTTAGTACTCTGTTTTTCAGAGAAGTTTTAGGTACAAAGGAAATTTGAGCAGAAAGTACAAATTGTTCATCAAATGAGCAATTACCTCTAAGATGAGATTAAGGTTTGTAGTGAGAGCCTGAACACGCTGAAAACCAGCAATCAGGGAAATAGGCAAGAAACCTTGTTCATCCATCTTTCCCCGAAGAAAGAAGTCTCGTTCCAAATTTTCTACACTGAAGTAATATTCACTGAAAAGAGAAATCAGAATTTCATCCATTTATTTAGTAGGAAATAAATATTTCTATTGCTCCCACATTAACTGTGAAAACCAATCATTAACATGAAAATATTGTAATTTGGTTAACAATATGTATAGCTCTAATACAACACAGATAGGGTAAACATATAAGATAGCAAAAAACTCTACTGAATTAATAATTTCTCTTAAACTTAAAATATTATTTTCCAAAAAATTAATAACTTCTATTTAGATCAGTTTCACTAAATATAAAGAATTAAGCTGCTCATTTTACCTTAAAATAGTTCAATAATTTTTTTTAATGAGTTAATTAGATGAAAATCTTTACAAAGCCACTTCTACTTGTTTCATTTAAGCATTAGATAACAAAGCTAATCCCATGTTAGCATAATGCCTTCCACCTTTTTCCCAGTCGCTGAGAAGAGTGGTATACTGGAAATATCCTTTGTCAAATTCACATACAGAAAAGTAGTTCATTTTGTTTTCTAAGTTGACAAAGTACTGCCATGTTTAATACTTCTGAAGCCTAGTAACCAGCACAATTCTTAGTTAAAAACTCAGTGAACATGGCCAGGCGCGGTGGCTGATGCCTGTAATCCCAGCACTTGGGGAGGCTGAGATGGGTGGATCCCCTGAGGTCGGCAGTTCAAGATCAGCCTGACCAACATGCAGAAAACCTGTCTCTACTAAAAACACAAAATTATCCGGGTGTGGTAGCGCATGCCTGTAATCCCAGCTACTCAGGAGGCTGAGGCAGGAGAATCCCTTGAACCCGGGCAGCAAACATTGCAGTGAGCCAAGATCGCGTCATTGCACTCCAGCCTGGGCAACAAGAGCAAAACTCCATCTCAAAAAAAAACAAAACAAAACAAAAAAAACTTAGTGAACACACAGGCATATGTGCACATATATATTTTGAACGATTCAAGTTCTCCATGCTTCTTTCTTTGATAGACAGACCATAAGACATTAAGGGTGGCCCGGTGAGGTGGCTCACGCCTGTAACCCCAGCACCTTCGGAGGCTGAGGTGGGTGGATCGCTTGAGGTCAGGAGTTTAAGACCAGCGTAACCAATATGGGGAAACCCCATCTCTACTAAAATACAAAAACTAGCTGGGCATGGTGGCGGGTGCCTGTAATCCCAGCTACTCGGGAAGCTGAGGCAGGAGAATCAATTGCACCCAGGAGGCAGAGGTTGCAGTGAACAGGGATGGTGCCACTATACTCCAGCCTGGGCGAGAGCAAGACTGTCTAAAAACAATAATAAAAGACGTTAGCCAGGCATGGTGGCTCACGCCTGTAATCCCAGCACTTTGGGAGGCTGAGGCGGGCAGATCACAAGGTCAGGAGATCGAGACCATCCTGGCTAACATGGTGAAACTCCGTCTCTACTAAAAATACAAAAAATTAGCCGGGTGTGGTGGCAGGCGCCTGTAGTCCCAGCTACTCGGGAGGTTGAGGCAGGAGAATGGCGTGAACCTGGGAGGCGGAGCTTTCAGTGAGCCAAGATTACACCACTGCACTCCAGCCTGGGCGACAGAGCGAGACTCCATCTCAAACAGAAAAAAAAAAAAGAAAGACATTAAGGGTGAACAGAATATAGCTAAAGAAGGAATATCCTTGACACCATGAGGCACATGGAAGCAAAAATATAGAAGATGATTAGATGTTTTATCTTCTCTTGAAAAACACAAACCCACTTAACCTTTCCGAGAGAAATGTAAATGGATGAACTGTCAGTATGATCAGTAACTACAAATCCCAAGATATAAAGATAATATTCACAATACATTTAATAATAGCCTTTGAGAAATACATGTTTATCCACACCATAGGAAAGGTTAAAGAGAGAGAAATACATGTTTAAATTATAGCCTCCATAGGCCGGGCGCGGTGGCTCACGCCTGTAATCCCAGCACTTTGGGAGGCCGAGGCGGGCGGATCACGAGGTCAGAAGATCGAGACCATCCTGGCTAACACGGTGAAACCCTGTCTCTACTAAAAATACAAAAAATTAGCCGGGCAAGGTGGCGGGCGCCTGTAGTGCCAGCTACGTGGGAGGCTGAGGCAGGAGAATGGTGTGAACCCGGGAGGCGGAGCTTGCAGTGAGCTGAGATCGTGCCACTGCACTCCAGCCTGGGCAACAGAGCGAGACTCCGTCTCAAAAAAAAAAAAAAAAAAATTATAGCCTCCATATATGTAAATGAGAGTATGAGGATTTTAAAGACAGAGAAGAAGACAAACGGGAAAATATAGAGAAGAATGATACAAAAGAAATACATAACATCAATGATGATGGGGCCTACAGTTTAATAATCCCACACTATTTCCAAATCACAGAGAAAGTTTTCAAACATGGAATACAAGTTATGAGAAAACAAACCAGCTCACATTTTGGGGTATAAAACTCAGTGACTAAAGATGCCCTTGAAGTATATGGGCCAAATTCTATCTTTGAAAAAAAGGCATCTATAACTGGAAACTTGTTTTCAGCTACCTTTTACTGAAGGGGAAGAAAATAAATCAACTTATTTTAAGAATGTAAATATCCAAATTTTCCTTTAATAGTTTGATATTTACCCAATTGTCAGAGTGCAAAGCTCTCTCAAAGACTACTGAAATACTACTGACATCTCACTCAGTAACACTAGTAAATCATTTACTTTTTTTTTTTTTTTTTTTTTTGAGATGGAGTTTCACTCTTATTGCCCAGGCTGGAGTGGGATGGCATGATCTCGGCTCACTGCGACCTCCGCCTCACAGGTTCAAGCGATTCTCCTGCCTCACCCTCCTGAGTAGCTGGGACTACAGGTGTGTGCCACCATGCCCGGCTAATTTTTGTATTCTTAGTAGAGACGGGGTTTCACTATGTTGGCCAGCCTGGTCTCGAACTCCTGACCTCAGATGATCCACCTGCCTCAGCCTCTCAAAGTGCTGGGATTACAGGAGTGAGCCACCATGCCCTGGCCTCATTTACTCTTTTTAAACACTAAAGGAAAAAATTTTAAACACTGAAGTCTTAAAGCAATGAAGATTCTGATGGTTGTTACACCTCAAAAGCCTTATTCATAGTGTCTGGCATGTGGCAGATACATAATACATGTGTTAAAATTCTAAAATTTCATGCAGGGCACGGTGGCTCACGTCTGTCATTTCCACACTTTGAGAGGCCATGGCAGGCAGATCACCTGAGGTCAGGAATCCGAGACCAGCCTGACCAACATGGTGGAACCCCGACTTTACTAAAAATACAAAATTAGTCGGCCATGGTGTTGCGTGCCTGTAATCCCAGCTACTGGGGAGGCTGAGGCAGGAGAATCGCTTGGACTCGGGAGGCGGAGGTTGCAGTGAGCCAAGATTGCACCATTGCACTGCAGCCTGGGTGACAACAGCAAAACTCCATTTCAAAAGAAAAAAAAAATTCTAAAATTTCAGACATTAAGACATTTAATTTAGTCACAAGTTACAACTGTTCTTAGCTGTGAGATGTGAACTTCCCTAAATCAATAACAAACTGTCCTGGCCAGGCACTTTGAGCTCAGGCATTCGAGACCAGATGGGGCAACATGGCAAAACCCTGTCTCTACTAAAAATACAAAAATTAGCTGGGCGCAGTGTCACGTGCCTCTAATCCCAGCTATTCGAGAGGCTAAGGCAGGAGAATTGCTTGAACTTGAACCCGGGAGGCAGAGGTTGAGGTGAGCCGAGATTGCGCCACTGTACTCCATCCTGGGCGACAGAGTGAGACAATGTCTCAAAAAAAAAAAAAAAAAAGAAAAAGAAAAAGAAAAAAGGAAAAAACCTCTAAAGATCTACAAATCTATCAGAGTGCTGTCATCTGAGTGCCAAGAGAGATTATCACAGCTAGAAATAATCAAGATCTTTACATTTTAATGCTGACATCACAAACAATTAATACAAGTTTTCACTTAAAATGTTAAAAACAAGTAGGCCAGGTGTGGTGGCTCACGCCTGTAATCCCAGCACTTTGGGAGGCCGAGGACGGCGGATCACAAGGTCAGGAGTTCGAGACCAGCCTGACCAACGTGGTGAAACCTTGTCTCTAATAAAAATACAAAAATTAGCATCTCAAAAAAATTTTTAAAAAGTTAAAAAAAAGTAGACTGCAATAAAAAGTTTTTAAAATGTTTTTAAAAAAAAAAAGGTCAGGCACGGTGGTTCACGCCTGTAATCCCAGCACTCTGGGAAGCTGATGTGGGTGGATCACCTGAGGACAGGAGTTTGAGACCAGCCTGACCAACAAGATGAAACCCCGTCTCTACTAAAACTACAAAAATTAGCTGGGCGTGGTGGCATATGCCTGTAATCACAGCCACTCGGGAGGCTGAGGCAGGAGAATTGCTTGAACCTGGGAGGCGGACGTTGCAGTGAGCCGAGATCGTGCCATTGCACTCCAGCCTGCACAACGAGAGCAAAACTCCATTTCAAAAAAAAAAAAAAAAAAGTTTAAAAAAAACCCCTCAACCATTTTGAATACGTTTAGGCCTCATACTGTACGATACATTTTGCATCATTTTTCCACAGGTGTCAGGAAAACATTTTTTTTTCTTTCTTTTTTGAGACAGAGTCTGGCTCTTTTGCCCAGGCCGGACTGCAGTGGCACTATCTCGGCTCACTGCACGCTCTGCCTCCCAGGTTCACACCATTCTCCTGCCTCAGCCTCCAGAGTAGCTGGGACTACAGGCGCCCGCCACCGCGCCCGGCTAATTTTTTGTATTTTTAGTAGAGACGGGGTTTCACTGTGTTAGCCAAGATGGTCTCGATCTCCTGACCTCGTGATCCGCCCGCCTCGGCCTCCCAAAGTGCTAGGATTACAGGCGTGAGCCACCGCACCTGGCCAGGAAAACTTTTAGTGACTTCTCAAAAAGAAAATCAAAACCTCAATCAATCAGCCTATCTATATATTAGAAACCAAATAATACAAAGTAAAAAGCACGACTCCTTCAAAGCCACATCTCCACTAATCAAAGAATGGTAATAATAATAACAAGCCACACTAAACCTAGTGCTCTACTAACATTTGCCAAAATCCCTACTGCTAGAACAACAACAAAAAAAGAGGCATGACCAATGCCATGTCTGACATTTTGCTCAGTGTCCTAGGGACATCATCAAGTCCTACCTTAGAGGCTCTGGATTCTACACTGCATGATCAGAAATTTTGTCAACACTGAAGTAGCTCTGCTCCTCCCTCACTTGTATGAGCACACTGGAGGCCGATTATCCTGACATGGAGTTGCATGTCCACTGTCAGGTCTCAGAAGGGACTTGGCAGCAAAAGTTACAAAAAAGACAGTAATAGTGGTATGAAGTTGACAGCCACATGTCAAGCACTTTCTGCCCACAAAAAGGCCCTTTTCTTCAGTGTTTGCATCAACTGTAACAAAAGAAGCAAGAACAATATAAACAAGTTGCTCCACACTGTAAGCAAATTGGATCCACCATGAAGGCAACCCAGGAAGGTGCCTGGCTGATGATGATAAAGAAATTTTCTAGTAACAGAGTAGAGTCTATTTTATTTTGGAAAAACAGATGATTTTTAAATGCCTATGCCCTTTCAAAAATAGCCCTTTTCCTTCACCTTGTAAGGAGAGAAAAATTTCAAGTTTTAACAAATTGGTTATGCAAATTACTTGGCAACATTTTTCTCTTGCCTCTATAAAAACATACTATATAAATAAGCAAAATATCCTATACAATACTAATATGCATAGGGTTTGTTTTTTCTTTCAGAAAATAGAACTAATATTCTCCTGACTTCACATTCAGTACCCAGAAAGCAACTACTATGAGAACTAGAGTAAGAAATCTGAACTAAAATATAAGGTAGTCCCCATTTAATTGTGTCACAAAGAAAAACTTAGAAGATAAAAAAAACTTAAGAATTCAGAAGTCAATTGCTAAGAAGAAAATCAAAAGATACCACCATTTTTTATTTATGTTAATTTGCAAATTCTAATATAAACACCTATTGGCAAATAATAAGCCAAATTTTACTTGTTCAGTTTCAAGTATATATAGAGAAGCTTTACAGTCTTATATTTATTCATATTATGCAATAACATTTTACCTAATCTCCTTTAAGGAGAAAAATATCTAAATACTATAGAAGCCAGGAGACTTATATAAACAACATAAACCAAATATAAAATTTTAAAAACACCTACTTTAATCACATTCCCTAAAAATATATAATCAAAATAATTTTTAACATTTTCCAACCTTTACAAATAAGTAGCTTTAAAAATGTTATAAACAGCCAGGCATGGTGGCTCACGCCTATAATCCCAGCACTTTGAGAGGCCAAGGTGGGCAGATCAGCTGAGGCCGGGAGTTCAATACCAGCCTGGTCAACATGGCAAAACCCGTTCTCTACCAGAACTACAAAAATTAGCCAGGTGTGGTGGCATGTGCCTGTAATCCCAACTACCCAGGAGGCTGAGGCGGAACAATCACTTGAACCCAGGAGGCAGAGGTTGCAGTGAGCCAAGATCGTACCACTACACTCCAGCCTGGGCAACAGAGTGAGACTCTGTCTCAAAAAAAAAAAAAAATTATAGCATATTCATTATCAATGACATTAAAGTTCATATTGCAACAGATTTTGCTATCCCGTCTGCTTACATCAAACATCCACTTACATTTGACGCTTAATATACTCTTTAAGCAATGCTTCTTCCACAGGATACACCTGTACACCTGTACCATCATCATAGTAATACATCATACTGGTATTAAGTTCTGTTTGAAATGGTTGATCAGTCCTTTCACCATGTTCTTGATAACCATATGAATAATCAAAGTTCACTTGATGTGAATAAAGAAAAAGAAAGGTAATCACATATTAGAAAAAAATAGTTACTACGGATAAAGTGAAGAACTTCAAAGGTTAACAAACATAAAACCATCTATTATCAGACAAAGAAAATTAGTTAAAACATAATAGAGGATAGTTGCTCTATTTTTTTCAAAGTTTATCTAATTTAACGAAACAAAAATTATGTCATACATCGAGGATTTCCTCTGCCTCGTCCTCTTCCCCGTCCTCGGCCTCTTCCTCGACCTCTAAAGGAACCTCGGATATTACCACCCTCACTTCTCACACTGGAAACGTCATCTTGATCATCCCTTTTTTCTCTATCTCGCTTCCAACCTTTTAAAAATAAAAATATTTTTATATACTTCGATTTGCCAAGTAAAATAACATGATTGTCTTTATGAAAACATAATAGCCACCTTCTTCCACTTTGTAACTAATGAACAGTAGCCAGGCATTTTTCAGATGGATACAAACTGAAGAGATCCAATAAGAATTTATCAAAAATATCTCTAGCATAAAACAGAGCCTAAAAGGTACTGACACATGAAGAATACATTCTAACAAGTAAAATAACATACTAGAAAGGTAAAGAGATAGTTTTATTAAGATTGTGCTGTTAAAGATTCAAGAAGTTCCAAGACTACTAAGTTTGTACTACATAAAACTGCTAAAAAACATTTCTCACGAAATATTTAAGGATGGTTCTATTTAAGTAAATGACATTCCTTATAAAGTAAAAAGGAAATGAAAACACAAAACAAATTGAGAAAAGATATCTGAAGCGAAATATAGAAATTCTATCTAGAGTACATGTAAGAACTCATACGACTCTCTCTCATGCAACACACACAGACACAACCACTCAATGGGAAAAATATCTAAAATACAAGCAAGGTAAAAAAATGCAAGTGGACAATAAATACAGAAAACGGTGCCTACCAATGGGTCAATAATCATACAAGGCCGGGCGCGGTGGCTCAGGCCGGCAATCCCAGCACTTTGGGAGGCCAAGGGGGGCGGATCAACTGAGGTCAGAAGCTGGAGACCAGCCTGGCTGACATACTGAAATACCGCCTCTACTAAAAATACAAAAATTATCCGGGTGCCATAGCACACACCTGTAATCCCAGCTACTCGGGAGGCTGAAGGAGGAGAATCACTTGAACTCGGGAGGCAGGGGTTGCATTGAGCCAAGATTGCACCACTGCACTCCAGCCTGGGCTACAGAGCGAGATTCCCTCTCCAAAAAAAAAAAAAAAGAGGCCCGGTGTGGTGGCTCACACTTGTAATACCAGCACTTTGGTAGGCTGAGACAGGCAAATTGCTTGAACTCAGGAGTTCAAGACCAGCCTGGGAAACATGGCGAAACCCTGCCTCTACCAAAAATACAAAAAATTAGCCAGGCGTGGTGGTGGAGTGCCTGTAATCCCAGCTACTCAGTAGGCTGAGGCAGAAAAATTGTTTGAACCTGGGAGGCGGAGGTTGCAGTGAGCCAAGACCCTGCCACTGCACTCCAGCCTGGGCATAGAACAAGACTCCGTCTCAGAATAAAAAAAAAAGAAAAACGAAAACAGTGTTCAGCCTTATGGACTGTAAGAAATGCAAATTAAGACAATGAAAGGCTCTTTACCCCAGTACAACAAATATTTTAATGTCTCTAATATGAAATGTTGACAAAGTTTAAAAAGGTAGAACATTAGCCGGGTGCGGTGGCTCACACCTGTAATCCCAGCACTTTGGGAGGCTGAGGTGGGTGGATCACTTGAGGTCAGGAGTTCGAGACCAGCCTGGCCGACATGGCAAAACCCCATCTCTACTAAAAATACAAAAATTAGCCAGACATAGTGGTGGGCGCCGGTAATCCCAGCTACTCGGGAGGCTAGGGCAGGAGAATCACCTGAACCTGGGAGGCAGAGGTTGCAGTGAGCCGAGACCTCGCCACTGCACTCTAGCCTAGGTAACAGAGTGAGATTCTGTCTCAAAAAACAGGTAGAACATTCATATATTGCTAATGAGGTTGAAAATAGGTATATCTACTTTGAAAATCAACTTGGAATAATCTAATTAATGTGAAGATATGCAAATCCTAGAGACAAGGTTTTACAACCTTAGCACTTTAGACTCTGGTGTGGGGGCCTGTTCTGTGGACTACAGGATGTTTGGCATCATCCATGACCACCACCCACTAGATGCCAGTAGCACCCACTCACTCCCTCAGTTGTGACAACCAGTAACAAATATCTCCAGACAATGCCAAATGACTCTTTGGGGAAAAAAAAATCACCCTCACTGAGAACATTACCCTAGATCCCATAGTTCCATCCTCAATGCTTAGACCTAAAACAGTCTTTTTCAAACATTTCCTTTTTTTTAACAGAGATGAGTTCTCACTATGTTGCCCAGGCTGGTCTCAAACTCCTGAGCTCAAGCGATCCACCCACCTCCCCCTCCCAGATCAAGCCACCTCCCGCTCCCAAAGTGTTGGGATTACAGGTGTGCACCACTGCGTCCAGCCACTTTTTCAAACATTTCTGCCTTAATCTGTAAGTAAGCCTTATTTATTTTACATACAAGTACACTTACAAAAAATTTTATAAACACATATCATTTAAAAATTTACTATGTGAAGCACTCTAGGTTTTTAAAAACCTGATCATGAACCAATATACTGATTTCATAACCCACTCACAGAGTGTAGTCTGCAGTCTGAAAAAATTACCATAGAGAGCCTCTTGTACTTGTGTGCTGGAAAACATGCATTAAAATGTTCGTGGTAGTACCTTAATATCAAAAAAACTGGAAACAATCCAAATACCCACCGTTAGTACAGATTTTATCAAATAGTGAAACAGCCTTTCAGCAGGAAAAGACTTACAGTAATACAACCAACATGCATTAATCTAAAGAAAAGTAGGCTGAATTAAAAAAACAAAAATTCCTGCCAAAGAATGTTGATAAAGTCACATTGCATGGCGATTTCAAAACATGAAAGAAACCAATGCACTTAAGCTCATTTTTTCCGAGACAATGGGATGAAATTGCAGAGTGCACAAAGCGAAGTTTAAAAGTAATAGTAACATACATTTCTTAAACAGGGTGAGTTTCCACTGTTCATCATCATCATCATCATTATTATTGATTTTAGAGATGGGGTCTCACTCTGTCACCCAGGCTGCAGTGGCATGATCATAGCTCACTGCAGCCTGGAACTCTTGGGCTCTCAAGCAATCCTCCTTACCTCAGCCTACCAAGTAGCTGGGACTACAGGTGAGTGCCACCATACTCAGCTCATTATATTGTTGTTCTGTATAACTTTGTCTATTTTCTTATATATTCAATATTTAATAAGAAAAAAATTAATGAAATTATGAGAATCCATTACTTTTAGAATAAAAACTTAAAATGACATTTTGAAAAACAATAGAAAAAAAGTCAATTTTTCTATAGACAAGTTTTATACATATGCATATATATATATATGCTCCCCCCCACACATGTATGATCATTGTGCACTACAGCCCCAAATTCGCAGGCTCAAGCAATCCTCCTGCCTCAACCTCCCAAGTAGCTGGGACTACAGGCTTGCACCACTGCATTTAGCTAAAGTTTTATAATTTAAAAGTCATATTTTGTGGACAATTGAGAAAAATTAACTATTGACTAGATTTTAGATGGTACTAGGAAACTAGTGTGATTTTCTTAGATGATGCATTTTCTTAGGACATTAGTGATAAAGCGTCAACATCTCCAAGTTACTTTCAAGGGATTCAGCAGATGAATGAATTAAATACAGAGAAATTATTAATCTAGATGGTGGCTAGACAGGTATTCACTGAACAATTCTTTCAATTTTTTGTATGTTTAAAGTTTTTCATAATATATTGGAAATTTTTTTAATCAAAATACATTTACCTCTACATAGGTATATTTAAAATTTTTGAATGCTAATATTAAGTCTGTAAAATTTCCTTAGGCCTTCTTATCCATTCACAGGACATGACTTATCAGATTTCAGCAGAAAACTATAAAAACAAATGCTCATCCTATTGTTTCCACATATCCTATCCTCTGCTTTCTGAAAATCTGAGCAATCCCTGTGAAAAAATGTATCTGGGCCGGATGCGGTGGATCGCACCTGTAATCCTAGCACTTTGGGAGGCCAAGGGAGGCAGATCACTTGAGGTCAGGAGTTCGTGACCAGCCTGGCCCAAAATGGTGAAACCCTGCCTCTACTAAAACCACAAAAATTAGCCAGACATGGTGGCCCATGTCTGTAATCCCAGCTACTCGGGAGGCTGAGGCAGGAGAACCCAGCCTGGGCAATAGTGCGAGACTCTGTCTCAAGACAAAAAAAAAGTATCTGGCCAATGATTTTAATGAAAGTAAAACCATTCAGTAAAGACTAATGGGCCAGGGTGCAGTGGCTCATACCTGTAATCCCAGCACTTTGGAAGGCAGTGAGCCAAAATCGCGCCACTGCACTCCAGCCTGGGTGACAGAGTGAGGCTTTGTCTCAAAAAAAAAGACTAATGGAATAATTTATAATGGACTGATCAACCTAACACCTGAGCTAACTCAATATTAACACAACTGAAAGTGAAATACACACAGCAGTATTCCAAGCAAAAAAATAAGCCTGAATCTAATCAACCTAGCTCCTTCTTATTGCCAGTTATAAAAAGAAAAGACAAAAGGAACAGGCAGGCCAGGTACAGTGGCTCTCACACCTCTAATCCCAGCACTTTGGGAGGCTGATGCTGGAAGATCGCTTGGGCCCAAGAGTTTGAGACCAGCCTGGGCAACATGGGGAAACCCCATCTCTACAAAAAAATACAAAATTAGCCAGGTACTGTTGTGCATGCCTGTAGTCCCAGCTACTGAGGAGGCTAAGACAGGAGAATCGCTTGAGCCTAGGAAGTGAAGGTTGCAGTGAGCCGAGATCATGCCATTGCACTTAGCCTGGAAGACAGAGTGAGACCCTGTCTCAAAAAAAGGAACATGCAAATGCCAAAGAATACTATGACAAAGCGGCTGGGCGAGGTGGCTCACGCCTGTAATCCTAGCACTTTGGGAGGCCAAAGAGGGTGGATCATGAGGTCAGGAGATCAAGACCATCCTGGCTAATGTGGTGAAACTCCCTCTCTACTAAAAACTACAAAAAAAATAGCCGGGCGTGCTGGCAGGTGCTTGTAGTCCCAGCTACTCAGTGGGTGAATGGCGTGAACCAGGGAGGCGGAACTTGCAGCGAGCCGAGATCGCGCCACTGCACTCCAGCCTGGGCGACAGAGCGAGACTCAGTCTCAAAAAAAAAAAAAAAAAAAAAAGAATACCATGACAAAGCAATCAGCCAAATCCAAAATACAGGAATTCCACTAGACATGGGACTTAACACATAGCAAAAAGAAAAAAAGTTGCTGATGGAAATGTAAAATGCTACAAGTAGCAGTTTCTTATAATGTTAAATATACAGCTACTATATGACCAATCAATTCACTCACAGGCATTTGAGAAATACATACATTCCACACAAAGACTTGTAAACAACTATTCATCAGCGTTATTCATGAAGACCAAAAACTATAAACAAGCCACTTATCCATCAACAGATGAAAAGACAAAGGGCTATATGCATTCAACAGAATATTATTTGGCAATAAAGAGGGAGAAGCTAAGTGCGGTGGCTCATGCTTGTAATCCCAACACTTCGGGAGGCCGAGGCAGGAGAATCGCTTGAGGCTAGGAGTTCAAGACCAGCCCGGGCAACGAAGCAAGACTGTCTCTAAAGAAAACTTTTTTTTTAATTAGCCGGGCATGGTGGCACGCACCTGTCATCATAGCTACTTGGGAAGCTGAGGTGGGAGGATCGCTTGAGCCCAAGAGTTCAAGACTGCAGTGAGCTATGACTGTCCCACTGCACTCCAGCCTGGGCAACAGAATGAGACCCCATCACTTATTTAAAAAAAAAAAAAAAAAAAAAAAAGGAAGCTAAGGCTTGTTTGAAAAGTCTGAGAAAATTATTATCTCCACAGTCTCAAAGCCTCTCTCCACAAATTACACAGTAATTACAAAGGGAGAAAAGAAATTAAACAAAAAAGCTGAAGAAACTTAAAAATTTTTTAAAAGTCTAGAGTACACTACCTCAACCAAGTAATCAAGGTTAATAATCATTGTGGCCAGTCGCAGTGGCTCAAGCCTATAACCCAGCACTTTGGGACATCGAGGTGGGTGGATCACCTGAGGTCAAGAGTTCGAGCCCAGCCTGACCAATATGGTGAAACCCCATCTCTACTAAAAATTTAAAAATTAGCCGGGTGTGGTGGCATGTGCCTGTAGTCCCAGCTACTTGGGAGGCTGAAACAGAAGAATTGCTTGAACCCGGGAGGCAGAGGTTGCAGTGAGCCCAGATCACACGCCACTGCACTCCAACCTGGGCAACAGAACGAGACTCCATCTCAAACAAAAAACAAATAATAATAATAATAATCAATGTTGTAATCAAACTAATAATCAAATAAAGTTACAGGGGTAATCAAAGTTAATATTAATCAATGTTGTAATCAAACTAATAATCAAAGTTACAGGGGTAATCAAAGTTAGTATCTTCAATAATGGGACAAATCAAGGTCATACTCCCATGTGATTCGCTAAGAAGAAAATGATAGAATAAATTCCGCTCTCCCTCTCCCTCTCCCTCTCCCCCTCCCCTCTCCCCTCTCCCTCTCGGTCTCCCTCTGATGCCGAGCCGAAGCTGGACTGTACTGCTGCCATCTCGGCTCACTGCAACCTCCCTGCCTGATTCTCCTGCCTCAGCCTGCCGAGTGCCTGCGATTGCAGGCGCGCGCCACCACGCCTGACTGGTTTTCGTACTTTTTTGGTGGAGACGGGGTTTCGCTGTGCTGGCCGGGCTGGTCTCCAGCTCCTAACCGCGAGTGATCCGCCAGCCTCGGCCTCCCGGAGGTGCCGGGATTGCAGACGGAGTCTGGTTCACTCAGTGCTCAATGGTGCCCAGGCTGGAGTGCAGTGGCGTGATCTCAGCTCGCTACAACCTCCATCTCCCAGCCGCCTGCCTTGGCCTCCCAAAGTGCCGAGATTGCAGCCTCTGCCCGGCCGCCACCCCGTCTGGGAAGTGAGGAGCATCTCTGCCTGGCCGCCCATTGTCTGGGACGTGAGGAGCCCCTCTGCCTGGCTGCCCAGTCTGGAAAGTGAGAAGCGTCTCTGCCGGCCGCCATCCCATCTAGGAAGTGAGGAGCGCCTCTTCCCGGCAACCATCCCATCTGGGAAGTGAGGAGCGTCTCTGCCCGGCCGCCCATCGTCTGAGATGTGGGGAGCACCTCTGCCCAGCCACCCCGTCTGAGAAGTGAGGAGACCCTCCGCCCAGCAACCGCCCCGTCTGAGAAGTGAGGAGCCCCTCCACCCGGCAGCCGCCCCGTCTGAGAAGTGAGGAGCCCCTCTGCCCGGCAGCCACCCCGTCTGGGAAGTGAGGAGCGTCTCCGCCCGGCAGCCGCCCCGTCCGGGAGGGAGGTGGGGGGGTCAGCCCCCCGCCCGGCCAGCCGCCCCGTCCAGGAGGTGAGGGGCGCCTCTGCCCAGCCGCCCCTACTGGGAAGTGAGGAGCCCCTCTGCCGGGCCAGCCACCCTGTCCGGGAGGGAGGTGGGGGGGCTCAGCCCCCCCACCTGGCCAGCCGCCCCGTCCGGGAGGGAGGTGGGGGGGTCAGCACCCCGCCCGGCCAGCCGCCCCGTCTGGGAGGGAGGTGGGGGGGTCAGCCCCCTGCCCGCCAGCCGCCCCGTCCGGGAGGTGAGGGGCGCCTCTGCCCGGCCGCCCCTACTGGGAAGTGAGGCGCCCCTCTGCCTGGCCAGCCTCTCCGTCCGGGAGGGAGGTGGGGGGGGTCAGCCCCCTGCCCGGCCAGCCGCCCCGTCCGGGAGGTGAGGGGCGCCTCTGCCCAGCCGCCCCTACTGGGAGGTGAGGAGCCCCTCTGCCCGGCCACCACCCCGTCTGGGAGGTGTACCCAACAGCTCATTGAGAACGGGCCAGGATGACAATGGCGGTTTTGTGGAATAGAAAGGGGGGAAAGGTGGGGAAAAGATTGAGAAATCGGATGGTTGCCGTGTCTGTGTGGAAAGTAGTAGACATGGGAGACTTTTCATTTTGTTCTGTACTAAGATAAATTCTTCTGCCTTGGGATCCTGTTGATCTATGACCTTACCCCCAACCCTGTGCTCTCTGAAACATGTGCTGTGTCCACTCAGGGTTAAATGGATTAAGGGCGGTGCAAGATGTGTTTTGTTAAACAGATGCTTGAAGGCAGCATGCTCGTTAAGAATCATCACCACTCCCTAATCTCAAGTACCCAGGGACACAAACACTGCGGAAGGCCGCAGGGTCCTCTGCCTAGGAAAACCAGAGACCTTTGTTCACTTGTTTATCTGCCGACCTTCCCTCCACTATTGTCCTATGACCCTGCCAAATCCCCCTCTGCGAGAAACACCCAAGAATGATCAATAAAAAAAATAAAAATTAAAAAAAAAAAAAAAGAAGAAAATGATATATTTTCTTATACAGTACTCCTGCCAAAAATTCACAACCCCAATCCAATCATAAGGAAACATTAGAAAACCCAAAGTAAGGGATATCTACAATACGATTATCCTACAATCTTCAAAAAAATCAATGTCATGAAAGACAAAAGCAAGAACTGTTACAGATTAATGGAGCCTAAAGAGAAAAAAAAAATTAAATTAAATGGGTGATCCCAGAATGGATCCTTGGAGCAGGGGAGGGGACGACTATAAAGGACTTTATTGAGAAAAATCTGCCTGTGGACAATCACATTGTATTAATGTTAAGTTTCATTGTTGTTAATTGCATTACGGTTATATTGTTCTTATGAAATATACCCTGAAGGTATTTGGGGTTAAAGGGACATGATGTCTTCAACTTATTCTCAAATGGTTTATACATGTGGTTACTAAAATAACGAGCATTAAGACTAAGTCTTTCCTTAGTCATTTTTGTCTTAGAATGGTAACTTACTTCGTGTATCATTTCTCCTATTGTTATGTGTTGGTTTATTTGCTTCAGGTTGACATCTTGAGCTGTTCCGGGATCCAGGTCTTTCTTGACTCTCTGATCTTACAACATCTAAGTGGAGTGGTACCCACTTGTGCTTATTAGCTTGAAGAAAACAAAATCATTTAAGGACAAATGTACAATTTTCACTAAACCCTTGCAATTTGAAAGCACTCTGAACTTTAATCAAATAAGTGAAACACTTAATGTGTATTTTAAGATTATTTGTAAAGAGGCCAGACACGGTGGCTCATGCCTGTAATCCCAGCACTTTGGGAGGCCGCGGTGGGCGGATGACTTGAGGCCAGGAGTTCAAGACCAGCCTGACCAACATGGAGAAACCCTGTCTCTACTAAAAAACACAAAAATTAGCCAGGTGTGGTGGCACACGCCAGTAATCCCAGCTACTCGGGAGGCTGAGGCACGAGAATAGCTTGAGCCTGGGAAGCGGAGCTTGCAGTGAGCCGAGATCGTGCCATTGCACTCCAGCCTGGGTGATAGCTGGTTGTCCAAGATAGAATCTTAGTTCAACTTTAAATTTGCCTACAGAACCCCCAATCCCCTTGTAAATTTAACTGTTAGTCTAAAGAAGGACAGCTCTTTAGACACTAGGAAAAAACCTTGTAAAGAGAGTAAAAAGTACAATCCCCATAGTTGGCCTAAAAGCAGCCATCAAAGCGTTCAAGCTCGACGCCCAGCCGCCCAAAAATCCCAAACACACAACTGAACTCCTTACATCACATTGGACCAATCTGTCATTTCGTAGAAGAAACAATGTTAATATAAGTAACATGAAAACATTCTCCTCTGCATAAGCCTACCTCAGACCAAAATACTTCAATGACAATTAACAGTCCAATATCTATATCTCAAAAAAAAAAAAAAAAAAAAGGCCGGGCGCAGTGGCTCATGCCTGTAATCCTAGCACTTTGGGAGGCTGAAGCGGGCAGATAACCTAAGGTCAGGAGTTCAAAACCAGCCTGGCAAACATGGTGAAACCCCATCTCTACTAAAAATACAAAAATCAGCCAGGCATGGTGGCACATGCCTGTAGTCCCAGCTACTCGGGAAGCTGAGACAGGAGAATTCCTTAAACCCGGGAGGCAGAGGTTGCAGTGAGCCGAGATCGTGCCACTGCACTCTAGCCTGGGTGACAGAGACGAGAGTCTGTCTCAAAAAAAAAAAAAAAAAAGTATATATACATAACATTCCTGTTTAGTACTTGATTCTTAGGCTTTTTTAAAAAAAAATCTGTTTAATTTAAAATTCTTAGGCTTTAGAATGGGATATATCTGATAAAACGCTATAATGTATACTTTGGAAAGTTAGGCTTTAGGTTTGCAGCACTTTTAGTTCCACATCACTGCCTAAAATATTAATTTACCCAGGATTTTTACAAATGAATGAGGTTTCTCAAAATATAAGAGGGAAGAGGGATAAGTATAAAATTTGTTTAACTTGACAGAACATTTTACAGCTATTATGCATCTTCCTAAGGAAAAAAAAACACAAGCAGTTTAACTTTTCTTGATGACTAAATGACAATGTAACTAATTATTTATGGTTATTCTATAGTGAAATTCTGAAGATCATCTATTCATGAATGCCATAGCTCAGGTTTCAAAATGTTCAGTATTCTGCCCAATCTAAATTTTCTACCAAAATAAAGACTCATGGCAATGAAAAAACTGCCAAGGCAATTTAAAAATAAATATTAGTGTGCAACTACAATATTGATATCCTATAAATCCTGCAAACTATGGATCAAATGAGGAAAAGTGAATATAAATGCATCTAAAAAGGCTTTTAATCTTATACTATAAATTATGTCAACGAGATTCCTTGACACAAAGAAGCCCTTCTTTTAAAGTCAAAAATCTGTACTCTAGATCAATTAAAAGCTTGATTATACCAATTGTTCTAACTACAAAACACCTGGGTTTTACTGTTGACTGACCAGTTTTAATTGAAGCAATTAAAGACAAATTGCCAGGCGTGGTGGCTCACGCCTGTAATCCCAGCACTTTGGGAAGCCAAGGCGGGCAGATCACCTGAGGTTGGGAGCTCGAGACCACCCTGACCAACATGGAGAAACCCGTCTCTACTAAAAAAAAAAAATACAAAATTAGCTGGGTGTGGTGCCTGTAATCCCAGCTGCTTGGGAGGCTGAGGCAGGAGAATCGCTTCAACCCAGGAGGCAGAGGTTGCAGTGAGCTGGAGATCGCGCCATTGCACTCCAGCGTGGCAACAAGAGCGAAACTCCATCTCAAAAAAAAAAAAAAAGACAAATTTTAGATCAGGATAACAAATCTGTCATCTGTATGGATTCTAGACAGTCAAGAACACTACTTACGTATGTAGGAAGCAGGGAACAGTTAAGTGACGAAGTAGTTAAGAAATGAGGAGGCCAGGCATGGTGGCGCACACTTCTAATCCCAGCACTTTGGGAGGCTGAGGCAGATGGATCGCTTGAGCCCAGGAGTTCAAGACCAGCCTGGCCAACATGGCAAAACCCTGTCTCTACAAAAAAATACAAAAATTAGCCAGGCATGGTGGCACATGCCTGTAGTCCCAGCTACTCAGGAGGCTGAGGTGGGAGGATCACTTGAGCCCAGGTCATCGAGGCTGCAGTGGGCCACGAGCATGCCACTGAACTCCAGCCTGGGTGACAGAGCAAGACCCTGTTTCAAAATTTTAAAAACATTTTTAAATTTAAAAATTAAAAAAAAAGAAACAGGAAGAAATTTTTCTAACAACCACTTGTTTGTCTTGTTGTCACTGTTTTTGAGCAATTAGCCTTTATTCATTGTATCAAGTGAATATAATGCTCATCCTGCACTAAGGATTAGTTATTTATTAAAAAGACAAACTATTCGGCCAGGCCCGGTGGCTCATGCCTGTAATCCTAGCACTTTGGGAGGCCGAGGCAGGTGGATCGCCTGAGCTCAGGATTTCAAGACCAGCCTGGGCAACACAGTGAAACCCCGTCTCTACTAAAATACAAAAAGTTAGCTGGGCATGGTAGCATGGGCCTGTAATCCCAGCTACTCAGGAGGCTGAGGCAGAAGAATTCCTAGAACCCGGGAGGCAGAGGTTGCAGTGAGTCAAGACTGGGCCACTGCACTCCAGCCTGGGTGACAGAGCAAGACTCTGTCTCTTAAAAAAAAAAAAAAAAAAGACAAACTATTCAAGTAAGTGATCAGTCTACGGTAAAAGTTAAAGTGTTAAAGAAGTTGGCAACAACTTTACCATTAAATGTTCCCTCCCATGCCATATCACCTCCAGAGAATCTTGGTTCAATGGTTTCCCATGGTATTCAAAATGGAATCATAACTCCAAGGCCCTGTATACCATGGACGTTGTCTATCTATGTCTCTAACCTCACCTCCTGCTACTCTCCCAGAAAATCACCTTGCTTCAGTCACTGACAACTTAACAGTTTAAAGCCCTTTTCTGCCTAGAAGCGCCTGAAGACACTTTTACGAAGACTCCGAGCACTGATTTACAAAGCATGTAAATCATAAACTGTCCCTAGACACACGAAAAGTTCAGAAAAGAAAATGGAAAAGGATATGAAGACAATATTTTCATTCCTTCAAAGTGTAATTTTGACAGGGGAATGCTATGAGGGAAAAGATTGACTAAAATTATTCTCACTTTTTTTTTTTTTTGAGACAGTCTTGCACTGCCGCCCAGGCTGGAGTGCAATGGCGCGACCTCGGCTCACTGCAACCTCCACCTCCTGGGTTCAAGCAATTCTCCTGCCTCAGCCTCCCGAGTAGCTGGGACTACAAGTGCGCAACACGATGTTCGGCTAATTTTTTTGTGTATTTTTAGTGGAGACAGGGTTTCACCATGTCTCCTGACCTCAAGTGGTCCGCCTGCCTCAGC
Organism: Homo sapiens; assembly: GCF_000001405.40. Taxonomy (NCBI): domain Eukaryota; kingdom Metazoa; phylum Chordata; class Mammalia; order Primates; family Hominidae; genus Homo; species Homo sapiens. Next base: position 128,078,378 of record NC_000004.12, on the reverse strand, counting down.
CTCCCAGAGTGCTAGGATTACAGGTGTGAGCCACTGCGCCCAGCCTATTCTCACTTTTCTCTTAGGAAAAAAATGTATTTAATTTTCACAGTACTCCCTAAATATAGGGAGCAGTTCCAATGCAGATCTAAAAGAACAATAATTATCACACAACTTTCCAAGAATGTATCTACAACTGTACCTCTAAGTGGAACTCCATTCCATTTTCTTGCATAGAATACAAGTTACATACAAAAAGGAAAGTCTAATAGTTCAGAAATGTTACAAAAGCAAATGAGTTACCTCTGCAGATTGTTTATCCTGAAGAAATACAAACTATACATTTTTGACTACCAGAGATCAGTTAATGAAATGTAATTCCTCATTACAACTTTCTTCAAAAACTAAAATCAAAATAAAGATATGGACAAACTGACCTCTCTTACGTTGATTACTTGACTGAGCCTCATCCTCACTGACGTTTTCACCAGGACCATTTAATTTTGTTTCCCGGTTTTCTTTGCTGTCACTGTTACTTCTCTTTTCAACCTTCTCTTCTTTTTCTTTTCTATTTTGTGGCTTTTTATTTCCTTGGCTGAGGACGCTCTGAAACTGCAAAAAGGTTTTCAGAATGAAATGATTTCCATTAATATTTTCACTAACATACCCAAAAATTTGTGGCAATATACCTAACCTAAAATTGCAAAACAAATGACAAAAACTGTTATCAAAGGCAAAAAATTACTTTTCAAAAGACAGTTAAAAGTAAAGCTGCAGACTAGGAGAAAGTATTTGCTAAGTATTTGATAAAGAACTTTTACCTCAAATACATATGAACTTTCAAAACTCAGTAACAACAAATCAATACCACTTTTTTTTTTTGCAGGGGCGGGGGCGGGAGGACAGAGTCTCACTTTGTTGCCCAGGCTGGAGTGCAGTGGCACGATCTCGGCTCACTGCAGCCTCCACCTCCTGGGTTCAAGCAATTATCCTGCCTCAGCCTCCCTAGTAGCTGGTATTACAGGCACATGTCACCACACCTGGCTAACTCTTTTTTTTTTTTAAGTAGAGAGGGGGTTTCGCCATGTTGGTCAGGCTGGTCTCGAACTCCTAACCCCAAATGATTCACCGTCCTCAGCCTCCCAAAGTGCTGCGATACACGCATGACCCATTGCACCCAGCCTTCCATTTTTTTAAATGGGCAGATTGATCACATACTTCATCAAAAAGATACACTGATGGCAAATCTATGAAAAGATTATTGCATTCATTCATCAGAAAAATGCAAATTAAAACTGCAATGGGATACCACTCCTCATTTATTAGAATGGCTAAAATATTTTTTGAAACTTGACCATATTATCGGTGAGTAAAGATGGGTTCGGTGGCTCACACCTGTAATCCTAGCACTTTGGGAAGCCAAGGCAGGTAGATCACTTGAGCTCAGGAGTTTGAGACCAGCCTGGGCACATGACGAAACCCCATCTCTACAAAAAATACAAAAAAATTAGCCAGGCGTGGTGGTGCATGCCTATAGTCGCAGCTACTTATGGGGCTGAGGTGGGGGGGTCACTTGAGCCCAGGAGGTCAAGACTGCAATGAGCTGAGATCATGCCACTGTACTCCAGCCTGGGTGACAAAGTGAGACCCGGTCTCACACACACACACAAAAAAGAGAGTGAGTGAAGATGTGGAGTAACTGGAATTCATGTACACTGCTGATAGAAGTGCAAACTCAGCAGTTTCTTAAAAAGCTAAAACAGGTAGCTACTAAGTGATCCAACCTAGTTACATATCCAAGAAAAAATGAAAAATTTTCTACACAAACGTTCATATAGCAGTTTTATTTGTATCAACCAAAACGTAAAATTAATCCAAATGTCCATTAACAATAGGTGAATGGACAAACTGTGTTACATCCATACTACTCAGTAAGAAAAAAGAATGAACTGCTGACACACAAGTAAATCTCAAAATAATGCTGAGTACAAGCCAGGAAAAAAAAGAGTACCTACTCAATGCTTCCACATATATAAAATTCTAGAAAATGCAAATCTCAAATATAAGATTACCTCTTAAGAATACAACGAGATGAGGCTGGGCGCAGTGGCTCACGCCTGTAATCCCAGCACTTTGGGAGGCCAAGGTGGGTGGATCACCTGAGGTCAGGAGTTCGAGACCAACATGGCGAAACCCTGTCTCTACTAAAAATACAAAAATTAGCCAGATGTGGTGGTGCGTGCCTGTAATACCAGCTACTCAGGAGGCTGAGGCAGGAGAATCACTTAAACCCGGGAGGCGGAGGTTGCAGTGAGCTGAAATCCCACCACTGTACTCCAGCCTGGGCGACAGACCAAGACTCTGTCTCAAAAAAAGAATATAACCAGATGAGGGAAATGTGATGAATTAAATTAGGTTATCTGAAAAGCGGGTAAACTATCAAAAGGATAGCTGCCACGTTTTCAGCACCTCTTTATCAATGTATGTGATTTTATACAAATATAAAAATTTGATTACAATTTATAATATGTCTTCATTATTAAAGAAATAATAGGCGAGGTATGGTGGCTAACGCCTATAATCCCAGCACTTTGGGAGGCTGAGGCGAGCCAATTGCTTGAGCTCAGGAGTTTGATACCAGCCTGGGCAACATGACCAAACCCCCATCTCTACAAAAAGTTTAAAAATCTCCCAGTGTGGTGGCACACACCTGTAGTCCCAGTCACTTGGGAGGCAAAGGTGGAGGATCACCTGAGCCTGGAAGGCCAAGGCTGCAGTGAGCTGTGATCACATCACTGCACTCCAGCCTGGGTAATGGAGTGAGACCCTATCTCAAAGGAAAAAAAAAAAAAGAAAAGAAAGAAAGAAATAATAGGTTAGGTTAAGCTTCCCATGAGTAAAGCTTAAGACAACAAGTTCATTACCAATGTTACTGGCAGCATCGAAGAATAACTGCAAATTAAAGTAACAAAATGTAATCTTCTTGATGAATCAAGTTTTTAAATCTGTTCCTCAGCCAGAATGGTAGCTCATACTGTAATCTCAACATTTTGGGAGGCTGAGGCAGGAGGATCACTTGAGCTCAGGAGTTGGAGACCAGCAAAATCCTGTCTCTATGAAAAATACAAAAATTAGCTGTGCACAGTGGTGCGTGCCTGTAGTCCCAGCTACTCTGGAGGTCGAGGTAGGAAGATCACCTGAGCCTAGCAGTTTGAGGCTACAATGAGCTGTGATCACACCACTGCACTCCAGCCTGGAGACAGAGCAAGACCCTGTCTCAAAAAAATAAAAAAAATCTGTCCCCCAGTATGACAATTCTTTACATTTTAAGTAAAATAAAATTCTGCATGTCGAAATGAATACATTTTCCTTTCTTTAAAAAAAAAAACTTTAAAACAATACTCACTCCAGTGTTCACTAATTCACTTGGTGTTGGCCAATTCTCCATATCACTGAAATCACTAGCCTAAGAAGTAACAAATAAGTGTTAGGTCTGAAATTACTTTTAGAAATTTTAAGCAGGAAAAAAACATTTTCTAAAAGTGAAAGGAGTTTTAAATAATCATTTATATTCAGTTATATGCAGGCATCTGCCAAATTAATCAAAAAGTTTCTGCAAACAATAGAACATTTTGAAATAAGAATGGCTTAATCTTATGATAAAACTTTCACCACTATTTAATAACATTAAATTGAGTTATACATGATAACAAAGGCATATATAGAGATTTGGATAAAGGTTATGATTTTCCATAATATTAACTTTAATCTAATACCAATAATACAATTAGAAGAAAAATACACTTATAATAACCTAAGAGTTCTTAGCCTCAATTTTCAAAAATCAATACAGTTAAGAACTATTTCCTATGAAGACATACCTTGTTGGATTTCTTTGTCTTGAGCTTTCCTGCCTTTATAATTTTGAGGGAACCGAATTCTAAAGAAAATATATAGAATTGTTTTTACAACTACTTCATTCAATAAATTCAACAAAATAACTATTATGTCAATTTCAGTAAATCAGTATAATCATCATTTCCAACCAAAATCCAAGGTTCTGAGACTTAAATTCCTAGCAAAAAATCAACCCCATTTGACACATAGATTCAAGGTGATCTTCAGTCTCCAAATCAAGAAGTAAGAAATATTAACAGTGTTGCCGGGCGGGGTGGCTCACGCCTGTAATCCCAGCACTTTGGGAGGCCGAGGTGGGTGGATCACCTGAGGTCAGGAGTTCGAGACCGGCCTGACCAACATGGAGAAACCCCGTCTCTACTAAAAATACAAAATCAGCCGGGCACAGTGGCACATGCCTGTAATCCCAGATACTCAGGAGGCTGAGGCAGGAGAATCGCTTGAACCTGGGAGGCAGAGGATGCGGTAAGCTGAGATCTTGCCATTCCACTCCAGCCTGGGCAACAAGAGCAAAACTCCACCACAAAAAACAAAAAAAAACACAGCGTATTACACTGAACTGACAGAACAATCCTCTCATTAACAGAATATAGGCTGGGCCTGGTGGCTCACACCTGTAATCCCAGCACTTCGGGAGGCCAAGATGGGCGGATCACTGGAGTCAGGAGTTTGAGACCAGCCTGGCCAACATGGTGAAACCCCATCTCTACTAAAAATAGAAAAATTAGCCCAGTGTGGTAGCACATGCCCATAGTCCCAGCTACTCAGAAGGCTGAGGCAGGAGAATCGCTTGAACCTGGGAGGTGGAGGTTGCAGTGAGCCTAGATTGCACCACTGCACTCCAGCTGGGGCGACAGAGCTAGACTCTGTCCAAAAAAAAAAAAAAAAAAAAAAAAAAAAAAAAAAAAACGACAACAATATAACAGGAGAAAATTACAAATACAACTTTTTTTTTTTTGAGACAGAGTCTCTTTATTTCTCTCATGCTGTTTGCTGTTGGTAAGAGTATGAGGTAGTATTTCTTTCTTTCTTTCTTTTTTTTTTTTTTTTTTTTTTTTTTTTTGAGACGGAATCTTCTCACTCTGTCGCCCAGGCTGGAGTGCAGTGGCGCAATCTTGGCTCACTGCAACCTCCCCCTCCGGGGTTCAAGCCATTCTCCTGCCTCAGCCTCCCAAGCAGCTGGGATTACAGGCGCCTGCCACCATGCCTGGCTAATTTTTTTGTATTTTTAGGAGAGACAGGGTTTCACCATTTTAGCCAGGCTGGTCTCAAACTCCTGACCTCAAGTAATCCGCCCACCTCGGCCTCCCAAAGTGCCAGGATTACAGGCATGAGCCACGGCGCCCAGCCAAGGTAGTATATCTTTCAAGGGTAATCTGTCATCTAAAATGTATATAACTTTTAATAAAAGAATTCCATTTTCAGGAAATTATCTAGGAATCAAGAAAAGGTACAAAGATGTCCATATAGGATGTTCAGTGCAACTTTGTTGATAATCCTATTTAAACAGTCTCTACGTAATAATACACAGAATACTATATAACTTTTAGAAATCAGACAAAGCTGTATATGTATTGACATGGAAAGAAGTCCACCAGGTTTTAAATATAATTTTATATATACAGGCCAGGCTCAGTGGCTCACACCTGTAATCCAAACAGCTTTGGGAGGCCAAGGCAGGCAGATCTCTTGAGGCCAGGAGTTCAAGACCAGCCTGGCCAAAATGACGAAACCCCATCTCTACTAAAAAAACAAAAATTAACCAGGTGTGGTGGCGCATGCCTGTAATCCCAGCTACTTAGGAGGCTGAGGCAGGAGAATCACTTGAATCCAGGAGGTGAAAGTTGCAGTGAGCCGAGACTGCACCACTGCACTCCAGCCTGGGCAACAGAGTGAGACTCTGATTAAAAAAAAAAAAATTATATATACGTACAGATTACAAGTAAAAGAAGCCTAAGAAAGGAAATTTTTCATTTTCTCATGTTTTAACATGGAGGAAATCATGCTGCATGTCATTAGAGAACACCTAAGACTGAAATAGCAAGCCAGTTGAGGAAATTGTTTTAAATTTAAAAATTTAAAACATATCTCCATTTTTCAAACATCATTAGTAAGACAGACACTATATACCAGTACATCTTTTTTGAGCATTATTTCACTATCTTTAAAATGTTACTCTTAGGCCGGGCACAGTGGCTCACGCCTATAATCCCACCACTTTGGGAGGCCAACGCAGGCAGATTACCTGAGGTCAGGAGTTTGAGAGCAGCCTGGCCAACATGGCAAAACCCCGTCTCTACTAAAAAACACAAAAATTAGCCAGGCATAGCAGCGGGTGCCTGTTATCCTAGCTACTCTGGAGGCTGAGGCACGAGAATCGCTTGAACCCAGGAGGTAGAGGTTGCAGTGAGCCGAGATCGCACCACCACACTCCAGCCTGAGGAACAGAGCGAGACTCCATCTCAAATAAATAAATAAAGTAAAAATAAATAAATAATAAAACGTTATCCTTAAACCCTGGGACCTACAAGGAAATAACTGTAAATAGTTAAAGAAAATAATATATTTTTAAGGGCTAGGATACTTTAAACAAAAGCTACAACACAGCAGAGCCTATTTCACTCAGCTTAATTCTTATGACCATAATCTTTTGGCAAAATTTTAATTAAGAAAATGCACTGATGATATCAATATTTCACATCTTATCATATTTAAGGGAAAATGTGGTAAAAATTAGTGCTTTTTAAAATGTGAAAGAATGGCCAGGCGCGGTGGCTCATGCCTGTAATCCCAGCACTTTGGGAGGCTGAGGCAGGTGGATCACCTGAGGTCAGGAGTTCAAGACCAGCCTGGCCAACATGGTGAAACCCCATCTCTACTAAAAATATAAAAACTAACTGGGCGTGGTGGTAGACGCCTGTAATCCCAGCTACTCGGGAGGCTGAGGCAGAAGAATTGCTTGAACCCAGGAGACGGAGGTTGCAGTGAGCCGACACAGTGCCACTGCCCTCCAGCCTTGGCGACAGAGTGAGACTGTCTCAAAAAAAAAAAAAAAAAAAATTGTGAAAGAAGACAATTCTCAAACTCTAATAGTGGGAGTATCAGTTTATACAGTTACTTTAAAAAGCAACTTGTAAAGGCCAGTGCGGTGGCTCACGCCTGTAATCCCAGCACTTTGGGAGGCCGAGGTGGCGGATCACGAGGTCAGGAGATCGAGACCATCCTGGCTAACACAGTGAAACTCCGTCTCCATTAAAAATACAAAAAATTAGCTGGGTGTGGTGGCGGGCGCCTGTAGTCCCAGCTACTCAGGAGGCTAAGGCAGGAGAATGGCATGAACCCAGGAGGTGGAGCTTGCAGTGAGCCAAGATCACGCCACTGCACTCCAGCCTGGGCGACAGAGCGAGACTCTGTCTCAAAAAATAAAAAATAAAAATAAAAACATTAAAAAATAAATAAATAAAAAGTGACTCATAAACTTAAAAAATGCCCTATAACCTAACAATTCTACTTCTCAGCATCTACCCTAGAGAAAGGCACACATGGATATAAGACATATGTATAAAAATGTTCAGTTTCTTCTAGATACAAAAATGAAAAAAATCAAGATAATCAACAGGTAAATCTCTAAATCAACTATGTCAGCCATATTTAGGACCACTCCTTAGCTATTTTTTTTTTTAATTGAGATAGGGTTTCACTATGTTGCCCAGGCTGATCTCAAATTCCTGTCCTCAAACCCCGGTCACCTTGGTCTCCCAGAGTGTTAGGATTACAGGTATGAGCCACTACAGCCGGTCATCCTAAGCCTTTTTTCTTTTTGAGACGGAATTTCACTCGTTGCCCAGGCTGAAATGCAATGGCACCATCTTGGCTCAGTGCAACCTCCGCCTCCCGGGTTCAAGCAATTCTCCCACCTCAGCCTCCCAAGTAGCTGGGATTACAGGTGCCAGCCACCACACTCAGCTGATTTTTGTATTTTTAGTAGAGAGAGGGTTTCACCATGTTGGCCAGGCTGGTCTCGAACTCCTGACCTCAGGTGATCTGCCTACTTCAGCCTCCCAAAGTGCTCGGATTGCAGGCATGAGCCACCGTGCCCGGGCAGTCCTCAGCAATTTTTAAAAGGAGTTTAGATTTAGTAAATTATCTTCTTTTTTTTTTTGAGACGGAGTCTCACTCTGTCACCCAGGCTGGAGTGCAGTGGTGCAATCTCTGCTCACTGCAAGCTCCGCCTCCCGGCTTCACCCCATTCTGCTGCCTCAGCCTCCCAAGTAGCTGGGACTACAGGTGCCTGCCACCACGCCCAGCTAATTTTTTTTGTATTTTTAGTAGAGACAGGGTTTCACCGTGTTAGACAGGATGGTCTCGATTTCCCGACCTCATGATCCGCCCACCTCAGCCTCCCAAAGTGCTGGGATTACGGGTGTGAGCCACTGCGCTCGGCCTCAGTAAATTATCTTAAGATGACATCAAAGTTTTTCATTTTTGTAAGGAGAATATATTTATGCATTTTTTCTATATAACTTACTTAAAATGGTATTTCATTAGGGTAACAACAGTAAGCTTACTTGAGGTTTCTAGGAACCAAACAGGAGAAAATAAGGTTGATGAACCAAATAGTAGGAGAAAAGAGGTTGATGATGAACATAGGGTTCGAGAAAAATAAGAATAAAAAAGACAGAAAAAAATCAGTATTTTTTAAACATCATATTGTTATGAGTAAAAGAATGGAAATTATACTAGAATGCTGATGTTTAATAGGCAAAAAACAACCATAAATACAAGTAAGGGATTAATAAACCCATATTGTGATTTTAATAAAAGAATCCGTGCCCCTTCTGTCTAGCAGCAGCCATCAGGTAAGCCAAGATGGGGGCATACAAGTAAATCCAGGAGCTATGGAGAAAATGCACTTTCTTCTGAGAGTTGGTTGCTGGCAGTACCACCAGCTCTCTGCTCTCCACAGGGCTCCCCACCCCATCTGGCTTGATAAAGCGCACCAGCTGGGCTACAAGGCCAACCAAGTTTATGTTATATATAGGATTCGTGTTCGCCATGGTGGCCGAAAGCACCCAGTTCCTAAGGGTGCAACTTATGGCAAGCCTGTCCATCATGGTGTTAACCAGCTAAAGTTTGCTCAAAGTCTTCAGTCCATTGCAAAGCGGCAAGCTGGATGCCACTGTGGGGCTCTAAAAGTCCTGAATTCTCACTGGGTTGGTGAAGATTCCACATACAAGTTTTTTGAGGTTATCCTCATTGATCCATTCCATAAAGCTATCAGAAGAAATCCTGACACCCAATGGATCACCAAACCAGTCCACAAGCATAGGAAGATGCATGGGCTGCCATCTGCAGGCCGAAAGAGCCATAGCCTTGGAAAGGGCCTTAAGTGCCACCACACTATTGGTGGTTCTCACCAGGGAGCTTGGAGAAGGCGCAATACTCTCCAGCTCCACCGTTACAGCCAATATAAGTAAAGTTTGTAAAATTCATACCTAATAAACAATTTAGGACAATCATGTCTGCTTACAGGTATTATTTATCTGTTAAAACTAGTCTGCAGACTGCTTCATGAATGCTTTGTCAAGTTAAGAAAAGTTAAAGTGCAATAATGCTTGAAGAGAATAAGTGATGGTGTATCTTCCTTCTAATAAGATAAACTTTTTTGTCTTTGCTTTATCTTGTTAGGGGGTTATATGTCAGTGTATAAAACATACTGTGTGATATAATAGGTTTAAAATAAATTATTTAAAAGAGGGAAAAAAAGGAATCTGCCAGGCCAGGCTCACACCTGTAATAGCAGCACTTTGGGAGGCTGAGGCAGGGAATCCTTTGAGGCCGCCAAGAATTCAAGACTGGGCCTGGGCAATATAGTGAGACCCTGTCTCAAAAAAAAAATAAAAATAGCTTGAGTTCAAGAGTTCTGAGACCAGCCTAGGCAACATGGCAAGATACTGTCTCTATTTTTAAATTTAAAAAACAAAAATAAAATAATTTGCCAGGCATGGTGGCACATGCCTGTAGTCCTAGCTACTTGAGAAGCTGAGGCAGGAGGATCCCTTGGGCCCAGGAGTTCTAGGCTGCAGTGAGCTATGATTGTGTCACTGTACTCCTACGCTAGCCTGGGTGACAAAGTGAGACTCGGTCTCTTAAAAAAAAAAAAAAGCCGGGTGTGGTGGCTCATGTCTGCAATCCCATCACTTTGGGAGGCCAAGGTGGGTCAATCATCTGAGGTCCAGAATTCAAGATCAGCCTGGCCAACATGGTGACACCCCATCTCTACTAAATATACAAAAATTATTGGCCGGGCGCAGTGGCTCACGCCTATAATCCCAGCACTTTGGGAGGCCGAGGCGGGTGGATCACGAGGTCAGGAGATCGAGACCATCCTGGCTAACGTGGTGAAACCCCGTCTCTACTAAAAATGCAAAAAATTAGCCGGGCAAGGTGGCGGGCGCCTGTAGTCCCAGCTACTCGGGAGGCTGAGGCAGGAGAATGGCGTGAACCCGGGAGGCGGAGCTTGCAGTGAGCCGAGATTGTGCCACTGCAGTCCAGCCTGGGTGGCAAAGCGAGACTCCATCTCAAAACAAAAACAAAAACAAAAATTATGCAGGCATGGTGGCGAGCGCCTGTAATCCTAGCTACTCGGAAGGCTGAAGCAGAAGAATCGCTTGAACACGGGAGATGGAGGTTGCAATGAGATTGCTCCATTGCACTCCAGCTTGAGCGACGAGAGCAAGGCGCCATCTCAAAAAAAGAAAAAAAAAAAAAGGAGGTATCCAAAATAAAACTAATACCAAGTCAGGACACAGATGGGAGAAGTTCCTTCTGGTCTCATGACTAAATTTCAAGATAAAAGGCCTCTTGGGTGGGCAGCAACTTTGGCTGAAGAGTGCCTCATCTGGATTTCTAGAAACAGCAACACATGATCAAAATCATCCTAAAAGTGGAAGAAAATTTCTCACAAGGGCCGAGGCATCAAGAATCTGGTTCACTTAGATGTGCAGGTTGTAATGTAGAGAAAATTCATAATTTCTGTCCTGAAATATTCTCCCCTGTGTTTCCTATGTTTCTAACTGTAGTAATAAACTTCCTGGCAAAATTCTGTGGATGGAATTCCTTTACCTCATTAACAGAGTAACAGTAAATCCAAGTTTGAGCAGGATAGACCTGATTTAAGTCTGTTATTTCAATACAATTCTCTCTCTCAAAGAGCATCCTGTTTTGTAGAATTATACAATTTATATAGTATAAATTATACAATCACTAATAGATAACTAATAGATTTAGAGGTACCCACTGTGAACTTTAAACAACTTCTGGTCCTATTTCTTTACTTCTTAAGTTGCAAATTTGCTTAAGAAAATAGCCTGAGGTCAACCATGGTGGCTCACCCCTGTAATCCCAGCACTTTGGGAGGCCGAAGCGGGCGCATCAACTGAGGTCAGGAGCTCGAGACCAGCCTGGCCAACGTGGTAAAACCCCATCTCTAGTAAAAATTAAAAAAAAATAATTAGCCGGGCAACCATGGTTGCGCGCGCCTGTAGTCCCAGCTACTCAGGAGACTGAGGCAGGAGAATTGCTCGAACCTGGGAGGTGGGGGGTTGCAGTGAGCCAAGATCGCGCCATTGCACTCCTGCCTGGGTGACAGAGCAAGACTCTGTCTCAAAAAAAAAAAAAAAAATGGCAAGAAAATAGAAAGCCCGGCCAGGCACGGTGGTTCACACCTGTATCCCAGCACTTTGGGAGGTGGAGGTGGGAGGATCACCTGAGGTCAGGAAGTCGAGACCAGCCTGACCAACATAGAGAAACCCTGCCTGTACTAAAAATATAAAAATTAGCCAGGCATGGTGCCGCTTGCCTGTTATCCCAGCTACTTGGCTGGCTGAGGCAGGAGAATCGGGGGAACCCAGGAGGTGGAGGTTGCGGTGAGCAGAGATCACACCATTGCACTCCGGCCTGGGCAACAAGAATGAAACTCCATCTCAAAAAAAAAAAAAAAAAGGCCGGGCGCAGTGGCTCACGCTTGTAATCCTAGCACTTTGGGAGGCCGAGGCCGGCGGATCACGAGGTCAGCAGATCGAGACCATCCTGGCTAAGATGGTGAAATCCCGTCTCTACTAAAATAATACAAAAAATCAGCCGGGCATGGTGGCAGGCGCCTGTAGTCCCAGCTACTCAGGAGGTTGAGGCAGGAGAACAGTGTGAACCCGGGAGGCGGAGCTTGCAGTGAGCAGAGATTGCACCACTGCACTCCAGCCTGGGCGACAGAGCGAGACTCTGTCTCAATATAACAAAAAAAAAAAAAAAAAAAAAGAAGAAAGAAAGAAAATAGACAATAGAAAGCCGCCAGGCAGGGTGGCTTACACCTGTAGTCCCAGCACTTTGTGGGGGCTGAGGCAGGATAGCTTGACCCCAAGAGCTCAAGACCAGCCTGGACAACAAAGGGGGCCCCTGTCTCTACAAAAAAAAATTAAAAATAACTAGCCGGGCATGGCTAATTCCATGGAATGACATGCGTGCCTGTCATCCCAACTACTTGGGATGCCAAGGCAGGGGAATTGCTTGAGTCCAGGAGGTCAAGGCTGCAGTGAGCTATGATCTCACCACTGCAATAGAGCAAGACTGACAATCTATCTACCTATTTAAATAAACTAATGTAAAATGTATTTATTTAAATGAATTAAATAATATTAAATAAATATATAAATGGAAGCCAAGGCAGCCAGGTTATAAGTGGCACTCTGGTATTATGAACCAGAGGAAATGAGTCTATCCATGTTATTCATTTATAATGCCCAGAAATCTTGCCAGAAGTCAACTAGCCAGTTAGTAACAATACCTGCACTAGAACCCAAGTCTCTCAAAACAGTATGTTTCTACACCACAATCTCTTTTATCTAAGTTACCTAAGTTATTTAACTGCAAATAGACTGTGGTCCTGTTTCTTTACTCCTGAAGTTGTAAATTTGCTTAAGAAAATAGAAAGCCTGATTATGTCTGTAATCCCTGCACTTTGGGAAGCAGGAGGATCGCCTGAGGCCAGCAGTTCAAGACCAGCCTGGGAAACACAGAGAGACTCCATCTCTTGAAAAAAGAAAGAAAAGAAAAGAAAAGAAAAGAAAAGAAAAGAAAAGAAAAGAAAGGAAAGAGAGAGAGAGAGAGAAAGAAAGAAAGAAAGAAAGAAAGAAAGAAAGAAAGAAAGAAAGAAAGAAAGAAAGAAAGAAATTAATTGTGGGAGAACAGTGCAGAGTCAGTGTTGGGAAGAGACCATGGTTACTACACTATGCCAGGTCTGAAAGATGGTCTTCCTGCCAGTGCAGAATGGATTCCATCCAAAGACAGAAAGAGTTGCCTACACAAGACAACAGCAAAACTGAAATTTCCATGAACCATACCATACAACTAGTATCACAGTGTTCTTAATCTCCAGTGAAGACTGGAGAATGAAGGCACCAATAGCTTAACTGTTAAATATTTTTCACAGGTCATTTGCAATTAAAGTTCCCAAGGCTTACCTTGACAGTTTTTAAAGTTCTATTATCATTATTATTATTATTAATATTATTATTTTAAACGTGGTCTTGCTATATTGCCCAGGCTAGAATGCAGTGGCTATTCACAGGCACTATGACAGGACACTACAGCCTCAAACTCCTGGGCAAAACTGATTTTTCCTGCCTCAGCCTCCCAGGGAGCTAAAACTACAGGCACACACTACCATGTATGGCTTCGAAGTTTTAAAATCTATGATACTGGTTTTATGATCAACAAAGAGTTCCTACTTGGTAATTCACTTAATTGTCTGTAAGTCTAGAAGTAGAGAGGTGAAACAGCAAATAAGATGATTCACTAGGGTTTTCTTTCTTTGCTAAATTTTAGAGTGCTTGCCACTGGGCTTTAAAAAAGAAAAAAAAGAAAAACTTTATGAGGTCTTCACTTAACCATGTTCTCTTTAGTTAGTAATAGGAGTAAACAAACAGCTCTTTATAGCGAGGAAGGAATTATGCCAATATTAAATCCAGAGCAAACTTTTTTTCTGCAAGTGTCAAAATTTATCAACAATTAATGAGGAGTATTTCTGTGCAAAGGCAAATGAATGAATTAACTCAACACATATCTCCCTCTTTGGAGAGTTCCTCTGAAGAAATGTTAACATAACATAATGGGTGCTTGTAACAATCACCGTACTTTTTTTTTTTTTTTTTTTGAGACTGAGTCTTGCTCTGTCACCCAGGCTGGAATACAGTGGCTCAGTCTTGGCTCACTGCAACCTCCGTCTCCCGGGTTCAAGCGATTCTCCTGCCTCAACCTCCTGAGTAGCTGGTATTACAGGCACGCACCACCATATCCGGCTAATTTTTGTATTTTTAGTAGAGACGGGGTTTCGCCATGTTGGCCAGGCTGATCTCGAACTCCTGACCTCAGGTGATCCACCCGCCTCGGCCTCCCAAAGTGCTGGGATTACAGGCGTGTGCCACCGCGCACAGCCAATCGCCTTACATTTATACCACCTCTTCATCGCATTTGATCCTCACAAGCCAGTAAACACGCTCAAATATTTCTTGTTCTGCTGCTAACCTTTAATTTTAAATAAAAATGAAGACTTGCAAGTAAACAGCTGTCATTTGCATATAAAAAGTTCAAGTCATTTACAACTTAATTTAGAAAGATACGGTTTTGTTTTTTTGTGTTTTTTTTTGAGACGGAGTTTCGCTCCTGTTGCCCAGGCTGGAGTGCAGTGGCGCGATCTCGGCTCACTGCAACCTCTGCCTCCCGGGTTCAAGCGATTCTCCTGCCTCAGCCTCCCCAGTAGCCGGGATTACAGGCATGCGCCACCACGCCAGGTTAATTTTGTATTTATAGTACAGACAAGGTTTCTCCATGTTAGTCAGGATGGTCTTGAACTCCTGACCTCAGGTGATCCACCTGCCTCGGCCTCCCAAAGTGCTGGGATTACAGGCGTGAGCCACCGCGCCCGGCCAGATACTGCTTTTTGTCATGGTTTTTATTTCCATTTTAACTTTTTTTTTTTTTTTTTTTTTTTTTTTTTTGAGAGTGGGTCTCACTCTGCCGACCAGGCTGGAGTGCAGTGGCGCGATCTCGGCTCACTGCAACCTCCACCTCCCGGGTTCAAGCGATTCTCCCTGCCTCAGCCTCTCAAGTAGGTGAGATTACAGGCGCCCGCCACCACGCCTGGCTAATGATCGTATTTCTAGTAGAGACGGGGTTTCGCCATATTGGCCAGCCTGGTCTCGAACTCCTCACCTCAGGTGATCCGCCCGCCTCGGCCTCCCAAAGTGCTGGGATTACAGGCGTGAGCCACCGCGCCGGCCCATTTTTACTTTCTTAAGTTGCAGTTACTACAATCAAAATAAAGCACCGACGGCCATACAGCATTGGTCAGCATTCAAATATAGTGGCATAATCTTATCTCCTCTAAAGGGAAGGAGAGCTGACAATGTTAGAAAACCATTTACCTAACGTGCAATCCACGCTCGCATGTCAACTATCCTATTTCAATTATTTTCCAGCACACTTATAACTTAAAGCACTTTATTTTTTTTAATTATACTTAAAGTTTTAGGGTACATGTGCACAACGTGCAGGTTACACATGTATACATGTGCAGCCATGTTGGTGTGCTGCACCCATCAACTCGTCATTTAACATTAGGTATATCTCCTAATGCTATCCCTCCCCCCTCCCCCCATAAAGCACTTTAAAAACCACATTTAAAGTCTCATTTTTAATATGACTGCTCAGCAGTGTTTTGAAAACCTTTTTTCATCTTATTTCACAAAAGACTACAATCGCGCTTCCACTTACGAATAAATCCCCTTGCTCTGACTTGCTTCAATCCTTTTATGTAAAAAAAAAAAAAAAAAAGTCTACCAAAACTTTCCCATACGAAGCACTGCAGTATCTAAAGTTAGCTACTTTCCCAAGTCACTAACACTGGGGACAAAACACAATCGCAACCGCGCCAGCAGGGATGCGCCGCCAAGCTACCACCTCCGTGCCCCCATCAGGCAAGGAGAACCTGAGGTCCCACCTCTTCCTGCCGCTCCCTTCCCAGATGCCCATGTCTGTAAATAGGCAGAGTGAATGACACCTTGGAACAAATTACCTCCGACTGACAGGGAGGGGAGGCCTGCCGTTACCCGGGCCTGGTGCCCGCTACCGCCGCCACGCGCCGGCAAGTCCCGCAAGTCGCCCCTGCCCGCACCCTGCCAGTGCCCAACGCAGAGCAACCACAGACCTGCCTCCAGGGTTTCCAGCGGGGGCGGTGGCGGACCTGTCGTGTCTGGGGACAGGTGCTGGGGAGGCTTTTTGGTCCAGGGATTTCCCTTAGGCGGCAGCAGCGGCGGCTGCCGCTTTTCCGCAGGGCCAGCTGCCACCTCTTCCCGGGCGTCCTCGGCCGGCGGATCCCGCAGCAACGGCGGCAACGGCGACGGCGGCGGCGGTGGCGGTGGCGGCTCCCCGCCGAAAGGGCCCCCGGGCCCACGCGCCTTGTGCGCCAGGTGCAGCGCCAGGGGCCTCACGGGGACAGCCGCCTGGGGCACGCTGCGTCCCAGCACCAGCGCCGGCGACGGCTCTCCCCGCGCCCCAGCGCTAGTGGCGGCCGCGGCCCTCTCCTCCCTCGCCGCCTCTTTGCCCTCACATTCGGGCGGGGGCGGCTGCTCGGCCGGCCGGTTCGCCGCGGCCAACAGCGACTCCCTCTCAGCAGTCACCGCGGGCGGATCCTCCCGAGAATGGGCGGCGGGCATCGGGGCGCGAGTAGACATCGTCCCTCTGCCCCAGCCGCCCCAGCCGGGGTGGCCCCGAGGCCAGGGAACCCGACTGCCCGTCTCTCCGCCGGGACACCGGCCGGCTCCAACTGGGGACAGACAACCCGAGAGCCCGGCGGCCGTGGCCGCCGCTGCCGCCGCCCGCCGAGGCCGCGCAGCGCCCGGCGTGACGCCCCTCCCCGCACCGAACGGAGCGCCAACCGCCCGCCGGCCCCGTCCTCTCCGCGACGCACGCCCCGAGCCCGCCACCACGCGCCGGGAGCCGCAGCCGGGAGCCGCGAGCCCTCACCTGGCGCAGGGCAGCCGCGGAGGCGCAGCACGCCGAGGCCGAGGAGCTTTACCCGAGTTGGGGAGGCGCGAGCAGCCAAAGCTGGTAACTGCCCGCGGAGGCGTGGAGACGGCGAAGAGGGGCGGCCCGAGAGCACGGGGCGGGGCCTCCCTGAGGAGCGTGACGTGGCTACTCACCGGGTCCTTCTCTCGCCGGGCCTCCCGCGGGAGCTGACGGATTCGCCCGCCCGGGTGCCGCCCGGCCCGAGGGTCTGCCCCGCCCCAGCTGCCCTCCGAGTGCGAGGGAGGACGAAGGGGACGACTCCCGGCTCACTGGCTGAGGCCGCCCCGACTGCAGGCTCAGGGGCGGAGCGCGCACCAGGCCTCTGTGGCTCGCGGCTGGCTCGCGGCCTGCCCCCGCGGCGACGGCGGCCAAGGGCCTGGGCGGGCCGCGCACATGGCGCTGGGAGGACCGAGCGCTCGATTTGCCCTTAGGCCCTAAAGCTGGGTCGCAGCTAGGCTAAGGGAGGGGACGCGGTGTCGACCCCCGGCCTGGGGCAGCTCCCAAGTGAAGTGGGCTCCGCGGCCCGGCCGCTTGGCCCGCTGGCGCCCGGCGCCTCCCCCAGGTGAAAGTTGCCTCCTGGCGCCTCGGGGCACCGCGATCACCTGTAATCTTGAGCCACGTCCCAGATGAAGGGGGAGTTACCTCTCGGTAACTGTTTAGGAAACCTTTGCCCCAGCGTTCGGCTTAGTGCGCTTCCCCGCCCGCATTCCCACCCACCAACTAAAAGAGTTCTAAAGCGTTCCTGAGTAAATTAAATAGTATTTCGCCGGCTTTTAAAATTTTTTGTTACCTGTTTCTTTAATTTGGGTAAATAGCACTTAATTACAAATTAACCATATTCCCAATAGGTTTTTTCTTCCTGGAATGGATGTTAAAATGGTACAAAGACGTTTTGATAATAAATCGGATACGAGCTTTCTACTTGGCACTCACATTCACTTAGAGATGATACTCGTTTCATTTTTGAGTCAGTGTTTGTGTCCTGGTGCAAGGTGGCTGAGAGCAGGTTCCGCCGCTGATTTTTTTCCGAGCCCCCCACCAACCCCATAGCCTTGTTAAATAAATTATCTGTGCTCGCCTTATGTTTGGGCTTTCAACCCCCACCCCCCACCCCACGCCCAATAAGTCGCTTCAATTACATTCAACTTGACGTTAATATTTTTTGCTTACTCAAAAGCCGTATTCGGCACAAATAATTTTCCTAAGGCTAATAACCTATTCATACATAACAGCTATAAACAATAAGGGTTTTCTTGTTTTCCGTGTCAGTGATCTCCAGTTTGCCCAACCCTAAGCAACCTGGCGAACCTTGTTGCAATTAAAAGGGGATTGTACTTCCACCTATATTCCCATCCATCTTTACTAGCTCTGTTATTAGTGGCGCTTTGTATTTTTTATTGGTGGTGGTGATGGTGGTGGTGGTGGTGGTTTGAGACAGAGTCTCACTCTATTGCCCAGGCTGGAGTACAGTGGCGTGATCTCGGCTAACTGCAACCTCTGCCTCCCAGGCTCAAGAGATGCTCCTGCCTTAGCTTCCTGAGTAGCTGGGATTACAGGCGCGCCACTACCACCCGGCTAATTTTTGTATTTTTAGTAGAGACGGGGTTTCATCAGGTTGGCCAGGCTGGTCTTGAACTCCTGACCTCAAATGATCCACCCGCCTCGGCTTCCCAAAGTGCTGGGATTACAGGCATGAGCCACCGCGCCCGGCATTTTTTTTTTTTTAAGAGGTAGTCTCTCTCTGTCGCCCAAGCTAGAGTGCAGTGGCGCGATCGCGGCTCACTGCAACCTCTGCCTCCCGGGTTCAAGCGATTCTCATGCCTCAGCCTCCCGAGTAGCTGAGATTACAGGCGCCCACCACCACACCCGGCTAATTTTTGTATTTTTGGTAGAGACGGTGTTTCACCATGTTGGCCAGGCTGGTCTCGAACTCCTGGCCTCAAGTCATCCCCCCACCTTGGCCTCTCAAAGTGCTGGGATTACAGGCGTGAGCCACCACGCCTAGCCTCACACCTCTGTAAAGTGTCCTTTTAATAATAAACTTAAAATTCCAAAATTTGAGCGTTCCGTCTGATTTTAGTTTCATCTGACTGACCCAATTTGCTGTAATTAACCTCTATCTTGTTACTTCATTCTGCCTCTGCAGCTACGTGCCAGACTCTTCCTCTGCTTCATAGTTCAAAATTAAGGATAAAAGACTGCTTGACCCTACTTATTTTTTCCAGCCAGATTATACAATTCATTAGCCAATCTGTGGATTATCTGCCCTTGGGTAGGGTGTTCACCTGGTCTGGAAGAACAAATTATTTGGTTCAAAACACTGCCATCAGCCAGGCGAGGTGGCTCACGCCTGTAATCCCAGCACTTTGGGAGGCCAAGGCTGGCGGATCACGAGGTCAGGAGTTCCAGACTAGCCTGGCCAACACAGTGAAACCCCGTCTCTACTAAAAATACAAAAATTTAGCTGGGTGTGGTGTCGTGCTGCGATTACAGGTGCCTGCCACCACACCCAGCTAATTTTTGAATTTTTAGTAGAGAAGGGGTTTTCACCATCTTGGCCAGGCTGCTCTCAAACTCCTGACCTCAAGTGATCCACTCACCTCGGCCTCCCAAAGTGCTGGGATTACAGGCGTGAGCCACACACCCAGCCATAAATATCTTTCTTTTTTTGTTTCTTTGTTGGTTTTTTTTTTTTTTTTTTTGAGCTGGAGTCCAGGCTAGAGTGCAGTGGCATGATTTCGGCTAACTGCAACCTCTGCCTCCCAGGTTCAAGAGATTCTCCTGCCTCAGCCTCCCGAGTAGCTGGGACTACAGGCATGCGCTGCCATGCCCAGCTAAGTTTTTGTATTTTCAGTAGAGACGGAGTTTCACCTTGTTGCCCAGGCTGGTGTCGACCTCCTGAGCTCAGGTGATCTGCCCCCGCTTGGCCTCCCAAAGTGCTGGAATTACAGGCGTGAGCCACCGCGCCTGGCCTGTTGAAAGAGGCCTCTTTCTGTTGCCTCACTCTGTTGCCTAGGCTGGAGTGCAGTGGTACGATTTTGGCTCACTACAGCCTCTTCCTCCTGGGTTCAAGCGATTCTCCTGGCATGTGCCACCATGCCTGACTAATTTTTCTTTTTTTGAGATGTAGTCTCACTCTGTTGCCCAGGCTGGAGTGCGGTGGCAGGATCTTAGCTCACTGCAAGCTCCACCTCC
Organism: Homo sapiens; assembly: GCF_000001405.40. NCBI lineage: Eukaryota > Metazoa > Chordata > Mammalia > Primates > Hominidae > Homo > Homo sapiens. The sequence goes on along the minus strand of NC_000004.12, from coordinate 128,058,164 downwards.
CAGGTTCAAGCAATTCTCCTGCCTCAGCCTCCCTAGTAGCTGGGACTACAGGCATGCACCACCATGCCCAGCTAATTTTTTGTATTTTTAGTAGAGACAGGGTTTCACCATATTGACCAGGCTGGTCTTGAACTCCTCACCTCAAGTGATCCACCCTCCTCAGCCTCCCAAAGTGCTGGGATTACAGGCGTGAGCCACCGCGCCTGTCCCTAATTTTTGTGTTTTTAATAGAGACGGGGTTTCACCATGTTTACCAGCCTGGTCTTGAACTCCTGACCTCAGGTGACCTGCCAGCCTCAGCCTCCCAAGGTGCTGGGATTACAGGTGAGAGCCACCGCCTCTGTCTTGCTCTGTCACCCAGGCTGGAGTGCAGTGGCCCGAACTCAGCTCACTTCAAGCTCCGCCTCCCGGGTTCACGCCATTCTCCTGCCTCAGCCTCCTGAGTACCTGGGACTACAGGCGCCCGCCACCACGCCCAGCTAATTTTTGTATTTTTAGTAGAGATGGGGGTTTCACCATTTTGGCCAGGCTGGTTTCGAACTCATGACCTCAGGTGATCCATCCGCCTCGGCCTCCCAAAGTGCTGGGATTACAGCGTGAGCCACTGCGCTGGGCTATGAAGACATTCTTACATGATCTATTCAGTTCCATTTAACTTTTTAATTTAATTTAATTTTTTTTTTTTTTGAGACAGTCTCGCTGCATCGCCCAGACCGTAGTGCAGTGACGCCGTCTCAGCTCACTGCAACCTCCGCCTCCCGGGTTCAAGCGAGACCCTGTCTCAAAAAAAAAAAAAAAAAGAAAAAGAAAAAGAAAACAGCCAGGCGTGGTGGCTCAAGCCTGTAATCCCAGTGCTTTGGGAGACCAAGGCGGGCGGATCACTTGAGGTCAGGAGTTTGAGACCAGCCTGGCCAACATGGTGAAACCCCGTCTCTACTAAAAATACAAAAATTAGCCGGGTGTGGTGGTGGTGCCTGTAATCCCAGCTACTGGGAATGCTGAGGCAGGAGAATTGCTTGAACCCATGAGGCGGAGGTTGCAGTGAGCCAAGATCACCCCACTGCACTCCAGCCTAGGTGAAAAAGCAAGACTGTCTCAAAACAAACAAACAAAAAAACAAAACAAAAAAAAAAACAAAGCATGAGTAAAGATGAGGTTAGAGAGATAGCCTAAGGCAGAGCCTGCAGGGGCTTCTGGATTATGACAGAATTTGAATTCTATCAGAGCAATGGAAAAACACTGAAAAGATGTAAGAGTTAATACCCCTGTTGCTGTAATACGGAAAATGAAGTGGAATGGGCAGTGACAAAATGCAAAATGTGAAAAACATGAAGTTGTTGTAGTATTCCAAGAATGATATGATGATGGTCTGGACTTAAGAGGTGGCAGTGCATAGGACAATGGAATGATTTGAGATACATTTTGGGAATGATCTCATTAACAGGAATTGCTAATCTAATGGATATGAGAAATGAAATAAAGAGATCAAGTTCTAAATTTCTGCCTAAAGCTGGGCACAGTGGCAGCTGCCTGTAGTCCCAGCTACTTGAGAGGCTGAGGCAGGAGAATCACTTGAGCTTAGGAGTTTGAGACCAGACTGGGCAACATAGCAAGACCCTATCTCAGCTCATCTTCTTAGTATTCTTATAATATAATTAAGTAGGAGAAAAAGTTCAGAATTAACTGTAGATAGTGTATTCTGAGTGTAAAATCTGAGAGAATCAAAATGCTTCATATGTTTATATGAAAATCATAGGCTGGGCACAGTAGCTCAAGCCTGTAATCCCAGCACTTTGGGAGGCCAATGTTGGTGGATTGATTGAGCCCAGGAGACTGAACCCAGGAGTTTGAGACTAGCCTGGGCAACATGATGAAACCCGGTCTCTACAAAAAAAAAAAATATATATATATATATATATATATGGCCAGTGAGGACTAAGCTCTCATTTTTTTCATCTTGCCCAAATTCCTATCTGAGGGGTCTGGGGAGTCATGCCCTACAAACCATAAATTCTCATCAGATGGGTTTTATTTAACCCTATATATTGTGACTTACTTTCTAGTGTGACTCTGGCATAACAAAGAAGAAAGTCAAAATATTTTACCCCAAAACATGTTTCTTTGCCATATTTTGTTTTATTTTATTTATTTATTTATTTATTTATTTATTTATTTATTTTTGAGATGGAGTCTCACCCTGTCACCCAGGCTGGAGTGCAGTGGCACGATTTCAGCTCAATGCAACCTCTGCCTCCCGAGTTCAGGCGATTATTTTCCCTCAGCCTCCTGAGTACTTGGGATTACAAGTGCACGACACCACGCCTGGATAGTTTTTTGTATTTTTAGTTGAGTTGGTGTTTCACCATGTTGGCCAGGCTGGCTTCAATCTCAGTGATCTCAGGTGATCTGCCCGCCTGGGCTTCCCAAAGTGCTGGAATTACAGGCTTGAGCCACTGCGAGCGGCCTATTTTTTTTTTCTTTCCTTTGCCATATTTTGAAATGGCCCTGTAAAGCTGTCCTTTGTAGGGGGGGATATTTGCATCTGTAAAGAATCTATATTAACATAGCTAGGTATTTTCTTCCAGGCCCTCCAAATCCTAAAGAGATTAACTAAGAGTGTAGCACCTTTTAAAGATCTGAATAGGAAACATTTGTCATCTATTGTCTCTAAGCGTAGCCACTATAAGGCTTCAAAAATAATCTTGGTCTCCGTAATCTTTTATCTTAACTTCAACATTTTCTTTCTTTCGAAAGGAAAATGCCTTTCTTTCCCAGGTCTTTTTTTTTTTTTTTTTTTTTTTGAGGCGGAGTTTCCCTCTTGTTGCCCAGGCTGAATGGCTCGGTCCTGGCTCACCACAACTTCCACCTCCCGGGTTCAAGTGATCCTCCTGCCTCAGCCTCCCAAGATGCTAGGATTACAGGCACCCACCACCACACCCGGCTAATTTTTGTATTTTTAGTAGAGTTGGGGTTTTACCATGTTGGCCAGGCTAGTCTCGAACGCCTGACCTCAGGTGATCCGCCCGTCCCCGCCTCCCAAAGTACTGGTATTACAGGCATGAGCCACTATGCCTGGCTGCTTTCCCAGGTCTTTAAAGAAACTCAACCAATTGTCAACCAGAAAAGGTTTAAATTTACCTATAGCCTGGAAGCCCCACCCCCGCAACTCCAATTTCAGTTATCCTGCCTTTCCTGTGAAACCAACGTATTTCTTAAATGTACTTGATGTCTCATGCCTCCCTAAAATGCATAAAATCACGCTGCACCCCTACCATCTTGGGCACATGTTCTCAGGACCTCCTGAGGGTTGTGTCACAGGCCATGGTCACTCATATTTGGCTCAGAATAAATCTCTTCAAATATTTTACAGAATTTGACACTTTCATGGATACCCGGTATTGTGGCATGCCTGCAGTCTCAGCCACTAGGGAGGCTGAGGTGGGAGGATCACTTGAGTCTGGGAGATTGAGGCTGCAGTGAGCTGCGATCATACCACTACACTCTAGCCTGGGCAACAAAGTGAAACCCTGTCTCAAAAAAGAAAAAAAAAAAGAAACAAAATCATGTTTAACCTCATTAGAAAGCAGGGAAATGGGGCGGGGCACGGTGGCTCATACCTGTAATCCCAGCACTTTGGGAGGCCAAGACAGGCAGATGACGAAGTCAAAGAGTTTGAGACCAGCCCAGCCAACGTGGTGAAACCCCATCTCTACTGAGAATGCAAAAATTAGCCAGGCATGGTGGCATGTGCCTGTAATCCCAGCTACTCAGGAGGCTGAGGCAGGAGAATCGCTTGAACCTGGGAGGCAGAGGTTGCAGTGAGCCGAGATCACACCACTGCACTCCAGCCTGGGCCACAGAGCAAGAGCAAGATGCTGTCTCAGAAAAAAAAAAAAAAAAGAAAGCAGGGAAATGTAAGTTAAAATCACAAAGAGAAAACACTACAACCTGGCCAGGCTCAATGTCTCACACCTGTAATCCCAACACTTTGGGAGGCCAAGGCGGGCAGATCAAGGAGGTCAGGAGTTTGAGACCAGCCTGACCAACATGGTGAAGCCCCGTCTCTACTAAAAATATAAAAATTAGCCGGGCGTGGTGGCTCATGCCTGTAATCCCAGCTACTCAGGAGGCTGAGGCAGGAGAATTGCTTGAACCCAGGAGGCAGAAGTTGCAGTGAGCCGAGATTGTGCCACTGCACTCCAGCCTGAACGACAGAGCAAGACTCCATCTCAAAAAAATAAAAAAAGAAACAAAGAAACAAACACTACAACTTACCAGATGACATTAAAAAAAAAAAAAAAGAAAAAAAACAGTGTGACACTACCAAAATTAGTACAACTATTGTGGGAAACTGGCAGTACTTAGTATAGTTGAATATGAGCATATCTCTGACCCAGCCATTTTGCTCCAACAGTAATGTGTGCACAAGTGCACCAAAACACATGAACAGAAAAACCCCAGCATTCTTTATCATTCTTCTAGCCCTAAACTGGAAATAGCCTAAATGCCTACCAGCAGTAGAATACATAAATAGTGGCATGGTATATGTGATGGTTAATATTGAGTGTCAACTTGATTGGATTGAAGAATAAAAATCCTTCAATCCAAGAATTGTTCCTGGGTGTGCCTGTGAGGGTGTTGCCAAAAGAGATTAACATTTGAGTTGGTGGACTGGGAGAGGGAAACTCAACCTCAATCTGGGTGGGCACCATCTAATCAGCTGCCAGCATGGCTAGAATAAAGCAGGCAGAAGAAAGTGGAAGGACTAGACTTGCTGAGTCTTCCGACCTTCATCTTTTTCCCATGCTGGATGTTTCCTGCCCTCAAACATCAGACTACAAGCTTTTCAGCTTTTGAACTCTTGGATGTACACCAGTAGTTTGCCAGGGGCTCTTGAGCCTTTGGCCACAAACAGAAGGCTGCTTCCCTACTTTTGGGGTTTTGGGGGACTGATCTACCACTGACTTCCTTGCTCCTCAACTTGCAGACCACCTATCCTGGGATTTTACCTTGTGATAGTGTGAGTCAATTCTCCTTAATAAACTCCCTTTCATATCCTATTAGTTCTGTCCCTCTAAAGAACCCTGACTAATACAGTATATAATGAAATAATATACAGCTTTGAAAAATTAACTACATCTACAGGCAACAATATGGATACATCTCAAAGGCATAGTGTTAGGCTGGTAAACATAAAAGATGGCACACATAAATACACTGTGATTTGTATAGAGTTAAATTTACTTAAAGTTCAAAAAGAGCAAAATTAATCTATTGTGTTAGAAGTAAAGATAGCAGTTATCAGGCCGGGCACAGTGGCTCACGCCTGTAATCCCAGTACTTTGGGAGGGCGAGGCGGGTGGATCACGAGGTCAGGAGTTCAAGACCAGGCTGGCCAAGATGGTGAAACCCTGTCTCTACTAAAAATACAAAAATTAGCCAGGCGTGGTGGCATGTTCCTATAATCCCAGCTACTCGGGAGGCTGAGGCAGATAATTGCTTGAACCGGGGAGGCGGGGTGGCAGTGAGCCGAGATTGTGCCACTGCACTCCAGCCTGGGTGACAGAACGAGACTCCATCTCAAAAAAAAAAAAAAAAAGATAGTAGTTATCTTTGGGAAAGTCAAAGGAGTTAAGAAAAAAATGTAAGGAGTATGATCAATGATTCATGGAAAATTGAGTATGCATCTGTTTCTTCACTTCTCCCTCTTCAGTCCAGTTTCTGGCTCTATCACTCAACCGTGTCACTAAAATATCAAATGACTTACATGTTAATAAGTCTACTGGGTAATTTTCAGTCTTCATCTTTTCCTTTCAGCTTTATTTTTCACAATTAACTACCTAGTGGTAGGTAATAGTTAACACACATATGCTAGACACTAAGTGTTTTACATGTGTTAATTCATTTAATCCTAAGAACAACTATATAAAATACAGATTATTATTGCCCCCATTTTTAAATGAGGAAACTGAGGCAAAATGGATAAATGGCTTGCCTAGAATCATACAATTAGAAAGTGCCAGGGCCGGGCGTGGTGGCTCACGCCTGTAATCCCAGCACTTTGGGAGGCCAAGGCCAGTGGATCACCTGAGGCCAGGAGTTCAAGAGCAGCCTGGCCAACATGGTGAAACCCCATCTTTGCTAAAAATACAAAAATTAGCCGGGTGTGGTGGTACATGCCTGTAGTCACAGCTACTTGGGAGGCTGAGGCGGGAGAATTGCTTGAACCTGGGAGGTGGAGGCTGCAGTGAGCCAAGATCATGCCACTGCACTCCAGCCTGGGCGACAGAGCTAACTAGACTCCCATCTCAAAAAAAAAAAAAAAGACTCCCATCTCAAAAAAAAAAAAAAAAAGAAAGTGCCAGAGCAAGGATTTGAGCCCAAGCAATCTGGCTTCATAGTTCTCCATAGTTCATACTCTTAACCATAACAATACACTATATTGCCTTTTTTTCCCCTTAAAGTTGTTCAACAATACTACAAAATAGCTTGTGGTTTTTAAAATGCAATCAGCCGCCAGGCGTGGTGGCTCACACCTGTAATCCCAGCACTTTGGGAGGCCGAGGTGGGCGGATCACCTGAGGTTGGGAGTTCGAGACCACCCTGACCAACGTGGAGAAACCCCGTCTCTACTAAAAATACAAAATTAGCTGGGTGTGGTGGCCTGTAATCCCAGCTGCTCAGGAGGCTGAGGCAGAAGAATCGCTTGAACCCAGGAGGCAGAGGTTGCAGTGAGCCGCAGATGGCGCCATTGCACTCCAACCTGGGCAACAAGAGCGAAACTCCGTCTCAAAAAAAAAAAAATGCAATTAGCTTATGCATATGGTAACACCAAATGGTACAATATTGTTTATAATGAAAATAAAAAAACAGTTCTACTTCACAAAGGTACTAATCCCCAAAGTTACCATCTTTCAACTTTTGCCTTGCCACTATAAAACATGAGGATTTAACACACTTACATAAGCCCCTGCTCGATTCTCCTCCCAATTTCTGATATTTTTGTTGTTTACTTGGAAATTTTAAATAATTTAAGTAATTTGAACATTTACTTAGTATTTCACCAATTTTAGAAAGAGCTTCTTATATTGCCACTCTATAAAATGAGAATATATCATCCTACCCTTTGTTCTACCTTCCAACGGTTGTCTGCTTTTCTTTATTTTTACATTCAACCCTCTTATTAGAACTCCCATGTGTCCCCCACCAACACACACCATTTTTTTTTTTTTTTTCGAGACAAGATCTCACTCTTTTGTTCAGGCTATAGTGTAGTGCTGCGATCACGGCTCACTGCAGCCTTGACCTCCCAGGTTCAAGAGATCCTCCCACCTCAGCCACTCAAGTAGCTGGGACCAGAGGCATGAGCTGCCAAGCCTGGCAAATTTTTTTTTTTTGAGACGAAATCTCACTTTGTTACCAGGCTGGAATGCAATGATGCAATCTCGGCTCACTGCAACCTCCACCTCCCAGGTTCAAGCAATTCTCCTGCCTCAGCCTCCTAAGTAGCTGGGATTACAGGCACATGCCACCATGCCCAGCTAATTTTTGTATTTTTTTTTTAGTAGAGACGGGGTTTCACCATGTTGGCCAGCGTGGTCTCGATCTCTTGACCTCGTGATCCACCTGCCTCAGCCTCCCAAAGTGCTGGGATTACAGGCGTGAGCCACTGTGCCCGGCCGTGGCAAATTTTTTATTTGTTTCAATTTTTGTAGCGATGAGGTGTCCGTTGCCCAGGCTTGTCTTGGACTCCTGGGCTCAAGCTATACTCCTGCCTTGGCCTCCTCAAATTTCTTGCTTTTCTTTATGGTTTGTCACTAAACATGCATCCCATAGTTTTGCCTATTTTTAAAACTATATGTAGATGGAATCATATGCTACTTTCCGTCTTGCTTCTTTCATTCAATATTATGTTTTTAAGATTCATACAAGTTGAGAGTAGCTGTAGGTCATTTATTCTGTTATAGTATGTGTATTTCATTGAATGACTATATCACAATTTTTTATGCTATTGTTGATGAATTTTTCGGCTTCCAATTTGGGACTACTGTAAACATGGCTTTTATGAACATTTTTTTTTCTGGTGTGCATGTGCCAATTTATTGAGGGTATCATTTTAGGAATAGAATTTCTGAGTCATAGGATCTGCATATCTTCATTTGTTCCAAATATTGCCAAGTCATTTTCCAAACTCTTGTACCAATTCACACACCCACTGGCAGCGTATGAGAGGTCTCCACATCCTGGACATTTCTTCCTTTTCCTTACATTGTCAGGAGTAATCACTTATACTCTATTGAGTAACCATAATATACCTTTGTGCTTTGTTCATAGATTGGTCTGAAAATTTAAGAATCCACAAACAGCTTTATGTTATTTTGAGTTTATAGCTATCTCTTACTGCAGAACAATGTAGTATGAGAGGACTGCATTCCCTTCTCTGTGGTTTCAGTGTCATGATCCCCTAGAAATAAGATCAAATGGGGCTGAGCACGGTGGCTCACACCTGTAATCCTAGCACTTTGGGAGGCCGAGGCGGGCGGATCACCTGAGGTCAGGAGTTCGAGACCAACCTGGCCAACATGGTGAAACCCCGTCTCTACTAAAAAATGCAAAAATTAGCTGGGTGTGGTGGTGGGTGCTTGTAATCCCAGCTACTCCGGAGGCTGAAACAGGAGAATCACACGAACCCAGGAGGCAGAGGTTGCAGTGAGCTGGGATCACGCCCCTACACTCCTAGGGAACAGGGCGAGACTCTGTCACACACACAAAAAAGAAAAAAACTATTGATAACAAAATAGGTTTACTTGTGCTTAGGTAATTTGGCAGACATCTTCTAAAAAATGAATGAAATGAGCCTGTCACATCAGTGGCAACAACTAGACAATATTTGTTGTCAGTGATAACCTTCAAGTTTTCAAGAGAAAATGAGAAGCTTGGAAAACTTTTAACCATTACCATGAACTCAACAGCTTCCTAGTGCTTAAAGATTTTCTGATGAGCTCAGTAGTGATTTTAATGAACCTAATTTTTGATGTTGTGTAATGAAATGTGTCAACATTTTGGAGGTCTGCATAACTCAGTGACCCAATATTTTTCTAATTACAAAATCATACATAGGGAACATGAAGGGTAAGAAGACTACTGGCTTTTTTTCTGACTTACAATGTTTTTATTACTATATGTCACATATATGAACAACCATATTTATTACTATATAACTGATTCCAATCATAAGCACTAGTAAAAATATACTACTTAGAAAACAATTCAAGGTCATATAGATTGTCTGGATCAGGCCTTGGCAAACTATGGCCCATGGGCCAAATCTGTCTACCACCTTTTTTTTTTTTTTTTTTGAGATAGAGTCTCACACTGTTGCCCGAGCTGGAGTGCAGTGGCGCGATCTCGGCTCACTGCAACCTCCGCCTCCCAGGTTGAAGCAATTCTCCTGCCTCAGCCTCCCAAGTAGCTGGGATTATAGGCATGTGTCACCACGCCCAGCTAATTTCTGTATTTTTAGTAGAGAAGGGGTTTCACTATGTTGGTCAGTTTGGTCTCGAACGCCTGACCTCGTGATCCACCCACCTCGGCCTCCCAAAGTGCTGGGAATACAGACGTGAGCCACTGCGCCCAGCCTACCACCTATTTTTATACAGGAACAAACTAAGAATGAATTTTACTTTTTTTAATGATTAAGAAAATAAAAAAAGAGGGGCCAGGCACGATGGCTCATGCCTGTAATCCCAGCATTTTGGCAGGCTGAGGCGGGCGGATCACGAGGTCAGGAGACCGAAACCATTCTGGCTAACACGGTAAAACCCCATCTCTACTAAAAAAAAATAAAAAAAAATTAGCTGGGCTTGGTTGCGGGCACCTGTAGTCCCAGCTACTCGGGAGGCTGAGGCAGGAGAATGGCACGAACCCAGGAGGCAGAAGTTACAGTGAGCCGAGATTGTGCCACTGCACTCCAGCCAGCCTGGGCGACAGAGCGAGACTCTGTCTCAAAAAAAAAAAAAAAAGAAAAAGAAAAAAAGAGTATTGAGAGGTGACAGCGTGCTGGCAGTCCTCACAGCCCTCGCTCGCTCTCGGCGCCTCCTCTGCCTGGGCTCCCACTTTGGTGGCACTGGAGGAGCCCTTCAGCCCACCGCTGCACTATGGGAACCCCTTTCTGGGCTGGCCAAGGCCAGAGCCGGCTCCCTCAGCTTACAGGGAGGTGTGGAGGGAGAGGCGCGAGCGGGAACCGGGGCTGTGTGCAGCGCTTGCGGGCCAACTGGAGTTCCGGGTGGGCGTGGGCTTGGCGGGCCCCGCACTCGGAGCAGCCGGCCGGCCCTGCCGGCCCCGGGCAGTGAGGGACTTGGCACCCGGGCCAGCGGCTGCAGAGGGTGTACTGGGTCCCCCAGCAGTGCCGGCCCACCGGCGCTGTGCTCGATTTCTTGCCGGGCCTGAGCTGCCTTCCCGTGGGGCAGGCCTCGGGACTGCAGCCCGCCATGCCTGAGCCTTCCCCTGCCTCCGTGGGCTCCTGTGCAGCCCGAGCCTCCCCGACGAGCGCCGCCCCCTGCTCCCCGGCGCCTAGTCCCATCGACCACCCACGGGCTGAGGAGTGCGAGCGCATGGCGTGGCACTGGCAGGCAGCTCCACCTGCAGCCCCGCTGCGGGATCCACTGGGTGAAGCCAGTTGGGCTCCTGAGTCTGGTGGGGCCTTGGAGAACCTTTATGTCTAGCTCAGGAATTGTAAATACACCAATCAGCACCCTGTGTTTAGCTCAGGGTTTGTGAGTGCACCAATCGACGCTCTGTATCTAGCTGCTCTGGTGGGGCCTTGGAGAACCTTTGTGTCCATACTCTGTATCTAACTAATCTGATGGGGACGTGGAGAACCTTTGTGTCTAGCTCAGGGATTGTAAACGCACCAATCAGCGCCCTGTCAAAACAGGCTACTCGGCTCTACCAATCAGCAGGATGTGGGTGGGGCCAGATAAGAGAATAAAAGCAGGCTGCCCGAGCCAACTGTGGCAAGCCGCTTTGGTCCCCTTCTATACTGTGGAAGCTTTAGTTTTTTTGCTCTTTGCAATAAATCTTGCCACTGCTCACTCTTTGGGTCCAGACTGCTTTTATGAGCCCTAACACTCACCGGGAAGGTCTGCAGATTCACTCCTGAAGCCAGCGAGACCAAGAGCCCACCGGGAGAAACAGGCAACTCCAGACGTGCTGCTTTAAGAGCTGTAACACTGCGAAGGTCTGCAGCTTCACTCCTGAGCCAGTGAGACTACGAACCCACCAGAAGGAAGAAACTCAGAACATCAGAAGAAACAAACTCCAGACGCGCCACCTTAAGAGCTGTAACACTCACCGCGAGGGTCCGCGGCTTCATTCTTGAAGTCAGTGAGACCAAGAACCCTCATTTCCAGACACAGTATTTTGTTACGCGTAAAAAAACACATAAATTTCAAATTTTTTTTTTTTTTCTGAGATGGAGTCTTAAAATTCAACCAATGTAGTGGCTCGATGTTGGCTCACTGCAATCTCAGCATCCCAGGCTCAAGCGGGTCTCCTGCCTCAGCCTCCGAGTAGCTGGGACTACAGGTGTGCACAACCACGTCTGGCTTATTTTTGTATTTTTTCAGTAGAGACAAGGTTTGGTCTTGAACTCCTGACCTCAGGTGATCCACTACCCTTGGCCTCTCAAACTGCTGCAATTACAGGCATGAGCCACTGCACCCAGCAAAATTCAAATTTCAATTCCATAAATTAAATGATGTTGGAACAAGACCATACTTATTCATTTATGTATTGTCTATGGCTGTTGTCACACTACAACAACAGAGTTGAGTAGTGGTAACAGAGACTTTATGTTGTGCTATCGTCACTTTATATTGCTGCAAAAAGGCAATAAAAAGGCAATATAAAGAAGGGCAAATAACAGGAACAGAATCAAATAGAATTCTATAAATTGCCTTTCAAATGGTGAATATGTTCAATTAAAAGCATTTCCTGGTTGGGCGCGGTGGCTCATGCCTATAATCCCAGCACTTTGGGAGGCCGAGGCGGGCGGATCACGAGGTCAGGAGATCGAGACCATCTTGGCTAACACGGTGAAACCCTGTCTCTACTAAAAATACAAAAAATTAGCTGGGTGTGGTGGTGGGCGCCTGTAGTCTCAGCTACTCGGGAGGCTGAGGCAGGAGAAAGGCGTGAACATGGGAGGTGGAGCTTGCAGTGAGCCGAGATCGCGCCACTGCACTCCAGCCTGGGCGACAGAGCGAGACTCTGTCTCAAAAAAAAAAAAAAAAAAAAAAAATTTCTTGGCTGGGCGCCCTGGCTCACCCTTGTAATCCCAGCACTTTTGGAGGCCGAGGCAGGCAGATCACCTGAGGTCAGGAGTTTGAGACCAGGCTGGCCATTATGGTGAAACCCCATCTCTACTAAAAATACAAAAACTAGCTGGGCATAGTGGCAGGCATCTGTAATTCCAGCTACTCAGGAAGCTGAGGCAGGAGAATTGCTTGAACTTGGGAGGCGGAGGTTGCAGTGAGCCAAGATGATGCCACTGCACTCCAGCCTGGGCGACAGAGCGAGACTCTTGTCTCCAAAAAAGAAAAAAAAAAATTTGCTTTTAGATTGATATCAGTATTTGACAGTACCTATCTGTGTGGAGACATTTTCAAAGCTGAAATATGTAAAATTTCATTACAGATCAGTATTAACAGATGAATATTTCCAACAGATTTTGATGATAGGGAAAACAAATCTTGATCCTCAACTAAGTGAATTGTCTCCTCCAAAAAGAATCCCATTCTTCTCATTAGTAGAGCTATAGTAGAAACAATAATTATTATCATATTTTGAATTTCATCAATAAAAATTTGTGGGCATTTATTTTCATCCTCATGTAAGTACCTAAATTATAGCCTCAATTTTGGGTGTTGGCCTGCAAAGCCTAAAATATTTACTATCTGGCCCTTTATAGGTGAAGTTTGCCAACCCTTGATCTAGATCATGGTAAATCTCAACATTGACTCTACATTTTTTATTTTTTTGAGGTGGAGTTTCACTTTTGTCACCCAGGGTGGAGTGCAATGGCGTGATCTTGGCTCACTGTAACCTCTGCCTCCTAGGTTTAAGTGAGTCTCCTGCCTCAGCCTCCTGAGTAGCTGGGATTACAGGTGCCCACCACCACGCCTGCCTAATTTTTTGTATTTTTAGTAGAGACAGGGTTTCACCATGTTGGCCAGGCTGGTCTCGAACTCCTGACCTCAGGTGATCCACCCACCTTGGCCTCCCAAAATGCTGGGATTACAGGCGTGAGCTACCATGCCTGGCCTTGACTGTACATTTAAATCACCTCAAGATTTTTTGAGGAAAAAATGCCCTTGTAGGGGGCCCCCTTCTCAGAGGTTCTGATTTAATTAGCCTGGAGTATAGCTTGGACATCAATATTTATTAACAGCTTTCTGCTGAGACTCAAATCCGTAACCAGGATTGAGAACTATTGGCCTAAATGATGCAGAAGATTGTATACTAGTTGTTTTAGAATGTCATTAAGACGAAAGCATGTACTTTTTTTTTTTTTTTTAATGAGATGGAGTCTCACTCTGTCACCCAGGCTGGAGTGCAGTGGCGTGATCTCGGCTCACTGGAACTTCCGCCTCCCAGGTTCAAGCAATTCTCCCACTTCAGCCTCCCGAGTAGCTGGGATTACAGGCGTGCGCCACCACGCCCGGCTAACTTTTTGTATTTTTAGTAGAAACGGGTTTTTACCATGTTGGCCAGGCTGGTCTCAAACTCCTGACCTCAGGTGATCCACCCACCTTGCCCTCCCAAAGTGCTGGGATTACAGGCGTGAGCCACCTCACCTGGCCGTAATTTTTTAATTCTAAAAAACAACTCTCAGAAGCATGTGGAACCCAGTTTGAAAACCACTGGAGAAGATCATAAAATTTCTGCTTAAAATTCCTGCTTAAAATTCCTTTCTAATATGGTTTAAAACTACAAGCTGGAACAGTGAAAAGAACACTACACTTCAAATCATTCTGCAAACTTTGATGGAACACTTAGTAATGCCTCCAACCGTGCCAGGCACTGAGGGCATAAAAATGAGTAAGATCTGCTTCCTTCACAGACTGGGTATGGAGGGGGTGGGACACAATTAACTAATTATTTAAATATAATGAAATAAGGGCTGTGATAAAGGAAAGTACTAAGTGTCACAGAAATAACAAAATTAGGGGCCTTAGCCCCAGCTAAGAGAAATCTCTGGAGGGCTGATTGAAAAGGAGGGGAAGGGGAAGAGTTCTGGCTCTACCATTAAACTAACAGTGAGGATCTCATCAAGTACCTGAATGCCTTTCACTGTGTTTTCTTTTTATAAAATAGATATAGTTCAGGCTGGGTGTGGTGGCTCACGCCTGTAATCCCAGCACTTTGGGAGACCGAGGCGGACGGATAACTTGAGGTCAGGAGTTTGATACCAGCCTGGCCAACATGGCGAAACCCCGTCCCTACTAAAACTATAAAAAAATTAGCTGGGCGTGGTGGCATGTGCCTGTAATCCCAGCTACTCAGGAGGCTGAGCCAGGAGAATCGCTTGAACCCGGGAGGCGGAGGTTGAAGTGAGATCGTGCCATTGCACTCTAGCCTGGGCAACAAGAGCAAAACTCCGTCTTCAAAAAAAATAAAAAAAAGAGTTAAAGGATTTCTTAGATGAAAAAGTTTGAGAACCATTGTCCAATGTCCTCTTCCTTTCCTAGGCTGTCCTCAAAATCTCACCCATGCCTGTAACATCAGTTACCATCTAAATACTAGTGATTAGGAGTTTTTATCTCCTGTTCAGGCCTCTGCTTTGAGCCTCCAACTGCCATGTTACTGTCTAGTTTTAGACATATAAAAATCTGTATGGGCCGGGCGCGGTGGCTCACACCTGTAATCCCAGCACTTTGGGAAGCCAAGGTGGGTAGATCGCCTGAGCTCAGGAGTTCCACACCAGCCTGGGGTAACATGGTGAAACCCTGTCTCTACTAAAAAATACAAATAATTAGCGGGGCCGGGTGGCAGGCCCCTGTAGTCCCAGCTACACAGGAGGCTGAGGCAGGAGAATCGCTTGAACCCAAGAGGCAGAGGTTGCAGTGAGACAGGATCGTGCCACTGCACTCCAGCCTGGGTGACAGAGTGAGACTCTGGCAAAAAACAAAACAAAACAAACAAACAAATAAAAACCAAAAAAAACCAAGGTATGTGCCAGACTAGATTTTTAATCTGTATTCTCACACTAGTTTTCTTCCAGGGTTCTCTATCTCTTTGAAAAGTACCACCCTCACCCCCCCAACCTACCATCATCTCATCACCTGTATTATCTCTGAAATACATCCAGATTTCTTCATATCCACTGCCACCATCCTAGTTTTAGCTATCATCATGTTTCACCTGGCCACGTTGATGACCTTCTAGTTGAAACATTTGCATGAACTATAGGCCCCCTTCAATTGGTTCTCCTCATTGCAGCCAGAGTGAATGAGCTTTTCCAGATACATTTTTTCTAATGATCAATTGACAATCTTTTTTTTTTAAGTTCTGGGATACATGTGCAGAACGTGCAGGTTTGTTACATAAGTATACACGTGCCATGGTGGCTTGCTGCACCCATCAACCTGTCATCTAGGTTTTAAGCCCTGCATGCATTAGGTATTTGTCCTAATCCTAAATTTGTCCCAAATACATCTTAAAATGTATTTAAGACACATGTTAAATCAATGGAGAAAAACCTTTAATGTCTTCCTGTAGCTCTTTGCATAGAGACTAAAATCCTACAGGACCCTGCATAATCTAGTTATAGCACTTCATTAACAAAGTATTTTCAGGAACAAATTTTGCTAAACAAGTTAAACTCTGATCAATTTCTTCATGATGCAGTTAAGCCCATTTCCACTTTCATACTAATTGTTTTTTTTTTGTTGTTGTTGTTGTTGTTTTGAGACAGAGTCTCGCTCTATTGCCAGGCTGGAGTGCAGTGGCGCGATCTCAGCTCACTGCAACCTCCACCTCCCGGGTTCAAGTGATTCTCCTGCCTCAGCCTCCCAAGTAGCTGGGACTACAGGCGCCTGCCACCACGCCCGGCTAATTTTTTGTATTTTTAGTAGAGACGGGGTTTCACCATGTTGGCCAGGCTGGTCTCGATCTCCTGACCTCGTGATCTGCCCGCCTCGGCCTCCCAAAGTGCTGGGATTACAGGCGTGAGCCACCAAGCCCGGCCCATACTAATTGTTAACTAATTTTCTTGGGATCAATTCTCATCCCTCTTAATTTTGTATTTTGAGTTTTCTTTGAAAATCTTTTTTTTAACTGATTTTTGTAGGTCAAATTTGCAGATCTAAATTTTGTCAAATTTTGGTGCATCTATAAATTTTTTAGTCAACATCAGTTTATTTTTATTTATCTAGAGATGGAGTCTCACTCTCTCGCCCAGGCTGGAGTGCAGTGGTGGGATCTCGGCTCACTGCAACCTCTGTCTCCAGGGTTCAAGCGATTCTCCTGCCTCAGCCTCCTGAGTAGCTGGGATTACAGGCGCATGCTACCGCACCCAGCTAATTTTTGTATTTTTAGTAGAGACGGGGTTTCACCATGTTGGTTAGGCTGGTCTCGAATTCCTGACCTTGTGATCCGCCCGCCTCAGCCTCCCAAAGTGTTGGATTACAGGCGTGAGACACTGCGCACAGCCTATGTACTTTCTTAACGGTTCTCTCTAGGATTACAGGCGTGAGCCACCGCGCCCAGCTATTTTTATTTGTTTTTTAGAGAGGGCCTTGCTCTGTCACCCTGGCTGAAATGCAGTAGTGCAACCATAGCTCACTGCAGCCTTGAACTCCTGGGTGCAAGTGATCCTCCTGCATCAGCCTCTTGAGTGGTTGGCAGTACAGGCACACAAGACTGTGCCCTGCTATGCCTAACTTTTTTTCTTTTTTCTTTTTGAGACAGAGTCCTGCTCTGTTGCCCAGGTTGGAGTGCAGTGGTGCGATCTTGGCTCACTGCAACCTCTATCTCCCAGGTTCGATTCTCTTCCCTCAGCCTTCCAAGTAGCTGGGATTACAGGCATCCGCCACCACGCCCGGCTAACTTTTGTATTTTTAGTAGAGATGGGGTTTCATCATGTTGGCCTGGCTGGTCTTGAACTTCTGACCTCAGGTGACCCAGCCACCTCCGCCTCCCAAAGTGCTGGGATTACAGGCATGAGCCACTGCGCCGGGCCACTTTTCAGATTTTTTGTATCGGTGCTATCTAATAGTTACTAGTTACATGTGGCTATTCACATTAAATTTTAACACTTGAATGTTAAATAAAAAATTCAGGTCAGGCGCGGTGGCTCACACTATAATCCCAGCACTTTGGGAGGCCGAGGTGGGTGGATCACCTGAGGTCAGGAGTTCAAGACCAGCCTGACCAACGTGGTGAAAGCCCATCTCTACTAAAAAATACAAAATTAGCCGGGCGTGGTGGCGCATGCCTATAATCCCAGCTACTTGGGAGGCTGAGGCAGAAGAATCACTTGAACCTGGGAGGCATAGGTTGTGGTGAGCCAAGATCGTGCCCCTGCACTCCAGCCTGGGCAACAAGAGCAGAACTCCGTCTCAAAAAACAAAAAAAAAATTCAGTACCTCAGTTATGATTGCCTCATTTCACATGATCAACAGCCACATGTGACTAATGACTACTGTGTTGGGTAGAGTGGATGGAGTACTTTTCTGTCACTGTATAAAGTTATATTGGACAGTGCTGTTTTATACTCTTATTTAATGGTTGCTCACATGACCTGTTACCTCAGTCTGTTTGGGCTACTATAAAAGAATACCTTAATTTGGTGGCTTAGACAACAGATATTTATTTCTCACACTTCTGGAGCTGGGGAGTCCACCAAGGTGCTGGCCGATTCAATTCCTGGCTTATAATTCATACAGTCATTGGTTTCCTAGGATTTTGTCTATAAGAATATTCATAGAATTAGGCTATTTTACTGCAAAGTGGCCAAATGACCTTTTTCCCCTTTGTCTAATCTACCATAATCTTTCCTCACCTTTCCAAACGCAGTTACTATTATTAACATATAGGAGACTCTATCTAAGACTCCCATTCCCAGTCTAACCTAGATTTTGTTTGCAGTATATTTATTCATGAGTGTAAATGTAATCACATTCAACATTGAGCAACATTGAGATAACTATGGTCTGTAAGAATGTTTATTTCCCTCAGATCACACATATTTGGGGAAAATTTTGGTTATTTTTATAGAGATACTGATACTGTTCTGCTAGAGCCTCCCTTGCTTATTTCTGTCTTACCTTGTTTAGGGCATAATAACAAAGAGGGAACATATACACTCAGTTCAAGTTTGGGTACATTAATCAAATGTGACATGTGTCTACCGTATTTACAATAATACCTCTTGAAAAAAAGCACAAATGATTAGCTTTTTAAATAGACTTTTACTGTGAAATATAATAAAAGATTTGGAAATGATTTTTAAAATTTCAATTACAGTGTTAACAATTCAATTATCTTTATGAGAGAAAGCACCACATTACAAAAATACAAAGAAGGACTCTAAAATGCACATGCTAAAATGACTTAATAGTAATTACATTAGCAAATCATGAAATTCAGAACCTTTTTCTAATTACAGATCTAAATCAGGGGTCTCAAACTTAGAGGTCTTCAGGGCTGAGCAGGAACTACAAAGTAGAGAAGTTGTCTGATATAAGAGGGAAGTCCAGTAGGCTGTGGCAAACTGGGGAACACACACCCAATCAAAAGACTTTTCAAATTCAAACATTTTTGAAACATTATGTACATCTAATAAAATAACTGTGGGTCAAACTGGCCTATGTGAACTACCAGTTTACAGATCTGGTCTAAATGAATTTCTAATATTTTATGTAGTACCTAAATCCTCAAAATGGCAGATAAATGGCAGACCGCACTTCTTTGAGATTATATATATATATATATATATATATATATATATATATATATG
This sequence comes from Homo sapiens, assembly GCF_000001405.40. Lineage (NCBI taxonomy): Eukaryota > Metazoa > Chordata > Mammalia > Primates > Hominidae > Homo > Homo sapiens. The sequence goes on along the minus strand of NC_000004.12, from coordinate 128,039,143 downwards.
CATATGTGTGTATATATAATACATATATATACGTACATACATATATATACACACATACGTGTGTGTGTATATATATATAAAACGTATACATATACGTATATGTGTATATTTATGTATTTGAGAACACTTAAGCCACCATTTTGGGGGGAATAGATTAAAAAATCCTAAGAAAAGTTATTTTGCACTTTGAATTCTTCAACTGAGGTAGTTTTAGGGATATATATATATTTTTTGAGACAGAGTTTTGCTCTTGTTGCCCAGGCTGGAGTGCAATGGCACAATCTCGGCTTACTGCAACCTCCGTCTCCCGGGTTCAAGCGATTCTCCTGGCTCAGCCTCCTGAGTAGCTGGGATTACAGGCATGTGCCACCACGCCTGGCTAATTTTGTATTTTTTTTAAAAATTTTGTATTTTTAATAGAGATGGGGTTTCTCCATATTGGTCAGGCTAGTCTCGAACTCCCAACCTCAGGTGGTCCCCCCACCTCGGCCTCCCAAAGTGCTGGGATTACAGGTGTGAGCCACTGCACCCGGCCTAGGGATATATTCTTAAAACATCTGGTTAAGAGATGAAATTTTAAAAATACTTTCTTTCACACTTTATTTGAGAAAAGTTAGTTATGCCTAAGAATTAAAACTAAATCAACATTTCATTTTTTTAACAATAGAAATTCACACAACATAGTACATTATTGCTTAGTAAGAAATGTTTATGTGAACAATAATAAAGTATTTGTTTTACTAAAACCATTGTTCAAAAAGCATTCAATCATATAACCTCACTATATACATAATATAAGAAAATCGTAATTCAGTTGACAAGTTTTATTTTAAAAAGTATTTTGTGGAAGAACTTTAGTAGATGTTATACTTTTGGTTAAAACTAAAGGTTCTCATCTGAACATGTAAAATTGCTTATAGCTCAAAGAGCTGTACAGTGTTGGCTTGTTATGCCAAAGTAGTTTGAAAGAAGTTACTACTTTGTCTACCATCAATAACTTCACATTAATAATTTTTAAATATTTGTAAAAAATTAAGATGATAGAGGCATAGAGGTGACAAATGAAATCTCCTTTAAAAAGACTGCAAAGGCACATTATAATTCAAATATCGTTAGTAGACTAAGAATCCCTATTTAAAAATAATTCACAGACAACACAGATTTCAAACAAAACTCAAAAATACCTACTGTAAAACTTCACACAATACCCTAAAATATTTTCGACTTTTTTAACATTTTAGCTGACAGCTAGAGAAGTTTAACATAAAAAGAAAGCACCAAATCGAGCCATATAAACCCCATTTAAGAGAGTTAATAGCTATTACATAAAACTTTAAATATTTTCTGTAAAATAAAGTTTATATGGGACAAATCAATTGCATATGTGTCTATTAAATTTTGAAATTAAAAGCCAAGGCTGTTAAGTATTTGGGTAGTTAGATGGTTAGCAATCCAAAGAATAAGCATATAGAAAAATGTAATTAAAAAAATAAAAATAAAATGTCAGGTCGGGTGTGGTGGCTCAAACCTATAATCCCAGCACTTTGGGAGGCCAAGGCAGGCATATCACTTGAGGTCAGGAATTCGAGACCAGCTTGGCCAACATGGTGAAACCTCGTGTCTATTAAAAATACAAAAATTAGCCAGGCATGGTGGCGGGCACCTGTAATCTCAGCTACTCAGGTGGAGGCAGGAGAACCGCTTGAACCTGAGAGGCGGAGGTCGCAGTGAGCCAAGATCATGCCACTGCACTCCGTCAGTTAATGCAACAGGTCTTCCAATGTTTCCATTTTTGTGAATTGAAACTTTTTAGTAGGGAGAAATAAGTTTGGCATTTTGTTTTGTTTTGAGACAGAGTCTTGCTCCTTCTCCTAGGCTGGAGTGCAGTGGTGCGATCTCCGCTCACTGCAACTTCTGCCTCCCGGGTTCAAGCAATTCTCCTGCCTCAGCCTCCCGAGTAGCTGGGATTACAGGTGCCTGCCACCATGCCCGGCTTAATTTTTTTTTTTTTTTTTTTTTTTTTTTGAGATGGAGTTTTGCTCTGTTGCCCAGGCTGGAGTGCAGTGGCGCAATCTCAGCTCAGTGCAACCTCCGCCTCCTTGGTTCAACCAATTCTCCTGCCTCAGCCTCCTGAGTAGCTGGGATTACAGGCACACGCCACAATGCCCGGCTAATTTTTTTGTACTTTTAGTAGACATGGGGTTTCACCATGTTGGCCAGGCTGGTCTTAAACTCCTGACCTTGTGATCCGCCCGCCTGAGCGTCCCAAAGTGCTGGGATTACAGGCATGAGCCACTGCACCCGGCCTATTGGCATTTTTTAAAAACCCTAATCTTTAGTAAAGTTTTAGTCTAGCAAAGTCTAATGCATTTTATCTGCAGAACACTCATTTTGGTTATTATTATTATTTTGAGACGGAGTTTCACTCTTGTTGCCCAGGCTGGAGTGCAATGGTGTGATCTCGGATCACCGCAACCTCTGCCTCCCGGGTTCAAGCGATTCTCCTGCCTCTGCCTCCTGAGTATCTGGGATTATAGGCATGCGCCACCATGCTTGGCTAATTTTTTGTATTTGTAGTAGAGAGGGGGTTTCTCTATATTGGTCAGGCTGGTCTTGAACTCCCAACCTCAGGTAATCTGCCCGCTTCAGCATCCCAGTGCTGGGATTACAGGCGTGAGCCACCGCACCCTGCCACTCACTTTGATTATTAAAAGCACTTACATTCAAGTAGAGGTACATGTTAAAAGAAAAAAAAAAGAAAAAGAAAAGCACTTATCTATGAAGCTATCAGGATATTTTAGAATTCAAAGTTAACACTGATTTTATATATCATAAGTATTTATTTCCACAGCAGAAAATTAGTTGAACACAAGAACATTCAAAAAATAAACATGTTTCTCAAATCAAGTCAAGAGTGAAATGTTATAAGGGTACAAAGTAAATGCTGATATATTAAAATCTTGGTTTGATTTAGCAATTTTACTAAAACCCAGAAAAGTTTCTATGAATAAATTTATTTAATTTAATAAATTATTCATGATTAAAAATTTAGTTTTTCATAAACAGTAACAACAGACTAAACACTGAATATATGGGATTCCAATAAACAATAGTAAAAACACTTTAACATTATTTACTTCAAATATTATCTTGAAATTATTCAAATGTATTCGAAGTTTATAGTTAACTGATGTGTAACAATGAATTCCAGACCAAATTGATAGCGATTAGATATATTAGTGCTGTCTGCTTGTCCTTCACATGATCACAGGATGAAGCTCCCTTTTGTAAGAAACATCATGGCCACACTGGTTACATATAATAATCCAACTAGTTAGCGTATTTATGGAGGAAGCGGTCAAATGCATCATAGATGGCTTGTCTAAAATTAAATATGAAAGAAAAACTCTAAGTAACTAACAAAAAGGGGGGACAAACAATGCCTTTACTGTAAGTTATTTCCAAATTTATCTGTGGCTTGCAACTTGACATCCTCTCTAAATAGCTATGAAATAGGCAGTTACCCTCCCCAGAATGGGTGTTTGAATCCATGTAACTTTTTTTTTTCTTTTGAGACAGGGTCTCGCTCTGTCGCCCAGGCTGGACTGCAGTGGCATGATCTCTGCTCACTGCAACCTCTGCCTCCCGGTTCAAGTGATTCTCATGCCTCAGCCTCCCAAGTAGCTAGAATTACAGGCATGCACCACCTCACCCTGCTAATTTTTTGTATTTTTAGTAGAGACGGGGTATCACCATGTTGGCTAGGCTGGTCTCGAACTCCTGGCCTCAAGTGATCCGCCTGCCTCAGATGCATGCAACTTTACCACCACTACCGGAAAACCTCAAATATACTTCCAATTTATGAGGGATCTAAAAGCATTATCTTTTTCTGAAGCACTTTTTGTGCCTTAGAATATATATATTCATACATACACGCACGCACACAGAGGCACATGTGTGTAATGTGTATAAAATAAATTATGAAAGAAAAAGGAACTGATTTATTGTCTTATCGCTTCGTTGAAAATTAATTATGTAACTTTTCAGAATGTAAGATTCTGTTTCACAGATTATGATATAGATGTTTTTCATTTACTATGAACATGTTCCTAGCTACTTAAAATCAAAAGCCTTGGTTTCTCACATTAACTTTACCAAGTATTTTAATATTTCAATTGAAAAGGAATAGACAGGCCGGGCGCGATGGCTCAAGCCTGTAATCCCAGCACTTTGGGAGGCCGAGGCAGGCGGATCACCTGAAGTCGGGAGTTTGAGACCAGCCTGATCAACATGGAGAAACCCCGTCTCTACTAAAATTACAAAAAATTAGCCGGGTGTGGTGGCACATGCCTATAATCCCAGCTACTCGGGAGGCTGAGGCAGGAGAATTGCTTGAACCTGGGAGGCAGAGGTTGTGTGAGCTGAGATCACACCATTGCACTCCAACCTGGGCAACAAGAGCGAAACTCTGTTTCAAAAAAAAAAGAAAGAAAAAGAAAAGGAATAGACAAATTTTATCTTCCATAAGATATTTTTTCTTTTCTTTTTTCTTTTTTTTTAGAGACAAGATCTCACTATGTTGCCTAGGCTTGAGTGCAGTGGTTACTCTCAGGTGCAATCATAGCACGCTGCAGCCTCAAACTCTTGGCCTCAAGCTATCTTCCCACCTCAGCCTGTTGAGTATCTGGAACTACAGTCCTGCGACACCCTGCCCCACTCATATTTTTTTCTAAAGCTGTTTTTTTCCTATTGTATAATACATTTTTATAGCAGAATATTCAGAAAATCCAAAACATAGGAAGGGGAAAACATCATAATCCCATCACTCACATCTACTGTTAACCTTTTCATATCTTTCCTCCAGGCTTTTAAGAAAATGCATGTCTAGGCCAGGCGCGGTGGCTTACGCCTGTAATCCCAGCACTTTGGAAGGCCAAGGAGGGCGGATCACAAGGTCAGGAGTTCGAGACCAGCCTGGCCAACATGGTGAAACCCCATCTCTACTAAGAATACAAACATTAGCCGGGTGTGGTGGTGGGTGCCTGTAATCCCAGCTACTCGAGAGGCTGAGGCAGGAGAATTGCTTGAACCTGGGAGGCGGAGGATGCAGTGAGCCAAGATCGCGCCACTGCACTCCAGCCTAGGTGACAAGCAAGACTCCAGCTCAAAAAAAAAAAAAAAAAAGAAAAAAGAAAATGCATGTCTATATTTTCACCCAGTTTAAATAACTATCAGATATTAATTTTGTATCCCACTTGTTCAACTAACCATATCCTCACATCCAAACACAGCTATTAAGACTGTCTTTAGCCGGGTGCGGTGGCTCACGCCTGTAATCCCAGAACTTTGGGAGGCCGAGACAGGCGGATCACGAGGTCAGGAGATCGAGACCATCCTGGCTAACATGGTGAAACCCCGTCTCTACTAAAAATAGAAAAAAATTAGCCGGGCGTGGTGGCGGGCGCCTGTAGTCCCAGCTACTGCAGAGGCTGAGGCATGAGAATGCCGTGAACCCAGGAGGTGGAGGTTGCAGTGAGCCAAGATCATGCCACCGCACTCCAGCCTGAGTGACAGAGGGAGACTCTGTCTCAAAAAAGACAAAAAAAAAAAAAAAAAAAAGACTATCTTTGAAACTGATAGCCTGCTAATAGATTATTATTTCCAATATGTTGGGAAGTCATAGTTTTACAACATGCTTGTCTTTCTTTGGCTCAAGTACTTGTTCCCTGTGAATTATAATGAACCATAAGAAGGGAAAAAAATTAGAGGTGGATATTTGCATGTTGGTGTAAACACATAAAGAGATTTTGTTTTGAAGACAGATATGACAGCAATAGGGAAGAAGTAAAGAGGGCTTTGAAATTATTGCCCACTGGATAATTTTTTTTTTGAGACAGAGTCTCACTCTGTCACCCAGGCTGGAGTGCAGTGGTGCGATCTCGGCTCACTGCAAGCTCTGACCTCTGGGTTCACACCATTCTCCTGCCTCAGCCTCTGCAGTAGCTGGGACTACAGGCACCCGCCACCACGCCCAGCTAATTTTTTTCTATTTTTAGTAGAGACAGGGTTTCACCATGTTAGCCAGGATGGTCTTGATCTCCTGGCCTCGTGATCCACCCGCCTCGGCCTCCCAAAGTGCTGGGATTACAGGCGTGAGCCACCACGCCCGGCCCACCCACTGGATAATTTTTTTCCTCAGAGTTAGTTCCAGGCACTTGCTCTTGTGGAATGAATCTGAATTTGTTTACTTCCTGGTGCCAAAAGTTACAATACGGGCTTGTGTACATGTAATGTATGTCCCTTTTTAATCATGTGAATAGTCTCTTATTCACCTGTATTATCAATAAGCTCTAAATAACACAAAATATTAGAGCACATAAAGGAATGGCTTTATTTATTCATTCATTCATTTTTTGAGACAGAGTCTCACTGTCACCCAGGCTGGAATGTAGTGGTGCGATCTCAGCTCACTGCAACCTCTGCCTCCAGGGGGAATGCAGTGGTGCGATAGCTCACTGCAACCTCCACCTCCCAGGTTCAAGCGGTTCTCCTGCCTCAGCCTCCTGAGTAGCTGGGACTATAGGTGCGTGCCCACCACGCCCAGCTAATTTTTGTATTTTTAGTAGAGACGGGGTTTTACCATATTGGCCAGGCTGGGCTCGAACTCCTGATGTCATGATCCACCCGCCTTGGCCTCCTGAAGTGCTGGGATTACAGATGTGAGCCACCGCACCTGGCGGCTTCTTTTATTTTTATGTTTGGTGTGTGAAAAGACTGAATTTTTAAAAATTCTACTATTCCAATGTCATCTAACCTCTGTTAAGTTTTGAAGTGACTGATGGGGAATGGAAGAGGTCAAATAGCTTAGTAGTGACTCCACTTGAGCAAGTTACTTAATCTTTTTTGTTCCCTTTATTCTGTGTAAAGGGGATAATAACAGAGCAATTGCCCTAGCATCTGGCACATGATAATAGTTAACATTTATCTCTCTCAAATGAAGCCTTCATAATAGCACTTTTGTGTTTTTATATTTGACTTTGATTATAAATCTACTCTTCCTAATACGTCTTAGCTATACTCCCACTTAGATACACAAAAGAGTGAAAGAAATTTGATACTAATTTACTAATGCAAGCATGTGGGTCCTCTGCGTTCACATGTATAACAGAACTTTAGACTCTTCTTAAGCAATCCTAGCAACCCTAGGTAGTCACGGATTTTTGTTTATTTGTTTTAATTTTGTTGTGCCAGAGGGCCAATGAGTATTGGATAGTCTGCTCACTCACCAATAGGGACTCAAATGCTGCATGAATACTTCTTAAAAGATCATACTATAAAAAGAAAGGTTTACTATATCCTTCAAGACATGAGAGACTTGAACAATTGGTTTATTTCTAAAAAGGGTGACATTTATAAGTTGGGCTAGATAAGTAACAACATAGAAAAATTATTTCCTCCGTTAACAAGAGCTAAAACATGTCAAACATATCACATACAATTCTTCTATTATATAGCTATCCAGTTGGAAGTTTTTTTTAACACTTATGTACAGGGCACTGATCTAACCATTTATGTGAATCAATTTACTTAATCATTAATAATAACATGAGGAATATGTTTCAATAATGCAGAATACCAGAAAATTATAGTTTTAGCATAAAAAAATTTTTTTTTTTGAGACGGAGTCTCGCTCTGTCTCCCAGGCTGAAGTGCAGTGGCGTGATCTCGGCTCACTGCAAGCTCCGCCTCCCGGGTTTTATGCCATTCTCCTGCCTCAGCTTCCCAAGTAGCTGGGACTACAGACATGCACCACCTATGCCCGGCTACTTTTTTTTTTTTTTTTTTGTATTTTTACTAGAGACGGGGTTTCACCGTGTTAGCCAGGATGGCCTTGATCTCCTGACCTCGTGATACACCCGCCTCCGCCTCCCAAAGTGCTGGGATTACAGGCGTAAGCCACCGCGCCCAGCCAGCATAAAAGTTTTTATAAGTTCTAACTAAAATAGTGGAGTCATATAAGGTTGTTCACATTAAAAGCACTTCTTATTTAAGGTTCAATATTCACTTGCTAACTGAAAAACATTGCTAAATTATTCCACAGATGTTCAGGCCATTCTGAAAAAACATCAGAATAGAGTGAAAAAACTCTTGATGCACCAAAGCAACTTTAACAAGCCATGATCTTCCTTCTCACATCCTAAAATACCTGGCCATTAATATTTGAAGAGGGGAAAGCCACACGATAAAGCATGCCTATAATATGCATCATGCTTAGTTCTCTAGAAGAAAATAAGAAGATCAAATTCTAGGAAAGAGGGAAAAGTAACTCTGTGAGATTTGTGGGAGGTGAGGAGGGAATTCAAAGATTGAAACAGACTATAAAAATATGTGATCTTTTACATTTGTTGAAGCAAAAAATCCAGAAAACAAACAACAAATGAACGAATACATGTTTAGACCAGCCGTCTTACCTGAAGAGTCCTTGTTTAAAAAGATAAGCACTAATATGACCCCCTTCTAAGTATCGGATTTCACAACCAGGCCAAATTTCTTGTAAACTTCGAACTCCTGTTCGTGGAATATAGGCATCTTCTTTGGCTTGAACCACTATAATGAGGCTTGGATCAACTGGGACTAGGTATAGGATTTTTAAAAATTCAACATATACACATTAGAAAATAAAAAAACCCACACAATGCAGTAAATAAAACATTCGTCAAACTAAACATTTTTGATTAAATTAAAAATCAACTATAATATGCTACCTTACTCATCTCCAGTACGAGATAAATATTCTAAAAATGATACAAAATACTGTGGTTTTTAAAAATTAACTAATTTATTTCTTTTGTGTGGGTGTGGGTACACAGTAGGTGTATATATTTATGGGTTACATGAGATATTTTGATACGGGCATGCAATGCATAATAATCACATCAGAGTACGTAAGGTATGCATCGCCTCAATCATTTATTTTAAAGATGGGATCTCACTGTATTGCCCAGGCTGAAATGCAGTGGCTATTCATTGGCAAGATCATAGTGCACTACAGCCTTGAACTCCTGGGCTCAAGTGATCCTCCCTCCTTAACTTCCTGAGTAGCTGGGACTACAGGTGAATGCCACCACACTCAGCAATCCAGTGTTTTTCTTTTGGGAGATAAGAGTTTCACTTTGTCACCGAGGCTAGGGTGCAGTGGTGCAATCATAGCTCAGTGCCACCTTGAATTCCTGGGCTCAAGGGATCCTCCTGCCTCAGCCTCTGAGTAGATGGGACTATAAGCATATGCCACCACACCCAGCTAATTTATTTTTGTTTTTGAGATGGAGTCTCACTCTGTCACTCAGGCTGAGTGCAGTGGCATGATCTCTGCTCACTGCAACCTCCACCTCCCGGGTTCAAATGATTCTCCTGCCTCAGCCTCCTGAGTAGCTGGGATTACAGGCACACACCATTACGCCCAACTAATTTTTTATATTTTTGGTAGAGATGAGGTTTCACCATGTTGGCCAGGATGGTCTCAAACTCCTGACCTCAAGTGATCCACCCGCCTTGGCCTCCCAAAGCACTGGGATTACAGGCGTGATCCACTGGGCCCGGCCACCCAGCTAATTTTTACATTTTTGATAAGGACAGGGTCTCACTATGTTGCCCGGGCTGGTGTCAAACTCCTGGGCTCAAGCGGTCCTCCCACCGCAGCCTCCCAAAGTGCTAGGATTATAGGCGTGAGCCACTGTGTCCAGCTCCAGAGTGTGTGAGAGTGTGTGTATGTGTGTTTGTGTGTGTGTGTGAGAGTCTTGCTGTCACCCAGGATGGAGTGCAGTGGTGTGATCTTGGCTCACTGCAACCTCCAACTCCTTGGGCTGAAGCGATCCTTCCACTTCAGCCTCCCAAGTAGCTGGAACTACAGGCTTGCAACACCACACATGACTACTTTTTTGTATTTTTTTTTTTGGTAGAGACAGGGTTTTACCATGTTACCCAGGCTGGTCTTGAACTCCTGGGCTCAAGCAATCCACCTGCCTCAGCCTCCCAAAATGCTGGGATTACAGGCATGAGCAACCACACCCGGCTGTCCAGTGTGTTTCTTAATGAATAAGATAATCTTAAATTTTCATAGATAGAATATGATACATTTAAGTAACCAACTTATCTTTGCAAACATATTCTGGAGCCAACAAAAAAATATACCCTTGAAAATATAAAATTATCTTATAGAGCATCTTTTAAAATATTTCACAAATACTTACACATCAGCAAATATTCTCAATTTCATATAAAAATTAGTACCTGAGAAATTTGCTACATGAGTACATTCATCCATGACTCCTTTCATAAATATTAAAGACTCTTTCCGAAGACTGTTTCTGCTTTGTTCTTTACTAAGTAGGTGGTATGACTGAGGGTTGCGACTTGTATAACCACTTTTGTTGGTTGAAAGTGTTTGATTGAAGCGCTTCATCTTAGAGGTATCTTGCAATAAGAGTCCTTCTGATGTCGCACTGACAGATGTTTTGCTAGAATTATGGCAGTCAGCAGGTTTTTGGGATACAACTTGGTTTGATATATCTAAATTTAAAGTTCTGGAAACCAGATTAAGGTTAGTTAGCTTGTCTGCACTGCTAGTGAAGTGTTTCACAAACTCTTGTCCCATTTTGAAAGAATCTGTCTGAACATATGAAAGGAAAGAAAACATTATTTAATATAAAATAGGGTATTAACAGCTTTGTCAAAAAAAAAAGAGAAAAGACAAATGTCCATCAATGAATAAATGGATAAATAAAATGTAGTATATTCAAACAATTAAACATTATGCAGTCTTAAAAGGAATGAAATTCTGACACATGCCACAACATGGATGAACACTGAAGACATTATCTTAAGTGAATAAGCCAGACACAAAAGGACAAATATTGTATGATTCCACTTGTATGAGGTCCCTATAGTAGTAAAATTCATAGCGATGGAAAGAGAATGGCAGTTGCCAGAGACTGGGAGAAGGGAGGAATGAATAGTTTTGTTCAATGGGTAAGTTTCAGTTTGAGAAGATAAAAATGTTTTGGAGATAGATGGTGGTGATGGTTGCACAACATGTATATACTTAATGCCACTGAACTATGCACTTAAAAATGGTTATGATAGTAAATTTTATGTTGTATATATTTACCATGACTTTTTTAAAAAACAAAGATGTATTAAAATTTAACTCACGACTAAGATAAATGACTTACACTTTATTGCTGTTTCCTACTAAACAGTAAAGGGTATCATTTAGCCTGCATCATTTTTTTTTATAGCCAAAGTTTTAAAATCCATGATCTGCCTTAACCTTTGAACTTCCAAAAGTCTTACAACTGAGTAATGTAAATTCAAGCACAGGAGGATACCAGCTTCTCCAAATCCCTTTCTCTGGTTGAACTAACCAGAATTTAAAATTACTGGCCAGGCGCGGTGGCTCACGCCTGTAATCCCGGCACTTTGGGGAGCTGAAGCAGGCGGATCACGAGGTCAGGAGATCGACACCATCCTGGCCAACATGGCAAAACCCTGTCTCTACTAAAAATACAAAATTTAGCCGGGCATGATGGTGTGTGCCTGTTATCCCAGCTACTCGAGAGGCTGAGGCAGGAGAATCGCTTAAATCTGGGAGGCAGTGGTTGCAGTGACCTGATATCGTGCCACTGCACTTCAGCCTGGGCGACAGAGTGAGACTCCGTCTCAAAAAAAAAAAGAAAAAAATTATCAAGAAAAAAAGAAATATTGCCTATTAAAGTCTCAAAACTATATTCTAAGTTTAAGGACTTGTAAATACACTTATGTGTTGCTTAATGATGGGATATGTTCTGAGAAATGCATCACTAGGTGGTTTCATTGTTGTGTGAACATCACAATGTATTTACGTAAATCTAGACGGTATAGCTGACTACACACCCAAGCTATATGGTATAATCTATTGTTTCTAGGTTACTAACCTGTACAACATGTTACTGTACTTAATACTGTAGGCAATTGTAACACAATTGTAAGTATTTGTGTATCTAATCATAGAAAAGGTACAGTAGGCAAGGCACGGTGGCTCATGCTTGTAATCCCTGCCCTTTGGGAGGCCAAGGGTGGGTTGATCACTTGAGGTCAGGAATTCAAGACTAGCCTGGCCAACATGGTGAAACTCTGTCTCTACTAAAATATAAAAATTAGCCAGGTGTGGTGGGCACCTGTAATCCCAGCTACTTGGGAGGCTGAGGCAGGAGAATCATTTGAACCCAGGAGGCGGAGGTTACAATGAGTAGAGACTGTGCCACTGCACTCCAGCCTGGGCGACAGAGCAAGACTCCGTCTCAAAAAAAAAAAAAAGAAAAAGAAAAGATATAGTAAAAATATGGTATTACAATCTTTTGGACCACCTTATATATGTGACTGAAGCATTGTTATGCAGAGCATGACTGTACAATAGAATTTAAGTAAAAATAAACTTTGTTATATGCTAAAACCAAAGTCAAAAGAAAAAATGACAGCCTGGGAAAATATATTTGCAACTCATATTACAAATGGCAAATCACTTTAATTTATTAAGAGCTAGAATTGAATAATTTTTTTGAAAGCCCAGAACCCCCAAATGAGCAAAGGATATACACATAAGGGCAACAGAAAACAAAATACAAACTGCTCTTTTTTTTTTTTTTTTGAGGTGGAGTCTTACTCTGTCACCCAGGCTGGAGTGCAATGGCACGATTTCAGCTCACTGCAACTTCACCCTTTTGGGTTCAAGCGATTCTCCTGCCTCAGCCTCCTGAGTAGCTGGGACTACAGGCGCATGCCACCATGCCTGGCTAATTTTTTTTTTTTGTTGTTGTTCAGAAGAAGTCTCGCTCTTGTCCTCCAGGCTGGAGTGCAATGGCATGATCTTGGCTCACTGCAACCTCTGCCTCCTGGGTTCAAGCAATTCTCTGCCTCAGCCTCCCGGGTAGCTGGGATTACAGGTGCCTGCCACCATGCCCGGCTAATTTTTGTATTTTAAGTAGAGACGGGGTTTCACCATGTTGGCCAGGCTGGTCTCAAACTCCTGACCTCAGGTGATCTGCCAGCCTTGGCCTCTCAAACTGCTGGGATTACAGGCGTGAGCCACCATGCCCGGCCAATTTTTTATATTCTTAATAGAGACGGGGTTTCACCGTGTTGGCCAGGATGGTCTCAATCTGACCTCATGATCTGCCCACCTCGGCCTCCCAAAGTGCTGGGATTACATGTGTGAGCCGTCGTGCCCAGCCAAACTGCTCTTAAACTTATAAAAACTTGCTCAACTTCCCTCATGCTTAAGTTAATTAAAACTACGCCATTTTCCAGTGCCAGTTGACAAAAAATAAAAACTAAAGTTTGATAACACACTGAATTTGAGAACTTATGAAGAAAGACACATTCCTGCTGGTGGTGTAAACTGACATAACCAGAATTAGACAAAATCTAACTACATTATTATACCCTTGACTCAGCAATCATATTTCTAGGAATTTACACTTATATAACATGAATGTACAAAGTTACTCACTGCAGCACTGTTTATTAATAGCAAAAGATGAGAAACAACATAAACATCTATCAACAGGGTACTGATTAATTATGGTACATCCATTCACATAATAGACTATTATATAGCAGTAAAAAATAATAAGGAAACACTTTGTATAGTCCATAAAAAAGGGAAGTGAGGCTGGGCACAGTGGCTCATACCTGTAATCCCAGCACTCTGGGAGGCTGAGGCAGGCAGATTGCTTTAGCCCAGGAGTTTGAAACAAGCCTGGGCAACATTGTGAAATCCCATCTCTACAAAAAATACAAAAATTAGCCAGGTGTGGTGGTGCATACCTATAATCCCAGCTACTCAGGAGGCTGAGGTAGAAGGTGACAGAGCCAGACCCTACCTCAACAAAATAAAAAGAAAAAGATAAAAAAAGTTCATATTTTTATTGGTTTGCACATGGACCAAAAATTCCCTGAAACACTAAACAATATAGGTTGTTATTTGTTGATGGGGATTGGACCTAAGCACAGATGGGGTAGGAATCTTTTCACTATATGTATCTATTTATACTTTTTGATGCTTGAATTATATGACCATACATTTTTTTTTTAAGTTAAAGAATTAAAATTGGTTGGCCGGGCGCAGTGGCTCACGCCTGTAATACCAGCACTTTGGAAGGCCGAGGTGGGAGGATCACCTCAGGCCAGGAGTTCGAGACCAGCCCGACCAACATGGAGAAACCCCGTCTATACTAAAAATACGAAATTAGCCGGGCGTGGTGGCACATGCCTGTAATCCCAGCTACTCGGGAGGCTGAGGCAGGAGAATCGCTTGAACTCAGGAGGCGGAGGCTGCGGCGAGCCAAGATTGTGCCTCTGCACTCCAACCTGGGCAAAAGAGTGAAACTCCATCTCAAAAAAAAAAAAAATTAAAATTGGTTGAAGGCAAGGAAAACAAAAATACCGAACAACCTGGTTACCACAACAAATCACTATAAGAGGAAGGAAGTTTAGTAACATATGGAAATGTAAAGATCAAAGGGTCCCCGAATTACTCAGAGTGGGACATCAATAAATTGAACTTTTTTTTTGACTGGGAAAATACAAAGAGTAGGGAAAACATCTTAACATTTATTGAATATTCGTTATTGTGAACTGGTTCTAAGTGAGATGAGAAGTGCCAAATAAGACTACCGCTATGGTTTAAATATGTCCCCCAAAGTTCATGTGTTGGAAACTTAATCCCCAATGTAATAGTGTTGAAAGGTGGGACCTTTAATTAGGCCATGAAGGTTCTGCTCTCATAAATGGACTAATGCCCTTACTGTGGGAGTGGGTTAGTTACCGGGAATGGATTCCTGATAAAAGAATGAGTTCAGCCTCTTCCCTCCCTCTATCTCTTTTGCACACACACACATTCTCTCTTGCCCTTATGCCTTCTGCCATGAAATAATGCAGCAAGAAGGCACTCACCAGATGTGGGCCCCTCAACCTTGGACTTTCTAGCCTCCAGAACTGTGAGCCACATATATCTCTGGTCTTATAAATTTCCCAGTCTCAGATATTCTGTTACAGCAACACAAAATTGACTAAGACAACTACATTGCAATTTCAGATGACCAAAATTTATAAACTTCCTTTAAAACATACATGTAAGTTTCTCATAAACTTTCAAATACAGGTATTCTTCTGATTATATGTATAGGAACTAACTAGCAGGTAAAGCTTTTTTTTGTTTTTTTGAGACGGAGTCTCGCTCTGTTGCCCAGGCTGGCGTGCAGTGGCGTGATCTTGGCTTACTGCAAGCTCTGCCTTCTGGGTTCACGCCATTCTCCTGCCTCAGCCTCCCGAGTAGCTGGGACTGCAGGCGCCTGCCTGCCACCACGCCCGGCTAATTTTTTGTATTTTTAGTAGAGATGGGGTTTCACCGTATTGGCCAATATGGTCTCGATCTCCTGACCTCGTGATCTGCCCTCCTCGGCCTCCCAAAGTGCTGGGATTACAGGGTGAGCCATTGCGCCCAGCCTTTTTTTTTTTTTTAAGAGAAATGGTCTTGCTCTGTCACCTGGGCTGGAGTGCAATGACACAATCATAGCTCACTGCTACAGCCTTGAACTCCTGGGATCAAGTGATCTGCCCACCTCAGCCTCCTGAGTAGCTAGGACTACAGGCATGCACCACCATGCCCAGCTTTTTTTTTTTTTTTTTTTTTTTTTTTTTTTGTAGAGACAAGAGTCTCACTTTATTTCCCAGGCTGGTCTCAAACTCCTGGCTTCAAGTGATCCTCTTACCTCAGTCTTCCAAATTGCTGTGATTACAGGCATGTGCCACCACGCCTGGTCCCGATAAAGCTATTTTGTAATAAAGTTCTTAGGCAAGCAATCAACTACCTTTTGAAGTTACGTGAGATAGACCTACTTTACAAGAGTAAAGTTTACAGTGATTTAATTATAAATAAAAAGTTCTCATTCATAGTAGAAAGATTTCTTTTTTTTGAAGTTTCTTAAGAGTCTCAGTATCTTTCAAACAGTAAAAAATTTAAATTCATGAAAAGGATTGCTGGGCGCGGTGGCTCATGCCTGTAATCCCAGCACTCTGGGAGGCCGAGGCAGGTGTATCAGGAGGTCAGGAGTTTGAGACCAGCCTGACCAATATGGTGAAACCCCATCTCTACTAAAAATACAAAAATTAGCTAAGCATAGTGGCGCGTGCCTGTAGTCCCAGCTGCTCAGGAGGCTGAGGCAGGAGAATTGCTTGAATCTGGGATGCGGAGGTTGCAGTGAGCTGAGAGCTAAGATCGTGCCACTGCACTCCAGCCTGGGCGACACAGCAAGACAGAGAAAAAAAAAAAAAAAAGAAAAGGATCGGTCACTTTTGAAGAGCAGTAGGAAACCAATTCATCATCTTGAAAACTGGTAAATTACAGAAAAAAAATCAAGCATTTACCATAACTGCCTTTCTTATACAAACTGAACTACCATGTAACTAAATAATATATGAGGTAAGTGTCTCCCTATAAAAGTATTCAAATACATGAAAAAGAAATAATAGAATATCAGCAACCTTCAATGAATTGATATAGTCATTAAGCATCAGTAGAGGCTTATATCATAAAAAAAGAGATAATCAGATATTATGTGTTTCCTATATAGCCTTGTGAAAGAAATCAAAACAATGAGTTTAATCAAGCCTTTAGATCCAACTGCCAATTTTCAGGCAACGTAGAGCAATATGCTGAACTGTACCATGAGAATGCAATCAGAAAAATCTAGATTGTGAGAAACCCTACAGGTCAAATAACCTAAATTCTTCATGAAATAAATTATAAGGAAAATAAAGGGATGGAAGGCAAGTTATCTTTTTTCTTTTTTACAGATTGATTGATTGATTTTTTATTATTACACTTTAAGTTCCAGGGTACATGTGCACAACGTGCAGGTTTGATACATAGGTATACATGTGCCATGTTGGCTTGCTGCACCTATCAACTTGCCATTTATATTAGGTATATCTCCTAATGCTATCCTTCCCCTAGCCCGCCACCCCTCAACAGGCCCCGGTGTGTGATGTTCCCCGCCCTGTGTCCAAGTGTTCTCATTGTTCAATTCCCACCTATGAGTGAGAACATGCGGTGTTTGGTTTTCTATCGGAAGGCAACTTATTAAAGGTACTTCAAATAAAAGAACTATAGGGTCTACAGATACACATTTGGATAATAAAATTATTTTAAAGGCAGAAGGAGTAATTACTATAAACATAAGGATAACGATTACTAATAATGCAGGGAGGAAGGCCTTGTGATTAGGACACATTTGAAGGGGTTTCTGGGTTGGGTGGTCAAGTTTTATTTTTGACCTAGGTACTAGTTACAGTGTGTTTGCCTTTTAATAAATGTAGTAAACCACATATTTGCTTTGCATGATTCTCTGTATCTGTGTTTTATTTTAAAAGAATTTTTATTTATTTATTTTTAAGACAGAGTCTCACTCTGTCGCCCAGGCTGCAGTGCAGTGGCACAATCTTGGTTCACTGCAACCTCTGCCTCCTAAGTTCAAGAGATTCTCCTGCCTCAGCCTCCTGAATAGCTGGGATTACAGGCACCTACCACCACACGTGGCTAATTTTTGTATTTTTAGTAGTGATGGGGTTGGCCAGGCTAGTCTCAAACTCCTGACCTCAAGTGATCAACCCACTTCAGCATCCCAAGGTGCTGGGGTTACAGGTGTGACCCACCATGCCCAGACAAAAATGAAAAATCTTTTAAAGTAAAAAATAGTATGTACAGCTATGTTTTTAAAAATTTGCTATTCTCTTTAAAAACCTGAATCATTAAATATACAATCAACTCCCCCCACCACCAATGTTGGGTGGAAAGTGAAATACTTACTCCACAGTATTCAAGCATGTGAATAATTTCTTCTTCATAAACTGTCTGGGTATAATATTGCTTTTCCAGCTCCCTCCAATTAATTGATTTACTCAACACACCCTGAAATAATAAGCTAAATTAAGATCAAACCACATCATAAGGCAATTTGCCCAATACTTTTATTATTATTACTGTGTGAGACTACCTTTTTTTTTTTTTTTTGCAGACGAAGTCTCACTCTGTTGCCCAGGCTGGAGTGCAATGGCACTATCTCGGCTCACTGCAACCTCCACCTTCTGGGTTCAAGCAATTCTCCTGCCTCCGCCTCCCAAGTAGCTGAGACTACAGGCATGTGCCACCACGCCCAGCTAATTTTTGTATTTTTAGTAGAGACAGAGTTTCACCATGTTGGCCAGGCTGGTCTTGAACTCCTGACCTCAGGTGGTTCACCAGCCTCAGCCTCCCAAAGTGCTGGGATTACAGGCGTGAGCCACCGCACCTGGCCTAAGACTTCCTATCTTTAGCCTGCTTGTAAGGTTGGCCCTTAACTGGAGTCTGGGAACTTGACCAGTAAACAGCTTTCTATACTTATATAAAACTTTTCCTAAATGATAAGAGTGGGTCACTGTACCTAAACTGCTTATATAAACAATGCGGTTTCTGCTGAACACCTGCTTTCCTTCTGAATTTTTGGTGCATGCTAGGCAGAAGTTATCTAAGTCACTAACCCCTGATAAAAACTCTGGACTGCAAGGCTCAGGGGAGCTTCACTGATGGACAGCACTTTGCACTTATTGTCAATAATTATTGTTGGAAGAATTAAGCATGAACTGTAACACTCCACTAGGAGAGGACTCTTGGAAGCTTGTTCTTGGTTTCCTTTGGACTCTACCTCATGCGCTTTTTCCTTCTGTTGACTGTGTTGTATCTTTTGCTGTAGTTAAGGCTTAATCATGATTACGACTATATCCTGAGTCCTATAATTCTTTCTTTGAATCACCAAAGCTGAGGGTGGTTTTGGGGACCCCCCCAAAACAATTACCTCTAATTATATATAGCTACCTAATATTAATTACAATTAAATTACCGTAGTGAAGACCCCAGATGCTGTGGACCAAGACAGGCATGGAATCAATGGCATGGGCTTAGGCCAGTTGGATACCGCTAAGGAAGCCATCTGTAATATAACAGATAGAGAGCGTCTATTTAGAGTTTCTATTCATTAAAATAAAAATATTTAATATTAATAAGCATTCCGTGCAGTAAATAGTTGGTCAGATAAACACAAAGTCTGCAAACATTCGTGAGAATGTCTAGCCACCTCATTAAATTCCCCAAATCATAAATTCAACATTTAATTTCCCCCTTAGATAGCAATAAAATGTAATACAAAACTTTAACCTCAAGACCATTCGCTGAGAGCTACTTTCTACTGTGTAAATATGGAGCAAAGATGCTGAGATGTAGATGCTGGGCAGCAGGGTAAACACACTCATTACTTAAGTGACTTGCCAGATAGAGCAAAATCACAACTATAAAACATCAGACCATTGAGGTTGACTGAGTATGCCAAGAATTTGGTGAACTACAAAGCAGATTATATAATAGATCTAAAATAATGTAATGTGTGTGATTAGAGAAGGTAAAATCACTCTCCCTTTTGGAGAAGGGAAAACTTTATCTTTTCAAAAAGTTACTTTCCCTTCTGGGCTGGAGGAATCAGAAGGGAAAGGCAGGCTTCATGAAATGGATGAGTCTTCTAGAGGAATGAAAGATAGGGTCTTGTCTTCCAGAGAAAGAATCAGTATGATCAAAGGCAAGACTGTGAGAATGCACAGGGTCTCATAGGGAAACAGCCAATATACTTCAGTTGGGATGGTCAATAGGCACACATGGCCAATGGAGTGAGGGAGGTAAGTAGGGCTAGAAAGATTGATCAAGATCAGATTAGAGGTCCTTTGTTCTATAGATAATCGGGAATTAATAAAGAGGTCTGAGCAAAGGAGTAGTATTGTCAAAGAAGTGATTCAAAGAAGGTAACATGATAGTAGTTTACAGGATTGAATAGAGAAGGGGAGAACTGAGGTAGGAGACCAGTTAATAGGCAGTAATCCAGGTGAAAGTTATAAGGACCTGACCTAGGTGATAACAATGGAAACACTACTAGGTAGGAAAATAAATCCTTTTCCATCTTTTGTTTCACTGTCAGGTAGTTGTTTTGAATTTTTTTTTTTTTTTTTTTTGAGATGTAGTCTCACTCTGTTGCTCACGCTAGAGTGCAGTGGTGCGATCTCAGCTCACTGCAACCTCCGCTTCCTGGGTTCAGGCGATTCTCCTGCCTCAGCCTCCTGAGTAGCTGGGATTACAGGCACGTGCCACCACACCCGGCTAGTTTTTGTATTTTTAGTAGAGACGGGGTTTCACCATGTTGGTCAGGCTGGTCTTGAACTCCTGACCTCAGGTGATCTGCCCGCCTCGGCCTCCCAAAGTGCTGGGATTACAGGTGTGAACCACCGTGCCCAGCATAGTTTTGAATTTGAGTAAGTTTTTGAGCTTAATTTTCTAATTCAAGAGGCATACAGAAACTTCATATAATAATAATTATTACTTTGAGATAGAATCTCGCTTCTGTCTGGGTCACCTAATCAGGAGTGCAGTGGTATGATCACAGCTCACTGCAGTCTCAAATTCTGGGGCTCAAGTGATCCTCCCACCTCAACCTCCCATGTAGCCACAACTACAGAGATGTGCCACCATGCCTGGCTAATTTTTTAAACAATTTTTTTTGTAGAGACAGGGTGGGTCTTACTACTATGTTGCCTAGGTTGGGGTATTATTATTTTTTAGGCCAGGTGCAGTGGCCCACACCTATAATCCCAGCACTTTGGGAGGCCAAACTGTGTGGATCACTTGAGCCCACACACAAACAAAATACTAATAATTTTTTAAAAATGTACTGAGTGACTAATATGTGCCAAGTAATAAACCAGAGCATATTCCTGGCCCTCAATATCTCAAATGCTTCATGGAGAAAACAGACTGCTAAACAAGTCAGTAAAGTACAGTAAAAAGTTACTAATCAGAGTTTGAAGTATAGTCTGGAGGTAAGGCTGGGTGTCACAGCTGAAACAGAAGGGTAAGCTGTTACTCCTAGGTGAAAGAGAATAAGGGAGCACTAGAGAGATGCTAGCACGTGACACAGCTGGAGCCCAGTGTGCACGCAAGCTTTTGGCAGGTTTTGAACAAGACAGAACAAAGACTAGATTTAGAAAGATCACTGTAGTTAGGGTGTGGAGGAGAAATGGTTAAGACAAAGATTAATAAGAGAAAAGACTAGAGACAGAGAAAGCAATTAGGAATCCATTTTAGTACACTCTAAAAGGCAGACAAAAAGTAAAATAGGTTAGTGGTACTAGGGAGACAGATAAATGGAAAGTATTTTCCAATTCAGCTATCTTCACCAATGTAACAGCAAAATTGGGCATTTATACTTGAGACTTGAAAAGTTAAATTTTATAATTAATTTCTGTTAAATCTAATATCTGAGATACAACTGTGGAGTAGTACAATCAATAAATCGTACAAAAAATTAACATCATTACTTCATAATTGGAGTAAGAGTTTGGAATCTGTTTCTGCTTCCTACTTTTACTAAAACTAATTCTATACCTAAAGTGAATTTTTAAAATAACCAGGTTCTCTAGATCTTACAAACATAAACATAATTAAATGTAAGCAGAAATAAAAAGGCTTACGTGTCCTCCCATGGATATTCCAGTCATTCCTAAAGGGCCGTAACCTTCCCTCTCTAGCCAGTGCAAGAGAGCTGCAGATTCTAAAACAAGAGCTCCTCCCATCACAAAAAGGTCGGACACATTTTTTAAGCTGGACCTTCTAGCCTCACAAAACAAAATAGAAAATGATTATTTTATGTATTTACATGCTAATATATGCAAATTTACAACAGGCTGCCAGACTTCATGCATCTCTTCTAAAGGACCAGATAGTTAAGTAAAACAATGTAATAAATTGGAATTAGGGCCAGGCGTGATGGCTTACGCCTGTAATCCCAGCACTTTGGGAGGCTGAGGCAGGGGGATCGCTTGAGGTCAGGAGTTCAAGACAAGCCTGGGCAACATGGTGAAACCTTGTCTTTACTAAAAATACAAAAATTAGCAGGGCATGGTGGCGCATGCCTGTGATCTCAGCTACGTGGAAAACTGAGGCATGAAAATCGCTTGAACCTGGGAGGCAGAGGCTGCAGTGAGCTGAGACTGCACCACTGTACTCCAGCCTGGGCAACAGAATGAGACCCTGTCTCAAAAAGAGAAAAAAAAAATAGAATTACACAGCTGCTAACATTGGATTACATATCAAATCACCTAAAACTTAACAAAAAAAAGTGTTCCTGTTCTATAGCACATAATCTTTACTGAAATTATTATAACAGAATTTAAAGCATAACTTTTTATTTTTCTTTGAGACGGAGTCTTGCTCTGTTGCCCAGGCTAGAGTTGCAGTGGCATGGATCTTGGCTCACTGCTGCCTCCACCTCCAGGGTTCAAGCGATTCTCCTGTCTCAGTCTCCTGAGTAGGTGGAATTACAGGCGTGAGCCACCACGCCTGGCTAATTTTTGTATTTTTAGCAGAGACGGGGTTTCACCATGTTGGCCAGACTGGTCTTGAACTCCTGAGCTCAAGTGATCTGCCTGCCTTAGCCTCCCAAAGTGCTGGGATTACAGGCGTGAGCCACCACGCCCAGTCTTAAAGCATAACTTTTAAAAAAGGCAATATAAATAAAGAATTTAACCAAACACTAGGCTCATGTATTACTGAAATCTCAAATATGTTGCTTATTTTCACAAAATACATAATTTATGAATATAATAAAATATAAAACAAATACATTTTTATAAATATACATGTTTTAAATAAAGACCAACTGGAATTTCATTTTTAGAAGCTAATTTTACACAGAAGTATATTTCCTTATAAAAAGTATTTAAGCTGGGCACAGTGGCTCACGCCTGTAATCCCAATACTTTGGGAGGCCAAGGTGGGCAGATCATGAGGTCAGGAGTTAGAGACCAGCCTGACCAATAGGATAAAACCCTGTCTCTACTAAAAATACAAAAATTAGCTGGGCGTGGTGGCACGCGCCTGTAATCTCAGCTACTCAGGAGGCTGAGGCAGGAGAATCACTTGAGCCCGGGAGGTGGAGGTTGCAGTGAGCCAGAGATTGCGCCACTGCACTCCAGCCTGGGTGACAGAGTGAGGCTCCATCTCAAAAAAAAAAAAAAAAAAAAGTATTTAAATATATCTTTTTGGGTCCTAGAACCATCCGTATATAGTGATCAAAATAAATATATATTATTACTAAAATGACCAAATTAGAATCTACTTTTCAAAATGTAACTTGTATTAAGACACATGTAACTGGTTATTGAATGAAACCTTGCCAAAGTATACAAAAATTCATTTTACCAATGATTATTTATCATATGCCTACACATAATATGTGCAAAGAACCAGGTGCCAGAAGGAATGCCAAGTGTGAAAAACAAAATCTTGGCTCCCAAAGAGCTTACTTCCACTGTCCTACCAAGTCCTCTCAGAGCTCTAAGTCCAGAAGGGAGGGTTTCTTTTTATGGAAACTATGCTATCCTTCGTCCAAACAGATCATAGTCATGCTTCATCAGAAAAAAAAAAATTATTCTTATCTTTGTTTCCTATCCTCAAGTCATTTTTCTATTTATGATTACACAATTTCCCCAACTTTTTCTTTTAGCCTTGTATGGGAGCCTTGAATTCTCAGGTCCCCCAGATTGCTCTTTTAGTAGAAGTTACTGATATGAAATTCTGGGACAGTAGTTATTTATAATAGTAGACTCGGTCTCAAATTGTTTCAGCACTTTTGATGAAAACAGACTTAAGATGGCTTTTTAAAAAGAGAGAGCGACAGAGAAGTATCTGTGATTTAAATTGCAAACCATTTCTTTTTTCTTTTTTTTGAGACAGAGTCTCACTCTCATTGCCCAGGCTGGAGTGAAGTGGCTTGATCATGGCTCACAACAGCCTCGACTTGCCAGGCTCAGGTGATTCTCCCACCTCAGCCTCCTGAGTACCTGGGACTACAGGTGTGCACCATCATGTCTGGCTAATTTTTTTTTTTTTTTTTTTAGATGGAGTTTCGCGCTTGTCACTCAAGCTGGAGTGCAATGGGGCGATCTTGGCTCACTGCAACCTCTGCCTCCTGGGTTCAAGCGATTCTCCTGCCTCAGCATCCTGAGTAGTTGGATTACAGGTGCCCACCACCATGCCCAGCTAATTTCTGTATTTTTAGTAGAGACAGGGTTTTACACTGTTGGCCAGGCTGGTCTCGAACTCCTCACCTCAGGTGATCCACCTGCCTCGGCCTCCCAAGTGCTGGGATTACAGGCGTGAGCCACTGCACCTGGCCATTTTTTTTTTTAGGGGCGGGGGGTATATTTTGTAGAGACAGGGTTTTGCCATGTTGCACAGGCTGGTCTTGAACTCCTGGACTCATGCAATCTGTCCATCTCAGCCTTCCAAAGTGCTGGGATTACAGGTATAAGCCACTGCACCCAGTCAGTAAGCCATTTCTTATGATGAATTATTAGAGAAAAATCAAATACATAGGGCCATTATTATATTTCTTGACTTGAGTATACAGTATGTGATAGAATATTTTATAAACATTATAATTCTCACAACACTTCTACATGGAAGAAATTACATAGTATTCCCATTTTATGAATGAGGTAATCAGTAAACAAATGTTACAATTCCAACCTATGCCTGTATGACTCCAAAGTCAGTCTTTCTATTAAACCCAGGCTGCCTCTCACTAGACCTAAATAAACTCTTCTTGCTTTTTAACCAATTTATGGATAAGGTAAAAATTACATACCTAATTCTGAATTCTGGGCTTGGTTCCAAAGTGGAAATTCTTCAGCTGGGCGCGGTGGATGCTGCCTGTAATCCCAGCACTTTGGGGGGCTGAGGCGGGAGGATCACCTGAGGTCGGGAGTTCGAGACCAGCCTGACCAACATGGAGAAACCCTGTCTCTACTAAAAATACAAAATTAGCTGGGCGTGGTGGCGCATGCCTGTAATCCCAGCTACTCGGGAGGCTGAGGCAGGAGAATTGCTTGAACCCAGAAGGCGGAGGTTGCAGAGAGCAGAGATCACGCCATTGCACTCCAGCCTGGGCAACAAGAGCGAAACTCCATCTCAAAAAAAAAAAAAAAAAAAAAAAGGTGGAAATTCTTCAACTACTTAGCTTGGCCTTTAATTTTTCACAAGGTTTCACAAAGTTCATTATAAACTATCAAGTTTCATTCTTCATAGTATACCGGTTTGCCTCCACCCCATCCTACTTTCATCTATACCTCTTTCATGCTATGACCACATAGAACATGGGACTTCCAAATCTACATCTCCAGCACTTTCCAACTGCCTACTTGATTTCTCCACTTGCAGGTTTAACAGAAATTACAAATTTGACACATCCAAGTCAGAACTTTTTTTTTTTTTTTGAGACGGAGTCTCGCTCTGTCGCCCGGGCTGGAGTGCAGTGGCGCAATCTCGGCTCACTGTAAGCTCCGCCTCCTGGGTTCACGCCATTCTCCTGCCTCAGCCTCCTGAGTAGCTGGGACTACAGGTGCCCACCACCACGCCCGGATTTTGTTGTATCTTTAGTAGAGATGGGGTTTCAGCGTGTTAGCCAGGATGGTCTCAATCTCCTGACCTTGTGATCTGCCCGCCTCAGACTCCCAAAGTGCTGGGATTACAGGCGTGAGCCACTGCGCCCGGCCCAGAACTTTTGATTTCCCTCCCACACCATCCAATTCATACACAAGTCCTATTATTTAAACTTAACTATATCTTGAACTCAGGAAAACTTCTCTCCATTTCCACTACTACCTAGTTAAACTAAAGTCACTACTCTTTCCTGCATCATTTCAATAGCTTCCTATTTGTTTTCTCTGCTGCTACTCTTGTCCCAGTAAACCAAAGTAGCCAAAGTAGGTTTTAAAAAATATAAATCAGGCCACTCATCTGCTTAAAGTCCTCTAGACACTTCCCATTGCACTTTCAGATCATTCACATTGAAAGCATGATGGCTTTTCACCATCTGGTCCTTGTCTTTTTTTTTTTTTTTTTTTTTTGGGATGGAGTCTTGCTCTGTCGTCTAGGCTGGATGCAGCAGCATGGTATCCGCTCACTGCAACGTCCGCCTCCTAGGTTCAAGCGATTCTCCTGCCTCGGCCTCCCCAGTAGTTGGGACTACAGGTGCATACCACCATGCCTGGCTAATTTTTGTATTTTTAGTAGACACAGGGTTTTACCATGTTGGTCAGGCTGGTCTCGAACTACTGACACCAAGTGATCCACCCACCTTGGCCTCCCAAAGTGCTGGGATTACATGTGTGAGCCACTGCAGCCAGCCCTTGCCTATCTTTCTGACCTCATCTTGTACTACTCTCCCCTCCTGACGCTTACATTGGGCTTTTCATTTACTTTTCCTTCTCTGTGGCTGATCTTATTCCAAGTCTTCATGCAGGTGGCTCCTTCTCATTATATCATGTTCTCATATATAATACTGTTACTACACTGCATCCCATATTACTCTTTATACAATTGCCCTGCTTTACTTCATTCACTGGTCATTGATAAATATCTGAAATCACCTTATTTATTGTTATCTATCTCCCACACTAGAATATGAACTTTATGAGAAAATGTTGTCTTATTGTTGCAGTATTCCTAGTGTCTAGGGTCAAATATTTATTGACTGAACCAAACCAAACACAATACAGATTATGGAAATGCCTTGGAGTTTATCATTTTAAAAGACTGAAAAGAGAAAGTTTATCTTCAGATTTTCTATACTATGCATTGTAAGAATAAAGTGTCTAATTACACAAAGTAAATGTACCTTAAAAAGGAAAAGGTAGGCTGGGCACAGTGGCTCATGCCTATAATCCCAGCACTTTGGGAGGCCAAGGTGGGTGGATCACTTGAGGTCAGGAGTTTGAGACCAGCCTGACCAACATGGTGAAAGCCCATCTCTACTAAACATACAAAAATTAGCCAGGTGTGGTGGTGCATGCCTGTAATTCCAGCTACTTGGGAGGCTGAGGCAGAGAATCGCTTGAACCCAGGAGGCAGAGGTTCCAGTGAGCTGAGATCGCACCAGTGCACTCCAGACTGGGTGACAGAATGACTGCGTCTCAAAAAAAAAAAAAGAAAGGGTTTTATCATTTCTTCATTTACAGTTTCACAACTAAACTATATATTAAGTCTACCTGTTAAAATTTTTTATTGTATTTCCTTAACAGACATTAAAATGCAAAAATCTTAAAAATAAAAATTAAAGTCAGTATTCATACTACAGTTTCATAACAGAACTCCCCCCCCCCATAATATTTAGGTATTCAATTTAGAAATGGTTAACTGAAGGCAACCAAAATTTTAATACTGCTGGATATTGGGTAAAAAGACTGCAAAAATGAAAGTGATATATACTTACACTTGGTCCTTGGGTTTCCTGCAGCCATTTAAGAATGTGGGTCAAAGAGAAAGTTTTAAAATAATTAAATAATTTTGTTTGTCTGAGAGTACATTAAATAGTTAAATTTTACACAATTTAATACTGAAATAACTCCATTCTAATTATCTTAAGTAGGCTGTTTAGAAGTTCTTAAGTTTTCAACTTAATTATTTTCCTTTTTTTTAAAAAAAAAAAAAAAACCAGCTTTACTGATATAATCATATATCACATAGGCCGGGCGCGGTGGCTCACGCCTGTAATCCCAGCACTTTGGGAGGCCAAGGCGGGCGGATCACGAGGTCAGGAGATCGAGACCATCCTGGCTAACATGGTGAAACCCCATCACTACTAAAAATACAAAAAATTAGCTGGGCGAGGTGGCGGGCGCCTGTAGTGTCAGCTACGCGGGAGGCTGAGGCAGGAGAATGGTGTGAACCCTGGGGGGCGGAGCCTGCAGTGAGCCAAGATTGTGCCACTGCACTCCAGCCTGGGGCGACAGCGAGAGTCCGTCTCAAAAAAAAAAAAAAAATCATATATCACATAATTCAGCCAATAAAGTATACTTATTAATGTTTTCAGTAAATTAACAGGGTTGTACACTCTTCAATTTAAATTTAAAATGAAGTTTATTTTTTATTTCGTTCATAAAATTTTTATTATAGAAAATCCAAAAAGTACAAAAAATCAGATTAAAGAACAACTACTTTATCTACAGACAACCATATTAACATTTTGGTGTATTTCTCTTTATCCACGGTTTTTTTTTTTTTTTTTTGAGGCGCAGTCTTGCTCCGTCGCCCAGGCTGGAGTGCAGGCGGCTCACTGCAACTTCTGCCTCTTGGGTTCAAGGGATTCTCCTGCCTCAGCCTCCCAAGTAGCTGGGATTACAGGCACACGCCACCACGCCTGGCTAATTTTTGTATTTTTAGTAGAGATAGGGGTTTTGCCATGTTGGCCAGGCTGGTCTCGAACTCCTGACCTCAGGTGATCCTCCTGCCTTGGCCTCCCAAAGTGTTGGGATTACAGGGCGTGAGCCACCGTGCCAGGCCAATGCACAGTTTTTGCTTTGGATTTTGTTTTTAGTTTTTTTTTGCATACCTGTGCCACACCATAGAGTTTTATATCCTATTTCCTTTTCTTTCTTTTTTTTTTTTGACACAGTTTCACTCTTTTTGCCCAGGCTGGAATGCCATGGTGTGATCTTGGCTCACTGCAACCTGTCTCCTGGGTTCAAGTGATTCTCCTGCCTCAGCCTCCTGAGTAGTTGGGATTATAGGCATATGCCAGCATGCCAGGCTAATTTTATATTTTTAGCAGAGACAGGGTTTCACCATGTTGGCCAGGCTGGTCTCGAACTCCTGACCTCAGATCATCTGCCCACCTCGGCCTCCCAAAGTCCTGGGATTACAGGCGTGAGCCACTGCACCTGGCCTATATCCTACATTCACATCAGAAATACTGGTCATACATTATTGTAAACTTTTTAATAATAACAGTTAAAACTTACTGAATGCTTATTATTTATCAGGCACTGTTCTAGACAGTATTAATCATTTAATAATCTCAATAACCTAAGAGATTATTCCCATTTATCAATGAGAAAATTGAGGTACTAAAGGTTATGTAACATGTCCAAGGTCACAAAAGTGGTAAGTGGTAGAGAAATAAATATAACACAGGTAGAGAAATAAATGGAATACAACCAATTGCATAAAATTCCAATATTATGAATCACAGTTTACATAACTATTTCTATTTTAGACATTTAGCTATTTCTAATGCTTTACTGACATGTTTACTAAAGCTATACAAACATGTTTTTGTTATTTAATTTTTTCTTAGTTTTTATCCTTAGAATAAATTTCCCAGAATCAAAATCATTTTGTCAAGGGATATGATGTTTCAAAGCTCCTGATACATATGGTAAAATATGTTTTCTCAAACGGTTGAACTAATTTTCAGTCATTAGTAACAAGAGTGCCCATTTCAAAGCAGCCTCACCAGTACTGTTTTTTTTAAAATATTTGATCATTGTTGTTTTAACTCTACATTTATTACCAGCAACGTTGAACATTTCTTTATATCTGTGCACCAGTTTCATTTCTTCTTCTGTGAATAGTCTGACGTCATCTTGAAAATTAAGTTAAGAACTGTCTAAACCTCAACTGATACTGTAAATGCATTTAAAACATGATTGTTTCCTTAATAGCAAACATTTGACTTACTAATATTAAAATCTAGCATAAGTCTCCCAAGAAATGGAAGTACAATTTCTTTACTGCACAATAGAAGTACAATCCTTATGTTAATTTTTAAAAAGCATGAAATAGTCTTTCACTCCTTTTGATTCTTGCTCCTTAAGTATTTTCTGAACTGATGACTAAATTTAACTGGTTTAGAAAACTTGGTTACTATCATTCCTTTTGATGACTAAATATATCAATAAATAAACAAGGCAAAAGATTTCTTAGATATCACAAAAGGATATAATAAGGGTTTTCTAACAATAAAGAAGCCATTCGGGCTTCTTTAATCATAGGACGGGCCATTAGTGTTCGTCGCCTCCAGTAATGCTAAGGAAAGAAAAGAACACATACTCAAAAGAATATAGTAGCCACTTCTGTTAAGGAGAATATGTTAACAAATTATCTAGAGATTAAGGCATTATAATAAAGTCTTACATGATCTCCTGTTCCAGCAAGATGAATGCATACAGGTCTATATTTGCTGTTCCATTCTTTAGGCACAATAAATTGGAACCTATTTTTAAAAGCATAGACTTATCAATAAAATTCTCTTTAAAGGACTTTCAATAAAAACTTTCAGTTCTTAAAACTTTTACATTTAAATTATCTGACAGAAAAGATCAGTCGAAATTTTAACATTCAAATTGTAATTAACTAAATTAAGTTGTCCAAACGCTACAAAGATATTGTAAATCTGCTTTCTGTTAGGATATTAAAATATTCAATACAACACAAACAGAATTTATTGTCCCTATTCTTTACCTTGTTCAATATCATAACTTAATAAATACATAAAGAAATTTTCTTATCTTGTAGAGACACCACTATATATGAGTAAGTCTTAAAAGAAGTAACTATTGGCCAGGCGCGGTGGCTCACGCCTGCAATCCCAGCACTTTGGGAGGCCAATATGGGTGGATCACCTGAGGTTGAGAGTTCGAGACCAGCCTAATCAACATGGAGAAACCCCGTCGCTACTAAAAATATAAATAAAATTAGCCGGGCATGGTGGCACATGCCCGTAATTCCAGCTACTCAGGAGGCTGAGGCAGGAGAAGCGCTTAAACCCGGGAGGCAGAGGTTGCAGTGAGCCGAGATTGTGCCACTGCACTCCAGCCTGGGTGACAGAGCGAGACTCCGTCTCAAAAAAAAAAAAAAAAAAAAAAAAAAAAGGAACGGAGTCTCACTCTGTTGCCCAGGCTAGAGGGCGGTGGCATGATTTCAGCTCACTGCAACCACCGCCTCCCAGGTTCAAGTGCTTCTCCTGCCTCAGCCTCCTGAGTAGCTAGGAGTACAGGCCCACACCACTGCGCCTGGTTAATTTTTGTATTTTTAGTAGAGATGGCGTTTCACCACGTTGACCAGACTGGTCTTGAACTCCTGACCTTGTGATCCACCCGCCTCAGCCTCCCAAAGTGCTGGGATTACAGGTGTGAGCCACCATGCCTAGCCAAAAGAAATAACTCTTTAGATATAGCTCCGACTTTTTCTCTTTGCAAAAGAAATGCTTGGCTGTACAAGCTGTTGATATATCAATAAGAGTTTATGTTGTCTTTTTTTAAAACTTTTAGTATATGATAGAATCTGATTCATTAAGATGTTGATACTTACAAGTAAAGTCAATCCATGCCAGAAAACAAAAAACACAAACGCACAGATAGTTTTCTCTATTTGTCTATTTTTTTTTTTTTTTTGGAGACAGGGTCTTACTGTTGCCCAGGATGGAGTGCCGTGGCATGATCACAGCTCACTGCAGCCTTAACTTCCTGGGCTCAAGTGATCCTCCCACTTCAGCCTCCCAAGTAGCTGGGATTACAGATATCTGCTACCAAGCCCAGCTAATTTTTCATTTTTTTTAGACATGGGGTCTCGCTATGTTGCCCAGGCTGGTCTCAAACTCCTAGACTCAAGTGATCCTCCCGCCTTAGCCTCCCAAAGTGCTGGGATTACAGGCATGAGTCATTGCACCTGGCCTTTGTTTTTTTCTTATTGTAGTATTTTGGTCCTTATTTAATGTTTTATGTTTTTTCTTTTAACCTATATGACTTCTCTTTGTTTTACTCTGGTGGAATATACATTTTAACCTTTTTTTTTTTTTTTTTTTTAGAGACAAGGTCTCACTTTAGCCCATAATTGGGTGACACAATTGTGCGGTGACACAATTACAGCTCACTGCAGCCCTGACCTGCTGGGCTCAAGCAGTCCTCCCACCTCAGCCTCCCAAGCAGCTGGGACTACAGGCATGTGCTATCACGCCTGGCTAATTTCTTTATTTCTTTTTTCTTTGAGAGATGGAGTTTTGCTCTTGTTGCCCAGGCTGGAGTGCAATGGCATGATCTTGGCTCACTGCAACTTCCACCTCCCAGGTTCAGGTGATTCTCCTGCCTCAGCCTCCCAAGTAGCTGGGATTACAGGCATGTGCCACCATGCCCGGCTAATTTTGTATTTTAAGTAGAGATGCAGCTTCTCCATGTTAGTCAGGCTGGTCTTGAACAACTAATTTCTTTTAATTTTCTGGAGACAGTCTCCTTATGTTGCCCCGAATGGTCTTGAACTCCTGGGTTGAAGTGATCCTCCCGCCATGGCCTCCCAAATAACTGTGATTATGGACATGAGTCACCACACGTGTCCGTTTTAACCATTTTTAAGTGTATGATTCAGTGGCATTAAGTACAGTAACACTGTTGTGCAACCATCACTATCATCTATCTTAAAAACATTTTCATCTTCCCAAACTGATTTCTCATTTTAATTTCCTTAGCAGTTCGTATTTTAGAACTACTATCATAGTAAAAGACTGTACTCTGTCAGCTGAAGGTTTGACCTGAGGTGACTGGATTCTTAGGCAACATAAAACCTCAATTCTGAGCTGAAAACTTTGCGTGGACAGAAGGGGTAATATTACCCCTTATCCACTGTCAATAAATTGCTGAATAGAACAAAGACAGATAAATTTAGAATGGTTTAAGAATTATTTCTGTGTTGTGCTCATGGGAACTCTTAATTTTCAATCTCATAACGAGAACTGGCACTGTTAACTAACACCTTTGCTTCATTTTGCGTTCTCAGCATTGTCGAGTTTCCTGATATTTTAAAGATTTTGGGGAGATGAAAACACTTAAGAATTTTTTCAGTAGAAAGCTGGACATCTCTGCTATTATTTGTACTTTCCTTTTGTTCCATAGCAATGCATGTAGTGACTTCATTATTGGATAATAGCTTTAATAGGAATTTTTTATTGGAGTATTAACTAACTACCCACCTAATTAATTTCAGTAATCAGTGTCTCTGCTCAAATTCGACTATCTTCTAACAGTCTTCCCCAGTGTCCCATGATGAATGGGTACAGGCCATGTGACTCCTCTGCCACAGCTGACTGGGTCAAGCATAAGCCAAATTAGGGCAATGAGATTTGCTCTTTTGGTAATATGGAATTGGGACAGACTATAGTTAGATTCTGTTGAGCTTTTGGATATGAAAGCTCTGTGGGGCTGTGGTAGCTATGTTTTGTTAGCTGTATGAGAAATGAGGAGGCCAGACTGCCCATGACATAGACATAGGGCATAAAGCAGAGACAAGAGACTGTGCAACAGGGAAGAAGATGAGATAAGGGAAGTATCCTCTTGGATCTTCATGGCTTCCCATTTCCCGCTTCTAAAATCTCATGAGGTAGAAAATGCACACAGGAGGTCCGCCTCAGTGGCTCATGTCTATAATCCTAGTGCTTTGGGAGGCCAAGGTGGGAGGATCTCTTGAGGCTAAGAGTTCAAGACCTTATCTCTGCAAAACTGAAAATAAAAAATATTAGCTGGATGTGCTGGAACATTCCTGTAGTCCCAGCTACTCAGGAGGCCAATGCAAGAGGATCACTGGAGCCCAGAAATTTAAGGCTGCAGTGAGCTGTGATCAGGCCACTGTATTCCACCCTAGGTGACAGAGTGAGACCCTGTCTCTTAAAAAAAGAAAAAGAAAGAAAAATGCATACAAGTTGATTTGCTTTTCATTCCTTTACTGGCATGATGGCAATAGCAACAGCATTTAAAGGAATAATAAACTAGATGACCTCTATAGGCCTTTCTCAATTCCAGCTACCTATGAATCTAAGTAATAGGAAATCAGCTGATGATAGCACAAATAGGGCAGGAAACAACAAACAGACTTTATACCAAAGTTTCAACATGTTTTGGATATGTACAATTTTTTTTTGAGACAGAGTCTCACTGGTTGCAAAAGCCGGAGTGCAGTGGTATGATCACAGCTCACTGCAACCTCCACCTCCCAGGTTCAAGTGATTCTCCTGCCTCATCCTCCCAAGTAGCTGGGATTACAGGCGTGTGCCACCATGCCCAACTAATTTTTTGTATTTTTAGTAGCGACAGGTTTCGCCATGTTGGCCAGGCTGGTCTTGAACCCCTGACCTCAAGTGATCCACCCGCCTTGGCCTCCCAAAGTGCTGGGATTACAGGTGTGAGCCACTGCGCCTGGCCTCATGTATAATTTTTGTTTTGTTTTGTTTTGTTTTTTGAGACGGAGTCTCATTCTGTCGCCC
This sequence comes from Homo sapiens, assembly GCF_000001405.40. NCBI lineage: Eukaryota > Metazoa > Chordata > Mammalia > Primates > Hominidae > Homo > Homo sapiens. The sequence continues at coordinate 128,004,884 of NC_000004.12, read as the reverse complement.
AGGCTGGAGTGCAATGGCGCAATCTCAGCTCACTGCAACCTCCACCTCCGGGCTCAAGTGATTCTCCTGCCTCAGCCTCTCGAGTAGCTGGGATTACAGGCACACACCACCACAACCAGCTAATTTTTGTATTTTTAGTAGAGACGAGGTTTCGCCATGTTGCCCAGGCTGGTCTCGAACTCCTGACCTCAGGTGATCCACCCGCCTTGGTCTCCCAAAGTGCTGGGATTACAGGCGTGAACCACTGCGCCCGGCTCTCACGTATAATTTTTAACAAGGAGCTAAACATAAATTTACTGAATAAACCTTATTACTAAGATGAGTTTAAAGTTTTTCCATTGAAGAGCTAGAACAATATTTGAGAACAGACATAGGAGATGGCTGCAGCAGAGGCAGAAGTTGTTATTTTGGTTCTTTTTTTTCTTTTTTTTTTGAGATGGAGTCTTGCTCTGTTGCCCAGGCTGGAGTGCAGTGGTGCGATCTTGGCTCACTGCAACCTCTGCTTCCCAGGTTCAAGCAATTTTCCTGCCTCAGCCTCCCGAGTAGCTGGAACTACAGGCATGTGCCACCACACCTGGCTAAGTTTTGTATTTTTAGTACAGACAGGGTTTCACCACGTTGGCCAGGCTGGTCTCGAACCCCTGACCTCAGGTGATCCGCCTGCCTCAGCTTCCCAAAGTGCTGGGGTTACAGGCATGAGCCACTGTGCCCGGCTGAGCCTCATATTTTCTAAAAAAACAAAAAGAGGCAGGGAAAGTAGAGACGAACAAATAGAACAACTGATCTTGAAGGAAACAGATGTTATAAAAAGAATAATTTAAAAAAATTATATCATGGGGATAGTTTCATCACTAGGTAAAGTATTAAAAAATCAGTGAATTCTACAATTGAAATGGTTTTTTGTTTGTTTGGTTTTTTTTTGTTTTTTTTTTTTTTAAATCGAGACAGGGTCTTGCTCTGTTACCCAGGCTGAAGTGCAGTGGCATGATCTTAGCTCACTGCAACCTCTGCTTCCCAGGCTCAAGCGATCGTCAGCCTCAGCCTCCCAAGTAGCTGAGACCACAGGCACGTACCACCACACCAGGCTATTTTTGCTATTTTCAGTAGAGACTGCTGTCTCTGCCCAGCCTGAAATAAGTAAATTTTATATGTAAAATGTACCTCAATAAAATTGTTTAAAAATTAAAATATACATACACATTCTAATTTACATGCCAGAAAAATAGAATACTTCCAAATATATAAAAAATTATGTTTTTAAGAGAAAAGAATTAGCTGGATAATAAAAAGATCTTGGAAATTATGATAAAAAGCCATTTGCTTTCCATCTGTTATCTCTTTATTCTTTTTAAAATTCTTTTCTATCTTTTTTTTAGATTAATTGGGTGTTTTTCATTCTATTTTATCCCTCTTATTAGCTATACTTCTCTTTTTATTTGGTAGTTTCTCTATGGTTTACAATATGTATTTTAATTTAACAGAATCTGTATTATTTGGATTAATTTTTTTTTTTTTTTGAGACAGCATCTCACTCTGTTGCCCTGGCTAGAGTACAGTGGCGCGATCTCGGCTCACTGCAACCTCCACCTCCTGGGTTCAAGTGATTCTCCTGCCTCAGCCTCCTGTGTAGCTGGGACTACAGCCACGCGGCCACCATGCCCAGCTAATTTTTGTATTTATAGTAGAGATGGGGTTTCACCATATTGGCCAGGCTGGTCTCGAACTCCTGACCTCATGATCCGCCCACCTCAGCCTCCCAAAGTGCTGGGATTACAGGTGTGAGCCACCGTGCCCGGCTTATTTGAATTAATTTCTACAATGACCAAATAATGAAGGTGAAGACTAGAAGAATAAGGTCAAATGTCAAACAAGTGGTGAACAACAAAAATTCAGAGAGATAAATTATAAGAGAAGAGTTAAAAGGTGTAGATAATATGGCCGGGTGTGGTGGTGGTGGCTCATACCTGTTATCCCAGCACTTTGGGAGGTGAGGCAGGTGGATCACCTGAGGTCAGGAATTTGAGACCAGCCTGGCCAACATGGCGAAACACTGTCTCTACTAAAAATATGAAAATTAGCCAGGCGTGGTGGCACCTACCTGTAGTCCCAGCTACTCGGGAGGCTGAGGCAGAAGAATCACTTGAACTCAGGAGACAGGGCTTGTCGTGAGCCCAGATCACGCCACTGTACTCCAGCGTGGGTGACAGAGCGAGACTCTGTCTCAAACAAACAAACAAAGTATTAATCTAGTAGTTCCAACATCTTTCTTTTTTTTTTCTTTTTCTTTTTTTTGAGACAGAGTCTTGGTAGGGTGTGGTGCCTCACACCTGTAATCCCAGCACTTTGGGAGGCCAAGGCAGGGAGATCACCTGAGGCCAGGAATTCAAGACCAGCCTGGCCAACATGGCACAACCCCGTCTCTACTAAAAATACAAAAATTAGCCAGATGTGGTGGCAAGTGCCTGTAATCCCAGCTACTTGGGAGACTGAGGCAGGAGAATCACTTGACTCCAGGAGGCAGAGGTTGCAGTCAGCTGAGATTGCAGGGACACTCCACTCCAACCTGGGTGACAGAGCGAGACTCCATCTCAAAAAAAGAAAAAAAAAAAAAAGATGGAGCCTTGCTCTGTTGCCCAGGCTGGAGTGCAGTGTCACGATCTTGGCTCACCGCAACCTCCATCTCCCGGGTTCAAGTGATTCTCCTGCCTCAGCCTGCAGAGTAGCTGAGATTACAGGTGCCTGCCACCACGCCCAGCTAATTTTTGCATTTTTAGTAGAAATCGGGTTTTACCATGTTGGCCAGGCTGGTCTCGAACTCCTGACCTCAGGCAATCCACCTGCGTCGTCCTCCCAAAGTGCTGGGATTACAGGCGTGAGCCACCATGCCTGGCTCCAACATGTTTCTAACAGGACTCTCATAAAAGAATGGAGACAAAACAGGAGAAAAAAATTGCAAAAATAATAGATGAAAATTTATCTGTTTTTTTCAAACTGAAAGGGTCTTCTGAGTGGCAGGCACAAGGAATTAAAAAAAAAAACAAAACAAAACAAAACTCAACATCTAACCACTAAGGATATACAAAAGACCACAAAAGTTTCTAGAGAGAAATAACTGGTTACCTACAAAGGTAGAAGAATCAAGTTGGTATCAAGCATTTCATCAATAATCCTGGAAGACAGAAAAGAACACACCAAAACCTTCTAAATTCTGAAGGAAGTTATTTTGAACCAAGAATTGCATAAGTAGGCAAGGGGTTAACTAAGTATGAGGGATAATAAAGGCATCTTTACATATAAATAACTCAGAAAATTTACTATCTACAGAACCTCAATGAAAAAAGTATCAGAAGCTATAAGGACAACACTAGCACATCAACAAGTTATTCACCACAATCAGGTGGGCTTTTATTCCTGGGATGCAAGATTGGTTCAATATATGCAAATTAATAAATGTTATTCACCACATAAACAGACTTACAAAAACCACATGATCATCTCAATAGATACAGAAAAGGCTTTCGATAAAATTCAACATCACTTCATGTTAAAAACCTTCAATAAATTAGGTATCAAAGGAAGATACCTCAAAATAATAAGAGCCATCTATGACAAACCCACAGCCAACACCATACTGAATGGGCAAAAGCTAGAAGCATTCCCCTTGAGAACTGGAACAAAACAAGGATGCCCATTCTCACTACTACTATTCAACACAGTATTGGAAATCCTAACCAGAACAATCAGGCAACAGAAAGAAATAAAAGGCATCCAAATAGAAACAGAGGAAGTCAACCATCTCTCTTTGCAGACAATATAATATTATACCTCAAAAACCCCACAGACTCTGCCAGAAGCCTCCTAGAACTAATAAATAACTTCAGCAAAGTTTCAAGATAGAAAATTAATGTATAAAACTCAGTAACATTTCTATACACCAATAACATCCAAGCTGAGAGCCAAATCAAGAACACAATCTCATTTATAATAGCCACACAACCACACACACAGAAACCTAGGAATACAGCTTACCAAGGAGGTAAAAGATTTCTACAATGAGAATTACAAAACACTGCTGAAAGAAATCAGAGATGACATAAACAAATGGAAAAACATTCCATGCTCATGTATAGGAAGAATCAATATTGTTAAAATGGCTGTACTGTCCAAAGTAATTCACAGATTCCATGCTATTCCTATAAAACTACCAAAACCATTTTTGACAGAATTAGAAAAATTATTCTAAAATTCATATACGGAACCAAAAAAGAGCATGAATCACCAAAGCAATCTTAAGCAAAAAAAGCAAAGCTGGAAGCATCACATTACCCAACTTCAAAATATACCACAAGGCTATAGTAACCAAAACAGCACGGTACTGGTATGCTGGTATAAAAACAGACACATAGACCAATGGAATAGCATAGAGAATGCAGAAATAAAGCCACACACCTATAACCACCTGATCTTTGGCAAAGTCAACAATAACAGACAAAAGAAAAAGGACTCCCTATTCAATAAATGGTGTTAGGATAGATGGCTAGCCATATGCAGAAGATTGAAATTGGACCCATTCCTTTCACCATAAACAAAAATTAACTCAAGATGGATTAAAGGCTTTAATGTAATACCTAAAACAATAAAAACCCCAGAAGAAAAACCTAGGAAATTCTGGGTTCAGCCTTGGTGATATGGTTTAGCTGTGTCCCCACCCAAATCTCATCTTGAATTCCCACGTGTTTTGGGAGGGACCTGGTGGGAGGTAGTTGAATCATGGGGGCAGGTCTTTCCCATGTTGTTCGTGTGATAGTGAATAAGTCTCATGAGATCTGATGGTTTTAAAAAGGGGAGTTTCCCTGCACAGGCTCTCTTCTCTTGTTTGTCACCATATGAGATGTGCCTTTCACCTTCCGCCATGATTGTGGGGCCTTCCCAGCCACGTGGACTGTTAAGTCCATTAAACCTCTTTCTTTTGTTTGCCCAGTATTGGGTATGTCTTTATCAGCAGCGTGCAAACTAATACACTTGGCAAAGAATTTATAAGTAAGTCCCCAGAAACAACTGCAACATAAAGAAAAGAGACAAGTGGGACCTAATTAAACTAAAGAGCTTCTGCACAGAAAAAAAACAAAGTATCAACAGGTTGAGACAACCTACAGAATGTGAGAAAAATATTCACAAACTTGCGTTCAATAAAGGTCTAATATCCGGAATCTATAATAAACTTAAACAATTTAACAAAAACCAAATAACCTCACTAAAAAACAGGAAAAAGATACAAATAGGCAGCCTTCAAAAGAATAATAATCCCATCACCCAGGTCATGAGCATAGTACCTGATAGGTAGCCTTCCTAAAGATTCCTCCAGAATCTGTATTATTTGCACTCATTTTATAATGACCATGTATTATTTTGTAATTTTAAAACAATCTAAATGAGTGCTTTAGCTAATATGTTGTCATTGTTTTGTTTTTAAATAGAGTAAAAAATCCTGTTTTTTTCCACATCAGCAACTCACCTTCACCTAGGAGCCTCTTTCATTTTAAGCTATGGTAAGAACTAAGCCACCAGAAGGCTACTTTCTTACTTTTTATTTCTATTTTTGAGATGCAGTCTCACTCTGTCGCCCAGGCTGGAGTGCAGTGGCACGATCTCTGCTCACTGCAACCTCCACCTCCCAGGTTCAAGTGATTCTCCTGTCTCAGCCCCCTTAGTAGCTGGGATTCCAGACGTGCACCACCAAGCCCAGCTAATTTTTGTATTTTTAGTAGAAATGTGGTTTCACCATGTTGGCCAGGCTCATGTTTTTTAAAAATATATATATATTTTATATATTTAAATGAAAGTCTGCGTATAATAATGAACTCCTTCATCTTGAGTAATCAAGAAATCAATGAACAACTATATCGCTTCCATAGCTGCATAACTGCTTTGCTTTGGATTCTAGACTCTAAAAGCCCAATATTTCATCCCAATAATCATTCAAAAGATGTTTAAAGTTCCTAAGTACGTAAAGTACCATAGTGGCAGAGTTAAAGACAAGCTACAGACTTAGACAATTCATATAATTTAAAATGTAACATTTATAAGTTACTAGAATAAACTGTTTTGCTTTTATCTTATTTAGTTCTTTGCCTTTTGGTGGGGGCTACATTTAATAATGGCATTTGCAGAGAGAGGGGAGTGGAGAAAAACCAGAAAGACCTGAAGAATTAGAGCTGGATGCAATGGCGCACACCTATAGTCCCAGCTACTTGGGAGGCTGATGGGTAGAATCACTTCAGTCCAGGAGTTTGAGACCAGCTTGGCCAACAGTGAGATCCAGTCTCTTAAAAAAAAAAAAAAAGTCAGCCGGGAGCAGTGGCTCACGCCCGTAATCCCAGCACTTTGGGAGGCCGAGGCAGGCGGATCACGAGGTCAGGAGATCGAGACCATCCTGGCTAACATGGTGAAACCCTGTCTCTATTAAAAATACAAAAAATTAGCAGGGTGTGGTGGCGGGAACAGGAGGCTGAGGCAGGAGAATGCAGTAAGCCGAGATCGTGCCAGTGCACTCCAGCCTCGGCGACAGAGCAAGACTCCATCTCAAAAAAAAAAAAAAAAAAAGAAACGTCTTGAAAAATTTACAAAGGATAAGACAAATGAGACCATGTCAAAGAAAGAGAGAGAGAGAAAAGAGGAAGTGAGATAAAGAAGTGAAGCTGGGCATGGTGGCTCATGCCTATAATCCCAGCACTGTGGGAGGCTGAGGCAGGAGGATCCCTTGAGCCCAGGAATTCAAGACCAGCCTGGGCAACATAGAGACCTTGTTCTCTACAAATAAAAAAAATATTAGTTGGTTGTGGTGGTGCATGCCTGTAGTCCCAGCTACTCAGGAGGCTGAGGTTGGAGGGTCACCCAAGCCTAGGAGTTCAAGACTGCAGTGAGCTGTGATTGCGCTACTGCACTCCAGCCTGAGCAATAGAGCAAGAATCTGTCAAAAAACAAAAAACAAACAAACAAAAAAAAACGAGGAGGAGGAGAGGAAAAAGGTGAAGGAGGAGAAGGAGGAGATGAAGAAAGAAGAAGAAGGAAGAATAAAGAAGGAAGAAGTGGAACAGAAAGTAAGGAGGGAGGAAGATGAGAGCTAGTAAGAAATGACTAAGTTTTTCTCTGAGCCAACAGCTGCTATGGTTACACATCTTTAATCACATAGTTGCCTACTGCCGCCAGGTGGTACACTGCTTTTCTTAATCACTTGTTGCCTTTGACAAGGCTGAAAGCAGTACTCTACAAGTTTCAAACTACACATTCCAAAAGGCAAATACATAGCTTTTTGAGTCTAGAAGAGAGGCAGACTGAAGAGGGCTGAGATTCAAGGAAACTCTAATTTAAGTCATATGAAATCAGTATTCCTTCTACCCCACCCTCAAAGAACTCCTTGTACTGATTCTGCCTAGTCTTTTGTTGTTGTTACTTTTTTTCCTTTTTAAAATAAAAATATCCTTTTGACTGCCTAGTCTTTTGAAATGTAAGTCTTTAACACTCTTTCATCATATTTCCTGATCTCCAGAGAGTACAGTAAGATTGTGTATGTACATCTGTATTAGATGCAAATCAATTAGAAAGTGTGTTACGGGAAGTCAGGGACCCTGAATGGAGGGACCGGCTGGAGCCAAGGCGAAGAACATAAATTGTGAAGATTTCATGGACATTTATCAGTTCCCAAAATTAATACTTTTATAATTTCTTACACCTGCCTTTACTGCAATCTCTGAACATAAATTGTGAATATTTCATGGACGTTTATCACTTCTCCAATCAATACTCTTATAATTTCTTATGCCTGTCTTTACTTTAATCTCTTAATCACGTTATCTTCGTAAGCTGAGAATGTATGTCACCTCAGGACCACTGTTGTACAAATGGATTGTAAAATGTGTGTTTGCACAATATGAAATCAGTGCACCCTGAAAAAGAACAGAACAACAGCGATTTTCAGGGAACAAGGGAAGATAACCATAAGGTCTGACTGCCTGCAGGGTCGGGCAGAATAGAGCCATATTTCTCCTCTTGCAGAAAGCGAGTAGGAGAAATATCGCTGAATTCTTTTCCCAGGAAGGAATAACCCTGGGGAAGGAATACATTCCTGGGGGTAGGTCTACAGACAGCTGCTCTGGGAGTGTCTGTCTTATGCAGTTGAGATAAGGACTGAAATATGCCCTGGTGTCCTGCAGTACCCTCAGGTTTACTAGGATTGGGAAATTCCAGCCTGGTAAATTCTAGTCAGACCATTCTCTGCTCTCGAACCCTGTTTCCTGTTAAGATGTTTATCAAGACAATGCATGTACAGCGGGACATAGACCCTCATCAGTAATTCTAATTTTGCCTTTGCCTGTGATCTTTACTGCCCTTTGAAGCATGTGATCCTTGTGACCTACTCCCTGTTCGTACACCCCCTCCCCTTTTTAAAATCCCTAATAAAAACTTGCTGATTTTGCGGCTCGGGGTCGCCATCATGGTCCTACCAATATGTGATGACACCCCTGGAGGCCCAGCTGTAAAATTTCTCTGTTTGTACTCTTTCTCTTTATTTCTCAGACCAGCTGACACTTAGGGAAAATAGAATGTATGTTGAAATATTGGGGGCTGGTTCCCCCGATAAAAGTGAAAAGGTGAGTGAATACTATGTATCTGAACAGTTAAATTTTGGCTCTGCTCAGGTCATATCACATTAGTTTTATAAAAGATTTTAGCTAAATACTGGTTTTCCAGCACATGTAAATGAATATGTAGCTGTCTACTCCTTTTCCTCTACTCATCCACACTCCTTTCAACTTTAATTTCTTTATTCCTGCCTGTATCTTTCCAGCAAGCCCTAATTCAGAAGTGGGAAGCCGTTAAGTACCATACAGTTAAATAAATTGCCCAAGGGCAGGGAGCTGAGTGGCTGAGTCATGGCCCATGGCTCTTCCTTATGTTAGACACAGGGAATTACCAGTACCTACAAAGAATTTTTTATAGCCAAGGAAAATTTTTATACAATTTTTTTTCCTTTTTAGAATGAGTAGAGAACTACTGAATGCCATTTATGCCATTTAAAGACAGTAAGAATGATTTTTAAAATATTGGCAAAAACTATTGTTGTAATCATTAGAAAAAAGCAGAGTATAATATTAAAGTATTATTTTCCCTGCTTATAATATTGAATTTACTTAGTTACATACTTATATTTAAAATCACACATAAATATATTTAATTTACTGCTGTTAAAACCATCAAAATAAAGTAGCAGTGAAAATTAAAGTATTATTTTTCCTGCTTATGTTTATTTTGATATATATTTAAAATGTTGTAAAATTTAATTTTAAAGTTTAACATACATATTTAAAATCACGAGTCTATTAATTTAGAAATATTGATCTTTCTACTCTCTAATAAACCACTATTCTTTTAAAAATAAAAACTAGATCAGTAGTAAGCATGAAATCAGAACAGGAATTATCTACATTTTGTTATTTTAAGTAATATCTTATTTCTTTGGTTCAATTTGGAATATGGCATAAAAGTAATGCCTGAAGTAATGCTGAAAAGGATAGCTGTTTTTGTTACACATACACACACAGATATATACCTACACATACACACATATTTCTATAAATGGAATAAAATATCATGAAAGCCTGGAGCAGTTTATTTGCAAGTATGCATAATTTAAAATGAGTGCCTGGCCGGGCCAAGTGGCTCACGCCTGTAATCCCAGCATTTTGGGAGGCTGAGGCAGGTGAATCACTTGAGGTTAGGAGTTTGACACCAGCCTGGACCACATGGTGAAACCCCATCTCTACTAAAAATACAAAAATTAGCCAGGCGTGGTGACATGTGCCTATAATCCCAGCTACTAGGGAGGCTGAGACATGAGAATCTCTTGAACCCAGGAGGCAGAGGTTGCAGTAAGCCAAGATCGCGCCACTGCACTCCAGCCTGGGCAACAGAGTGAGACTCCATCTAAAAAATTTAAAAATGAATAAATACATACATAAAATGAGTGCTTTATCCCTAAATATTTGAGGAACCTAAACCCAATTATGTGAAAAATATTTTTTACCTCTGATGCTGAGAAATGAAAATCATATAGAAGACATATAAACTATCCTCAAAGGAATATTAATATTTTACCAGAAGATAAATATTAAATTTTCCTGAACTTGTATTAGAATTCAATCTTGGGTAATATTTGAATACTAAACTATGCCATGTTACCATAAAATTATTTAAGGTTGCTCAAATGGACATTTTGTTTGTTTTTTTTGTTTGTTTTGAGACGGAATTCTTGCTCTGTCACCCAGGCTGGAGTGCAATGGCACGATCTCGGCTCACTGCAACCTTCGCCTTCCAGGTTCAAGCGATTCTCCTGCCTCAGCCTCCTGAGTAGTTTGGATTACAGGCACCCGCCATCATGCCCTGCTAATTTTTGTAGAGATAGGATTTCACTATGTTGGCCAGACTGGTCTCGAACTCCTGACCTCAAGGTGATCTGCCCACCTCGGCCTCCCAAAGCGCTGGGATTACAGGCATGAGCCACCAAGCCTGGCCTGAATGCTATGTTTTAAAATATTATAATTCATTTGGAATTTTGACATAAATAAATTTCCAATATAGGCTGTCCCAAAGATACATCACAATTCATGAGCTATTTTACATTACATAGGGAAATCCATATTTTGTGGTCTATAAAACCTGTCACCACAGATCTTAAGCAGTCTTAAAACTGTTCTTTAACGGAAAAGAATGCTTGCAGTTCCCTTATTTCATTTACCTGATATATTTTTCTCTACCTCAATAAAAACAGAAAGTGTGAAAAAGAGACAGAATCATGAGTAATGGACCAAATGACAATAGGACAAATAGGTTTCTCCTTGTGGATTAATCTATACTTGGCATAGCCTTAAAATTTTCCTACTTATTTGGCAATATGATCAAAAGTTTAAAATCTGCGCAAATCTTATAAATCCAGAAATTCCATGTTTAGCAACTTATGGCACAAAAATAGAGAAGCAGGTAAGGAGATGTATATAAGGATGTTCATTGTGATGTTGTTTATAATAGTGAAAAACAATGCAACTTAAATGTGCACCATAAGGAATTAGTAAATTATGGTAGAGTCACAGTATGGAATACCAAAGAGCCATTAATGATAACCAACTGCATATTCACTGATTAATTAGGTAAAAAAAAATAAGTACAGTTGTATGTGAACACATAGGAGAAAGACTAGAATATACATAAAATAGTGGTTAACACTCATTGGTGGAATTTTTTTTTCTTTTTTCTTATTTGCATTTTCTAATGTTTTAATGCAATAAGATAAATTGCTGCACAAGAATGACGGGGGAAAGGAAAAATAGATGTCAATGTGCATCATCTGGGAACTTATAGTATTTCATCAAAGTAAGTTATGCTTCAAATTTGACTAGAAATTGTTGAAAAAAATATTAATTGTGTTGTAAAAATATGCCACTGCAGAGACAGGAAGTCAACTTGTTTCCCCATTCCTGTCACTAACTGGAAAGAACCGTTCCTCAATTTCCAACAGATGTTGAGGAGTATTTCTGAGTCTGAGTAAAAGCACATAATTTTCCTCCTTTCTTTATGTTTTATAGCTTGTATAACTGTCCAGATAAGGTGGAGAATCTATGAGAAAGGGACACATAGTTCCAGGGATTGAAGTGATGATATACAGAAACTGAAAGTTTCTTTTCCTTCTATATCCTTTAGCATACTGGCTAAAGAGCTACACATTCACTTATGCTTTAAAAAAAAAATTTTTTTTTTGACACAGGGTCTTGCTCTGTCACCCAGGCTGGGGTGCAGTGGTAAAATTATAGCTCACTCTAACCTCGATCAGGCAATCCTCAGTATATAAGACTATAGGCACATGCCATCATGGCCAGATAATTTATTTTCTATTTTTTTGGTAGAGACAGGGTCTTTCTACGTTGCTCAGGCTGACTTAATGCTTTCAGTAAAGCATTAATAAGATAAAGCATATCTAAAAGAGTTAAGGCTGGGTGCAGTGGCTCAAGTCTGTAATCTCAGCACTCTGGGGAGCAAAGGCAGGAGGATCACATGAGCCCAGGAATTTGAGATCAGCCTGGACAATGTAGTGAGACCCCCATCTCTACAAAAAAAACTAAAAAAAATTAGCCAGGTCTAGTGACATCAGTCTACAGTCCCAACTACTCAGGAGGCTGAGGTGAGAGGATCACTTGAGCCAGGGAGGTTGAGGGTACAGTGAGCCAAGATAGCACCACTGCACCCTAGCCTGATTGACAAAGCAAGACTCTGTCAAACAAATAAATAAATACATAAACGAGCTACATGTTTATGTTTTTTATATTCCCCGCACACTATTTTCATTCCTTTTTTTTTTAAGATGGTGTTTCATTCTTGTCACCTAGCCTGGAGTCCAATGGCACGATCTCAGCTCACTGCAACCTCGGCCTCCCAGGTTCAAGTGATTCTCCTGCCTCAGCCTCCTGAGTAGCTGGGATTACAGATGTCTGCCACCATGCCTGGCTAAATTTTTTTGTATTTTTAGTAGAGACGGGGTTTCACTATGTTGGCCAGGCTGGTCTCGAACTCCTGATGTCAGGTGATCCGCCCTCCTAGGCCTCCCAAAGTGCTGGGATTACAGGCGTGAGACACCGTGCCCGGCCTCATTCCTTATTTATCACTTTTAACAACCCTACCAGATAAGTGTTATTAGTCCTACTTTATAAAGCCTGGTTCAGAGTTTAAGTAATTGACATTAGGTCCATAAAGAGTAGACTTAGGGTTCAATTCCAGATCTGTTTAATTCCAAAGTTCTAGCTCTTTCCACTACATGACATTGCTTGCCTTTCATTCAGAGGTTATCAACAGAAAAAAATATAAATTTAAAATAATGCCTTAGGGGTAACAAAATAATGGACAGCTGACTACAACTTTTAATCAGGTCAATCAAACCACTCTTCTGTTAGTTCACACTTTATAGATTCATTTATAGGGTTCTGAATGTATTGGAATTCAGGATTCCAATACGTTCACTTAAAAGGTTAAGTAGGTTTCCATTACAGAATAATCTCTTCTTGACTGAAGAATTTTTCAAATGCCCATACATGTATCACTATTTTATCATTGCTATTGCAGACAAAATCTTAAAAGAAGAAAACACCTACTAACCAGAAGCAGCAAATAGTTTATTATCAACAGTGTAGGGGAAAAAAAGTACAGTAGTTTGTTCTTTTTAAATAAAATTAGCTAAAACATAAAATAGAAAACTGTGTAAAGATCTAGGTTCAACACTGATTTAGAATTAAAAACAACTTAAAAAACCCATTATCAGGCCAGGCACAATGGCTCACTCCTGTAATCCCAGCACTTGGGAGGCTGAGGTGGGCAGATCATTTGAGGTCAGGAGTTCGTGACCAGCCTGCCCAACATGTTGAAACCCCGTCTCTACTAAAAATACAAAAATTAGCCAGGTGTGGTGGGTGCCTATAATCCCAACTACTCCGGAGACTGCAGCAGGAGAATCACCTGAACCCGGGAGGCGGAGGGTGCAGTGAGCACCACTGCTCTCCATCTAGCCTAGGCAACAGAGCAAGACTCTGGAGACTCTGTCTCTAGCCTGGGAGACAGAGTGAGATTCCATCTCAAAAACAAAACAAAACGAAACAAAACAAAACACAAATCATTAACAGTGGCCGAGCATGGTGGCTCATGCCTGTAATCTCAGCACTTTGGGAGGCGAGGCAGGTGGATCCCTTGAGACCAGGAGGTCGAGAACAGCCTGGCCGACATGGCAAAAGTCCATCCGTACTAAAAATACAAAAATTAGCCGGGTATGGTGGCACACGCTTATAATCCCAGCTACTCAGGCGGCTGAGACATGAGAATCGCTTGAACCTGAAAGGCACAGCATACAGTGAGCACCACTGCACTCCATCCAGCCTGGGCAACAGAGTGAGACTCTGTCTCAACAAACAAACAAAAAACCATTAACAAGACTGGGCTAAGAATAACCTCTGTACATTAACAAAGATCCAAAAAGCCAGTTTTCAACTATTGTATAATTAACCACTTAGGAACCTCAGGTATTTCGGAACATCTATTTACATTCTCAAACTGATATGCTAATTACATACCAATCCTGAGGCACTTTACTTAGCTGAACTGTGTAGTCTGTCTAGTCTAAGTTACCACGTTTCTTAATTTCTTCACTTAAAAGTACTTCTTCTTCCTATTATAAAATCAACACATGTACATTGTAAAAATTTAAAACTAAAAAAAAAATTTTTTTTTTGAGATGGAGTCTCACTCTGTGGCCCAGGCTGGAGTACAGTGGCACACTTGGCTCACTGCAACCTCCGCCTCCTGGGTTCAATAGATGCTCCTGCCTCAGCCTCCCAGGTAGCTGGGATTACAGGTGCCTGCCACCACACCTGGCTAATTGTTTGTGTTTTCAGTAGAGATGGGGTTTCGCCACGTTGGCCAGGCTGGTCTAGAACTCCTGACCTCAAGTGATCCCACTGCCTTGGCCTCCCAAAGTACTGGAATTACAGGCATAAGCCACCATGCTTGACCTAAAACTAAAAATTTAAAAGCCAAAAATCTCTCCACTCAGAGATAAGCAGAGTTTGTATATTCATATATATCCTTTGGAAACTTCTCTGTGATTGTTTGTGCATACTTGTGTGTTTACAAAAATGGAACTAAAAAATCATTTGTATTATCTTCTTAAACTTTCACACATTGTGACCATATTTCCATGTTACTAATGGTATCCACAGTATGGATAATTAATCGCCTATTGTTGAACATTTAGGCATTATCTGTTTTTTGCAACTATAAACAATGCTTCAATGAATATCCTTGTACATATACTCCTTATGTTCTTTGAAGAATTAAAATATCTTCTAATTCAGCCTTTTCAATAATTTAGGCCTGCCTTGTTACTCCTAATTTCAAATAACATAGTGTTGATATTATAATTTTAATGAACATAAATAATGTATTCATCTTTTTGAACAAAAAAATTCTTACCTTGCAATAACAGATTCAATTGGCATGATATCAGGCACATAGTGAGCCATGGGGGAAACAAAGTGTCCATCTAAGATCTTACAATCTGATTGCTCTTCAATCTAAAAGAAAATCAAAACCAAGATGTATGCAAGAAAACTAAGATATCTTGGTCTGTCATGGATGTTCTTCTAATAAAAAGTTCTATCCAATTAAAATCATGTTTTCAGCACCTACTATGTAAACTTTTTATGCCACTGTACTTTATTTTAAATTATTTTGTGTGCATAATCATTGAATGTATTATGGGGTACATGTGATGTTTTGATACAGGCATACGAGTTGTAATGATCAAATCAGGGTAATTGGGGTATCCATCACCTGAAGCATTTATCATTTCCTTGTGTTAGGAACATTCCAATTCCACTCTTATTTCAAAATATACAATAAATTATTGTTAATTATAGTGACTCTATTATGCTATCAAATACTAGATCTTATTGATTCTATCTGACTGTACATTTGCACCAATTAATCATCTCCACTTTATCTTCCCCTCCCTGCTACTTTTCTTAACCTCTGATAATCATCAATCTATTCTTCATGAGTTCAATTTGTAAAAATATTCAGCTCCCACATATGAGTGAAAACACATGAAATTTGTCCTTCTGTGCCTGGCTTATTTTACTTAACGCGATGTCCTTCAGTTCCACCCATGTTGTTGCAAATGACAATATTTCATTCTTTTTTATGGTTCAATAATATTTCACTGCATATTTGTACATTTTCTTTATCCATTCATCTGCTGATGAACACTTAGGTTGATTCCGCATCTTGGCTACTACGAATAGTGCTACAATAAATATGGGAGTGCCGATATCACTTTGATACAGTGATTTCCTTTCTTTTTCATATATACCCAGTGGGGGGATTGCTGGGTCATATGGTAGTTCCAGTTTTGGCTTTTGAGGAAGTTCCATACTGTTCTCCGCAGTGGTCGTACTAACTTACATTCCCACCAACACTGTACGAGGTTTCCTCTTTTTCTCCAGATCCTCACCAGCTTTCAATACTGCCTGTCTTTTGGATAAAAGCCATTTTAACTAGGGTAAATGATATATCACTGTAATTTTGATTTGCATTTCTCTGATGATTAGTGATGCTGAGCATTTTTTTCATATACCTGGTTGGCCATGTGTATGTCTTCTTTTGAAAAATGTAAAATGTTGGCCAGGCACGGTGGCCATATCATCCACAGATATGTTTTTGTTTCTGATTTGAATTAAAAACAACTTAAAAAACCCATTATCAGGCCAGGCACAATGGCTCACACCTGTAATCTCAGCACTCTGGGAGGCCAAGGTGGGCAGATCTCTCGAGCCCAGGAATTCAAGATCAGCCTGAGCAACATGGCAAAAACTCTGTCTCTACAAAAAATACAAAAATTAGCTGAACGTGGTGGCATGTGGTTGTGGTCCCAGCTACGTGGGAGGCTGAGGTGGGAGGATCACCTGAGTCCAGGAGGTCACAGCTGCAGTGAGCCATGATTACACCACTGCAGTGCAGCCTGGGTGACAGAGTGAGACTCTGTCTCAAAACAAAACAGTATTTTGTTTACAAAAAAACCAAAAATTTTTTTTGTAGTCAGTTGGACAAATGTCATCTATTAAATAACCCACATATTTTTGCAACTGACTTAAAACGCTACTATTATCATGTACTAAATATCCATATATTTCTACAAGTTATTTTCAATCCTTCATTAGGTCTTATTTGCCTATCTTTTACTTCTCCACCAATATCACGCTGTGTTGACAACTGCAGCATTTTAATACTCATTGTTATATGACTGAACTAGTCTTTGTTTACTACTCTTCCTTACCAGAGTATTCCTGATCTGATTGTACTCTCAAGTATTTTCTCAAAATAATTTTAGGATGCTTGTATGGATCTAGGTTCTATGTTCAATACTTTAATTGAAATTGCATTGCATTTTAAAAAATGATTAAGGAGACATAATATCTCTATAAAACTGAATTTTTAATCCAAAAAAACGTTCCAATTTAGTTTTTTATGCCTATTAGCATAAAGTGTTCTTCTTATGTATTTATTTTTATTTATTTATTTTTTTTTTTTGAGTCTTGCTCTGTCACCTAGGCTGGAGTGCAGTGAGTGCTATCTCGACTCACTGCAACCTCTGCCTCCCAGATTCAAGCAATTCTCCTGCTTCAGCCTCCTGAGTAGCTGGGACTACAGGCATGTGCCACCATGCCTGGCCAATTTTTTTCTATTTTTAGTAGAGATGGGGTTTTGCCAGGTTGGCCAGGCTGGTCTCGAACTTCTGACCTCAAGTGATCCATGCTCCTCAGCCTCCCAAAGTGCTGGGATTACAGGCGTGAGCCACCACACTCAACCCTCTTATGTATTTTATAAGAATAAGTTATTTGATAAAGCAGCAGCACAAACTAATACATTATTATTACTATTTTTTGAGACTGGGTCTCACTCTGTTGCCAAGACTGGAGTACAGTGGCATGATCTCGGCTCACTGCAACCTCCGTCTCCCAGGCTCAAGCAATTCTCCTGCCTCCGCCTCCCAAGTAGCTGGGATTACAGGCATGCACCACCACACCTAGCTAATGTTTGTATTTTTAGTAGAGACGAGGTTTCACCATGTTGGCCAGGCTGGTCTCGAACTCCTGACCTCAAATGATCCACTGCCTCGGCCTCCCAAAGTGCTGATATTACAGGTGTGAGGCACGGCACCCAGCCCATTATTAATTATTAATAAAGGAAGCAGAACAAACTAATGTTAAAGGGAAAAATAATGCAACAAATTAGTGTTCTGATAGCTGGCAACTTGGTAAGAATAAACAATTTTAGAATTACACATATTATACATAACATGGATTTTAAAATTAAACAATATACAACCCAACAATAAAAAGATGGATAACTCAATGTAAAAAGGAGCAAAGGGTTTGAAAAGACAGTTCTCCAAAGAAGGTATATAAATGGCCAATTCACACTTGAAAAGATGTTCAGCCTCACAGTCATTAGGGCATAGCCAGAACCACAAGGAAATACTTTTATACCCACTATGATGGCTTGGACAAGTACAAGGTTGGTGAGTATGGCAAAATTGGAATGTTTATTCACTGCTGGTGGGAATATAAAATAGTATAGTCACTTTGGAAAACAGTTTGACAGTTCGTCAAAAAGTTAAATTTAGAGTTATCATCACATGACCAATAATTAAACTCTTCAGTATACACAAGAGAACTAAAAACATGTTCACACAAAATCTCATACTTGAGTATTCATAGCAGCATTATTTATAATAGCCAAAAAGTGAAAACAACCCAAATGTCCATCAATTTATGAATGGATAAGCAAACTGTGGTATACAATACAATAGAATATTATTTAGCTATACAAAAGGATAAAGTTTTTCTTGAATGTTCTGATGCTATAAAAACAAAAACAAAAAGAAGTACTGACACATGCTACAACATGGATGAACCTTGAAAACATTATGCTAAGTGAAGAAGCCAGACAAAAAAAGTTACATATTGCATGATTCCATTTATAAGAAATGTCCACATTAGGTGAATCCATAGAGACAGAGAGTAGACTAGTGATTGCCAGCAGGTGGGGGAAGAGGCAATGGAAAGTGACAGCTAATGGATACAGGGTTTCTTTTTAGGACAATGAAAATATTCTAGAATTAGTGACAATGTTGATGGCTGCACATCTTGGTAATATAATTTAAAAACCATTCAATTGTATATTGTAAAAGGGTGAATTTTATCTCAATTTTTTTTTCTTTGAGACGGAGTCTAGCTCTGTTGCCAGGCTGGAGTGCTGTGGCGCGATCTTGGTTCACTGCAACCTCCGCATCCTGGGTTCAAGCAATTCTCCTGTCTCAGCCTCCCGAGTAGCTGGAAAGCTGGAACTACAAGTATGTGCCACCATGCCCAGCTAATTTTTGTATTTTTTTTTTAGTAGAGATGGGGTTTCACCATGTTGGCCAGGATGGTCTCGATCTCTTCACCTCACGATCTGCCCGCCTTGGCCTCCCAAAGTGCTGGGGTATCTTTATCTCAATTTTTAAAAACTAAGGGTAGTAGATCAGTAAGAATGCATTCCAAAATCTTAACAGCAATTCACTCTTGGGAGGGAAATGGAATTAGGTGGTGGAAAGTGGCAGAGATTAAAGGAGATTTTTTTTTAACTTGGTATGTTTTAAATTTTTTTGTTTTAAGTTTATAATTTTTTAATAGAAAAAAATAAAGAAGATAAAAATATTTAGCAAAATTTGAGGGTCAGGGAGAAATGTTATTAATTCAGAAGATACAGAAAGAACTTCTATGATATAGAGGAGGAGTTTTCAATCTATAAAATTTTGTTCTTAGCAGTCGAACTCTTTTGAAAAGAGAAATCTAAAAGATATCCAAAACATATGAGATGCAAGTACAGTTACTTTGCTTGAAGGCGAGTGAGGGATGTGTGAAACTTGCCCATTTGTATCCCCTCTCCAACAATACCTCCAAGTATGCAATTACATAAACCTAGAAATATTTTACAGAAAACCAGGTGCCTCCTTAAAAAAAAAAGATTACAAAAACATCCTTGCCTTCTCTAATTTTATAGCATTTTCTTTCTACCATTCTCTCAGGAATTAACTGTATCCCATAATATTTTTCCTGGTGTTATTTAACAGTTGTTTGTTAATAATTTCTTATGTGCTGATTCTCCAACTAGATTATTCCCCTTTAATACTCACTATTGTTCTGTAATGTTGAGTGGTTTAACCCTCCTGAGCCTAAAGACAGAAAATGAGGTCCAGAAATATCCAGCCTAAATACTTCTCTATATATTTAGGCAAGTAATAAACATATGCTTCCAATATATGTGAACATAGTTATTAAAAACATCCAGTTAACGCACAAATAGTATTATTTATTTATTTATTTATTTTTGAGACGGAGTTTCACTCTTGTTGCCTAGGCTGGAATGCAAAGGCGTGATCTTGGCTCACTGCAACCTCCGCCTCCGGGGTTCAAGTGATTCTCCTGCCTCAGCCTCCCGAGTAGCTGGGATTACAGGCATGTGCCACCATGCCCGGCTAATTTTGTATTTTTTTTAAGCAGAGACGGGGTTTCTCCATGTTGGTCAGGCTGGTCTGAACTCCCAACCTCAGGTGATCCACCCGCCTCCGCCTCCCAAAGTGCTGGGATTACAGGCGTGAGCCACCACACCTGGCCCACAAATAGTATTCTTTAAATATGAAATGAAAAATCCATACGGCACTCATATTTTAGTGTTTATTGTTGTTATACTCCAATATGTAATCTATTCTTAGACATATTTATGTCAAACCACAATTCCTATAACTGTGTTTCTCTCATTTGAATACCTTATCAATGTGTACTGGATAATCGCTTGAAACCAGATTCTGGCATCTTTCCCGATTTCCAATCATCTTTCTGAATTCAAAGAGTCTATTATGGGAAAGAAGACAAAAAGGAAAAAATTAATCTTTTATATCACCTACTAAGCACATTATAATTGAGACTGATTAACAGTAATTAAAAATTAGCAAATCCAGTTCATAAGCCATATTAAAATTTAATTTTGATCACTGAAGCGATTAGGCTGTTGTTTTTTCCCAAACTGAACACTTTTTTCAGAAAAATGTGAGAAACAATAGATTGTTCAGAAAGTAATTAATACATACAAGACTCAAAATTAAAGGCACCAATCCTGAAAATTCATTTTCTTTCTTTTTTTTTTTTTCCCCCTTGAGACGGAGTCTCGCTCTGTCACCCAGGCGAGTGCAGTGGCGCAATCTCAGCTCACTGCAACCTCTGCCTCCCGGGTTCAAGCAATTCTCCTGCTTCACTCTCCCGAGTAGCTGGGATTACAGGCATGTGCCACCACACCTGGCTAATTTTTGTATTTTTTTATTTTTTTTATTTTTTTTGAGACGGAGTCTCGCACTGGCTGGTGTGCAGTAGCGCGATCTCGGCTCACTGCAACCTCCACCTCCCAGGTTCAAGCAATTCTCCTGCCTCAGCCTCTTGAGTAGCTAGGATTACAGGTGCCCGTCACCATGCCCGCTTAATTTTTTGTATTTTTAGTAGAGAAGGGATTTCACTATGTTAGCCAGGCTGTTCTCGAACTCCTGACCTCGTGATCCGCCTGCCTTGGCCTCCCAAAGTGCTGGGATTACAGACGTGAGCCACCGCGCCCAGCCAATTTTTTTATGTTTAGTAGAGATGGTTTTACCATCTTGGCCAGGCTGATCCGGAAATTCTGACTTCGTGATCCACCCACCTCAGCCTCCCAAAGTGCTGGGATTACAGGCGTGAGCCACCAATCCTGGCTGAAAATTAATTTTCTTAAGTCCAGATTTTCCTGTGAGCTACGGAGTATTCCAGTTTCAGAGTCATTACAAATTCGGGTTATCTAAGAAGACTCAATCCTTGGAAACTACATACAACTCTAATCAGCTTAATAATTATTGAACTCAAAAATCTACTCTGTGTTTCTGAGAGTTCTGTATTTAAAAAATCTGAATTATTTTTACAACAGTATCATTTATGATATGGGCTAAAATTTAAGAGAAATAACTAAAAAGACAAAAGTAAAAAGGAAATAATTACATTTTACATAGTTTAATTTGCTGGACAATTGCTCTGTATTTGAGAGTAAAGGATTTTATAACAAAGTTTTAAATGTTCATTAAAACAACAAATTCAGAACAAGTATTCAGGAAAAAAAATTGCTTGCCTTTTGAGATCTTCTGGCCTTCCCCATCCTCTGATAAAAAGTTTTGTTAGGAGAAGTCTCCGGTATAGAATATCTAACTTGCTCACACCCATCAGTAGCAAACAAGCATCTATAAAACAAAATTTAAAATGGCTTTAAAATATTTTATTTGTTTCAAGGTAGCAGGTCAATTTTCTAACCATTTCTTTGACTATCATGTAAAATTAAAGATTGAGACGAATTAATTCCTTTGGAAACAAAATACAAGATTTGGGGGAAAAAAAAGAGCTGAGTTGAAAATAGAGAAGATGTACACCTTTGAACTTCACTGAACTGTGAATTTCTCTAGGGTAGGATCTTCCCATCCTCAGTACAGTTGCTGAAATAAGTACCCTCTATTTGCTGGATAAAAATAGTAGGGGATAATATGTGATAGTGTATTATCTGCCAGGCACCACTATTTTAAGAACTACAAACACACACGCAGGTTCTCATTAAACCTACCAACAATTTTGAGGAAGGATTTATTATCCCAATTACACAGACAAGAAAACTGAGGCATAGAGAGTATAATTTACCCAAGGTCACACAGCTAGTGGGAAACATAGCTAAGATTCAATCCCAGGTACACAGCTCAACATCTAACTACCACACTACACTCCCCTCTACTATACTACAGTGAATGAAAAATAATAAATAATCACTGCTACTACTTTTATACCATTTATCTATCTTCTCAAGTATTTCTAAAGATTTTTAAGTATCTACCTCTATCTTGTCAAACTGAATGGTATGGTTTTGATTTGCGGGTGAAACCTGATTCAGATTCAGGGTTTACTCTACTTAAATAAATGAAAAATGAAAATCTGCATTTCCTTTTT
This sequence comes from Homo sapiens, assembly GCF_000001405.40. NCBI lineage: Eukaryota > Metazoa > Chordata > Mammalia > Primates > Hominidae > Homo > Homo sapiens. The sequence continues at coordinate 127,982,187 of NC_000004.12, read as the reverse complement.
CAATTGTTTTTTATTTTTTCTCAGATCTTAGGAAATCTGCATTTCCATCAATGGGCTTTAAGAAATACTTATCCATTGCTTCAGATTTTTTTGAAACCATCCCTTTTATCTTCTATTTTTACTTTTTCATTTTTTAATAACCTGCAAGACCAACTTAATATTCCTCTGTTTGCCTACGTGTAGAATGTAACCCACCATCAATTGGGCTGGCATTTAAGTTGATTTTATGGTTGGACTAGCAAAACCAAGTCTTTCATACTGCCTCTCATAATTCTCAGTACCAAGAAGAAACATTTACTAGCTAATGTACTTGTCAGACAAGACAACGTATGGCCAGAGTATAGGATTAAGTGTTTTTTTAATAGCACCCATCTCTCTTTTTCCCAGTTTCCATGTGCTCTTCAATGGCTCTTTGATAAATGTGGGGTTTTGACACAATAATGTTCAAAAAAATGTATTGCATATACAGTTTTATTATACTATTTGTGTCTACCACTATACATAAACTGGTATTAATTACTAGATTCCTATAAATTATCATCCATCCAGTGTTGAGTGCAGTTCACCATAGATGAACCATCCCTGGGTGGGTTAATAAGTTCCTGCACTTCTAAGAATATGTATGATTTTTTTCATTCAACAAATATTTATTAACTGCTTATTATATTCCAATCATTATTTTAGGCCCTGTGCCACAAAAATGACAAAGGAATGGTCTTGTTCTCATTGATCTTATATTTTAGTGGAGGGAAAATAATTAAAAATTAAAAAATCTATCTAACTATCAAAATAAGAGTAGAATAACACTATGATGAAAATGAAACAAGGCAATGTGCTAACAACTAAAGGGCTCTTTTGGTAATTTAAAAAAATCTTTGAAGAGGTACCAAAAATACAGATGCTCCTCGACCTACAATGGGATTGCATCCCAATAAACCCATCATAAGTAAAAAAATATCATACGTGGAATATACATTTAATACCCTGACAAACCTATGGTCAAGTTGAAACAATCGTAAGTCAAACCACCATAAGTTAGAGACTGTAAGTATTTAAGCCAATAGCTACATGAAAAGGAGCACCCAAGTCTTTAAATTGCAAATCTCATTAAAATCATACACCTCTTGAAATCTACCCATTACTATGTTCCAATGAGATTTGTTGAAAATTATCTACCCAGTGGGTAAAGCACAGGTACAGATAATTCATATAAGGGAAAGGCAAGAAAAAAAAATTAAATACTGTTTTTAAATTAAAAAATGCTCACTGTAAAATTTTTAAATTCAACAATATGAAGGTATGTATAGTAAAAATGGAGAAAATAATCCCCTTCCAATCACTTTTTTTTTTTTTTTTTTTTTTGAGATGCAGTCTTGCTCTGTTGCCCAGGCTGGAGCGCAGTGGTGCGATCCCAAGCTCACTGCAACCTCCGTCCCCTGGGTTCAAGCAATTCTCCTGTCTCAGCCTCCTGAGTAGCTGGGACTACAGGCACCCACCACCCCACCCCAGCGAATTTTTGTGTTTTTAGTAGAGACGGGGTTTCACCATGTCGTCCAGGCTGGTCTTGAACTCCTGACCTGAGGTTATCCGTCCGCCTTGGCCTCTCAAAGTGCTGGGATTACAGACATGAGCAACTGTACCTGGCCCCCTTCCAATCACTTCTAATTTTGCATTTCAGGCATATCTAGTGCTAACAGTTTGGATTCTACTCTTTCTGATCTTTTTCTTGTTGATGTTACTTATTTACCTACACACACTGTCTTGCTCTGTTTTGTGTTGCTATAACAGAGCAACACCAGCTGGGTAATTTATAAAGAAGAGAAATTTACTTCTTAAAATTCTGCAGGTTGGAAGTCCAAGGTTGAGGGGGAAACATTTGGTGAGGACCTTCTTGCTGCATAACATGGTGGAAGGTATCACATAAGAGAGCAATAGAGAATCGAACTCACTTTTAGAGCAAGCCCACTCTCCAGATAACTAATTCACTTCCAAAATAATACCATTAATCCATCCATGAGGATAAAGCCCTCATAACCTAATCACCTCTTATTAGGACCCACCTCCCAACACTATTGCATTGGGGATTATGTTTCCAACACGTGAACTATCGGGAACACATTTAAGCCACTGCACATACTTTTTAAAAAATTACTAAAGTAATGTAACACATTTTTGGCAGAATTAAGACAATATAAAAATTTTATAAAGTGGAGAAACTTCTCTTCATCACTTCTTTGTGTCCTCCCATTGTCTTTTTTTTTTTTTTTTTTTTGAGATGGAGTCTCACTCTGTCGCTCAGGCTGGAGTGCAGTGGCACAATCTTGGCTCAATGCAACCTCTACCTCCTTGGCTCAAGTGATTCTCCTGCCTTAGCCTCCTAAATAGCTGGGATTACAGGCACACAGCAGCACGCCCAGCTAATTTTTGTATTTTTAGTAGATGCAGGATTTTGCCATGTTGGCCAGGCTGGTCTCAAACTCCTGACCTCAGATGATCCACCCGCCTCGGCCTCCCAAAGTGCTGGGATTATAGGTGTGAGCCACTGCGCCCGGCCGCCATTGTTAATATTTTAATACCTTGTTCTATCCATTTAATACCTTGTTCCATCCATTGGTGTTTCTTTGTTTTGTTTTGAGACAGAGTCTCGCATTGTCGCCCACGCTAGAGTGCAGTGGCGCAATCTCAGCTCACTGCCAGCTCTGCCTCCCCGGTTCAAATGATTCTCCTGCCTCAGCCTCCCGAGTAGCTGGGACTACAGGTGCCCGCCACCACGCCTGGCTAATTTTTTGTATTTTTAGTAGAGACGGGGTTTCACCATGTTAGCAAGGATGGTCTCGATTTCCTGACCTCGTGATCCACCTGCCTCAGCTCCCCAAAGTGTTGGGATTACAGGCATGAGCCACCGCGCCCAGCCTTTTTGGTGTTTTTTAAACTTGGAAGAGAGTAACTACTAATTATTTTTTCAGTGCTATTCCTCCTCTTGTTTATAAACAGCTGCAAAGCTCTTTCAAATTCAGGGTATACAGATCCACCTCATCTTTTTAACAGGTAAATTTAGGACATTTATATTTATTATGATGATAAATATTTGGTTTGTTGTTTTTTATTGATTCTGTAGGTTGTTCACATTTAGCTATTTTACATTTACTTTGAATAAACAGTTTGACTTACATACTTACCATAAAGTTGATGTTTCAACTTTATGATGAATTTATACAATGTAACCTCATCATAAACTGAGGAACATTTAGACTTACAGTGGTTCAACTTACGATTTTTCAACTTTACAGTGGGTTCGTTGGAGTGTTAAGTGCATTTTCAACTTAACAATATTTTCTATTTACAGTGGGGTTTATCAGGATGTAACCATATCATAAGCTGAGGAGCATCTGTATTTAATATGTGATATATCACTGTGGCTAAGAGAACAGACTCTAGAGCCAAATTGGGTCAAATTCTTACTATAAGACTTTTAACAAGTCACTTAGCCTTTTTGTAATTCATCTGTAAAATGGAAGTAATGATAATACTTACCTCAAATAATTGGTATGCAATTTAAATTAGTATATAGAAGGCACTTAAACAGCTCTTTGAAAATTTAAATGCTACACCTAGTACAGAATCAGGATTTTAAGTCTTTATCAGATTTATACCAAAAAGCTTCTACCATTCCATTAATTTTACAAATTATATTTACATGTATTCTGTACGCTTAAATGTTTATATAATCAACCAATCCATCTCATCACATCCAGCAGAACTCCTCAATACGCTGTAAAAGTATTCAAATTTAGTTCTTTAAAATATTAAATTCCTTCTTCTCATTGGCGGTCATTGTAAAATGGAGTATTTTTCTTCTCTTTACTAACCATTTTTCCAGGAACATTTTCTCTCTACTGTTTTCTAATTCCTATTTTTAAAATCTAGAAATCTATAAATCCATACACCTACTATGTACCCACAAAAATTTTCAAAAATAAAAATCTAGAAGTCTTTCATAAACTTGGATTAAGTTCTAAAATCTATATTGTTTTAAATTTCTTTCAAATAGCTCTTATAAACTACAACTGTTGTTTTCATGTTTAAAATTCTACAATGAGTTTTCCATATATATTCAGTTTATGTCATGACATAAAATACACCACTGGCAATGTAATTATTTAATAGAGTGTTCAATCCATATATTAACTCAATAGCATTGTGAGTTTTAGTCTTCTCATCAAGAGATATACCTATTTATTCATTAATCCAGTTTTATTTATTTTCTCAGTTAATGTTTATGCTATCCTTTAAGTATCTTTACTACACAAATTCTGCTACTAATAAATTATTTAGTATTTGTGATAACTACCATAAGATTCCTTTTCTTTGTGTTTTCTACTTAGATGCTTATTACTAATTCATAAAAAAAAAATTTATTCTAAATGTTTCTTCTGTCCTGCAAGTTTTGTATTAGAATTGGAAATGAATGCATCAAACATTTAGCAGAGACTTATTCGTTTGTAATGCAATATGCATCTTTCTACTATACTATGCCACTCCTCTAATTTCTTCAAAGTTAAGCCTATCAGAAACCCAAGATGAAAAATCATAAAGAAAGTTCTATGCATGTTACTACCTTTATAGGATTAAGCTTTTCAATCTGTATTACCCTAAATATTTTTATAACTGTCTTTAAAACAGATTTTTAAATTTATTTTTTATTTTTATTTTTTGAGATGGAGTTTCACTCTTGTTGCCCAGACTGGAGTACAGTGGCATGATCTCAGCCCACTGCAACCTCTGCCTCCCAGGTTCAAGCCATTTTCCTGCCTCAGCTTCTCAAGTAGCTGGGATTACAGGCATGCGCCACCACGCCCAGCTAATTTTGTATTTTTAGTAGAGACAGGGTTTCTCCATGTTGGTCAGGCTGGTCTCGAACTCCCGACCTCAGGTGATCCACCTGCCTCAGCCTCCCAAAGGGCTGGGATTACAGGCGTGAGCCACCACGCCCAGCTTGTTTTTTTTTTAAACAGATTTCTGATTATACCTGAATAACATTTTTCCAAAACAGCCTTAATAATATACCTAATTGGGAGAAAATATTGATTTTAAGGTACACAAAAACTAAAGGATATTTTATTATTTAATTAGTTTTTTTTTTCTCTGAGATGGAGTGTCGCTCTGTCGCCCAGGCTGGAGTGCAGTAGCACGATCTTGGCTCACTGCAAGCTCTGCCTCCCGGGTTCACGCCATTCTCCTGCCTCAGCCTCCCAAGTAGCTAGGACTATAGGTGCCCGCCACCACGGCCAGCTAATTTTTTGTATTTTTAGTAGAGACGGGGTTTCAGCGTGTTAGCCAGGATGGTCTTGATCTCCTGACCTTGTGATCCGCCCGCCTTGGTCTTCCAAAGTGCTGGGATTACGGACGTGAGCCACAGCGCCTGGCTAAAGGATATTTTAAAAACAACTTATACTAAGTATATCCAATGACTGGTAGGATACCTAGTAGAATTCCTCATGGAAAAACAATAAATAGATGATATAAACATAAAATTTTAGTTTCCATTTTAATATGTTTCCAAATAGTATCTGAAAAGAATGCTATAAAAAGACTAGAGGAGAGACCCTGCAAAGTTTTTCCACAAAAGGCTGAACAGTATATATGATAGGCCTTGTAGGACAAGAGGCAAAATTAAGGATATTATGTAGGTATTTCAGATAACATTTTTTTCATTTTTTTCATTTCAGAGTCACATTTTTTGCATTGAGGAAATTCAAAATGTCATAAAAATAACTGAGTATAATTTTTTGTAATGTATAATTAATGAGAAGAATAAACTTTTTTTTTCTTGGGCGTTTGCTTAATTGAGATTCAAAGTTAGTACCCCATAATGAAATTGGGTACAAATGTTCACCTGTAAAATCTATTCTTAACTTGAAAGACATAGAAAAACAGGCAGGTTGAACAATAGGCCATAGCTTCCTGACCCCTGGGTTAGAAAATCAAATAAATCATAGGTATGACACAAATATAACACTAATGTTATAAATGTAAAGATACAACTATAAATCACTAGATTAAAATTACAGGCCAGACGTGGTGGTTCATGCCTGTAATCCCAACACTTTAGGAGGCTGAGGCAGGCGGATCACTTGAGTTCAAGACCAGCCTGGCTAACATGGCAAAACCCCATCTCTACTAAAAATACAAAAATTAGCTGGGTGTGGCAGCACATGTCTGTAATCCCAGATACTCAGGAAGCTGAGAAAGGAAAATCACTTGAACCTGGGAGGCGGAGGTTGCAGTGAGCCGAGACTGTACCACTGCACTCTAGCCTGGGTGACAGAGCAAGATTCCATCTCAAAATAAAATAAATAAAATAAAATAAAGTAAAATAAATAAGTAAATTATCCCAACCCTATAAAATGGGCATAAATATAATGCAAATATTGATTTAAAAAAATTCTATATGCCATAAAGTAGACCTAAAATTAATATTCTATCTAAAGTAAACACTAGTTATCTAATCAGCCATGATTTGTTTTCCTCCATAAAATTTAGAATTTGGCAGAAGCTTCTTCACTTCCTAGGTTATAAATAAATACATAAAAGGTGGGAGCTTTTAGTGTCCATTGGCAGATGAATGGATAAGCAAAGTATGTACATACAAACAACCACAAACACACACACAATAGGAATATATTCAGTCATACAAAGGAAGGAACTTCTGGCACATGATACAACATGGATGAACTCAGAGGACATTACGCTAAGTGAAATTAGTCAGCCACAAAAAGACAAATATTGTATGATTCAATTTAAACAAGATACCTAGAGTAGTCAGATTCATAGAAGCAGAAAGTAGAAGGATGGTTGCCCAGTACTGGGGGGATGGGAAAAGGGGGAGGCTACTGTTTAATGGGTATAGAGTTTCAGTTTTGCAAGAAGAAAACTGGAGATGGATGGTGGTGATACAGTTGCGCAACAATATAAATATACTTACCTTTGAACTATAGAGTTAAAATTATTAAGATGGTAAATTTTGTTACTGTATTTTACCACAAGAAAAAAAACTGAGAAAACAAAATAGAATTTGGGGTTGAGTCTCCAAATAAAATTTTGAGGGGAAGTAAATTGATGCTTTCTTTTCCTTTTGACAACTTTGTCAGTAAGCAGTAGTTCACTATTTTTTTTTTTTTTTTTTTTTTGAGACACAGTTTTTGCTCTTGTTGCCTAGGCTGGAGTGCAATGGCGCGATCTCGGCTCACTGCAACCTCCACCTCCTGGGTTCAAGCAATTCTCCTGGCTCAGCCTCCCAAGTAGCTGGGATTACAGGCGACAACCACCACACCCAGCTGATTTTTGTTATTTTTAGTAGAGACGGGGTTTCACCGTGTTGGCCAGGCTGGTCTCGAACTCCTGACCTCAGGTGATCCACCCTCTACCCTCCTCAGCCTCCCAAAGTGCTGGGATTACAAGTGTGAGCCACTGCGCCCAGCCAGAAGTAGTTCACTATTTATCTCAGAACAGAACTTGCCAGATGCCATGGCTCACACCTGTAATCCTGCACTTTGGGAGGCTGACACGGGTGGATAGCTTGAGCCCAGGAGTTCAAGACCAGCCTGGGCAACATGGTGAAATTCCATTTCTACAATAAATACAAAAAATTAGCCAGATGTGGTGGTGCATGGCTGTGGTTCCAGCTACTTAGGAGGCTGAGGTGGGAGGATTGCTTGAACTGAGTAGGCAGAGGCTACAGTGAGCCAAGATCATGGCTACTGCACTCCAGGCCAGGGTGACACAGTGAGACCTTATCACACACAAAAATAATACAGTTGGGTGCAGTGGTCCATAGTGGTGTGCGCCTGTAGTCCCAGCTACTCAAAAGGCTGAGGTAGGAGGATAGCTTGAGCCCAGGAGAGTGAGGTGGCAGTGAGCTATGATAGTGCTATTGCTCTCCAGCGTGGGCGACAGAGTAAGACTCTGTCTCAAAAAAAAAAAAAAAAAAAAAAAAAAACAGAACTTAAGGTTAATATTCTCTTCAAAAAAGACCATTGCATAATTTAAATAGTTGGAAGCTTTTAATAACTAAGACCTTTAAAGAATATAATTTGAAGAACAAATCTCTTGCATCTAGTTTGTTTCCTCCATCTTCTTCCCTTTTCCTTGAGGATTATCTTCCAAGAACCCAGCCTAGTTGGGTTTTCTGCTTCAGAACCTCATCTGGCTTCAATCAAGGTGTCAGCTGGGCTTCATTTTCATCTGTAGGCTTGAAGAGACAAGAACTCACTTCCACGCTTACTCAGGTTGAAGGCAGAATTCATTTTTTTTGTGTGTGGCTGTGGGACTATGAGCTTCAATTTTTTTTTTTTTTTTTTTTTTTTTTTTGCTGTTCATCAGCCAGAGGCCAGCCTCTGCTCCTGGAGGCTATCCACAGCCCCCTGTCACATGGCTCTCTTCATAGGAAGTTCACAACATGGCAGCTATTTCTTCAAGGCCAGCAGGAAAATAAGTGTGAGCCACAGGAGCCATACCTTTGCCATATAACATAATGTCGTCATGGGAATAACAGCCAATCACCTTTGCCATATGCCTGGTTAGAAAGCAAATCATGGGTTCTGCCCAAACTCAAGGAAGGGGATCACACAAAAATATGAACATCAGAATTTGAGGATCTTGAGGGCCACCTTAGAAACTGTCTGCTACACTGAGAGAAACCAATTATACTTCTCAGCATTTGAGTAGAGTATCTGGGCTGACACCCTCAATAACAGGTGTTACTTACTTTCTTCACATTTTCCTACCAGTAAGGGGGAAAAAAAAACCCCCAAACTCCACAGACTTGAATAAACATTTGTTTATAAGCAAATTTTGAAAGTTTGTCTAAATCAGCAAGGCGTGGTGGCTTACATCTGTAATCCCAGTAGTTTGTGATGCTGAGGTGAGAGGACCGCTTGAGTCCAGCAGTTCAAAACCAGCCTGGGTAACATGGGGAAACTCTGCCTCTATGAAAAATACAAAACTTTCCCGGGAGTGGTGGTGTGTGCCTGTGTAGTCCCACCTACTCGGGAGGCTGAGGCGGGAGGATTGCTTGAGCCTAGGAGGCAGAGGATGCAGTGAGCCAGGATCACACCACCGCACTCCAGCCTGGGTGACAGAGTGAGACCCGGTCTAAGAAAAGAAAAGAAAGGAAACGAGTGGGGAGGGTAGGGGAGAGAAAAGATTGTCTAAATCATGTTTATATATTTTCATTCACTTAACACCTTTGTCAGAAACAACAACAAAAAAACCAAAACAAAGTAAAAACACTTGCCTCTTAGAATTTTTTTAATCATGAAACAAATGGTAAAAGGCAAACTAACTTCTGAAATGCGTCTTAATTATATATTTTCTACTTTAGTGCAATTACAATCATGTAAGTATATGTAGTATATAAATTGCTTGACTAGTGTTTTTCTTGTAGAGGGCATGTCACTCTGGAATAATAAAGAGTATATCTGGGCCAGGCACGGTGGCTCACGCCTGTAATCCCAGCACTTTGAGAAGCCAAGGCAGGTGGATCACTTGAAGTCAGGAGTTCAAAACCAGCCCGGCCAACATGGTGAAACCCTGTCTCTACTAAAAATACACAAAAATTAGCCAGAGCGAGACTCTGTCTCAAAAAAAAAAAAAAAAAAAAAAAAAAGAGTATATCTGGTCTTTGACCTCAGCTCCTGGCATGAAGTTTCTAAAACCCCTGGTATTTCTTAAGTGATGAGTGTCTGTTATGCTAAACAAGCAACTCCCTGTGGGCCCCCTGAAAGTTTCAGAATCAGGGCTGGCCACCAGAAAGGAACTTTGGGACCCTCTGACCTCCACAGAGGGGAAGGGAGCTGGAAAGTGAGTTCAATCACATGGCCAAAGATTCAATCAATCATGCCTATTAATGAAACTCCAGTAAAAATTATGGACACTAAACCTTGGTGGAGCTTTCTAGTTGATGAACACCTTGGTGCGTCAGGAAGGAGATGCTCCCTGAGTCCATAGGAAGAGGCCAGGTAGTTCCACATTCATTCCCATACCTTGCCTCATGTTTCTCTTCATTGGGCTGTTCCTGAGTTGTATCCTTTATAATAACCTATAATCATAAATTTAGCTGTTTCCTGAGTTCTGAGTCATTCTAGCAAATTATAGACCCACAGGGCTCTCAGGAGCTCCTAAATTTTTAGCCAAGTCGGTCAGAAGGATGAGAGGCCTGGAGACCCCTGAAGTGCATCTGAAGAACTGAGCCCTTAACTTGTGGGGTCTGCATTAATTCTAGGTGGTTAGTGTCAGAATTGGGAACTGAAGTACACCCAGTTGGAGTGGAAATGGAATAGATTACTCTTTACCAAAATTCTGATTAGTGTTACATATTCCAAATAAGATGCCAACTCTTAGGCCAGGTGCGGTGGCTCACGCCTGTAATCCCAGCACTTTGGGAGGCCGAGGGGCAGATCACGAGGTCAGGAGATTGAGACCACCCTGGCTAACACGGAGAAACCCCATCTCTACTAAAAATACAAAAAACTAGCCGGGCGTGGTGGCGGGTGCCTGTAGTCCCAGCTACTCAGGAGGCTGAGGCAGGAGAATCATTTGAACCAGGGAGGCAGAGGTTGCAGTAAGCCAGGATCACACCACTGCACTCCAGCCTGAGCGACAGAGCAAGATCGTCTCAAAAAAAAAAAAAAAAAAAAAAAAAAAAGCCAACTCTGGACATATTCAGAGAGTGGCAGGGGGTGGCATGACATGCTATGGCATGAGGAAAAATAATTCTAGGTGATAATTTTAATTATTTTATTCCCTGGGTCTTTCTGGAATTGTTAAAATATACAGCATCAATATATCTTTTGCATACATTTATTAAAGTGCAATAGAACAGTGGCATGTCATTGGAATGCAAGACTTCATTGTCTTTTTTTTTTTTTTTTTTGAGACAGGGTCTTGCTCTGTTGCCCAGGCTTGAGTGCGAGTGGGGCAATCATGGCTTACTGCAGCCTCAATCTCCTCAGCTCAAGTAATCCACCCAGTGCAGCCTCTAGAGTAGCTGGGACCACAGGCACACAGGCCACCTTCCTTGCCCGGCTAATTTCTTTCTTTTTTTTTTTTTTTGAGACAGAGTCTGGCTCTTGTCACCCAGGCTGGAATGCAGTGGCACGATCTCAGCTCACTGCAAACTCCGCCTCCCAGGTTCAAGCAATTCTCCTGCCTCAGCCTTCCAAGTAGCTGGGATTACAGGCATGTACCACCACTTCTGACTAATTTTTGTATTTTTAGTAGAGACAGTGTTTTACCATGTTGGCCAGGCTGGTCTGGAACTCCTGGCCTCAGGTGATCCACACACCTTGGCCTCCCAAAGTGCTGGGATTACAGGCGTGAGTCACCATGCCCAGCCTAATTTATTTTTTGTAGAGATGAGGGTCTTGCTATGTTGACCAGGCTAGTCTCGAACTCCTGAGCTCAAGCAATCCTCCCATCTCAGCCTCTCAAAGTCCTGAGATTACAGGCATGAGCAACTGCACCCAGATAGGACTTCACTGCCTTTTGCAATATATTATAGGTCACTTATTTTCTTTCTTTTTTTTTTTTTTTTTTTTTGAGACAGAGTTTCACTCTTGTTGCCCAGGCTGGATTGCAATGGTGCGATCTCGGCTCACCACAACCTCCGTCTCCCGGGTTCAAGCAATTCTGCCTCAGCCTCCCGAGTAGCTGGGATTACAGGCATGCACCACCACGCCTGGCTAATTTTGTATTTTTAGTAGAGACGGGGTTTCTCCATGTTGGTCAGGCTGGTCTCAAACTCCTGACCTCAGGTGATCTGCCCATCTTGGCCTCCCAAAGTGCTGGGATTACAGGCGTGAGCCACCACACTGGGCCCACTTATTTTCTTAACATCAGCATGAAATGAACCAGGGGCATCATCTTTCTTTGTAACACCCATGGCATCAATAACAATAAGTAGAATCCACAATAGTAAAATAACATTTAATTAAAAATCCTGGCTAGGCTGGGTGTGGTGGCTCACATCTGCAATCCCAGCACTTTGGGACGCTGAGGAGGGAGGATTGCTTGAGCTCAGGAATCTGAAACCAGCCTGGTCAACATAGTGAGACCTCGTCTCTTAAAAAAAAAAAATCCTGGCCAGGCGCAGTGGCTCATGATTGTAATCCTAGCACTTTGGGAGGCCAAGACGGGAGGACTGCTCGGGCCCAGGAGCGCAAGACAAGCCCTGGCAACACAATGAGACCCTGTCTCTACAAAAAAATTTTGAAATCTAGCCAGGTGTGGTGGTGCACACCTGTAGTCCCAGCTACTCAGTAGGCTGTGGAGGGAAGATTGTGTAAGCCTGGGAAGTTGAGGCAACAGTGCACATCGTTGCACCACTGCACTCCAGCCTCGGCAACAGAGCAAAATCCTGTCTCCAAAAAAAAAAAAAAATTCCAACACCTATATTTTACAGTAAGAAGAAAAGTAATATACTGCTCATGAGATGCTCCATTTTCCTAAACTTTGATATTCTTCTAGATTGGTAGATAAAACCAAGATAAAGCAAAAATATAGAATTAGAAAGTTGCAAAGGAAGCAAGAAAGGACCTAAGAACAATGAACTTTTCAAATATTTTGTAAAGTACTATATTTATTGTTTGCCTAAATTATTTACTTATTTCTAGTTTTCAACCCAAACTAGAAAACCTTCCCAGTAGCTCATGCCTGTAATCGCAGCCCTTTGGGAGGCTGAGGCAGGCGGATCACCTGAGTTTGGGAGTTGGAGACCAGCCTGACCCATGGAGAAACCCCGTCTCTATTAAAAATACAAAATTAGCCAGGTGTGATGGTGGGCACCTGTAATCCCAGCTACTTGGGAGGTTGAGGCAGGTGAATCCCTTGATCCTAGGAGGTGGAGGTTGCAGTGAGCTGATATTGCACCATTGCACTCCAGCCTGGGCAACGAGAGCAAAAGTCCGTCTCAAAAAAAAAAAAAAGAAAAAAGAAAAAAAGAAAACCTTCCCAAATCACTTTAATTCCCTGCATAACAGGCCACAAAAGTCAGCACTCCAAACTTAGACACAGCATATTCCTTACTATATTTACCTACTAATAAACAACTAATAAATGAGGAAAAGAAAGTAAATCAAACGCACATATAGGTTAGTATAAATTTGGTTCTGGGGTTTGGGGTCATACAAATCTTCTTAAATCCCATTTCAGCTCCAAGAACAACATAAAAGACAGTTTTTGTGGAACTCTCTAAACACGTAAGTCTTTCTAGACAGGGTTGGCTGGGTCCAGGGTATCTAGTGCCACCATGAACAGATAAAAATCCAAGCCCAGGGTGAACGTAACTCCAAATCACCAAAATAAGGCACCATCTGGAGTCATGCCAGATACTTAAAAGTCCCCACTTCAGGCTGGACAGACAACAATGAGCTTCTGCAGAAATAGAACCTATTTTTGAAGTATATATCAAGCTAAAATGACACAGTTATCAATGTGAAAGGGAAAAGCAAAGGGAAACAAAAATAGAAGTTCTAGTACAGTGCCAAGAACTAAAAAGTCTTTCCTAGAAATGAGTTCTATTGCTAAAGTGACACTCATCATTTATTATGCTATCTAGTGCTTTTATTTCCTGTCATTTGGGTACCTAAGCATTTAACAATGCAATACTAATTTTTTCTGGACTTTTATCCTTACATTGGTGATACATATCTCAAAGGCATAAATGAAAATTTAAAAAATATCACCATGTACAAGAACTTATTCCCTTACCTAAAAAAGAAGACTTTAAATTTTATCTTGTAATTTCACTTCTAAATAATGTCTATACAAGTTTAAGTAGCTAAGAAAGGGTTTAGATACCTCAGATATCCACTGTTAAAATCTACTTCCCTAGCTTCACAAATATAATTCAACAAATATAATTCCTTACTCTTACACTGAACAAGAGTAAGAAAATAGGATGTTTGTTTGTTTATTTTTTGAGACGGAGTCTCGCTCTGTCGCCCAGGCTGTAGTGCAGTGGCGCAATCTCGGCTCACTACAAGCTCCGCCTCCCGGGTTCACCCCATTCTCCTGCCTCAGCCTCTCCGAGTAGCTGGGACTACAGGCGCCCGTCACCACGCCCGGCTACTTTTTTGTATTTTTAGTAGAGACGGGGTTTCACCGTGGTCTCGACCTCCTGACCTCGTGATCCGCCCGCCTCGGCCTCCCAAAGTGCTGGGATTACAAGCGTGAGCCACCGCGCCCGGCTGTTTGTTTGAAAGGGGTGTGGGTAAATATCCTGGGCAGTCACCTAAGGAAATGCACCAAATGGAGTCTCATATTCTTGTGTGAAACATTCGGGAAATAATCTAATCTCTTCAAATTTAGCTCCTCTTTTCCATGGGCTTTATAAAAAAAAATTACATATATATATATGTTTAAATGTTTACTTTGGATGCTATGTGTGTGTTCCTAAGAGACATTTTCTTTTTTTTTTTTTCCTACTGGTACAATACACTAAGCTTACTTAGATTTCACCAGCTGTATATGTACTCATTCCATATGCTTTTGTGGTCTGAAGTCATCACTTGGAGGCACCAATGGAAAAGAGCAGTGTCAGAGGGCTGGGATTCCTCTACCAGCTGTGTGACCTTGAGTAAGCCACCTTAACCTATAAACAGAAAGTAATATCTGCCCTGATACATGATAGCCAATTATTTCACTTAGATAAAAACTGAATATCTACTATATATTTTTATGAGATATAAGGAAAGATTCTTCTTGCCGCTTTGCCATTTTTTCCCATAAGAAGCCTGGTGGTAAAGAGCACAGGCTTAGGATCAGGAGTCCTGCATTTCTTGAATTCTAGCTCTGTTGCTTGTTAGTAGTATGATCCTAGGCAAGTTACTTAATCTCCCTGCCTTCCATTTCCTTGTACACATGAGACAATTCCCCCCTCAGAGGATTGTTGTAAGGATGAGATGAAGTAATTCAATGAGCATTCATCCAACATATATTTATCTAGGAGCCATTCTGCTTACTGCTATACTGGTTAAAAATCCCCTTGTCCACTATATATGTGCCATACATTGCTAGCCCCCAGGAATTAAAAAAGACAATATAATAAAGCGACATTATGGCAAGAAAATACTAACTTTTCTACCTATGTGTCTTTTTGGAACCAATAATACAAATCTGACTTGTTTTTGTGAGCTGTTACAAATGAATCTGCAAGACTGAATCCAAGTACAAAATATCAGGTCTTGATTTAGAAGATATTTCTGAATAGCACGTTTCAAGGTTTTTGGTTTTTTTTTTTTTTTTGAGACAGAATCTCACTCTGTTGCCCAGGCTGGAGTGCAGTGGCGTGATCTCGGCTCACTGCAGCCTCCGCCTCCCGGGTTCAAGGGATTCTCCTGCCTCAGCCTCCCGAGTAGCTGGGACTATAGGCGCCCGCCACCACGCCCGGCTTTTTTTTTTTTTTTTTTTTTTTTTTTTTTTTTTTTGTATTTTTAGTAGAGACGGGGTTTCACCGTGTTAGCCAGGATGGTCTCGATCTCCTGACCTCGTGATCCGCCCGCCTTGGCCTCCCAAGGTGCTGGGATTACAGGCATGAACCATCGCACCCAGACCGCACGTTTCAAGTTTAGGTGTTCACCAGTGAACTGCGCCTGGCTGATACACACAAGGTCACAAATGACACAAAGATCAGAAGTGATGGCATATACCATACATGACTGTGTAACTAGTATAGGACCTAGCATAGGGTAAATGCTCATAAATATTAATTTAAAAAAATTAAGTTTGGTTTCCAACTTTGCCACTTCCACACAGAGTGACTCTGGGTTAACTTGTCTGGATCTTAATTTTCAGTAAACTAGCAATGTGTCTGCTTCGCCTATCTCATAGGATACTTGTGATCAAATGAAATTACATGACAATGTATCTGGCGCTAATAAAACGGTAATTTATGAGACACAGAATGACTACTGACGCCAGCTAGCCTACAAGCCTAATAGTAGAGATAAGATGTTAATACATAACCACCAAGAAATAAACATGGAGATCTAGTGAAAACCCATGACATGTTTTCTAAAAATGTCATCTTCCTTGTGACGAAAGGAGCTGGTCATTGCTAGGCAGGTGCTGTACCTTTTTCAACTCCCACGTTTCAGCAGCAGGCTCTGCTGAGTGACATTTTGCAAGGCTGAGGCCCCCGTAGGCGCAGGCGCCGTTGGGGTGCGCATCCGGGGACCTGCAGGTTACAAGCAGCAGATCCCACCTTCAGTCCTGGCTCTGACAAGCCCTCCAGGTAAGGCGCCTTTGCATTTAGCCGAGCTAGAGAAGAGAGCTGGAAGCCACCTCTACCTTTCACGGGGGGAAGGGACTGCCCGCGCGCTCGCCCCCATTATCTCAGCCCTCCGAAGCGCGCCACGGACTCCAGCCTTGTCTCTCACCCCCAGCCTCACCCCGCGTCCCTGACCCGCGAGTCTCCCGCCCAGCTCCGCGTCCCCGGTCCCTGCCTCCAGGCGCGTACACGGCGCGCTAAGAGGCGCGGGGAGCTCTTAGCGCACCTACTACTTAACCGGACCGGCTACTTACTGGCCGCCAGGTGGAAGCCTGCGATCGAGCTGGCCGGGCCTCCCAGCACCGCCGCTCTCCAGGCTCCCTTTCCAGGACTCAACTTTGGTCCCAGCCCCAATCGCAGCTCCGGTAACCTTTCCAGGAACCGAAATGCTAGATACAGCGGAAGGAGAAACGGAGGGAGGAAGACAAACCCGGAGCAGGGCGGCGCGGCAGTTTGGACACGCCCCGAGCTCTCCTGGGCTCTCAGTCCCCGTCAGGATGGGAGGCGCGTGCCGAGGGAGGAGGCTGAGGACACAGCCTCCTTTCGCCCTGCGCTGCCCGGCCTTCCGCGTGACCCCGCCTATGACCTCGGGGCGTTCCGCCTACGTCTGACCGTCAGGTGCGCACGCGCACTTACAGGCTTGTTTTGCCAGCTTCACGCCACCCGGGATGGGAGAAAGCAGGTGTCGCGAGAGTTGGGCGCAAGACGCCTTGTAGGGAGTGTAACTATGGCCGGCCTGCGGAACGAAAGTGAACAGGAGCCGCTCTTAGGCGACACACCTGGAAGCAGGTGAGCGGATCCTGGTGGAGGGACCCCTCAGTCTCCTGCGCTGTTGGGACTGGTTCCTTTCCGGGCGTCACCCGCACTGGGACAAACCCTCGCTGCCAGAGGGGTTCCAGCGCGGTGGGAGCCGGTGGCTGGGTTGTGTGAGCCGAGGAGATTCGCTCCCAACGTAGGAGAAAGGGCGTCTGGCCGCACCGTGCGGTGATGAGCCCGTGGGTTCGAGTGACGGGGCTGGAGAAACCCAGGCTGCTGCTTTGCCTGTTGCAGCACCCAAGCTGAGAGGTGACAGCGTGCTGGCAGTCCTCACAGCCCTTGCTCGCTCTCCAGGCCTCCTCTGCCTGGGCTCCCACTTTGGCGGCACTTGAGGAGCCCTTCAGCCCACCGCTGCACTGTGGGAGCCCCTTTCTGGGCTGGCCAAGGTGGGAGCCGGCTCCCTCAGCTTGCAGGGAGGTGTGGTGGGAGAGGCGTGAGCGGGAACCGGGGCTGCGCGCCGCGCTTGCGGGCCAGCTGGAGTTCCGAGTGGGCGTGGGCTTGGCGGGCCCCGCACTGGGAGCAGCAGGCCGGCCCTGCCGGCCCCGGGCAATGAGGGGCTTAGCACCCGGGCCAGCGGCTGCGGAGGGTGTGCTGGGTCCCCCAGCAGTGCCAGCCCACTGGCGCTGCGCTCGATTTCTCGCCGGGCCTTAGCTGCCTTCCCGCGGGGCAGGGCTCGGGACCTGCAGCCCGCCATGCCTGAGCCTCCCACCCACTCCGTGGGCTCCTGTGCGGCCCGAGCCTCCCCGATGAGCGCCGCTCCCTACTCCACGGTGCCTAGTCCCATCGACCACCCAAGGGCTGAGGAGTGCGGGTGCACGGCGCGGGACTGGCAGGCAGCTCCACCTGCAGCCCCGGTGCGGGATCCACTGGGCGAAGCCAGCTGGGCTCCTGAGTCTGGTGGAGACGTGGAGAACGTTTATGTCTAGCTCAGGGATTGTAACTACACCAATCGGCACTCTGTATCTAGCTCAAGGTTTGTAAACACACCAATCAGCACCCTGTGTCTAGCTCAGGGTTTGTGAATGCACCAGTCGACACTCTGTATCTAGCTACTCTGGTGGGGCCTTGGAGAACCTTTCTGTCAACACTCTGTATCTAGTTAATCTAGTGGGGACGTGGAGAACCTTTGTGTCTAGCTCAGGGATTGTAAACGCACCAATCAGCGCCCTGTCAAAACAGACTACTCGGCTCTACCAATCAGCAGGATGTGGGTGGGGCCAGATAAGAGAATAAAAGCAGGCTGCCCACCAGTAGTGGCAACCCGCTGAGGTCCCTTTCCACAGTGTGGAAGCTTTGTTTTTTCGCTCTTTGCGATAAATCTTGCTACTGCTCACTCTTTGGGACCATACGGCTTTTATGAGCCGTAACACTCACCGCGAAGGTCTGCAGTTTCACTCCTGAAGCCAGCGAGACCACGGGGAGGAACGAACAACTCCAGACGCGCCGCCTTAAGAGTTGTAACACTCACCACGAAGGTCTGCAGCTTCGCTCTTGAGCCAGCGAGACCACGAACCCACCAGAAGGAAGAAACTCTGAACACATCTGAGCATCAGAAGGAACAAACTCCAGACGTGCCACCTTAAGAGCTGTTAACACTCACCGCGAGGGTCCGCAGCTTCATTCTTGAAGTCAGTGAGACCAAGAACCCACCAATCCCGGACACAAAGCCACCACATTCTGTATCTTCTGCATTCCATATTTGGCCCTTTGTAGCTGATCACTTTCCAGATTTCACAGTTTCAAAATGATGGTTTTAATAGATACTTGAAGGTATCGGTCTTAGTAATGACCTGCTGCCTAATTGCCTGACAACCTCTTGATAGTTTAACAAATCTGTCCAAAATGAGCTCGCCTTTGTCCTATGCCAAATGTACAAAGAAAGACTAATTTTAAGGCATTAAAGGAATAACGTCAGTATTTTGATCCTTATAATTCTGGTTGTTCTGATCCTAGTTTATGGGCAGTGACTCGGGAATGTATACCTAATGTATTTTTACCTTTAGGAAAACGGAATTACTATTTTATTTGAAATATACATAATAATTACCTCAGGTAAATTAATAAATTCAGTTAAACTTCAGCTGTCTATGACCATAATAATTTTTACTCATTTGTTCCCCTTAAGCACCAACCTTTTGTGAGCACTCTAACTCAAAACCCTTTGGCAAATGTATTTCTCTGGTCCTCGATTTACTAAACAGAGTTTATGCAATGCAGTTTTATCTTTACTTGATTTTATCTTGAGATCATTAAAATGAGTTTAGATGCTGATATGAATTTTAGTAGAGTGATGTCCTGAGAGCCTATTGAGACATTTGGGACTGTTTGCTTCTATACCAATTTATTTTACACTGCTATACTTTTTTTTTGAGACGGGGTCTTGCTCTGTGGCCTAGTCTGGAGTGCAGTGGTGAGCCTGGAGTGCAGTTTTATCTTTACTTGATTTTATCTTGAGATCATTAAAATGAATATCGATGCTGATATGAATTTTAATAGAGTGATGTCCTCAGAGCCTATTGAGACATTTGGGACTGTTGCTTCTATACCAATTTATTCTACACTGCTATACTTTTTTTTGAGACGGGGTCTTGCTCTGTGGGCTAGTCTGGAGTGCAGTGGTGCGATTTTGGCTCACTGCCACCTCTGCCTCCCAGGTTCAAGCGATTCTCCTGCCTCAGCTTCTGGAGTAGCTGGGATTAACAGACGTGGGCCACCAGACACGGCTAATTTTTGTATTTTTGGTAAAGACAGGGTTTCACCAGGTGGCCAGGCTGATCTGGAACTCCTGACCTCAAGTGATCCACCCACCTCAGCCTCCCAAAGTGCTGGTGTAGAAGCAAACAGTCCCAAATGTCTCAATAGGCTCTGAGGCCCGTTGCTATACTTTTTAAGTACTTACGTCTGCTTTTTAGTTTTTCTGACAGACTGTTTTCCTCGCAGACTGTTCTGCATCATGTTTTTGAAATCTGGCAGCAACAGTTGTTTTATTGTTGTTGCTGTCACCATACTCTTTCCACCAGCTTTAATTTGGGGCTTCTTGTTTGTTATAGCTTTGATAACCCTGGATCTATGCTTAATGTAACTGTGTGTCATTACAACCTGGTAGTTCTGACTGAGAGCTAAATGTCTTTCCTACTAGTTAAGTGCATAAGCTTGAGTGCGTGGACTTCATGACATTTGGTTTTCTCAGAACTCAGAAATTCTTTTTTTTTTTTTTTTTTTTTGAGACGGAGTCTCGCTCTGTCACCCAGGCTGGAGTGCAGTGGCGCAATCTCGGCTCACTGCAAGCTCCGCCTCCCGGGTTCACGCCATTCTTCTGCCTCAGCCTCCCGAGTAGAGTAGCTGGGACTACAGGCGCCCGTCACCACGCCGGGCTAATTTTTTTTGTATTTTTAGTAGAGACGGGGTTTCACCGTGTTAGCCAGGATGGTCTCGATCTCCTGACCTCGTGATCCGCCCGCCTCGGCCTCCCAAAGTGCTGGGATTACAGGTGTGAGCCACCGTGCCCGGCCTCAGAATTCTTTTTGCTTCGTCCTGGTTTTTAGCTATTTTCCAGATAATTGCAGGATCCCTGAGTTATGTTTAAATGTGGTCTTCTGGTACATTCTGTCACCTTGTACAAAAGAGAATTTTTTTTCATACTCTTAGCTTTGATTTCATCAAAGTGATTGATGCTCATTAGGATCTGTCCAGATTTAGGTGTTCCTGCCAATAATCAATACCTCTGATTGAGGTTCTAGATTTAGCATTTTAAAAACAAAAAGGGAGTATTTTGAAAATAATAAGTATATGTCTTTAAAAACAAGTATATTCCCTAGTAAAGTGAACCTATGTACAACTAGTTGGCAGGACCTGTTCACTTTGAATATATTGCACAAACATGTCTAGGTCACCACCAACTTTTCCTCACTAACAAGGTTGATTATTATTTGCTGGTCTGGTGGAGCTGGCCTCTTGAATCCTCAGTGCTCCCCACTGACCCCCTCTATGGAGCTTTATTTAAGACAACAGGGGTTGGAAAACATTTCCTGTAAAGTCCCAGATTGTAAATATTTTAGGCTTGTTTAGGGCAAGGGGAAAAATCAAGGATATTATATAGGTGTTTAGATAACCAGAAAACAAATTCCACAAAATTTTTTAGTAATGACATTTAAAATATAATAATAAGTATAATATAGGTTTGTTAATGAAAGGGATAGAATTTGGTGGGGGAGGGGATGACATTTTCCTTAATTGCACTTCAGAGTTGGTGTTTTCTGTCATCAAACTGATAAATATTCATCTGTAAAAACCGTTTGTAGCTCACGTTACTGATCCAAGTTACAAATGATTTCAAAATTTTTTTGCAACCTTAGCCTAGTCTCTGTAAAATTTGTATTATTAGGGCATCTGTCCTTATAGGGCATATCTTTATAGAATATTTTCAGTTTATTTCTGTAACTGTTATACCACTACACTGTTCTGTCACTGAGCACACACTTCTTTCTTTTCTCTCTCTTATTTATTTATTTATTTTTTTGAGACAGACTGTCTGTTGCCCAGGCTGGAGTGCAGTGGCACAATCTCTGCTCACTGCAACCTCTGCCTCCCAGGTTCAAGTGATTCTCCTGCCTCAGCCTCCTAAGTAGCTGGGGCTACAGGCATCCACCACCACGCCTGGCTAATTTTTGTATTTTTAGTAGAGACAGGGTTTCACCATGTTGGCCAGGCTGATCTTGAACTCCTGACCTCAAGCAGTCTGCCCGGCTTTGGCCTCCCAAAGTGCTGGGATTACAGGCATGAGCCACTGCGCCTGGCCGTTGTTAAATTTTATCTAACTCATTTTGCTGATCAGTTCACTCCACTATATTGTGTATTCCTTTTAGTTTTTAAGTCACAAGTTTGACAAGCATGCTATCATTTGGAGTATTTCAGTTTGTAATAGAAATGTTGAACAGGATAAAACTGTAGTACTACAGTTTTACTGGAAGGAAAATCTCAAATGGGGAACTAATGCCAGAATGCAGCAGTGATTATAGAAAGGAATTTTAAAAGTTAAGCAAATCATCTTAGAAATGCAGCATTCCTTTTTGTACCCGGTCATACAAGAAAGAAGCCTCTGGAAATTCAATCAGATATGTGACATATTTGTCTGAATCATCAAAGCTAAGAAAATGTAATAAATATGGTCACTTGATTGAAGGACAGTTGCATTCTCCTATATTTCTACTGTCTCCAACAAGGTAGAAAGATAATTTTTTTCATTGAAGTTATACTTTTTTAATTAAAAAAGGAAAAAGTAAATCTTTTTATTTTGAAAAATGTTAAATCTATAGAAAAGATGAAAAAATCACGAACACCTGTATATCCTGTCACTAACTGTTAGCCTTTTCCACACTGCCGAAATCTTTCGGCAGGTACATACACACCCACACGCACCTCTTTTGCCAAACTACCCAAAAGTAGGTTGCAGACATTGTGATACTTTGTCCCAAGTACTTAATTGCAGCTTGCACCTCCCAAGAACAAAGAAATTCTTTTACGCAACTCCATCACTGTTACAACTAGAAATACAATATTAATTCAAGAATATCATGCAATACATAGTTAATACTCAAGTTTTTCCAATTGTTCCAAAAATATACCTTATATTCTTTAAAAAAACAAAAATAAAAAAAACCAGGAGCCATATGCAGGAGATAATCAATGTTTATGCATTTGTTGTTAGGTCTTTTTAGACTCCCCTAACCTAAAACTATCCTTTGACCTATCTCTTTCTTGTCACCATTAAAATCTTTGAAGAGTCTAGGTCAGGTTTTCTGCAGAACATCTAATATTCTGGATTTATGGACTGTTTATTTCAAAATAGATCCTGGTCAAACATTTCTGGCAAGAATATCACATGGGTTATGTTGAGAACACCCCACTACATTACATCAAAAGGTACAGGATGCCAGGACATCCCACTACTGGGAATGCCAAACATGACCACTTGTTAAGAGGGTGACTGCTATATCTTTCAATTATAAAGGTTCATGTTCCATTTTGTAATTAGTAAGCAGACACTGGGGTGACATTTGAGGGCCTTTGACTATCCTCTCCTTAACAATCTTCCAGTCAGTTGTTTTAGCATCCATTGATGATCCTTCCATTATAGCATAGAAAGTGGCCATTAAATTATTATTTTCTAATTTTATCCTTTCAATATTTAATAATTGTCATTTGTCATTAAAAGAAGAAAGATTTTGTCTGAGCTCTAAATCAGTCACTCAAACAATTTTATTATTTTTTTAGAATCAAATAATTTACTTCTTGATTCCCTAACTTAGATATATCTGGTTTTTTATTCAAATTCTAGTATATTGATTTCAAAGTATGGGCATCTAGGGTTCTGGTATTTTTCTCAGGTAAGCTACATTATTTTTATTTTTTTCTTATCTCCTTTGACTCAGAAGAGGTTTGTTTATATGGAATGACATATATAGTGTTAAACACTTTAAATATATTAGGAACTAATATGTTTGGCATATAATACATCTAAAAACATTGTTTCTCTTCTTCCTTTCCTCTTTACCACTCCCAACCATATCACGTTTGAAAAAAAAAAGTTTCTTTTTTGAAGACTAATTTGACAGTTCTAAGGCTTATTTTTAAGAAATTAATCTTGGAACATAAGAAGGCATTTTGTCTGTTCTGCATGTCTTGATTATTTGAAAAGATAATGCTCACGTTAAGGTGAACTTGTTAACTCTTTCTATTGTGTGTGTGAAAATGTAATGAGTATATAGACTCATGTGTCACCTAATGGAGGTAAGATATCTACTTAGTATACATGCCTTTGGTCCAGATCAGACGCTTATCCAAAAGATCACTTAAGTCTGGGGAGTCATGGTCTCTCTTTGGTCTGCTGATAAAATTTATCTGGTAACCCATTTAGGAGGTCCCAGGGCTGAAAATGTCTTAGGTTACGTTAAACCTTCCTGGTATCATTCCTGTTTTCTGAAGTAGGAAGCCAAAAGAGCTTCCTGCAGCAATTTAATTTGCTGTCATCAAGTAGAGCATGTTATAATGATGACAGTTATTATTTTTTAGTACTTAGTAGCTACGGGGGATCTAGTTGTAGCTAGTTTATTTGATTTATCTTGACGTAATTTATTCATTTTTACAAATTGCAACACTCTTGATTAATAAATCTGTGCATGTCAATGGTAGCAAAATAATTGCCTTGCAAAAAGTTTCCTCTTTTAAAACTATACTGTTTCCCAAATTTCTGTATACAATAATGCATATATACAATCCATGGAAATTCAAAAAAATAATGCTTATTCATAGATAAATTAGTGTAGCAGAATCAATATTGGTAAATTCTACCTCTATCACATCATTTTCATAACTAGAGAATAAAACTGTTGACACTTAAGATCCACATGTAATGAGATAAATTTATACTACTTTTTTCTTCTTTACACCTAGAGAATGGGACATTTTAGAGACTGAAGAGCATTATAAGAGCCGATGGAGATCTATTAGGATTTTATATCTTACTATGTTTCTCAGCAGTGTAGGTAAGTATTAGAAATACATAATTTTAACAATTCAGATCAGATGTCATATTTTAACTTCATTTACTTCATTTACTTTCATTGCCTCTGAAATTATCTTTATTGTGCTAAAAAATACGTGACATAAATTTACCGTGTTACCATATCTAAGTTCAATAGCCTTAAGTATATCCACATTGTTGTGCAACCAATCCCTAGAACATTTTCATCTTGCAAAAGAGAAACTCTATACCCATTAAACAACTCCCTATTTTCCCATCCCCCAAGCCCTAGCAAACTTTGTTTCTTGGAATTTGACTATTCTAGATAGCTCATATAAATGGAATTATATAGTATTTTTTTTCTTGTGATGAGATTATTTCACTCAATGTCCTCAAGTTGGTTCATGTTGCACTTGTGATAATTTCCTTTTATTTAAAGGCTGTATAGTTCATTATATGTATTCTAGGGTAGGAGAAATTTTTCCTCTATTCTCCTATGTGCTTAAGGCTTGTGAATTAAGCTGACAAAAGAAAGACTAACAGTTAAAAAAGTATACAAATTTATTTGATGTTAATATTTTTTAATGAAAAGAAACAAATAACATTAAGGAATGTACATACAAACGAAACTAGACAACTACTAAGAGTCCCTAACACTTTCATGTACTCACAAAAGTATTTCATCTTTTTTTTTTTTTTTTTTTGAGACGGAGTTTCACTCTTGTTGCCCAGGCTGGAGTGCAATGGCACGATCTCAGCTCACTGCAACCTCCACCTCCCAGATTCAAGCGATTCGCCTGCCCCAGCCTGCCAAGTATCTGGGATTACAGGCATGTGCCACCACCCCTGGCTAATTTTGTATTTTTAGTAGAGACGGGATGTCTCCATGTTGGTCAGGCTGGTCTCGAACTCCCAACCTCAGGTGATCTGCCCACCTCGGCCTCCCAAAGTGCTGCGATTACAGGCGTGAGTCACCGCCCCCAGTTAAAAATATTTCATCTTTTTTCTTTTTTTTTTTTTTTCAAGACGGAGTTTCGCACTGTCGCCCAGGCTGGAGTGCAGTGGCGCGATCTCGGCTCACTGCAAGCTCCGCCTCCCAGGTTCGCGTGATTCTCCTGCCTCAGCCTCCCGAGTAGCTGGGACTACAGACACCCGCCACCACGCTAATTGTTTTATATTTTTAGTAGAGACGGGGTTTCACTGTGTTAGCCGGGATGTCTTGATCTCCTGACCTCGTGATCTGCCAGACTCAGCCTCCCAAAGTGCTGGAATTACAGGCCTGAGCCACCGCACCTGGCCAAAAGTATTTCATCTTTACAGCCATCAGTCAATTATTTGTTCTGCTACTTCTTGAAGATGTGCAAAATTTCTTTTTAAAAAAATTTTATTATTTATTATTATTTATTCATTTTTTGAGGTGGAGTCGCCCAGGCTGGAGTGCAGTGGTGTGATCTCGGCTTACTGCAACCTCTGCCTCCTGGGTTCGAGCAATTCTTGTGCCTTAGCCTCCCGAGTAGCTGGGACTACAGGCGCACGCTATCACGCCCAGCTAATTTTTTTGTATCTTTAGTAGAGATGGGGTTTCACGGCGTTAGCCAGGATGGTCTCGATCTCGTGACCTCATGATCTGCCCGCCTCAGCCTCCCAAAGTGCTGGGATTACAGGCGTGAGCCACCCCGCCTGGCCAGTGCAAAATTTCTTAAGTTTAAATATACAGTCTTAATTATACCTGTGTCTTAATGTCCCAAGACAGATTGTAGGTAACAGAATCTCAATTGTGCCTCAAAGAATTAACAACAAAACAAAATTCAATCTATTCTCTGCATTCAGGCAGAAAGGGGGAGAGCAGAGAACCCTTCCTGCATCTGCTATTTCTCGGTTGCCTTCAGTTTGAGATAATTAATATGGCAAAACAGCAGATTTTTGGAGTAGCATACTCTGATTGCCTTCAGTATATACCACATTTTTTTTTTTTTTTTTTTTGAGACAAAGTCTCGCTCTGTCGTCCAAGCTGGAGTGCAGTGGTGTGATCTTGGCTCACTGAAACCTCCGCCTGCGGGGTTCAAGCAATTCTCTGCCTCAGCCTCCCAGGTAGCTGGGATTACAGTCACCCACCACCATGCCCGGCTAATTTTTGTATTTTTAGTAGAGATGGGGTTTCACCATCTTGGCCAGGCTGGTCTTGAACTCCTGACCTCGTGATCCACCGGCCTCAGCCTCCCAAAGTGCTAGGATTACAGCCTAGCCTGGCCTACCACATTTTGTTTAGCCATTTATCTGTCGATGGACATTTGGGTTGCTTCCACCTCTTGGCTGTTGTGAATAGTGCTGCTGTCAATATGGGTGTGCAAATATCTCTTCAAGATCCTGCTTTTAGTCCTTTTGGGTATATATCCAGAAGTGAAATTGCTGGATCATATTATGATTTTCTTTTTAATTTTTTAATTTTTTGGAAAATTGCCATACTGTTTTCCATAGCAGCCGTACCATTTTATTTACATTCTCAACAACAGTCAGGGTTCCAATTTTTTCACATCCTTGCCAACGTTAACTTTCTTTTGGATAGTAGTCATCCTAGTGGATGAGATGGTATCTTGTTTTGATTTGCATCTTCTTAATGATTAGTGATGTTGAACATGTTTCTTGTGCTTTCTGTCCATTTGTATATCTTCTTTGGAGAAGTGTTTGTTCAAGACCATTGCCCATTTATTAGTTGGATTTTTTGTTGTTGAGTTGTAGGAATTCTTTATATACTCTGAATGTTAGCCCCTTATCCAATATATGATTTGTAAATATTTTCTCCCATTCCAGGACTCTTCTATTCAGTGTGCTAAATGTATCCTGTGATTCACATTCACAGAAGTGTTAAATACTGATGTAGTCCACCTTCTCTGTTTTTTTCTTTTTGAGACAGAGTCTTGCTTTGTTGCCCAAGTTGGAGTGCAATGGCACTATCTCGGCTCGCTGCAACCTCCCGCTTTCGGGTTCAAGCTATGCTTGTGCCTCAGCCTCCCTGGTAGCTGGGACTGCAGGTGTGTGCCACCACACCTGGCTAATTTTTGTATTTTTAGTAGAGACGGGGTTTTGCCATTTTTGCCAGGCTGATCTCAAACTCCTGACCTCAGGTAGTCCACCTGCCTTGGCCTCCCAAAGTGCTGGGATTACAGGCATGAGCCCCACACCTGGCTGTTTTTATCTTTTGTTGCCTCTAACCTCAACTTATTTTTATATTGATAAAACATACAAAAAGTAAAATACAAGAATCTCAATTTGTATTGCTTGATGTATTTTAACCTATTCACATTATTTCTGAATATGTAGTTACTAAAAAGTAAAACTTCATGAGGAAAACTTTTCAAAATATTAAACATCTATAACCATGTTAAAAGGATGGGATGAGAATATATAGGAATGATCAATATTGTGATAGTTTTTAAAGGACTGTTTTAGGAAATGAATTTTTTTCCAAGTAGAAACCCTCTAAATCTATAGGCACTAATATTACAAGTGGTCTCTTTCCCCTGAGAGGAATTAAGGAAGGTCATTTTACTAAATTGCTTTCCATATATTTTCCATATATTTTCTATTTACCCCAATCATCCTGTTTTCTCTCACTTGCCAAAGTTGTGCATGATTCAGTACTGGGTAAAAAGAAAAGTGAATGATAAAGGATATTTTCAACAATTCTTTATAATACATTTTCACCTTGCATTGTGTATCAGTTAGAATGACTTGTGCAGGGCCAGGCAAGGTGGCTCACGCCTGTAATCCCAGCACTTTGCAAGGCTGAGGCGGGCGGATCACGAGGTCAGGAGTTTGCGACCAGTCTGGCCAATATGGTGAAACCCCATCTCTACTAAAAATACACTTGAACCCAGGAGGCAGAGGTTGCACTGAGCCAAGATCACACCACTGCACTCCAGCCTGGGCCACAGAGCAAGATTCCGTCTCAAAAAAAAAAAAAAAAAAAAAAAAAAAACAGAATGCCTTGTGCAAATATCAGAAAAAGTGCTGAATCAGTTGGCTTATACTGTAACGTAATTTATTCTTTTTTTTTTTTTGAGCTGAGTGCAGTGGCACGATCTTGGCTCACTGCAACCTCAGCCTCCCGTGTTGAAACGATTCTCCTGCCTCAGCCTTCCAAGTAGTTGGGATTACAGGCATGCGGCACCATGCCCAGCTAATGTTGTATTTTTAGTAGAGACGGGGTTTCTCCATGTTGGTCAGGCTGGTCTTGAACTCCCGACCTCAGGTGATCCGCCCGCCTCAGCCTCCCAAAGTGCTAGGATTACAGGTGTGACCTGTAAATTTCTAAACCAACATCAACTAAGATGATGGGATTACTCCAGTTGAATTTTTTAGACTAATCAGAATGTACCCTCTGGGATCGAACATGGAGAGAGTTTCTCTTAGACCATGAGGCTTTGTTGAGGAAGTATGGATACCTGAATAGAACTGGGGTTCCATCAAGAAGGTGGAAGGGGCCAATGGATACTGTTTTGGTAGCAATGCCTGCAATTGATTTATTTTTCCATTTTAAACACTTCTGGTTTTTAGTACTCAATTATCTAAAATTATAAGAAACAATTTCAAATTCAACAGCAAAAAAAGAAAATTATTTTAACTTTAGATTTTTTTTTTTTTTTTTTTTTTGAGGTGGAGTCTCACTCTGTCTTCCAGGCTGAAGTGCAGTAGCACGATCTCAGCTCACCTCAACCTCTGCCTCCCGGGTTCAAGCGATTCTCCTGCCTCAGCCTCCTGAATAGATGAGACTACAGGTGCCTGCCACCACGCCCAGCTAATTTTTGTATTTTTAGTAGAGACGGGGTTTCACCATGTTGCCATTGCTGGTCTTGAACTCCTGACTTCAAATGATCTGCCTGCCGCAGTCTCCCAAAGTGCTTGGATTACAGGCATCATCCACTGTGCCTGGCCAACTTTAGATTTTAATTGGCATGTTAAACATTTTGTTTACAAATTTCTGTACTCCAAAATTGTAGCCTTGATTTAAAAGATTAATTGGTGCTTTCAGTCCTTTACTGATCAAAGTAACTATGTCAATTCAAAATACTTTAAAATGAAGCTAATATTTATTTATTTTTATTTATTTATTTTTTTTGAGACAGAGTCTTGCTCTGTCACCCAGGCTGGAGTGCAGTAGCGCAATCTCTGCTCACTGCAAGCTTCGCCTCCCGGGTTCTCGCCATTCTCCTGCCTCAACCTCCCGAGTAGCTGGGACTACGATGCATGCCGCTACACCCGGATAATTTTTTGTATTTTTAGTAGAGACAGGGTTTCACTGTGTTAGCCAGGATGGGCTCGATAGCCTGACCTCATGATCCGCCCACCCAGGCCTCCCAAAGTGCTGGGATTACAGGCATGAGCCACCGTGCCTGGCCTGAAATGAAGCTAATAATTAAATTATGTTTTAAAATAGGGTTTATATAAGGAATGTACATGTACACCATGGATGAATCTTGAAAATATAATGCTAAGGCCAGGCGCGGTTGCTCACACCTGTAATCCCAGCATTTTAGGAGGCCGAGGCAGGCGGATTGCAAGGTCAGGAGATTGAGACCATCCTGGCCAACATGGTGAAACCCCATCTCTACGAAAAATACAAAAAATTAGCTGGGTGTGGTGGCACGTGCTTGTAATCCCAGCTACTCTGGAGACTGAGGTGTGAGAATTGCTTGAACCCGGGAGGCGGAGATTGCAATGAGCCGAGATTGCGCCACTGCACTCCAGCCTGGTGACATAGCGAGACTCTGTCTCAAAAAAAAAAAAAAAAATACTAAGTGAAAGAAGACAAGACAAAAGACCATGTATTATATTATTCTATTTGTATGAAAATACAGATAAAACTCTATAGAGTACAAACAAAGTACATTAGTGGTTGTTTACAGCTGGCAGGAGAGGGGATGAAACAGGGTGATAGCTGAAGGGTATAGAGTTTTTTTTGAGGTGACAAATGTGTTCTAAAATTGACAGTAATGGCTGGGCGCAGTGGCTAATGCCTGTAATCCCAACACTTTGGGAGGCAAGGCAGGCAGATCACCTGAGGTCAGGAGTTCGAGACCAGCCTGGTCAACATGGTGAAACCTCATCTCTACTAAAGTACAAAAATTAGCCTGTTGTGGTGGCAGGAGCCTGTAATCCCAGCTGCTCGGGAGGCTGAGGCAGGAGAATCGCTTGAATCCAGGAGTCGGAGGTTGCAGTGAGCCGAGATCGGGTCACTACACTCCAGCCTGGGCGACAAGAAACTCTGTCTCAAAAAATAAATAAATCAAATAAAATTGACTGTAATGATGGTTGCACATATCTGTGATTATATTAAAACCCATTGTGATTATATTAAAACCCATTGAATTGTATACTTTAAATGCATAATTGTATGATATGGGAATTATATATCTCAACAGCTATTTTTAAATTTATTTTTTCTTTTTTTTCCTTTTTTTTTTTGAGACAGAGTCTCACTCTCACCTAGACTGGAGTGCAGTGGTGCAATCTTGGCTCACTACAACCTCCGCCTCCGTGTTCAAGCAATTCTCCTGCCTCAGCCTCCTGAATGGCTGGGATTACAGGCATGCGCTACCATGCCCAGCTAATTTTTGTATTTTTTTTTTGCAGAGAGGGGTTTCTCCATGCTGGCCAGGCTGGTCTCAAACTCCTGGCCTCAAGTGATTCACCCACCTCGGCCTTCCAGAGTTCTGGGATTACAGGCGTGAGACACTGTGCCCAGCCTCAGTAAAGCCATTTTGAAGAACAGGCTTTATAGAATTTCTTGATTTGCCCAACATTTATTTATTCATTTTTAATTTTTTTTTGAGATGGAGTCAAGCTCTGTCACCCATGCTGGAGTGCAGTGGTGCGATGTTGGCTCACTACAACCTACTCCGCCTCCTGGGTTCAAGCAATTCTTCTACCTCAGCTTCCTAAGTAGCTGGGATTACAGGCATGTGCCACCATGCCCGGCTAATTTTTATATTTTTAGTAGAGACAGGGTTTCACCATGTTGGCCAGGCCGGTCTCAAACTCCTGACCTTAGGTAATCTGCCTGCCTCAGCCTCCCAAAGTGCTGGGATTACAGGCATAAGTCACTGCTGGCTGCATTTGCCTAACATTTAAAATTGACAGATAGTGTTGGAGTTAATCATTATAGTTTTCATGTAGTAAAGGCTAGCAGAAATAGTGAATTTTCTTTTAAGGTATGGCCATCTTGAAGTATTCTGGTTTTCTATAGCCCCCCTGTAGATGATCATTTTCCTTATTCCTGCTCTTCCCTTCAGTCAATTATCTCCTCCAAACAACACAGGATAGAAGCCTAGCACTTCCTGTCTAACAAAATAGCCTTTCCTCCATTCATTTCTGCTATAAAAACTTAACAAAGCTTTTGGTTATTTCCATTTACAGTAAAAGCACATGAGTATGGAGAAGTAGATCCTCTGCTTTTTTGTATTTGTTATTATGATGAGGGACTGTAATTGTATGTTCTTTTAGTCTTTATTTTTCTTCTGATAATTAAAATCTCATTGCCTCATAAATTAGGCATTTGTATGCATAGATTTTAGGTTCAGAATATTTTAAAATCCATGCCACGGTTCAGAAAATTGTATCTGTAATAATGATTAAATTATTATAAGTATAAATAACCTAGTTTGCTTCTTCACAGGGTTTTCTGTAGTGATGATGTCCATATGGCCATATCTCCAAAAGGTTTGTACATTTCAATCTATTTTTCCCTTATAGCTACAGTAGTAGTAACTCTTACGTAGTTAAGCATTTTCTAAAGAGTCTCTTTGGTATTCTATGGTTTAATCTTTACAAGAATAATGAGATAATAGTTCCTTAAAAGAGGCTTATAAGTAATGTGACCATATGCTTTATTGTGCAAGCCAGAACACTTTTGTAGTGAAGAGACTGCTACGTAAGGAAAAATAGGATCATACCCAGATAGTCCCAGGCAAAGGTAGATGTATGGTCACCTACTCAGAAGCCACATTCATATTCCATCATTACCTCTTCCCTAATAAAAAGGAAACTAGTAATAGTCTGAATTCCTAAAGTGTGTAAATGATATTTTTGTGGAATAATTTAACGCTTTTCCCATAAAATTAATTTGGGCTATCAGGTAACATTGTAAAGACTAGAACATATGTATTTTTTGATGCTGTTATTACTAGAAGGGGAAGAGGGGGTGACATGAATATGTAAGTTTGTTAGGTAGCTTAACATCAGTTGATCATCAGGTCCTGTCAGTTCTATCTTAAATCTCCAGGAAGAAACTTAACTAAAAATCAGTATATAAGTTGGTTACATAATTCATCTATAACAATGTTTTAGTAAAGGTTCTTAAAGAGTTCCTCTGTATTTCCTAACCTACTCCTTAACCTACTGCTATCTGATTAACTTTTCTGCTGTCCTGAAACTGCTCTTGTAAGGTTTCCAATTACTTAATTGTTGATCACGAAATACTTTTCAGTCCTTATTTTAGGTGACACCTGGATAGGATTTGACATTGTTGTCCTCTCCTTACTTCCTGAAACCACCTGTATTAGTCTGTTTTCTGTTGCTTATAACAGAATACCCTAAACCAGATAATTTATTTTAAAAAAGGAATTTATTTCTTACCGTTACAGAGGCTGAGAAGTCCTAGTTTGAGAGACCACATCTGGTGAGGGCCTTCTTGCTGGTGGGGACTCTCCGAAGAGTCCCAAGACAGTGTAGGGCATCACATGATGAAGGGGCTGAGCATGCTAGCTCAGGTCTCTCTTCCTTCTCTTATAAAGCCACCAGTTCCACTCCATGATAACCCATTAATACATAAATGGATTCATTCATGAGGGCACAGCCTTCATGATCCAATTGTTAGTTGGCAGATCTGTGTCTGTACAGGTCTGCAGCAACCTCAATTCTTGCCTCCTGAAAGAAATAATTCAAGTAAAGGACATAATGCAGAAGGAGAAACTGAGGCAAGTTGTAGAGCAGGAGTTAAAATTTATTAAAAAGCTTTAGAGCAAGAATGAAAGGAAGGAAAAGAAGGAAAGTACACTTGGAAGAGGGCCAAGTGGGCAACTTGAAAGACAAGCCTGCGGTTTGACCTTTTGACTTGGGATTTCATACACTGGCATAATTTTGGGGTCTTGCATTACTTCTCCCCACTCACCCCACCCCTGAGATCGTATCAGGAAGCTGCTAATTACCAGGTGTTTTCTATTTATTAGGAGGCTGCCTTTTCCTAGCACTAGCTGTGACCAATAATTACTTTAGAGAGCGTTAACAACCGCCTGACCATCACCTAACAGTCTCTCCACACTCCCCATGTGAGGGGCAGGGGAGACCTCTCCTGCCCTGTTCATACCCAACTAGCTACCTAATGTAACACAGTCACTTCTTAAAGGTCCTACCTTTCAATATTTTAATAATATTAATTTAAATATTAATTTCCAAAAAATGAAATTTGGGGGACACATTCAAACCATGGCACCACCTCTTAGCTTCTGTGACATTTCTCTATCCTGGCTTTCCTCTTAACTCTAATGACTTATTCTTAAATTCTTTTGTGTATTCTTCCTTATCAGTTTATCCCTTGTTGGTTTTTCTATGAGGTTGGAGAGAGAGTGTGTGTGTGTGTGTGTGTGTGTGTGTGTGTGTGTTCACACGTGCATATGTGTGTTTTATCCTAGATTCTGAACTTTGTCCCATATTAGATGTATAGCCAACAATTTATTAGATAAATCCATGGTACTTGGATGAACCCAGGCTCCTCAGGTCTTTACACATTTGTCTCCCTTTTTACTGGAATGCTTTTCCTCTCTCCATCTTTCTTTTGCTCTCCCCTTTCTCCTTCCTCACTGTCTTTTATTCACTCTTCAAGGTTTTGCTCCAGTGTCACCTCCTCTGGAAAGCCTTCTCTCTCTCTCTGTTTTTTTTTTTTTTTTTGCAATGGAGTCTTGCTCTGTTGCCCTGGCTGGCATGCAGTGGCGTGATCTTGGTGCGCTGCAATCTCTGCCTTAAGGGTTCAAGCGATTCTCCTGCCTCAGTCTCCCAAGTAGCTGGGACTACAGACGCCAGCTACCACACCCGGCTAATTTTTGTATTTTTAGTAGAGACGGGGTTTCACCATACCGGCCAGGCTGATCTCTACCTGACCTCAGGTGGTCCACCCACCTCGGCCTCCCAAAGTGCTGGGATTTCCACCTCCTGGGTTCAAGCGATTCACATGCCTCAGCCTTCCAAGTAGCTGGGATTACAGGCACCCGCCACCATTCCTGGCTAATTTTTATAATTTTAGTAGAAGTGGGTTTTCGGCATGTTGGCTAGGCTGATCTCGAACGCCTGACCTCAGGTGATCCTGCCTCAGCCTCCCCAGTTGCTGGGGTTACAGATGTGAGCCACTGCACCTGGCCTGGAAAGGCTTCTCTCACTGTCCCTCACAACAATTTGGGTCAGAAGCTTTTCCTGTATACTCCCGTTTCCCTTTATCATTAGCCCTTAATATGGAGTGTCCTAACACTGTATTTACAGAGAGTTTACTTAACTCCCCTACTAGATTGTCTAGATTGTTAGGATTGTTTTTTTTTTTAATTTTTGTGGTTTTTTTTGTAAATGGAGTCTCGCTCTGTCACCCAGGCTCGAGGTCAGTGATGCAATCTTGGCTCACTGCAGCCTCCACCTCCAAGGTTCAAGTGATTCTCCTGCCTCAGCCTCCCAAGTAGCTGGGATTACAGTCGTGCACCACCACGCCCAGCTAATTTTTGTATTTTTAGTAGAGACAGGGTTTCACTGTGTTGACCAGGCTGGTCTCAAACTCCTGACCTTGGGTGACCCACCACCTCAGCCTCTCAAAGTGCTGGCATTACAAGTGTGAGCCACCATGCCCAGCCCAGTTTTTACGAATTTCTACTTTTTGAAAATGCTCTCCTAAAATATATTTTTAAAGGAATATAAGAAGAAAAGAAATACAAATTTTACTTTTTACTGGTTTAGTGCCATATTTTCATTGCTATTTTGAAAATAATATTACATGAAATTATTACCCATTACACTAAAAATTCTTTCCATGCTGGTAGTCATTGGAATTGGCACAATTCTGGAGCAACGTCTTCTCTACTAAAAAGATATTTTCATGTATCAAAATTCTTAATTTCTTGGCATTTAGTCTTTTTAGTCAAAATTCTCAAAAGAAGGATATTAGTAGTGATTAGGTCTACTCAGCATACTATGTTGAGTTTTGAAAAGTACTCTCTTTTCTCCAGATATTTTGAAAACTCTTTAAAGAGTCTTGCTATCAGGCCCAGTGCTGTGACTCACGTGCCTGTAATCCCAGCGCTTTGGGAGGCCAAGTTGGGAGGATTGCTTGAGCCCAAGAGTTCAAGACCAGCCTGGGTAACGATATAAGACCTCGTCTCTACAAAAAAATTTAAAAAGTTATCTGGGTATGGTGGTGCTACTCCCTGTAGTCCCAGCTGCTTGGGAGCCTGAGTTGGGAGGATTTCTTGAGCAAAGGAGTTTGAGGTTACAGTGAGCCAAGATTATGCCACTGTATTCTGGCCTGGGTGACAGAGCCAGACCCTGTCTCAGAAAAAAAAAAAAAAAAAAGTTTTGCTTTCAAACCACTACACATTTAACATTAAAATTGAGTTTTCATTGCTTTTTTGAAAATTAAAATTTTATGTAACATGAAATTATTATTTTCTATTTTAGTAGAGATGACAAATGAAGCTAAAGGTAATACAGGAAGAAAATGAAAACCAGAGTACCTAAAATGAAAGATATTTTAACGGCTAGAACTTTAAATATTATGTATCATTATACTTTTGCATATTATTTCTTATTTTTTTCATAAAGAAAAACGCACCTAAATATTTTCACTTTAAATATCTTTAGGGAATTACCAGGCACGGTGGCTCACACCAACAATCCCAGCACTTTGGGAGGCCAAGGCAGGCAGCTCACCTGAGGTCAGGAGTTAAGAGATCAGCCTGGCCAACATGGTGAAACCGCGTCGCTACTAAAAAAAATATAAAAATTAGCTGTGCCCACGTGGTGGCACATGCCTGTAATCTCAGCTACTTGGGAGGCTGAGGCAGGAGAATCGCTTGAACCTGGGAGGTAGAGGTTGTAGTGACCTGAGATCGCACCATTGCACCCCAGCCTGGGCAACAAGATCAAAACTCCGTCTCAAAAGTAAATAAATAAATAAAATAAAATAAATAAATAAATATCTTTAGGGAACAAAAGGTCATAGTTTTCCTTATTAAATTGTTCTACCACTTATCTATATTTGTTTAAATTTATTTCCTAAAATTTAATAAAAGCCATTAAATAGGAAGATTAGAGATAGAATCTTCCTATGTTGCCCAGACTGGAGTGCAGTGGCTTTTCACAGGTACAGTCATAGTGTGTTACAGCCTCCAACTCCTGGGCTCAAGGGATCCTTCTACTCTAGACTGCTGAGTAGCTGAGATTACAGGCATGGGCCACTTCGCCTGGCTTAGCCTACCACATATGAAAAAAAGTAATCTGGCTGAGTGCGGTGGCTCATGCCACTAATCCCAATATTTTGGGAGGCCAAGGTGGGAGAATTCCTCCCTCCCGCGGCAGGAGGATTGCTTTGAGAGTTGGAGGCGGGAAGTTCAAGACCAGCCTGGGCAACATAGGGAGACCCTGTCTCTACAAAAATAAAAAAATTAGGTGGGCATGGTGGTGCATACCTGTAGTCCTGGCTACTCAAGAGGCTGAGGCAGGAGGATCACTTGGGCCTCAAAGGTCGAGGCTGCACTGAGCCGTGATCGGACCACTGCGCTCCAGCCTGGATGTCAGAGTGAGACCCTGTCTCAAAAAAAAAATAAAAATAAAAATAAACAATAGTGCCTTTTCTAAGCTAACATTTTCTATTTTTCTGAAAGTATTTTATTTTCTGAGTTGTAGTCATTTGGTTCTCCCCTTAAGTTCATCATGATATGTAAACCCTTTTAAAGTGGTAGAATACTGAGTGGTCTATATAGAACGGAAGAATTTATAACAGGTTTATTGAGATAATTGTCTATCATCTTTTGTGTTTTTATTATCTTCTTTATGCATTTGACTCTTGTGCCTAGTTTTTTTAAAAAAAATGATTTACAGCGCTAATGGCTGTTTAACGTATAGGGTAGCATAAGTCTAAAGAATTCTATTTACAAGAATTAAAGAATAGCTTATATTATTTTTCATGATGTTATTGCTATATGCGTATATAGTGTGTGTGATTATCTTCTTACCAAGGTTTATATGAACCAAAAATTTCCAGTCATTCTTAAAAATGAGCCTCCCAAGCATTTTTCCCTTGTGTACAGTCTATTGTTAGCACATTTAATTGTATTGTCAGAAGTTTGAATCCCTTACTATAAGTAATAGTGTTATAAAACTTATACGTTAGAATTGTTTTTATTTTTTGATAGGAAATCTTACATGGTATGACAAATGTATTTAGTTTTAAACTTTTCTTGGATAACAATTCTTAAAGCACTGTACCTTTTTCTGCAGATTGATCCGACAGCTGATACAAGTTTTTTGGGCTGGGTTATTGCTTCATATAGTCTTGGCCAAATGGTAGCTTCACCTATATTTGGTTTATGGTCTAATTATAGACCAAGAAAAGAGCCTCTTATTGTCTCCATCTTGATTTCCGTGGCAGCCAACTGCCTCTATGCATATCTCCACATCCCAGCTTCTCATAATAAATACTACATGCTGGTTGCTCGTGGATTGTTGGGAATTGGAGCAGGTAAGGTTGTATGTATATGTTTGGTTGTGTCATATTCACATTCATTCTGACATTTATGGCTCACTTTTAACTGGTCTCATCCCCTTTTAAACTCATATTTCACAGTTCAACATACATGTTTCTCATTGTAAACAAATATTTTTCTTATCATTTTGCCTTTGCTCATGATGTTCTCATTACCTATAGTTTCTCTTCTGTTCTCATCATTCTTCATCCTTCAAGATTCAGTTTAAACCAGGTGTGGTGGCACGTGCCTATAATACCAGCTACTCAGGAGACTGAGGTAGCAGAATCTCTTGAGCCCAGGAGTTCGAGGCCAGCCTGGGTAACATAGGGAGACCTCCATCTAAAAAAAAAAAAACCCAAAACAAAAATAGATCCAATTCAAGCTCCACATTTTCCACAAAGCCATCTTGGGCTACCCTGCCCCTTGAGAGATTTTTTTCTTCTCTGACATGTCTCTGGCACTTGCTTATAGTATTGTACTGTTTCTATCCTTTCTCACTAACCAGATAATAATTTTTTTTTTTTTTTGAAACGGAGTCTTACTCTGTCACCCAGACTGGAATGCAGTGGCGCAATCTTGGCTCACTGCATCCTCTACCTGCCTGGGTTCAAGCAATTCTCCTGCCTCAGCCTCCCGAGTAGCTGGGATTACAGGCGTCTGCCACTGCACCTGGCTAATTTTTGTATTTTTAGTAGAGACGCAGTTTCACCATCTTGGCCAGGCTGGTCTTGAACTCCTGACCTCGTGATCCACTCGCCTCGGCCTCCCAAAGTGCTGGGATTACAGGCATGAGCCACCATTCCCAACCTAAACTTTTTGCAATTAGAAAGAATTAATGATACTTTAAAAATATCCTATGCCCCCTAACAGAGTCTCTTGAATGTAATGTACTCAATGAAAATTTTCAGTAAAATTGTTAGTGCATTTTTTTCTGTTTCTTATATTACATGTCTATGCATACAGAGTTTGTAATATTGTAATACTTTTCTTTTAAAAACAGTTGTAGTAATCAATGGTATGCCATTCACTCAGTGCTTTTTTAGTACTAAGTAAGTTTGATATTCTTTTTTTTTTTTTTTCACTGTTGCCCAGGCTAGAGTGCAGTGGCGTGATCTTGGCTCATTGCAACCTCAGCATCCTGGGTTCAAGCAGTTCTTCTGCCTCAGCCTCCTGAGTAGTTGGGACTACAGGTGGATAATTTTTGAATTTTTAATAGAGACGGGGTTTCACCGTGTTGGCCAGGCTGGTCTTGAACTCCTGACCTCAAAATGATCCACCTACCTCAACCTCTGAAAGTGCTGGGGTTACAGATGTGAGCCACTGTGCCCGGCTTGGTTTTCTTATGATACCATTTTTTCACTCATTGATATCTTTAACTGTTTTCATATTACCAAAACTAGTATGGTCCATTAATTGATGCATTTGCTTAATAAAAATACCTTACATGCTTTGTGTGATCATAAAGAGGAAGCAGTGACTGTACTGTTGACCAAGATTTCTTCTTCTGTATAAAGTCAAATTGGATTGAATTTTATAAGCTGAATGATACTTTCTTTTACTTTGGATTATTGTGTCTTGTTTTTAAGGAAATGTAGCAGTTGTTAGATCATATACTGCTGGTGCTACTTCCCTTCAGGAAAGAACAAGTTCCATGGCAAACATAAGCATGTGTCAAGCATTAGGTTTTATTCTAGGTCCAGGTAGGTGTTCTTCACATGTCATTACTTGAATTTGAATTGGGAAAACTTTTGAGGCTTAAATATTCAGTGTAACCCAAGTATAAAAACTCATAGCTGAAGGGAAAGGGAGGAAAGCTAATTTTTTTTTTAATCCAGGAATGAGGCTACACTCATTTTATCTTGATGCCAATCCACTAAATTAAGTGCTATTAGTCCCCTTTTATAGTTGAGAGTGCCAGTGCATAGAGAATCTAAGTAAATTGTCCAAGGTCACCCTTTTGCTGAGTGTTAAAAAAATTAGTGAGGCCATGCGTGGTGGTCCACACCTGTAATCTCAGCACTTTGGGGGTCTGTGGAAGGCAGATCACCTGAGGTCAGGAGTTTGAGACCAGCCTGGCCAACATGGTGAAACCCCATCTCTACTAAAAATACAAAAATTAGCCAGGTGTGGTGGCGGGCACCTGTAATCCCAGCTACTTGGGAGGCTGAGGCAGGGGAATCGCTTGAACTCGGAGGCAGAGGTTGCAGTGAGCTGAGATCACATCATTGCACTCCAGCTTGGGCAACAAGCGCGAGACTCTGTCTCAAAAAAAATTAATGAGATTTAGTATTTCCTCAAGGCAAATTAATTTTCTGCTGAGTAAAGAATCAGTCATTTTCATGCCTAGAATAATATTGAAAAACCATATAATTGGTCCATATTTTGAATATTGAAGTTATGAATATTATCAGTTTGAATCCAACTCAGCTTACTTCATCATTAACACCCCATCTCCCACCCCCAGTTTCCATTACGTTCCTCTATTTAGCCAAAAAGAAAAGGCTCAACAGAAGGGAATCTAATTCACTGTTCACCAAAATCTACTATTTCAGTTTTGTACCCTGAAACAAATACAAGCACAAATGTAGAATAATTGAACTTGAATACTATATTGTAAAGTACATGAGGACATGGTTTGAGTCTTTATTTACCAGTCTACCCTCAGTATCTAGCATAATACCTGGTATAGACTTATGTTCTTAGTAAATATTTTTTACCACCTTAAAAGCATTTTAAAGATTATGTCATTTAAAAATTTTGCATTATAGATGAGTAAATGTAAGCCTGAAAAGCTTCGATGACTTTTCCAATAATAAGCCCTCAACAAGCACTAACATTTATTGTGTGCTTACTGTATGCTAGTCACTGTTCTAAGTACGGTAGGTGCAATATTTTAGTCCTCACCCTAGAGTTATATGTGAATTACTATAGAGCCACATATTGAATCTAAATCAGAAGAGCAAACCAGTACTCTTCCAATTGAGTTTTTGCCACAGATCCAAATTAGATTTTGCCACTTCATATTTCTTTAGAGTGCTTTATCCAGCAGTCCAAAAACACTTCTAACTAATGTTTAAAATCACTAAAAAAAACTTCAAATACTAAGGTGGATTATGTATGCTTTTGGATGAAATAATTTTTTTTTTTCATTTTACTTGTATATAATACTATGGTCAAATGATAATAAATATATACACACACACACATATATATATATATATATATATACCATATACAGAATAATATTTAAGATATCTGGTCTAAAATATGATATTTTCATTCTTATAATGAAGCTGATTAAACCTTTATAATTAATTTTTGGAAGAAATTGTATAATTTAAATTGCCTATGGAGATGTTTTGTAAAAAACTGAGAAGTTATGTAAGATACAATTCCTTGTGAATGCATGTAAATCAGTGTTTCACAACCTTTTTTTCATTATTGTCTCCCTAAGGAGCCTTTTTCGGTATTTTTTTCCTACTCTCTTTACCCCATAAAATTTTAGTGCCACAGATGTGTCATATATCTTTTATGTACCATATGTATATCTGTACATACCTGCTTTATACATAAAAAGAGGAAATTTTTTGACCCCCCATCAAGAACCAATTCCATCTGTTGAGAATGCATGATATAGAAGGATGATTCCATAACATTGTTCCCAATTCTGTTGTAAATGTCTTTTTCATTTTTTTATCCTATGCTTCTCATATAATAATTCATCTGTGAAAATTTTATCTTAATAAGTTTTTCAGACTTGTTTTACATTCCTTGGAGAAAAAGGTGTGACATGGGATGTGATTAAACTGCAGATAAACATGTATACAACACCAGTTTTACTTAGCGCCTTCCTGGGAATTTTAAATATTATTCTGATCCTTGCCATACTAAGGTAATTAGATAGAAATGATAAAACTATTTTTGTAGATTGTGAAATTTAATGAGCTTTGTAATTGTTGGAAGATAATTATCCTTATGAAGTGTACGTAGTTTTTTATGTCTATAGTTTGTTTATATTTTTTGGTCAGGTAGTACTAAAGCATGTAATACTGGCAACCAAAAGACAACCTGATAAATGAGAACAGAAAAGGAAGGTCTTTGAAGATTCAAAGTTTTTTTTTTTTTTTTTTTTTTTTTTTTGAGACAAGATCTTACTCTGTTGCTCAGACTGGAGGGCAGTGGCACTATCTCGGCTCAATGCAACCTCCATCTCCCGGATTCAAGGATTCTCATACCTCAGCTTCCCGAGTAGCTGGGGCTACAGGTGCATGCCAACACATCCAGCTAATTTTTGTTTCACCATGTTGGCCAGGCTGATCTTGAACTCCTGACCTCAAAGTGATCTGCCCACCTCGGCCTCCCAAAGTGCTGGGATTACAGGCATGAGGCCATGTGAGGCTGTGCCCGGCCTCAAGGTTTGGTCTTGATTTACTAACTACATGTTGCTAAGTAGGGGAAAGGCATGGAAGTAACATTTTAAATAGATTAATGGATTTGTATCAGTCTTAAATATAAAAGTTACTAGTAATGTATATCTCTTATCTTTTATATATTCGAAAAAATTTTTTAAAATTATGTTTTATTTAGAGTGCTTTATTCAATAGTCTAAAAACATTTATTACTAATGTTTATAATCACTGTAAAACTTCAAATACTAAAGTAGATCATGTATGCTTTAGGATGAGTTGGATTTTTTTCATTTTACCTGTTTATGATAATTTGATAAGAATTGTAACTTCTGTCTTAAGTTTATTGGTTATATCTCATTGGTAACAGTTTTATTACTGAAAAACCAATAAAAGAAACTATATTAGAATGTGAAAAAAAATACAATGCCGATAATAAATTTAAACAACTTCTCTATTAAGCATTTTATAGGTACAATATTTGTGTTTTTCTTTTTAAGAGAACATCGTGTGGATGACTCAGGAAGACAGTGTAAAAGTATTAATTTTGAAGAAGGTACTTTTAACCCATTTGGCTGAATTAATATAACATTATCAAAGTGTTTCTAATGATTCTGTTTGTTTGGTATTTACTTCGATTTTGCTTCTGAGGACAACACAGTGGGTGATTGGGGAAGATCTTCAAAGCTGAAAGTGACCTAAATTTATTTATTTATTTATTTATTTATTTATTTATTTATTTATTTTTTTTTTTTTGAGACAGAGTTTCGCTCTGTCGCCCAGGCTGGAGTGCAGTGGTGCGATCTCTGCTCACTGCAAGCTCTGCCTCCGGGGTTCATGCCATCCTCCTGCCTCAGCCTCCTGAGTAGCTGGGACTACAGGCGCATGCCGCCACGCCTGGCTAATTTTTTGTATTTTTAGTAGAGATGGGGTTTCACCATGTTAGCCAGGATGGTCTCGATCTCCTGACCTTGTGATCCACCCGCCTCGGCCTCCCAAAGTGCTGGGATTACAGGCGTGAGCAAATTGATTTTTTTTAAAGAGGCATACCCATATTGGTTATTTGGTGGTCATGATTGACAAGGTTACAAACATTGTAAAAAATCGCTTTGTCTTATTTTCAGAGAGCCAGTATCCTAAAGCCTTTGAGATATTTGCAATGATTTCCATATCTTTACTACCAAATAAATATGTCTATTTAAAGCAGTTCTTTATTATCTTAAGTATGAAAATGGGTATGGTTTTGCCTTTTTATTTTTGTTGTTTTGGTATACTTTAGAAATATACATTTTCATCTTTTAGATCTTCTCTGATTCATATAAGCCAGAGAACCCAGTAAGTAGCTATATTTTACCAAAAAAAAACCTGTTATTTAGGTACTAATTATATCCTCCTTGCGGAAAGAATGCAAGGACTGATCCTGGCCCTCAGTAGTTCATAAAGTTGTGGAAAAGACATAGTATTATTTTACTATTTTACCAGGTACTTTCATAGCTCTTTTATTTAATTTTCACAAAAGAAATAGTGGAAGATAAATGTAGTAGAGCAGAGTGGTGAGGAGCTACAGTAAGTTTTTGAACTAGGAGAAGTTTGACATTGATTCC
This sequence comes from Homo sapiens, assembly GCF_000001405.40. NCBI lineage: Eukaryota > Metazoa > Chordata > Mammalia > Primates > Hominidae > Homo > Homo sapiens. Next base: position 127,937,734 of record NC_000004.12, on the reverse strand, counting down.
ATGCAGAGGCTAATCCAGATTGGTTATATCTCACTGGTAATATCTCATTGGTAACAATTTCATTACTGAAAAGCCAGTAAAAGAAACTGTATCAAATGTGAAAAAAATACAATGCCAGTAACAAATTTAAACAATTTCTTTATTAAGCTTTTCATAGGTACAATATTTGTGTTTTTCTTTTTAAGAGAACATTGTGTGGATGACTCAGGAAGACAGTGTAAAAGTATTAATTTTGACTAGGCCTGAAGTAGGGCAGTGACTGAGAATGGAGAAGGGATAAGTAGGAGTTGTTGAAAGAGGAATCAAGATAGAGATTTGGATAGAGAATATTAAGGATTAGAGAAAGCCAACATTGCTGCCAGGTTTTGATTCTAGATCACCTGGAAGAATGAGAGAGAACAAGAATTTAGGAAGGGAGGTTAGATGAAAAGAGAAGATGATTTCAATTTGGATCAAGCTGAATATGCTGTTACTCTAGAACAACTAAAAAATCCCACAGGCATTTGTAATTTTGACAGTAGAAATAAAAGCTAGAGATAAAAATTTATGAGTCACCCAGTGAAACACACTATGGCAGCAGAAAGGGAGTGAGAGAAAGGATGGCATGATGATTCAAGTGTGGCAAAAGATTGTTGAATCTGAGGAATGAATATGTGAGAATATGTTTGAAAACTTTCAAAATAAAACACAAAGAATGAGAGGTGAAGTGCCAGCAGTGCGTATAAACTCCTTTTTTCAAAGGTAAAAAATAGGATGCTAACTTCAAGGAGCTATCAGGTAAAGTGACGGAGGAAGTTAAGAGGGTGAGGTAGAGGTATGACAAAGGGAAGATATGTAAAAATCAGTATTTCAGAACTTGGAAGGGGATAATGATATACATCAGTGCTTCATTTACTTTAATGTGCTTAGAAATCACCTGGGAACCTTGTTAAGATGCAAATTCTGATTCATTAGGCTTAGGGTGATACTTAATAGGGTTGCCTGTAAAACACAGGATGTTGCTTCTCAGAATAGGGGAGTTAATAAAGAAATATAAAAATATATAATTTATAATAAAAAATAAAACACAGAATGCCCAATTAAATTTTAATAATGTTTTAATATAAATATGTCCCACCCAGTTAAATTTGGATTTCAATAAACAACAAATAACGTTGGTTTTTTTTTCTTTAATAGAGACAGGATCTTGCCATATTGTCCAGGCTGGCCTTAAACTCCTGGACTCAAGTGATCTGCCTCCCTGGGCCTCCCAAAGTGCTAGGATTACAGGTGTGAGCCACTGCACCTGGAAACAAATAACTTTTAGTATTAATACAATCCAGCTGGGCACAGTGGCTCATGCCTGTAATCCCAGCACTTTGGGAGGCCAAAGCAGGTGGATCACCTGAGGTCAGGAGTTCAAGACCACCCTTGGCCAACATGGTGAAACCCTGTCTCTGCTAAAAATATAAATATTAGCTGGGTGTGATGGCAGGCGCCTGTAATCCCAGCTACTCATGAGGCTGAGGCAGGAGAATCGCTTGAACCTGGGAGGCAGAAGTTGCAGTGAGCCGATATCACGCCACGTACTCCAGCCTGGGTGACAGAGTGAGGCTCTGTCTCAAAAAGAAAAAAAAAAAGTATAAATACAATCCAAATACTTCATGGAACATTCTTATACTTAACTTTCAAATATGGCACAGAACATATTTATATTAACACTTATTGTTTATCTGAAATTTAAATTTAACTGGGTCTCCTGTATATTTACTAAATCTGGCAACCCTAGTGAGATGCTGAGCATCTACATTTACAACAAACTACCATGTGATGTGATGCTTCTGGTCTACAAATCACACTTTGTGCAGCAAAGATTGAGAGCTATGCTGCCCAATATAGTAGCCATTAGCCACATGTGGCTATTTAAATAAAGTAAATTTAAGAAATTATTTTCTGTCATACTAGCCACATTTCAAGTGCTCAATAATGGGTATATGTGGCTAGTGGCCACTGTATTAGCATAGATAAATAACATTTCCGTCATGTCACAGTTCTGTTGGGCAGCACTGTTCTAAAGTACAAATGGGAATGAGTTTAGAGAAGATGTAGTGTTTTCTTTTATGAGATTTCTAGTTACTTCAAAATAATTTTTATAAAATAAAATTTTTAAATTTCAATAAATGTTTGCATAAAATATGTCTGGTAAAAACTTCCATAATTGTTTTAATTTAAAGCTATTCAAATTTAAAGAGGTTATTATGAGACAGGATTATAATTTCTAATTGCATAGAATTTGAATCCATATACTAATGTAGTCTTTTAAAAAATGTGTAATTAGGATATCTAGTCAATCCCCATAGTCTAGGATGCAACATTTCTGAGATACCCCACTGAAGCCAACACTGAGTAGAAGCTATAGGAAACTAACCACATATTATGAAGCAAACTCCAGTCTGACTTGGGGCAATATTGATACTGACTTGAAGGAGTAAAGACTGACTTCTAGGTGGTGATTAAGAATCAGAGAGGTCTATCCAAAATAGTACAAGAGCCACAACCATCAGGGCCTACCCCTGGCAAAGGTTCTGGACAAAGGTGGCCAGTTCTCTTTGTGTGATTACAAAGGAAGGTCATAAGGCTATGTTGAGCATCCAAGGTGCTTAATTCCCTTTAAGTATAGCAGACTATTTCCAAATCTACTTATTGTTGGAGGAGGAACTCCTTCTCAAGAATCCTGAGATAGAAAAGCAGGCATTATTATGAAAAAAATCATAGAAACTTACTGCATCTTAGGAAAGCCCCCCCACCCACCCACTAACAACAACTGACACTACACACAATTTAAGATAGCATAAATAAACATATTTTTGTAATATTTTATGTATTAATACCTGGCATAGGCTGGGCGTGGTGGCTCACACCTGTAATCCCAGCACTTTGGGAGGCCGAGGCGGGCAGATCACGAGGTCAAGAGATTGAGACTATCCTGGCCAACATGGTGAAACCCCATCTCTACTAAAAATACAAAAATAGCTGTAGTCCCAGCTACTCGGGAGACTGAGACAGGAGAATCGCTTGAACCCGGGAGTTGGGGGTTGCATTGAGCAGAGATCGGGTCTCTGCACTCCAGCCTGGCAACAGAGCAAGACTCCGTCCCCCCCGCCAAAAAAAAAAAAAAAAAATACCTGGCTTATTTTGGTATTTATTTGTGTAAAAATACTATTTTATTCTGAATAAGTGGATAAATTACAAAACAGTGTGATGAATATATATGAGTAGATTAATATGTCTGCATGATTCTCAGTTACATCAAGAATAGCTTAATGTGTATTAACCTTAAGGCGTTGTTCAAGATGAGAAGTCAGTACACTTACTTTGTCCTCCTTATTTATAAAACCACCGTCAAATCCTGATTATTTCTTTGCAGAAATATAAATGATAGGGGTTTTTAAAATGGTAATGATAACATAAGGATCTTTACGAATACTAATTTCTTGTTATTTATTTATTTATTTTTTGAGACAGGGTCTCTGTCACCCAGGCTGAAGTGCAGTGGCTCAATCTTGGCTCACTGCAACCTCAGTCTCCTGGTTAAAGCAATTCTCGTGCCTCAGCCTCTCAAGTGGCTGAGATTACAGGCATGTGGCACCACGCCCGGCTAATTCTTTTTTGTATTTTTAGTAGAGATGGGGTTTTGCCATGTTGGCCAGGCTGGTCTCAAACTTCTGACCTCAGGTGATCCACCTGCACTGGCCTCCCACCTGCTGTAATCCACATGTAATCCACATGTAAACCACATGTAATCCCACCTGCTGGGATTACATGTATGAGCCACCACTCCTGGCCATGAGTACTAATTTCATGTAACACTGAAATTCAAAATATATATCCATTGTAGTAAATCATAGAACTGGGAACTGATTTAATAAACCACTGGAGTTCTTCATGAAATTCTTGTAAGTCTAAGATTTAAGTAAGGTGGAAAAAATCTGCAGTTGAAATTTAAAGCAAATATATTTAGTATGAGATCACTATGTTAACAGAGTTCTATAAATTACATTCCCATTTTTGGATTGAGATATACCAAGTACAAAATACATCTGAGTATTTCTTAAGATAACAGGATTGAAGTATATCTCTGGGGAAGAAAATTCACCTTGCTTTTAAATGCCATTTAAAAATTATTTCTGTCATATAAATTATCTTATTGTTGGCCATGCACAGTGGCTCACACGTGTAATCCCAACACTTTGGGAGGCCAAGGCGGGCGGACTGGTTGAGCTCAGGAGTTCAAGCCCAGACTGGGTAGCATGATGAAACCTCATCTCTACAAAAAATATAAAAATTAGCTGGGCGTGGTAGTACATCTGTAGCCCCAGCTTCTTGGGAGGCTGAGGTAGGAGGATCACCTGAGCCTGGGGAGGTCAAGGCTGCAGTGAGCTGTGATCATGACACTGCACTCTAGTCTGGGTGACAGAGTGAGACCCTGTCTCAAAAAATAAAAATAAACAAATTCTCTTATTATTAAACTACTTTGAAGCCTAAAAATTTTTTTAAATGTTTATTTATAAATTTTGCTACAATGTAATTTCTACATTACTTTAATGTCATAAGAAAAATTAGATGTATAGGTAATGTAATTTTTCTCCTATTTCCCTATAGCAAGTACAGATGAAGCTCAGGTTCCCCAAGGAAATATTGACCAGGTTGCTGTTGTGGCCATCAATGTTCTGTTTTTTGTGACTCTATTTATCTTTGCCCTTTTTGAAACGTAAGTTTTATTCCATCTTCATCTGAATCAGATTATGTTTTAACCTTTATTTCTTAATGCAATGTTAATTAGGCATATAGATGTTATTGAAAATCTTATGTAAGGCAAATTTTTCTTACCATGATGTAAAAAATGTATATACATTTTGTTGCTTGTAACTTGAATGTAGTTAATTATTTGTCCATAATCTTAACTACCTTATCTTATTTTCTTATAAAAGAATCTGTTTCACTACTCTTTCCCTCTTTCATCTGAGTTTTATGATAAATACAGTTATAAAACTTTAGTGCCATGATTTAATTATCCTTAAGCTCTATAATTTCCTACATATATGTATATATATATATGATTCAATCTGGTAATTTTAACTCAATTTAATACCTGACCTTGAAGAAAAACCTAGTATATTACAAAATCTCTGCCTTGTGCAGGCTTTATTGACCTTTATCATATGGCTGTTTTATTTTTAAAATAACTTTCCATGAAATTATAAAAATAGTACATTCAAATCCCAAATATTACAACTGTATTTCTATATCCACTCCTTTCTGTGAAAGTAACCACTGCTAATACTTTAGTTTGTGTTTTTTCAAACATTTTTCCTATGTATGTATAAGAGTGTATGTATATACATGTATCTATTAAACTTACATAGATTATGTGATATTATCATTTGACAACTTGGTTTATTTACTTGTTAATACATTGTGTCATTTTTATGTTAGTACTTGTAGGTTTGCTTGGTGTTTTTATTTTCAAAATTATTGAGATATATGAAAGTTCCAGCTCACCTGATATTTTAGGGGCAATTTTTTATTGTGGGAAAATATACATAACATAAAATTTATCGTGTTAACTTTTTTTGTTTTGTTTTGAGACAGGGTCTCACTCTGTCACCCAGGCTGGAGTGCAGTGGTGCAATCACGGCTCACTGCAGCCTTGACCTCCTGGGCTCAGGTGACCTTCCAGCCTCAGCCCTCTAAGTAGCTGGGACCACAGGCATGCGCCACCATGCTCAGCTAATTTGTTTATATTTTTTGTAGAGACAGGATTTCCCCATGTTGCCCAGGCTGATCTCGAACTCCTGGGCTCAAGTGATTTGCTCACCTTGGCCTCCCAAAGTGCTGGGATTACAGACGTGAGCCTCCGCGCCTGGCACTATCATGTTAGCTATTTTTAAGGTATGCAGTTCAGTAGCATTAAGTGCATTCACAATGTTGTACAACCATGACCACTAGCTATTTCCAGAATGTTTTCATCATCCTAAACAGAAGTTCCATACCCATTAAACAGTAACATACCAATTAAACAATGTTAAATAAATTTCAGACTGGGTGCGGTGGCTCACGCCTGTAATCGCAGAACTTTGGGAGGTTGAGGCAGGTGTATCACTTGAGGTCAGGAGTTCAAGACCAGCCTGGCCATATGGTGAAACCCTGTCTATACTAAAAATACAAAAATTAACTGGGTATGGTGGCAGGCGCCTTTAGTCCCAGCTACTCAGGAAGCTGAGGCAGGAGAATTGCTTGAACCCAGGAGATGGAGGTTGCAGTGAGCCAAGATCATGCCACTGCACTCCAGCCCAGGTGACAGAGTGAGACTTTGGCGTCTCAAAAATAATAGTAATAAACAATAAATATAAATTGCATTTTGTAGTCAGTTAATAGAGATCGAATGTAGGGAGAGAAACTTGGCAAGGAAGGATATAGTCATATAAAGGAAGAGACATTGAGAGGCAAAGAGAAAAATATATATATTCAAAAATCCAGTATATTCTGATAACTTAATATAACATTATTGCATTGAAAGAGACCAATTTAATTAAAAATATAACCATGATTATTTAGTAATGTTAGAATGATAGGCATTATGATTGGTGTGGCTTGTTTCCTTTTCCTTTGTTTCAGACTTTCTGTAATATGGCTATATTAGTTATATAATTAAAATAAACATTAGGAAGTAAAATATGAGTAGGCAGACTTAGTAACTTAGGTATGTAACAACAAACGCTTAAAATGTGTTCAAACTTTTGCTTAGGTCTGTTGTCATTGCTAAAAGGCATGCACATTCTTGAATGTGTAGATGTCGTTATTAAAACTTACACTTCACTTTAAGTATAACAGTTACTGTGATTTAAATAAAATAAGAATAATTTTTTTTTTCTTAGCATCATTACTCCATTAACAATGGATATGTATGCCTGGACTCAAGAACAAGCTGTGTTATATAATGGCATAATACTTGCTGCTCTTGGGGTTGAAGCCGTTGTTATTTTCTTAGGAGTTAAGTTGCTTTCCAAAAAGTAAGTTAAGTGTTTTTGGTTTTATGTCTGTTTTTAAAAAATAAAACAAAAAACAGAGCTAACAATGCAAATGGATATACCAGGAAAATAATTTAAAGCTTTTTTTTGCACACAAATTTACAATTTATTAAGAGATTATCATATTTCTATACATTACAGCATTTCTTTGGTAAAACAAAATTTCTCACAAAGTATATAATTGACTCTTATTTATCTTTTGTCTACTATGTTTTCCTGAAAGTATATTTCATAAACCATTGTTCTACTGTATTGTAATATATATTGTGCAACAAAAAAGATTCATGGTTAAGTTTGGAAAATCTTGGTTAAGATTACCAAACTTATTCTAGAACTTCTATCCATAGTATATATATTCTATATCATCATCATGGCAAATAAAATTTGTGTCATTTCCCAGACCACACAACACTCTTTTTTTTTTTGAGACAAGGTCTCGTATTGTTACCCATACTGGAATGCAGTGGTGCAATCATGGCTCAGTGCAGCCTGATGGGCTCAAGAGATCCTCTCATCTCAGCCTCCTGAATAGCTGGACTACAGGCATGACCACCACACCTGGCTAATTTCTTTTATTTTTATTTTTTGTAGAGATATTATCTCACTATGTTGCCCAGGCTAGTCTCATTCCTGGGCTCACGCAATCCTCCAGCCTCAGTCTCCCAAAGTGTTGGGATTACAGGCATGAGCCACTGCGCCCAGCATAAGTGTTTTTTAATTGATACATGATAGATGTACATATGTTTGGGGTATGAGTGATCATTTGATACATTCGTATAATGTATAAAGATCAAATCAAGATAATTGGGATACCATCACTTTAAATATTTACCTTTTCTTTATGCTAGGAACATTTGAATTACTCTTTTCTAGCTTTTGACATGTACACTAAATTATTGCTAACTATAGTCACCCTACTGAGCTATTGAAAACTAGGTCTTATTTCTTCTAACTGTGTATTTGTACCTATTAATCAACTATTGTTTATTGCCTCCTTCCCGCTATTATTCGTGGCCTCTGGTAACTACCAATCTAGTCTCTTTCTTTCTTTTCTTCTTTTTTTTTTTCTTTTTGTAAAAGATGGCGTCTCACTCTGTTGCCCAGAATGGAGTGGAGTGGAGTGATCATAGCTCATGGCAGCCTCAGACTCCTGGGCTGAAGCAATCCTCCTGTCTCAGCTTCATGAGTAGTTAGGACTACAGGCATGTGCCATAATGCCTGGCTAATTTTTTTTTTTTTTTTTAACTTTTTGTAGAGACAAGATCTTGCTTTGTTTCCTGGGCTCACCAATCTACTCTCTATCTTCATGAGATTCTTTTTTTTTTTTTTTTTTTTTTTTTTTGTGACGGAGTCTCGCTCTGTTGCCCAGGCTGGAGTGCAGTGGCACGATCTCAGCTCACTGCAACCTCCACCTCCTGGGTTCCAGCGATTCTCACGCCTCAGCCTCCCAAGTAGCTGGGACTACAGGCACATGCCATCACACCTGGCTAATTTTTTTTTTTATTTTTAGTACAGACGGATTTCACCATGTTAGCCAGGATGGTCTCGATCTCCTGACCTCATGATCTGCCCGCCTCAGCCTCCCAAAGTGCTGGGATTACAGGCGTGAACCACCGCTGCCGACCTGAGATTCACTTTTTTAGCTCCCACATGAGTGAGAACATGTGATAATTTGTCTTTCTGTGCTTGGCTTATTTCACTTAACATAATGACCATGAATTCCATCTATGTTACCCCAAATGATGGCATTTCATGGTTTCAATGGCTGAATAATATTCCCATATATATATACCACATTTATCCATTCATCCATTGATGACCACTTAGGTTGGTTTCATATTTTGACTATTGTGAATAGTGTTGAAATGAACATGGGAGTGCAGATGTGTCTTTGATATATTGATTTCATTTCTTTTAGATATATACCTAGTAATGGGATTGCTGGTTCATATGGCAGTTCCATTTTAAGTTTTTAGGAACTTCTGTACTGTTTTCCATAGTGGTTTTACTAATTTACATTCCCACCAACAGTATACAAGGGTTCCCCTTTCTCCACATCCTCGCCAGCATCCATTATTCCCTCTTTTTGATTAAAGCCATTTTAATTGGGTTGAGAGAATACCTAATTGTGGTTTTGACTTGCATTTCTCTGATGATTAGTGATGTCGAACATTTTTTATTTACTTAGTGGCCTTTTATATGTCTTTTGAGAATGTCTATTCACTGTTTAAAAGAATCATTTTGAGGGCCTGGTGCAGTGGCTCATGCCTGTAATCCCAGCATTTTGGGAGGCCAAGGCAGCTGGATCATTTGGGGTCAGCAGTTCGAGACCAGTCTGGCCAACATGGTGAAACCCCATTTCTACTAAAAATACAAAAATTTTTCTACTAAAAATACAGGGCGTGGTGGCACATTTCTACTAAAACAAAAAAATTTTTCTACTAAAAATAGAGGGTGTGGTGGCATGTGCGTGTAGTCCCAGCTACTCAGGAGGCTAAGGCAAGAGAATCGCTTCAACCTGGGAGGTGGAGGTTGCAGCAGTGAACCAAGATCACACCACTGCCCTCCAGCCTGGGTGACAGAGTGAGATTTCATCTCAAAATAAATAAATAAATACAAATAAATAAAAGAATAATTTTGGCCAGGTATGGTGACTCACATCTGCAACCCCAGCAATTTAGGAGGCTAAAATGGGAGGATCATTTCAGCCCAGGAGTTAGTTTGAGACCAGCCTGGGCAACATAGTGAGATCTTATCTCACTATGATATAATGAGATCCCTATTTCTTCACAGACACACACACAAACACAATTAGCTGGGTATGATGGAGCACGCCTGTAGTCCCAGCTACTTGGGAGGTTGAGGCGAGAGGATTGCTTGAACCCAGGAGTTTGAGGCTGCAGTGAGCTGTGATTGTACCACTACACTCCAGTCTGGGTGACAGAGCAAGACCCATCTCTTAAAAAAAGAATCATTTTGTAAAAGTACAACTGTAAGGAACATATTTTTAGGGAAATGCTTGTGTAAAATTAAGTTCAGTCATATAGTCTATGGTGGAACATTAGTTGATGAATTTAGACAGTTCTATTTAAGTATTCCTCAAATACAGATACTCTTTAACTTGCAATGGGGCTACATCCTGATAAACTGATCATCATAAGTTGAAAATAGCACTAAGTTGAAAATACAGGCTGGGTGCAGTGGCTCACGCCTGCAATCCCAGCACTTTGGGAGGCCAAGGCGGGCAGATCACCTGAGGTCAGAAGTTCGAGACCAGCCCGGCCAACGTGGTGAAACCCCGTCGTAACTAAATACACAAAAATTAGCTGGGTGTGGTGGCCAGTGCCTGTAATCACAGCTGCTCCACAGGTGGAGGCACAAGAATCGCTTGAACCCAGGAGGTGGAGGTTGCAATGAGCCATTGCATTCCAGCCTGGATGACAAGAGTGAAATTCCATCTCAAAAAAAGCGAAAAACAAAAAAAAAAAAACATTTAATACACCTAACCTACGGAGCATTGTAGCTTAGCTTAGCCTACTTTAAACACACTCCAACACTCACATTAGTTTTCAGTTTGGCTAAATCATCTAACACAAAGCGTATTTTATAATAAAGTGTTGGATATCTCATGTAATTTGCCAAATACAGTATACTGTAGATTATAGTACTGGATGTTTACCTTTGTGATCATGTGGCTGATTAGGAGCTGTGGCTCTCTGCTGCTGTCCAGCATCATGAAACAGTATCATACCACAGATCACTAGTCTGGAAAAATATCAAAATTCAAAATTTGAAGTGTGGTTTCTACTGAATGAGTATCACTTTCCTACTGTTGTAAAGCTGAACAGTTCTAAGTTGGACACTCATAAGTCAGAGACTGTATGTACTTTAATAAGGTTCTAAAATTAATCAACAAATGTTAAGTCAGTGTATCAGGTTCAGTGCTATGGGGGTACTATGAGAATTCTTGTCCTTATGGAGCCAAGTAGAGGGATCAAGATATAAGATAGACATATATTTATATTCAAAGTTAATAGGAAGTACATTACATCTTGCTACAGAAGTAGAGCAGTGCTGCTGATACACATTCTTATAGAATGTCCAATACCATCCCCTCAAAGCACGTGTATTCCAGTAGGGGGAAAGCCAATAAACACAAATGTGAAGTCAGATAGTGGTAAGTACTACAAAGAAGAATAGAAGAGAAAAGAATAAGGAGTGACAAGGGCAGGGCTGGGAAGTGGGGAAATGTTGTATTTGATACACTGCTCAAGGAAGGTATATATGAGGAAGTTACATTTAAGCTGAGACCTTAGTGAAGTCAGCAAAGAGCCATGCAATGGCCTGGATGGTCTCGATCTCCTGACCTCAGATGATCCGTCCTCCTCAGCCTCCCAAAGTACTGGGATTACAGGCGTGAGCCACCACACCCAGCCTTTATTATACTTTGAGTTCTGGAATATATGTGCAGGTTTGTTACATAGGTATAAATGTACTATGGTGGTTTGCTGCACCCATCAACCCATCATCTACATTAGGTATTTCTCCTAATGCTATCCCTCCTCTAGCCCCCCACCCCGCAATAGGCCCCTGTGTGTGATGTTCCCCTCCCTGTGTCCATGTATTCTCTTTGTTCAACTCCCACTTATGAGTGAGAACATGTGGCGTTTGTTTTTCTGTTCCTGTGTTTGCTGAGAATGATGGTTTCCAGCTTCATCCATGTTACTGTAAAAGACATGAACTCATCCTTTTTTATGGCTGCATAGTTTTCCATGGTGTATATGTGCTACATTTTCTTTATCCAGTCTGTCATTGATGGGCATTTGGGTTGGTTCCAAGTCTTTACTATTGTGAATAGTGCTGTAATAAACATACATGTGCATGTGTCTTCATAGTAGAATGATTTATAATCCTTTGGGTATATACCCAGTAATGGGATTGCTGGGTCAAATGGTATTTCTGGTTCTAGATCCTTGGGGAATTGCCACACTGTCTTCCACAATGGTTGAACTAATTTACACTCCCACCAACAGTGTAAAGGTGTTCCTATTTCTCCACATCCTCTCCAGCATCTGTTGTTCCCCGACTTTTTAATGATTGCCACTCTAACTGGTGTGAGATGGTATCTCATTGTGATTTTGATATGCATTTCTCTAATGACCAGTGATGATGAGCTTTTTTTCATATGTTTGTTGGTTGCATAAATGTCTTCTTTTGAGAAGCATCTGTTCATATCCTTTGCCCACTTTTTGATGGGGTTGTTTTTTTCTTGTAAATTTGTTTAAGTTCCTTGTAGATTCTGGATATTAGACCTTTATCAGATGGATAGATTGCAAAAATTTTCTCCCATTCTGTAGGTTGCTTGTTCACTCTGATGATAGTTTATTTTGCTGTGCAGAAGCTCTTTAGTTTAATTAGATCCCATTTATCAATTTTGGTTTTTGTTGCCATTGCTTTTGGTGTTTTAGACATGAAGTCCTTGCCCATGCCTATGTCCTGAATGGTAATGCCTAGGTTTTCTTCTAGGGTTTTTATGGTTTTAGGTCCTATGTTTAAGTCTTTGATCTTTCTTGAATTAATTTTTGTATAAGGTATAAAGAAGGGGCCCAGTCTCAGTTTTCTGCGTATGGCTAGCCAGTTTTCCCAACACCATTTATTAAATAGGGAATCCTTTCCCTATTGCTTGTTTTTGTCAGGTTTGTCAAAGATCAGATGGTTGTAGATGTGTGGTGTTATTTCTGAGGCCTCTATTCTGTTCCATTGGTCTATATATCTGTTTTGGTACAAGAATCATGCTGTTTTGGTTACTGTAGCCTTGTAGTGTAGTTTGAAGTCAGGTATTGTGATGTCTTCAGCTTTGTTCTTTTTGCTTAGGATTGTCTTGGCTATATGGGCTCTGTTTTGGTTCCGTATGAAATTTAAAGTAGTTTTTTTCTAATTCTGTGAAGAAAGTCAATGGTAGCTTGATGGGGATAGCATTGAATCCATAAGTTACTTTGGACAGTATGGCCATTTTCACAATATTGATTCTTACTGTCCATGAGCATGGAATGTTTTTCCATTTGTTTGTGTCCTCTCTTATGTCCTTTAGCAGTGGTTTGTAGTTCTCCTTGAAGAGGTCCTTCACATCCCTTGTAAGTTGTATTCCTAGATATTTTATTCTCTTTGCAGCAATTGTGAATGGCAGTTCACTCTTGATTTGGCTCTCTGTTTGTCTGTTATTGGTGTATAGGAATGCTTGTGATTTTTGCACATTGATTTTTTATCCTGAGACTTTGCTGAAGTTGCTTGTCGCTTAAGGAGATTTTGGGCACCACTGGTCCCACAGAAATACAAACTACCGTCAGAGAATACCACAGTATTCTCTAATACTATAAACACCTCTATGCAAATAAAATAGAAAATCTAGAAGACACGGATAAATTCCTGGACACATACACCCTCCCAAGACTAAACCAGGAAGAAGTCGAATCCCTGAATTGACCAATAATAAGTTCTGAGATTGAGGCAGTAATTAATAGCCTACCAACCAAAAAAAGCCCAGGACCAGATAGATTCACAGCCGAATTCTACTGGAGGTACAAAGTTTCCATTCCTTCTGAAACTCCATTCCTTCTGTAACTATGCCAAACCGTAGAAGAAGAGGGACTCCTCCCTAACTCATTTTATGAGGCCAGAATCATCCTGATACCAAAACCTGGCAGAGACACAACAAAAAAAATTTAAGGCCAATATCCCTGATGAACATCGATGCGAAAATCCTCAATAAAATACTGGCAAACCCAGGCCAGGTGCGGTGGCTCACGCCTGTAATCTCAGCACTTTGGGAGGCTGAAGTGGGTGGATCACGAGGTCAGAGGTCGAGACCATCCTGGCCAACACAGTGAAACCCCATCTCTACTAAAAATACAAAAAAAATTAGCCAGGCGTGGTGGCAGGCACCTGTAGTCCCAGCTACTCAGGAGACTGAGGCAGGAGAATGGCATGAACCCGGGAGGCGGAGTTTGCAGTGAGCCAAGTTCACGCCACTGCATACCAGCCTGGGCGACAGAGCAAGACTCTGTCTCAAATAATAATAATAATAATAATAATAATAATAATAATAATAATAAATAAAAATAAAAAATAAAATACTGGAAAACTGAATTCAGCAGCACATCAAAAAGCTTATCCACCACGATCAAATCTGCTTCATCCCTGAGATGCAAGGCTGGTTCAACATACACAAATCAATAAATGTAATCCATCTCATAAACAGAACCAATGACAAAAACCACATGATTATCTCAATATATGCAGAAAAGGCCTTTGATAAAATTCAACACTCCTTCATGCTAACAACACTCAATAAACTGATATTGATGGAACGTATCTCAAAATAATAAGCGCTATTTATGACAAACCCACAGCCAGTATCATACTGAATGGGCAAAAACTGGAAGCATTCCCTTTGAAAACCGGCACAAGACAAGGATACCCTCTCTCACCTCTCCTGTTCAACATAGTGTTGGAAGTTCTGGCCAGGGCAATCAGGCAAGAGAAAGAAATAAAGGGTATTCAATTAGGAAATGAGAAAGTCAAATTGCCTCTGTTTGCAGATGACATGATTGCTGTATTTCTTAAAAACTAGTACTTGCATCTAGAAGCTTGATGAAATTTGGGTTCAATTTTTTGGCAAGAATACTTTATAGGTGGGAATATGTGCTTATATCAGAAGAAATATAATGTTTTGTTTATCTCTTCTTAACATGTAAGTAGCCACTGATTATTCCATAGATCCATTAATTCATTAATGAATCATTACAAAATTCTGGTATTTTAATTCTATCATTCCTTTATTTATTTGCTAGAATACTTACCATGAAGAGAATCTTTCCCTCACCAACTATTTGGTTAACCTGAGCTATAGTTGTATAGGAAAGGCAGGATAAAGGCTTGATTATTTTCTTTTGTTTCCCTAACATCCTCAAAAACTGACCAAAGAGTACTTTATTTTAATATACTATGAATTCATAGATTATAACACTTTTTTTTTTTTTGGCGACAGGGTCTTGCTCTGTCACCCAGTTTGGAGTGCAGTGGTGCCATCACAGCTCATTGCAGCCTTGACCTCCTGGGCTCAAGTAATCCTCCTGCCTCAACCTCCTAAGTAGCTAGAACTACAGGCACCAAATACCACTCCTGGCTAATTTTTAAAATTTTTTGTAGAGATGGGGTCTTGCTATGTTGCCCAGGCTGGTTTTGAACTTCTGGCATCAAGCAGTCCTCCCGCTTTGGCCTCCCAAAGTACTGGGGTTATAGGTGTGAGCCACTACACCAGGCCACAGATGATAATACTTTTTGTGTGTTTCAATCCATTGCCATTATTATTCTGTTTTGGTACTCACATTGTCACATTTTTGGCCAGCTTCTTCAAATTGGCTGAGTCAAAAAGACTCATGACCTAGTAGTCACTGATAACTTCTGTGCTTTTTGCTGTGAAAGATCTGAGCTCATCTACTTTTTGTGTCCCAGACCTTAAGTCAGCCATTTTTCAGAGGAGTCCTGGTTATTTTTAGTGGAAAATTATATTTAGCATTCTTTTTAATGGATATATCACTAAAAGTACAAGATATTATTTTTAGTTTTTAAAATTATGAAAGTAATGAAGCTATGTTATAATGTTTCATTTTAAAATTACAGAGTTTCTGTTCTTTAACAGGATTGGCGAGCGTGCTATTCTACTGGGAGGACTCATCGTTGTATGGGTTGGCTTCTTTATCTTGTTACCTTGGGGAAATCAATTTCCCAAAATACAGTGGGAAGGTATAGCCATACATAATTCTATAATGTTAACCTCTGTTATTTATCTAAAATCAACAAGTAATGCACTGCAATGGTTTTGTTTTTACAGATTTGCACAATAATTCAATCCCTAATACCACATTTGGGGAAATTATTATTGGTCTTTGGAAGTCTCCAATGGAAGATGACAATGAAAGACCAACTGGTTGCTCGATTGAACAAGCCTGGTGCCTCTACACCCCGGTGATTCATCTGGCCCAGTTCCTTACATCAGCTGTGCTAATAGGATTAGGCTATCCAGTCTGCAATCTTATGTCCTATACTCTATATTCAAAAATTCTAGGACCAAAACCTCAGGTAAGCCAGGTACCCTGACATTGCAATTATAGAAAATATACTTGTAAGCACTCAACATTTTTTGCTGCCATTCTCTATTTTTACACAGACTGATTTGAGGGATTTTTATCATATTCAGCATTTAAAATTTTTAAAAATCCCACAACTTCTATAAAGTTCATTCTTGGGTAGGTTATGTGGGTTATAGTTTTGGATACAGAAGTTGTAGGAGTGGCATTGTGGTAGAGTGTAAAGTGGCACAGTGGAGTCAGCCAAATATGGCTTCAAACCTCTTGAACAAGTTACTTAAACTTTCTGAGTTTCAGCTTCTACCTTTGTTAAACAGGCATAACACCTGTCATCGAAACTTGTGAACATTACAAATGATGTATTTAAAGCACCTACCTCAGTGACTGGCATGTAGCAGGTACAAAATAAATGTTAGCTTTAAAAGGTATTTTAATCAATTTTATTATTCCCAGGGCTTCAGCAGACAGTAAGTTTTTCCCTTTACACTCCTTTTATTTTTTTTAATCTGACTTAATATTAAATGCTATATTTATAGGAGGCATTTTATGTTTAATTTAAAAGTAAAAGATGCAGAAATGATTCTTGTAAGTTTGCTGTAGTTTGGTAATACCATTTCTTTGCTTTTAAATAACTAAACCCCAATATCAATCTGCTTGTCCTCCATTTCACCCCCAACAGGGTGTATACATGGGCTGGTTAACAGCATCTGGAAGTGGAGCCCGGATTCTTGGGCCTATGTTCATCAGCCAAGTGTATGCTCACTGGGGACCACGATGGGCATTCAGCCTGGTGTGTGGAATAATAGTGCTCACCATCACCCTCCTGGGAGTGGTTTACAAAAGACTCATTGCTCTTTCTGTAAGATATGGGAGGATTCAGGAATAAACTAGCTAAGACTGTGATGGAAACTACTTGCTGTGTGGCACTTCCTGGTCTAAAGCTCTGCTAGACAATTGCGGTGAGCCAGTCTCCAAGAATCAGACTACAGATATTGCAGATTTTGAAGAACAAGAACATATGTTGAATAACAGAGAGAATTCTACATGTCATTGTGAATAGTAGGTTATATAAAAACATACTAGATGATAATTTCCTTACCTCAGAAATGAAATATTATTCTTATAATACCTTTTTGTGGTTGCATGAACTAATGAGTGAATGGACAATGATGAATAAATGTGAAGCTGTATTCTTAATACCCACTGCAGAAGTGTCATTAAAATAATATACAGTGGAACCAGAAAGAGGGTTCTGTAAGAATTAGCCATAGCAGAACAAAATTATAGAATTTTAAATACCTCTACCCAAGTAGAGGTATTTTTATTCAGACACCTACTTTTTATTTATAAAAAAATGCATTTTCTATTATCAAGTTCACTTATGAAATAAAAATTATAACACATATTTTCCATTTAGCGTGCCTAACATCCTACCTTGCCTTCTATGAGTCTTTCTTCTAATACTACACCTCTGCCTTATTTTAGTTCAGGGTTTCACTAAGTAACCCCTACATTAATAAATGAGTATGGATAATGCTAATATTTGAGCAATACAGAGGATTAAGAGATCAAGATACTTCACTGCCTATTAGCCTAATAGGGATACCTACTTTCTTTCAAATGCCAAAAATTCACATTAGAAACATAATCCAGATATGTGTTATTTTATATATATATATACAAAACAGTAAATGGTTTCTTAAAATTATTGCTATTTTTCAACCCCCTTAAACTGGAGAAAAACATTTAATTAGTAAAACATTAATTAATTTACTTTAATTTTTCCCATCTCTCAGTAGTGGCGGGGAGGAACACAACAGTTTTCAATCTATGTCTGCATAGTTGTGTAGAGCTGCAGAATTTTAGTTGGATTTTTAATTTGGATGATCCCTGACAGCCCCAAACTAGTCAGGCTAATAAGTATTTGAGGCAAAATGGCTTTAATCTAACAATTTACTGAGTTTACCTGAAGTTGGCTAAATAACACTGTATGTTTAACTTCTACCTCTACATAAGTTGAATGCTGATAAAAGGAACTAGTAGATAACTATGTATATTGATAAGCACTGTTAAGAAAATGCAAAAATATTTCTAAACACTTTTCCAAATGTTTTCTACTTTAAGTTAGAAATAGTTTCAAATCTGAGAATAAACACTATATAATCTGCACTTTATAGGTTGGGTGCAGTGTCTCATGCCTGTAATCCCAGCACTTTGGAAGGCCAAGGCAGGAGGATTGCTTGAGGCCAGGAATTCAAGACCAGCCTGGGAAACAAAGTGAGACCCTGTCTTTACAAAAAATAAAAACAAAAATTTAAAACTGTATAATCTGCACTTTATGCTAAACTAGCTGTGCTCTTAAACTCAATTTTTTCAGCTCTAATAAAGGGCTTAATTTGATAGAATTATTCTACGATTAAATTTTGAAGACTGTTTTCACTCTCCTCTGCCGCCCATAGCAAGACTGCTTCCATAGATTTCTCAGAACCGTAGCCAGTTCTGGCTATTTGGTCAAGTCTGGGATCCCTCTTACCTGCTATTCTGCAGCTGCTTTCTCTGTCTTACATTTTTTGGGCCACGTCTAATCTTAAAGAGTAAACTCTACCCTTGGTTTGCATAGTGTGCATGACAAAAATAACAAGAATAATGGTAATGATGAAAATGATAAGAGCAAAATTTGTGGAGTGCTTTCCACATTCCAGGTAATGTGTAACATACAATTTAATTCTTACAGCAGTCTTATGGAGTGAAAATACTATTATGATTCCCGTTTTACAGATGAAAGAATGGAGGCACAGAAAAGTTACTTGTCTAAGTAACAGTCTATCCTTAAAGTCCACAGTCTTAACCACTTGATTTTTCATAGTGAGGAAAATATCCCAGAAAGTTGCAGTTTCAATTAATCACTAATTGTAGGGTAATTTAACTATACCAGTGAGTCCTACTAGCAGAAATATTTGGGCAACATAAGCCCACTGACTGGAGCTTTTGTCTTAGCATAATAACCTGTTTCCAGCAAGAATATAACAGAAAAAAGTTTCCCAGCTTTCAAAGGTTTATAATATTGATTAAAATTTAGATAAACTTAACCTTACACAAATGACTCTTACTTTCCTTTTTATTGAGAGCATTTTCTTTGGAGCATTTTCTTCTTTGGAGGATTATACCTTGCTCATCTTGGCACAAAAGAAGGCGAAAGGAAGTAACATGGGATTGGGAAAAGAGCAAGGAGATAAAGTTTGAGGAAAAAAAATCACCATGTTGATGTCTTCTTGAGTAGGCCAAGTTGCGTATAAAGAGAAAATGACAACAGGAGATTTTAAGGTATGATATATTGTTAAGAGTAGTACATATTTAAGAAGAGAAAATATGTTTTTGAAAACAAATTTAAACTTGAAAGGATGATTTTCATATTTTGAAGGGATTTATAACTTCACAAAGCATCTCCATTCTATCTTGTTCAGCTTTACATTTAAAAATAAACTCTTCTTGTTCATATAAACCTTATCTCTTACATAAAGTGAAATCTGTTAATTTTTTGTTTTGACAAGGATAAACTACTTACCTGCATCTGTTTAAGAATAGATTAACTTATTTTGAGAAGAAATTCTGGGCACCATTTTTGACCATTGAAGACTTATTTGTAATTTAATTTCTACTTTACATTGTGAATGTTCATTTTCTAATAAACAAGATTATTTTGCATATGTACCTTAAGCTTTAAAACTTTATTCAGTCGTCTTTCAGTACATATTTAAGGGGGTACCCACTATGTGCCAATTACAATGTCATTTGGGGGATTGTGCGGTAAACAAAACACACAGAGCTCCGACCTTCATGAGGCTTATGTACCAGCAAGAAAGTCAGATATTCACAAGATGATTTCACAGATGATTATGATTGAGGGAGGGGTGATGAGAGAGAAGCATAGGGAGCTATGAGGGTGAATATGATTAACAGGGAACCTGACCTGAACAGGAGAGTCAGGCATGTTTCTCCAGAAGAAATGATTAGCCAAGACCTAGTGGAAGAGAAAATTTGGATTGGTGAAGAGTGGGACAAGTACTTTTCAGGCAGAAGGCAGTGTGTACAAAGCCCTGGAGGTGGGAAGATCTTGGAGCTTTCACAGAACTAAAAATAGGTCCAAGTTGGGTGGAGTATAGTGGTTGAGAAGAAGCCTAATTTTAGCTGAGTCTATAAAGGGACAATGCAAGGCCTTGCAGGCCCCAGGTATTAAGACTTCTTGTGCAACTAAGAGTTTAAGAGTTCTATTTAGGCATGGTTGGAGCTAGAATCCAAATGTCATCAGGACTCTTTTCTTTGGGTTCTACATGTCTCTGCTTGACTTTATTTTCAGATGCTGTCCATATTTGTAGGAAGAGGACCACTGGCAGCCCTAGGCACACAACATCCTTATAGTTCACAATTCTAGAGAAAAATGGCTTGGGTAGTAGTACCAGAAAAAATATGAAGTAGCCAAGTTTAGCTCATGTACACATCCCTGAATTGACCACATGAGGATAGACTCCTCTACTAACCCAGATATAGATCACGCATCCATTCTGGAAATGCAATGTGGGAGGGAGGAGGGGAAGAACCCTGTGGAGCTCGTCCCAATTACATGGTCTAAACAGACATAACTGAATGAAAAGGAGATTCCACCAAAGAAAGGTTTGCTGACAAAAAATATATCCCCACTACCCCTCCCAGCTGTTTCCACATCATTGCACTCATAGGAAATATTATATGCCCCACTGTGGAAATGGATGAAACCATTTGTACCCAGCTTCTTTAGCCAGTGCAGGCCCTGTGAATCACCTCCAAGCTCAGAAGGGATCAGATTACCGTCTACAAGTATAACAAGTATTTATTTGTGATATACCAATGTTAAAAGCATGGTACTGTTCCATATTAGGTATTTTGGACTTTATTTAAGAAAAGTGGCTGGGCATGGGGCTCATGTCGGTAATCCCAGCACTTTGGGAGGCTGAGGCAGGTGGAACACGTGCGGTCAGGAGTTTGAGACCAGCCTGGCCAACATGGTGAAACCCTGACTCTACTAAAAATACAAATATTAGCCCAGCGTGGTGGCAGGCACCTGTAATCCCAGCTACTCTGCAGGCTGAGGCAGAGGGAGGCAGAAGTTGCAGTGAGCCAAGATCACACCACAGCACTCCAGCCTGGGCAACAGAGTGAGACTCCCTCTCAAAAAAATAAAAAAAAGTGAGAAGGTATTTAAGGTAACATTTTCTCTTAAAAGAATACTGGGCATCTTGTAGACATGGCTAGTTTCAGGTCTGGGGCAAGGAGAGCTGGAGACATTTATTGTGCCAGAAAGCAAGGAAGTTATCAAAGACTACTGAAATCTTGCCAAAAGGACAGAGGACTCAAAGTGGCCAGTAGGCCAAAAAATGGGGTAATTAACGCATAAAGAATAGTATCTGTTGTTAATTTAAACAAATGTGTGAAAATCCATGAATTCAAAATGATATTAAAAATAAGAAACTTGTTGGTCACCTTTGGAGGCTTCTAGAGCATTCACTCTTTATTCTGAAAACCAGAAAATAGCTGTGGCTCACACCTGTAATCCCAGCACTTTGGGAGGCTGAGGCGGGAGGATCACCTGAGGTCAAGAGTTCGAGACCAGCCTGGCCAACATGGTGAAATCCTGTCTCTACTAAAAATACAAAAAATTAGCCAGGAGTGATGGCGTGTGCCTGTAGTCCCAGCTGCTCAGGAGGCTGAGGCAGGATAATCGCTTGAACCCAGGAGGCAGAGGTTGCAGTGAGTTGAGATCGTGCCACTGCACTCCAGTCTGGGCAACAGAGTGAGACTCCGTCTCAACAACAACAGCAAAACCCAGAAAATAAAGAATGAAGCATCTATTCTGCCTCTCCTGTACCTAAACATCAGGGTAAACAAATATTGAAGGAAAGTTCTTTTCTGTAGAAGAATCCAGGCCGATAAATACAGAGGGGATAATGGAAAAATCTCTATTTAGCAACCTCTAGTGAAATAATGAGCAACACTCATCAATGGATGCTTAAACTATTAGGTGAAAGATTAATGAGGAACTTTCTAAGGATGGTTGAGGCTGACAACAGTTGGACACTGAGCACTGTTTACATCATTAAAAGTGGGATTAGCATTATGTGCCTCTTGATTTGATAGAGCAGGAAGTACACAGCACCATCTGTGAAAGTGTCCTGCCCAAAATATCGAACCAGAATCTAACCAAGCCTGTACATATAAACTACAAGTTTTTGGATATATAGAGGATAAAAAAACATGTTAAATGTCACCTCCAGGAAGTAATTACGATCCAGAAGGTGATATATATATAAAATATTATATATATTATATAATATAAATATATATAACATAAAAAAATATATATATATTTTGAGACAGAGTCTTGCTCTGTCGCCCAGGCTGGAGTTTAGTGGTGCGATCTCAGCTCACTGCAACCTCCAAGTCCTGGGTTCAAACGATGCTCCTGCGTCAGCCTACTAAGTAACTGGGATTACAGGTGCCCACCACCACGTCCAGCTATTTTTGTTTGTTTGTATCTTTAGTGGAGATGGGGGTTTCACCATGTTGGTCAGGCTGGTCTCGAACTCCTGACCTCAGGTGATCCGCCTGCCTGGGCCTCCCATAGTACTGGAATTACAGATGTGAGCCACTGCGCCAGGCCCAAGGTGATATATTTTATAGGACAAATGATCCAGTTACTTTAAAAATGGGGGCGGGGGAAGGACATGGAAAGGTTGAGAAGACAGGATTCAGATGAAAAGAAACTTGAGACATATAAATCAAATGCATTATATAGACTTTTTGGATGCTATTTCAAACAAACCAAATGTAAAAAAGATATTTCTGAAGCAATTGGAAAAATTTGAAGCTGGGCTAAATATTAGATGATATTAAAGAATTATTAATTTAGAGGTGTGTGAGAATATTGTGCTTTTAAAAAATTCTTATTCGTTAAAGATACATACTGAAATTTTTATATAGAAATTATATGATGTCTTATGGGCATGCCGGCACATGCCTGTAACCCACCTACTCAGGAGGCTGAGGTGAAAGGATCGTTTGAGCTTGGGAGGTTGAGGCTGCAGTGAGCTGAGATTGTGCCATTGCACTCCAGCCTGGGTGACAGAGCAAGACCCTGTCAAAAAAAGAAAACAAAAGAGAGAAAGAGAGAGAGAGATAAAATATGGGGAGGGAGGGAGGGAGGAAGGAAAGAAGAGAGGGAGGGAGGGAGGAAGAAAGGAAGAAAGGAAGGAAGGGAGGGAGGGAGGGAGGGAGGGGTGGGAAGAAATGTATATACACAACCATTAAAATAGAATGAAATCCTGTAATTTGCAGCAACATGGATGGAACTGAGGGTCATCATGTTAGGTGAAATAAGCCAAGCACAGAAAGATAAATATCAGCTAAAAAAAAAAAAAAAAGCGAATCTCATGAAGTTAGAGAGTAGATTGGTGAGCCTGAGCAACACGGCAAGATGCTGTCTCTACAAAAAGTTTTTTTTCTTTTTTAAAAATTAGCCAGGCATTGTGGACACACATCTGTATTCTTAACTACTCTGGAGGCTGAGGTGGGAGAATTGCTTGAGCCCAGGGGTTCAAGGCTGTAGTGAACTGTGATTATGCCACTGCACTCTAGCCTGGGTGACAGAGGCAGACCTTGTCTCTAAAACAAATGAAAAATAAAAATTTTTTAAAAGGTAAGAACCGAATGTCATTTTAAATGAGCTAAAATAAATGATTAGGTAATGGAAACTTGACGAAAGGTGAAAATCGTAATTAGAAAACAGAAATGTGGCCAAGTAGGGGGGCTCACGCCCATAATCCCAGCACTTTGGGAGGCCAAGGTGGGTGGATCACTTGAGGTCAGGAGTTTGAGACCAGCCTGGCCAACACGGCAAAACCCTGTCTCTACTAAAAATACAAAAATTAGCCAGGCCTGGTGGTGTGCGCCTGTAATCCCAGCTACTCTGGAGGCTGAGGCAGGAGAATTGCTTGAACTCGGGAGGCAGAAGTTGCAGTGAGTTGAGATTGTGCCATCACACTCCAGCCTGGGCAGCAAAGCAAGATTGTCTCAAAAAACAAAACAAAACAAAACAAAAAAAAAAAAAAAAAGAAAAGGAAGCAGAAATGAGACAGACAATAGGAAGATATGAAAATATTGCTGGGAGAGCTCAGGAAAGAATAAGAAATTTAAAAAACAATTTTAGGCATGAAGACCAAATTAAAAGGAACACAAAAGTGATTTAATTATCACAAATAACTTCATAAGAAAATAAAAGATGAGGGGAAATCAAAATAACTTAAATAAGGCTGAGTGTGGTGGCTCATGCCTGTAATCCCAGCACTTTGGGAGGCTGAGGTGGGCAGATCACCTGAGATCAGGAGTTCGAGACCAGCCTGATCAACATGGTGAAACCCCGTCTCTACTAAAAATACAAAAAAAATTTAGCTGGGCATGGTGGCGTGCGCCTGTAATCCCAGTTACTCAGGAGGCTGAGGCAGGAGAATCGCTTGAACCCAGGAGTCAGAGGTTGCAGTGAGCCAAGATCACGCCACTGCACTCCAGCCTGGGTGACAAAGTGAGACTCTGTCTCAAAAAAAATAAAAATAAAATAAAAAATTATTGTGAGAAAGCAATACATGTAGAAACTAGGCACAGATGATTTAACGTACATATAAATCTTGGAAAAGAATACCAAAGCAATGAAACAACGAATTCTGAAAAGTATAATTCGGCCGGGCGTGGTGGCTCATGCCTGTTATCCCAGTGCTTTGGGAGGCCGAGGCAGGTGGATCACATAAGATCAGGAGTTTGACACCAGCCTGGTGAACACGTTGAAATCCCATCTCTACTAAAAATACAAAAAATTAACCGGGTATGGTGGCACGCGCCTGTAGTCCCAGCTACTGAGGAGGCTGAGGCAGGAGGATCATATAAGCCCTGGAGGCAGGGGTTGCAGCCAAGATCGCACCACTGCACTCCAGCCTGGGTGACAGAGCAAGACTCCATCTCAAAAAAAGAAAAAACAAACAAAAAAAAACAGATGTTATAAATGTAGTACAGCCTAAGTGTATAGTCACATTTACTCACCACTCACTCACTGACTCACTGAGTACAAATTCTAGTCCTGCAGGCTCCATTCATGGTAAGTGTACACAGATGTATACAGATGTACCATTTTTTTCTTTCATATCACATTTTTTACTGTACCTTTTCTATGTTTAGATATGTTTAGATACACAAATGCTTACCACTGTGTTACAACTGCCCACAGTCTTCAGTACGGTAACATGCTGTACAGGTTTGTAGCCTACAAACAATAGGCTATACCATATAGTCTAGGTATGTAGTAGGCTATACCATCTAGGATTGTGTAAGTACACTCTATGATGTTCACACAACAATGAACTCACTTAATGATGCATTTCTCAGAACATAACCCCATTGCCAAGCAATACATAATACAGTTTCAGGAAGGAAATGGGCAGATATTGAAATAAAATTGATAAGTTTTGATAATTTTTGAAGCTGAGTGATTAGTACAGTGAGATAGATTATACTATCCCATCTACTTCTGTATATATTGGACACTTCCTTAAAAATTAATTTGTAAAACATGCTTTGTAACAAACTTAGGTCATAGAAGAAATATGAACTGAAATCACAGAATTTCTTGAAAAAATAATACTGAAAAGATAACATATCAGAATGGATGCAGCTAAAACAGATTTCAGAGGAAAATGAGTAACATTAAATATCTATATCAATAAAAATGACAGTAGAAAATAAACCAATTATGTACCCAGCACAAAAAGCTAAAGAAAGATATTTATAATACTCAAAAGGTGGAAGTAACTCAAGAGTCCATCAGTGGATGAATGGATAAACAAAACATGGTACAGTATGTAAATACAATGGAATATTATTCAGCCTAAAAAAGGAATTAAATATTGATACATGATACAATATGGATGAACCTTGAAGACATTATGCTAAATGAAATAAGCCAGACAAAAAAGTATAAACATTGTATGATTCTACTTACACAAGGTACCCAGAATATGCAAATTTATAGAGACAGAAAGTAGAACAGAGGTTACCAAGGGCTAGACAGAGGAGCAAATGGGAAGTTGTTATTTAATGGGTACAGAATTTGGGGTGATGAAAAGTTCTGGAAATGGATCGTAGTTATAAGGCAGGATAGGTAGTCAAGGAAGTGACAATGTCCGTGGGGCATGGCAAATGTGGCGACATGATAAGCCTCAGCATTCGCATTGCAGTTAACGCTCATTCAAGCAAAGCAATCTTCAGTAGGAAATTTTCCCTGATTTTGATTTTGCCTGTCCTCAAACTGACCCTTTGCTTGTTATAAGAGTGAAAAACACAACCCTGCATGGAGATTTAAGATGCTAATGAGACATGGAACATATGAACGAGCACGTACAGCTACTGCACATATGCAGCCAGGACGTCACTCAGAACATGCTTACTAGTAACACTTCTTTCCACCTCCTTAGCAATAATCAATGTTGTCTCATCCTTATGAGCAGCATGCCCAGGATCCTCTCTCTTTTAGGGTGTGCTGTCTATTCTGCAGTTAACTTTCGAAATATTCTTTTTCCTTTCCGATAAATTGCCCTATGCTGCATCTCCTTCGCTGTGTGTCTCTTGTTTAAATTCTTTTAAACTAAGAAGACTAGAATCCAACCTGGGCAACATGACGAGACCCCATCTCTACTAAAAATATACAAAGAGCCAGGCATGGTGGCATGTGCTTATAGTCCCAGCTACTTAAGAGGCTGTGGTGGGATGAGATGGTATGATGCCTAGGATTTTCTTCTAAATAATCTAGCTGGGAGAGGATAAAATGAGGTACAAGTGATACAAGATTCGCCACATGCTAACTATTGAAGCTGAGTGATGGTTACATGGGGGCTCATCATGCTAGTCCATTTATATTTGTAGGAATCTTTCCATAATAAAATAGCTTTTAAGTGAAGGACTTAAAAAGCTGATTGGTTGGGCCGGGCGCAGTGGTTCACGCCTGTAATCCCAGCACTTTGGGAGGCCAAGGCGGGCAGATCACGAGGTCAGGAGATCAAGACCATCCTGGCTAACACGGTGAAACCCCGTCTCTACTAAAAATACAAAAAATTAGCTGGGCGTGGTGGCGGGCGCCGGTAGTCCCAGCTACTCAGGAGGCTGAGGCAGGAGAATGGCGTGAAGCCGGGAGGCGGAGCTTGCAGTGAGCCGAGATCGCGCCACTGCACTCCAGCCTGGGGACAGAGTGAGACTCCGTCTCAAAAAACAACAACAACAACAACAACAACAAAAAACTTTCCACATTATACACTTATGAAAGTAAAACAAACCATATGTTTTGGAAGGCAATCTAGAAGAATATCTTTGCAACTTTGTATGTAACTAAAGAAAGAAATAGAAAAAAAAAAAACACTAGCCATAAAGAAAGATTGCATAATTGGATAATATTAAAGTTAAGAACTTCTGTTTATCAAAAGATACTATTAGGAGAGTGAAAGGACAAGCCTATACACAGATAGGTAGAGACAATTTACAGAGTTCTCAGAGAAATGCCTGGTGTGTAGTAATCATTCAATGAATATTGGCTGCTATTATTCCTATTATTGTTGTTGTTGTTACTGGAAAACAAGAACTGGTCCTACGTTTATGAAACAATTATGATGAAATAGTGACCTTCTCTGATACACAGAGCAATATGTTTATGCTCCTAGCAATATGTTTAAGAACTGATAAAGATTTTCATAAGTGTTCGAGGTTTTTATCTATGAAGAATGTGTACTTGGTGCCTTCTGTGCATTTCATCTTGCCTGTTTAGTTTTTATCTGTTCTAAATTTGGTTTAATGTTGCACTGATTGATCCAATCATTTAGAAATGTCATCTTTGTCCCAAACGCTAATTTTCCTGTATCATGCTCACTAGGAAAACAGATAACTGTTTTCACTCCCATGTCATGTTTAGCTCCGTGTCAGTTATCCTCTGGGATACTTTGTGAGCTTCCTTTGAAAGATCTCAGAGATGGATATTGTCCCAAATGGGAATTTTACAAAACAACGTCTTCCATAAGGAATATAAAGGTTGTCAGCCTGGCATTTTCTTTCTCCAGTGAAATCTGCCAAAATCCACTGGCGCCATCCAGCCTGTGGAGAATGTGGTACCTCTCGCCAACTTAATTAAGGAGGATGTCTTCTAGCATTGGTAACATGTTTTCCTTACATACGTGTTAATAAAGTATTTTAGAAATATATATATATTTTAAAAAAGGACAAGCATAGAAAGGGAGAAGATATTTGCAACATATATCAATAAACGAAGGATACATACTGATAACTTTTATTTTTTAATTTTAATTTTTTTTATCTTTTGAGACGGAGTCTCTCTCTCTGTCGCCGAGGCTGGAGTGCAGTGGCGCGATCTCGGCTCACTGCAAGCTCCGCCTCCCGGTTCATGCCATTCTCTTGCCTCAGCCTCCCGAGTAGCGGGAACTACAGGCGCCCGCCACTATGCCTGGCTAATTTTTTGTATTTTTAGTAGAGACAGGGTTTCACCGTGTTAGCCAGGATGGTCTTGATCTCCTGACCTCGTGATCCGCTCGCTTTGGCCTCCCAAAGTGCTGGGATTACAGGTGTGAGTCACCGCGCACAGCCCATACTGAGAACTCTTAAAAACCACTAAGAAAAAGCCAGACAACACAATAGGAAAAAATAGGCAAAAGATATTAACAGGCAAATCACAAGACAAATATCTAATAAACATTTAACATTTCAACCTCTTTAGTAATGAGGAGAATTCAAGTTAAAACCACATTGATACACTGTTCTTGAACACCTGGCCTCAAGCTACCTTTCTGCCTCCCAAAGTGCTACAATTACAGCCAATGTGCCTGGCCTTACACTATTCTATCAAACTGGCAATAATTTTAAGAGACTCTAACACCAAGTTCTGGCGAGGATGTGAAGCAAAATATACTTTTATATGCTGCAAATGGAAGTGTAAAAAAATTAGGCGTTATCTACTAAAGTTTGACATACACAAATCGTAAGATTACTAAATTCATTGCAGTAAAATCCTAGAGAAACTTGTATGTAGCTGCACCAGAAGATGTTCATAAAGTATATATTTACAGCCAAAATCTGGAAACAACTCAAATGTCCATCAACAGTATAACATATAAACAAACTGCTGTACATTCCTACACTGGAAAACTACAAAGGAACCAGTCCAGGTAGAAAAAGGAAAGCAGAGAGATGTCTCCAAAAGAGGGGATAAATGGATCAACAAAAAAGCACAGACAGATTACCTGACATATCAGAGAAAACAAAAGAATTCCAGAAAAAAAATTGTTCAAGAAATATAATTCTAGCATAGTACATAGTTCAGCTGTGAGTATTTTCTTTTTTTCTTTTTCTTTCTTTTTTTTTTTTTGAGATGGAGTTTCGCTTTTGTTGCTCAGGCTGGAATGCTATGGTGCGATCTCGGCTCACCGCAACCTCTGCTTCCTGGAGTTTCTCCTGCCTCAGCCTCCAGAGTAGCTAGGATTACAGGCATGTGCCACCATGCCTGGCTAATTTTGTATTTTTAGTAGAGATGAGGTTTCTTCATGTTGGTCATGCTGATCTCGAACTCCCGACCTCAGGTGATCCGCCTCCCTTGGCCTCCCAAAGTGCTGGGATTACAGGTGTGAGCCACTGCGCCTGGCGGAGCTATGAATATTTTCATAGTCACAGTAATATAAACATTGAATATTAAACTACCACCATACCCCTCCCCCAGAGAAAACGAGTAGAGAGAAAAAAGGGGATTAAAGGAAACTCAGCTTGAAAGAAGTAACAGGAAAAAAAGAAAAGCAAAGCAAAAATATAGTACATGCTAGAAAGCACAAAATTAATTGCTAGACATAAATCCAAATAGAACTGTAATGACAATAAGACAGCCAGAAATAACAATATATGTAAAAATTAGAAGTTATTAAATTGTAATCAAAATAAAATTTAGCTATATGTTATGTATAAGAAAAATACTTAAAAAATAGACTCACTCATAAAGACGAAGAGATAATAAAAAGTATACTAGTTAACATCTGTCAAAGCAGAAATGTATGTTTTGAGTCATTGGCCTTTAAAATTTAGCTCAGGCCAGGTGCGGTGGCTCACGCCTGTAATCCCAGCACTCTCGGAGGCCGAGACAGGTGGATCACTTGAGGTCAGGAGTTCGGGACCAGCCTGGCCAACATGTTGAAACCCCATCTCTACTAAAAATACAAAAATTAGCTGGGCATGGTGGCACATGTCTACAATTCCAGCTATTTGGGAGGCTGAGGCAGATGAATCGCTTGAACCTGAGAGGCAGAGGTTGCAGTGAGCCGAGATCATGCCACTGCACTCCAGCCTGGGTGACAGAAGGCGACTCCGTCTAAAAAAAATAATAAAATAAAATAAAATTTAGCTCGGGATTACTTTATTTCCATTTTTATTTTATTTATTTTTGAGACAGAGTCTTGCTCTGTTGCCCAGGCTGGAGTGCAGTGGCATGATCTTGGCTCACTGCAACCTCTGTCTCCCAGGTTCAAGCAATTCTCCTGCCTCAGCCTCCCGAGTAGCTGGGATTACAGGCGTGTGCCACCATGCCCAGCTAATTTTTGTATTTTTAGTAGAGATGGGGTTTCACCATGTTTGCCAGGCTGGTCTTGAACTCCTGACCTCAAGTGATTCACCCGCCTTGGCCTCCCAAAGTGTTAGGATTACAGGCATGAGCCACTGTGCCTGGCATTTTATTTCAATTTTTAAAGGGAAATTGTTATTACTGATCATATTTTCTCTAAGGGCTTACATCCTTCCTTTCCCCAAAGTTGGATTATCAATGTGGTAATTCTTATAGATACTGCCATATTACTTTCACAGTTATCATTTACACCCTAATCAACACCTGAGAATGTCTTATACATATTGTGAGCATTATTATTTCAATTTTTTTTTTTTTTTTAAAGACAGAGCCTTGCTCTGTCACCCAGGCTGGAGTGCAGTGGCGCTATCTCAGTTCACTGCAACCTCCACCTCCCGGGTTCTAGAGATTCTCGTGCCTCAGTCTCCCAAGTGGCTGGGATTAGAGGCGTGCACCACCTAACCTCGCTAATTTTTGTATTTTTAGTAGAGACACTGCTTCACCATGTTGGCCAGGCTGGTATTGAACTCCTGACCTCAGGGGACCTGCCTGCCTTGGCCTCCCAAAGTGCTGGGATTACAGGCATGAGCCACTGCACTGGGCTATTACTTAATCTTAAACCCATTCTTTGATAAAGGAAAATTATTATCTTGCTTTAACTTTGCATTTCCCCAACTTTTATGAGGTTGAGCATATTTCCTTTTTATTGACCATATGGACTTCCTTCCTTTGTGAACTATCAATTCATATGTCTTGTCCATTTTTCTACTGTGTGACAACAGAAAATTTCCTTCAATCCCCTTTTTTCTGTTACTGGTTTTCTCTGGGAGAGGGGTATGGTGGTAGTTTAATATCAGTTCTGCAATTTATGTTGCAAATATAAGTATTATTTTTCTTCCTTATTGTCTGAGGCAAAAACCTCCAAAACAATGTTGAATAATCATAACATTGTCTACTTGTCTACTTAAAAGAAACAGCTCTAATATTTCTGATTATAAAAACCAGCAGGACACATTAGGTTAAACAGTCTTTATGATATTGAAGTTGTTTCATTCTATTCTTATTCCTTCATTAGGAATGGCTATCCCACTATCACATATTTTTTCATCATGTCAATTAATTGCATCAAGTTCTTCAGTGTTAAAATATTTCATTAAGGAATAAGAACAGCTCTGGTCTACAACTCCCAGCAAGATCGACGCAGAGGATGGGTGATTTCTGCATTTCCAACTGAGGTACCTAGTTCTTCTCATTGGGACTGGTTGGATACTGGGTGCAGCCCACGGAGGGCGAGCCAAAGCAGGATGGGATGTCACCTCACCCAGGAAGCACAAGGGGTTGGGAGATTTCCCTTTCCTAGCAAAGGGAAGCCATGAGTGACTGTACCTGGAGGAGCAGTACACTCCTGCCCAAATACTGCGTTTTTCCCATGGTCTTTGCAAGCAGCAGAACAAGAATCCACTCCCATGCCTGGCTTGGCAGGTCCCACGCCAACGGAGCCTTGCTTGCTCCTAGTGCAGCAGTCTGAGATCGACCTGGGACATGGGAGCATGGCGGGGGGAGGAATGTCCGCCACTGCTGAGGCTTGAGTAGGCGGTTCTATGCTCACAGTGTAAACTAAGTGGCAGGGAAGCTCAAACTGCAGCTCAGCAAGGCCTGCTGCCTCTCTAGATTCCACCTTTGGGGGCAGGGCATATCTGACCAAAGGCAGCAGACAGCTTCTCCAGACTTAAACGTCCCTGCCTGACAGCTCTGAAGAGAGCAGTGGTTCTCCCAGTACAGTGTATGAGCTCTGATAACAGACAGACTGCCTTCTCAAGTTGGTCCCTGACCACTGTGTAGCCTGACTGGGAGACACCTCCCAGTAGGGGCTGACAGACACCTCATACAGGCGGGTGCCCCTCTGGGCAAAGCTTCCAGAGGAAGCATCAGGCAGCAATATTTGCTGTTCTGCAGCCTCTGCTGGTGATACTCAGGCAAACAGGGTCTGGAGTGGACCTCCAGCAAACTCCAACAGACCTGCAGCTGAAGGGCCTGACTGTTAGAAGGAAAACTAACAAACTGAAAGGAATAGCATCAACATCAACGAAAAGGACACCCACACCAAAACCCTATCTGCAGGTCACCATCATCAAAGACCAAAGGTAGATAAAACCACAAAGATGGGGAGAAACCAGGGCAGAAAGGCAGAAAATCCCCAAAACCAGAATGCCTCTTCTCCTCCAAAGGAACACAACTCTTTGCCAGCAAGGGAACGGAACTGGATGGAGAATGAGTTTGATGAGTTGACAGAAGTAGGCTTCAGAAGGTTGGTAATAACAAACTTCTCCGAGCTAAAGGAGCATGTTCTAACCCATTGCAAAGAAGCTAAAAACCTTGAATGGCTTTTTCATTCATAAAACGAATGGCTAACTAGAATAACCAGTGTAGAGAAGAGCTTAAATGACCTGATGGACCTGAAAACCACAGTACGAGAACTTTGTAAAGCATACACAAGCTTCAATAGCCGATTTGATCAAGTGGAAGAAAGGATATCAGTGATTGAAGATCAAATTAATGAAATAAAGCAAGAAGACAAGATTAGAGAAAAAAGAGTGAAAAGAAACAAACAAAGCCTCCAAGAAATATGGGACTCTGTGAAAAGACCAAATCTGTGTTTGACTGGTGTACCTGAAAGTGACGGGGAGAATGGAACCAAGTTAGAAAACACTTTTCAGGATATTATCCAGGAGAACTTCCCCAACCTAGCAAGGCAGGCCAACATTCAAATTCAGGAAACACAGAGAACGCCACAAAGATACTCCTTGAGAAGAGCAACTCCAAGACACATAATCATCACATTCATCAAGGTTGAAATGAAGGAAAAAATGTTAAGGGCAGCCAGAGAGAAAGGTCGGGTTACCCACAAAGGGAAGCCCATCAGACTAACAGCGGATCTCTTGGCAGAAACCCTACAAACCAGAAGAGAGTGGGGGCCAATATTCAACATTCTTAAAAGAATTTTCAATCCAGAATTTTATATCCAGCCAAACTAAGCTTCATAAGTGAAAGAGAAATAAAATCCTTTACAGACAAGCAAATGCTGAGGGATTTTGTCACCACCAGGCCTGCCTTACAAGAGCTACTGAAGGAAGCACTAAACATGGAAAGGAACAACTGGTACCAGCCACTGCAAAAACATGCCAAATTATAAAGACCATCGATGCTATGAAAAAACTGCATCAATTAATGGGCGAAATATGCAGCTAGCATCATAATTACAGGATCAAATTCACACATAACAATATTAACCTTAAATGTAAATGGGCTAAATGCCCCAATGAAAAGACACAGACTGGCAAATTGGATAAACAGTCAAGACCCATCGGTGTGTTGTATTCAGGAGACTCATGTCACGTGCAAAGACACACATAGGCTCAAAATAAAGGGATGGAGGAAGATCTACCAAGCAAATGGAAAGCAAAAAAAAGCAGGGGTTGCAATCTGGTCTCTGATAAAACAGACTTTAAACCAACAAAGATCAAAAGAGACAAAGAAGGCCATTACATAATGGTAAAGGTATCAATAAGAACTAATGATCCTAAATATATATGCACCCAATACAGGAGCACCCAGATTCATAAAGCAAGTTCTTAGAGATGTGCAGAGACTTAGACTCCCACATAATAATGGGAGACTTTAACACCCCATTGTCAATATTAGACAGATCAATGAGACAGAAAATGAATAAGGATATCCAGGACTTGAACTCAGCTCTGGACCAAGCAGACCTAATAGACATCTACAGAACTCTCCATCCCAAATCAACAGAATATACGTTCTTGTCAGCACCACATCGCACTTATTTTAAAATTGACCACATAATTGGAACTAAAACACTCCTCATCAAGTGTAAACAAACAGAAATCACAAGCTGTCTCTCGGACCACAGTGCAATCAAATTAGAATTTAGGATTAAGAATCTCACTCAAAACTGCACAACTACATGGAAACTGAACAACCTGCTCCTGAGTTACT
Organism: Homo sapiens; assembly: GCF_000001405.40. Lineage (NCBI taxonomy): Eukaryota > Metazoa > Chordata > Mammalia > Primates > Hominidae > Homo > Homo sapiens. The sequence goes on along the minus strand of NC_000004.12, from coordinate 127,902,764 downwards.
ACTGGGTAAATAACAAAATGAAGGCAGAAATAAAGATGTTCTTTGAAACCAATGAGAACAAAGATACAATGTACCAGAATCTCTGGGACACATTTAAAGCAGTGTGTAGAGGGGAATTTATAGCACTAAATGCCCACAAGAGAAAGCGGGAGAGATCTAAAATTCACACCCTAACATCACAGTTAAAAGAACTAGAGAAACAAGAGCAAACAAATTCAAAAGCTAACAGAAGACAAGAAATAACTAAGATCAGAGCAGAACTGAAGGAGATAGAGATGCAAAAAACCCTTCAAAAAAATCAATGAATCCAGGAGCTGGTTTTTTGAAAAGATCAACAAGATAGATAGGCCGCTAGCAAGACTAATAATAAAGAGAGAAGAATCAAACAGATGCAATAAAAATGATAAAGGGGATATCACCACCGATCCCACAAAAATACAAACTACCATTAGAGAATACTATAAACACCTCTACACAAATAAACTAGAAAATCTAGAAGAAATGGATAAATTCCTGGACACATACACCCTCCCAAGACTAAACCAGGAAGAAGTTGAATCTCTGAATAGACCAGTAACAGGTTCTGAAATTGAGGCAATAATAGCCTACCAACCAAAAAAAGTCCAGTACCAGACAGATTCACAGCCAAATTCTACCAGAGGTACAAAGAGGAGCTGGTACCATTCCTTCTGAAACTATTCCGATCAATGGAAAAAGAGGGAATCCTCCCTAACTCATTTTATGAGGCCAAAAAAAAGAGAATTTTAGGCCAATATCCTTGATGAACATTGATGTGAAAATCCTCAATAAAATAATGGCAAACCGAATCCAGCAGCACATCAAAAAGCTTATCCACCACGATCAAGTTGGCTTCATCCCTGGGATGCAAGGCTGGTTCAACATACACAAATCAATCAACATAATCCATCACAGAAACAGAACCAACGACAAAAACCACGATTATCTCAATAGATGCAGAAAAGACCTTCGACAAAATTCAACAGCCTTTCATGCTAAAAACTCTTAATAAACTAGGCATTGATAGAACGTATCTCAAAATAATAAGAGCTATTTATGACAAACCCACAGCCAATATCATATTGAATGGGCAAAAACTGGAAGCATTCCCTTTGAAAACCAGCACGAGACAAGGATGCCCTCTTTCACATCTCCTATTCAACACAGTATTGGAAGTTCTGGCCAGGGCAATCAGGCAAGAGAAAGCAATAAAGCGTATTCAAACAGGAAGAGAGGAAGTCAAATTGTCTCTGTTTGCAGATGACATGATTGTCTACTTAGAAAACCCCATCGTCTCAGTCCCAAATCTCCTTAAGCTGATAAGCAACTTCAGCAAAGTCTCAGGATACAAAATCAATGTGCAAAAATCACAAGCATTCCTATACACCAATAACAGAAAAAGAGAGAGCCAAATCATGAGTGAACTGCCATTCACAATTACTATAAAGAGAATAAAATATCTAGGAATACAACTTACAAGGGATGTGAAGGACCTCTTCAAGGAGAACTATAAGCCACTGCTCAAAGAAGTAAGAGAAGGCACAAACAAATGGAAAAACATTCCATGCTCATGGATAAGAAGAATCAATATTGTAAAAATGGCCATACTGTCCAAAGTAACTTATGGATTCAATGCTATCCCCATCAAGCTACCACTGACTTTCTTCACAGAATTGGAAAAAACTACTTTAAACTTCATATGGAACCAAAAAGGAGCCCGTATAGCCAAGACAATCCTGGACAAGAAGGACAAAACTGGAGGCATCACGCTACCTGAGTTCAAATTTTACTACAAGGCTACAGTAACCAAAACAGCATGGTACTGGTACCAAAACAGATATATAGACCAATGGAACAGAACAGAAGCCTCAGAAATAACACCACACATCTACAACCACCTGATCTTTGACAAACCTGACACAAGCAATGGGGAAAGATTGCCTATTTAATAAATGGTGTTGGGAAAACTGGGTAGCCATATGCAGAAAACTGAAACTGGACCCCTTCCTTACACCTTATATAAAAATCAACTCAAGATGGATTAAAGACTTAAATGTATGACCTAGGACCATAAAAACCCTAGAAGAAAACCTGGGCAATACCATTCAGGACATAGGCATGGGCAAAGACTTCATGTCTAAAAAACCAAAAGCAATGGCAACAAAAGCCAAAATTGACGGGATCTAATTCAACTAAAGAGTTTCTGCACAGCAAAAGAAACTATCATCAGAGTGAACAGGCAACCTACAGAATGGGAGAAAATTTTTGCAATCTATCCATCTGAGAAAGGGTAATATCCAGAATTTACAAAGAACTTAAACAAATGTACAAGAAAAAAGCAAACAACCTCATCAAAAACTGGGTAAAGGATATGAACAGACACTTCTCAAAAGAAGACATTTATGCAGCCAACAGACATATGAAAAAATTCTCATCATCACTGGTCATTAGAGAAATACAAATCAAAACCACAATGAGATACCATCTCATGCCAGTTAGAATGGCAATCATTAAAAAGTCAAGAAACAACAGATGCTGGAGAGGTTGTGGAAAAATAGGAATGCTTTTACACTGTTGGTGGGAGTGTAAATTAGTTCAACCATTGTGGAAGACAGTGTGGAGATTCCTCGAGGATCTAGAACTAGAAATACCATTTGACCCAGCAATCCCATTACTGGGCATATACCCAAAGCATTATAAATCTTTCTACGATAAAGACACATGCACACGTTATGTTTATTGCGGCAGCACTATTCCTAATAGCAAAGACTTGGAACCAACCCAAATGCCCCTTAATGATAGACTGGATTAAGAAAATGTGGCACTTATACACCATGGAATACTATGCAGCCATGAAAAAGGATGAGTTCATGTCCTTTGCAGGGACTTGAAGCTGGAAACCATCATTCTCAGCAAACTATCACAAGATCAGAAAACCAAACACTGCATGTTCTCATTCATAAGTGGAAGCTGAACAATAAGAACACATGGGGCTGGGTGTGGTGCCTCATGCCTGTAATCCAAGTACTTTGGGAGGCCAAGGCGGGCAGATCACCTGAGGTCAGGGGTTCAAGACCAGCCTGGCCAACATGGCGAAACCCCATCTCTACTAAAAATACAAAAATTAGCTGGGTATGGTGGCATGCACCTGTAATCCCAGCTACTTGGGAGGCTGAGGCAGGAGAATCGCTTGAACCTGGGAGGCAGAGGTTGCAGTGACCCGAGATCGTGCCATTGCACTCCAGCCTGGGCGACAGAGTGAGACTCTGTCTCAAAAAAAAAAAAACAAACCCACAAAAACACATGGACCTAGGGAGGGGAACATCACACACTGGGGCCTGTGGGGGATGGGAGGTTAGGGGAGGGATAACATTACGAGAAATACCTAATGTAGGTGACCGGTTGATGGGTGCAGCAAACTACCATGGCACATGTATACCTATGTAACAAAACTGCATGTTCTGCACATGTAACCCAGAACTTAATGTATAATTTAAAAAAATTCATTAAAATATACCAAGATTTTCAGATAATAGAGAAACAATGTATTTAACATTTGCAAAATTAATATTTAAAATTTAATTGGCTCCTCAACAGGCAACAAAATTTAAAAAGTGAGTTTACTGGTAAGTTATTTAAAAATAAGTATTTAATTAAATGAATCAAAAGATAATGTAACTTATCACTATATTTATTTTTTTATAAAATGCATTTGCAAAAATGTTTCATCAGACACTGGTGTTACAAAAATAAATATAAAACAAATATACATGTTTACATATGTTACTTATAACATAAATACACATTATTTACATCTTCAAAAATTCCAAAATTCCAGCAGGTTTTGTCCATGATTCTCAACATGTCTGAGACGCAGGGAAAACAATAAAAGCACAAATAAACTACACATCATTTACATTTTTGCTTTTAAAAGATTGTTCAATACAAATATATGAACATAGTAAGTTCGGGGGTTATGGTCTAAGAGCAAAGTCAGGTGTTCTATTTTATATCCACTATATTTAGTAAGTGACTCAAGTTTCATTCTGCTTTGTTCTCTCAGAATACATCCTTTACATTATAGGTTAAAATTCTTTCATAGAAAGGCTTTCTGAAGACTTTATGTTAAATTAAAAAAAATCACTTTACTTGAAAGTCAACAAAAAAGTTATTTATTAAACTTATATGTCTGAAAGGAGTTTTAATCAATGAAAATTAGGAGTCGGATTAGAAAACATCAAAAGGATGGAAGACAGACACTGTAATTTCTGTTTGATGTAGTCTGGTAATTTTTCATTTTCTCCATACCTAAGTGAAGCAAAAGAAAAAAAGACAAAATCGTAACTGAATTACTTGGTTCTCATGAGAGTCCCAAAAAGCACATTATATTTTTCAGTAATTCTTCAATAACAAGAGGCACCTCAGAAAAATTATAACAATTATTTATTAGATACCTAAATCAAGTGAAGCATACAGTTTCTTTTCTTTTAAAACAGACCATTTTCTAAACACATTTAAGTAACAGAAGGAAAATTAGATAAACTTGAACTGGCTTCGTAATTTCAAAAGCAAGCCAAAAATCTGGATTCCTCATTAAATTTAAAAGGCCCCGGACAGGCGCGGTGGTTAATGCCTGTAATCCCAGCACTTTGGGAGGCCAAGGGGGGTGGATTACGAGGTCAGGTGTTTGAGACCAGCCTGGCCAATATGTTGAAACCCTGTCTCTACTAAAAATACAAAATTAGCCAGGTGTGGTGGCGTATGCCTGTAATCTCAGCTACTCAGGAGGCTGAGGCAGGAGAACTGCTTGAACCCAGGAGGCAGAAGTTGCAGTGAGCCAAGTCGCACCACTAACTCGAGCCTGGGCAACAGAGCGAGACTCTGTCTCAAAAAAAAAAAAAAAAAAAAAAAAAAAAAAAAAAGCCCTAATTCTACAGAAAAATACCAAGCTAAACACATTATGAATATATTTCTATTTAAATGTTAACATTTTCCAAATGACCATAGCAAATAAAATGTCAACATGTATCCTGGGAACAAGGGTTTTACCCACTTTGCATCTGCATCCTTCCACTTTCTGGAGCACCTCAAAGAGCTTTTAACAAAGCCTCTCACTTGAAACATAGTTATTTAAGTGATGGCACTGCATTATCTAAATTTAACACAAAAATGCAGTTGGTAGGTATCTACAGATTATATTTGTCCCAAGTACTTCCATTACAATAAGCACTTCTCATAAAAGAGAACGCCTGCATTGGCATCGTCAGTACCCTACTTTTAGTAAGTTCTGATTTAAATGAGGAAAGCAAATAACTCCTTGTTTTTCATATTGCCAGATTCTTTATTTTTGGCTTGGTGCCTGACACATATTTTCATATAGAATGAATATACACATTCAAAAAAGTCTTTCAAACATTAATCACGTTACATTAGATTGGGGATATAGCCTTTCATTTGGGAAAAATAAGCAGGTTATATCTTAAAGATTTCTTTTTTCTGTTCTTTTAAGTAAATAGGTTTGGTATATTATTTGAACCTAGAATTAGGAGTCCCTTACTTCTGAAAAAGGCCATCGAGTTACACTATGGAACAGTAAGGCTACAAGGAACCCAACCTCTTAGAGTGGATTATTTATACCAATTGCCCTGAGTTAATACAGATAATCATAAAATATGCATTAATGACTACATGAATTGCTAAGAATAATTAACAGTTTAAAGAATCACACGATCATTGTCAAAATGAAAGAAGTATCTTTATTAAATCATCCATTTCAACATATAGAGAAAGAGAAATTATAGCAAAGGGCTGAATCTCGACCAGTATTTTAAGAACTTACCTAGTTGTTTGACCATTTGGTGAGGTATAACTGATAGAAGACACTCCTGCCTGCACAACCAACTGGGACCCATCATTAAACTGAACCCACACAGCTCCACTAGTTAACTAGAAAAATAATAAGCATGGGTAAGAACAGGCACAGAAAAAAAAAAAAACAGCAGTAGTAGCACACAAAATTACTATACAGTAGAGGGTTTGTGGTTCTGTATTAATATTTAACATATTTAACAGGTTTTCCACAGTTAAAAAAAAAACTCTCTAAGTGACTACAAATTTGGGGCTACGATGGCAGAGCACTGAGAATATTCATGTCTTTTTCAGATTATTCCTTTAATAGCTAAGGTATTACAATATTAAAATTATTAGAAAGTGAATCCTGTTTCCCATTAATTTCCATTAGGATTTCTAAGTTTTTTGGTTGTTGGTTTTTTTCCCCCACAAGAAATATTTAGTATTTCTTAACAAGAAGAGATTTAGGGAATAAAAGCAACATTTTCTTTGTCCTTAAGCCACAAGAATTTCTTTCCTGGCCTGAGAATATTACATTTTAGCCTCTGAAACTTCTTCCTTTAGTCATTAATAGTCACAATGTGTCACTCAAAATGGAGAAGTGCATAGTACATGGACGCCAAATCAAACACACCTAGGCTTACATCTAGACTCTGCCAACTTAAGAGTACAGTGTAGGATTGTGCAAGTTAATCTACCATTATGAAGCATAATTTTACTATCTATAAAAGGAGATACAACTTTACTAGGTTATTTTGGGGGATAAACTAGACAAAGTATGTGAAAAACATGGTAGGTACCACAAAGCAGGTGCTCAACAAATGTTACCTACCCCCATAAAGTACTAGGTTGCATTTACTTCACTGTTAAGTAAAAGTACATGTGTCAGGCTCAGAAGTCTCTCCAAGTTTCAAGATTTTAGATAATATACACATATAGGTTCACAACTACATAAAATTCTATAAGTTTGAAACTCAATATTGACTTCACTTTTTAAAAAAGATGGGGTCTTGCTTTGTTGCCCAGGCTGGCCTCAAACTCCTGGACTCAAATGACCCTCCCACCTCAGATTCTTGAGTAACTGGGACTATAGGCACGTGACATCACACCTGGCTTTCACATGACTTTTAATGGAAAAATCCTTTTCTTCTTTTGCCAGATGAAAGTTACTCTACTGGCCGGGGGCAGTGGCTCACGCCTGTAATCTCAGCACTTTGGGAGGCTGAGGCAGGCAGATCACAAGGTCAGGGGATTGAGACCATCCTGGCTAACATGGTGAAACCCCGTCTCTACTAAAAATAGAAAAAATTAGCCCGGCTTGGCAGTGGGCGCCTGTAGTCCCAGCTACTCGGGAGGCTGAGGCAGGAGAATGGTGTCAACCCAGGAGGCGGAGCTTGCAGTGTGAGACTTTGTCTCAAAAAAAAAAAAAAAAAAAAAAAAAAAAGAAAGTTACTCTACTAATATTGATTACAAATAATTTCCAAAATTTAAAACGTCCCAGATATCACACTCTACTCTTCACAATTAGTAATTATCATGACCTCTACTTTAAAAACAAATGGCAAAAGTAGGTCACCCAAGCCTAGCAGGCAACCTCTTATCAGCAATGTCTGGAGTCTTCCAACTGAATACAAATTTAAGAAGTTAAAATTTTTAATGATATAACCAATGTTAAAAGGTACAAAAACTTCCTTGTAAAAAGATATCATTACAATAATTTGTATTTTTTGGTAATTGTCTTATCAGTGTGAAAATGAAAAGAAATTCATACTGAGAAAATGCACTGTACTAGAAACTTCTCACCTGTGTAGCCCAACCAACATTTTTCACAAAAACAGATTTCAAAAGTTGTGCTGATTTAGGAAGACAATCTTTTAGACTATTAGAAGAGATGTCTGTTCCAGAAGCTGTAGTTGTAAGACCAAGTCCTTCATTTGTAACCATCTACAAAGAATAAAGGACAGGAAGATATTATTCCTCAGCATTTTTATAAGCCACATTCAGCAAAAGCAGACAATTATGAGATTTTTCATTAGCTTAATTTTTTTAAAAACAAACATTTTTTAACGAAAATATAACCACATTATTGGAAATTAGAAAAATACAGAAAAGAACCCCCCACCCTCCTGCACAATTGCTGTTTTCATTTTGGTGGATTTCTTTCATCTTTTTATCCCATGGCATGTTCTTTTTGTGTATGTGGGTGAGTACACACAAATATACACACCTATTTCTTTAATGTTGCATTTTTCTACACTGCTATATAATCTTCATCGCCATGTTCATTAAATATATAATAAATTTAATCATGAGTCTATCATGAGCATTTAGGCAGTTAATGATATTTTACTAGTAAAAATAAAACAACTAGCCAGGCGTGGTGGCTCACGCCTGTAATCCCAGCACTTTGGGAGGCCGAGGCAGGTGGATCACAAGTTCAGGAGATTGAGACCATCCTGGCTAACATGGTGAAACCCCGTCTCTACTGAAAATACAAAAAAAATTAGCCAGGCATGGTGGCGGTCGCCTGTAGTCCCAGCTACTCGGGAGGCTGAGGCAGAAGAATGGCGTGAACCCAGGAGGTGGAGCTTGCAGTGAGCCGAGATCGTGCCACTGCACTCCAGCCTGGGTGACTCCGTCTCAAAAAAACAAAAAAAAAAACTACATATGTATATGTTAATACACTTAGCTTTCCCCAGAGGGCTGAGATTAGGGCTCATTGAGGTAACATTTAAACAGAGACTTGAAAAATAAGACTTACACATATAAAGTTAAGTGGTTGGGGAAAAGAGTTCCAGGTCAAGTGAACAGCATGTGAAAAGGCCCTTTGACTTGTTTAAAGAACTGAAAGAAGGCCTTTGACGCTCAAACATAAATAGTATGGGATAAAGTGGCTCAGGATGAGGCTGGAAAAGTACGTAGATGATAGTAAAGCCACAATAAACTATTTTACAAGAAGGGCATCAGGCAATCATTGAAAGGTTTAAAGTACAGAAGTGACATATATTTACTTACAGAGGGATTAAGGATTGGTGCCTGTGTTGGAGAAGCAGCACTATGCATGACCATTCTGTTGAAAGATGCTCTCTCTCTCGTTGGGTAATTTGAATCCACAGAAGGAGGAGGTGATAAGGCCTTAGGTGAACTAGTACTACCAGGTTTTCTGAAGGGGAAAAGTCCAAATATATTCCCTTGAAGCTTTCAATTTACAGAAAACTAAAGAATGTTTATAATATAAACATCAAACTTTTAAAACATTTTAGCCATATGTTTAAAATTTTCAGACATTTACCTTCCTATGATTATTGGGAAAAAGGGAGCACTCCTAGTTTTCCTTTCCTCTTCTGAAATTATGGATTCCAGTGCTAAACAAATACGATGACCCTATTTCAAAAGAAGAGTGCTTCTGTCATTGTTTCACCTATGTCATTTGCAATCATTATTAATTGGTATGAAAAACCTACAATTAGGTATGTACCTCATTAGCATGGTCCATATACATTTTTATCTCCTCTTTCAAGCTATTAACTTCACTTTCACTTTTTAAAGTGTAAGACTTCCCTGTCTTTTCAATCACCTGAATGAAATCTTCTGTTTTGTGTATTTTTACCCCTAAAAAAAAAAAATCAGAAAACTGTTCTCTTATCCTTTTTAAAAATATTCCTAGATTTATATTTATTATCATACCAGTATATAATGGCTCCTGGATCAAGGTATCATTTTTATTCATTTATTGACTATTAATAAAATGAGACTATCAAAGCATTCAATAAATATGGATCATCCATTTTTTTCCCAACATATATCTGGTTTAAGCCTGATACTTTTACATTTTAAAAAATCACTATATTCATACAAAAACATAATTGAAGGATAGCTATAATTATATGTGTACTGTGTGATATGAATGCTTTGCGTCCCTTAAAGGAGGTTTATAGATTAAAAAATAGTTCATCTTTATAGAATAGATTTAGAAAATAAGAACATTCATCTTTACAGAATAGATTTAGACTCAACCCTATCCTTTTTGCTACATTTATAATTCTCATAATTTGGTATATGTCCATTTAAGGTTTCTAATAAGAAATAGGACATTGCGCATTTCATGTGATTTTTATACCATCAGCCTAGACGTAGTTAAACTGGAGCTAAGTAGAAAAAGAGGACTAATATACATATTATAGGATAAATTGTTTAAAGGAAGGCTAGATAAATTTTGATTAATATGATTTGACATGTATACTCCGCTGTGCAATTTATATGTATAGTTATATACATACACATCTTTAAAACTGACTGTGTTGAATTTTAAAAACCCACATATACGTAACTACTAAATTACAAACTAAAGGAACAAATTACCATTTCCAAATGGTACTTACCATCATAAAACCAAACCTCAAAATCAGCACCAGGAGAATTCTCCATCAAAATGCATTTAGCATATCTTGTAAAATAAGTGATTTTGGGAGATTTAGATCTTACAAGCTGTACAAACCTGGAAGCATATTGATATTTTCGCCAGTATTTTTCTAAGGAAAAAAAATACTTAACATTAGGGAAGAAAGTGTTGACCTGACATACAGTTTTATCTATTTATTGTGATTTCTAATAGGGTTACATTAGACAGGTTTTCTTATTCTTTTCTAAGAGTTACCTCAATGAAGGCTTACTATTCAGTACTTATGTCCATAGTCCATAATATCCAGAAACCAAACTGGGAGTCAAATTTGGTTAACTATAATTATAAATAATCATTTATGTAGCAGCACTGATTTCAAAGCTCAAAAGCCACATACATGGTGAATTATTTTTTAAATGCAGAATGCTTCACAAATTTGTGAGTCACAGGGGCCATGTTCTCTGTAACATTCCAACTTTAGTATATGTGCTCTGAAGCAAGCACAATGTTGAATTTTTTTTAACATAACTATAGCCACATTCTAAACAAGTATACAAATTACATTTGTGAGACATATGACTAATGTTCTAGAGTTAGTTTTTAAATAGAATATAGTACCATTATAACACAGAATATTAATAATAAACATTGCATTAAAGGCATACAACTCTCACCAGAAACAAAGTACAAGAATATGATATGACCTAAAGTTTGACTGAAGCTATTTATAATTTATTATATCTATATATAGAGTTTATACGTATATACATATAAATCTACTATCAAAATTTATTCCCTGGTAAATTCACATACCTGGTAAATTGTCAAAGCTGTACCTACTGATGTTGTCAGTAGGTGAGGGTGGTCTATCAGCAAGAGGAAAACCTCTACCACCATTTGGATAATAAATAGTGATCTGCCAAAAGATTTTTTTAAAATTCTAATTACATGCCATTAAGTTCCAGTACTATATCTTGCTAAAACGTATACAAAGTGTTTAAATGTAACATTAAATATTATTTTATAGAAAAATGTTAAATATTCTGTAAAAGTAATTTTTTTGCTTTTTAACTTAAACCAAAAGTTTAGATTTTCTTACTAGATATAATTATTTTTAACACTGCACCAATTTATTTAAATATGTTTAATATGCTATTTCAATTTTTGAATTCCAGAGACACTATCATACTGGCAAACTGATTTTAAAAAAACTTACATCATTGTAAAATGAATTAGAATGCTAAACGTGCTTAAACGATAATTTGAAGTTGCAAGGTAATAAAGTAACTACACATTACCGTATTTCCATCACTAGATATCTGAAGAACTTCTTTCACATATTCTTGAGATGCATACTCCTTTACAAGCTCCACACACACCTCCTCTGAATCAAGTATGCTCACCTAAAAAAAAAAAAAACCCAAAATCAGTAATAATTCTTTTGTTTACTAGAACAGCTCTGACATACATAATACTTAGGAGTACTTAACCATGGCAGAAACAAATATTGAAGTCAAAATCAAAGCTGCTTCACTACAACAGTCCAGATCAGAGGTATATTTGAGCACAACTGTGAACCATATGGTGCAAAGTTAAGAATGTATAATGAAGTGTGAAGTGATAATCAATGAGCAGAAAGCAAACAGAAGGTAGAGTGGAGAATAAGGACTTTGAAAAGATAATAGCAAGCCAAACAAAGGCAAGGATGAAATGGGAAGTAAAATGGGAACAAACAACAGGATAAAGATAGAATTAAAAAAACACACACCATTCTCAATTCACATACAATAATTTTTAAACTCTAAACTTAAATGTGTATATGCCTTTTCTTTAGTTCCAGAAGCTAAAAAAATAAAAGTTATATTTTCCAGTTTTTTAAAATTTGAGATGGGATTAAATTTACAAACAATAAAAATAGAAGCAAAGGATAATATTAGCTCACTGATTGGAATTGTGAACAAAATAATCTTTAACCAGCATATAGCCAGTATTATTTTAAAATGTTTTTCATTCAAATCTACTTTAAATTAATAATTTAAAATTCAAAACTTACCAGTATCATGTCACTATAATTAAGAAGATAGAGGGAAATAAGAGCTGTTTTTCCATAAACACCCAGTCTCTTTTCTCTTTAATAAAGTTGATCATGTATACACCCCAAAGTAAAAGGACATTACAGAGGACTAAAAAATATGTTCTCAAGAATTGTATTCTCAAGTAAAATGTTATTTAGTAACTTAAGAAGATAACAGACATACCACAGCCTTTTTGGTTTTCTGTCTGATTGGTTTTAACCTGTGAGCAACCAACGGAGATGTAATGCTTCTTAATGTACGATTCTGATAACCCCATGGTGGCTCCATACCCCTAGTCTTGCTCTGTTCAGAAAGAGGATCTGAGCCAAAAACACATTCTTGTTGGATTATCTCAGGTTTACTGTGAAGTGCAGTCATATATTTCATGGTATTTTGCTGTTTTACAGAATGTGCATTATCAGAAGCATCAGAGTTCTTTTTGACTTTTGTATCAGTCCAGGCATTTTTTGATGTGTCCTTCTGCAAATCTGGATGGCCCTGGAAGTCCCGGTTTGGGCTGATGCTGTCATATTCAGTAGTTTTTCTTAAATGAGCTACAATATACATAGAATGAAGCAATTTAGTAAATAACTAAAAACACAAGTCGACACAAAATAACGTCACTCTGATTGTAATAGCATTTTTTGAACAAAAGAATTCTAGTTACAAAAAACAAAACAATAAGAGCTCATAATTTTCTAACAAATAAGCAGTTTAAGACATGACTTTGAAAGAACATTTTAAACCAGATCGTGAAGAAATACCTTTAGTATTCCTAAGACTAAGACACAAAAGATATTAACATAAAATTAATTTTTCAATTAAGGCAAAAACTAGTCACTATATGGTCACCTATTAATCCTAAAGCATGCAACTGCCAATGTGCCAACAAAAGCAGATTTGAGTTCCCAAGTAATCATTCTACATGAGAAAAATATATAAACTTACTCTCTTTAAGCTAAGAACTGTCTAGCCCATCTTTACTTAGAAATACCTGCAATTAATGAAAATATGCAACTAAAAGCAAAAACACTATATGAACAGCTTTAACATTAATATTTAATATTACACATGTACTTGCACCAGCATTTTTTAAAAAAGTAATTAAGTTTACCAATTTTTATTTTGTATGGTTTTAAAGTTCACATACAGAACAGTATCTTTTACAGGCTTTAAATGATCAGATTATATAAAACTTGGTAAGGCAATTTTTCAATGCTAAACTAAAAATTTGAATTATATTTTTTTTCTTAAATGACTTTTTAGTGCTTTCCCCCCACTCTCCTTATGACAGAAAGTATTTTGTATCAAATAATATACTGAAAAATTGCAGGAACACTACTGGATTATTATAAACAAGGTTATTTCTCCATCTCAGACAAGTCTGTGTTACTAAATATAAGTATCTGTAAACACAACAGATGTGCAAAATTAAGTATGTGGCAGTTTTATAGTTTAAAAAACAAACCTGAATTATCATCTCTAATTACTATAAATAAAAAGATTAATTTCCTTTTGGGCTTCTGAGAATAATATACATTAAAAAAAGAGAATAGACTCAAGATAACATACAACTCTCTGATTAAATTACAGCTGTGTTATTTGCTTTTTGTCTATGAGGTAATACGATACTTAGTAAAAAATGATCTCCTCCTCTCCATATGTCTCTTTTATTCTTTTTTCCATCATTATTTCCCAATTCACCTTCTGTGAATCTGTCATGTTCATTAATGAGGAATGTTTAACCTTCAAACTCTGTATTATAAACAACATGACTTGGATGATAGCTGTTTAAAAATATTTAGGTTTTAGTAGCTCTGTACTTTAGTGTGAGGTCCCATTGGTACCCTATACTGTCCTTATCAGCTTCCACTTAAAAATAAGGTCAATCATCTTTTCATTATTTTATGGGCACTGATAGAAGGTGCTGATTATAGAGAGGCTGCAAGAGCAGGGGTTAAGAATAAAGTCTCTGAGCCAGACTACTTATGTTCGAACCCTGGCTCCTCTGCTGAATGGTCACATAGCTTGGGCAAATTAAGCTCTGTGTACCCAGTTTCCTCATCTGTAAGACGGAGATAATAACAGTATCTTCCTCATGTTTTTTTGTGAGAACTTAATATATGTTAAACATTAAGGACAGTGGCTGACTTACAGCAAATATTCAAATATTGTAACAGAGCTTTATTGAGACGTACTGAAAATGCTTTTTTTTTTTTTTTTTTTTTTTTTTTTTTTTTTTGAGACAGTCTAGCTCTATCACCTAGACTGGAGTGCAGTGGCGTGATCTCAGCTCACTGCAACCTCTGTCTCCCTGGTTCAAGCGATTCTTGTGCCTCAGCCATCCGAGTAGGTGGGATTACAGGTGTGTGCCAGCAAACCCAGCTAATTTTTGTATTTTTAGTAGAGACGGGGTTTCACCATGTTGGCCAGGGTGGTCTCGAATGCCTGACCTCAAGTTACCTGCCTGGCTTGGCCTCCCAAAGTACTAGGATTACAGGCATGAGCCACCACGCCTGGCCAATGCTTTTTTTTTTTTTTTTTTTTTGACAGGGTCTCTCTCTCTGTCACACAGGCTGGAGTGCAGTGTGATCATAGCTCACTGCGGCCTTGAACTCCTGAGCTCAGGCAATCCTCCTGCCTCAGCTTCTCAAGTAGCTGGGACTACAGGTACATGCCACCACACTCAACTAATTTTTTATTTTTTGTAGATACAGGGTCTTGCTATGTGCCCAAACTGGTCTTGAACTCCTGCCCTCAAGCAATCCACCAGTCCTGGCCTCACAAGTGTTGGGATTACAGGCATGAGCTACTGCACCAAGCAAGAAAATGATTTTCTTTAAAAATCTCAAATAGAACACTGCAATGCTTGGTAAGTTTCCAAGTAATTAATTCTTGATTAAATACTCCATTAAAAACTCACCATTTATTTGCAGATTCCCAAACCACTGTTGTACGGTTTCAGTCTGAGGTGTCGGGTCTGCAAATGGAAAAGGAGTTTTTCCTGGACAAAGATGATTGGAGCTAAACAAACAAACAAAAAAATCCCATAAACTAATAAAAAATTATCAGGTAACTTTTTAAGGTAAAAATATTAGAGAAGGATTTCTTCTGATTTGAATACCTGAACATTTTAGAATAACTATAGAAAACAATATTGGCATAACTATGCTATCTTTAAAAAGCTAAACTCCCATGCCAAAATGCCCAGGGCACTTTGACAGCATTTCTGTATGGCTACTGCCCTCTTATAATTTAAGCATAAAAATCACAAAATGAACAGAAAAAGAAAAAAAACACACAATACAGTCACTGAAAATTAGTTTTCATATTGGAAGCAGTCAGAATTATGACCACTCAATCTCAGCTTTTCTATCTATGTATACAGTTATTATTAAGTACTTTAGGGGGTAAGGCATGACTAATATATATGATACTTTGCACTGGAGACTCACTCCATATAAAATTAAAAAATGAGGCTAAAAATTTCCAAATATTAAACAATTTTATAAACACATTCATGAACACACACACTCCTGTTAAGACTGTTAACCACAGGTCAAAATCATGACAGTGGTTTTTTTTTTTAGACATTCATTTCCCTGGTATCCCCCCGCTTACATGCAGCTTCATATTTATACTAGTATAATGTTACCAAAAAACAAAATGCCTCTGATAGAATTATTCTTACAGTGCTTGATTGTTATCAGGTCTTTCAAAAGATCCAGAACTACTGGATGTCTTTTCTTTAAAGAAGTTAAAAATGTTGGCATTGTTGTCTGTGGGTGAGTACCTCTCTTCATTTTCACCTCCTCCTGATCTTTTGGACACTGAAAGCATTTCTGCTGAGTGACATCGTTCCATTGTATATGTTTTTGCTTGAGACTGACTATTAGAAGTGCCAGATCTATCAGAGGAATAAGCTCTACGAAGGTATCGAGAATGTGGCCTTTCTTCTGCATCTTGAATTACTCTTCCCCTTCCACTATTACTGGTTTCTTGATTTCCCCACTGAGTATAAAAACTGTTTCCATCTCCTGAAGAAGAAAAATCAGTTGAACTTTTATTCTTTGGAAATACAGTCATTTTATTTGGGAGTGGCTGACCAATCAAAAGTCTTCTTTTGTCAAATAAACTACCACTTATACTGGTACTGGAAGAAGCTGTAATTGCAGTAGAAATTGTGGCATGCCCACTATCAATTGAGTCTTCCACAGTTCCTAAATCTTTACTTTTTGTTGAAGAATTTCGGGACATAAAAGGATGGTCCAATACTGAAGACAGACTTAAACGATCTGCTGGATTTCTACGAAGTAACTGGTGAATAAGGTCCTTGGCCTCTATTGACAAAAAAGATGGCATTTCATAATCTGCCAATACTACTTTATTTAATGTGTTCTTGACTGTGTCAGTGTCGAAGGGTGGTCTCCCGATAAGTAATGTATAAAACATACAGCCCAGGGACCAAACATCAGATTCAAGGCCATGTGCACTTCGAGTGGCAATTTCTGGTGAAATGTAGTTAGGAGTTCCACATAATGTATAGTGCTTTTCATGTGGCATTTTCAGTTGAGTTGCCAGCCCAAAATCAGCAATCTTGATGTTCATATTACGAGTCAGTAGGAGGTTAGAAAGTGTGAGGTCCCGGTGTAGTATACCATGAGAATGAAGATACAACATCCCTGTGATGATCTGGTGCATGAAGTGTCGAGCTGTTAGGATTTTAAAAAAGAGAATTTACAATTTAGAAACTCTGGAAGATTCAGTATCTAGTATTTAGTATACATTATGAAACCCAGGTAAATATTCTAGAGCACTGTAGTAGAACAGTGGCTTGGAGCTTAGATTTACCAGCCACTTCAATTACCAGCAATTATCAGAGTGGTACCAACACACCCCTCTAAAGAGATCATATTAACCTTTTTTTTTTTTTTTTTTTTTGAGACGGAGTCTTGCTGTGTCCCTCAGGCTGGAGTGCAGTGGCGCGATCTCGGCTCACAGCAAGCTCCGCCTCCCGGGTTCATGCCATTCTCCTGCCTCAGCCTCCCGAGTAGCTGGGACTACAGGCGCCCGCCACCGTGCCTGGCTAATTTTTTGTGTTTTTAGTAGAGACAGGGTTTCACTGTGTTAGCCAGGATGGTCTCAATCTCCTGACCTCGTGATCCACCCACCTCGGCCTCCTAAAGGGCTGGGATTTCAGGCTTGAGCCACCGCGCCTGGCCTATCATATTAACCTTTAAGAAAACTAGGCATTCCTTTTAATCTTCGTTATTTCCAACTGATGAGCGTTTTACATGCAGTTAAGAGAAGCCTACTTTTTTTTTAGCAACTGAGAGTCATTAGGGTAACCATAGCAATTAAGAAAAACAATTGCACAAACGATTCATACATATTTTCTAATTGTTAAAAAAAAGAAAAAGCTAAAGTTCCAACGATGTCTCCCAAACTTTCCCAAGTAATCAATTTGTAAGCTTTTTTTTTTAGATGGAGTCTTGATCTGTCACCAGGCTGGAGTGCAGTGGCACAATCTCAGTTCACTGCAATCTCTGCCTCCCGGGTTCAAGCAATTCTCCTGCCTCAGCTTCCTGAGTAGCTGGGATTACAGGAGAGCACCACCACACCGAGCTAATTTTTTTTGTATTTTTAGTAGAGACGGGGTTTCACCATGTCAGCCAGGATGGTCTTGATCTCCTGACCTTGTGATCCATCCACCTCAGCCTCCCAAGTAGCTAGGATGACAGGCATGAGCCACCGTGCCCGGCTAATTTTTGCATTTTTAGTAGAGATGGGGTTTTACCATATTGGCCAGGCTGGTCTCGAACTCCTGACCTCAGGTGATCTACGTGCCTCAGCCCCCCAAGGTGCTGGGATTACAGGCGTGAGCCACTGAGCCCAGCCTAATAAGGCCTTTTTTAATGAAGTATTATAAAAAACTGCAGTAGTCATTATCAAGATGAGTATCAATTTTTTTTCAATTTGTATTATTTCTTTGGAATAAACTTCCAACAATGGAATCTGAGTCAAAGAATATAAATATTTCCGTAACTCTAAATACATATGTCCGAATTGTTTTCCAAATGGCTTATATAGATTCAGATGTACAAGAAGCCTATCAGCAACTACTTCTGTTAGCTTGTCTGTAATCTCAGTTAGCAGAGCAAGATAACTTGAAAACAATCATTTGTGTCAATGTATAGACCTTATTTGGTTCTGCTTTGAACTGCAAAAAATTATGAGAAATTGAGGAAGTCTGAAGCTATATATTTGATAGTAAATAATTATTAGGTGTGATAATGACTTTGTGGCTACGTTTTTAAAGAAGTCTATACTTTGAAATATTTCTAGTTAAAAATATGTCTATAATTTGCTTCAAAATACTTTGGAAAATCAAGGTAGTAAAAACAGTAAAGATGAAATAATATGACCATGAGTCACTAGTTTTGGAAGCTGAGTGTTAAGTTCAGGGGACTCATTATAGCACACTACCTGTATGTTTCATGTTTTCTATAATAAACAGTTTCAATGGCTATTTATGCTTGATTTAGAACTACTTTATAGTCACCAATGACATCCTAAAAAGGTTACTACATTTGAAAAGATACACAGTAAACTGCTACCAATAATTTAATTTAAAATGTGGTTTTAAGGACAGAAGGATAACAAATTTCTTACTTTACTACCGTAATAATTGAATTGTTTTAAGAATTAGCAGCTTGGGATGTAGGAAATCTCCTTTTCTAGCTTAAAGTAATAATTCAAACAGTTTTACTATATATTATAAAATAGCATATTCCTCAAAACTACACTTTAAAATGCAAAACTTTTATCCACCCAAACAAAACAAACAAAAAAAACCACACACCTACCTTCATTTTCTGAGAAGGGTTTCACTCTATTCTTTAGATACCTGTTCATTTCTCCATTATGGCACATTTCTAATACCAGATACACATAATTGCTATCTTCAAAATAGTTATAAAGCTGAAATGTGAAAGGGCATAATAAATTAAAATATACAAAAATTCAGTGTCCTTGGTCACTTCTACAAAATTTATATCTTACCTCCAAGATAGAAGGATGTTTCAATTGGCAATGTATTTTCACCTCATTTTGGACTCTCTGTACCATTCCTGCTTTGTACATGGCTTTCTTATCTATCTAAAAATAACAGGTTTAAATGTTGACAGACTTTCAAATATAAACTGCTTAAAAGTGAACTTTGAAAATAAAGTATACTTTAAAATAGACTGAAGTCCTTTTATACGTCTTTGTGGTCAACCTACTGTTATCTGTTTTCCCCATGCACCTAGCAGAGTGCTCGGCAGAGAGGGTGCTTGGTAAAAGTTTGACCAATTAATTCTAATATCCTATCTCAATTTAAATAATCTAATAGCACAACTAGCCTAACTATTAAGAAAAAAAAATCCCAATTCAGGCAAATTTTAGAGCAAAACCTCCAGTTCTTTTTCTAAGTGGTTTAGATAAATGATTTTTTTTTTTTAAAGGCAGGGTCTCACTGTCACCTAGGCTGGAGTGCAGTGGCATGATCACAGTTCACTGCAGCCTCAACCTCCCAGGCACAATCTATCCTCCCACCTCAGCCTCCTGAGTAGCTGGGACCACAGGCACATGCCACCACGCTTGGCTAATTTTTTTTTTTGAGATGGGAATTTAGCTCTTGTTGCCTGGGCTGGAGTGCAATGGCGCGATCTCAGCTCACCACAACCTCTGCCTCCCGGGTTCAAGCGATTCTCCTGCTCAGCCTTCAGAGTAGCTGGGATTACAGGTGTGCAGCACCACACCCGGCTAATTTGGTATTTTTAGTAGAGATGGGGTTTCTCCATGTTGGTCAGGCTGGTCTTGAACTACCGACCTCAGGTGATCCACCCGCCTCGGCCTCCCAAAGTGCTGGGATTACAGGCGTGAGCCACCGTGCCCAGCAGCAGCTAATTTTTGTATTTTTGGTAGAGAGGAGGTTTCACCATGTTGCACAGTTGTTTTCAAACTCCTGAGCTCAGGTGATCCACCTGCCTCAGCCTCCCAAAGCGTTGAGATTACAGGTGTGAGCCACCCACCCGGCTGACAAATAATTCTTAATTTGCTTATGTTTATGTTACTCCTATTAGGCTGACTTCTAACAATCAAGAATAATATTTTGTATGTTACAGGGAAATACAAAATTATACACAGTGAACTATAAACAAATTATTTGTTAGTTGATTTCTACTCATTACTCCAAGTATGGATAATTACACCACATACGAGGTCTACTGAACATTAATGAAGATAAAACTTACTTAAGCAAGGTCAAGGCTTTCCTAAAATATTTTTAAGTTCAACGGCTGGACTTGGCACTATTGTCTTCTGCCTATGTAAAGTGTTCCTTACACTATAATCAAAGGAAAGGCTAGTAGACAAGGAGTTTCTGACATCTCTGATACCTCTCTAGTTACTTGCAAAGTACAGGAGAGAAGTTGATTAGTTTATTCTTACCATTTTGATTGCAACTTCCAAACCAGTGTGAATGGACTCAGCTCTGTAGACACCAGCAAATGATCCTTTACCAAGCAGATTTCCAACTTTAAAATCCTTAAAAGTTAAAATTAAAGATTATGTGTGATGACTCACAGTAGAAAGGAAGATGGGAAGGGGCTGGAAAAAGAAGATAAAATGGATCGAGTGGGGAATTTGACAAAATTCAAGCGGGTATTACACCTCGATGCAGCAGGTGTCTAGGGTGGAAGGCATGTTGACTCCGTGCGGGGATACCTGCGCTTCCAGGCTGGACTGGAAGCTCAGGGTGATGGTGCACCCTAGTGATCTGGTTCCTCAACCTCAGTGCAGCCTAAGCGCCCTCCTCCCATCTCCAGCCAATCCCCGGGAGCGGAGGGCTCGGTCAGAATCCCGCCGCAGCTCCCGCCGGAGATAACCGCCATCCCCTTGGAGAAGTGGGAGGTAGCCCTGCCCTGCTCTAACGCGGTAGCTCGGGCGGGATTGCTGAAAGAAAGCCGCAGTGCCTCGGGACACTGCCGGGCGGGGAGGGACTCACCTGTCCCGCCTTCCCTACTCTTGTCTCTTGAGGGGCGGGCCGCTCCGCCCCTAAACAGCAGGGGTCTGGGCCGTTGGGACCCTCCCTAAGCACCTCGGTGCCCGCCCCGCAGCCGTTAGCTTCGTTCGCTCCCCTTCCCACAGCGGTCTCGTGTCCTCCCACAATTACTCCCACCCGCCCCGCTGCAGACTGCCGAGTCTTTTCACCTCGATCTTCTCCCCGATGCAGGTCGCCATATTTCCAGGCTCTGGCCTGGGTTCTCCGGATTAGCTTCCTTCACGCAGTCCCTTCGAGGCAGCGCTCCAAGCAGCCAGCCGGCCTTGGCGCCCATCAGGCTCGGCTCTCTAAACCGCCGCTCCAGGCGACGACGCTGAAACCACGGAAAGTTCTCCCTGACACCTTCCGAGGCCTGGGCGGTGCCTCTGGGCTCCCATTTTGAAAATCTCCCGCCGCTTGCCGTCCGAGCTAGGCTGGTGGTGACGTAACGAGATGGATCGCTCCGGATAGGCTGCGCCGGGGCGCGCATGCGCGGCAGACCTTCCTTTGCGGCCGGCCCAGGGTTCTAGACTTCGGGGCCAAGGGCCGGAAGCGCTGCGGAGAGTTTAGTTCGGGCGGGAGGCTGTCTCGGGCCCACTCTCGGAAGAACTTCTGCAAGACGGGTAAAAGAGCAGGCCTTAAAGATGGGACACTTATGGCTGATCGGTTACTTCACGGTCCGAAATACCACTTCTAATTCCGGAAAGGGTTTAAAACTATTTTAAAATGTCAAGCGTTTAAGACTTGACGGAACAGGGCAAAAAACATTACCTTCCTTTAAGGAACACCGTTTACACCACTACCGCTTATTCCGTAGTTTGTTATAACTGTAGTTAATGTGTACGGTACCTTAAGAAAACGAACTCCATTCTTTATTTTGGCAAACTCCTAAGTATTTAATATTATAATGTCATTTGTATAATAATTTACAGTTAGATCTCT
The DNA here is from genome assembly GCF_000001405.40 of Homo sapiens. NCBI lineage: Eukaryota > Metazoa > Chordata > Mammalia > Primates > Hominidae > Homo > Homo sapiens. The sequence goes on along the minus strand of NC_000004.12, from coordinate 127,880,392 downwards.
CATACACATAATTTGTATGGATCAAAAGAGACCTCTGTAAGTTTGGGATGGTGTTTTGCAGGTGAGAAAAGTGTGATGCTTAAGGAAGGATATTTAACAAACAGAAGTAGCGCACAAACTTAGATCTTCTGTTATTAAGTGAAAGCTCTTTTCCTTGATGTTAGTGTGTATTTCTTTTTCTTTTTCTTTTTTCTTTTGAGATGGAGTCTCGCTCTGTCGCCCAGGCTGGAGTGCAGTGACTCGATCTCGGCTCACTGCAGCCTCCATCTCCTGGGTTCCAGCGATTCTCCTTCCTCAGTCTCCCGGGTAGCTGGGATTTACAGGTACGCGCCACCACGACTGGCTAATTTTTGTATTTTTAGTAGAGACGGGGTTTCACCATGTTGGCCAGGCTGGTCTCGAACTCCTGACCTCAGGTGATCCGCCTGCGTCGGCTTCCCAAAGTGCTAGGAATACAGGCGTGAGCCTCCATGCCCGGCCCATTTTTTTTTTTAAACTTTTTAGTTTCAAATAATTTTAAGCTTACAGAAAAGTTGTAAAAATAATAGAGAACTCCTGTTGTCCTTTACTCAGATTAACCAATTCTTAACATTTTGCCACACTTGTTTTTACTATTCTTCATGTGTAATATACATGTATAAATATATAAATAAGCCTATTATTTGTATTTTATGAATCATTCTAAAATAGGTTACATACACTATGCTCTTATACCCCTTATTTCTAAAGTGTGAATTTCTTAAGAACCAGGGTATCCTCTTGTATGTTTATCAAATTAAGGATATTTAGCATTGATACAATATTTATATTTAATCTAATCTACAGTTCATATTCCGATTTGTCAATTGTTCCAGTAATGTCTTTATTTAACATTTTTTCCTTCCAGTATAGATCTAGTACAGGATCACATACCGTATTTAGTTACCATATCTTTTTAATTTCCTTTAATATGGAAGAGTTCCTCAGCATTTGTATTTTTGTGACATTGAGATTTTTGAAGAGTGCAGGCCAATTATTTATCATTCGTTCATTTGTTCATTCCAGTATTACTGAGGTATAGTTGACAAAAATTGTATTTATTCAAGTTGTACAGCATGATGATTTCATATACATTGTGAAATGATTACAACAATCAAATTAACACATTGTCACCACTCTTAGGAGTGTGTGTGTGTGTGTGTGTGTGTGTTAAGGGCCAGTTATTTTACAGAATCTTCCCTACTTTGGGTTTGTCTCGTGTTTCCTCATGATTAGATTCAGGTTATGTATTCCTGATTGTAATATTACATACATGAGGTTATATTCTTTCCAAGAGACCACATTTGGAGGCACGTGATATTGTTTGTCTCTCATTAGTGATGTTAATTTGATCCCAGTTTCTCCACTGTATAAATTGCTGGTTTTCTACTTGCAACTAATAAGCAATCTATGGGGGAGACACTTGAATTTCCTGCAAATATTCTGCTCCTCAGCAAACCCCTCTCTCACAATTTAGCAGTATTATTGATTTTTCCTAAACTAGTCTTTACTATGATAGTTACAAAATGATAATTGTTCTCTTTCCATATGTATTAGAAACAATTTTGCCAAAAAGATGAGCCCCGCCTGGTGTGGTGGCTCAAGTCTGTGATCCCAGCACTTTGGGAAGTTGAGGCAAGCAGATCGCTTGAGCCCAGGAGTTCCAGATCAGCCTGGGCAAAATAGTGGAAACACAGTCTCTACAAAAAATACAAAAATTAGCCAGGGGAGGTGACTTGCACCTGTGGTCCCAGCCACTCAGGAAGCTGAGGTGGAAAGATCACTTGAGCCTGGGTGGCAAAGGCTGCAGTGTGCCAGGTTCATGCCACTGCACCACAGCCTGGGCGACAGAGCGATACCCTGTCTCCAAACAAACAAACAAACAAAAAACAACCAGAAGAGCCCTACATTTTGCCCTGTTTAATGATATACAGATGGTCCCCAACTTATTATTATGATGGTACAATTTATGATATTTTGTCTTTACAATGTATTTATAAGGCTATTAAATGCATTTTTTGACTTAGGATATTTTTGACTCATGATGAATTTATTGGGATGTAGCCCCCTCATAATTCAAGGAACATCTGTGTTTTCAGTATGAATTTAGGGATTCCCAGATTATTGAATCAGTTATAATCCATTTCCTCAAAGGATTATAATCCATTACCATCTTATTTTGGTGTTCAAAGTGTCTGAGATTTGTTTAGTGAGAGCTCCTTTCAACCTAGCTGTTTTGATAGGACATATATATATAAAAGCAGTTCTTTACTTTCTGGTACAACAAGATGTTCTAATTTTATTTTGGGCTTTCTCTCACCCAGCACTGAAAGGAGCCATTTCTGCAAAGTGTCCTGACACCTTACAGTAGAAAATGGTGCTTAAAAAACAATATCTGGGAGCTTAGCAAGCTTATTGCGACTTAGGTGTCATTGCATCTATGCCTTTTCAGCAGATGAAACTAAAGAAAAAAATATTAGTAATCATGAGTTCAAGCTGATATCACCAATTCTAATCTAATTTCACATAGTTGTTCCTACTACCTTAAATTTCTATTTAATCACTGTTACCATATATACATAATTTTAAAAATCAAATTGTTTTATAACAAATATTAATAACAAGCATACAAACTCTGCATTTCTGCTTCCCAGATGCAACCCTCTTCAATTCATTTAACTGTTCATTTTTATATATTCTACCGTATTTCTAAATAACATGCTTATTTTCTTTTTTGATTTTTTTCAGTTATAGATTTAGCTCTATTAACTTTCTATTGTGGAAGATGAGGAACTATTTCTTTAGTTGCTTTTACTTTCACCCCTTTTCTTTTTCTTTTTTTGACACAGCGACTTGCTCTGTCACCCAGGCTGGAGTGCAATGGCACGATCTCAGCTCACTGCAACCTCTGTCTCCCAGGTTCAAGTGATTCTCCTGCCTCAGCCTCCTGAGTAGCTGGGATTACAGGCACACGCCACCACACCTAGCTAATTTTTGTATTTTTAGTAGAGACGGGATTTCACCATGTTGGCCAGGCTGGTCTCGAACTCCTGACCTCAGGTGATCCATCTGCCTCAGCCTCCCAAAGTGCTGGGATTACAGGTGCGAGGCACCATGCCCGGCCACTTTCATCCCTTTGTGTCCTCAGTTCTTGTGACCTCATTCTCTAAATGTAATTACCTCATAAGTTTTTGTTTTTTCTTTGAGACTGAGTTTCGCCCTTTGCCCAGGCTGGGGTGCAATGGTGCGATCTCAGCTCACTGCAACCTCTGCCTTCCAGGTTCAAGCGATTCTCCTGCCTCAGCCTCCTGAGTAGCTGGGATTACAGGCATGTACCACCAAGCCTGGCTAATTTTTGTGTATTTTTAATAGAGACGGGGTTTCTCCATGTTGGTCAGGCTGGTCTCGAACTCCTGACCTCAGGTGATCTGCCTGCCTCCGCCTCCCAAAGTGCTGGGATTACAGATATGAGCCACCGCGTCCGGCCTAACTTTTTTTTTTTTTGAGACAGAGTCCCCCTCTGTCGCCTAGGCTGGAGTGCAGTGGCACAATCTTGGCTTACTGCAACCTCTGCCTCCTGGGTTCAAGCAATTCTTGTGCCCCAGCCTCCCAAGTAGCTGGTATTATAGATATGTGCCACCATGCTCTGCTAATTTTTGTATTTTTCATAGAGACAGGGTTTTGCCATGTTGGCCAGGCTGGTCTTAAACTCCAGACTTCAAGTGATCCACCTGCCTCAGCCTCCCAAAGTGCTGGGATTGCAGGCATGAGTCACCATGCCTGGCTACCTCGTAACTTTTGTTTCTCAATATTCAGAGTTTACAATGTTATTACAATTAAGTAAATATTACAGCTGAGATACACAAAATCCTTTCCCCTCTTTGTATAACTTTTAGTTACTTCTACGGTTTAAGAAAATGCAGAACAAAGCTAGTGCTCTCAACAGCACTTTAAGGAATAGTGATGTGTAATTCTGAGGAAGCTGTGTTAAGACTATCTCATCTCATATCTTTACTTGAAATAATGTTTTCCTCTGAGATAGTCTGAGTCAAGAGATTATTCTTTACTAAGATAGTCTATTGGCTATATATAGGGGCTATGTATAGATGAAGGGATTGCAGGGAACTTTCATTTTCTACCTCCCATAGCCTTAATTTTTAAAATATTTATATTGAGCATGGAATTTTTTATTATAAAAAATTTTCAGGCAAAATGATAGGTAGAGAGAACAGTGCAATAATGAATTTCAAAGTTCAATAATTTTTAGAAATGTGTCATAGGGTGAGTTTAACTTTTTTATGACTCTTTGAGTGAGAAGTTCCAGGTGGTGCCATGTCTGTGCAGTCTTAACCAACTGAGGAATCAGACCAGAATTTGGGCTGACCACAGCAGCTAAAAGTGAGTAGAAAAGCATACAGGGTGAGAGAGGGAAACCATAAATTCTATGCAAAAGCTCTGCCCAAATATTTGGCTGTGCCCTGAATTACACATGTGCTGTGCAGATTTTAATGTTAATTGCACAGATTTTTTTTAGCTGCTGCCCACTCCAAGGAAGATAGTTTGGAATTTGAGTTTAGCTCATTTAGATGTCTATAAAAACAACATAATGGTACTTTTTAAGACAAATATAATAAAATCTATTGTATCTAACATGAAGTTTTCAAAATGCCCAGGCTAAAATCTAAAATTAGTAGATATTAACAAAATAAGAAAATGTGACATGAAATTAAAAGAGACAAAACAGAATCAATAGAGACCAACCACAAAGTTGACCAAGATGAAAGAATTAGTACTTAAGGATTTAAAAGTAGCTATTATAACTATTATGCTCCAGAATGCAAAGGAATTTATGCTAGTAATGAATGAGCAAGTAGGAATTTCAACACAGAAATAGGAACTAGAAAAAGAACCAAATGGAAATCATAGACCTGAAAAAAGGGCAAATGAAGACTTTGCTGAATGGGCTTAATAGTAGAGTGGGGATGACAGATGAAGGAATCAGGCAACTTGATGATAGATAAATAGTACTTAAAAAATCTTATGAGCCACCGCCTCAAAAAAAATAATGAATACAGCTTCAGTGATCTGTAGAACGATATTTTTAAAAGACCAATATACGTTATTGGACCCCCACAAGAAAAAAGAGAAAAAGATGGGGGCAAAAAATATTTAAGAAAGAATAGCCAATGAAAAACATAAATATACATATTCAAGAGGCTCAGTCAATCCTAAGCAAGATAAATTCAATGAAAACCACACCAAGGTACATAATAATCAAGTGACAGTCATAATTTGACCATCAAAGTCAAATGATTATCAAAGATAATGAGAAAAATCTTGAAAACAACCAGACAAAAATCAATATATTACACACACAAAAAAGTAACATAAATGATGTTGACTTCTCACAAGAAATAATGGAAGGAAAAAGACAGTGAATTGACATCTTTAAGTGCTGATGAAGAAAGCCCCTGTCAATTCAGAATTCTATTATCTAACAAAAACAGTAATTTAGATAAATGAAAACAAGATAATTCATCATCCACTGACCTGCACTACAAGAAATGCCAAAGGAATTTTTTCACACTGTGTGGATTTGATAAGAAATAGAAACTCATATTGTCAGAAAGTAATCAAGAACATCAGAAATGGGAATTATGGGCTGGGCATGGTGGCTCATGTCTGTAATCCAATCACTTTGGGAGGCCGAGGCAGGCGGATCACTTGGGCCAGGAGTTCGAGACCAGCCTGGCCACCATGGTGAAATCCTGTCTCTACCAGAAATAAAAAATTAGCTGGGTGTGGTGGAGTGTGCCTGTAATCCCAGTTACTTGGGAGGCTGAGACACGAGAATCGCTTGAACCCAGGAGGTGGAGGTTGCAGTGAGCTGAGATCGCACCACCACACTCCAGCCTGGGTGACAGAGTGAAACCCTGTCTCAAAAAAGAAAAAAAAAGAAAGAAAGAAATGGGAACTATGTAGATAAATATAAAGAACTATTATTTTGTTTCTTTATTTCTTTAAAATACACATCAGTAAATAATGTGAAAATTAAAATATTTTATTTGGCCAGTTGTATATCTTCTTCCCTTTTAAAAAAATATGAGACAGGGTCTTACTATGTTGCCCAGTTTCATTTCAAACTCCTAGGCTCAAGTGAACCTCCTGCCTCAGCCTCCGAAGTAGCTGGGACTAGAGGTGCGCTTGGCTGTGTATCTTATTTTGAGAAGTGATTTTTCAGGTCATTGGCCCATTTTTTAATAAAATTACTTCTTTCTTGCTATCAAGTTGAGTTCTTTATTTTGATATTAACCCTTTATCAGATGTATGGTTTGCAAATATTTTCTCCCAAGTCATGGGTAGTCTCTTCACTCAGTTGATTGTTTCCTTGCCTGTGCAGAAGCATTTTGGTTTGACACAATCTCAGTTGCCAATTTTTGCTTTTGTTGCCTGTGCTTTTGGGGTCATATTTTAAAAAAATCATCGCCTAGACAAATATCATGGAGCTTATCCTTTATATTTTCTTCTAATAGTCTTACAGTTTCAGGTCTTGTGTTTAAATCTTTGATCCATTCTGTGTTGATTTTTGTATATCAGCTGACATAAGGGTTCACTCTCATTCTGCTGCATGTGGAGGTCTAGTTTTGACAACACCCTTTATTGAAGAGGCTGTCCTTTCCATATTGTGTGTTCTTGGCACTTTTGTTGAAGATCAATTGCCTAAATGTATGGATTTATTTTGGGGCTCTCTATTCTGTTCCATTTGTCTATATGTCTGTTTTTATGTCAGTACCATGTTGTTTTAATTACTATAGCTTTATAAATTATTTTGAAATCAGGTAGTATAATGCCTCCAGCTTTCTTCTTTTTGCTCAAGATTGCTTTGGCTACTCAAGGTCTTTTGTAATTCCAGGTAAATTTTAGGATTGCTTTTTCTATTTCTGTGAAAAATGCCATTACAATTTTGATAGGGACTTCCCTGAATCTGTGGATTGCTTTGTGTAGTATGGTGTATTAGTCTGTTTTCACACTGCTATAAAGAACTACCTGAGACTGGGTAATTTATGCAGAAAAGAAGTTTAATTGACCCACAGTTCTTCAGGCGTAACAGGAAGCATGACAGAGAAATGACCATAGTTCAGATGTCAGGGATTAGCACGGGATTGTGAGGGATGATGGCTCCAGTCCTGAAAAGCCCAACAGTGGCGCCTTTGGAGGGGGCATAGCCATGTTTCCCTCTCTGGTGGTAGTGGAGGGGTCTGCAGTGGGGATGGCTGTTGGTTACCTCAGTTGCTGGTGTCCTCTATAGAGCAGGTGAGTGGGGACCACAGTAGCCCATGCTGTGCGGCTGATACTAATAGCTCCTACCCTTGTCTTTTGTTCCTGTCTCTAGATGTCTCAGGTATACTGCTGTCCTTTGACTGTTCCACATTGGTTATTCTCCATTTTTCTCCTCCACTGTGTTACCACAAGTTCTTAAATGGGCCCTTGATCCCTCCCAAAGTTATTATCATTTATGGATAACTATTATTATCCATAACAATACTCTGCCATCTTGCTAACATCACTGTCCTCTCCAATTCATTTAATAATTATAAGATTATTTATTTGTTTATTTATTTTGAGACAGAGTCTCGCTCTGTCGCCCAGGCTGGAGTGCAATGGCCTGATCACGGCTCACTGCCACCTCTGCCTCCTGGGTTCAAGGGCTTCTCCTGCCTCAGCCTCCCAAGCAGTTGGGATTACAGGCGCATACCACCACCACTGGCCAATTTTTGTGTTTTTAGTAGAGACGGGGTTTTGCCATGTTGGCCAGGCTGGTCTCGAACTCCTGACCTCAGGTGACCTGCCTATCTCATCCTCCCAAAGTGCTGGGATTACAGGCGTGAGCCGCTGCACCAGCTGACATCTATACAATTTTATTTATTATTATTATTATTATTTAGAAAAAGTCTTGTCTGTTGCCCAGGCTGGAGTGCAGTGGCACGATCTGAGCTCACCGCAACCTCTGCCTCCCACATTCAAGTGATTCTCCTGCCTCAGCCTCCTGAGTAGCTGGGATTACAGGTGCCAACCACCATGCCCGGCTAATTTTTGTTTTTTTAGTAGAGACAGGGTTTCACCATGTTGGCCAGGCGGTCTTGAACTCCTTATCTCAGGTGATCCACCCACCTTGGCCTCCCAGAGTGCTGGGATTACAGGCGTGAGCCACTGCACCCGGCTGACATCTGTGCAATTTTAAAGATACTTCCTTATAGGATGCTTTGGTTCTTCATCTATTTAATCATAATCATAGCTACATCTCTATTTCTTTTTCTTCTTTTCTTTCTTTTTTTTTTTTTGAGATGGAGTCTCGCTCTGTCACCCAGGTTGGAGTGCAGTGGTGCAATCTCACTGCAACCCCCACCTCCCGGGTTCAAGCGATTCTCCTGCCTCAGCCTCCGGAGTAGCTGGGATTACAGGCGTGCACCACCACACTCAGCTCATTTTTGTATTTTTAGTAGAGACGGGGTTTCACCATGTTCACCAGGATGGTTTGATCTCCTGACCTCATGATCTGCCCGCCTCAGCCTCCCAAAGTGCTGGGATTACAGGTGTGAGCCACCACGCCCAGCCATGTCTCTATTTTTTTAAGTAGCAGTACACATTCAATTCACCAATTCCCTACTTTCTGTAATCAGAGTTGGTGTCAGTTGCTTTGTCACTATCATCACATGAAAAGAATAAGGTTCTAGATTTCAAGGCAGCATCTGATACTTGCTTTGCTTAACTACTCTCCTAAAATCAAGACATAGGAACAAGATCCCCCCCAAAACTTATTCAAGTCCTACCGTCTTGCCCACTATGTGTCAAATAGCGGTGTGGTACCCTCATAGCATGTATCCTAGGCTCTGAGAAAAGTAAGGAAAGTCAACATTTAATGAATATTTACAATGTGCCAGGCACTATTCTAAGAAGTTTGCCCACATTAGCTGATCTAATCCTCACATTAGGTTTATTCTTTTTCCATTTTATTGGTGAAGAACAGATACTATTTTACAGATTAAGAATCTGAGGCAGCCTGGCTCCAAAGCCCACTCCAAAGCACCACACGTCAAGTGCTGGCATCCATTATTCATTCTTCCTGCTTTTGCTCCTGCCCCACTTTGTCTATTCACTGCATGGAAGCCAGTGAAATTCTGTTAAAACATTTTAGATCATGTTGGCCCTCTGCTCAATCTCTGCAGTGGTCCCCATCTCACTCAGAGTAAAAGCTGAAGTCCTTTCAGTAGCTTACCATGCTCCTCCACGTGGTCTTCTTTCCCATCACGTATCTGCTTGACCTCACTCCTGCTGTTTTCCCTACATCCACTTCACTCCAGCCACACTGGCCTTCTGACTTCTCCCAATACACCAAGCATACTCCAGCTTTGGCACTTGCTCTTCTCTCAGCCTGGAGGGCTAAGTGACTCACCCTCTCCTCTTTCAAGTCTGTATCTGATGTTAACTTTTCAGCACAGCCTTCCCTGCTCATTCTATTTAAAAACTTCAAGTCCCTCCCTTTTCCTGGAAAACCCTATTTCCCTTCCCTGCTTTATTTTCAGAAGAAGAATCTCAGGCAGCCTGGCCTCTCTGCTTTATTTTCCCTTACACGCTTTAACATCATACTTCTTTATTCTGCTCATGGTCTGTTCCCCCACTAGAATGTCCTCTGTGAAGACAAGTTTTATTATTTGTTCTTTTGCTGCTGTACCTTCACTATCTAGAATAGTACTTAGTGTATAATAAGTCCCCAGAAAAATATTTGATGAATGAATGAATTAATCTAAATATATGGAAGTTGGAGCAGAGGTTGAGAGGCAGAACAAGAATGGGTGGGTACAAGTCTTACAAGGAGGAATACCTCAGAGGCCTGGAACAGAGAGGGTAGGCAGGATTAATGCTAGGACATGGAATAAAGAGGAGGAGGCTGCCTTGGGCTATTACTTGTTCTTCTAACTCCAGGGATCCTTATTTGACCTGTGTGTATCTTCCTGTAGTACAAGGGTTCTTGATTTTGCACAAGATAGTGATTTGACAGTCTGATGAAGCCTATGGACCTTTCTCAGAGCAATGTTTTTAAATGCATAAAATACATAGGATTGCAGGAAATTATTATGAAATAAAATTATCAAAATATTTTATACTTTGTGATGTAATGCAATGTGTATATTTATAAAAATCTAGCAGCTGATTTAATAACTCCTATAGTTTTAAAGTAGCAATGACTGCAAGTAATATTTTATTATACCTACATCTGTAATGCAATGTGAAAATGTTTGCAATTTTTGGTAGTTGCAAAATTACTATAGTGACTTATATAGCTACTACAGTGATTTGTTGTTTATATTTATGGAATCCTAATCTTCAGTCAGATATTAATGAAAATAAATACTTCACTTTTTTTCTCATCGAAAAAATAAAAATAAATAAAAATGTGGTTTATATACGCAATAAAATATTATTTGGCCTTAAAAAAGAAGGAAATCTTTTCATTTGGATAACTTGGATTAACCTTGAAGACATTATACTAAGTGAAATTAGCAATCACAAAAAGACAAATGCTGCATGATTCTGCTTATATGAAGGATTCAAAGAAATCCAACTCATAGAAACAGTGAGTAGAATGGTATTTGGCCCCTTCTACCATGGAAGGGGGAGGGGAAACAGGTAGCTGTTGTTCAACTTTTAGCTCAACTTTGAATCATGAAAGATGAAAAAGTTCTACAGATGTATTGAATTGCAGTGTGCATTTAATTAGTAATACTGTACTGTATGTACACTTAGAAATTGTTAAGAGGGTAGATTTATGTGTTTTTAAAAATATATATTTATGTATCTTTTAGAGAGGGGGTCTCTCTATTTTGTCCAGCAATCTTCTCACCTCAACCATCCCCAGCACACACCACTGCACTGGCCTCTGTGGTGTTTTTTTGTTTGTTTTTCTGCAAAGGAAAAAAAATCGGTCTCGTAAGCCAGACTCTTCTCCTAAAATGCAACCCACTGTATGTGCAGGTGTCATCATTCTATTTGTGCTGCCTGGTAAGAATTAGGCCTCAGGGAATAGGCACAAAATTGCTGATAGCCAGGCTACTGCTATTTTTTAAAAAATAAATTGTTCTTCACCCTTGGTCCTGGAGTTTTATGTATACTACCAAAAGTTGGGTATTTGCCAACTTTACCAGCATCAGTGAGACTGTGTCAGGCTGAGTTACCTTGCAAGTAGGGCAAAATCCAAGACTCTTCAAAGTTTGTGACAAGTTTACAGATAAAATAGATTTTGTTGATTTCCTGATTATTCCTCCATTTCTTGAATAACACTGCTTGGTGATCATAAATTAGTAATTTATTTATTTATTTTGATATGCATAGGGTGAGGCCTGGCAGGGTCCCAAACATGAAGCTTCTGTGTCATCAAGATGCATCACCCTCCTGGCACATTAATTTTTGTCACCAATGAGAAGACTGAGCTTTAGTGTTGTTTTTACTGGGGTTTCATTACACGGACAAAATTGATTAAATCACTGGTCACACGATTGAACTCAATTTCTAGCCCCCTACTCCTCCCTGAAGGTTGGGCTGATTTCACCTTTCAAAAAGCCCAACTCTTTAATCACATGATGTGTCTTTCCATCACGGCGAGCCCACAACCTGAAATAAATTTATGTTTTTATCCCTCGCCACTCCCCACCCTTTCCCCTGAGTCCCCAAAGTCCATAAGTCCATTCTATCATTTTAATGCCTTTGAATCCTCATAGCTTAGCTCCCACTTAAGAGTGAGAACATATGATGTTTAGTTTTCCTTTCCTGAGTTACTTCACTTAGAATAATGGTCTCCAATTCCATCCAGGTTGTTGCAAATGCCATTATTTTGTTACTTTTTATGGCTGAGTAGTATTCATTCCATGGTATGTATGTAATTTCCTAGATTGACTCACAGCCCTCAAGAAAGTGCTATACTTGCAACAGTTTTATTATGGTTTACAGATAAAGTAGATTTTGTTGATAGAAGACACACACAGAGACACACGCACACACGCACACACACAGAGACAACAGCTTTATTATGGTTTACAGATAAAATAGATTTTGTTGATAGAACATATATATATGTATATCTCACATTTTCTTTATCTGCTTGTTGATTGATGGGCATTTGGGCTGGTTCCATATTTTTGTAGTTGATTTGTGCTGCTATAAACATGCATGTGCAAGTATCTTTTTCGTATAATGACTTCTTTTTCTCTGGGTAGATACCCAGGGGTGGGATTGCTGGATCAAATGGTAGTTCTACTTTTAGTTCTTTAAGGAATCTTCACACTGTTTTCCATAATGGTTGTACTAGTTTACATTCCCACCAGCAGTGTAAAAGTGTTTTCTTTTCACCACATCCATGCCAACATCTTTTAAAAAAAATTTTTTTTTTATTATGGCCATGCTTGCAGGAGTAAGGTAGTATCCCATCATGGTTATGATTTGCATTTCTCTGATAATGAGTGATGTTGAGCATTTTTTCTTATGTTTCTTGGTCATTTGTATATCTTTTGACAATTGTCTATTCATGTCCTTAGCCCACTTTTTGATGGAATTGTTTTTTTCTTGCTGATTTGTTTGAATTCCTTATAGATTCTGGATATTATAATAGTCCATTCTCAGATGTATAGATCGCAAAGATTTTCACCCACTCTGTGAGTTGTCTATTTACTGACTATTTCTTTTGCTGTGCAGAAGCTTTTTAGTTTAAGTAAGTCCCATCTATTTATCTTTGTTTTTGTGGCATTTGCTTTTGGGTTCTTGGTCATGAAGTCTTTGCCTAAGCCAGTGTCTAGAAGGGTTTTTCCAGTGTTATCTTCTAGAATTTTTATGGTTTTAGGTCTTAGATTTAAATCTTTGATCCATCTTGAGTTGATTTTTGTATAAGGGGAGAGATGAGGATCCAGTTTCATTCTTCTACATGTGGCTTGCCAATTATCCCAGCACCATTTGTTGAATGGTTTTCTTTGCTTTGTTGAAGATCAGTTGGCTGTAAGTCTTTGGGTTTATTTCTGGGTTCTCTATTTTGTTCCCTTGGTCTATATGCCTGTTTTTTTGTTTTGTTTTGTTTTTTTGAGACAGAGTTTCACTTCTGTTGCCCAGGCTGGAGTGCAGTGGCATGATCTTGGCTCACTGCAACCTCTGCCTTCCAGGTTCAAGCAATTCTCCTGCCTCAGCCTCCTGAATAGCTGGGATTACAGGCACCTGCCACTGCCCCTGGCTAATTTTTTGTATTTTTAGTACAGATGGGGTTTCACCACGTTGCCCAGGCTGGTCTCGAACGCCGCCTGCCTCAGTTTCCCAAAGTGCTGGTATTACAGGCATGAGCCACTGCGCCTGGCCTATATGCCTGTTTTTTATACCAGTACCATGCTGTTGTGGTGACCATGGCCTTATGGTATTGTTTGAACTCAGGTAATGTAATGTGGTGCCTCTAGATTTGTTCTTTTTGCTTAGTCGTGCTTAGGATATGCAGGCTCTTTTTTGGTTCCATATATGAATTTTAGGATTTCTTTTTTCAGTTCTGTGAAGAATGGTTATGGTATTTTGATGGGAATTGCACTGAATTTGTAGATTGCTTTTGGCAGTATGGTCATTTTCATAATATTGATTCTACCCATCATGAGCATGGGATATGTTTCCATTTGTTTGTGTCATCTGTGATTTCTTTCAGCAGTGTTTTGTAGTTTTCCTTGTAGAGGTCTTTCACGTCCTTGGTTCAGTATATTCCTAAGTATTCTATTTTATTTTTGCAGCTATTGTAAAAGGGGTGGAGTTCTTGATTTGATTCTCAGCTTGGTCATTGTTAGTGTATAGAAGGACTATTGATTTGTGTACATTAACTTTGTATCTTGAACTTTTGCTGAATTTATTTACCAGTTCCAGGAGCTTTTTGGATGAGTCTTTAGGGTTTTCTAGGTATATGATCATATCATTGGTGAACAGTGACTGTTTGACTTCTTCTTTACTGATTTGGATGCCCTTTGTTTCTTTCTCTTGATTGCTCTGACTAGGACTTCCAGTACTATGTTGAATAGAGGTAGTGAAAGTGGGCATCCTTGTCTTGTTCCAGTTTTCAGGGGGAATGCTTTAACTTTTCCCCGTTCAGTACATTGTTGGCTATGGTTTGTCATAGATGGCTTTTATTACCTTTCAGTATGTCCCTTTTATGCTGATTTTGCTGAGGGTTTTAATCATAAAGCAATGCTGGATTTTATCAGATGCTTTTTCTGCATCTATTGAGATGATCATATGACTCTTTTTAAAATTTTATTATTATTATACTTTAAGTTTTAGGGTACATGTGCACAATGTGCAGGTTTTTTACATATGTATACATGTGCCATGTTGGTGTGCTGCACCCATTAACTCGTCATTTAGCATTAGGTATATCTCCTAATGCTATCCCTCCCTCTTCCCCCACCCCACAACAGTTCCCTGTGTGTGATGTTCCCCTTCCTGTGTCCATGTGTTCTCATTGTTCAATTCCCACCTATGAGTGAGAACATGTGGTGTTTGGTTTTTTGTCCTTGCGATAGTTTGCTGAGAACGATGGTTTCCAGTTTCATCCATGTCCCTACAAAGGACATGAACTCATCATTTATTATTATTATTATTTATTTATTTATTTTAAAATTATTATTATACTTTAAGTTTTAGGCTACATGTGCACAATGTGCAGGTTAGTTACATATGTATATGTGTGCCATGCTGGTGTGCTGCACCCATTAACTCATCATTTAGCGTTAGGTATATCTCCTAATGCTATCCCTCCCCCCTCCCCCCTCCCCCCACCCCACAACAGTCCCCAGAGTGTGATGTTCCCCTTCCTCTGTCCATGTGTTCTCATTGTTCAATTCCCACCTATGAGTGAGAACATGCGGTGTTTGGTTTTTTGTCCTTGCGATAGTTTGCTGAGAATGATGATTTCCAATTTCATCCATGTCCCTACAAAGAACATGAACTCATCATTTTTTATGGCTGCATAGTATTCCATGGTGTATATGTGCCACATTTTCTTAATCCAGTCTATCATTGTTGGACATTTGGATTGGTTCCAAGTCTTTGCTATCGTGAATAGTGCCGCAATAAACATACGTGTGCATGTGTCTTTATAGCAGCATGATTTATAGTCCTTTGGGTATATACCCAGTAATGGGACGGCTGGGTCAAATGGTATTTCTAGTTCTAGATCCCTGAGGAATCGCCACACTGACTTCCACAATGGTGGAACTAGTTTACAGTCCCACCAACAGTGTAAAAGTGTTCCTATTTCTCCACATCTTCTCCAGCACCTGTTGTTTCCTGACTTTTTAATGATTGCCATTCTAACTGCTGAGATGGTATCTCATTGTGGTTTTGATTTGCATTTCTCTGATGGCCAGTGATGGTGAGCATTTTTTCATGTTTTTTTTGGCTGCATAAATGTCTTCTTTTGAGAAGTATCTGTTCATGTCCTTTGCCCACTTTTTGATGGGGTTGTTTGTTTTTTTCTTGTAAATTTGTTTGAGTTCATTGTAGATTCTGGATATTAGCCCTTTGTCAGATGAGTAGGTTGCGAAAATTTTCTCCCATTTTGTAGGTTGCCTGTTCACTCTGATAGTAGTTTCTTTTGCTGTGCAGAAGCTCTTTAGTTTAATTAGATCCCATTTGTCAATTTTGTCTTTTGTTGCCATTGCTTTTGGTGTTTTAGACATGAAGTCCTTGCCCATGCCTATGTCCTGGATGGTAATGCCTAGGTTTTCTTCTAGGGTTTTTATGGTTTTAGGTGTAACGTTTAAGTCTTTAATCCATCTTGAATTAATTTTTGTGTAAGGTGTAAGGAAGGGATCCAGTTTCAGCTTTCTACATATGGCTAGCCAGTTTTCCCAGCACCATTTATTAAATAGGGAATCCTTTCCCCATTTCTTGTTTTTGTCAGGTTTGTCAAAGATCAGATAGTTGTAGATATGCGGCGTCATTTCTGAGGGCTCTGTTCTGTTCCATTGATCTATATCTCTGTTTTGGTACCAGTACCATGCTGTTTTGGTTACTGTAGCCTTGTAGTATAGTTTGAAGTCAGGTAGCGTGATGCCTCCAGCTTTGTTCTTTTGGCTTAGGATTGCCTTGGCAATGCGGGCTCTTTTTTGGTTCCATATGAACTTTAAAGTAGTTTTTTCCAATTCTGTGAAGAAAGTCATTGGTAGCTTGATGGAGATGGCATTGAATCTATAAATTACCTTGGGCAGTATGGCCATTTTCACGATATTGATTCTTTCTACCCATGAGCATGGAATGTTCTTCCATTTGTTTGTATCCTCTTTTATTTCATTGAGCAGTGGATTGTAGTTCTCCTTGAAGAGGTCCTTCACATCCCTTGCAAGTTGGATTCCTAGGTATTTTATTCTCTTTGAAGCAATTGTGAATGGGAGTTCACTCATGATTTGGCTCTCTGTTTGTCTGTTATTGGTGTATAAGAATGCTTGTGATTTTTGTACATTGATTTTGTATCCTGAGACTTTGCTGAAGTTGCTGATCAGCTTAAGGAGATTTTGGGCTGAGACAATGGAGTTTTCTAGATATACAATCATGTCATCTGCAAACAGGGACAATTTGACTTCCTCTTTTCCTAATTGAATACCCTTTATTTCCTTCTCCTGCCTAATTGCCCTGGCCAGATCTTCCAACACTATGTTGAATAGGAGTGGTGAGAGAGGGCATCCCTGTCTTGTGCCAGTTTTCAAAGGGAATGCTTCCAGTTTTTGTCCATTCAGTATGATATTGGCTGTGGGTTTGTCATAGATAACTCTTATTATTTTGAGATACATCCCATCGATACCTAATTTATTGAGAGTTTTTAGCATGAAGGGCTGCTGAATTTTATTAAGGGCCTTTTCTGCATCTATGGAGATAATCATGTGGTTTTTGTCTTTGGTTCTGTTTATATGCTGGATTACATTTATTGATTTGCATATGTTGAACCAGCCTTGCATCCCAGGGATGAAGCCCACTTGATCATGGTGGATAAGCTTTTTGATGTGCTGCTGGATTCGGTTTGCCAGTATTTTATTGAGGATTTTTGCATCAATGTTCATCAAGGATATTGGTCTAAAATTCTCTTTTTTGGTTGTGTCTCTGCCTGGCTTTGGTATCAGGATGATGCTGGCCTCATAAAATGAGTTAGGGAGGATTCCCTCTTTTTCTATTGATTGGAATAGTTTCAGAAGGAATGGTACCAGTTCCTCCTTGTACCTCTGGTAGAATTCAGCTGTGAATCCATCTGGTCCTGGACTCTTTTTGGTTGGTAAGCTATTGATTATTGCCACAATTTCAGAGCCTGTTATTGGTCTATTCAGAGATTCAACTTCTTCCTGGTTTAGTCTTGGGAGGATGTATGTGTCGAGGAATTTATCCATTTCTTCTAGATTTTCTAGTTTATTTGCATAGAGGTGTTTGTAGTATTCTCTGATGGTAGTTTGTATTTCTGTGGGATCGGTGGTGATATCCCCTTTATCATTTTTTATTGTGTCTATTTGATTCTTCTCTCTTTTCTTCTTTAATAGTCTTGCTAGCGGTCTATCAATTTTGTTGATCCTTTCAAAAAATCAGCTCCTGGATTCATTAATTTTTTGAAGGGTTTTTTTTGTGTCTCTATTTCCTTCAGTTCTGCTCTGATTTTAGTTATTTCTTGCCTTCTGCTAGCTTTTGAATGTGTTTGCTCTTGCTTTTCTAGTTCTTTTAGTTGTGATGTTAGGGTGTCAATTTTGGATCTTTCCTGCTTTCTCTTGTGGGCATTTAGTGCTATAAATTTCTCTCTACACACTGCTTTGAATGTGTCCCAGAGATTCTGGTATGTTGTGTCTTTGTTCTCGTTGGTTTCAAAGAACATCTTTATTTCTGCCTTCATTTTGTTCTGTACCCAGTAGTCATTCAGTAGCAGGTTGTTCAGTTTCCATGTAGTTGAGCAGTTTTGAGTGAGTTTCTTAATCCTGAGTTGTAGTTTGATTGCACTGTGGTCTGAGAGACAGTTTGTTATAATTTCTGTCCTTTTACATTTGCTGAGGAGAGCTTTACTTCCAAGTATGTGGTCAATTTTGGAATAGGTGTGGTGTGGTGCTAAAAAAAATGTATATTCTGTTGATCTGGGGTGGAGAGTTCTGTAGATGTCTGTTAGGTCCGCTTGGTGCAGAGCTGAGTTCAATTCCTGGGTATCCTTGTTAACTTTCTGTCTTGTTGATGTGTCTAATGTTGACAGTGGGGTGTTAAAGTCTCCCATTATTATTGTGTTGGAGTCTAAGTCTCTTTGTAGGTCACTAAGGACTTGTTTTATGAATCTGGGTGCTCCTGTATTGGGTGCATATATATTTAGGATAGTTAGCTCTTCTTGTTGAATTAATCGCTTTACCATTATGTAATGGCCTTCTTTGTCTCTTTTGATCTTTGTTGGTTTAAAGTCTGTTTTATCAGAGACTAGGATTGCAACCCCTGCCTTTTTTTTGTTTTCCATTTGCTTGGTAGATCTTCCTCCATCCTTTTATTTTGAGCCTATGTGTGTCTCTGCACGTGAGATGGGTTTCCTGAATACAGCACACTGATGTGTCTTGACTCTTTATCCAATTTGCCAGTCTGTGTCTTTTAATTGGAGCATTTAGTCCATTTACATTTAAAGTTAATATTGTTATGTGTGAATTTGATCCTGTCATTATGATGTTAGGTAGTTATTTTGCTCATTAGTTGATGCAGTTTCTTCCTAGTCTCGATGGTCTTTACATTTTGGCATGATTTTGCAGCGGCTGGTACCGGTTGTTCCTTTCCATGTTTAGTGCTTCCTTCGGGAGCTCTTTTAGGGCAGGCCTGGTGGTGACAAAATCTCTCAGCATTTGCTTGTCTGTAAAGTATTTTATTCCTCCTTCACTTGTGAAGCTTAGTTTGGCTGGATATGAAATTCTGGGTTGAAAATTCTTTTCTTTAAGAATGTTGAATATTGGCCCCCACCCTCTCCTGGCTTGTAGAGTTTCTGCCGAGAGATCCACCGTTAGTCTGATGGGCTTCCCTTTGTGAGTAACCCGACCTTTCTCTCTGGCTGCCCTTAACATTTTTTCCTTCATTTCCACTTTGGTGAATCTGACAATTATGTGTCTTGGAGTTGCTCTTCTCGAGGAGTATCTTTGTGGCATTCTCTGTATTACCTGAATGTTGACCTGCCTTGCTAGATTGGGGAAGTTCTCCTGGATAATATCCTGCAGAGTGTTTTCCAGCTTGGTTCCATTCTCTCCATCACTTTCAGGTACACCAATCAGACGTAGATTTGGTCTGTTCACATAGTCCCATATTTCTTGGAGGCTTTGTTCGTTTCCTTTTATTCTTTTTTCTCTAAACTTCCCTTCTTGCTTCATTTCATTCATTTCATCTTCCATCACTGATACCCTTTCTTCCAGTTGATCGCATTGGCTCCTGAGGCTTCTGCATTCTTCACGTAGTTCTCGAGCCTTGGCTTTGAGCTCCAACAGCTCCTTTAAGCACTTCTCTGTATTGGTTATTCTAGTTATACATTCATCTAAATTTTTTTCAAAGTTTTCAATTTCTTTGCCTTTGGTTTGAATTTCCTCCTGTAGCTCGGAGTAGTTTGATCGTCTGAAGCCTTCTTCTCTCAACTCGTCAAAGTCATTCTCTGTCCAGCTTTGTTCCGTTGCTGGAGAGGAACTGTGTTCCTTTGGAGGAGGAGAGGCGCTCTGCTTTTTAGAGTTTCCAGTTTTTCTGCTCTGTTTTTTCTCCATCATTGTGGCTTTATCTACTTTTGGTCTTTGATGATGGTGATGTACAGATGGGTTTTTGGTGTGGATGTCCTTTCTGTTTGTTAGTTTTCCTTCTAACAGACAGGACCCTCAGCTGCAGGTCTGTTAGAGTTTGCTGGAGGTCCACTCCAGACCCTGTTTGCCTGGTTATCAGCAGCAGTGTCTGCAGAACAGCGGATTTTCATGAACCGCGAATGCTGCTGTCTGATCGTTCCTCTGGAAGTTTTGTCTCAGAGAAGTACCCGGCCGTGTGAGGTGTCCGTCTGCCCCTACTGGGGAGTGCCTCCCAGTTAGGCTACTCGGGGGTCAGGGGTCAGGGACCCACTTGAGGAGGCAGTCTGCGTGTTCTCAGATCTCAAGCTGCGTGCTGGGAGAACCACTACTCTCTTCAAAGCTCAGTTGGAAATGCAGAAATCACCCGTCTTCTGCGTCGCTCACGCTGGGAGCTGTAGACTGGAGCTGTTCCTATTTGGCCGTCTTGGCTCCTCCTGACTTTCGTTTTTAATTCTGTTTATGTGGTGTATCACATTTATTGAATTGTGGATATTAAATCATCCCTGCATTCCTGGTATGAAACCCACTTGATCGTAGTGGATTATCTGTTTGATATGCCATTGGACTCTGTTAGCGTTTATTTTGTTGAGGATTTTTGCATCTGTGTTCATCAGGGATATTGGTCTGTAGTTTTTTTTTTTTGTCATGTCTTTTCCTGGTCTTGGTATTAGGGTGATACTGGGTTCATAGAATGGTTTAGGGAGAATTCCCTCTTCCTCTGTCTTTTGGAATAGTGTCATTAGGATTGATACCAGTTCTCCTTGGAATATCTGATAGAATTCAGCTGTGAATCCATCTGGTCATGGACTTTTTTTGTTGGCAAGTTTTTAATTAGCATTTCAATCTCACTTCAATAACAGTGAGATTATTGGTCTGTTCAGAGTTTCTGTTTCTTCCTGGTTTAATCTAGGAGGGTTGTACATTTCCAGGAATTTATCCATCTCCTCGAGGTTTTCTAGTTTATGTGCATAAAGATGTTCATAGTAGCCTTGAATGATCTTTTGTATTTTTGTGATATTGGTTGTAGTATCTCCCATTTTGTTTCTAATTGATCTTATTTGCATCTTCTCTCTTTTCTTGGTTAATCTTGCTAATGGCCTATCGATTTTATTTATCTTTTAAAGAACCAGCTTTTTGTTTCATGTATCTTTTGTATTTTGCGGGGGAGGGGTTTCAAGTTCATTTAGTTTTGGTCTGATCTTGGTTGTTTCTTTTCTTCTGCTGGGTTTGGGTTTGGTTTGTTCTTGTTTCTCTGGCTCCTGAAGTGTGACCTTAGAGTGTCTATTTGTGCTCTTTCAGACTTTCTGATGTAGGCATGCAATGCTATGAACTTTCCTCTTAGCACCACCTTTACTGTATCCCAGTGGTTTTGATAGGTTATGTCACTGTTATTGTTCAATTCAAATAATTTTTCAATTTCTGTCTTAATTTTATTGTTGACCCAACAGTCATTCATAAGAGGTTATTTAATTTCCATGTATTTGAATGGTTTTGCGGGTTCCTTTTGGAGATGATTTCCAATTTTATTCTACTGTGATCTGACAGAGTACTTGCTATAATTTAAATTAAATTTGTTGAGACTTGTTTTGTGGCCTATCATATGGCCTATCTTGGAGAATGTTCCACGTACTGTTGAATAGAATGCATATTCTGCAGTTGTTAGGTAGAATGTTTTGTAAATATCGTTAAGTACATTTGTTTGAGGGTATAGTTTAAGTTCATTGTTTCTTTGTTTACTTTCTGTCTTGATGACCTGTCTAGTCCAGTCAGTGGAGTATTAGAGTCCCCCACTATTACTGTGTTGCCATCTATCTCATTTCTTGGGTCTAGTAGTAATTGTTTTATAAATTTGGTAGTTCCAGTGTTAGGTGCATATATATTTAGGATTGTGATATTTTCCTGTTGGACTAGTCCTTTTATCATTATATAATGTCCCTCTTTGTCTTTTTTAACTGCTGTTGCTTTAAAGTTTGTTTTGTCTAATATAAGAGTAGCTATTCCTGCTCACTTGTGATGTCCATTTGCATAGAATATCTTTTTCCACTCCTTTAACTAAAGTTTATGTGAGTCCTTATGTATTAGGTGAATCTCTTGAAGGGAGCAGATACTTGGTTGGTGAATTCTTACCCATTCTGCAATTTTGTATCTATTAAGTAGAGCATTTAGGCCATTTACATTCAATGTTAGTGTTGAGATGTGAGGTACTATTGTATTCATTGTGCTAGTTGTTGCCTATATATCTTTTTTTTTTTCATTGTGTTGTTGTTTTGTAGGTTCTGTGAGATTTATGCTTTAAAGAGATTCTATTTTGGTATATTTTGGGGATTTGTGTCAAAATTTAGAGCTCTTTTTAGCAGTTCTTGTAGGGCTGGTTTGGTAGTGGCAAATTCTCTCAGCATTTATTTGTCTGGAAAATACTTTATTTTTCCTTCACTTATGAAGCCTAGTTTTGCTGGATACAAAATTATTGGCTGCTAATTGTTTTGTATAAGGAGGCTAAAAGATAGGAACCCCAGTCCCTTCTAGCTTTTGGGTTTCTGCTGATTAATCTGCTGTTAATCTGATAAGTTTTCCTTTATAAGTTACCTGATGCTATTTTCCCACGGATCTTAAGATTCTTTCCTTCATCTTGACTTTAGACAACTTGATGACTATGTGCCTAGATAATGATCTTTTTGCAATGCATTTTCTGGGTGTTCTTTGAATAGTGGTTTTCCTGTATGTCCTAATTATTGTCAGTTTGATTCCATTCCATATACATCATTCCTTCCTTTTTAACAGAATCCCAATTTTTTGAGGAAAAGTAACATACAAGGTGAGAAACTAAATTTTTGAGCTTACTTTGCAGATACAGGTAGCCTTGACACTAAGTTCTGGGCAAAGCACATGTGTCACAGTTACTGTGTGAAGGTTCTAGGAATGTTTTCTTGTTGTTGTTTGTTTGTTTTCATTTGCATGGTGAATAGGCCTCTTTTGTTCTTCCCCCTTTATGAGGATTTTTTTCCTGGAATGTGGATATTAATGCTTTATAAAAGAAATTACTTAAAATACTAGGCCAGTGAAAATTAATAAAGAGGAAGTGGAAGAATGATTATCTGTCAAGCTGTCTGATGTCAAGGTGGTTAATGAGGACAGTGATCCAAACTGAAAGTAGCCTTCAAAACTTTATTCACTTGCTACGATAGTTCAGGCAACAGACAAAGAAAAAGTGCCAGCTCCTCAGTGTTTCATTTCACTCCATGCAATGGCATTGGGTGAGGGCCAGTCCGATGACAGGCAAGGCAGGTGGGTGGGTAGAGAATGCCTCACTGCTGAAAAGCACTGAACAAAAGGCTTCTGCCATTTATGGACCTACGCTAGGTCTACAGGGAGGAAAAGGGAAGGGCTAGCAGTGGAAAAGTACTGGGTCAAAGGGGAAAAGTGTCTTAGTCAGGGGCCCCTTACAAGGACATCTCCGTGGAGGCACCCACCTTTTAAGGAGGTCTCTGAGTGGAGGCACCTGGATTAAGCCTGCTGAATGTATAAGCAATGATGGCCCTAGGCAGGGGTTGGGAGCTGAGTACTTGTCTGCAGCTGTCCAGAGACTACAGTGCATTGACTGTGCATCAAATCTGATGTGGGTAGGGCAGTTTTCCCCCATGAGGCCTCCTAAGCAAAACTTGTGGTTGGACTTGAAGTGTCACACACAGGAATTTGGCCTGGAACCAGACTCCTCATTACCAAGTAAGGAGGAATTTAAAGTTAAAAGGAATAACAAGCATAAAAAAGGATGTTACATAATGATAGAAGTCACAACTGATTAAAAAGATCTTATAAATCCCTTTGAGACAGAGCAGGGACCCCTCTTAGTGGCTTATAACTCCCCTACCTTGAAAGCATGAAAATAAAGGAAAATCTTGAGTTCCTTCAAGGGAAATTCCAGATACCTAGTGAACTCTGAGCAGTAAATGAGCAACTTCAAAAGCAAGGTTATAGTAGCTTAAAAATGATATCAAGGTAGTTAGAGTCATAAGATATTTTGTTCCATATAGAAACTAAAGATAAAATCTTAACATGTGTCCCTGAATTACTTTTCAGAAACCTGTACCCCTGCCAAATGGATGCACTGGCACATACATAGACCTCAGATAAGGGGGAAACAGAGGACTGAACTCTGACTACCCTTCCTTGTTCTAAAATTCTTCTTGAGGGGCTTGGAGGAAGTCACACCCATGAGGCAGTGCTAATTCTTTTCTGCTGACCTGAAATTTTTAAACAAAGCTTCTCTTTCTTAACCATTTACAAATCAGAAAATCTTTGAATTTACCTAAGATCTGTAAGACCCCATTTTAAGATATTCAGCCTCTTTAGGTCAAACCAATGTATAACCTCCACATATGGATTTATGACTTTGCCCATCACCTCTGTCTCTCTACCTTTAAAAACCCTTACTTGTAAGCCGTTGGGGAATTCAGGTCTTAGCATGAGCTACCTAATTCTCTTTGCTTGGTGCCCTGCAAATAAATGCCTCACTTTCTTTCTTTCTTTTTTTTTTGAGACGGAGTCTCTCTCTGTCGCCCAGGCTGGAGTGCTGTGGCGCGATCTCGGCTCAATGCAAACTTTGCCTCCAGGGTTCAAGCAATTCTTCTGCCTCAGCCTCCCAAGTAACTGGGATCATAGGTGTGCACCACCATGCCTGGCTAATTTTTGTAGTTTTAGTAGAGATGGGGTTTCGCCATGTTGGACACACTTGTCTCAAACTCGTGACTTCAGGTGATCTGCCTGCCTCAGCCTCCCAAAGTGCTGGGATTACAGGCGTGAGCTACTGTGCCTGGCCAAATGCCTCACTTTCTCTCACTGCAGCCCTGATGTCAGAGTTTGGCTTTGCAGTGCTGCATAGGCAGGCCCAGGTTTGATTCGGTAATACTTTGAACCAAAAACTATAGTGGTTAAATACACAAAAGTATTAGAAATTCAAGAACATGATTTTTTAAAAAAGCATCTATAGTGGGAGATAGCATTATAACTGTGATACATATGGAATTAAATTTTAACAGGCTTGTGTATATATACAAGTATACACACACCTGTGTGGATATATGTCTATGTGTGGATATATGTCTGTAAGTATGTAAACATATATGGCAACTGTCTCAAACTAGTTTAGTAGCATTTTATTTTTGTTGCTGCCAAGGAAGACAACCATCTGAGATAAAATGTGCTTTTCAACTCAGGATCTGGTTTTGGTAAAAGGCGAAAGATTTATGTGATCTGAAGAGAAACCAGAGTATAGGAACTGGTTTTGGTTAGGTACTTTTTAGAACATTATTTGTTGTCATGAATTATAGTTCTCATATTGTGATCAATAACTAATATGTTTAATATTCATTTAGATTTACTCTCATATTTATTTGTGTTTTCTGGTGTAGTCTTTTTCTTGCATTTTCCTTCTGTTTGAAGAATTCCCTATTAGTATTATTTTTGGTGCATATTTGGTAAGAACCAAAGAGTTTTTATATGAGAGAGTATTTTGTGTTCATTTCTGAAGGGTATTTTCACTGGGTATAGAATTCTAGGTTAATAGATATTTTCCCTTTTTCTTCACTACTTGAAGTAGTGGACATTTCATTCTTTTGTCTCTTGGAGTTCATCATTTACATTGAAAATCAGCCATTAACTAGTCTTATTGCTCTGTAGAGGAGAAATGGTCTTTTTCTCCTTTTCAACAGTTTTACAACTCTCTTTCTTTTTGTTGTTGTTGTTGAGATGGAGTCTCGCTCTGTTGGCCAGGCTGGAGTGCAGTGGCATGATCTCGGCTCACTGCAACCTCCACCTCCCAGGTTCAAGCGATTCTCCTGCCTCAGCATCCTGAGTAGCTGGGATTACAGGTGCCCGCCACCATGCCTGGCTAATTTTTTGTATTTTTAGTAGAGACGGGGTTAGCCAGGATAGTCTCGATCTCTTGACCTTTTGATCTGCCCGCCTCGGCCTCCCAAATTGCTGGGATTACAGGCGTGAGCCACCACACCTGGCCCTACAACTCTCTTAAAACAAAAGATGGCCATCGTATTGGGGCTTTGTGATCAAGGAGGAAAGAAGTAAAAGGTGAGGTCAAAGAGTTAATGGTACAAATCATGTAGACCTTACAGGTTATGGTAAAGACTTTGGATTTTATTTTGAGTGCTATGGGAAGCCATGGAGTGTTCTAACCAGAAAAGCAGCATGTATCTGATGAAAGTTTTGAAAACATCAAATTTGAATTCCATATTGGGAATAGATGTTAGGAAGGCCAGTTAGTGCATTGTAATAATCATGTAGGTGAGAGATGGTGGTGGTTTAGACTAAGGAGTGGTATAAAACTATTTTAAAATCATAAAAGAGTAATCAAATAGTTTTTCAGTATTTGTTATTATAATAATATATGTTTTCCTTCGTTAGTCTGTTGATATGGGGAATGATGTAGATTTTTTAACAATAAACCATCCTTGCATTCTGGGGATACCACCAATTTGATAGTATACTTTTTATATATTAGTGAATTCGGTTTGCTAGAATTTAGAAATTTATAATTTATTATGTCTATGTTCATGAGCAAGTTTAGAAAAATACTTTTGTTATTTATACCAAACTTTTCTGGTTTGATATCAAGAGTATACAATGAAACTGGCTTTATATGAGGAGTTGGGAAGTATTCTTTTCCAAGTTTCTATAGCATTTTAAGTTCAAAAGGACTTATTTATTCCTAGAATATTTGTTTGTTAAAACTATAAGGGAATGGTATATTTTTAATAGGTAGATTTTAAACTCAAAATCAATTTCTTTAATGCTTATATGTGTACTTACCTTCATCAAATTTGCTAGAGGCTTGTCTGTTTTTTAAAATACATATATATTATTATTATTTTTTTTTTTTAAATTTTATTTTATGGCCAGATGCAGTGGCTCACACCTGTAATCTCAGCACTTTGGGAGGCCGAGGCAGGCAGATCGCTTGAGCCCAGGCATTTGAGACCAGTGTGGGCAATATGGTGAAACTTTGTCTCTACTAAAAATACAAAAGAATTAGCCAGGCAAGGTGGCACATGCCTGTAGTCCCAGCTACTTGGGAGGCTAAGGATGGAGGATCACTTGAGCTCAGGAGGTCAAGGCTGCAGTGAGTCAAGATCGCACCGCAACACTCCAGTCTGAGCAGTGGATTTAAGCCCTGTCTGAATTTTTTTTTTTTTTTTTTTTTTAGATTTAGGGGTTACATGTAGATGTTTGTTGCTTACTGGTGGGGATTGGGCTTCTAGTTATACCCATTACTTGAATAGTGAACATTGTACCTGATAATGAAGTGGCATTGTTTATCTGGGGGAAATACCTGAAGTTCGTTGTTTCACGCTAAGGAAATTGAAGATGCAGACACACACAAAGTGGCTTTAACAGTGGAAAGTTTAATACATGAAAGAAAGAAGAGACAGCTTCCTCATGCAGAGGAAGGGGGCCCAAGTGGGTTTCTGAGTTTGGGGCAAAATGTGGTTGGTTTTATAGATGAGCTTCAGGAGGCAGTATTTGATTTATATAGGGTCCAGAGGATTGGTTGGACCAGGTGTGCTATTTACATAGAATGTGAGGCAGCTGGCCTTCCCACCCTAATCTTTTACTATGCAGATAGGGTCTCTGCCTGGCTGGTGCCATGACACTTGCACACGTGGTGACAAAGAAAAAGGAGGAGAAAACCTCCATGTTGAATATACCTGGCTTTCAGGTATCCCTTTTCTGTTGGCACAGCTGCAGGCATTCACCTATGCAAGCTTCCACCTTGCTTATCTATGCTTGCAGCTTGACTTTTTAAAAAGGCTGCTTTTTGTTAGAAAAGAAATGATTTGGGGGCTGCTTTTTTATTAAAAGAAAATTCCACTGAGATCTCTTCTACCCTTACTAACTGCCTAAATAACTCCCTTTTAGCTCCTATATCAATAGGTTATTTTTCAGTCCTCCCCATCTCCCACCCTCTCCCCTTCTGGAGTCCCCAGTGTCTATTATTTACATCCTTATGTCCATATATTTAGCTCCCACTTATAAGTGAGAAAATGTGTTATTTGGTTTTCTGTTTTTGAGTTAGTTCACTTAAGATAATGGCTTCCAGCTTCATCTATGTTGCTTCAAAGGACTTGATTTCATTCTTTGTTATGGCTGCATTAGTATTCCATGGTGTATATATACCACATTTTACTTATCCAGTCAATCATTGATTGACACTTAGGGCAGTTCTATGACTTTGCTATTGTGAATAGTGCCAGATGAACATGTGAGTACAGGTGTCTTTTTTTTTTTTATACAATGATTTCCTTTCCTTTGGGTAGATACCCAGTAGTGGGATTGCTAGATTGAAGGGTAGTTCTATTTTTAGTTCTTTGAGAAATCTCCATGCTGTTTTCCATAGAGGTTAAACTATTTTATGCCCATCAATAGTGTATAAGCCTTTCCTTTTCTCTGCATCCTCTCCAACATCTGTTATATTTTGACTTTTTAGTAATAGCCATTCTGACTGATATGAGATGGTATCTCATTGTGGTTTTAATTTGTATTTCCTGATGACTAGTGATGTTGAGCATTTTTTATGTTTGTTGGTTACTTGTATGTCTTTTTTGAGAAGTGTCTGCTCATGTCCTTTGCCCACTTTTTAATGGTATTTTTTTTCTTGTTGATTTAAGTTCCTTACACATTCTGAATATTAGTCCTTTGCTGGAGGCATAATACAAATGTTTTCTCCCATTTTGTAGGTTGTCTGTCTGCTCTGTTGATTTTTTCCTGTGTAGAAGCTCTTTTGTTTA
Source organism: Homo sapiens (assembly GCF_000001405.40). Classification (NCBI taxonomy): domain Eukaryota; kingdom Metazoa; phylum Chordata; class Mammalia; order Primates; family Hominidae; genus Homo; species Homo sapiens. The sequence continues at coordinate 127,851,696 of NC_000004.12, read as the reverse complement.
ATTAAATCTCATTTGTCTATTTGTAAAAATTTTGTTCCATTTGCTTTCAGGTCTTCATCATAAATTCTTTGCCTAGGCTAATGTCCAGAATGTTTAGGCCAATGTTTTTCTCCTAGGTTTTCTTCTAAGATTTTTTTAGTTGGGTGTGGTGGCTCATGCCTGTAATCCCAGCACTTGGGGAGGCCAAGGCAGGTGGATGACCTGAGGTCAGGAGTTCGAGACCAGCCTGGCTAACATGGTGAAACCCCATTCCTACTAAAAATACAACAAATTAGCCAGGCATAGTGGCGCATGCCTGTAATCCCAGCTACTTGGGAGGCTGAGGCAGGAGAATCGCTTGAACTCAGGAGGGGGAGGTTGAAGTTAGTCGAGATCGCACCATTGCACTCAAGCTTGGGCAAGAAGAGCAAAAACTCCGTTTTCAAAAAAAAAAACAGGAAAAAACCCCCCCCCAAAAAAGTTTTTTTTTGTTTCAGGTGTTGTATTTAAGTCTTCAGTCCATCTTAATTTTTATATATGGTGAGAAATAGGGGTCCAGTTTCATTCTTCTGCACATGGCAAGCCATTTTTCCCAGCACCATTTATTGAATAGGGTGTCCTTTCTCCATTATTAATTTGTGTTGACTGTGTCAAAGATCAATTGATTATAGGTATGTGGCTTTGTTTCTGGGTCCTTTATTCTGTTCCATTGATCTATGTGTCTATTTTTGTACCAGTACCATGCTATTTTAGTTACTATAGCCTTATAGTATAATTTGAAGTCAGGCAATGTGATTCCTCTGGCTTTTTTCTTTTGGCTTAGGATTTCTTTGGCTATTTGCCCTCTTTTTGGTTCCATATGAACTTAGGATTTTTTTTTTTTTTTTTTTTTACAATTTTGTGAAAAAATGATGTTAGTAATTTGATAGAGATTACATTAAATCTGCAGATTGCTTTGGACACTATGGTCATTTTAATGATACTGATTCTTCCAATCCATGAGCATGGGATTTTTTCCATTTGTGTCATGTATTTCATTCATTCATTAGTGTTTTGTAGTTCTCCTTGTAGAGATCTTCACCTCCTTGGTTAGATGTACTCTGAGGTATTTGTGTGTGCGTGTGTCTATTGTAAATGGGATTGTGTTCTTGATTTGGCACTCAGCTTCAAAATTGTTAGTGTGTAGAAATGTTACTGATTTTGACATGTTGATTTTGTATCCTGAAACTTTACTTAAGTTGTTTATCAAGACTAGGAGTCTTTTGGAGGAATCTTTAGGGTTTTCTAGATATGTAATCATGGCCAGTGAATAGAGATAATTTGATTTCCTCTTTTCCTATTTTGATGTCTTTTTATTTCTTTCTCTTGCTTGATTGCTGTGTCCAGGATTTCCTGTACTATATTAAATAGCAGTGGTGATAGTGGATATCATTGTCTGGTTCAGTTCTTAAAGGGAATGTTTGCAAATTTTCCCTGTTAAGTATGATATTGGCTGTGGGTTTGTAAAACATGGCTCTTATTATTTTGAGGTGTGTTCCCCTGATGCCTAGTGTGTTGAGGGGTTTTATCATAAGGGGATGTTGGATTTTATTGAGTGCCTTTTCTGCATCTATTGATATGAGCATATGGTTTTTGTTTTTAGTTCTGTTTATATGGTGAATCTCATTTATTGATTTGCAAATATTGAACCATCCTTGCATTCCTGGAATAAAACCTACTTGATCATGATGAATTATTTTTTTGATATGCAGCTGGATTCTGTTTGCTACTCTTTCATTGAGGATTTTCACATCTGTGTTCTTCAGGGCTATTGGCCTATTGTTTCCTTTTTCTGTTTTGTCTTTGCCTGATTTTACTATCAGGGTGATAGTGGTTTCATAGAATAAGTTAGGGAGAAATTCTTCTTCCTTGATTTTTCAAAATAGTTTCAGCAAGATCAGTATCAGCTCTTCTTTGTACAGTCAGTAAAACTTGGCGGTGAATCTCTCTAGTCTTGGGCTTTTCATTGTTGTTGTTATTGTTGGGAGATTTGTTATTACTGATTCAATTTCATTATTCATTACTGGTCTGGTTCAGGATGTCTCTTTCTTCCTGCTTCAATCTTGGAAGGTTGTATGTTGCCAGGAATTTATTCATTTCCTGTGGGTTTTCTGCTTTGTGTGCAGAGAGGTGTTCATAGTCTCTGATGATTTTTTTTTTTTTTTTTTGAGTCAGGGTCTCACTTTGTCACCCAGGCTAGAGTGCAGTGGTGAGATCTTGCCTCACTGCAACCTCTGCCTCCTGGGCTCAAGTAATCCTCCTGCCCCAGACCCCCAAGTAGCTGGGACTAAAGGCATGCATCACCATGCCTGGCTATTTTTTTTTTTTTTTTTGTATTTTTTTTTAGAGACAGGGTTTTGCCATGTTGCCCAGGCTGGTCTCGAACTCCTAAGCTCAGGCAATCCATGTGCCTTGGCCTCCCATAGTGCTAGGATTACAGGCATGAGCCACCACATCCAGCCCTCTGGTGATCTTTTCTGTTTCTGTGGTGTCAGTTGTAATGTCACCTTTATCGTTTCTGACTATACTAATTTGAATCTTCTCTCTTTTTTTCTTAGTCTAGCTAACCATCTGTCAGTTTTGCATATCCTTTCAAAGAACCAGCTTTTGTTTTGTTGATCCTTTGTATCATTTTTTTGGTCTCAGTCTCATTTAGTTCTGCTCTGATATTTGCCATTTATTTTCTTCTGCTAGCTTTGGGTTTTGTTTGTTCTTGTTTTTCAGGTTCCTTGAGGTTCAACATTAAATTTTATTTGAGATCTTTCTGTCAAGATGTAGGCATTTCACACTATAAACTGTGTCTTAGTACTGCTTTTGCTGTATTCCAGAGAGTTGGTATGTTGTGTCTCTATTTGCATTCGTTTTGAAAATTTTTTTGATTTCTGCTTTAATTTCATTGTTTGTCCAAAGATCATTCAGGAACAAGTTGTTTGGTTCCCATGTACTTGTGTGGCTTTTTAGAGTTCCTTTTGGTATTGACTTTCTTCTCTCTTTCTTTCTTTCTCTCTCTCTCTTTTCTTTCCCATTTTCTTTCTCTCTCTCCCTCTCCTTCTCTCCCTCTCCCTCTCTCCCTCTCCCTCTCTCCTTCTTTTCTTTTTTTCAATGGAGTCTCACTCTTATCACCCAGGCTGGAGTGCAATGGCACGATCTCAGTTCACTGCAACCTCCACCTCCCAGGTTCAAGCAATTCTTCTGCCTTAGCCTCCCGAGTAGCTGGGATTATAGGCACCTCCCACCACACTGGGCTAATTTTTTTTGTGTATTTTTAGTAGAGACGGAGTTTCACCATGTTGGCCAGGCTGGTCTTGAACTCCTGACCTCAGGTTATCCCCTTCCTTGGCCTCCCAAAGTGCTGGGATTACAGGCATGAGCCACCATGCCTGGGCTGGTATTGATTTCTAATTTTATTCCACTGTGGTTCAAGAAGATACTTGATCTCTGTTTGTTTTGTTTTGTTTTGTTTTTCTGAGACTTGCTTTAAGGCCCAGCACATGGTCAGTTTTGGAAAATGTTCCATATGCAGATAAGTATATATATATTCTGCAGTTGTTGGATAGAATGTTCTGTAAATGTCTATTAGGTCCATTAGGTCTGCAGTCCAGTTTAAGTCCAGAGATTCTTTGCTGATTTTCTGCCTTGATGATTTGTCTAGTGATGTCAGTGGGATGAAGTCCCCCATTATTATTGTATTTCTATCAAATTGTTTTCTTAGTTCAAGTAGTATTTGCTTGATGAGGCTGGGTGCTCCTGTATTGTATGCATATATATTTAATTAGGTTAAATCTTCTTGTTGTTTTGAACACTTCAGCATTATATAGTGCCCCTCTTTGTCTTTTTTTTTTTTTTTTGCTTTTGTTGGATTAAAGTCTGTTTTTTCTAATATGAGAATGGCTATTTCTGCTTGCTTTTGCATCTTTTCAGTGGAATATTTAGTCCATTTACATTCCAAGTTAATATTGATATGTGAGGTTTTTTTCTGTCATAGTGTTGTTAGCTAGTTGCCATGGAGTTTCAATTATGTCACTGCTTTATAGGATCTGTGAGTTTTGTACTTACGTGTTCTTTTGTGGTGGTGCATATTGCCCTTTTGTTTCCATGTTTAGAACTTCTTTGAGCATTTTTTGCAGGACTGGTCTACTGATGACAAATTTCCTTTGCATTTGTTTGTCTGGGAAAGACTATTTCTCCTTCACTTATAAAACTTGGTTTGGTAGGATATAAAATACTTGGCTAGCATTTTTTTTTTTTCTTTAAGGAGGCTAAAAATAGGCCCCCAGTCTCTTCTGGCTTGTAGGGTTTCTGCTGATAAATCTGCTATCAGTATGATGGAATTTTCTTTATAGGTGATTAGACTTTTCTCTCTTGCCAGTCTTAGAATTTTTTCCTTCTTGTTAACTTTGGATAGTCTGATGACTGTATGCCTTGGTGAAGTTCTTCTGGCAATGTATCTTCCAGGAGTTCTCTGAGTGTCTTATATCTGGATGTCTAAATGTCTCCCATGGCTAGGGAAGTTTTCTTGAATTATTTTCTCAAATAGGTTTTCCATACTTTTTACTTTTTCTTTTTTTTTTCTGGAATATCTACGACTCATATTTCTTGAAGGCCTTATTTTTAAAAATTCTTTTAAATTTTTGTCTGTTTAGTCTAATTAGAAGGGCCTGTCTTTCAGCTGTCAAATTCTTTCTTCCACTTGGTCTAGACTGTTGTTAAAGATTTCAACTGTATTTTGTAATTCCTTCAATTAATTTCTCATTTCCTAAAGTTCTGTTTGGGTTTTTAAAATGATGTCTCAGCTTTCATATCCTGAATTGTTTTTCTGATTTCTTTGTGTTGGTTTTCAGCTTTCTCTTGAATCTCATTGAACTTCTGTAAAAATCTACTTTGATTTTTTTTTTTTTTTTTTTTTTTGAGACAGGGTCTTGCTGTGTCACACTAGGCTGGAGTACTTTGAGTTCTTTATCTAGTATTTCAAAGAGTTCATTTTGGTTGGGATCTGTTGTTGGAGAGTTAGCATAATCCTTTGAGGGTGTTGGTCTTTTTGTTTTGTTTTGTTTTGTTTAAATTACTTTCAGTGTTGTTTCTCTGGTTCTTTCTCACTGGATAAGCTATCTCTCCTTATATTTTTTTAACTTGCTTTCATTTGGACAGGATTTGTTTCTCCCTTGAAGGGATGTCTATAATGTATTTTGTGTAGGGTGCTTTGGTTTTGGTTCTGGGTGCTTTTGGTGGCAGAGTCTAAGTTGCCTGGTTATAGATAGTTTTTGTATGGTGGCTTTTCCAAACACTGTAGCAGCAAGGTACTGGGCATATGAGCAGGCTCATTGGCTCCTGTGTGGCTGGGGTGGAGGAGGTGTTAGGAAGCTTATCTTATTCTCCACAGGGTTGCATGCTTGTGTCAGCAGATTTCCTATTGTGTTATTCCATTTAACCTCCAGGCCAGTAGGTGATGCTTATGGTAAGAGTCAGTTGTGGCTGATGCAGTTGGGTATATACTTGATCCTTCTTTACTGGGAGAAACCCTCTGTTGCCTCAGGCATGGGCTATGGAATGTACAGTGGTCTGAGTTCCCTGATAAGACCTGGAGAAGGGGAAAGATGGGTGGGACTAGACTGGGCAGGCCTGCCTACAGGTTCTCCAATGGCAGCAACAGGCACCAGCTCCAAGTGGGTGGGGGGTTTCCAGTGGGTGGATCTCCACTGACCCAAGGTCTCTGCATGGGAAAGAGGGGCAATCTAACCTCCTAATCTAGGAGTGGGTGCTCCAAATGCCTGAAGATATGACCAAGCAGTGAGTGGTTAGAGCATGACTGCAACCAAGATCTGTGCACCTGAAGGGGTGGGATGGCTCAGGCTCCTAATCCAGGTGAGTGGGTGAGCCAAATGCCTAGAAATATGTCCCAGCAAGGAGCTGAGAAACTGCTGCTGCAACAAAGACATTGCAGGGGATGGGAGGGGTAGCTCAACCTCCTAATTCGGGGAAGCAGGTGTGCCTCAAGCAGTTACAGGTAGTTAAACAGGCATGAGTGGGGCAGGAAAGGGATCTCCTGCAAACCCACTAGGAATGCTGGGTGATGGTTTGGCAATTATTGCATTGCCTATCTAAAAGTGATATGTTGGCAGCTGGTGCCAGTGAGAGGCCATTTCCTGATGGTCCACACCTGTTGCCCTGAAGTGTTAACTGAATGCAGATGCCAGGGAGAAGCAGAAGGGCATGCATATTAAGAGATAAAATGGCAGAGTAGGATGTTCCAGGGGCACTCCACTGGAAAAAGGAAGAAAGCCTCAGATGGGCATACATACAACTTCCTAAACACACTGCATGTGTTCACCTCCCAAGCAAAAGGAGGGTGCTGTGCATGCAAGCAGCCCATTCTAAGGGAAGAGTCATGGGAAAGAGGTGAGCCTATAAAGTAGGATCACAGTTAAATGTCACACTTGACCTTCAGGTGCCAACTTGGGTCTCTTCCAAGTGAACTTTCCTTTCCTTCCTGTTCTAAAGCCTTTCTAAATAAACTTCCACTCCTGCTCTGGAACTTGCCTTGGTCTCTTTTTCTGCTTTATGTCCGTCAGTCAAATTCTTTCTTCTGAGGATGCAAGAATTGAAGTTGCTGCAGACCTGTATGGATTTGTTGCCGGTAACTCAGATACCTCCCACTGGTAACAAAACCAGATATAGATAAGCCCAGGGCAGGAGCAGAGAAACTGCTACCACAAGAGGGAAAGCAGGGGTGACTCAAACTCCTAATCCGTGGGAGTAGGTGTGCCAAATGCTTGGAGTTACATCTGGGAGTAGAGCAGAGGGAGTGCTGTTGCACCAAGTTCTTTGTGTGCGGAATGGGAAGGTGGCTTAAACTCTTATTCCAGGGGGCAGGTGCACTGAAAGTCTGGAGTTACATCTGGGTATGGAGCAGAGAGTGCACCACTGTATCAAGATCTGTGCACAGGAAGGGAGGGGCACCTCAGGCTCCTAATCTAGGTGAGCACATGCCCGATGGCCTGGAAATGTGTCCACTGGTGAAGAGTGAACAACTGCTGCTACAACAAAGTCTTTGCAGGGAAAGGGATGGGCAGCTCAGGCTGCTAATCCAGATGAGCCAGTGCTCCAAATTCCTGAAGATATGCCTCGGTGTGGGGGCAAAGAGGGCCCCGCTGCACCAAGTTCTCTACACAGTAAGGGAGGGGCAGCTCTGTCTCCTAATCCAGGCTAATGTGTTCTCTGAATGGCTGAAAACGTGTACCCTGGCAAGGAGTGGAGGTACTGCTGGTGCAATAAGGTCTTTCCAGGAAAAGGGAGGAGCAGCTCAGGCTGCTAATCAAGGAATGTGGGTGCTCCAAATGCCTGGGAATATGCCTGGGTTTGGAGTGGAGAGAGTGCCACTGCACCAAAATCTCTGCACAGGAAGGGAAATGTGGCTTGGGCTGCTAAAGTTACTCTGAATGAGTTGGACTATGAGTGTACCACAGAGAATGCACCCCTGACACTGATGTCTTTGCAAGGAAAGAGGAATTTGACCCATTGCTCCCAATCCAGGCAAGACAGAGTGGGGTCCACCTCCCACTCCTTGTAACTGGTGGGGCACTCTTCCGACTGACCAAGGGAGCAGGATAGGGTACCCAGACACATGCAGACTGATTCTAGCTTGCAAGGCTGTCTCTGGTTTCGTTTCACCACCCAGGATAAACCTCAGCTTCAGTAACTCTCCTGCCGCTGCAGTCCTCCAGTCTTGCGGTGGTAGGGAACCCAATTCCAACGCCTAGTGCTGGGGCACTCGCCACACTCACTGCTCAATTCTGGCTTTGTGGGCCATTTCCTGCTCAGAGCATGTGCTCCAATCTCCAGCCAGCGACTAAAATGCCTGCAGTGGCCCCTGCTGCCAGGTGGCCAGTGACTGACTTTGTATAAGCCAGGGTTAAAGATTGCGTCCTCATCTCAGTCCCAAGTCCGGGAAAATGGCTGCAGCTTTTCCTGGTGTCTCTCTGTCTCTTCGCCTCTCTCCAAGTTATCTCCAGGGTTTGAGAGAAACAAGTTATTCTCCCTCGGCCTGGATTGCACGGATCCCTAGTGGAAAGGTGAGTCACGGAAACTGGCTCTCTGCCCCCTCACGTACTGGAGTGTCAGTTTTATCAGCCAGAGACTATCATGGGGGCCACCTGTCCACCTCCTCCTCCTCGGGATCTGGGGTGTCTTTTGCTATTCCCGTGAATTTCCGTGATTTTTTATTTTTTTTCTCACGGAGTGGATCTTTATGCATTATTTTGCTATTTCCAAGTGGCTGAGGCACACCATGTTGGGAAAATTCCATTATCAATTTATGCCATTAATTCCTTCCAAGTTCTTTTGGTGTATTTTGTCGTCTATCTCTACTTGGATGAGTTTGTCATTAAATCATCATTTTCAGTATATGATTAAAGCATATAAACTAACACTTTAGTTGCATCCTACCAAGTCTTACATGCAGCTTCCATTTATTTAAAAATTGTTGATCTCTTACTGTGCCAGGCATCCTTGTAGTTGTATGGGAAAGATAAAAATTGCTGCCCTTATGGAGTGGGAAGATACATTTTACAGTTAACATGTGTACATACATGCACACATACATATATAGGGATAGATGCAATGGGAAAAAGTATATTAAAAAGCAGTTGGAGTTTAAGGGGTACAGTTGCTAAAGTAACAATATTCACTGTCATTTGAAGTATTTTCTAATTTTCAACATGATTTGACATTTCTAGAAGTTAATACTTTCAATCCAAGCATATGGACATTTGGCATGTCTTGGATTATCTACATAATTTTTTAAAATTAAAAACATCTAAAAACTGATATTTGTACATATTAGTGGGGTAGATGTGGTATTTTGTTACATGCGTAGAACGTGTAATGATAAAGTCAGGATACTTACGGTATCCATCACCTCGAGTATTTATCATTTGTGTTGGGTACATGACCAGTTCTCTCTTCTAGTTACTTTGAAATACATTGTAAAGCAAATGTATACACTGTTAACTACAGTCACCATCTCTATTTCATAGGTGATTTCTAATCTTGTCTTATAAGGTGATTTCTCTTGTCTGAAAAACTATTACGGTCTTCAGTATTAAGTTTTGCTTTGTGGTCTACTATAATGAATTTTTGTGAATATGTTATTCCATGTGTATTTGGAAAAGTTTTACCTAATAGTCCAGTGACAATTTATTATATAATTTCATTAGATCCAGCTTTTAAATTTTGCTCCATTCTTTTATATATGTATTCACCATGCCCGGCTAATTTTTAGATTTTTTTGTGACAGGGTTTCACCATGTTGCCCAGGCTGGTCTCAAACTGCTGGGCTCAAATGATGTGCCTGCTTCAGCCTCCCAAAGTGCTGGGATTACAGACATGAGACACCGCACATGGCCTATTACTATTCTTATGGGTTTCAGCTTCTCATTGTGAATTGCTTCATATATTTTGAGGCTGTTTCAGAGCTGTTATAATCCTGAATTGCTCCATTTATCATTGTTAAAAGCTTACTCTTTATTCCCACACTCCCTTTATTATTTTACCTTAAAATCAATTTTAAGGTAATTCCAAAGCAAAATCAATTTTATCTGATTGTCACTTCTCTTTTGATAGATTTTTAGTATATCTTTTCCAATCTATTTGTAACTATTACATCATTATGTTTAAGAAGTCTCTGTAACCTTTTTTTTTTTTTTTTTTTTGTGATTCTCCTGCCTCAGCTTCCCGAGTAGCTGGGACTACAGGTACACGCCACCACGCCTGGCTAATTTTTTTTTTTGTATTTTTTAGTAGAGACGGGGTTTTACCATATTGGCCAGGCTGGTCTTGAACTCCTGACCTTGTTATCCGTCCGCCTTGGCCTCCCAAAGTGCTGGGATTACAGGCGTGAGCCACCCGCTCCCCACCAAAGTGCTGGGATTACAGGCATAAGCCACGGCACCCCATGCCTGGCCCACATGTGGTCTTTAAACTTGCAAGTTTATGGTACTTATTGTAACTACTTAGATATTTGGATTTGTTATTTTGTGATTTTTTTCTTCGCTTCTCTGTTGCCTTTAACAGGGTTCATTTTATTACATGTTGTTTCTTCCTTATTTATCTAAATTTAACCTGATTTTTGCCTAATACACAAATACTTTCAGGTTTATACTGCTTTATCACCACAGCTGGACACAACTGGTTTCATACTGCCTTCTAGCAATTGCAGGATGTCTGAACTCCCTTGAACCTATTTCCTTACCTTTTAAAATGGTAAAATTTTGTGGATAAAATATTGGGTACAATCAGACAATCACCTCTGAAAGGTTACAACTCTTACCTCATTAATCAGTAGGAACAGGGTTTTGATTTAAAGCAAAACTCTATCTCATTCTTCCAAACTCAGGAGTTAGCAAAATGGGAATGAACTGCCAGTTATTCAGCCTTCTAGACTTTATTCGCATTTGTTTAAAGTGCATAGGCGTATAAACACTTTTCTGGATTGAGGATCCAAATCCTTCAAATTTCCCAAGTTGTCCAACCACAAAAAAATTATTAAGCACCAAATGCTCCAGTCTAGACCGGGGACCTCAACCATTTTCTTTTCCCAACATGCTAAGCTATTTGACACATTTTTATTAGGAACAGCAATTCTCAAAACTGAGGAGCTATTATCAGAATCACTGGGGCAGGAAGCGTCCATTTGCCTGTTGAGAATTTCTAAAGTCTTAAAATTCATTTATTCCTGGGTTGTTCTCTAACAACAATACTTCCAACATTAGCAAAGTACTATTTTAGTTTTCAGAATCAATAGTATCTGAAGGTTTGAAAAATTTCCCAGGTTACTTAAAAACCCTCATTGCCAAGTAAATTTTTATAAATGAACTTGATGATCTGTCCACAGACCATCATCAAATCAATAAAGTTCAATAGGTGAAAATTAAACCTCAGGTGTGCAAAATTCATGGTTCAAGGAGTAGGTAGACATATTTATTATAATTACACGATTGTTAACAATGTGTACTGCCATCCAAAAATGAACATTTATTGCTACTTTGTTCACTAGCATAAAGATGCAATTTACTTACATAGAAAATATTTTATATGCTTTGATACTGCCATGTGTAAACATTCTTATGGATATGTTTGTGAACTAAAATTGACAAATACATATTCCTATGTTACCAACTTAAGATCATAAACCATTCTCATGTCTGCTCATTAAAGCTAAAGGGTCTATTACATGTGAATCTCAATTATTTTTATAGAAACATCACACTTGATTACCATTTTCTGCATTTCAGTGGTTGCTGTTTGTATTGAAAACAAACTGAGAAATTGAGAAATCAAATGTAGTACCTCTCTTAAAAAGAGGAATTGTTAACATTAGGAACTAAACTGCCAAAAGTTATTTTCCATAATGACTAGAGTCAGTCATCACATACACAAATTATTATTTATTTATTTTTTTCTTGAGATGGAGTCTTGCTCTGTCACCCAGGCTGGAGTGCAGTGGCGTGATCTTGGCTCACCACAACCTCTGCCTCCCAGGTTCAAGCTATTCTCCCACCTCAGCCTCCCGAGTAGCTGGGATTACAGGTGCACGTCACCATGGCCCCGCTAATTTTTGTATTTTTTTTAGTAGAGATGGGGTTTCACCATGTTGGCCAGGCTGGTCTCAAACTCCTGACCTCAGGTGATCTGCCCAGCTTGGCCTCCCAAAGTGTCAAGTTATTTTAATAATGGTTGGAGAAAAGAAAAGATGACCTGGATGCCATATTAGGAATACTAAACAATTCAGTAACCTCATTAAAAATTGCTTCTATTTGCTATGGTATTAAAGGACAATGGCTTTATCCTACCAAATATAAAAGCCACTTTTCATGTGAGTCTTTTTCCAAGACATTAAATCATAAAAGTTTATTTCAGGGAAAAAATACAACATTTTAAAGCTTCCTTTACCTAGATTTCCATTTCTAATTACACTTTTTTTTTTTTTTGAGACAGAGTCTCGCTCTGTTACCCCCAGGTTGGAGTGCAGTGGCAGGATCTCAGCTCACTGCGACCTCCACCTCCCGGGTTCAAGCAATTCTCTTGCCTCAGCCTCCCGAATAGCTGGGACTATAGGCACACACCACCACACCCGGCTAAATTTTTCTATTTTAGAAATGGGGTTTCGCCAGGGTTCAAGCGATTCTCCTGCCTCAGCCTCCCGAGTAGCTGGGACTACAGGCACACACCACCACACCCAGCTAATTTTTTGTATTTTTAGTAGAGACGGGGTTTTGCCATGTTGCCCAGGCTGGTCTTGAACTCCTGAGCTCAGGCGATCCACCTGCCTCGGCCTCCCAAAGTGCTGGGATTACAGGCGTGAGCCACTGCACGGGGCCTCTAATTACATTTTGACATCTACATTCTGGGTAGATTCATATAATTTTAAGAACATTTAAAAATACTCAAGTCCCCAGAAGCAAAAAATTTAGGAAACTCTAAAACAACAAGGAAGATGCACAACACACATACATAACCAGAGAGCAGCAAAGAATCAAAGGTGTCTAACAGCTATTTTGAATTTCTGACCCTTGTTATTCTGTCAAATTGATATTTGGATTAAAAATGAGGGATGTTGTTTACTTAATAGGCAATACTCACAAAATTGACCTCTTTTGGTCCGGAATTAAAGTATTCCAAGGCCAGAATACAAAAAAAGAATCTACTCCAGAATGCTACTATTAAATTACACAAAGAAATAACATAGCTTATCAAGTACGAATTTATAGCCAAAAAACCCTTAACGGGAAGAATAAATATTAAAAAGGAAACAAAAAGTAATAAAATTAACTATCCAAGTGATTGGATTATCAGTAAAACTATTTTTAAAGAGCCATGAACAAAAAGATCTAAAGGATAATAAAAAATAACAAATACTTGAGAAAAATACAGTGATTATTTAAGAGTCTAGAATTGGATAAGAGGATAAAGCAAGATAAAGGAAAGACAAAGATCATTTTCATTTATAGTTTATATGCTATAATGCAATTAAATTATTTAAAACATGTTGAATTTCACCAGTCTTTTTACAGGATAGGTAATTTTCAGGTGTCAATGACATTTCCCTAATAATCATCCTGTGACTTAGGGCATGACCGTAAATTAGAGATTCCAAAGCAAAGAGCATACTATTAATTTTTTTTGTTATGGATTTGTACTTGCCTGACAGACTGAACCAAATGTACATTATTTCAATTAGCTTTGTTTCTTTGACTGGAGAGCTCCAAGTCATTTAGTAATGTTTTTCAGCAAACCTACTTTTTCTTTTAATACTTACTCTAACAATATGTTGGAAGTATCTTTAGGGATAAGGAAGATGAAAGAGCCATCACCCACTTAATACTGATCACTTCCACAGACATTTAGGTTTCTTCTTTTCTTCTAAGTGGTTTCAGTTTTTTAATGTTCTGAAAATTCCAGGTGCCCTTTTATTGTTTAGAATAATTACCTTTGAATTTAGAAAAAAAATTGTAATGACATCTGGCAGCATTATAAATCCAAAGCTGTTTTGTTAGAAAACATGAGTATATAAAAGAACATTGGCCAGGTGCGGTGGCTCACGCCTGTAATCTCAGCACTCTGGCAGGTGGATGTGGGTGGATCATTTGAAGTCAGGAGTTCAAAACCAGCCTGGCCAACATGATGAAACCCCATCTACTAAAAATACAAAAATTAGCTGGGCGTGGTGGTGGGTTCCTGTAATCCCAGCTACTTGGGAGGCTGAGGCAGGAGAATTGCTTGAGGCTTGAGCCCAGGAGGTGGAGGTTGCAGTGAGCAGAGATTGTGCCCTCCAGCCTGGGTGACAGAGTGAGACTGTTTCCAAAAAAAAAACAAAAACAAAGTATTAATTTTCATGCATTTTAAATTAGAGAGGTGATAGTTAAACAGCTAAAGTTTCTTTTTGCTTGTTTTGGTTACAAGCCTTGGTCTTTGATCTGCATTAAATTTTTGTTACTTTTTATCAAAAGAAATTATATGCTTCTTAAAATTATTTTATATTCTTGCTTTAGATTAAATCAAATGTTGGGCAAAAACCAAAAGGTATAATGTTAAACCTGCCATCTTTTTTGATAAAAAGTATCTTCTGAAACTGACTGCTTTACAAAGATTAGTTTGCTAAGTGGACTGATTTTTGCAAAACATACTGTAGGTAGTAAGAGGATAATATCAGAATTAAGCTTTATAAGCATATCCCTCTCATGCCACATGAAAAGTCATCAAGGGCTATTTAACCAGTGTTACCAGATTTTAAATGTATATTGATATGTACAATTAGCTGTGCCTCTCATTAACAGTTTATACAATAAAATATCACAAAACAAAATTCTGCTTACAGTTCAAAACTTTAGAAGTTTAACCACAAAATAACATTAACTTTAAAAGCAAAAATTTTTGGCCGGGTATGGTGGCTCACGCCTGTAATCCCAGCACTTTGGGAGTCTGAGGTGGGTGGATTACCTGAGGTCAGGAGTTCAAGAGTTCAAGACCAGGCTGGCCAACATGGCAAAACTCCATCTCTATAAAAATACAAAAATTAGCTGGGTGTGGTGTCATGCACCTGTAGTCCCAGCTACTCAGGAGAGGTTGAGGCAGAAAAATCGCTTGAACTCAGGTGGTGGAGGCTGCAGTGAGCCTAGATCACCCCATTGCAATCCAGCCTGGGTAACAAAGCCATACTCTGTCTCAAAACAAAAAAAAAAATTTTGTAAACTTTTAAAAACTGAGAAAGTTATATTTTACCAATAACTTAAGAATCATTTCTAAATCTATAATTTGTAAAATTAATGCAATGACTTTAATTGTGGACTACCAAATACCAACTATTTACTATAAAACAGAAAATCCTAATGGGAGAGGCTTATTATTTGTCAAATTTATGAAAGTGGAGGAATGGTTGTATGTATTTAGGGTGAAAACAAAATCAGTTAATTTGATTACTATATTCAAATGTCTACTACCTTTAATAAATATAGATTTTTCAAAACAGTTAAAGATGGGCTAATTTGGATTAAGTGCTTTAACACTGACATTATGTTAAATTATTGAGCCCCAAAATTCTCTTTAAAGACTTCTATCATGGAATTAATCACAAATATACTAAAAATTGACGCCTCCCTCCCAAAAAAAGTCTAAGAAACCTTTACTTCTTTTAGCTCTTAATATACTAAAAATTGACACCCCCCCCCAAAAAAGCATAAGAAACCTTTAATTCTTTCCTTTAGCTCTTCTTAGTAAATGTCTTGTTTTCCTTTTATGTTTTTGTTTTGTTTTGTTTTTGAGATGGAGTCTTGCTCTGTTGCCCAGGCTGGAGTGCAGTGGCGCGATCTCGGCTCACTGCAACCTCCGCCTCCTGGGTTCACACCATTCTCCTGCCTCAGCCTCCTGAGTAGCTGGGACTACCGGCGCCCGCCACCATGCCCAGCTAATTTTTTGTATTTTTAGTAGAGACGGGGTTTCACCGTGTTAGCCAGGATGGTCTTGATCTCCTGACCTCGTGATCTGCCCGCCTTGGCCTCCCAAAGTGCTGGGATTACAGGCGTGGGCCACTGCCTTTTATGTGTTTGAGACAGGGCCTCACTCTGTTGCCCAGGCTGGAGTGCAGTGGTATGATTATGGCTCATTGCAACCTTGACCTCTCAGGCTTAAGTGATCCTCCACCTCAGCCTCCTGAGTAGCTAGGACTACAGGTGTGCACCACCATGCCTTGCTAAGTTTTTATTTTTTTAGAGACAGGGTCTCACTATGTTTCTCAGGCTGGTCTTGAACTCCTGGGTTCAAGTGATCCTCCCTTCTTAGCCTCTCAAAGTGCTAGGATTACAGGTGTGAGTCACTGTGCCCAGCCTTGTTATCCTTTTCAAAATCAAGTTTATCTGTTATTTCAATAGCCAAATTCTTTGCTGTGCTCTTTCTAGTTTTTTGGAAGAATTTTTGTTTTTTTTTTGAGACGGAGTCTTGTTCTGTTGCCCAGGCTGGAGTGCAGGAGCACGATCTCAGCTAACGGCAGCCTCTGCCTCCTGGGTTCCAGCGATTCTCCTGCCTGAGCCTCCCGGGTAGCTGAGATTACAGGGACATGCCACCACGCCCGGCTACTTTTTTGTATTTTTAGTAGAGACAGGGTTTCACCATGTTGGCCAGGCTGGTCTTGAACTCCTGACCTCAGGTGATCTGCCTGCCTTGGCCTCCCAAAGTGCTAGGATTACAGGCGTGAGCCACAGCGCCTGGCCAAAACTTAATAATTTTACATTACTGCTAAGGAATTATCACAAACTTCCATTATATTATTTAACAATTGTTTTTTATAATCACAGTACAACTATCAAGAGTTGGTTTCTAAAACCACAATTTACACTTTTCCACAGAGCCAAAGTATACTAATTTATATTAATCATTCCAAATATTCCCTACAAACTTCATTCTTATTTGCTTACCATAGGAAAACACTGTTTTACTATGCATCTTTTAAAATAATTTCTGAAATAATAGCTTTTTATTTTGAAAATCTTTGTCTAGCATTGCATATTTTAATGCAGATTAAAATTGGACTGAATTAGACTGTCTACCCAAAGCTGCATTAAAGAGAGCACTCTCTTTCATTAATGAATTAAATAAATAAATACATTATAAGGCTAAATCGTTTTTGAAATCTTTTAAGTTGAATAATTGGGTAGAAAAAGTATATATATTTGGATGTATATAAGTTATTAAATGAAGTGTTATATAATTACAAAAATTAGTGGTACTATCTGACTAAAACACAAAACTAAAAGTGACTTCAGAGCAGGAATGGAAAATGTCAGGATATACTAGAAAATTTAGATGTATTAATAGAAAAGTTGTTCCCATATTTACTCCCAGGAAGTTTCTGAGGCATAGCTCCTAACCAAGTGAGTGGATGTTTTAACCCAAATAGAAGCTCTAAAGTCCCTACTTGTATTGTTACATATTTGCTTTCATTATCTTCATGCTTTTCTTGAAATGAATCTGTACATTCAACATACAAATAAAAAGCATCTATGTTTGTAAAAAATGTATTTCATCACCTATTGGATATACCTATTTCATTTTAAGAGAATTAAGAGAAAGTTTAAAGACTAGGAGAGTTTAAAAATATATTAAGTTTATATGATTTTTTAATGCAAAAAAGAGATTCTTCCCCTCAAAAGACGGAATAAAAATCCCTGCAAAATGCACTACTCCATACTCTCCATTAAGTGCTGACTACATTGTAGAAACAAAATCTCTCGTAGAGAACTAGTTGTGAGAAATAATGACTATCCCTAAAGATATTGTACTCTCAATTTTTACAACTTAAGTCAATATTTAATTGTTCCTAATATAAAGATTTAGCTTTGGGAGAAAATGAGCCTTTTGAAATTTTAACCTAGGTCAATCTAGTTGATTGGCATTAAGGACATAAGGGCTCATATACTTGTCTATGCTTCTGTCTCTTGCAGGTTGAAACACCATTTCAGTCTGTTCCCATACTTAAGCAGTTTCAGGTCTCTGGACAGAAATTAACAATGTGAACAAGTTGGGTGATGAAGCACAGATAAAGTCCTTAAAATACATCTTAAGTTTACAGTCCCTTTTCGCATTTAATTTGTATAAGAAGCACCAAAACTGGAGCCAAGGTTTCAAAAGGTAATGTTAACAGCAGGAACTATAATTTAATCACACAACACTATGTAACATTCTATATTTTTGCCTGTTGATATGTAACATAGTTAAGTTTATTACAAACATTATTTCCTAAGACTTATGGTATAAGTGCTCCTTTTCAAGTATTACCACTTAATAGTGTTTAATCTACAAGGTAACATTAGGTAAATCAATGATAAATGTATATAATGCAATACACTGTGCCACTTCTTCCTACCCTGTGTTAAGGTATTATTAACAAAATCAATTAAGAAAAAAACAAGACAACTATTATAACTGAAACAAGGCTATGAACATCACAGATGCATGTCTGAGTAGATAAACAGCATTTCCCCTTAACATGAAAGTCATTTTGTCAGAGACTCCTGTATCTTTAGGCTAGCATTGTTTTAGCAGCAGCTAGTCTTCAGGACAAGATCAAAAATTTCAAGCGAAAAGACAACGAGTTACTCTGAGAAAACATCAATCCACATTACTAATAAAAGAAGCAAACTGCTGGTTTCACCTTAACATAAAATTGGGTGTGTTCCCTTTCACATGTGATTTAATTCATTTATGTGATGACAGCAAAGCTTTGGATTTCTGTGGTACATCAATGAGATGGACTAATTTGTTGAGAAAGCTCTTATTTGTTTTAATATTTAAATTGTAGCAATACAATAACTAGAAAAAGGTCAGTGCCTCTGTAGCTTTAAACCCCATCAATTTTCATTTGTTTTTCAAAATAAAGATGCAATTAAATCTATGCTTCTGCAACAATAATGCAATAAAGTATCCTTTCCTGAATAAAGGAATTGAGGTTTATCCCAGTAGAAGCTTTAAATAAGGTAGACTGTTGCCAACTATGTATCCATCCTGTATGTTTGATATATAAAATTATCCGGAAAGCTTAGATTGTCTTGTAAATCTAATTCGGCTAACACTGCATATAAGCAGCAATGGAAATGAACAGAAGTGCACTCAATATAAAACACTTTTCAAAACTACTCCAAAAAACAAATGACAAAAGTGGTTAAGAACAACTGAGCGTCTGTTGTGTGTACCAGATGTAAAAGATGGACCCCGTGGTTACTTGCACGGTTTGAATTAATGTGAAGGTAAAATTAAGACTTAGTCCACTTCCATCTCTCCAGAGGATTTAGTATGCTGTGAGCTGTCTTTTGTTGAATCTGATTTAGTTTCAGTTCCACTCTGTCCATCCATTGGGCCATTGTGTTCACTATTAGCTTTTGGTTTGTCTTCAGGAACTTCTGCTTTTGGTTTGGGCTTGTAAATGATGGGGTTACAGAAATTATCCAGTTCCTAAAGACATGAAGAAATTGATTATATTAAAACGATTACAGAACAAGTTACCATTAACTTTCTAAATTCCACATTAACTTTCTAAATTTTCACATAATTCCCCCTTTCTGAATTTGCTCAGCTAGATAGCCAACTGTTTTCTTCAAATGCCTCATGAGAGATTTACCTTGTTTGTTAGTATATGTCTGTGGCAGTCAAAAATTATTGAATCTTAAACAATTATTTTTTGTACTTAACCTTTCTAAAACTTGTTTCTTTATAATCAAATACAGTTTACTTTGGCAGGAATAATTTTTAATTCTTCCTTTAAATTACGTGTAATGCTTTGCTATGAGAATTACATCAAATAACACCTATTTCATAAACTGAAAATTTTCAACATTTATATGAAAACAATTCTAATAAATGGAATCATACAAATACATACACAAACGACATTTTTTTTTGTTTGAAAATAGCTGAGTAGCCTCTCCTGAAGGAAAAAGTGCCGTGAAAGTAAATTGGAACTTAATAATTTAAATGAAACAATGCTCTTCAATTTCCTTGCTTTTTACAAACAAATAGAAGACCACTATACAAACACTACTCAAATTTAAAAACCTTTGAAGATCAATGTCACAAAGATCGGGGTAGCCACGGAAATATAGGGATTAACATCTTAAGGGGAATGTTTTAGTTGCAAACTGCTCTTGTCACACTCCACATCTCATCTCATCTCATTAGGAGTAAAATATATATTATAGCTTATTGGCAAAACTTTGTTAGAATAAAAATATTGTTATTACTTACTTCATTATAAAAAATACCAGCTTTTGTTAAAAAAAAAGAAAAAAAATCACATATCCCAAAACATACTGAATGTTATTTTAAAAATCCCCTGAAATTCCATCTCCTACAAATTAATAATATTAACCTTTTGGTGGATATCCTTCTAGATGTATGTTCAGGCATACACATACATATAAACAAATCTATGAGCACACGTATTTGTACAAATGAATACATTTAGGTTCTGTAATTTAACTTACCAATACACTGTATACATCTTTAAACAGATATCTCTATATGTAAAATGCTATATTTAATGGCTGCATAGTGTTGTATGGATGCATCAACTTATTGATCTAGTTTCCTATTGACAGATATTTAGATTGCTTCCTTTTTTTTTTTTTTTTTTTTTTAATAGACAAGGTCTTGCTCTGTCACCCAGCTGGCGTGCAGTGGCATGACTGTAGCTCACTACTGCCTCAAATTCCTGGGCTCAAGGGAGCCTCCTGCCTCAGCCTCCTGAGTAGCTGGGACTACAGATATGCACTACCACGCCCAGCTAATTTTTGTATTTTTTGTAGAGATGGGGTTTCACCATGTTGTTTATGCTGGTCTCGAACTCCTGGGTTCAAGCAGTCCGCCTGTCTCAACCCCCCCAAAGTGCTGGGATTACAGACGTGAGCCACCACGCCTGGCCAACATTTTCATTAGCAGTGTTTTTTAAATTGAAAAGTTTATCTCGGAATAAGATTTTACCATGGAAGTTTATACGCTTCAAACTAGGTCAAAGACAGACTTATACTGAAAAATTTTGTAATGAAGACTTAGAGGTTTCATCCAACCTATAAGTCTGAAATACTTAATCAGAAAGTTGTCACATTGCTTTTATTTCATTCTGTATTACTCTTGAAGTTTAAAAACCAGCCTGGTATATGAAAAATTAAATCAAGGGATACCCCATACCTAAAATCTTAAAATTTTTTAACTAAATAAAAAATTAGTCTTAAATTTCTGTTCTAAGTTCTTCTGCAAGTTGATTATTTGCCAAAGTATGACTCTCATTAAAAATTTTAATACTTGAAACCATTAAAAAGGCAATTTCATAAACTTCTTACCTTTGACTTTGCTACTATTTCTGAAACTTTTACCACAGGATCTTGAGTGAGACTTAGTTTGTTCTGTGCATTCATCTTACTATTCAGCCAACTCATGGCATCACTGATACATTTTTCAACCTTTTCCATTTCAGTAGGATCCAGATGATCATATCTTTCATCCTATTTAAAAAAAAAAAGCTTGACTGCATGTTAATGATTTTTCAGCTAGCACCAGTTTATTAGTAATTTCTACTTTAAAAATTTAGACTCTTATTGACTGTATATCTCAAATGTACTCATCTGAAGAAACCCCATACGAATAACACAGAACTGAAGAGAATGGGATAAAAGATAAGATCAGTGTGAGTTTAAAAAGGAAAGGCTCTCTGAAGAAATCAGGTTTGGGAAAGAATGACTACTAAGGAATACTCATGGAGAAAGCACTTAGCCAAGGAAGAAGTTGCAAGGAAATGGAATTTGTAAAGGAGAAATAAGGTGAACAAGGCATATAGCAAACTAGACACAAAATTATGAATATATAACAGAAAAGCATATTAAATTCTTGATTAGAAAAATGACAAAATTCTTTCTGAAGAAGAGAAACTGCAGCTGTCACATGTAATACACAACCAAGTAGTCATGGTTTAGATTAGTAGTGACAGAATCACAAAGAAATGGCAATGAACATATAGAAAGAGAATCTCCTGATGGATTAGTTTGGACACAGAAGATAAAGGGAAAGAGAATGTAAGAACACTCCAAAGTCAAAGAAGTGGGAGGATGGTGATGCCATTTTTAAAACCATAAAGCTATATATATGAAGAAAAAAAACCCCAAACAAACAAATGGAAAACCCATAAAGCTTCCTCGGATACCCAAATCCTCCTTCTGCTTTTATTACAAATTATGCATCAATCATCTGACTCAGTTTCTAGGTCGCCACATTTTCTTGAATTTCTTCCTATGTCATGGATCACTTTTTAAGTTTCTTTTGCCAGTTCATCCTCATTCATCTCTCTACCCATATGCTTTAAAAAAAAAAAAATCTCTAGCCTGAACCTCTTCCCTTAACTCTCAACTCTATATCCAACTTTGAGTTTCTATTTGTAAAGTTTGAAATGCTTATGTTTCAAACACCTGATTATGTCCCCACCTACTCTTCCCAGTTTTCCTCATCTCAGCAAATGGAAACTTCATTCTTTCGGGTCAAAATCCTTGGAGTAATTTTCAGCTTCTTTGTGATAGATTTACATCAAATCTATCAGGAAATCTTAAAAGCGTCTACCTTCAAAATAAATGCAAAAATCTAACCAATTCTTGGCTCCCCAACCCTACCATCTGGGTTCAAGCCTCCATCATTTCTTGCTGTATTATTCTAATAATGTCTTATTCCATCTCTCTGCCTCCAGATCCTTAAAAAAAAAAGCCAAATGTTATTACTCCTGTGCTCAAAAACCTCCAACAGCTTCCTATCTCAGAGTAAAACCCAAACTTTTACAAGGGCCAACTAGACCCATTTATGATCTCTCAACTGCTACACTTACCCCTATTTTCAACCACAGTGACCTTGCTGTTCCTCTAACATGTTCTCCCCTTGGTGTTTTGCAACTGCTATTCTTTGTCTAGAGCATTTCTCTTCCAGTTATCACACATCTTTGAGTTTTCACTTCTTCATTTCTCTCCTAACATGTGTATCACCTTATTAGTACACCTTTCTGACAAACCTCTTCCAACCCTGGCAGTCCTTTACTTTTTCTGCAGCTTTTTATTACTATCTGACATAACTTACAGTAATTTATTGTCCACCTTTCACTATTGAAGCATATTAAAAACAAGTTCAATGTTTTGTTTGACAATATAGTTCAGTCATCTAGAAAATAGCCTAGCACATAATAAAAACTCAAATGTTTGAGCAAAAGTGAAGTCTTGCCTTGTGTGGGATAATATCTTAAATGTGCATATTGAAGAAGATAGCTAAAGCCTGGGGAGCACTGTGACACTAGTAATTATACCAGATTTAAAATATTCTTGGTGTTTTCATTGGGTTGTTTCTTCCTTCTTACTTTTTCATTATCCTTACAACATTCTATCTGTGCCTATAAGAACAATTTGAACACTGATATTAGCAGGCATATTTACAATCAATATCTGAATTTTTCCTTTAGGTTTTCTGAACTGCAGTTTTTGTTTCACAAAACTAAAAAATCTCTTATTTCTAAAATAAGTAATTCTTCTCAATTTTGTGTAGTGGAAAGCAGTATAGTTGCTGGGAATTTGTATATTGATGTCAGACTGGTTAGGTTTGAATGTTGATTCCATCATTAACTACTTGGGTAAACCTCAATAAGTTGCTTAAGTATTTCCGTTTTCTTAATTGTAAAATAAAGATAATAGCATTAACTTTGTATAGGATATATCCTGGTGAGATAATCCACATAAAGTACTTAAAATTCATGATGTGCACAATAAATGTAAGCTATTTTGACATGCTTGAATATTTCTGGTGCTGGTCTCTTCTTCCTACTAATGCATGTTTAACATCAATGACAAAAACTAGGGATTACAGAGAATATTTACTTAGAGTAGGGATTAAAAAACTTGTCCCATCGGCTAAATCCAGCCACTGCTTATGATTTTTTAAATAAAGTTTTTGGGAACACAGCCATGTCCATTAGTTTGTGTATTGTCTATGGTACTTTTGTGCTACAGTGGCAGATAAGAATAGCTGTACAGACACAGTAAAAACTACAAAGCCTAAAATATTGTTTGTCTTAAAAAAAGTCTGATAACTACTGATTTAGAGGAAACAAAACAATAAGCTTAATTTTCTCAAATTTTACGGTTATATCTAAATGGAAGTATCATCTGTATAACTACATATTTGACAGTGGAAAGATTAAGGTTATATAGATTTGAATATGTACATAAAAGAATAAAGCGTACAGGAGATTATGGATGACTAATGGACTGGAGGACAAAAAGCAACTAAAAGAAAAATAAGCCAAGAAACAAAATAAAGGCTAGCAGAGTCCAGTCTCAAAGAGGCCCATAATTTAAAAAAAGTCAAAGAGGTCCTCTTTTTCACTATATGAAAAACATAAAAATGAAATCTCTAGGAAGAAAACAATGGATTTGGTCACTGGGTTATTTTATAATGTAGTTTCAGGAAATTCTAAAAGATGAAAGCTACATACCTTTACTGTATTTCAAATGTATCAGAATCCTTAAGTGAAATTCTCCAATAAAAAAAAAAGTTTTAAGTTTGGTACACAAAGTCTCTGGAATTTGATAGATACAACTGCTATAGCTTTGTAGCTGAGAACTTTTAGATTTGCCCCATTCTATGTACCATGCACATGCCATCGTCACCAATTGGCTTTATGAATTCAATACCTTGTTTCTATAAGCTTCTATCACTTTCATGACAAGTTGGATCTTTTTTCCCAAGTCATTTAAGGCTTTTGGTCTCTCTTCATGCTCCATGTACTTCATTTGAATAGGCTGGCCGTATTTCTGTTAACATAAGAAATTTTTAAAGAAGAAAAATTTTTGAGTTTTAACAGAAAACTTTTATAGGGCCCTTATAGGATGATAAATAGGAAGAAAAGATGGACAGATAAAAATATATCCCCTCTTATTTTCCTGTATGGAAGCAAGTTACAGTAGCTACTTCCTCAATCCTACACAAGGATGCCTTCCACACACCTTATCTTTTTCTCACTCATTAAGATTACTTCTTAGCTTCTCAAATCCAATGTCTCAATCAAAACTTTAATTCCTTAAAAGCTGGGTGTTAAAACTTTATAGAACTATTAAAATAAGAAAACTGTAAAAACTATACTGCATGCAGAATTTGTAGATTTGAAACTTGGTATCAAATACTCAAAATCATAATATAACCCTCTATGTACAACATAATTACTGGGACTGATAATTATTATCAACTAAATATTATTTATACATTTAATCAGTAAAATGTGTACTGTAGTATATGTAGGTTTTTCCCCTACATGTCTTGGATTAAGGAGTTTCTAAATGTTAAAACAGACTCTGTAGTTTTGGGAAGGGGAGCACATTAGAAGGATAAAATATTTTCTTTTAAATTCTTTATATACTTAAATAAAAATCGGCTTATTTTAGAACAGTTTTAGATTTACAGAAAAGTTAAAAGGAAATTATACAGAGAGCAAGCACCAGACGCTTCTCTATGCTTTTCTCTAATGTTAGCATCTTAGGGTACATTTGTCAAAACTAAGAAACTACCACTGGAGCATTACTATTAACTGGACTACAGTCTTTATTCAGAGTTCATTATCATCTGTTCCAGGATACCATTACTACATTTGGTCTATTCACGTCATACTTTTTATAGTTTAAATGTTTTTGAAAGGGAAGCAAGTACTGCATTTTTTTTTTCCATTGGGACAGGGTCTTGCTCTGTCACCTAGGCTGGAGTGCAATGGCGACAGCTTACTGCAGCCTCAAATTCCTGGGCTCAAGTGATCCTTCTGCCTCAGCCTCCCAACCTGGAACTACAGGCACATACCACTGTGCCTGGCTAATTTATTTTTTTGTAGAGATGGGGTCTTGCTTTGTTGCTCAAGGCTGGTCTTGAACTCCTGGCTTCAAGTGATTCTCCTGCCTTGGCCACTCAAAGTGCCAACATTACAGGTGTGATTCACTGCTCCTAGCCACCATTTTAAATTTTTAAATGCCATCTCAAAAACAGAAAAAGTAAAACTTGTGAAAACTTCTCTAACATTCATTTCTATGGCTACTTACATATTTGAAGCAGAAGAATCCATAATAGGAACTGCTGGGATTTCCAGTTATTTCTACTGGCCTCAGCTGCTTGGCTTATGTTTCTTTTTTCTTTTTTTTTTTTTTTTTTGAGATGGAGTTTTGCTCTTGTTGCCCAAGCTGGAGTGCAATGACGCAATCTCAACTCACTGCAACCTCCACCTCCTGGGTTCAAGCGATTCTCCTGCCTCAGTCTCCTGAGTAGCTGGGATTACAGGTGCGTGCCACCATGCCCGGCTAATTTTTTGTAATTTTAGTAGAAATGGGATTTCACCATGTTAGCCAGGCTGGTCTGGAACTCCTGACCTCAGGTGATACACCTGCCTCTGCCACTTTGGGCCACTGGGATTACAGGTATGAGCTACTGCACCTGGCTGGCTTGTGTTTCTTTTAGGGAGACAGGGATTAAAAACTACCAAGAAGACATGGTAAAGCCTAGTTTTGCTATCATAAACTTAGGTTTTCTAATTATTTCCTTTGGAAGTATTTGTTGGCATGAAGGTAATTTTTTGCACAGTATTAACTTCTTTTACTTTTAAGTTGAGTAACTTCTTTTGCACACCTTCCCCCACCTCATGCCTGTCCCAAGTTGTAAAGGGCCATCTTTCCCCATATTCTAAAAATCCTTGTTAATGTCATCATTTAGCATCTATATAATCCCTTGCTACTCAAAGAATAGTTCAGGGACCAGCATCATCAGCATCACTTGGAAGTTTGTTAAAAGTGGGCCCACCTTGTATCTACTGAATCAAAATTTCCATTTCAATAAGCACCCAGGTAATTCATATGCACATTAAAGAACTGCTATGATCCATACTAAGAAGGAATGACTGAAAATTTCCTTCATCCTTCCAATATAAACGTGTTTTTTTTTTTTTGAGATGGAGTCTCATTCTGTCGCCCAGGCTGGAGTGCAGTGGCGCAATCTCAGCTCACTGCAAGTTCCACCTCCTGGGTTCACGCCATTCTCCTGCCTCAGCCTCCAGAGTAGCTGGGACTACAGGTGCCCGCCACCACGCTCAGCTAATTTTTTGTATTTTTTTTTAGTAGAGACAGGGTTTCACCATGTTAGCCAGGATGGTCTCAATCTCCTGACTTTGTGATCCGCCCGCCTCGGCCTCCCAAAGTGCCGGGATTAGAGGCGTGAGCCACTGCGCCCAGCCCAATATAAACTTTTAATCTTTTAAGGTACTTTTTCCAGATTTGGTAGCAAGTATGGAAGGTCTTTCCCTAAAATAACACCACTGACCTAAAAAAGGAGATTTTGTGGCCAAGTCTCTTGATTTGTGAAAGGACGTTAAAATTCAAGAGCAGTGACACTGAAAATACAACAGACCAGTGTGGTATTACTCCCTAACATCAGACAGTTAACAGTCAGAGGAGCAGGAGAAGAGGGTGACTCCTTTAATGGTCAAGATGATATACTTATCACTTCTTAAAGACATGCCAGTAATATATAGCTTGTGCAAAAGTAACACTCTGATCATCTATAAACATTTATATTTCAACATTATGACTATACAATATCTGATTTCAATTATATAGCATTGCTGGCTTCTCAAAATGCTTTTAAAATTAGAACATTTCCTCTTATACATTTCTGATTTAGTAATTTTTCACATACTTACTAAAAACATACAGATCCAGCAATCTCACTACTGTGTATCTATCCAAAGAAAATAAAATCACTATGCCAAAGAGATATCTAAACTCCATGTTCACTGCAGCATTATTCACAATAGCCAAAATAGAGACTCAATCTAAGTGTCCATCAGTGAAATGATGGATAAAGAAAACGTGGTATGCATATACAACGGAATACTATTCAGCCTTAAAAAGAAGTAAATCCTGTCATTTGAGACAACTTAGATGAACCTGGAGGACATTATGCTAAGTGAAATAAGCCAGGCACAAAAAGACAAATACTGCATGATCTCAAAGGTTGAATCTAAAAAAGGTAAGCTCTTAGAATCAGATAGTAGAATTGGTGGTTATCAGGGGATGGTATGATGGAGAGCTACTGGTCAAAGGACACAACATTTGAATTAGACAAGAGGAGTAAGTCCAAGAGATCTATTGTACATCATGGTAACCACAGTTACCATATATACTTAACAATATACTGTATATTTGAAAATTGGTTGAGAGAGTAGATTTTAAGTGTTCTCCCCCCCAAAGAAAGAAATGTATGTGAGGTAATGCATTTGTTAAATAGTTTGACTTAGCCATTCCACAATGTGTGCATAATCAAAACATGTCGTACACCACAAATATATACAATTTTCCTCTCAATTAAAAAATTAAAAATTAATAGAACATAAACTGTGCTCTTACACCCTAATTTTTAGAAAAAGTTACTGGTTTATACTAACATGGACTTTAAAAAAATGTACCTTTAGTTCTTGAAGCTTATCCACATAAACTTGTTTAGGTTGGTCCTCTCCGTCTTCATAAAGCCAATTTTCTGTGTCTTCCAATACTGCAGACAGTTTACTCAAGTCCTAGTAATATATTTGAGAGACACTAATTAAAAATACTTTCCTTAGAAATAAAAGTCATCATTGGGCTCAGTGCAGTGCAGTGCCTCATGCCTGTAATCCCAACACTTTGAAAGGCCAAGGTGGGAGGATCGCTTGAGCCCAGAACTAAGAGACCAGCCTGGGCAATATGGCAAAATCATATTTCTACAACAAATTAAAAAATTAGCCAGGCATGATGGCATGTGCCTGTATTCCCATCTACTTATGAGGGTGAGGTGAGAGGACTGCTTGAGCCCGGGAAGTAGAAGTTGCAGTGAGCTGAAATCGTGCCACTGCACTCCAGCCTGGGCGACAGAGCTAGATGCTGTCTCAAATAAATAAATAAAAAAAAAATTAAAAATCATGGAAGGACAGAATGTTTTTCAAGTATAAAATATTAAATTTCAAAATTTTCTAACTTCTTATTCAAAAATATGTTTTTCACCATACTTCTGCAACTTGTAAAAATAAGAACCTTCCCCATATGGGCCCAAGATTGGCAACAATAACAACATTTGGTACATTTATTTATGTAATTTGTACTAGCATTCTCGAGTAAACCTTTAAATAGTCCTCACAAAAAATTAACAGAATTTAGACTTACTTCTGGAGTGATGAATTTTTCATAGACAGTGCCCAGCCTGTCTCTAAAATCATATACATATTCTTCAACGGCATTCTTAGCATCATTTCTTTCTTTCTCTAACTTATCTTGCATGATCATCTTCCCCTATTCAAAAAGCTTCAGATTAGTTGCCATAAGAATATGCATTAGGGAAATAGAAATCAAAACCACAAGATACCACTTCACACTCACTAGGATGATTACAATACAAAAAATAAGTATTCATGAGGATGTGGAGAAAGTGAAACCCTTGTACATTGCTGAGAGGAATGTAAAATGCTGCAGCCACCATGGAAAACGTTTTGGCTGTCCCTCAAAATGCTAAGCACAGAATTTCAATTTCACTCCTAGATACACCCACAAAAAATTGAAAGCAGAGACTTGAACAGATATTTGTATGTCAGTGTTCACTGCAGCATTATTCACAATAGCCAAAAAGTAGAAACAACCCAAATGTGCACTAAAAGATGAACAAATAAAAAAAGTATATAAACACAATGTAGTATTTTACTTCATTTTAAGAAGAAATGAAGTTATGATACGTGCTGAAACAAGGAATCTTGAAGTCATTATGCCAAGTAAAATAAGCCAGACACAAAAGGACAAGCATTGTATAATCCCACTTAACATGATTCTTATCTATTGATAACTAGGCAGTTCGCAAAGACAGAAAGTAGGGAACTGGGAGAAGGGAGGAAAATAAGTTATTATAGAGTTAACGTTTGGGGTGATGGAATTGTTTTGAAAATAGACAGTGGTGATGGATGCACAGTATGGTGAATGTAATTAAAGCCATTGAATTATACACTTAAAAATGGTTATAATAGCAAATTTCATGTAAAAAAATTAACGTAGTATACCGAAAACCACTGGATACTTTAAATGGGTTAATTATGATATGTAAATTTATCTCAATAAAGCTGTTAAAAAACAAAAGAAAACATAGCCTATGTCATTCTACATACTCAGATTAAAATCCTAGGTTCCCTATTTACTATCTTGAGATAGCAGGAAAATCATCTAAACATAAGTTTTCTTATCCTAAACAGAGAGCATAATTCCATCTAACTCATAGGGCTGCTAATAAGGTTGAGATAATTCATGTAAAATATTTAGTTCCATGTTTGACACATAACTGGTAATGAATAAAAGCCTTGCGGGGGTGGATATGGTATAGTGGTTGTGATACTGAGCTTTGGAGAACAATCACCTGGATCCAAATCCAAAGGGTATTCTCTGATCCTGGGTAATTTAGTCTACTTGTGTCTCAGTTTCCTCACCTGTGAAATGTAGTTCTCTAACAGAACCTACACTTCATAGGTTTGAGGGTAAAAATAAAAAGTATTTATAGATGTTAGTTTATGATGAACAAAAGCAAAGAAATAACCTGAAGATTATAATACTTGAGCAAAATTTTCACTTTAATAAAAACACATGTAAACGTTAAGAATCCCTTTATAAATTACAATGCATTCACATTTGTGAAGTGAAAATAATGAGACATTCAAAAGTTAAGAAAATCTCATTTTATATACAAAATTTCCCAAAACTGTGCTTCCCTACAATTCATTCCTTTGGGAAAATTTTTCTCAAGACACACAAATTCCAAATTATTCAGGATCTCCAGGAATGCTTGCTTCACATAAAATGCAGCCTTTAACAATTATTAATGAATAGATGATATAGGTAGGTACTACAAAAGCAAGCATTGTAAAGTCAGAAGACTGACCTTTTAATGCCAGCTGAGCTTGTAAAAATTAGGAACTACCACTTAAATGTAAACTTATAAAATATAAATTACTTCTTAAACAGATACTGGTAAAGAAACAAAACTCGTTTCCTCTAGAGACTGTAACTTAAACATGTAAATAGAAAAGAACATGTAAGAAAATGTCAAGAATGACAAAGATTTTTTAAAAAAATATTTAATGGATGTCAGAAAACATTTTGAACAGAGATATAATCTTTAAGGACAACACAGGAGAAGAGGGGAGCAGCTAATATTTCCCCATATGTGGTCTGCTGGGTGTCATTGTTAAAGACAGAATAAAAGGAAGAATCAATTTCAGAAAAGTCTTTCTCTATAGAGGAGGCAATACATGTTTTTCACACAACTAAGATGATAGCTACACAGTACATATGGCATTAAAACAGCTCAGTATTTTGTAAAAAATAGTTTAGTAATCTACTTAATATAATTCCTTAGGAGTTATAAACTAGTGCCCTAAATTTTGGAGATAATCATTGACTTCTACAAAATTTCAGAATAAACTACCACCTATTTCAGCATCAACTCAGATTTACATACCTCATTTTCAATGTAGCTGTTGAGAAGATCTTGGCCTAGTTGTCTACATAGGCTACTCTGGATCGGTAGATCAATACTTTTGACTTTTCCTTTTTTAAGTGTCTGATTTAATCGGTCTTGTTTGTCTGAGACAGCTGACTGCAAATCCGAAAGAGAAGTATAAATTTCTAAAATTAGCTTAAAAATAGATTTAAGAGGTAAAACAGAAAGTAAAATCAAAACGATTATGATCTGTTATATTTATTTTAAAGTACTACCTTAAGACTGATGTTATTTTGTAGTCTGTGTATGTTAAATCCTAGTTTCTATATTAAAAATATTGGGTTGGAAATGAAAAGCAAAAGTAAGACGAGTAGCTACTTCTCACCCATTACAGTGGCTACAATTAAAAAATATAAAATAATAAGTGTTAGTTGAGGATGTGGGGAAACTGCAACCCCTCATACATTGTTTGCAGGATTGTAAAATGTTGCAGCCATTCTGGAAAACAGTTGGGAAGTTCCTCAAAATGTTCAAGATGACAATCTTAACAAAACAATGTTAACAAAAATGTTAAACAATTATGACCCAGCAATTCCATTCCTAGGTATATGCCCAAGAAAAATGAAAATACACACCCCCGCAAAACTTATACATGATTGTTCATAACAATCATAAGAGTAAAAAAGTGAAAATAACCCAAATGTCTATCAACTGATAGATGGATAAATAAAATGTGGTATGTATTCATACAATGCCGTATTATTCGGCCATAAAAAGGAATACTGATATATTCTACAACCTGGATGAACCTTGAAAACATTATGTTTGGTGAAAGCCAGTCACAAATAAGTACATACTGTATAACTGTACGTATATGAAATGTTCACAATAGGCAAATCTATTGCCTGTTCCCTGTGGCTGGCAGGGAGAGGGCTGAAGGGAAATGGGAAGTCACCGCTAATAGATAACAAGGCTTCTCTTTGGGATGATGAAAATATTCTAAAATTGTGATGATGGTTGCACAACTGAATATACTAAAAACTGTACAACTAATTGGATGATTTGAATGACATGTAAACTATATCTCAATAAAGCTGTTCAACAATTAAAATTTTGAAAAAGTCAGAAAAAAAGTTTCCAGGTTTTAAATAACTTTAGAATCTACAATTTAAAACTAAATCTTTACAATCTCTGAGAAATGAATCTATTTGGCTAACCTGCATAGAATTTAATCTATGCAGGTTAGAAAAATCTGTTGAAGATGATAGCTTTAAGAGTTATAACCACATTCATCTGGGTGACTGGGGCAGGGCCTCTCCCTTCTGTCTTATTGGCAATCACTATCTTAGAAAAATAATTACTCTCAATAAATCATTTATCCTTTAACATTTTATTTTTGAAAGTATTAATTTTTACACATAGAAAAATATTTTATGATATGCAACAAAATAATTAGAGTGGTTAATTCTGAGATATAGAGTACAGCTAACATGTTTTCCTCATATAGCTTGTTCCATCTCATATTTTTCTGAAATGATTTTTTTCACTTAAAGTTAAGATTTTAACTTATGTATTCATACTTTAGAAATACAATGCAGTTATTGGTGAAACATGAGAAATAATGAATTAAGGAAATAAGGTAAAGAATTCAGGCAATTTTATTGTTGGGTTCTTTGATAAAATTTCCTTTTTTTTTTTTTAAACTTTTAAGTTCAAGGGCACATGTGCAGGTTATATAGGTACACTCATGTCACAGGGGTCTGTTGTACAGATTATTTCATCACCCAGGTATTAAGCCTAGTACCCATTAAGGGGAGGGATCATCTCCCTCCCTCCTCCACCCTCCACCTTCCAGTAAGCGTCAATGTTTGTTGTTCCCCTCTATGTGTCCGTGTGTTCTCATGAGATGAAAAAAAAAGTTAATGAAAAATGTATCTTTTTTCCTACCAAAAAAGGTAATTTTGCTCATGTTGTTAGGGTTCCTTTTTAAAAAACACAACTCTTAATAAATCATTAAAGTATATTTATTCTGGCTATCAGCTTTCTATATTCTCTCACAATTCTAAGATCAAAAATATCAAGTGCGTTAAAAGAAAGCATTAAATACAATAATTCAAAATATCAATTTCAAAAAGACATAACTACAGAAAAAGTAAACCAAACCTTTGTTTTGGCTCCTGTATGATCAATTTCCTCTTCTGGAGTGTGTTCAGCATGACATTTTTGATGCCCTTCTTCTTGATCAACCTGCATTTTATCCTAGAAAGAAAATACATAATTGATAATATACGCAGTGTCTTTTTTTTGTTTTAAAAATGTAAACTGCATCTTAAGAGTTCAAGCCTGTTTTGAAATGTAAAATGTAGAAACAGTTAAGTAGAAGCTCATTTTTCAAATGAGAATTGCTACAAATAAACAGATTAACAGGGAAGTAAAGTGAAAAGATCTATTTGATGCTATGGGATAAATCTTGTTTATCTATGGCTAAGTAATTGCAAAATACGTGGAAAATTGTTCTCAAGCCAAATTTACAAATCAAGATTCACAAAAGCTTACAAAAAAAGAGAACATTCAAGGGTGGGGGGCTAGGGGAGGGATAGCATTACGAGAAATACCTAATGTAGATGACGGGTTGATGGGTGCAGCAAACCACCATGGCACATGTATACCTATGTAACAAACTTGCATGTTCTGCACATATATCCCAGAACTTAAAGTATAATAAAAATAAATAAAATAGAGAACATTCAACTTGATATGAAAGATGTTTATAAATAACACAAGAAAATAAAATGAAAAAGATACAAAATCTATGAATTACACAAATACAATACTATATCTTTAAATTGTAAAATGTAAAATAATTAGAAATATGCACTTTGAGTTTTGATATAAATTAATCAAAATTAATCAAATTAATCAAAACTCAAAGTGGGTGTTTCTAAATTATTAAAAGGTACACTTTTAAGATTTTTTTATGTCTAAAAACCAAACTTTCTACCAATAAAATCTCCAAAATGAACTCTCCACTTGGCAAATAATCCCATATATATAATAGATTTTTTTGGTCACCTTCTTAATCCTGTCACCATCCTCCTGAAGAAAGCTTGAAATGTAGGAATCAGCATAAGTTAGGTCTTCAACTACATCTAGAATTAAGCAAATCTGTAATACCCAGAAAGCTATCTTGAATAAAAGCTTATTTCTGCCAAAGAGGAGCTAATTTTTTTTTTTTGTAGTTAAAAGATCAATTATTCTTCGGGAGGCCAAGGCAGGCAGATCACTAGGTCAGGAGTTCAAGACCAGCCTGACCAACACGGTGAAACCCTGTCTCTACTAAAAATACAAAAATTAGCCAGGCATGGTGGTGCACGCCTGTAATCCTAGCTACTCAGGAGGCTGAGGCCGGAGAACTGCTTGAACCCGGGAGGCGGAGGTTGCAGTGAGCTGAGATCGTGCCACTGCACTCCAAACTGGATGACAGAGCAAGACTCTGTCTCAAATTAAAAAAAAATCAATTATTTTTGATATTTCAACTCCCCTGCCCTACCTTACAACCTCCCCAACCCTGTTGATAGGTAAGATAGGTGAAAAAAGTGATAAAGTGTTGAGTTATTAACTCTAATTTTTGTATTACTCAGAAAAAAATGCTAAATGGTCACAATGCCTTATCACTTAGAATTTTTATATTTATTGAAAGAGCTCTTCTATTGTTTATATATTTATATCTTTCACAGAGAAAAGGAAAATAAACCAGATTAAGTAGTTATTTCTAAAATTTCTTCACATTCAGAATCCAACTCTTCTGAATCACTTAATCCAGTTGTTAATGTATATTTCTATACAATATCACTCTGTGTGTCATCAGGAGTATAAATGACCCAGCATTTGTTTAAAAGTTGCTCTAATATAGCCTCTAGTGTTTTCTTACAAGCCACTAACACCTATTCTACAAGACTTATGACTGTATCTTTATCACAACCTGTTTTCAACCAACCAGGACTCGTATTCCTTCCTTGAATGCTCCTTAAATGGTTTGTTCACTAAAATGTCAAGAGGTTGCCAACTATCTAGTCATGCCACTAGGAATTACAACCGAGTTCACAGATGCACAGGTGATGAGAAGTATCTCATGACTATTGCCATGATCAACAGCAAATATAAGATGTTATCATTTGCAAGACTAAGATACATTTAAAAGCAGAAAATTACACATCTTAAAATGGATATGAAATGGTAATAAACTGTTAATTCTTTAAAATGATTTTAAGATGTTTATAGAAATATTATCAATAGTGGGATAATTAATGGAAGTGCCTCTAGACTCTGACTTCACTGATAGATTTTAAACTCCATGGGAGTTGAAACCATCTTTCTGTTTGCTGCTATGACCAAGCACACATTTTAGGTACTCATAGCTATTTGCTAAATAAACATAAAGCACTTAAGAAACAAATCTAGATACTACCATGAACTTTAAGGTTTTACCCGATTTGTCGCTTGATTTACCCTCTCAATTTCATTTTTTTTCCTGCTATTC
Organism: Homo sapiens; assembly: GCF_000001405.40. NCBI lineage: Eukaryota > Metazoa > Chordata > Mammalia > Primates > Hominidae > Homo > Homo sapiens. The sequence goes on along the minus strand of NC_000004.12, from coordinate 127,816,043 downwards.
CCCCATTCTCCACACCTATATCCTATACACCAACCACTCTTCTATTTGTTACAACAACGAAAAAGAAGGCCTTCCTGTCTCAGTGCCTTTCTATTTGTTATTCACTCTGCCTGGACAACTACCTATCTACTCCTTACCCTTAAGCTGCCTTTTGCATCTTTCAGACTAGCTTACCTGTTCCTTCCTAAGTGGTTTCCTCATCACTATCACATAATTCCCACTATGCATCCCCATTAACTTCCTTTATATTTATATGCTATCTTTTTGCTTCATGCCTGTCCTCTCCCACTAGACTGTAAGTTATAGATGGGTGGCAACCTTTTCAATCTTGTTTAATCACTGTATCCCTAGTGCATAGAAGAGTCCTGGCTACACATAAGCAAATATGTGGAATTAAAAAAATAAATAGAAGTAAATAAAAAGATAAAGAACCCAAATGGTCAACAATTGGGAAATAAACTGTGGTACATTAGTAAGATGAATAGCATATAGTTTCTTTGATCCCTGGGTTTTGTGATATAGTTTAAGATGTGATAATTTTTTTTTTTTTTTGCAGACTATGTTATCCAGGCTGGACTCAAACTCCAGCCCCAGCGTCCTGAGTAGCTGTAACTATAGGCACAAACCAAAGTACCCGGGGCTTGATATGGTAATTTCTTAGTAAGTACCCGGAGCCTGATGTGGTAATTTCTTAATAAGTATTCAGGGCTTGATGTGGTAATTTCTTAATATGCCCCTGTATTAAATTATACCTACAAGAGAGGTGTCAATTTTCTCACATATCATTATATTGAAGTCAGCAAGCTCTATTGTGATTTTTCGGGAAAATCAATGCTATTTTAATTTTGAATTAGAAAATAACACATACAAAATAGTCTTTCATAAACTGACCCTCATAGAAAAAAAAAAGGCTCCTGCTGATGTTCACTGGTTTATGTCTGGGCCTCTTTATCTACCTCAGAGCCAGCAATACCATCAGCTAGGATAGAGTAAAAAGAAGAACTTATTATCTTATTATTCCACCCCTTGAAATTTAAACAATTAGCTTCCAGAGTCTTTGAATTGGTTCACTTTTTTGAGGGGAAGGGGAGACTACTTTATAATGGTATTTAAGTCTTTAAACTTCCAAATACAGAATTAAAGAGAAAAATCCTAGAGAGAACCATTAAAAAGTGCACAGGCCGGGCACGGTGGCTCACGCCTGTAATCCCAGCACTTTGGGAGGTAGAGGCTGGTGGATCACAAGGTCAGGAGTTTGAGACCAGCCTGACCAATATGGTGAAATCCCATCTCTTCTAAAAATACAAAAATCTGCCAGGCGTGGTGGCGTATGCCTGTAATCTCAGCTACTAGAAGGCTGAGGCAGGAGAACTGCTTGAACCTGGGAGGTGGAGGTTGCAACGAGCCGAGATTGTGCCACTGCACTCCAGCCTGGGCGACAGAGCGAGACTCCGTCTCAAAAAAAAAAGTAAAAAGTGCACAGAATATTTTCAACACAGTGTATTCAGCATCATCGCTTTTATTAGCAAGGAAAAGGAAATAAACTACAATTTATTCAATATTTATTATATTAGCTGTAGTAGGGATTTAAAAGATTTAGGCTGGGCATGGTGGCTCAAAAAAAAATTAAAAAAAAAGATAATACATATATGAATGTGCTCACCAACAATGCCAAGTATATGATCCATAATGTTAGCTACCTTTTTTCTTTTGATTACATACATTGTAAAAGAAATATTAAGGAACACATCACCTATCTAGAAATTCCTTGTATGGGAACCTCAACTGCCTGCAAATGTTCTAGCAAGCCAAAAACTATCATAAGCAGGTAAGTCTCTGAGTAACCAAAGCAGATGCCATAAATCCATGCACTTTATTCACAGGTGAACCCACTTAGTTCACATACAGAAATCATCCTTTAAAGCTTGGTTAACTGAATTTCCAGCTCACAGACAAACAGAAGCAGCAAATAAGAACTGCCAGGGGAAGTACAAGATGGGTACCATAATATTCTTGTTGTATTTTCAGTTCCCAGGATTCACTAATATTATATAAAGAAAATTAAAGGTCTCAGCAGAAATACTTAAAAAAAGATAAATGAGCCAGGCGCAGTGGCTCACACCTGTAATCCCAGCACTTTGGGAGGCCGAGTTGGATGGATCAGGAGGTCAGGAGATCAAGACCATCCCGGCTAACACAGTGAAACCCCGTCTCCACTAAAAATACAAAAAAAATTAGCTGGGCGTGGTGGCACATGCCTGTAGTCCCAGCTACTTGGGAGTCTGAGGCAGGAGAATCACTTGAACCCAGGAGGCAGAGGTTGTAGTGGGCCGAGATTGTGCCACTGCACTCCAGCCTGGGCAACAGAGCGAGACTGTCTCAAACAACAACAACAAAAAAATAGATAAATGATTATAAACACCTGGTCTTAGAAGGCATACAAAGCACTTTCAATTTCAGTAAAAATAAATCTTAATGGATTAAATTTACATATCTTAGTTATTGTGGATTATAATTTAAAATATTAACTTTTCACCAATTATTATGTTAATTTATGAAAAACTGTACCTTCACTAACAAATAAAGACATTTCCTCTTCCTCAATTCAAATAAGAAAGCGATTACAAAATGATACATGGAAAGATTGAAAGAAAAAGCCACAGTCCTTAAATGAAGTAGTTTAAAGTCTAGTGGTTGAATTCTGATCAATTTGGAAGAAAGATGCATAGTAATTATTAATAAAAACAAAAAGCAACCTTAAAAAAAGGGAGAAACTGTCTTAAAATAGAATAAAAGAAAATCGCCTTTCGGCTGGAACCGCCATCTTCCAGTAATTCGCCAAAATGACGAACACAAAGGGAAAGAGGAGAGGCACCCGATATATGTTCTCTAGGCCTTTTAGAAAACATGGAGTTATTCCTTTGGCCACGTATATGCGAATCTATAAGAAAGGTGATATTGTAGACATCAAGGGAACGGGTACTGTTCAAAAAGGAATGCCCCACAAGTGTTACCATGGCAAAACTGGAAGAGTCTACAATGTTACCCAGCATGCTGTTGGCATTGTTGTAAACAAACAAGTTAAGGGCAAGATTCTTGCCAAGAGAATTAATGTGCGTATTGAGCACATTAAGCACTCTAAGAGCCGAGATAGCTTCCTGAAACGTGTGAAGGAAAATGATCAGAAAAAGAAAGAAGCCAAAGAGAAAGGTACCTGGGTTCAACTAAAGCGCCAGCCTGCTCCACCCAGAGCAGCACACTTTGTGAGAACCAATGGGAAGGAGCCTGAGCTGCTGGAACCTATTCCCTATGAATTCATGGCATAGGTGTTAAAAAAAAAAAAAAATAAAGGACCTCTGGGCTACAAAAACAAAACAAAACAAAACAAAAACAAACAAACAAAAAATCTAGGGCAGACTTCCAATTGTAATTAGACAAAAAATCTAATGCCATTAAAAATAATGCACACAAATAATTCATGAGGAGCACACATAAAAAGATGAAAACGTTGTGTAATTAAATACGATAAAGTTCTCCTAAGATTCCTTCATCTATAGTATCCCCACAGTAAATTCAGGTCACATAACTCTTTAATAAAGTTAAAAAATCTGTTTTTTTTTTTGTTTTTTTTTTTTGAGATGGAGTCTCGCTCTATCACCCAGGCTGGAGTGCAGTGGTGCGATCTCGGCTCACTGCAAACTCCGCCTCCCGGGTTCACGCCATTCTCCTGCCTCAGCCTCCTGAGTAGCTGGGACTACAGGTACCTGCCACCACGCCCGGCTAATTTTTTGTATTTTTAGTGGAGACGGGGTTTCATTGTGTTAGCCAGGATGGTCTCGATCTCCTGACCTCGTGATCCACCCGCCTCGGCCTCCCAAAGTGCTGCGATTACAGGCGTGAGCTACTGCGCCCGGCCAAAAATCTGTACTTTAACATTACTGAATGTACAGCACATTCCTCTGCTTAACTGTCTCAGATGTCCCCCAAATAAACCCTGAAAAATTATTTATTAAGCATGTATTTTCAATCTAAAAAGAATGTATAGTTCAAAATTTATCATTCTGAAGTGGTTTTATCTGTAAGCTAAAAATCTAGCCATAATAAAATACATGTTTTAATGGAAGTTAAGAACTTAGGAAAGAATTCCAGGTTCACCTGCTCCATGTAATACTATGAAAGATGCACCAAACTCTTAAAAAGTATGTGACAACGTGAAAGATGTAAAGCATTGAAAATAGTATTATTCCTTAATGCTTTTATCAAAAGACTTTATACAGATTCCCACAGCAGAAAATCAAAGCAAAACCTCAGAGAGTAATGTATTCAACTATTAAAGTCCCAGTTATGATTAAGATATACTGTATACACTATCTATTACAAGAACATTGAGAAAGAATTTCTACATACCATATTATCTTTGTTTTCATTTTTAAATGAAGTTTCTGTCTCCATTGGAGCATCACTGTGATCGCCTTCCAAATTTTGCTTCTCAATTACTGATGCGCTAGCCACACTGAAGATTCCATGGATGTTAACACGAACTTTAACCTTCACTTTGGAACTATCACCATCAGACTGTGGAAAAACATTCTGAATAGTGAAGCTCCCTTAAGGAAAAAAGAACTCCAATCAGTATGTGAGCCTCAGATTAACTTATTCAATTCATTGAATAATTTGGCTATCATCTTTAAGATGTTGGCAAATAATCATCTTGGCAATAATTATGATCATATCCTGATTGATCACTATGGGGCAGGTACTTCCCCCAGATTATCTTTTATAAACCATAACAAACCTGTTATTAAGTCTCAGGAAGCTTAAGTAACCTGCTCAAAATCATCAATGCTAGGAAAAAAAAAAAAAAGCACTGGGAATTTAACCATGGACAATTTGATTCAAAGGCAGTAAGTTATCTCATAATACTGCTATTCTAAAACCAAAATAACAAGATTCACTTTCTGAATTTGAAAACAAAATAGATTTTTTTTGATATAAGCTTTACAAATCATAACCATCTTGGTAATTCATAAATAAAGCAATTCCAATTTTTATTTTTCCTATAGCAAAATACCTGCAGAGATCATTATCAATGCTTTAAGAAATCTACTGATGTTTTATTTCTCTAAAGAAATCTCATATATATATTATCTATAGAAGAGAGAACATTAGGCAGTAAAATCAGGTAGTAAAAAACTTGGATGACTTTTTTATGGGTTAAATTTTGCCCCCCACCTGCTCCCACACTGTGCGTAGTACCTCAGAACATGACTATGTGTGTTTTGTTTTGAGACACAGTTTCACTCTGTTATCCAGGCTGTAGTGCAGTGGCAGGATCATAGGTCACTGCAGCCTCAAACTCCCAGGCTCAAGCAATCCTCCCACCTCAGCGTTCAAGTAGCGGGGACTACAGGTGCATGGTACCATGTCTAGCTAATTTTTCTGATTTTTAGTACAGATTAGGTCTCACTATGTTGCCCAGGCTGGTCTTGAACTCCTGGGCTCAAGCAATCCTCCTGCCTCAGCCTTCCAAAGTGCTAGGATTACAGGCATGAGCCACCATGCTCAGACGTGACTGTATTTGGAGATACCTTGACTTCAGACTTCTAACCTCCAGAAATGAGACAACAAATTTCTAACGTTTAAGCCACCTAGCTTGTGGTACTTTGTTATAGCAGCCCTAGCAAACTAATATAATGTTCAATAATTTTACTGCTTTATATAATATCCTTGAAATATTTATAATATTTGTGCTGTCCCCTTCTTAGTCTATAAAGCAGTACATAGAAAAAAATTTAAAATTTGAAAATCCTTTTAAATGTTGTAATTTCATTTTATATCTTCTGAAAAGTTCACTCAGTTAAAATGGATATTACAATCTCCTATTCTCACTTTCCTTTTTTTTCTATTATTTTTAATTGCATTTAGTCACATCATTTATAATGATGTTTATAGAAGATGGTTTATAGAAGATGTTTATAGAAGAATATGTTTATAGAAGATGGTTAAGACTGGTTAGTAATTTATTCTTGGGGTTTGTTTTAAAGTGAGAAAGGGGGAAGTAGTTATGAGTTCAGAAATAATATTTTAGGATGATACATGTTGACTGTAAACTCAAAAGGTACACTGACACCAATCCTATAAACAGCAAATATGGATGTAACAGATTTAAGCTTATTGGTTCATTTTTTAAAAGTACTCTTGTTTCTTTAAAGTTAAGTACTATAAATGATTCTTGGAAATCTACTGTGGACATGATATATTCAGTCAAACTTGCTAGGGGTTGGGGAATGTTTTTGTGACCATCCAGTTCAGAGTCTGATTACTGTTAAACAGCATTACAAAAAAGTTACAGTTACGGTACATAATCAATTCCTTGGACGATACAGCCTCCACAGCTCTCATCATCCTGATTACCCTTCTTTCTGCTTTCACTTACACATTCCTTTAACAAACAAAAAATATCAAAGTTCACCAAAATTTTGAAAGTCACAGTTCATCTAGCACTGAATGACAGTAGCTTTGGCATTTGATATTACAAAGTCTCTTTTCCATCACAAATATTTTCTTCATTCTGGGTCAAGGCGAGGTAAAACAGGAAGAATCAGGTTCCCAAATGCAGAGTCTTGAGTTATGAAGTATCCAAATGAATGTGCATGAGCATGCTGCAAAGCTGCCTTCTGCTGGGCTGCAATATACTGCGGCTCAGCGTGATCCCAGAAGTCCTTATTAAGACAGGGTCTCGAGAGTGCAATGCTAGCTCCAGGATGATTTGTTGAAGACTGGTTCTGCATAAGTAGTCTTCTTTTCTCTTTGTCCAGTTCTGCCAAGATTGCAACTTGTTTTGAAAACCTTGTCCTGAAGAGTTTGATGCAATTTTCCTATTTTGTTTCAATTATGTGCAGTGGCAAATGGTGAGCACTTCACAATCACCTGGGATGCAAGAACTCCGGGACCGCCTCACCTTCCAATCGCCCTCACCTTCATATTAATCCAGTAATAGTCATTCTAGTTGTTGCCAGTAAACATTAAGTTTAAAATTAGAATATACCAATTAAAGTTTTTCAGTAAAAAATAATTATCACACAAACCTTTCAGGACAGTTACAGAGCATTTTATTTTGATAGAGGGAGTCTCACTGTGTCGCCTAGGCTGGAGTGCAGTGGCATAATCTCAGTTCACTGCAGCCTCTGCCTCCTGGGTTCGAGCAATTCTCCTGCCTCAGCCTCCTGAGTAGCTGAGATTACAAGTGTGTGCCACCACACCCAGCTAATTTTTGCACAGCATTTTAAATATAGAAGTAAAAATGAATTAGAAATATAGCTGTCCCCTCAGTATCCATTGAGTATTGGTCCCAGGTCTCTCTGAGGATGGAAGAACCTTTTATACATCATTTTGCATGTGAGTGAAATGGGGTCTCACTATACTGCCCAGGCTAGTCTTCAACTCCTGGGCTCAAGCAATCCTCTGGTAGTCAAGTCCCTTATTAAAAAAAATGACATAGTATTTTGTGTATAACCTACATACAACCTCCCAAATACTCTTAAGTCTATATCATCTCTAGGTTAATTATGATACCTACTACAAAATAAATGGTATGTCAGTAGTTGTTACATGTATTAATGACAAGAAAAAAAAAGTCTAGGCATGTTCAGTACAGACACTTGTTTTTCCTAATATTGGCTGAATGTACAGATGCCAAACTCATGAATACTGAGGGCCGACTGCAGTAAACCCTGCTGTCATTATAGAAATAAACTGAGCACTACAAATGCACATTTCTAGAAAGAGTATAAATATCTTTCTTTAAAAGTCCCATACTGGCTTAGCTGAAATGTCTATTTGTTTCCTTGATTCTAAAATAACACATTATTTATAAAAGGCCAAAATGTTATGGAGAACTTTTTTTTATCTTACCAATTCTTGCATCAGGATAAGGCACTTCATGTAAATTAGTATAAAATGCTTCTAGTTCAAATGGTTCCTTCTTGTGGAAAGTAATGACTTTTGAGAATGGGGCAGGATGGTTCTTACAGAAAACTTCACATTCCCTAAAATGGAGGGAAAGAACTCACTTAGAAACAAATAGAAAGTTGCCTATGAACCTATTTACTGAATCCATTTCATTCTTAATTCATTAGCAGCAACTGCAAAAATCTCTGCACAAATAAAAAGAAAAAACAATTACTGATTTTGCTCTAAACATGCATTGCAACAGATTTATGGCTCAAAGTTTTCATAATGTCTATCATAATAACAGACAACTGTATACTATTAAAAAGAGAAAAATTACCTGAGAATACGTATATTTTAAGGCCAATGTGTATGGTTTTTTTCCCTCACATATGAGGGCCAAGTCCTACCCATTAACTTCTAAAATACTTGCCACCTATTACCCTTTTAATTCTGGCTACCTTTAATAGAAACTTTTGTTTGCAAATAATTTTAAACCTATGAAAAGGTGCAAAATTAAAAATAGGACAAGGAACACTTGTATATCTTTTACCTAGATTTGCTACTTTACTCCATTTGTTTCATCATCTGAGTGCACACACTTTCTGTATATATTTTTCCTGAACCAACCGAGGGTTATACATACATTATGGTGCTTTACCCCTAAAAACGTCAGTGTGCATCCTAATAGGGATATTCTCTGATGCTTTACCTATTCATATTTCCATCTTTTTTTCAGTTGATACAACAATGTCCTTTGCAGCATTTTACCCCTCCAATACAGGGAGTTTTTAAAACCTACATAGCAATTCCTATTCCTTAAATTGTTTAACAGAAACAGTTTATGACTATTTGTTATAGTGGCCCAGAAACCAATCTTTAATACTATATATCATCCTATTACTATAAGTATGGAAGATTTTAAAATCTTGAATCCACAAACTTCTTACTCTATCCTAGTTTTCAAGAAACTACCAATACCTTCTACTTTCTTTTTGTAGTCATTAGGCTATATTTACTTTTCAATTTAGCTCCCCATACGTTTTCTTACAATTTTTTTCTGGATCACTTATACCTTGAAACTGAAATTAAATTTTATAGAATAATGATTCTTGCCTCAAAATTGACATTATCTGGGGCAGACAGGTGAAAAATTATTTAAAAAGAAAAAAACTGACATTAACACATGCCATTAAAATCTTTTGCAAGACATTCAGATAAGGCTGAAAATCCATATTTTTGAAATGTATACAAAAATCTCATTTTCTTGGGGGTACTTATGTACAGAACACAGAACAAAATTTAAAAAATAACTTCAAAATGTAAACACACCATTATTCATTGTACAAGCTATACTTCTGAAAAGCAGTCAAGTAAAATATTTGAAATATAAATTTTGATTCTGGTAGGGAAGCAGGCTACCTAAATCCTGGGCAGTTCATGGAAAAAAATGTAAATGTTAATGCAAGCATGAAAATATTGTAGCTTATGACAGAGGGAAACATTAATTTAATAACAGTGCTTTTTTTAAAATATTGGCATGTTCAATTAAAAGTACAGGAGAAAATGAGCTAAAAGAGGCAATCTCATGAAAGTTAATAGGAATATAAACCAGTATCCTTTTAGTGAATAATTTGCAAATATTACTCAAAATAATGTGCATATTCTTTGGCTAAACAATTCCATTCCTACACTGCTGTCTTACAGATATACCAAGCACAACTGAACAAGGGTTTGTGCACAAGGATGTTCTTACTAGCACTGTTTAAAATAGCAAAAATATGACTTAATACTGTATTGGTTAAATTTATTATGGCACATATAACTATTGAAAAAACAGTTACTGTCTGTTGACATGGAAAAATAAAATACAATATAATTAAAAAAGCTAAGTTGCACTAGAGATTTATAGATAATTCTATATGTACCTAAGAAATGTATGATTTTATTTATTTATGGATAGTCAAAGAAAATGACTGGACAGATAAACTAGCTTTTAAAAATGTTTATGTCTGTAAAATGGGCTAAGAGAGAATATGACAAATGCAGGTCTTTTTTATACTTCTATACTGTGATTTATTTGAAAATGAGCCTTGTTTTACTTTTATAAAAAACATAAATTTAAAAATATGCCCAATTATGATTTATAGGTGATATATCATTTTTATATCTCTTTAATACATTATTTTAAAGTATTTGGCAGAATTTTAAGAAGCGTAAATTTCTCTAATTTAGAAAAGTAGGTTTAACTGGGTAAAGATTTATGACAAGCTCTAATCAAGGTTTTAAAAATAACTTACCCACTTCCATCTTCAAAAGAGGTCTTCCACCTTAATGTGATTGAATAGGGAACAAGGTCTGTTATGGAAAATTCACGCACTTTAAATGCTGGTGAGAGAATCGCACACTGAAAATAAGATGTATACCATATTTAAATCAACAAATACAAAACATACCCTAGGTTACTCTGATTGAACTGCTTAATAGAGTCCTCCTATTACAACTGTTACATTTTAAAAGTTACTGGTTTTTGGCAATGAGAAGTGAAAATTTAAAAGGGCCTGAGTACTCTTTATGTGACCTTATAAAAATTAACAGAATATCTTTACATCTCCAAAAGGGATTTTAAATGGGCAGACTGCAATAATTTGTAAAATTAATATTCTTTCAGTGTCCTTACAGACACACTGTCCTATTATAGCTTAAAAACATAAATGGGAAAGACATAAGACTTATTTATCAGAAATAACTTCAATTTACTTTAGCTTATTGATAAGTGGATGGAACAGATAACATTAAAAGGCCCCTTTGGATCTATCACTCATTTCTGGCAAAATACATATTCTAAAAAATAAAATAACAATTATACCTGTAACGCACATCCTCTTGCAACAGCTTCATCAGCATTTAATGTGGTACTTATGTCTTTAAGAAAGAATTTAGTGATTTGTTCTTTCACTGCAGGAATTCGTGTTGCTCCTCCTACAATTTCTATACTACTAATGTCTTCACGTTGTAAGTCTGGAAAATTTTTTTAATTGAGAAAAATGATAGTCTTTAAAAATCTCAACAGAAGGCTTTGTCGAGTACTTTTTTAAAAAGTGGATTGACTTTTTACTTGTCAGAAAATAAAAGGGAAGAAAAATACAATTTTTAGAAAGATATAACATTTAATAAATATTATTTATGTGACAGGCAATGCACTTGGTCCAACTTGGTCCAGATGATGGAGTGGCAATAGAAAGAGAAAAGCACTTCATGGGTTTTAAAGGAGCTCTTCAGAGTCCTTCAATTTTCTTATTTCTACCTCCTAAATCCCTATAGAAGATATTTTTAATTGATTACCAAAATCCTTACGAAAAAGCAATTATGTCCCCATTTCTACATTAATTTCATTTTAGAATCATCTATAGTTTATAAACACTTCCAAATAGAACTAGCATGAGTGTGTGTGTGTGTGTGTGTGTGTGTGTGTGTGTGTGTGTTTTGAGACAGAGTCTCACTCTGTTGCCCAGGCTGGAGTGCAATGGCGTAATCTCAGCTCACTGCAACATCCGCCTCCCAGGTTCAAGTGATTCTCCGGCCTCAGCCTCCTGAATAGCTGGGGTTACAGGTGCGCACCATCATGCCTGGCTAATTTTTGGAATTTTAATAGAGATGGGGTTTCACCATGTTGTCCAGGCTGGTCTTGAACTCCTGACCTCAGGTGATCCACCCACCTCGGCCTCCCAAAGTGCTGGGATTACAGGCATGATCCACCGTGCTTGGCCAGAACTAGCATGAGATTTATGATATAAACAATAAGAAGATCCAGGAAGAATTCTCATAAACCCAGAATTATACTGCCTTACTCTTATGAATAATGAGTTATAATCTCCTTCCCTAAAATGAGAAATATAAATCTTTTTAAAAAACAAAGTTTTAAAAATTTATTTTATCATTATCTACCCCCGCTAAGTAGGCAACATTATGGTACAGTTTTGATAGTCCAGTAATTTCCACTTACTAGCTTGTTCCATTACTGCTTTTAAAGGTGGTTCAACCCTGGCCAAAAGGGAAGCACACAGTTGTTCAAATTGAGCCCTGTGAGAAAATAGAATAAAATTCATTATTCTGGGATTAAAAGTTGAGCGTATCTTCTAAAACAACAAACAAATCAGACGTGATCTAAACATTATAAAATAAGTAAACACTTTTCAAACTAAAAACATACGTGGTACCTGTTCATTTTACTAGAAACATCAAGGTCATTCATGAAACACTCAATGTTCAATGGAAGATCTGATGCATTTGCACTCATTAGCTTCTTTAGTTTTTCACATTCCTGATATAAACGCAACAAGGCCCGAGAGTTTTCTTTCACATTTATCTTATATTTGGTCTTGAACTCATCACAGAAGTAGTCTACTAAAGCCTCATCAAAGTTCCTGCCACCCAAATATGGATCAAAGGTAGTAGCCAAGACCTGTTTAATTGAAAAAGCAGAACTGTATTTTCAGAAATATAGATTCTTCCAAAAAAAAAAGAAAAACCTCTAAAATAAAAAAATGTAAAAATAAAAATGACGCTAAAAAAACTTGTCCAATCACAGGGGTGCTGAATTTGGAATCAGAGTTAAATTATCACTTATATTTAGTCAACATATTTCCTTATTCTGAATTTTCTACTTTATAGTTACAGATCCATATATCATAATTAAAAGAATTCTAATTCAGAAATAACTGAATTACAACTAAAGCCTCATTATCTCAGTCACTTGGTTCTACAACAGCACTGAACAGATAGACCAAAACCAAGTTTAAGAGAGCAAAGAAACAGTCCTAAGCATATAAACATGAGCAAAACATCCAAGAAAAGCAGATTCAAAGATTAAATATAAAATACCATAATTGGTCAATTTACGGATCAGAAATTAGGCCTTTTGACTATTACAAAAAAACAGAAACAAAAACAAAACACACAAAAAAACAAAAAACACAACCAAAAAACCAACCAACAAAAAAACCAGGTAACAATGTAACAAGCTGGTTGAGCAACAGGCTTCCCAGCAGAAGAGAGTCATAGAAATTCAACACTACAGTTCTTGAAAACATAGGACCAAACATCTAGGCTCTCTCCCTAGGGTTAAATGACTACTTACAACAGTCACTAATAAAGAATCCTACTGTTGGGGTGGTTTTGCAGCTCTTTCATTATAAGGTGGGTGGTGGGGTGGTAGTATGGTGGTAAATATCACAGGAGGATATGAGTACAATCTGCGTGGAATGTCGCCCCACAGACTAGCATGGAGAATCCATGTATAGACCTCTCATGAAGTCTAGTATTACCCAAAATCAAATGCAAAATTATCTTGGTATATAACTAGTACAGGTGTGTATTTTGGAAGAAGGGCTATAGCCTTGATCAGATTTTCAAACGGGTCTGTGATCTAAAAATCGTATTTCACTACAAAGTTACCTACTAAAAAGGAAGGAAAAAAACGTTCTTTTTAAAGTAAGTTAATATGTAAGACTAAAGGCCAAGGATTAAGTCAATCTATACTGAAAATTACCCTATATTCAGTCTGAGTCATTTCCCTTTAATTTTTTGATTACAAAGATGCTATTATAGTAATATAAATTAAGACAGAATACTCTTGCAGTGTTGCAGTTTATCTCCTAAGTAAACTCTACTCTGTGCATACTGGAGAGAGATCATAAGTCTGGACAAAAGAATCAATGTAAAAATGATTATAAACCTAATTTGTAAGAAGCACACAGAAGTAAAATTACGATTAGAACGCTTGGATAGAAAGGTTTCTAAAATCAATGGGAATCATTTTAGAAAATGCTTCCTGTAATTACATTTATGGATAAATAATTTATGCTTCCTGATAGATGACTTAACAACCTAACAATAGAAACAACAATAAAAATAGCTAATATATATTATAGCAGCTACCCTATGCCAGGCTTTCCAAGAATTTTGTACACATTAACTCATTTTGTCCTGAAAAATTATATGAGGTAGTTACTACTGTTGTTCTCAGATAAACAAACTGAAGATTTAGGGAGATTAAGTAACTTGCTTGAGGTCATAGTTTAAGGGGCAGAGCCAGGATTCGAACCCAGCTATTACGGTTCTTTAGTCTGTGTTCTTAACATATGTAAATATAACAAACCATGTGTTTACTTACTTTAAGTTTTCCTTTGTTAAAAGCACAAACCAAGACCTGATAGGCAGAATGTCCCATATCAATAAATACTACATTTCTTGGTTTCTCATCTAATGGGGGAAGATCCTGTTTATAAATTCCATACGCCAGTGCAACTGTATAAGAACAAAGAATTATGTTAATTCTAGCACAGTAATTACTTGGAAAACAAGAAATGTCACTTTGATACTGTACTTTAATATGCAGTATAGTAATACATATTATTATCTTCAAAGTAAATGAACTTTTCACAATTCGGTTAATAATGCTTTAACTTTATTTTTTCCTTACTCATCTATAACTCTGTAATAGTAAAGATTTGTAAAGCCATTAAGACATATTTAACCTCTGCCAAAAAGTTGTACTACAAAGTAACAAGCTTATAAGAATCAGTACATACACACACACACACACACACACACACACACACACACACACACACGTATTTTTATATATATCAAATTTTTTTAAAGAGACTGTGTCTAGCTCTGCCTCACAGGCTGAAGTGCAGTGGTATGATCATAGCTCACTGCAGCTTTCAACTCCCAGGCTCAAGCAATCCTCTTGCCTTGGAGTTAAAAAAAAATAATGCTTTGTTAATAATTAGAAAAAAACTAGAACAGTATTTTGCTTATAGTGATTTTCAAATTGCAAAGTGCTCACCTGCAGTAGTTTCATTCATCAACCTTAAACAATTTAAGCCTGCAACCTGGGCTGCAGCCATCACAGATCTTCTCTCGGCATCAGTAAAAAAGCTAGGAATCTAGTATTTAAAAACAACAGTTAAGTATAATGTTTTATGTAAACATTTTGTCAACTGAAAAATATAATTACCCTAAAACTTATGTACAGTTTAAGGCAAATAAAGATGTTCTAACTAAAGAGGAAAAATACTAGTGTTTTATTTTTTAAGTTTGACAATTTCTATACCATAAAAATCTGACCTAAAGTATGAATACTAATTTAAAGTAAGGTAATATGGCAGAGTTGCCTAAGTTTTATTCGTCTAAATACTTCCTGTGTTATTCTGATCTATTAAAAATATATTTGCTCATCTTTCATAATAAAAAACTGAAAACTCAAGAGTCTGAAAATGAGATTAGAGAAATATATTATGGTATATCCATATAATGGAATCCTATGTAGCTGTTACAAAGAATCAGGTAGATCTGAATTGTTATGGAATTCTATCTTTATTATGTTAAAAAAGGGCACATATAACATTACTTCATTATCGTGCGTATATACACCCAACCAGAAGAATACAGTCCCAACTGTTTAAAACAATTATATTTCAAAGGAGGGGAACTATATTGTAGGGAACTTGTGATAAATAGGAATTTCCTTTAACAATCACCAAATAACATTGAAAAAATATACATACATACATACACACATACATATATATGTATACAAAATTTTTTTTTCTGAAAGAGACTGTGTCTAGCTCTGCCTCACAGGCTGAAGTGCAGTGGTACAATCATAGCTCACTGCAGCTTTAAACTCCTGGGCTCAAGCAATCCTTTTGCTTCAGCCCCCTGAGTAGCTGAGACTACAGGTGTGTGCCACCATGCCTGGCTAGTTAAAAAAAAACAAAACAAAACTGTAGAGACGGGTCTCACTATGGTTGCCCAGGCTGGTCTGTTAACTACTGGCCTCAAGCAATCCTCCTGCTTTGGTCTCCCAAAGTACTAGGGTTACAGACATAAGCCGCCATGCCCAGCCCATTAACTACATCTCTATTTAAAAATTAAACTCAGTCTTAAAATGTATAAAGATGTACGTATGTATACACCCTAGTTTTATCAAACTGAGAAGTATTTTGACATATAGACCCATTTCTAAAAAGCTATTAAGTGTATTTACATATAAAACAACTTGGGCTCTTCCAGTTTTAAGTTTCAAATAAGTAGCTTCCTTTAATTTTATTGTTTTATGAATTTAGAAATTTCATTGAACAGATTAGCAACAGGAAAAGAATATAAATTTTGCTGATTTGGTATTATCCTCCTGACAAAAATCTAAGTTATCATGCATGGTTCATTTAATATTCATTGAGCACTTACAAACCAGGTACTTTTCTAGCTACCAGGAAAACAGTGCACAAACCAGACAAAATACTTGTCCCTGTAGAGCTTACAATGGGTCTACTGCACCAACCACAAAGTTAATAATGGTCAAAAGTTTGTATTACTCTGTTCTGACATGAATTTCTGACACACAAGGAAAAATATAATTAAATAGAAATGGATTTGAATTTAAGACGAATCTTTAAAATTTGTATGATTCTAACATATCCTTTCAAGTGGCAGTATAACAATTATGAGCATGGGCTTGGGAATTAACTATCTGGCTCTAACACTATATTAGCTGTGCTGATTTTGGGCAAGTTATTTGACATCTCAGTATCCTACTTTTTGAATCTGTAAAACTAGGGTTAATAATATCCCTACCTTATAGATTGCTTCTGAGATTAAATGGGTTAAAATGCCTATAAATAGTACCTGGTCAATGGTAAACTCTATTATTTGCTATTACTAAATGGCTAGAAAATAAAATATTAAGCTCTAATATTTTTCTCCCATTAAAAAAATTCCAAATGCCTATGAAAAAAAATTGATTACTAAACTCACTGAAAAGTTCATCATCTGATTCTGTTTTTCTGATGACATAAGACTCTTGAACTTTTGTAGTCAAGTTGAATAGTAGGAATATATCAATTTAGTTAACATGTAGGTAAAGAACCAGTTAACAATGTTTAATGGGACCTCAAGAGATAAGACGGTAAATAATTTAAATGTTAAGAATCCTTAAAGATCTTTTTTTTCCCCTGATACACAACCTCAAATTCCCAACTAGAAATTTTCAACCTTTGCTATAAAATGTTAAGGTCCTCACAGGTGGGAAGTTAATTGCTATCTGAGAAGATTCTTAGGGATAAATCCCAGATAGCAGCAGTCACTAGTTACATAACAGTTTTTTAAGAGTCACTGCTCATCATAATTGATTTTATGGGAAATTCAATCCTAAACTTTAGCAAATAAGGCAGTTTTTTTAAAAAGAAAGTCAGATGGATTTAGGTTATTTACTGGATAAGGGCAGAAAGTGTAAGGGAAGAAAAATCTTTCAATATTACATTAATACACTGTAAAATATAATTCAAGGGTATTCATTACTGAAGTAAAACTTACTGAAATCACACAGTCAGCCACTGGTTTCTTCAAAGCATTTTCTGAAGTCTCTTTAAGCTTGGCTAACAGCATTCCAGTAACTTGCTCAATTGCAAAAGGTCTCTCTTCCTCTAAGTACCGCACCTAACACCAAAAGTTGGGATATTTATTAAGAGTCATTTGTTTATCCAACAAATATTCAGTGAGCACCTACTGTATATGTGATAGACATACAATGGGAAAAAGACACCCTTGCTCAAGGAAGTTTTATTCCAGAAAGATTGTCATTTTAGAATCATGATCCCATTAAAAACAGTGACTATGTCATTTCTGAGGCTGTAGTACCTTACAGACAGTATTATAACCAAAGTATTTTCAAAAGTGTAGTTTCTACCCTCTCAGATCCCCACTTCCCACAAAAACAATTTTTATAATTCATTTTCCAAATGTGACACAGCAAACAATGAAAAAGGAAAAGATCAAATAATCTTTCTTTTGAAAGTCAGAACTCTCCCTGGGTTTAAAATAAAAGCTTCAGTCATACAGTTTTGGAAAAGGAAATGAGAACATCATTCTTTCAAGCAGCACAATGTGTTTATGTATATGAGTATGTATAAATATATATATCTAATGACATAAGATTTACTCTGAATCAGACCTAAAATTGATAAGCATTTGTTTCCAAACCTATTTACAAGTAAATTCAAAAACAAGTATTATGCCAAATTACTGCCTTTAAACCAGGGGTGCATAAAGAAATCAAGCAAACAGAAATAAGAGAAAATGAATCATAGTCTTAATCTGACTTTTGGAGGCATGATCATACAGTATTCTTTTGTATAAGAATATTCTATGTAATCCCAGGACCTTGGGAGGCCGAGGCGAGCAGATCATGAGGTCAGGAGATCAAGACCATCCTGGCTAACACGGTGAAACCCTGTCTCTACTAAAAATACAAAAACTTAGCTGGGCGTGGTGGCAGGTGCCTGTAATCCCAGCTACTTGGGAGGTTGAGGCTGGAGAATGGTGGGAACCCGGGAGGCAGAGCTTGCAGTGAGCCGAGATTGCGCCACTGCACTCCAGCCTGGGAGACAGAGCAAGACTCCGTCTCAAAAAAAAAAAAAAAAATTTTTTTTAAAGTTAGATGAAATAAATTTAAATAAATGTATAAAAAACAAATGTATAACATGCTTGAGGAGTTGAACATTGATTTTCTTAAGTCTTCAAAAGATGATGTTTCAAAGCTTTTTCTACTAGCTTACAGGCACTTACTATGAATGTATAAAATTATATCACTCAAAACTTTGGTTCTGCCTTTCTTTAAAAACATTATTCTGTTTTTCTCAGCCTATTCTCAAAGCCTGATCTATTAATTTTCACTTTAAGAAGTTAAACTACTTACAAAATTAAGTAGTTCAAATTTTAAACTGGAGTAGAATAAAACTGCTCTAGGTAACCATTAACTAGAGCTTATCATATCTAAAAGATATCTGAATATTATTTTTTATCTCAGTTGTTACTATCATAACCCATCCAGCTACTCACTTTAGTAACCTGAAAATTTCACCTAAAATATGGATTTACAATTTGTTCCCTGTCTTCAACTTCTCATGGTGTCTTCCTCAACTATTTTAACAGCCTCCTGTCTCCTTACTACGATTCATCATCCACCTTTTAGTCAGAACCCTCTTCTAAAAATGGAACTGTGTACATATCCATAACACATATATCAAGTCTAAAATTAGTTACTAAAAATAACTTTCTTAAGAGATAATTTGCACAGCATTAAGTTTATCCTTCTGAAGTGTACAATTCAGTATATTCACAAAGCTGTGCACTGATCACCATTATCTAATTGTAGAACATTTTCATCACCCAAAAAGAAACCCATTAGCAGTCACTCTCTATTTTTCCTTCCCCTTAACCCTTAGCAACCACTAATCTGACTTTGTTTCTATGAATTTGTTCTACTCTGAACATTCTATATAAAAGGAATCATACAGTATGTGGCCTTTTGTATCTGGCTTCTTTCACTTGGCATGTTTTCAAAGTTCATACATGTTGTAGCACATACCAGTACTCCATTCCTTTTTATGGGCAAATAATATTCCATGTGTTAAGATATACCACATTTTGTATATCTACTCATCAGTTGATAGAAACTTGTATCGTTTCCACTTTTTGGCTATTATGAACAATGCTTTTATGAACATTCATGTACAAGTTTTTATGTGTACGTATGTTTCAATTCCCTTGAGTATAAGCCCAGGAGTGGAATTTCGGGGCCATATAGTAAGTAGTTCCATGTGTTATGAGGCTAGTTTTTGAAAAAAATCAGCACAAACATGTTTTGGTTAACTAATCTACAACTATCTCAGAATATAAAATTAAAAATTCAGAATCCATCTCTTACTTGGAAGAAAAGTATGCTTTAACATTTATAGTATAAGATTCTTCTAAATTAGAACTCATTAAACTCATTACAGCTATTAACATACTTTTTGGGTCCATTCTTCTGAATTAACATACTTTTTGGGTCTATTCTTCTGAATCCTATATACCTTCATTTTTATCCCCTAAAAACTATTCTCTTGAGTCTCAATAACCACTTTTTTCCTTGACAATAATAGTGTGATTTGAATGAAAAAATTATCTAAATTAGATCTCCTGGCATTCACTAAAATTATTACAAAAACTACTATCTCTTCGGTGTGTATGTACTGTATCTAGAGGAAAAAGGTCAAACTACAAATAGCAATATTATCACATTGGGTTTACTTAATTTGAAGATATGTTTGTAACCCTGGGAATATAAAGCTTACCTTAACTCCTGCACTTCCATTAGGCATTTTCTGCAGTTCATAGGGAAGCCTGATCCTTTCAGTTTGCACAATGGGATCATCAAATGATCGCCCATGAAGCTTTTTGAAGCCATGAATTGTATTTCTTACGTTCGTGACTATCTGTTGGCAGTAAACACTTGTATTTATCAGTTACCTAATAAATGCAAAATAAAATTCTATCCTAGTACTTGACAACCACCAAGTTCCTTTATCCTACACATCCAAGTTTAGGATTACAAATAATCATTCATTTTTTCTGGTTTCCAACTGATGGTAAAGTCATACAATGAGAATGTACACATTTTAACACTTGCCTCCCAAATTATCCACCTATCCTGGGAATGTTAGATTCAAAATTAATGTCTTCAGAAGAGAACGAATAAACCTTTAAAACGTTTCAAATTACAAATATCTACAACTCATCTTTTTGGTTTTCCTCGAGCTTTTGCTCTAGTGAATTAGTACGAGCTGAACATCCCAAATCCAAAAATCTGAAATCTAAATACTTCAATGAGCATTTCCATTGTGCATCATGTTGTCACTTAAAAAGTTTCAGATTTTGGAGCATTTTGGATTTCAGGATTTGGGATGGTCAACCTGTATCATGCAAATATTCCAAAATCTGAAAAAATACAGAATCTGAATACTTCTGGTCCCAAGCATTTCTTATAAGGGATATGCAGCCTGTATCTTTGATTATTTATTTCCACTTCCATTTCTGTGTTTTAATTTAAACTGGTTTATTATTGTCTAGGTTTTTTTTTCCTCTCCATATCTAATTCTTTGTGAAAATCTTCATGTACTACCATGTTGCTTCCATTGCTGCAGATTGCTCCTAGGCTAGTAAATTAAAATCCCTTCCATGTAGCATAGTGCTAAATGAAAGTATCTTAATTTGTAAATGGCTTGCATTTTTGCAAAGCAATTTTTTCTTTAACTAGAATATGCAGTTCAAATTACAGAATATTACTGAGATCCAGTTGCTATAATCCTAGTGACCTTTAAAGCCAAACAGACCTTGATCTTCAATTATGACATGAAAACTATAGGGATGCTGAATTACTATGTTGCTCTCTTTAACTCCTTAGGAGAAATGACTTTAAAGGCTGCTTTTAGAGACTCTGATTATCTGTGACACACTTAGAAGGTCAGCCAGAATATGAGATATAAGACCCAGATATATATAAAATGCAAGAAATAATTGTTAAGGGCTTTTAGTTCAGGGAGGTAATGAAAGTCCAAGGAAAATCAGTTTATAACATGGAATGTTAAAAGTCAACGTTCTAATCATAAAGATTTCAAAAGCCTAAAAATATAAATACTTCAACAAATTCTATGTAAATTAGTGGTAGCCACGTTGAGTTACTCTGGAAATTAGTTCTTTCATTTTTCCTACCTTATTTTACAAAGATGTTACTTAACTATCATTGAAATGTATGTTCTAGACAGAATATCCCTCATTATTCTCTGGATGGTCACCTGAGGGACCATTTGGGGAAAAATTGATGTCACATAGTAGCACACCCTAACTTCACAACTAAAAAATATTTTTAAAAAATAAAATTCAAGAAATATTTTACAACCCAAAGCAAATTATATCTTAAAAAAACAAAACAAAACAAAACAAAGATGTAGTACCTGTCCTATTTTCCTCACTCTCTTATTCACTCTTAACAATATAACTTAAGGAACTTAGTTACCAATATTCAGTTAATTCTTCCTGTAAGTCAAAACATCCACATTAACAATTTACCTGGCTCTTTGCTGCATTTCCAATGGCTCGAGTTCTTGATCCCAATGATATACAGGCCCTAAACCAGAAAAACAAAAAGTTTGTTCCATGGTACTTTTATATTATTGTGCTATTATTTTGCTTCTCCTTATAAGAAAATGAATTTAAAAGGAGAAATATAACCATATATTATTTTAAAAATAGGTTATGCAAATCAAAAATTTATTTTAAAGTTTCCCTATATAATAAAATGGTGGTCAGAATAAATGTTACAATTTTTTAAAAAAGTCCTAATAGCTGGCAATACAATGTTGATCTCCAAAATTGTTTTTCAAATTACACTGATCTATGACCCATTAAAAGAAAACTCAACCGTGTTGACCAATGGATTTTCAGGGAAGGTAAACAGTTAAAAAGGCTAAATCCTGGCTTTGCCACTTAACCTTGTGGAAATTACATAACCACTGGGTGCTTCAGCTTCTTGTCTGGAAGATTGTGATAATATCTGCTCATATGGTTATGTGAGAATTAAGAGAATGGATATAGGTAAATGCTTTGAACAATAATTGGCACATAGTAAACATTATGTAAATTCTTGTATTTTAATTACCACATTTAAATGTAATAGCATGGAATAATAACACAGAGCAAGCACAGAATAACATCTTCATCAAAATACCATTTAATGTTATGATTCAAGAAAATGTTTCTGTGATTTCAGTTATAACTACAGAAAACTACATTCAATCAACAAACATTTATAGGCACTCCATGTATACAAGTCACAATACCTGTCTGGGAGAATGTATAGTCTATTGAAAAAAAATCAATAGAATATATAGAATTATGAATAATACTAGCAAAGAAGAGAATAATTACTTCTAGATAAGAGAGGTGACTTCTTGAATTAGGACTTGAGGGAAAACATTTAATATCTATTTGTCTTGCAGAAATAGACATTCCTGATATATAGGTATGTAAGTCTGTTCTCCATATAGTAGCCAAAGTGATCCACTTAAAAACTAAGATCATGAAACTCTGCTGTTCTCTGATGATGAAATAATCCTCCAATGGTGCCCTATCTCACAAAGTAAAAGCTTGGGTCCCCCTAACAGCCAATAAGGCCTTTCATGGTCCAGTCCTTGGCTGCTCTACCCTGCAAATTCAATCTAGGCACACTGGTCTCCTTGCTATTTCTAGAATATGCCAAGCACCCTTTTGCCTCAGGGCCTTTGTAAATGCTGTTCTCTCTTTCTGAAGTGTTCAGAAAATACATCCATGTGGCTGGTGCTCTCACTCCTTTCAGGTCTCTGCTCAAATGTCAGCTTATCAGAAACACCTATCCTCACCATCCTATATAAAAAACATTCCTGCTCCTCCCCAACACATACCTCACACTGTTAACCCAATTTTATTTTTCTCCATAGTATGTATTACCATCTGATACAATTCATTTAGTGACTGTATCTCAGTACCAGAAGCCAGAACGTGAACTCTATGAAGGCAAGGTAACAGGTATCCACTGCCTTGATCTGCACTATCTAATATGGTAGCCACAAGCCATGTGGTGCTAGTACAATTTCAATTAACTAGAATATTCAGTTTCTCAGGACTAGTCACATCTCAGGTGCTCAACAGCCACATGTGGCTAGCAGATATACAGAGAACTGAATATACAAGAACAAATATACCACAGAAAGTTCTACTGGATAGCACTAGCCTAGATCTTCTAGCCTAGATCTTTTTCAAGGACATAATAAAGCTACATAATGAATGGAATAATGGTTCCTAAGGTAATGCTCATTTGAGGACTAGAAGAATATAATTTGGACTCAGCCAGGGAGAAAACAAAAAGAATACAACTTGGCTAGTTTCATAGGACAATTTGATAAGATAGTATCAAGGCCAGATTATATAGGGTCTCAGGTGCCAGATTATAATCTTAAAATTTATTCAGTTAATGAGGATTAAATTTCAATGAGGATTCATTAAATGTTTCTGAATAATGGAGAGGACCCTACATACTGATACATAATACAAACTGGAGAGGCAATATTCCAGAGCAGTGCTTTCCAAGGGCTGAACAAAACACTGTTCTGCTGGGGACTACTGGATTTTCAGAGAAAGCAAACAGTTAAAAAGTTAATTTAGTCAATTTAACAGATGTTTGTTAATAATTACTATATGCCTGGCACACTGTTAGTTGCTAGGGATATAATAATGAAAGAAAACATGGTTTTGGCTCTCTTGGATCTCACAATGCTATAGACTCACACAAAAGAAAGTAAACTAGGTGCTATAACAGAAGGTGAACATGGTGCTATAAAAGTTTGTAACAGCAAGAATTAACCTAGAGGAGGAGAGTCAGGAAAGGCTTACCCAAGGAAATAAGATTTTAAGGAAGAGTAAATGATGATGGGATAAAAGTGGTAGAGAGTTTGTTGGAGATCATATTGACTGTAGTGTTAACTGATGAGAGGAGAGCAAAAAGTTACCAGTAGTCTATATCAGGATGGTGACAGCTGGGACACAAGAAGAAAGAAGAGATATTCAGGAGGAAACTTAAAGGACTTGGTGACAGACTAGATCTTCACCATCCCATATGGCAGCCACTAGCCACCAGCCATATGTGGTTATTATGCACATGAAATGTGGCTAGTCTGAATTGAGATGTGCTTATATAAAGTGCAAAATAAACTTTAGACCATGGGTGTCCAACCGTTTGAATGCAGGGACTCTTTTGTCTGTGGTGGCAGATATCACAAAAATTATGGATGGACCTTTTTTCTAGCTCATCAGCTATCTTTAGTGTTAGTGTATTTTATGTGTGGCCCAAGACAATTCTTCTTCTTCCAATGGGGCCCAGGGAAGCCAAATGGTTGGACATCTGTGCTCCAGATTCTAAAAATTTAATACTAAGTAAAATATCTCAATTTAAAAATATTGATTACATATTGAGATAAAATTTTGGATATACTGAATTAAATAAAATATATTAAAATTAATCTCACTTGCTTCATTTTGCCTTTTTAATTATTGGAACTTTTTTTTTTTGGAGACAGGGTCTTGCTCTGTCACCCAGGCTGGAGTGCAGTGGCGTAATCTTGGCTCACTGAGGCCTTGACCTGCAGGGCTCAAGCGATCCTCCTATCTCAGCCTCCTGAGCAACTAGGACTACTGGCTGATTTTTAAAATTTTTTGTAGAGATAGGGTTTCACCATGTTGCCCAGGCTAGTCTCCTAGGCTCAAGTGATCCACCTGCCTTGGCCTCCCAAAGTGCTGGGATTACAGGTGTCAGCCACTGTACCTGGCTCTATTAAAACATTTAAAATTACCTATGTAGCTCATATGCTTTTATTGGACAGTGCTGGACTAGATAGTAAGAAGAGGCAAGTGACAGTAATAATATCTAGGTTTCTAGTTGCACTCAATGAGACAGAAAATTTTCTAAGAAAGATAGGTTTGGGGACAGGACAGTCACAAACTCTATTGTGAACACATTAGGCTTGAGGTAAGTTTGAGGCATCCAAGCAAATATATATTTAGAACTGAAATGTTAAAAGTGATGGTCAAATTAAAGAGGAAATGGAAGTTACTAGTCTTTAGTTGTGATTTGGTGAAAAACAGGAAAATAAGGGTATAGCAGGAATCAGTGGCTTAGATGACATCTTCACATCTCTTATAAATAACTCCTTGATTCAACATATTCTCTGCCAGAGTAAAAATTTACATATCCAATTTGGTAATGTGTGGATGTTGGCATTCCATCCTAAAACTCATCTATTAGAGAAAATATGCGTTTGCCATTTCTCAGCCTACCTTATAACTCATCTTGCTCCCAACTCCATTATTTGGACACACTTTCAAATACTTCTAATTTTTCAATACTAGGCTACCATCACTTGACTACACTGAAAATCTTATTTGTAGGTTGATTCTCAAGAGTTTAATTTTTGTTAGAACAGTAGAGCCAAAGAAGATTCAGATTCAACTATCATTAAGCGCTGGTTCCTTGAAATGTGTTTCATACATGTATCGCTTCACAAAGAAAGCTAAACAGTTACCAGTATGAGATATTCTCTGAAGTTGAAAGCAGACAACTTTTAAAGTTAAAAAATCTGTCATTTAACCAGGCTTGGAAATGCCCAGTTTAAAATACATAGAAAACCCATTTTATAAAGGCACCCTTCAAACTCCTTCGATTTTCTTTCAAATACATTCCAGGATGTTACAATCATGAAATAAAAAATACCTGCCAAGTATTTTCAGAAAAACCCAAATAAATTAAACACATATTTGCTCTCAAAACTTTTATATTAGTAATAGCAAGGGAAACAGACACATTATAACACATATTAGGCTGATGTAAGAGTTTTCACAGAAAAAGATACAGTTTATCCAAGTGTATACAGCATAATCTATATTATACTTTGTATTGATTATTTCAACTACTATTTAGAAATGTCATTTTATGGCTAAAATAAAGGGAGGGTTTTCTTTTTTTTTTTGAGACAGAATCTCGCTCTGTCGCCCAGGCTGGAGTGCAGTAGCGCAGTCTCAGCTCACTGCAACCTCCACCTCCCGGGTTCACGCCATTCTCCTGCCTCAGCCTCCCGAGTAGCTGGGACTACAGGCACCCGCCACCATGCCCGGCTAATTTTTTTTGTATTTTTAGTAGAGACAGGGTTTCACCATGTTAGCCAGGATGGTCTTGATCTCCTGACCTTGTGATCTGCCCGCCTCAGCCTCCCAAAGTGCTGGGATTACAGGCGTGAGCCACCGTGCCCGGCCAGGGACGGTTTTCAATGCAGTTTAAATCTATAATATCCAATCTGCTCTTGCTATTGTGTGGTAATCTCAGACTATCAGAAAATACCACAAAATTCTAAACAATGAAGATTTCTAAATGTCCTATGTTCCTTTTAGTAGGAGAGGGGCATAAAAATCAGATGACAAGATGCTACTTTAAGAAAGCTGTATCTGTATTTTCTCTTTAAAATTAGGATTTTCTTCTTCTCTCAAAAAGCTAATTTTTATAAGGCCAAGCGTAATTAGGTTGGAGAAAATACATACTACCAGAAGAGATTTGTTGCCTAAAAGCTCAGTACTAAGTTTGTTTGCTCCCTATTATTCTCCATTAAGATTCAATCCTCACTCTCTAATCTTTAAAAACAGCCCTTTTCTTTTCCTTGCCAGTTCCATAAAATCACAATTACTCTTTACCCTCTGCTATCATTGTAATCCATAGGTTTAAATCAAAGGCTGAACAAATAGTTTCAACTATGCTTGCCAAGATGTGTACAGAGCAGGATTTCTCTACCTTGGCACTACTGACATCTTGGCCCAGATAATTCTTTGTTGGGTCACTGGGGCTGTACTGTAATGCACTGTCGGATATTAGGAGTATTCCTAGCCTCCAACCACTAGATGCCAGTAGTACCTCCTCTTTAGACCTCAGTTGTGACATACCCCAAAATATCTCAGATTCTGTCAGTTATCCCTTCAGAGGCAAAATCACCTCCAGTTGAGAACCTCTGCCCTAGAACAACATTTCCCAAATAGTGTTCTATGAAACATAATTCCTCAGACGTTCAAATAAGCTTGGGAAAAACATCCCTTTCTTGGAGAATTTCAATGCTTATGAACAAATTAAGGGATCTACAAAATTCTACAGCAAAGAAAACATCTGGATATTGTTTCTCAAATTATTTGGAAAAAATGTTGCCCTAGAAGGGGGAGGGGGAAGAATGCTCTAAAAAAAACTCACTGCTGCAATTTGCTTTCTAGCTTGCTACTTAAAAATAAGACTTCTGGGCACATATGATTTAGTAATAACAAAGCTTTCAGCTTTTCATTATGGACAAATAATTAAACATTTAACAATATATAAACAATAATAATTTAAGAGTTTTCAAATGCTTAGTAAAGGTAATCATAAATAAATTAGCTTGAAGCCATTAGTAGAAACCACACAAATATTTACATAGGTAGACAATATTTTAAAAGCTGATTAGGTATACTAGCTACATTAAATTTGATACATTATTTAACTATTAAATTATTATATTAGATATATTATTTGAAAAACTCATATTACCTATAATTCACTTGGTTCAAACACAAATATCAATGCGTAACAATGTTAAAATTCTTTTGGTTATAATTGTTTAGACCAGGAGTTTGCAAACTACCACTACCTGCAACCTATTTTTGTAAATAAAGTTTCATCACAACACAACTATAC
Organism: Homo sapiens; assembly: GCF_000001405.40. Lineage (NCBI taxonomy): Eukaryota > Metazoa > Chordata > Mammalia > Primates > Hominidae > Homo > Homo sapiens. The sequence continues at coordinate 127,787,911 of NC_000004.12, read as the reverse complement.
TCATTAATTTATAATGACCACATATTAAAAGACTATCAGTGCTATATTAAACCTTTTTTTTTTCAGTGCTTAAGGAAGTCAGTTCAATGTTAAACATTTAGAAATAACCTGGCTTTTCACTCATCTCAGCAAATTTGATTTAAAAAAAGCAAAGGTATTCACTGAATTTTTATATGTCGCTAGCAAAATATTAACTTGAAATGTCCAAAACAGTCACTGTATCAATGGGATACTATACAGCTAGCAAAAAGAATGAAGTAAATTAGAGCCATAAGTTTGAGATGTCCACAATATTTTGAGGTGAAAAGAAAGCAATTTGCAAAATACTTAAAAACTATTTTTTAATGAAAGCAGAATGTAATGTAATTCTGCTTTTGTTAAAAAATCCCAGTTATGTACATATAATCACATACTTGTATAGCTAGAAACATAAATCAAACTTTAGGATGTGGTTGGGAAGGGATGAAGGGGGAGACTTACTTTGTGTAATTCTTCAGCATTTAAAATATTTTAAATAAAATATAAGCTCAAATAGTAAAACATATAAAACCAACTCATGTAGTAAAAAGAATATTTAACAAAAAAAGGTAAAAGCCTCTTCTTCATCCCAAACTGCCATCACCAGAAAATGCCCATCTATTATAGCCACAGTTAACCCCCCGATTTGGCATTTTCTATGTGCTGTTGTTTTCAGTGCACCAAAGTGATTTCTATTTTCATGCATTTAAGAGGGGTCTCACTCATCTGAAACAGTGTTTAAACAGCATTTTCCCATATTTCCAGATTATTCATATGCTAGTAAAGAAATAGGAAAAAATAAGATAGAAAACCAGAGAACTGAATATTGAAGAATCATAAAGAATTTTGATGATAAAATATTCCTAACAAAAATCTTGACACAGTTTCATTTAAAGAAAATCCATATTCCCTATTACAAAGTATTAATTACAGACTATAAATTAAAAGCACCTCCTCCATAATTCTACCTCTGAGAAGTATCTATCCATTATTAATAGTAGTTTATTGTCTTCCACACTACTTTTTCTCCAAATGTTTACACTAATATGTTTTGTATGTATTTTTTATGAATTTTAAAAACAAAGTAAGATTTTTACATGTCCTTAACATAACTTAAAAGAATTACTGGCCAGGCACGTTGGTTCACGCCTATAATCCCAGCACTTTGGGAGGCCAAGATGGGAAGATGGCTTGAGGCCAGGAGTTCGAGACTAGCCTAGGCAATATGGCAAGACCTTGTCTCTGTTGGAAAAAAATAAAATTAGTGTGGCATGGTGGCATGCACCTGTAGTCCTAGCTATTCAGGAAGCTGAGGTGGGAGGATCCTTTGAGCCCAGGAACTCAAGGCTGCAGTGAGCTATGACTGTACCACTGTACTCCAGCCTGGGCAACAGACCAAGACCCTGTGTCAAAAAAATTTTTAGGAATTATTAAAATAATGTTTTTAAAAAAGATAGTATTTCTTAAAAACTAGCTAAAATTAGACATTTATTGATGGTAGAGCAAAGATGCTTTCCTGTACAATAACTGCTCAACCAGGTAATTTGTTCCTTTCATCATTAACCTAGTTACGTATATGCCATCCTTACAACAATGGATACTGGAAAGACATTTGGGTTCTAGGGTCAGAGAGGCCTGAAACAGAATCCAATTCATTGTTTTACTAATTTTTGGCCAAGTGATTTAACTTTGCTTTAGGCTTCTTACGGAAAAAAAAGATAGTTAGTATGATCAAACTCACAGAATTGTGATACATATGACAATGCTTGCTTAGCACATAGCAATCACTATTCCAATTTACCACACGCTTTAATTTGATACTTAATGACGATTCTTGGCTATCATTTTTTTCCCCATGTGTGAAACTAATCACCTTGGTATACTTAAGCCTGGGATGGAAATTCTAATTGTTTTAAGTAACAATGCAGACATGTACCAGGCCTTTAAAAATGTGGACACTCAGTAATTCTACTTCTAGGAATTTACTTGAAGGATCAAAAATTTAGTTACAAAGATAGTTATTGCAACACTGTTTACAAAGTATCATAAACAACCTGAATTATTAGGCTATGGATTAAATTATCATGATTATACAGACACTACAACTGATAGTATAGAAATATGTATGTTTTACATAGAAAAAGGTTACTAAACATAGGCTGGGTGCAGTGGCTCACACCTGTAATCCCAGCACTTTGGGAGGCCGAGGCGGGTGGATCACCTGAGGTCAGGAGTTCGAGACCAGCCTGGACAACATGGTGAAACCCCGTCTCTACTAAAAATACAAAAATAGCTAGGCGTGGTGGTCGTTGCCTGTAATTCCAGCTACTCGGGAGGCTGAGGCAGGAGAATCGCTTGAACCCAGGAGGCGGAGGTTGCAGTGAGCTGAAAACGCGCCACTGCACTCTAGCCTGGGCAACAAGAGCAAGACTACGTCTTAAAAAAAAAAAGAAAAAAAGAAAAAGGTTACTAAACATAAAGTAAATACTTCCCCTTCCCTTTGAAAACACACACAGAAAACCATCTGGAGGAATTAAATTTTTAATTTCACCTTTTAATGTGCCAGTATTTTTTATAATGAGCACATATTATTATGTAATAATTTTTCAATAAGATGTTCAGGAAAATTATTTTGTCTCTTCAATTTATGCAGGTTAATTTCTCTCTCCCTCTTCAACTTATGCAGGAGATGAGAGGCTAGTATAAACACTCTAACTTTACAGAAGGTGAATCTGAATTAAATAGGTTAAATTAACTTGTCTTTTGTCCCTTAATTATAGGCCAAAACTTGGTTCTTTTTCATTAAACTGTCCTTCTTGGTTTATATGGAATCCTCTCAACCATAAGCAATCAAATATGTTAATGAAAGAAACGTAAAATGTATGAATGCTGAAAACAACTAAATTGAACATTTCTTTCCTCTTTTCATAGGATCATTTTATAATGTATTCACATCTTAGAAAATATGTCACATTACCTTGATGTAAGCAATTGGAATATGAAAAACATTTTATTTGCAAAGCTAACATTTTATTTATGTGTGTTATTAAATACTGTGGTGTATTAGAGAAGTTAAAGGTTATCTAATAGTTACAATGCTTTTTGCATGATCGGTGTTGAATTGATGGATAAATGTCCTGAGGCCCGGAAGGGCTATGTTTTTCCTCAACAATTGGACCCACAAAGTAATACATAGTGTAAGAGCACTACACTACCATGAAGTACTTTTGTTCAGAAACAACAAAAGATACACTTCTGAGGTAAGTGACAGTGCCCAGCCATGGAGAGAAGAGTTGCTGATGCAAGCTAAGTGAGAATATCCTTTCACTTTTTAAGAACTTTCTAGTTTAGATTAGGCTCATTAAATCTAGATATTACTATTGGCTTTCTAGCACACAAATCAGAAATATCACATTACTTCTCAACCACACAGAACCAGCGAATATGCCTAAGTACAATAACAAAGAGACTTTTAGAAGACTCTAGAAGCCCACTTTTTAAAGAACTAAGTCTGGCCGGCCAGGATCTTTAAAGAATCACAGGTTCACTCACTGCTAAAGAGATTTCTCAGCCTGGAAATGCAGATCGATCTTTCTTACTGTTCTGGTTTCTGATCTTTTAGGATATGGCTTTAAGGACTAAAAGAATGTCCACCCTACCTCTCAGTTTTTTCTCTATAGGTTGAGAGTCAATGAAGCCAAAGATTGCTCCCATTTTTAACCCCTACTCTGCTGAAGGTGGAGAGTGGAATTTCCGGTCTGTTTCTGGCGAAAGCCAGTATTTGTTGTGGCTTAATATAAAACCTTGTAGAGACGAATTCATCGACTTCACAGTTACTGTTTCGGCCTCTCACTGTGCATAAAAGCCAGAAAAAGATGTAAAAAGTAGAAGAGTTCAAACATTATTGAGGATTACCTTATCTATGCCCATGTATTGAAAATATAAACGTCCAAAACGTTTAAAATTTCAATAGAAGAAACGTGTACATCTACGAAAAAAGGTATAAAACCTTCTAGAATCTTCTTGGAAAGAAATCAAAGCACAGACTGCTTCAAGTGAGCTACTCTTCAACATCTTTTTGCCATATTTTAAAGCTTTCCATAGAATAGTAAATGAGGCATTTAAAGACCATTGGACACTGACCTTGTTTTAGTATAGTTAAGGTATTATATTTTGGACCATTCAGAACGGTCAAATTAAGATGCCAAATTACCTTTCCATAAAAAGTAATATAGGTTTCATACAGTTGGTTTCCTCATAAAATTACCAGTAACAGCAGCCTATAAGCAGCAACTAGTTTTTCATATTTCAGAATTACTTCATTATATTCCTTGCCAACAAACTTCCCAGGCCAGAGAAACAACGGAACATGTGGAAACATGTTTCCATGACATAACGCCGCTCCTCCTAAGCCTTTCATTAAGCGTTCATAATAGAATCACTCCACAGTCATGTTTATACGGGACAGCTGCCCCCGACTCCGGCAATTCACTCTGCAGAAACACGCTTTTGGTCCGACCCAACCCCGCCGCATTCCAGCAACTGACGTAGTTACCAATGCACAAGGCCAGTGACTCCCATCCCGAGGCTCTCCCTATCAATGCACCATTGACCTGGCCCTGTAAACCGGCTCCATTACCTGCAGTTCTCAAGGGCACTGGGTTTTGTAAAACCCCACATGCCTCACTCCCCGCCCTTAAAAAAAAAAAAAAGGCTTTCGGGGCCAGATGAACCTGCAATTCATCTCTGACGTGTGCAGCCGAAGCTGACTTTTTACTTTTCTGAGAAAAAGCTGTCACCCAGAGGGACGGGGAAAGGAAGGAGGGCAGCTGGCGCGGGGCCGATAATCCCACGTAAACCTCGTTAGAGGCAACCGGAGATCTTTCTCAATATTCCGGACGCCAGGGGCTGTCCCACAGCAACCTCTTCCTCGCAAGCAAAAGAGGCGTTGGGGGACAGCGGCACGAGGCAGGGGACGTGCGTAGGTACAGAAAAGAGAGCTGCGCAAACTAGTGCGGTCCCTCGTCCTTGAAGGAAAAGAAGCTTTGCGGGGCGAGGAAGTCCGACTGCCACCCGGCGGTCTCTAGGGACTGCGGTTGACGGGTTGCACCTGTCATCTCGGGGTTCGGCGCACGTTAGGGGAAAATCCGAGGAAGCGAGCAGACAGGACAAACGTTAAGGACGGGAGAGAAAAACGTTTCTTAGGGTCGAGGTGATGCTCAGCAGAGGCACTTACGGGGTACACCTGTCGCTGTACTCATTGGCGATGGTCTCGATGCCGCCACTTCTCGCGACAGCAATGTAGCAGTTGAGAAAGCCGAGGTCAATGCCAACCACAGACATCCCGCCGCGTGATGGTCGGGCTGCTGGTACTGAACCCTTCGGTACGGGAACCGTGTCCTCTTCTGGGCTATTGCTGCTGGGATTGCGACTCCTACCAGAAGCAAACGAGAGGGGACCCCAAGTCGCTAAGCAGAAAATCTAGGGCAGGGAGTCGGAAACCCGCGGAAGGAGCAGAGGCCGTCAGCGCCGCAGCCTGCACCGCGTCCCGCAGCCTGGGTCTTTCCCTACTGCGGTTCGGCCGCCTCCAACCGGCGGTTACTGGGACCTGCGCCTGCGCGCTCGGCTGCCCGGGAGGCGCGCGAGCCTCCGCTCCGCGCCCGAGCCAGCTCCGGGCCCGGACTTCGGCCGCTTCCGTCAGCACTCGGGCAACGGCTGCCCAAGAAGCTGCGGGTTCGAGAAAGATCTGGAAAATGGAGGCTGCTGAGCTATCCGGGGGCGGGAGAAGCGGGAAGGCGGGGCGGGGAGGATCGGGGAAAGGAGGCTAGGCACATTGGCTTGCTCGCCCTCGCTCGGCAGTAGGACGTCGGGCGGTCGGGCTAGGTGAGAGGCAGGCGACCGGCCGGCCCGGGGCTTTGCGAACGTGTTTTGAGGCACATTTTTGGGTTGTTTTGGCAACCGGAGGCGTGCTTGTCACGGCGGCAGGATGCTGTCCTGGCTGGCGGGCGCCGCCCCCTCACCCCCTGCCCTCAGAAGGGCTCGCCCGCAGGCCTCGCCTCCCCGAGGGGCCCATGTGCAGCCCGGCGCCCTCCCCTTGTGGCTGGAGGCCCGCCGCGCCCGGCTCTGTGAGGTGGCGCGCATTGTCCGACGTCCGCCGCTCCGCCCTGTCCAGCCCCGGGGGAGCTGCCGAGCCCGGGACAGACTCTTGTGCGAAAGCGGGATGAGCACATGTTAGGTTTTTTTCTTTTTTCATCAGCAGGATTTGAAATATCAAAAGTCAAACTTCTGTCAAGAAATAAGATCACACTGACAACTTTCCCTCCACGTACCTTTCCTCACACCTTTCTAAAAGATGCTGGCCCCGCCGCTGACCCTTGTCTCTGGAAACCAGTTTTACAGGAAAGTGACCTTAATTAAGTGTGCCACTCACACCAGCCAAGTCTGTGCTTTAGCCTCCAGCCGCTGCCCTGTGGTCCTCAAAAAAGAGCCCAGTGTGGTCCAGCGCCCTCCCTCTTGGTTTGATCGGCATGTGTTGCCTGTCTGTAATTAACCAAGTTTTATGTTACACTTAAGAAATTTGGCTGTCTTGTTGCTTTTCGTTCACTTTTACGTGTGTGCCCTGTTCCTTCTCTGCCAGTCCTTGGTCTGTTCCCTGTTCCTCCCCGTCCTCTTCATCTAGTCTCTGTTCCTTCTCATCCAATTCTTTGTGTGTTTTCCTGTTCCATTTTGGTATCCATCTTGAAAACAGGCGTGTTTTTTTGTTTGTTTGTTTTGTTTACTAGATTCTTTAGTATTCTGATTATCCCTAGTTGTCCACTTCTTTAAATAACTTAGATTTTTTACTATTAATAATGTTGCTACAGCAGCAGCAGCAGCAAGGGTGGCTATAGTTCCTGCTGCTGTTAGAATGAACGTGAAATCCATTTTCAAGGGCAATACTGAGGCAACTGGATTGTACAGTATTGCTTGGGCTCTGGTCTCTACATTGAAGAAATCAATCAGGCCTCTCTTCCCTTCATGAGCACTCAGGAGACGTGGAGCCCCTGGGTGAAGCTGCGCTCTGAGACACCGCAGAACTCGGCGTCCCAGCGGGCAGCTCGTGAGCAGAACAGGGATTGGGCGTTGCCCTGCGACTGAACCCTGGGCCCTGGTCCTGCTGGGCGCCTGTGACTTCCACCAGTTCTCCTCACACACCTCTTCTGACATCGGCCATCACTATCTAGATTTATTCCAGAATATCCTGAAATTCTCCTAGTACAATTAATTTATCTTAATTCCATTAGTTTATCCATGTTGTCTATACAACTTGAGGGTGTAAGAATGTTTTTTTTTTTTCCTATTAAAAATACCACTTAAAATATCAAAGTAAAAAGGAAGTTGAGGCCAGGAGCAAAGTGGTGTTATCATCACGTTCCTTACAATTACTGGCAGGACGTGAGAGTACCCAGTGGTTAAAACCATGACGGGCTTTGGGGTCACACAGATTTGGGTTGTAGTACCAGGCTTGCCTAACTTACTACCTGTATAACGTTTGGCAAGTTACTTAATGCTCCAAGCCACAGGTTCAGTCTGTTAAAATGAGGACAAATATGCCTACTGGGCTGTTTTTATGATTAAATAATGTAAGCACTGCATCAGTCCCTGGCACCAAACGGTCAATAAATGCTAGCTATGCTTAGCTGCTGAATGATCCTGATTCATGTACATTGGTCATGTATCCAGCAACCTTGCTGTATTCTAAATTCAAGTATTTGCAGAATTTCTTGGATTTTCTGTGTATAGAACAATATGGCCTGGGAAATAATGAATTTCTTCATTTCTATTTCTTCTGTTTCTTATTGTTTTGCCTGGATTATGTTGCTTAAGTGCTCCAGTAAAATTTTGAAAATAAACAGTAGTGGTAAGCATCCTTGTCTTGTCCCTAACATTAAATACCTTTGTGTTTATGATGTAAGAAAGTTAACAAAATTATCTTCTATTCCTACTTTGCTAAGAGATTTTTCTCATAAAATCCACTCACACGCCTGTAAGTGGATACTGAAACTTAACAAATGTTAACCATCATCTAATGACCTGTTTGTTGCCCTTTAATTTGTTAATACAATGAATAACGTTACTAGAGTTTTCTAACATCCTTGTATCCCTGGGATAAACCAGAAAGGCCATGATGGTTCTGATTGTTTTGGCTTGTGATTATTTTATGAAGGATCTTTACATCTATATTCATAAATGAAACTGGCCTTTTTCTTTCTTTACTCTTTTTATTGGCGTCAAGATTATCGCCTCATAGAGGAAGCCAAAGGGGTTTCCTCTTTTTTGTTCCCTTCTGATAGTTTTGGTAAGAAAAGCCTGTAAACCGGCTGGGCGGGGTGGCTCACGCTTGTAATCCCAGCACTTTGGGGGCCGAGGCGGGCGGATCACCTGAGGTCAGGAGTTTGAGACCAGCCTGACCAACATGGCGAAAACCCATCTCTGCTAAAAATACAAAATTAGCCGGGCGTGGTGGCACATGCCTGTAATTCCAGCTACACAGGAGGCTGAGGCAGGAGAATTGCTTGAACCTCGGAGGCGGAGGTTGTGGTGAGCCGAGATTGCGTCATTGCACTCCAACCTGGGCAACAAGAGAGAAACTCCGTCTCAAAAAAAAAAAAAAAAAAAAAAAGGGCTGTAAACCATCTTAGCCTAGAGTTTATGAGGTTTATGATGAATGATTAAATTTCTTTAGTGGTTATGGTCTATGTTTTCTATTATTCTTGAATCATTATTGGTTATTTGTATTATTAAAAATTTACCATTTCATCTAGGTTTTCAAGTTTGTTGGCACAAAGTTGATTATTCACTTAAAAAAATCTCTTCAGTAGTTATATGTACATCTTTTTCATTCTTAATATTCTTTATTTTAATCTCTTCCTTTTCTTGGTTCCTGTCAGTATGGTTTGTTAAAAGAACCAGCTTTTGGTTTTCTTGCCTGACTTAATTGTCTTTGTTTTCTGTTCCATCTGCTCTTTGTTTCACTATTTTTGTTTATTCCTTTTCTAGTTCATTGATTTTCAGTTTCTTGTTTTCTAATACATACACTTGAAGCTGTAAATTTCCTTCTACGTACCATTTTAGCTATATTCCTACCTGAATTTTCAAAGAATTGAAGTTGGAGAGTAGGCAATGAGGATAAAATGAAACAGGCCAATGGTCACTGGTCTTGTTGTCTAAGGTGTTATCCGAGTTCGTTGTCTCACGACCGAAGGAGCGTGGATGCAAAGGGTGAGATAGGAGCGAAAGTTTAATAAGCAGAAGAAGAAACCTCTGCACAGTGTAGAGGGGAGCCCTAGTGGGTTGCTGTTTTTAGAGTTGAATTCAAAAGCTTTTATAAGAAACTCCCCTCATCTCTGTAGCTGTTTGAGTAGTTTCTCTTATTAGTAGCTGTCTGTGCAACTCCCCTTATCTTATGTAGTTGTGGGTATGTCTCTAGGCAAGCACAAAGTGCCACTTCTCTTGTTTCTGTAACTGCGGGCTTAATTTAGGTAATCCCTCCTTCTCCCTACAGAAGTTCCCATGGAGCCCACCGTGTACATGTCTGAAAAGGGGAGGACACTTTTTCCTGGGAGCCTGCCAATCACATAAAGAACAAAAGGCTTCTGTGCTGGACCCTGCCTGCTTATCTGTGCAGGTGCAGCCTGAGTTTTCCCCAGGCTGCTCTATTTTTGCCTATAGGTGTGATTTTGTAGGCAGGCTGCTTCTCTGAGGATTAGCCTTAGCTGTGTACCTAACATTAACATTAGAGAAATGTCTTAGGTGCCTATGGGTTTGTTAATTATTGCACCCCAGAATTAAGTAGACTTATCTATCTAGTCACAGTAATACACACTAATGTTACATTAGGGTCTTCTCCTATAAACTCATATCAAAGAGCAAGAGAAAAGAATGTGTGTAGGCTCCCAAGAAAAGTGAGAAAGAGGCTAAATTATTCTGAAATTCATCAAGGTAAGTCACTCCTCTCACCAAAAAGTATGTATTTTTCCTTTCACAGGCAGTGTTTATCTAGGTCTACTAACATGTTTAACAATTTCTTTACTTTGTTGCTGCTTGCATTCAACTTGACTTCTTCTTGAGTTCGGTTCCTTTCAGCAAAGGCAGGGGTCCCCAATCCCCAAGCAGCCAACTGGTCAGTGGCCTGTTATGAACTGGGCACGTGGCAGGTAAGCAGAGGGCAGGCAAGCATTACCACCTCAGCTGTGCCTCCCATCAGGTGGCATTAGATTCTCATAGGAATGTGAACCCTATTGTGAACTGCGCATGCAAGGGACCTAAATTTCATGCTCCTTATGAGACTCTAATGCCTGATGATCTGAGGTGGAACAGTTTCATTCCAAACATCCTCCCCCAATTTGTGCAAAAAACTGTCTTCCATGAAATTGGTCCCTCATACCAAAAAGGTTGGGGACTGCTAAGCAAAGGTCTCTGAATAGTGAACTACTTTGTTTGTTTGAAAATATTACTGTCATGGAACTGTTTAATAATAACTTGGCTGACTGTAGAAATTTTGACAGTATTTTCCAATCTTTTGTCATCCATTATTGAGTGTAAATAATGTTCCTTTTTAAATAATCAGTTTGTCTTTTCTTTGATATTTTGCAATTTTATTATGTCTTTAATTGTAGATTTGCTTTTACTTATTCACTCAAGAGTTTTTTGTTAACCTGAAGACAAATGGATTCTTGAGATTCTGGAAAAGTATCAAACATTATTCTTTTGTTGTCTCTCACACCCTTTTTCAGTTTCTTCTGGATCTCTTATTAGAATATGTAAAATGTATTCAAACCACTATGACCTTTAGACTCTCCTTTGTCATGTTTTTAATTTCAAACACTGTACTATTTCTAGATGTTTTTTCAAACTTGCCTGTCCTTTCATACTGTACTATTAAAAAATAAAAAATCTAATTACTTAAAAAGTCTATCATTTTAAACATTCCAATTTTATAGTTTCTTTTAGTGTTTCATCACATTTTTAGTCTTGGGGTGCTAATTCTGTTTGTGATGTCTACCACCTTTGCCACACAGTGCTTTGTTTTCTCGGTGACTCATCAGTTCATCTTCATTGAAGGCTACCTTTTCTGTAGGATTTTTTGTGGCCTAGGTTGTAGAAGTGTTTCAGAGAGGTTTTGTATTTGTTTTTGCCAATGCCCTGAGGGCTTCACTGGTCCTATAACAGTTATAATGGTTTGGCTTGGAGTTCCTGTATTATACGGATAGTTTAAATATATATATGTGTGTTCTATACTTTGTTGTGGCACAAGCTTGTGGGGTTTTGATTTCTCACAGGTGGCTTTTTAATTTTTAAAATTGTTAACCCCCAAACCAGATACATCACAGGTGCGTTTTTCTTTCCCTATTCACTGTTGGGGTAGTTGGCAATTCTTTTCCACTATGATTTGTTGCCTATTTTTCTAGCATCTCTTCTTAAATAAAACACTCTTTTTTAAGATTGTAGCTTTTTTTTCTTTAAACAGAAATAGGGTCTTGCTCTGTGGCCAAAGCTGTAGGTCAGTGGCATGATCTTGGCTCACTGAAGCATCCGTCCCCTAGGCTCAAGTGATCCTCCCACCTCAGTCTCCTGAGTAGCTGGGACTACAGGCATGTGCCAGCACACTTGGCTAATTTTTTTTTTTTTTTTTTTTTTTTAAGAGACAGGGGTCTCGGTATGTTGCCCAGGCTGGTCTTGAATTCCTGGCCTCAAACCAGCCGCATGCCTCGCATCCTGTGCCTGGACCCAAGTTTGTAGCTTCATTGGACAGTTTGTGTGGTTGGTAGGCATGGTATGTTTCAGTTTCAACCGCCTACTCTACCAGGGCCCCAATTCCTTAACTCCTATCTACACATGTGGGTGTCAAAATCACCCTTAGTGTCTTTTTGTTTCTGAAATCTGTGGGCTGCTACAATGTTAGCTCCCAGTTACTCTCCTGGCCTTGAGCATCTTATTTCTGACATCTCTTGATATGCTATTTCCCTATTTAAAACAATACAAAACAAAACCAAATCTTTTTGGATATATTTTATCCAGCATGTACTTGTGGGGGAGGGGCATCTGTGTCAGCACAATCTACCATATATAAAGTGAGAAAAGAGCAAAGGACTGGCCCCTGGAGAATACTAACATTTAAGAAGTGGTGGAAGAAAATGAGCCCTTCTGAATCTACATTTCGATCTATCAGCTAATGAGGAATGAAGGTATCAATTTCTTACTTGTGTAGCATAATGTTTATATATGAACAAAGGAACTGTTTCAGAAAATTTAATGTGAGGGTACCAAAGTTCTAATTTTTACTAGAAAGCATCAATCTAGAGTAGGAATATAAAATAGCAAAAATCTCTCTAGGGGCTTTTGGCCTCTTACTACCCAGACAATGTCTGTCATTTTCATTCCCCCCTCCTCTTTCTCTAGCATAACGTGCTGTGAGAAAACAATGTAAAATTCATCAAAATAAATGTAGTTTCAGTAAGTATAAATGACTACCAACTTAAAAGGTCATCTTGTTTTATGCAGGGTGTATTTTAATGAATCAAGAGAATGAAGCTCTGAGAATGGAATTTTAGGTATTATTTGGGGAGATAGTTTTAGGGCAGGAAATTAAAAATCCTATCTAATAAGACACTGTAAAAGATGCAGTACTCCAGCTCTCTTCTACAGAAAAAAAAAGATGCAGCACTAGTCATTTAAGATAAAAATTGTATATATTTTAAATATATTTTAACTATTCATTTTCCAATGTTAAGATTTTAAAAAATAATTTCCTTATAAAATCACGTTATGATTTTGCTCACTATAAACTCTCATTAATAACAGTTTAATGTAGTTTATACAGTTTTAGCTCTGTCCAGGATACTAAGTAATATTTTTACTTTTTGTTCTAACTATACATCTTTTAGGCTTCAAAGAATAGAATTGTCTAGCAATTTAGCGATTAAATTCCTGTTTGCCCTCTATCCATGCCATTCAGAATTTAGAGTCTTTTTTCCTCTATGCATGCCTCTGTACGAATTGAAAACTTTTATATTATCTTACTCTTTATATGGGAAACTATTCCTCATATTTGGTTATTTTAACCATCTTTCTTTGAACCATTTGATAGTGCAGCAGGAAAGGAAAATATTTTCTATTTTGTTCCTGTAACTCCATTATGTTGACCACTGCAAGAAATGATGTTTAGAGTTTGACTTTTTTTCCTCTTGAGGGATAACACCAATATATTTAAAAGTATGGTCTGTATTATTGTCCTTGAAATACGCTTTGTCCCTGTGCATAAGGAAGTTCCTCCACCCCATTTTGCCCATTCACAGCCTCAGAAAATCCGTCTATAGTTTATCCCCACTAGCTTAACATCCCTTTACTCATTAGAACGTTAAAAACTTGGGGATTTCAAATATACTGTATTCTACAACAGCTCTGAAAAACAAGACAAACTCCCGTACAAAACCTTGGAATGCTGTTTATATCTGTCCATTGAGAAATACCTCTCTCTTTAGTTAAGCCAGTTCTGACAAAAATTTTGCTATACTCTGCTTACTAATAAAGTCAGAGTCAGGGAAAAAAAGACTCCTTTATAACAGTTAAGCTTCCTTTATTGTCAACAAAATATACAAACTAATTTTCAAGAGGATACCTTTTGTTCTAAGATATATTCACACTAGCAAGATTTTATTTATTTTAAAGATAAACATCAGCAGATAAGCCATTTTATTTTCCAGTTTCAGTTTTATAATGTCACTAAAGTCATTATCAAATTTTAAATGATCACATCTATAATCAAAGGCTGATACTGTAAATATTATACACAGTAATAACAACTGTCTTAGAAGAGATATAGAACAAAGCTTATTTCTGCCTACACATATGATGACATCTATTGATAAGCTTTTAAGAAATATGTCATACCATATGACTTCAAAAGATGGGAAAACAGGTATATTAAATGAATAGCAATTTAAAAGACGCTACTTTCATTTCCTAGATTTCAGCATTAATCTAGGATTATATGATTAATTTTTAATCATAAAAAGAATTTTAAACTAACAAATTAAAATATACTACCTATAATAAATGAAATATCACACTAAAATGTGTTTGAGTCTAAGTGGGAGGAAAATCCACATTTATCTGATTTTTAGTATTTAAATTCTTGAAAAAATGTATGCTTTATTGCAGAACTAGCACTTTAACAAAATACAGACAATAACACTATCAAAATGTATGCAAATGGCAGCTATGTAATTTGTATGTTTAACAAGTTAAATCCATGTATTTCTTAATTTACTCTCCCGATTACCTACCACCAATATCAATATGAAAGAATTCTTTAATTTTATCATATAATACCAACACCAAAGCACCCCCTGTACCGCGAAGAACATTGGAGAAGGCGCCACGAAAAAAGGAACTGATTCCTTCATGTTGGTATATCTTCACAAAGCAGTCTAAGGTTCCTTTATATTGCCGTTTAGCCTCACCACTCTATACAAAGAAAAACAAAGGGTTTTCCATTATCTGAATATCTTTTATCTTAAGACAGTCTTCTATTAGCACTAAGGATAGATAAGATAAACACTGTGTTGAGTAGCACTGTGTTAATAGGCATATATGGCTACTGTCCCTGGTGGTTAGAGAACATTCATACTTTTCAGGCACACTTGAAAACTGACCATACATTAGGCGTTAACAAATGTCAAAGGATGTCATCACATAGACCATGATTTATCCTCTCACAGCACTGCAATTAACTGAGAAATCAATAGCAAAATAGAAAAATACCATATGGGCTAGGCATGGTGGCTCATGCCTGTAATCTCAGCACTTTGGGAGGCCGAGACAGGAAGATCGCTTGAGCCCAAGAGTTTGAGACCACCCTGGGCAATATGGAAAAATGCCATCTCAACAAAAAATACAAAAAATTAGCTGGGTGTGCTGGCACATGCCTGTGGTCCCAGCTACCCGGGAGGCTGAAGTGGGAGGATCACCTGAGCCTGGGAGGTCAAAGTTGCAGTGAGCCATGATCACACCATTGCACTCTAGCCTAAGTGACAGGGTAAGACCCTGTCTCAAAAAAAAAAAAAGAAAAAAAAAAAGAAATCATATGTTGGGATGTTAAGAACACTTCTTCTCAGAAAATACTGAAAACCAAATGATAATTACAAAACCTCTTACCTAAATTTTTAAGATGCAGCTTCGAGTTGTAATTTATAAGGAAATTAATGACCTTGAAATATTAGAAAAGGCTAAAAGTTAATGAGCAACCTAAACATTTTTAGACAAAGTATAAACCTAAAGAAAGTAAAAACAAGAAAATAACTGGCAGAAATAAAGGAAATAGAAAACACACACAACAGCACAAAAAAAGTCCAGTTAGGTCTTTGAAATACTTTGCTGACAGAGTTTGGAAATATTGTTTGAGGAAAAAAGAGAAAAGGCCCCAAGATTATCAGAAATGGCAACGGTAACAAAAATGCAGATGATCCAGAAATTTAAGAGCAAGATGATGTCATAAAAAACTTCATGACAATTATTTTTAAGTCATAAGAAATGGATAAATTCCTAGAAAAGTATAATTTACCAACAGAGTAGAAAAGAACTGGAATAATACTATAGTTGTTAAAAATTCAATCAGTTGTTGAATATCTTCTCATAAAGAAAACCACATGTCCAAAAGGCTTTACATGTGAGTTCTGCTAAACATTCAATGAACGTTTAATTCCAATCTTTCAGAAATTATTCTAGAGGAGAGAAAAAGTGGGATGACTCCTCAACGTATTTTATGAGGCTTGCACAGACTTGCTACTGAAGTCATACTAGAGCAATACAAGAAGGAAAAATACAAGCCAGTGTCATTAAACATGGATGCAAAAATCCTGAACAAAACCCAGCAATCAAATCTAGCAAGTGCTACAGAATACAATACTTGCAAACTGGGTTTATCCCAGGCATACAAGAGTTAGCTCTAGAAAACAGATTAATTTAACACAATATGTAAACATATTAAAAGAAAAAAAGGTTTAATCATCTCAGCAGATACAGAAAGAACATGACTGCCATTCATAATTAAAAATTGTTGTAATCCAGGAACAGAAAGGAACTGTCATTACATGATAAATGATAATGACAAAAAACCCCCACAGTTAATATTAAATTATGTAACACTGACGTCATTTTCTGTATGATTAGGAACAAGATAAGGTTGCCAGTTACTACTTTGTAAATATAACACTGAATCCGGGGTCTCAGTGAGTACAGAAAGGCAAGAAAGAGAAATAAAAGGTGTAAGAATTGATAAGGAAGGAAGAAAACACTGATATTAGTTGCAGATTATATGCCTGTTCATGTAAATAAAAATTTGGAAGGTATGTACATACACATTCGTGTTTGTAATAGGGTTAACAAAGTTGTGGGATGTAAAATGAAATACACAAAAATTAAGTAGTACTGTTATGGGCTGAATTGTTAAAATCATATATTGAAATCCTAATAACTCCCAGTACCTCAGAATGTGACTGTATTTGGAGATAGGGTCTTTAAAGGTAATTAGAATTAAATGAGATCACAAGAGTGAACCCTAAGCCAATATGACTGTCCTTATAAAAAGGGGAACAGGCCAGACGTGGTGGTTCAGGCCTGTAATCCTACCACTTCGGGAGGCTGTGGTGGGTGGATTGCCTGAGCTCAGGAGTTCGAGACCAGCCTGGGCAAAATGGTGAAACCCTGTCTCTACTAAAATACAAAAAATTAGCTGGGTGTGGCAGCGTGTGCCTGTAATCTCAGCTACTCGGGAGGCTGAGGCAGGAGAATTGCTAGAACCTGGGAGGCAGAGGTTGCAGTGAGCCGAGATTGCACCACTGCACTCCAGCCTCGGCGACACAGTGAGACTCCATCTCCAAAAAAAAAAAAAAAAAAAAAAAAGAAGAAGAAGAACAGAGGAGGAACCCTGTGAAAACACAGGAAGAAGACAGCCATTTATAAGACAAGGAGAGAGGTCTTCAGAGGAAACCAAGTCTGCTGACATCTTGATCTCAGACTTGTAGCCTTCAGAACTGTGAGAAAATAAATTTGTTGTTTAAGCAAACCACTTTTGTGGGTGACACCAGCCCTAGCAAACTAATACACACACACATATAAGACTCATATTCCCATTTTTTTTTCTGTACTGTTGTGAGATTAGGTTGCAGACATCATGCCGTTTATCCTTAAACACTCGAGTGCATATTTTCTTTTTCTTTTTTTTTTTGAGACAGAGTCTTGCTCTGTTGCCCAGCCTGGAGTGCAGTGGCGCCATCTTGGTTCACTGCAAGCTCTGCCTCGTGGTTCATGCCATTCTCCTGCCTCAGCCTCCCGAGTAGCTGGGACTACAGGCGCCCGCCACCACGCCTGGCTAATTTTTTGTATTTTTAGTAGAGATGGAGTTTCACCGTGTTAGCCAGGATGGTCTTGATCTCTTGACTTCGTGATCCACCCGCCTCAGCCTCCCAAAGTGTTGGGATTACAGGCGTGAGCCACAGTGCCTGGCTCAAGTGCATATTTATTTTCTAAATATTGGGATATTTTCTTACATATCCAAAGTACAGTTATCAAATTCAGGAAATTTAATATAATACCACTGACCCAATCCATAGTCTACGTGCAAATTAATTTTCCATTTTAAAAAGTTTCTCAATGTGCTAAACTAGAGCTAGCTATAGAAAGAAAAGAAACACAGACATAAATGGAATAACTCTAAGTATTATCCCTAAGTGAAGTAACGGGTTAGTTTTAATCTGCCAGATTGCCTACTGGTCCTTCCAGGACCATTTTGTAGTCAATAAAAATGAGGATAATGATAGGAACTACACCTCAGTGTTTTGAGAATTTAATGAGTAAAAGTACAGAACTCTTAGGACAGTATAAAGCATATAATAAGCACTATATTACTATTCTAGTTTTCTGACCTCATTATTTTCACTTGCCCTCATAAAACTTATGACCTGGCTATCCTGAACTACTTCTCAAGCCATATTTCTGTGTACGATTTTCCCCCTATGCTTAGAATGTTCTCTCACTGACTGAAGTAAACCTACTCACTGAGATTTAGCTCTCTAGGAGACCACGTCTGATCATTTTAAGCATTTGGGCAACCCTCCTCTATGTATTCCTGGAACCTACACACATTTGTATTTAAACCATTAACTGCTGTCTTCAATATTAGACTATGAATTTGGGTGCAGATTTTGTCTTTTTCTGTCACCAGAGCTTAGCATAGATGAAGCATGCAAATATTTGCTGAATGGATGAATGTAATAAGTACAGGTTGGTATCCCTTATCTGAAATGCTTGGAATTAGAAGTGTTTTCAATTTTTTCAGATTTTGAAATATTTGCTTTGTATACTTACCAGCTGAGCACCTGAAATCTGAAAAGCTCCAATGGGCATTTCCCTTGAGCATCACGTTGGTGCTCAAAACATTTTGAATTTTGGGGTGTTCTGGATTTAGGATTTTCAGATTTGGGATGGTCAACTGGTAATAACAATAGAGATCAAATGTATCAAAAATTTGGTTTAGGGATTTATATTTAGAACATCATGACAAACAAGTTTTTGTCCTTGGAGTTCAAAATTATTTGCTTTCTTAAAAATATATTACAATAAATAATGAAATATCTCAATGGCTTGTGACTGGGCTTATTCTACTTAATCTAATATTTCAGTTAAGATAGACATATTCATCCAATTTCTGCCATAACCCTCTACCTTCCAAGCAATATATGCTACAGGAATAGTAGGCATTTCTGTTTTGATGGTAGGTGAGGAAGCAGCTTTGCTGGCTGATGGTTATTTTAGGATAGGAAAGAATATAAGACAGAATACATCATGTATTTATTTTAGCTAAGTAAAACAAATGACTTATGCCTTTCAGCCAACATTTCTCTTAAATTTGATTATACCTAAATATCAGAGATATTAAAAACTCAACTAAGCTTAGAAACAATAACATAAAATACCTGCATCATCATACGTCTTCTAACTGTGTCAAAGGGATAAGAAAGTATTCCAGAGCATGTAGTCACAACTTGAGCAATGAAAAAGGAGACAAGAAATGGAGTTTTCTTTGGCTTTGGTAATAAACCCTAGAAAAGAAAAATGTGCCAAGTAACTATCCAAATTTCTAAAATATCTTAAATTCTTAAGTTAAAGGATAATTTTTATAAATATATGAAAGAGGGCCCAATTATACTTAAAATGCAATAAAAATGTTGGATTTAATAGTAGCAGATCAATAAAAAGTGGAATGCCACACATGACTATATTTCAAAGGTATATTTCAAAAATATAAAGCATATTTGCCATTATAAGAATTTGTTATTAATGCACATAAAACTAGGGAAGATAGCAGACATTGACAAAAAAGAAGTTCTTCCATGGCTCTTCCTTGTGGGGTTGAAAAAAAGTGAAACAAATGCTTGCTTTTATCATCAACACATATTTGATGGGCAGCTTTAAAACTAGTGGAGAAATGTTCCTAAATTTCATAACTACTGCAGGTGATAACAAACTAGAGACAGAGTACACACATAACTTTTTTTGTGATTAAATAAATGTACAAGATCCTGTAATTTTCATTAACATAGCAGTCTAAAAAATACACTAAAAACTGATCTGTCCAGACAACAATAAAAATGCCATGCAACTACATTTATACTAATGAAGGAGTATAGTATAATTATTTATTATACTAATAAATAATACTGATATTAATTTCATTGCTTCCTTTTGGAAGCATTATAATGTAGTCATTAAGAACATGGATTTTTTTTTGCTTGCCTTTAACAAGTAAATTACTTAACCATTCCTAGGCTATTTACTTAACAATTCCTAGGCTATTTATCTTTAAACAAAGGGGGGATTTTATTTTTTTATTATTTATTTTAAACAACTACAATTATCTTTATTTTCTTATTACTTTTTATTTCAATAGGTTTTTTGGGGAACAGGTAGTGTTTTGGTTACATGGGTAAGTTCTTTACCAGTGATTTCTGAGATTCAAGATGTAAAGTACTTTAAAAAGTTTCCTAGAACTAGGTAATAGCTAAAAATTGGTAGCCATTGTTACAATTTTTCTTTTTCCTACCACATGGAAGTGTTCTTAAAATCTGAAATGAAAAGGTAAATTGCAGAACAACCTGGAGAATACAACACAGAATCTAACAGTATCCGGTAGATAACCAAGCTACAGTAGCATTTATTTAATTAATTTTGCTTTGTCTCCTTCTCAAAATGACATTTTATTATTTGAATATAAAAAAGTGATAATAGGGTTAACATAAAATCAGAAAAACTGTTAGAAGATGCCTTTCCATATACCAATGATTTGATTATGATGTAAGCTTAATTAGCGTGTTTTTCATTTGCAATGTGATGTACAGTGAAAACACCTCAAAAACTTAGATACATGCTTTATAACTAAAGTCAGATCCATACTGCAGTTATAATTTAATTAGGTTATGGCAAAATCATGATTAAGCAGAATTTCATGTCTCTCTTTTTTCATCACTGATTTTTATTTTTATAATTAAAAGTAACATATCTGCTGAAAACATTACTAATTAAATAAATGGAAACCATATATTTAATATGTCCAAGTTAAAGCCCCCAGATTACCTTAACTGTGTCATAAGCTCCAAAATAAGAGGCTCGGTACACAATGATGCCCTGTACTGAAACACCAAACCCTTGGTATAAACCAGCAATTCCATCTGATTTTGCTATTTTCATAATACAGTCACCTAAACCCTTGAATTGTCGCTCCTCAGGACCTAAAATAAAGCCATTTAAAATCTATTAGCAACATTATATATCCAATAAACACTTTAATCAAAATAAACCTTTACAGATCTAAATGATCTGAAATTCCCACTTACAAATCTAACAAAGAAGGCACAAATCAAAATCCTCCCATTCTTTTACAGATAATCAAGATTTCAAGTACTATCTCAAAAGAAATAAATGGAAAATATTAATCTCTCATGAAAACAATTTACTTCAAACAACCTGCCTTAAAGTATTTTATTAAAGTTACCAGAAGTTACTAATTGAGGTTCAGAAAATAATTTGAAACAGGCCAGGTGAGATGGTTCATGCCTGTAATTCCAGTGCTTTGCGAGGCCAAGGCAGAAGGACTGCTTGAGGCCAGGAGTTCGAGACCAGCCTGGGCAACACAGTGAGACCCTGCCACTACAAAAAATAAAAAAAATTAGCCAGGAGGCTGAGGCAGGTAGATCACTTGAGACTAGGAGTTGGAGGTTTCACTGAGCTATGATTGTGCCACCGTACTCCAGCCTAGGCAACAGAGTAAGACCCTGTCTCTATTAAAACAAAACAAAACAAAACAAAGAAACACTTAGAAAGGAAAAATTGGCAGGGCACAGTGCCTCATGCCTGTAATCCCAGCACTTTGGGAGGCTGAGGTGGGTGGATCACGAGGTCAGGAGTTCAAGACCAGCCTGGGCAAGATAGTGAAACCCTGTCTCGATTAAAAATACAAAAATTAGCCAGGCGTCGTGGTGGTCGCCTGTAATCCCAGCTACCCAGGAGGCTGAGGCAGGAGAACTGCTTGAACCTGGGAGGTGGAGGCTGCAGTGAGCTGAGATCATGCCACTGTACTCCAGCCTGGGTGACAGAGAAAGACTGTCTCAAAACAAAAACAAAAACAAAAAACAAAAAAAAAAACAAATAAAAAAACTCCAGGACTGTTGAAAAGCAAAAAGATAAAGCTAAAAACTAGTAAGGATAGTTTAAGATAGTTAACATTTCATATGAAGGGGTCATATTTTTCCAGTATTTTCTGGTTTTATTTTTCTTTTCCCTTGACCAAGAATTCCTTGACAATATTTTAAAACTATTATATATGTACAATGTAATCTTCCAAAAATAAACTAAATCTTCCTGATTTGAAAGAGAAAACAAAACTATGGAACTTAAAGCAAGATAATATTGAGTTATTTTTACCCTCTTATTAATAAAAATAAACTTTCAACTTCCAGTTAAATAGATGAAACTCACATTTTTATTTTTGCTCAAACTGCCACCCCTTCTGAGACATTTTCTGATCACTTATTTAAAACTGCTATCACTCTCTTCTAACTTTTTTCCCTAGCATTTATCATTAAGTGACAATATATTTTAGTCATTTATTCATTTATTATTACTTGTGTCCTCCACTAGACTCTTAGGTACATGAGGCATGAGCTCTATGTCTTACATGGGGGGTGGGGTGTGAATATGTGTGCATATATATACGCATATACACACTCACACACGCCCTGTATCTGCAGGCACCCTGTATTCCAGAAGGCACTCAATATTTGTTGAATGAATCTCTGTACCCTAAAGAAACTCTGTTACATTAATAATAATGAAATAAAACAGGTTTAAAGCCAGATAGGCCAATAAGAGAACATGACAGAATGAAATCTACAAAATTTTGCCAGATGGAGAGAATAGGGAGGAGTGGTAATTCACCAAATAGAGCAGAAAAAGCTGAACCTATTTTCTTACAGAGGAAGATACTGCTGGGAAGCAAGCCATTTGATCACAATAACCTCAGAAAGACTTAGAAATTAGAGGAACTAACTACTACTTCCAGGATGAAAGCAAAGGAGCAGGGAGATGCTCAATATCCACAACCTCACCCTGAGCAGCCAAATGACTTACTGTGCTGCCACCCACAGAACTGAACACAAGGCTCCAGATTTAACGGGGCCAGTTGTGTGACCGCTGCAATCACTCAAACACTGAAAAAAGACTCACATAAAGATATTTTATTGTGAAATATAAGATCATCAGGGATAGAAAGAAACTAAAAAGAAAAAACATATACTAAAGGATCCGGAGTAAGCAAATTGGTATCTTAAGAGCAACATTAGAAACTAGAAGTCAGGGTAATATTTTCGTAATTGTGAAGGAAAATAATTTTAAACTCAGACTTTCATATATGTCTTACCCTTTTTGAGAGGGTAAGACAAACACTTTTTTTAAGATATGTAAGAGCTCAATTTATTTTTTTTCACTCTTTCTCAAAAAGTTACCAAAGAATATACTCTACCAAAAAACAAGGGTGTAATAACAAAAAAGGGAAGATGTGATATTTAAGTAAGGATAGAGGCAAAGGGACTCCCTAGGATGAGATTTGTGCATCTAACCTAGAAGGGAGCCACAGCTGAGACAGGACTAAGTGCATGGAAAAAAATCTAGGAAGGGCTTTCTAGGAAAAAAAAATGGGACTAAGTTATAAGCAATTTTTATGTTCACTTTTTTTGTTACAACAGGCTTTCCCTCCTTCCCTTTTTTAAGGGAAAAGAAGCAAGTAATATACTTTAGGCCCTATGACTCCACCATTTGGTTGAGAACAAAGTTCGTAGACTTTATCTGGTAACACTATTATAGCACAATTAATGCCAATAAATAACAGATGGTTCAAAATGCAAAGAAGGAAAAGTTAGTATTTCTAAAAATCTCATACCTTTTCCAATATCGACACCTAATCGGGTTCGGGCAAAATCTAGAGGATATACTACACATAAGGATGTTGCCCCAGCAGCTCCACCAGAAGCCAGGTTTGCCAAAAACCACCTCCAGAACTGAAACATATTAATTTAAAAGTGGTTATTAAACCACAGAATCTAACTGTTTAAAATACCTGGTAAATTCTTATTTTTATAAATGTTAAAACACCAGATTTATAAGCCACTTTTATAAAGTAAACATCTATAATAATGCATACCATGCTATCCAAAATATTTTATTTTTATAGCCATATAGCTTTTGTTTCATGCAGTCTGGAAGACACAGTTTAGATGCTGACATACTGAAATTCCAGGATATTTTAATGTTCTCCAGCAAAGCAGCCCAAATTAGCAAAAGAGGTCGCATAATCATCTCTTTACGCTGTATACTTTTTTTTTTCCTTAATAGCTACATAATTCTTAATAATAGTGCTTGCTATGATTACAATGTCAGGCACATATGGAGGCTTTAGTTGTGCCCTTTTTCTGTGAAGGGTGAAGTAAGTAGTATTATGGCAAAAAACTGCAATTACTTTTTGCACCAACCTAAAATACTTCACAATGCCCCAGCTTCACTTTGTAATTTAAATAGAATTAAATTTGAATAGCTCAAAAATACGTATTTAATTATGTTCAAATGACAACATGGAGATTGGCAGACATCAATCATAATGTAGTTGTATGGCATTTAAGTTAGGCCTCACTGGTCTACTAGTTCACATGAGCTATTGAAGAAGTATAATTACTTTTGATCAACATTTAAAATGTGCCCTCCCCAGGTTCAGCAAGATGCTTTTCAACATCTAGTGCTTATGCGAGAAGAAAGGAGTATCTGAATTGGAGCTGTTATGAAAAATCCAGGATACGAGGCCACTGCAAGCACTTAATACATTAAAGTGAATAATATGCTAGTCAAGCTCAATTTCTTGCTTTATTTTCTGGTTTTTATTTCTAACAATAAAGTGTCAGACAGCTTTGCAATTCTCAATGTTCTCTAGCCCTGGAATGCTCTTCCTTTTTTAAACAAAAAAATAGTTATTGCTTCATGCTCTAATTCAAGTTCTACTTCTTTCATGAAATATCTGATCTCCAACCCATCTATTGAAACTGTATATGATCATACCCTCTTCCCATAAATACTTCATCTCTGTCAGAGAATTAAAGTTGAATCCCATGACCAATACATAAAATGTATTAACATGTTATAGACTCTTTTTTTTTCTGAGATGGAGTCTAGCTCTGTCACCCAAGCTGGAGTGCAGTGGCGCGATCTCGACTCACTGCACAGACTCTTATTTTTTAAATATCACTTACAACCATTTTCTACTTTCAATTTATAATTATTTGTGTACATTTATACTCCTACAGACTATAAATTTCTTTTTTTTTTTTTTGAGACAGAGTCTCGCTCTGTCGCCCAGGCTGGAGTGCAGTGGCGAGATCTTGGCTCACTGCAAGCTCTGCCTCCTGGGTTCACGCCATTCTCCTGCCTCAGCCTCCTGAGTAGCTGGGACTACAGGCGCCCGCCACCACGCCCAGATAATTTTCTTGTATTTTTTTTTTAGTAGAGATGGGGTTTCACTGTGTTAGCCAGGATGGTTTCCATCTCCTGACCTCGTGATCCGCCTGCCTAGGCCTCCCAAAGTGCTGGGATTACAGGTGTGAGCCACTGCGCCCGGCCCAGACTATAAATTTCTTGAGGCCAGCATTATTTTTCCTTAACAGCTTTACTAAGTATAATTCACATATCATAAAATTCACCTATGTAAAGCGTACAATTCAATTGTTAATATATTCACAGAGTTGTGCAACCATCACCACAGCTTAGAATATTTTCATCACACCAAAAAGAAACCCCAGGCCTGTTATAAGTCACTCCACATCCTCCCTACCTCCTTAAGTCCTAGGCAACCATTAAACTACTTTCTGTCTCTATATATTTGCTTATCCTGGACATTTCATATAAATGGAATCACATAAGACACACTCTTTTTTGACTGGTTTCCTTCATTTAGCATGTTTTCAAGGTTCATCCATGTTGCAGTACATATTAATACTTCATTCCTTTTTATTGCCAAATAATATTCTATTTTATGAACATTATCTACTCATCAGCTGATGAACATTTGGGTTGTTTCCATTTGTTTGAGGCCAAGATTCTTAATTCCTCTGTTTATTTCACAGAGCAAGTCAGGAGGTCTTGCCCAGAGATATGTATTAAATAAGTATTTGTTTAATAAAGTGTACTGGTAATGCCACTTACTGTTCCCAGACTCCCATGGATCTTTTTAAGTAACACTCATCAGTTTTATTGTATAAGCAGCATGTCTCATCATACAGAAATAATTAGATCAGGAGATTGCATCTGACATAAGGGTAGTTAATCCACAGTGTAGTAGATGATTGGTAACCTGGTAGAAAAAGATGAGCTGGGCCAGAGCCTCTTTCTTGGGAACTGAACTTTAAATATTCAATACTAGTTATCAATAAGGACAGAAAAGGAAAAGTTAATGTCTTAGACTTTTTGGAGACTGTTTAAAGCTATAGATCCTCTCCTAAGAAAAATTACACATGTATGAACATATATTTTTAGAGTGTGGGGTATTCTGGAAGCATTCACGGATCCCAGGTTAAGAACCTCTGACCTTTAGAAAGGCCAAAAAGGATTACTATGGTACAAATATTGAATTTAAAGGAATAAGAAAATATCAGTAAGTAAAAAAAGTAGGCAATAATGAGAAAACAGAGCAAACACACACACTAAAAGCAGGTAATTAGAGAGAAAGAACAGGTGACTTGGGAGAGAAAGATGAGAGTATAGTTTGGTCCGTAGAGGTGCCTGTGGCTGAAATTCAAGTGCCACTGTATCATTACAATAAATCATCTTTTTCCTGAGGTAATCTGAGTTAATCTCTGCTTATGAAAACCAAGCACATCAACCAAACAAAATATGTGGCATAAAGATTTATAAAGTAGATCTTAAGTTCTACTTAATCTTTTTTTCTTTCTTGATGAGAAAGAAGGCAGATCAATGATTTTTGGCGTGGATAATCATGTAATTTATCATTCAAACCAGGACACTTCTGATACAGAAAGTGGGAGCTATGAAAAAACGACAGGGGCAGGCACAACATATATAAACGGTATGGCCGATCTATGTAGTGACGGTAGGAAGGACAGAAATAGAGGGAGAAAGGCAGTAAGAATCTGCCCATGCTGAGTGACGATCCTGCATTTATGTAACAAAGCCTGTCCCTCCACAAGTAAGACTGAAAATAAAACAGACCCAGAAAAGGTAGTATGTATATAAGTATAAGTGAGTTTTGGTTGTTGTAAGTTAGTAATTTAAAGTATTACTATATTGGTGTTTTCCCCCCGCCCAGGCTGGAGTGCTGGGACTACAGGCGCCCGCCACCACACTCGGCTAATTTTTTGTATTTTTAGTAGAGACGGGGTTTCACCATGTTAGCCAGGATGGTCTTGATCTCCTGACCTTGTGATCTGCCCGCCTCGGCCTCCCAAAGTGCTGGGATTACAGGCGTGAGCCACCATGCCTGGCCTACTATATTGTTAAAAGAAGAGGCACGGAGAAGAATCAGGAAGGGAGAAGATGAAAGTCTGAGAGTTCTGAGGAAAAATAATCCTATTTATTTTTAATTGTTGACAGATACTGTGTGAAAAGACTCAATGATGCATCAAACAACAAATGCCCTGAGACCAAAGTTGTTTATAACAACTTGTCTGGACAAGGAAGAGAGCTGGGAGCAGCTCTAGTCTTCCTCATTGAGGGCTGTGCTGAAAGCTGCTAAGGGGTGGCTGAGGAGCAGTTTATGCCCAGGCCCAGCTGAGGCTCATCCAGTCTAGTCACCTCAGGTGAGTTTGGGAGTTAGATTGGAACAAACTAGTGGAGCAAAAGCTTTAAGCTCTGAGTCCCACTCTCCTTATCTGTACCTTCTGGGTAAAAATAATTACCTCAAAGAGTGAAGTGAAGATTCAGTGAAACAACATATATAGTAGGCACATGCTTCCCTTACCATTTTTTAAAAAACTTTTTATTTTGAGATAATTTTGGATTCACATTTATTATAAGGAGTAATATACAGAGAGACTATAAATCCTTCAACGAATTATCCTCAGTGTACTAAGCATATGTGTAGTACAAGAAATGGACATGATAAGGCCTACCCTATTCAGATTTTGTCAGTTTAACATGACTCAGTTGTGTGTTTATTCAGTGACACGCAGTTTTGTCACATGTTCAAATTGGTCAACAGTTCCATGAGAAGGATCCCTCATGCCACTCTTAAAATCACAGCCACTTCTCTCCCTCCTGGCAAACAGTATTCTTTTTTCCATCACTATAATTTCATCATCTCAAGAACGTTATATAAAAGCAATCAGAAAGCATATAACCTTTGAGATTGGCTTTTTCTACCTTAAAATCCAAAGTTGGTGCACATATCAAAAGTTTGTTCCTTTTTTGTATACTGATAAAATATACACAAGATTTACCATTTTAACTATTTTAAGTGTACAATTCAATGGCATTAAGTATGTTTGCAACATTGTTTAAACTTTGTCACTATTTCCAGAACTTTTTCATCATCCTAAACAGAACTCTGTAACTCATTAAACACTAACTCCCCATCTCCCCTCTCAGTAGTTTAACAGAGGTTAACCACCTATTAATCTATAATCTCCCTTCTGTCACTATGAATTTGTCTATACTAAGTACTTAAGTAGAATCATACAATATTTGCCCTATCAAAAGTTTGTTCCTAGACAAGAATGTCCACTCTCACCACTTCTATTCAACATAGTGGTGAAAGTCATAGCCAGAGCAATTAGGCAAGAGAAAGAAATAAAAGGCATCGAAATAGGAAAAGGGGAAGTCAAATTACATGAGTAATTTAACCTAGAAAACCCAAGATATGCCTCCCAAACCCTAAATATACCTCTAGACCTGATAAATGACTTCAATAAAGTTTCCGGATACAAAATCAATGTACAAAAGTCAGTAGCATTTCTACACACCAATAGCATTCAAGTTGAGACTCAAATCAAGGACTCTATCCCATTTATAGTAGCCACAAAAAAAAAAAAAACCATAGGAATACATTTCACCAAGAAGGTGAAAGATCCCTACAAGGAGAACTACAAAACATTGATGGAAGAAATCATACATGACACAAACAAATGGAGAAACATTCCATGCTCATGTACTGGAAGAATCAGTATCATTAAAATGACCATACTGCCCAAAGCAATTACAGATTCAACAGAATTCCTATCAAATTACCAACATCAGTTGTCAAAGAATTAGAAAAAAGCATTCTAAAATTCATATGGAACCAAAAAGAGAGACTGAATTGCCAAAGGAATCCCACGCAAAAAGAACAAATCCATAGGCATCACATTACCTGACTTCAAACTATACTACAAGGCTATAATACCCCAAACAGCATGGTGCTGGTGCAAAAACAGACACATAGACCAATGGAAGCAAATAAAGAACCCAGAAACAAGGCCACACACCTACACTCAACTGATCTTTAACAAAGTTGACAATAATAAACAATAAGAAAAGGACACCCTATTCAACAAATAGTGCTGGGGAAAATGGCTAGCCATATGCAGAAGAATGAAACTGGGTCCCTACCCTTCACCATATACAAACATTAATTCCAGATGAATTAAAGACTAAAATTAAATATAAGACCTCAAACTAAAAAAATCCTAGACAAAAACCTAGGAAAAATTCTAAACATTGGCCTTGGCAAAGAATTGATGACTTAGACCTCAAAGCCAAATGCAACAAAAACAAAAATTGACAAATGGGACTGAAAAAGCTTCTGCACAACATTCAGTGGAGGAAACAGACAATATGCAGAATGGGAGAAAATATGTGCAAACTATGCATCTGACAAAGGATTAATATCCAGAATCTATAACGAACTTAAATAAATTGACCAGAAAAAAACCAAATAACCCCATTAAAAAATGGGCAAAGGACGTGAACAGACATTTCTCAAAAGATGACAGACAACTGGCCAACAAACATATGAAAAAATGTTCAACATCACTGATATGGTTTGGCTGTGTCCTCACCGAAATCTCAACTTGAATTTTATCTCCCAGAATTCCCACATGCTGTGGGAAGGACCCGGGGGTGGTGGGGTAACTGAATCATGGGGGTCAGTCTTTCCTATGCTACTCTTATGATAGTAAATAAGTCTCATGAGATCTGATGGGTTTATCAGGGGTTTCCACTTTTGCTTCCTCCTCATTTTTCTCTTGCCACTACCATGTAAGAAGTGCCCTTCACCACCCACCACGATTCTGAGGCCTCCCCAGCCATGTGGAACTGTAAGTCCAATTAAACCTGTTTTTCTTCCCAGTCTCAGGTATGTCTTTATCAGCAGCATGAAAATGGACTAATACACTAATCATCAGAGAAATGCATATTAAAAGCACAATGAGATACCATCTCACACTAGTCAAAATGGCTATTAAAAGGTCATAAAATGATATATGTCAGTCATGTGTAAAAAAAGGGAATGCTTATACATTGTTGGTGGGAATGTAAATTAGTTCAACCCCCATGGAAAACAGTATGGAGATATCTCAAAGAACTAAAAATAGAACTACTATGCCATCCTATTACTGGCTATCTATCCAAAGGAAGAGAAATTATTGTATGAAAAAGACATCTGAACTTGTATGTTTATCTTAGCACGAATCACAATAACAAAGTCGTAGAATCAACCTAAGTGCCCAACAATGGATGAATGGATAAAGAAAATGTGGTACATATACACCACGGAATACCATACAGCTTTAAAAAAAGAATGAAATAATGTCCTTGGCAGCAACATGGATGCAGCTGGAGGCCATTATCCTAAGTGAATTAATGCAGAAACAGAAAATTAAATACTTCATGTTCTCACTTATAAGTGGGAACTAAACAGAGGGTACGTGTGGACATAAAGGTGGAAACAATAGACACTGGCAACTCCAAAAGCAGGGAGGAAAGTGGGGGAAGGGTTAAAAAGCTACCTGTTGGGTACCATGTTGACTATTTGGTTGATGGGTTCAACAGATGCCCAAACCCCAGCATTACACAATATACCCATGTAACAGACGTGTATGTATCCCCTGAATCTATTATTTTAAAATTTTCTTCCTTTCTACTGCTGAGTAATATCCTGTGATGTGATTTACCAGTTTAATCATTTGCCTACTGAAGGACATCTGAGTTGTTTCCAGATTTTGCCTATTCTAAGAAAAGCTGCTACTGAACATTGTGTACACTGGTTTTTGTATGAACATAAATTTTCATTTCTCCAGGATAAATGCCCACCCAAAAGTGTAAACATGCATCATACGGTGGGTGCATGTTAGTTTCTAAGAAATCGCCATACTTTTTTCCACAGTGGCAGTGCCATTTCACATTCCACCAGCAATATGAGAGTGATTTGGTTTCTCTGCACTGTCCAATTTGGTGTTATCATTATTGTAGGTATTTAGTGATATCTTATTTTGTTGTATCAATGACTTAAAAAAATTTTTCGGTACAATGGCTAAAAGTATCAATGACTTAAAAATTTTTTTAGTTGACAAATAATTGTATATATTTATGGGGTACAATGTGGTATTGCGATTTATATTTATATTGTTGAGTGGCCAAGCTAATTAACATATATATCACATACTTAAATTTTTGTGGTGAGAACATTTAAAACATACTCTTTTAGCAATTTTGAAATATACATTATTATTAACTACAGTCTCATGGTGTACAACAGAGCCCTAAAACTTATTCCTCCTGTCTAAATGAAACTTTGTACCCTTTGAGCAACATCTACCCATTCCTCATCCCCCCACGCTCCATCGACCTCAGAAAGCACCAGTCTACTTTGCTTCTATGAGATCAAAATTTTAAAATTCCATATATAAGTGGGATGTACAAAGTCAGTAGCAGTATTTGTCTTTCTGCACCTGGCTTACTTCACTTAGCTGGTTATTCCATGTCACAAATGACAGAATTTCTGTCTTCTATAAGGCTGAGTAATATTCCACTGAATACACACATTTTCTTTATCCATTCATCTGCTCATGGACACTTAGGTTGCTTCCGTACCTTAGCTATTGTGAATAATGCTGCAATAAACAAGACTGCAGATTGTGCAGATATCTCTTCATCATGCTGATTTCAATTCCTTTGGATATATAACCCAGTAGTGGGATTGCTGAATACTGTGGCAGTTCTATTTTTTTTTTTTTTTGAGGTGGGGTCTTGCTTTGCCGCCCAGGCTGGAGCGCAATGGCGCGATCTCGGCTCACTGCAACCTCCACCTCCTGGGTTCAAGCGATTCTCCTGCCTCAGCCTCTCTAGTAGCTAGGATTACAGGAACACACCACCACGCTCAGCTAATTTTTGTATTTTTAGTAGAGATGGAGTTTCACCATGTTGGCCAGCTGGTCTCGAACTCCTGACCTCAGGTGATCCGCCCGCCTTGGCCTATCAAAGTGCTGGGATTATAGGCGTGAACCACAGCACCTGGCCCTATTTTTAGTTTTTTAAGGTACTTCTATATTATTTTCTAAAGCGTCTATAGTAATTTACATTTCCACCAACAGTATACAAGGGTTTTCTTTTCTCTCTAGTCTTGCTCACGCATATCTTTCATATTTTTGATAATAGTCATTCTAACAGGTATGAGGTGATATTTCAAAGCGGTTTTAATTTGCATTTCCCTGGCTAGTAATGTTCAGCATTTTTTCATGTACCTGTTGTCTATCTGTATGTCTTCGTTTGAGAAGTGTCTCTTTAGGTTTTTGGTACATTTTCTAATCAGGTCATTTGTTTTTATATTATGAAAGTATTTGAATTCTCTATACAGTTTTTATATTAGCCCCTTTGTCAGATTTTTTTTGGCAAATATTTTGTTTGCAAACATATTCTCCCAAGTCACGGGTTGTCTCATCACTCTGTTGTTTCCTTTCCTGTTCAGAAGCATTTTAGTTTAATACTATCCCATCTGTCTATAAGTTTTGCTTTTATTACTTGTGCTCTTAGGGTCATATCCAAAAAATCATGGCTCAGACCAATGTCATGGAGTTTTTCCCCAATGTTTTATGTTTCAGGTCTCATATTTAAATCTTTAATATGTTTTAATTTTTTTGTATATGGTGTGAGATAAGAGTCCAATTTCATTCTTCTGCATATGGACATCCCTTTTGTCAATACCACTTATTGAAGAGACTGTCCTTTCCCCATTGTGTGTTCTTGGCTTCTTTGTCAAGAATCAACTGACCATAGATATGTGAGTTTACTTCTGGGCTTTCTGTCCTGTCATACTGGTTGGTTGTTTTTATGCCATTTTCACGCTGTTTTGATTACTATAGCTTTGTAGCAGATTTTAAAACCAGGTGGTATGATAGCTCCAGCTCTGTTCTTTTTGTGGGTATTTTGTGATCCCACATAAATTGAAGGATTCTTTTTTTATTTCTGTGAAAAAATGCCATTGGAATTTTGATAGAAACAGCACTGCATCTGTAGATTATTTTGGATAGTAGGGGCATTTTAATAGTATTAATTTTTCCAAACTATGAACACACGATGAGCTTCCAGTTACTTGTGCGTTCCTCTACTAGTTTTATGTTTCAGGTCTTATATTTCAGTTTCAGTTTCTTTAATCAGTGTTTTAAACTTTTCAGTATATGGATCTTTCACCTCCTTGGTTAAATTTACTAAGCATTTTGTGTTTTTTTTTTTTTAAAGCTATTGTAAATGTTATTCTTATTTCTTGTTAAAAGAATTCATTGTTAGTATGTAAAATGTGACTAATTTTTGCATGTTAATTTTGTATCCTGTGACTTTACTGAATTCATTTACCAGTACTAACAGTTTTCTGGTGGTCTTTGGGGTTTTCTATATATAAGATCATGCTACCTGACAACAGAGACAATATTACTTCTTTCTGTCCATGTGCATGCCTTTTATTTCTTTTGCTTGTCTAATTGCTCTGGCTAGGACTTCTAGTACTTTGTTGAATAGAAGTGGTGAGTGTGTCTGGTTTGTGATCTTAGAGAAAAAGCTTTCAACTTTTCACTGTTGTATATAATGTTAGCTGTGGGCTTATCATATGTGATCTTTTTTTGTGTTGAGATACATTCCTTCTATGCCTAACTTGCTGAGTTTTTAATATGAAAGAATGAACTTTGTAAAATGCTTTTTCTGACATCTACTCAGATGCTGCTATGGTTTTTGTTAATACAGTTTATCACATGTATTGATTTGTGTATATTGAACTATCCTTATTTCTCAGGAATAAATCCCACTTGATCATAATAAATAATCCTTTTAATGTGCAGGTGAATTCAGTTTGCTAGTATTTTCTTGAGGATTTCTGCATGTTTGTTCACTAGGGACGCTGACCTGTAATTTTCTTTTCTTCTAGTGTCCTTCTCTGGTGCTTTGGTATCAGAGTAATGCTGACCTCATAAAATGAGTCTGAAGGTGTTGCCTTCTCTTCCATTTTTTTGAAGACTGTGAGGAGGACTGGTATTAGTTCTTAAATATTTGCCATAAAGCCATCTGATCCTGGGTTTTTCTTTGGAAGTTTCTGATTATGGACTTAATTTCCTTACTCATTGTTGGTCTGTTCAGATTTTCTAGTTCTTCATGATTCAGTGTTGATAAGTTGTATGTTTCTATGAATTTATCCATTTCTTCCAGGCTACATAATTACTTGGCATATAAATTTTCATAACTTATATGGCATAAAAATCCTTCAATACTCTTATGATCTTTTGCATTTCTAGGTTTCAGCTACAATGTCTCCTCTTTCACTTCTGATTTATATGAGACTTATTTTTAGTCCTAGCCAAGGGTTTTTCTATTTTGTTTATCTGTTCAAAGAACCCACTCTTAGTTTTTAAAAATCTTTTATCTCTAGTCTCTATTTCATTTATTTCTATTGTGATTTTTTTTTCCTTCCTTCAACTGAGTTTGGGCTTAGTTTATCCTTCTTTTTCTAGTTCTATAAGGTTTAACATTAGGTTATTTGAGGTCTTTCTTCTGTTGCTATAAACTTCCTCTTAGAACTGCTTTTGCTATACCCTATAAGTTTTGCTATGTTGTGCTTCCATTTAAATTTCTCTCAAGATATTTAAAATTTTTCCTTTTGGTTTCTTCTTTGATCCACTGGTTGTTCAGAAGCATGTTGTTTAATTTCCACATATTTGTGATTTTCCCTAAATTTCTCCTGTTCTTGATTTATAGTTTTACTCCACTATGGTCAGAAAAGATAACTTGACATGATTTCAACCTCCTTAAATTTGTTAAGACTTGCATATATGCTTGTGAAAATGTGTATTCTGCAGGTTTTGGATAGAATGTTCTAAATATATCTGTTAGATCTATTTGATCTAAAGTGCAGTTCAAGCTCAATGTTTTCTTATTTTCTGTCTGGATGATCTGCCCATTGTTGAAAGTGCAGTATGCATTGCAGTCTGTCTCTCCCTTCAAATCTATTAATATTTGTTTTATAGATTTAGGTGCTCCGATGTAGAGTGCATTTATATTTACAATTGTTATATCCTCTTGATGAACTGACCCCTTTATCATTATGTAATGACATTCTTTGTTTTCAGTTTTTGACTTAAAGTCTATTTTGTATGATGTAAGTATAGCCACCTCTGCTCTTTTTAAATTTCCATTTGCCTGCAATATCTTTTTTTTTTTTATTATACTTTAAGTTCTAGGGTACATGTGCACAATGTGCAGGTTTGTTACATATGTATACATGTGCCATGTTGGTGTCCTGCACCCATTAACTCATCATTTACATTAGATATATCTCCTAATGCTATCCTCCCCCCTCCCCCTACCCCACAACAGGCCCCGGTGTGTGATGTTCCCCTTCCTGTGTCCATGTGTTCTCATTGTTCAATTCCCACCTATGAGTGAGAACATGCGGTGTTTGGTTTTTTGTCCTTGCAATAGTTTGCTGAGAATGATGGTTTCCAGCTTCATCCATGTCCCTACAAAGGACATGAACTCATCATTTTTTATGGCTGCATAGTATTCCATGGTGTATATGTGCCACGTTTTCTTAATCCAGTCTATCACTGATGGACATTTGGGTTGGTTCCAAGTCTTTGCTATTGTGAATAGTGCCGCAATAAACATACGTATGCATGTGTCTTTATAGCAGCATGATTTATAATCCTTTGGGTATATACTCAGTAATGGGATGGCTGGGTCAAATGTTATTTCTAGTTCTAGATCCTTGAGGAATCGCCACACTGTCTTCCACAATGGTTGAACTAGTTTACAGTCCCACCAACAGTGTCAAAGTGTTCCTATTTCTCCACATCCTCTCCAGCACCTGTTGTTTCCTGACTTTTTAATGATTGCCATTCTAACTGGTGTGAGATGGTATCTCATTGTGGTTTTGATTTGCATTTCTCTGATGGCCAGTGATGATGAGCATTTTTTCATGTGTCTGTTGGCTGCATAAATGTCTTCTTTTGAGAAGTGTCTGTTCATATCTTTTGCCCACTTTTTGATGGGGTTGTTTTTTTCTTGTAAATTTGTTTGAGTTCTTTGTAGATTCTGGATATTAGCCCTTTGTCAGATGAGTAGATTGCAAAACTTTTCTCCCATTCTGTAGGTTGCCT
This sequence comes from Homo sapiens, assembly GCF_000001405.40. Taxonomy (NCBI): domain Eukaryota; kingdom Metazoa; phylum Chordata; class Mammalia; order Primates; family Hominidae; genus Homo; species Homo sapiens. Next base: position 127,751,630 of record NC_000004.12, on the reverse strand, counting down.
GTTCACTCTGACGGTAGTTTCTTTTGCTGTGCAGAAGCTCTTTAGTTTAATTAGATCCCATTTGTCAATTTTGGCTTGTGTTGCCATTGCTTTTGGTGTTTTAGACATGAAGTCCTTGCCCATGCCTATGTCCAGAATGGTATTGCCTAGGTTTTCTTCTAGGGTTTTTATGGTTTTAGGTCTAACATTTAAGTCTTTAATCCATCTTGAATTAATTTTTGTATAAGGTGTAAGGAAGGGATCCAGTTTCAGCTTTCTACATATGGCTAGCCAGTTGCCCAGCACCATTTATTAAATAGGGAATCCTTTCCCCATTTCTTGTTTTTGTCAGGTTTGTTAAAGATCAGATGGTTGTAGATGCCTGGTATTATTTCTGAGGGCTGTGTTCTGTTCCACTGGTCTATATCTCTGTTTTGATACCAGTACCATGCTGTTTTGGTTACTGTAGCCTTGTAGTATAGTTTGAAGTCAGGTAGCGTGATGTCTCCAGCTTTGTTCTTCTGGCTTAGGATTGACTTGGCAAGGTGGGCTCTTTTTTGGTTCCATATGAACTTTAAAGTAGTTTTTTCCAATTCTGTGAAGAAAGTCATTGGTAGCTTGATGGGGTATATGTGTATACTTAAGGCTAAAGTAAGCCTCTTATAGGCAACTGACTGTTGAGTCTTTTTAATCCCTTTACCACTATGTTTTTTAATTAAAAATCATTCATTTACAATTTAAGTTATTGATAAATATGGACTTACTATTGCCATTTTGTTAACTGTTTACTTTTTTGTAGTTCATTTCTTCTTTTCCTCCAATCTTGGTGTCTTCCTTCATAATTTGTTGTATTTCTGTAAAGGTAGGCTTTAATTCCTTTCTCTTTTTTTTTGTATTTACTAGAGGTTTTTAACTTTATGGTTATCATGGGGCTCACATAAAACACTTTATAATTACAATATTCTAATTTAAGGTGATTATCAACTTAAGTTCAACTGCACATAAAAACTCTACACGTTTACTTCTCCATTTTATGCTACTGATATCACATTTTACATTTATGTATACTGCATATCTGTTAAATATTATAGTTGTTTTTAATAATGTCTTCTGACGTTAAGGATTAAAAGTGATAAACACATCACCTTTACAGTATTAGAGTATTTCAAATTTGACAATACAAATGGTTCAAATTACAATTTTTGACTTTACCATGAGTTTATAAGGAAATAATCCCATCATGAGTCAAGGAGTATTTGGACTTCCAATGGTTCAACTTATGATTTTTGACTATATAATCAATTTATCAGGGCATTAAATGCATTTTTGACTTAATATTTTCCACTTATGAGTTTATCATGATGTAACCCTACTGTAAGTTGACGAGCACCTGTATACCTTTACCACTTAAGTTTATACTTTCATATGTTTTCATGTTATTTATTGTCTTTTCAACTTAAAGAATTCCCATTAGCATTTCTTGCAAGCTCAGTCTGGTGGTGATGAACTCCTTTAGCTTTTGCCTTGAAATGTGTCTTTAACTCTCTTTCATTTCTGACAGACAATTTAGCCAGGTGTAATATTCTTGGCTGACATTTTTTTTTTCTTTTAGCACTCTGAAAATGTCATGCCAATACTCCTGGCTTGCAAGGTTTCCTTTAAGAAGTTCACTTATAACCTCACGTGATTAATTCTTTCTGCTACTTTTAAAATTCTTTGTTTTTGACTTTTGGCAAGTTGGTTAAAATGTATCTCCTAGTATTCTTTGTTAATTTATTTTTAGACATGGGGTCTTGCTATATTGCTCAGGCTTGTCTCAAACTCCTGGCTTCAAGCAATCATCCCACCTCAAGTATTCAGGATAACCAGAGTTATCCCAGCCTCCTCAGGATCTGGGATAACAGGAGTGAGTCACTGTACCTGGCTTTTTTTTTTTTTTTTTTGAGATGGAGTCTCACTCTGTCACCCAGGCTGGAATGCAGTGGTGCAATCTCAGCTCACTGCAATCTCCACCTCCTGGGTTCAAGCGATTCTCCTGCCTCACCATACCCAGCTAATTTTTGTATTTTTAGTAGAGATAAAGTTTCACCACGTTGGCCAGGATGGTCTCGATCTGCTGACCTCGTGATCCGCCTGGCTCGGCTTCCAAAAGTGCTGGGATTACAGGCCTGAGCCACTACACACCAGTGCCCATCCACACCTGGATCTTTTTAAAATTAATCTTGCTTGGAGTCCTCTGAGCTTCCTGAATCTGGACGTCCATACATTTCCAAAGATTTGGGAAATTTTCAGACAATATTTTTAAAAATAAGCTTTCTTCCCCTTTTTCTTCATTGTGTACTGCCATAATTCACACATTTGTACATTTGATGGTGTCTCATAGGTTCCTTATGCTTTCTTCAGTCTTTATATTTTTTTCTCTAATTGGCTAATTTTAAATGACCTATCTTTGAGTTTGCTGATACTTTCATCTGCATGATTGCGTCAGCTGTTAAAGCTCTCTACTGAGCTTTTTCAGTTCTGTCACTGTATTCTTCAGCTCCAGGATTTCCGTTTTGTTCTGTTTTTTTTTTTTAATGGTTTCAATTTCATTATTAAAGTTCCCATTTTGTTCATGTATGGTTTTGTTTTCCTATTTTCATTCAGTTGTCTATCTTGCATTAAGATTCTTTAAGATAATTATTTTGAATTATTTCATAGGCAATTTGTATATCTCCATTTGTTTGGGGTCTGTTATTGGAGCATTATTAGTTTCCTTTGGTGATGCCCTGGTTGCCTGAGTCTTTGTTATCCATGTAGCCTTGTATTGGTGTCTGGATATCTGAAAGACCAAACTTTTCTTGCAGTCTTAGAAAACTGGTTTTGGCAAGTTAAAATCTTCTCCTGTTAGGTCGTTGGACTGATAGGACTGCTATATAGATAGCAGTTCAGTGGGGTTGGATCCAAGTCACATGGCTGCTGCTGGGTCCACAGTGGAGAATGGAGTTGGTGGGTCTCTAACCAAAAACTGTAGTGAGCACATATCCTATCTAGATTCTGGGTGAACTGGACTGTCTCAAGGACCTTGGTCTGTGAGTTGGTGCCAGGATGAGGGCCTGCACGTTTCATTGATGGTAGGCCTGTTACTAGGTGTGCTGATGGGTGTGGTTTCCTCCCAACTCTGGAACCACTTCCATTAGATGACTGGGTGGGTCCCTGGGAAGGGAGTACTGACTTGGTCCATGGGTGACAGGGGCTGGAACCAAGTCACAGGGTTGTTTTAGGACTGTTGAGACCGAGCTCTTTAAGCTTGTCTCTGGGGTCACGTACAGATGAGCCTCCTGGTGGGTTGCTGGGTGAGCAGGCATGCTCTCAGGCTGCAAATGAGAAGGGCAGGAGCCGATTTATAGGACTGTTTCAAGATCTATAAGGGACTGAGGTGAGTGACTCAGCTGGGAGAGTTTGTGCTAACATTGTGATTTATGGTAAACACCTGTTTGTCTATGCCTGAGGTTTTGGACTAAGCTGTATGAGTTTGATCTCTGGAAGGGGACCAGAAACTGTGTAGCTAAGGTCAGTCACATTCCACGCCTATGATACTGATCCCAAAGAAAAACCCTGGACACCAAGGCTTAGGTAAGCTCACTGTGGCAACACATCACGTGTTGTCGTATGTTCTTGGGAAGTAAGTATTCTGTCTACATGATTCACTAGGATGGGACAACTATAAACTTGCACCTGGTTTCTCTAGGTCTCTTCCCTGTGTGCCTTTTTCCTTTGATTTTAATTGGAGTACCTTTGCTTTAATAAACCACAGTATAACAGATTTTCTAAGTTCTATATGTCCTTCTAGTCACTGACCCTGAGGATAGTTTTGGAGACCCTGACGCTGTGGAACTAACAATCTGAGTCAAGGGAAATTCCAATTATTAGAGCTGTCAGCTTAAGAGGCCAGAAACATTTTACTGAATGCCTGTCATAAAAGCAAGGTACTATGCTATGCATTTCACAAGTAATCTCATCTAAACCTCATAATAAAACTACGAGATAGGTATTATTATGCCCAAATTTTAGAAGAGGAAACTAGGGATCAGAGAAGTAAACTGACTTTTAAAACCTCATACAGTCACAAAGAGAATAAAATACCTAGGAATACAGCTAATCAGGGAAGTGAAAGATCTCTATCTGATATCTTCTCTGATTTCTATGAGCAGTGTTTTGTAATTCTCATCTTTCACCTCCGGAGGTGACACAAACAAATGGAAAAATATCCAATGCTCATGGACAGGAATAATTAATATCATTAAAATGGTCATATTTCCCAAAGCAATTTACAGATTCAATGCTATTCCTATCAAACTACCAATGACATTCTTCAGAGAACTAGAAAAAACTGTTTAAAAATTCATATGTAACCAAAAAAGAGCCCGAATAGCCAAACAAAAATATCAAAGCTTAGAGGTATCATGTTACCCAACTTCAAACTATAGAACTGGGCTAAAGTAACCAAAACAGCATGGTACTAAGACAAGAACAGGCACATAGGCCAATGGAACAGAATAGAGAGCCCAGAAATAAAACTGCACATCTACAGTCATCTAATCTTTGACAAAGCTGACAAAAACAAGCAATGAGGAAAGGACTCCTTATTCAATAAATAGTGGTGGGATAACTGGCTAGCCATATACAGAAGATTAAAGCTGGACTCCTTCCTTACACCATATATAAAAATCAACCCAAGATGGATTAAAGACTTAAATGAAAAACCCAAAACTATAAAAACCCTGGAAGACAACCCAGGCAATATCATCCTTGACATAGGAATGGGCAAAGATTTCATGAAAAAGACACCAAAAGCAATTGCAACAAAAGCAAAAATCGACAAATAGGATCTACTTAAACTTAAGAGCTTCTGCACAGCAAAAGAAACTATCAACAGAGTAAACAGACAACCTACAGAATGGGAGAAAATATTTGCAAAGTGACAAAGGTGTAGCTACTATCTAGCATCTACAAGGAACTTAAATTTGCAACAGAAAAACAACCCCATTAAAAAGTGGGCAAAGGACATAAACAGACACTCTTGAAAAAAAGACATACACGTGGCCAACAACCATATGGAAAAGGCTCAGTATCACTGATCATTAGAAAAATGCAAATCAAAACCACAATGTGATACTGTCTCATGGTCAAAATGGCTACTATTCAAAAGTCAAAAAATAACAGATGCTGGCGAGGTTGTGGAGAAAAGGGAACACTTATACTGTTGGTGGGAGTGTAAATTAGCTGGACCATTGTGGAAAGCAGTATAGTGATTCCTCAAAGAGCTAAAAACAGAGGTATCATTACTGGGTATATACCCAGAGTAACATAAATCATTCTACTATAAAGACACATGTATGTGAATGTTCATTGTAGCACTACTCACAATAGCAAAAACCTGGAATTAACCTAAGTGCCCATAAATGGCAGATTGGATAAAGAAAATGTGGTACATATATAACATGCGATACTATGCAGCCATAAAAAAGTACAAAATCATGTATTTTGTGGGAACATGAACAGAGTTTGAGGCTATTATCCTTAGCAAACTAATGCAGGAACAGAAAACCAAATACTGCATGTTCTCACTTGTAAGTGGGAGCTAAATGATGAGAACTTATGAATACAAAGAAGGAAAAAACAGACATTGGGATCTACTTGAGGGTGGGTGGTGGGAGGATGGAGAGCTGCAGGAAAAATAACTATTGGGTGCTAGGCTTAATACTTGAGTGATGAAATTATCTGTACAAAAAACCCCTGTGACACGAGATTACCTATAAAGCAAACCTTCACATGTACCCCCAAACCTAAAATAAAAGTAAAAAAACCTCATGTAGCTAAATAAGATCCAAATCTAAACCTTCCAATTCTAAGTCTAGGGAATTTTCTTGGTTACCTTTCTACCTGTGCCCCCTCACCCTGCCCCACCACCCTGGCCAAAGTACAGGGCAAAACATTCAATGAACAACTGTTAATAAAACTGTGAAAAAAGGGAATACAGAGCATAAAAGGAAATTTAAGGAGGCAGCAACAATGAAATGTTCCACAAAGACTTGCTTTTAAGAAACCTCCTAAGACAGCTTGGTTGGCTGAGGCAGGAGTGGGAGATGAGGAGTAATAGGGAGAAAAAGAGAAAAGATGAGGGGGAAGAGAGATTTTTTAAGAGTGAGGGGAAGATCTTGGGAGTAATGTAGGTAGTATAGTGTATTGCATACAACAAAACAAATAGAAATCAGAATAAATAACATGTAGTTTATATGAGTAGGAAATTTTGAAATTGAGATTTTGTAACCAAGGGAGTAATTACTTCGAAAAAAAAAAAAGTATCCTTGCAATAAAAAGAATTCTCTAGTTTAAATTTATCATTTTCCAGTTTTGCTCCATTTGGACTTCCTATACACTTTAATCTCAGCTAAATATATCTTTATTCTCAAAGAAGAAAGAATTTACTTCTTCAGGATATAAATTACCTCAGTAATAGGAACTACGTACTTGTTGATTTCTTTCTGCGCTTAAAATAAGCAGACAAAATGCCATGTTTCCCCAGCGCAAAACAGTGATAAGATGAAATTACATTAAGTGTAATATTTATTCAAAAAATACTGCCTTGAGACAAAAGATCCTTTATGATTTTTGTAACAATAAACACTTACTATTTTTTCCCACTACTTGAGCACATCCTCCCCAAATAAAACATCACAGTTAAGACAAATCTAACCATTTTAAAGAAAATTTTAGAGATAGTGAAATATATTTACATTGGATGGGAAATTTATATTGGATGGAAAATTTCTATATTGGAAGAAAAAAGTAAAAAAAAAATATAATTACCTGTTTTTCTTTATTAACTCCAGACATGAATAGCTGCTTGTATTTGTCCTTAAAAGCAAAGTTTAGAGCTTGTGTTGGAAAATACCGAATAACATTTGCCAAATTGCCACGCCAAAAACTGAAGAAACCTACAGAGGGAAACATATAAATACATAAACCTACATTGTATTATTAAACAATTGCCATAGTTTTAGCAAATTTAGCTATATGAACTATCTAAAACATACTCTTTCTTATGAGAAAAATAAAGTTTTCTAAAATGTGTGTCTCCATTGAAAAATAAAAAGGCAGTGTTAACTCTATTGAACCCCATTCCATTTTTTAAAAAATTTCAAATAAAGAGCTTTGAATACCTAAAACGGAAAGTGTTATCAGTTGAATACAGGGCTCTTTACTAGTAGATAAACAGAACTCAGTTGTATTTCTCAGAGGCTAGTAACCCTAAGGCTTATTCCCAAATCCTGATGTATAACACCTATGGTGGTAAGGCTGTTACAAATGAGTATGATAGAATAAATCCACTTACTGATTTGTACACATACTTATGAGAATGAGAACAGGATAAAAGAATCTAAAGTGCCCTTATCTTTATGATCTGGAACCATTTTGAATGGGTGTTAAAATTTATCCAGAAAAGGGATCCATTTCAATTCCAGGCAGTTTCTAGAGAACTGAGGGAGAGATGGGAAGAAATCTTTGACGCCAGTAATCTCCCTACCTGAATTCTCCAGGGATTGACCAACCCATATAATTCATTGTGTACCCCTTAAAATTCAGAACTATCCTTATGATATAGAGCTGCCCTAGAGCATGGCAGGCTAGCTCTGCAATAGCCTTGGTTGTTTTCACTCGATTACAAATTGTAAAATGCTTTGGCCTTGCTGTTCTGAACAGGATACCTCTAGCACCAGTTCGGAGAATACCCAGAATCAGTCTTTTAAAAATAAAGATTCAAAAGAAAATAATCTCAGTTAACTGCGCTAGTGCTCAGAATTGAACAAAGTTAGATAAGTACATAGAGGGAAAGATAATTATTTGTTAAATAAGTAACATTAACCCTGTGGGAAAAAATAATCTTGGTGAACCCAAGGCTGAATATAAAGTGATTACACAAAGACAATTCAGAAGCATATTTAATGGCAAAGAAATAATCTTCTCAGTACTCATAGCTGACTCCATCTTTACTAGAGTATTCAACATGTGATGGTAACAACTACTACTTACTGAGCATTCACTATATGAACCAGTCACTGGCAAAGGATTTACATGTATATCATGTAATCAATTATGCTTATTATGTAGGTTCTCCAACAGCACCCATTTTAAGTATGTACAAAGTGAAACTTTAAAAAGTTTAAAAACTAGGCTAGGTGCAGTGGCTCACGCCTGTAATTCCAGCACTTTGGGAAGCCAAATTGGGAGGACTGCTTGAGCTCAAGAACTCAAGACCAGCCTGGGCAACATTGTGAGACCGCATCTCTACAAAAAATTAAAAAAATAAATTAGCCGTGTGCCGTGGCATGTGCCTGTAGTTCCAACTACTCAGGAGGCTGAAGTAGGAGGATTTCTTGAGCTGAGGACGTAGAGGCTGCAGTGAGCTATGATCACACAACCTCATTCCAGCATGCGTGACAGAATAAGAACCTGTCTTCAAAAAAAAAAAAAAAAAGAAAAGAAAAAAGAAAAACTCTCTGAGGATTACTAGCCAACCAAGACTTAAAATCAGGCTTTCTGTCTGACTCCAAAACTCTACTCTAGGCTTGGATTTCTGGAGAAACAAATCACAGAAAAGTTCTAAAATTATAATAGATGAAGCTTTATTAAAAAAAGAAACTGCTGTAACAATTTTTGAACAGGAAGATAATGAAAAAGTTCACAAATACATGGAAATTAAACAACATGCTCTTAACAACCAATGGGTCAAAGAAGAAATGAAGAGGAAAATTAAATCTTGGGATAAAATGGAAACACAACATACCAACACTCACAGATGCATCAAAAGCAGTTAAGAGAGAAGTTTATAGCAATAAATGCATATGTATAAAGAAGAAAGATCTCAAATAACCTAATTTGATACCACAAGGAGCTAGAGAAAGAACAAACTAAGTCCAAAGTTAGAAGAAGGAGAGAGATAATAAAAATTAGTGTTACCAAAATGCCAAGGGTTTAGTCTAGGTTCTGCTGCTTATTGCACAGAAAACCAATCACAGAGACGATGAGTACTGCCAGGGAAGAAGGCTGTTTTGGGTGCTGTGTCTGAGGAGAACAGATCAATCTCAAATCCATCTCTTTCATGCACTAAAATTAGGAGTTTATATAGCAGAAAAGAAATGTAACTATGTGTGGGAAAGCAAGAATTAGGGAGGAATAAGAAGAAGGACTTGGTCAACAGGTAATCAATCAGGCAGTCATGACAGGCGAAGGGTTAGTGTCTCAATGTCCAGATGTGGTGATCTGGTAAGTTTCAGTTCCTCGATACTATCTGGGAGGCCCAAAGGTTGGTTTCCTGAGAAAGGAACTCAGATATGACAAATACGAGTTTCTCAAGTTTTAAGACTGAGAGGTCAATTTCTTGGTTTATTGATGAGAAACAATAAACATCAGTTCCATGGGCCAATTGAGCTGGTTTCAATGGCAGAAATAAATGAAATAGAGACTACAAAAATAATAGAAAAATATCAGTCAAACTAAGAGTTTATTTTTTTGAGATCCAGTGCTGGTTGGTATTTTATTAGAAGAAGATAAACAAAATTGACAAACCTCTAGCTAGACTTAAGAAAAAAAGAGAGGAGAGTCAAGTAAGTAAAATTATAAGTGAAAGAAAAGACATTACCACTAACATACAGTAATACAAAGAGTTGTAAGAGATTACTATGAACAATTATATACCAAGAAATTAAATAACATATATGAAATTGATAAATTTCTAGAAACATATAATCTACCAAGTCTGAATCATGAATAAATTTCTGAACAGACCAACAATGATTGAATCAGTAATCAGAAACTTAACAATAAAGAAAAGCCCAGGATCTGATGATTTCACAGCTGAATTCTACTAAATTCATTTTACAAGGCCAACATTACCCCGGTACCAAAGCCAACCAAAATACTACAAGAAAAGAAAATTGCAGGCCAATATTCCAATGAACAAACATGCAAAAATCCTCAGCAAAATACTACCAAATTGAATTCAATATAATGATAAAAGGATCATTCACCACAATCAAGTGGGATTTATGCCTGGGATGCAAGGATGGCTCAACATGCACAAATGGGTAAATGTCATATACCGCATTAACAGAATGAAGGACAAAAATCATATGAGCATCTCAAAAAATGCTGAAGAAGCATTTGACAGAATTTATCTTTATGTAATAAAAACTCTCAACAAATTAGGTATAGAAGCAATGTACTACAACATAATAAAGGCCATATGTGACAAGCTCACAGATAACATACTCAGTGGAGAAAAGTTGAAAACTTTCCTCTGAGATCAGGAATAAGACAAAGGGATCCACTCTTGCACTTTTATTCAATATAGTACCTTAAGTTCTAGCCAGAGTGATTAGGAAAAAGAAAAGTATCCAAATTAAAAAGAAGTTAAACTGTCTCTGTTTGCAGATGACATGATCTTACATACAGAAAACCCTAAATATGCCAACAAACTATTAGACTAATAATTCAGTAAAGTTTTAGGATATAAAATCAACACAGAAAAATCAATCACATTTCTATATACTAACAATGAACTACCTGAAAAAGTAATAAAACAGTATCATTCACAATAGCATACACGAAACATTAGGAATAAATTTAACCAAAGAGGTGAAAGATCTGTACGCCAAAAAGTTTAAAAAACTGATGAAAGAAACTGAAGAGATATCCAGGCATTTGGAGCACCCACTCACCTAGATGAGCAGCCTGAGCCACCCTACCCTTTCTGTGCAGAGATTGTGGTGCAGTGGGGCCCTCTCTGCTTTATACACAGGCAGATCTCCAGGCATTCAAAGAACCTGCTCACCTGCATTGGCAGCCTGAGTCACCCCACCCTTCCTTTGCAGAGATCTGTGTGGAGGAGGCCTTCTCAGCTTCACACTCAGGCAGGCAGAGTACCTACTTGCCATGATCAGCAGCCTGAGCTGCCCCATCCTTCCTGTGCAGACATTGTGGTGAAGTGGGGCTGTCTCTGCTCCACAACCAGGCAGATTTCCAGGCATTCTGACCATCTGCTCTCCTGAATCATCAGCCTGGCGCATCCTTTCTCCCAGTAAATAGGGGTCAAGTACATATGTAGCTGTGTTTGCCTCAGTTGACTCAGCTGTACATGCTATCTACTGGCCTGTAGGTTGGATCCCATAGCCCAATATAAAACCTGCTGACATACATGCATAGGGCTATAGAAGCAAAGTCAAAAGCCCCTGTCCAACATTGTCTACAGTTACACCCCCAAGGGTTATAGAGCAAAGTCAAAAGCCCCTACCCAACACTGTCTACAGTTACACCCCCAAGGGAGGAGGGGGAAAGAGAAAAGAAAAAACCCCAATAATGTTACATAGAAAAAGAAAAAAAATCCTACCTGCATTAAAATGACTACAAAAATTGGAAGCACTAGTGTCTCCAGTTGAGAAGGAATAGGGCAAGAAATCAGGCACCACAAAAAATGTGAATGTAATAACAACACCAAAGGATCACACTAGCGGTCAAGCAATGGTTCCTAGCCAAAATGGAAACTCAGAAATGACTAAGAATTCAAAGCATGAATTGCAAGGAAGCTCAATAAGATCTAAAAGAAGGTTGAAAATAGACACAAACTTCTAGAGTAATCTGGGAAATGAAAGAAGAGATAAACATCTTCAAAAGAAATCAATGAGATCTTATGGAATTGAAAAGCTTACTTAAGAAATTTCAAAATACAATTAAAAAAATTATCAATTGACTGGACCAAGCAGAAGAAAGAAATGCAGAGCTTGAAGACTGGTCCTTTAACCCAGTTAGACAAAAATACAGAAAAAAGAATTTTAATAAATGAACAAAGTCTTTGAGAAATATAAGATTATGTAAAGCAGCCAAACCTACAAGTTACTGGCATTCCTGAAACAGAAAAAGTAAACAACCCAAAAAACATATTTGAGGAAATAATTCAAGAAAATTTCCCTAATCTTTGTCCAGATACAAGAAATCCAGAGAACACCTGTGAGATACTGTACAAAATGAACATCAATCACCAAGGCATATAGTCACCAGAATGTCCAAGGTCAACACTAAAGAAAAAATCTTAAAGAGAGCTAAAGGAAAAGGTCAGATCATGTACAAAGAGAAACCCATCAAGCTAACAGTAGCCTTCTCAGCAGAAACACTACAAGCCAGGAGAGATTGGGGGCCTATTTTCAGCATTCTTAAAGAAAAATTCAAACCAAGAATTTCATATCACACCAAACTAAATTTTATACATGAAGAAGAGATAAAATCTTTTCCAGGCAAGCAAGTGCTAAGAGAATTTAGTTACCACCAGACCAGGTGACAAGCAATCCTTAAGGGAGCTCTACACATGGAAATGAAAGAAAAATACCTGCTACCACAAAAACACTGTTAACATAGCCAAGAGATCCTACAAAGCAACCACACAATATAAAATATGAAGAAACCAGCTAACAAATTCACAATATGATCAAAACCTCATATATCAAATATTAACCTTCAGTGTAAACCTCTAACCACCCCGTTTAAAAGACAGAGTGACAAGTTGGATAAAAAACAAGATGCATCTGTCTGCTGTCTTTAAGAGACCAATCTCATATGTAATGACACCCACAGGCTCAAAGTAAAGGGTTGGAAAAGGATCATGCAAATAAAAAACAAAAAAGAGCAGGGGTCATTATTCTTATATGAGATATAACAGAGTTTAAACCAGCAAAAATAAAAAGGACAAAGATGTGCATCACATAATGAAAAAGGGTTCAATTCAACAAGAAGATTTAACTATCCTAAATATATACATACCCAACATTTGGACCACCCAGATTTATAAAACAAGTACTTCTACACTTACAAAAAGACTTAGCCAGTCACACAATAAGAGTGGGGGACTTCAACACCCCACCAACAGCTTTAGACCATCAAGGCAGAAAATGAACATAGAAATTCTAGACTTAAATTCCACACTTGACCATTCGAACCTAATAGACATCTATAGAATACTCCACCCAACAACCAGAGAATTACATTCTTCTCTTCTACACATGGAACATACTCCAAGATTGACCACATGCTAAGCCATAAAGCAAGTCTCCATAAATACAAAAAAATAGAAATTATATCAACCATACTCTGACCACAACAGAATAAAAACAGAAGTCAATATCAAAAAGATCTCTCAAAAGCACAAATTATATGGAAATTAAACAATTTGGGCCAGGCGTGGTGGCTCACATCTATAATCCTAGCACTTTGGGAGGCTGAGCCAGGTAGATTGCCTGAGCTTAATTTGAGACCAGCCTGGGCAACATGGTGGAAGCCCATCTCTACTGAAATACAAAAAATTAGCTGGGTGTGGTGGTGCACGTCTGTAGTCTCAGCTACTCAGGAGGCTGAGGAATGAGAATTGCTTGAATCCGGAGTGGGAATCGCTTGACTCTGGGAGGCCAAGGCTGCAGTGAGCTGTGATGGTGCCACCACACTCCAGCCTGGGGAACAGAGTGAGACCCTCTCCTAAAAAGAAAATTGAAATCAGCTGTTTAAAGGAAAAAACTAATAAGCTGGTTTTTGAAGGCTATTTTACACATGGCTTTTTAACTATTAATGGCCACTTTGGAAATGGCTAATACAGCTGACTGGTATGAGATATTATGGGTTTCAGACTAGGAGTTATTAGTTATAATTCTGTAATTATGATTATATTGCTGAGTATATAAAAAATGAGTATAATACATAATAGCACAAGCCAGGCATGGTGGCTCATGCCTGTAATCCCAATGGCTTGGAAGGCTGAAAATGGATGACTGCTTGAGGCCAGAAGTTTGAGACCAGCCTGGGTAACACAGTGAGACCCTATCTCTAAAAAAAACAAACCCCAAACAAACTTAGCTGCCATGGTGGCATGTGCCTGTGCTCCCTGCTACTGAGGAGGCTGAGGTGGGAGTTCTTGAACACCAAAACTCCAGGCTGCAGTTAAGTCACGATTGTGCCCTGCAGTCCAGCCTGGGCGATGGAGCAGGACCCTATCTAAAAGAAAAAAAAAAAAAGAGTAGTACAAAGGTTTGTAACTTTGATTAGCGTACTGAACATAAACAGAAGGTTTTAATGATAAAGACATCTGGAAACTAACATGAGACCATGATGACAGAGTGTCAGATTTATGACTAAAGAGGTTTGCTAGTGTTGGCTGAAGAATGTGTTCCTTTGAGAAAAATTGTATTTGCACGAATAAAACCATTTGCATCAAAAGAAATGTCAATATCTCAATGAAAATTTACAAACAAATCCCTAGAAGTATAACAGGAAAACTGTTAAAGTAGTATAGCAGGCAATTCTTAATGGGTTAGGTCAGAAAAAATATAAAATCTCACATACATAAAATAGTTTTACATAGATGTCACAGAATTCTTGAATTCCCTGAAGCTCCAGGTGTCAGGTTAAGAACTCTTGTTTTAACCTCTTTTCCCATAGATCACACTAAAACATCTTATTCTTATTTCCTTCTTTGCCTCTGCTGTACCTTGCTGTTAGAAACTCCAATGCCCCTGCTAAGAGTATAACACAGGAGGAGCCCCTAAGTAAAATTCTGAATGCATTTTCTAACTATTTTTGGGAGTCAGGTTTCAGCGTTTTAATTCAACTCTACTTAGATATGCTATGCACTACATAGGTTCCAGTTCCCTTGGATAGATTACAAAAATCTACTCTATGCATAATGCAAGTTTATCCCAAATTATTTCATTTACAAATGAACATCTGGAGTACATGTTTATAAATTCAGGAACACACACATACACATTAGTAACAATTACTTGAGCACTAACTATGGTGTAGACACATGTTGAATATTTTACATGCATTATCTTCTTTAATCCTCACAACTACCGTATCAGATAGGTATAGTTATTATACCAGTATACCACTGAGGGAACTGGGGCTGAGAAAGGTTAAATAAAAACTGTTCAAAGTTACAAGATATAGGAAAGGCTGAGACTTGGTTCTAGGTCCATTCGACTCGAGGTCTAGAGTTACTGCACTTCTATTGCCTCTATATAAAAATCCATTCTGGATAAAACAGTATTTTTTGGTTAGAATAAAACAAGGTTAAAGCAGAAGTGATACAATGGCAGGAACGTTTTGACTCTCTAGTCATACAGAATAAATGGATGGTTTCTTAATATATATCACAAAATTGGTAGAGAAAAATATAGTGATGGTGACCTCTTTCTCCATTAAAAGTAAAATAAATAAATAAAAGTTTAAGTTTCTAATTCCTAAGAAAAAAATTTCTTCAAAATTTAAGAAGGATGAGAAAAACCTGCTCTGAACCTAATTTTGAACAAATAAATAAGAATTGAAATAAAAGTGACAGGAAAAAGTTACTGGGCCATTTATTGGCTGGCCTTGCCAAGAACAAGAATGTTAGGCATTCACGCCTGTAATCCCAGCACTTTGGGAGGCCGAGGCGGGCGGATCACGAGGTCAGGAGATCGAGACCATCCTGGCTAACAAGGTGAAACCCCGTCTCTACTAAAAATACAAAAAATTAGCCGGGCGTGGTAGCGGGCGCCTGTAGTCCCAGCTACTCGGGAGGCTGAGGCAGGAGAATGGCGTGAACCCGGGAGACGGAGCTTGCAGTGAGCCGAGATCGCGCCACTGCACTCCAGCCTGGGCGACAGAGCGAGACTCCGTCTCAAAAAAAAAAATAAATAAATAAATAAATAAATAAATAAAATAAAAGAATGTTAGGCATGTTTGGATATACAGTCTAAACCAACATTTTTTTTTTTTTTTTGCAGGGGAGGTTCAACATGTTTTGATGATATGCCTATCAATTAAAAAAAAAGTCTGCATGACTTCCAAATAGTATACATTAATAAATTATATACCTTTGCAACTATACTACCATATTATGTACATCTGTAAAACATACTCAAAATATAAATTAAAGAATGAGATAAAGATTTTTCATTTAAAAACTTTTATTTGGTACCTCCTCCACAGCAGACATTTTGTGCCTACTGGGGACAGCACTAGGAACAATGTTCCTGATCTTATGGAGCTTACATCTTAAGAGGGAGGGACCAGGGAGACAGGTAGCAAATAACTATGTCTGTTAGCAATAAAAAACTGTAAACAAAAAAACAATATATGAAGATTGGGAATAATAAAAGGCTATTTAGATAGGGTTGTTAGGGAAACTTGAATGTTAGATGATATTAGAGCAAAGTTAAACATTTATTTAAAAGATGAAAAACAATATTTTCAAACATCTTGCTAATTATGATGCTTTCACACCACCATTTACTATTATCTCAAGGCACTGTTAGGGTGAAGTTCATTTTTAAGAATAGTATATAGGAATCTATATTTCAAATAGTCTTCTTGTCTCAGGTCCAATTAGACTGTCATTGTTTCTACACTGAATGTCATGTGAATGATGAAATAATACGCCATTTCTTGGAGTAAATGGCATCAGCTTTTTCTTGTGGTTCATCATTTGATATTGGTGTTACCCTTGATTTGGTTTTCACGGCAGAATCTTTTTCAAAGTTTTGTCCATGTTTTGAGGATTTAGTTAAAACCTGATAATAGAATCTATAAATCCAGTTAATTGGGCAAACATAAACAATAATATATTATTGAGGAAGGGTGCTTGTCATTCCCTCTACCTTGTGTAACTCCCACTCTTTTTTTCAGGATCCCTTAATGTCCCGTGATATGTAACTGACATTGGGCCCAAGCATAGGGGACAATGCCAATTTATATATTAAATATCAGTAAAATTTATTTTTGTATTTTACTTAAAGTACATATAAATAAAATACCTAATATTTTCTTCCCATACCCCAAAATAGCATCTTCAAGATGGACCCTAGGATATTAAAAAACCTCACTGTTCTAAGTCTTCAGAAAAATGGGTTTGGGAAAAGCTTAGATGAAAGCTGATAAACTCGTGACACGGAACTCCTAAAAGAGAAGAGTTTGGATAGGCTTGTAAAAATGAGACTGTACGGATCTTTTTTTTTTTTTTTTTTTTTTTTTTGAGACAGTCTTCCTCTGTACCCAGGATGGAGTGTAGTGGCACGATCTTGGCTCACTGAAGCCTGTGCTTCCCAGGTTCAAGTGATTCTTGTGTTTCAGCTTCCCAGGTAGCTGGGACTATAGGCGTGCGCCACCATGCCCAGCTAATTTTTGTATTTTTAGTAGAGACGGGGTTTCACCATGTTGGCCAGGCTGGTCTTGAACTCCTGGCCTCAAGTGATCTGCCCACCTCTGCCTCCCAAAGTGCTGGCATTACAGGCATGAGCCACCACACCCAGAAAATCAGTTCTTTAAAAGGCTACATTTACAATATACTAATAAGACAGTTCCTTTGATTAAACACATATTTACATATGTATATTTTGCTCAGTGAAAAACCAAAATGTTAATTGTGGTGACTTTAGCAGTGATGTTACTTTTTGCTTCTTTATATTTTCTAATTTTCTACAATAATTATGCATTATTTGCATAATAAAGGTTTAAACAGTGTTAAATAAAAGTACACATACAAAGTTGGCAGGTGATAAAACCAACTAAAGAATATAATAAATCTTTAAGAACAACATAAGGATAAATCCAGAAGCTTTCATAAGCCAAGAAAAGCTTATAAAAAGTGTCAGAAACACTCAAAGTGATATTTAAAGCTATATTCAAGGCAAGAATGCAGAGATCTATTCTTGTAATGGAAAGAAAGTAGAGATAAGGTAAGAAACTAGAGAGCATCTAGTTGTGCATTCTGTGTTCATATCTCTTTCTCCAGCTCATTTCACATGGCCTAAAGAAAGGAAAAGTTGTGAATAAAATTAGAGAAAACATAAAAACAATCTTCAGGACACCTGAGATGTGCATGTGTCTTGACTTTCAAAAAAGAAAGAGAAGGCAAATTGCAAGAAATTTATGTTTTAAAATAAGGAAGTTGGTAGGTCATGACCATACCAAAAATATAATAGTCAAGCTTGCCTCTACTTATAACGATTCAGTTGTAATTAACTGCATATTGACATTTTGAAATACGTCAAATAAATATGTGTACAAGTATACATACAATCATCATAGATTCAATAGCTACAAATACAGATGACACAGGTTGAGCATCACTAATCCAAAAATCCAAAATTCTCCAAATCTGAAACTTTTTGAGCACTGACATCATGGGCAAAGGAAATGCTTATTAGAGCATTTTGGATTTTAGATTAGGGATGCTCATGTGTAAATATAATGAGAATATTCTAAAATCTGAAAAAATTAAAAATTCCACAACTTTTGGTCCCAAGCTTTTCGGATACTCAACCTGTATAAATGATGACCAAATACTATAAGCAGAGTTGCTGACATGAGTTTCTGCAATGATGAACTCTTAGTAAACTTCTGAACAGAAGAAAGTACGATCTTTTTTCTACTTCCTTATATGGTAGCTGCATTACTGGAATCAGTGTATACTAAAATCATGCCCCAGACAATGTGTTTATAAGTAAATCAGAGTTAAGTTATTTCTAGGCTTAGAGAAACATAAACAGGTTTCACTGCTACACGAAAATCGAAGGGGAGATCTAAAAGTCATTCAGGTTGCGGGATAAATCTTCATCATGTATGACTGGCCTGCATATAGCAGCAGGACGTTTAACATTCCTGGCCCTTGCCTTTCATACCATTGTAAAGTAGGATTATACCCCTCTATCTTTGTGCTAAATAAAAAAAAATTGCCCCACAAGTTTCCGAAATTGCCTCTAGATGGCAATAGTATCCTTGTAAATTACTGATCTCTTAGCATAGGATACACCATGGTACCTTCATAAAGCTTTATATATAATAGAAAACATCTTCAAGTTCTACTTATGATCCTCTCATCTTGGAACTTAAAGCAAGGACCAGGATACATCTGAGAATGATATCAACTTACAAGGGCCATATTGAATACGTTTAGGTTTAAATATTGTGAAAAACATTTAAAATATGAAATAAATTAGCACTAGTCAGCCCTATCTGACCAGAATACTTCATTTTACCTGACAAAATATTTGAAGCAGAAAAGCTAATAATAGAGAGGCCCCTACTTCTCTTCAGAAGTCTTAGAATATAAACGAAGAAGAGACAGGTTCCTTGCTTTTCCTGAAAAAATCTTGGGGGAAATGAGAAGCTTGCTTTAATTAAATGAATGAGTGGAGAGAGGCAAACTATGAAAGACCTGAGCTTAGCTCCCAGATGATGCATTAAGTTTCTACCCCTGACCCCATATACTCCACGCCACAGGTCTGGAAGAGTTGTAACCACATCCCTAGCATTCCTAGGGTACAAGGTGCTTTTTTAAATGGGACAGTATCTGGCCCTAGAACAGGACTAAAAGAAAGGTCTGCACTGGAGTTGAAGCCACTTCATTTCTTGAGAATACACAATAAATGTCTATTTCTTTTTAAAAGATCATACAGATTTTTCTATTGAATCCAACTATATGGGTGGATTATATAAAATATCTGATAGACTTATCCCTTTAGCTAACTTGGGAGCCATTTTGCAGCAATGGTTCACAAAGCACTTTCGTTATTTCTTTAAATCATTCCAATATTAATAGAAAAAATCAATGATGAACAAAAATGAAATTTTAAATAAGGACAGTGCTTGATGCAAAAAGAAAAACTGGTAATACTGATCCCATCTTTATTTTAAACTTGTATATATTGTGTTTGTTATGAATTCTTTTGCATGACTTGATTTTTAAAAGATTGCATTAAAATAGTTTAAAGTTTTTTTTTTTTCCTGTTTTTAGGAGTGGAGGTTTAATAGAAAAAATAAAGAGAAAGGAGAACAGCTCTCTCTCTAGTTGAAAGAGAGGGGCTTCGGAAACGGAAGGACCCTAAAGTTTTGTTTGTTTTTTTGAGACAGGGTCTCACTCCTTCATCCAGGCTGGAGTGCGGTGGCGCGATCTGGGCTCCCTGAAATCCCCGCATCAGGGTCCCGCAAGTAGCTGGGACTGCAGGCGTGCGCCACCACGCCCGGCTAATTTTTGTATATTTAGCATAGACTGGGTTTCGCCATGTTAGTCAGGCTTGTCTAGAACTCCTGAGCTCGAGCTCAAGTGATCCGCCCGCCTCGGCCTTCCAAAGTGCTAGGATTATAGGCGTGAGCCACCGCGCCTGGCCTTAAAATACTTTTTATCTTGATGACTGAGGGTTGGGTTTTTTTTTTTTAGGGCCCCCTTGAATTTTGGGCAGAACGAAGTACCCCCTTGGTCTTCAGTAGAATAAGCAGAACCTCTTTTCACTAATAGGTTTCAGAGTACTGGTAAGCCCTAGTGCTCCCATATTTGTACTTCTCTTAGACATACTATTTCAACAAATATACATATAGATTTTGACTCAAGGTCTCCTCTGTCGCCCATGCTGGAGCATAGTGGGGTGATTATACCAACAAATATTTAAGCAACTTAGAGCACTAGTTATAGCAGAGTGCCTAATGGCATCTCCCTCAATCCTGGGAGGTCAACCACTCTCCTTCTGGACCTGGCACAGGTGCACCAAGGTGTAAATCGCACTGCAGATTTAGAGAAAGAGAAGGCAGTGGTCTCCCCGGTACCAGGACTTGGTCAGGACCAACGCGGCCCTGGAAAAGCAGAGCCTGTTAGGTTCAGAAACTAAATTCTGGAAGGGTAAGAAGCAAATTCATCACCGACAGCTGTAGCTGTGGTTGTGGGGCCCACAATCATGCCCCTCCCAGCCACCCTCTTCTCTGGGAAGCTGACGAGGGCGCCGGGAGAGGCTGTCGGGGCGGCCTGCCTTGACGCACCCTGCTCGCGAGGAATCCGCACCAGGCAGTCCACCATGCCTTTGTACCGCGCCTCGGGGCTGATCTGCTTCGACGACGCCTGCACCTGCAGCAGCAGCTTCACCCGCTCGATGGGCGCCACCGCTGTCTTGGACACAGCTGCCGCGACTCCGCCGGCCAGAAGGTCCTTCCCGAAGGATGAGGCGTCAAACAGCCGCTTTTCTGCCTTCTTTTTCGCAGGCTCACGATGCATGATGGAGAAGGATATAAAAACCGGCAGCAGTGGCTAAAAATGAGTACGGGAGCTACGATGAAGGGAAGCGGAAAACCGGAAAACCGCTGCAGCATCGTACTGGCGAGAAAGTGGCTCTTGGGACGCTGAGAGAGCCGCGCGCCGGCGAGGCGCGTGCGGAAAAGCTGCGCAGGCGCTCCAACGGCCTCCAGCCACGTGACGCCTGACACGTGACACCTGACACGTGACTCCTGACACGTGGCTCCTGGATGCGCGGTGACGCCTGCGCACTTCTACGAGCGGAGCCTGGGCTTTCTGATGAGGGAGGGGTCCGGAGGCGGTGAGCATTGAGCAGGAAAGGCGAGGGGAGGGGCCGAGGAGAGCCAGTTCTGTGTGAAGAAATTTAGTAGCTGAGACTAGGCCAGAGCAGTAAACCAGCGGTGTGAGATTAACAGAATTTAGTTTTAGTTCCTAGTGTTACCCCCTTCACTTTCTTAATCGCTTTAATCCGTTACGTTTTTTTTGACCAGAGATGGTTCCTTTGACCTTTCTTGGCATCTTAAAAAAGACAGTCTTACCTGTTGTGTGATTCAAGTGATGTTCCCCTTAAATTTCACCCTATGTGCCTGTTAATGCTTCAAATTCCCTTGGAAATTGCTTTAATCTGTTCCTTTAATTAAGCAGGGATCCTTTGTCTAGTCACTTTCTGTGTCGTTTTGATGATTGTGCCCCCATAGCATAATACATGTTCCTCTTTTTCATATTGTATTTAAATTGATAATATCCAGAGCAGTGGTTCTCAATCCAGACTGCACATTCAAGGGGATGAGGGGTGTTTTGTTTTGTTTTTCAAATTGATGCTTGGGATTAGGCCCTGCACATTAAATCAGAACGTCTAGAAGTGAGGCCTGGCATCAGTATTTAAATTCTCCAGGTAATTCTAGTGTTTGAAGTAATTCTAATTCTAGGGTTGAGGGCCAATGACCTATCTAGAAGAGTAGTTCACAAACTTTTCGATTGCAGGACCCCTCTTTTTCACTCTGAAAAATTATTGAAGGCCAGGTACCAGTAATCCCAAAACTTTGGGCCAAGTCCAGCCTGGGCAACATAGTGAGACCCCTCCTTTACAAAAAAAAAAATAGCTGGGCGTGGCTGCACAAGCCTGTAGTCCTAAGTATAGCTACTTAGGAGGCTAAGACAGGAGAAATGCTTGAGCCCTGGAGTTGTAGGCTGCAGTGAGTTATTATCTCACCACTGTGCTCCAGCCTGGGCAACAGAGCAGGACCCTGTCTCTTAAAAAAAATTATTGAAGACACAATGAAGCTTCCGTTTTTATTATGTATATTGGCATTTACCACTCAGAAATTAAAACACGATTTAAAAATATTTAATTCATTTAAAATAAAAATAATCCATTACAGGATAGCATAAGTACGACTTTTAAATAAAAAATGTAGTAGAAAAATAGTATTGTTTTATATTTTTGAATCTCTAATGTCTGATTTAATAAAAGACAGCTAGATTCACATTACTGCTTTTGCATTCAGTCTGTTGTGATATCATACATGTAGCCACTGGAAAACTCCACTGTTTATTCAGGACAGAATGAAAGTGAAAAAGGCAAATAATAGTATCATTTAAGAAAATACCTTTGACTTCATGGTGTTCCTGTCTCCGTGACACAGAGGGGTTTTCTAAACTGCACTTTGAGAACTCATTTAGAGGAGGTTGGCAGATTCAGGTTTGACTTCTTTCGGCAAAAATACTCAGTAGAGGTACGTCTAGCCTGTACATAACATTTGTCTTTTTCTTTCACCTCACTTTTTTCACTTAATATATCGTGGAGATCCTTCTATAGTAG
Organism: Homo sapiens; assembly: GCF_000001405.40. Taxonomy (NCBI): domain Eukaryota; kingdom Metazoa; phylum Chordata; class Mammalia; order Primates; family Hominidae; genus Homo; species Homo sapiens. The sequence continues at coordinate 127,728,705 of NC_000004.12, read as the reverse complement.
CATTTAATATATCCCTTTTTACAGCTCGTTTGGTGTTTTGAAATAAATGGAGATCCCATCTTATCACCTCTTACTCTGTAGGACCTGCAGAGCCTTACAACACATCTATAAAATGTGAAATGAGTTTTTAGCTTTTTTTGAATGTTAGGTTCTAATTTTTCCTTTGTCTTATGTGTTATAACCCTTCTACTAGTACTTGTCACTAGTAAAAAACCATTTAGGTCAGAAGGATTCCAGACCAGGAATGTTGTCAATATTTTGATTACCTCACATAAAATCAGTTGGCAAGTCCTACTGATATCATATGTTTGGTGCTACTTCCTTTCCATGGTGGCTTATTCAACCTTTTTTTTTGAGACAGAGTCTCGCTCTGTTGCCCAGGCTGGAATGCAGTGGTGCAATATTGGCTCACTGAAACCCGGGTTTCAAGCAATTCTCCTGCCTCCGCCTCCCAAATGGCTGGGATTACAGGCATCCACCACAACACCCAGCTAAGTTTTGTATTTTTAGTGGAGACAGGGTTTCACCATGTTGGCCAGGCTGGTCTCAAACTCCTGACCTCAAGTGATCCACCCGCCTTGGCCTCCCAAAGTGCTGGGATTACAGGCATGAGCCACCACGCCCGACCGGCTTATTCAACTCTTAACTGGGTTTTCCAACTCGAATCTCTGTTTCTCTCTTTCACATGCAGCAGCCAGATTAATGTGTCTAAAGCATTAATTAATTAATTCTTAAGCTTAAACAAAATTGAAAGTCTTTCCATTGCATTGACTTCAAAATCCTTTGTCAAATTCATTGTAAATTCAATAAACAATTGGCTTTTTATTAGCAAACATCTGAAAAATGAAAGGTTTCGTTCTCCTTCAAGGGAATTTGAAGCATTAGCAGGCACATACGGAGAAATTTAAGGGGGAAATTACTTGAATCACTACAGGTAAGAGTGTCTTTTTAAGATCCAAGAAAGGTAAGGGAACCATCTCTGAGGACAGAAAGGAAGTGTTCTGCTGCTCCCCAGGGCAACTTTCTCTTTCTACCCTCCTCTAACATTTGATTTGATAGCTGACAATGTTTACATCATATTCCTTTATGATATCAAGCTTATTTCTGACATGTATTCATTGATAGAAGACAGACAAAAGTGAAAGTGTCAACTTAAAAATGTAGCTTTGTTAACCTTTTAAAAAACTTTTTGTTGAGACAGGGTCTCACTCTGCACCCAGACTGGAATGCAGTGGCAAGATCATGGCACACTGAAGCCTTGAACTCCTGGGCTCATGTAATTCTCCCACCTCAGCCTCCCAAGTAGCTAGGACTACAGGCAAAGACCACCATATCCAGCTAATTTTAAAAATTTTTTGTGGAGATGGGGTCTCCATATCAAGACAAGCCCAAGCTTGTCTTGAACTCATGGACTCAAGCAGTTCTTCCGCCTCAGCCTTTCAAAGTGCTGGGATTACAGTAGTGAGTCACCGCGCCCAGTAGCTTTTTAACCTTATTAAAAGCACTAAATCAACTCTTCAATAGGTCGGAGCTGAAACTGAGTAATTTACTGCATTGATTTTACTTACTGATTAGGGAAGGAAAAAAATTCTAGTGATTTATGTTAACATTAAAAGTAGAGTTTCTGGATCTTTGTTCTGTTCACTTTGCTCTCCGGAGAAATCAGCATGATTAGTTTCCTCACTTCAGGTCTGCAGTCAGCTCAGCATCCCTTTCCTTGGTCACCCTGTCTGCCACATCTTACATCCCCTTCTCTTGCTTTACGATTTTTTCTCTCAGCATTTACATATTTTACTTATTTATCTTGTCTGTGGTATGCCTCTCCCATTGGAACATAAACTCCATGAGGGCAGGAATTTTTAGCTGTTTTATTCATTGCTATAGCCTCTGCCTCCACATCAGCGCTTGGCACAGGGTAGAAATGCAATAAATACATGTTGGATGAATGCATGAAAAAGGCAATACAACTGCAAACAAACCTCCAAACCAGTTTTATTTAAAACTATCAATATAGTATAAAAGTAGCTTTAATTACATAGAATATAGAAACACAACTGCAAAATTAAATTATTTCATACAGTTTTGGTGCATAAAGTTTCAATAACATTTAACAATTTAAAAATATCCAAAGTATAAATTCTTGTTCTGAAAACTGTTTATTGATAAATGATTTTTCTCAGCTTTTCCCCTACATTTTGTACAGTAGCAGGTATGATTTAGCTGACTACTTGGTTTTTCAACCAATGGATATTTAATAATGATAATAATAAATGGTAGCAGTAGTAGCTAACACTTTTATAGCATGTAATATGTGCCAGGCACTGTTTAGAGAGAATTAACACATACAATTATGTCCAAAGCAGAAAAACCTAGTAAATTGGTTTCACAGCTTTGCCCATTTGTATTAGAAATATAAAAAAGCAGGTATTACAAAATGCTATCTTGCCATTATACAGCATCATCAATAGTCCCTTGGCACAAATAAGAAACATTCCCTTACTAGGTACACTTCTTTGGCAAGACACAAACAAGAGCTAAAGAAAGGGGAGAGGGAGAGAAAGTAAGAGTCTAAAATGTAATTTTGGGGGGGCTAAACATATGATAATGAGACAGTATTTGATATTTTAAAAAATGCTAGCTATATATAGTTTTTCACATTAATAGTTGTTGGTGGAAGGGAACATTTGCATACTAATAAAATCCAATTTAACAACGTTTCTATGTCTTCTAAAGCATATTTCTAGGATATCTGCACTGTCATCCTGTCCCCCTTTATTTAATAAAGTAACAGGCACTTTATTGTCTGATAATCAGTTTGATGTTTCAGATGTGATTCTGAACATATTTGGAAAAATAGGCAGCTAAGTTTGCCTTCAGAGCTTAGTTCAATATCCATTTAGAAATGAAAAAATAAGATGTGTGATTTTATTTCTTAAAAATGCAGTGCCTCTTTAACATGGAAATTACAGTGCACATCTACGATACAGCAAATAATTTTCCTTTTATTAAGATCAGTAGTCTGCTCTGCCTTTTTATTTCCATTATTGAGCGATGGTCTCATGTTTCTCTGACACCAGGAAAGCAGTTCAACACATCAAAATTTCATTAAATGAAACAAAAAGTCCCCTATGATAAAACCCTACCTTAGTTCAGTTTGTATGAAAACCTGAGGTGATCAACAGCTACGTTTATTCATAATTATCAGTATTAGAAGTAGTTCATGGTATTTTCAGGGACATATCCAGAAATTTAAGACATTTAATAAATTGTTTTAACCAAAGTGTCTTAATACATATATATGTAAATAAGCAGTCCTAAGACAGCAGTTGTGAGTCAAATGGTAGCATATGACAATATTGTGATCTTAAGGGGAAGGTATTTCAAGCTTTTTTGTTTTTTAAACAGAGCCTCGTTCTGTTGCCCAGGCTGGAGTGGCAGTGGCACGAGCTAGGCTCACTGCAGCCTCTGCTTCCTGGGTTCAAGTGATTCTCCTGCCTCAGCCTCCCAAGTAGCTGGGACTTCAGGCACCTGCCACCATGCCCGGCTAATTTTTTTTTTTTTTTTTTTTTTTTTAGTATTTTTAGTAGAGACAGGGTTTCACCATGTTGACCAGCCTGGTCTCAAACGCCTGACCTCAAGTGATCTGCCTGCCTCAGCCTTCCAAAGTGCTGGAGTTACAGGTGTGAGCAACTGTGCCTGGCCTCAAGCTATTTTCTGTAGCATTTCAAGAACCAAGGTTTTTTACCCTAATTTGAATGCCAAAATTAAGGCCCACTAGTCACTAATGGGACAAATATGTAGTGGTTTGCAACTTAAATGCTTAAGTGAAAATCTCTCAAACTGTGACACAGTGATAATAGTGTTTCTTTTAAGACCAAATGACTCAAATGGTACACCCAGTGTTTTGCAGTTAGTTTTGACTAAGCTGGACAGCTCATATTTAAGATGGAAAAATGTAGAGACCGATTTTAGATGTGCTGGTATAGCTTGTATTCAAAGCTTAAGACCTGGAGAAGAAACAGCTCAGTGTTGGAATGTCTTGGGGGCATCGAACCTCTAGGAGGATCTACAGGGTAAATGTCAAGTAAAAATGCAGTATTGATGTTCTTCCTTTCTCTCAATCTACCAAATTCTCCCAGCCAAAGAAAATTCTCCACCATTAGTTTTCTTTTCCAACTAAAGGTCAAGTAAACTATTGTTCACTAAAGTGTTCCCCCTTTGAAAAAACCCAATGCATAATGATCTATATTTCTAAGATAAAAGTTAGTATTTTTTTTTTTTTTTTTGAGACGGAGTCTCATTCTGTTCCACAGGCAGAAGTGCGGTGGTGTGATCTTGGCTCACTGCAACCTCTGCTTCCTGGGTTCAAGCGATTCTCCTGCCTCAGCCTCCTAGGTAGCTAGGATTACAGGTGCACACCACCACGCCCAGCTAATTTTTGTATTTTTAGTAGAGATGGGGTTTCACCATGTTGGTCAGGCTGGTCTCGAATTCCTGACCTCATGATCCACCTGCCTCGGCCTCCCAAAGTGCTGGGATTACAGGCGTGAGCCACCACCGTGCCCGGCCAAAAATTAGTATTTTATAAAAGAAGTCACCATAGAATTTTAGTTAACTTTTTCAGTGTCTTTAACATGATTTAGCTTTAAAAAAAGATTTACATGCAGCTTTCCTGAAATTCATGAATTATATAAAATGCATGTGAAATATACTTGAATGTGATTTTTTTTTTTGAGACAGGGTCTCACTGTGTTGCCCAGGCTAGAGTGCAGTGGCATGATCATAGCTCACTGCAGCCTCAACCGACTGAGCTCAGGTGATCTTCCCACCTCAGCCTCCCAGGTATCTGGGACTGTTAAAAGAGAGTGCTACCACACCCGGCTAATTTTGGTGTTTTTGTAGAGATGGAGTTTTTGCTATGTTGCTCAGGCTGGTCTTGAACTCCTGGACTCAAGTGATCCACCTGCCTCAGCCTCCCAAAGTGTTGAGATTACAGGCGTGAGCCACTAAGCCCAGCCGCTGAATGTATTTTAACAAAAACAAACAAAAAAAAATAAAGTTGACAAATAGTTTAAAAAATACATATATATACACACACACACATATATATATCCTAGTCAAAATTGAGCTTACCTGAAACTTAAAGAGAATCAAATAAATAAAAAGTAAGTTTAATTTTCATCTTTCCCCCTTTCCCCACAGTGAGGTATGTACTAGGATAGTTAAATTAACGAAAAGTATCTGATAAGGAATAAGTACTTGGACATTACTAATTTAGGAGGTGACCAACATGCAAGAGGCAAAAAAAAAAAAAAAAAAAGTAGAACAGAGAGCCCAGATGGTCAAAGAGAGGCAGCTCTGCTCTGCAGCTCCCACCAAGAAGGAAGAAAACTGTGAGTCAACTCTGCATCTTCAGTTGAGATACTGAAGTTCTCTTATTGGGACTGCTAGGTGGCTGGCATGACCCACGGAGAGCAAGCAAACAGGGTGGAGCAAGATCCCATCCAGGAACTGCACGCAGCAAAGTGAACTCCCTCGTCCAGCCAAGGGAGATGGTGAAGGATTTTGCTTCCCCTCCCTGAAAACCAGGCTTTTCCCACAGATCCTTGCAACTTGTAGATCAGGAGGTTCCCTCCTGAGCCAATGCTACCAGAGCTTTGGGTCCCAAGCACAAATCTCTGCTTGGGTGGGCAGCCGCTTTGAGCAGGCACTGAGACACTGGAGTATTTGCATACTCCGGCTCTGGGAACTCCCGTGAGGCAGGAGATCTGTCCACTCTCATGGGGAGGGGGCTGAAGCCAGGGAGCCAAGCAGCCTTGCTCTCACAGAACTCTATAAGCTAAAACCCACTGGCTTGGAATCCTCCCCCACCAGCTAGAAACTGCCTAAGACGACTGAGTTCTGGAAGTGGGGAAGGAGAGGGGGGAGAAGGGAGGGGAGGCCGCCATCACTGCGGCTTCAATTGGCCACTTTCCCTTGCTGCTAGCGCCGGCGAGATGGGGTGGAACCCAGATTCACTCCTCTTCACTGGACAGGGCCTCCCTGTGGGAATCTCAGCATCCCCAGCCAGGGGTTTATGGACAAAACGCTGATAACCCCAAGAGGAGCCCCTAGGAGGAAGGATGGCTGAAGTATCATGGATCAGTGATCTTAGTCTTCTCTGCCTGCTGGCTCTGGAGAGTCAAGGCAGTCCAGATGAGGGGGATTCCCCCCAGTGTAGCACACCCACCCTGTCAAGGGGCAGACAGACTGCTTATTTAAGTGGTTCTCTGACCCCGCTCCTTCTGACTGAGACCTCCCAACAGGAGTCTCCAGACACTTCATACAGGAGCATTCCGGCTAGCATCAGGCCAGTGCCCCTCTGGGACAGAGCTCCCAGAGGAAGGAGCAGGCTGCCATCTTTGCTGGTCTGCAGCCTCCACTGGTGATATCTCCTGGAAGACGAGAGACCCAGGCGAATAGGGTCTAGAGTGGACCCCAGGCAAACTGCAGCAGCTCTGCAGAAGAGGGGCCTGACTACTAAAGAAAAACAGAATGCAACAACATCAACAAAAAAGACACCACAAAAACCTCATCCAAAAGTCAGCAGACTCAAAGATCAAAGGTAGATAAACCCATGAAGATGAGAAAGAATGCAAGGATACGGAAAACTCAGAAAGCCAGAGTGCCTCTTCTCCTCCAAAAGATTGCAACATGTCTCTAGCAAGGGCACAGAACTGGGCTGAGGCTGAGATGGATGAATGTCAATCATCCATCCAAGATGGGAAATAACGAACTTCACCAAGCTAAGGGAATATGTTCTAACTCACTGCAAAGAAGCTAAGAACCATAATAAAACATTATAGGAGCTGTTAAACAGAATAACCAGTTTGGAGAGGAACGTAAATGATCTGATGGAGCTGAAAAACATGAGAACTTTATAATGGAAACACAAGTATCCATAGCCAAATAGACTAAGTGGAAGAAAGGATATCAGAGTTTGAAGACTATCTTGCTGAAATAAGGCAGGCAGACAAGATTAGAGAAAAAAGAATGAAAAGGAATGAATGAAACCTCTGAGAACTATGGGATTATGTTAAAAGACTGAACCTACGACTGGTAGATATACCTGAAAGAGACAGAAGAATGGAACCAAGTTGGAAAACACACTTCTGGATATCATCCAGGAAAACTTCCCCAACCTAGCAAGACAGGCCAACATTCAAATTCAGGAAATCCAGAGAACCCCAATACAATACTCCATGAGATCAACCCCAAGACACATAATCATCAGATTCTCCAAGACTGAAATGAAGGAAAAAATGTTAAGGGCAGTCAGAGAGATAGGCCAGGTCACTTATAAAGGGAAGCCCATCAGACTAACAGCAGACCTCTCAGCAGAAACCTTATAAGCTGGAAGAGGTTGGGGGCCAATTTTCAACATTCTTAAAGGAAAGAATTTCCAACCTAGAATTTCATATCTGGCTGAACTAAGCTTCATAAGTGAAGGAGAAATAAAATCTTTTTCAGACAAGCAAATGCTGAGGGAATTCGTCACCACCAGGCCTGCCTTGCAAGTGCTCCTGAAGGAAGCACTCAATATGGAAAGGAAAAACTGTTACCAGCCGCTACAAAAAACACATTGAAATACACAGATCAGTAACACTATGAAGCAAAAACATAAACAAGTCTGCAAAATAATCAACTAGCATCATGATGTCAGGATAAAATTCACACATAACAATATTAACCTTAAATGTAAATGCACTAAATGCCCCAAATAAAAGACGCAGAGTGGCAAGCTGGATAGAGTCAAACTCTATCAGTGTGCTGTATTCAAGAGACCCATCTCACATGCAAGGACACACATAGACTCAAAATAAAAGGATGAAGGAAAATCTACCAAGCAAAAGGAAAACAGAAAAAGGAGAGGCTGCAATCCTAGTTTCTGACAAAGACTTTAAACGAATAAAGATTAAAAAAAAGACAAAGGCATTACATACTGGTAAAGGGGTCAATTCAACAAGAAGAGCTAACTATCCTAAATATATATGCACCTAATATAGGAGCACTCAGATTCATAAAACAAGTTCTTAGAGACCCAAAAAGAGACTTAGATTTCCACACAATAATAGTGGGAGACTTTAACACCCCACTGTCAATATTAGATCATCGAGACAGAAAATTAACAAAGTTATTCAGGACTTGACCTCAGCTCTGGATCAAGTGGGACCTGATAAATATCTAGACATCTTTCCACCCCCAAACAACAGAATATATATTCTTCTCAGTGCCACATGGTACTTACTCTAAAATTGATCACACAATTAGAAGTAAAGCACTCCTCAGCAAATGCTAAAGAACTGAAGTAATAACAAACAGTCTCTCAGATCACAGCGCAATCAAATTGGAACTCAAGAGTAAGAAAGTCACTCAAAACCACAAAACTACGTGGAAATTGAACAACCTGCTCCTGAATGACTCCTGGGTAAATAATGAAATTAAGAGAGAAATCAAGAAGTTCTTTGAAACCAATGAAAACAAAGAGACAATGTACCAGAATCTCTGGGGCATAGCTAAAGCAGTGTTAAGAGGGAAATTTATAGCACTAAATGCCCACATCAAAAAGCTAGAAAGATCTCAAATCGACACCCTAGTATCACAACTAAAAGAACTAGTGAACCAAGAGCAAACAAACCCAAAAGCCAGCAGAAGACAAAAAGTAACCAAAATCAGAGTGGAAATGAAGGAGCTAGAGACATGAAAAACCCTTCAAAAAATAAATGAATCCAGGGGCTGCTTTTTTTTGAAAATATTAACAAAATAGACTATTAGCTAGACTAATAAAGAAGAAAAGAGAGAAGAACCAAATAGACACAATAAAAAATGATAAAGGGGATATTACCACTGATCCCATGGAAATATAAACAACCATCAGACAATACTATAACAGCTCGGTGCAAATAAACTCGAAAATCTAGAAGAAATGGATAAATTCCTGGACACATACACCCTCCCAAGACTGAACCAGGAAGAAGTTGAATCACTGAATAGACCAATAACAAGTTCTGAAATTGAGGCAGTAATTAATAGGCTACCAACCAAAAAAAGCCCAGGACCAGATGGATCTACAGCTGAATTCTGCCAGAAATACAAAAAGAAGCTGATACCACTTCTTCTGAAACTATTCCAAACAAATGAAAAGGAGAGACTCCTCCCTAACTCATTCTATAAGGCCAGCATCATCCTGATATCAAAACCTGGCAGAGATACAACAAAAAAAGAAAACTTCAGACCAATATCCCTGATGAACATCAATGTAAAAATTCTCAATAAAACACTGGCAAACTGAATCCAGCAGCACATCAAAAAGCTTATCCACCACGATCAAGTTGGCTTCATTCCCGGGATGTGAGGCTGGTTCAACATATGCAAATCAATAAACTTAATTCATCACACAAACAGAACTAAAGACAAAGACCACATGATTAACTCAATAGATGCAGAAAACACCTTCAATAAAATTCAACATCCTTTCATGTTAAAAACTCTCAATAAACTAGGTATTGAAGGAACATACTTCAAAATAATAAGAGCCATTTATGACAGACTCACAGCCAATATCATACCGAATGGGCAAAAGCTGGAAGCACTCCCCTTGAAAACCAGCACAAGACAAGGATGACCTCTCTCACCACTATTCAACATAGTATTGGAAGTCCTGGCCAGGGCAATCAGGCAAGAGAAAGAAATAAAGGGTATTCAAAGAAGAAGAGAGGAAGTCAAAATGTCTTTGTTTGCAGAGGACATTATCCTATATCTAGAAAACCCCATTGTCTCAGCCCAAAAGCTTCTTAAGCTGATAAGCAACTTCAGCAAAGTCTCAAGATACAAAATCATTGTGCAGAAGTCACCAGCATTCCTATACACCAACAACAGGCAAGCAGAGATCCAAATCATGAATGAACTCCTACTCACAATTGCTTCAAAGAGAATAAAATACCTAGGAATACAGCTAACAAGGGAAGTGAAGGACCTCTTCAAGGAGAACTACAAACCACGGCTCAAGGAAACCAGAGAGGACACAAACAAATGGAAAAATATTCCATGCTCACAGACAGTAAGAATCAATATCATGAAAATAGCCATACTGCCCAAAGTAATTTATAGAGTCAATGTTATTCCCATTAAACTACCATTGATATTCTTCATAGAATTAGAAAAAACTATTTTAAAATTTATATGGAACCAAAAAAAGAGCCTGTATAGCCAAGGCAATCCTAAGCCAAAAGATCAAAGCTGGAGGCATCACACTACCAAACTTCAAACTGTACTGTAAGGGTACAATAACCAAAACATCATGGTACTGGTACAAAAACTGACACATAGACCAATGGAATAGAATAGAGAACTCAGAAATAAGATTGCACATCTACAACCATCTGATCTTCAACAAACCTGAGAAAAACAAGCAATGGGGAAAGGATTCCTTATTTAATAAATGGTGCTGGGAGAACTAGCTATCCATATGCAGAAAATAGAAACTGGACCCATTCCTCATACCTTATACAAAAAATTAAGATAGAATAAAGGCTTAAATGTAAAGCCCAAAACTATAAAATCCCTAGAAGAAAATCTAGGCAATACCATTTAAGACATGAGCATGGGCAAAGATTTCATGATGAAATCACAAAAGCAACTGCAACAAAAGCAAAACTTGACAAATGGGATCTAGTTAAATTAAAGACCTTCTGCACAGCAAAAGAAACTATCATCAGAGTGAACAGGCAACCTACAGAGTGGGAGAAAATTTTGGCAATCTATTCATCCAACAATGATCTGATATCCAGGATCTACAAGGAACTCAAACCAAGTTACAAGAAAAAATAGAACCGCATTAAAAACTGGGCAAAGGACATGAACAGACACTTCTCAAAAGAAGACATTCATGCAGCCAACAAACATATGAAAAAAAAGCTCAATATCACTGATTGTTAGAGAAATGCAAATCAAAACCACAATGAGATATCATCTCACACCAGTCAGAGTGGCTATTATTAAAAAGTCAAGAAATAACAGATGCTGGCGAGGCTGTGAGGAAATAGGAACGCTTTTACACTGTTGGTGGGAATGTGAATTAGTTCAACCATTGTGGAAGACAGTGTGGTGATTCTTCAAAGATCTAGAACCAGAAATGCCATTTGACCCAGCAATCCCATTACTGGGTTTATACTCAAAGTAATATAAATCATTCAATTACAAATATATATGCACACATATGTTCATTGAAGCACTATTTACAATAGCAAAGACATGGAATCAACCCAAATGCCCATCAGCAATAGACTGGATAAAGAAAATGTGGTACACATACACCATGGAATACTATGCAGCCACAAAAAGGTATGAGATCATGTCCTCTGCAGGGACATGGATGAAGCTGGAAGCCATTATCCTCAGCAAACTAATGCAGGAACAGAAAACCAAACACTGTAGGTTCTCACTTATAAGTGGGAGCTGACCATGAGAACACATGGACAAAGGGAGGGGAACAATGCACACCAGGGCCTGTTGTGGGGGTAGGGAGAGTATTAGGAAAAATAGCTAATGCATGCTAGGCTTAATACCTAGGTGATGGGTTGATAGGTGGAGCAAACCGCCATGGCACATGTTTACCTATGTAACGAACCTGCACATCCTGCACATGTACCCCAGAACTAAAACTAAAACTAAAATAAAATAAAAGCACATTTTACTTAAGAGGTATTTTTGAAACCTCAATGCAATCATCTCATTTTACATGAAAACTCTGAGCTTAGAGAGGTACAAAAACTTGCTCATGGTCATAGCACTACTTAGTTACAGCACCTGGTCACCTGCTCCCAATTTCATAATCATTTCATCAGATATCAGTATGAATTTTGAGAAAAATAAACAACAACAAATTGAGTATTTTTCAAGAATAAACATTTCCTATATTAATCTGATATAAAAAACACTTCACATTATTTCAAACTAGTCAATAAATTAACATTATATACCAAAATAGCAATAAGTTAACAATCCCTTCTTTCACATTTTAATCAAGTATATTCTCAAAAGTCTTACAATATTACATTAAGATTTAATGTATCAAATCCAACAGCATTTCATCTCAATATTTAACAATATTATGTTCAATATTGAATAGTAAAAAGAAGCTAAACTTTATCTCTTTGTGTATTGATTTCAGCAATTCTGACAGTGTTTGATCCTCCATGCACGTGTTTCTACGCATCAAGAAAGCACAGCTACAAGGTTAACCCAAAGAACAATTTAAAAGCTATTTCAATGGCAATTTCTGTGACTGAGTCATGAAAACAGACATAAAGTTCTTGAGGTTTTGGATGAAGAAAAAGTCTCCTGCAGAAGAAAAGAACACACTCATTTCAGAAATTAAAACAACAAACAACAAAAACTCTAACCATCCAATTAATTTAATTTTTGTTTCTGAAAGCATCAGTAGTAAATTTAAAATCCATGAATCTAAATCTATACTAGGGAGAAAGCAGCTAGATTTATTTCTAAATAAATAATATATGCCTTAGGTCAATTAGTTTTTATTGCTCTAGAGTGTAATAATCCTATTTTATCAATATGTATTATGATACCACTCAGTTTTTAAATAGCAAATCTAGTTATTATAATAAAGGCAATAGCACTAGCATTATAGGCACAATAGTTATTAAGTATTTTATTGCTCTTTACTTTCTAATGTTTAATTTTTATTAAAACATTAAATATATGGTAGCTTTTTTTGGCAAATAGAACTGAATTGGAATTAACATTGAAATTTTGTTTGGTTTTCTTAAAGAGTTAAAATTGAAATCCATTTAATCAATACTAATGTATACAAATTGATCTATTTAAACTGGAGATAGTTCTGCCTGATTTTCTTAAATTTCTCTTCTGCATAAATCTGCATTATCAAAATTCAACATCTTTTGATTCTTTCTATTCCAATTGTCATGAACGTAGTTAACACTCGACTGAACAGCTACATGTGTGCCTAACTGGTCTTCTCATTTCTAGTATCTCTCATGTGCACATCATTCCATTGGCGCTCCCTGTTTAATCTTCCAGCAGTACAACTCTGATTACACTACATGGAATTAAGCTTACACTGATGTTCCCAAGCCTGGTTCACAGGATAATCACAAAGGAGCTTACTAAAAATACAGATTCCCACTCTCACAGATTTTGATTTAGTAGGTCTGGGGCCCAGGCATCTCAGATTTTAACAAGTGACTTAGGTGATTCTAAATCCCATGGACTAGCACATGGGAATTTCTGCTTTGGATAATGTCTGTAAAGTGTCTGTCATACAGCTTAATACTACATGGTATGTGTCCACTACCCCTACTCCCAACTAATTCTGTGCCCTTTCCTCCACCAACCTCTACTCCAACTCAAATAACCTTCTGCAGTGGTCCTAACTTAGGTTCCCAACTTGATCTTTCACTTAATCTTTGTATATGCCATTCCTCTACCATCCTGGCAAACCAGTCTGTTCACTGCTGTGCTGTATAATTTCCACTGTTCGCATCTTTGTTCATTAGATTTTGCCCCCTCCTCAGAATTCCTATAGTATTTGGTTGTATCATCAGATTCATTTTACATATATGTATACACACACATATATATAAGATTTCTCTCTATACCTATAAATATAGATATATAAATATATAGATATTTCAGCATATTTCATAATTCTTCTGCTAGATATAAGGCCCTTAGAGGCAATGACTATGTCTCTGTGTTTGCCATACCGCCCACTGCCCACCCAACCCACCACCAGTTTCACATTTTGCCAGGCACAGTCTCACCTACTCAGCCATCACATGTTTATCAAGTGACTATATTATGTGCCAGGTACTGTTGCAGGTGCCAGTGGTGGACAAGACAGATACAATTCCTGACCTCATGAAGCTGATATTGTAATGAGGGTGGGGGGTGGAGAAGGACAAGAAAATAAACAATAAAAGAGTCATATAGAGAATAACTGAGTAGCCACTTTGATGAGGGAAAGAGATAATGGATCGTCTCTGACAAGATGACCTGTTAGCACTGGTCTGAATATCAAGGATCCAGAAGTGCAAAGGTCAAGGGATAGAATATCCCATGCAGAAGGAACAACAGAAACAAGATTTGATTGGTGCTCGTGCAGCTGGTGCACAGTGGATGGAAGAGGAAGGAGACAGGAGATGGAAACAAAGGTGGGCAGGGTCCTGACTGGGCATGGTCCTGTGGCAGGGGCCAGAGAGAGGGGAAGGGAAGAAAAGGGAGAGGATGGTAAGAGGGAAAGAAAGGAGAGAGGGGGAAAAATGAAGGAAGCAGGGGAAAAAGGGAAGAAGAGAAAAACTGGAATTATTCTTTCAGTGTATTACTGAAATTTAATTTTGTAAGATAATTTTCAATAGAAAAATACTTGGGAGGGATTTAAAGGAGATACTTAGCAAATAAAATGAAATATATTAAAATAGTATAGCTAGATAAAAAATTCCATGCTTACATTTTAAAATGTTAATCTCCTTTACCACTTTTCTTTCACTTTTCTAACACTTTACTTTCAAATACTTTTTTTTCTCACTTACCCTACTACCCAGTAAGCCATAACTGGTGGTGCTTTTTTCTGATCAGTCCAGTTTCCAGGTGAACATTCAAACAACACACCATGTTCTTTAACAGGGTTAAGAGAAGACACTGACTTTGCAGAATCTGAATGGTCTCCACTATTTAGTCCTTTCTTTTTCTGTAAATTAATAGGTATTGTTAGTATTAACTGGTATTACCAGTGTTACTTTAAAATGTTTTCACAGAGTAATCTGAATTGGCTGATCCAAATACTTCAGTGCCTGCAATGACATTCTTCTTATCTGCAGGAAAATTTCTACTCTTCCTCAAAACTTAAATACCATATCCTAAAGGAGACTTCATGGATAAAGTGTCCCTTGACTTTTCTAGGGAACACTTTGTTCACAGGCCTATATTATTAGTATGTATATTATATTATATTAGCAGTTTATAGATCTGTCTTCCACAGTGGAAGATAGAAAATTATAAGCTTTTTTCCCCAGGGAAGAGACAATATGCAATCTTCTTTGTGTGTTTTAAAACCAGCAGTGCCTGGTTCATAGTAGGTGCTTAATAAATGTGTTCTAAATGAACAGATAATTCTGTAATAAATTGAAAAAATATATATTTAAAACAGTATTTTGTCTTCCTTTGACCCATAATCTCTAAATTTCATACTGATTAAAGCATTAGCAAAACAATGACTCATTTGGACTATAAAGGCTTCTTATAAGTTTCAGGGCAAACAGTGGAGTGATCCTTGATCCTTTTCTTTCCTTCATAGCTTTTATCTAATCCATCAACAGATCTTTTTGGTTTGCCCTCCAAAATATATCCACAGTCCAGAAGCCATAATCATTTCTTGCTTTGAGAATTTTGAAAGCCTCCTAACTGGTCCCTGCCTCCACCCTTGCTATTCTGTTTCCTGTTCTACCCACAGTAGCCTGAGTGATCCTTTAAAAAAATTACGGATCATGTCCCTTATTTGGGCAGAACTGTTCAAGAATGTATCATCTCTTTCAGAACAAAGCCCAAAGTCCTTATCATAGTCTATCCGGCCATGCATAAGCTGGCCCTGCTACCTTTGTGATCTCTTCTTCCACTTTCTTCTCACTCAGTTTGCTCCAGTACTCTCCCAGCCCCTAGGGGATGGTTTCAGGATGAAACTGTTCCACCTCAGATCATCAGGCATTAGAGTCTCATAAGAAGTGGGCAACCTAGATCCCTTGCATGGACAGTTCACAGTAGGGTTTGCACTCCTATGAGAACCTAATGCCGCAGCTGACCTGACAGGAGGCAGACCTCAGGCGGTAATGCTCTGCAGCTTTGCATTTGCTGTTCCCCTTGCTGGAAGCTCTGTCCCCAGAGAGCCACATGGCTTGCTCCCTCACTTCATTCAGGTCTCTGTTCAAGTATCACTTGACATGATCAGAGAGACCTTTCAAAATAGTCACTCCCACCTCTAATCCTTACCATGTTTTATTATTTTGCTTGACACTGATTCTTCTCAGCATACTATTTTCTAATTCTTCTCAGCATACTAATTTCTAATTAGAAAATAGGCTTCGTGAAGGAAGGGACTTTGTTTTGTCCACTGTTGTATCCCACGTTCCTAGAATAGTGTCTGGTGCAGAGTAGGTACCTCAATGTTTAAATAAGATGGGGAAAACTAATTTATATTACTAAATATTATCAAATAAGTAAATGAAATATTCCTTTATAACATTTATCAGTTAATGTTAAAAAGGGAAATAGGAGCATAAGAACCCAAAGCATACAGGAATATAGGGTCAAACACAGTATTTTTACAGAATAACAATTTCTGAGGACTCAAAAAAAAATCCTACAAGACACAGAATTTTACTGCTGAATGAACCTGGAGAGATGATGTAATTCAGCCCACTTGCTTCATAGCTAAGGAAATAGGAGGTGAGGCTCAGTCCAGGATTCCTTATTCCTTGTCCAATGTTCTTCCACTTTTAAACCCAAGTTCTTCACAAATTTGGCATCCCTAACACATGTATTGCTATATACATTACAACCATTTTCAGAGAGGTTTTTTGGCTGTATAACGTCACAAGTAAACCTCTGTAAGTTTTATCCTTTTCAAGAAATCAACACCTATCTTTTCCTGCCATTTAAATAATCTGATATTGTAATTGTACACAGCATTATTATTTATTCAACAGATAACAACATTCAATGAAACTTCATCCTGGATAGAAAAGCAAGCAAGCAATCAACCAACCAAATGCCAAAAAATTTGCATTAGTCTTGTGTCTATAGCTGTACCTTAACCCAGCAGTCCCCAACCTTTCTGGCATTGGAGACCAATTTCTGGGGGAGGGATGGTTTCAAGATGAAACTGTTCTACCTCAGATCATCAGGCATTAGATTCTCATAAGAAGTGCACAGCCTAGATCCCTCACATGCACAGTTCACAATAATAGGGTTTGCACTCGTATGTGCTGCTGATTTGATAGGAAGCAGAGCTCAGGCAGTAAGGCTCCCTGGCCCGCCACTCACCTCCTGCTGTGCAGCCTGGTTCCTAATAGGCCACAGAGAGCTACTGGTATGTGGCCCAGGGGGGTTGGGGACCCCTGCCTTAATCCATTATATTCCAAAATCCCTATACTATTGGCTAAATACTCAAAGAATTATCAGAGTTATTTTAGGAACCAATTGGTAGATATTATTACTCAAGTAATGGTTGAGTCACAGATATCAAATATGGAAGGTTAATTTACATTACAAACGACTGTATTTTGCTTTGCTGTAGAAAACACAGGTCTACCATATCCTGAAAAGTAACCCAAGACATCAGATTCAGTATAAAATAAAACCTTGAAGTACTGTGAGTATAATTGTTTTGGCACCCACGTTAGATTAAGTGACTATTTAAAAAAACTTAATGAAATGAAAACAATGCTGGGCATATTGATTAGATAACAGAATGCTTAGAGATCTGGAAATTAAACTGGCAGAAAACTGTATTTATAGCAGTGCCCTACCTCTTCCACCAATGTCTGTTGGAAAACTGCACGAATGGAAAGACAACACTGATGGAAATTCTTTATTAGCTGAGGGTGGATAGAGCCACTTAGCTGTGCCACCTCTTCAAGGGTAGGAGTAATAAAGATTCCTTGCACTGTTTCTAAGGCAACGTAGTGGAAAAGTGTGTTCTCAGGACCAGATGTCAGTCTTAAAAAGAAAAAAAATCAAAGAGAAGAAAAAAGAAATTTTAGTAAATTTTAAAATATTGGTTCATTTTGAATTTAGTAGACTTCTTATAAGCTTTTATCTACAATATAATATTAGTAGTATAATTAGGGAAGGGAAACTGGGCTAAACATTTAATTCCCTCTTCATCCGTAACTGAAGTACAAGCTAGGGTTATTAATTCCCTTAATGGAGGCAAATACTACATGTTATGCAAGGATAAGTAAACCTCAATTCATTTGCAAGTAACTTAATCATTCCTTTGCTAAACAACCCAAATTGGCTAACTGTCTCTTTTTCCATGGTTGGTATTAAATAATTCAGCTCGTGTCTGGCCCAGATAGCTATAAGCCATAAACAAGATATCAGTCTAGGGTAGACCACATATAAAAATACCTTCCAACAAATTAAATACATTTAAGTTAGTAGCATTAAAGTATTTTACCATGATAGTCAAACTGATGTTCCTCAAGAACTACTGGAATGCAGAATGGGTAGGACTTAGTTACTGAATGAAATGTTTTATATATTATTTTCAATATATTATATATATTGTATTTTACAAAGATAGGTGCATAAAAGGTTAGGATAATATATTACATCCTGTTTTATATCATGCTTTTAAAATGAACTACATCATATAAAAACATCTTTGCATGTCAATAATGAGAATAAACACACATCTTTGGCACCTTTTAAAATAGGAGAGCCTATGATTTACACCACATGTGAATTTATGTTTAAACCATTGAACTTGAAAAAAGAGTCTCCTTTTACTAGAGACAATGCCAACACAACATACATATTTTTAAAATTCTGATATGGAGTTAATAAAATTTCAGAGCAATAGTTTTTGTTAAATGGAAGACTAGAGTTTTGTGAAGGTACTTTTGGGTTCCATAAAAGGTTTGGTTCCAATTTATTTGTCTTAAAATCATGTTTAACTATCAAAAAATTAAACATTCATATTTGGAGGCATTAAATACTAAAATTTAACACATCAGATTTCTAATGTATTATTTTATGCAGACAAGTTACTTTGTTTTTGTCTTGACTTGAGAAAAAAAGAATTTTCTAACAACTTTGTAACACATATATTTGAACTTACTGTAAAGTGTTTCAGTGATTAAGAATGTGGTAGCTCTGTACTGTGTGTGTGTGTGTGTGTGTGTGTGTGTGTGTGAATTCTATTAGTACGTGTCTAGTTGTTCAAATAAAAGTAGGCAATTGAGTTTATTACACCAGTTGATCCCACACATGATGTCATAATTAAATACCTGCCAAGGCACAGGCAGACCTGCGTGTCACCACATAAGTGCACAAGAAGTGAATATATAACATTTCATATTATAATAATTACAGACAGTTTAAGTTGCTAAACATTCTCTCCTCACTCAGTTTCTTTTACCTCAGAATTCCCTACTCAATGAACGTTTGAAATTATACCTATTTTCTAAAGAGAGTGTTATGGGACAAGTTCCTTGGGACCCAAACTCTGAGAGTGAGATATGCCGGGAGGAAACTTATTAGGAAGTACTCTTGGGAAAAACAGCTGTAGGGGTGTAGTGACTGAGCAGGATTGAGCAGAGGGAGAAGATGAACTGTGCTGCAGCGGCAACAAGTCTCAGCCGATACCACTGTGTACTCTGAAGCTTGGCTGGCCTTTCAGAGTTGTCTTCAATTTAGGCAAGGGGCCAAGCCTTTGTACTCACTTATTTATTAGTCATTAGAAATGGGCTCCTCCCAGGGAGGAATGTAACCTTAGCTGAGTCAACAAGTTTCCGTGTAGGACACGGCTAGGGGAGTGACAAGGCTAGGGGAGCTGTGAGGCATTAGCAGCCACCATTCTCAAGTGTTGGAAAGGAATACCCTGAGCTAAGGTGTAACTGGACAGCACACCACTGCATCCACCAAACACTCTAAAAAATAGTAAACTCTAATTTAAAAATTATATTAAATATACAAAAGGGAGGTTACCTGTGGAGAGATAAAGGGAGACTTTCACATTTTGAAATATTACTTTGTGTGTTTTTCTCTTTCATAATACTAATATGGTCATTTTCCTAAATGTGTAATGAAATATTAAAGAAATACCACAGATATTACCTTTAATATGTAAGATATATCAGAATTACATTTGTTGAGTAAAATACATGTTATAAAATTGTACTTTCTCACTGTAAAACTTCCTGAGTTTAAGTGAACAAGAATAAGAAAGTTTCTTACTTCACTGTGTTATATATTTCTAATTCTTTTTCTGGAAGGTCCTTTTTCAAGTTTCCCAAATGAAATGGATTTGGAAGAGTAGACTTCTTTTTAGTGACCTGAAAAATATAGTTAAGTAGATCAGTTTATATCTAAGAATGGAATCATATAGCAGAAACAATTTAAAAATTAAACATCCTTCTGAGGGAACTACTTACCATTTGCAATGCTTCCTTTAAATATTTTTGATGCTAACTTGTACCTCTTGGCTTATCCATGGCTGACAGGGATCCCAGGGTCATGTCCTGGGAGGGCATGATGGTGTTCCCTGAAAACCTCCTACCAGAGCCATTACCAAATTTGTATGTATGCATACTTGTCTCCCCTCCCTAGACTCTGCACTCCTCAAAGTCAGGGGCTGTGTCTTATTCATCTCTGTATCTCCTTTGTGTAGTATGGCCCTTGGCACTTAGTAGGTATTCAATCAACCTTTGTTGAATGGCTGAATCTTAAAGGTTAACTCAATTTCTCTTAGGAGCTATTCATGGCTTGGTAATTCTTTAATCTGTCCAAATCTTTTTAGACTATTTCCTACCAATTCCATCGACTGTGATAATAGGTATGGTACTGATGTAAGTACTTCCAAATACACCCCACTTAGGGGTCCAAAAGTATTCTATTGTTTGGTATGAGGAGATTGCATCTGGTTATTTATGCCATGCTACTAGCATTTCATAGTTTATTTGTGCTCCTTCTCAGACTCCTCATCTGGTGTCACCTCCATCCACCCAAATGACAAGTTTCAAAAATGTTTTGAAAGACGACAGCATCACTAGAATAAGTACAAAGCCTCCCAGGGTGAATGTTTTGATAATCATTTGGATATTTTATGGTATTTTCATGGGAAAAAATTAGGAAAAATGATCTGAAAAATGAACATCCTCTTTAGAGTCAACTTTTAAATCTTTAAGTGTTACAAAGGTTCAGATTTTAAAATCTATAAAAATAGGATAATACACACAGAGACATACACACACACACACACAGACACACAAATACACACATTTAGGGTTCTGATTCTCTTTGCTGAATATTTCATTGGCTATTTAGTCAGATCAGCCCCCAACAGGCCCCACAGCTTGGATGCTCTCTGTTGTCATTGCAAATAGGGAAGAGATGAACACGGAAATTGAGATTAAAGTTTTCCTATTTCTAAGTACTGTTAAACAGATATGAATGTCAAGGGGTTCTTATCTTATTATTTGATATTTCTTTTTTTTTTTTTTTTTTTTTTTTTGAGACAGAGTCTCACTCTGTCACCCAGGCTGGAGTGACAAATCATGCAGTGGCACAATCTCGGCTCATTGCAACCTCTGCCTCCTGAGTTTAAGCAATTCTTGTGCCTCAGCCTCCCGATGCATCTGGGATCACAGGTGTGCACCAACGTGCCTGGCAATTTTTTTGTAATTTTATTAGAGACTGGGTTTTGCCACATTGGCCAGGCTGGTCTTGAACTCCTGGCCTCTAGCAATCTGCCACACCTGGCCTGATATTTCTTTTTCTTTTTGGTTCAAAATCATTGGTTTGCCAGCAGTGACTGAAATAACCACCATGTCAAATGAAGAATGGTATGCCACTAAAAAAATGTCTTGCAATTATAAAACAAGGACTGGAGAGACAACTTAGCTCCCAGAACATACACACTTGAATAAGCACACACCTTAAGCAAGGTCCCACTTTCTTCTAAACCATCAGAGCCCTGAGATTCTCTTTGCTTCCGTACTGCATCCGGTGTAGTATGGGGGCTAAAGCCATCATCTTCTCCACCTTCACAACCATTGTCAGATCCTCCACTACTACAGGAAGGACTAGGCTTGCGTGTCTTTAAGGAATAGTCACCAAAAAGCGTTCTTCTGCATGTTGGAGAAGTTGCTACTTTGGAAGTACCTTGTAGCCTACTGAGAATAGGCGAAGTGGTCAAGCTATCTGTTTTTTCACGTGATCCAGTAAGGAACCAGTCAGCACAAGACAAACAGGGGACTGGAGAAGATGCTAGCCGTTCATCTATGCGAGAATCTACTCCATCCAGCTGGTGAAGAGTTGTTTTGACTTGATCCACATATACACAGTCTGGTCCAGGACTCCCAATAGCTTTGGATGCGCAACCTCCAGCTTCTAATAGTACACATAGCATATAATGTTTCTATAGGGAAAAAAATTACAAATGTAGGTTTAGCTACCATGAAAATATTTACATAAAATGTGCATGTATAAACTTATAAATATCGAAGACATAGAGGCCTATGGCATAATCATGTGATGATTATTAAAAATTCCTCCGTCATCTTTCCTTTTTGGTTATTATTAATGCTTCTTGATCCCAGTTGAAAACAATCTTACATTGCCTTATCTTGATATACCATCAAACCACTTCTTTTGAGACACAGAATTCCCTAAGATAGCTGTCAAGAGCCTCAGTTACTGGAAGTCCTTTCATCTACAATTGCATATTTATTCTGTTTCTGATTCTATATTATTTTCATGTCTCCCTCTATCTCCCAAAACAAGCCAATGGATAAAACCACTATAGAAAGGGGAACAAAAGACTTTAAAAACCTGCTAAAATATTTTCTTAGACTTTATTAATATTTGTCCATGAGTATTAAATGGATGCAAAAGAAAAGGAATAAGGGGACATGTAACATTTCCTTGAATACTGATATTAGACATACTAATAATTTTACATGAGCATGTTTGTGTATTTATTTAGACAGTCAATAGATACCTACCTACCGCTGCATCCCTCAACCCCTGCCGAAAAGAAAAAAATAAAAGAAAAGAAGAAAAATCCTAAGAAAGAAGCTGAGGTAAACTTACCAAGCCAACAACTAGCAAAAAATATCTTCCTTCAGGTTCCGGAAAGACTTCAGTGCTTGAGTCTGCCAAAGGTCGGAGGTGATGCTGAGGAAACACTTCTCTCCATATGATCAACTGACCAATTCTTTGTTTTGCTGCTAAAGGCAGCAGGCAATAGTGGCGACAGTATACGGCAATATCAATAAGATCATCCTTGGGCAAATGACTGCATATCAAATAACCCTTGAATTTAACCACAAAGAGCAAAAGTCTACCAGTGATATAAAGCAATAGTCCCATAATATTTCTAAGAGTTTCATAGACACTTCTTCCGTTGGTTTAGAATATTCTAGTTTCAAATGGGGTAAATGAAGATATAGTAAAAGTAAATGTTTCTTTTCTTGAGGTCAAAGTAGAGCTCAAATGATAACTTAAGGTGTACCGACAGGTAGACTTCAGCACAAAGCAAGATCCCTTCTGCACAGCATAGCTTCAGTATTTGACAAAATTAGAAAATAACTGAATTCTGAGAATGGAAAGTCAAGAAGCAGGGGTCATGACAGAGACTTTTCACTGTGCACCCTTCCCTATTGCTTCTTTGTTAGATGTGTTTTATATTGTGTTTAAAAATCCTTTTTTAAAAATAAAAGTACTTAAATTCATTTGATGCTTTGCTTTACATGGACATGAACTAAATGTTATATAAGATTTATTTAAAAGATGTAGGTTACTATTTTTTTTTTTTTGAGACAGAGTCTCTGTCACCCAGGCTGGAGTGCAGTGGCACGAACTCAGCTCACTGCAGCTTCTGCTTCCCGGGTTCACACCATTCTCCTGCCTCAGCCTCCTGAGTAGCTGGGATTACAGGCACACACCACCATACCCAGATAATTTTTTTTTGTATTTTTAGTAGAGATGGGGTTTCACCATGTTAGACAGGCTGATCTCGAACTCCTGACCTCTGGTGTTCTGCCTGCCTCGGCCCCCCAAAGTGATGGGATTACAGGTGTGAGCCACCATGCCCAGCTGACTTTTCAACACAGGATAAAAAATACACTCTTTCAAAAGGAAATCCAGAAAAATATTAGTCTTCTCTCTTACAAACTTGGTTCTTTGAGTATTGCTTCTCCTGTGCACATTTGTAAATACTTTATACATGCTTTAGAATGCAATGAAACCATAAATATTTATTATATTTACAAGTATGTAGATGCAAATCTTGTTTTAAGGTCTTAATCTGGTCAGGCATGGTGGCTCACGCCTGTAATCCCAGTACTTTGGGAGGCCAAAGCAGGAGGATTGTTTGAGCTTGGGAATTGCTTAAGCCCAGAAATTGGAGGTTGCAGTGAGCTATGATTGTACCCCGTACTCCAGCCTAGGTGGCAGAGCAAGACCCTGTCTCTAAAATGAGAAAGCTCTTAATCTTATGGTACCTACATTTGAAAGAAAAGAGATAAATGTATTTTTCATGTTTGTAAAAGTTTTGAAAATTTAGTTCTCTTTATACAGCAGCTGGACATTTAGACTTCAAGCTTCAACTTACCTTGTAAAATAGAGAAGACCCCAAAATTGTATACAGCCGCCTCATGTCATAGTAATCCTCGGACTGGGGGAAAAATTCATAGTGGATTTTATATTTTTATTTTTTTGTGATAAAAATTCCAATTAAGCTATAATAGTTAAAATGAAAATTATATTCTTTAGTAACTAAACTTTTCATAGTGCCATCTTTAGAAATCAATATACCAGAATATTAGGATGAAATACAATATGCATACGTTTACTTCACTGAGAACAACCTTATGTTTCATTCTTTTAAGATGTTTGATTAGAGACATTAAGAACATAAAATCTGTCACTCTATGAGGGATTTCTTACAACACATCTTTTTAGGACAAAAAACTTTTACTCTACATCATCTACAGTATCCAATATTACCATAAGCTATTTTTGAAAGCACTAATTGATGCAACCTATTTGCAAGCAACTGAGTGGTATGTAAAAAAAATTAAGTATATATACCCTCTGAGTAATTCTACTTCTAGAAATCTACAGGAATACTCAAGCAGTGGAATCATGATTTTTATATAAAAAGTTAACAGTTGGATTATTTGTAATATGGAAAAATTAGAGATAACATGAAATTCAACAATGGAGGAATGGCCAGCAAAACTAGATATACCACAGAATATCACACATATGTTAAAAAAATATGATTGATCTATATGAGCAGGCATAAAAGGTTTTAGGATACACTGCTCAGCAAAGAAGGCAAGCTGCAGAACAAAATATATGTTATCATCTGATTTTTGTTAAAAATAGCATCCCCACCAACTATATACATGTGTGTTGGTTTGTGTGTGGGAATGTATGTATATGGAAAAAGGTCTGGAAGGATACATTCCAATCCATAAGAGCAGTTACACCTGGGGATGGAAGTGAGAGAAAGGGATAAGCGAAGGTATTTGCTTTTAATAACCATGCTTGGAGCTTCACCCCGTACACAGCTATTACTTTTATAAGTTTTTTTTCTTTTTAAAAAACCCAATGAAACCTAAAGAAAACTAAAAACTGGAAATAACCCAGCCATTCCTCAATTGGGGAATGGATAAACAAATTGTGATACATGCATATGATGGAATACTACTATTCAGCAATATTAAGGACTGAACTGCCTGTACAATAGCAGGAATGAATCTTAAATCCATTTATGCTAAGTTAAAGCCAGACACAAAAATTACCTACTGTATGATTATTTATTTATTTAAATTCTCAAGACACATGTGGAGTGTCTGGTTTATTCAAAGGGGTTGTCAGAGGCCTGACCATGGAGCAGGAACCAAATAGTTGGGAACTGTGGGGCTGAACAGGGCAGGGATGCCCAGGTATGAGAAGGTAAAAGGAGGTATGCTGAGCAACCAGAGCAGCATTAGGGCCAGGCTGAGCAGGATGATTCACTTTATATTACATCCTGGAAAAGGCAAAATCATGGGGACAGAACACAGATCAGTGATTGCCAGAGGTTGGGGGTATGGAGAGGGGTCGACTCCAAAGGGGACAGAAGAATTTACTGAACATAAATTATACCTTAATAATATTTTTTAAAAACTAAGGAAAACACAGCATTAGGATATAAGATTAAATCTTTAATCTAATTTCACCAAAAAGTGTAGAATAGATCCTTATTTTCATATTTTTTTAAAGGCAAAATTCAATGTGAAGTGTTCTGTGAGTTTTGACAAATGCATATAGCTATGTAAGTGCCACCAAAATTGAGATGTAGAACAGTTCCCTCAACACCTCCCTACACCAACTTTTTTTCTGAGTAGTAGTCCATTCCTGGATATACCAGAATTTGTTTTGGTATTCACACCTGCTGATGGACAGTTAAGTTATTTGAGTTGTTTCCACTTTTTGGCTATTACAAATAAAGTTGCTTTGTATACAGGTCTTTGTATTACATATGCTTTCAGTTCTCTTGGTTTAAAAAGATAGGAACAGACTGGTTGAATTACATGGTAGGTATATGTTTAGGTTATTAAGAAATTGCCAAACTGTCTTCCAAAGTAGTTGTACCATTTTACATTCTCAATTTATCCATTTTTTCTTTTATGAATTATGGTTTTCTTTCTTTTTTTTTTACTGTATCTAAGGAATCAAAATAGATTATTTTTTAACCATAGAAAATATTGTTAACTCCACTGCTCATTAAAATAGTGTTCTATAAAGGCAGGAATTAGATTTTTAAATTAAACATTTTGGATGTAAGTTCCAAAAACCAGATATTTTAATACTTTAGATCTGAACTGCTCCTAATAGTTAATATCCATCTAAACATTTTCCATTACTCAAAAAATTATGAGCCATAAGAGTTTACCATCCCTAAATTTCTATTATTTTTACAGACAAAACACCCTTCCATTTGTTTAGGGTGTTTGTTAAGACTCAGTTACCCTTTCAAGCTAACATTCTCCTCCCACTTTCACTGGCGATCTTCTTGAGAATAATCCACACCTCATGGCTTTTACCTCCTTACTTCCCATTTACTTTGTAAAAGAACTTTTATTACTGAGAATTTTAGCATATACAAAAAGGGAATTGTATAATTAGTTCCTGTATAGCCATCATCACCCAGGTTTAACTATGACCAGTCCATGGCTTATCTTGTTTCATCTGTATCATCATCTTCCCTTCCTCCTGCTGAATTATTTCAAAACCAATCCCAGATATTATATAATTTCATCTGTAAACACTTCAGAATGTATGTATAAAACAGAAGGAATCTTAAAATACATATAATCATACCATTATCACAATATAAAGAATTATTTTCATCTAATACCCAGTCATTAGTGTTTACTTTCCTTGAATGTATGAGACTCATGAATAGATTCAGCCTCATCTATGAGATTCGTTGTCTCATAGAGGTTTTTAAAAGTTTGTTTGAATTAGGATCTAAGAAAGGACATACATACACTTGGTTGATAATATTCAGTCTCTTGTAACTGAGATCTCTCTCAACTTCTCTCCCTTCTCCCCCACCTCACGCCAGCCTTTTCTAATTTATTTGGAGAAGAAAGTGTCCTGCAGTATTTGCCAGTCTGGATTTTGCTGACTGCAACCCCTCTTCCAAAAATGGAGTAACTTAACATGCCTCCTTTTCAGTGGTATTTCCTATAAGTTGGTAGTTCAATCTTGAGGCTTCATCAAGCATATTTTATAGGTGTTCTGTGTGCTTCCATCAGGAACAACATATTATCTGCTGTTTTTCTGTTTGTGATATTAATAGCTATTGATGACCATTGCCTAGATCCATTAATTCATTGAGGGACTGCAAAATGGTGATATTCCAATTCTGTCAGTCTTTCTTGACATTTCAGTTAGACTACTTTCATAAAAAGAAGCTCTCCTTCACCTCTGTTTGGTAACCTTGACATATGGTTTAGACAAGAAAGGCAGGATAAATGTCTGATTTTTCTTCATTTAACAGTTTTCACAAAAACAAGTTAGTGCCCTCATATTCTCCAAAGTTGACTAGTAAGTTTCCTTTTTTTTTTTTTTAGTATCATTATGCACTCATGAGCTTATACATATCTGATGTGTTTCAATCTGTTGTAGTTATTTCCTTATAGATGTTCAACAGGGAGCCTCTTCAAGTTGTCTCATGACAGTTTGAGCTCTACTATAACCCTATTAATTTTTGGAAAGCTTTCTGAATTTCTGATATGACAAGATGTTCTCAGACTTATCTTGTGCATTTTCAGCCCCAATTTTGAATGAGCCAATTCTTGAGGAGTCCTGGTTCCTTTTGGTGAGAAATGTTATTTATACACCATGGTCTGGGTATTAGTGGTACTTATCGCTACTGCGATGGTCACTATTGCTAGGCCTTTTCATTGGCCATAGCTAGGAAATACAATAATTAAAAGATTAAAAACGATATTGACACTTCCAATTTAAGTACAGCTCTACAGGGTTCTTATTTAACTTAATCAGTATTACATCTATATTTATTTTCCTCAAAAGCTTAGTTCTCAGTGACACCAGTGTAATTAATCATTTTTAATCCCATAATATACATTATGTAACAACTGTTTAAACTCAGTAGAAAATCCTAAGGCAAGCAAAATAGATTTTGTCACTGTCAAAACAGAGGCCTAATGTGTATTTCAAGATTATTATATATCCACTTGGTAAATATTTAGAATAATGACTGTTATACAAAATAATTCAACATTGAGCCTTTTATAAAATCCACTCCTTCCCTTACCAGTTCTGCAAAATCTGCAGCCTCCAAGTCACTTAATGCCATGTCTAATTCCATCTATGTTAAAAAAAAAAAAAGAGTAACATAAACATTTGACTCATATTAGTTACTTTTTTAGTAATGGCCATATAAAAAGTGCTTAATTACTACTTGAAAAATTGAGTATCTTTCTCTTTTGTGTTACTTAGGAAATGTCTCAAAATGGAACATATTGTTTTTAAGCTTTGCCACTGTAAAACAGTTTACTTATTTAACATATTGTTTTTAAGCTTTGCAAATATAAAACAACTTACTCATTTAACATACCATATTTCAACTAAATCTCAATAACTGCAAAATGGTCTTCACATGTATTCAATGCATAGTAAATTTATGAGCTTCAAAAGTTGCTTTCCAGTTTTAAGTTAGAAATTAATTTAACCCTTTTGATTTCATAGAAGAAAATGAAAATCAGTCTTAAAGTAGCCAACTTATTTTGAGTTGTTCTCGATTCTCCATTTCTTGTATATTACTCAATAGTTGGATTCTTGAAAAATATCAACATTCTTCCCTGTCTTTCTCCTGGACACAACGTTTTGCATTCAAGGGTTGTCAATCTTTATTCCTAGATTAAAACACGAAGGCAAGTGTTCCTCTGGAATCTGGCACAGTTCAACTACCCCACAGAGTTATTAGAAAAAAAAATCTCTTACTTAGGATTTGGGTTTTGTTTCTATGGAAATTGCCTGAACTCTTTCATGTATCACCTTTGTTCTTCTTTGAAGCATTCCAAATTTAAAAACAGAATAAATTTAATCTGAAGTTTAATCTGTAATACAAATATATATACAAATGAAAACTATCGGCAATTGAATTGTGTGGCATACATGCTATTTGTGAATAAGAATCCCTTTTTTTTGAGATGGAATCTCGCTTTGTCGCCCAGGCTGGAGTGCAGTGGCGCAATCTCAGCTCACTGCAATCCGCCTCCCAGAGAATCTTTTTTTTTTCTTTAAAGGCCAAGGCACTCTCTGCAGGACTGTTTCACACACTAACTGTGTCTTACTGAGATGACAAAAGCTTTTGAAATATTAGTCATGCCTTTCAATGCTTTTCACACAGTATGAGTTATTACTCATTTGTGACCTACATTTTTCTGCATCTAGCAAATACTTCAGGTTCCCTTTTTTTGTGGCTATTAGTCTGTCTTGTGAAAAACCACAGGACAAAAAATTACCAATTTGTGGTATTTGATCTCAGAAACTGTTCAATGAGTTGCTATTCCTGCTACTAAACTCTACAGGCTAATTAGTATACAAGATTAATATATATGTTTGTTTATATTCCTTAAACGAAAACATACAAATATCTTTTCTCTTAATTATTTCACTGTACCCTAGGAAAATATGATTGAAAAAAGAATATCAAAATGAGGAAAATTCTCAAATATCTGGGAAGAAAAACTAAAGTAAGACCTCATTATATACTAAACCTGGAACAAATAGGTTTTTTCCAAGTTAAAAATAACTATTTAGTTTGTTTTTAAAAATAAACAAGCAAAAATAACTATTTCCACCTAAAATTGCCAGGCATGTTACCTCACACACGACTTTTTTTTTTTTTTTGAGACAGAGTGTCCCTCTGTTGCTCAGGCTGGAGTGCCAGTGGCACAATCTTGGCTCATGGCAAGCTCTGCCTCCTAGGTTCATGCCATTCTCCTGCCTCTGCCTCCCGAGTAGCTGGGACTACAGGCGCCCGCCACCACGCCTGCCTAATTTTTTGTATTTTTAGTAGAGATGGGGTTTCACCGTGTTAGCCAGGATGGTCTCGAACTCCTGACCTTGTGATCCTCCCACCTCGGCCTCCCAAAGTGCTGGGATTACAGGTGTGTACTCCCAAAGTGCTGGGATTACAGGTGTGAGCCACTGCGGCCGGCCTCACACACGTTTTTAACTAGATTTCTTTTGTGGACATAGTTTCACTCTGGTTGCCTAGGCTGGAGTGAAATGGCATGAACTCAGCTCACCGCAACCTCCGCCTCCCAGGTTCAAGTGATTCTCCTGCCTCAGCTTCCCAAATAGCTGGGATTACAGGCATGCACCATCACACCCAGCTTATTTTGTATTTTTAGTAGAGACGGGGTTTCTCCATGTTGGTCAGGCTGGTCTTGAACTCCCGACCTCAGATGATCTGTCCACCTCAGCCTACCAAAGTGCTTGGATTACAGGCATAAGCCACCATGCCTGGCCTTTAACTAGATTTCTTAAGGCATTAAATTCCTTAATATTTTCCATTAGAAGATACATACTCAATAAATCCTACTTTTTAATACAATGAGAAATCTCAAGAGAAATGGAATCAACCTAAGTGTTCATCAACAGATGAATGGATAAAGAAAATGTGCCATATATACATAATGGAATACTATTTAGCCATAAAAAGAACAAAATCCTGTTATTTATGACAACACAGATGAACCTAGAGGGCATTATGTTAAATGAAATAAGCCAGGCACAGAAAGACAACTACCACATGATCTCACTCATATGTGGAACCTAAAAAAGCTGATATCACAGAAGGAGAGAGTAGAATGGGAATGGTGATTACCAAAGGCTTGGGTAGTTAGGGGAGAGGGTAAATGAGGAAATGTTGGTCAAAGGATATACAATCACAGATAAGAGGAGTCAAATTTAAAAAAATATTTAGAACAGGTAAGCTTACAGAAATGAAAACTATGCAAATGATTGCCTGGGGATGGAGGGGTAGGGAGAAGAAGAAATTGGGAGAGGAAAGAGAGAAGTAAATAATAACTACGAATGGTCACGGAATTTCTTTATTAGATGGTGAAATGTTCTAAAATTGATTGCGGCGATGGTTAGGCAGCTCTGTGAACAGACTAAAAAATGTTGGATTGCACATTTTAAATGGGAAAATTCTATGATATGTGAAATATCTCAATGAAGCCATTAAGGAAAAGACCTTGATTAAGTTCACGTAACTACTGTTCAAGCTGAAATTTTAAAATACACTGAGTAGAGAATCTTGACTATTAAACTGCTGTGCTATACTGCCTTAAACGAAGTAATTGGCAATTTAAACGGATAGGGCTTTATTGGTCTAAAACAGTGAGGTTTAATAATTTATTCTCATGTCTCAGAATGTTTCAGTATAAAGTGAAGGTCTTAAAATATTTTGAACTAAAAAAATGAAATCACAACTTATCAAAACTTATATGGTGCAGCAAAAGTGGTGCTTGGGGGAAATTTATAGCATTAAATGCATATATTAAAAAAGAAGAAATATCTAAAATCAATAATCCAAGTTTCTATTTTAAGAAACTAGAACAAAAAGCAAATTAAATCTAAAATAAGCAGAAGAAAAGAAATAATAAAAATTAGAGGAGAAATCAACGACACTGAAAATAGGAAAGCCGTAGAGAAAAATCGATGAAACCAAAAGCTGTTTCCTTGAAAAAAATCAATAAAACGTATAAGCTTCTAGCCTAACTAAGATAAAAATAGAGAGGACACAAATTACTAATACCAGAAATGAAAGGGGGGGGGCATTAGTACAGGGTCCATGGACATTAAAAGGATAGGAGAAGAATACTGTAAACAACCCCATGCTCACAAATTTGATAACCTAGATGGAATGGACAAATTCCTTGAAAGATACAAGAAGAAACAGATACTATAAATTGGTCTATACTTATTAAAGAAATTGAATCAATAATTAATCAACTTGCAAAAGCAGAATGCACCAGGCCCAGATGGGTAGACTGGTGAATTCTACCAAACATTTAAGTAAGAAATTATACCAATTCTCTCTAATTTCTTTCAGAAGACAGAAACAGAGGGAATACTTCCTAACTCATTCTATGAGGTCAGCATTACCCTAATACTAAAACCAGACAAAGACATTATAAGAAAAAAACAAAAAAAATGACAGGCCAGTATCTTTCAAGAACATACATTCAAAAACCTCCAATAAAATATTAGCAGAGGGAATCCAACAATGTCTAAAAAGAAATATACACCACAGCCAAGGGAGATTTATCCCAGGTATGCAAGGCAGGTTTGACATTCAAAAACCAGTTAATGTAATCCATCAGATCAATGGGCTTTAAAAAAATCACATGATTCTATCAATATATGCAGAAAAAGCATTTGATAAAATCCAATACCCCTTCATGATAAAAACTCTTAGTATACTAGGAATAGAGGGAAACTTCTTTATCTTGATAAAGAATATCTACAAAAAACCTACAGCTAACTTCATACTTAATGGTGAGAAATGAGATATTTCCTAAGATCAGAAAGGGGCAAGGATGTCCCCTACCACCACTCCTTTTCAACATCACAGTGGGAGGCCTAGCTAATGCAATAAGGCAAGAACATGAAATACGTGATTGGGAAGGAAGAAATAAACTGTCTTTGTTCATAGATGACATGATTGTTTACACAGAAAATCTGAAAGAATTGACACAATCTTATATATTACAATTTTCTATATTAACCCTGTATGCTGCATCAGTATATAAGGAGCCTCCGCCTCCCAGATTCAAGTGATTCTCCCACCTCAGCCTCCTGAGTAGCTGACACTATAGACATGTGCCACCACACCCGGCTTAATTTTGCATTTTTTGGTACAGGTAGGGTTTCACAATGTTGGCCAGGCTGGTTTTGAACTCCTGACCTCAAGTGATCCACCCATCTCAGCCTCCCAAAGCGCTGGGATTACAGGCATAAGCCACTGCACCCAAGCATAGAAGTCAATTGCTTTCCTATATACCAGCGATGAATAAGTGGAATTTGAAATTAAAAACACAATACCATGTACCTTAGCACTCCCCAAAATAAAATATACTTAGTTATAAATTTAACAAAGTATATACAATATCTGTATGAGGAAAACTACCATACTCTGATAAATGAAATCAAAGGAGAACTAAACAAATGGAGAGATATTCCATGTTCATGGATAGGAAGACTCAATATTGTCAAGATGTCAGTTCTTCATAACTTGATCTATATATTCAATGCAATCCCAATCAAAATTCCAACAAGGTATTCTAAAGTTTATATGGAGAAGCAAAAGACCAAGAACAGCCAGTACAATGTTGAATGAGGAGAACAAAGTCTGGGGACTGATACTATCCTACTTTAAGACTTAATATAAACCTACAGTAATCAAGACATTGTATTATTGGTGAAAGAACAGACAAATATGTCAATGGAACAGAGAGTCCACAAATATACTCACATAAATACTGTCAACTGATCTTTGACAAAGGAACAAATACAATGTAAAGAGCAAAGATGGTCTTTTCAACAAATGGTGCTAGAACAACTGGGCACCCATATAAAAAATATCAATCTAGACACACACCATACACCCTTCACAAAAATTAACTCTAAGTGGATCATATATCTAAATGTAAAATGCTAAACTATAAAATTCCTAGAACATGGGAGAAAATTTAGATGACACTGGGTATGACACTAACTTTTTAGAGACAACACCAAAACCACAATCCATGAAACTGATAAGCTAGACTTCATTAAACTAATCCGGTTCTTTGAAAAGATATATAAAATTGATAGACCATTAGAAAGATTAACCAAGAAAAGAGAGAAGATCCAAATAAGTTCAATTAGAAATGAAATGGGAGATATTACAACTGATAACACAGCAATACAAAAGATTACTGAAGGCTACTATAGACACCTTTATGTGCATAAACTAGAAAACCTAAAAGAGATGGATAAATTCCTGGAAATATACAACCATCCTAGATGAAACAAGGAAGATATAGGATCTCTGAACAGACAAATAACAAGTAGCGAGATTGAAATGGTTATGGAAAAACTGCCAACAAAAAAAGTCCAGGACCAGACAGACTCACAGATAAATTCTATCAGACATTCAAAAAAGAATTGGTACCAAACCTATTGACACTATTCTGAAAGACAGAAAAAGAGGGATCCTTCCTAAACCATTGTATGAAGCCAGTATCACCCTAACACCCAAACCAGGGAGGGACATAACAGAAAGAGAAAACTACAGACTGATATCCCTGATGAACATAGGGGCAAAAATCCTCAACAAAATACTAGTGAACCAAATCCAATAGCATATCAAAAAGATAATCCACCATGATCAAGTGGGTTTCATACCAGGAATGCAGGGATGGTTTAACATACATAAGTCAATAAATGATACACTACATAAACAGAACTTAAAACAAAAATCACATGATCATCTCAATAGACACAGAAAAAGCATTTGACAAAATCCGGCATCCTTATATGATTAAAACCCTCAGCAAAATCAGCATACAAGGGACATACCTTAAGGTTATAAAAGCCACCTATGACAAACCTACAGCCAATATTATACTGAATGGGGAAAAGTTGAAAGCATTCCTCCTGAGAACTGGAACAAGACAAGGATGCCCACTTTCACCACTTCTATTCAACACAGTACTCAAAGTCCTAGCCAGAGAAATCAGACAAGATAAAAAAATAAAGGGCATCCAAATAAGTAAAGAAGAAGTCAAACTGTCACTGTTTGCTAATGATATGACTATATACCTAGAAAACCCTAAAGACTCATCCAAAAAGCATCTAGATCTGCTAAATGAATTCAGCAAAGTTTCAGGATACAAAATTAATGTACACAAATCAGTAGCTCTGCTGTACACCAAAAGTTACCAACTGAGAATCAAATCAAGAACTCAACCCCTTTCACAATAGCTGCAAAAAAATACTTAGGAATATACTGAAGCAAGGAGGTGAAAGACCTCTACAAAGAAAACTACAAAACACTGATGAAAGAAATCATAGACAATACCAACAAATGGAAACACATCCCATGCCCATGGATGGGTAGAATCAATATTGTGAAAATGGCCATACTGCCAAAAGCAATCTACAAATTCAGTGCAATTCCCATCAAAATACCACCATCATTCTTCACATAACTAGAAAAACCAATCCTAAAATTAATATTTGGAACCAAAAAAGAGCCCTCATAGCCAAAGCATTGCTAAGCAAAAAAAATCTGGAGGCATCTCATTACCCACCTTCAAACTCTAATATAAAGCCACAGTCACCAAAATGGCATGGTATAAAAATTAGGCACATAGAACAATGGAACAAAATAGAGAACCCAGAAATAAAGCCAAATACTTAGAGCCAACTAATCTTTGACAAAGTAAACAAAAACATAAAGTGGGGAAAGGACATCCTATTCAACAAATGGTGCTGGGGTGGTTGGCAAGCCACAGGTGGAAGAATGAAACTGGATCCTGATCTCTCAGCCTTATACAAAAATCAACTCAAGATGGATCAAAGACTTAAATCTAAGATGTGAAACCAAAAAGATTCTAGAAGATAACATTGGAAAAACCCTTCTAGACATTGGCTTAGGCAAAGACTTCATGACCAAGAACCCAAAAGCAAATGCAACAAAAACAAAGATAAATAGATGGGACTTAATTAAACTAAAGTTTCTGCATAGCAAAATAAATAATCATCAGAGTTAACACCCCACAGAGTGGGAGAAAATCTTCACAATCTATACATCTGACAAAGGACTAATATCCAGAATCTACAAGGAACTCAAACAAATCAGCAAGAAAAAAACAAACAATCCCATCAAAAAGTGGGCTAAGGAGATGAACGGACAATTCTGAAAAGAAGATATACAACTGGCTAACCAGCATATGCAAAAATGATCAACATCACTAATGATCAGAGAAATGCAAATCAAAACCACAATGCAATACCACCTCACTCCTGCAACAATGGCCATAATAAAAAAAAATAGATGTTGGTGTGGATGGGGCAAAAAGGGAACACTTTTATACTGTTGGTGGGAATGTAAACTAGTACAACCACTATGGAAAACATTGTGGAGATTCCTTAACTAAAAGTAGATCTACTGATTGATACAGCAATCCCACTAGTAGGTATCTACTCAGAGGAAAAGAAGTCATTATACAAATAAGATATTTGCACACATGTTTATGGCAGCACAATTCGCAATTACAAAAATATGGAACCAGATGCCCATTAATCAACGAGTGGATAAAGAAAATGTGACATATATATATATATATATACATACCATGGAACACTATACTCCGCCATAAAAAGGAACAAAATAATGGCATTTGCAGCAACCTGGATGGAATTGGAGACTATTATTCTAAGTGAAGTAACTCAGAAATGGAAAACCAAACATCATATGTTCTCACTCATAGGTGGGAGCTAAGCTATGAGGATGCAAAGGCATAAGAATGATACATTGGACTTTGGGAACTTGGGGGAAAGAGCAGGGGGTGGCAAGAGATAAAAGACTACACATTAGGTACAGTGTATACTCCTTGGGTGATGGGTGGACCAAAATTGCAGAAATTGCCACTAATGGACTTATTCATGTAACCAAACACCACCTGTTCCCCAAAAACCTACCGAATTAAAAAAAAATGGGCCAAAGGCCTTAACAAACACTTCACCAAACAAGATATTCAGAAGGCAAATAAGCACATGAAAAGATATTCCACATCATATGGTCATCAGGGAAATGCAAATTAAAATAACAATGAGACAGAACTAGACACACAGTAGAATGACCCAAATCCAAAATACTGACAAAACTAAGTCCTGACAAGGATATGGAACAACAGGAACTCTCATTCATTGCTGGTAGGAATACAAAATACAGCCACTTTGGAAGACAGTTTGGTAGTTTCTTACAAAACTAAACATTCTCTTGCTATTTGACCAAGAATTAATTGCCCAAACATGGGAGCAACAGAGATTTTCAGCGAATGGATAAATAAACTATGGTATACCTGAACAATGAAATACTATTCAGCATTAAAAAGAAATGAGCTATCAAGCTGTAAAAAGACAAAGAGGAACTTAAAATGTATATTACTAAGTGAAAGAAGCCAATCTGAAAAGACTACATACCATATGATTACAACTATATAACATTTTGGAAAATGCAAAATGATGGAGGCAGTGAAAAGATCATTTGTTTCCAGGGGTTAATGGAAAGGGAGGGATGAAAGAGAGGGATAGGCAGAACACAGAGGATTTCTGGGGCTGTGAAACTACTCTGTATGATACTAAAAGGATGGATCCATGTCATTATAATCTGTCTAAATCTATAGAATGTACACCACCAAGAATGAACCCTAATGTAAATGATGGACTTTGGGTTATTATGATGTGTCAATGTAGGTTCATCAATTATAACAACTGTACCCCTGTGGTGGGGAATGTTGATAATGGAGAGGCTATGCATGTATGATGTATGGGGGAAGGGGGTACGTGGGAAATCTGTACCTTTCTCTCAATTTTACTGTGAACCTAAAACTGCAGTAAAAAATAGAATAAAAAAAACTTCAAATGTTATTGTTGTTCAAATTTTATATTAATCAAATAGAGCTTTAGACTACTTTAGCAAAAGGTATCTAGCTCTCTTCCCAAAAGTATTGTTCTTAATCTCCTAACTGGACTACAAAATGTAGAAAACATCTAAGCCAGATCCTCACTGTTTCCTGTGTATTAATTTCACCTGCTCAACCTGACTGTGAACATCTAGAGGTTTTTCTGGATTCTGCAAAGCATGGCACAGACTTGAGCAACCGGCACAATGAACACTGATCTCCACACAGCAGTGTTAGACGTAACAAGGATAAAAGCAGCCAAAGCACTGGCAAGATAAGCAACAGCTATGGTTTAAGGCAATGAATTAAAAATGTATACCAGAATTCACACAGTGATTTCTTAATTTGATATTCTTTTAGGGTGAAATAAAGAAAAGCATATAAATCTTTTAAAGAAATATATGCTAAATTAACAAAAATCTCAATGAAAAAGAGGTAGCCTTCACATGGAATCTGTAAGCCCCAAATAGACAATACTTTAGAACATCTTAAACTTCTTCGAGGGAAGATAATATTTAATGTATCTAAATTCTAAACACACTGCCCCTAAAACATTAAGTACCTCTACTATCACAGAAAGAAGGGACTATATATTTTGAGGGAAGAGGTTTCTTTAATGAAGAAATTCTGACAGAGGGGCAAGAACCTAAGTAATGGCCAGGTAGAATGGCAAGCCTCACGAGATGGTACCTTCTGACTCATGAAGTGGGCATGGGCCCTGTGACTGAGGATAAAAGACCCCAGAATGGGCATGAGACAGTCTTTGGAACCAGGGTCTTTCTCTTTTAAAGGTAAAGTTATCTAGTTACTTTCTATGTTTCTATCTATATCGAACACTTATATCCTTCCCTTCCCTTCCCTTGCCTCTTCCCTCCCCCTTTCCTTTCCCCTTTCTTTCTCCTTTCCTTTTTCCTTTTCTCTTCCCTTTTCCCTCTTCTTTTTCCTTTTCCTTTCCTTTCCTGAGATAGGGTCTCATTCTGTTGCCCCACCGTAGTGCAGTGGTGCAATCATAGCTCACTGCAACTATGATTGAGTGGGGAGCCCAACTCCTGGGTTCAAGTAATCCTCCCACCTCAGCCTACTGAGTAGCTGGAATACAGGTGTGTGCCACCATGCTCTGCTAATGTTTAAAGTTTTTGTGGAGATAGGGTCTCCATATGTTGTCCAGGCTGGTCTTGAACTCTTGGCCTCAAGTGATCCTCCCACCTCAGTCTCCCAAAGCACGAGGATTACAGGCATGAGCCACCATGCCCAGCCAATGCTTATATATTCTTATGAAAATATTAGGTAGAATTATATATCTCATACTTCTTAGTTTTTTATACAATTTAAGAAAATGGTAGGCCAGGTGCCATGGCTCATGCCTGTAATCCAGCACTCTAGGAGACTGAGGCGGGCAGATTGCTTGAGCTCAGGAGTTCGAGACCAGCCTGGGAAACATGGAGAAACCTGGTCTCTACTTAAAAATACAAAAATTAGCCAGGCATGGTGGTGTGCATGTGTAGTCCCAGCTACCTGAGAGGCTGAGGTGAGAAGATCACCCGAGCCTGGGATGTGGAGGCTGCAGTGAGCTATGATCATGCCACTGCACTCCCACTCCAGCTGGGGTGACAAAGCAAGACCCTGTCTCAAAAAAAAAAAAAAAAAAAAAAAGAAAGAAAGAAAAGAAAAAGAAAGAAAGAAAGGAAAGGGTAATTATTGTCCTGAAATATCAAAAGACCAGGCAGTTGATAGAGCTAAGGACAAAAAAAATACCAGAAGGCAAAGCATCTTTTGAACATGCTCTAACACCTCATCTCCTTTCAAATAGTAATTGTATAATAATGCTCCCATAACTACAACTACAATGTGCCGGGCACAATTCTAAATACTTCACGTGTAATAACTCATAAATCTTCCATGAAGTAGGGACTATTATTTCCTCCATTTTACAGATGAGGAAACTGAGCAAAGTGATTGATACATCAATTTAAATAACTATTAAGCTGTCAAAAAGGCATTTATTTGATCATACATTGTAGAGTCTTATGAAGAGTAGGAACTTGAATTAGGTTTCTACTGTAACATAGCCTAGGTTTCTTCAAGAGCAGAGAAGTGGCTATGGCATAATGCCTCATTTAATACTAATACAAATGCTGTAACTAAATAGATTATATGGTGATCTACACTGATGAAAATGTCTGAAATAATCTTGTCAATCATTCAATAATAAAGTTATTCTAGGTTCACAGATATAACTAAAATCATATTGATAATTCTTAACCGTCATACAGTTTTACTATTGGTATGCGATCCATGGGACAAGCCAAAAGCTAATCACATATGTTCATGTAAAAAAAGATTTTGGTAGACTAGTGGACTTTGTATTTTAACTGAGAATACTGTTAGTCAACCATGTCATCCACTTTTTTTTTTTTTGTACAGAAACATAATTCTAACTTGATAACCTTACATTATAAAATCAAAGTCACAAAATTCCAAAGTAAGACACACCATTTAATTACGATTTCTGAAAAGTAGTCCTAGCTTGGATAAAGCTTAAATTTAAAAGTAAGAGGAGAGAGCTAATTTCTACTTATAAAGGATAATTTCTCTTTCTGGGTTTATTGCACTGGACCTCCTACTTTGTCAACCAATTGCCTCTTTAATTTTTAACCATAATTCCAAAAATAACAAAAAGTCTACGAAAAAAAGAGAAGATACAAGATTATAATAAGGCACCTGGTTCTGCTTCTGCTTTATAATACCTAAGATTACCTTGATTTCCAGTGGAAGTGTGAGCCACCGGACTCCAGGGAGGTTGTCTAAAAGTACTGCACTGGAAGCATCGTACTGCTGAGCACTGGGACTGGCGCTGGAATGCAGTTTCGCAGGCTGAAGTGCTCTTTGAAAGAACAAGTTAAAAAAATGATCCAAACGAGGAACATTCTCAATCTGGCAAAAGGCACTGGAGAAATAAGAGCTGTAAGTTAGAACGACATATGGAAATGGTGGTCATTTTTTGTGTGCTCCTAAGGGAACTGGATCTTTCCCAACTACATAGGCTATCTTCCTCACTCCTCTCTTCCTTCAATAGAATTGCTGCTAGAATGTTACTGACGGATTGTGTAAAGAAATTTACCCTGTCCAAACTTTTTACCCTAAAACCTACTCTCAAGTGTATCAAGTAGATGGCTCTATGGAAGAACCACAGGGCTAACACAAGTGACATATTTATAAAAGAAAGGGCTGAAGTACCCTTTTTGTAAAAAATGTAGGTTGTTTTTACCTCTGACTGTCTTTTAACCATTTACAACTCCTGAAATCTTTCAGGCAACGTGGAATGATAAAGAGATTTTGAACTTTGTAATAGAACAGATCTGGCTTATCACAGCTCTTTCTAGGTAGCTATCACAGGCAAATCACCTAACCTTTCTCTAACTTTGGTTTCCAACTCTGTAAAAACAGGGTTAATACAATCTAGCTCACATGCAGAATGCCTAGAACATAACAAGCATAAGTTCTTATTATGCTTATTATTTACTGGTAAACAGTAAGTACATAATAAGCATAAGTTATTTCCTCCCCTCTTTACTACTGAAGGTATAACATTAAAGAACTCAAAAAACAAAATGACAGAAAAAACCGAAATACTTGGTTTTAGCCATATAAAAGTAACACAGCATTGACTGCAAGCATTTATTGGAACAGCTCACTGAATGACAAAATAGCAGGTACATATGCTATCGGCATATCAAAATAATTATTTGCTGATTCATCTAACAAATATTTGAGTGACTACTACATTCCAGGCACTATTCTCATTGCTGGAGGTATGGCAGTAAAAATATCAAGACAAAAGACAATGAGCTCCCATGAAGCTTATGTTCTAATGGAGAAAGACAGCAAATGAACAAAAAGTAAAAAACACAAATTCATATAAAGGACTATGCAGAAAATAGCACAATATGAATGGGTGGTGTGACAGATTGGCTATTTTAGGTTGAATGGTTGGAGAAGAATCTCTGAGAAAGGGCATTTGAGCTGATATTCCAATGTCAGAAAGATCCAGCAAGAAGAAAAAGTACAAAAGCCCTGGGCTGGGGAAAAGCTTTGCCAGGGTGTTTGCAATACAGTGCAAAGGAGGCACGTGTGGTTTGATATCTGAAGTCAGAGGGGTAGGTAGGAACCAGATAATAATGTAGAAAGATCACGCTGCTATATGAAAATTAGTTCAAGTGGCAAGAATGAAGGGAAGGAGACCAGTTAGGAGGCTACTGTAGTGTGTGAGAGATAGCAGTGGCTGGACAGGGCAATAATAAAGATAAAGAGAAATGGACAGATTGGAGATTTTGAAGACAGACTGATCAGGACTTGCTGATGAATTAGTGGGGAATGGTGAAGGAAATTGTTATAGCTTTAATTTGGTCACAACGTTAAACTGTTAGTATATAGTCAGTTTTCTGTGGCTCATAGAGAATTAACCAGCTCACAACTTTAAAAAGATAATCAAGTCTCTACACTTTTTGGTCTTCTTGTAATTTTTCACAATTGGCCCTTAATATCTTTCATAATCAGAAAAAAAGTTGTTATAAAAATTTATTACAAAATGTCTATTAATAACATCCTGGATTCACTGTGCTTCTTGGTTTTAAGAACTCAATGGATCTTCACATTTATTATCGTAGTTTGCTCTTTAAATTCTCACTTGAAGTAGAAAAGAGTTAAATTTGCTGCCATCAAAAAGATACTTCCACTATCAATGGAAGATAAATTTCAAGATGAAAGAGAAATTAAGTCCCTCTGTCCCCAGTCTACTCTAATGGAATTTGTAGGACAACTCCAATGGACTATTTATATGTATGAAAATCATTGCAAAAATTTAATCTTTGATAATCTCTGGTTTTATGAAAACAGAAAGCTTCAATTAGGGCAAAATATGGCAAAGTTTTCTTCTGTTGAGTAAACTTAAAGAGGCAGTTCATAACCACATTCTTACTCTTCATTGGTTAAAACTTTCCTTACTAGTAAAAGGTAAAAGCACTATTTATGGATGCCCAGCTCTTTGTAGCTCACTTATCTGGAAAATGTTGGTAAGCAATCAGGTTTGACAGGGATGTGCCTCCTCAGCAGTTCCTCTAGAGAACACTGCAAACTAGATAATTTTCCCAGATGACACAATCACAGAAAATTCCTTCATGATACTGTAAGAACAATGAGAACAAAGATCCACTATAGATAAACAGAGAGCTGATATCACTATGGTTTGGAAAAATGTATAAACTGCCTTTGGATTTTTGTACTGATATACTCCTAAGGCTTTAAACATAAAGATACCATTTTAGCCCTCAGAAATACAAGAACAAAAGTCACTAAGAGAAAAATCGATTTCCCATACCCAATTTTATGTTAAATGTTACCTCAAATTTCTGCCTTCCAATCAAGAAGGTTAAAAACGCAAGAAGCAGAAAAATATGCATAACAGCATACTTTTATTAAAAAGGGAGTATGTATATTTTTATTGTATAGAAAATATATGGAAGGACACGAACAAAACCAGTCAATACCGTCTCTACTGTATGTCTTTTTAAATAATAGTGCATAAATTTTTTACTAAAGAAATTTTTTTGAGAAAGAAGCATATTTCAGGATAGTGAATTTGATGGTCTTATAAGCAAAGAAAAACACAAAAATGTATTTTAAGTCTTTCTCTTTTCTGTATCTGTTATGAAGAAATACTCTTACATTTGCCCCTACAGAAATATATCAAATCAGAACACAGTTGTGGTTATATCACTAATTCACTAAGAAATTTCACTAAAGTCATATATGAGACCAAAAAGGAAAAAAAAAAGGA
Organism: Homo sapiens; assembly: GCF_000001405.40. Taxonomy (NCBI): domain Eukaryota; kingdom Metazoa; phylum Chordata; class Mammalia; order Primates; family Hominidae; genus Homo; species Homo sapiens. Next base: position 127,684,788 of record NC_000004.12, on the reverse strand, counting down.
AATGAATCAAATGAAAAACTGTCTACTGTTATAACAAAAAAGCCAGTAATAAAAGATGAGAAAATAAGAAGAGGAAGGAGAAAAAGAAGGAGGTGGAGGAATAAGGATAGAGAAAGGGGGAAGGAAGAGGAGGAGAAGGAAGAAGGAGGAGGAGGAAGAGGAAGGAAGAGGAGGAGGAAAGAGGGGAGGGAGGAGAAAAGAGACAAATAACTAACCTGTCAAGCAAGAAATGGTCTTAAATGCAGAAGATGACTTAGAATCACATAATTAAAACTTGAGATTCAATTTGAAGAAGTACTTACCTATCTAAAGAACCATACATAAATTTTAAGGTTTGGATGACATTTTCTATCATGTTCCTTAGACGAGGAAGAGGAACTCTAAAAAAGCAAAATTACACGTATTAATTTACAACATAATCAAATGACATTTATCTAAAAGAAGTAGATCATCCTTGAATTTTACACATACGGAATGTGAAAAGTATGTGTGTCAACTCTGAGTAAAGCTGTACAAAATGGTCGCTTTCAATGACCATTGATCACTTTATTCTAGATTTAGTTCCAGCATGAATCTAACAGGGATTTTATAACACCATTTATTTGTAAATCATGTAACTGTCTCTAAAGTTCAGTTTCTTCATCTGTAAAATGAGGCCAGTAGTCACCAAGCCCTTCTCAGATTGATTCTGAGAATTAAATGAAATTAATGCAAATAAACTAGTTTTTACAAGACCTGGGCCCATAAAAAGAAATTCTAAATTCTTGACACTTTTTAGTATTACCCACATATCAACTGGGCCTCCAAGTCCTGTGACAAAAACACACTCTTAATTGAAATGGAGGATGGGAAGAAAGTAGGAGAAAGGAAATAAAGAAATGGACTTACATTTTCTCATTGAAGCCTTTTAAGAATTTTATAAGGTAGCTCTTATTATTCCCATTATACAAATAAGTAAACAGAAGTCCAAGAAATTACGTAATTTCTGCAAGGGTAGAAAGGGAGTAGAGCCTGCCGGTGAGCACTTATCTTCTTAGACCCAAAGTTATTCTCCCACTACCCCACACTGTCCTCCTGGTTAGGTTTCCGCTATTCACTGCAGCCATCACGGGAATGTGATCTTCCCATCTGAAAACACATGTCCCTCGATCATGTGCCCCACCCTAAATTCTGTGGGACAGCACTTTTCTCACCCTGCTTATAAAAGGCATAGAGGTGAGGAGGGAAACACGCAGTCTATGGCACTGAGATGGACGAGGAGAAAATCCCAGGGCTGTGAGTTCAATTACAAAGCACATGCAAAATGTTGGTGATACGAAGACGTGTAAGTTGACACTGAAGAGGTGCTTATGCATGATCTCTCCATACTCTATTTCCAAGTTTGAATAAATGAGAATACTACTACCTATCTTTTAGTTATGTGAAATGAGATAGAAGAGGGAAAATAATCTGGAACAAAGGGTTGGTGTGAGCATTTAAGAGAAGGGTAAAGAGATGGCTCAAGCTTACTTTTCACTGGAAGCTCAGGAAAGAGAATAAAGGGGATCTTCAAATTAATTCTAACTTATCAAGCCAAGTTCTTTAGGAGAGGAATGACATAAATATTTAGGGAAGATGGCCTCCCTTCCCCCACCCTGTTTAATAAAGATTGAGAAATTAGCTAGAGCATCCCTCATGTGGCACAACCTTGGTCCAGAGCTCAGCAGTGACAGTCCTTTGTTGGCTTCAGGATACAAACTCACCTGGAAACTGTCTCTGCCTAGCTGATTCGGCTGGTGTCATCAGAGTGTGGTTGAACAGCCTTTGCTCAGTTCCTTATCCAGGTCTGCCTTTCCTCTCTCTAACTGCCTATGCTACCTTTATCTCACCACTGTATTCTCTTTCTTCTCTTTTGCCTTTTGGGCTGCTACAAAAGTCTTAAAGAGACATGTTTTACTCTGCTGCTACATCCTAAATCATCTCATTCTGGATGTTCTCCAATCCTTGTAAACCCATAATTTATTTCTTTTCTTTTATTTATTTTTATTTTTTATTTTATTATTATTATACTTTTAAGTTTTAGGGTACATGTGCACAATGTGCAGGTTAGTTACATATGTATACATGTGCCATGCTGGTGTGCTGCACCCATTAACTCGTCATTTAGCATTAGGTATACCTCCTAAAGCTATCCCTCCCCCCTCCCCCCACCCCACAAAAGTCCCCAGAGTGTGATGTTCCCCTTCCTGTGTCCATGTGTTCTCATTGTTCAATTCCCACCTATGAGTGAGAATATGCGGTGTTTGGTTTTTTATTCTTGCGATAGAATGATGATTTCCAATTTCATCCATGTTCCTACAAAGGACATGAACTCATCCTTTTTTATGGCTGCATAGTATTCCATGGTATATATATGCCACATTTTCTTAATCCAGTCTATCATTGTTGGACATTTGGGTTGGTTCCAAGTCTTTGCTATTGTGAATAGTGCTGCAATAAACATACGTGTGCATGTGTCTTTATAGCAGCATGATTTATAGTCCTTTGGGCATATACCCAGTAATGGGATGGCTGGGTCAAATCGTATTTCTAGTTCTAGATCCCTGAGCAATCGCCACACTGACTTCCACAAGGGCTGAACTAGTTTACAGTCCCACCAACAGTGTAAAAGTGTTTCTATTTCTTCACATCCTCTCCAGCACCTGTTGTTTCCTGACTTTTTAATCATTGCCATTCTAACTGGTGTGAGACGGTATCTCATTGTGGTTTTGATTTGCATTTCTCTGATGGCCAGTGATGATGAGCATTTTTTCATGTGTTTTTTGGCTGCATAAATGTCTTCTTTTGAGAAGTATCTGTTCATGTCCTTCGCCCACTTTTTGATGGGGTTGTTTGTTTTTTTCTTGCAGATTTGTTTGAGTTCATTGTAGATTCTGGATATTAGCCCTTTGTCAGATGAGTAGGTTGCAAAAATTTTCTCCCATTTTGTAGGTTGCCTGTTCACTCTGATGGTAGTTTCTTTTGCTGTGTAGAAGCTCTTTAGTTTAATTAGATCCCATTTGTCAATTTTGTCTTTTGTTGCCACTGCTTTTGGTGTTTTAGATATGAAGTCCTTGCCCATGCCTATGTCCTGAATGGTAATGCCTAGGTTTTCTTCTAGGGTTTTTATGGTTTTAGGTCTACCGTTTAAGTCTTTAATCCATCTTGAATTAATTTTTGTATAAGGTGTAAGGAAGCGATCCAGTTTCAGCTTTCTACATATGGCTAGCCAGTTTTCCCAGCACCATTTATTAAATAGGGAATCCTTTCCCCACTGCTTGTTTTTCTCAGGTTTGTCAAAGATCAGATAGTTGTAGATATGAGGCATTATTTCTGAGGGCTCTGTACTGTTCCATTGATCTATATCTCTGTTTTGGTACCAGTACCATGCTGTTGTGGTTACTGTAGCCTTGTAGTATAGTTTGAAGTCAGGTAGGGTGATGCCTCCAGCTTTGTTCTTTTGGCTTAGGATTGACTTGGCGATGCGGCCTCTTTTTTGGTTCCATTTGAACTTTAAAGTAGTTTTTTCCAATTCTGTGAAGAAAGTCATTGGTAGCTTTATGGGGATGGCATTGAATCTATAAATTACCTTGGGCAGTATGGCCATTTTCATGATATTGATTTTTCCTACCCATGAGCATGGAATGTTCTTCCATTTGTTTGTATCCTCTTTTATTTCATTGAGCAGTGGTTTGTAGTTCTCCTTGAAGAGGTCCTTCACATCCCTTGTAAGTTGGATTCCTAGGTATTTTATTCTCTTTGAAGCAATTGTGAATGGGAGTTCACTCATGATTTGGCTCTCTGTTTGTCTGTTATTGGTATATAAGAATGCTTGTGATTTTTGTACATTGATTTTGTATCCTGAGACTTTGCTGAAGTTGCTTATCAGCTTAAGGAGATTTTAGGCTGAGACAATGGGGTTTTCTAGATATACAATTATGTCATCTGCAAACAGGGACAATTTGACTTCCTCTTTTCCTAATTGAATACCCTTTATTTCCTTCTCCTGCCTAATTGCCCTGGCCAGAACTTCCAACACTATGTTGAATAGGAGCGGTGAGAGACGGCATCCCTGTCTTGTGCCAGTTTTCAAAGGGAATGCTTCCAGTTTTTGCCCATTCAGTATGATATTGGCTGTGGGTTTGTCATAGATAGCTCTTATTTTGAGATACGTCCCATCAATACCTAATTTATTGAGAGTTTTTAGCATGAAGGGTTGTTGAATTTTGTCAAAGGCTTTTTCTGCATCTATTGAGATAATCATGTGGTTTTTGTCTTTGGCTCTGTTTATATGCTGGATTACATTTATTGATTTGCATATATTGAACCAGCCTTGCATCCCAGGGATGAAGCCCACTTGATCATGGTGGATAAGCTTTTTGATGTGCTGCTGGATTCGGTTTGCCAGTATTTTATTGAGGATTTTTGCATCAATGTTCATCAAGGATATTGGTCTAAAATTCTCTTTTTTGGTTGTGTCTCTGCCAGGTTTTGGTATCAGGATGATGCTGGCCTCATAAAATGAGTTAGGGAGGATTCCCTCTTTTTCTGTTGATTGGAATAGTTTCAGAAGGAATGGTACCAGTTTCTCCTTGTACCTCTGGTAGAATTCAGCTGTGAATCCATCTGGTCCTGGACTCTTTTTGGTTGGTAAGCTATTGATTATTGCCACCATTTCAGATTCTGTTATTGTTCTATTCAGAGAGTCAACTTCTTCCTGGTTTAGTCTTGGGAGGGTGTATGTGTCAAGGAATTTATCCATTTCTTCTAGATTTTCTAGTTTATTTGCATAGAGGTGTTTGTAGTATTCTCTGACGGTAGTTTGTAATTCTGTGGGATCGGTGGTGATATCTCCTTTATCATTTTTTATTGCGTCTATTTGATTCTTCTCTCTTTTATTCTTTATTAGTCTTGCTAGTGGTCTATCAATTTTGTTGATCCTTTCAAAAAACCAGCTCCTGGATTCATTAATTTTTTGAAGGGTTTTTTGTGTCTCTATTTCCTTCAGTTCTGCTCTGATTTTAGTTATTTCTTGCCTTCTGCTAGCTTTTGAATGTGTTTGCTCTTGCTTTTCTAGTTCTTTTAATTGTGATGTTAGGGTGTCAATTTTGGATCTTTCCTGCTTTCTCTTGTGGGCATTTAGTGCTATAAATTTCCCTCTATGCACTGCTTTGAATGTGTCCCAGAGATTCTGGTATGTTGTGTCTTTGTTCTCGTTGGTTTCAAAGAACATCTTTATTTCTGCCTTCATTTCATTATGTACCCAGCAGTCATTCAGGAGGAGGTTGATCAGTTTCCATGCAGTTGAGCGGTTTTGAGTGAGTTTCTTAATCCTGAGTTGTAGTTTGATTGCACTGTGGTCTGAGAGACAGTTTGTTATAATTTCTGTTCTTTTACATTTGCTGAGGAGAGCTTTACTTCCAAGTATGTGGTCAATTTTGGAATAGGTGTGGTGTGGTGCTGAAAAAAATGTATATTCTGTTGATTTGGGGTCGAGAGTTCTGTAGATGTCTGTTAGGTCCTCTTGGTGCAGAGCTGAGTTCAATTCCTGGGTATCCTTGTTAACTTTCTGTCTCATTGATCTGTCTAATGTTGACAGTGGGGTGTTAAAGTCTCCCATTATTATTGTGTGGGAGTCTAAGTCTCTTTGTAGGTCACTCAGGACTTGCTTTATGAATCTGGGTGCTCCTGTATTGGGCGCATATATATTTAGGATAGTTAGCTCTTCTTGTTGAATTGATCCCTTTACCATTATGTAATGGCCTTCTTTGTCTCTTTTGATCTTTGTTGGTTTAAAGTCTGTTTTATCAGAGACTAGGATTGCAACCCCTGCCTTTTTTTTGTTTTCCATTTGCTTGGTAGATCTTCCTCCATCCTTTTATTTTGAGCCTATGTGTGTCTCTGCACGTGAGATGGGTTTCCTGAATACAGCACACTGATGGGTCTTGACTCTTTATCCAATTTGCCAGTCTGTGTCTTTTAACTGGAGCATTTAGTGCATTTACATTTAAAGTCAATATTGTTATGTGTGAATTTGATCCTGTCATTATGATGTTAGCTGGTTATTTTGCTCGTTAGTTGATGCAGTTTCTTCCTAGCCTCGATGGTCTTTACAATTTGGCATGATTTTGCAGTGGCCGGTACCAGTTGTTCCTTTCCATGTTTAGTGCTTCCTTCAGGAGCTCTTTTAGGGCAGGCCTGGTGGTGACAAAATCTCTCAGCATTTGCTTGTCTGTGAAGTATTTTATTTCTCCTTCACTTATGAAGCTTAGTTTGGCTGGATATGAAATTCTGGGTTGAAAATTCTTCTCTTTAAGAATGTTGAATATTGGCCCCCAGTCTCTTCTGGCTTGTAGGGTTTCTGCCGAGAGATCCACTGTTAGTCTGATGGGCTTCCCTTTGTGGGTAACCCGAACTTTGTCTCTGGCTGCCCTTAACATTTTTTCCTTCATTTCAACTTTGGTGAATCTGACAATTATGTGTCTTGGAGTTGCTCTTCTCGAGGAGTATCTTTGTGGCGTTCTCTGTATTTCCTGAATCTGAATGTTGGCCTGCCTTGCTAGATTGGGGAAGTTCTCCTGGATAATATTCTGCAGAGTGTTTTCCAACTTGGTTCCATTCTCCCCATCACTTTCAGGTACACCAATCAGACGTAGATTTGGTCTTTCCACATAGTCCCATATTTCTTGGAGGCTTTGTTTGTTTCTTTTTATTCTTTTTTCTCTAAACTTCCCTTCTTGCTTCATTTCATTCATTTCATCTTCCATCACTGATACCCTTTCTTCCAGTTGATTGCATCGGCTCCTGAAGCTTCTGCATTCTTCACGTAGTTCTCGAGCCTTGGCTTTCCACTCCAGCAGCTCCTTTAAGCACTTCTCTGTATTGGTTATTCTAGTTATACATTCATCTAAATTTTTTTCAAAGTTTTCAACTTCTTTGCCTTTGGTTTGAATTTCCTCCTGTAGCTCGGAGTAGTTTGATCGTCTGAAGCCTTCTTCTCTCATCTCGTCAAAGTCATTCTCCGTCCAGCTGTGTTCCGTTGCTGGTGAGGAGCTGCGTTCCTTTGGAGGAGGAGAGGCACTCTGCTTTTTAGAGTTTCCAGTTTTTCTGCTCTGTTTTTTCCCCGTCTTTGTGGTTTTATCTACTTTTGGTCTTTGATGATGGTGATGTACAGATGGGTTTTTGGTGTGGATGTCCTTTCTGTTTGTTAGTTTTCCTTCTAACAGACAGGACCCTCAGCTGCAGGTCTGTTGGAGTTTGCTAGAGGTCCACTCCAGACCCTGTTTGCCTGGGTACCAGCAGCGGTGGCTGCAGAACAGCAGATTTTCGTGAACCGCGAATGCTGCTGTCTGATCGTTCCTCTGGAATTTTGTCTCAGAGGAGTACCCTGCTGTGTGAGGTGTCAGTCTGCCCCTACTGGGGGGTGCCTCCCAGTTAGGCTGCTCGGGGGTCAGGGGTCAGGGACCCACTTGAGGAGGCAGTCTGCCCATTCTCAGATCTCCAGCTGCATGCTGGGAGAACCACTGCTCTCTTCAAAGCTGTCAGACATGGACATTTAAGTCTGCAGAGGTTACTGCTGTCTTTTTTTTCGTCTGTGCCCTGCCCCCAGAGGTGGAGCCTACAGAGGCAGGCAGGCCTCCTTGAGCTGTGGTGGGCTCCACCCAGTTCGAGCTTCCCGGCTGCTTTCTTTACCTAAGCAAGCCTGGGCAATGGCGGGCTCCCCTCCCCCAGCCTCCCTGCCATCTTGCAGTTTGATCTCAGACTGCTGTGCTAGCAATCAGCGAGACTCCGTGGGCGTAGGACCCTCCGAGCCATGTGCGGGATATAATCTCCTGGTGCGCCTTTTTTTAAGCCTGTTGGGAAAGCGCAGTATTGGGGTGGGAGTGACCCGATTTTCCAGGTGCTGTCTGTCACCCCTTTCTTTGACTAGGAAAGGGAACTCCCTGACCCCTTGCGCTTCCCGAGTGAGGCAATGCCTCTCCCTGCTTCGGCTCAGGCATGGTGCGCTGCACCCACTGTCCTGTGCCCACTGTCTGGCACTCCCTAGTGAGATGAACCCGGTACCTCAGATGGAAATGCAGAAATCACCCGTCTTCTGCATCGCTCACGCTGGGAGCTGTAGACTGGACCTGTTCCTATTCGGCCATCTTGGCTCCCACCTCTCTCTCTCTTTTTTTTTTTTTTTGAGACATTGTCTTGCTCTGTCACCCAGGCTGGAGTACAGTGGCAGCATCACAGCTAACTGCAACCTCTGCCTCCAAGGCCCAAGCAATCCTCCCACCTCAGCCTCCCAAGTAGCTGGAACTACAGGTGCATGCCACTGTGCCTGGCTAATTTTTGTATTTGCTGAAGAGACGGGGTTTCACCATGTTACCTAGGCTGGTCTTGAACTCCTGAGCTCAAGCAATCCGCCAGCCTTGGCCTCCCAAAGTGCTAGGATTATAGGTGTGAGCCACTGCCTGGCTGTAGAGCCATACTTTCTAAACAACTCCTTCGTTCTTCATAATCCAAACCCAAAGGACAGTCTCTGAGAAGGGTTCAGTATCCTATTTTAGACAGAAAAACACATATTTTTCTCTTGTGTGGCTGGTTAAAGAGTGCCCTCATCTAGTATATGTCACAGCGCCATTATCCCTCCATGTAAAAAGATTTGAACCCCACATTTATGGTGGATTATATTTCTTTCTGTCCAAAATTAAAGTTACCTTCAAAACATAATCATTTTGATATTTTTCACTGTAGCCATCTTTGGAATTCCTGTTTGTGATGGTAAAATAGGTCCACAAATTCTTTGATACTCTTCCCCTCAAGAAGTGAGGCTTAATTCCTCTCCCCATGAGTGTGGGCTGAGCTTGGTAACTCAATTCTAACAAACAGAATGGTGGAAATTAGAAATATTGTGGAAATGGCAGTGTATCACTTTTAAGACTAAGCCATAAAAGGTCTTGTAGCATCCCCCTCTTTCTGTCTTTTGGCTCGCCACTTTGGAGGAAGCCAGTTGACATGTTATGAGGATACCCAAGCAGCTACATGGAGAGGTCCATGTGGCAAGAAACTAGGCCTCCTGACAATGGCCATGTGTGTAAGCCACTTTGGAAGCAGATTCTCCAGCTCCAGTTAAAGCCTTCAGATAAGTCTATCCCTGGCCAACACTGGACTGTAACCTCAAGAAAAGACCTTGAGGCAGAACTACCTGCTAGATTACTCCTGGATTCCTGAACCACGAAAACACCTTTGTGTTAATAAATGTTTACTATTTAAGTTTAAATTACCCCTATGTTTTTGGGAATGATTTGTTACACAGCAATAAAAAATGAATACACTGCTGTATAATGAAGGAAATCTGGTTAACAAATTCATTAGTAATAAAAAATAGTCATATTCACGTTCAGATTGGCTAGATAATGCATCTTTCTGGTACATCTTTTTCTTTCTTGGGAAGCTTGAAGCAACATCAAGAGAAAATTTATCTCAACTGGTATTCTCTGAAGTTGTATCCATCACATATTATAGTATTTATTTTGATATTTGATTCCTATTTTGTAGACCATACGCTATGATTCTACAGACCAAAGGAGAAAACTAAAGTGTGTTTAATTACTTAATAAAAGTTGTCTGAATCCTTTTTAAAGTAGGCAAAAGTCTAAATTACAAGTTTTAAAAACCATTGAACAGGAACATAACACTATTATAATAGTAGTTAAGTCTATCTCTTTAGGGCCATTCTCTAAACTTGTAGTCTATTTCTCCCTTAGTTTTCAATGTCCTATGATGTTAGGGAATCAATGTTGTAGAAAGAATTCAGACAGACCCACATTCAATTTCCAATCCTGCCTCTTGCTGATTATGCGAGCTTTGGCAAGTTACTGAACCCTCTTTTGATTTTACTTTCCTCACATGGAAAATGGAGCCAATAATCACTAAGTACGTCTGGAAGTGATTTTGAAGATTAAATGAGTTTAATAAATATAAAGTACCTAATGCAGTCCCTGGAGCACAAGGTCAGTTTATTATAATGTCAATCCTGCTTTTACCTCCAACTATTAAAATAATGTATACTTCAAAATACTCACAAAAAAGTTAAGAGGGAGACCATGATAATATAAGATGTACCATTAGAGAAGTCACTTTAGAGTTACATATACCTTATTTTGTCAAAGATGCTCAACATCAGGGCAAAATACCCTTCTGCTGACCCTTAATTCTCCAAAACCTCCAACAGTAAAAAACTGTAAATGTGCAAAATCCAAATCACAATGTTGTCAAAAATTTAAGCAGAGGCAGAGCTCATCTCTCAGCCACCTCTCTATTGACCACAAAAGAAGCAAGTGTATTGACAGCCCCACCCTTACTAACTGGCCCAGCTGAGGCTTCATGGCACCTTTCTGCATTATTCATACCAAACGAACACAGGTAACTATTTTACTAGTGCAATAGATCTTTAAACTGTAAAACTGTTCAAGGAGTTTGTCTTTTGACAAAAATGTAATAATTTTAACAAAACAAAAGTTAACATTATTTGGAAATGATTTTAAGGTAAGCAAAACCTCAACTTACTCTTCAGCAGGCAGGCCAATTAGCAACAACTTGTCAGATTCTTTCCAATAAGCCACATGAATTTGTTTTCCATTTAAAAGGAGGGATGAACTAAGAAACAATATATTCAAAATAAGGTTAGAATACCTTTAAATGTCATAAAATTATAAGTATAATTCATAAAAGATTGCATATGGTATGATTTAAGAACTACATACTTAATAAGTGATTTCTTTTCATATTCCTGTCACATAAAAAACGCAAGGAATTATATGACAGCAAAAATATACTCCAACATATTAAAAAAAAAAAACAAAAAAACAGAAAACTCTAGGCCAGGCTGGGTGTGGTGGCTCACACCTATGATCCTAGCACTTTGGGAGACCAAGGCAGATGGATCTCTTGAGGTCAGGAGTTTGAGAACAGCCTGGCCAACTTGGCAAAACTCTGTCTCTACTAAAATTACAAAAGATAGCCTGGTGGGGTGGTGCATGCCTGTGATCCTGGCTACTAGGGAGGCTGAGGTATGAGAAGTGCTTGAACCCAGGAGGCGGAGGTTGCAGTGAGCCAAGATTGTGCCACTGCACTCCAGCCTAGGTGACACAGTGAGACTCTATCTCAAAAAAAGAAAAAAGAAAACTCTAGGCCAAACAAAAATAGACCTATTATAGAAAAAAAAAAAAAGTTGAAATTCTCTTGCTAACATTAAGTGACTAAATATAATTTTTTTTTCCAAAAGAAAGCTTCAAAACTGGGTGCAGTGGATCATACCTATAATCCCAGCACTTAAGGGAAGCTAAAGTGGGAAGATCACTTGAGCCCAGGAGTTTGAGACCAGCCTGGGGAACAAAGTAAGACCGCATCTCTTAAAAAAAAAAAAAAAAAATTAGCTGGGTGTAGTGGAGTGGTCCTGTAGTCCCTAGCTACTTGGGGTGGGGAGTGAGATGGGAAGATCACTTGAGGCTGGGAGGTCAAGGCTGCGGTTAGCCATGATTGCACCATGCACTCCAGCATGGGTGACAAAGCGAGGCCCTGTCTCAAAAACAAAACAAAAAAAAGCTTCATCTCAGTTGGTTAATTTAACAAATATTTTGTGACTGCCTATTTATGAAGATGATTTGCTAAAGAAAGGAAGATGTAGTCCCAGCTGAGATGACAATCAGTATGGGACACAAATATATAAACAAGTAACCAAAATGTAAGTCAGATTTAAATGTGTTCTCAAGGAAACTTTTGGGGTGATGAATGTATTCACTGTGTCGATAGTTTCAGGGTATACACCTATGTGGAAACTATTCAAATTGTACATTTTACATATGTTCAGTTTACTTCATTATACTTCAGTGAAGTTTTAAAAATTTAATTATGTTCTAAAAAGAGAAACAATAATGAACTATGATAATAAAGAGAACTTAAGTGTGTGGAATTTAAAATATAAATTATAAAATAAATTTTTTCACACAGAACATTGCTTTTGTCTTAATACTTTTAGAAATGCATACACTTTCAGACAAATATTAGCCTCTTATAGTATACTAATATTACTATAGTTTAAAAAGTGTGTATGCAACAAAAGATACACACATTGCTAAGGAACCCCTAAAATAATTTTCATATTTATTACCTTCTTAAAAAAGTTTTTCTAGCTGTATTTACTGCTTTCCACAATTAACCCATATCTCATGGTTAATAACAAAATCTAAATATTAGGTAAAATAACATCTATTCTTTACAGTAGAAAAAATAAAGGCAAAAAAAAAAAAAAAAGCAACACCGCACAGAGAAACTTAAATTTTCTTTCTAATGAGACTGAAAAGGAGGAATGCACCTCCTTATGCTAAATGAAAGAAGCCAGTCACAAATAGCCACACATTATATGATTCCATTCATATGTAATATCCAGAACAGGGATATCTATAGGAATGGAAAGTAGATTAGCAGTTGCCCAGGGGTTGGGCTGGCTGAGCTAAAGGGTATAGGATTTCTTTCTGAGGTGAGAAAAATGTTTTAAAATTGAGTTTGATGAGGGTTGCGCATATCTGTGAATACACCAAAAAGCATTTACTTGTACACTTTAAAATTTATTATTTGTATATATTTAGGGAGTACAAGTACAGTTTTAATAGATGGATGTTGCATGGTGGTGAAGTCTGGGCTTTTAGTGTAACCATCACCTAAGGAGTGTACATTGTATCCATTAAGTAGTTTTTCATTTCTGACTCCCCTCCCGCCCTTCAAAAGCTCCAATGTCTGTTATTTTACACTCTATGTCCATGTGTATACATTATTTAGCCCCCATTTATAAGTGAGAATATGTGATATTTGACTTTCTGTTTGAGTTGTTTCACTTAAGATAATGGCCTCCAGTTCTATCTACGTTGCTGCAAATGACATGATTTCATTCTCTGTTATTTATTCCATTTATTTATTTAATTTACTCCATTTATTTATTTGTTCTTTTTTATTCCATAGTATATACATACACCACATTTTCTTTATCCAGTCATCTGTTGATGGATGCTTAGATTGATTCCATTATCTTTGCTATTGTGAATAGCACTCATAAATATATGAGTGCAGGTACCTTTTTGATATAATGATTTCTTTTCCTTTGGTTATATACCAAGTCATGGGGTTACTGGATCAAATTGTAGTTCTATTTTTAGTTTTTTGAGAAATCTCCATACTGTTTTCTGTAGAGGTTGTACTCATTTACAATTCCACCAGCACTGTATAAGCATTCCCTTTTCTCTGCATCCTCACCAGCATCTGTTATTTTTTGACCTTTTAATAATAGCCATTCTGACTGGTGTAAGATGTTATCTCATTGTGCTTTTAATTTGCATTTCTCTGATGATTAGTGATGAGCATTTTTTCATATGCACGTTATCCATTTGTATGTCTTCTTTTAAAAAATGTCTGTTCATGTCCTTTGCCCACTTTTTAATGGGGTTATTTGTTGTTTTCTTGTTGAGTTGTCTGAGTTCCTTATATAGATTCTGGATATTAGTCAGTTGGTGGATGTGCAATTTGCAAATATTTTCTCTCATTCCGCAGGCTATCTATTGACTCTGGACTATTTCTTTTGCTGTGTAGAAACTTTTCAGTTTAATTAAGACCTACTTATCTATTTTTTGGTTTTGTTGCATTTGCTTTTGAGGTCTTACTAATGAATTATTTGCCTAGGTCAAAGTCCAGAAGAGTGTTTCCTAGGTTTTCTTCTAGCATTTTTATAGTGTCAGGCATTACACTTAAGTCTTTAATCTAACTTGAGTTCATTTTTGTATATGGTGAGAGAGATGGGTTCAGTTTCATTCTTTTGCATATGGCTATCCAACTTTCCCAGCACCATTTATTGAATAGGGTGTGCTTTCCCCAGTGTATATTTTTGTCAACTTTGTCAAAGGTCAATTGGCTATAGGCATGTGGCTTTATTTCTGTGTTCTCTGTTCTGTTCCATTGATCTATGTCTATTTTTATACCAGTACCATGCTGTTTTGGGTTACTATAGAAAGCCTTGTAGCATAATTTGAAGTCAGGTGATGTGATGCCTCCAAGTTTTGTTCTTTTTGCTTAGGACTGCTTTGGCTATTCAGGCTCTTTTTTGGTTCCATACCAATTTTAGGATTACACATGCACTTCAAATGGGTGAATTGTATCACTTATGTACTATATCTCAATAAAGATTTTTAAAAAATAAAAAGAGGCCTGCAATATGCTTTTATGAACCCAAATTTATAAACTAAATAGAGCCTCCAGTACTACTGTATTGAAAATAAACTAACAGTTTGTATATACACTATATTAAAGTCACATAGTTAAACATGACTTTTAATTAGTTAAAACATAAAATTCTTCTGTCTATTGCCTTGTAGATTCTACCTCTTTTAAAATCATAGAAATGTCATTTCTACCTGAATATGGGGGAAAAAAAGTTAAAGCCTAGAAAATCCAACTTGATATTTTTTCAGTATTACGGAGGCTGTTGAAATTTGAGATAAAATTTCCTTGTAAAGTCTAAAATTGTTGAAATAATAAGGAAGAAAAATTGTTTATAATTCTTAGATTTATTTTATGAAAAAAAACACAAAACCTAAAAGCTTTGAGCCTTTTCCTCCCATAAATTAACTATGGCATTTCAATGTCAGGGCTTAATAAATCAATGGAATGGGTATTTGACTCTATAATTGACTATATTAAGAGTTCTAAATATAAAATTATTTGACATCAATGTTGCTCATCCATCATTAACTACACTGATGACGAATGCATCTGTCCTATTTGTCTATTTTTGGTTTTGCTGCATTTGCTTTTGAGGTCTTAGTCATGAATTATTTGCCTAGGCCAATGTCCAGAAGCATTTTTCCTAGGTTTTCCTCTAGCATTTCTATAGTGTCAAGTCTTCCTTTTAAGCCTTTAACCTAAATCAAGTTAGATTAAAGGGACAAATGGGAGCTAAATAATGTGTACACATGGACATAGAATGTGGAATAACAGACATTGGAGATTTTGAAGGGTGGGAGGGCAGGAAAATTCACAGATTATGAATAGCCCTCCTAAAGAACATTTTGTATTTTTCTATCATTGTTGTAAGAACAGAATATGTCCTAACTATATGACCAATTTTCGTGTTCAGTCATTCTTGCCAATTCTGTTTGCCACAAAGGTATTGCCTAGGAAGTTAACAATCAAGATAGAAACATGAAAAAGCTGAGATTCATAATAATGCCATGCTTAAAAGATACATCTTCATGAAGAAATAATAAATATAGGCCCGAGTGTTTTTTAAAATGTGCCAAAACACCCAGATCTACAGCTGTGTTGAGAATCTACACTTCAAATAGATGACTGGTAGAAATAACTTAGATGAAGCAAAAATCTGCAGACATTCTGCAGAGCTCGTTATCTATAATGTATAGATATATACGTGTATATACATACATTATAGACTATAATGTATATAATACATACATTGTAGATACAAGTATATTTGTATACCAGATACTTGTTTTAGCATTTTGTCAGGGTGAAATAAAAGAACTTGAAAAAAACAGAATTAAAGCTAAATAAAAATTATTACCTAGTAACTTGTGTCCCAGTTACGTTTTCCAGCATGTCACAGAGTGTGAGAAAAATCCCTCTCACACTTTTAAGTTTCTGAGATGCTTCAGACATTGGATAATGATAAAGAATTTCCTGCTGTTAAATGAAACAAATGATCAAACCACCCAATTTTCCAACCATTATCTTTGTCAGGGCAAGTTCAAACTTTGTGTTAAGAAAAGAACAAAAAATGAATCCTTTCAGCTTCAGTGGGAGTTTTGTTCAAACACAAGGGGAGAACTATGCTTGGAATTTTAACACATTAACTAGCATGTAAAAGACTACACTTGAAAATAAGTTAGAGACTGCCGAAATTAGTCATAATAACAAATAATATACTAAGTAGGATACTGATTAATTTACATTACAAATCATTTAAAACAGTTTTAAACTTTAATCTCTTTAATAATAATTTATAATACTAATATTTTATTATAGTTTGTTAATACTATACAGTTATTCTCGTCCCCTGTGGTTACATAGCTACACAGGTACCACAAGTAACTATTAAGAGTCTTTAAATTTAATTACTTTTACATTATTTTTTAAAAGACAATATTCAACATTTTTGGTGAAATCATTAAATCCAAGCCAAGACAGCAATTAAACTTACAAAGTGAGAATACAGAACTAAATTATAATATAGATAATAAGAAAAAAGTGTCACGATATTATAAAATCTTATTTGTCAAATTAGAAACACTGTGTATACCACAAACTAATCTGAATTCAAACTTTAAAAGAGCATATTTTATTTTAAATCATGGAAAATACTAGACATACAAGATAATTCACAAAATGCTTTATATTTTTCTGTTTTCAAGAAGAGCATGTCCCGGGAAACAGATAGTTTTTACAAAATAAAATGACAAACTTCAAAATCAGGATGTGCGCTGTGCTAATACTTTCATACAAAGAGATGAACCATTCTGTACCTCATTTTTTGTTGTTACTTAAAGCAACATTTATTTCTCTCACAAGGAAAATTAAAAGCAGGCAAAATGAAAATGTTCAGAGAGGAACCATGAAGAATTCAGAGTAGCTTCCAGTTGCCCTGTTTAATGACTGTATCCATAAATATTAATATTGCCACCATTGAAAACCCAAACTCCTTAAATAGTATCATGTATTTTCTCTGGTTCTCCAGCTCTCTAAAGAGTATTATATATCTTGCTGCGGTCTCGCTATACAATAAATAATTACATGATATGGTCTCCATGTCTTGCCAACTTTTACATTATGACAAATATAAATAAAGTGGAGACATCTGCTTTTTATACTTAGTAAGCACATTCAATATATGCAAATTGCTATAGAATATGCTGGCCAAATACACTCTGCCTAACAACTAAAATTGTATTGCAGTAATTCTAGTGTAAAAAAGTTACAAAACATTATTTTATATCTAGAAATTAAGTTAAATATCAGTTAAGATCTTCTGTTGTCTACTTAATAGATTTAAATCTTGGCCAATAAATAATTTTATTGCATTTAGCCAAAATACCATACACTACTTTAAACAAAAAAAACCCATATACTCTTTGAATAGTTTTTCGAAATCTCCAAGCTTATGGTCTTTACATTTTGAAATCTTGTGACTTGAAGAAGCTAAGCTTTTATTAAATATGTAACTCACAGAAAACAAAATGACCTTATGACATTTTGTTATAAATTAAGCCATACCAGTTAAAAAAGGTCTTTTGAGAAGGTCTCTATTCCAGTCATAAAAGCCTCACTATTAAAGACCTGGCAAGCTCTACGGTTCCTAACCAATTTAATTAGCTGTATTTTTAAGCACTTATTAGTAGCATGCATTTGCAGCAGCTTCCACTCTGTTCAATAAGAATAAAAGCCTCTCTTAATTACAATGTTGATACAGGGCTGGCAACAGACAGAAACCTGTTCTTTTGAGAAACATCTACACACTTTCCCATGGAAAGAAAGGCAAGGATGACAAAAGGTCTTAGCAGTATCTTACTCCAAAACGACTTAGAAAGATTCAGGATGTTATCATCCCGGAAATTTGTTTTATGTTTTATATAACAAATGCTTAAATATTTCATTTGTTTTAAAAATATAAAGGATCAGTACTACACACAAGAAATTAGAATTATTAACTCTAGGTCTGTATGTATTTTTCAGAACACAGAAAATAAAAAAAATGTGTCTAAGTAAATTCCTTCTTTGCCATTTTGATTATTCACTAAATTTTGATATATGAAGCAACACAAGGAAATGCATCCTTTTGGATAAAATAGCTTTAGCATTGAGAATACAGACTGGAAGGATTTCAAAAAGAAAGAGATACAGATTAGTTAAAAACATTTTAAATCTCACTTCTGTTCAAAGCATTATGTTTGACTAGATGCTCTGAGAGACCCTTGCGCTGTAAAACCAGATCCATGGCCAGAACATACTTTTCAAATTGCTGACATGCAAGAAGCAGAGAGGTTTCCAAGGACAACCTTCTAACTTCCTCCATTACTGCAGAGCAAGTTAGGGTCTCTGCTGGGAGTGTTGAGTGGTGGGCAGAAAGACAGAAGCAGGGCTGTCCTGAGGGCTGATTCCCACGACAGCTTCCATCAGGACACTGAGTACTGGGCTAGGAACAAGGTAGGTGAGCTGAGCCTAGAACCACTGTATTAAGCCCATACCCTCAAGTAAGGCTGAAATATCCTAGGTCAGTGGCAAAAGCAGAAGAAGTAAATTATCTCTGGAGGAGAGCATCCCCTCATTAGAATGACAAGACTCCCAAAGATAACATCAAGCAATAAGTTTAGTCAAAGATCCCCAAGGACATAAGAAGGGAAACCATTACAAGTGAGAATCCACTTAGGACTAGAGCTAGTAGAATCTAGTAGATCTAGAATAGAGTATAGAGTCTACAAGTATAGAGTCACAAAGATGAGCAAGCAACAAGAGACGATCGGGGATATCATGGCAGATTTGAAATGTTGATTAAGCACTATTCAGAAACTTCTAAAAATAAATATATAATTGTTTAAATAGAAAACACAATGGAGAGATTAAACAACAGTTTGGGCACAGAATACTAAAAGCTGAACAAACACTAGAAAAGGCATATTCCTTACAAAGGAATGATAGACTGACAGTAGACTTCTTAACAGCAATAATAGAGGTCAAAAGACAAAGGGATACTATCTTCAAATAGATTAGAGAAAATAACTATCTACTTAGGTGGCACAAGCAATCCCACGTATTCACTTGATCTTCTTCCTGGCCACACAGGAAGGCTACATTTCTTACTTCCTTGCATATGGATAGACCATGTGACTAATTCTACCCAGTGGAACATGAGCAGAAATGATGATACTTCTTTCAAGTCAGGTCTCCAAAATGTCCCATGTGATACTGCCTGCCTTCTCTCTTCTCTCATTGGCAGCTAGATGCAAAGGATCTAACAGAGGACTCCTAAGCCCTTGGGAATAATAGGAACACTAGAAGAAAGGCTGGAGTCACTGAGCCACATGACCAGGAACAGTTAAATGAAATGAGATCTAAACTTTCATCATGTTAAGCCACTGAGACATTAGGATTGTTTGTTATAGCAAGTAGCCTACCCAGATGAATACAATCTAGAATTATCAAGCTACCTTTCAGGAAGAGGTAAAAGAAGACATCATCAGATAAATAACAACAAAAAGAATTGATCACCCACACACTTTCACTAAAAAGAAATATTTAAAATATGTTTTAGGAAGAAAAGAATGATCCAATAAAGACAGTTTCCGATGTAAGAGGATGATGAGTAAAGAAAAAGTGAGGCACAATTGTAAATTTAAACTAGGTACAGCTGTATGAAATACATAATATTTATATTAAAAACAAACATATAAATATATGCAATATATAATTATATTTATATCATTTATATATTGTATAATATATACTTAATTTATAAATTTTTTGGTGTATAAAATGTAATAATAATAAGTAGTAGTAGTATAATTATAGATGATGGAGAAAAGAGATAGCACTAAAATATTGATGACAATAGCACATGAGTAAAGGAAGGGTAACTGAAACTAAGGTGTATTAAGGGCTTTGAATTATTTGAAAAGGGGTTAAGATAGTGTTTCACTTTAGTATCTGTTAAGACAAATATCATGTTAAATTTTAAGTGTAATCATTTAAAAAAAAGAAAGAGTATATAGCAAGAATAATGATACAAGCAACGAAAAATAGGTAAGAAAAATATCACAGAAAAAGCAGTTCCAGTAGAAATTTTTAAAGAAGATAGCAGACATGAATTCAAATATATCAGTAATCTCTATAAATGGACTCACTGAGTTTGTCTGTTAGAAGACAGAGACTGCCAGATTGGAAACAGGCTGCGTGTAAAAGATATGTCAAATACATAAAGACACGGACTGAGAAAAAGAAAGAAAAAAAATTCAAATACTTATAAAATAAAGCTCTATGATATTAAATATTATTTTTAAAACATTAATGTTAAAAAAGGACTTTAAGACAGAAACAAACTAGGGTGGAGAGGATCATATCATGATGTCAAAAAGTTTAGTTTTCTCCAGGAAGATTTAATAATTCTAAACATTAATGCACCTAACAAAATTGTCTCAAAATATATAAAGCATAAATATTTAGAACTGGAGGGAAAAATGGACAAATCCTCATCAGAGGGGGAGATTTCTATATCTTTCTTAATTATGAATAGGCAAAGCAGACAAGAAACCAATAAAAGATAAAACTTGAACAAAACAATTAACAGCCTCAAAACATTGAGGTTGAAAGGTAACCTGGTATCAAAGAAAGGGCATAGAATTTGGAAACACTTCAGCTTAAGTAGAAATTGTCAGTTACTAGCTATGTGAACTTAAACATTTTACTTATCTTTACTAGGATTATGTCCTTTACCTGCAAATAAAAATACCAAATATCTGATATTATGCTAGACAAAAAGTACGTATTCAGTAAACATTGAAAATGAATTTAAAAAATAATATGTAAAACATAAAAACTATTTACAACCTATGGAAGAAAGTTAATGCTACATCCCCCTGCATTAAAAGCTATTAATAGCAGGAGGGGATTGATTGTAACAGAGCACAGAGGAAATTTTTTGAGGTGATAAAAATGTCCCATATCATGATTGTGATACTGGTTATAAAAGTGTAATATATTTGTCAAAACTCATCAGATTGTACACTTAAAATTGTTGAATTTTATTATGTATAAGTAATAATTCAAGGAAACATATCAAAAAAAGCTAAAAAGACCTTAGCTTCTAAGTTAAAAGATATTGCAACGATACCTTCCTCTTTTTTCTTTTCCTACAGAAATAACTGAATAATTTGTTTTCATTTTAAAAACATTTGTGGTATGAAATATTCATATCTATAATAGAGTATTAGATACACAATTTTAAAGAAAAACAGTTAATT
Source organism: Homo sapiens (assembly GCF_000001405.40). Classification (NCBI taxonomy): domain Eukaryota; kingdom Metazoa; phylum Chordata; class Mammalia; order Primates; family Hominidae; genus Homo; species Homo sapiens. Next base: position 127,663,708 of record NC_000004.12, on the reverse strand, counting down.
CATTTTTGTCTCTTGCTTAAATCAAATATACTCACTATTCACTGGGAATACGATAAAAGGTCCTTACTTTTTCCTTTGGGCTTTTGACTAAACTTATTTCCTTTGGACTTTTGAGGACACTCACCTCTTCCTTTGAGGTTTCTGAGTCGAGCTGTAGTGTGAGATACATAATGATATGAGGAGTGTTTAGGCCACTCTGCTGGATACCTTCAACCTCTTCTCCCCAGAGAAGCTTGACTAAATCACTTGTGTTGGACTGTGTCTTTTTCTGTCTTGGATGGGACGTCTCCCTTTTCACATCATATGCATTTTCAAATGTCAGTTTCACCTTTAAAAATTAAAACAATGTGTTGACTTTTCGACAAGGGAAAATCAGCTGCAGTTTTCACAATGAAGGATCTGTGCATGTACATACACCCAGGTATGTACAGTATATATAAATCATCCTAGAGTGAGTGCTCCTGATGGCTGGGACTACGTATTCTATTTATATTTGTATCTTCGGCTCCTAGGAGAGTGTCTGATACATATTACCACAAATATTTATTGAATAAGAATTATAATGTTCTGTATAAAATTCATTTAATTAAACATAATCATTGCAGTCTAAATTGTTGACTATAAAAATAAGAAAGGCCATCAAAAACCAGAAATTAGTATGATCTGATAGTGCAAAAAGAATAACACCACAATATCAATGCCGATAGCACTGGCTTATCTGGGAAGATAGAAGGAAGACATTCAGCATTAAGAGTGACTTCACACAACCAAAGTTAACTCTCCTTTCAAATAAGGTGGTATTTCAAATATTCTTCTCTCAGACATTCTTTCTGGTTCTTTAAAACAAAGGCCAAGGAAAGTAAACGCTATCAGCATGCTGGATCTTAGACCAACATGGCTCTAAGAAGATTATCAATTTTATCAAGAGAGTTTTAATTTCATGGCCTGATGTCAAGATTGGTAAGAGTCCAGAATGTGGCCATTTTCCACAGGTATGGAAAGGTAGCCTCCATTTCTCAATTACCTAATGGTTCTGGTACTGGTCTGTGGCCTGGGGGTTGGGGACCCCTGGTGTAAGAGGATGCCCTTATTCTTAGGAGATACATTTCAAAGTACTTAGGGATGAAGTATTAAAATTACCTATCCTTGGAAAAGGAAATATTTGTCTAGATACCAATTGGTCAAAGATAACTCGTTCATTTCAAAGAAGTACCAAAATTGGATAGCCACACATAGAAGAATGAAACTCTGTCTCTCACCGTACACAAAAATTAACTTAAGATGGATTAAAGACTTAAATCTAAGACCTGAAACCATAACAATTCCAGAAGAAAATGTACTCTTTGGATACTGGCATAGGCAAAGAATTTATGACTAAGACTCCAAAAGCAAATGCAACAAAAACGAAAATAAATAAATGGGACCCAATTAAACTAAAAAGCTTTTGCACAGCAAAATAAATAATCAACAGAGTAAACAACCTACAGGATGGGAGAAAATAGTTGCAAACTACGCATCTGACAAAAAAACTAATATTCAGAATCTCTAAAGAACTCAAATCAGCAAGAAAAAAGTAATCCCATTAAAAAGTGGGCAAATGACTTGAACAGACATTTGTCAAAAGAAGATATACAAATGGTCAACAAACATGAAAAAATGCTCAACATGACTAATCATCAGGGAAATGCAAGTTAAAATAAAATGAGGTACCTACCACCTTACTCCAACCAGAATGGACATTATTAAAAAGTCAAAAAACAATAGATGGAGCAGACGTGGTGAAAAGGGAACGCTTATGCCCTGCTGGTGGAAATGTAAATTAGTACAACCTCTATGGAAAACAGTATGAAGACTTCTAAAAGAACTAAAAGCAGATCTATTATTAGATCCAGCAACCCCTCTACTGGGTATCTACCCCAAATTCCTTTATCTGAGAATGAGGATTTAGGAGTACCCAAAAGAAAGTATATGGAAGACTTTGGTGGTGTTCCCTGGAAATTTGAGAACTCTTTGGGGAATTCCTGAGTATAGACTTTGTGACAGATAGATGGGAGCTCTGAAGATTGTCCCCTGGCATTGGGCTTTAGGAAGGAGCTCTGAGTGGAGATGTGTGAGCGGTACAGAAGGGGAGAAATCAAATCAGAGGGAGCATGAGATGAGTCACATCCTAGGGAAGCAGGTGTCACAGAGATGAAGCTGGAGTGTCTATGAGAGTTGTGCATAAGAAGTGGTGACAAGAAAGCGGGTCCTCAGAGAAAGAAACGCATCTCAGAACAAGGAAGGCATCTTTCCCAGCTGAGATTCTTATGGGTGGAGAGGTAGGGTGCAACCTACCAAAAATAAAAAAAGGGAAATTTTTAAGTCTACCAAAAATAGACTCAAAAATTCACCAATTTTCTTCAGGCAGCAGCAACAACCTCAAATTTAAGATTGGTTTGCTATGCTTGGTGAAAAACAACATACTTGAAAACTAGTGTTATACTTGGCAAACAACATCATTTATTTTCTGTGGTGCAAGGACCTTTTTGTCTCACCACAACAAAAACTCAAACAAAAACACACACCACCGAACCATCCATTAAAATTCCTTAGGGAACTATTTCAGCCACTATTCTTCTGATTTAAGTAAAGTTGGCTCCATAATACAAATAAAATTATACTTTAAAAAGACATTTTTAAAAGCTTACATGTTAAGTAGCTACAAATGTCAGGAAATCTGGTTGCCTTGATAAAATGGTAAAGGGTGAGACAGATAACCAAATTAAGAGTTAAGTGCTATTTTAAAAAATAGGTTGATATACATAAATATTAGGGATATTATATGTTTTATAGGGAAAAACTTTTATTAAATGATACTTAACATAAGTTAGTTTACATGAAGCTTCTTATAAAGGGTTTTCTCTTATTACTCGGTGAGACTTTAACCTGGTACAAGGTTCAGGATCCTTCGTGTCCTATGTCCCTCTTCTTTGTGCGGTTTGCCCAGCCTTTCCTCAGACCCAAGGACGCACTCTCTATGACTCATCACTTCCAAAGTCTTGTTGCTTTGTCTTTTCTTTCTACTTCAGTCTTTAGCCCATCCTATTTAAAAAGCAATGTCTCTTCCAAACAAAGAAATCATCTACCAAACAAAGAAATCCTCTGATTCCCCTTTAGCTACCATCCTCTTCACAGATGGGACCTGGGGAGGCTGTCAGAATCTGCAGCAGCTGTGGAAGCTGACCAGTCTGTCACCTCTGCTTCAGTCTGCACCGTCTCTCCCATCATCTACACTGCTCTCTGCATGTGTTGTCCTTTCCCTGTTGGCTAACAGCTGGCAGATGATTTCAATACTCCTTAGTCAAAATTCTGAGGGAATCGAGTCTGACTGGCTCAGCAGATTATCTCTCCTCCATCCTCTTCTCTTCTTGGGCCACCTCACTGAGTGACTCAAGACAAAACTTGGAAGGCTTCTTGGACTTCTCTCTCTCCTGTAGAAAATATTGTCCTCTTTCCTTCCTCTCTATCTTAAATCTAATCTCCTCCTCCATCCCCGGTCAATAAAGGCTCAGGCCTTTATCATCTCTCTTCTGGACTACTGCAAACCCAACCACCTGGTTTCCTGACCTCCTGTCTTGCATATGCCTCCCCCATCCAGAGTGATATATTCCTAAAATGCAAATTTGATTTGCATGTAAGTCCTGCACTTTAAAATGTTGATATAAATGGTTACTTCTGGGTTCTGAGAATAGATTTACAAATATTTAAAAAATTTTACTAGTTTGTTTTCTAATTTTTCCACAGTATATGTATCATTTCTGTGTAACAAGGAAATAATAAAAGTTAAAACACTCCACTCAAGAATCATTTCCTTTAAGAAGCCTTTGCCCCCTCCTTTAGGCCTAAGAACTACCTGAGAAAGAAGAGTCCAAGACTAATAATCTTCAGGCTGTTCTCCTAGAAAAGGAGTTAGGTTCCTCCAAAGCTCTAAAAAAGCCAGCTATGGCCCAGTACTAAATGAAATCAGTCTTCGTCATCTGCAAAATTTGGACCCAAGCTCCCGGATAAAGACGGGAAGAGACGATGTACTACAAGCATGATTATGTACCTGTTAAATGAATGAGAGCACAGAGCTGCAGAAACGGATCAGGGTCACAAAAGTCAACAATTAGATGGGTATTTGCACCTTTGTTCTTGTTATTTAAAATTTCGAAAACCTCTTCTTTAAATCAACATTTTATTTTAGAAATTTTAAAACTACAGAAAAGTTGTAAGAAGAGAACAATGATTGCCCATAATCCCACACCTAATGGCACTATTGCTCACATTTTGTCACATTTGCTTCATTTTGTCTCTTCTCTCTGGTCTTCCTTTCCTTTCCTTCCATACTCCTCTCTTCTCTATATGTATTTTTTAAGTTTCTTGGCTGAACCTGCAAATTATTTGCAGGTATTTTAACACATTGTCCCTAAGTACTTCAGCAGGTATCTCCTAAGGATAAGGGCATCTTCTTACAGGCCATGGACAGGTACCAGAACCATTAGGAACCAGGTGGCATAGCAGGAGGTGAGTGGCCAGTGAGCGAAGCTTCATTCATATTTATAGCCACTCCCCATCACTCACATTATTGCCTGAGCTCTACCTCCTGTCAGATCAGTGGTGACATTAGATTCTCCCAGGAACACAAAACCTGTTGTGAACTGTGCATGTGGGGGATCTAGGTTGTGCACTCCTTATGATAATCTAATGCATGATAATCTGTCACTGTCTCCTGTCACCCCCAGATGGGACCATCTAGTTGCAGGAATACAAGCTCAGGGCTCCCACTGATTCTACATTATGGTGAGTTGTATAATTATTTCATACTAATAGAAATCGTGCATACAATAAATGTATACTTGACTCCTCTTGCATGTTTAACAAGGATGGATTAATTGTGGATGGAACTGGTCCAAAATATTAAATCCTAATTTCTTTCTCTCCCTTTTTCTTCTGCTAAGTGTGCACAGTTGAATTTGCAAAGGTTAATTAAATATAAGTATAATGTGATTCTGCTGTAAACATAACTTTTCATATTTTTGAAGAAAGAATAGACATGATTGAACTCTGGCAATACTGGAAGCACACCTGCAACCAACATAGGCAAGAAAAGGGGATCCCTCACTCAGGATAATACATAGCTACTCCACTTGGGGGAAGCTGACTCACTTGTCAAAATACTGCAATTCTTCACTATTAATCAATAAGTAGCTGCTGTCTGAGCACCCTGAAGTACCCTAGTACCCTCTGTTGGACCTCCCCACATCTAGTGACTAAAGTGGGTAACAGTACAACCTACTCTAGCACCATGGCTGGCTGATGTCCCCCTGATTGTTACTATTTCAAACACCACCCCATCTCCATCTCCATCTCGCTATCCATTCCTAGGCATTGCTGGTCTCAGCTACCATAGTTATTCCAGCACTTTCATTTTACATTTCCAAAGATAGCTAAATTTACAGAGCATCTGTGTGTGTGTGTGCATGCGCACACATACATGTGCATACAAAGTATGTTTAAAACAAATAAATGGGCATTAGGGAAACCTTGTTTCCCAGAAAATAAGGAATTTCATCATGTGCCTTATTATTTCAGAATCTCAAATCAGATGCAGCTGAGATTCTGATTTATCAGGGATTCTATTCTTCAACCTGACCAATCCAAAAACGACTTCATCCTCTCACTGCCTGATGGGTCCTCTGTCCCACCAGTCTCCAGACTTTTTGGCACCAGGGCCTGGTTTCATGCAAGACGATTTTTCCACAGACCAGGGTTGGGGGACGGTTTCAGGATGATTCAAGCACATTACATTTATTGTGCACTTTATTTCTATTATTATTATAATACATTGTAATATATAATGAAATAATTATACAACTCACCATAATGTAGAATCAGTGGGAACCCTGAATCTGTTTTCCTGCAACTAGATGGTCCCATCTGGGGGTGATGGGAGACAGTGACAAATCATCAGGCATTAGATTCTCATAAGGAGCATACAACCTAGATCCCTTCCTTTCATGCACAGATCACAATAGGGTTCGTGCTCCTAGGAGAATCTAATGCCACCCCTGATCTAACAGGAGGTGGAGCTCAGACACTAATGTGAGCGATGGGGAGCAGCTGTAAATACAGATGAAGCTTTGCTCGCTTGCCCACTGCTCACTTCCTGCTGTGGAGTCCAGTTCCTAACAGGCCACGAACCACTACCAGTCCGTGGCCCAGGGTTTGGGGACCCCTGCTCTAACCCACATAAAGCATATAATCTTCCCTATCCCCCCAAAAAGAGAATGCTAATTCCTGATGCTATCTAGAACAGAGTATTCATGGTATACTCTGTTACCAAAAGGTATAGCACTTGCAAAATACCCCTAATAACTGAAAAACATCATCTACGATACACAATGTCAATGTTTAGGGTATCAAAATTACTTTTTATAAAATAAATTTATTTCTATCTACAAGGATTGAAAAATAATTCCTTAAGTAGCCAAACAAAAGTCCAGGAGAAAAGCTTAATTAAATAACAAAAAAAATCAAGAAACTTGTATGATTTGTTTTTAAAATAAAATCACATTGGAAAAAAAAACATTATAGCAACAGTGATCTTAGTAAGTCAGAGAACAGAAAACTCCCTGACTATTTAAAATGACTCTTCTAGGAACCAGATTGTCACAAGCATATATGGTAGTTATAATGGCAAGTTTGCAATTATGTATGTTTTCATTACTGTTGCTGTTACTGCTTTATGTAGAATTTTACTTGTAGATATTTTTCTCTCTTTTTAGAATAATCTCCAGAAGCTAATAATATTAGCAAGAGCTAAATTTTCTTAAATAGGCAAGTATCAGTGTAACTCATCCATTATACATGATACTTTTCAGACGCTTAAAAAGGAAAATAGTGCACGATATATTTATATATTTATTTTATGTAACATCATAAAATATAGAAAAAGAATGTCCATACCTGCATAGGTCCAGGAATGCAAGACAGAACTCTCTCGATGTTTTCAGTAGTAACATCGACATCATTCACAGCAACAAGGACATCACCTGAAACCAGAATAACAATAAAAGATAGTTTTATGAATATCTAAAAACCATAGAGGTCTAGAATTGGAACATTAAACAGCTACTCTGACATCCTCAAAGTACAGTGAGAAATCTGGTGCAGACAAGCAGGAACTTGTCCAGGTTTATACAGCTCATTGGTGGCAGGGCTACTCTCCTAACTTTACTCTTCTTAATCTATAATACTGCCCATTATTGCACCATAAATAATACAACCTATGAATATTTTAAAAAATAACTATTTTTATTCTTGATACAATTGGGAGAATTATGTAAACCCAAAGAACAAATGGAAAATTTGTTAGCATGAACCAAATACTGTACTTGACAAAACTGAATCTAACCACTTAGACCCACAGTAAAAACAAAACAGAGGAGCCAAGATGGCCAAATAGGAACAGCTCCCGTCTACAGCTCCCAGTGTGAGCGACGCAGAAGACAGGTGATTTCTGCATTTCCATCTGAGGTACCGGGTTCATCTCACTAGGGAGTACCAGACAGTGGGCGTAGGTCAGTGGGTGCGCACACCGTGTGCAAGCCAAAGCAGGGCGAGGCATTGCCTCACTTGGGAAGCGCAAGGGGTCAGGGAGTTCCCTTTCCGAGTCAAAGAAAGGGGTGACGGACGCACCTGGAAAATCGGGTCACTCCCACCCGAATATTGCGCTTTTCGGACCGGTTTAAAAAACGGCGCACCACGAGATTATATCCCGCACCTGGCTCGGAGGGTCCTACGCCCACGGAGTCTCGCTGATTGCTAGCACAGCAGTCTGAGATCAAACTGCAAGGCGGCAGCGAGGCTGGGGGAGGGGCGCCCCCCATTGCCCAGGCTTGCTTAGGTAAACATAGCAGCCAGGAAGCTCCAACTGGGTGGAGCCCACCACAGCTCAAGGAGGCCTGCCTGCCTCTGTAGGCTCCACCTCTGGGGGCAGGGCACAGACAAACAAAAAGACAGCAGTAACCTCTGCAGACTTAAATGTCCCTGTCTGACAGCTTTGAAGAGAGCAGTGGTTCTCCCAGCACGCAGCTGGAGATCTGAGAATGGGCAGACTGCCTCCTCAAGTGGGTCCCTGACCCCTGACCCCCGAGCAGCCTAACTGGGAGGCACCCCCCAGCAGGGGAACACTGACACCTCACACGGCAGGGTATTCCAACAGACCTGCAGCTGAGGGTACAGTCTGTTAGAAGGAAAACTAACAAACAGAAAGGACATCCACACCAAAAACCCATCTGTACATCACCATCATCAAAGACCAAAAGTAGATAAAACCACAAAGATGGGGAAAAAACAGAACAGAAAAACTAGAAACTCTAAAACGCAGAGCACCTCTCCTCCTCCAACGGAACGCAGTTCCTCACCAGCAACGGAACAAAGCTGGATGGAGAATGACTTTGACGAGCTGAGAGAAGAAGGCTTCAGACGATGAAATTACTCTGAGCTACGAGAGGACATTCAAACCAAAGGCAAAGAAGTTGAAAACTTTGAAAAAAATTTAGATGAATGTATAACTAGAATAACCAGTATAGAGAAGTGCTTAAAGGAGTTGATGGAGCTAAAAACCAAGGCTCGAGAACTACGTGAAGAATGCAGAAGCCTCAGGAGCCGATGCAATCAACTGGAAGAAAGGGTATCAGCAATGGAAGATGAAATGAATGAAATGAAGCGAGAAGGGAAGTTTAGAGAAAAAAGAATAAAAAGAAATGAGCAAAGCCTCCAAGAAATATGGGACTATGTGAAAAGACCAAATCTACGTCTGATTGGTGTACCTGAAAGTGATGGGGAGAATGGAACCAAGTTGGAAAACACTCTGCAGGATATTATCCAGGAGAACTTCCCCAATCTAGCAAGGCAGGCCAACGTTCAGATTCAGGAAATACAGAGAAGGCCACAAAGATACTCCTCGAGAAGAGCAACTCCAAGACACATAATTGTCAGATTCACCAAAGTTGAAATGAAGGAAAAAATGTTAAGGGCAGCCAGAGAGAAAGGTCGGGTTACCCTCAAAGGGAAGCCCATCAGACTAACAGCGGGTCTCTCGGCAGAAACCCTACGAGCCAGAAGAGAGTGGGGGCCAATATTCAACATTCTTAAAGAAAAGAATTTTCAACCCAGAATTTCATATCCAGCCAAACTAAGCTTCATAAGCAAAGGAGAAATAAAATACTTTACAGATAAGCAAATGCTGAGAGATTTTGTCACCACCAGGCCTGCCCTAAAAGAGCTCCTGAAGGAAGCACTAAACATGGAAAGGAACAACCGGTACCGGCCGCTGCAAAATCATGCCAAAATGTAAAGACCATTGAGACTACGAAGAAACTGCATCAACTAACGAGCAAAATCACCAGCTAACATCATAATGACAGGATCAAATTCACACATAACAATATTAACTTTAAATGTAAATGGACTAAATGCTCCAGTTAAAAGACACAGACTGGCAAATTGGATAAAGAGTCAAGACCCATCAGTGTGCTGTATTCAGGAAACCCATCTCACGTGCAGAGACACACATAGGCTCAAAATAAAAGGATGGAGGAAGATCTACCAAGCAAATGGAAAACAAAAAAAGGCAGGGGTTTCAATCCTAGTCTCTGATAAAACAGACTTTAAACCAACAAAGATCAAAAGAGACAAAGAAGGCCATTACATAATGGTAAAGGGATCAATTCAACAAGAAGAGCTAACTATCCTAAATATATATGCACCCAACACGGGAGCACCCAGATTCATAAAGCAAGTCCTGAGTGACCTACAAAGAGACTTAGACTCCCACACATTAATAATGGGAGACTTTAACACCCCACTGTCAACATTAGACAGATCAACGAGACAGAACGTCAACAAGGATACCCAGGAATTGAACTCAGCTCTGCACCAAGTGGACCTAATAGACATCTACAGAACTCTCCACCCCAAATCAACAGAATATACATTTTTTTCAGCACCACACCACACCTATTCCAAAATTGACCACATAGTTGGAAGTAAAGCTCTCCTCAGCAAATGTAAAAGGACAGAAATTATAACAAACTATCTCTCAGACCACAGTGCAATCAAACTACAACTCAGGATTAAGAATCTCACTCAAAACTGCTCAACTACATGGAAACTGAACAACCTGCTCCTGAATGACTACTGGATACATAACGAAATGAAGGCAGAAATAAAGATGTTCTTTGAAACCAACGAGAACAAAGACACAACATACCAGAATCTCTGGGACGCATTCAAAGCAGTGTGTAGAGGGAAATTTATAGCACTAAATGCCCACAAGAGAAAGCAGGAAAGATCCAAAATTGACACCCTAACATCACAATTAAAAGAACTAGAAAAGCAAGAGCAAACACATTCAAAAGCTAGCAGAAGTCAAGAAATAACTAAAATCAGAGCAGAACTGAAGGAAATAGAGACACAAAAAACCCTTCAAAAAATTAATGAATCCAGGAGCTGGTTTTTTGAAAGGATCAACAAAATTGATAGACCACTAGCAAGACTAATAAAGAAAAAAAGAGAGAAGAATCAAATAGACACAATAAAAAATGATAAAGGAGATATCACCACCGATTCCACAGAAATACAAACTACCATCAGAGAATACTACAAACACCTCTACGCAAATAAACTAGAAAATCTAGAAGAAATGGATAAATTCCTCGACATATACACTCTCCCAAGACTAAACCAGGAAGAAGTTGAATCTCTGAATAGACCAATAACAGGAGCTGAAATTGTGGCAATAATCAATAGTTTACCAACCAAAAAGAGTCCAGGACCAGATGGATTCACAGCCGAATTCTACCAGAGGTACAAGGAGGAACTGGTACCATTCCTTCTGAAACTATTCCAATCAATAGAAAAAGAGGGAATCCTTCCTAACTCATTTTATGAGGCCAGCATCATTCTGATACCAAAGCCGGGCAGAGACACAACCAAAAAAGAGAATTTTAGACCAATATCCTTGATGAACATTGATGCAAAAATCCTCAATAAAATACTGGCAAAACGAATCCAGCAGCACATCAAAAAGCTTATCCACCATGATCAAGTGGGCTTCATCCCTGGGATGCAAGGCTGGTTCAATATATGCAAATCAATAAATGTAATCCAGCATATAAACAGAGCCAAAGACAAAAACCACATGATTATCTCAATAGATGCAGAAAAAGCCTTTGACAAAATTCAACAACCCTTCATGCTAAAAACTCTCAATAAATTAGGTATTGATGGGACGTATTTCAAAATAATAAGAGCTATCTATGACAAAACCCACAGCCAATATCATACTGAATGGGCAAAAACTGGAAGCATTCCCTTTGAAAACTGGCACAAGACAGGGATGCCGTCTCTCACCACTCCTATTCAACATAGTGTTGGAAGTTCTGGCCAGGGCAATTAGGCAGGAGAAGGAAATAAAGGGTATTCAATTAGGAAAAGAGGAAGTCAAATTGTCCCTGTTTGCAGACGACATGATTGTATATCTAGAAAACCCCATTGTCTCAGCCCAAAATCTCCTTAAGCTGATAAGCAACTTCAGCAAAGTCTCAGGATACAAAATCAATGTACAAAAATCACAAGCATTCTTATACACCAATAACAGACAAACAGAGAGCCAAATCATGAGTGAACTCCCATTCACAATTGCTTCAAAGAGAATAAAATACCTAGGGATCCAACTTACAAGGGATGTGAAGGACCTCTTCAAGGAGAACTACAAACCACTGCTCAAGGAAATAAAAGAGGATACAAACAAATGGAAGAACATTCCATGCTCATGTGTAGGAAGAATCAATATCGTGAAAATGGCCATACTGCCCAAGGTAATTTACAGATTCAATGCCATCCCCATAAAGCTACCAATGACTTTCTTCACAGAATTGGAAAAAACTACTTTAAGGTTCATATGGAACCAAAAAAGAGCCCGCATCGCCAAGGCAATCCTAAGCCAAAAGAACAAAGCTGTAGGCATCACCCTACCTGACTTCAAACTATACTACAAGGCTACAGTAACCAAAACAGCATGGTACTGGTACCAAAACAGAGATATAGATCAATGGAACAGAACAGAGCCCTCAGAAATAACGCCGCTTATCTACAACTATCAGATCTTTGACAAACCTGAGAAAAACAAGCAATGGGGAAAGGATTCCCTATTTAATAAATGGTGCTGGGATAACTGGCTAGCCATATGTAGAAAGCTGAAACTGGATCCCTTCCTTACACCTTATACAAAAATCAATTCAAGATGGATTAAAGCCTTAAACCTTAGACCTAAAACCATAAAAACCCTAGAAGAAAACCTAGGCATTACCATTCAAGACATAGGCACGGGTAAGGACTTCATGACTAAAACACCAAAAGCAATGGCAACAAAAGACAAAATTGACAAATGGGATCTAATTAAACTAAAGAGCTTCTGCACAGCAAAAGAAACTACCATCAGAGTGAACAGGCAACCTACAAAATGGGAGAAAATTTTTGCAACCTACTCATCTGACAAAGGGCTAATATCCAGAATCTACAATGAACTCAAACAAATTTACAAGAAAAAAACAAACAACCCCATCAAAAAGTGGGAGAAGGACATGAACAGACACTTCTCAAAAGATGACATTTATGCAGCCAAAAAACACATGAAAAAATGCTCATCACTGGCCATCAGAGAAATGCAAATCAAAACCACAATGAGATACCATCTCACACCAGTTAGAATGGCAATCATTAAAAAGCCGGGAAACAACAGGTGCTGGACAGGATGTGGAGAAATAGGAACACTTTTACACTGTTGGTGGGACTGTAAACTAGTTCAACCATTGTGGAAGTCAGTGTGGCGATTCCTCAGGGATCTAGAACTAGAAATACCATTTGACCCAGCCATCCCATTACTGGGTATATACCCAAAGGACTATAAATCATGCTGCTATAAAGACACATGCACACGTATGTTTATTGCGGCATTATTCACAATGGCAAAGACTTGGAACCAACCCAAATGTCCAACAATGATAGACTGGATTAAGAAAATGTGGCACATATACACCATGGAATACTATGCAGCCATAAAAAATGATGAGTTCATGTGCTTTGTAGGGACATGGGTGAAATTGGAAATCATTCTCAGTAAACTATCGCAAGAACAAAAAACCAAACACTGCATATTCTCACTCATAGATGGGAATTGAAGAATGAGATCACATGGACACAGGAAGGGGAACATCACACTCTGGGGACTGTGGTGGGGTGGGGGGAGGGGGGAGGGATAGCATTGGGAGATATACCTAATGCTAGATGATGAGTTAGTGGGTGCAGCGCACCAGCATGGCACATGTATACATATGTAACTAACCTGCACAATGTGCACATGTACCCTAAAACTTAAAGTATAATAAAAAAAATTAAAAAATTAAAACAAAACAAAACAAAAACCCACCTGAAATTCTAATTAAATCCATGTGGCATATCATAACACAATATGCTATAGTATTCACTTCTGTTATTGATCTATGTCTACAAACAGTTCTTTGCTTCAAAGGCCCCAACCATATCAAAATACACTGCATGTTTGGTAAAAATTTCCTTTTCCGTGTACTTTAAAAGAAATGTGTATGTTTTCCAAATCTGATAATAAAATAAATATCAGTGTTAAAATGGAAATTCACTTTCAGAACATAATTAAAGATACTATCAAAATACCAGTGAGCTATATTAATAGAAATATAGACATACCAAAGTTATTTTTCTCATCATTCCTAAATATATTATTAGGAAATTGATGAAATAATTCATATTCATCCATTCATTTAAGAAATATTTACTGAGCACTTAATGTGTGCCAGGCACTCTTCTAAGCACTAGAGACAAAGAATTGAACAAAGACAAAATCTCTACTCTCAGGGAGCTTAATATTCTTTGGGGAAGATGGATAATAAACATGTATACAGGCTAAGTATCCCAAATCCAAAAATTGAAAATCCAAAATCCTCCAAAATCCAAAACTTTTTGAGCACCAACGTGACCCTCAAAGGAAATGCTCATTGGAGCATTTTGGATTTAGGATTGTCAGATTTGGGATGCTCAACAGGTAAGTATAATGCAATATTAAAAAAAAAAAAATTGGAAGCACTTCTGGTCCCAGGTATTTTGAAGAAGGAGTACTCAACCTGTATATGTAGAATCGTGTTGGTAGATAATTCTTCATGAGTCTCATGTTTCTGTACATCTTACAAGCCGAGGCATTGAGAGTCTTTGTTCTAGACTGTCTTTTCAAAGACGTTCGTGTAATGAACAGCCTTGGACAACAGAGATATGTTTCCATCCTGAGCAAAGGTCAAGCTTGTTTACTGAATGGTATAATAAGGTCAATGCTGTGCTCAATATCTTATTATTAATAACTGTTCTTTATAAAAGATTGGTGTTCCCTAAGTTCAGAGTTCCTTTCCTTTAAGGCAACCCATTATTAGGCATCACTTGGCCATCTGTAGGGTTGGCAAACAGATGAAAATGTTGCCACTGTAGGTACTGCTATTCCTCCTTTTTTTCCTTCCTCTCCTTGATACTCTATTGAATGAGAATGGGGTTAAGTGCAGAGTAAGCAGGAGTACTTTCTTAGGCCAACTGTGAAGGCTTGAACTAGGTTTAGATGCTCAAGAGATACAACTCAGATGGGAGTTTTGCAAGCATGGGCACCAAGTCATTATGATGGTTAACTATTACAGCACTTTGGACAAACTTTTCTTAAAAGTAAGAACTTGCAGACCAAAATAAACTTTCAACTTGAAGTCCACTTGGAAAAAAAAAAACACAACAAGATGCCTGTTTAATTTCTCCTATATAAGAGATTAAACAAAAGTACTATATCAAATTACTTATAGCTGTAGTGATTAAAAGAAAATAAAGGAATGATGGACACAGTATAGCTGTGTCAATGTAAAATGAAACCACTTTTGGACTATCCTAATGATTAGTTCTGTTGTCTATAGTTTGTTATCCTCAGGGCACAGAAATAGTAAAAACATTTTAAATTTGTTACTTTAAACTAAAACTCCATTGGATGATGTGCCAAATGACTTTTTTCTCCAAATCCTAATGAATACATTCCTGTAGCTGAGTGTTATAGGGAGTATTATCTAAAATTATCAAGTCTAACAAACCTCTAAAAAGAGGAGATGGTTCATCATAAAAATATATGAAAATAAATTCTGAAAGCAAGTGTAGTATACCCAATATTTTTAAATGTTTAGTAGAAAATTTTCCCATTCTATGAAATAAATATTATATCCACTTCTCATTCTCCCAGACATTTGTTTTCCTCTAGTGTTTCTGAACACTTCTGTGAAGTGACTCAGAGATGGCTGGCTTCCCGGACATCGCACCTTTGCAGTGGACATCCTAAACCCAAGGAAAGGTCTTTCTCCATAAGTACACGGGAGTCATTAATATGATCTGTCCCATTTCAAAGGCTAAAAGGGAATGAATTATATGATTGATTTGCATTGTTAAATAAGAAATGGCCTGGGTAGAAATATGAGAAAATTTTTATTAAGAGATATATTTAAGAACCAAATAAAATATTTTAAAAAGAGATCAGTTTATCACAGTTCCTCAATGTAAAGTTAAATTATGTGAGAAAAGCCATCAATTTCTCAGTATATACTTAACATCAAACAACATGTGTACTAAAGGGCTACTACATAAGGCACCAAGGGCTATGAAAATATATATGCAAAAGTTTGTTTACTGCTGTGTTTATACTATATATAAAATGAATATACAACTTAAATTATTTTTGACAAAAGATTATTGTATATAAATGTAGGAAAAGGGAGGATATATAACAAAATGTTGTCTTTGGGTATATGGAATTTTTCTTTTTTGCTTAATTGTATTTTCTAAATTGTCTACAATGAACGTATATTATTACTATCACAAAAAGAAAAAAAACTCATATTTTACCAAAAAACCCCCCACTGAGGTAGGCAGCATAATTGCCCCCCAAAGATGTCTATGTTTCAATCCCTGAAATCTCTGAATATGCTACCTTACACAGCAAGAAGGACTTTGCAGTTGTAATTAACTTAAAAGATTGGAAGACTGTCCTGGATTATCCGAATGATCGTCAGGTAAAGATAAAGGTCTTTATAGGAGGAAGGCAAAAGTGTCAGGGTCAGCATGAGAGAGACTGGAAGATGCTATGCTGCTGGCTTTGATGATGGAGGACAGGACCACAAGCCAAAGAATGCAGGTAGCCTCTGAAAGCTGGCCAAGGAATGGGATTCTTCCCTGGAGCCTCCAAAAGGAATGTAGCCCTGTGGACACCTTGATTTTCATACAAGAAGACCCATTTTAGATTTCTGGCTTACATTATTGCAAGATGATAAATCTGTATTGTTTTAAACCACTAAGTTTGTGGTAATTTGTCACGGCAGCAATAGAAGATGAATGCACTAGCCTAGTAATACAAAGCAATCTTTGTGATGCACCAAAAAAGGAATCACGAATGCTAAAAAGCAAAGATGGACACACAAGGTGTATCTGGAGGTCAGTTAGGAAAAAAATAAATCAGGCTTGCTTGTTAGAGGTGGGGATTTATGGATAGAAGGAGTGGCACATATGTATGGGACAGAAAAATGAGATCAAATTGTGAATTGAAATTGATCCTTTTAATTAAGCCAAATTTGACTTCAGGGAAAGGGAATCTGGTTTTTGAAAAGCAGTTACTATACTGCCATTTTATACATTCAAAACTCAATGTTTTCTGCCAATGCATTTACTAACAATAAATTTTGTTATTTTTTTTTGAGTTTCAATCTCAACCCCTCGTCTATAATATGTGGGCACCAAACTAGAGAGAATTAAGGCCCCTCCCAACCTACCATTCTGAAGTCCTTGAATAATGGTACCAACTTGCTTTTGTGAAAACTGTTAAATGAAGAAAAATCAGACATTTATCCTGCCTTTCCTGTCTAAACCATATGTCAAGGTTACCAGAGGTGAGGGGGAGCTTCTTTTTATGAAAGTAGTCTAACTGAAATATTGAGAAAGACTGACAGAATTGGAATATCACCATTTTGCAGTCCCTTAATGAATTAATGGATTTAGGCAATGATCATCAATAACTGTTAATATCACAAAAAGAAAAACAGCAGATAATATGTTGTTCCTGATGGAAGCACACAGACCACCTATAAAATATGTTTGATAGGCCTCAAGATCTAACTACCAACTCACAGGAAACACCACTGAAAGGGGGGCACGTTAAATGAATTCTGGCTCCTTTTACAGAACTAAAAGAACAAACCATAGAGATATTTAGTTCTATCCTATCATTTCACAAGAAGGAAAGTAGAGGACCCAAGAGAATGTAAGTATGTATTAGCCCCTGTTCCAGTCATCTATTGTTGCATAATAAGTCATCCAAACAATTTTTTTTTTTTTTTTTGAGACAGAGTCTCACTGTGTTCCCCCAGGCTGGAGTGCGGTGGTACAATCTTGGCTCATTGCAACCTCTGCCTCCCAGGTTCAAGTGATTCTCGTGCCCCAGCCTCCCCAGCAGCTGAGATTACAGGCATGCACCACAAGGCCCAGCTAAGTTTTGTATTTTTTAGTAGACACGGGGTCTTGCCATGTTGGCCAGGCTGGTCTCAAACTCCTGGCCTCAAGTGATCTGCCCACCTTGGCCTCCCAAAGTGCTGGGATTACAAGTGTTAGCCACCACGCCAGGCCTATCCAAATAATTCTGAGGCTTAAAACAACAACAGTTGGCCAGGCACGGTGGCTCACGCCTGTAATCCCAGCACTTTGTGAGGCTGAGGCGGGTGGATCACCTGAGGTCAGGAGTTCAAGACCAGCCTGACCAACATGGTGAAACTCCATCTCTACTAAAAAATACAAAAAAATTAGTCAGGCATGGTGGTGGGTGCCAGTAATCCCAACTACTCAGGAGGCTGAGGCAGAAGAATCGCTTGAACCCGGGAGGTAGAGGTTGAAGTGAGCCAAGATGGTGCCATTGCACTCTAGCCTGAGTGACAACAGCAAAACTCCATCTCAAAAATAAATAAATAAATAAATAAAATAAAAAATAAAAAAATAACAACAACAATAATTTATCATCTCTCCTGGTTCTGGGGTTAACTGGGGTCAGCTGTGGTTCTCACTTGGGATTCCTCATGCAGTTACAGGCAGATGGTGGTTGGGGCTGGAGTCATCTTAAAGGCTTCTCACTCACATCTGGTGGCGAGGGCTTCAGTTGGGGCTATCAGCTGGATCACTGGTGTCTTGACCTCTTCACACAATGGTGACTGGGTTCTAAGGGCAAGTATCCCCAAAATAACCAGGCAGAAGCTGCATCACCTTTTATGATCCAACCTCTTAAGTCACATGGCACCAATTAAGCTGTAGTCACCGGCCCACCCAGATTCAATGACACAGAGCACAACTCTCCATGGGAGGAGTATCAACACTACATTTTAAGAAAGTGTGCAGATCCTGTTGAGATCATTCTGGAACACATACTTTGCCACAGATGCCCTTCTTACAAGATTCCATATGATCCTCCTTGTAAACCCCTATGATGACACTTATCAGACAGTGAGGAGCTGCCTGCCTATCTGTAACCCGTCTCTTCCACTAAAACATAGCTCCTTTCAAGAAATAATTGGATCAGTAAAGTAATCTTTGTATTCCTGGCACTTAGCAGATGCTAAAAAAACAAACTGTCAAATCAGTGAACAAACAAATGAAATTCAGATTTAAAGTTGGAAATATTTGTAAATTTATCTGTAAATGTTCTTCATTTAAACCTCTTATGCTAGATAAACTTAAAAGACTGTCAGCTTTTAGAACTGTTATTACTTTTAAATTTTAGTAATAATATATCCTCAAATTTTACTCATTTATCTTTAAGTAATTAGATTGCTACTAACTCAAACATTGTATCTAACAGCTTAAAATTTATCAGCAACACAAAATGTTCATCTTAATATATATTCAGAATAATTTGTGGGTTTATTTTTCTTGAAAATTGGTGGGCTATTTTATGACAGATATATTTTATGACACACGCCCTTAAAAGGAAATTTATATATAACACCACTGTTGCAAAATATGCCAAATGAAACAGTTGAAAACCACTCCAAGAACTTAGTGTACTCAAGTGCAAACATACAATTTAAAAGTATTTTTATTCATAAATTATATATTTTTGTATCCTGTTACTGGATATAGCCATTCAAACCTAAATTATCACTCTATGATCAACGTTTTTTTTCTTGTCAGCAAATATAACCAAGATGAAATAAAATTATATAATTCAAAACTTGAAAATTAGGTAAGCTATTTCTTGGCCTGAACAAGGCACACACATACTCAACACACTGAACTGGTCATTTTAAGAACACTGTGCCTTGTAGTGCACCATGTGTAACCATTTCTCTACTGTACCAAATGTCATTAATCAGTTCTTTATCTGTGGAGACTGTATATAATTGTTTTTATCACATTTCCCGCAAGGTGTCATCATTAATCAAGATCTCTGTAAACAGGGATGGATGTGTACCAGCAACACTTACCAATGAGTACCTGACCGCTCTTCATAGCAGATCCCCCTGGCAGCAGGCCATGAACCACAAGCCTCTCTCCATCACCCTGCTTTCCGGTTCTTCTCCAGCTCCACTTGGTCTGATGAATAATTCCAACCAGCACTTCCAGAAGCTTGAGCTGCTCTTTGGCTTTGATAACAGTTAGCTTTTTGGGGTTTACATAAACATTCACATCTTTGTATCGCTGTTGGACAATGACTCCTGTCTTCTGATTGGACTGATGCTTTAGAATGGATACTGGTCCATTGTCATTGCTATTTTTTTTATTGCAGCGCTTGGGTAAAAGTCTTTTCCTTCTTAAAATTTTGGTAAACTGCTTGAGTTTGGGTTCATACTTTTTTCTTTCTTTGTAGTCATCTTCAATGATAATCTCATTTTCACTGAACCTGACATGGTTCACAGTTGGTGTCTCAGGAAGGAGGCTTTCTTCTTCATCCTCACTCAATTCCAAATAAAACAGCTCTCCATTTTTCTGCACACTGTCCAGCCATTCAGGCTCAAGATCACTATGAAAGAGAGAAAAGATAATCTTAATAGCAGCCCAATATATAAAAGAAAGGTATGTCATCCTGGCATGGGGGTGAGGGTTGGGGCTGGGGAGCAGGAAGATGGGAAAGGGTGAAACTTCTTTATTATTTCAAATTATCCTTACTATTTCTAATTTATTGTGATCCTCAACATTATTTCATATAGGATGCTTTTTTTGTAGAGCTTTGAATAGGAGTTGGGGGAGAAGGAATCAAAAAGGCATAGCAATAGAAAGGAAAACCAATGAAAAAAGAGATGGTCCCCTTATAGAATCTATGAGTTGAAAAAAATTAAATCAACCACTGTGTGGTTACTGCTCACTTTAAACAATTTCACTGAATGATAATTTGCATTAGCAGTTGATTATGCAATTATATCCACACAAGCATGCCATTTGGAAATTGTACATGAAAATCTATTATTTGCATAGAAATTATTTAGGATGGCTGTCAGGTTAAAATGAAAGCTAAAGCCAGCTTTAACAGACTTTTACATAAGTTTTCAAAAAAGAAACATTCACTTCACCATGAACTAAAATCTGTCCTGAAAACAACCCATTTATAATCACAGTTAATATAGTAATGATCACTTTACTGTCTATAATTTCCATAAAACTCCTTTTTATGAAAAATTGTAGTAGAAAAAAAAAAGCACATATTACATAATTCATCGTGATTATAAAAAATATTTTTAACTGGGAAGTATGCCACTGAAAAAAAAAACAAAATTACTGCTATTAAAATGATTGAAATAGCATTAAGGAGCAAAAATACTCATGGTAACAAACCTAAACTCTACCCTGTTCAATGTTATGAACAGTTTACCTTTCAAACTGCTATTCTTTAAAGTGAAACTAGTAATAGTGGAAAAATTAACATGTAGAGAGTCTTTTCAGAAACATGAGCTGTAATATCCCGGCCTGAAAGAGTATAATTTGTGTTGTAATCATTAAATCAGATAGAAGACATTTCTGTTTTCTGCAGTGTTTATTAGCAACTCCAGTTCTCTTAACTTAAAAGTCAAATGTCTCTTTCTAAACACTTTGAAAATTAGCCCCCAAAATATACTATTCTATTACTCAACTCAAACTAACCACTGCCCTGGTCTGTGGCTGGTCATTAATACAGAATTTTCAGCTACATATGAGTCATTTTTAAAAATGCCTAACAAGCTGAAAATATCAAAACTAACATTTCTTTGGGACTTGTTGGTTCCCAGTGTGTGGCATCATCATAGGCACTAAGCCTCACTTATTGCAGATTATCAACCAAATATCACTTATTTCAACAATACCTATCTGTACCCACAGAATCAATATTTAAATAACTATGCAGTTCTACTCTTGAGAGTCTAAATAACTATATCCCCACCATAATCATTTAGTAACAAAGCTACCTTAATTTTAATTGCTACAGTGTAAATACCATGATTGCACATTAATTACTTAAAAACATATGTATCAATTTAAAAAATATATATATATATCAATTTAAACAATGAATAAAGTGTATCAGCCTTATTATCTCACCCTTTTAACCTGGTAAGTTATTTGTATTAGAGATATATAAAAGAAACATCTTTTCCACTTACTAAATATGAAGATGATTCATTTCAATCTCTAAAGTTTGAATGTGAAATCACTTTTGGTTATGATTCAAAGATCCATGCACGTGGTGGCCAAGGGGATAGCATCTTGGCATTCAATTGTGGAGCAACTAAACAGTGCCAGGAACTATGGTAAGTACCAGAATTATAATGACGAGAATGTCAGTTCCCGCCCTTGCTTAGTAAAGAAGAGAAAGTGAGAAAGAATTCATGACAGTACACAGGGTAAGTACAAGATAGAGGCATACAGGAGAGTCACCCAGCTTAGCCATACAGGAAAGTCACCCAGCTTAGCCATACGGGAGAGTCACCCAGCTTAGCCTAGCTGGAGGTTGAGGGGAGATCAGGGAGACCCCAGAAACCAGTTTGAAAGGATAAATGAAGGAGGGAGAGAGGTGGGGAGCTGAAGGGAAAGATGTGAAGAGGATTTCAAACAGGAGTAACAGCATAAGCAAAGACCTGAGGATAGTCCCCATGGCCTAGACGGACAACCACTGGCAGTCTGCAGTTGTCAGAGTAAATGCGGAAGGTGGGGAATGACAGAAGTGGTCAAGCCCTAGTTTTGCCAGGCTTTTTAGATCACCCTAAGGGGTTTGGCTTTTGTAGTGCAGGTAAGAAGGCATCAACAAAGAGTTTTAAGTAGAGAGTTTACGTGTTAGATATCCCTGGATAGGTCTACTTTGGCAAGTAAATCGTTGGTGGATTTGAGGTGGACAAGACTCAAGGCAGGAGGGCTAGTCAGGGGGCTGTTTCAGTAGCTGAAGCAAAAATGACAAATAAAGCAATAGTAGAAGACATGGAAAGTAGGAAAAATATGTGAGAAACTCTTGAAAATCACCAGAACTTTGAGACTGATTAGGTGGGGAGAGAGAGAGAGAGAGGGATTCATGTTGACTAGATTTCTAGCTGGTGACTATACTTTCATGCATCCTTTTGTGAGTACCCATGTGCAGACTCATTGTAATACATGGGAACACAATCTTAATACTTCTCTTACTACCTCTCTCTCACATGAACACTGTTAAAAAATCCATGCTTTATAATCATATAAAAACACATATAGGGTTATTCTGTCACTGTTTTGAAAAAGTGGAATCATTATATATGTACCTATATAAAGTACATATATAATTTCTCACTTAACAATACAGCTTAGAAATCACTAGTGGCTGCATAATATTCAATATCAAGGATGTAGGACATTTGGTCATTCACCTACTGATAAGCTTTGTGTTCAGTTCTTGTTTTTCCACCACAAAGTTATAGGAACCATCAATATACACATGTGTGTTTATGTATATGTATATATATATATATATATATATATATATATATATATATATATATATATGTATCTTTACCCAAAAGACTATACCAATTTATATTTTCACTAGCGATGTGTGGGATCCACTCTCTTAATGTCTAGATTTCTAAATATACATCATTTTAAGAAGAGAAAGACACTTTTTAAAAAGAGGAAGAAACTAAAAGGAAGATAAAGAGGTAGAGACAGGGAAGTGTAAATAAGAGACCCCCACACAGAAGGGCAACTTATACTGAAAAGCAAATGAACTGAGAAATCATGAAGAGCTGAGTTCAAATTTTGTTCTATTATGATTTTAACCTTTCTAAGATTGACTGATTGCTTTAGTTTTCCTCTTCTTGAAAATAGATTATAGCTACCTCACAGGACTCTTGTCAATAGAAAATACAATAATGTTGTTCCTGACATGGTTAAGTTCCAAATAAATATCAGTTCCCTTCCTCTTGCTTTTACTAGATATAACTCTTGTGTTTCTGTATTTTTCTAACTGGCATTAAATGAAGGTGTCTCTAATGATCTCAGTTTGCCAGGTTTCAGGGTAGGTGATAGTGACACAAGAAGCAAAGCGAGGCACTGCCTTTAAGGACCCTACAGGTCAATATTCCTGGAAGGTTCTTTATTTCTACTCCAGAGGAATAGTTCCGAGTTAAGTAAGCATCAAGAGATTGGTCGACGGGTACAAAGTTACAGTTAGATAGGAGAAATAAATTCTGGTGTTCTATTACACAGTAGGGAGACTATAGTTAACAATATTATAGTGTATATTTCAAAATTACTAGAACAGAGGATTTTTGAATGTTCTCATCACAAAGAAATGATAAACATATGAGGTGATAAATAGGCCAAATGCCCTGATTTAATCACTATACAATGTATATGTCTATTGAAACATCACATTATACTCCACAAATATGTGTAATTATTATGTGTCAATTTTTTAAAAAGAGGATAAATGATTAGTGTATTAAGAAATTTTAATAGAATTCTAATGACTGTTGTCCCAAACTAGTTCTTCTAGCCCTATTAGAAGAAAGGGGATGTGTTAACAACAACAACAACAAAAAACCCACAAAAACCTAACCTTTCACTACAACTTCCCTAAATTAAAGAAATCAATACATATAGATAATCCCCACTCCAGGAGATGAAGTTTAATCCCTCCTCCCCTTGAGTATAGACTTAGTGACTATACTCTTCCAGAGAACAGAGTATGGAAAGAGAAAGATAGTAACTTTCCAGGGAAGAGACCTGGCAGACACTACCTTACATAACCAAGTGATCAAGGTAATGAAAAACAGGAAAGGACTAAGATATTGTTACAGACCAGAGGAGACTAAGCAGACAATACAATATTCTGGATTGAATCCTGGAATAGAAAAAGAACATTAATGGAAGAGTGGTGAAAGCCAAATAAAGTTTGGAGTTTAGTTAACAGAAATGACCAATATTCATGTCTTGTTTTGACAAATGCATAATAGTTGTGTAAGATGTTAACATCAGGGGAAAGTGGGTGAAGGATTTATGGGAAGTCTGTACTATCTTTGGAACTCTTGTGTAAATCTAAACTTACTCAAAAATAAAAAGAAAATTAATGGAAGGAATTAAATCTAGCAGTTTTAATTCAGATCTTTGTAGTACATGGGTCATATTTCAGCACTAATATAAATACGCCTTCAAAATTTTCTAAGACCTTATAGTACAAGCTGCATAATTATTGTGTAAATGTTTTTCAATTTTCTTTCAATGAGTCTTATTTTGTTTATTCTGCTTTGCTTTAAGCAGAATAAGTGTATGTTTATAGCCTGCCAGCAACGTTTTAGGGCATTTTAATTGGTATTCAAGGCCCTAAATGATGTGGTAAACAGGAGTAGAGCCCTTCTTCCCAAAGAAAGACTTGTTAATTTGCAAATAAGCAAGTTCACTTGCATAAGCTGTAACATAAATATATTAAAGAAAATGAACTTCAGATAATGCTAATAATTGTCTCATTCCTGACGTATTCAAAAATATCTAGGTCAACACTACATCTTTTAATACCCCTCTAATAGTTATTTGAATCTCTCAGGTCTTTATTTGCATTAATGCCAGCATTTTTCATCATTTGCAATAGTACAGCAATTTCCTTAACTACCACAAGAAAGGAGTTATAAAACAGCCAGCCCCACTGGCACATTTCCTTAGTTAAGGAAAATAAACACTTGCTACTATTCCAAATCTGTTATAGTATACTTTTTTCTTTTTTTCTTAGTGGGCAAAGCACAATGCACTTTACCGAAGTGGTCAACACATATAGTTATGTGGTGCTAATAGGTATAACAGGACAATTCTAGGAACAGAGAAAAACCACACACAATAAAAACACTGTGACAAATTAATATGGATTCTATCCGGCACTTATTCAGTAAGCACTTGCCTGCCTATGCTTTTCTGTGTTTTCTTTTCTGTGTTCTGTCTACCAACAATATCTGATTTTCACTCTTGATGGTCTTCTGATCATTTACTAAAGGAACACCATGAATTTCAATCATTAACATGTATGCTGGATGATATAGCAGCTTAGGGGTAGGGAGTCTCAGATGAGCTGAAGCTCTTCTTGCTAAGCAACATTAGAATAACTGTTAAGCATGTCAAAGAAGGCAAAGGGATCAGTCAATAAATGCATAACTGTTCATTCACTGCAGGTAATACATTTCTACATCAGGAACACATCTAATAGTGACTTCATTCCCCGGGTCACATTTCCTACCACCTGCCCCCTCAGCTAAACAGGGCATTCCTATGCATCACTAAATTAGTGATACAATCTAACCCTGGCAGGACAAAAGTCATACATCAACAAAACATTTTCTGATAGGACTTTACTGTACTTTTAAAGATGTCAGATGGGACAGAGAATCAAATGGCTGAAATGCAAGTGCCAACACTCAGGAATAAAGACTGCTATAGGACTAGAGTACAGGATGGAGAGATAGTCTAAGAGAGACCAGAAAAGATTCTAGGAGAAGGTAGAACTTAAGTGGGACCTTGAATGATTTTGACAAGTAGAGATAGGAAGAAAGGGTATTTCAAACAGAGACAACAAAGTACATAAAGGTGTAGGTGTGAAAGCAAGTGGTCAATTTGAGAATAAGTGGATAATCATTTTCAATAATGAACAGGGAGATCAATAGAAATGAGACAAGAAAGACTTGGGACAGATCTAAAATTTAAAAATCATCCTAAGGAACCTAGAATTTATTTGGAAGGCCACCAAACTTTTGAGTAGAGTAGAAAAATGATTTAGAACTGTGTTTTAGAAAGCAAACTGGCAGTGGTATGGAAGAAAGACCACAGACAGGAGAAATCAGAAGCATGCAGATTAGTTAGGAGGCAACTCCACTGGTGCATGGGAAACAGGCAAGAGGCAAGAGGCAACCTTTTAAGTAAGGCAGTGCCTGTGAGAATGGAGAAGAGAAAACCAGAGAAGGAAGTCAATAGTACTGGAGACATCAGATCTGAAGACAAGAGTAAGGAGATAATGATGTCAGTAAATGAGATGGGTAGCCTTAGAGGAGAAATGGAAGACAATGAATTATCTTCACACACTGAGCTGGAAGTAGAGATGACAGCAGGGTAATACCATTTTTCATCATAAACCTAGTTATATACCATGTGCCTTTTTAATCTGTATTAAATTAAAAGTAAAAAGGAGTCAGGGTTCAGAGCAGAAGAAAAAGTAGGAAATATTATCCTAAATTGGATGTTAACAGTATGGCATCATGAGTCTAAATGAAATATTTTGATTCTTCACAACTAGTATGTTCCCATGTTAAAAATTCAAGAAAGAGAGGAAAGTCAGCATTTCTACACATCATTGAGTTGGGGATATGATGTAACTCTGGCAGAACAAAAATCACAGACCAGCAAAATATTTTGTGTTAGGGCTTTGCTGTACAGATTTTTTTTTTTTTTTTTTTGAGATGGTGTGTCTCACTTTGTCACCCAGGCTGCAATGCAATGGTGCGATCTCGGCTCACTGCAACCTCCGCCTTCTGTGTTCAAGTGATTCTCTTGGCTCAGCCTCCCGAGTAGCTGGAATTACAGGTGGACACCACCATGCCCGGCTAATTTTTTGTATCTTTAGTAGAGATGGGGTTTCACCATATTGGCCAGGCTGGTCTCGAACTCGTGACCTCAGGTGATCTGCCCGCCTCGGCCTTCCAAAGTGCTGGGATTACAGGTGTGAGCCCAGCTCAGAATAGGTCTTTAGTGTACAATGGTGATAGGGCTTCACTGTACCAAAAAAAAGAACTTTTTTTTTCTTCAGACAAAATTTTGCTGTCACCCAGACTGGGGTGCAATGGTGTGATCACAGCTCACTGCAACCTTGAAACCCTGAGCTTAAGTGATCCTCCCGCCTCAGCCTCCCAAGTTGCAGGACTATAGGCACATACCATCATGCCTGGCTAATTTTTTTATTTTTTATTTTAGAGATGGGGGTCTCACTATGTTTCCGAGGCTGGTTTCTGACTCCTGGTGTCAAGCAATGCTCCTGCGTTGGCTCCCAAAAGCAGGATTACAGGTATGAGCCACCATACCTAGCCGAGAGATGAACTATTAATGGGGGCAACAACATGGATGAATCTCAAAGTAATTATGCTGAATAAAAGAAGGCAGACAAAAAAGAACATTCATACTGCACAATTCCATCTTTATGAAACTTTAGAAACTACAAACTCCTATAGAGTGACAAAAAGCAGATAAATGGTTATCAGGAGAGGCATAAATGGACTTAAGTAGGTACATGGGGAGACTCTTAGGCGAGATGGATATGTTCATTTTCTTGACAGACGTATACATGTTAAAACATCAAATTGTACATTAAAAATATGTGCAGTTTTTTGTATATAAATTATCCTTCAATGAAGCTATTTTTAAAGTCCCAGAAAAAAATTTAAAGGACATACCTCCCTTCTCCAGCCAATCCTTGTGTTTTAGGTGGAAGTTCCTTAGCTTTAACAGCTAATATCTCATTTAAAATGATTCCTGTTTCTCTCCATCAGCCAGTTTTAAAACTGATGTAACAACAACAAAAAATTCACTTTGAAAAATTAAAAATCCAAGTCACAACATTGACAAACTCTCTGTAACATGAACTAGGCATATTAGCTGGTAACTTGGCATTGTTGCAGGTGAATGTGTGATTTCTGTTATCTTAATGCTAAAACTAGCTAATGGCTCCCTCAACCCAACCAACCCACCAGTATTATCTCGGAAGCCTCCCAGGGTATGTGCCCATGTGTCAACTTAAGACATACTGCAGCAATATAAACTCTTATTCTCTAACAAACCTAAAACAAACCTATTAAAAGAACTCTACCAGAATTTACCATAATGTAATTTTATCTCCAAGATGATAAACTTTTAAATTCTATATTGACAATCACATACAGCTCAGGTACAAAGCATGTATGAAACAGTAACTTCTAAAAAGAACACGCAGTTAACTAAAACCTTGAAAATTCAGGATACTTTATGTGAGTCAATATGCAGTACAACTTCCTTAGTAAGCTTCACGTAGTCCATGAAATACAATAGGAAATTCATGTCTTTGCTTTAATGAGAAAGACTAAGGTTGGCATTCCTGTGCCTTTGATTAAAGAGTGGTTCTGTACAAGTTGGGAAGGCCACTGTTTGTAATGATGACTGCAGCTTAGGGAAGTAAACATCTACCATAAGGGAAGAACCGAACATAAGCCTTCCTGGTAAGTTCAGCAAATTAACCCTCATGTCCTACAAATCAAGAAGGGACAGACTTAAAATTTGAAACTTGGTAGGACTTGAAATACAGACCAGCAAAACATCTTATGATAGGGATTTTCTATACTTTTATTATTAGGAGGATAAAGACACTAGAACATGTGGCGTGATTAGTGACATGTGAAAAGCTTAATGATCATTTTTTAAAAGCTAAAATATAACATACATACATGTATTTTGAATCATGAAATACTTTTATTCTTTTAAGTGACAAGTTCTCCTATCACAAGGTCCTCAGATTGGTCATTTCCTAGGAAACAAAGTTCACTATTTTAATCCCATCAAAGTCATGGTGGCCCATTAGGTATCAGGCGTCTTGAATTCTCACACTGACAACACTCAGCTGTGCAACTATACATGAATCATAGATTCTTTCTGGGCTAAAAGTATGCGACTCTAAAATGTGGAGAAGCCAAGAGTTTGAGTCTTACACTGTCTATGGCTTCACATACCAAGACCAAATAAGGTTCTATGTAATTCATATTTCCTTCCAGCAGCCTTGTGTAATAATCATGAATTTTAAAATTATTTTTTTAATGCCTACAGCAGATTACAAAAAAATACGATATTTTAAAATTTGTTTAAGTCTTCAAGAATGTATTAAACAGGTTTCCCCACCATACTTTTAAAGGCAATGATAAAAATCTTTTACATACTGATAGGTAAAAACAATTGCCAAATAACAGTTGCTCCTACATACATATAAATGATTTGTAACTGTTGTTCCTAAATACACATAAAATGTCATCCTAAAACTGACCAGGTATGGTTGTCCATTACTGGGTTAGTTGACATTTTGGCACCAAAACTTTTTCACGATTAGTCATTCTCTTCAAGCTACTGCTAGTTGACTTTTCTAAAGTTCTTAATCCATAGCAGTAAGGGGTAGATTTTTCTTAAAAATGAAGTAGCACTGAATACTGTGAATCAAAATAACCTTTTCATGGCATTATTAAGAAAGTGAAACCTTTAGGTATCTGTATTTTTAAAAATTAAATTATGACGTAAAATGGAAAACAAGAAAATCATGGAGATGCATAGGAAAATACAGCAGAAATATCCAGAAGTGCTGAGAGGTTGTCCTTGATGGTGAGACTATGGGTGGGCGTTCCTTCTGTTATATAGCTATTCATTTCCATAACAGAAAAAATCTACATAAATTTAACAACTGCCTTATAAAACGCGTAGGGTGTCTCTCCACTCCAAATACTAAAGAGATTAAGCCACAAAGGTCACACCAAAGAATCAAGACACTGCGATCGAAACAGAGTTTTTTGAACGCTGTTACAGATATATCCTCCTATGGCCTAGACAGAGCCCATGACCAAAAAGAGGAGATTCTCCTCATCTAAGAATCATTGAAAAAACAAAACAAAACAAACAAAAAACAACCTACAGTAGCAAAGAATGGCATCGTCATTTCTGCTCACACCACCATACAATGGAACGTGGTGCAATTAAATCCCACTTATTATAGAACCCCAAATACTCGATTCCAACCACGCCAACACCCTTGCAGTTCCCCCAGCCCACGTGTATATTCTCTGGATTGATGGGATGGGATTAATTGTCCCTCTTTGAAAACCTTACTCATAATCGCTACTCGCTGAGGAATATGAACCCGAGTCGCTGACCCGATCTTCAAAATCATAGTCCTCATCTTCTTCTTGTGAAGAGGGGTCTCCAGGGAGCTCGTCTGAGCTCGGACGCGAATCGCACGAAGCCACAGAGGCCATCGTCAGGAATGCAATAGCTACGAGTGGAGTAATTCAAATCTCGCAGCTATAGCTTGCTAAGGCCGCCATGTTGCCTCTGCTTGGGAAGGGGCAGAGGCCATGTGACCACCAATCCTTAGCTGCAATTGGTGGCAGGTCGCGTTGCCAGGGAGACGGAGAAGCTTCCCAGAAGAAACAGGGAGAACAGAAAGCAGCCAATGGGCTGAAACTTCCAGGAGGGCTTCTCAGTTGGAAGGATAGAAATAGCTAAAACTTCACCGCTTACGCTCTCCGGAACGCAATTCCTTAGAGCAGCATAACCTGTTAAAACAGGCGGAGATGCACTGGGCTTCTCACCTTTTTCTTCCAGTGCTGGATATCCAGTTTGCTCTTTGTCCTGTGTTTCTAATGCCTAACAGCTGTCGGTCAGCCTGGATTTCCTTCGAGGTGAAGGAAACCGCACTTTACCTTTCCTTAGGACCTCATCCGTGCAAGTAATGGACGCTTTTAAGCAACGCGATCTAGGTGTTAATGTAAATACGCTCCATTGTTTTATGGGTTTCATATTGTTTCGCAATTGCAAACATTTTCACGGTTATCCCAAGTGGGTATTGTAGAGTGCCACAAATGAGTGGCAATCCTGTGGAATCAACTTCATGTTCATTTTCTAACTCAAAATTTTATAATCTAATTAAGTGTTCTCATTATTAAAGTTGGAAGTGTAAACAGGTAAAATCTACCTGTTATTTATGAATACCTATATCAAGTATTTTTTAAGTACAAAAATAACAGCTAGCATTGATTGAGAGTCAGCCTTGGCTCTGCTCACTTTATTCATATACAATGCTGAGCATTCACATACTATGAAGTAAATATTTTCTCTATATTAAATAAGGAAACTAAGCTTTAGAGAAGTTATGCATCTTACTAATGGTTACATGGCTAGCAGTCAACAAAGTCAACCAAGAAATGAACCTAAGTCAATAACCATTACATGAAATTTCCTCCCTCAGAACCCAGTAATTCAACTATTAGATATCTACTCTGAGAAAGGATGCAAATTTATAAAATTTGTAAAAGTGAAAAGCTGAAAGCAATCTTAAAATGTCAAATAATGGGGGAAAAGTTAAATATATATAAAATATGATGATTATGATTTTAACTAGAATGTGTTCAAAGAGTAAAGCATGGGGGAAATGTTCATGTTGCAGCGTGTAAAAAAAGGATATAATGTTATTTTATGATCTAAAAGGCTGGGTGCTGGGGATTCTCTAATGGGCAATTATAACATAGTGATAAGTATTACAATAAATACAAGGTTCTAATGGAATATCCAGAAAAAACCAAAGTAGTATACGTGGGGCCATGACAAATTTCTTAGAGGAAGTATTAATTTATATTGTTATTATGGCATGGTTCCAACAGAGAAAGAGTAATGGGAGATGAGTCATCACATGGCCGGTATGGGTATATGCATGGAGAACTCAAAGGAACCTGAATTGTAGCTGTTGCAGGGGCAGAAAAACTCTACCTCCATCTTCTTAGGGTCCCAGCTGGGCCTGAGAATTAAACTTACCTAAAATAGATTAACAAAAGAAAAGCAACTGGAACTTGTTATACAGATGTTGAGGCCCTGCTCCACATCAACAGGATCAGAATCTCCAGTGGAGGGGCCTGGAAATCTCTATTTCAAACAAGTGCCCCCTGTGATTCAGCAAACTTGGGGAACTGCCCTAAATTTTCTCTCAGTTCTGTGCTTCATCTATACAGGCCAACTGGCCATTCCCTGAATAGGCTGGAACCCACTCCCACCTCGCAAATTTGAGCCTGGCAGACAGACCTCTCTCCTTGCTCTAGAATCCAAGTTTTACATGGCAGGGGAGCCCTCATAAAGAAATGAAGACCCAAAGAAGCAGTTAGAGTCAGTTAACTTATATACTGGATTGGACAAAGAATAGTTAGTTGTGAAGAAGCAACTAAACTAAATTGGGAAGCTTAAAAGATAAGTTATTTTAACAAGGTCTGTACAGAATTCTCTTGGTTTCACTTCTATGCCCTTGAGAATAAGAATGTTACATT
The DNA here is from genome assembly GCF_000001405.40 of Homo sapiens. Lineage (NCBI taxonomy): Eukaryota > Metazoa > Chordata > Mammalia > Primates > Hominidae > Homo > Homo sapiens. The sequence goes on along the minus strand of NC_000004.12, from coordinate 127,630,976 downwards.
TTTCTAGTATAGGGAGGGTGTCTTTCACATGGGAGCTTCATCTGTTGCTTTTAAGAAGCAGCACAAAGGCACTTGCTGTTTTTCAAGTGTATTAAACTTAAATGGCCAGGATAGTATATTTTACCTTCCTCACAGCCAAACAAGCTGCAGTATGCAGCTTATACTTTTAAGCTGAAGTTTAGTTGTATTTACATTAACTGTACATTACATGTACAAATATACATTAAACTATGTACATTTGAATTTGTATATTACATGTACAAATGTACATTAAACTATATACATTTGAATTTCCTAGGTTTTATGGTTTTGTTTTAATTTCTAAATGTGTTTTTATAGTGTTATAACAGCGATTACATTTTGTAATTTATTTGTATTAATTCATAAAATTGTTTTCATCTTATATAGGAGCTATAAAGCACAGATTATACCTCATTTATTTAAAATTATAATTAAAAAACTTAAGTCATCCATGGAAATCCACAATAGTTTTTCCTTAAAAGAGGTCTATATGTTACTAAAGTTGAAGAACAGGAGGAGGAGTTTGTAAAGGGGTAATGGGCAAAAGGAGTGTCAGAGGCATTTGAACCAGAGCGACTCCATCTTGAATAGGGGCTGGGTAAAATAAGGCTGAGACCTACTGGGCTGCTACTCAGGAGGTTAGGCATTCTTAGTCACAGGACAAGATAGGAGGTCGGCACAAGATACAGGTCACAAAGACCTTGCTGATAAAACAGGCTGCGGTAAAGAAGCCAGCCAAAACTTACCAAAACCAAGATGGCTACAAAAGTGACCTCTGGTCATCCTCACTGCTCACTATACGCGAATCATAATTAGAGTACAGTGAGCAGTGAGGATAATGAGCATTAGTTGCTAAAAGACACTCCCATCAGCATCATGACAGTTTACAAACGCCATGGCAATGTCAGGAAGTTATCTAATATATTCTAAAAAAGGGAAGACCCCTCAGTTCTGGGTACTACTCCCCCTTTCCCAGAAAACTCATGAATAATCCACCCCTTGTTTAGCATATAATCAAGAAATAACTATAAGTATACTCAGTCAAGCAGCCCATGCCGCTGCTTTGCCTATGGAGTAGCCCTTCTTTTTTCCTTTACTTTCTTAATAAACTTGCGTTCAATTTACTCTATGAACTTGCCCCGAATTCTTTCTTGGGTAAGGTCCAAGAACTCTCTTGGGGTCTGGATTGGGACCCCTTTCTGGTAACAGGAGGTCCTTGAGGTGGTAGGAGGGGATAGCATCCAAGGCACAGAAGGAGGGATATGACCTCCCTGGACACCTCTTCCCTAAAACTAGAAGAAAGAGCCAAAGAAGGGTGCTGGTGTGGATGGTGACTTGCCAGTTTCAGGCAGGAAGCTGAGGCAGTCTCCATGTGACAGTGTTTATCGTCTGGTAAGTAGGCTGCAACCTTGCCAGCTGAACGTGATGGAGGAAGTAATGGGGTCGGAAGTTTGAAGAAAGTGGAGACAGGAAGGAAGGGAAACAAATATTTCCATTAGCATTGAGATCCAACAAAAAATGTATTACTTTTAAAATCAGAGAAACAATATTATTTTAAAAAGCTGGAGTCCCTATACTCATTATTTTGAGTTTCATGGTAAAATATATATGCTTACTTTCACCACAATCTTAAACATTAGAAATGATTTAAGATTCCATTTCAAAATAAAAAGTGCTTTAGTTACCTCTTTAATAAGTTAACCTTTCCTTGTTTTAAAAGCAACTTATTGGAAGTAAAAAATAAAATAAGAAATTAAAAAAGGACATTTACAAATTTTAGGAAAATATCACATTTTCTTCCTACAAATTTTTCATCAATTTTTTTTTGTAAGCATCTAGTAGTTTCATACCCTGCCTCATAAACCTTGCATGGCACCTCCTTAAATAGAGAACAAAGTCCAAACTGTGTAGCTTCTTTTAAATTTTTTTCTCCAATTCTACAAACAATTGAACACCAATTCAGAATTAAATGGTTTATTCCATGTTACATCGTAAGTTAATCAAGCTGATCAACTTGTCTATTCAAAAGAATCAACTGGAGCTTGTTATACAGATTTTGAGGCCCTGCTCCACATCAACAGGATCAGAATCTCCAGGAGAGGGGCCTGGAAATCTCTATTTTAAACAAGTGCCCCCAGTGATTCAGCAAACTTGAGAAACTGCCCTAAACTTTCCCTCAGTTCTGTGCTTCATGCATACGGGCCCACTAGTCATTCCCTGAATAGGCCGGAACCCACTTCCACCTCCTGAATTTAAGCCTGGCAGACAGACCTCTCTCCCTGTTCTAGAATCCATCATCCACGTAACCTTGAGCAAATGACCTCCACAAGCTTCACTTTCCTTATCTGTAAATTCAGAAAATGGTACTTACTTCACAGGACTGTTTGGAATCTAATGAGTTAATGCATGTAAAGTACCTAGCACATAAAGCATCAATAAAACAGCTATTTTATCTCATTTACTCACACAGTTCTCTTACTGTGGAATGATACTTACCCAAAATTCATTTGTTGAAATACTACACCTTTCTTCAAGATCCAATTCAAACAGCACCTTTTCCCAAAAGCCCTCCTAGACACATCTCCTACCTCAGTAAGAATTCCTTTTTCTACTCTTTCCTCATAATCTATCCCATAAAATTAGGTTATAACTAATATCAGTCTGTCTTATATCTAAATTAAATAGGAATACATCTATCATTGCCACCAAATGACAATCTCCTGGAGAACCTGACTGGGTCTTTTTTTTTTTTTTCTCTTCAGTCTTTCACTTGTCACAAGGTTGAACTGGAGCAAAAAATGCCACATGAAAGTATACCTGCTAGGACGTTAGCTATATTCCTGAGTTACGTTAACTCCCTTGGCTAATTTACTTCCATGTGTTAGTTAAATGGATAAAAGTGAGCAACAACAAAATTTACCACCTCGCTTTATCTTTCATCAAAGAAGAAATAATAGCAATCATTTTTATCCTTATTTTAATTTTCAGGTTGTAGTATCAATTAGTCATATTTCTAAATTTACATATCATATTTCTACTAACCTTGCTAATATTTAATAAGCTTAGATATTTTTGAAAGGATGAAGAAAGGAAAGGAATAGGATGCCATTTTCAGGGCCTTTATAAGAATATTCTGTGTGTTTCATAATTAGCAATTGCAAGAAGATTTAAGAGATTTAGACTGGGGTATATTTTCATTTTCTCTTTTCCACTACAAAATGACCAGCCATCTTCTGAAGCCCAAATATGTTTAATTTAATGCATATGAGACTTGACATCCTTATTTCCATAGATTACCATCTTGATTAGGCGAACTACAATTCTGACATAAAATACACCAGAAAAGGACATAATTAAATATTTAGTATCGTTAGCAGGTTCAGGAGCTCTTTCTCTAGTAGTAATAGAAGCTGGCAATGAGAAGTAAATGAAAATAGGGCCACATGAGGTCATATTCATTAAAAATTTAAACTACAAGGTAAAAATTATGTAAGAGTTTTGTTAGAAACTAATATTGCCTTAATTGTGAACACAGAAATAATAATACTTTATGAACTATGTGGTAATAATGACAGCCATAATTATTTTTAAAATATGAATAAATAACTTGGTAGACCAACAAAATAGCATTTTAGAAAGTGAGACTTTATTATGTAGAAGATTTCAGATTTCAGAGTTTATATATCAAAATAACATTTCAGCAATCCTAAAGGTACAGAATTGCATTATGGTCTAAAATTCTCATTTCCCTCTATAAAAGTTGAATTACTTGTTAAAATGCATACAACTTACCTGCAATAAGACCATATATTCCACATTTGAATAGTAATGGAATACAGATGAGAATCCAGAAGCACAAGTGAGACTAAAATAGATGGCACAAAGCTCAAGCCCAAAACCCAATTCATTTACTCCTATTTCTTTTCATTTTAGATCTTCATTTACAAATTATAACAAGTTTGGCAAGCTGTTCTACCACTATAGATCAATAGCTGCCAATCAGAAGGAAAGAAGGCTCCCTTAAAACAGGAATACAACAACCCTGGAAATTGTTGATGGCTGACAATCTGCTGATGAAGAGGAAAGTAGAAAACAAAAGGCAGACATGAGAATTAACAAAAAACCATAGTTTATAAATAACTGCCAAATGACCTAAGTAGCACCTAAAACAAAAAAATTCACAGCATTGTTGAATCCTACAATAATTTGACATCGACTGTAAAAAACACTTGATAATCTGTAAGTGCCATGCATTCTCCAGTCAGGGGATCCAAGTTCTCATCCTGATTTTGGCACCAATAACCAAGTGGAAGTGGACAAAGTCAGTTTCCTCATCTGAAGGCAGCAATAATAATCTCTGCCTACTCTATAGGGTTGCTGAAAATCAAATGAGATAACCCTTGAAATCTAATGCCTTATACCTTAAGAAACAGAGCAGTGTGTACTTTATATTATATTTTCAAAAGCTGTTTTTTTTAATTATTCATTTTAGTTTTTATTTTTAGATCTTAAAAAGATATTACATACTCTTTTACTAACAGGAATATTACTTAATTGGGCATACCCCCTGAGAATTCTGGATAGTTGCGGTATTTTGAATTTGCATATTTTCACCTTTGGTAAGAGTATGAAATTTGGGTCGTCAAAAATTTTGAGAATCACCTCTAGTTCACTCTCTCCATTGGCTTAGGGGTCAAAAAACCAGCACTCCAGCCTGGACCAGCACCATTCATTAGCTATTAGGCCTTGGGCAAAGTCACCAGGCTGAATCTTCTCAGAATCTTTAGGAACTATCATTTTGTGTTTTGTTTTAGTTTTTTACTATAGAACAGTTGTTACCATAATCCCTTATATTTGACAGAACTTTAGTTTTATAAAGCACTTCCATATCATCAGAAATTCACACCAACACCTTGTGAGGTGGGTATTATCCCTTTATATTACAGAAAGAACAGGGGAAAATATAAATAAGTTAAAAGTCTTGCCAAGTCACACAACTACTGTGCAACAGAGGAATTAGGACTCCAAGGAAATGATTAATTTGCAATAGTATTGTGCATATGTTTTTTTAAAAAAATTTGCAAAATACTGAGTATTAATAGTATTGTTTGGTTATTTCTTATAATCAAGATGACAGAAAAATAACTTAAGTAACTGAGAAATACAATACTGATGCTTTTCCTTGACTCAGACAACTTATGTGTAACTTTTTTCAAAAAGCAGAATAGTTAAATTTATTTTGCTGAGCTATTGTTATTTTACAATTGACATTTTGAAGTTAGCACCTCATGCAGAGAAAAGTTTGCAGCTTTGCTTTAATTTTGGTTTGGCTGAAGTATCTTTTTCAAAAGCACAGCAATTTAATGCTTTACATTTTAAAAACCATATTTGCAATGGAAAATATACAAGTAATTTAAAAAAGGACACACTCACAAGACTTACCCTTTAAAGTAACACGTTAAAATAAAACAGTCTGTTATTTTCTCTTAATAACATGGCTACTAGTCTCTTTAATGCAATTGCCAAAATTTTGTATATAATTTACGATGGATGTTTTAAAGGAAAAACATAAAAGTTTTGTAACAGTAATACTTTTAAAATAGGCCATGCATTGATATACTTCATGAGAACTATGATAAGTACAAGTATGATTTAAGGGTTATCAAATCTCCCTAATTTCTATAATATTATGCCTAAACAAATCTGTATATATACAAGCAAAAGACATTTGATTAGATGTGAACTTGTGTGAAACACAGATGCATTAAATGAAAGAGAAACCTCTACAGATGTCTAAGTTTTTTAAGTGCGTGTTTGAAAACATTAAATAATAAATAACCACTAATAAGAGTAATGCATTGCAGTAGCAAAAAGATTTTCGTATAATGTTAAAAAGAAAGCACTGTTAGCCATGATACTGACAAACATATTTATAGTTCCAGATTCCATTGGTTCCTCCAGCATATGGGAGCAGTTATTTGTAATTCAGATAAAGTAGTTTTTCATTGTAATACTGAGCAGGTTATTCTAAAAATATTCCACTACTTCCGAAATAATCATCTCAGTCTTGATGACTATAGCTTAAACATATTCTTTTGCCTGGTTTATTCGGACAGGTTTGTGCCTTGGATCTGAAACCCTAAAGTGTTCATCAGTTTGAAATTTTTTGGCACTTGACATTTAAAACATGAGAAATATAAAGAAATTCTGTTGCAGCAAGGTCTTAAGCTTTTAAAATTAGCACCCCTCCCGGCTTTACAACAAAGTCATGCTGTGAATGAGTTTTTAGTTAATGCTTCTTGGGATTTATTCCTGGACTATAATTTTATCAAATGCAGGGGGAATTTTCTTTGGGAATTTAGCAGAATATCCTTTTCACAGCTCGTTTAATAATATTTTCTTTTATATGGCAGGGGCTCTTTGGGGGTTGGGGGAAACCAACTGCAGAAAATTGCAGGTTTCAGAAGACAGCTCTGAAATCGCAGACACCCAATTTCTCCCTTGCACACTTTCTTTTTTACTCACACTTCCAATAGAACAGGATTTCTACAGCTCATATGGTTTTGTACAAAGACTTAAAAGGGCCACTTGAAACGTTTACAGATGAGAGGGCTCACATAAACCTCCCCCTGACAGATATTTACGAAGCGCCACTTACTCTTTCTCGCCACAAACGTATTCAAGAGACACTTTAGATATATTTCTAAGAGTTCTTTTTCCCTACAACGTCTTATGAAGGCCAGGCCTTCCTAGAACTAAAGCAGCATTAACTGCTTGGTATTTCATCCATCCTCTCTTAAAATTGAAAGACAATTTGCTCTTCATGTGGACTATTTCTTTCTCTTCTATAAACCCATCACTGTAACCACAGGATTTAATATTTGTTAGTCTATTTTGCATAAAGGATAAGGTTGGACGAAAGTACCAGCAGTGAAAATTAATGCACTAGCAGCTTACAGAAAGTTAGGGTTCTCATTCTTCCTAGAGAAACTCTTAAATTTCTTTTGTGCAGTTTTTGGTGTGTGGGCGCAAGCGCATGCGCGCGCGTGTTGGGGGGGTGGGGTAGAATTAGATTTGTTAGAAAAGAAGCTCTTTTCCATTCCAGTCACAACTAAAGTTCAAACAAAACTCTTAGCTTGCTGGAAGAAGCCTGGAGGTGTTAAGGGACAGCTTCGCTTAATCTTTCTTTCTCTTCTTCCTAAGGTAGCGTTTTCCGGAGGAGATGGGTGACCGGGACCCGCGCGGGGCCAGTCTCGGCAGCGGGACAGGGTGGATCGCTGGCACCCGATTCTGGAAAGGGTGGGGTGCAGGTCCCAACGGCCCTTCGCGGCCAGCGCCGCACTAAGGCGAATCCCAAGTCAGATGCTTCCAGAAAGACCCCAGAAAGAAAAGCGGCCCCTCCCTCGCCAACATTTCCGGGGCAAGAGGACGGTCTCGCCCCGCGTCCCGGGGCCCTGCACTGACCTGTGTAACAGGACACGCTGCACTGAGTCCAGGTCCTCCAGGCTGCGGGGGGCAGGTTTGGGGATGCTGGACCTGCCCACCTGAAACATGCCCACTGGAGACTCGCTACAGGGGCGGACGACAGGTCACCCAGGTCCCAGCCCCGGCTCCCGCCGAACCGTCTGGCCCCCGCACAGCTCCGGCCGCCGCGGTGAACCTGGAGGTGCCAGCCTCCGACGCGCGGAAGCCAAGGGCTGAAGGCGGTGGTGTCAGCGACGGCGGCCCCTCCTTCGCCCGCGTGCTCCCCTGCCGGTCTCGGAGCCCGGCGCACTGGCGGGCGGCGCGGCCACTCCTCGCTGTGGGAGCTCGGGGCAGGTGGGGGCTCTGTGGGCCGCCAGCCCCACCAGGGCTCGCGAAGTCCAGGCTGCCCGGTCTTCCACGTCTGGGTTTCTCCGGTGTCTTCCACTGGCCCAACACACAGCCCGTCTCCGGCGCTGGGCGCGAGCCGTCGAGCGCCTCCGGACCCCGCCGCTTGGCGCTGCCCTCTTTCGCCGCCTAGTGCGGGATGCAGCTCTTCACCCTCCCTTCCAGGACAGCGAGGCCGCCTTGGCCAGGGACACCCGCGTCCAGGCGCCGCCCCCAGTGTAGGAACTACCACCTGCAGCTTCTAGCGCTGCAAACAAGGGAGGAGTGGAGGAAACTCTCAAGGGCCTCTGAGGCTCTGGCTGCTCTGTGGAAGACCCGAAAACGAGTGGGGAAGAGGCAAGGTAGTTGTCTGCTCTTGGTGGGAGTTTTAATTCAGCCTAAAGAAGCCATATACATTCATCCGTCCGTGCAAATGTGTATTACCACTTGCTATGTGCCAGGCCGAGTTCTAGTCCTTGGAGGTACAAGAGTGAATAAAAGGTGGACTCTGACTTGTCTAATGTGGCTTTATTCTCTTTTGGGGGGATTTATTTGCTTTAAAATATACTTGACCCCAGGAGACAGTCTCTACTCTAGGGCATTAGGTATTTCAGTGAACTATTCTATGGCCTGTGGTCAAAGAGAAGACAAAATTAGCTTGGTGGTTTTTCCATCGTGGGAAAAGTGACGCGTGTGTGACTTCCTACTGTAGACTGTCCCTAAGTCAGAACAGGCCAGAATGGTAAGGGGAACCACTGAAGGAGAATAAATGGAGAAACTGGAGCGTAATAGTTTAAAATGTGAGCTATCATAGGTTATAGATTACAGATTAATGATAAATGGTAATAGATTAAACTTTAGGGTAATTAGCTGGGACTTGGCTACTTACTGTAGGACCTCTAAATGTCGTTATCTGCCGATCTTTTCTCTTAGGTCCATTTCTCCAATCAGGGATGTCTTTCTGGCTGCCAAGTGGGTTAAGAGGGTGAATGATGGAGGCCCCATCTCTTAGCATATAGACTTTTACTTAATTCCTCTCTTTTCAGTAAGTTGCCTTACCCCTGGTCTACACTGTACCTGTGTTCTTGAGTCCACTGCATCAAGAATCTGAAAATGTTCATGTCTTTTGATTCAGAAATTAACCCCAAGGAAATGATAAAAAGTGAGGGTCGTGATGTTCATTGCAGTACATTATTACAGCAAAAATATGAAAGGTATAAATGTCCCAAATTAATATAACTACCTACGTAGGTTAAAGTTCATTCATACAGTGATCTAATATATATTTATTAAAAGGAAGTTTAAATAAAATGCTTAATGGCATAAGAAAAATATTTATGACTTAAACTTTAGTAAATATTCAGGAGACAAAATTGTATATTCAGTTTTTTGTTGCTATGTAAAAATTGGGAAATTGATTGGATGGACACGCACCAAATCTTAAAAATGATTATATCTGGAAGTAAAATTATGAATGATTTTTTTTTCTTGTAGTTTTCCATGTTACATTTTTTACAATAAATATATATTATTTTTTAATCAGAATGTATTCAATCCATTGTGGGAATGTAAATGTGTGAAAAGAATGATTTATAGTCCTACTTGGGAGGCTGAAGTGGGAGGATACCTTGAGCCTAGAAATTCAAAACCACCCTAGGCAACATAGCAAGATCCCCCTCTCTTAAAAACAAAAAACAAAACAAAATCCAGATTGATTTGAAGAATAGTTGGTGGCAACTGAATTTGTGGGTAATAATTTCCAATTATTATCTATTTCAGATTACCATTCTCAGATATACATAAGTGGTTTTGCAAAATATTTTATCATTTAAGGGTACAAGGTTAGCCTACATTTTAAAAAAGGACCATTACAAATCTTTTATATAGAGAATAGTTATTTTGTAAATCAGATATTTGCTATGTTTTTTTTTACTATAATAATTTATCTTTTGTTTGAAACTACTACATAAGTTTTCCATCTGACTTCAGATTTTGTGAAAAGTCCATGTTCTCACTTGCAAGTGGGAGCTAAACATGCTGTACTCATGGACATAAAAATGGCAGCAATAGACACTGGGGACTACTAGACGGGGAAAGGAGGGAGGGGAGCAAGGGTTGAAAAACTAACTGTTGGGTACTATGCTTAGTACCTGGGTGGTGGGATCATTCTTATCCCAACCCTCAGCATCAGGTAATATACCCAGGTAACAAACTTGCACATGTACTGACTGAATGTAAAATAACAGTTGAAAAAGAAGTCAGTAGTAAACATTAAAAATGTTTTGTGTGAAAAGTTTATGATGTTATAAACCGCTATTCAATTACGTGTTCAAAATAAATCTTCATTTACTTACGTTTTCTTAAAGTAGGATTTATCTATAGCTACTTGTGGGCAAGAAAATATTCTATACGTTCAAATTTATTCTAGACAATGACAACTTATATCTCATAACAGAATAATTCATTTAACATGGAAACTTCTACCACTTAAAGATTCTCACCATGTTTTTATGTTTGTATATTAATTGGATTGTTTCAATCATACTTTCCTTATAGCAACTTATAAGGAAAATAAGATAAAATATTTGCAACATGTATTTGGAGATGAACAACCTTTACAGAGGGAGAGGTTGATGATGCAAAAGAAAAACGAGATCATTGGTACTGCCAAGTCCCAGAGTTAGGAGAAAATGGTATATTAGTGCACAACTGGAGGTCTCGCCTTGGACTAGAAGAGGCACACTTCATTATTATTATTACCATAATTTTCTGCATTTCATAGTAGAGATTTTTAAATAAAAATTGACAGCTACCAGAGAAATCAGGACAGAGCCATACCTTTTCACTAATTTTAGGTGTCCTTATCCTTTCTGACCTTTATCAATAATGGTTTCCATAATGATTTTTAGACTTTTGCCTTAGAGAAATAAATACCTTTATAAAAAAGAAAAAACCCACCCTAGTTTTAGGCTCATAGAATATTGGTACTATTTTTTAATGCATCATGAATTAACTGATCTCCTCTAATAGATTCTAAAGCTTTTTGAGGTCAAATGATGTCAAGAGGCTTTAGAATCTATTAGGTAGTACATGATTTGACCTCAAGCATCCATATATGTTGAGTGACTGCATCCTGGATCATGCTTGCTTCTGAAGGTGAAATCCTGGGTCAACTCAATATTGACTTGAAGTTTGAGAGAGCTGTTTTCACTGGCTCGCTACAGGGTTCTATACTTGACCTAGTTCTATTTGATAATTTAATTAATGACTTTAATGAAAATAGGGAAAGTATGCTTGCCAAAATTGCAGTGGATGAAAAATTGGAAATGTGTTGGCTCTTACAAAATTTCTGGAGTCTGGAAACCCTAACTCGAAAAGGAAAAGGTATGTGTGTGTATTTTTGCACATATTTAAAAAATAATTATAATAGATCAGGAAAGGAAAACAAGCAGGCTTAGCAGCCATTCAAGCATAAAAGATGCAGGCAAATTATTGAATTGCAATATGAACAGTGTTAAAGTGGCTACCATCGTACACTACTCAAGTACCATATAAATTTCTGTCTTCTGTGTACCAGATTTTAACAAACACATTGTTGCTAGGGGAGTGGATTAGGATCCATCAAACCCACCAATCTGTCATAAATCTCCTGTTTTTACTTTCTTCTGTGGTCCATCACCCTCTTGGAAATACTTGAGCATTGCTACATGAAAGGTGGTTAGGAAAAAACTAATTCAGTAGCATTGTCCAAGAATTCTTGACACATCATTTTTTTCTTTTTTATACATTAAGGGGTATGTGTGCAGTTTTGTTACATGGATATACTGTGTAGTGGTGAAATCTGGGCTTTTAGTGAACCTATGAACCAAATAGTGAACATTGTACCCAATAGGTCATTTTTCAATCCTCACTCCTCTCCCACTCTTCCTGCTTTTGGAATCCCTGGTGTCTATTATTCTCCTCTCTATGTCCATGTGTACCTGATATGGTTTGGCTCTGTGTTCCCACCCAAATCTCATGTTGAATTGTAATCCCCAATGTTGGGGGAGGGACTTGATGGGAGGTGATTGCATCATGAGGTTGGATTTCCCTTTTGCTGTCCTCATAATTGTGAGTTCTCATGAGATCTGGTTGTTTGAACGTGTGTAGCACTTACCCCTTCACTCTCTCTCTCTTGCCAGCCATGTGAAGACCTTGCCTGATTCCCCTTTGCCCTCCACCATGATTGTAAGTTTCCTGAAGCCTCCTCCTCAGACGAAGCCTACACAGCCTGCAGAACTGTGAAGTGATTAAACCTCTTTTCTTTATAAGTTACCCAGCCTCAGGTATGTCTTTATAGCAGTGTGAGAACAGACTAATACAGTATCCATCCCTTAGCTCCCACTTATAAGTGAGAAGTTGTGGTATTTGATTTTCTGTTTCTGAGTTACTTCACTTAGGATAATGGCCTTCAGCTCTACCCATATTTCTGCAAAACACATAATTTCATTTTTTATGGCTGCATAGTATTCCATGGTGTATATATACCACATTTTCTTTATTTAATCATCCATTGATTAACACTTAGGTTGATTCCATGATTTTGCTATTGTGAATAGTGCTGTGATAAAGATTTGAGTCCAAGTATCTTTTTGATATAATGATTTCATTTTTTTAAATAGATATCTACAAGTGGAATTGCTGGATTGAATTATAATTCTATTTTTAGTTCTGTGAGAAATTTCCATACTGTTTTCCACAGAGATTTTACTAATGTACATTTTCAACAATAGTATAAAAGTATTCCCTTTTCCTCACATCCTTTCCAATATCTATTGGCTTTTTTTTGATTTTTTAATAATAGAAATTTCTGGCACATCTTTAAATTTTTTTTCTCTTTTTCAAACTTCTGTCTCTAGGTATACATGGCAAGCAGGGGCCAGATTATATACACTGCCTTAAAGATTATGGTCTTTATCCTCAGTGCAACAAAATAAAGTCATTGAAGAGTTTTAAGTAGAGGACTGACATGATGACATGGTGAGCTATTTTAAAAAATTCACCCTGGTTTGGTCTATGAAGAATGGATAGCCAAGAATGAGTCTTAGTTGTTGTTGTCATTGCCTTTAGAATGGAGTGAGTCTTGAAGGACAGCAATATTTAATGGCAGGATAGAAGAATATATGCCTGGAAAGGACACACAGAAGTGGCCAGAGAAAGAAAGGACTTAAATCACGGAAGCAAAGGGAACTTAATATTTCCGCTGGAAAGTCAAGGATGATGAAGCCTGAAATATGTCCTTTGAAGTTAGGCACAAGAAGTTCATTAGTGAGTGCTGATTGTATGGAGTAGTGGTGGTGGGGAGATGTATTGAGACAGCTGGGAGAGTGAGTTGGAGGGGAGGAAGTGCAGGCAAAGAGCAGAAATAGCTCTTCTGCAAAGTTTGCATCAGAAGAGAATTAGTTATGGGTTAACATGGTGTTAAGGCAGATTTCTTCCTTCCTTCCTCTATTCTTCCCTCCCTTACCTTATTATAATGTCAGAGGCTTGAGTAAGGTTAAAATAACTGTGAGGATAATCTATTAAATAACTGAGAGGAAGAGGCTGAGCATAAAAGGAAGAAAAATGAGTTGTCTTACAGAGAAGAGGGGTTACTGCTCTCTGGTATCCTGTGGACAACAAATCAGGGCAGGTGTGAAGGTTTGTAAGTTAAATGGTTGAAGATGGAGTCTTCTAGTCAGGGGGCATTATGGGTTGGTTCATGTCCCCTCAAAATATACATGGCAATCCTAACCCCTGGTACCTGGATGTGACTGTATTTGGAGGAGTATCTTTGCAGATGTAATCAAGTTAAGATGAGGTCACACTGAATTAGGGTGGGTCCTAATCCAATATAACTGGTGTCCTTATGAGAGAGGAGAAGAGAGACATACACACACACACAGAGGAAAGTCAATGGGAAGACACAGAAAGACAGTGACATAAGACAGCAGAGGCAGAGATCAGAGTGATTCATCTATAAGCCAAGGAATGCCAACGATTGCTGCCAGCACCAGAGGCTAGGAGCAGGCATGCGACACATTGTTGCCAAGAACCTTCAGAGAGAGCATGGCCCTTTCATCACCTTGATTTAGGGCTTCTAGCCTCCAGAATTGTGAAAAGATAAATTTCTGTCATTTTGTGCCACCCAGTTTGTATTAATTTGGTATGACAACCCTAGGAAACTAAGACAGCTGGATTCTATTTTTGGGTGTGTAAAATGGGAGACAAGATCATCTGCTAAATATGAGAGGGCAGGTAGGGGATGGAGGTTTGAAAACAGCATGGAAAAGATCACGCTGATGTAGTGAGAGGAAGACAGGGCTGACCAGTGTAATAAATGTAAAGAACTTGTCTGGCATGTTCAGGGCACTGGTCAGCAGGATTTCTAAAATGGCCCCCAAAAGACATTCTACCCTAATCCTCAGAACCTGAGAATGGGCTGAGGTATCAATCCTGTAATGATCTGATATTATATGGCACAGTTGATGTTAAGATGGGGAGATTATCTGGGTGGGAAAGATCTAATTGCATGAGCCCTGAAGAGCAGAGAGCTTTCTCCAGCTGATGGCAAAAGAGGAAGTTAGAGAGATGCTCTTGAGAAGAACTCTGTGGGGCATTGCTGATTTGCAGATGGAGGGGCAGCCTCTAGAAGCAGAGAGTGGCCCCTGGCTGACTGCTGGCAAGGGTACCTCAATCCTACAACTACAAGGAACTAAATTCTGCCAACAGCTTGGATAAGCTTGGAAGAAGATTTTTCCACAGATCCTTCAGATAAGAGGTTAGTCCTGCTGAATCTTTGGTTTTGCCATGTAAAACCATAAACAGAGAACCATGTTGAGCTTGCCTGGACTTCTGGCCTACAATATGTTGAGCTAGTAAATGAGTGTGTTTAAGACTGCTAAGTTTGTGGCAATTTTTTAAATGTAGCAATGGAAAACTGATACAGGGTATTTTCAGGAATGGTGATGGCCAATGGACTATGAACAATTCCACCCAGTAGTCCCTGTGGATGAAAATAATCTCTAGCAGTGCTTGGCAGCTCTGATGCAGACATAATTTCCAAGACACCATATTCTTCTGACTATAGTTCTTTTGCATTTTTTGGTTCCTCTTCTCCCAAACTCTAAAGGTTGGAGCTCTCACCAGAAGTCACATATCTAGTAATTGCCTTCAAACATCTTAAAGGCCACCATGTGGAACAGAGATTGTCTTATTCAGTATATATTCTGAAGTTAGAATTAGGACAAGTAGACTTTATATGAGGGCAGATTTATACTTACTATATAATGCAAGTTGGGCTTTTTGAGAAGCTGACTCTGAGATAGAGATTTCCATATAGGAAGTTTATTGATCACAATAAACTTAGGATCAATAACTATAGGGGAGTGAAGGAAGGACTGGGCAGAGGGAGCTGTTGAATGGTAACGCAGGCTTAACAAAGACCTCAGCTGACCCCATGTGCTTCAGATGAGATGGTCCCTCAGAGTTGTTCTGAGTTGAAGCAAGAGGGAAAGGTCCTTGTAACCTCTTAACCAGTCATTTAAACTAGAAAAGAGGCATAACCTTGGGCAAGGTAATTATCTTCAGCTGAAGGAAGTTATTGGTGAGGAACTCAGCTGAGAATCACAGCTGTCAACATTCCCAGCTGGGTGGAAGAATGAATGCTTGCCTCCTAAAGGCGGGGATGAAAGGGGCGGAGATCAATGTGCTCCACAGCATCTAACACGATGTAAAAGAAGATGCACCAGTGTGATGGGGCTCTATGTCACTAAAGGGGTTCGTCAGTAGAGGTTGCAGGACCCCTGGCAAGGATGTTGCACTAGTGGAATCTAGTATTGAACAGAAAAATGAAGTGGAGTGTGAGTCCTTAGAGAATTTCTGAAATTCTTTTTATTCTCTGGCATTTCCAGTGGCTACAGGTGTCCATTCCAACACTGGCTCACTCTTGCAGCTTTAATGTAGTGACCATTTATGAGCTCTCTGCCCTAGGAAGAAGATATAGCATGAGTCAAAGTATGGAATGATATATTAATACTTGACTACCCTTGACACATTGGATTTAATTGTGTTCTTCTACCCTCAGGACAGTACATATGTAGTCAGGAAAGTTCTCCAGGTGGCCTTGGACTGGCCCAGTTCTCCCTCCTTTCTCACATGTAGTTCTCAAGAATAATCGTAGAATGTGCTAGGAATGCAGTAGCCTGAGATAAGGAGGAATTGGCCACAACGGCTCAGTCAGCCCTAGAAACAGAATGCCCTCCAACACTTTAGCCCACTGCGTCCTGTAGCTGCCAGGGTATAAAACCCAGAATGGGCTGCTTCCTGGGGTCCTTCAGCTGCATTTTAAGTGGGGCACATGGAGATGAGACTCCATCAGCCTTGGGTAGCTTTCTTGAGTCTTGGGGGACTGGCTCATCGTGAATCCTAGGCTTTTGTTGTCCTTTGCTGACTATCTGTGAGTAATAAATATGCTTCATGTAACTTCTTTTTTTTTTTTTTTTTTTTTTTTGAGATGGAGTCTCACTCTGTCACCCAGGCTGGAGTGCAGTGGTGCGATCTTGGTTCACTGCAGCCTGCACTCCTGGGTTCAAGCGATTCTCCTGCCTCAGCCTCCTGAGTAGCTGGGATTACAGGCATGTGCTACCACATCCAGCTAATTTTTGTATTTTTAGTAGAGATGGGATTTCGCCATGTTGGCCAGGCTGATCTCAAACTCCTGACCTCAGGTGATCTGCCCATCTCGGCCTCTCAAAGTGCTGGGATTACAGGCAGGAGCCACTGCACTCGACCTGCATGTACCTTCTTAACATGTGTGAGTGTTTTGTCTCACTGGACTCCCACAAGTAGTACAGGTGCAGCCCGGGATGCAGTGGGCTGAAATAATAACTAGTGCACAGTGAAACTGCTTTGCACATAGGAGGTCTAGATTTTTAAAATTATAGAAATATCTTAATCTAGTCATTACTCCTTTAGAAAGAGTAACTTTCTTCAGTTTTTATAGTTGGCAGAGCAGGCTTCTCTATTTCTATTTACACATCGTTATTTAGGAGGAGTCTTTTAGCTTAAAAATGGGTTAGAGCTATTATCAATTATCTATAAAGAGTTTTGTTTTTTAGTTAGGTTCAGCCTTCTGAAGAATTTGAGAATCCATCATTGCACTGGAAAATGGAACAAAAAGTCGACTTCAAAGGACCTTGCCCACAAAAGACACCAGAATGGTGGGTCATCTGGCAGGGCGAGGCTGGAATATGTGGGAGGTGAGGTAGGGGCTGAGAAGGAATACGGAAGACAGAGCTTCTGGGTACACACCAGCCTGTGTAACGTAGGCGGGAAAGAAATGTTTTTTACCTGCTGAACTCTGTGCTCATGATAGGATTCTGATAAGACTGTTCTTTTTGGTAATGTTCTATATGTGTATACTCTTCCAGACATTGAGAGGCATAACGGCAGGGTTATAACAATTTAGCATTTCTGACTTTTCCTCATGCATATTATTTATTTAACAAATATTTAATGAATATTATTAAATGCGAATCACTATATCATCCATTAAAAATGCTTTTAATGTCCTATATCACTTGGTTCTTGTTCTATCTTCCTAACCAGATGAGGCATCTTGTTAGATTTTTGGCATCCTCCAGGGTTAGGGATCCTGGCCACTTTCTCAGGAGTTAGTTTTCAGCTCTGATGTACCAAGCTCTACCCTGTCTCAGGCTGTCCCACTGCTGTCACTCTAGAACATAGCAGGAGCATTTATACCACCACCATCTGATACCCAATTGATAAACTCTTGCCATTTCCTGGACCCCTGAATGCATATTCAGGTGTTTTCATCATTGAATAATAATATGTGTGTGGAGTGACAGATAAATAGGATGATAGGCAGATATGTAGATAAACTTTTATTTGCTTGGGGCAGGGCGCGGTGGCTCATGCCTGTAATCCCAGCACTTTGGGAGGCCGAGGCAGGTGGATCACTTGAGATCAGGAATGAGACCAACCTCGTCAACATGGTGAAACCCCGTCTCTACTAAAAATACAAAAACTAGCCAGGCATGGTGGCATATACCTGTCATCCCAGCTACTCGGGAGGCTGAGGCGGGAGAATCCCTTGAACCTGGGAGGTGGAGGTTGCAGTGAGCAGAGATCGCGCCATTGCACTTCAGCCTGAGTGACAAGGCAAGACTGTGCCTCAAAAAAAAAAAGTTTTATTTGCTTGGATCCAAATGCTTTCTGTGTGCAAACCCTTACAACAAAATAGGTGGAAAGGGCTCTTTCCTTGCTCTATTCTCTCTGGGGCCTGGCATATGCCTCCCTCTTCAGGAGCTGGAAATTCGTTAAATGGCATAGAGCACCAGCGGTGAAACCTCTGACTTCTTCATTTGAAAGATACAACTCAGTCTTAGAGTACGGGAGTGTGTTTTGAACATTCAACTGGATGCTGTGTGTTTGTGTGAGCTGCTAACAGTAATGCTGTCTCATAATGCATGGTATCACCCTTCACTCTCCTTTTAATGGCATCACACGGATGAAAGGTAAGCATAAGAATGTGTAAGAACCTGTGTAGGAGGTAGGAATAGACAGTGAAATGCTACAAAGACGCGGTGCCTTTGTTAAGTGTCTTTTATTCTGTTGTGGTCCAGATATAATTAATGACACAGTGAAGTTGTAAAAATAAGGATGGTGTGTTCACATAACTGAGAATTAAGGAAGTGAGAGGAAACCTAAGAGGAGATAAGGCAGTGGTTGCACAAAAAATCAGTGTTCTGACCTTTAATGGACTAAAGGGAATTTGGTAACTTCAAGCAAATGCCTTCTGTAGGGGAAAGACAGCACAATTTATTCAAAGTTATCGTGTCTGGCTCATATATTAATTTTGGGGGCATATATGAATAAGGATGCACAGAAACAATAGACATAATTTGTTTTATCATTCAAAAAGCCTTTCACAAAATTTTCCATCAATGTTGCAATGGGAAAAGATGAAGCGGGTAGACAATTTAAAAGGTGTAAAAAGTCTTAGAGACATAAAATGAAAAGTCTCTGGGAATAGAATTGTCATCAATAGAGGCCTCCAAAAGGAAAGGTAGAACTGGATGGGTTTAACAACTTATAAATACTAGAAAGTCAGAATAGGCAGTGACATACTTGAAGATATTGCTTGTTGCTAAGCTATTTTGGGAATTTTAATGACTATGGAATAAACTGGTAACTACATGAATAGACAAAAAAGGCATATTAATTTCAGTGATTGAAAATATATGAAAAATTAATCCAAATTAGATTTATCTATGTGTTATCAGTTATGAACTAGGTGAAAGACCTGAAAATCAGTTAAGGTGTAATCTCAGTGTCGACAGCCTAGAAATTCAAGATTTTAAACAAAATGTTGATACAAAATAAAGGTTATCATCTACCCTAGGTCAAAGTCATGTGCTCTGATAGCAAAATTCCATGCATAGTTTTAATAGACTCCATAATAAGATAATAAGAAAATAGGAAAATGTTTCCAAAGAGGTAATTTAAATGATCCTAAAAATGGGTGGGCTGAACGTTTGTAAGAGATCAGGAATACAGGTTGGAAAGATGACCAGGGAATGTGATTTATTAATTTTTTCTCAACTTTTTTATTTTGAAAAATTGCCAACCCTCAAAGAAGTTGAAATGAACATCTATATGCTCTTCACCTAGAATTCATCAATGAGCATTTTTTACATTCATAATCTCCGTTTTTCCAAATTCTTTGAAAATAAGTTGCGGAGGTCACATTGTTTTTTTCCTAATACTTTAGCATCTGTTTCCAAAGAAAAAAGACATTCTGTTATGTAACCACAATATTATTATCACAATATGACTGACACATTAGTGTTATCTAATAAATGGTCCACATTTTCAGATTTCCAAATTTTTCAATAATATTTTAGTTATTTTTTTAAAAAAGCTAGAAGCCAATCAATAATTATTTGTGCATTAAGTTGTCATGTCTCTTTAATCTTTCATTTTAAACATACTACCAGTCCTTTTTTTTTCTGGTTTTGGTATTGACATCTATGAAAAGTCTAGGCCAGTTGTTTTGTAGAATAGGCCACAATTTGGATTTAAAAAATATATATATATATATACTGGGTCTCTGTCACCCAGGTTGGAGTGCAGTGACGCGATCTCGACTTGCTGCACCATTGCCTCCCAGGCTGAAGCAATCCTCTTACCTCAGCCTCCCCAGTAGCTGGGTCTACA
Organism: Homo sapiens; assembly: GCF_000001405.40. Taxonomy (NCBI): domain Eukaryota; kingdom Metazoa; phylum Chordata; class Mammalia; order Primates; family Hominidae; genus Homo; species Homo sapiens. Next base: position 127,610,849 of record NC_000004.12, on the reverse strand, counting down.
GACATGTGCCACCACACCCAGCTAATTTATTTTGCATTTTTATTAGAGATGGGGTTTCGCCATGTTGCCAAGTCTGGTCTTGTACTGCTGGGCTCAAGCGATCTACCTTGCTTTCCACAGTGCTGGGATTACAGATGTGAGCCACCATGCCTGGCCCATGATGTGGATTTATCTTATAGTTTCCTTATGACTGTATCAGGTTAAACATGTTTTAATATGAATAATACGTAGGTGATACTGCTTTCAATGCATCCCTCCAGGTTGCATATAATGTCAACTTGCCTCATCATTGGTAATGATGAGTTTAAGCACTTGGTTAAGGTGGTGTCTGCTAGATTTCTCCACTGTAATAGTAACTTTTCCCATTTGTAATCAATAAACAATCTTTGGAGTGATGTTTGGAGTCTGTGTTCCTCAATAACTTTTTAACCAAGAGTTTTGGTGTCCATGGAAGATTCATACCTATTTTCTCATTCTCTCATTGCTTTTATATTATTAGCTGGCATTCTTTTAAGGATGAACTCCCTCTACCTTTTTAAAGGATCACTGTTGCCTTGCAGATTCTTTTTCTATTTTTAATGTGTTAAAATCCATTCCATAGTTATTCTTTTTGATGCTTAAATTGTTCTGACTCCAGTGGTCCTTTGAACATCTCCATCAATTTTTCAGAATTCTTTTGCTTTCCAGCACAATACAATATTTCAAATTCACCTTGAACTTTCCTTGCTCCAAATTTGTAATCAACTGTTTATCAAAGAAATTCATTAAAAATTATTTATGTATTTATTTAAAAGTAAGGAGTGGTATTTAGACACCAAGATCTGGGTGTTGGGAGAGAGACAATTCTGTGCAGATCTCTCACATTTCTGTGCACCTTGTGATGGAGGGAGTCCCAACTCTTTGTTCTGGACTCCTTTTTCCAGGGTGTTTGTGAAGTGAACAGCCTTGGAAGATAGAGATAATGTCTTTCTCCATAACAAAGGCCAGGTTTGTTTACTGTCCAGTGTAATCAAGATAATGTCTCTCTCTGGGGCAAATGTCAGACAGCCTTCCCATTCTACAAGATTCGGCTAAGTTCAGGGTTTTTTTCCTATAACAGAACCCATTGCGTGTGCAGACGTCACTTGGTTCTTTTCACGTTGCTCTGTGGGAATTGAGGTTGGAGAACAGGAGCAAATGCTGTACTCTGGGAACTCTATTTCCACGAATAATAAAGTCCTTTGTTGCTGACCCAGGAGTTTCTTGTGTTCTGCTGGCATTCATGAAACTGGCAGGCTAGCTTGTCAGGTTTCAAGTAGGATAAAATCTCAGACTCTGTATTCTTGACACTGGGGAATGGGTGTGTTTACTGCTACTGATGTATCATTGCTTCCATGCCTTTTCAATGGAGAAAACTAGGAATATATTTTTAAAAAATCACAAGTTGATACTAACAACTCCTATTTCAAAACAATGCCATTAAGTTCTTCCTCTCCTTCCCCTAATCCATATTTACATCTCCCTTCTCCAACAGAGAGAGCCCCAGTTCCTAAGAATATCAATATATTCACACAATTGCTCTTTCCTGCCTTTCATATAAATTGGGATTAGAATTATTATGCTAAAGTCATTATAAGTTCAGTAGTTGTTTGCAGTTTTTTTTGTCCTTACAGTATATCACACCCAAGATGCAGTCACATTACTGTACTATAAAGATACTTCAATTCTCTTTTTTTTCTGATTATGTTACCAATTTGGTATTGTTCTGACTCCAGTGTTCCTTTGAACATCTCCATCAATTTTTCAGGATTCTTTTGCTTTCCAACACAGTACAATATTTCAAATTCACCTTGAACTTTCCTTGCTCCAAATTTATAATCAACTGTTTATCAAAGAAATTCATTTTAAAAATTATTTGTGTATTTATTTAAAAGTAAGGGGTGGTATTTAGACACCAAGATCTGGGTGTTGGGAGAGAGACAGTTCTGTGCAGGTCTCTCACATTTCTGTGCACCTTGTGAGGGAGGGAGTCCCAGCTCTTTGTTCAATTTTAGACCTGCATAATACTGCATCTTGTTTATTCAACCAGGTTCCTATGCATGGGCATTTTGATCGTTCCTAATATTTTACTATTATCAGTAATGCCATATTGAATAACCTTTTGTTTTGGGTGAGGTATACCTTCAGGGTAAATTCCTAGAAGTAAAAATGCTGGAACAAAGAATAAATGCACATGCAATTTGCTAATACCCTCCTAATAGATTACATCATCTTGTAGTGCCATGTAAAAAGTTTGAGAGTGCCCTGTTCATTTCTCCTTAATGGTGTGTATGGAAAAGCTCCTGAATTTTTGCCTATCTAAAACGTGAAAAATTGTGTTAGTATTTGGCATTTCTAATTATATGTGAAATTATGCATCTTTTCATGTGGGGGGAAATCGGTGTGATTGTTATACATATGCATATGTCAAAGCTCATCAAGTTAAATATTTTAAATGTGTGCCACTTATTGTATGTCAATTATAGCTAAATAACACTTTTTTTAGTTTAAAAAATTAAGGAGTGAAAAGAGACTAAAACCCCAAAAGAAAAATGAAAAGACAGGAGCAGGCAGTTAAAAAAGAGACAGATAAATAAATACTCTTTAATGATATGCCTTAAAATTATGGCATAAATTTAAATTTTTAAAAAATTTCTTTCTGTGAAACTTAACAGGAAAATTACAGTGTATGCCGTCTCAACCCAAGATAACCAAACACTTTTCACAGATAGAAAAAAGATCATTTGAATAATATAAATATAAGTAATAAAAACAACTTGAAAGTAAATAAACAGGTCATACATAAAATGTAACATGATGAAGATTTATTATATTCTCCAAAGGAGGAAGAAATGGCTTCATAGTGGGTGGCGAAGGAGGATGTGGGGGGTTGGGGAGTCATTCTTTGAAAGGTGCATTCTTTTTTTCTGCATGATCTTCATCAATTTTTTTGACTTTAGGGAGATCACAATTATTTGCACTCAAATTACACTTAAAAATAAAGTTTATAGGCCGGGCGCGGTGGCTCACGCCTGTAATTCCAGCACTTTGGGAGGCCGAGGTGGGCGGATCACGAGGTCAGGAGATCCCAGACCATCCTGGCTAACATGGTGAAACCCCGTGCAGTTCCAGCTACTCGGGAGGCTGAGGCGGGACAATGGCGTGAACCCGCGAGGCGGAGCTTGCAGTGAGCCAAGATCGCGCCACTGCACTCCAGCCTGGGCGACGGTGCGAGACTCCGTCTCAAAATAAATAAATAAATAAATAAATAAATAAATAAATAAATAAAAAATAAAGTTTATAACAGTTAAGGCCGCCTTCAAAGAAAAATACAGGGTAGACATTACAGTGCTTTGAAACACACGGAAACAGCTAATGTGTAGCGCAAACTGCAGAGCATAGATCTGTTGGCATAGGTCCACACAGAAAAATATTTTTGGACCATCCAGACGTGGAACTCAATTCAAATTTGCTCCATTTTGAAATTTCCTGACTAGAAATGTATTGAGTAAAATGGTGACTTTTTCTAAAATTGTAATATTGAAATATCAGTTTTTACAGTAAATCTACTTAGCATGTTTTTTTGGGAAAGGTAATTATAACAAGAAAAAAAAAAACCCAGATAATGTGAAAGTCAGTATAACTTTTCAAGAGGTATGATGGTAAAAATGTCATTGAAATCAACAATCATTATATAAACTGAGCTTGTATTTCAATGCTACTATTCTAATGGATAAGAAAAGCTGAAATTATCATGTCTAAGTAAGTAGTTTACTTTGGTAGAGGTACTGATGATTCATCAAATATACTGCTCTTGTAGACACTAAACACTTCTAAATCTGGTTATCACATGCTTTCTTTCATGTTTTAACTCAGAACCTTGATTTATGCTTTCCATTGTTTTTGGATAAAATCCAAATTTCCTGATTCTGTTGAAAGAGCCTCCACAATTTGGTTCTCACAAATCTCTTCAGGTCTTCTATTTTCACCCTTCCTCTAGAGCTCTGTGTTTTAGCTATGTTGAAATGGTTTTACCTTCTAGAATTTGACCTACTTTATCTCACCCAAAGGCCTTTTAAAACCTGTTTGCTCACATTAAACACCCTACCTTTTATCCTGATTTGATGGTTACACAATATATACATGTATCTAAATATCGTGTGGTACCCTATTAACTATGTAAAATTATTATATGTCAATAAAAATAAAATAAGCATAAAAACCCCAACCCTGCCTTTTGTTCTTTGCCTCATTCTCTCCTACTGAGGAGTCTCAGCTTAAATTTCAATTCTTTGGAAGGTCTTCCGTGTCCCCAGATTAGGTTAGCCCTTAGGTTCCCTTGCTGGGTGCTTCCAGAGTACTGTGTATTTCCTTAATTACAATAGCTTTTATTATAATGCTTGCTTCATTGAATGCCTTCTGAACTTTCAAGGGCAGGTACTATGAATGTCTTATTTATTCCTGTCTCTTCAGCATATAGCAAGATCTCTGTAAGTATTTCTTGGATGGATGAATAAATAAAAATGTATACGAACTATGCCATTAAATATACACTTTTAATATACTGTTGTCAACTCTGTCAGTTAAAAATTGGGGGCTTTTAACCCTATCATTAACATTTTTATTACAAAAATATATTTATATTTATCTGTTTCTATTTCCCTGCAATGAGAAGGACAGAATTCTGAAGCATAGACACAGAATAAATAATGCCTCCTTGCTGTTACAATTTACTTGGAAAAAGCATGTCTACTTTATAAACATTGTTATTTTTATCCTATACTTTCTGATTGGCACAGGACAGATATTAAAAATATTATACTTTATAACCTGAAACGTGTTTTTTAAACTTAATTTTTTTTTGCTTTTTAAATATATATATTTTCAGAAACTCATTGCTTGCTAACTGAAACCTGTTTTAAAGCAATACATTTTCTATAGAGAAGGTATTTTGGATAAAAAGAATGATGACGTAGCAAGTTAGAGATTCGGGAGAGCATTTTAAGTAGTTCAATTTGTTTAAGTATTGAATATGAAATTTAAATCACATTTTACTCTTTCCTTTAAAAGTATACAAATGTTTAAAACAATATTATTAAAAACTTTATTTTAGATATTTAACAATATTGGAATTGGTTGCTTTATATTAACATTGCAGTTTTAGCTAGTCCATGGTATTTGGAAAAAAATCAGGTTTACAATGGTGATAAATATAATGCAAAAGTCTTAAAATGATTTAAAATGATGACTTAAGAGTTGTGAAATAATCAGCCTAAGCCTGTATTAAATTAAGAAGTTTCCTCTTTTAGTTTTGAAAAGCAAAAGGGCTCCACCTGGTGTTGAATGAAACTATAGACTTTTTAAAATGATTTGATGATTTTACATTTTCTAAAAATTGAAATTCAAAATGCTTTTCTCGATTTTCTGTTTATAGTAATGCTATTGATATTGTTCCAAAATTACAGGGACTTAGTTCTTTTATGAAGTAATTAATGTATGTCTGATAAAAAATGTTTCCTTTAACATTTTAAAAGATTTTAGAGAAACTTCTCTCATGCACCTTCCCTTCATCCTATCTTTGGCAGGCATGAAAATGCACCTCACAGACAGAGCACCCAGCTGCTGTGCTTTGAAGTCAGCCACACCTCCCATTCATTGCTGTTACCAATGGACTGACTGAATGCTGTGGCGATACTGAGGCCGTCTTAGTCCCGGAAGACAGGTGGGGCTCCTTTGTCCACCGCTTAGGCTGGAGTACTTCCCCATGGCTTTGACAAACAATCCTTAGACTGCAGAGTAGTGTAGGATTCTTCCATTCAACCTTCTCTCCCTCATCCTGGGGTCAGACTTGGATGCAGTCCGACAGCTGTCCCAGCCTTTCCTAGCTCCTTCTTTATTTCTTTTTACACAGGCATTTCCCACTATTAAAATCCTGACATATTTAATCCTGTCTTTGTATCTGTTTCTCTGAGGTCCTGGGCTAACACAATTTCCCTTCTGGAACTTTTATGAAAAATGAGCAAGTGGAGACATTGATCTTATTTTCTAATATCTGGGTGATCTACTATTTGGTTCTTATGCATTAAATTAGATTTTGAAATCTTAAACTCAGGTCCGGGTCTCTTTGAGCTTTGCTAATTAGTGCATGGTGTGGAAAAGCTCATGTGTCCTAGGGAACCACTTGACACTTTGATGCTCCATGGCATCAAAGCATGAAGAATGAAATAAAATGGTATAATTATTTTGTATTTTAACTATAAGATCTCAAAGGATGTTATAGTTAAAATTCAAAGTAATTATACTATTTACATGATATAACTATATACCATATAAGGTATAAAGGCTCTCTGTGATCCTTTAATTCTCCAGGATCTCAGAGAAACAGATGCAAAGACAGGATTAATAAATATAAATAAATTTATATAATAAAAATATTAAAGATAGGGTCAAAAGCCTCCAATTTTTAACTGATAGAGTTGACCAAAGTATATTAAAATAATATACTTAATTACTTAATTTAGTCAGCATGTTATTGTTTGCACTAGTCACAAGGGCTTTTGGACAAGAGTGATGATAAATCAATGCAAATCCAACATCGCTTCTAGAAAAATGCCTTCTCATGCCTGTAATTCCAGCACTTTGGGAAGCTGAGGTGGGTGGATAACCTGAGGTCGGGAGTTCGAGACCAGCCTGACCAACATGGAGAAACCTCATCTCTACTAAAATACAAAATTAGCCAGGTGTGGTGGTGCATGCCTGTAATCCCAGCTACTCGGGAGGCTGAGGCAGGAGAATCACTTGAACCTGGGAGGCGGAGGTTGTGGTGAGCCGAGATCGTGCCATTGCACTCCAGCCTGGGCAACAAGAGCAAAACTCCATCTCAAAAAAAAAAAAAATTTTTTTTTTACTGATGAAGAGAAGGACTTTAATGTCATTTTAACCCACACAACAAATCATATTTAGTGTTATTTTTCAATATTAAGTGCTGGTGATGATGCAAATGCATATTCAGATTTGTTGGCTCTCATTGAAATGGGATATACATTATTGGAGTATCCTAGAGAATAATCAACTATGTGAAGTGAAAGACACTTCAGTTCCTGATAGAAAGGCAATAAGCACCAGTAACTTGCGATTTCTGGAAACTGCCCAGGGATCTTGTGTCATTCCATGTGCTTGGTTTGCTTCTATCTCACTGATATTTACACTAAGAGGTTAATGCAACTCTAGGAAAATAAAACCTCAGATTACTTTGTAGTATAAGAGAATGGAAAGAAACCATAGCCTGGGAGGTAGAATATCTGCATCTGAGTCTTGGCTTCACTTACCTTGGGTAAGCCACTTACCTTCGTTAAACTTCCCTTTCCTTATCTGTAAGATGGGGCTATAACTCTCTGACTCCCATTCACATGGTCATAAGGCTTAAATGAAATAACCCACTTGAGAACACTCAGTAAACTAAAGCACATTGCATTTTTAAGGTTTATATAATCATAGTTTAATTGTATTTCTAATAAAATTATCTGCTAAAAATATAAGTAGGTATTCTGATCTTTCATAGGAATTTTGACATTTATAGTACATGTAAAGATATTTAAGTAAAAATTTTCTGAAACAACTATTTAAATAAACAAATATGTTTTAAAATAGATCTTATTTTGCTTTGCTTCTTTCATGTAAAATACATAGATTATTTACTAATAAAGACAAATATTATAACTTAGCTACCTTTTGGTAGGTTAAAAATGGAAACAAAACTAAGTGTAAATTTGAATTGCATGAAAGATCTGGAGAGACAGAGAGGTTAATTCTCTCCCTTCAATTTTTGAGGCAGTGGTGGAGGAAACACATTTTTATAGAACCTGACAATTAAAGCACAGAATGAAAGAAGACATCTTTGTTTATCTGTAGACCTGAGCAATGAATAATATTTTTGTTTTAATTTTTTTATTGTGCTCTTTTATAGGTTTTCATGAAAGTAAATTAATAATGTAACATCTCCACAAATCCTGTTTTAAAACTGTAGCTGATAATGTTCTTACATGATAAAATATTGTCCATAAATTATTCATTTGTAGTTAAAATACAAAATAATTATTCCACTTAATTTTGTTCTTCATGCTTTATGCAACCACTTAACTGTGATAAGTATAACACTGTTATTATGAAGTAGTTTAATTAGGCATCCTTATTCTGGTTAACTTAAGCAAAAAGAGGAAAAAATGAGCTACTGATATTTCACACAGACTCCAAGGAAAAGCTGAACATCTAGGCCTTGGGAAGTGCAGGAACAGGAGGCTCTGAGGTCTAGGGAGAAACTTTTCATCCCCTCTTTGCTCTGCCTAAGATACTCCTTAAGTTAAAGTCTGGGTAAGGTTGCACTCTGAGCCCATTCCTTGGTCCTGAAGAAAGTAAAATACCTTCCGTGAAATGCCAGTTTTGTGCAATACAAGAGGGGTGGTCCCCAAAAGAAAGTGAAGGGATGCTGGGCAAGAAAATAACAGATACTCACTACTTGATGTAGTCAACTCAAATATTTTCCAATGACTTTTTTCATTTGTGACAGTTATAATCACTTTCCTTAGTTTCTAAGATGACATGCACTATCTGTTAAGTCATGACAAGCTCAGATATTCACCAACATGGTTTTTGATGTTCGTTTCTTCTCTCTAAGCAAATGCTACACTAGATAGACCAGGCACTGGTGCTTATCACTGAGGTATTGGTATTTTTTTATTCTTGGGATTGTATATTCTTGAAATGATTGCTGCCGTGTAAAGTTAAGTCAAGGCACACTGGAAAATTGCAGGCTTGGCGAGTGTCCAGGTAAATGGTATTCTTTACTGCTTCCCTATGGCCATTATTAACAGGATGACTTGAGCAGAGGCAGCAGATGCCCGTGGGAATAGTGTTTTATCTTCTAGAGATAGAAGCTCTGTGTATGCATGCTCATGGACAGGGCACAGGTATGGCTTTTGGGACAAAATATGTGTATTTGCTGCTTTGAGAATGACTTCTTCTTTCAGAGGCCAATGTGGGAGGATTGCTTGATCCAGGAGTTCGACCCAGCCTGGGAAACATAGCAAGACTCTGTCTTTACAAAAAATAAAAAATGAGCTGGGCATGGTGATGTGCACCTGTAATTCCAGCTATCTGGGAAGCTGAGATGGGAGGATCCTTTGAACCCAGGAGTTCAAGCCTGCAGTGAGCCATGATCGCGCTGCTGCATTCTAGCCTGGATGACAGAGCAAGATCCTGTCTCAAAAAAAGACTTCTATAGGTACTTTAGTTTAGAGTTAGCTAGAAAATTAGTACTAGAAATGAGGCTTGATGTATGTTTCACATCTGAAAAACTCTCAGGAAATCTCTGATTTCTATCACCATTATGTATACATTACAATAATATCTGTTGTTTAGATTGGACAATATGTATTGCTACTCTTATTTTTTATTACATTTGAGACATTTTACATATTCAGATTCTGTTTTTTATAATTTACTTTTTAAATAGTTATAAAAATATCATTTAAATATATAATTTATCTTTCTGTTATTAAAACAGATATTCTAGCAAGAAACACTAGAGGGCATTCACTGCTTTGTTCAAAGACATTGGTCCACTTTATATGCAGCTGTTCATATGTGATGCAATTTGTTAATATGCTTGAGAAATTAAGTATGAAAATTTTCATTTTCTAAAATATCTCAGCATATTATTGAATACTGAAACAACAAAAACCAAAAAGTGGATAAGTAGGTCACAGGGCACAAGAATATCGAATTTTTCATATTGGAAACAAATCTTTAAATAATCTTTAATGTGACTTAATTTCCCTTAAAATAAGTCAACAAATAATACAAAATATCAAGTTTTTAGCATTTCTAGCGCACAAAAAATCTTGATATAATTTTAGACTTACCTTTATTTTAAACGCACCTGGAATTTAAAAACACAAATAAATTATGTAGAAGCATCAATGAGTTAAATCATTCATTTCCCAATTGTCATTTTATTATAAGATATCACTGAAATTATCCTGCTTCTATTTCCATTCTCAAGTTTTCTTATTACACCTACCTATCCTTTTGCTGTCTATTCAATTTAACTTATTTATGCATTCAATTCTCTTATTGGGCACATTCTCTATGCATTGCTTTGGGTTTGTAATTCTCAAAATACTGTGTATATGCTACAACAAAATATGCTCAAATAATTTGAGTAAGAACAAATCCTCATGAACTATAGAGATGACAGAAAGAAGAAGTAGTTTTTTTAGCCTCAGTTTCTTTTTTGATAGGTTTACTTTATTTTATATTTTATTTATTATTATTATTGTTTTTTTTGAGACAGGGTCTCACTCTGTTGCCCAAGCTGCAGTGCAGTGGCAGGATCTCGGCCTGCTGCAACCTCTGACTCCTGGGCTCAAGCAATCCTTCCACCTCAACCTCCTGAGTAGCTGGGGCTACAGGCATGCACCACCACACCTGGCTAATTGTATTTTTAGTAGAGACAGGGTGTTGTCATGTTATTCAGGCTGGTCTTGAACTCTTAGGCTCAAGCAATCTGCCTGCCTCGAACTGTCAAGGTGCTGGGACTACAGGAGTGAGCCACGGTGCCCTGCTGATAGGTTTATTTTAGACTGGACATCTGCCTAAATATTCTTATTGGCTTAAGTTTAGACCAAACTATGTAAAATAATCTGAACAATTTTATAGATAACTTTATAAAACCACATGGCTTAACGAAAACCTAAAAAAGCAAGTGTTTTCTTAACATTTTTACCCCTAATTTTTATATTTATATGTGGAATTTAAAAAAATGCAAGTATCACAAATATGAATCTTAGCATATCTCTCCCCTGCCTTCATGAACCCATTTTTAGATAAAATTATCTAATAAAAGTTAAGTAAATTTTGGCCCAGTGCAGTGGCTCACGCCTGTAATCCCAGCACTTTGGGAGGCTGAGGCAGGCGGATCACGAGGTCAGGAGTTTGAGACCAACCTGACCAACATGGTGAAATCCCGTCTCTACTAAAAATACAAAAATTAGCCGGGCGTGGTGGCATGCACCTATAATCCCAGCAACTTGGGAGGCTGAGGCAGGAGAATCGCTTGAACCTGGGAGGTGGAGCTTGCAGTGAGCCGAGATCACGCCACTGCACTCCAGCCTGGGCGACAGAGAGAGACTCCATCAAAAAAAAAAAAAAGTTAAGTAAATTTAAACTATATGTATGAAATCCTTTAAAAAGTATAAGTGGTGTATAAATGTAAGCAGCTGTCATTTTGGGGTTTAAATTTTGACTTTGGTATTTATCAGCTCAGTGTTTTCATCTGTAAAAATGAAAACGACAACTCATTTGATGACTTTCCTCCCTTTTTGCATCAGTACTTTCCTGAGAAATGACTATCTAGCTGATGGATCGTGTCTAGGTGCTGCAGAAGGTGGGGAACCATATGAGGAGCAAGAAAGAAAAAAGCAAGGAAAAAAACCACATGAAATTTAAAAAAATTATAGAACGATAGGAATGAATTTTTCAATTGTAATGTAACACTACCAACCTAAAAAGATGATGACAGAAAAAATTGTGAAGGACTATTTACAGGTCTTTTAAGTCACTGCCCTTACTGTATCTTGGTTCTCAAGATACTGTATGAGTTTTCTGTTTTACGGGTTTTTCCAACACATTTTGAAACTTTCACTGGCTTCTTCTAATCCGCACTGTTTGTGATCTGTCTCCTATGTTATGTCAGTGTGGGATTAGGAAATGCAATAATAAGTTACATTAAACATAATTAGAAAAGCAAATCTATTAGCATTCCAAAAAATATATGACTTTTGGAGTATTCTTTTTTTTTCTGTTTGTAGTTAGCTTCTTTAGTGTAAAGATAATTAGGAAGTTTCACTAATAAACTTGCCCTCTTTTGATTGTGCAATTAGCTCTGAGACAGCAAAGTTCAAATGGTGTATCTTTTTTTTTTTGCAAACAATGACTCTGTTTTAGAGTCAGTGCTTTTGTTCAAATATTGTAGAGGTCTTTTGGTGTGGGATAAGGGTGTATTCTGGGAGGTAGCTGGTGGTGACATCAGAATCAGTAGGAGCATATATTGTTTTAAGAAGCACATTTCAGCTTTGAACAATGAGAACACTTGGACACAGGTTGGGGAACATCACACACCAGGGCCTGTCATGGGGTGGGGGAAGGGAGGAGGGATAGCATTAGGAGATATACCTAATGTAAATGACGAGTTAATGGGTGCAACACACCAACATGGCACATGTAAACATATGTAACAAACCTGCACGTTGTGCACATGTACCCTAGAACTTAAAGTATAATAATAAAAAAAGCACATTTCATTGTATAATTACTTTGATGTGTTCTTAATCATTTTACATTGAAAGTTTGAATAACATTTAAAAAGGGCCTGAGATTTTTAGATTTATTAGAAAGAGGCAGTAGGTTTAAAAGAAGGTTGAAAGATAGAAATTATTGGGCAGCTACTTTTGGCACAAAATGATCCTTTGTTTTGCAAAAGGAAATCTTGTACTCCAAGATTCCTGGATATATAGCACATAATTTGATCTTTAAAAATTTTATTTACCCACATTTTGGAGGGACTATATTTACTTTGGAAATAGGGCACATCTAGAACTTTTTTCTTCCCCTTTAATTTTGCTAATATGCTGAGCAACTCCTAGTTCTGATAACTACCAGAGAAAGTGAGGAATTTAGGGTAACAGCATTCACTGACAGGGGAGCTTCTGTCACAGAATCCTGAGAGTCTCTGGGACCTTGAAAGAGTGAAAGAAACTTTCATGTCACCATACTCCTCGCAATCCTACAGTCCATATCTAATTGCTTCCACTGACATTTGACTGCTCCAATATTTTGTCTTCCCCTTAAGCTATTGACATTATCTGGAACCTGCCTCACCCTCAGCCTGCCTGCCTGACTCTTCACTGTCAAGAGGCCTTGCTACACACAGTTTCTTTAGCTTTCTCCTTTTTTCCCTCAAAACATTCTGTCTTGTAATCCCCTGATCAACATCTTCAGAGACCCACTTGCATATTTCAAACTGAGTATGTATCCTTCAGCCTGGTATTTAGGACCCTCTATAATTGGCTGTCTCTGTATAACCTCTCATGACTTATTTTATTCTCTACACTCAAGTCAAACTCATCAATTTGCTTTTTTTTTCTTGAAAATGTGCTACATTTTCTCAACTTTTCACATTTTCTCTTGCTGTTCTATTCACCAGGAATACTTTTTTTCATTTTCATCTGTAAAAATTCAAGCCATCTTCCAGATACATCTAGATGCCAAGTTCTTGGTTACGCCCTCCCTGTTCTCATTTGGATGTCACATCCCTTTCCCCCCCTGAATTATGCACTCAGCTTATGCCTTTACCAGGTCTTATATTAAGACCTACCTTATATTAAAGCTATTTTATATTTTTCTTGAATTCTGTTCTTGAGGACAGAAGAGTATCTTAATCCAAGTTTTGTCTTGTTTTTTTGAGACAATCTGGCTATGGTGCCCAGGCTGTACCACAACTCCTGGGCTCTAGTTATCCTCCCACCTCAGCCTCACGAGTAGCTGGGCCACAGAGGTGGTGTATAGTATTATTTTTTCATGCAATGTCTAAAACAAAGCTTGACCCACGGTAAGTGATCAACAAATATTTGTTCAGGCTGGCCTGGGCAAAGCAGTGAAACCCTGTCTCTATAAACAAACAAACAAACAAACAAACAAAAAACAAAACAAAAAAATTAGCCGGGCATGGTGGTGTACACCTGCAGTCCCAGCTACTCAAGAGATTGAGGTGGGAGAATCTCTTCAGCCTGGAAGGCAGAGGTTGCAGTGAGCCGTGATCGTGCCTCCGGCCTAGGCGACAGAGCGAGACCCTCTCTCAAAACAAAAACAAACACACACACACACAAAAAACAGAAATAAAATATTTTTTGAATTATTTTCTGATAATGTGGGGTGATTTTAAAGATTGATTTTCAACATAACACATTTCTGGAAACCATATTATAAAATAGATTGTTATAAAGTAGCTTATGTTTTGTATTGGAATGATATAATTCTCAGGGGCTTGGTATGTGCCTGATCATCAATTTTGGCATAATATTACCAACAATATGTTTTAAAAAGCGAGACTTGGCCAGGCATGGTGGCCCATGCCTGTAATCCCAGCACTTTGGGAGGCCGAGGCAGGCACATCACCTGAGCTCAGGAGTTTGAGACCAGCCTGGCCAACATGGCAAAACCCCTTCTCTACTAAAAATACAAAAATTAGCTGGGTATGGTGGCGTGCGCCTGTAATCCCAGCTACTAAGGTGGCTGAGGCAAGAGAATCGCTTGAACCTGAGAGGCGGAGGTTGCAGTGAGCCGAGATCACACCATTGCGTGATCACGCCCATCCAGTCTGGGTGACAAGAGCGAAACTCCGTCTCAAAAAAAAAAAAAAAAGGGCAAGCCTTTAAATTCAATAACTCTCAATAGTCATTTCCTCAGACTGTAAGTATAGTGTTGATTATATAGTGTTTTGAAACTGGGCAGAATCACACAGAATCACCTTTTCCAAACTTCCTCAGTTTATGAGATGACAAAGAGGTTGAATGACTGCTCAAGGTTTTACAGCAGGTTAGTGGCAGAACAGTGATTAAGACTCAAGTTTTCTGATCTCAGTTAAATAGCTTCTTCAGGACTTTATCATATCTCTTTAATAAAGTTCACAATACGAGTTTAAAGGTACTTTACCTATTTATTATACCAGGTTCTATGACAATTGCCTTCAAGTGTAAATATAGCTCATAAAATATTCCTATGGACCTATTCCTAGGGTCTCTGAATGTGTCTCCTCAGAATTCATATGTTGAAACCTAGTTACCAAAGTGCTGGTATTAGGAGGTGAAGCTTTTTAGAGGTGATTGGACGAGTGCCCTTGTAAAAGAGACCCCAGAAAGCTGCCTTGCCCCCTCCACCATATAACACAGTGAGAAATTGGAAGAGGGCACTTACCAGAACCCAGCCATGCTGGAACCATGATCTTGAACTTCCCAGCCTCCAGAACTATGAGAAATAAACCTCTGTTGTTTATGAGCCATCCAGTTGATGGTATTTGTTATAGCAGTATGAATGGACTAAGACACTTACGTTGTGTTTTTCTTATCTAAATGTTATTTTAGTTTAATATAGTTGTGTATTGCTTAACAATGGGAATGCATTCTGAGCAATGCTCTAAGTGAGTTTACCATTGCATGAACATCATGGAGTGTATGTTCACAAACCTAGATGGTATAGCCTACAACATACCTAGGCTATATGGTATAGTCTACAACATACCTAGGCTATATGGTATAGTCTATTGCTCTTTGGCTACATACCTGTATTGAATACTTTAGGCAATTACAACCACTGTGTATGTCAACATAAAAAAGGTACAGTAAAAATATGGTATAAAAGGTAAAAATGGTACACCTGTATAGGGCATTCACTATGAATGGAGCTTGTAGGACTGGGAGTTGTTCTGAGTGAGACAGTGAGAGAGTGGTGAGTGAATGTGAGGGCTGAGGACTTTATAAACACTGTACCCTTTGGCTACACTAGATGTATAAAAAATATTTTTCTTTCTTCAAAATGAATTAACCTTCACTTACTGTAACTTTTTTTTTACTTTATATGCTTTAAAATTTTTTTAAATTTATGATCTCTTTTGTAATAACACTTAGCTTAAAACACAAACGCATTGTACAGCTGTGAAAATATTTTCTTTCTTTATATTCTTGTTCCATATGTTTTTTTCTTTTTTTTTCAGCACTTTTATTTTTTTATTTATTTATTATTATTTTTTTTAAATGTTTTTTTTTTTTTATTATACTCTAAGTTTTAGGGTACATGTGCACATTGTGCAGGTTAGTTACATATGTATACATGTGCCATGCTGGTGTGCTGCACCCACTAACTCATCATCTAGCATTAGGTATATCTCCCAATGCTATCCCTCCCCACTCCCCCCACCCCACCACAGTCCCCAGAGTGTGATATTCCCCTTCCTGTGTCCATGTGATCTCATTGTTCAATTCCCACCTATGAGTGAGAATATGCAGTGTCTGGTTTTTTGTTCTTGTGATAGTTTACTGAGAATCATGATTTCCAATTTCACCCATGTCCCTACAAAGGACATGAACTCATCATTTTTTATGGCTGCATAGTATTCCATGGTGTATATGTGCCACATTTTCTTAATCCAGTCTATCATTGTTGGACATTTGGGTTGGTTCCAAGTCTTTGCTATTGTGAATAGTGCTGCAATAAACATACGTGTGCATGTGTCTTTATAGCAGCATGATTTATAGTCCTTTGGGTATATACCCAGTAATGGGAGGCTGGGTCAAATGGTATTTCTAGTTCTAGATCCCTGAGGAATCGCCACACTGACTTCCACAATGGTTGAACTAGTTTACAGTCCCACCAACAGTGTCAAAGTGTTCCTATTTCTCCACATCCTCTCCAGCACCTGTTGTTTCCTGACTTTTTAATGATTGCCATTCTAACTGGTGTGAGATGGTATCTCATTGAGGTTTTGATTTGCATTTCTCTGATGGCCAGTGATGATGAGCATTTTTTCATGTGTTTTTTGGCTGCATAAATGTCTTCTTTTGAGAAGTGTCTGTTCATGTCCTTCACCCACTTTTTGATGGGGTTGTTTGTTTTTTTCTTGTAAATTTGTTTGAGTTCATTGTAGATTCTGGATATTAGCCCTTTGTCAGATGAGTAGGTTGCGAAAATTTTCTCCCATTCTGTAGGTTGCCTGTTCACTCTGATGGTAGTTTCTTTTGCTGTGCAGAAGCTCTTTAGTTTAATTAGATCCCATTTGTCAATTTTGTCTTTTGTTGCCATTGCTTTTGGTGTTTTAGACATGAAGTCCTTGCCCACGCCTATGTGCTGAATGGTAATGCCTAGGTTTTCTTCTAGGGTTTTTATGGTTTTAGGTCTAACGTTTAAGTCTTTAATCCATCTTGAATTGATTTTTGTATAAGGTGTAAGGAAGGGATCCAGTTTCAGCTTTCTACATATGGCTAGCCAGTTTTCCCAGCACCATTTATTAAATAGGGAATCCTTTCCCCATTTCTTGTTTTTGTCAGGTTTGTCAAAGATCAGATAGTTGTAGATAGGTGGCGTTATTTCTGAGGGCTCTGTTCTGTTCCATTGATCTATATCTCTGTTTTGGTACCAGTACCATGCTGTTTTGGTTACTGTAGCCTTGTAGTATAGTTTGAAGTCAGGTAGTGTGATGCCTCCAGCTTTGTTCTTTTGGCTTAGGATTGACTTGGTGATGCGGGCTCTGTTTTGGTTCCATATGAACTTTAAAGTAGTTTTTTCCAATTCTGTGAAGAAAGTCATTGGTAGCTTGATGGGGATGGCATTGAATCTGTAAATTACCTTGGGCAGTATGGCCATTTTCACGATATTGATTCTTTCTACCCATGAGCATGGAATGTTCTTCCATCTGTTTGTATCCTCTTTTATTTCATTGAGCAGTGGTTTGTAGTTCTCCTTGAAGAGGTCCTTCACATCCCTTTTAAGTTGGATTCCTAGGTATTTTATTCTCTTTGAAGCAATTGTGAATGGGAGTTCACTCATGATTTGGCTCTCTGTCTGTCTGTTATTGGTGTATAAGAATGCTTGTGATTTTTGTACATTGATTTTGTATCCTGAGACTTCGCTGAAGTTGCTTATCAGCTTAAGGAGATTTTGTGCTGAGACAATGGGGTTTTCTAGATATACAATCATGTCGTCTGCAAACAGGGACAATTTGACTTCCTCTTTTCCTAATTGAATGCCCTTTATTTCCTTCTCCTGCCTAATTGCCCTGGCCAGAACTTCCAACACTATGTTGAATAGGAGTGGTGAGAGAGGGCATCCCTGTCTAGTGCCAGTTTTCAAAGGGAATGCTTCCAGTTTTTGCCCATTCAGTATGATATTGGCTGTGGGTTTGTCATAGATAGCTCTTATTATTTTGAGATACGTCCCATCAATACCTAATTTATTGAGAGTTTTTAGCATGAAGGGTTGTTGAATTTTGTCAAAGGCTTTTTCTGCATCTATTGAGATGATCATGTGGTTTTTGTCTTTGGCTCTGTTTATATGCTGGATTACATTTATTGATTTGCGTATATTGAACCAGCCTTGCATCCCAGGGATGAAGCCCACTTGATCATGGTGGATAAGCTTTTTGATGTGCTGCTGGATTCGGTTTGCCAGTATTTTATTGAGGATTTTTGCATCAACGTTCATCAAGGATATTGGTCTAAAATTCTCTTTTTTTGTTGTGTCTGCCTGGCTTTGGTATCAGAATGATGCTGGCCTCATAAAATGAGTCAGGGAGGATTCCCTCTTTTTCTATTGATTGGTATAGTTTCAGAAGGAATGGTACCAGTTCCTCCTTGTACCTCTGGTAGAATTCGGCTGTGAATCCATCTGGTCCTGGACTCTTTTTGGTTGGTAAGCTATTGATTATTGCCACAATTTCAGATCCTGTAATTGGTCTATTCAGAGATTCAACTTCTTCCTGGTTTAGTCTTGGGAGAGTGTAGGTGTCGAGGAATTTATCCATTTCTTCTAGATTTTCTAGTTTATTTGCATAGAGGTGTTTGTAGTATTCTCTGATGGTAGTTTGTATTTCTGTGGGATCGGTGGTGATATCCCCTTTATCATTTTTTATTGCGTCTATTTGATTCTTCTCTCTTTTTTTCTTTATTAGTCTTGCTAGTGGTCTATCAATTTTGTTGATCCTTTCAAAAAACCAGCTCCTGGATTCATTAATTTTTTGAAGGGTTTTTTGTGTCTCTATTTCCTTCAGTTCTGCTCTGATTTTAGTTATTTCTTGCCTTCTGCTAGCTTTTGAATGTGTTTGCTCTTGCTTTTCTAGTTCTTTTAATTGTGATGTTAGGGTGTCAATTTTGGATCTTTCCTGCTTTCTCTTGTGGGCATTTAGTGCTATAAATTTCCCTCTACACACTGCTTTGAATGCGTCCCAGAGATTCCAGTATGTTGTGTCTTTGTTCTCACTGGTGTCAAAGAACATCTTTATTTCTGCCTTCATTTTGTTATGTACCCAGTAGTCATTCAGGAGCAGGTTGTTCAGTTTCCATGTAGTTGAGCGGTTTTGAGTGAGATTCTTAATCCTGAGTTGTAGTTTGATTGCACTGTGGTCTGAGAGATAGTTTGTTGTAATTTCTGTTCTTTTACATTTGCTGAGGAGAGCTTTACCTCCAAGTATGTGGTCAATTTTGGAATAGGTGTGGTGTGGTGCTGAAAAAAATGTATATTCTGTTGATTTGAGTTAGCGAGTTCTGTAGATGTCTATTAGGTCCACTTGGTGCAGAGCTGAGTTCAATTCCTGGGTATCCTTGTTGACTTTCTCTCTCGTTGATCTGTCTAATGTTGACAGTGGGGTGTTAAAGTCTCCCATTATTAATGTGTGGGAGTCTAAGTCTCTTTGTAGGTCACTCAAGACTTGCTTTATGAATCTGGGTGCTCCTGTATTGGGTGCATATATATTTAGGATAGTTAGCTATTCTTGTTGAATTGATCCCTTTACCATTATGTAATGGCCTTCTTTGTCTCTTTTGATCTTTGTTGGTTTAAAGTCTGTTTTATCAGAGACTAGGATTGCAACCCCTGCCTTTTTTTTGTTTTCCATTTGCTTGGTAGATCTTCCTCCATCCTTTTATTTTGAGCCTATGTGTGTCTCTCCACGTGAGATGGGTTTCCTGAATACAGCACACTGATGGGTCTTGACTCTTTATCCAATTTGCCAGTCTGTGTCTTTTAATTGGAGCATTTAGTCCATTTACATTTAAAGTTAATATTGTTATGTGTGAATTTGATCCTGTCATTATGATGTTAGCTGGTTATTTTGCTCGTTAGTTGATGCAGTTTCTTCCTAGACTCAATGGTCTTTACATTTTGGCATGATTTTGCAGCGGCTGGTACCGGTTGTTCCTTTCCATATTTAGCGCTTCCTTCAGGAGCTCTTTTAGGGCAGGCCTGGTGGTGACAAAATCTCTCAGCATTTGCTTGTCTGTAAAGTATTTTATTTCTCCTTCGCTTATGAAGCTTAGTTTGGCTGGATATGAAATTCTGGGTTGAAAATTCTTTTCTTTAAGAATGTTGAATATTGGCCCCCACTCTCTTCTGGCTTGTAGGGTTTCTGCTGAGAGATCCGCTGTTAGTCTGATGGGCTTCCCTTTGAGGGTAACCCGACCTTTCTCTCTGGCTGCCCTTAACATTTTTTCCTTCATTTCAACTTTGGTGAATCTGACAATTATGTGTCTTGGAGTTGCTCTTCTCGAGGAGTATCTTTGTGGCGTTCTCTGTATTTCCTGAATCTGAACGTTGGCCTGCCTTGCTAGATTGGGGAAGTTCTCCTGGATAATATCCTGCAGAGTGTTTTCCAACTTGGGTCCATTCTCCCCATCACTTTCAGGTACACCAATCAGACGTAGATTTGGTCTTTTCACATAGTCCCATATTTCTTGTAGGCTTTGCTCATTTCTTTTTATTCTGTTTTCTCTAAACTTCCCTTCTTGCTTCATTTCATTCATTTCATCTTCCATTGCTGATACCCTTTCTTGCAGTTGATCGCATCGGCTCCTGAGGCTTCTGCATTCTTCACGTAGTTCTCGAGCCTTGGTTTTCAGCTCCATGAGCTCCTTTAAGCACTTCTCTGTATTGGTTATTCTAGTTATACATTCTTCTAAATTTTTTTCAAAGTTTTCAACTTCTTTTCCTTTGGTTTGAATGTCCTCCCGTAGCTCAGAGTAATTTGATCATCTGAAACCTTCTTCTCTCAGCTCGTCAAAGTCATTCTCCATCCAGCTTTGTTCCGTTGCTGGTGAGGAACTGCGTTCCTTTGGAGGAGGAGAGGCGCTCTCCTTTTTAGAGTTTCCAGTTTTTCTGTTCTGTTTTTTCTCCATCTTTGTGGTTTTATCTACTTTTGGTCTTTGATGATGGTGATGTACAGATGGGTTTTTTGTGTGGATGTCCTTTCTGTTTGTTAGTTTTCCTTCTAACAGACAGGACCCTCAGCTGCAGGTCTGTTGGAATACCCTGCCGTGTGAGGTGTCGGTGTGCCCCTGCTGGGGGGTGCCTCCCATTTAGGCTGCTCGGGGGTTCAGGGGTCAGGGACCCACTTGAGGAGGCAGTCTGCCCATTCTCAGATCTCCAGCTGCGTGCTGGGAGAACCACTGCTCTCTTCAAAGCTGTCAGACATGGACATTTAAGTCTGCAGAAGTTACTGCTGTCTTTTTGTTTGTCTATGCCCTGCCCCCAGAGGTGGAGCCTACAGAGGCAGGCAGGCCTCCTTGAGCTGTGGTGGGCTCCACCCAGTTCGAGCTTCCCGGCTGCTTTGTTTACCTAATCAAGCCTGGGCAATGGCGGGCGCCCCTCCCCCAGCCTCACTGCCACCTTGCAGTTTGATCTCAGACTGCTGTGCTAGCAATCAGCAAGACTCGGTGGGCATAGGACCCTCCGAGCCAGGTGAGGGATATAATCTTGTGGTGCGCCGTTTTTTAAGCCCGTCAGAAAAGTGCAGTATTCGGGTGGGAGTGACCCGATTTTCCAGGTGCTGTCCGTCACCCCTTTCTTTGACTTGGAAAGGGAACTCCCTGACCCCTTGCGCTTCCCAAGTGAGGCAATGCCTCGCCCTGCTTCGGCTCACGCACGGTGTGCACACCCACTGACCTGCACCCACTGTCTGGCACTCCGTAGTGAGATGAACCCGGTACCTCAGATGGAAATGCAGAAATCACCCGTCTTCTGCATCGCTCACGCTGGTAGCTGTAGACCGGAGCTGTTCCTATTCGGCCATCTTGGCTCCTCCCCCACAAGGATCTCTTGTAAGGCTGGTATAGTAGTAACAAATTTCCTTAGTTTTTCCTTCTCTAGGAAATATTTTATTTCTCCTTTGCTTAAGTAGTTTAGTTTGGTGAGATATAAAATTCTTGGTTGGAATTTCTTTTTTTTTTTTTTTTTGAGACAGAGTCTCGCTCTGTCGCCCAGGCTGGAGTGCAGTGGCGCGATCTTGGCTCACTGCAAGCTCCGCCTCCTGGGTTCACGCCATTCTGCTGCCTCCCGAGTAGCTGGAACTACAGGCGCCCGCCACCACGCCTGGCTAATTTTTTGTATTTTTAGTAGAGATGGGGTTTCACCATGTTAGCCAGGATGGTCTCGATCTCCTGACGTCGTGATCTGCCGGCCTTGGCCTCCCAAAGTGCTGAGATTACAGGCATGAGCCACTGTGCCCGGCCGGAATTTCTTTTATTATCTTATTGTTTTTTGAGACAGAGTCTCACTCTGTCGCCCAGGCTGGAGTGCAGTGGCACAATCTTGGCTCACTGCAACCTCTGCCTCCAGGGTTCAAGCAATTCTCCCACTTCAGCCTCCAGAGTAGCTGGGACTACAGGCACATGCCTCCACACCTGGCTAATTTTTGTGTTTTCGGTAGAGACGGGGTTTCACCATGTTGGCCAGGCTGGTCTCAACTCCTGACCTCAAGTGATCCGCCCCACCTCTGCCTCCTGAAGTTCTGCGATTACAGGGGTGAACCACCATGCCCAGCTGGAATATCTTTTCTTTAAGAATGCTAAAAATAGGCCCTCAATCTCTCCTGGCTTGTAAACTTTCCACTGAGAAGTTTGTTGTTAGCCTGATGGGGTTTCCTTTGTACCTGATCTGACCTTTTTTTCTAGCTGCCTGTAAGACTTTTTCTTTAGTACTGACTTTGGACAATTTGGTGAATGCATGCCTTGGTGATGTTCTTTTTGTAAAGTATCTTATGTGTATTCTCTGGATTGTTTATATCTGAACGTCTACCTCTCTAGCAAGGTTAAGGAAATTTTCTTGAATTTTTCCCCCCAAATGTGTTTTCCAGGTTGTTTCCTTTATTTCTCTCAGGAATGCCAATACTTTGTAGGTTTTGTCACTTTACATAATTCTATATTTCTTGAAGACTTTGTTCATTTTTTTTAAAGTTCTTTTTTTATTTATAGTTGTATGACTGGGTTAGTTAAAAAGACCAGTCTTCAAGCTCTGAAATTCTTTCTTCTGCTTGGTCTAGTCTATCAATAAAACTATCAATTGTATTTTGAAATTCCTTAAGTGAGTTTTGCAGCTCCAGAGCTCTGATTGATTTCTTTTGAAACTGTTTATTTCTTCCATCATTTCCTGTATTGCTTTAGAAGTTTATTTGTGTTGTTTTCAACCTTGTCTTCAATCTCATTGAGCTTCCTTACAATCCATGCTTTGAATTATTTATATGTCATTTCTGAGTTTCCATTTTGTTCAGGGACCATTGCTGGAGAGCTAGTGTGATTCTTTGGTGGTGTCACTGCATTCAGATTTTTAATGGTGCCAGAATTCTTGCATTGGTTCCTTCTCATCTGGATAAGCTGGCACTTCAAAATTTTGTAATTATTTTAGTGCAGGTAGAATTTTTTCTTCTTTCCCTATGATACTTTTTGTTCTTTCCTTTTCCCTTTCTCCTTCCTCCCTAAAGGGTGTGGCTGTAGAGAATGCAGGATAGGGTCTTTTGACCTTGCAGCCTCATGCACTTCTCTTGGCAGCTTTAATATTGGGCTGTGCAGTTCAACCTACAGGCCAGTAGATGGTGCTTATAGGTAAGAGCTGGCTGCAGCCAATGAAGCTGGGTATATACCTGGTCCTTTTTTACTGGGAGAAGCTCTCTGTTATCTCAGACAACGGGCTGGTTTGTGGAATGCACAGTAGACTAAGCTTCTTGCTCAGCCCTGGGAATGTGGGGGTCAAAGTAGTTTATTGAGATGGAATTTACTCCTGGTAAAGAGGCTGTGAACATTGTTGAAGTGCCAGCAAAGGATTTAGAATATTTCATAAACATAGTTCATAATGTGGCAACAGGGTTTAGGAGGATTGCCTACAATTTTGAAAGAAGTTCTATTGTGGGTAAAATGCTATCAAACATCATTACTGGTAATAGAAAAATCTTTCATGAAAGGCAGTGTCAATTCATACAGCAAACTTCATTGTTGTCTTTTTTTTTTAATTTAAAGGAATTTAATTTAGCAATGAATGATTCATGTATCAGGCAGCCTCTTGAGCAGAGTAGGTTCTGAGACTCCCCACTGTTGTCATTTTTTTTTCTTTTGAGACGGAGTTTCGCTTTTGTTGCCCAGGCTGGAATGCAATGGTGTGATCTTGGCTCACTGCAACCTCTGCCTCCTGGATTCAAGCGATTCTCCTGCCTCAGCCTCCCGAGTAGTTGGGATTACAGGTGCCCACCACCATGCCCAGCTAAGTTTTGTATTTTTAGTAGAGACGGCAGTTTCTACCATTTTTGGCCCGGGTGGTCTTGAACTCTTGACCACAGGCGATCCACCTGCCTCAGCCTCCCAAAGTGCTGGGATTACAGGTGTGAGCACCGCGCCCAGCCCCCATTGTTGTCTTATTTTAAGAAATTGCCACAGCCACCCCGACCTTCATCCACCACCACTTCGATCAGTCAGCAGTCCTCAACATCCAGGCAAGACCCTCCACTAGAAAGAAGATTATGATTTGCTAAAGTTCAGATGATTGTTAGCAATTTTTAGTAATAAAGTATTTTAAAATTAAGGAATGTGCATTGTTTTTCTAGACATAATTCTGTTGCTCACTTAATAGACTACAAAATAGTATAAAGGTAACTTATATGCACTAGGAAACAAAACAGTTGTGTGACTGACTTTATTGCAATATTTGCTTTATTATGGTGGTCTGGAACCAAACTGGCATATATCTTCAAGGTATGCCTATATATTTTTCTTTAGTTCTTTTTGTTTTTATCCAGAGGATTTTTATGCATAAAAAAAGATTCATTCATTCAGCACATTTACTGTTGTCTGCAGATCATGACTTTTGGCATATCAAACATTAAAACATGTCCACTTTACCTTGCGTGGACATGTTTTAAGTAATTATAGTTCTGTTGACCTCACTTTTGCATTTCAGGTCTAAATTTCTCACCCAGTTACATAGCTGTTCGTGGGCAACATGGGCATTTCCAATGTGGTGAGATACTTAGACTCCCTTAACTGTGTCTTCCTGTTGGCTACCTAAGTTGCGACTCTGGAAGAATCACATTTATAAAACATCTTGTGGCATGTCATTTAAAAATTTTTCTCATTATCTTATGTAGATGGAGAAACCTATTCATTTCATAATAATTTCGGATGCACAGAAGCATTAACCTTAGAAGAGAGAAGTCACCTTGTAATAGTTCAATTCTTTTGTTTGAGGTCAGTTTTATAGTTAGACTGTTGAAAACCTTGTCCTCAAATCTGTGGTTGTTCTTATGTAGTGTAGTAGAGATGCAGTAGCATATGTGACCTGAATATGTAGCCAATTGTGTACACTCTGTGGAAAGACAGTAAACTGATTAGGTCTTGCTCTGATGGTAGTATCCTGTTAAATTTTCTAGAATAAGAATGATACATGTGACATTTTAAATATCAGCTTACATATGCTTCATCAGTGTGCAATTGTTATTTAATTATTATAGCATTTTCTTGTCAATCTAAAGTCATTTAAATAATTCTTTATATATGAAATTAGAAAATATCTGAAGAGATTATAAAGAATAATCGATAAACCATAAGGGATCATATAAGACAAAATGAGTCTTATTTATTTAAAAGGAAGGAAGGAACATTTAAAAGGTTGTGTCTGTTGGCCGGGCGCAGTGGCTCATGCCTGTAATCCCAGCACTTTGGGAGGCCAAGGCAGGTGGATCATGAGGTCAGGAGATCAAGACCATCATGGCTAACACGGTGAAACCCCGTCTCTACTAAAAATATAAAAAATTAGCCAGGTGCAGTGGCGGGTGCCTGTAGTCCCAGCTACTCGGGAGGTTGAGGCAGGAGAATGGCATGAACCCAGGAAGCGGAGCTTGCAGTGAGCCAAGATCGCGCCACTGCACTCCAGCCTGGACGACAGAGCAAGACTCCGTCTAAAAAAAAAAAAGAAAGATTGTGTCTGTTGAGGGTGGTGTATATGTATATATGCACATAGGTGTGGGTGAAATTCTTTTCTCAAACATGTTTTATATTACATTATGAATGGAGCTGAGTCTTTTCAAAAAATCAATCCAAGAAGAGAATGGTATCATAGAAGTCTTTAGATTGCCTGGAAAATAAAGTGTTAGTTGAGACAATTTGCACAAATGCCAACACTTTTGGGGAAGGATTTGGACCAAGTCTTGGTATACTTTGTTTAGCATACAAATGGAACAAATGCCACCAATTTTGCTTCTTCTGAGTGTAATTTTTCTTAACTTAGCTGTAAAACAGGTCTTCAGTCAAACATGATTTTAGCAATTTGCTCAATTTTAGACTATGTGAAATCAGTTGGCAAGTAGGACATCATCTAAATATTTTAAACATCATGGAGAAAGTTATAACAAAAACCCAACAGTAATACTATTGTGGCCTTTTTAATAGGGTAAGCATTTTGACCTAGTGTGTATACTTCTGAAAATATAACTGTATCAGTCAGGGTTCAACCAAAGAAGCAGAACCAATGGGAGGTATGTATTAAGAGATTTACTGTAAGGAATTGGCTTATGGGTTGTGGAAACTGTCTATACGAGTCCAAAATCTGTAGGGCAGGCTGTCCACAGGTGAAATTTCCTCTCCAGGGAAGCCTCAACTCTGCCTTTTAAGGCCTTTCAACTGATTCAGTCAGGCCCACCAGATTATCTAGGATAGTTTTCCTTATCAAAGTCCATTGATTATGGACTTCACAGTCACAAATACAAAATGCTTTCCAGCAACACCTGGATTAGTGTTTGAATAACGGGACTGTAGCCTAGCCAGGTTGACATATCAAAAGACCATTACACTAACCTAAAGAAATAAGCATAAATATAGAAAAAGCTTTCTGTGCAAATCTGTTCACTTTTGCTAAAAACCTTGGAATTGTAAAATATTGAGTAATAGGCAAGTAGTTAAATTATGATACATTTATATGAGAGATATGTTATTAAAATAATGTTTT
Organism: Homo sapiens; assembly: GCF_000001405.40. Taxonomy (NCBI): domain Eukaryota; kingdom Metazoa; phylum Chordata; class Mammalia; order Primates; family Hominidae; genus Homo; species Homo sapiens. The sequence continues at coordinate 127,583,750 of NC_000004.12, read as the reverse complement.
TAAATTACATAGAGGGTTTTTAAAGTTTCATAAGGTTAGCTAAAAATTCAGGAGACAAATGTGTGATTATTATTTTAAACATTTTAATAGAAAAATGAATATTCAGCAAAATGTCAGAAAAGGTATCTTTGGGTACCTTTGGTATCTTTGGAACAAAAATTACTGTTCCAAAAAGTAGTGTTTTCTACTTTTTAGAAAATTACTGTTCTAAATTCGTAGTGTTATGAATTTTCAAAATATCATGCTAAGGACATTTTAATTTCCATTAAGCCAGTTGATTTTTAAATTTTTTTTCAATAAACTTGTAAGGTTGTTATTAAAGATGTTTAAACTTCTATGCCATGTCACTATCATAAATTAGGGCAGGAATACACCACTTGCCTTGTGCCCTTTTAAGAAAGGAAGAGAAAATATAGGTCTCAAATTCATAGGAATTCTTTATTACGAGTAAAAAATTCTCTGGCTAACTTATTTGTAAAAAGGTTTTCTAGCTTTAACAAACTTTAATAAAAATAAAACTTTAATAAAAGTTCAAAGTTTGATGAATTGTTAAGTATATTCTTACTTATTAGAATTTACAAAGAACTTCTTGAAACAGATTATGTTATTGCAAAAGTGATCACATAGAAAGGTTGTGTATACTCCTTTGGGATAGTTGTGTTTCTTTTTTTTTTTTTTTTTTTTTTTTTGAGACAGGGTCTGGCTCTGTTGCTCAGGCTAGAGTGCAGTGGCATGATCGTGGCTTACTCCCAGGCTCAAGAGATCCTCCCACCTCAGCCTCCCAAGTAGCTGGGACTACAGGTGCACACCATCACACCCGGCTAATTTTTGTACTTTTTGTAGAGACAAGATTTTACCATGTTGCCCAGGCTGGTCTCAAACTCCTGAGCTCAAGCAATTCGTGCACCTTGGCCTCCCAAGCTGCTGGGATTACAGGTGTGAGCCACCATGTCCTGCCTGTGTTTCATTTTTAAGTAGAAATAGACAAAATAAAACCATATACTCTGTATTATCCCAACTATGTATCAACTGTATGTGTGTGTGTCTATGTATGTGTGTGTGTAATACAACAAATTGTTAACAGAGATTACGTATGTGTGGTGAAATTATTATTTTTTTCTGTATTTTCCAAACATTTTCTAATGTTACTGTTGTGATCATGCAAACAAACTTTAAAAGTAGTCTTTAAGTGGAATAAAGAGAGTGACTAGAGACATGTGGCATTTGCCACCACCCCCATCCCCCAGGAAAGGACCACAGCAATGAATAAACAGCTACGATTTGACAGGAGTCTGAAAGGGAGAGTGCTGGAGTGCAACAGGTAAGTGAACAGATGCCTGTGGTGATTAAAAAGCGCAGGAGGGCAGCATGGAGACACTCGATCTCTGCTGCTCCATCTTCCCAGGCTGGATTGGCCCAGAGGTAGGAGGGACTTCCCTTGTGGGAAGAAGGTAAGCAGAAGAACCTCATGAGCCCTCATTGTTGTTGCAAACACCTACAGTGCTTACTACAAGAGATCCCATAGTCTTCACAAGCACTGAGCCCAATTTAGGGAGCTGCTAGGAATTTATACAGCTACATTGCTCCAGATTAAGAGCACAAAGTGTGCACTCCCAACTCCCGCCTTCACTCTCAACCCTTGTGACCTAAGCTGCTGCAGTATGGTGCCATCTTGAGACCAGAGACACTTCTGGAGTGCACCTTGCTCTGGGAGCCAGTAGCCGCTGAACATCTCCAGCCATGAGGCTGTGTGTCTCTTCCACTAAGACCACATGGTGGTATAGAGCCACATGGGTGACTGCAACGACGTGACCCTGGCTGCATGGAGCCTGGGCCCAGGACAGGCTGTGGCTCTGGTCCTGCATGGCCAGGAAACCAACCTCTGTTGGATGTGGTGGCTTACGCTTGTAATCCCAGCACTTTGGGAGGTCGAGGTGGGCAAATTGCTTGAGCTCAGGGGTTTAAGACCAGCCTGGGCAACACGGTGAAACTCTGTCTCTACAAAAAATACAAAAATTAGCTGGGCATGGTGGTGTGCACCTGTAGTCCCAGCCAAAGAAACAGTCTGGTAGACCTGCCCATGGCAAACCCGCCCTTCAGCTGGCCAAACTGCCATGCACCCTCCCTCAAGCAGGAGTGGCCTCCAAGCTGTCTAGCAGCTAAAATGCCCCCCACTCCCGGCCAGTAGAGTGGCTATGTTTCTGTGCTCAAGACCTGAGAAACACTTCAGTTGGTCCGCCCCCAGCCGATACACTCCCAGGCCTGCATACAACCTATGCATACAATGGGTTGGCAAACTTGAGCTCTGGCTCACTGGAGTTGGGGTCACAGGGCTGTTACTCCGGCCTGTGGTTAGGGCACATGGCTGTTCAGCCAGCCTAGAGGTGTGTGTGCCAGGGATGGGCCCACAATGCTGTTTCTCAGGCTCTGGACACTGGCACATGACCACTCACTCACTTGTGGACATGGGCTGACCACTCCCTCACTGGTCAGCTGCCAGCTGACACACTCCTAGGACTGCCCAGCAGCCCTGCACCTGTGCCCAGGACCTGAGAAACATCCTGGAAGTCCATTCCTGATAGACCCACTCCCAGGCTGGCCAAGTAATCATGTGCCTGAGCCCAGAGCCTAAGAAACAGCCCAGTGGGCCTGCTACTGGTAGACAAACTGTACTACACTGCCTCCACAAATGCGCATAGTCACTGAAACACTTGCAAACATCACCAGTATGGTTTATAGCTGAAGAAACTGCACAGAGATACTATATTACTTTGCCTACCTAGAACCAAAGCCAGTGCACTCCACCCAGCTGACACATCAAGAGTCACCTATAGGAATACGTCTTTCTCCACAAAACCTGCTAAATAAAATTGGAAGAGGTGACTCCTTCACCAGATGCAAAAAAAAAAAAAAAAAAAAAAGGACATATCAAACATGAAAAAGGAAGAAACATGTCACCTTCATAGGAACACAATAATTCTGCAATAACAGACTCCAGCAATAAGAAAATATATTAAACACCAGAAAAAGAATTTGTGTTAGGTCATTCTTGCACTGCTATTAAGAACACCTAAGCCTGGGTAAGTTATAAAGAAAAGAGGTTTAACAGGCTTACAGTTCCACAGGCTGTACAGGAAGCATAGTGCCAGGATCTGCTTGGCTCCTGGAGAGGCATTAGCGAAGTTACAAGCATGGCAAAAGGCAAAGGGGAAGTTGATGTATCTATCACATGGCAAGAGTGGGAGCAAGAGAGAGAGTAGGGAGAAGTTGCCACACATTTTTAAACACAAAACTATTGCAACTGTTTTGTTTTGTTTCATTTTTGAGAAGGAGTCTTGCTCTGTTGCCCAGGCTGGAGTGCAATGGTGCAATCTCTGCTCGGTGCAATCTCTGCTCACTGCAACCTCAGCCTCCTGAGTTCAAGCGATTCTTGTGCCTCAGCCTCCCGAGTAGCTAGGATTACAGGCCTGCACCACCACACCTGGCTACTATTTTGTATTTTTAGTAGAGACGGGGTTTCGCCATGTTGGCCAGGCTGGTCTTGAACTCCTGACCTCAGGTGATCTGCCCGCCTTAGCCTCGAAGTGTTGGAATTACAGGCGTGAGCCACCGTGCCCGCTGCAACTGTTTTTATTTGCTCTTTGGGGCCTGCGGGACTCCCTTGGGCAGAGGTCTGGCCGAGAGATAGGCCACGCCCTTACAAGACCAGCCTGTGGAGGGAGGCACGCCTAGGTCCCAAACCAGCCCGCAAACCTGTGTGACTCAGCTCTCTCAGTTTTCTGAGAGTGTGGCCTCCTCCTCTCCAACTTCCAGCGCTGGGCATAGATCTCGGCTTGACACTGCCAAACCAAGGGTGGTAGACCTGGGGGAATAGGACCTACTCTTGGTCCCCTCCTTCAGACCTAGGGAGTTGAGTTCCAGGTGTGCTGGGGAATCCAAAGGGCTCCCAAGCTGCCAGAATGCACTCAGCTGGAGCAAAGCACCCATGCTGGGCAGCAGAGGCTGCACTGCGTACACACTCTTTTGGGGCAGCCAAGCAGGAGCCCTGGGAGGGGCTGGCGGGCAGGTGGGCTTGCAGGGCACACATGCCCTAGTCCAACAGGGAAGCCAGCACTGCTTTCTCCATGGTGGTTAGCTGGGGCCAGAACTTCTCAGAGGGAGACGGAGAGCCCCGGGGATGGACACTTACGGCCTGGCTCTGCTGGAGCTGTCCTGTGCACAAAGGTCCCTGGCTCCATGCCTGCTATATGTCTGTCTTCATTTAATCTCCAGGAAGATCCCCCTATACCAGCTCAAACATCTGTGAGGACTGTGGGGTCCCCTGCAGCTAGGATGCCAGAGGTCCATGGTGAGAGTAGGCATTCCCTCAGTTCCTTCACTGACTCATTTCCCAGGAGTCAAACCCAACCCTAGCATTCAGGCACTCCACATGCGGTTCCCAGCTTCCTCCTTCTTCAGCTTCAGCATCTGTATCTTTTCTTCGTCCACATTTGGCATTTTCTCTCCAAAGATCTGTTCAAATTATGTTGATTTGGTTGAAATACCGTTGTCTCTCCGTAGGAGCAGCACTTCCCGCCTGCATCTAGTCGGCCATCTTGCCCACCCTCCCGGAATTCTTGGAAAAGGAGTCTTTCTGCCAGATGCTGACCTTTCTTCATGCTAGTAGGGTATATAATAAGGTAGTTTTTCAATTTGAGAGGCATATCTGAAAAGAGTTCTCTCTCCAAATTTTCCTTGGAATTGAAATTAAATTTATAACACTTGCCTGAACTATTACAGCAATATAAACTTAATACTTCTTTGTCAACCTAAAAATTTAGGAAGAAAAGACATTTTCGTCATGTATGAAGACAAAAATGGTTGTATTCCTATGTTATGGGTTAGTCACTATCTTCATTTAGCTCAAGGTGAAGAAGACTGAGAAGAAACGTCAAAACCCATTCCCCCCCCCCCCGCCCCCCCGTTTTCCATTCAAAGGGGAGCAAGCTGTCCTTCTAAGGGAAGAAGCCAGCAGGACTCCCTCCAGGCAGGCTGAGAGGAGACAGGATTCTATTTCTTCTTAAAGACTCACAGCTCACATTTTTCTCTTTTTAGCTACATAGCTGGACACAGAATCTTTAGAGTTGAGAGTCTTTACAAAGCTGGCTGGGTAGATTTCTGGCCCAGCCTAATATCTTCTGTCCTCCTTCACTTTCCAGGATCAGTCAAACACATGCCTGAATTTAAAATGTTACCATCAGTTGAAGTAGCTAAGGCTCCTAATTAATGTGTTTATTAGACACATTTCTTAGAAAGGGATTAATAGATTTCCTTTTATTCCTTGATCCACTCTTCATGAATATTTCACTCTTTCATTCATTCATTCAAATGACAAATATTTACTGAGCTTCTACTGTGTGCCAGGCATACATCTAGACTCTGGGGATCCAGGTAGTAATAGCAACAACATCTTTCTCATCATGGAACATAATTTATAGTGAGGGCCATGGACAAGAACAGACATGCATGTAATACATGGGTGATATGATTTGGATATTTGTCCCCTCCAAATCTCAAATTGAGTTTATTTTGCTCTAATAGTTTAAGCAAGTGTTGTCATGGGGGTGGATCCCTCATGAATGACTTGGTGACCTCCCCAGGGTAATGAGTGAATTCTTGCTGTTAGCTCACATAAGTACCGGTTATTTAAAGGAGCCTGACATCCTTCTCTTGCTCCTACCATTGCCATGTGATACATCAGCTCCCCCTTTGCCTTCCACCATGATTGTAAGGTTCTTGAGTCCTCACCAGAGACTAAATGGATGCCGGTGCCATGTTTGTACAGCCTGCAGAACTGTGAGCCAAATATATCTCTTTTCTTTATAAATTACCCAGTCTCAGGTATTCCTTTATAGCAATGCAAAATGGATTAACACAATAAATATTAAAGGTATGGGGATAGAGAATGATATCATTGTGGTCAGGGAAAGCCTTTCTGATAGGAGATGTGAGTGAAGTGTCGGGGAAAGCTATGTAAATATGTATTGGAAAGGCATTCTAGGAAGAGAGAACAAGTGCAAAGACCTTGAGCTGAGATTGTGCGTGGCCTATGGAATATCAAGGACAGTATTGAGGCTGGAGAGGATTGAGGAGAGAGAGTACTGAAGAAAATGAGCTCACAGAGGTGGCGATATGAGATGAAATTTGCATGTGTATTTCTGTACCTCCCTGGGTTAAATGAAAATTGAGGGCTCAGTTTTTAGATATGGTGACATGCATTTAACTGTGATGATTGTATTGATCTGAGAATAGTTCACAAGTGAATAAAGTATATATTTTAATTTCAAGTGTTTTGATTAAATCTTTAATGTAGGTGCAAATTTTGTGCTTGCACAGTATTTTATATTTAATATACTTTAATTAGAATTGAATTAAAAGAAACTGTAGTAATCATCAAGTACCATCTTTTTATTTCATAGATGAGTCAATTGTGATCTAGAAAGGGTAAGTAATCTTATTAATAGCATAATCATAGCTATAGCATTCTGTGTCAAGCACTATGCTGAGTGCTTTACACACTTGATCCTCACAGCCGCCACATGGGGTGAGCATTATGGTCCCCATGGGGTGTGCCCTAATAAGTGGCAGAGATGTTCAAGGGCAGCTGCAACCTTCCTCTCTGCTGACAGTGTGACTGTTTTTAAGAGAGGCTCTCTGAATATTCATGGTTTATGTTTAGACATGAAAAAAATTCCAGTATCTAGGCTGCTTGAGTTTTGGGACAAAGCCTTCCGTATTTCCTTTGCTTGACTCCAAAGCCCAGGTTGTTGACTACTGTGCTGTATTGCTTCTAAGTGATAATGTTCTAAGTTGATAATTGGGATAGTTGGGTCTCAAGCCTCAAAACAAACCCTTTATATTCCCAGTTTGGTGGTGTCTTCAGGATACCTCCTCTCCCTAATTCTTTGAGCAAGCACTGGATCATACAGGGAGGTAAAGGGGTGTTAAAACCCCCCTGTTAGGTGTTCCTACTGCCATAGCCCTGTCTTCAAGTCCCCAGGTCCTCTGACCGATCCATCCCTCAGTGATTGCTTGAATTTTGGTCAAGGTCTACTTCACCGTTTTTACATGCCCTAAATTATTTTGCCATGTTGTTCTAGGAATATTTCCAAATTAAACTGCGCAGAGATTAAGGAGAATAATTCTATCAGCATTTTTTTTTTTTCTAAAGAGTTATGGACTAGGGGAGAAATGAGGAAGAAAGACAGAGCACATTTAATGGTGTAGACCATACTGTTCTGCCAGAAATTCTTCCTTGTTTTTAATTCTTTTCTTCTCTCCAGAGACAGTGTTTTAAAGAACATTCAGAAGGAAGACATAAAGGGCTAACATCTTTGGAGAAGATAAATATGTGTTATCTGAGAAGAATAACCTGAACCATCATTTGCAAATGACATAATAATCATCAAGAAATGCTGAAACCAAAGAATAGTGTGTTATTGAGTTCCACGGTTTTCTTTGAATTTTTGCCGTATCTTTGTTTTGTTTTCCTTGTGGGAGAAGACCATTATGCACATATCCCAAAGGATTCTGGAGAGTTGGCTTGTTCTGTTCTCTCTCCACACCTGGCTAAATACTCTTTGGCACTATACAGCTTGGGTAAGATGTGGATTTATTGACCAACAGCCTGGGGGTGACTGTGTCAAAGGAATACATTCAATCATTTTTCAGAAAGCTAAAGGAGCAGGAGGATTCCAAAGACTTAGGAATCTTAAAAATTTGAAAATTGACTTAGCAAAACCACATCCAAAAATTTATATCCAGGAAGTAGTGGAACAAGTAAACAAACTTGCAAATGCAAAGTTGTTCATTGAAGAGTTATTAAGAATAGTAAACATAGGAAGTACCTTAAACATATGGGGGAATTTTAAAAGTTTTAAAAATTAATTATGGGGCTGGGCATGGTGGCACATGCCTGTAATCTCAGCACTTTGGAAGGCTGAGGTGGGTGGATTGCTTGATGTCAGGAGTTTGAGACCGGCCTGGCCAACATAGCAGAATCCCGTCTCTACTAAAAATACAAAAATTAGCTGGGCATGGTGGTGCATGCCTGTTGTCCCAGTTATTTGGGAGACTGAGGCAGCAGAATCGCTTGAACCTGGGAGGTGGAGGTTGCAGTGAGCTGAGATCATGCTACTGCACTCCAGCCTGGGGGACAGTAGTGAAACCGTGTCTCAAAAAAGAGAAAATTAATACATAATTCATTTATTGAATGGAATATTATTTAACCATGAAAAACTAATGTAGATAGATATTTGCTTGGATGAAGAAATTTCATAGTATGTTGTTAAGGGACAAAGCAGATATTTTATGTATTATATATTTACAATATAATTCAATTGTGGTATTCTTTGGACAATTAGACATAATTTTTCTTTCTGATCATCTATGATTTTAACTTTTTCTACAGAAAAACTAGGACTATAAAAAGTTTAATCAACACGAAACACACATATTTAAAAGTGTCTCCCATAAGATGTTCTTATTTCCTTTCATCCAAATACGATGGCATTTGTATGTGCATGTATGTGTAGAAATGAAACGCTGTTTCTGAGAAAATTCTCTAGTATCTTAGTATTTAAATTAAGGGAGAGAACTTTAAAAATAAAAGTAGTTATGTCACTTCTCTGCTCAAAATTCCCCAAAAGCTCCACATGTTAAAGCTACAGATTTTTAAAACGACCAAGAAAGTCCCACCTGAGCTGACCCTTCATTGCTTGTCTGACTGCATCTAGTATTTTCCTTCAGCTCACTCTGCTCCAGCCACACCCCCTGCTGTCCCTAGAACTCTCTAGGCTTGTTTCTTTCCTACGGCTTTTGCACCTGTGGATCCCTTTGCCTGGAATGCTGTCCCCCCAGATTCTGCCTAACACTATCTCTTTCAAGTCTTTGCTCAAATGTCTTCTTAATGAGGCCTGAACCTTTACTGTACTTAAAATGGCAACTTGCCCATTTTTCTCAGTACTCCTGATCTTTCTTGTTCTGGCTTAGTTTTTTTCTACTGGACAATATAGTATTACTTCAGTAGGGAGTCTAATGATGATCATTGTATTAAAAACACTCCAAATTCCATGAATTGTTTGGTTGACAAGAAAGAGGTTGATTAACTTCAGATTTTGTTAATTACGTATGTTAAGTTTCTGGGAAGTCATAAGAAAATAGAAATAGATTATATATTTTTCAAGCTTTTAGAGGAGAATAAAGCAAAGAAGTGTCAAAAAATCAGTTAATCCAAAAGAAGTCAAGGAAAAAGAAATAAATGTAGAAAAAGCAGGATAAAATGAAAGCACAAAATACATAAATAAAAAATATGTTTTCAATAAATATAAATTAGTTAAATTCTCTATTTAAAAGCAAAACATTGTTATAGTGGATCACTCACACACACACACACACACACACACACACACACCACACACAGACACACACCCCTGTAACGATACCAAAAAGTTGAAAGTAAAAGGATAGGAAAAGATAGGTAAATATGTGTGAAATGAAAGCTGGTATAGCCATATTACTGTTGGACAAATAGACTTGAAGTTTAAACAGGGTGAAAGAAAACCAGTACATAGTTAACTTAAAAAGAATTAATTTATCCTTCCTAGAATAATAACATAACTTTGCATACAAAAAGCAAAAATTAATAGAACTGCAAATAAAAATTGTTATATTTACTATGTATCCACTGTTTATCAAATTGGTAAATATCACCTTGGAAAATTTTAATGGTCTTCTCAGCAATTTATAGATTAAGCCAACAAAAAAATTAGTAACAATATGGAAGACTTCAGCAACATAATTAGCATGAACTAATTACGTTAATCTAATGAACTTATATAGAAAGTAGAACCCTGCAATTGATGTAGATCCATTCTTTTCAAGTTCATGTGGATCATTTACAAAAACGGACTAAATTCCAGGCCATAGAGCAATAATTCAAATAATTAATATGCTATAGATCATATTTTTGTTTCTCTCAAGACAATTATGTTAGAGATCAATAAGATGATACAAGATAAAATAAATTCCCTATATTTGGAAATTAAAAAAACCCCAAGCCTCAAACACTTGTATTATAAAAGAAGAAATTTAAACATTATTGACTTAATTCAGTCTCTTTAGAAATTTGAACAAGCACAGTAGAATAAACATAATAAAGTAAAAAGAAGGAAATAATAAAGATAAGAAGGGGATTAATAAAATTAAAAATGAGATATAATAAAGAGAATAAAGAAGTAAAGAAGATATAATAAAGAGAATAAAGAAGTTCATTGATAAAAGAAGATATAGTAAAGAGAATAAAAATAAGATTATAATAAAGAGAATAAAAAATAAGATATAATAAAAAGAATAAAGAAGTTCATTAGTAAAAGGAGGAATCACCCTGAAAATGAGAAAGATTTGATATGGAATAAGAGAGAATTTGTGGTTAAGTATGTGAGGCGATAGATATGTTAATTAAGTTGATCTAATAATTCCACAACATATAATATATAAAACATCACACTGTACCCTACAAATATATGCAATTATTATTTGTTAATTGAAATGTTTTAAAAAAGAAAAAAAAAGAGAACCTGTGGGAAACTTATAGTCTTAAATACTTGTATTATAAAAGAAGAAATTTAAATATAATTGGCTTAATCCAGTCTTTTTAGAATTAGAATGAGCACAGTAGAAGAAACATAAATAAAGTAAAAGGAAGGAAATAATAAAGATAAGAGAGAAATAAATAAAATTAAAATAAAATACAATAAAGAAAATAAAGAAGTCAAAAGTTGACTCTTTGAAATACCAGTAAAATTACCAAATAGATGGCAAGATTTATAATAAAAAGAGAAAAGCCACAAATAAAATAAGGAATGAAAAAGAGGACATAAATACAGATGCAGCAGACATTAAAATAATGTATGCCAGTAAATTTAAAAACCAAGTGGAAAAACTCCTAGAAAAATGTTAACCCTAATTGACTTAAGAAGGATTTAAAAACCTGAATCCTATAACCACTAAAGAAATTGAATCAGTGGTTCTGTATCTTTTCACAAAGAAAACACCAGATCAGAGAGCTCTTCTGCTGAATTCTAGAAAGCATTCCAGGAAGACATAATATCAATAAGAAAATTATTTCAGATACTCTCTATTTTATGTTGTAAGAATGGTACAGTTTTAATATCAAAACCAGAGTAAGAAAAGGAAAATTGCAGATCAATCTCATTCATAAATATAGAAATAAAAATTCTAAACAGAATCAAATTCAGCAGTGCACAGAAAAGTAGATTGCATAGTTATCAAGTTGGGTTTATTCCAGGAGTGCAAAGATTATTTTGGGTTATTTTTAAGTATCTTTCACCACATCACAGATGAAAATATTAACCCAAAAATGAATGTATTGATAAATATGCTTATATTAAAATTAAGATCTGCTTATCAAAAGATACCTTAAACAAAGTAAAACACAGGATTCAACTTGAGAGAAGAAATTTGCAGCATATATAATTGACAAAGATTTTTACTTAATATGCAAATTATTTTAAAAAATCAATTAGAGGAAGTCAGGCAATCCAACAGAAAAATGGGCCAATGATATGACCAATCACTGCACAGAAAAGGACACAGAAATGAATACAAAATTGTGAAAGGACGCTCAACCCCATTTGTAATCAGGAAAATTCATATTAGAACTACAATGAGGTACTATGAGGTTTATACTTATAGTGGCAAAAATTAAAATGCATAATATCAGTGGTTGCTGAGGATGTAGATAAAGCAGAAACTCTTATACACTGATGATCAAAATATCAATTGGTACAAAACTTTGGAAAATTTGGAATTGTCTGGTATTGCTGAAGATGTGTAAATCTTACAACCTAGCAATTACACTTCTACTTTCATACTTAGGAAAAACTCTTGCTCTTGTGGATCAGAAGACACACATAAAAATATTCATGGTTGTGTTGCTTATGAGAGCCCCAATCTAGAAGCAACCCAAATGTTCAATGGCAGGAGACTAGACAAACACATTGGGGAATTCATACTGTGGAAGACCATGCTGAAGTTGAAAATGAATGAACTACAGCTACTCACATCAACATGGATGAAGCTCACAAACAAAACATGGAGTGAAAAAACAAGTCGTAAAAGAGTAGAAACAGAATGAAAAAATATAAAAAACAGGCAAAATTAAATAATATGTTTTAAGAGTAATAAAAATATGTGGTGAAGTATTAAGAAAAGCAAGGTAATGATAAACACAGTTTAGGATTGAGGGGAGAGAGGTGAGATGGGGCAGGACTACCAGAGGCACAACTCCAGGGCACTCTTAGCACTATACGATATACAAATGATGATCCTTGGAGTTAGGAAGCACAGTGGTCTTTTGGGAGGGGATCCAGGGACTTCAGCAAAAATGTCAATGTTCAGGTTTTTAAGCTGTGTGGTTGATTATAATATATGCCCTTTTGTAAGTAAAATAATAAAATAGAAATAGAAGTGTAAAAAACCTTCAGATAGTGAATGTGAGTTCTTGTTCCAGCTCCATCTCTAATATAAAAACTATGTCATCTTTGGCAAGCCAACTTAGCCTCACTGAGCCTCATTTTTCTTGTTTTAATAAGTGGTTATAACAAATCCAGCCTTACCTATTTTATAGGATTGTGTGAGGATCAAATGTACTTTAAAGCATTTTACGTGTTATTAATGAAATGACATATTCATGTGCAACACTTTTCCCACATGTGAATTCAAAGGTTTATCTCTCCAAACTTAAAGGTTCATCAAACTCCAAACTTAAAACCCACAAGATGAAAGGTGAGGGTGATTAATTTAATCGTACAGCTTTTCTTCTTCCAGTTATAGTGTTCTGTATCGTTATTAGCCAAAGACTGTCTAAAGCGGTTAGCAGCCATGATGTAGCTGGCCTTGGAAAGAGTATTGGCCTTGGAGTTAGAAAACTTAGTTTTGAATCTTGGCTTTGTCACTTACTAACTGAGACGTTGGCAGTTTGCTTCCTACCTATGCTCTTTGGTTGTTGTATCTGTAAAATGGTGGTTTTATTGCCATTGTTCTAAAGGGGGAATTGAAATATTTTCTTTTCTTTTCTTTTTTTTCTTCTCTTCTCTTTTCTTTTCTTTTTTTCTAGAGACAGGGTCTCGCTGTCACCCAGGCTAGAGTGCAGTGGCATGATCATAGCTCACTGCAGCCTTGAACTTGGGCTCAAGAGATCCTCCTGCCTCAGCCTCTCAAATAGCTAGGATTACAGATGTGTGCCACCGTGCTGGACTAATTTTCTTATATTTTGTAGAGATGGGGTCTTGCTATGTTACCCAGGCTGAAATATTTCCCTAAGAGATGGCAGGGCTCCCCTTCATTCTTTGCATCTACACAGGGTGCATGAGAAGCAGCAGCAGCCCAGTTTTCTTACCCGGGTCAGTCAGTCAAGGTAGCGGTAGGTTTTCATTACGGCGAGCACACCCAACCTGATTGTTTTCTTCTGTATTGTCTGTTCATTTGCAGACAATAACCTATTCTGCCTTTTTTTTTTTTTTTTTTTTTTTTTTTTTGAGATGGAGTCTCGCTCTGTCACCCAGGCTGGAGTGCAGTGGCACGATCTCGGCTCACTGCAAGCTCTGCCTCCCGGGTTCACGCCATTCTCCTGCCTCAGCCTCCCGAGTAGCTGGGACTACAGGCACCCGCCACCACGCCCGGCTAATTTTTTGTATTTTTAGTAGAGACGGGGTTTCACTGTGTTAGCCTGGATGGTCTCAATCTCCTGACCTCATGATCCGCCTGCCTCGGCCTCCCAAAGTGCTGGGATTACAGGCGTGAGCCACCGCGCCCGGTCACCTATTCTGCCTTTTAAGTTTTGACTTGCTTGTGGACCATTTGTGAGGCAGTGAACACATGCTTCTCTTAAGAGAAGCTGCTTCCTTCTTTTTTGTCCTTCTGCACCTCAAATTCCCTGCAAAGCAGCAAACAATACAAACACGGTGATTACTAGGGCTTTTGATTGTAACATGTATTGTCATGTTGCATAATGCAGCAACCTAGAGCCGGTAAAGTTAAAGAGGCTTGTTCCAATTTCATTAGGGCTTGTATGTGTTAAGGGCTAGTATTAGTAGATTGCATTATTTTGATGATTAAATCTAGAGGCATATAAAAACTTAAGCTTCTTATTTTGAGATAATTGTAGATGTACATGCATTTTAAGAAATAGTACCGAAAAGCCTTTGTAGCCTTTACTTAGTACAATGTCACAACCAATCCAGTCTGTCTTATGCAGATTTACTTGTACTTGTGTGTGTGTGCATATTTAGTTCTGTGCAATTTATTATCACATGTGTAGGTTTATATATTCATACCACAGTAAAGACAAAAAATAGTTCTATCTCTACAAGGATCCCTTGTGTTTCCCCGGTTTTTTTTTTTTTTTTTTTTTTTGAGATAGAGTCTCACTCTGTTGGCCAGGCTGGAGTGCAGTGGCACGATCTCGGCTCACTGCAACTTCCACCTTCCAGGTTCAAGCGATTCTTCTGCCTCAGCCTCCCAAGTAGCTGGGACTACAGGCATGCGCCAGCACGCCCGGCTAATTTTTGTATTTTTAGTAGAGATGGGGTTTCACCACATTGTCCAGTCTGCTCTCAAACTCCTGACCTCGTGATCCACCTGCCTCGGCCTCCTAAAGTGTGTTGCCCTTTTATAACACCCTTCTCCCTCATTCTAATCTTTGGCAACTACAGATCTATTTTCCATTTCTATAATTTTGTCATCTTAAGAATGTTATATAAATTGAATCATATACTTTGTAATCTTTGGAGATTGGCTTTTTTTTCTAAGCATAATTCCCTGGAGATACATCCATTGTTGGATGTAGCAATGGTTCATTCCTTTTTATTGCTGCAAAGTATTCTATGGTATGGATGTACCACTGTTGGTTTAAACATTTGTCCATTGAAAGACATCTGGGTGGCTTCCAGTTTTTGGCCATTATGAGCAAAGCATTTATAAACATGAATGTAAAAATTTTTCAGTGAACATAAGTTGTCATTTCTCTAAGATAAATGCCCAAGAGTACAATTGCTGGTTTGAATGTGGTTGCATGTTTAGTTTATGAGAAACTGCCAAACTGTCTTCCAGAATGGCTGTACCACTTTCATTCCCACCAGGAATGTAGGAGTGATCCAGTTTCTATTGTTCCTTGATAGTGTTTGGTGTTGTCACTATTTTATATTTTAGTGATTTTGGTGGGCATATAGAATTATCTTATTATAGTTTTAATTAGCATTTCACTACTAGCTAATGATGTTGAACATCTTATCATGTGCTTATTAGCCATCTGCATATCCCCTATGGTGAAATGTCTTTTACCTATTTCCTAACTGGATTTTTAAAAGTATTGAGTTTCAAGAGTTCCTTATGCATTATAGATACTAGTCTTTTCTCAGATATGTGGTTTGAGAATACTTCCTCCTAGTCTGTAATGTGTCTTTACACCTTCCTCAATGGTCTTTGGCAGAGCCAAAGTTTTTAGTTTTCGTAAAGCATCTAATTGATCAGTTTTTCCTTTCATGGATTGTGCTTTTGGTATCAAGTTAAAAACTCTTTGTCTAGTCCTAGATCACAAGGATTTTCTCTTATTTTTTATATGATTTTTCATAGTTTTAGGTCTTACATTTAAGTGTTTGATCCATTTTGAATTAACTTTTGTGTAAAGTATGAAGTTAGATCTAGGTTCACTTCCTTGCCTACACAGATGTCCTATTGTTCCAGCATCATTGAATTAATTTTGCACGTTTCTCAAAAATCTGCTGGGCATATTTGTGTTGGTCTATTTCCATTTTCTTCTATTCTGTTTCACTGATCTATGTGTCTATCTCTCTGCCAATACTGCATTGTCTTGATTACTATAGCTCTATAGTAAATCTTAATATTGGGTATTAATTTCCAATTAAATAGGTCATCTTTGATTTCTTAGAGGTATTTTTACTGATAATTCTAAGTTGATTCTAGTGCTCAGAGTACCTCACACTGATTGGAATTAGAATATAATAGTACCTCTTTTGGGCAATCCCATCACATTATGGGATAAAATGCAAGTCAAAACATCTATGACCTTATCAAGGTCTATGAAATTGATAAAAGCAGTTTGCAAACCATTTTCCATGTATGTGGCATATGGGTATATAGTAATGATTGTCAATAGCACTTATATTAGTAGAAGTATGATATAAAAGTTTTTAAAATTTAGTTTTTCATTCATTATTTTGTTGATTGATTTATATGGACCTTGGAGCCAAGAGTGAATGTCTGAAAGCATATGCTGTAGGCATCATGGCAGGAATCCTATGTTTCCTGCCCCAAGTGCTTTCCAGAGACAAAGCTCTTGTCCTGTGTTTGCCAGTTTGCTGCTATGTATTCCCAAAGAGACTAGAAACCACATCAAAGTACCAGTATATTTCCAGTCCTTGGCACATTGCTTGGCACATAAGTAGATGGTCATTACACTTTTTTAAGGTATCTAGCAAGTCACACTATTTTGAGATTCATTTTTGGTTCTTTTCCTCTTTTATATGCTGGATTAGACTTTGTTGAGTTCCCTGTGTTATTTAAAGCCATCTCTATCCCTCACTTCCTAAAATTTCATACCCTCCTGGTTTATCTTACTTTTTGACCTTTTCTTTTATTAGCCTTTTATTGTGAATATTCTTTTAACTCTATTCTTGGGCCTACTTTATTTTGCTCCCTTTCACACTGTAGGGTATATATTACATTACTTTGCCTATGAAGCACCTTTTCCTTTCAAAAATTGCCTCTCTCCCATGCCATAGGATTATGATGTGGCTCTCATTCCAAACCAGGCTGGCCAATTAAAAAAATTCCTATTTTGGGGTGGGCGCGGTGGCTCACGCCTGTAATCCCAGCACTTTGGGAGGCCGAGGTGGGTGGATCACCTGAGGTCAGGAGTTCTAGACCAGCCTGGCCAACATGGTGAAACCCCGTCTCAACTAAAAATACAAAAATTAGCTGGGCATGGTGGCAGGCACCTGTAATCCCAGCTACTCAGGGGGCCGAGGCAGGAGAATCACTTGAACCTGAGAGGCGGAGGTTGCAGTGAGCCAAGATTGTGCCATAGCACTCCAGCCTAGGGACAAGAGCAAGACTTCATCTCTAAAAAGAAAAAAAAAAGCAGAAAGAAAAATTCCTATTTTTTAACACGGTGTTCAGTCTAGGAATGGACACATTGTCAAAGCAGGGCTAATCAGAGTTCACTTGAAGTTTTTATATCAATGCTGGGGAAGACAGGGTCATCTTTTAGTCTGGGATGATAAACTGAGATTCAGCCATTCAACAAATGCTTATTGAGTGTCTGCTCTGTATCAAGCACTGTGGGGGACTCTGAATGACATGAATCAGGAGCTGTCCATGGCCATGTTTGCTGCCACAGGGAGAGGAGAGGGCCTACCTGAGAATGAAGCTAACACAGGGAAGAGTGGCTTCAAGGGATAAAAAAGCATAACAATCCTCAAGACCTTCTTTGAGCATCAGGATCCAGGTGTGCCTGAAGCATATACTGAACTTACAGTTAAGGAGAAGCCACATAATTACATTTTTTTTTGAGACGGAGTCTCGCTTTGTTGCACAGGCTGGAGTGCAATGGCGCAATCTAGCTTCACTGCAACCTCGGCCTCCCAGGTTCAAACAATTCTCCCACCTCAGCCTTTTGAGTAGCTGGGATTACAGGCATGCACCACCACACCCTGCTAATTTTTTTGGTATTTTTAGTAGAAACGGGGTTTCACCATGTTGATCAGGCTGGTCTCTAACTCCTGACCTCAAGTGATCCACCCACCTTAGCCTCCCGAAGTGCTGGGATTATAGGTGTGAACCACCACGCCCGGCCATTATTACAATTTTCACTCAGACTTTGTCATGGAGTAATACATGTGCCAAATCCTAATCATTTTAAAATCCGAATCTTCAGTTCTATTGGCTAGCACTTACTTTTTTCCTGGATATCTATTGTCCCCAGTCACTTGAATGTGCCAATAATCTCTAAAATGAAATGTACCCAGAAGTAAACTGATTATCATAATTTACCAGAATATAAGCTCCATAAGGTCAGGAACCCTGGCTTGCTCACTCTTACGTCACAGTGCCTACAACAGTGCCTGGCACATGGTAGGAGCTCAAAAATATTGGTGAACAACTAATTAAGAACTCTCAGAGGCCAGTCATGGTGGCTCACGACTATAATCCCAGCACTTTGGGAGGCTGAGGTGGTGAATTACTTGAGTCCAGGAGTTTGAGACCAGCCTTAGCAACGTGGTGGAACCCTGTCTCTACTAAAAATACAAAAAAATTATCTGAGTGTGGTGGTGTGTGCCTGTAGTCCCAGCTACTTGGGAGGCTGAGGCAGGAGGATCACTTGAGCTTGGGAGGTTGAGGTTGCAATGAACTGAGATTGCACCACTGGACTCCAGTCTGGGTGACAGGGCAAGACCCTGTCTCAAAAAAACCAAATCAAACCAAAACAAAAAAACCCTCTCAGACTATGATTACGTATTTCCAATTATCTTTAACAAGTGCTTTTCTTTATATTAGCAGTTCTCAAGAATGTTGGAATATGGTGGTTTGGGAATGAGTTTATCAGAATCACCCAAGAAACTTTGTTAGGTAAGAATGACTGCTTGTTAGAGTTATCTTAGACTTTAAAAAATATAACAAGTAAAAAAAAAAAACTTATGAAAAAACTCTCCAGTTTCACAAATCCATGTTAAATCATTTCACAAAGCAAAGGAAAAATATTATAAACCTCCTAGTTTTTCAGCTTTGTAAATATTTCAGTTCTCTTTTGCTGTAATCTTAAGCCTCCCCGAAGCTTAGTGGCTTAAAACAATGACTATTTTATTATATTTCATGACTTTTGGAATGCAGGCAGGGCCATGACTAGGTGGGTCTTCTTTTCCGCGTGGAATTAGTGTTGACCACTTGGTGGTATTTGGCTGGTGGATGAGCTGTGTATATGGTGTAAGAACAGATCACATTTTTTAACACCCTTTTCCTCTAGAAGATACAGTTATTTTCAGTAATAACATGAAATGAAATTAATAACAATAATGCCCACAGGAGAAATAGAAAAATTGAAAAATTCTTTTTTATTAAACTTTATATGCATAATCATACCTGTTTTACAAAAAGAAAAACACACTGCACTACACTGTAGCCTGGATGATAGAGTGAGACCCTGTCTGTTAGAAAAAGAAAAAGAAAAAGAAAGTAAAATAGTACAGTACCAAGAAAAGGAAAAATGCACAACTATGTATTAACTAGTTGTTCTATTTAATCTGCATAGTTTGAACTTTGATCCTTTTTGTTCCAGTCTAGTATAATAATATTTTAGATAATAATTGTACAGTAACTAGTTAGTTTTAGGAAAGCTGAAAAGTCTATAAAAGATTTAATTTAGGGGACTGTTAAATTGTACTACTCGTGTAATATTTCATTTTCTTGCTTTATTATTTAGATTTAAAATAATTAAAATAGAATACATTTTAACTTTTAAAAATATTATTTAAACTCAGCAAACTATTTAATGTATAAACTAAAATTTGCACTTACCAAACATCAATATTACACCTTGTAATTTACACCTTGTTTCACTGTTTTAGATGTTAAATACAAATTAAAACTCTAAGTGGTCAAGTAGAATGAGAGTTTTGAAGACACTCAAGGTCTGTTTCTTTGTTTTTGCAACTACTGTGCTATTATTGTTTGACTCTCACATAGCAATGCAGGAATATGTGCTTACAGGGGTAGGAGAATGAACTGTCCACAGCTGTCCACAATGTTCCCACAGAGAGCTTGAAATAAGCATGTTGCTGAGGCTGGAAGTGTTGGGGGTAAAACTAGGAGTTCTCCGAATTTACTTCCATGCAGAATATAATGTTTATTAAAGAATAGGTAACAAAAATGTGCTAATCTGAAGTGTACTTGCATATGATTAAAACTTAACAATGACCACAGCGGTTGTTTAGAAATTAGGCCAACAAAAGATTTTTTCCAGGTAATAATAGTTTACCACTGACATTGTTTAGAATTGCCAGCTCATGGTAATAACAAAAAGCAGACCAACTTTTCGTCCATTTTATTATTGTTTTAAAAGTCCCTACATACAGTGAACCCATTTATTGGCTGCTTCTGAAACAGATTGGTGCACTCTAGTTTTGGAAGATCCAAGCTTTTTGGGGCCTTTGCAGGGGTTGTTGGGAAGTTATGCCCAGTCAAGACCATCAGTTGGCACACCTGCTTGTGGCCTCTGTAGCATGGAAGGCTTCTCACATGGTAGTACAAGGTTCCCAGAGGTACCATCCTAAAAGATCTGGGCAGAAGCTGCAAGGTTTCTTTGACCTAGTCTTGGAAGTTAGACTATTACTTCCTGTGCACTCTGCTGGTGTGATGGTTAATACTGAGTGTCAACTTGATTGGATTGGGGGATGCAAAGTATTGTTCCTGAGTGTGTCTGTGAGGGTGTTGCCAAAGGAGATTAACGTTTGAGTCAGTTAAGGCAGACTCACCCTCAGTCTGAGTGTGCACAATCTAATCAACCGCCAGTGCGGCCAGAATAAAACCAGGCAGAAGAACGTGGAAAGACTAGGTTGGCTTAGCCTCCCAGCCTACATCTTTCTCCTGTGCTGGATGCTTCTTGCCCTCAAGTATCAGACTACCAGTTCTTCAGCTTTGGGACTTAGACTGGCTTCCTTGCTCCTCAGCTTGCTGATGGCCTATTGTGAGACCTCACCTTGTGATCGTGTGAGTCAATACTCCTTAATAAACTCCCCTTTATATATACATCTATCCTGTTAGTTCTGTCCCTCTAGAGAACCCTGACTAATATAACTGGTCAAACAAATCACTAAGATCAGTCCAGATTTAAATGTGAGGGAAATTACAGCCTCCACCTCTCAATAGGAGGAGTAACAAAACATTTGTAGCCATCTTTAACCTTCTAGAGGTAATGTAAATTTTTATTCAGGGATTATACCTCCTATCATCTTTGCATTTATGTTTGCTCCTCTCTCTCCTTTACCTCTTATCCAATAAGTATTCAAGTCTGCTGGTTCTTCCTCTGTCAGGCCCTTAGAATTTATGAATTGATTAGTGTGACTTCTGGATTTCTGATTTTATTCCTTTCCTGTTTTTATTTATTTATTTGTTCATGTCTCAAAGGCCCATTTGAGGCAGTAAGCAGCAGAGCTTAATATAGGTGCACAGGCTCTGGAGCCATCTGACTAGGTTCAAAAGATAGGTATTTAACCTCTCTGTACTGTGGTTCCCTCATCTGTGCACTGAGAATGATGATAGTATCTATCTTATCCACTGAGTGACATTTAAGTGGCTTAATAGGTATAAAGCTCTTACAACAATATCTGTCACATGGCATATACTTAACAAATGATAACTATTGTGATTAGTACATATCTTGATTTGAGATCATGCAGAAGCACCTTCCAAAACAAAGATTTGAGTGCAAGTAGTTTATTTGGGAGGTGATCCCAGAAAACTCTATAGGGAAGTGAGGATATAAAACAGAGAGGGGAAGGCAGCCAATAAAGGACAAGTTACCAGCATGGGAAACTAGAGCTTAATCCACCAGAAAACCTGGGAGCCAATGTAGAACACACATTTCACAGGGAGTTTGCCCAAGGGTCAGGGAAACTGGGTAATGTCACCCATCATTGGAGAAGGACTCTCTCCAGCATGTGTTAATTCCCTGATACTTCTTTTTTTGCTGTGTGAAAAAGTCTTTAGACAAGGAGATATAGAATCTAGCAGGTGGAGGTCAGGCCATGGGCACAGAAATGATAAGGCCCGAGGGCACCTAGCAAGGGCAGTGATGGATTCCACAGGCCCTATTATTTATCTTCCAGGGATTATGAACTGGGTTCTTCTTATGGGCTTGTCACTTGAAAACTGGCCAAATATAGTATAAGCTTGGAGGGAGAAAGAAGTAGCAGAGGAAGTAGAAGTAAGAAATGAGCATGTGGCAGAGCCAATGATAATTGACTCTTATGCCCAAATGGATCTTTTTTGCATTTTCAAGGCCTCTCATGACTTCAGCTTTCTATATTTATCTGCTTTCTTCCTAACATGTTCTTTTATTTTCCCTCCATTTAGCAAGGCTGAGCTACTTACCATAGCCTACATGAATTGTGATCATTTCCACTATAAATGCAGAATGACAATATCGTACATGCAGTGAGTAGAAGGAGAATTACTCCTTTACCGGCCTGGCACATATTTATGCCTACACTAATAGTCTGCAAACTGCACAAAGCACAGATTTACCTCAAACTGTATTCATAAATATTGAGGAAGTTGTTGTAATTACAAACTATAGTACTTTAAAATCTGATCTAAGTTTGCAAAAAGTCATTCAAGACTACTGATCAGTTACCCTGTGATTCGAACATGCCATTCAGTTTCTCTGGAGCCTTCTCTGAAAGCCACACAACAAAGGTAGGAAGCACACTCAGAAAAGTCTTGAGGGAAGGGCACGGCATTTGGCTTGTATTACTCTGGGTTGATCTTGGATCTGATCTGTTACTGAGGAACAGAAAAGGTTTAGCGTAGGGCTGGTTTTCATAAAAGGAGGCTTCCATCTCCTACTGGAGTTATTTGGGCTGAGCCACACTAGGAATGTTTTTGAAGTGGTATGCTCATTAAAAAATAAAAATCAGAAGAAATAATAAGAGTAAAGCATTGCAAATTACTTCTGTTTATTTAGGCAGTGTGTTACCACTGTGCTGGCAGAGGTTTTATTTTTTCAGTTTTGAACCAATCCTCTGAAACCAGAGCTAGCCTCATCAAATGTTCAGTCAGCAAGTACTTGATGAGCGTTCAAGGAATCTACCACAGAATGTGAGGAGCGTGTATGAAAAACCCAAAAACTCTGTCCTGGAGAAGTTTATAGTTTTATAGGTCAAACTAATGCATAATCAAAATAAATGTATAGTTGTAAATGCAGTAATTACTGATGTGTATTTAGGGAGAAGGATGGATAAGAACCAAGCTACTGGGTTGAAGAAACACTAGAGTGAAGTGGTGAAAACTGCAAAGACGTTTGTTCTTGACTTAACCTCTTTTACCCTGATTTTTTTCTCATTTAATTTCTAAGGAAGACTATCACTACAGGTTGATGGACAAGATATTTTGGAGGCTTTATGATTGAAAGATCCTTGGTGAAGTGCAGACCAGTGCTATTCAATGGGACTTTCTGTGATGATGGAAATGTTCTGTGTAGTCCAAAGCCATAGCTACTAGCTGTTATGGGATCACTGGGGTGTTGCTTTTCTGGCTGGAAACCTCTGTAGCCAGGGGCACCTTTGCCTGAGTTTTGCTCAGGCCTGCTGGGCTCATTTTCCATACTCGACCTGGCAGGCTGCGCTCAGCTCATGCTACTGGCCTGGATCCTACCACCTGCCAAGGGCGAGTCAGGCGTGGAGTGGTGAGCGGTGTGTGAACCAGTGTGGGATTTAGCCACTGCACAGTCATGCGGGCTGCTGCAGTGGGGTGGGCAGCTCCAGGTGCTGGCATGGGCACCGGCTTTCAGAGAGTCTGTGGCCAGACCAGGTGCACTGCAGGCAGCTTCCATGGCTGGCACTGGAGAACACAGTGGTGCCCAGAAGCTTGGAGATGCCAGAAACTGCAGGGCCCCAAAGAGGGAGTCACAGCCCTGGCTTGGGGAGCTCCCAGGTCTGGGCTTCCTAAAGGGCTGCAGCTCACCTCTTGTTCTTTTGGCCCACATGTGGCAAGCAAGGGGCGTGTTTCAGCCCTGTTTGTGTTGCAGGTTGTCTTTTAGACTTGCCATTTGGCAGGTCCTGAGTTCTTGTCTTGCAACTGGGAAGAATGAGGTATGCAGACAAGTAAAGGGTGAACAAGATGAAGAGGAGATTTATTGAGTGATATAACAGCTTAGAGGAGACTCACAGGGGGCAGCTGCTTTCTGCAGCCAGGGTGTCCTGTTGAATGTTCAACTCCCAGCTGAGAGGGTAGCTCCTCTCTGCAGGCAGGTTGTCCCAACAAGTGTTTAGCTTCCAGCAGAGAGGGTGGCTCCTCTCTGCAGCTGGTCACCCCATTGTCCGTCCAGCTCTGCCTGAGCATGGGGCTTTTATGTGCCTCAGAGGGAAAGAAATGCATGCTGATTGGTCTATGGGCTGCTATGGGTGGGCCTGAAAAAGGCATCACAAGTTCCCACTCCAGTCTGTGGGACTGGGTGCCAAGCCCCCAGCCTTCAGGCCCTCCCTGGCTTGAAGGTAGGGCTTCACTGGGACTGCCCCCTTCCACCTGGGTGCCTATCTGCCTCCTGCCACCATCCATGGTGCCCAGGCTGCTTATGCCAATGGGCACCTGCAGGCCAGCACTGAGCTGCCCTCAGTGTCTCCCCTTGGCTTTCCCCCGACCCTATGCTCATTGTTGCCCAAAGTCAGGAGTGGGCTGAGGCAGCAGGGAACTGGCAGGTTTCAAGTGTGCTGCCCTGAGTGTGTGCACACCTGGATAGGCTGTGACAGTGCCTGAACTCGGCCCCAACCCCACTTCAAAATTGGAGAGTGTGCCAGGAGCAGAGAGAGGCCAGGTGGAGGGAGCAGACACCCCCAAGCCTGCAGGGGCAGTAGGGGCCTTCCCAGGCCCCCCAGGTTGCAGAGTACAGAGATGCCCACATACTGCACCTGGGAGGGCAGGGCTCTTTCACCTGCTCTATGGAGCATGCAGGGATCCCCAGCTGCACTTCCTCACAACCTGGGGTGGGGTCTCCAGGTCCTCGCTGGGCCCCTCTCTGCCCACCCCTCTTTGCCAAACTTATGCTGCTCCCCTGCTGGCAGGCAACTCTGCCCAGCCCCATTGTGGCAGCTACCAGGGTGGTGGGCTCCAAGGAGACTCCTGCTTGTCCCTGGCTCCTGCTGGCTCCATGGAGTGCAGCACCACCCCAGGCCCAGCTCCACCTCATCCCAGCACCCTCCCCACAGTGGCTGTAGGCAAGAGTGATGAGAGTCCAGAGTGAAGGAGGCTCTGGGCCTGGGGATAGGTCCTGCCCTGCCACATGAGGGTAGGAGTGGCACAGCCAGCTGCTTTGGGCATGTGAGGCACAGGGAATCTACACCGCCATTGCTGATCCCACAACTGCTCCTGCCACCACTGCTCACACCTCCCCACTGCAGCTGGCATGATGGCAGCAGCCGATCCTGACAGCCTGCCATGCCATCATGGCCACATGTGGGTAATGAGCACTTGAAATGTGGTTAGTGCAACTGTGGAACTGAATTTTTTATTTAATTAAACTTAAATTTAAATAGCCACATGTGGCTGGTGACTAGTATCTTAGGCAGCACAAGTCAAGACAATACTTTCTGTTGATAATTACCCACTTCCCAAACAGTAAAAACTGGAGGAACAGACAAGAACAAAGCTGGCGAGAGGCCATGCAGCTCAGGTGGCAAAGGCAAACTTGAAGGCTGCTGTGGGTGTAATGAAGGTCCGTGTATCAGTCCGGGCCCAGTCAGGAGAAACCACCCAGTTACTTATTTATTTTTGTTGAGGCAAAACTGACATAATATAAAACTAATCATTCTAGAATCAATAACTCAGTGGCATTTACTATATTTACAAATGTTGTGCAACTACCACTTTTTTCTAGTTTCAAAATATTTTCATCACCCCAAAAGAAAACCCCGCACTTATTAAGCAGTTGCTCCACATTCATTCCTCTCTTTAGCCCCTGGAAGGCACCAGTCAGCATTCTGTGTCTATGGTTTTGCCTGTTCTGGATATTTCATATAAATGGAATCATACAATATGTGGCCTTTTGTGTCAGCTTCTTTCACTTTCTAGCAACACTATTTGTAATAGCCAACAGGTGGAAACAGCCCAAATATCCATTAATGGATGAATGGGAAAAAATTGGGGTACATACATATAATGGAGTATTATCCATTGAAGGATGCTTGAGGCTGGTTCTGAAAGTGTTGGAAGAACCACAAACTGGATTCAACCACTGCTGTGGGAAGGTACTGCTGCTGTTGCTGAACTAGGAAGTAGGAAGACAGCCAATAGAACTAACAGGAAGTGGACAGGAAGGATCATGTCTCTTTTCCCTACTGCAGCCTTACAGTCTGCCCCCCTGTTAGAAAAGCCTGACAGTAGTCGACTGGCAAAGCAGACTGTGGTTTGCAGAGTTCCAGCCCCAGCATCACAAATCAGAGTAAAGAGGGAGTAGTTTGGGAGCTAAGAAACAATAATTAAGAAAGGGCATAGTCCATACAAGAAAAGGACTCTGGGCTGTACTGATAGAGCTTGGGTGTGTAGGGGGGAATGCCGAGATCTCAGATACAGTTTTTTATAACTTCATGGAGTTTCATCCTTACTTTATTCTTTGTTAGATGTAAGAAAAGGATCTACCTGGCCAGTGCACATTGAAATATAATGTACTAACATATTTATATACTTGAATTTTCAGGTAATTTTTTGTTCTTTTCCAGACTGTAAAAAGAAGATGTTTACTGGAAGCTTGTAGTAAAGTTAGAGTAGCTCTGTTCCAATGTTTGACCATTCAGAGAGGAGTCATACCCTTCTTCACTTCACAAGGTATCTCTCACCTTCATTAAAAAAATTGAAATATAATCCATGTCCTGCAGAATTTACCATTTTAATATATACAATTCCGTCATTTTTTAGTTTTTTTCATAAAGTTGTGCAAATATCGCCACTATCTAATTCCAGACTATTTTAATCATCCTTCCAAAAGAGACTTAATACTCATTAAGCAGTCATTCTCTATTCCTCCATTCTCTAGCTCCTAGCAACCACCAATCTGCTTTCTGTCTCTGTGGTTCTGTATTCTGGACATTACCTATAAATGGGATCACACAATATGTGGCCTTTTGTATCTGCCTTCTTTCATGTAACATGATGTTTTCAAGGTTGCTCCGTGTTGTAGCATTTATCAGTACTTCATTCCTTTTTATTGCTAAATAGTGTTCCATTGTGTGGAATATCATATTTACTTCATTCACTCATCAGTTGATGAACATTTGATTGTTTCCACTTTTTGGCTACTATGAATAATGCTGCTATGAATATTTATGTACAAGTTTTTATGTGAACATGTTTTCATTACTCTTGGGTATATACAATGGAGTGAAATTATTGGGTTATATAGTAACTTAATGTTTATCAGATATTTTGACAGATATAGTTTTCAAAATTTTAGCTCTATTTTTCTACTATTTAGGATATCCATGTTTTTGCTGTTTTTTTCCTTTGGATGTTTTGGTAATTCTCTTCATATTTTTCTTTTTCTTTAAAGGAAATAGCACTATATATATATATATATCTTAAATTATATATGTAATTTAATTGATTAATTACAAATAGAAATGCAAAAAGTACAATGTAAACATGCCTCTTAAACTTCCTCTTTAATCTCTAGTGATAACCACTACTACAGTTTTTTGTGTTTCTTTTATCCCAGTTTTTATCTATGTATTAACACACATATATGAGTATCTATGTCTATGTATATCATTTGAATTTTTTATAGTAATAAAATCTGGTTTTATGTAATGTTCAAAAGTTTTCTCACTTAAATCTATATACCTGTTAATGCTTAGAAATCTACCTCTTTCCCGGTTTCTCTTCTACCTCTCTGACCACTCCTTCTCTGTCTTCTTTGCAACCCTTACATATGGGAGTACCTTCAGGTTCAATCCTAGTCTCCTCTCACCTCTTCTCTCTCCTCCTTTTCCTCTTTTATTCTCTGTCTCTTTTTTCTTTTCTCATGTGATATTTTCTCCTTACAAGATGTCATTCACTCTCAGAGTTTCAATTGCCCTTTTATTTTATGACTTGCAAATTTTTATTTTCAGTCCAGATCTCTCTTTTACATTTCAGGTTTGAGTATCCAACTTCTCACTTGATATTTCCATTTCAATTCCATCATGTTCTCCCCTCACAAATCTGTCCTCCGTTTGTGCTCTTGCTTCATAGAATCCAGTTACACATCCATTTAATTTTACAAACCAGACACCCATTGCTCCTGGCAATCCTTCTCTTTAACTTCCCATGTTCAATCCAGTTGATTAAATCCAAATTCTGTTTATCTCCTTACTATCTCTCAAATCTGCCAATTTCTCTCCATTTCCACAGACATGGTGCCAGTGTTTCACCTGTTCAGTTTCCTATCTGGTCTCTACACATCCACTTGGGCTTCTAACCAAATCCTTCTCCTCAATGCAGCCAGAATTATCTTTTAAAATTTAAACTAGATTGTGTTACTTTTCTACTTAAAGCCTTTCAGTGGTTTCCCATGACTCAGAGTTTTTAGTCTTGCTCTACTTACCTCCCTTTCTTCATCTCCTGGCACTTTCCCAGCTCCTGGGCTTCAGCCACACCTGTCACCTTCTGGCAATAGGGACTTGCATATGCTGCTCTTTCTGACTGGAATGTTCTTCCCTTTCTTTTACCAACTGACCCTAAATCAGTAATTACCTTCTCAGTGTAAGTCTAGATCGGGTTCCTTAGTGTTATAGGCCCTTATACAATAGTGTTTCCTTTAGACTTTTAGTTTGTTTGTAGTTATAAATTTATTAGTGTGCTGATTTGAGTCCTTCCAACTATAATTGTGTCTTCTTTCGAGCATCTTTAATCCTCAGTACCTCAAACAGTCCTGGTACGAATGACTGTTGAAGGAGCAACTGCATAATATTACATAGTATGTATATACCGTAATATATTTCATCAGTTTCTTACTGAGGGATGTGTAAGTTGTTTCTACATTTTCTCTATTAACAAATATTTTGTATAAGCCTTTAAAAGGCTAGTTCAGAACATGATATTTTTCCTCTCATTAGATGTTCATGAAGTCAAGTGTTTTGAGGAAAATGTTAGTGCAGCCTGATTGCTTTAACATTTTCTTGCACTACAGAAGAAACAAAGCAGTTATTGTATATTAATAAAAGTTAAACTATTTATTTACACATGAATAGTACCAAATGTGGTAAGAAAATCAATAACTAGTGAATGAGAATAATCAAGAGAAAGAAATAACAGAAAAATATAAACATTTTATTTTTAACCAACAAAGATATATACTTTATTTTTTTTTGATTCAAAGTTTGAGTAATCATTGCTACTAAGTTCTTGGCATGAAACCTACTTGTTATCTTTTCATGGGTTGGCCACAGCTTGCAGGCTACCCATATTTTCAATCTTGTTGGGATTATTTTGACTTAACTAGGTTAAAAGTATACACAGGACTACATCCAAAACTATGAAAACTCATAAAAGAGTAAGGCAATAGATATTAAATTAGAACATCTATTTTCTTTGATTTAGATATCCCTATTTTGGGGACTTTATCTTATATGATAGAAGCACCAGTATCAAAACACATATATACAAAGATATTAAACCAGCATTATTTGTAGTGGCCAAAATGTTGGAAAAAAACTGTATGTTCACAAATAGAGTGATTGTTGGATTATTTATAGAACAGTTATACTATGTGTTGATTATGCAGTTATTAAAAATACATTTGAGGTAAATCTGCTAATCCAGAAGGATATCTGTGATCTATTATGTTTTGGAAAATTCTCCAAAACTTAAAAATAGGGCAAAAAAGATGATCTTAATATCCTGCTATAACATTTTCTAACAAGCCACTGTAAAGGTCATCTAGCTCTCACCATGGGAAAAGAGACGGTTTCACTTAAATTTTAAAACTTGGTAAAGCTAGAGGTTAACTTGCAGAAATGTAATAAGGTGCAATTTTTTTTTTTGTATAGTAAAAATAACTCCAAATGTTATGATTTTATTCCCCTATAGGACAGTGGTCAATTTTATATTTAATCTAGCAGTTTTATTTAAGGTATTCTTTTTTTCACTGTTAATATGAATATAAATTCAAGTTTCTCATTCAAATTGAATCAATCTCATTCTGCTAGTTTCCTCATTAATGAGTCAAATAAAATTTTGACATGTGCCCATTACTATTTGTGTGGGACTTTATTATTATTATTATTTACCAATATGAGAATTAAGTTTCAACGATTATTAAATGAGAAAGGCAAATTGCAGAGTAATGTGTATAGATTGTTTATACAATTGTATTAGTCTGTACTCATGCTGCTAATAAAGATATACCTGAGACTGGGTAATTTATAAAGGGTTTAATTGACTCACAGTTCAGCATGGCTGAGGAGGCCTCAGGAAACTTACAAACATGGCAGAAGGGGAAGCAAACACATCCTTCTTCATATGATGACAGGAAGGAAAAGTGCTGTGCAAAAGGAGGAAAAGCCCCTTATAAAAACATCAGCTCTCATGAGAACTTACTCACTATCACAAGAACTGCAGCATGGGAATAACACCCCCATGATTCAATTACTTCCCACCAGGTTCCTCCCACAACAAGTGGGGATTATAGGAACTACAATTCAAGATGAGACTTGGGTGGGGACACAGCCAAACCATATCATTTGGCCCCTCCCAAATCTCATGGCCTCACATTTCAAAACCAATCATGCCTTCCCAACAGTTCCCCAAAGTCTTAGCTCATTTCAGCATTAACTCAAAAGTCCATCTGAGTTAATGCTGAAATGAGTTTCAGCATTTTCAGTTAATGCTGAAACTCATCTGAGACAAGGCAAGTCCCTTATGCCTATGAGCCTGTAAAATCAAAAGCAAGTTAGTTACTTCCTAGATAAAATGGGGGTACAGGCATTGGGTAAATATATGCATCCCAAATGGGAGAAATTGGCCAAAACAAACCAGGTGCAGGCTCCATGCAAGTCTGAAATCTAATAAGGCAGTTGTTAAACCTTAAAGTTCCAAAATGATCTCCTTTGACCCTTTGTCTCATATTCAAGTCATGCTGATACAAGAGATGGGCTCCCATGTCCTTGGGAATCTCCACTCTTGTGGCTTTGCAGAGTATAGCCCCTCTCCCAGCTGCTTTCATGGGCTGGCATTGAGTGCCTGAGGCTTTTCCAGGTACATGGTGCAAGCTGTCAGTGGATCTACCATTCTGGGGTCTGGACGATGGTGACCCTCTTCTCACAGCTCCACTAGTGGAGCTAGTGCCCCAGTGGGGACTCTGTGGGGGCTCTAGACCCCACATTTCCCTTCTGCACTGCCCTAGCAGAGGTTCTCTATGAAGGCTCCACCCCCGCGGCAAACTTCTGCTTGGACATCCAGTCATTTCCATACATTCTCTGAAATCTAGGCGGAGGTTCCCAAACCCCAATTCTTGATTTCTGTCTACCCACAGGCTCAATACCAGGTGGAAACTGCAAAGGCTTGGGGCTTGTATTCTCTGAAGCAATGACCTGAGCTGTACCTCAGTCCTTTTTAGCCATGGCTGGAGTGGCTGGGATGCAGGGCACCAAGTCCTGAAGCTGCACACAGCATGGGGGTCCTGGGCCCAGCCTAGTAAATCATTTTCCCTCCTAGGCCTCTGGGCCTCTGATCAGAGGGGCTGCTGCAAAGGTATCTGACATGCCCTGAAGACATTTTCCCCATTGTCTTCCCCTGGAGACATTTTCCCCATTGTCTTGATGATTAACATGCAGCTCCTCATTACTTATGCAAATTTCTGCAGCAAGCTTGAATTTCTCCCCAGAAAATGGGGTTTTCTTTTCTATCACATAGTCAGGATACAAATTTTTCAAACTTTTATGCTTTGCTTCCTCTTGAACACTTTGCTACTTAGAAATTTCTTCTACCAGATACATTAAATCATCTCTCTGAAGTTCAAAGTTCCACAGATCTCTAGGGCAGGGGCAAAATGCTGCCAATCTTTTTGCTAAAACATAGCAAAAGTCCTCTTTGCTCCAGTTCCCAACAAGTTCCTCATCTCTATTGGAGACCACCTTAGCCTGGACTTCATTGTCCATATCACTATCAGCATTTTGGTCAAAGGCATTTAACAAGTCTCTAGGAAGTTTCAAACTTTCCCACATTTTCCTGTCTTCTTCTGAGCCCTCCAAACTGTTCCAAACTCTGCCTGTTATCCAGTTTCAAAGTTGCTTCCACATTTTTGAGTATCTTTACAGCAGCAGTCCACTCTGTGGGTACCAATTTACTGTATTAGTTCATTCTCATGCTGTTAATAAAGACATACCCAAGACTGGGCAGTTTATGAAGGAAAGAGGTTTAATTAACTCACAGTTCAGCATGGCTGGAGAGGCCTCAGGAAACTTACAATCATGGTGGAAGGAGAAGCAAACACATCCTTTTTCACATGGCAGCAGGAAGAAAAAGTGCTGAACAAAAGGGGGAAAAGCCCCTTAAAGCCATCAGATCTCATGAGAATGAGCTCACTATCATGAGAACAGCAGCATGGGGGTAACTGCCCCCATGATTAAATTACCTCTCACTGGTTCTCTCCCACAACACGTGGGGATTATGGGAACTACAACTCAAGATGAGATTTGGGTGGGGATACTATTTCAACAACCGTACAAAAAAATCTTTATTCATACGTCTGCAAGAATGTATGTTTGTGCAAATGTACGCATGGAAAATACACACAAGAGGGTTAACATCACTCCTGTTACTTTGGGAGAGAAAATGATATTCAACGGAAATTGTTACAATTATATATATATATATTTGTTGTATTTTGAGAATTACTTCTTAATAGTTAAAAATTATAAAATTATAATAGTTAAAAATTATAAAAAAGACAATTAAATGGGGAAACCCTCTTAAAAGATTTTGTGACAATTTCTAATCCATTGTTTATTCTCATAGTGTGAACAATACACTCACATTAAAAAGATTTTATTTTCAAATGAAAAATTATTCCACAAAATTGGCATTGTATTTTACCAGCTCCATCTACTCATGCTTTTATGATTGCTAAAAATAGCCTGAAATTTATTAATATACTTTTCTCTTTCACTTTTCTGAATATATAACCTTTGGTCTATTTGGTCTATGAATTCATTTACTTGAGGTGAGGAAGGAGAAAAGGTTATGGAAGGAATATATCTCCTCAATTCAAATTTGCTCCAAGATTATATTCTTGTAAGCCTGTGTATATATAGAGAGGGTTTTCTAAAATCCTTTATTCTCCCACTTTTGCATATCAAGAAGCAAATTTGGAGCACTCAATTCCTAGAGCAGAGGAGGTGCCATTTGCATTGCCATCTAAGCCATGAGTCTTTCTTCTCTATGGCAGGGAACATATGGTATAGAAGGACCACTAGATACCACCTGTGCAGACAGTTCAAATTACTGAATTGGACTAGAGTTTAAACAAGATTTGACGTTTAGTAATCTTTTCCTCTCCCACCTAGGGGAAAACCATATAACTACAGGCAAAGTGAAGGAGATACATTCTCTCTGTAAACTTGGCCTGAGATGTGGATTAATTTGCAATGCCTTTACATTTTTGTGTTATATACCCAAAGGCTGGGGATGTGTACAGTGTGGAAAAGTTGGAGGGGCTTGGGGTTTGGAGTCAGGCTGATGCATTAAAATTATGTGTCCTTTAGTAGGTAACTTATTTAACCTGTAAGAACCTTAGTTACTTGTCTGTAAAATAATAATGTATATAACATGCCTAGTACGGTACTTGGCACAAGTGGGCTGTCAGAAATAGTGATCTTCCTGTCTATCAGGGTGAGATGTCAAACCACTTAATTCTGGAAAGAGTCTATAAAAAAGCTCCTTTGCCAGTATAGTGCATAAGTTTGGATATTGCCTATTACTGTTCCTTGGCTCAGAAAAAACCCCACTATTTAATATTTAATAAGACATTTATAATGGTTGCCACCTGCTTTATTAACAGAATGTTTTCTCTCATTAGAGTAGATGAGAAGAGCTGACTATACTCAGGGGAATGGGTGTGTCCTGCTAAAATCAACAGGAATTTGTAAGGGAAAGTCCACTGGGATAATAAATATGTGTGACTGTGGTTTTGGTGGTTTGAAAATGTGTGAGGAAGCTCTTTTATAGGAATGTCTGATAGTTATATTGACATAGACAAAGGAACGCTGAGGTTTGAAAAATGATTTAGAAAACTTGGGCAAAGTAATCTTTAATGGGTAGTTTGTATTATATAGATTGCCTGGAAGATGGACAGTGATAATTTTCTATTTCCTTTTGCCTGTGTAGCTGAAGTGCTCACATTTCTATTGCCTAAATAAAGATTCATCAGTGTGAGAGGATTATAGCTTTCTAAGGAATAGTGCTATGAAAAACTTAATTAGTGTTTTATGTAGCCACTGATTCTTTTGATAGACCCTGAGGCATATTTGGAAAAATTGGCAATGTTTAATGAAACAATGGAAATGTTTAGTAAGCCAATCAGGTTAACATATGAATAATGGTTCACTTTATAAAGGTTTTATTGATTTTTGTTAAATGACCTCCAGATGTGTTTGCATTTTTTCCATAACTTATTACAATCCATATTATAATATTTATAAATAATACAGAGAATTCTTTGGAGATGATGCTATATATAATATGTTGATCTACACCAGATGGCATTAGGTAAGAGGCAAATACTGTTAAAGTTAAAGGCCTGTGTGGTGTAGGATTTGAAGCAATTCTCAAGCAAGTTGTAAAATACTAGATACGTAAATTTAAAAATCTACATCATTTCTAAAAGGAAAACTTTTGCAAGCTTAATCAAATTCTCATCTCACATGTGTGAGACAGCTTTTGTGCTGTTTAAGTTAGGAAATGCTACTGCAATCTCAAGCCTACTATTGATTCTATAACTTGAACGGTAAGTGACAAAGTTTGCAAAGATCATTTTCCTAAGCTGCTAGACAAACATTTATAGGAAAAAAGGGCTTGTTTTTGTGATTTTTTTTACATTATTATTATGTAATAACTGAAGATGCAATGCAAAGCTTATAGTGTATAATGTATATGTATATGTATATACATCCATACACAGATCCAGACACATATATATGTATGTCTGAATATATATATTCTGTTTTCAACTTAACTTCACCAGTTGAAGTGGTGAAGTTAAGTTGAAAACGGCATAAATGTAGAAGAGAAGAATCTCACCTAAAAAGAAGGAACTAATTTAAGCTGTCTATAAACATAAAGGTACTAAAGTTTATTATGATAAGTAATTTTTTAAGATGTTGATTGATTACAGTCAAGGAGAATGAATAAGAAAAAAGAAAAAAATTCCTTTCTGCAGTAGCATAATTGACAGAAAACAAACCTAGAAAAGCTCCATTTTCTCTCTTTCCTTTTCTTTCTTTCTCTTTCTTTCTTTCTTTCTTTCTTTCCTTCTTTCTTTCTTTCTCTCTCTCTCTCTCTCTCTCTCTCTCTCTCTCCCTCTCTCTCTCTCTCTCTCTCTCTCTCTCTCTCTCTCTCTCTCTTTCTGTTTCTGTTTCTTTTTCTTTTTCATTGAGATGGAGTTTCGTTCTGTTGCCCAGGCTGGAGTACAGTGGCATGATCTCGGCTCACTGCAACCTCCACCGCCCGGGCTCATGCAATTCTTGTGCTTCAGCCTCCCAAGTAGCTGGGATTACAGGCACCCACCATCACACCCAGCTAATTTTTTTGTATTTTTAGTAGAGAGGATGTTTTGCCATGTTTGCCAGGCTGGTCTCGAACTCCTAACCTCAGGTGATTCACCCGCTTCAGCCTCCCCAAGTGCTGGGATTACAGTTGTTAGCCACCGTGCCCGGCCTCCATTTTCTCTGTAATGTTTTGTAACATTTGTAATGCTCTGCCAGTTCCTCTGCAACAAATACTGAGTGCCATTTCTGGAGATGTGGCTCACTTCATTTCGTAAGGTTCATTCATAACGAACAGTCTGACCACTTAAAAAAATTCTGTACCTGTAATCCCAGCGCTTTGGGAGGCCAAGGCCAGTGGATGGATTGCCTGAGGTCAGGAGTTCAAGACAGGCCTTACCAACATGGTGAAACCCCATGTCTACTAAAAATACAAAAATTAGCTGGACATGGTGGTGGGCACCTGTGATCCCAGCTACTCGGGAGGCTGAGGCAGGAGAATCACTTGAACCCTGGAGTTGGAGGTTGCAGTGAGCCGAGATCGCACCATTGCACTCCAGCCTGGGCGGCAGAGTGAGATTCCATCTAAAAAAAAAAAATTCTGCCACGCGTTTGTGTTTTCATTGTTACAGTTATGAGACTGATATGAAATTTGTACACGTACCAGGTAAATTCTACCTCAGTGAACATTACCATTAATGCCACTTTAAAAAAAAATAGAATACTAAACAAGTGAACGAATTCTGAATGGACAAATAAAAATAAAGGGAATTATAAAGCCCTCCTATTGTATATGTGATATTTGATTTTGATTGTCATACTTAATGCTGGGTTAAGATATTTTCAGGCTTAAACCTTATAATGAAAAGAAGTAATTGTTCTGTGTGTGGAAGAAAGGTGTGATGTCAGCTCACTTTGGCTTCTCCTCTCTGCATCCATCATGATTGTCCAAGTTGCACCCTCATCATTTGTCTGCTAAACCGTTTCTGTAATTTACTACGCGGTTTTCGTGTTGAACAGCCATTGTTCTCTGCAATTTGCTATGTACAATATATTTGAAAGGATCACCTGATTTATACCCTGAGATGGGTTCTTTAGTGAGGTGTTCACCAAGAGCCTTGGAATCAGATTACACTTTGGGGGCACAACTTCAATATTATCGCAAAATGATCAGACCGTAAGAGGCCAAGTAGGTAAGCCAGATGTCACTGTAACCTGATTGTGGTTGCATCCATTCACTTAGAGAGTCCTCGTCGGTCATGAAAGCTAGAAAAAGGATAGTGAAAGTGGGCAACTCTGTTACTGTTGAGGAGAGATGGCCTGTTGGCCATCAGGTATTCTTGTCCCATTGGCAAGATTATATCTGCTGTAGAATTGAGTGCCACAACTTTTTATGAGATACTGCAATGGCTCCACCTTGCTGATGTGATGAAGCGCAGGCTCTTTACATTTGCCTTCCCCTTTCCTTCCTTCTGACTCACTTGTACTGGTTTAGGCATCACTTCCTCCAGGAAACTCTCTCCTACTACTCTAAATGCTCTCCTCTTTGCTCTCATGACATTCTGGCACTTAGCACAGTACGCTGCAATTAGACTGTATGTGCCCAGCCCTCTCCTGCACTGTTTGCTTTTCAGAGACAGGGGAGAGGGACTGTGCATACAAGGCCAGGGAGTGTGTCTTATTTATTTTTATCATTAAAGCTCAGCACTAGGTGATGCCCCCCATTTATTGTGTTTTAACTGTTGTATTTGCTTTCCCACCAGCAGTATATGAGAATAATTATTACCCTAAGCCTTGCCAAGAGAGTGGTTGCTTTAATTTGCATTTCTTCGATCACGAATGAGGATGAAAATGTTGTCATATATTTAAGGGCTATTTTTATATCTTTTTTCTGGTGTGTGTGAATCATCCGTTCATGTCTTTTGCCCATTTTTCTGTCATGTTTTTGATATTTTATCTCTTAACCTTTAAGAGTTACTTCTATATTAAGGATATTAGTTCTTTATCTGTGACATATATGATACAGATTTTTTTTCTCAGTTTGTCAGTTGATATTTTTTTTTTGCTATGAGTAGTTGTTGATTTTTAATGTAGTCAAATGTATCAATCTTTTAAAAACTGCTTCTGTGTTTTTAGTTATGGTTGGAAATTATCCCTTACAGGTTAATGCAGAATTCAACCATGTTTTCTAGTACTTGTATGGTTTTTTTTTAATATTTAGATCTCTAATCCATTTAGAGGTGTGTGTGTGTGCGTGCGCATGTGTGTGTGTTGTCAGGTGCAAATTTAATTTTGATTTTTCTCAGATGGTTAAACAGTTGTTCTCACTCCATTTATGAAAAAGTCAATTTTTGTAGTGGTGACTTGAGATGCCATTTTTATCATATACTGAAGTTTAATATGTACTTGAGTCTATTTTTAAAACTTCTGTTTGACTAGTCTGCGTATTTATGTACAATACCACATTATTTTAATTATAGCAGTTCTATAGTGTTTCAATGCCTGGTAGGGTTAGTCATCCCTTCCTCCATCAGTTTTTATTTTTTGTGTTGTGCTGTGTATTCTATATGTTCATTTTTCTACATGAAGTTCAATATTGTATAGTCTATCAATAGTTACATAGTAAGCTTGTTGGTATTTTTATTGAGATCACATTAAATTTATAGATCAACTTAGGGACAGCTGACATTTCAAGATGTTGAGTCATCATATTTTTCTATTTATTTAGCTATATTTTATATCTTCAGAAGTGTTTTAAAGTTTTTCTAATGTAGGTTTTGCATATTTCTCAGTAAATTTCCCCAAGTATATTAACTTCTTGGTTGGTATTATAAATGAGCTTTTCTCTTTATTTTTTTGAGAGAGTCTTGCTCTGTTGCCCAGGCTGGAATGCAGTGGCATGACATTGGCTCACTGCAACCTCCGCCTCATGGGTTTAAGTGATTCTCCTGCCTCAGCCTCCTGAGTAGCTGGGATTACAGGCGTCTGCCACCACACCAGGCTAATTTTTGTATTTTTAGTAGAGATGAGGTTTCACCATGTTGGCCAGGCTGATCTCAAAATCCTGGGTTCAAGTGATCCACCCACCTCGACCTCCCAAAGTGCTGGGATTACAGGCATGAGCCACTGTGCCTGGCCACCTTTTCTCTATTCTTATATCCTCTAACTGATTACTGATTATACATATGAAAGCTATTAATTTCCATATGGTAATGAAATGGGAGAGTTCCCTGATCCCCCTTGCAGGATGTATGACAGGAGTGTGGCTCGTCCGTTCAGCTTCTGTGCTCTCAAACCCCTTACAGGATGGGGAGCAGGCAGACAGGCAGGGTCAGGAGCTGGGGCAAGTGTTTTTGGGCTCCAGCCCCACGGTAGTGTCTAGGGGTATGTGCCTGTAGCTCTTGAAGCCCCAGTAGGCATGCTACAGTGTTCTTTTAGCTTTGCTGTCTGCAGATGGCTTAAGTGTTACCAGCTCTGTGCCATCTTGTCTGGTGTCCAGGAAGAATCAATTCACATAGACAAATTGAAGAATGGTAAATGTGGGGGATTTTATTGCTGGATGGAGGTGGCCCTCAGCAGTATGGATGTGGAGCTGGAAAGGGGATGGAGTGGGAAGATGATCTTCCCCCGGAGTTCAGTTGTCCCACAGCCAATCTCCTCTCTGACCGTCCCCAGCCGAACTCTTCTTGACATTCAGACACTCCTTTTCTTCTCTCCTTCTCTGTGGTGCCACTCTTCTGTTCCTCTGCTCTTCTGCTCATATACTTATGGAGCCTGGGGTTTGGGGTTTATATGGGTGTAGGATGGGGGGTGGGGATAATGGGCCAAAAGGCAACATTTGGGCACAAAAACAGGAATGCCTGTTTCCATTTAAGGCTGCGGTTTTCCAGGCTTGAGGGTGGGGCCTTTGCTGGGGAACTGCCCTCTTCTACCCAGTATTTCCCTGTCTCCTGTCCATATCATTAATTAGTAACATTTTGAATAGAAATACTCAATAGTGTAAAAATAATATATAATTTCATTGAATACAAAGCTTGAGATATATTTTGGGGAATCTTGAAAAACTAAATTTTATCTGAAATAAGAAATACGTGAAAATATCCAGGAAATTTCTTAAAATAAATTTTAATGAAGGTATCACTTATTAAAATATGTTATGAATCTTTAACAGTTAAAATATGTAGCTATATGGGATAAAGCAGGTTTCAGATAAAGACTGAATTCTTTATATATAAAGAAATATAATTTATGATGAAGAGGTTATTAATTCTACTAAGGAAAAGATAAAACTAATGAATTATGTTAGGAAAGCTGATGATCACTTGGAAAAAAAGCCAGATTTCTTTTTTTTATCTCTGTACTTAAATGAATTTAGATGCATCAAATTATAGATTGATGCATCTATATTCAATAGTGCAAGAACAAAGTGTTACTTACAAAAATTGAAGCCTTAAGAATAGTGAAGAAAATATAGTTGGATATTTTTATGATTTGGGAACAAAGGAAACCTTTCAAAGCATCATACCCAATCCAGAAAGCATAAAGGAATACAGTCAAACATGCACTGTAAGGCAAAAACCAACCAAACAAAAAACACCATCAACAAAACCCCCAAAAGGTTAAAAGGTAAATTACAGTATAGTAAAAATATTGGCAACATATATACTAATATGGACCAGGAAATAATTTTATTTTTGAAACTTTAGTGTTTAAAAGTATAACTTTCTCTATTTAAAATTCAATATTAGCACAAATTTTAATTTTCTTCTTTGGCAATGAAACATTTAATCTAGTCATTTCCCAGTAAACTTAGTTAGATGTAGTGATTTCTCAGGGTTCAGCGTTTTCTGGGTCAACCTAAAGTGAGCAACAGAGAGACTGATCTTCCAGAGCAAAGAGTTTATTCCAGAGTAGCAGGAGATTGCAATCCAGGATATGCATGCTATGATGGATCATAGGTGCATCCAAGGGAGGTGGGGTAGGGGAAAGCTTTTAAGGACAGAAAGGTGAAGTCCACAGAAGCTGTTTTGGAACAAGACTATTGGAGCTTGTTGCAATAGTTGGCATTAACTCATTGGCAGAGACATTGTTAGGCAAGTGTCTTTGGGCACGCAGCTCATATGGAATACTGCAGTTTTAAGGAATTCCTTGCAGAGTTCCCAGCATAGATATGCATGTATGAGGACCCCTTTTTCATGGCCTCCAGCTCCCTTTTATTAGGGCTTCACATCAGTGACTCCATTTTGATACTGATAACTTTTTTGTCTAATCTATATACCTCCCTTCTTGTGCCCCCTCTCCCTAAATGGCAGTTGTATTCCAGGTGGTTAACATGGTGCCTTGGCATTGGTAGAAGGAGGAAACTGGTCCAGTTGTCATCTGCTGGGGTCTGATAATATGTACTTTGCTTTATAGCCTCTATCCTCACTGCAGCTGCTGTTCACGTTTTTGCCTCTGATATTTTTGCTTCTGCCATGACATGTGGCTTATATAATCAATATCCTATCTGGTGAAGGCACATTTCTGACCTAATATGGCATCTCGTCTGCTGAAACTCTCTCAGCTATTTCCTTTTTCTTTTTCTTTTCTTAGACGGAGTCTCACTCTGTCACCAGGCTGGAGTGCAGCGGCGCAATCTCGGCTCACTGCAACCTCCGCCTCCCAGGTTCCAGTGATTCTCCTGCCTCAGCCTCCCAAGTAGCTGGGACTACAGGTGTGTGCCACGATGCCCAGCTAATTTTTGTATTTTTAGTAGAGATGGGGTTTCACCATGTTGGCCAGGATGGTCTCGATCTCTTGACCTCGTGATCCGCCTGCCTCAGCCTCCCAAAGTGCTGGGATTACAGGCGTGAACCACCGTGCCTGGCCTCAGCTATTCCTTTAGCTATACAAAACTTGAGGGAGTGTCTTAGGCTCCTTTTATTTTCTTTTTCAACTTTTATTTTAGAATCGGGGGGTACATGCGCAGGTTTGTTACCAAGGTATATTGTGTGATGCTGAGGTTTAGGGTATGACTGAACCTGTCACAGAGGTAGTGAGCATAATACCCAACAGGTAGTTTTTCAACCCTTGTCCACCTCCCTCTCTCCCCAACAGTAGTCTGCAGTGTCTATTGGAGTCTCTTGAAAGCATACTTTCCTTTCTTTCCTGTTCTGAAGCCTTTTAAAATAAACTTCTACTCCTGCTCTGAAACTTGCCTTGGTCTCTTTTTCTGCCTTATGTCCCTCAGTTGAATCCTTTCTTCTGAGGAGGTAAGAACTGAGGTTACTGCATACCTGTAGGGATTTGCTACTAGTAATTCAGATATCTTCCACCAGTAACAATATCAAGTGCCTATTTTGGAACTCCAAGTCAGGAATTTGATTTTTGTTTCTTCTTCCTATTCACCAGTTCACTGAAAGAGTAAGTTTTAGTCTCATGGTCTAGCTTTAACAGTGGGCAGCCCTTGAGATAAAGGCAATTTCCAAAACGTAAAATAAAAACCAACAATTGTTTAAGTATGTTGCTAATTTTTAAATAGCTCTTGCAAATTGACAAGAAAAAGATAAACCCGCCAATAGAAAAATGGACCAAAAGATAAAGGTGTTATTTACAAATGGAGAAGTGCAAATGGCCAATAAATATATAAAACAGAGGTTCCACTTTGCTTGTAACCACAGAAAACAC
This sequence comes from Homo sapiens, assembly GCF_000001405.40. Classification (NCBI taxonomy): domain Eukaryota; kingdom Metazoa; phylum Chordata; class Mammalia; order Primates; family Hominidae; genus Homo; species Homo sapiens. The sequence goes on along the minus strand of NC_000004.12, from coordinate 127,541,502 downwards.
ACATTTATCAAGATGTCATTTTTTTGCCCATTTTATTGAAAAAGGAGAAAAATATAATAATGTCTACGTTGGAAATCGAGTACAGGAAAAGGACTCTGTGTAGTAAAATCTGGCACTTCTTAAGAGAGCAGTTGGGAGTATGTGGCAAAATGTATAATGTGTATATCCTTTATTTTATATCTACAAATGTATTCTAAGGTTATAATCTGGTATCTTCACAAAGGCATATATTTGAGGAGCTAGTAATAGCACTGCTTATAATAATGAGAAATTGGAAATAACCTAATTACCTATTGTAAGGAGTTAGTTAGATATGTTGGTTACAGACAATGGGACATTATATAGTATGGAATACTTCACAGTGTGAAGGAGCAAAACATAATTTTCTGTCTGTCCTAAATTCCTGGCTTGGACGTCCTGTAACAAAAGACAGATTAACAAGAGAAAACAAATAGAAGTTTATTAACAATGTCCTCATGTGTATTACCTGTGCAACTCATGTTTACATGGGACATACCCAGGGAGAGAGATGACTTAGAATGCAAGCTGAACTACCATCTTTAGCTAAATACAAGAGGATCTGGAGGAGGCCCAGTTATGGGGAGGTGACCAGGAAAAGTATGGTAAAAAAGAAGTTAGCCACGGTGGCTCATACGTGTAATTCTAGCACTTTGACAGGCCAAGGTGGGAGGGTCACTTGAGCCTAGGAGTTTGAGACCAGCTTAAGTGACAGCCAGACCCTGTCTCAAAAAAAGGAAAGGTTTGTTATGCAGATTTAAATGAGGGCCCTCTCCCTTCTTAAGATTTTACTGTGATTTTACTTCCTTTACTGGTACAGAGAGGGAGACACCTCTACAAATGGAGATTTCTTTTTTAAATGTAAATTTCCCTTACGAAAGGGTAACCTCTACTCTGTTTTCAGAACTTCTCCTGTGTGTGTCTGCTATTTCTCAGAATAATCAGCTCAAAATAATCTTTATGCTAAAAAGGTATATTTTGGGGTGGCACATTCTGGTCTTCTACTGTCATATTTTGAATGGCATATTCTGGTCTCCTACAACTGCTACTAAAGAAATGATACATAGCCATATTTAGTGACAGGGAAAAATATCCATGATACAGTGGAGTTATAAAGTAACAAGTGTAGTATTAGAGATCTCTTCATACAGACTCAGAGATGCATAACCTCAGTGGGTCCCATTCACATCCTAGTGGAAGTCCTGTCATTTGTGACAACTGGGATGTGAACAGTGCTTCAAGAATTTTACAGTGTGGCAGCCCTGATAGTTTGATGCTTTTTTAAATAAAAAATTCTATGCATATGTAAAGCAAGAACTAATTCTATGCATACATAGAGAGAGAACTAATTCTACGCATATATAGTGAGAGAACTAATTGTTTCTTTAAATGATGGCCTCAGAATTCTCTGAAATGATTGTGCTAGATAGGTGTGCTTGGTTATGAAGATATGGCTCCTTTTAGCATAGTTGTGATGGGTGGGGAAGGGATAGAATTCTTCTTCATAAGAAACTAAAAGGAATTTTGGGACTAGATGCCAGCCAGAGAAGTTGGAAGGGGGTTGCCCAGCAGCAGGGAGTAAGTGGAAGATATAATACAGTGAAAATTTCCTTGGAGTAGAAAAGGCTTAGGAAATTTTTGAAGGACAGGATGTATAAGATGGAATTTTCCATAGACTGCTTTTCTCTGCTGCCCACACTGCTGTCTTAAGCATTAGCTGCTTATGCTACCAGACAACATTCATTAGGAAATACTCTTCTTCATAGTGAAGTGACAGGGCAGTGGCCAGCTGGGTCTCTATGCAGAGCTGGTGAAACGCAGAATGGAGGTGGAGAAGCAGAGCATTTAGGGTCAGAGCCAAAATATACTTGATTTTTACAGGTGCAAGGACTTTAGCTAATGTTTGGGTTAGATATTCATGAACATTGTTCAACAAAATAAAAAATAATTTTTTTTCTGGTGGCAAAATTTGGAGTAGTTTTTTGCTTCTGTTTTTAATATCCTTCTGAACTATTTACAATAATCATAATTATTTTTTAAATTAGAAAAACGTGATCTTTTCTTTAAAGTAGCACAATGATGTGAATATACTTAATGCCATTAAAATATGCTCTTAAAAATGGTTAAGATGGTAAATTCTACGTTATGGTGTATTTTATCACAACTTAGAAAAAAGGACACATTAATGTCACAAAACCATAGATATTCTCCACAAATCCTTGTAAAATAGAGAAGAAGAAAAAATAAAAATGAAAACAAATGTACTATCATTTTTCTAGGGTAATTGGATGACTCCTGAAATTTCCTGTATAGTTTGCTTCGGACTATTGATACAGTAGGAGTGAAAAAAATGCCCTGAGGAGGCATGAAAATGAACAATTAAAAAGCCAGTGTGCATTACAAGGAAGGCATCTCATGGTTTTTGCTTTACAGTTTTCACGTTTTGTTTTCGTCCTTGCCACTGCCTTCATATGTCTAAAAGTTGCCACCGGGGGGCAGGAGTGTGCCAAAGTCGGGCAATGTCAGATGCCTGAACCAGCCAGGTTTGAGGTTTCTATTCAATTTCCTCACGGAGGAATTATTGTTCCTTTGTTCTTATTATACAGAATAAGAGATGAAGGCACATTTTCCTAATAATTAATGATGTTGAGCATCTTTTCATATTTCCACTGGCCATCTGTGTGTTTTGGGAGAAATGTCTGTTCAAAAGTCCTTTGTTCATTTTTTTTTTTTTTTTTTTTGAGACGGAGTCTCACTCTGTCGCCCAGACTGGTGTGCAGTGGCACTATTTCAGCTCAGTGCAACCTCTGCCTCCTGGGTTCAAGCGATTCTCCTGCCTCAGTCTCCCGAGTAGCTGGGATTACATGCACGCACCACCACACCCAGCTATTTATTTTAATTTTTTTTAGTAGAGACGAGATTTCACCATGTTGGCCAGGCTGACTTCAGGTGATCTGCCCACCTCGGCCTCCCAAAGTGCTGGGATTACAGGTGTGAGCCACCGTGCCTGGCCCCTTTGCTCATTTTTTAATTGGGTTATTTGGTTTTTTTGCTATTGAGTTGTAGGAACTCCTTATATACTTTGGAGATTAACCCCTTAAAAGATATATGGATTGTAAATATTTTCTCCCATTCCACAGGTTGCCTTCATTCATAGGTTGGTTTCATTCTATTGATTGTGTCCTTTGCTTTGGAGAAGCTGTTTAGTTTGATGTAGTCTCACTAGTCTATTTTTGTTTTTGTTGCCTATGCTTTTGGGGTCATTTCCAAGAAATCATTGCCAAGTCCAATGTCAAGAAGCTTTCTCCCTACGTTTTCTTTTAGTAGTTTTACAGTTTCAGGCTGTGTTTAAGTCCTTAATCCACTTTGAGTTGATTTTTGTGTATGGTGTGAGATAAGAGTCCAATTTCATTCTTTTGCATGTGGATATCAAATTTTCCCAACACCATTTGTTGAAGAGTCTATTCTATCCCCACTGAATACTCTTGGAATCCTTGTGGGAGATAATTGACTGTATTAGTGTGGATTATCTCTGGGCTATTTTGTTCTATTGGTACGTATATCTGTCTTTATGCCAGTTCCATACTGTTTTAACTACTGTACATATTTGTCATACAATTTAAAATCAGGAAGTTTAATGCCTCCAGCTTTGCCCTTCTTCCCTCAGGATTGTGTTGGCTATTCTGGATCTTTTGTGATTCCATATGAATTGTAGAATTGCTTTTATCTACCTCATTAAAAAATTGGGATTTTGATGGGGACAGCATTGAATTTGTAGAATGCTTTGGGTAGTGTGGACATTTTAACAATATTAAAGATGTCATCTCATATATAATAGGATGACTATTATCCAAACAAAAAAACCTCACAAAAAACAAAACAACACTTCTACGCTGTTGGTAGGAATGTAAAATGGCACAGCAGCTATGGAAAACAGTATAAAGATTCCTCAAAAAATTAAAAATGAAAATGGCATATGATCTAGCAATCCTACTTCTGAGTACATGTCCAAAAGAATTAAAATGTGGATCTTGCAGAGATATCTGCACCTCCATGTTAATTAATTGCAGCACTATTCACAACAGTCAAGATATGGAAACAACCCAAGTGTTCACAGACAAATTAATGGATAAAGAAAATGTGGTCTATATATACAGTGGGGGGTAATTCAGCCCTAAAACAAGAAGGAAATCCTGCCATCTGTGACAACATGGATGAACCTAGAGGACATGCTAAGTGAAATAAGCCAGACACAGAAAGACAGATATGACATGATTCCACGTATATGAGGTATTTATAATAGTCAAATTCATCAAAGCAGAGAGTACAATAGTGGATGCCAGGGGCTGGGGTAGGGAAAGGGAGAGTTCAATTGATATAAAGTTTCAGTTATGTGGGAAAATAAGTTCTAGAGATCTGTTGTATAATATGGTGCCTATAGTTAACAGTATGGTATTGGGCACTTCAAAATGTATTAAGTGGGTGGATCTCACGTTAATTGTTCTTACCTCAGAAACAAAAACAACAAAAATGAAAACAAAGAGACATAAGGAAACTTTGAGAGGTGTTAGATTTGTCTATCACCTTGATTGTAGGATGACATCATAGGTATTTGCATATGTTCAAACTCATCAAATTGAACACATTTACTTCACAGGATGAAGTAAATAGTTGGCAACCTAACATTATGTGAGTAGCCAAGGTAGAATTTAAACACTAGTGTCTCAGTCTATTTTCTGTTGCTTATAACAGAATACTTGAAAATGAGTAACTTATAAACAAAAGGAATTTATTTACAGCTTTGGAGGCTAAGAAGTACAATGTTGAGGAGCTGCATCTGGTGAGGGCCTTCTTGCTGGTAGGGACTCTGAAGATTCCTGAGGCAGTGTAGGGTATCACATGGTGAGAGGGCTAAGCATGCTAGCTCAAGTCTCTCTCCTTTTTCTTATAAAGTTAATTAATCCATGAATGGATTATTCTATTCATGATGACCAAGCCCTGATGAACCAGTTACCTCTTAAAGGCCCCACCCCTCAACATTGCCACATTAGGGATTATATTTCAACATGAGGTTTGGAGGGGACAACTGTTCAAGTCATAACAACTGGTTTTGATAATCCGTTGGCTAGGCTTTTTAAGAACTATCCTGAGTTTATAGCTATGATCTATACATTATTCAATGTTTAACAATTTTTTTTATTAAAGGCAGTAAATTAAGAAAGCTTTAAAGAAACAAACACACAGAAATAAAATAGGGGTACAAATGTCTACTTAGTGTATGCCATGATAGAAGCATCTGAATTAATGTGAGAAAGTCATAAGTAGAAGATAAAACTTGAGGAGAACAAATTAGGGTTTGCTTGTTAATTTGCCTATTTTGTTTCTTTCAGAGATTTTCCTTGTGAAAACCTTGGTGGTGAAGGGCAGGAGAATATGCTACCCCCAGAATTCGACTTTGGCATAAGGATTATCTTGAGCTGAAGGGAATTGAGAAGAAGCACAAACAAGAAAAGCTGTCTGCCCTCTCCCTATTTGCCTAAAATCAGGAAATAAATATACAAAGATGTACCTCTTTACCTCTCTACCAGGAATGACAAAGTTTGATCAGTGGAGATGACTTTAGACCCTTATCAGCCTGGAGATGGCACAAGAGAAATCTATACAGCAAACTTTACCAACTGTTCTACCTACTATTGGTTTCCCATATAATTGCTTTTCCACAATATGCCACATCTAGACACTCAAAGTCCTTTTCCTTTTTCTTGTCACTTCTCTGAAATTGTATTGTACTTTGTTGAAGATGCTATATAAGCTGAAGTTCTAAGCCATCTTTTTGAGAGTTACTCTTTCCTTTAGTTCTCTCTCATGTATATATGAAATATACATGTTAGTGAACTTGTTTGTTTTTCTCTTGTTAATCTGTCTTTTGTTGCAGGAGGTCCAGCTAAGGACTCTGAAGAGTAAAGGAGAAATTGTTTTCTCCTCTCCTACAGTGGATTTTGTCTTTTTAGTGCAGAAAGTTGCATTAAAGATGGCAACAACAGTCACTCAAGATGGTTTCTATCCACAGATAATTTCATTGATTGGAGCAAAGTTTTTCCAAGGATCATTGTTATGAGCTGAACTATGTTCCCCTCAAATTTATACGTGGAAATCCTAACCCCTAGTACTTCAAAATGTGACTATATTTGGAGACAAGCTTTTCAAAGAGAGAATTAAGGCAAAGTAAGGTCATCAGAATGGACTCTAATCTCACATAACTGGTGTCCTTATAAGAAGAGGAGATTAAGACACAGATATACATAGAAGAAGACCATGTAAAGACATGGGAAGAAGATAGTCATTTACAAGCCAAGAGGAAGAGCCTTCAGAAGGAACCCTGTCAACACCTCTGTCTTAGACTTGTAGTCTCCAGAACTGTGAGGAAATAAATTTCTGTTGCTTAAGCCACCCAGTTTGTAGTACTTAGGTATGGCAGCCCTCGCTAGCAAGCTTACATCAAAATGACACATGAGGCTTGTGAAAAATGACAGATCTATGCATGATTGAAAAAAGAAAGGAAAATATTAAAGAATCTGTCTCTACTTCTAGTTTCTTCTGAGAAAAGTTAGGATACAATTTCTGTCAAAGGATGGTACTGACCTTGTGTAATTTTCATTCTTCAGGAACTATAATCACATTACCATGTCAGCAAACCACACAGATTTTTATTTTGTCTAAAAAAGCATGATTTCCACTCTTTGGAATAATACTGTTAACTATACACGAAGATAAATATAAAAGACAGCGCCACATTGACTGTGGATTCTGAAATTCCCTTTATTACATTTATTCTTGGATTCTCAGACCAAACCCTGGGACTCAGACCAAAGAAATTTTGGTTTAATATGAAGATTTCTTAAAGCTCTGACCTGACAGTCTTATAATTATATTTTCTTCTTGTGTATATCCCTAGATATACAAACAGAACATCTTAAAACTGCCTGATCCAACAAATATTATTAGTTGATTATTCAAGGCATGATGATTCCATTATTTTTGGATCTTTTTTATGGCATGCTAATGTTCTCTATATCTCTTCTTCATGGCTTCTGTTGTTTCCTCTTTTCTTTTCCCACCTCTCCTTCTGTCTCCTATTTTTTTTCTCCTTGTCCCCTTGTATATGTACAATTTCTATAATCCAACTCATAAATCCTTGTGCTAATTCCACTCTCAGTAACTATTAAGATGGAATTCCACACGTGTCACAACAAATATCCACATGTGACAAGCAATTAGTGATACTACTCTCTGAATGCTTTTTGTTTTAGAAGTGTAAATTTACATAAAAAATAAAGCAAAAAAAACCCAAAAAACAAAAAACAAATGTTTGCTTATAAAGCGTGTAGTATTTTTTGCATGATATTAATTTTACAACCACCCAGTGGGAGAAGAGGAAAGAGAGTTCACCTTAAGCGTTTTCAGAGGGTTTTGTAATGTTGTTATAAATTTCTCTAAACAAAGTTAATATTAATTCTTTCTAATATATAATAAATTTTGACTAGAATTTGTAGAACTCTAAATCCTTTAGTCCTAAATTATATACTATGGACTTAATGAAGTTGTTTTATAGCAATGTTCTATAGAGATGATCTCTAAATTTATTACTTGCTGAGAACAGTGATATGAGTGACTACATTTATCTTTATGAGAAGGAAAGAAAAAAGGAGAAAAGACATTTTGAGAAGAAATGAAAGAGGACAGGCATTGTGACCCATAGAAGTTAACCTCCTCCTCATTGAATATTGGGGACATGGAGCCTAGGGCCTGAGAGTAGATGCCAAGGCTGAATGACTATTTGAACCCAGAAGGTGCAGGGAGATAACAACTCAGCTGCTGTGAAACAGAGATTTTATTTGCTTGGTTCCATTAAGCAAATCAGAAAGCTGGCCCTGTGACAGGACTGAGCTACTGACCCCAGATGAATGAGGTCAGCACATGTATTTCAGCTCTGGGAAAGTTGGGAAATGGAAAAAGAAGCAAGTAGATGCCAACATTCTTACATGTGAGGGAGATTCCCCATTGCTGGCTTGAAGATGGAGAGAGTTGGTGTCCAGGACCCTAGAACAACTTCCAGGAGCTGAGAGTAACCCCTGGCCAGTAGCCAGCATGAAAACAGGAATCTCAATTCTACAGCTGCAAGGAACTGAATTTGGCCAATGGCCTGAATGAACTTGGAAGCACTTTCTTCCTCAGAACTTCCAGATAAGAACTTAGCTGGTCTAACAGCTTGAATGTGAGACTCAGAGCAGAGAACCCATTTGAGCAACTCCGGAACTTCTAATTTATACAACTGTGAGATAATAAATGGGTGCTGTTTTAAGCTGCTAAGTTTGTGGTAATTTCTTATGCAGCAATAGAAAATTAATATAGTAACATAACATTGAAAATGCTTTCTTTAAGATATATTGGTGTCCATAAATTAGCTTCAAACTGGTTCTTCCTTTTACCAACTGTTTGATCTTGGGTAAATTAAGGAATCCTTCTGAATCTGTCCTGTATAGACAAAGGAAATAATGACTACTGCCTTAAGTGGTTACTATATGAAGTGAATTAATGTTAATGAAAATTCCTATCATAAGAACTTACGAACACAAACAAGAAAACAGACGATGGAGTCTACTTGAGGGTGGAAGGTGGGAGGAAGGAGAGGAGCAGAAAAGATAACTATTGGGAACTGGGCTTAATTTCTGGGTGATGAAATAATCTGTACCACAAACCCTTGTGACATGAGTTTACCTATTTAACAAAACTTCACATGTACCCCTGAACCTAAAATAAAGTAAAAACCCCCCAGAATTCCGAGCTGTTTTCTTGGCATGTGGTAGACACTCATAGAAGGTTTATTCTTTCCTTCTTTCCCCTCCTCTTCCCACAGGCTATTCATGTTGTCTAAAAGTCTTCAAAGTATGCTTAGGGTTTCTCTAGGCGGGTCATTTAGACCTGTTTGAAATGCTTGTTCCCCGGTGCCTTTGAAAACTGGCACAAGACAGGGATGTTCTCTCTCACCACTTCTATACAACATAGTGTTGGAAGTTCTGGCCAGGGCAATTAGGCAGGAGAAGGAAATAAAGGGTATTCAATTAGGAAAAGAGGAAGTCAAATTGTCCCTGTCTGCAGATGACATGATTGTATATCTAGAAAACCCTATTGTCTCAGCCCAAAATCTCCTTAAGCTGATAAGCAACTTCAGCAAAGTCTCAGGATACAAAATCAATGTGCAAAAATCACAAGCATTCTTATACACCAATAACAGACAAACAGAGAGCCAAATCATGAGTGAACTCCTATTCACAATTGCTTCAAAGAGAATAAAATACCTAGGAATCCAACTTACAAGGGACGTGAAGGACCTCTTCAAGGAGAACTACAAACCACTGCTCAATGAAATAAAAGAGGATACAAACAAATGGAAGAACATTCCTTGCTCATGGGTAGGAAGAATCAATATCATGAAAATGGCCATACTGCCCAAGGTAATTTATAGATTCAATGCCATCCCCATCAAGCTACCAATGCCTTTCTTCACAGAATTGGAAAAAACTACTTTAAAGTTCATATGGAACCAAAAAAGAGCCCGCATTGCCAAGTCAATCCTAAGCCAAAAGAACAAAGCTGGAGGCATCATGCTACCTGACTTCAAACTATACTACAAGCCTACAGTAACCAAAACAGCATGGTACTGGTACCAAAACAGAGGTATAGATCACTGGAACAGAACAGAGCCCTCAGAAATAATGCCACATATCTACAACTATCTGATCTTTGACAAACCTGACAAAAACAAGAAATGGGGAAAGGATTCCCTATTTAATAAATGGTGCAGGGAAAACCGGCTAGCCATATGTAGAAAGCTGAAACTGGATCCCTTCCTTACACCTTATACAAAAATCAATTCAAGATGGATTAAAGACTTAAACGTTAGACCTAAAACCATAAAAACCCTAGAAGAAAACCTAGGCATTACCATTCAGGACATAGGCATGGGCAAGGACTTCATGTCTAAAACACCAAAAGCAATGGCAACAAAAGACAAAATTGACAAATGGGATCTAATTAAACTAAAGAGCTTCTGCACAGCAAAAGAAACTACCATCAGAGTGAACAGGCAACCTACAAAATGGGAGAAAATTTTTGCAACCTACTCATCTGACAAAGGGCTAATATCCAGAATCTACAATGAACTCAAACAAATCTACAAGAAAAAAACAAACAACCCCATCAAAAAGTGGGCAAAGGATATGAACAGACACTTCTCAAAAGAAGACATTTATGCAGCCAAAAAATACATGAAAAAATGCTCACCATCACTGGCCATCAGAGAAATGCAAATCAAAACCACAGTGAGATACCATCTCACACCAGTTAGAATGGCAATCATTAAAAAGTCAGGAAACAACAGGTGCTGGAGAGGATGTGGAGAAATAGGAACACTTTGACACTGTTGGTGGGACTGTAAACTAGTTCAACCATTGTGGAAGTCAGTGTGGCGGTTCCTCAGGAATCTAGAACTAGAAATACCATTTGACCCAGCCATCCCATTACTGGGTATATACCCAAAGGACTATAAATCATGCTGCTATAAAGACACATGCACACGTATGTTTATTGCAGCACTATTCACAATAGCAAAGACTTGGAACCAACCCAAATGTCCATCAATGATAGACAGGATTAAGAAAATGTGGCACATATACACCATGGAATACTATGCAGCCATAAAAAATGATGAGTTCATGTTCTTTGTGGGGACATGGATGAAATTGGAAATCATCATTCTCAGTAAACTATTGCAAGAACAAAAAACCAAACACCGTATATTCTCACTCATAGGTGGGAATTGAACAATGAGAACACATGGACACAGGAAGGGGAACATCACACTCTGGGGACTGTTGTGGTGTGGGGGGAGGTGGGAGGGATAGCTTTAGGAGATATACCTAATGCTAAATGACGAGTTAATGGGTGCAGCACACCAGCATGACACATGTATACATATGTAACTAACCTGCACAATGTGCACATGTACCCTAAAACTTAAAGTATAATAAAAAAAAAAAAGAAATAGCACTTGAACAAAAATTTAATATTCTCAGCAAGGCCATTTTTATACTTTCTGCAGAAAGGGTACACTTGCCAGCAGTTTTGCTGTGGGAGTACACCCAATGAAGGAGACAGGGTCATTTATAACCTGATGCATCCACCCTGCTGCTGTGTCTGGTTTCCATTGGCTGGAATGGGACCTCACATTCTGTATTTGTCCTGATTGGCTAGCAACTTAGAACTTTTTAAAAGAGGCAAAGGCAGAGGAGAACAAAGGAATGAGGAAGTACTTTGTGGAATGCTGAGAAAAGTAAAAAGACCTTCAAATAAGGAAGAGGAACTGGCTGTGACCTAATGCTTGCTTGGACCAGTATAAGCATGCCAGGGCAAATATTTAGGCTAAATTATGGGAGCTAAGAACATAAAGTACATTGATTTCTTTATTATGGCTAGCAGATATTTAAGAATGTTAGCACAGGTATTTGAATACATTTTGCTCCTAAGAGAAGTTACTATTTATTCCTAATTAGAGGGGGAGAAAAGTCTTTGAAGAGGAACCTCTACTTTACTTTTCACAGGCCCTTTCAGGGGATTCTTGAAGTCCAAACTATTTTTGGAATGATACTGAGATGATATTGGCATTTTTCAATTTTATTCTTTCACTAGTGTATAGTGGAGTTTTCCAGAGACTACGTTACTTATAAGATCATAACAGAATGCAAAAACAGACATGAGAAACTAAATGTCTTCTATTAATCCAGACATTAAAGAGATTTGTAAAAATCTGAAACAATAATAATCTTCTAACAAAATAGTCTTGTTTTGGAAAATATAGTTATTTTTAAAAGTACAAATGTTACTTTTGTTAACATGCAATACGTTTATTATATTTTTAAATGAATTAATGAAAAATTGAATTTTCTTAGTTTTAATTTCCAATATAGTAAATATTAATAGACAAAGGCTTTTTGGTGTCATCAATAAGTTTTAGGAGTACAGAGGGGTCCTGAGACCAACATATTGTGCTTTAGCAGAAGACTGATTATTTTCCTGTAAGTGTTCATCTTCCATGAGGAGATAAAAGGTGCTTAGGAAAAGAGTTCTATGGAAGACTAAATTTAGGAAGCACTGCTATGTATTCACCTCTACTCTATCCCTTAAAACATATATTAAAGGGCTGGGAAATCACAATAACCCAAATACAGTTAGAGTTTGCTTAATTCAGCATTTCTCTAATTTAAACTGCTCTTGACTATCAAGTTAAAATCTTAGCAGGAATTATTTTACCAGCAAGGGAGGTTGAGATGCAGTCTCAGATTGTGAGAGAGTAATTTCATTTTAATGGCATCAGAAAGGAAAAAAAGGACATTCATAATAAGAAAGGTAAATTCTCCTAAAGATTTTTTTCAAAAAAACAGAATGCCTATGGGGAGATCAACAACTTCTGGATTACAGTTTGCAAAGACTTAATCCAGGAGTCATCTCCACTTTATTTCACTTATCCTGTTCTGCCCCTTCTTCTATGCTTATTAACTGCTTACTTCTTTTTTGCACACATATTCCACTTCCCACTGCCTGCCTCTGCCGTTTTAAAAATAAAATTTAAGAAGATATTGGTTCTTTCTTTCATTTCTTTTTCTTTGTTTTGTTCTTCTGTTTTGAAAGAGCAATCATTCCTTCTACAAAACATTTTTCTAAGCCAAGTATGTTCTTGCAGAAGGCAAAGAATGGCTGGGGGAAGGGGAAATGTTAGTTATTACTGATTGTCTGCTAATTCCTTGTACCCAGTTGCATCCTTATGATGATCCTCTCCAGACTGCCTGGGCCTCAGATTCAGAGCTGTCATTTCTCTGAGGAAAGAGGGCCCTAAATGACCAGCCACCCCAAGCACAGGGAGCCCAGGCCGCAAGGGTGTAATGAAAGGTGTTAAATTCTTTCTCTTGTTCTATTTCTGTAACACCTCAATTCTGTGACATGAAAATCTCCCTCTCTAGCTTAAAATAGTCTGTAAAGAAAGCCACAAAGCTACAAATCATTAAATATTGCCCCCAGCTGATTGCCAAGGAGCCTAAACATAACAGAGAAGGGTACTGGGAATTTGAGGAAATTATTGCAGAGGAGAAAAAAAAGAGAATGAAAGCAGCAAGACCTCAACTGGTGATTGGGGATTAGGGAATCAAGAGGGAGATACTGCTTTTTAAATGGGGAAAGACTATTTTGAGAAAGCCTTCAAAGGAGTCATGATACTAGCAAAAGAAGTCTGGAGTGGAAAGCACTTGAGCAGTTAGCAGAGCCTTTGGCCATATTATCTTCCTTATGATGAATAACCTTTTCTTTCTTTCTGATTTCCCTGGAGTCTCACTGTTTTTCACAGTGACTGGTCAGATCATTCCCGCTCAGATTTTGATAGTCAAGAACATTTTAAAATGGGGCTGGTCCCCTTGGGCATTTATATTTCAAGGTTGGGGAAAAAGGATTGAAGTAACAGATCCATAGACCCAGAGGCCTGACAGTGTGGTTGTGTAAAATTGTCGGTGTCGGTGTCTTGGGCTCAGGAGATTCCACTGGTAACCTCTCAAATGTTGTCTCCACAGGAAGGACCTAACCAACTTAGGAGGTTTATTCTCATGGTATGTTTCTGTGACTTTTTATTGTTTGACTTAATCCACTGTTAAAATAATTAATTGAGAGGTGAAGGAAACTGGAATGTCATCCCCAAAATATGCCTCTGTGAAATAAAATTATTTTTGAGTTGAAGGCAATTAAAAAGCAGCAAATGGAGGAAAAGTTCTATCTTCTTTTTTTTCTGCCTAAAGGCAGGATATAAATTCTTCTTTACTGAAGACAACTGTGACTCCTATCGGCCCAGAGAGGGTACCAGAGGAATCTGCAAAAAAATCTTAACTCTATTAGTTTCGTCCCATATATTTATTTGCCTTCTCACAGTTTCCCACCTTTGGAAGCCTAAAACTCCTCCCTTTGTTCTCTTATTCTCCACAAATTCATTTTCCTGTTGAAAATGCTATATCAGTTGGAGTTCTAAGCCTTTACTCTGAGTAACTTTTCATTGAAGTGTCTTCTGCATGAAGTGTGCTGCACACATTAATAAACTTTTCTTTTTCTCCTATTAATCTGTTATTTGTTACAGGAATCCATTCCAACTCAGAACTTATAAGGGTTGAAGAAAAAATATTTTTCCTCCCCTACAGAGGCTAGTAGCCTGAGGTTGCTCCAGAGCCCTTGGTTCCTACATAAGCAAACCAACACCAAGTCAGTGTAAATGGTCATATTCTAGGAAAATGAACCTTAAGCTTGACCAATCAAAACCCACCAAATAACTTCTAACCCGGGTCTTTCCACTACTTGAGCTTAAGCAATTAGAAACATCAACTAACCTCAAATTAGGACTTTCCACTGGAATGATCCAAATGAGGCTAGTGTTCCACACGAACCAGTCAAATATTTTCTTTGACTGCTTCGGATTTCACCTTATAAAAGCCTTCCCCTTCCACTTTTTTGGTGGAGCTCATGAAACACTTCTGGTTTACAGCAGCTCAATTCACGAATCACTGTCTGCTCAAATAAACTCTTTAAAATCGCAATGTGCCAAAGTTTGTTTTTAAACATCACATATGCTTCCTAATAGCAGGGCTTTATATCTGCTGGGCTCATTGCTGGAGTTTTACCATTGCATGGTGCATTTGCTACTTATACCTAGGTGTGGCCCTTGCTAAGATCTCAGTGAGAATCTCAATAGATCCTTTTTCATATAATGAGAAACAAAGTATTCAAAAGCTAAAGCAGTTGTCAATATATGTAAGATTAATGATTTCCATTTTTTAATTGGTCCTTCAGAAGTTTCATTATATATGTAAAGTGCTCAGAAACAGGTATATATGAAAGACTGAAGGTATAATATTTCTAGGGTATAGTAGAAACTCTGGGAGATTGGTCCCATATCCCATACATTAAATAGCTGAATAAGGATTCTCAGATAAGAATATGTTATTTTCATCTTGACCTTTCTGATAAGAATTTTTGAATCAAAGATCAATTATCTACTGATTTCAAGTAATTTGGTAGTCAGAGTGTATCTTCTTCATATTTGTAAAGGATGTAATACCTCAGAATATGTACAAAATTCAATTGATGTTGTTTAGAAACTGATATTAACAGAAGAACTAGAGTAAAACTCATTGTACTTTAAGACCAAAATTATGAGGTCATATACTAATGTTAATGTAAATTTTAAATTCTAGGATTCAAATAAAATATGCTTAAATTGATGGTGTTCTTAAAAAGATCGATCTAGCTGCTAATGGATTTGTTTGGGATTAGTCTTAGGGAAACATGAAGGACGTTCAAATTTGTCATCTTCTGCTCTTTGATTAGTGCCTACTTTTCTTTAGGAACTAGGCTTTCCAAGTCAATTTTTCTTTTAGCCCTAGAGATTTCATTCATCTTTTTTGTATTATCCTACAGAGTTAGGAGATTAGGTACATTTATTTTATGATTCTTCTCTGAATGGATTTAAATTCCTTTACTTAGAAGCTATCCCTTCAGGGAATCAAGAGGGCTTATCTTTGCTGGCCATATGGGTTCCTGTGAACTCTCTTTTACAGGATGAAAGCAATTTACATTCCAGTAATGCTGAGCTATAGTGTGTGTTTCCAACATGGGTAATTTTGCAGTTACCTTTTCCTCTGTCTAGGATGTCCCTTCCTAGCAGTTAAACTCTTTGTTCATTCTTCAAGACCCTGTTTATGAATCAATTCTTTGTGAAGCTTTTCTTTTTTATCTTTGCCTCTCTCATTCCCTGCGCCTAATCCTAGGCCAAAGTTGATCAGTTTTTTTCTCTAGCATCTCTACTTCATGGACATATCTACATTATTACATTAATCATACCTGACTGTGGCCATGATGTTAACTCTCCTTGTTTTGTTTTGCTTTCTGGGACTAAGGTTGTTGTTCTTTCCAATTCCTGTAAGCTGAACCCCTGGGTCTCCACACATCTCTTTAATAATAAGTTATATGGAATAATAACAACAAATATTTTAAAAAGTGCTTATTACCACATTTGATCAATTCTGAGAGTCACATATGCTCCCCTGCCCCATATTTAAACATCTCTAAAAACAGGATGCATTTTAAAATTGATGAAGTCTTAGGTTTGATGAAATACAATGTATGCCAGCCACTATATTAATTTCATAATATTACATTTCATCCTTAATAATCCAGTATGGTAAAGTACTATTAATATTCTAGTTTATAGGTGAGGAAACAGAAGCTTAGAGGGATTAAATAACTGGCTTAGGGTCACATAGCTAATAAGAGGCAGAGCAAGGACTGAAACTTATGTATGTATGGCTCCATCATCCCTGTTTTTAATCGTTGTGCTTGGCAGGAGTGAAAACAATGAAAGAAAACTGACATTTTTAGGATCTTTATTATGTGCCATCCACTGTGCTAAGTCCTTTACATACTACTTTCCAATTTATTCTCACAAAAACATTGTGAGGTAATCACTGTAATCTTTATAGACAAAGAAACTGAGGCTCATTTTAGATAGATGATTTAAAGTTACATAGTTGGGGCTGGACATGGTGGCTCAGGCTTGTAATCCCAGCACTTTGAGAGGCCGAGGTGGGAGGATCGCTTGAGCCCAGGAGTTCGAGACCAGTCTGAGCAACATAGCAAAATCCAATCTCTACAAAAAATCCAAAAATATTAGCCAGGTGTGGTGGCACGTGCCTGCAGTCGCAACTACTCAGGCGACTGAGGTGGCAGGATCACTTGAGTACAGGAGTTCGAGTCTGCAGTGAGCTGTGATTGCATCACTGTACTCCAGCCTAGGTGACAGAGTGATACCCTATCTCAAAATGAATGTATGAATAAATAGATAAATTCACATAGTTGGGAAGTTCTGAAGCCAGGATTTTAACCCAGGTCAGGTGGGTTTCAAAGTTGCTTTTACCATAATTTTAGCAAACAATCCACTTTCAGTCTAAAGGTCACTACCCATTGATAGAGGCAATCTGAACAAATGATATAAAAATTAATTTCTAAGATGGCAAAATTAGACATTAATTTCTTGTATGAGAATCTTAGAGTGTCTTAGACTCTAAGCTTTCCTTAAAGATAAAAGAGGGTAAGTACCAGTGATCACTCTGCTGATAATCTGTCCTATAAACTAGTCTCAGGGGTGTTTGCGGACCTGCAGAGTGAAGATAATGTTCTTTAGCCTCCACTGCCTCACCCTGTACTTTAGCAATGGGTAACAAGGTGATAAAATAGGACTCTAATTTAGCTGTTCCCTGCCCTGTAGCTTTGTGTCAAAGTACATTGATTTGGAATCATAAACTATGTTTAACCAATATTCCATTTATTAAACTGCTTGATTTATGGCCCTATGGGCTTGATCTTATTAACCTGCTGATTTAGCCTGGGATACACTATTAACCCATTGGACATTCCATTATGTGTGATGCTTATCATTTGCATTTATTTTGTCTTTCATGAAGAAATATCCTGTTTTAGTCTGTTTTGTGTTGCTGTAACATAATACCTGGGACTGGGTAATTCATAAAGAAAAAAAGGTTTATTTGGCTTATGATTCTGGTGGCTGGAAAGTTCAAGATTGGACATCTGGTACAGGCCTCTGGCTGCTTCCACTCATGGCAGAGGCAAAGGGGAGGTGGTGTGTGCAGTGGTCACATGCTGAGAGAATAAGTAAGAGAGGCGAGGGGAGATAACAGGCTCTTTTAAACAACCAGCTTTCATGGGAACTAATAGAGTGAGAACTCACTCATTCCAAAGGAGGACATTTATCTATTCTTGAGAAATCTCCTCCCCTATGACCCAAGCACCTCCTGCTATTCTCCATCTCCAACACTGGGGAGATCAAATTTCAATGTGAGCTTTGGAGGAGACAAACATCCAAACCATAGCATACCCTTTCCCCCTTTTTAAGGAAAAAGCAAAACTAGTCATGAACTAGTGAGTTGAGTTCATTGCAAGAATTCAAGTACATAGTGTTTATGTATATTCAGCCCTTTCAAAGAGTATAGCATGTGAATATAGCAACGGTTTTAATTTTTACCTGTGTGAATTTTGATATGTAACCAGAGTTAATGAATTTAAGTATAGTATTCTAAGGTAGTGGCTCACAAAATGTGGTCTATAAAGTATTAGCCCTAAGAATTGACTTTTCCAAAATGGGTTCTATGGTCAAATTTAGGAAATAGAGCAAAGCTATTCCTCCATTATAGAGCTTAAGATCAGTTTGTTAAAGCTCTGATAAGTCTGGCTATAAAGAACTCCATTAAATTTTATTTAACCCAGTGATCCCCAAGCTTACATGAACATGGAATTTGTTTCTTGCTAAGCCTGTTTGCTGACTTCTCACAGAACTAATGTTCCCTTAATGCACTTCAGGGTATACTGTCTGTGACAGAGACTGCAGTCATTCTCCTTTTCCTTTTAGTAAGATAACCCTTGAATTTTAGCTAGGCACACAGCTTTACAGTTGTAGACCATGTTTTCCAGCTTCTTTGCAACTAACGTGGCTATGTGAATAAGTTTTTGCCAACAGAATGTGGGCAAAAATGATGTAGGCAACTTCTGGGTCACTTCTGTAAGAAGAAGTACTTGCCACTCTGCTTTCTATCTTTCCCCATTCTTGCCAGCTAGAGCACAGATATATGCTGGTGACTCAACTTTGACTATATGGCCAGGTCAACACTTCAGAGGATGTGGAGTAAGAACATAAAATGACTTTCGGTCCTGGATAATGTTATGGACTAGCCATGCATCTCTAAATTGTTTCATGGAAGAGAAATAAAATTCCAGTTTGAACCATTGTGGTTTGGATGTCTTTGTTACAGCAGCTTAACTAACCTGTCACTACTCACTGCCCTAGAATTCTCTAGGAATTTTATGCTTGGGTTAACATAAACTTCCTGAATTTTATTGGCTTTTCTTAATAAATGTTTTTAACGAGTGATAGAGAAATTCCATGTGCTTTGGAGGAAGCTAAAAATTTAGGTTAAAAAGAAATTTAGAGTGAAGCAAAGTTGTAGACTTAGCATTAAAATATTAAGAACACTCAAATCATGAAATATTTGCCTAGAAGGAGCCAGGTTAAAGACTAGACTTTCTAATGAAAGAAGATGAGGATTTAAATGACTCATGTTATGTATAGCATCATTAATTCTTCTAAGTGTGTTTATACATAAATGTCTCAAGCTACTGAAATAAATGAATGATTATTAGCTTTAAAAAGAAAACCTTTGGGGTTTTCTGTGTCTGCTCAGTATTTTATTTCAAGGCTTATCCAAGACTTCTAATAGCAGACACACTGGCAACAATGTCAATTCTGACCTCAGTCAAACATAATAAGGGAGAGCAAATTGTGTTTTCTTCAGAAAAGAAAACCACAGCATATTTTCCTCCTGGAATAATTCGATTTCCTTTTGCTATAGAAAGTCCAGAAAAAATGGCTGCAAATCTACCATAAGCTCCACAAGTTGAAGCTGAATGTCTGTGATTTTACTTCCCATGATGACTTTCCTACACTAATGCTCGACTTTCTACTTCAGGGCCCCTGATTACTAGATGTGCTGCAAGATCTTAATGTAACTAAGCATGCTTGGCTTGGCTCTGCTTTGGGGCAATGGCATCTTGCCTGCTTCTGTGATGAATGTGTCTAGAGCTTTAGCCCTGAAAACTCCAATCTCCAAGGAATAGTCAATTTTGTCTTTGACATTTATGAAGGACACCTGTGTAATGTCTGACCATGGCCTGGATCCTTGTATCTCCACATTTATCATGGTACCTGTGTTTAGCTGCAAGCCTAGCAATGAAAAGGGGCAGTTTACTAATTGGGAATCATAACAAGCTTTGACTTTTTCATTGCAACATCTGCGAAGCAGTATGATATTTGATTAGTGTCTAAAACCTTCATTTCATTTACTACCAGAAGCAGATCAAATTTCAGATTTTTTTTGCTGGCATTAGAGTCAAGATAAATCTTTTATAAGAGTATACAGGAATTCCAAAGAAAAAGTAAAACCAATGATTTCTTAGATTTTCCTTGTTTTATGTTGAGTTTCCTAAAAATGAAAAGGAATTGTTTCTTGGGAGAAAGTTAAAAACCACTTGTGCAGAATGAAAAACAGAAAAGGAGGCGCGATACTTCATATTTCTAGACTTCTGAGGGCTAATTTGATTCATTTTCTGTTCCTTATTATCTAAAGATTACAATATAGTTTTTTTGCAGATTATCTTGTCTCTAGAATATTCTTATTCATCTGTCAATGAAATCCAAAGGCACCTATGGGAGATTATTCTTTAAAGGATTCACACATAGTCACTATTTACAAAACAAAAAAGCACTTGTCATCTACCTTATAACCTTATAACATCTCTTTTTTTTTTTTTTTTTTTTTTTAAGATGGAGTCTTGCTCTGTCACCCAGGCTGGAGTACATTGGTGAGAGCTTGGATCATTGCAACCTCCACCTCCCGGGTTCAAGTGATTCTCCTGCCTCAGCCTCCCAAGTAGCTGGGATTACAGGCATGTGCCACCATGCCTGGCTAATTTTTGTGTTTTTAGTAGAGACAGGGTTTTGCCATGTTGGTCAGGTTGGTTTAGAACTCCTGACCTCAACTGATCCACCCCCCTCGGCCTCCCGAAGTGCTGGGACCACAGGCATGAGCCACTGTGCCCAGCCTATACCATCTTTTAAGAAGAAATTTATGAGTCTTTGGGGTGCATGTGCTATAAAAATGCAAAATCATGGTAATAGATGATGTAAAGACAAAAAGGTTTCTACGGAGTCCCTTTGTAAAAGAAAACAAAAGCATGGGTTCCACTCAATATTGATGACAGGATACACCTGCCTCTGTCCCAGACTGCTAATTCTTCCTTTTTCTTTTTTTTTTTTTAAATAAGCAAAAAATTCCAATTCCACCATTCCATTCCTGAAATTAGCTCTTAGCCCAATTCAGATTGCAGAATTCCAAAGAACATGGGTCACAGTTGCGTAGCTTTCTTGGTGAAGAGTCTTAGTGCAGCATCACCTGTGAGTAAATGCTTAATAAACAGGTTTTGGATCATGATGTCTTTTTGATTTTAGAAAAAAAACTATTCTTTCAATGGAATAACTTTCAGTTGCAACTTGTTAAATAAACTGGCCAGCTGCCTGAAATCCTTTCTGAAAAGAGGTACAATTTATTCAATAAATAAAATGAGAGATCCACTCATCAATGCAACTCCTTTGCATTCTTTAACATGACTTCAGCAGAACACCATGTTAGGCTTGTGTCGTCATTTGTGTAACGCTCAAATTTTACTGACTGTGTGAGGCTTCGCCTCCTGAAAACTCCCTGCTAAGTATATTTTAGGGTATGTTTAGGGGATCTCTCCTATGCACTCAGAAATAGCCTTTCTGCTCAATGATGTCCCTATCTGAGAAAGACATCTGGGAGTGGTTGCTGCCTGTTGTCATTATACTCCTGGACCTCTAAAGCTGCAACCTGGAGGGACCAAGGAGAGTTGCATATCCTGCAATCAACATTGGCCCAGAAAGAAGCTGTGTTCCACACAGAAAATGTTTTGCCAGCTGGGCACACAGAGGTCTGCTTAGACTGTGTCTCCTATGTTCCTTTGGGAAATAGTTTTTTCTGTTTTTGTCTGTAGCACCTGTCTCCTTAGAGCTCAAACAAGAGTCTGTGAGGTCTGAGCAGGACAGCCACCATCCTGTTCCCCTCAAATCTCAGATATCTCCTGCAGAGTGCCTTGAAAAGTTCTACTCCATGCAGCCACCTTCTCCCTAGGCAAATCGGTTTGTACAGAAAACTCTAGGTTACCACTACCTCATTAGACATGCCCAGACTCTCTGAATCCCAGCAGAGGAAACGACTTAGGCTGAGACCAAAGCCCAAAGCCCCTGTACATGCTTAACAAAAATGCACACAAAATACTGTGAAATATAAGGTCTTTCCATGAAAAATGTCTCATATTAACTAGGTTTGTACATGCACGCTTCATTTATACTCCAAATAAATTCCTAGGCTCCATATGGCC
Organism: Homo sapiens; assembly: GCF_000001405.40. Classification (NCBI taxonomy): domain Eukaryota; kingdom Metazoa; phylum Chordata; class Mammalia; order Primates; family Hominidae; genus Homo; species Homo sapiens. The sequence continues at coordinate 127,519,314 of NC_000004.12, read as the reverse complement.
CAATCTTGGCTTAATGCCACATTAAAGAAACTCACTCTAGCAACCAGAAGTGATTAAAAAGTAATTTCCATATTTATTGGGGCATCCTTAACTACATTAAGAGACACAAGTTCGTAACCCTTAGTAACATTTCTAGAAGCTCCTTTTCTTCTTCTCCTCTGTTCTCTCACATCCTTCAGCACTCCTGATGCCTCTGTTTATGCTAAGCCCCCAATATCCTCTCTCCCAAACTTGCCTCCATGTCTTTTACTTTTTCTTCCTCTTCTCTTCATTTCTCACCTTTCCAGTTTGTTCTTCTTTATCTTAAAACCTGGCAATTTCTGGCAAAACTGAACTCATCTTAATGAGTCCGAATTAATGGGCCAAAATGTCAGGGAAGTTAAGCAGAACAAGATAAGATCCTTTTTAGTGAGCAGAAAATGTGGGGATAAATCAATAATTTTTGTTCCTATTATACATTCATCAAACATCGATTTAGTCCCTATTATATATAGCAGGCCTTATGGAGACTGAGAACAGAAGTAAATAAGACATTGTGTCTAACTTCAGGATACTCAACTTTAGTAGAGGATAGAGGCATATAGACAAATGATTATAATGAGTGAGGTGGGCAGAAAACCTGGGTTAGATATTAGACTGTGAGTGTGATGGGCTTCAGGATATGCTACCCCAAAATATGGCACCTTGGCACATTGAATATTTTCAGAAGGAATTGGAGAAGCAGCACGTGCAGGAAGGTCTCTCTGACCTTGCCCCACTCTTTTCCTCTGAAACAGTTCATAAAACCCTCGTGTGAGAAGTGCCTTCCTAGACCCAGAGGAAAGGAACATCTTTATCTCCAAAGACAGAGACACAGAGAAGAATCTGAACAAGCAGGACTTGCTAAGTTTCTCCCAGTTCACTACCATTAGATTGTACCCTTTTTGGCCTATCATATTTCTACACAACTCTCCATTCTTCATCAAACCTCATGGAAACATGAAGGACACTCAAAGTTTACATCTTTTGCTCTTCTGTTAGTGCACACTTTAGCATAAAAATACTCATGTGTCATCAGGTCTTCATTTCCTTATGAAGACTCCTGTGTCATGTAAAACTTACATTAAGGACATTTGTATGCTTTTCATTTGTTAATTTGTCTTTTGTTATAGGGACCTTAGCCATAAAGCTGGCTAGAATGTGGGTAGAAAAAAACTATATTTTTTCTCCTTTATAGGTGACACCAACCTTGGGTGGGCCTCAGTCATAAACCTTGAGGTTTAGGGCCTCAGCCATAAACCTTGCTAGAATGGAGGTAGAAAAAAAACTATATTTTTTTCTCCCTTATAGGTGACACCAAGCTTGGGTGGGCCAATAAAGGTGTTGGGAAGAAAAACTTTTCCCCCACCTACTTAAATTCAGTGACTGTGGGTCTGTGAATTCAGCTGACAAAAGACAGATTAACAGGAGAAAAGGAATACAGATTTATTAATATTTTAAATGTGTATGGGAATCATAGAAAAGAAATAAAATTCAAAAAGTGGCTAACATATATATAAGAAAGGTATATAACTTACATACCCTTCTTAACAAATGAAAGAGGGTTTGGGCTTCAAAGGACAATAGACGGTGGGAAAATGACTAGGAAATGTATCTGCCCTGCCCTTATTTGCCTATTCTAAATTGCCTCAAATAATCCTTATGCCAAAATGGTATATTTTGGGATGGTGTATCCTGATCTCCTTCAAAGCCTTCACAGAGAAGACCTTGACCACTAAGAATAAGTTGTAGTTTTTCAAGTGAGTAGGCAAAGTTTCCTTAAGCCAGGTACCCAAGAATTATCCCAGAGTCTTCCCACTCCTTTATCCTCCACAAATGCTTCTAGCACTCATGGCCTAGTAAGCCTATCTGTTTAATATCTCTTTTATCCATCTCTTTGTGCCCATCCACGTTGCTATTGTTTACGTTAGTGTATCTATCACTTTGAAAGTCTACAACTGACTTCTTGCCTAAATTTGGTACTTTTTGAAAATATTTATCATATTACCTTTAGTCTAAATCATTAGTTTTCAAATTTTTTGGTCTCAAGACATTTTTACACTCTTAAAAATTATTAAGGACCTCAACAAACTTTTGTTTGAATGCGATAGAAATATTTATAAGAAGTTAACACTGAGAAATTTAAAAATTAAATAAAAAATTTAAAAATTAAATCTCATTTTTACATATCAACTGTCAGGCCTCTGAGCCCAATCTAAGCCATCATATCCCCTGTGACCTGCATGTACACATCCAGATGGTCAATTCCTGCCTTAACTGATGACATTATCTTGTGAAATTCCTTCTCCTGGCTCAAAAGCTCCCCTACTGAGCACCTTGTGACCCCCACTCCTGCCCGCCAGAGAACAATCCCCCTTTGACTGTAATTTTCCTTTACCTACCAAAATCTTATAAAACGGCCCCACCCTTATCTCCCTTCGCTGACTCTCTTTTTGGACTCAGCCCACCTGCACCCAGGTGATTAAAAGCTCTACTGCTCACACAAAGCCTGTTTGGTGGTCTCTTCACACAGACATGCATGAAATTTGGTGCCGTGACTCCGATCGGGGGACCTCCCTTGGGAGATCAATCCCCTGTCCTCCTGCTCTTTGCTCTATGAAAAAGATCCACTTACAACCTCGGGTCCTCAGACCCACCAGCCCAAGGAATATCTCACCAATTTTAAATCGGGTAAGCGGCCTCTTCTTACTCTCTTTTCCAACCTCTCTCACTATCCCTCAACCACTTTCTCCTTTCAATCTTGGTACCACCCTTCAATCTCTCCCTTCTCTTAATTTCAATTCCTTTCATTTTCTGGTAGAGACAAAGGAGACACATATTATCCATAGACTCAAAACTCTGGCGCCAGTCACAGACTCTGGAAGACAGTCTTCCCTTGGTGTTTAATCACACAGGGACGCCTGCCTGATTATTCACCCACGTTTCAGAGGTGTCTGACCATGCGGGGATGCCTGCCTTGGTGCTTCATCCTTAGCGGCAAGTACCGCTTTTCTGGGGGGCAAGAACCCCCCAACTCCTTCTCTCCATGTCTCTACCCCTTGTCTGCTTTTCTGGGGGGCAAGAACCCCCAACCCCTTCTCCTTCACCCTTAGGAGCAAGTACCACTTTTCTAGGGGGCAAGAACCCCCCGATCCCTTATTTCTGCACCCTGACCTCTTATCTCTGTGCCCCAATCCCTTATTTCCATGCCCCGATCTCTTATCTCTGTGCCCCAACTCCTTATTTCCATGCCCTGACCCCTTTCCCACTTTTCTGGAGGGTAAGAACCCCCAAACCCCTTCCCTCTCTGTCTCTACTCTCTCTTTTCTCTGGGCTTGCCTCCTTCACTATGGGCAAACTTCCACCCTCCATTCCTCCTTCTTCTCCCTTAGCCTATGTTCTCAAGAACTTAAAACCTCTTCAACTCACACCTGACCTAAAACCTAAATGCTTTATTTTCTTCTGCAATGCCGCTTGACCCCAATACAAACTCGACAGTGGTTCCAAATAGCCAGAAAATGGCACTTTTGATTTTTCCATCCTACAAGATCTAAATAATTCTTGTCGTAAATGGGCAAACGGTCTGAGGTGCCTGATGTCCAGGCATTATTTTACACATCGGTCTCTCCCTATTCTCTGTTCCCAATGCAACTCATCCGAAATCTTCCTTCCCTCCTGCCTATCCCCTCAGTCCCAACCCCAAGCATCGCTGAGTCTTTCTAATCTTCCTTTTCTACAGACTCATCTGACCTCTCTCCTCCTAGCCAGGCCGAGCTAGGTCCCAATTCTTCCTCAGCCTCCGCTCCTCCACCCTATAATCCTTTTATCACCTCCGCTCCTCACACCCGGTCTGGCTTACAGTTTCTTTCCGTGACTAGCCCTCCCCCACCTGCCCAGCAATTTCCTCTTAAAAAGTGGCTGGAGCTAAAGACATAGTCAAGGTTAATGCTCCTTTTTCTTTATCTGACCTCTCCCAAAATCAGTTAGTGTTTAGGCTCTTTTTCATCAAATATAAAAACCCAGCCCAGTTCATGGCTTGTTTGGCAGCAACCCTGAGAAGCTTTACAGCCCTAGACCCTGAAAGGTCAGAAGGCCGTCTTATTCTCAATATGCATTTTATTTTATTACCCAATCTGCTCCTGACATAAAATAAATCTCCAAAAATTAAATTCTGGCCCTCAAACCCCACAGCAGGACTTAATTAACCTCACCTTCAAGGTGTACAATAATAGAGTAGAGGCAGCCAAGTAGCAACATATTTCTGAGTTGCAATTCCTTGCCTCCACTATGAGACAAACCTCAGCCAATCTCCTGCACACAAGAACTCCAAACACCTGAACCGCAGCTGCCAGGGGTTCCGCCAGAACCTCCTCCCCCAGGAGCTTGTTACAAGTGCCAGAAATCTGGCCACTGGGCCAAGGAATGCCCACAGCCCGGGATTCCTCCTAAGTCATATCCCATCTGTGTGGGACCCCACTGAAAATTGGACTGTTCAACTCACCTGGCAGCCACTCCCAGAACCCCTGGAACTCTGGCCCAAGGCTCTCTGACTGACTCCTTCCCAGATCTTCTCGGCTTAGCAGCTGAAGACTGACGCTGCCCAATCGCCTCGGAAGCCTACAGGATCATCACAGACGCTCTGGGTAACTCTCACAGTGGAGGGTAAGTCCATCTCCTTCTTAGTCTATACGGAGTCTCCCCACTCCACATTACCTTCTTTTCAAGAGCCTGTTTCCCTTGCCTCCATAACTGTTGTGGGTATTGACGGCCAGGCTTCTAAACCTCTTAAAACTCCCCAACTCTGGTGCCAACTTAGACAATACTCTTTTAAGCACTCCTTTTTAGTTATCCCCACCTGCCCAGTTCCCTTATTAGGCCGAGACACTTTAACTAAATTATCTGCTTCCCTGACTATTCCTGGGCTAGAGCCACACCTCATTGCCACCTTTTCCCTCAGTTCAAAGCCTCCTTCACATCCTCCCCTTGTATCTCCCCACCTTAACCCACAAGTATAAAACACCTCTACTCCCTCCTTAGTGACCGATCATACACCCCTTACCATCCCATTAAAACTGAATCACCCTTACCTCGCTCAATGCCAATATCCCATCCCACAGCATGCTTTAAAAGGATTAAAGTCTGTTATCACTCGCCTGTTATAGCATGGCCTTTTAAAGCCTATAAACTCTCCTTACAATTCCCCCATTGTACCTGTCCTAAAACCAGACAAGACTTACAGGTTAGTTCAGGATCTGCACCTTATCAACCAAATTGTTTTGCCTATCCACCCCGTGGTGCCAAACCCATATACTCTCCTATCCTCAATACCTGCCTCTACAACCCATTATTCTGTTGTAGATCTCAAACATGCTTTCTTTACTATTCTTTTGCACCCTTCATCCCAGCCTCTCTTCGCTTTTAGGCTCAGCAAATTACCTCGGCTGTACTGCCACAAGCCTTCACAGACAGCCCCCATTACTTCAATCAAGCCCAAATTTCATCCTCATCTGTTACCTATCTTGGCATAATTCTCATAAAAACACACGTGCTCTCCCTGCTGATCATGTCCGACTAATCTCCCAAACCTCAATCCCTTCTACAAAACAACAACTCCTTTCCTTCCTAGGCATGGTTAATGCGGTCAGAATTCATACACAAGAGCCAGGACTGCACCCTGTAGCCTTTCTGCCCAAACAACTTGACCTTTCTGTTTTAGCCTAGCCCTCATGTCTGTGTGCAGCAGCTGCCACTGCTTTAATACTTTTAGAGGCCCTCAAAATCACAAACTATGCTCAACTCACTCTCTACATTTCTCATAACTTCCAAAATCTATTTTCTTCCTCATACCTGACGCATATACTTTCTGCTCCCCGGCTCCTTCAGCTATACTCACTCTTTGTTGAGTCTCCCACAATTACCATTGTTCCTGGCATGGACTTCAATCTGGCCTCCCACATTATTCTGGATACTACACCTGACCCTCATGACTGTATCTCTCTGATCCACCTGGCATTCAACTCATTTCCCCATATTTCCTTCTTTCCTGTTCCTCACCCTGATCACATTTAGTTTATTGATGGCAGTTCCGCCAGGCCTAATCGCCACTCGCCAGCAAAGCCAGGCTATGCTATCATATCTTCCACATCTATCGTTGAGGCTACCACTCTGCCCCCCTCTACTACCTCTCAGCAAGTCAAATTAGTTGCCTTAACTCAAGCCCTCACTCTTGCAAAAGGACTACGTATCAATATTTATACTGACTCTAAATATGCCTTTCATGTTCTGCACCACCATGCTGTTATATAAGCTGCATTAATGCCTCTTTAATAAAAACTCTGCTCAAGGCCGCTTTACTTCCAAAGGAAGGTGGAGTCATTCACTGCAAAGACCATCAAAAGGTGTCAGATCCCATTGCTGTAGGCAAGGCTTATGCTGATAAGGTGGCTAGACAAGCAGCTAGCTTTCCAACTTCTGTCCCTCACGGCCAGTTTTTCTCCTTCATATCAGTCACTCCCATCTACTCCCCTGCTGAAACTTCCACCTATCAATCTCTTCCCACACAAGGCAAATGTTTCTTAGACCAAGGAAAATATCTCCTTCCAGCCTCACAGGCCCATTCTATTCTGTCGTCATTTCATAACCTCGTCCATGTAGGTTACAAGCCACTAGCCCATCTCTTAGAAACTCTCATTTCCTTTCCATCCTGGAAATCTATCCTCAAAGAAATCACTTCTCAGTGTTCTATTTGCTATTCTACTACCGCTCGGGGATTGTTCAGGCTTCCTTCCTTTCTTACACATCAAGCTCGAGGATTTGCCCCTGCCCAGGACTGGCAAATTGACTTTACTCACATGCCCTGAGTCGGATAACTAAAACACCTCTTAGTCTAGGAAGACATTTTCACTGGATGGGTAGAGGCCTTTCCTACAGGGTCTGAGAAGGCCACTGCGGTTATTTCTTCCCTTCTGTTAGACATAATTCCTCGGTTTGGCCTTCCCACCTCTATACAGTCCGATAGCAGACCGGTCTTTATTAGTCAAATCAGCCAAGCATTTTTTCAGGCTCTTGGTATTCAGTGAAACCTTTATATCCCTTACAGTCCTCAGTCTTCAGGAAAAGTAGAACACACTAATGGTCTTTTAAAAACACACCTCACCAAGCTCAGCCACCAACTTAAAAAGGACTGGACAATACTTTTACCACTTTTCCTTCTCAGAATTCAGGCCTGTCCTCAGAATGCTACAGGGTACAGCCCATTTGAGCTCCTGTATGTATGCTCCTTTTTATTAAGCCCCAGTCTCATTCCAGACACCAGACCAACTTGGACTGTGCCCCAAAAACTTGTCATCCCTACTATCTTCTGTCTAGTCATACTCCTATTCACCGTTCTCAACTACTCATACATGCCCTGCTCTTGTTTACACTGCCGGTTTACACTGTTTCTCCAAGCCATCACTGCTGATATCTCCTGGTGCTATCCCCAAACTGCCACTCTTAACTCTTGAAGTAAATAAATAATCTTTGCTGGCAGGACTATGCTGAACCTCCTTAGGCACTCTCTAATTAGATGTCCTGGGTCCTCCCAATTCTTAGACCTTTAATACCTGTTTTTCTCCTTCTCTTATTCCATTTAGTTTTTCAATTCATACAAAACTGTATCCAGGCCATCACCAATAATTCTAAATGACAAATGTTTCTTCTAACAGTCCCACAATATCACTCCTTACCACAAAACCTTCCTTCAGCTTAATCTCTCCCACTCTAGGTTCCCACGCTGCCCCTAATCCTGCTCGAAGCAGCCCTGAGAAACATCGCCCATGTCTCTCCATACAATCCCCCAAAATTTTCGCTGCCCCAACACTTTACCACTATTTCATTTTATTTTTCTTATTAATAAAAGAAGACAGGAATGTCAGGCCTCTGAGCCCAAGCTAAGCCATCATATCCCCTGTGACCTGCACGTGCACATCCAGATGGCCAGTTCCTGCCTTAACTGATGACATTATCTTGTGAAATTCCTTCTCCTGGCTCAAAAGCTCCCCTACTGAGCACCTTGTGACCCCCACTCTTGCCCGCCAGAGAACAACCCCCCTTTGACTGTAATTTTCCTTTACCTACCAAAATCTTATAAAATGGCCCCACCCTTATCTACCTTCACTGACTCTCTTTTCGGAGTCAGCCCACCTGCACCCAGGTGATTAAAAGCTTTATTGCTCACACAAAGCCTGTCTGGTGGTCTCTTCACACGGACGCGCATGAAATCAACTAATAACATTTTTATGAAAATATATTTTATAAAATAAAATTTAGTGAGAAGTGTGGCATTGTTTTTTTCAAATCTTTGTTATGTGTGTTTTAATAGAAGACAGATGAATTATTTTTACATTCAATCTATTGTGATATCACATGTCATGTAGCCTCTCTAAGCCTCCGTGGTACACTCATAAGAAAATGAATGTGAACAGTATTACTGTGAAATAGTTTTGACCTTGCAAACATTCTAAAATGGTCTTGGGGACCCCAGGGCTTCTTGGACTACACTCTGAGAACTGCTGCTATACCTCTTTCTCAAGTACTAACCTGATTATGTTTTCCATCTGCTTAAAAGCTTTCAGAAACTCCCCTTTGCCTACAAAATAAAGCAAATGAAAAAGTGGGAAGATTCTAAGGTCACTCCTAGGTTTTGAGCTTAAGTAATTGAATAATCAAAATAGAGAATTAGAAAGAAAAAGCATGCTTTTCACAGTAATGAAGTTGATAAATTCAGTTTTTTAAAGGCATGTTTTTGAGGTAAGTATAGTATACAACAAACCATTCAGAACACTTAATGGCTTAATATGACATTTGTTTATTATTTCTTGTAAGACTGTGGGTTGGCTGGACCAAGGTATGCTGATCTTGACCAGCTTGCTCATGTTTTTGATGTCAATTGGTGGATTGGCTAGGACCTGGCTGGAGCCTGATTAGTATGCCTTCCTATAATGTATTTGAACATTATTTTTTGAATTCTATTTTTAATTTATTATTTGTATTTTGGAGTACCTTACTTTACTTTGTATTGTTTTCTTAGTGGTTTTTCTAGGCATTACTCTCTCTCTCTCTCTCTGTGTATATATATATGTAACAAATATATATAAAGGAAGCACAGCCTGCAGGTGTTGTGTTACCATCTTAGGAAAAGTGCTGAAACTTTATTTCCATTTAAGTCCCTTTACCTTGCTCACTTTTAAAACACAATTGTCAAGTATTCCCTCTACACACATTGAACATCACATCAGATGGTGTCATATATTTTTAACCCTCTAATATGATATAATAAATTCATGAAGAGAAGAATAGTAAATGAAAATTCATGATATAAGAAATTCATGAAGAGAAGAATAGTAAATAGAATATTTACCCATATTTTTGTCCTTCTAATTTTTTCTTTCTGAAGTTTCAAGTCTTCTTCTCTAATCATATCTTATCAGTTTGGAGGGCTTTTTTAGCCATTCTTTAAGGGTTGGTCTGCTTATCACTACTAATTTTTTTAGTTTTCTTTCTCCTAATAATGTTTTTATTTTCTCTTAATTCCTGAAAGATGGTTTCCCAGATATGGAACTTGAGGTTGATAGTTTTATTTCAGCACTTGAAAAATGTTGTGCCACCCTGTCCTGGCTTCCGTGCTTTCAGATGAGAAATCTTCTGCATTAGAATTGGTGTTCCCTTATGGGGATGTGGTAATGTGTTGTTTCTCTCTTGTTGCTTCTAAGAATTTTTTTCTTTGTCTTTACACTGTGTTCATTTTTTTATTTGTGTATTCAGAAGTCGATGATATGTCTTGGGATAAATGTGCTTGAGCTTATCCTATTTGGGGCTGGCTCAGCCTCTTGAATCTGTATGTTTATGTCTTCTGCCAAATTTGGAAGGTTTTCAGGCATTTTTTTCTTAGAGTATTTTTTGTTAGCCCCACATCTTTCCTCCTTTCCTTCTTAAAACTTCAGTAATACAAATGTTGTATATTTTGTCAATGACTCACAGGTCCCTAAGGCTCTGTTCATTTTTAGTCTATTTTTTTTCTGTTGTTTAGATTGAGTATATTCTATTTAGATCTGTCCTCAAAATCACTGATTTTATTCTCTGTCATCTCCACTCTGCTATAGAGCCTATCCAGTGAAGGATTTTTGGTTATTATTTTTTTCAGCTCTAGAATTCCCATTTGGTTCTTTAAAAAAAAACAAAAAACTTCTATCTCTTTGCTGAGATTTTTCTATTTTTCATTTATTTTGAGAGATTTCATAATCGCTTGTTGAAGCATTTAAAAAAAAATGATGGTGGCTTTAAAATCCATCTCAGATAATTACGATTTCTGAATTATCTCAGTTTCGGTGTCAGTTGATTGTCTTTTGTTATTCAAGTTGTGATTTTCTTGGTTTGCAATGATGAATGATTTTTCATTGTATACTAGACATTCTGGCTATTATGTTAAGAGATTCCTGATCTGATTTAAATCTTCTCTTTTAGCAGGTAGTTACCCTGTTTAGGTTTAGCATGTAGCTTCTGGTTTACTTTTGTGGATTGTTGTTCAAATGCAATTAGTTTTCAGAGGACTTTTAATACTATTTTGTTTTGCTTTGCTCTTCCTGTTCTATTTGGGTTCCTATTTGGGGCCTGCCAGTGGCACCTATGAGGTAGAAGTTGCTTCCCTGGGCCTCCCCCAGTGTCATCAGGTGGGCAGTGGGGGGATGCTGGACCTGCAGTATGGTGAACATTCCACCTGGCCTCCTCTTCATTCACAGTGCTAGTAAACTTCCTGTGCTCAATCTCTGCTGGTTCTTTTGTAGGAGGAAAATGCCTACTGAGGCTGCTTTCTGCAACTGGTGGAGGGTCAGGTGATATCACATCTAGGTCACTCTTTTCTACTGGCTGGAGGGCCAGAAGACACTGGCAGTCTCCTGCTGTGGTGTGGAGAGCTGGGAGACCCTGGGCCTGGGTTGTCCTCCACCACTGGGTGGAGGGCTGGGAGGTATCCTGTTTGCTTTTAATGTTCCTCCTCTGTGTTCTTACAATGCCCTGCATTGGTATTTATTACATTACATATTAAACATTGAACTTTTTACAGGCATGGACTACATCTCCAATATTTAAACACAATGCCTAACATGTCGCAGGCTTTCAATAACCGTTTGAGGAATGAATGTATGGTGGAGCTTGACACTACAAAAAGGAGGCTGACAACAAGAAGCCATTACAGACTTTTGAACTCAGTTGTGACATGATGAAAGTTGTGATCTAGGAAGATTATACTATTATTATGGATGTAGTAAAAAATAAGGTGGGCTGACTCATCTACCAGGTTGATAACTACTTTTTTCCCTCCTTCCCAATACCTGGTGTTTGTCACATAGTTAAACACAATTTTATAGTTTGGAGAGTAAAACCCATAGACATATGAATCAGTAAAGTTACTAAATTAATGAAAAAAATGAACTATCATTCAAATATTCTCAATGAAAGACTTAATATGCAAATGGACAATGACAAGACTACATATGACAATACAACTCTGAACCACATGCCCAGGAAGCAAAACCACAACCTTTGCAGCAATTGGACCAGAGTGGTCAGGGCTTAGCCATTGATGTCCAAGCTTCCAGATAAAGCAACAGAATGCTTCCAAATAAGGATCAATCAGAGAAAGTCAAATGTGCTCTCCAAATCAATGATATAATTTGCTTTACTTCTAGGTAGCCCAACGCCAGCTTCCCCATGACAACAACCTACAATCAGGGGGTACCTGAACCTTTTGGTTCACTATAAAGCTTTCCCACTTTGTGGCTTGTCTTTAAGTCTTTGCCAAATGCAAGTGATGATGACTGAGTCCCTTGATTGGCAAACTCTGAATAAAGAGCCTTTGTTTATTGCCATTTGGGGGTAGATGAAATGATCTATGAAGGTCTAAACTAGAGTAGCTATTATGGAATATAACAAGCACCATCCTGAACAATGGGCTCTCTAGACACCTTGGGAAGCTGCTTTATTGAAGTTGCTTTATATAATCTAGAGAAGTTGATGGTGAAGAGCTATAGTGCATAAATCTGACCTCAGTTGTCATGGCTCAAAATCATTTATAGTTGAATAAATCATTGAAGCATTGTTTTTATTAACTTGCTATCCAATATTTCACTCCCCAGAAGCTCTGCCCTTTGGTCTGGCATTAAGTTCTGTTGATTTGTAAATTAGTATGTCTTTCAGATTTTGCTTTATGCTCTGTCACATTGCCACTATCCTTGCCCATGTTTTCGTGATCTCATAAACAGCAATCCTCTATGGATCCCTTTGAACCTCTTTCTGTTCTGAATCACTGTGTATGCTATGCTAATCTTCTCCTAACTCCCATCTTAGTAGCTTCCTCAAGAATGTACCTATTTGTATACTTTAATTGGTATTTGTGTCTTGCATAATATGGCTCCTCTAAAGCCAATCTAGCAATCTTGTGTCCTCCTGCTCTCCTACATATTCTGATTTCCTATCCACATAATATTTATTTCCACTTTTGTGCCTTTGCTCATTCTGTTGCTTCATCTGCAATGCCTTCTTTATTCCTTTTTATATATCCTTGTTTAACCCATTTTATAACTCTCATTTTGTCCCCCAGCAGTCTCAGTCCTTGTACCTTCTACTATGAGCTTACACTGTGAACTGTGTTTCACTGTATATTTCCAGACTAGAGTTGGCCAGAAGTGAGGCTGGAGGAGATTTGGAAAGCAGAAGTGAAAGCAGCAGCCATTATACTTGGAAAGTTATCATTGGTTAGAAGCAGTGAAGACAGATGCCAAGTGCCATGAGATTCCAGTTCATCTCCATGCTTCCCCACTCCACTTCCAGCTGTCCTTCCCAGCTGCTGGCCCTCATGACCAACAGCAGCTCCTGGCCCACCACCAACTCTGTGAGTTGCCGTAAACTTACAGAGGTGGTAGCTGCAGGGTCAACAACCTTTTGGAGAGTTCTACAGCAGCCCCCTTCACAGTACAACTCAGCAATGGGATGAACTTGTCTCCTAGATTCAAATATGATTGAGGAGTAGAGTAGTGGGTGTTTTTTAATGTACCAACTGGCATCTAACACCTGGTAACATATTCTGTGATCTTTTTCTTCCTCACTTCTCAAGGACTTCTTATTTTGGGGGCCAAAAATTTTATTTCATGTTATCAAATATGCTCCCTTACTCCTTATTTCTGGTGTGTATGCCAGACTCTGAATTTTTTTTTTTTTTTGAGACGTAATTTCGTTCATGTCGCCCAGGCTAGGGTGCAATGGCAGTGATCTTTGCTCACTGCAGTCTCCACCTCCTGGGTTTAAGGGATTCTCCTGCCTCAGCCTCCTGAGTAGGTGGAATTACAGGCACCCACCACCACACCCGGCTAATTTTTGTATTTTTAGTAAAGACGGGGTTTTTTATGTTGGCCAGTCTAATCTCGAACTCCTGACCTCAGGTGATCTGCCTGCTCCACTTCCCAAAGTGCTGGGATTGCAGGTGTGAGCCACCACACCTGGCCTGAATTTTGGTATTTTAAAGAAATTCTTTTTCTTTTTTTTTTTTTAATTTAAAACATCCTTTCACTTCATGTACCTTACTAGCAATTGACAGCAAGGACTATGCTACAGATTTATAGAAGTTAACTTGTGAACTCAAAAGCTTAAGATTTTGCCTTTTTTTCTTTCTGTATCTGCTCTAACCCAAGGGTAGTTCATATAGAAAGCTGTTGGTGCTGCCTTAGTGTTGAAGGGAGAGTACTGGAAAACAACAGATACCTTGGCTTAATGTCTCCCAATATTATCTTGACACACAGGAATAAAATTGAAAGCTTTTCAAGGAATGAGTGGATTCTACGTCCTTTCAGTAATGCTATTTTTTTTTTGCAAGTAGGCTTTTGATAAAAGTTGGTCAGTAGCCAATCTGAGGCTGCATTTTCTGGCAAGGAGCCTAAGTTCCTGTGTTCTGTGTTTCTGATTAAGAGCAGATCTGTACACTTAGAAATCAACCAAGCAAAGCCATATGAGCAGAAGATAGGTTTGACATTCTCTTACAAATATTGGAAAATTAGCTTCTTTGCCTGAACAGATGATCACCAAATCTTTGTCTTCTAACAAAAAGCATTTTTTTGAGAAAAAGAAATATTCCACTTTCTGCATTTTTTTCTTTATGATTTTCTTTCCGTAGAGAAAGGATTACTGGAGATAACTGTTCTGACTTCTAACTCATATAGGTTTTAGATCTCCCAGTACCCCAAAGTCTTGAAATTATTTTTTTAAAAGCAGTATCATACAAGAGTCTTAATTGAAATTACTTTTTAATTAAAACTGGGAGTCACATTTGGTATGTTTGGAAAGCATGATGTTTCACACTCTCCAAACATGTAGTTAGGTAAGTCAATAACAGAGAGAGCAGAGATTTGAGAGCCTCGAACAATGAAGAAAAAACATTAAAATACAGTGCTAATTTCTGTAGCACTGTTTTCTAAGAAACATCTCGGCTTTTCTGTGTTCCTCTGTGCAAAGAGGGCCCATCAAATAGACAGTTGGGACGGTTGCACAACATTGTATATGTAATTAATGCCACTAATTTTTTACTTAAGAATGGTTAAAATGACAAATTTTTTGTTATACGTATTTTACTGTAATAAAAACAACTCAAACAATAAAGAGGGCACATCTACCCATAGAAGAGTCTTGAATAAACTTGAGAAGGCCAATGGATTGGTGATTTATATGATGATAGAAGGAATAAGCAGGACACTATTCACAAGAAAAGAAGGATTTCTATATACTACTGTTTTATGAGCAAGGACTGATTTTTAGGTTACTAATTTGGAGAGCTAGGCTGATTTTCCTTTTCTTCATTTCTTGTTTGAAGGTCCTGATGTTTATAGACTTAGAATTCATTCACTTATTTATTGATTGTTTTCTGTCCTCAGAAAATACTATGTCTAAGAATACATTATCTATTCTACTTTAGGAAAGAATATAATAACTTAAAAATAATGTACCTAAAAACACTATGATATGAAAATTACATGAAGTCAATAATCTTCATGGTTTTGAATATGTTGAACTGTCATAATCTGAGATTTCTAAAGGAAAGACTATCTTTTTAAACATTCATAGTGTTCATTTCTTTACATTTGTATTTTTATTTAGTAATTTCTTATAATCTGGAGACAAACTTTACTTATATCACACAGGTAACTTTATAATGAATGAAAAGTCACAAATATGACACAAAGCTTTAAAGTATACCATTTTATTTCTGCAGACATAAACTTTACCTTAAATCAATATCCCTATTGCTCCATGATACCTGGATACAAAATGTTCTAATTTTATATAATTAAAAATGCATCACCATTTTGATTATCTGGAGATGCAACTACTATATCTTTTAGAAAGGAGTCTATCTTTGTTTATAGCAATAAAAATAATAAAATACTACTTGTATTTTTTAGTTGGATTTAATGTGAAGTTTTGAGACTCAGTGGCTGATGTCTTTTGAAAATCTTGATCTGCCAATTCCATAATATTGAGCTGTGTTAAAACAGATAAAAGAAGGTGGAAGGTTAGAAAATTATCTGTAAATGAGAACTGAGTGTTCAAACTATTTGAGTTAATAAAATTCAAATATTAGAACAATCACCTTTTTTTCCTTCCTGAATAAGTAGCAGGTTTTATTATTATTCCTCTTGCTCAAATTATCTAGGCTATTTTTATCTTCCACTTCAATCTTCTAGGGTAGACATCATTATGCAGAAGGTACACATACACACCACCAATGGTATATTCAGACTTTATTCTATTGTCAAGATGTGGTTTGTAACAAACTTGTTGATACGATTTTATATTTTCTTCAGACATCACTCTGTGGTAAACCAGGTTTTTTTGGCCACAGCAGTATCCCCTGCTAAGAGTTAAATAAGCCATAGTATTGAGAAGTCTGCCTGGAATTTGGCTGTTTAATTGTTTTCATGTGTTTGCATTAGAATGGGTATGAACCCCTAACTAGTCAGCTGTACAAAGGTCAGGGTTGGAATCCAGGTCCTGTTCTCATAGAGCTAAAACAGTCCCTTAGCAGCCTGATTCCGAGGAGTCTTTGTTTCTTGGGGAAATAAACTATTGCTTTGAAGGCAAACAAAGTTATTTCAAGAAAAAACCCTCTCTCCACCTCATTTATACTTACACTTTCTCTTTTTTCTTGCCATTTCTTTAGAGCCCTGCAAGAATCCAAGTAAATAAAGCTAAACCTTCACTACTGAAAACCAGCTTCTAGGTAACTCATGTATCATACACCTTATATCCTTGCATGGATTCCCCAAATCTAGTCTCTGAGGTAGGTATATTATACCATATACTATTATACAAGCAAGGAAAGGGGCTCAGAGAGAAGTAATTTTCTAAAGATCCCAGGGAAAATATGTGATCTGGTAGGAATGTGAACACTGGTGTTTCTGACTCCAAAATCTATGGTCTTCCTACTTTGAGGTTGCTGAGTTAAATGTTCACCTGGACCTATGGTTGTGTGTTGTCATAGGACTTGCTGGAGATGTTAGCATGGAAGACCTGTAGTATGGGAATTATTTTCCCCAATGCAAATTAAGACATATAAACATACTTATGAGACACAATGATTAGAATTGAACTGTTCCAAGAAATTCAGAGTATGTTCCATTCCAGAAAAGATCACTTTATTCAGAGGCAGAGACGAGATATTTGTATTATGTGATCATGTCTGTTCGGCAGTGGTAAATGCAAATGTGGTTTTGTTTGGATAGTGGAAGTAGGTTATGAAGGCCTGCTTCCCCAAACTGCCACAGAATCATGAATTACACTTTGTACGATGGATGGGTCCCTCTTTCTAGGGAGTACTGTATTGTTTTATTCACACTTCTTTAGTGCAGGAGTGAATTATGTGTGGATGTATGGCACTCGATGTATCAAAGTGTTCATTAAATTTTATTTCCATATAGTTATCTTTCTCTTAATTATGTGTTATGGCAATATTTATTGACATTTGAAGTGTTAGAATCACTGAAAATATAATCTTCAAAATTGTAATCATGTTAACATATGATACAGAGAGATAAGGTTAAATTGAAAAGAGTATGGATTCCATTCCAATAATACAAGTAATAGTTTTCACTAGATTTAGTCAATGTAAAAAAAGTTTAGGAAAAGATAAAAATGATTTTTAACCCCATCAACCAGATATGACTAATGATGTTATTTGGCATGTTGATAAATTTATTTAAAAGACAGCTTTATATGTGTATGACAAATAAGGGAAGAAATAAATGTTTGATATTTAATACCATTCATTGTAGAGGAACTAAGGTATATAACAGCACTATATTCTAGCATTTCTTGGCAGAATAACAAAATAATTATATTTATAAATATACATTTTCAAGAAAAGAAAGCATGGTTTCCATTTAAAGTATACACTGAAAGCCTGATTTCATTTAGCAATCAGGATTATGAATCCATAATCTTGAAGTCATGGTAAAAACATGGCCCCTTCCCCCAGCCCCAACGGAGATCCTGTTCCAATGACTAATGGTGTATTTTACTTCTTGCCTAGAAACAGCTAGAAAATGAAACCATACAGAACAAAGTTGAAAAGTATAATTATGTAGCAGATTATATTTTCAAAAAATGGTTGCAAAATAAATCCTGTCCTGCTTCCCCATTAAAAGGTGGAGTTTAATTCTTTCCCTCATCTTGAATTTGGGTGGGATTACAACTGCTCCTACAAATAGAATGCAGTTGAGGTGACTTTGCATGAATTCTGATACTAACTCAGAACAAGCCATAAGATTCTATCTGGCTCTCCTAGGATGCTTCCTCCAGAGGAAGTCAGACTATGTATGCTGATCAGCTGCCCTGGCACTGCTGTGCTGTGAGGAAGTCCAAATTAGTCCACATAGAGAGACCACATAGAGAAGCATAGAATCTGCATGGACAGAGAAACATTAGCTGTCATTAGCCCAGCTGATTCAGCTGTCCATTGTTCCAGCTCCACCTACTGTGGACTGCAAATGAGCAACTCTCAGTCAGAACCATAAGTGGACCCCTTTCTGAATTTCTGACCTACAGAAATAATGAAAGATAACAATGATAGTTGTTGTTTTAAGTGACTACCTTTTGGTGTGATTCATCATGTAGCAGTAGACTAATGGAGCAGATTTGATGCAGAAATGGAGTGCTAACATAACAAAACCTATGGGCTTGTCCACTGGGCAGTGGACAGAATCCTTTAGAAGAGACTTAGTGAAATCCCAAAGTACCTCGGGAGGGTGTCAGTGAGAGCTCGAAGGATCTTGAGGAGAGTGTTAGCAGAAGCCTAACGGATCTTGAAGGCTGTCTGTGAGGGCTTAATGCAAAGTGAAGAAAATGTAACAGGAAGTTAGAAAAAAGAGAACCCTTGTTATGTAGTGACAGAAAATTTAGCAAAATTCTTGCCTGTATGAATGTAGAACGTAGAACATGTGCCTAATGAACTCAGTGGTTCTCCAGCTTATGAGATTTCCAGGTGGAATGTTGAAGGATCAATCTGGCTTCTTACTGCCCATGACAAAATGAAAGGAGGGTGATGAACAAAAGAACAAATTATTCTGTTTTGAGTGGAATTTATAGAAAATGGAAAAGGTTCAGAGCGGTCATTTCAGACAACAAACTGTTTTCAAAAACGGGCTTTAGGACAAAGATTTAAGGGCTAGATAGGACTAAAATATTCTTTGTAAAACTCAGAAAGTTCTAAGTCCTTGTATAATACATGCAATACAGGAGAGGCCCTAAGCCAGAACCACCCAGATGAGCCTACTCTAAATTCTTGGCCCAAGGAAACTATAAAAGATAATAAAATGATTGTTGTTGTTTTAAACCACTTTAATTTGGAGTGGTTTTTAAATAGAAGTAGATGACTGGAACATATTCAAAAGACAAGAATACTGTGTAAAGTCATAACTACTCATTTCTAATTTTAAAAATGATTTTGCCCCCAGGGAGTAGGGCAAACATTTTTTTCAGGTATGTGAATATTAAATCAATGCAATATGTCTTATTTTAGTTCCAAAGAAAAAAATTTAAAAAATATGAAAAACTTCTGCTTAAAGGTTAAGCCACATTTTATTTAAATGCTGAATAATATATATGTTCCTTTCTTTATTAAACCATCATTAAAGCAGGATGGAAATATTTTTAGACTGGAGAATTAGCCTTTTTCATTGTAAGTGTTGCAATATATGACAACCCTTTTCAGAAAGGTGAGTGTTACAGAGGGCCAATAAAAATCATTTTAATTAAGCATTTAATTTTCACCCAGAAGTGAAAGTTCCCACAAGTAAAGTTTCTCACCATGTGAGCTTTTACAATGACATGTTGAGAAAAATGAACATAATTTTCCTTTACATAAAATAAAAATAAATGGGGCTGACACTTTGCCTTTAATCAATGATAGATACATATCAATTTATAGCAATTTAAATAAAGACCACCAGTGAAATTTACATGGTGTGCACAGTTTAAATACTTTGAAAAGGGATCATATTGTAGGACACTGTTATATTCAGAAGCTTCTATGGGCTTTTTCTCTACCATCTTTTCCTCTCTTTCTCCTTCACTTCTTTTTTCTCCTCTTCCTGTTTTCCTTTTCTTCATCTTTCTCCTCCTCCTCCGTTCTTCATTTGTGATTTTAAAAGATCGTTTTCTTTACGGTTGGTCAATATTATTTCCCTTTTCTTTGGCTTATCTCTTTATCATTTGTATTTATATATAGTGCTTACTCTAGTTGCTAGCTATATTCAGAAGAAAACTATTGTGTTAAAAATGGGTGACATGGGTAATTATTCCTGACTTTAGGGAGTTCACATTTTACTGTGGGAAATAGTCATGTATTGAGCTCATCATAGTATTCTCCCATACACAGAAGTCAAACGAATAATGTGCTTGAGACCACAGAAAAGGGAGTGATTAAAATTTTGGGGGTGATGATAGAGTTTAAACAGTGGTGTGCTGAAGCTGGCTTGTACTTGTTTGTGAGAGCTGGATTTGCATATCGTTTTTTTAAGATTAAATGATAGTTTATTTAAAAAGAATTAAAACAGAAACTCTAAATACCAGTGTGTACATCGTACCCATTTAAATGATTTACAAGAATGACTTTTTCTCAAAAAAAAAAAAAAGAAAAAAGAATGACTTTTTCATATATGTTAAGACCATACTACCTAGTTTATCAAAAGTTGTTCAAGGAGAAATCTACTCCAAATTGCATACAGTTTTGTCATTTTAAAGAGACGACATTCCAAACATGCAACAGTGCCACTGGTAATGAAATTTTGAAATGAGTGTTCATTCTATTATTTGACTATAAACAGGAGAGAAAGCAAGATAAGTTGGGAATTTGTTCTAAAGTAGAATGGATGTTGTCATCATCTACACCCCGCTTCAGTCCTTTGCTGCCATTTTTAGCAAGTACTCCTTGTCGGTTTTGAAGGGTCTCCAGCTGTCTTCCCTGGGCACCTCTTCTTTTGTAGAGGTTAACAGATGGTTCATTTCATTCTGCTACTAAGAAGTGCATGGTGCTACAGTGATACTTCATTGTGACCTGGCTTAAATTCTTCAGAATTTCTGATTTATGCCAAAGCCTTTTTCATTACTCATCCAAAGAAGTACAATAGCTTGCCAATTCAAGGGTCATAGGTACAACAGTACATGGTGAAACCAACAGTAATTCTTTCTTTCCAGAGTCCAGTGTTTCTTGGGCATCTCTGCAACCACACAGTGGTGGAAGGGATGCTCTCTGAAACCACTCTCTAGCAGATCTTTTTCAGTTAATATTACTTGGTCTCCCACATATTCATATTTAGCCAGTTCCCTGATCAGCCACAGATACCACTGGAGTCAGCAGTGATGGCAGGATGGATCACAAATGTAGCCATTTTCTTCTTTTATTTTTCTTCCCTTTATGTAATAGGCCCCTATGCTTGAATGGCAGGAGGAGGTGGTTCCTCATTCATGACCCAATGAGCCTCAGTGAGTGATAGACGTGCTTCAGTGGAGCTGTGCCGAGAGCTGTGCCCGAGTGCCCTTTATCATGGAAGAGACGGCTTTTGAACTCAGCTTTACAGGATAAGTAGATTGGTGCAAAAGTAATTGTGTTTTTTGCCATTACTTTTTTAAAAAATTAAAAATTAAAAAAAGGGCAAAAACTGCAATTACTCTTGCAACAAAATAATAGAAGGGTTTTTGCCAGGATGAAAGGGAGAGTGGACCGGGGAAAGGTGGTGATATTGTTTGGACAGTTGTTCCTTCCAAATCTCATGTAGAAATGTGATTCCCAAGGAACCTGGTGGGAGGCGACTGGATCATGGGGATTGATCCCACATGAATGGTTTGGTTGTTTAAGAGTCTAGGACCCCCCCACCCTTGCATTCTTGCTTGCTCCCACTCTCGCCATGTGACGTGCCTGCTCCCCCTTTGCCTTCTGCCATGATTGAAAACTTCCTGAGGCCTCACTAGAAACCTAGCAGATGCATGCTCCATGCTTCCTGTACAGCCTGCAGAACTATGAGCCAATTAAGCCTCCTTTCTTTATAAATTACCCAGCCTCAGGTATTCCTTTATAGCACTGCAAGAACAAACTAATACAGGCAGTCTAGGTAATAATAACGGTATCATTTACTGGGTGCCTACTGTGCTTTAGATACTGTGCTAAGGAAGCACTTCCATGCACTATTGAGAGGTGAAGCCAGCTGGACTTCCTGGGTCCAGTGGGGACTTGGAGAACTTTTCTGTCTAGCTAAAGGATTGTAAGTGCACCAATCAGCACTCTGTGTCTAGCTAAAGGATTGTAAATGCAGCAATCAGCACTCTGTAAAAATGCACCAATCAGCACTCTGTGTCTAGCTAAAGTGTATATCCACCAATCAGCACTCTGTAAAATGGACAAATCAGCACTCTGTAAAATGGACCAATCAGCAGGACATGGGTGGGGCCAAATAAGGGAATAAAAGTGACCACCCAAGCCAGCACGGTAACCTGCTCAGGTGCCTTTTGGTGATGTGGAAGCTTTGTTCTTTCACTCTTCACAATAAATCTTGCTGCTGCTCACTCTGTGAGACAACACTACCTTTATAAGCTGTAACACTCAACGCGAGAGTCTGCGGCTTCACTACTGAGGTCAGTGAAACCACGAACCCACTGGGAGGAACAAACAACTCCAGACATGCCACCTTTAAGAGCTGTAACACGCATTGCAAAGGTCTGTGGCTTCACTCCTGAAGTCAGCAAGACCGTGAACCCACCAGAAGGAAGAAACTCTAGACACATCTGAACATATGAAGGAACAAACTCCAGACACACCATTTTTAAGAGCTGTAACACTCACCGCGAAGGTCCGTGGCTTCATTCTTGATGTCAGTGAGACCAAGAACCCACTGGAAGGAATAAATTCCAGACACACTATCATACTTAAGCATGGAAACAGTCTTGTGAGGTAGGTATTTACCAACCTCATTTTTACCTAGAAAATGAAGACTCTGGGATTTGAAATAATGTCTATCAGACTCCAAAGGTTTACCACTGTACTTTACTGCCTCATAAGCAAATAAGTGGATGTGGGGAAATTTGGGAGGGTGGACCAAGTTTAACAACACATTATTTTCTTTATCTCCAATTTGACATAGCTTGCAGTTTTCTAAAGCCAGGTATAAATTTCTCTGGCTGGGGCAGTTATTCTTCAGGAAAACTCTTTAATGAGACATCTATCTTATAGACTCATATGACCTTTGAGGATATTTTTTAGTTTATTCAGGATATTATATTTAAAGACAGTACTGAGGGATAAAGACAATTGACACTATGACCTGCCTAGTGTTTTGGACAGGGAAGGTTAGGTGGCCTTCAAAGAAAGGCAAGGAGTTAGAAAATGTTAACTGTCAGGGATAGCCTGAGCGAAGATAGGGCAGCATATATAATTAAAAAGGGATTAATATCTAGAATATACAAGGAACTCCTGCCAATCAGCAGGGATAACACAGGCAAAGTGCATGAACAAACAATTCGCAGAAGGGAAAAAATATCCAAATGACCAATGAATATATGAAGAGATGCAAAACCTTACTAGAAATCAGAAAAATGCAAATGAAACAACCCAGCCTCTGGTCTCCCCACCAAAAATATGTCACAATTTTCATTAAACTAATAGCCAGTGGTTATATTATTATGACTATATAAATATTATTCAAATCTATGATTATTTTTATTTGATTCATAGCTTTCAAAAACCGCTTTATTGAGATATAATATATAACACAATACTTTGCAAACTTAAAGTGGAAAACTTGATAAAATTTGATATATGTTTACGCCCATGAAACTATTATCAGAATGAAGACATTGAATATACTAATCCCTCAACGTTTCCTTGTTTCCTTTTCTAATCCCTCTTTACTGCCTATCACCCTTTAGGAAACCACTGATATGCTTTTTGTTGTATAGATTAGTTTGCATTTTCAAGAATTTTGCATAATGAAATCACAGAGTATGTAGTCCCCATGTTGCTGCACTTCACAGTAATTTTATTTTTTTAATTGCTGAATTGTATTACATTGTATGGATGTACTACAATTTGTTTATCCCTTCATTCACCTATTGGACATTTGGGTTGTTTCCTGTTTTTGGCCATTACAAATAAAACTGTTATGAACATCCATGCACACATCTTTGTATGGGCGTATGTTTTCATTTCTCTTGGGTAAGTACCTAGGGGTGAAATGGTTGTATCATATGGTAGGTAGATGTTTAACTTTTTAAGAAACTACCAAACTGTTTTCCAAAGTGGTTGTATTATTTTGTATTCTTATCAGCAGTGTAGGAGAGCTCCGATTCTTCCACATCCTCACCAACACTTCATATTGGCAGTCTTCTGTCTTTTTAATTTTAGACATTCTAATCAGTGTGTATTTGCATCTCATTGCAATTTAAATTTGTGTTGCTCTAATGAGTAATGATATAATACAATATATAATTTGCAATATATATTATCTTATGTATTACAAATATTTGCAAATATATATTACTATATATTTACAAATACATATTTCCAAATATATTGTTTATAAATAATTATATATTTGTAATATATAATATATTACATAATTTGTATTGCCCTAATGACTAATGATAACATCTTTTCATGTTATTTGCCATCTATGTATCTTTTTTAGTAAAGTGTATGTTGAAATTGCTCATTTAAAAAATTGGATATTAAAAATTTCCTTACGGTTGAGATTTAAGTTCTTGATATATTCTGAAACAAGTCATTTATCAGATCTATGATTTAGAAATATTTTAGCCCTGTTTGTGGCTTGTCTTCATTCTCTTAACTTCAGAAAACTTTTGAAAAGCAAAAGTTAAAAATTTTGATAAAGTCCATTTTATTACTTTTTTCTTTTATAGATTGTGTTTATGGTGGTGTATCTAAGAAATCTTTGCCTAACTAAAGATCACAAAGATTTTTTTCCTATGTTTTCTTGTAGAAGTTTTATAGCTTTGTATTTACACTTAGGCTTAAGATTCATTTTGGATTAATTTCCGTATGGTATGAGATATAAATCAAAGCTCTTTTTCTGCGTATGGATAATGATGGGCTATAGGACAGGCTACCCCAAAATATGGCACTATGCCATTTGACGAAACAGCAGAACCAGGCCACAGAAACTAGAAAGAATTACCCTCACTCCTTATCCCCTGAAGCAGGCCAAAAACTTAGCTGGCTTTCCCTGAAAATATGTTATAATATCTGATTCCAGAGGGGTTCTCCCTATACCCAGAAAAGAAGAATGTCCTTATCTTTGAAGATACAGAGACATCAATAAGAATCTAACAAACAGGACTTGCTAAGTTTCCCCCAGTTTATTACATTAGACCATATCCTTCTGTCCTTCAATCATCTGCATGACTGTCCATAAAATGCACAGGTTTCATAAAAATACACAGGTTTCCCCATTTCTTTGGGACTGCATTTCTGAAGGATCCTGCATCACATAGAACTTATAAAAATTTTTATGCTTTTCTCTTGTTAATCTGTCTGTTGTTATAGAGGTTTCAGCTGTGAGCCTAGCGATGGGTGAAGAAAGGTATTACTTTTCTCCCCTACCATAGCCAGTTGTTCCAACATTATTTGTTGAAAAGACTTTCTATTCCACTGAATTTCCTTTCCATTTTTTAAATAAAAAATCAGTTTCTGTATAAATGTGGGTCTACTTCTAGCTATCTATTCTATTCCATTCATCTATTTATGTATCTTCACACCAATATCATATTGTCTTTACTGTGTTTTTTTTTTTTTTTTTGCCTGTCACAACAAAGTTTATTATGAAAATAAGCTGGTGTGGGGACAAGAAAACAGACAAATACATTTTGGTTGGGTGACTCAGGAGAAGTAGTACAGCTTCTTCATATTGATGCCATACTTCCTAAGGGCAGGAGTCAAGATTTCCATGGTTTGGGTGTACGTGTGGTCTTTGCTCTTGTTTCATGAGCTGCTAGGGGCTTTGCCCTTCATTTTTTAGTGCTATAAGGCATAGTTGGCAATACCTGAGATGAATTTATGGGCAGCTAAGGAGCTAAACTGACTTATTTGTGAGTCTGAGGCCTCAAAGCCAGGATGGCTTAGGTAGTAACCAGTTACTGCCTGTGGATTGGTAGATGTGTAATCTTCCAGCTGCATCAGGAAGTCCATCAGAGGCCTGACAGACATCTCACTCCCCTAACTCCAGCCTCCTTGCTGTCCCCACAGGGTTGACCTGGATTCTCTGTGGCTGTGGGAAGCATAGCAGGCAATAGAAGGCTGCACTCTCAGCCAAGCATTTTACTGTAGCCTTATGATGAGTTTTGAAGTCAGGAATTGTTAGCCTATCAACTTCGTTTTTTTTTCCAAATTGTTGTTGCTATCCTAGGTCCTCTGCATTTACAGTGAATTTTAGAATCAGCTTGTAAATTTCTTGAAAAATTCGTGGTCAGATTTTTCATTGAATTTCATTAATCTATAGACCAATTTGGGAGAATTGATACAAGATACATTTCTTTAATTTCTCTCAAGAATATTTTGAAGTCTTTAGTGTACAAGTCTTTCACATATTTGATCAGATTTATTCCTAGTTAATCCTCTTCTGCTTCTTTCAGTTAGTAATATGCATTTATGTTTCCTTCGTGTCTTTTTGGGACTTGACAGTTCATTTCATTTTACTGCTGAATTGTATTCCAGTTGTCTGGATGTACCAGTTTATTTATCCATTAACCTGCTGAAGGACATCTTGGTTGCTTTAATTTTGGCAATTATGAATCAAGCAGCTGTAAACTTTTTCACGCAAATTTTTGTGCAGACATATGTTTTCAACTAATTTGGATAAATACCAAGGATCATGATTGCTGGATTGTATGGTAAAAATATATTTAGTTTTGTGGAAAACTGAAAAACTGTCTTCCAAAGTGGTTGTACCATTTTGCATTCCCACCAGCAGTGAATGAGAGTTTCTGTTGCTTCATATCCTCATCAGCATTTGGTGGTATTGATGTTTTGGATTTCAGCCATTCTAGTAGGTATATAGTGGTATCTCATTGCTGTTTTAGTTGCAATTCCTGAATGTTGTATGATGTTGAACATCTTTTCATATGCTTATTTGCCATCAAGACTTTTTTTATGGCCCATAATATGGTGTGTTTTTTGTGCACTTGAAAAGAATATGTATTATGCTTTATGCTTTTGTTGGAGGGAGTGTTCTCCCAGAGAATGCTGTGTTTTGCCATCTAATGTCCAGTGTCTTGAAAACCATTGTTTCATATAATTTGCCTTTTTTTGTTTGTTTCAGGTGGTAGAGTAAGAGGCCTAGTCTCTGTCAATCCATCTTGGCTGGAAGCTGAAGGTCTCTTTTGTAAACTTTTTCTTTCTCTTCACTAAATATTTACTGATTTCCTTAGTTTTCTTTGTACTTATCACTAATTTATCCTCAAATTTAATGTTAGAAATGTGAATTTCCTCTCCATATATTCAGACACATCATGTAATCTATCAGTTTAATATTTTCCTTAGGGCCAACCTTTCTGAAGCTTTCCTTCCTCCTCTTTCAATGTAGGCAAGCAGCTGTCTTTCTCTCTCCTACACGGTTTTGTCTCGGGACTTCTGTTAACTAATATTCTACACATTTACTTCTTCACTCTCTGGTGTTTTCTGGGCCTCTTATATTCCTTTACTTGCTTTACTCTCCAGTTGTGGTGGAATACATCTTCTAGTAGCTTCCTAGAATAGATGCATGAGAGGTACATGTTTTGAGAACTTATAGGACTGAAAATACCTTTATTTTACATTCCTATTTGCTTTCAAACTTGGATGTTTGTAGAATTCTAGGTTGGAAGTTAATTTCCCTCAGAATTTTAAGATACTATGCCATTTTTTTGCTAGAGTTAAGTATTGCTTAACTGAGAAGTATTGCTTAATTGAGAAGTCTGATGACATTGTAATTTCCTTTTTTTTTTGTTTGCATCTGTTTTACTCTTTGGAGGCTTTTAGGATCTTTTCTTTATTCTTAGTATCATCAAATTTTTCATTGATCCCCAGTACTAAATTATTTTTAATCTAAAAATTCATATTTAATTTCTGCAATCATAATTTTAATTTTTCAGAAGTTTTTTCTCTTTTAATGTTTCTTTTTTATTATATTCTATTCTTGTTTCATGAGTTTAATATCTTCTCTTATCTCTGAGGATATTAATTTCATTGTTTAAAAGTTTAATTTTTTTCTTTGTATGGACTATTTCCTCTGAGCTCCATTTTTATTAATTTTTTTATAATCATCCATATCAAATATATGTATATTTTCAAATATCTGGTAAATTTTCCTGTTCTTAGTTAAGAATGAGGGCTTAAAGAGATGAATGAAAGCTGCGTGTATGCATGTGTGCATGTGTGTATGTGTGTGTGTTTGTGTGTGCCTGAAGGGTCTGCCAATTGAGGGTCTTCTCTTTAGGCTGTTTTGGTGGGCAGCACGCTGCCTTGCTGTTCATACTTAACTTTGTGTGGTTCTTTTCTTTATACATGGTCAGTTTTCTCAGATGGAAATTGTTTACTTTCCTGTCTAGAGGTTATAAGGCTCACTGCCAGCACACAAGGAGTCAAGTCAGGGAGGGCTCAAGTAGTCCAGAATTTTACGAAGTATGGCTTCACTGGCCTCGACTGTGCTGGACAACTCCTAGTCCAGAGTTCCTATGGTTCAATCTCTATAGTCTTTTGCTGTGGTGATAGAGGGCATCTAAGAACTTAGCTGTTTTTTATACAGACTGATAACCAATTCTTCCATTTTTAGTCCCACTAGCACCCCAACTTTAGGCGTATCTGATAGACCCAACTTTGGAGCCTTTTCCTGGTTCTTTAAGGCTTGCATCTTGTCTTTTTCCTGCAGGCATATAGTTTTCTCTTGTCTTCTAAGTCAGTCATTATAAGTTTATGTGATTTCCACCTTCCAAAATTTAATTGACATTTCTCTTTTTTTCTGTTTTATCCTCCCCTATTCTCTTTGTTCTTTTGTTTCTAACTTTAAAAAATCCTTTCAATGTAATTTTAAGGTGTTTACAGCAGGGAGAAGAAATGAGTGATGTTCTTTTTTTGTTTAATTTTTTTTACTGTGAAATATAACAAATACATCGAAGAGTGCAACAAAAAATTCACTGATTTTCACAAAATAACCATCCACATTAAGAAACAGAGCATTGCCAATCCACCAGAATCCTCCCTCATGCTTGAAAACACTCTTGCTATAAGAATCTTCATCTCATCACAATAAGTGTAATTTCAATGCACCTCAAATATTCTGAACCTTATTCTTTGGTCTCCTGCATGTGTCACTTAATAAACAATCCAAATTAATCCACTTCCTCTATGTTTTCTGCTGTCCATATTTATGGAAAAATATTAAATATTGATGTGGAGCAACATATACTAGAACTCACTAGTAAGCTTTACCTTAGCTAGCAAGTATAATGTTTTGTTAAGAGATATTTGTGTGCAGGTACAACCTGGTTTTATCTAAAAGAAACTTTATCTAACTTAGAAAATTGTTCCTCCCTTGAGATAGTCATTCTGTAAGATGAATATGATTTCTTTTTTAAGATTTTAGAAGGTACTGGGGAGCATCGAAGTTAGACTGTGGCATAGAGCTAGTATAAAATAAGTTGAAAAGTAATATTTCTTGGTAATATCATTTATTCTCCACTTACTAAAAGCCCAACACCCTTCCTGTACAAAGGTCATAGTTTTCTGTGAACCAGAAAAACTATAAATTTTACCAGCTGGTTTTAACTGAGAAGAAATATCAAGAAATTCCTCCTGTGGGCTCTATAAATGCTGAGATAGTAGACTGACACATGAAATATAATAAGTGTAGTTATTCATGCTTTTTTCCCCTCTCAAAAATGTCCTAATGATTTGTTATTCTACTCCATCTATAAGTACCCATGAAGCAGAGTCTCACTAAGGGAGAGGCCTGCTGTTTTTTCTTATGTAAAGTGTCAAGTAAGTTGAATATTTTTGGGCATGTTAATCTTTGTTTGGCATTTAAGCAGAAAATGCATTAATGATTTAGCATATGAAAGGTATATTGGTTATCAAATTTTGTCTACACATAGTTTCTTTTTTTCTCCTTCAGGAAATATATTGAAATTGATATTCTTTTTAGAATTTTACTTTCTATCTGTAATCTGTAATTTTACTCTCTATCTGTAATCTGTAAAAAATAAACAACAGTCAATCTTCCTTTTCATGTGTAACAATGGGAAATTTGGGCAACCCGTGAGGCATTCTTCTGCATGAGAGACAGGATGCTGGATGAAGTCTCCAAAACCTTCTAGCTCCAGTACTTGCTGTGTCTTATTCAACCTCCAGCAGTTCTGTGTTGCTTTTTTCTTATTTAAGAGTCTTAGTTGCACCCGTTAACTCATCATTACATTAGGCACACCAACGTGGCACATGTATACATATGTAACAAACCTGCACGTTGAGCACATGTACCCTAGAACTTAAAGTATATTACTAATAATTAAAAAAAGAGTCTTAGTTATGGAACTGGAACACCCAAAACCTAATTTCAGGGAAAACAATTTGTATACACATTATACTGGAGATTTTTAAACCTGGCTGACCATTAGAATCTCCTGGGGGAGTTTGTTGAATAGATTCCTAGGTTCTGCTCCCAGAAAGCCTGATTTTTCCAGGCATTTTGGATAAAGCATTTGGTTTCTGCTTCTGTAATAGTGTGGAGAAAGGGAATTTTCACTGTATCTTCCCAAATTCTGAAATTCGAATATCATTTTCATCACATTGCTTCTCTGTTTCAAAGAGTAGTGATTTTTAAGCACTAGCATTCTTTCAAGGAAGGAACAGGTATAGATACTTTGGGAGTGTGAGGCTCAATGAGAGAGAAGTGCAGGCTGGAGAGTGGAGGCCATTGGACTCTTTGGATATCAGATCTCTTAGCAGCCACTGGGCAGTTAAGATAATTGGAAAAGAAATTCAGAAAGAGGGCAAAGGGCATCTAAGAGGAAGCTGTTACACCTTTCTAACTCTTTCCTTAGTAATATGTGTATTCACTCATCCCTCACCACAGCCAGCTGCTTGAGAGGTTCGGCCCAAACAGCTGGAGGCAACTCCAACCATCCGTCAGTGTGGCAGCTCAGTATTCTCCCCAGGCCTGCTCTGTGGGACTTAGGTTAACTTGAAGTCAGTGGATTAATTCATGGGTTAATTCATGACCAATGAAACATTTGAAAATAGGGGGCTGAGGAAAGCACACCTGGAATGAGCATCAGGAGACAAAAGTTGTAGCTTTAGTTCTGCCATTTATTAGCAAAGTGACTTCCTTAATGTCTCTGGACATTAGGGTTTTTTTGTTTACCCAAGGAAGGCTGCACTAGGTAATTTCTTGGATCCCATTTAGTTTTAGTCTGAGAGGGCTGAGGCTGAGGCAAGGAGGTGGTTTCTGATTTAGTTCTATTACCCGCTACTGTCAAGTATCTATAGACCAACCCCCACCCCTCCTTTTTTTTTTGAGACAGAGTCTTGCTCTGTCGCCAGGCTGGAGTGCAGTGGCACGATCTCGGCTCACTGCAACCTCTGCCTTCCAGGTTCAAGCAATTCCCCTGCCTCAGCCTCCCAACCAGACCCCTTTGATGAGGTTATTTCTCTTTGGAAGAAATCGATATTTTTGATGAGGTTGGCAACATTGCTTATACTAAGTATTCACACACCTTCTTTTTTTACGCACTATAGATTAGTCCTTTTTATGTTGCAAAGCCTAAAACTAAGAGATTATGATTTGGAAATGGGATGTGAGTTGCAAACTAATCACTGAATTCCTACCTGTTTGCATAAGGGTTGAAAATTCTCTTGAACGATTGAGCAATTTCCTGATAGAATCTCAAGATATTTGTTTTAGTCTGTTTTCTTTTAATATTATAGTTATTAATACTATTAGTATTCTGAGGGATAGATTCATAATATGTTACATTTATATTCAGGAATAACTAATAGCGCAAACTTAATCTGTTGTAAATAAACTGATCTTCCACTCAAAATGTGTCCAATTTTCCATGTTCCCTACCATTTAAAAAGGCATATATTTGTAGTCACCTATACTTTTTCTTTTTCTTGCATCCTCCACATTCTAATAGATGGTCAGTTTTACTTGTTTCTACCTCTGAAATGTTGTTCATCAAACTACTGCCACTGACTCATTACTTCTTGCTTACCTTTGCAATAGCCTTCTCCCTATTTTCAATCCTTATTGGCACCAATGTGTCCTTTACTGTCACTAGAAGAGGCTTTTCAACATACCATTCTGATTATGTCCCTCCCTTGCTTAAAAAGCATTAATGACTTGGCATCGTTTATAGAATGAAGCCCAATTTTTCCAGTGGTACTTAAATTTTTCTTGTTTTGACATGCCAGATATTCATATATTTTATCTGATTCCTCTGTTTTGTCATTCCTGCAACCTTGAGTGTTGTCTCTTCATTTCCACTTCTGTCTGGCAAAGTTCTACTCATCCTTCAAGGTCAGGCCAAAAGTGTCTTCTGTCATGAATTCTTATCTAATTATTTTATATCCACATGAATGCTCCTTCATCTGAACTCTTATCACCAATCTTATTACTTTAATGGGGAGAAGGCTATTATACAACTCTGTATTTTCTTCATTTCTATATTTCCTTCAACATTAAGGGTTCTAATAAGCTTTAGATAATCTTCAACCACTGAAATCGATGCAAATTTTACATGTATTTGTGCATTTCTGGTAAGAGTAGCTGTATCATTTATCAAATTTTCAAAATATTTGATAACCACAAATGGCTGATAACAATACTGTATACTATATTATAAACTCTGAAAAAAAGTATTTTGTCAATGGAAATTTTAGTATAATGTCTTTAACACAGGTAATAAATAATTCCTCAATAAATAATCAACTGAATAAAAAATTTGAATATTACATTTAAAAACAGTTTAATTGGAGAATTGTCTAAGTTCATGTTCAGAATCATGTATTGGATTATTGTTAAAACTTTTTAATGTTTCTAAATATATAGGATAAGAAGGTTTGATATATTTTATGAGAACTTTTTATTTGGCTAAGATACTGTGGGATTGGAACTTTAATTGGGATTTATCTGGTATATTGGGATATAATTAGAAACCTCTTCAGGTCTCTTGAATTATTCTTATGGTGCCTGAATTAAGAGATAGCCTGTGTTACACTTCAAGTAGAGACCTGAGCTCTGAAGCAGATTCAAATATGTTCCAGTGTCTGTGATATGGTTTGGCCTGAAACTAGTCTTGGCCCTCTACCTTCCCCTTGCATTCATTGAATCATATCCTGTTAATTTACATTTCAACACACTATTTGTTTCTCATAGACAAACACTTGAGGACGCATCCTCACTAGATTCAAGTGCCCTCACCAAGCACCCTCACCCTCTGCAGCAACTTTTCCTATACTTCTCCCCATCTCACTTCTTAGTGGAGTTTAGGGGATAACCAGGCCTGATGAAGGAAGACATGGCTGGTAGTTTACCTGTTGATTGGTTTGCTTTTTCTTGTCTTTGAAATTAGGGGGTGGGAATTATTTGCAGATTTAGGGAGGATTTCCAAGGACAACAGAGCATGATTACAGATGAGGGTGAAAGTGCTGGCAGCCTGAGAGAGGGGTTCCACATACTCTCACTTGTAGTTTCTATAAATAGAGAAGGCTGTCTCTGGTATTTGATGAGCATAATTGATTACAGAGACAATAACTCTGTTAAAAAATGCTTTCTCTACTTTGTAGAATATTGCTTAATTTGCAATATTTACCTATATTGTGATATTTACTAGAGTAAATCTAAGGGTTTATAGTATGTTTAGAAATAAAATGCATATACTTGAGAGGAGGATTTTGAGATTTGTAGTTGTATACATATATACACACAAACACACATAGAATCTCATTTAATCTTGACAATAATTGTATGAGGTAGGTAGGGACAATACTATTAATCCCATGTTTTTTTTAAAAGAAAACTGAAGCTCAGCAGAACAAAATAACTCAACCAAGAAATCAGAACTAAAATTGAAATCCCTAGTCCAGTGCCCTTTCAATTACATTATACAATAGTAATAACAGTTTTCAACTCAGTTATAGTAGCTTGTAACCTGTTGGTAATTTTCGGGGGAGAAAAATCTCTTCTACAAAATGAATAGCACAGGCATTTTACACTCTGGGATCAGAAATGCTTGCATGTCCTTTGACAATATGCATACTGTTACTTTGATAATATGCATAAATATTATTACCATAAAGCATTTCAATTTAGCAAAAATAAAGAAATAAAATGCATGTACCTCTACACTAAATGTTATTATTTTGAGTGATACAGGGAAGCATCAAGAACTTACTGGCTAGAGGTTTTTTGTATAGAAGGTTTGGGGGTATTTTTCAAATCTTCTCAGGTAATTCTACAGTGCAGCTAGTGCTAAGAACCAGTGGTAGGAAAGGCAAGGTTGGAAGCAACCAGGGCAGGATGCCAAGGGCCTGGACCATGGTAGTGGCAGAGGAAATGGAGAGGCATTTATAATAAATATTTAAAAAGGAATGGTGATTGAGTTTAAGGAAAAAAGCAGAGGGAGAAGTTGATGTTAACTCTGTCTTTCCAATCTGCCAACAGAAGTGGTTAATCTTGTCAGTAAGCTGGTTTGATTGAACGGGAGCAGGAATAGAAAGACATGAATAGACCTGATTTTGGACCCAAGATAGTAGTAGAGAGAGAGTTAGCAATGTAAGAATAGGGTTTTCCCTGTCTGAGTGATTTGTTCTAAGCCTTTTTTTGTTAGAACTACAGTTATGATAATAACATTTTTTAAAATTAATAATTGATGGATATTTTCTTGTAAATATTCACTTAGATCTATCAAATACTCTAAATTGGGTAAGTTAGCAAATACTATCCTATTACTCCTCCCTATGATGGATTTAAACTCAGTAGAGCTGAGGGGAATGGAGGCAACTAGAGTGGTTTCTTGCCTAGCACAGGGCACCTGTTCATTTTGCCACCCTTAAGCATGGTCAGATTCTTGGACCATAATCATACTGGCTTTCTTGTGTAGGTAGCGTGGAGACTATTTTTAGGTATAATGGCCTCATAATGGGACTTTTTATTATTTCTGTTTTTTATGGGGGCCCAGAGTTAAATTCAGGCTGGGTGGGACCCTATGTGTATATTTTGTGGCTACAGACAAAACAGTATAAGGCGTTTCCTTTTGTTCAGTTTCCAGGGTATTTCTGGGAAGTCAGACCATGAAGTTTGCCCCAGGAAATTGTTTGTTTGTGGCCAAGACCAGTGTTTACACATTCTCATTGAGGGAATCTTTAATAAGCCATTCCATTTGCACACACATTGCCCAAAGAAGGTATTTTTACCCTCCTTTTATAAAACCTTGGCATTATAAGAATGTATTAAAACAGCAGCTCCATTGTGAGAGGTTATCCAGAGCTGAAGGTTTGAGGCTCTTTTTTAAGAATGCTGCACATGTAAGCATCTAAGATGACTTAATCCTGTAGATTTCATGTCTTTCCCTCATTGGAAGGATGGTCCCTTTTTATCTTTGGAGGAAAAAAGTAACACAATGTTTTAAAACTTCTTAGTGTTTTTGTTGGATCTCAAAATAATTTATGAAGAAAGTATAGGAAGATAATTTTGCTTAATTTTACCAATGAGGAAGCCATATCCTTGACCTGGAAAGGTTAAAAAAAAAAAAAAACATTCTCAAGGCTCCATATGAGGTTAGCCCCTCCCAGCTAAAAGTAGGATCTTGGAGAAGGAACTCTGGTTACTTTAACTTTTTTATGTAAGGAATTGTAAAATATTAGAAGAGGTTTAACACAGTTTTGAAAAGGTCTAATGACAGTTCAACAGATTTGGAATGGCTGTGAGAGATAAGGCAGAAAACATTTAGCTCCCTCTTTGTGTTTGAATCAGGAATATGACATTATTTACTCAAGGGAGAGGCTTGAATGGCCTGGCTTCAGTGACTTTCTTTCTTTTTTTCTTTTTTGCCTCTACTGATTGTTTTACAATTCAGCTTTTTTTTTTTCATATTTTTCTTCTCTATACTATTTTATGGCCCACTGTAATATTTACTTCACTTGCTAGCTTCCAAATATATCGTTATTTACCATAGGATGATAGGAGGCGGGTCAAGATGAGATAGACACTCCAAACTTTTTTGATTGGATGTTGTTGGATGGCAGGAGAGTGTAGCCTTGGAAGAAGAGTGGAGAAGATACTATGATATTAGGCCAATATTTGTCAATATAATGTTAGGAAAATTTCCTCTTCTAAGTCAGGCTTGGACTGGGACATTTACTCTCCTCCCTGGTGGGGTGGGAATTACATGGTCCATAAAATCTTCTAATTCTCTTCCTCTTTGAAGTACTTCAGACTCTAAAATATCTACTGGGGAGAATGGGTCCTATATGAATAACGCAAATGATTATATATTTATCATCATAATTAATGATATTTCTGCTTTCTCCTCGTTCTATTCTCTGTTGTTGTTGTCAAACAGATTTGTAAGAATTCAATGATGACTCTGACTTATGGTCTGTGTAATATTCTTCCTGTTCACTGGCTTCTGCAATGAGAAAGGCAGGAGAATGTGAATTATATGTTAAGTTGTTTATCTGGGACCTGAGGTCTGGCTATGTGATTTACATCCCCAATTCATATTTCTGGATTTCCTGATAGATATTTACTTTTTTTCAATATGCATCTTCTTCACTATACAGTAAAATTAAAGATTAACAAGTTCCCTTCCCCCTAGTTTGATGTAATCAGACATCACACTAGTATGTTGGAGAAAAATGGAGATTTCCATTCTTCTAATTACCTATTACTAAAAATTCTCTTCCTGTGCTGTTCTGTGCTGTGAGAATACACGGTCCACCAACTGTCTCTTGATTTTGATTCATTCTCAGATCTCTGTCCTTTCTACATTCTTTCTTGTCTTCCTTAATTATTAATTGAGCACATACTGTGGCATAGCAATCTAAGATGTTTTGAGCACACAACCAGAAACATATATTTTGTTTGCATTATAGACAAATAGAGGTTAAAAAGGAAAAGATATAACTAAATAGAAATAGAAGTTTCAGTAACTTCTTTTATATATAAACAACTCAAAGCACAAGAGTAATGCAGTGCAAGGAATAGTCTTTTGTCTCACTCAGTTTCAAAAACAGCCTGGGTTATGTTGCATACTATAACTAATGAAAATATTACCCATGGTAGGTCCTGCAACTTACTGATATAATTTCCATCAAGGCTCATGGCAGTTTTATGTATGCATTTATAAGGGGAGACTCTTAAATACTACTACTGTTCTATATCTAAGGGGCTAAAGTACTTTCAGGAAAGACTTTTTAATGTTCTTGTGTTTGAAAAACATAAAATGAGGTGATGACTGGCAAATGAGAGCAAGCCTGTTTAATATTAAGATTATGACGTAAATTGACAAAAGCCCAAGCATTCCAAGTCCTAGTTGCTAGGCACCTTCTCCTTGCTCCCATCTGAGTATAATGATGCATTGTCAGCCTTAGTTGAGGTACAAAAGGGTTATTAGACTTTTGAGTCCATCTGCTACCCATGCAAAGGAAATAATCGAACTAACACTGCCTGC
Organism: Homo sapiens; assembly: GCF_000001405.40. Taxonomy (NCBI): domain Eukaryota; kingdom Metazoa; phylum Chordata; class Mammalia; order Primates; family Hominidae; genus Homo; species Homo sapiens. The sequence goes on along the minus strand of NC_000004.12, from coordinate 127,482,006 downwards.
TCTTTTCCTTGGTTTCTTGCCACCTTAATTATAGTTCATCTGGGCTATGTGTGTACTTGCTGCCTTGGGTAGAACATTTTCCAGGACTGTAAGAAAGCAGAGTGAAAGCTCAGGTAAGGGAATTGAAGCAGAATTTGCAGTTACAGCTTGGGGGAAGGGGTCATCTGGTGACTTACCCAAGCAATCAAACCAACAGCACGGGCTACCCACAGTTCATGTGGCTTCAATGGCAATTATTGCCAAACTATTTTTCATGGAGCTTTTCAATTCAAACTTGGTCCTAGTTTTTGTTTTTAAATATTTGTGGGTGTGTATATATGCTTTTTGTTGAGATTGCTACATCAGGGTGTATTTCTTTTTGAATGATAGAAATTGCCTTTCATTTTTATTTACCTGTCCTGTTTTAGATCAGTGGCTAGCCCTGTTTTCTACTGGGATAAACCTTGTGGAAGATCTCTTCATGCACAAAGTGACACGGGTGTATCATTCATCTAGGTCTGTGCCCTAGAAAAGATAGACTCTGAGTGTTGTGCAGCTCCCTGTGAGTTAGGTAACTTCATCTCTTCCTTTACAGTCAATTTGAGACTCACGAAGGTTACTATACCACAAAAATTGCTGCTATAAAAATATGCCAAGTGGCTTCAGAAAAGGTAACAAAATTTTAATTCCGAAGCTCCAAGGAAGACTTTCCTTCTCCAACTCCTTATAAATGCTTTCGCTATGTGTCCAGAGTGGCTTTTTCTTACGCTTACTCTGTGCAACCAGGACTATTTACACAACCTTTGGTTTAAAACACAACTTTCTTGTTGCATTAACTGATACACCCCCCCACCCTATACAGTATCAAATATATTCTTTCCTTTTGGGTCTGATTTTGTGTTTTGCAAATCTGTGAGCACAAAGGAACACATTTTGGTTTCTTTAAATAGCATGTAGTTAAGAAATGTGAACAAGCCATTTGCAATGAATGTAAGTGAGAATACATTCTGCTTAGTGTTGGTGGGTCTGACTTGCATTATTTCTACAGCTAAAAAATTTTTATTAGTATATTTCTTACTCATTTTAAGAAGAATTTTTTCTGAAAAAATTAAAAAATTGAATTTGAAATACAAAATACAAATTGTCCATATCAATTGGATTTCTTATAACAGTCAACAGTAGATCATGGCCCTGGTCTGCATTTGGTTTCCAGGAGTGCTGGTTTATGTGCTAGCAAGGATTAAAATGGTGCATCGGGGATACATTAGTAGTTCCCCAAACTGACAAATCATAAGAGTTACCAAGGCCTCATTCTCTAGAGATCCAGATTGGGGAAGGGGTAAAGCTGTGAATTTATACTTTGATTTACTCAGTTGATTTCCGAGGAGCAGGCCAATTTGGGAACTACTAAAGAGACCATAAGATTTTGTTCCGGCTCTGTAGTTCTAAAATCTCATGACTATTCTCGATCACATTTCTAGAAATTTAGAGCTAGAAAGTCTCTTAGATCACATTTAAACTAAACCCCTCGTTAAAAATAAAACATTTTTAGAATTATAGAAAGTGCTAAAAATGAAAAATGGATATAAAAAAGAAAAAAGAAGAAAAAAATCTTTACTTCCTATTTTCACCACCTACACATAACTATGCTTATGCTTTGGTAATTTTCCTTCCTTACTCTTAAAAATATATATCTTAAAAAATGACAGCACACCGTACATATATGTAAATATATATATGTATGTTTATAAACTATATTCACTTAATATATTGAGAACATTTTCCATATCATTAGAAATTCCGTAAGGTTACGGAGTCAATGATTCAGCTTTAACACAATTATCGTAATGATTTTCTTACGGTTGGTAACTTAGGTTATTTTCCTTTTAGTTCCTCCTACAAGTGATGCTGAATTAATAGCCTGATTGAAAATTATTTGTGTACATCCTTGGTTATTTCCTTCCTTTCTCAGAAGTTTAATTTCTGGAAATACAGCATGATGGCTGCGAGCATGGACTCTGAGCCATACAGCTTGAATTTGTATGTAGGTTTTACCAATTATTAGTTGTGTGAACTTAGGCAAGGTTTAGTGCCTTGGTTTCCTTATGTGTAAAATTGGGTTAAATATTGTACCTATGTCATAGGATTGTTGTGAAGATTAAATAAGCCAATATACAAAAAGCACTTAGAAATATGTATGGGGCAGAGTAGGAGTTAAATGTTGGCTATTATTATTCCGGCACTAAAGCAGTGTACATTTGAGGCTTTTTGAGAGTTACTGTGAATTTTCCCTCCAGAAAGGCTGTAGCATTAATGTTCCCACCAGAAAGTTTAGAGTCCACTTTCTTACATCCTTACCAACACTGCCAACTTTTTTTCATTTCTAGATGAAGAAAATGAAGTACAACAAAATCAAGTTCTTTGGCACAGGCCTCCAGGCACCAAGAGATTTGGGACTAGAATACAGATACACCACTCCACAAACTTACCCTTATCACAGTTACATATTAAGAATTTTATATTTGTACATTTTAATGCACCTTGTTTTGTAGGGCTGATTGCAAAGACTTTTTTTGCCCTCTGGCAACATTGTAACTGTGAGAGCAATGGACCAATAAAGGAGTCATTATTCTCCAGTGTGCTACATAGTTGTTTGTAACTTACACATTTTCACTTTCAGAAACAGAAATTGGCATTTATAAATATTTATAGGAAAAAACTCCCTGAAAATGCATAATATTCACCTAAACTTTTATTGTTCTCTGAAAGTGAAATAAAAATGGTTCTTATCAATGGGTCACTAGAGGGCACTGTGACTCTTCAAGTTCTCAGGTTGCACTGTGAAAAATTCTTCAAAAGGTATTTTTTATTTCAGTGAGATTTTCTCTGGCATCCAGAAAAGTATAGTCAAATATGAAGAGTTTGAGGGGTGCATGGAACCTGATTGTGTATGAGCTGATCAGGAGGTTACACTTTTTGGTTACAGGAAAATTCAAGTCATAGGAGTTGTTAAATTGTGAAAATGGTATGTTTTGATCTACCTTTTCAGCTCCAGACAGTATTCTGAGCTAGCAACTTCTCATTGCTTTTCCACTTTGGAATATTTTATTTTACAGTTGTATCTCTAAGCATGACTTAAGTCAACACATGACATTAATATGTATGAAATATGCATTCACATTATAGTGACTATATATATTTTTATTTTTTTATTATACTTTAAGTTTTAGGGTACATGTGCACATTGTGCAGGTTTGCTACATATATATATACACATGTGCCATGTTGGTGTGCTGCACCCATTAACTCGTCATTTAACATTAGGTATATCTCCTAATGCTATCCCTCGCCCCTCCCCCACCCCACAACAGTCTCCAATGTGTGATGTTCCCTTTCATGTGTCCATGTGTTCTCATTGTTCAATTCCCACCTATGAGTGAGAACACGCAGTGTTTGTTTTTCTGTCCTTGCGATAGTTTCCTGAGAATGATGGTTTCCAGCTTCATCCATGTCCCTACAAAGGACATGATCTCATCCTTTTTTATGGCTGCATAGTATTCCATGGTGTATATGTGCCACATTTTCTGAATCCAGTCTATCACTGTTGGACATTTGGGTTGGTTCCAAGTCTTTGCTGTTGTGAATAGTGCCACAATAAACACACATGTGCATGTGTCTTTATAGCAGCGTGATTTATAATCCTTTGGGTATATACCCAGTAATGGGATGGCTGGGTCAAATGGTATTTCTAGTTCTAGATCCCTGAGGAATTGCCCCACTGACTTCCACAATGGTTGAACTAGTTTACAGTCCCACCAACAGTGTTAAAGTGTTCCTATTTCTCCACATCCTCTCCAGCACCTGTTGTTTCCTGACTTTTTAATGATCGCCATTCTAACTGGTGTGAGATGGTATCTCATTGTGGTTTTGATTTGCATTTCTCTGATGGCCAGTGATGATGAGCATCTTTTCGTGTGTCTTTTGGCTGCATAAATGTCTTCTTTTGAGAAGTGTCTGTTCATGTCCTTCGCCCACTTTTGATGGGGTTGTTTGTTTTTTTCTTGTAAATTTGTTGGAGTTCATTGTAGATTCTGGATATTAGCCCTTTGTCAGATGAGTAGATTGCAACAATTTTCTCCCATTCTGTAGGTTGCCTGTATACTCTGATGGTAGTTTCTTTTGCTGTGCAGAAGTTCTTTAGTTTAATTAGATCCCATTTGTCAATTTTGGCTTTTGTTGCCATTGCTTTTGGTGTTTTAGACATGAAGTCCTTGCCCATGCCTATGTCCTGAATGGTACTGCCTAGGTTTTCTTCTAGGATTTTTATGGTTTTAGGTCTAACATTTAAGTCTTTAATCCGTCTTGAATTAATTTTTGTATAAGGTGTAAGGAAGGGATCCAGTTTCAGCTTTCTACATATGGCTAGCCAGTTTTCCCAGCACCATTTATTAAATAGGGAATCCTTTCCCCATTTCTTGTTTTTCTCAGGTTTGTCAAAGATCAGATAGTTGTAGATATGTGGCATTATTTCTGAGGGCTCTGTTCTGTTCCATTGATCTATATCTCTGTTTTGGTACCAGTACCATGCTGTTTTGGTTACTGTAGCCTTGTAGTATAGTTTGAAGTCAGGTAGTGTGATGCCTCCAGTTTTGTTCTTTTGGCTTAGGATTGACTTGGCAATGCGGGCTCTTTTTTGGTTCCATATGAACTTTAAAGTAGTTTTTTCCAATTCTGTGAAGAAAGTCATTGGTAGCTTGATGGGGATGGCATTGAATCTATAAATTACTTTGGGCAGTATGGCCATTTTCACGATATTGATTCTTCCTACCCATGAGCATGGCATGTTCTTCCTTTGTTTGTATCCTCTTTTATTTCATTGAGCAGTGGTTTGTAGTTCTCCTTGAAGAGGTCCTTTGTATCCCTTGTAAATTGGATTGCTAGGTATTTTATTCTCTTTGAAGCAATTGTGAATGGGAGTTCATTCATGATTTGGCTCTCTGTTTATCTGTTATTGGTGTATAAGAATGCTTGTGATTTTTGCAGATTGATTTTGTATCCTGAGACTTTGCTGAAGTTGCTTCTCAGCTTGAGGAGATTTTGGGCTGAGACAATGGGGTTTTCTAGATATACAATCATGTCATCTGCAAACAGGGACAATTTGACTTCCTCTTTTCCTAATTGAATACCCTTTATTTCCTTCTCCTGCCTAATTGCCCTGGCCAGAACTTCCAACACTATGTTGAATAGGAGTGGTGAGAGAGGGCATCCCTGTCTTGTGCCAGTTTTCAAAGGGAATGCTTCCAGTTTTTGCCCATTCAGTATGATATTGGCTGTGGTTTTGTCTTAAGTAGCTGTTATTATTTTGAGCTACGTCCCATCAATACCTAATTTATTGAGAGTTTTGAGCATGAAGGGCTGTCGAATTTTGTCATGGCCTTTTCTGCATCTCTGGAGATAATCATGTGGTTTTTGTCTTTGGTTTTGTTTATATGCTGGATTACATTTATTGATTTGCATATGTTGAACCAGCTTTGCATCCCAGGGATGAAGCCCACTTGATCATGGTGGATAAGCTTTTTGATGTGCTGCTGGATTCGGTTTGCCAGTATTTTATTGAGGATTTTTGCATCGATGTTCATCAGGGGTATTGGTCTAAAATTCTCTTTTTTTATTGTGTTTTGCCAGGCTTTGGTATCAGGATGATGCTGGCCTCATAAAATGAGTTAGGGAGGATTCCCTCTTTTTCTATTGATTGGATTAGTTTCAGAAGGAATGCTACCAGCTCCTCCTTGTACACCTGGTAGAATTTGACTGTGAATCCATCTGGTCCTGGACTTTTTTTGGTTGATAAGCTATTAATTATTGCCTCAATTTCAGAGCCTATTATTGGTCTATTCAGAGATTCCACTTCTTCCTGGTTTAGTCTTGGGAGGGTGTATGTGTCCAGGAATGTATCCATTTCTTCTAGACTTTCTAGTTTCTTTGCATAGAGGTGTTTATACTATTCTCTGATGGTAGTTTGCATTTCTGTGGGATCAGTGGTGATATCCCCTCTATGATTTTTTTATTGTGTCTATTTGATTCTTCTCTCTTTTCTTCTTTATTAGTCTTGCTAGTGGTCTATCAATTTTGTTGATCTTTTCAAAAAACCAGCTCCTGGATTCATTGATTTTTTGAAGGGTTTTTTGTGTCTCTATTTCCTTCAATTCTGCTCTGATCTTAGTTATTTCTTGCCTTCTGCTAGCTTTTGAATGTGTTTGCTCTTGCTTCTCTATTTCTTTTAATTGTGATGTTAGGGTGTCAATTTTCGATCTTTCCTGCTTTCTCCTGTGGGTGTTTAGTGCTATAAATTTCCCTCTACACACTGCTTTGAATGTGTCCCAGAGATTCTGGTATGTTGTGTTTTTGTTCTCATTGGTTTCAAAGAACATCTTTATTTCTGCCTTCATTTCGTTATGTACCCAGTAGTCATTCAGGAGCAGGTTGTTCAGTTTCCATGTAGTTGAGCGGTTTTGAGTGAGTTTCTTAATCCTGAGCTCTAGTTTGCACTGTGGTCTGAGAGACAGTTTGTTATAATTTCTGTTCTTTTACATTTGCTGGGGAGTGCTTTACTTCCAACTATGTGGTCAATTTTGGAATAGGTGTGGTGTGGTGCTGAAAAGAATGTATATTCTGTTGATTTGGGGTGAAGAGTTCTGTAGATGTCTATTAGGTCTGCTTGGTGCAGAGCTGAGTTCAATTCCTGGATATCCTTGTTAACTTTCTGTCTCATTGATCTGTCTAATGTTGACAGTGGGTGTTAAAGTCTGCCATTATTATTGTGTGGGAGTCTAAGTCTCTTTGTAGGTCTCTAAGGACTTGCTTTATGAATCTGGGTGCTCCTATATTGGGTACATATATATTTAGGATAGTTAGCTCTTCTTGTTGAATTGATCCCTTTACCATTACGTAATGGCCTTCTTTGTCTCTTTTGATCTTTGTTGGTTTAAAGTCTGTTTTATCAGAGACTAGGATTGCAACCCCTGTCTTTTTTTGTTTTCCATTTGCTTGGTAGATCTTCCTCCATCCTTTTATTTTGAGCCTATGTGTGTCTCTGCAAACGAGATGGGTTTCCTGAATACAGCACACTGATGGGTCTTGACTCTTTATCCAATTTGCCAGTCTGTGTCTTTTAATTGGAGCATTTAGCCCATTTACATTTAAGGTTAATATTGTTATGTGTGAATTTGATCCTGTCATTATGATGTTAGCTGGTTATTTTGCTCATTAGTTGATGCAGTTTCTTCCTAGACTCAATAGTCTTTACAATTTGGCATGTTTTTGCAGTGGCTGGTACTGGTCGTTCCTTTCTATGTTTAGTGCTTCCTTCAGGAGCTCTTTTAGGGCAGGCCTGGTGGTGATAAAATCTCTCAGCATTTGCTCGTCTGTAAAGTATTTTATTTCTCCTTTACTTATGAAGCTTAGTTTGGCTGGATATGAAATTCTGGGTTGAAAATTCTTTTCTTTAAGAATGTTGAATACTGGCTCCCACTCTCTTCTGGCTTGTAGAGTTTCTGCTGAGAGATCAGCTGTTAGTCTGATGGGCTTCCCTTTGAGGGTAACCCGACCTTTCTCTCTGGCTGCCCTTAACATTTTTTCCTTCATTTCAACTTTGGTGAATCTGACAATTATGTGTCTTGGAGTTGCTCTTCTCGAGGAGTATCTTTGTGGCATTCTCTGTATTTCCTGAATTTGAATATTGGCCTGCCTTGCTAGATTGGGGAAGTTCTCCTGGATAATATCCTGCAGAGTGTTTTCCAACTTGGTTCCATTCTCCCCGTCACTTTCAGGTACACCAATCAGATGTAGACTTGGTCTTTTCACATAGTCCCATATTTCTTGGAGGCTTTGTTCTTTTCTTTTTATTATTTTTTCTCTAAACCTCTCTTCTCGCTTCAATTCATTTATTTGATCTTCCATCACTGATACCCTTTCTTCCAGTTGATCAAATTGGCTACTGAGGTTTGTACATTCGTCACGTAGTTCTCGTGCCATGGTTTTGAGCTCCATCAGGTCCTTTAAGGACTTCTCTGCATTGGTTATGTTAGTTAGCCATTCGTCTAATCTTTATGCAAGGTTTTTAACTTGTTTGCCATGGGTTCAAACTTCCTCCTTTAGCTCGGAGTAGTTTGATCGTCTGAAGCCTTCTCCTCTCAACTTGTCAAAGTCATTCTCCGTCCAGCTTTGTTCTGTTGCTGGTGAGGAGCTGCGTTCCTTTGGAGGAGGAGAGGCACTCTGAATTTTAGAATTTTCAGTTTTTCTGCTCTGTTTTTACCCCAACTTTGTGGTTTAATCTACCTTTGGTCTTTGATGATGGAGACATGCAGATGGGGTTTTGGTGTGGATGTCCTGTTTGTTAGTATTCCTTCTAACAGTCAGGACCCTCAGCTGCAGGTCTGTTGGAGTTTGCCGGAGGTCCACTTCAGACCCTGTTTGCCTGGGTATCAGAAGTAGTGGCTGCAGAACAGTGGATATTTGTGAACAGCCAATGTTGCTGCCTGATCATTCCTCTGGAAGTTTTGTCTCAGAGGAGTACCCGGCCATGTGAGGTGTCAGTCTGCCCTTACTGGGGGGTGCCTCCCAGTTAGGCTACTTGGGGGTCAGGGACCCACTTGAGGAGGCAGTCTGTCCATTCTCAGATCTCAAGCTGCATGCTGGGAGAACCACTACTCTCTTCAAAGCTGTCAGACAGGGACATTTAAGTCTGCAGAGGTTTCTGCTGCCTTTTGTTTGGCTATGCCCTGCCCCCAGAGGTGGAGCCTACAGAGGCAGGCAGGCCTCCTTGAGCTGTGGTGGGCTCCACCCAGTTCAACCTTCCCATCTGCTTTGTTTACCTATTCAAGCCTCGGCAATGGTGGGTGCCCCTCCCCAAGCCTCACTGCCGCCTTGCAGTTTGATCTCAGATTGCTGTCCTAGCAATGAGCAAAGCTCCGTGGGCGTAGGACCCTCCGAGCCATGTGCGGGATATAATCTCCTGGTGTGCCATTTGCTAAGACTGTTGGAAAAGCACGGTATTAGTGTGGGAGTGTCCCAATTTTCCAGGTGCCATCTGTCACCCCTTTCCTTGGCTAGGAAATGGAATTCCCTGACCCCTTGCGCTTCCCGGGTGAGGCGATGCCTCGCCCTGCTTCAGCTCATGCTGGGTGTGCTGCACCCACTGTCCTGCACCCACTCTCTGACAATCCCCAGTGAAATGCACCCGGTACCTCAGTTGGAAATGCAGATATCATTTGTCTTCTGTGTCGCTCACGCTGGGAGCTGTAGACTGGAGCTGTTTCTATTCGGCCATTTTGGCTCCACATTATAGTGATTTTAAAGCACTGTTAACCATTATATAATAGATTCTTCCCCCACAAAGTGACCTGGGCCTTTAGCATGTACTTTAGAATGTACCTGAAATAGCTTCAATAACATACTTATTTTTACTCTGTTAAATATTGTGCTAAAAAGAAAACTCTTCTTGAGCCCATGATGATATTTTCCACTTGACTGCTAAGCCTGGGTTCAAGTTAGGAAAACTGGTTAACAGAATTGTTTTACCTTTCAAAATAACTTCCTGAAGGACTCACATACTGAGTAGTGTATCAAGTAGCATCTTTAACAATAATTTAAACTATGATTTCCATTTACACAACATAAAAACCCAAGAACATTTGAAGGTGGTAGTTGCTGGTTTTAATTTGTTAAACTGGCAAATGATTTACCAAATTTTCTCTTTTATATATTTGGTATTTGTAGTAGATCGTTGAGGAAAGATATCTGCGAATCATTAAGTTTGAGTTTGCTCTAGCCTTATTAAGTGGAGTTGGTTTAATTGAGGAGGGGTCTTATAAAGTTTTTAACAACCCAATGCTGGGTTCTTCCCTTAAAAAAAAAAAGGTAAGATAAAAAGACTCTTAATTTCTCCTCCTCCTCCTCTCTGGAAGCCAATCTATAAAAAATCACTGTAGTCCTGGTTACATGGGAGGCTGAGGCAGGAGTGTTGGGAGGACCTTGAACCCAGAAATTTGAGTCTAGATTGGCCAACATAGGGAGAACCCCTCCCTTAAAAAAATCAGCAAATCAGTCATCCAGATGGATTGATTTTTTTACTTACTAACCAAATTCATCTTCCACAACGGTTCACCTGCTCTGTTCCCTCATTCCCGGAATTCAGAGTTTATGTTGGCTAGATTATTTAATTCCTCCCTTCCTTCTTTCTCTCAATAATTAATCTAACAGGCTGTAGGGCTCTATGTCTCCAACTGTGTGTACATTTACTATCTTTTTTTCTAGAGTGACATTTTCTAAAAATATCCAAACCTTGCAATATACCATCTTACTGTACATATGTTGGGTTCAAGTCATGTTTCTGTATCTGAAAGGTTCATTCCTTTCACTGTAAGGTAGAAGATTTTTAACAGTGGTGGCAAGTCATCCCCTCTATATCAGTATTACAGTATGACTGATGGAAAGTGAAATAAGGGCGAGGATGGCTGTGCTCTTTGTCTCCTAGACTGAGTTAGCACTGAAATTGCCTCTGGTATTAGTGGCCTGTTTACCTCTTAATGGTCCCATGCAGATATGGGGCTCACTACTTTAAATATCAATTCTTTTCCTACTTTGGCAATCAGATAAAACCTGCTTCTGCCCCCTTTCTGCAACATGGTAATAATAGCTAACATTATTATCAATATGTATGCAGGCTAAGCACTTCCTATACATTATTGGGTACACAGAGGTCTTCGTCATACTCTATTGGCCTAAGCAGGACTAGCAAAGTGTTCTTTGAAAATCCAAAATGGAACATATTTCCAGGAAAGTTATCTTGCAGGCAGTAACTGAGAATAACTTGGATGTCAGTGACTTTCAGAATGACTCCAGGTTTTCCTTCATTACACTTAAAAAATAATATTTTGGGGATGGGATTATGGAAGTAGAATATATGTGATGGGGGTCTCTTAAAATATTAAACACCTGTTTTTTCAAACCCCCAAACTAGTTTCCTTGCAGCCAGTCCACCATTATGATTGCTGAGAAGGAAACACTACCTGGGGAGGAGGAAAATGGTTGTAAGGAAGCCTAGGTAAGACCACGTAAGCAAAGCGAATGGTCAGACAAGCTTGTCCAGGCTTCTCCCAAAGGGGCAAACCTCGGCAGGTGGCATAGGTGATAAAAAGTGGAGGGATTTTGGACCACATTACAGGGGAAAGCCTGACGTCGAGGAGGGGAACCAAGAAGCCTCATTAATGGACTTGGAAGGAATTTACACCCCGGCAGGATTTGCGTGAGGCGGCTCAGGCACTGGAAAGACCGTGCTGCGCAGGCTCACTGATCACGTGGGGCACCTCCCAGAGGAGCGGACCTCGGTGCTGCCAAGGCACATTGCAGAGCCCATGCTGCGCAGAGCTGACACTGCGCAGGTCCGAGGTAGGGGATTAGCTGAGGGCTCGCGGGGTGCGGGGGAGCCTGGGAATGGTGGGGTTCAGTTTGGGACTGGCAATCCAGTGCATAAAGGACACCCTAGAAGTCTCGTGTTGCACCTCGGGGGACCCTGCTGGGGCCCAAAAGCCAGGTGAGCCCAGCACGACAGTGGTGGATTCCTGAGCACAGAGATCAAGGCCGGAGATGGCGGCCGAGTGCTGTCTAGGAGGCCCAAGAGAGGGGTATGTCACCTGCTGATTCTCTCGAAGACTCGGCCAGTACCCCAAGGTGCCCACGATTACCCAGAAGTTACTCTAACCTAGGAGTGTGTGTGTTACATCAGGAAAAACAGGAGTGACCTTAACTGACAGGTTTACTTTTCTTCCTAACTCCACTGAGCGTGGGCATTGAAAGCCACGTTGTATCAGTTATAGCTACGAAAGGAGCCGCATTTTCACGAAACACTTCAGTGTGGTATGTACTTTTCAGTTTCACAAAGCACAGTGTATTTTTAAAAACACAGAAGAGTAGAATGAAAAAGTTAAGCTTAATCTGGGGCAGGGAACCGCAAGTCCTATTAATATTTGATGTATTTTCTTCCACAAAGTACACAATTGTATTGCAAAATTGGGGTCATACGGTATGTGCAATTTTTGGTCCCAATTATACTTTATGCTTTGTTTTGAAAAATTTCCCAATGCTTCACATATTCGGTGGCTAAAACTTGACTGCACTCTTCACCTTCCTCCTTTCTTTTCTCAAATGTTTCTTCTGGCCTCTTTACTGCCACAACTGTCTCCTTTATACCTCTCCTGGGTACATCAGGCTTCCTCTTTTTCAGTCATGCTTGCATTTTGGGAAGATTTTTTAGTAATGCAGCCACCATTAAGTACTCAGAGACTCTGTTGCCTTGTATGTATTCTGCTCCATCTGTGAATCAGTGCCTCATTCATAAATTGAATTGGGATTAGGAAGCAATAGGCAGAGTGGCTTGTAATTCTATATATTGAGAATATTTTTGAGAACTAATTAATATGAGCAGTCTTACTGGAAAAAATTTCCAGAACCATGACAAACCGTGTTCTGTAATCTTGCAGCCAAGTCATAAATAAATGTTCTTGGTAAAAAGAAGAGGGAGGGTGGTTTTGTTGGGGTTCACATATCATGACCATGAGAAATGTCCACAGCTGTAAGAACACGCTCTGCTAAGAATCTGTCTTTCCCCACCTATGTAGAGAAGGCAGCTCATTTTACTAGTGAAAAGTTTATTCTTACTATGTTTTCGAAACATTTCTGTTTATTTTTATACTATGTCTTCAATGTAAGATGCACTTTACTCTCTATGACTGGTGTCTCTGTCTATAGTCAGCATTTTAAAATCTTGAGGTGAGTTTTACTAACGTAGTTGTATTTTTGACCTTGACTTTAATCTAGATGAGGAAATGAGTCTAGAATGAATAAATGGCTAGTTTTAGTGGTAATTATTTAAGAAGAGTTCCAGTTAATTTCTATATTTTAGGTTTGATTTGATTATTTAAATAAGAATCTATAAGAATATTTTGAAATTACTTCTAAAGAATGAAGCAGGCACTAAAAAGGGAAACATATTCCTCCCCTTCCCCCATCTCAAAGTATACCCTTCCTATAACAAATCCAGCACAATTCAAATTTGTCAATTTGCCTGATATTGAAGGGAAATGATTTTGGGTTTGAAATCTTAGACAATGATATTTCCTGGGAATATGTGAAGAAGTAAGGATAAATAACTAGGAGGAAAGGTTTATTTTAGAAATATTATTTTAACCTCTGCCTATCTTTGCCTTTTTACTTTCCTGACAAAGGAGAAATGCTATTGTGAATTCTATTAGGTTCAGTTATAGTATGTAAAATCATTCTCAGACTGGGCCCTTACATAGCAAATTACATTCTGGAGGTCATCTTTGAGAGCCATATTCCAGACGTAGCTAAGGGAAATACAATTATTTTATGGCAATTAAGAATTTAGAGCCATGGTACCCAGGCTGAGAGCACTGAATAAAAAGAACTTGGAAGAGAATTAATTTAGCTTAGGCTGAGAAGACTCTTAGTATAAATAGCATCTGGCTATGCTCAATTTAAGTTTTATATATTAGGGGAAAAGCACATGTATTTTGCCTGAATTCAGTACTACACATGATTGCTTAAAGAGTAGATATACTGCCATATCTATGAAATGAAATAGAAGTCAGCTTGGTCTGTGGGCTCTCCCATGCAAAGATAGGACCTTTATAATGGTAGCTAGGTTATGAGAAGAAATTGGAAAAAAAGGAGAGGCTGCTTTATATGTATATAATATCACAGGTTGAAGTGGAAAAAATAATTATGCAATATATTGTAAATGTAAAGAACCATGTGTTAAAAAAAAAAAACCCTAAGAATTATAATAATGTGAGAAGGAAAGTTAAGATTAATGGTAACTTTCATCTTTAGAAAAACACATTTTTCTTCTATATCATTTGATATCTGTACATGCATTTAAAAAGAGGTGTTTGGAGGCCAGGTGCTGTGGGTCACACCTGTAATCCTAGCACTTTGGGAGGCTGAGGTGGGCGGATTGCCTGAGCTCAGGAGTTCGAGACCAGCCTGGGTAACTTGGTGAAACCCCATATCTACTAAAATACAAAAATTAGCCCACCATGGTGGTGTGTGCCTGTAATCCCAGCTACTCAGGAGGCTGAGACAGGAGGATCACTTGAACTCAGAGGCAGAGGTTGCAGCGAGCCAAGACCTCGCCACTGTACTCCAGCCTGGGTGACAGAGCGAGACTCCATCTCCAAAAAAAAAAAACAAAAGAAGAGGTATTTGGATCTAGGTTACACAATCCACTGTTTTTCCTCCAGAACAGTGTACAGCATCTTTGGAGATTTCCTGTCAGCTCCTAAGTGAAGAGAATTGTTCTTAAAAACTTTGTGGCCTGTGAGTGCGGTGGCTTATGCCTGTAATCCCATCATTTTGGGAGGCTGAGGCTGGCGGATCACCTGAAGTCGGGAGTTTGAGACCAGCCTGACCAACACGGAGAAACTCCGTCTCTATTAAAAATACAAAATTTGCTGGGTGTGGAGTGGTGCATGCCTGTAATCCCAGCTACCCGGGAGGTGGAGGGAGGAGAATCGCTTGAACCTGGGAGGCAGAGGTTGTGGTGAGTCGAGATTGCGCCATTGCACTGCAGCCTGGGCAGCAAGAGTGAAACTCCGTTTCAAAAAAAAAAACAAAAAAAACCTTGTGGCCTGGAGCTAGGCTTTAACTAGTATAATTTTTCCACATTATCCTTGCAAGTTTAATGCAAATTGAGAAGAAAAGGAAATAATAATGAGGCTTATTAAGTATTGTATAAATTTTGCCAGAGGAAAGATAATGCAAATTATTATTATTATTATTATTAAATTATTTTGAGTCTCGTTTTCTCCCTTTCTCTCTCTCTGTGGTGGACATTTACCCCGTGTGTGGACTGAAAGTCTTTGTTTTACAGACCAAGGGGTACTCAATATACAGCCATTTCTCTTTTATTATTCATTGGTATGACTGAAAAAATCACGTTTGAAAGGAGTCATATTTATGGAATATTGTGTTTGAAGAGCATATGGCTATTAGAGATTAATAAATTAGCCATGAAAATAGGAAATGTCCTGAAGCCCTTGAAACATATTTGGTATTCAGCATTTGCATTAGCCAGTATCTCCCTTTCCAATTTTTAATAGGAGAAATACTACCCTCCTTTCCCCCTTATCTATCATATGTGTCTGTTATATTTAACCAAGTATCTGGGATATATACTCTCAGAACTTAAAAAAGAAGTGTTTTCATAAAAATTCCAGTAAAGGGAAGGGAAAAGGGAGGCTTCCTTTTGTCTTACAGGTTTTATTGTCTTTTTTCCCCTTTATAATCTTGGCACATACTATTACATGAAGGTTATGACAATGTTCAAAAAAGTCTTGTGCTATTTGATATAAATATCACAAGTTACAAATAAGTTTCCTTTGCTAAACGATAAATATGGCAAATGGTAAATAACTATCAGAATGCTTTTTTGACTCCCCTCTGTCTTGTCTTAAAAATGTTGCTTTCTTTTTCTTCCCTTGTTCTTCATCTGTCCTCATGCTTTACTTGATTGAAGTCAGTCATATAGTTTCAAAGAATATCTGAACACTAGTGACTCCAAGATTTACAGTTGTAGTCCAGGGCCACCTCCTGAATTTCTGATACATGTGAGCAGAGATCTTCTTTCAGTTGTCCCGTAGACATGGCATGCATTAATTTATTCATTCACTCAATGGATTTTTATTGAGGACCTAATATGTACCAGGTACTTAACATGTCCAGAACTTGCCATTCTACTCAATTTCTATTTTATCTCCATAAACACTTATCTCCAGATAACAAAAACAGAAACCCGGGACCAGTTTTCTCCTCATTTCCTTGATGTTAATGATGATAAAAATATTGGTCTGACACTGTGATAGGCATTTAACATATTAGTATATTGCATTAACTCATCTGTTCCATGGTGAACAGATCTGTTCTATGCAAACCTACCAGCAAAAGGCCAAAGAAGCTAAGCCAAAGAAAGAGACTGACAAATCCAGGTTCTCAGAAAGAAATAATTAATAGGGACTTACAAACAGAAGCTGTGTCTTGGGCAGTTGGGAGAGGAGATGGTGGATCCCTTCCCCATTTATTTCCCAAACCCAGGGCTTATATAGCATAGGGAATTTGCCTAAGTGCAGGCTTTATGGCAAGTATGTGATTTATAATGCTAAATTAAGTTTAACGTAAAACAGTCTTCTTATGTATATTAAGTTGAACCTCAAGTTCTCTTCCTACACGGTGAACTGTAGCCTAACTGGATGTGTTAACAGGCTATAACCTATTCCTGTGCCAATCACTGAGTTTTGGTCCATCAAAGGCGACCAGCTGTTCAAATAAGGCAAATGCTGAACTGTAACCAATCTGGCTGTTTCTGTACTTCACTTCTGTTTTCTGTATGTCACTTTCCATTTTCTGTCCATATATCTTTGACCAGGCAGCTACACCAGAGCTTCTCTGAAACTATTCTAGTTCAGGAGGTGCCTGATTTGCAAATCGTGCTTTGCTTAATTAAACTGTTAAGTTTAATTAGTCTAAAGTTTTTCTTTTAACAACAATAATATGATTGTTTTGAACTAAGGGCAAAATTTATGGTAAATACATGAAAGTAGAAACCTTAGAAGCAATCACCATACTGGGGTTAATCAGAAGTCAATATGACAGATTAACATCTAAGATGGAGTTGCTTTAGAGTCTGTAATATCAAATCCTTATAACAACTCTATGAATTAGAAACTATTACTATTTTTATTTTACAGTCAGGGAAACTTTCCAGTTGAGAGTTATGTATATTATTTAAGGTCATGCAGTTGGTAGGTGGGAAAGCCATGTCTGAACCAAGGTCATACATAGTAACAGGACCAAGTGATCCTCCTTTGTGAAGATCACTGATAAGTCCCCCTCTTCTCCATCCCCTCTACGCTGGGTGTATAGTTCAGCCCATCAACACTTGGCCTGGACTCTTTTAACCATTTTATCTTATATTGTATTGCTTCAGTGACTCCTCAGTACCACTACCAGATAAATCTTTCTAAGATGTGATCATGTTTATTGTCGCCTTTCAATGGCTTCTAATTATGTGATATGGTAAACACTTATCATTGTGGTCCTCCATGAGCTGCATCTTCCCTCTCTCATATCATCTCATGCTTTACCTTCTTTGTATTCTATGGTGTAGTCACACGGAACTACTTGAGGATCTTGAAAGTAGCATGTTATGTCGTACCTCTTTGCTTTTATTCAGTTTCTTTGCTTGGAATGTCATTTTCCCTTGGTGCATATGTTGAACACCTATTTTCCATTTAGGACTTAACGTCCTTTTTTTTTTTTTTTTTTTTTTTTTTTTGCTGGCAAGATGGCTGAATAGGAACAGCTCCAATCTGCAGCTCCCAGCGAGATCGATGCAGAAGGCAGGTGATTTCTGCATTTCCAACTGAGGTACCTGGTTCATCTCACTGGGACTGGTTGGACAGTGAGTGCAGCCCCTGGAGGGCTAGCCAAAGCAGGGTAGGGTGTCGTTTTACCCGGGAAGTGCAAGGGGTCAGGGGATTTCCCTTCCCCAGCCAAGGGAAGCCATGAGAGACTGTACTGGGAGGAATGGTGCACTCCGGCTCAGATACTGCACTTTTCCCATGGTCTTCGCAACTGGCAGACCAGGAGATTCCCTCTGGTGCCTATGCCACCAGGGCCCTGGATTTCAAGCACAAAACTGGGTAGCTGTTTGGGCAGACACGGAGCTAGCAGCAGGATTTTTTTTTTTTCATACCCCAGTGACACCTGGAACGCCAGAGAGACAGAACCATTCACTCCTGTGGAAAGGGGGCTGAAGCCAGGGAGTCAAGTGGTCTGGCTCAGCGGGTCCCACCCCCCATGGAGCCCAGCAAGCTAAGATCCACTGGCTTGAAATTCTTGCTGTTAGCACAGCAGTCTGAGGTCGACCTCGGACACTCAAGCTTGGTTGGGGGAGGGGCGTCTGCCATTGCTGAGGCTTGAGTAGGTGGTTTTTACCCTCACAGTGTAAACAAAGTCACTGGGAAGTTTGAACTGGCTGGAGCCCACTGCAGCTCAGCAAGGCCACTGTGGCCAGACTACGTCTCTAGATTCCTCCTCTCTGGGCAGGGCATCTCTGAAAAAAAGGCGGCAGCCCCAGTCAGGGACTTATAAATAAAACTCCCATCTCCCTGGGACAGAGCACCTGGGGGAAGGGGTGGCTGTGGGTGCAGCTTCAGCAGACTTAAACATTCCTACCTGACAGCTCTGAAGAGAGCAGCGGGTCTCCCAGCACAGCGTCTGAGGTCTGATAAGGGACAGATTGTCCCCTCAAGTGGGTCACTGACCCCCATGTATCCTGACTGGGAGACACCTCCCAGTAGGGGTTGACAGACACCTCCTACAGGAGAGCTCTGGCTGGCATCTGCCAGGTGCCCCTCTGGGATGAAGCTTCCAGAGGAAGGATCAGGCAGCAATCTTTGCTGTTCTGCAGCCTCCACTGGTGATACCCAGGCAAACAGGGTCTGCAGTGGACCTCCAGCAAACTCCAGCAGACCTACAGCAGAGTGGCCTGACTGTTAGAAGGAAAACTAACAAACAGAAAGGAATAGTATCAACATTAACAAAAAGGACATCCAGTCAGAGACCCCATCTGAAGGTCACCAACATCAAAGACCAAAGGTAGATAAATCCATGAAGATGGGGAGAAACTAGCACAAAAAAGCTGAAAATTCCAAAAACCAGAATGTGTCTTCTCCTCCAAAGGATCACAACTCCTCACCAGCAAGGGAACAAAACTGGATGGAGAATGAGTTTGATGAATTGACAGAAGTAGGTTTCAGAAGGTGGGTAATAAAAAACTCCTCCGAGCTAAAGGAGCATGTTCTAACCCAATGCAAGGAAGCTAAGAACCTTGAAAAAAGGTTAGACAAATTGCTAACTAGAATAACCAATTTAGAGAAGAACATAAATGACCTGATGGAGCTGAAAAACACAGCACGAGAACTTCATGAAGCATACACAAGTATCAATAGCTGAACAGATCAAGCGGAAGAAAGGATATTAGAGACTGAAGATCAATTCAATGAAATAAAGCAAGAAGATAAGATTAGAGAAAAAAGAGTGAAAAGAAACGAGCAAAGCCTCCAAGAAATATGGGACTATGTGAAAAGACCAAATTGACATTTGATTGGTGTACCTGAAAGTGACAGGGAGAATGGAACCAAGTTGGAAAATACTCTTCAGAATATTATCCAGGAAAACTTCCCCAACCTAGCAAGGCAGGCCAACATTCAAATTCAGGAAATACAGAGAGCACCACAAAGATACTCCTCGAGAAGAGCAATGCCAAGACACATAATCCTCAGATTCACCAAAGTTGAAATGAAGGAAAAAATGTTAAGGGCAGCCAGAGAGATAGGTTGGGTTACTCACCAAGGGAAGCCCATCAGACTAATAGTGGATCTCTTGGCAGAAACCTTACAAGCCAGAAGAGAGTGGGAGCCAATATTCAACATTCTTAAAGAAAATAATTTTCAACCCAGAATTTCATATCCAGCCAAATTAAGCTTCATAAGCGAAGGAGAAAGGATTTTGCTTGCCTGTAAAGGATTTTTACAGACAAGCAAATGCTGAGAGATTTTGTCACTACCAGGCCTGCCTTACAAGAGCTCCTGAAGAAAGCAATAAACATGGAAAGGAACAACTGGTACCAGCCACTGCAAAAACATGCCAAACAGTAAAGACCATCGTTGCTATGAAGAAACTGAATCAACTAATGGGCGAAATAACCAGCTAGCATCATAATGACAGGATCAAATTCACACATAACAATATTAACCTTAAATGTAGAGGGGCTAAATGCCCAATTAAAAGACACTGACTGGCAAATTGGATAAAGAATCAAGACCCATTGGTGTGCTATATTCAGAAGACCCATTTCACATGCGAAGACATACATAGGCTCAAAATAAAGGAATGGAAGAATATTTATCAAGCAAATGGAAAGCAAAAAAAAGCAAGGGTCACAATCCTAGTCTCTGATAAAACAGACTTTAAACAAACAAAATCATAAGAGACAAAGAAGAGCATTACATAATGGTAAAGGGATCAATGCAACAAGAAGAGCTAACTATCCTAAATATATATGCACTCAATACAGGAGCACCCAGATTCATAAAGCAAGTTCTTAGAGACCTACAAAGAGACCTAGACTCCCACACAATAATAGTGGCAGACTTTAGCACCCAACTGTCAATACTAGACAGATCAACGAGACAGAAAATTAACAAGGATATCCAGGACTTGAACTCACCTCTGGACCAAGCAGACCAAATAGACATCTATAGAACTCTCCACCCCAAATCTACAGAATATACATTCTTCTCAGCAGCACATTGCACTTAATCTAAAATTGACCACATAATTGGAAGTAAAACACTCCTCAGCAAATGCAAAAGAACAGAAATCACAACAAACAGTCTCTCAGACCACAGTGCAATCAAACTAGAGCTCAGTATTAAGAAACTCTCTCAAAACCACACAACTACATGGAAACTGAGCAACCTGCTCCTGAATGACTACTGGGTAAATAACGAAATAAAGGCAGAAAGAAAGATGTTCTTTGAAACCAATGAGAACAAAGACGCAATGTACCAGAATCTCTGGGACACATTTAAAGCAGCGTGTAGAGGGAAATTTATAGCACTGAATGCCCAAAAGAGAAAGCAAGAAAGATCTAAAATTGACACCCTAACATCACAATTAAAAGAACTATAGAAGCAAGAGCAAACAAATTCAAAAGTTAGCAGAAGACAAGAAATAACTAAGATCAGAGCAAAACTGAAGGAGACAGAGACACAAAAGAACCTGTCAAAAAAAAGCAATGAATTCAGGAGCTGGGTTTTTTGAAAAGATCAACAAAATGGACTGCTAGCCAGACTAATAAAGAAGAAAAGAGAGAAGAATCAAATGGATGCAATAAAAAATGATAAAGTGGATATCACCACCGATCCCAGAGAAGTAGAAACTACCATCAGAGAATACTATAAACACCTCTAAGCAAGTAAACTAGAAAATCTAGAAGAAATGGATAAATTCCTGGACACATACACACTCAAGACTAAACCAGGAAGAAGTTGAATCCCTGAATAGACCAATAACAAGTTCTGAAATTGAGGCAATAATTAATAGCCTACCAACCAAAAAAAGTTTTTGATTGGTAGGACCAGACGGATTCACAGCCGGATTCTACCTGAGGTACAAAGAGGAGCTGGTACCATTCCTTCTGAAACTATTCCAATCAATAGAAAAAGAGGGAATCCTCTCTAACTCATTTTATGAGGCCAGCATCATCCTGATACCAAAACCGGGCAAAAACACAACAAAAAAAGAAAATTTCAGGCGATTATCCCTGATGAACATCAATGCAAAAATCCTCAATAAAATATTGGCAAATGGAATCCAGCAGCACATCAAAAAGCTTATCCACCACTATCAAGTGGGCTTCATCCCTGAGATGCAAGCCTGGTTCAACATACACAAATCAATAAACGTAATCCATCACATAAACAGAACCAATGACAAAAACCACATGATTATCTCAATAGATGCAGAAAAGGCTTCCGACAAAATTCAATAGCCCTTCATGCTAAAAACTCTCAATAAACTAGGTATTGATGGAATGTATCTCAAAATAATAAGAGCTATTTATGACAAACCCACAGCCAATATCATACCAAATGGGCAAAAACTGGAAGTATTCCCTTTGAAAACTGGCAAAAGACAAGGATGTCCTTTCTCACCACTCCTGTTCAACATAGTAGTGGAAGTTCTGGCCAGGGCAATCAGGCAAGAGGAAGAAATAAGGGATATTCAATTAGGAAAAGAGGAAGTCAAATTGTCTCTGTTTGCAGATGACATGATTGTATATTTAGAAAACCCCATCATCTCAGCCCAAAACCTCCTTAAGCTGATAAGCAACTTCAGCAAAGTCTCAGGATACAAAATCAATGTGCAAAAATCGTGAGCATTCCTATATACCAATAACAGACAACTAGAGAGCCAAATCATGAGTGAACTCCCATTCACAATTGCTACACAGAGAATACAATACCTAGGAATCCAACTTACAAGGAATGCGAAGGACCTCTTCAAGGAGAACTACAAACCACTGCTCAAGGAAATAAAAGAGGACACAAACAAATGGAAAAACATTTCAAGCTCACGGACAGGAAGAATCAATATCGTGAAAATGGCCATACTGCCCAAAGTAATTTATAGATTCAATGCTATCCCCATCAAGCTACCATTGACTTTCTTCACAGAATTGGAAAAAACTACTTTAAATTTCATATGGAAGCAAAAAAGAGCCTGCATAGCCAAGACAATCCTAAGCAAAAAGAACAAAGCTGGAGGCATCACACTACCTGAGTTGAAACTATACTACAAGGCTACAGTAACCAAAACAGCATGGTACTCTTACCAAAACACATATATAGACCAATGGAACAGAACAGAGGCCTCAGAAATAACACCACACATCTACAACCATCTGATCTTTGACAAACCTGACAAAAGAAGCAATGGGGAAAGAATTTCCTATTTCATAAACGATGTTGGGAAAACTTGCTAGCCATATGCAGAAAGCTGAAACTGGATCCCTTCCTTACCCCTTATGTAAAAATTAACTAAGGATGGATTAAAGACTTAAAAGTAAGACCTAAAACCATAAAAGCCCTAGAAGAAAACCTAGGCAATACCGTTCAGGACATAGGCATGGGCAAAGACTTCATGACTAAAATACCAAAAGCAATGGCAACAAGAGCCAAAATTGATAAATGGGATCTAATTATACGAAAGCACTTCTGTGCAGCAAAAGAAACTATCATCAGAGTGAACAGACAACCTACGGAATGGCAGAAAAGTTTTGCAATCTATCCATCTGACAAAGAGCTAATATCCAGAATCTCAAACAAATTTACAGGAAAAAAACAACCCCAACCAAAAGTGCATGAAGTATATGAACAGACATTTCTCAAAAGAAGACATTTATGCATCCAACAAACATATGAAAAAACACTCATCATCACTGGTCATTAGAGAAATGCAAATCAAAACCACATTAAGATACCATCTCTTGCCAGTTAGAATTGTGATCATTAAAATGTCAGGAAACAACAGATGCTGGAGAGGATGTGCAGAAATAGGAATGCTTTTACACTGTTAGTGGGAGTGTAAATTAGTTCAACCATTGTGGAAGACAGTGTGGTGATTCCTCAAAGTTCTAAAACTAGAAATACCATTTAACCCAGCAATCCCATTGCTGGATATATACACCCAAAGGATTATAAATCATTGTACTATAAAGACACATGCACACATATGTTTATTGTGGCACTATTCACAATAGCAAAGACTTGGAACCAATCCAAATGCTCATCAATGATAGACTGGATAAAGAAAATGTGGCACATACACACCATGGAATACTATGCAGCCATAAAAAGGATGAGTTTATGTCCTTTGCAGGGACATGGATGAAGCTGGAAACCATCATTCTCAGCAAACTATCACAAGGACAGAAAATCAAACACCGCATGTTCTCACTCATAAGTGGGAATTGGACGAGGAGAACACATGGACATGGTGGGGGGCATCACACACCGGGGCCTGTTGGGTGGTAGGGGGCTGGCGGAGGGATAGCATTAAGAGAAATATCTGATGTAGATGATGGGTTGATGGGTGCAGCAAACCACCATGGCACATGTATACCTATGTAACAAACCTGCACATTCTGCACATGTACCCCAGAACTTGAAGTGTAATTAAAAAAAAGACTTATTTCCTTTAAGAAGCTCTGTTTTGGTTTCTGAATATGCTTGACTATTTTTATACTTCTATTATTTCAACTATAAAAGTTTTTTTACTTAATTGTTTACATGTTGGTCTCCCCTAGAGTCTGAATTCCTTGAGGCCAGAGACCATCTTTACTTAATTTTTGTATCTAGAACACTACATTAGGTACTGTGAATGATGGCTAAGTGACCCTGTCTGTATAACTCAGATAAACTACAGAATTTGCAAGAGGTTGCTCAGTCACAGATTATTTTATAATTTTGGATTATTGTTACAATTTTATGATTTCAAGATTAAGAATGTGTAAGAAGTTCATGATTGGCCTAGAATTAATATTATTTGACTGGGTAATGGTATTAGCTCACTTCCCCCACTAAAATTTCAGAAAATATGAGGTTTTCTAAATTTATTTTTTTAAGAGATATGATCATCCTCTGTTTCCCAGGCTGAACTCTCGAACTTCTGGGCTCAAGCGATTCTCTTGCCTCAGCCTCCTGAGTAGCTGAAGCTACAGGTGTAAGTTACTGTGTTTGGCTTAACCTTCATTTTTTACTTGGTTCTCAGTTACTTTAACCATATTTCTTCATAATTCCATTTGTATGTATTATTTAATTCATGATTTCCCAATGTTTCTTTCTTTCATTTAAAAACAAAATAGTGCAAATGTGTGGATGAAACTATTGGTAAATAGTTATCAGTATTTTGTTTTGGGACCAACCTACATATCGACTGCTGAAAAAGCAAAATAAAACAGCACTAAAACAACCATACTGAAAGAGTTTGATTTGTTTTGGTGTATCTCTGAGTATTTTCTCAGGACTGATGGTGGTTATTTAAGAGGCCAGTTTCTACAGTTGATTATTATTTTAGGAATGCACATTCATTATAAATCAATAGCTTTTCTTTAAGAAGCTATTATTTAATAACATTAAGGTACTCCTTTCTGCAATGCAGTAGAGAAATTTTAAAATTTTAAAATGTGGATTACGGTTTTTCTTGTTCTATTAATGGAACAATACTGTCTTTGAAGATATACCTTTTCACATACTATAAATTACATGTTTATAATGTTCCAATTTTTGGTAAGTATTTTAAAGTATGTATACAGTTGACCCTTGAACAATGCAGAGATTAGAGGCACTGATCCCTTTGCACAGTCAAAAATCCACATGTAACTGACCCTCCCAAAACTTAACTACTAATAGCCTAACATTGATTGGAAGCCTTACCAATAACATAAACAGTCAATCAGCACATATTGTGTATATTATATGTATTATATATTGTATTTTTATGATAAAGTAAGCTAGGGAAAAGAAAATATCATTAAGAAAATCATCAGAAAGAGAAGAATGTATTTACTTCATTAAGTAGAAGTGAATCATCATAAAAGTCATCATCTTCATCATCTTCATGTTGAGTAGGCTGAGGAAGAGGAAGAAGAGGAGGGGTTGTTTTTACTGCCTCAGGGTAGCAGAGGCAAAATAAAATTCACATATGAGGACTCATGCAGTTCAAACGTAT
Source organism: Homo sapiens (assembly GCF_000001405.40). NCBI lineage: Eukaryota > Metazoa > Chordata > Mammalia > Primates > Hominidae > Homo > Homo sapiens. Next base: position 127,456,593 of record NC_000004.12, on the reverse strand, counting down.
GTTGTTCAAGGATGAACTGTATTTGCATAGGAAAAAAATCAATGAAATGCTTGTATGGTTCATTATTGGACATAGTATTTTAGGAGATTTTATTTCCTTTAAGTTTTACTCATACATGTTTGCATGATATAAATAATAGAGGAAAAATGAGATACATTAAAAAAAGAGAAATCCTTGAATACGTGTAAATATAATTTTAATGTAATGAAATTTTTCTGGGAAGACTATTTTAAAGTAGGACTCAGCGTTACAAGGCTTCCCCAAAACATATTCAGTTCTCTACCTGGGTTAATGAAAAAGGGAAATTTTACTGAAGATTTCAAAGGGTGAGAGGAATAATTTACATTACATATTACATATAAAACTTACTAAAAATCCCCTTTTAAATTTCTTACAATTGTTTTCCTGGTATAATCCATATCACATTTTCCTCCAACTTCTTCCCAAATAGTTTCTTCAGCCATACTGGCTTCTTTTCCCTCTTAGATTTTTCTCTTCCCTTCTTTTGTTTTTTTAGAAGAGTCAATCATAGCTCTGTTGGATTTTTTTGGTTTTTCATTCTTTCACTCAATAGCCTAATCAACTGACAAAGGAAATGAAAAATAAAAATGAAAATTATTACAAACACCTGAAGGCTCAGAGGAGCTGCTGTAGACACTGTCAGTTCTACCGAATATCCACATTTTTGTTAACAGAACACAGATTTTGTTTGGAATAGCAATGTGGCCCCTCCAGTGATGGGCCATAAATGGTCTAAGCCAGTGTGCCTCAGTGGAATCACTATGACATTTTGGGCAGTACAAGTCTTCATTGTAAAATATTGTTCTTAACAGTTCAGTGCTTTTGGCATCACTGGCTTCTACGCACTAAATGCCAGTAGCACTATGGGTATCCACACCATCATTATGATAATCAAAATATTCTCATGAATATTATGACATTCTGTGGGGATGGGGAGAGTGATGTTTCTACTGGTTGAGAATCACTGGTGTAAGCTAATCATGACATTCCTGCATTCTGCTTCCCAGACTTCACATAGCTAATTGTAGCCCTGTGATCCACTTAGGGGCACTGAGACCTAAGGCAAGTCAGCTATAAGGGCTTCAGAAAAAGCATTCTTAATTGAAAGGATAGATGTAGCTGTTACTGCTCTTTGCTTTCTTCTTCCTGCCCTGCATGAAGAACTAGAGCAAAGATGTAGAAGCCATTTTGTAATCATGAGGCAACAAACTAGTCCAAGAATGGTGGAGTAAGTAGATAGAAGTATCCTGGATCCTAAAGTATTTGCTCCAACACTAGCCTCTTTATCTCTTCTTATGTGGGAAAAATAAACCCCTTTTGTCCTATTGATCGTTAGTCAGATCTTCTACTACTTGCAGCTAAAATCACTTCTAACTGAGAATATGATGAATGGGTTCAATGGATTCTTGGATCAATGTCAATATGAGACAAGAATTAAACAACCTTAGTCAAACCCCCTTTTACAATGTGCTTCATTGTGCTTGGTGAAAAAATATTATTCTATGAAAATAAGAATGCTATTTAGAAATTTTTTAAACAGTGACAACTGAAAATAATATTTTCACATATATTTAGGAAAAACCCCACAAATACCTAAATCCACTGGAGAAATAGCCATAATAATCTGTTTCCCCAAGTATCTAGATGTTTCTTAAGCCAAATTCAAGAAGTTTTAAATAGACTTTTGAGAGGAAGAATTGATTTATTTCACTTGAATTACAGACTTAAATAGGGTTGGTATCTAATGCAGTCTGTGTTCATCTAGAACGAAGAGAGACATTGAATATAATTCTTGCTTGAGCATGGCATTTGAGGCTGTTAAGACTCAACAATCCTTATTCATTGTGTCCTTTCTTCTTTCAGTTGTGACATCATCTTAGGTGTCTACAGTGTTCATGTCTACAGCTCTTTAACATCTCTCATCTTCTTTGTTGTTTCCAGACAACTTTTCTTCCTTTCTACTTATTCACCCCTTTCCATGACCACAACCTGGACTTTGTCATAACCTAACAGTTCTTCCTAAGAAATAATGAGCCACTCTATAACTTCCTATCCTTCAGAGTCTCTCATTCCATTACTTCAACCACACAGGTTTGTTTGTTTGTTTGTTTTTCCCCTCAGATGGACCTCCAGTTTTTTTTTTTTTTTTTTTTACCCGTCTGCATTCTGCCTATTGGTCACTTCCTGTATTTATTTTATTTATTTATTTATTTGAGATGGAGCCTTGCTCTGTCACCTAGGCTGGAGTGCAGTGGTGCAATCTGGGCTCACTGCAACCTCTGCCTCCCAAGTTCAAGTAAATCTCCTGCCTCAGCCTCTGGAGTAGCTGGGACTACAGGTGTGCGCCACTACACCCGGCTAATTTTTGTATTTTTAGTAGAGACAGGGTTTCGCCATGTTGTCCAGGCTAGTCTCAAACTCCTGACCTCAGATGATCCACTGCCTCTGCCTCCCAAAGTGGGATTATACACATGAGCCACCTGTTCCATCTTTATTTTTATATTACCCAGTTTAATTTCTGTGGTTCATCATTTCAACTATTCTTTAAGCAATTTCCTAAACTTCCTTACATTTTACATGGCCTGGTCATCTTTTTAGCTTATTTCTTTAGTTCTACATAGAAGCTCAATGTTTCTATTCTCTTGAACTCCCACCATGTACATCCTCCTTTGCCAACCACTCTTCTCTTAACAGAATCACATGTATTTTACTTTACAAAGAAAATCTACACTATGTCCATCTTTTATTCATTCCATCCTATTATAATTATAATTTTTGTTTAAGTATAATCTCTCTACCTGAGCTCTGGATCTCATCTCTTATCATTTTCTTAGCAATCTGGCTCAATGAATTATTCCTTCTCTCCTTCTGACACATTCGATTAGAATTTAAAAATGTCTCCCATTTTGTAAACAAGCCATATTTAAATCTCTCATCCCTTTCTGAGTACTCTTGATTTCTCTCCACTCCCTTGTGATCAACCATTTTGAGAGAGTTGTTTACACTTACTGCCTCCTCTTTTACCTCCTATTCGCTTTTAAGCTCACTGAGATATGACATCTACCTCCACCACTCTGTGTTAGTTCCTTGGCTTGGCTGACACTCCTCTCTTTGAAGTCACTAGTGATCTTGCTAAAGCCAAGAGACATGCCTCAGTCATTATGTTATTTGATCTGTTTCTAGTATTTGACACTATGGATCTTGACACACTTTTTTTTCCTTTGACATCCATGACATATGAGGTTTCCTTTTACCTTTTTGGGTGTTCTTTCTTATTCATCTTTGCAGGCTTCTCTCCCTTAGGGGCCTTTCTTATAGCCTTCTCTTTTCATTCTTCAGTTCTTGTAATAGGTCATCTATTTCTGTGACTTGAAGTATCAACCATATGCTGATGATTCCCAAGTGAAAGATTCCTTCACAACAATCACATTCGAACTCAAAATCAATATATTCAACTGCCCATTAGATGTTTTCACTTGGCTATCTTATTGGTATTTTGAAATAACGTATCATCTCTTTCCTCTAGTTTTCTTATCCTCCATTGTTTCCAATCTCATTAAATAACATCATCCAGTTATTTCAGGGAGAAACTTGGAAATCATCTTTGACTTCTCTCTCTCCCTTTTGTTCCATATCTAAAGATAACTACATTCTATTTGTTCCACCTTCTAAATATTTCTCTGATCTGCAAACTTCTCTCTATTCCTATTACTATTTTCCTGGTTTGAGTTGACATCTACTTGTTATCTGGATTAATGCAAAAGTCTTCTATTTCATGTCCATGCCTTAATCTTTCCCTCTTTTAATCTACTCAAATGCATATGTTATTATATTATTTCCTGTTTAAAATCCCTGACTTCTAGTGAGTCTTATAATGTACATTCTTAAATATGGCTTATAAGACCCTTTCTACTTCTTTACATGCATCACTCACCACTTAACCGTTTTTATTCTAAGCACTAGACATCCTAAAGTTCTTTCAGTGCATTTTCGATATTCTGTTCTCCTGCTTTCACAGTTTTGCACATGTTCTTTTCTTCCCACTCTTACTTCTCTAACTCTTACTCATTATCTATATTTCACCTTCCTGTTCATGTGTGTTATTCATTAGATTAAAAACTCTGGAAGGACAGTGACTAGGTCAGCATGGTACCTTAATGTCTGGCACACTGCATGGTACTAAATAGACACTGAATACCGGACCGAATGAATAAGTGAATGAATGAAATGATTTCTAATCAATTAAATGTATAGAGTAAGTGAAAATTTGGGACAAAAACCTCTCCCAGTGTATGGGTCTGAGCTCCTGATTGGCTGATGTTTCCATTCACTGGGAAAGTGATCAGGAAGTGGAGCCATTTTGGGAATGAGGTGTCTAAAATATCCATTTGGTGATGTCTTGTACATAGTTGAGAATATAGGACTGGTCTCAGGAGAGGGAGATATGCTGAAAACTTTGATTGGGAGTTGTCAGCTGAAGTGTTCTGAGAGAGCTCAGGCAGAGGCTGCAGCATGAGAGGAGAAGAGAGCAACTAAACGGATTACTGAGGAACACTGACATTTGTAGGCCTGGGTAGAAAAACAAGGAACCACAAAAGCATTTCAGTAAAAGCCAACAGACAGGTAACAGGGGAAAGCACCCTGTTTTGGTGTCATATAAGCAAATGGAAGAGACTTTTAAGGAGGGATGATTGATATTGTAGGAGTAATTCTTTTTTTTGCCATTCAACAAATTGAATTTTGATAGAGAATATAGTGTCAGATGTCATTTGTGTACCTTGCTTCACTACAAGTTTCTCTCATGCAGGGATACTGTCTTGTTTGCACTTTTAATCTCAGACTTAGTTCAACATCTGACACATAGTGGGGTTTAATAAACAGGTGAACATAAATACATTTGCTCTGATTAAGTGATGGACTCAAAATCTATGGCAGCATAGCTAATTTCATTCTATAAGAAATGTCTTCTAAATCATGCTTAGATTCAAAGACATTGGGAAAAGTGGAATATAGTTAGGTACTTCTCACTGGATAATTTAAAAATAGGCCAACCATAATAAACATTTTCAACTTTAAGATCCCTCACCTTTCTGTGTTTTTCACCACCCTCTCCTTTTGCTCTGTTAATCTTGCAGACATAGTCAATTCTGACTTTCTCATTCTGAGGAATATAAAGGAGATCTGGTAAAACTAGATAATTCATATCAAGGAGTATTAACTTAAAATGTTAAAAACTCCCAGGGATACTTTCATCGTAAAGTAAGAGTCAGTAGAATTTAATGCCTACTTCTCAGTAAGAACTTATTTTTTTAGGATGGCAGTGGTAAGAGTGGAAATGGTAGGAATTTTGAGGGAGATGGGAGAAAGATCTGTTTCTGTGTTTGTAAGTACATTACCCACCATTTACCCATAAAGAACTTGTCCTAAAAGGCATGTTTGGAGAGAGCATTGGTTCTTGACAAACACCTGGTTTGAGTCCTTACTCTTCACTTACTAGCTGGGTGCCTTTGAGTATGTACCTAACTTTCTGAGCTTTAATTTTCTCATCTGTAAAAGGAAGATCATAGTAACTTCCCTCTTGGGTTGTCCAGAGGAACAAGTGAGATTGCATATATGCAGCTAGTTTGCACATGTAAGTCTACTGTTACTATTCTCTGCAGGCACTGCATGGAAGTGTCTAATATTGTTGTGCTGTGTTTCCAGTCTTGTTTCCATTATTTGGTTTGCTGTTTGAATATTACAGGGCTGCAAAAAAGTTTATTACATTATTGTATAATATAATTATTTGGAGGTAGAAATATTACAGATATGTAAATGCTTTAAGCCTTCTTCTCACTTTTTTCCCTTTAAGTATAAACCAAAAGCCTAGGACACAAACATTGTCTTCCTAGTTTAGTCTTCCTGGAGACATGCAAACTCTAGAGAGGTGATTGGTGTCCATACTTCCCACGCAGCTGCAGTTGAACCTGTATAATTACCTCCAGAGTATTGTCTTGGCTCCAGTCTGTTGGATAATTGCCTATTTGAACAACTTTGCCTTGGATAATTTCCCTTTATCTAACCATGGGACTCATAAATCTATGCACAGGGGGACAGATTTCTGAAAATGATATTTGGCCACAGATAGTTGCAATTTCAAGACTTTTTCAAAGGGTGATAATGACATATTTTTACTGGACAATGTAAGTTTTCAAACTTTGAAGATACATTTTGGGATGCAGATTATTTATGCATCAGTGTAGAAAATGCATTGCTTATCCATCAAACTGTTCTAAAATGTTAAGGTCATGAATAAGAATGTTCCACACCCCATAAAATACTTCTCCTGGAGTACAGCTTAACAGTGAGGGAATATTATTAAATATGTAGGAGTTCTACTTTGGTATTCAACAGAGATACACTTTTTGGTACTATAAAATTAGAGAGAAAAAGACCCATTTCCTTCATAGTATGTTTTCCTTGTAATTTTAAATGTTTAGAAAGGAATATGCAGAGAAAGATTTATTGTTTTTTTGATTCCTTCTTCATCTGTGAATTTTATGTTTTGGTTTCATCATAAAAATCTGGTCAAGTGGCCTGAATGGTTATTTCATTTGTAAAATCTGTAGGACATAATTATATTCTCCAGAAAATACTATATGCTAAACATGGGTCAAGAACACTCAGAAAGCAGGATAAAGCTGTATACTATTCCCAGAAAAAAAGAAATAATATCAGGAGTCATCAGAGAGACTTAGAGGTGTTTTCTGCAGGATTTCCAGATTTCAACAAAATTGTTTTACTCTGAATAATGGTAGGTTTAGTCTTAGCCAAAATGCAACTGGGCAATCTGTTACTTCCCATATGGAAAGCAACTGTTCAAGTAAATTATATGATTGTACATTACAACTTTGCTTCTGTCATACATTATAAATTCAATTCTGTCCAACACTGAGACCATTGCATGACTGAGCCAAGTTTAGTGTTGCTGGAACCAGCCTTTCTTGTTGTTGTAGTTACATCCAGCAAAAAAGTGAATTCTCTTATATATTTGTTCTCCTTCATTTCTTGGAAATAGAAAGTTTGTCTGGACCTGTTAGTAGATGTCACTTTTATCCTGATTTGGAGGATAAGTCAAGCAGGTGTTCTAGAGTCCATGTAGCCTGTTTTGAAATGAAGAGCATAATATAAAAGGATAAGTTTTTTGTATTAATTTTTATTCTAAATGAGAAGAAAATTTAATCACTAAAATTCACAGGGAACCTGCAAAACTCAAGAATGACTACATGGATCTCTTTATTTTCTCACAATGATATTCTGCTTTGAGAGTTGAGCTCATGGTCTCTGGACTGGTGCTTATGAGGCAGTGCAAAGTGTTCCCTGTTTTGTCATGTTGGCAGAGGAAATTACCCCAGTGCCATGATTGTCAGAATGATGCAGCACCTCTGAGGAAAGGGATTACTGCCTTATTGTAGATAGGTTAGTGTTAGCTATGCCAAATGTTGAGTGGGATTTGTTGAATACCATACAAACACAATAAAAAAAGTCTAGGCATTTCAACTGTGAGAAAATAAAAGTGTTTATAAGAAACGAAAAAAATGCAAAAGGGAAAATAGTCATTATTTTCTCAGTTCTTTCTAGAAGCAAAAAGGTGAAACCTAAAAGAAACTGAAAACCCTTAAAAAATCATAGAAGTCATTGTCAGGAAAATTTTATTAATTTAAGTGAGGCACTTTTTATTTATGCCATTAAGGAGTATGATTTACTTATTTATAATTTCATTTTTACTTGTAATTAACAATTACAAATAAAATGATAATTATACATAATTATGGAATACAATATGATGTTTCAATGCATATATACATAGTATAGTGATCAAATTGGGGTAATTATCGTATTCATAACTTTAAACATTGGTAATACTGCTCATGCTCTGTAGTAAGTAGAAAAGCTGAGACATGACACTTCCTATGATCTGTCTGGTTCTTTACCAGTGCTTTTGTTTTCCTTTACTCAGTTTTCCAGGAGGTGGTATGAATGTACAATTATATTCACCTCCTCTAAATTTCCAATGTTTAAAATATTCTAGAACTTTTCAGATTAAAAGGAATACCTTTCAAAATATGGGCCATGATATTAAAATGTAAGCATTAAACATTTATTATTCATTGCATGAGTAATGTCTAAAGTAGTTTAAACCATTTTTTAATGTGGCTTTTTTTTTTTTAACAATATACAATGACCCTTGTTTGGAATTGCCAAACCATTCATCTTGTTGCAGATTCACAAAGTAGACTTATTTATGTAGTCTGTCTACCTTTAGTAGGCAGTGTCTCATGTAAAAGATGAAAAAGCTTATAGTTTCTTTACTGAGCAAAGTATTATTTTTCTACAAATGTCAGCATTGAACTATGCAAAGAGCTTGATAAGTACTTGAGGAACCCAAAAAAGTTATACTTTTTACTATTATTAATCAGTAATCATCTCCTTATATCTGTCATTTGTATTATAAGTTTATTTTGTGTCATTTATATTATAGAATCATAGATAAGGAAATGAAGGGTAGCAGCACTGGATCAATTTAAAAGCACACATTGCAGCAGTAAATAAGCGTAACTTTTGACTGTTTAAAAATGTAAGAATAATAAATTATAAAACTTTTACAGTTAAGCTACTGTAGAATTTTCAGTTTGACAAGTTTATACATCTTTTGTATTTGGTTCTACCACTGACTGTAATTAAGACATCATTGTAAATAACTGCAAACTGTCCAGTGAATAACTGACATATCAATTATTGTTTGATAAATAATGTGAAAAACTAGATGTATTCTTGAATGCCTCCTACTTATTTCACCAAAACCCAGTATCCTGTAAACTGGTGATATGCCCCTACTGATATGTCCCTAAGTCAAGCTGTATCTTCAGTCTGTACCTGTGGACTTCCTTCTCTGTCTGTTACTATTTTAACTTCTCTTTCAATTGTCTGCATGTTAAGATACAAACAAGAAAATATTTTTGTTATCTTTGAAAACTGTTGCTTTCATTTCTCAAATCTTCAGAATATGTAGAAATATATTTTCTTATTGTTTTGGAGAAGCTAGGAAAATGTGAGTTTTATATATTTCTAACTCAATAAAGTCAGTAATAAATAAATTAATAAAGTTCACGCCTCCTGTTAGGAAGACCCAGAAACCTGTACAGAAAATTAAGCTCTAATTTGTATTTTAACCAATAAGCAATGCAGAAAACTTTCCAGAATCTTTTTCTTTTTTTCTCCCTCCGTGTTATATGACAGTTTGGTACTTCATTTTATATTTGGAAGTACTTTTCCTAACTTATGATGCAGCATCAGAAGTGCACAGAAATCTACCATTAATAGCAATGGTACTTTTGTGGAGGATAGAGAGTTTTTTCTAATGGATAGCAGGAAGTAAAATGAGCTCAACTAATGGTGTTACTCAATTTACCTCTAATTGAATGGATTTTCTTAGTTTTAAAAGAAGATGAAAAACCATAAACATTAAAAAAGGAGTTAACGCATTGTATTATATTATGAATTAAAATTTATTTGAAAGCATTTCCCGCCTTCAACAGTGTAGAGGAGAAATCACACAAGATTAGCACAAACATAAGACAAAGCCATAAATTCAAATTTTCAGAAGCTCTGACTGACTACTGAATGCAGGATTTATTTTGAAGACCTTCTGGTAACCTCGGTTATAATGTTTGCTTCCACAGAAGGCTCAGTGAGTTGGGGAAGTAGTCCACATGGTCCCTTTATGTCATAACCGGCATGTAAAACTGATTTCCAACTTGGGGCTGACACTTTTGTTCCAAACCTGAAACTTTTGGCATCAGAGCTCATGCTCTTATGGCCAATTTGGATTTTTAAGCAAAGAAGCTAATTTTTAAAGTCTCTTGGACAACAAATGACTTAAAAAAATAAATTTTAATGATTTAAATGGAAACAAACCAGAAGTAGCTGGATTAGGTTTCTCTTAAAATGTACATGCTTAGCGATTAGGAGGAAAAAGTGGCTGAAAAAAATGCTGTCTATTTTTTTCCTTCCAAACCCCAAATAGTTGAACAATTGAGTAGCTCTAAAGACTCGAGTTGGGACATCTTTGTGGAAAATATTTCTGGCAATAAAAGTACTGCTAATACAAGAATGAGAGATAATAAACTTCTCTTTAACAATGAGTTTTATGGTTTCTAAACATTAGCCTTAGTGATGAAATTATTTTACTGAAGTTTCTTTCGAAATAGATTGATGTGTTCAGAAATTTTAGGGACAGAGGGAAAAATAGGCAGATATTTGAGGAAAAATATTTGGGAATTAAGGTTTTGCTAGATGGCATTTACTATCATTGTGTTTCCCAATGCTTTTAATACCAAACTATTTTTAGGTGTCTGCATTTTCCTAGCCATTACCGACTGTATGTAAATGGGAGTGGGTGAGGAGAACAGGCCTCTGAAAAATGTGGGCTTGCTTTAGATGCTGAAAAGTTTTGTTAAAGAAGGATGTGTGTGACGGGGAAAGAAATCTAGGAGATCTAGCAGGAGATTTAAGTTAGTAGATAGGCGGAATCATGGTAGTTGTTTGGATTCGAGGAGGTTCAGTAAATAATGTCCCTCTCTTAATGTTTTTGGATTAACTGAGAAATGAAGTAGGACAGATGGGAGATGTTCGTAAAGCTGATGTTGGAGATTGCGGTGTTAACTGTAGGTAAAAATAATGAGCTTCCTCTAAACGGACTCCAGAGCTAAGCAGCCTTCCCCACCATGTCTCAGATAGCACAGGACAAGGCAGGCACTCCTCTGCAGGGTTAGAACTGCCCCGTACTACTTTTTGCAGCACTGAATGTTTATTTTCTGCCAGCAGCTTGCTTCCAAGAGACAGAAAATGGGGAAACCAGCCAACTGTGCCATTTTATTTTTCTTAAAATTTTCAATCAGTAAGTCTGTATGTCTCTCTTGGGGAGGAGGGAGTAAAGTTTTGGCAGGAGCCCATGAATGTTACTTTAATGGGGTCCCCTTTACATGGAAGTAAACATCAAGAGGCGGAAAGAAGTGTTTTTTGAAATTTTTATTGTTTTAACCCAGTGGTTATAAACCAGGATTGTTATCTTCCTCTAGGAAAGTTTTTGGTTGTAGCAGTGATTGCAGCATACTGATGATGTTTAGTGGGTTGGGGCTAAGGATGCTAAAGATCTTACAATGCACAGAAAAGTTTTATTAAAGAAGGTTGTGTGTGACAGGGAAAGAAATCTAGATTAGCAGGAGATTTAAGTTAGTAGATAGGCAGGATCATGGAGGTTCAGTAAATAATGTTCCTCTGTTAATGTTTTTGGATTAACTGAGAAATGTAAGAAAGAATTGTCCCAATAACATTGTCTCCCTTATAAAGGAAGAATTGTCCCGGTTAACCCCCTAGAGACACCCTGAGCCTAGCCCATTGGGTTTTGTCTGCTTCATGGGCTGGGAAAGAGATCAACACTCAGCTAAGAACAATCCTGCTTTGCCTTCCTGAGTCCACTGTCTCAATGCAAACCATCGCTTCTTTGTGGATCCTCTGATCTATTGATGACAACATAGATTTTGTTCCAGTAGGCTCTGAAATGGGTCAGAATAGCCATTAATTAAATAAATTCCAAAGTAATTTCCAGGACAGAAATTTCATCCCATAGTCCAGTTCCCATAAGAAACCATGACCTGCCAAATTGTCCAGTGTAACTTAGAAGTTACAAAATGAAATGAAACAACTACATTAAGATGTTCCAAAACTAAAAAAGATGCCCTAAATTTGAATATAGAAACTGTATTAGGGTTCTCCAGTAAAACAGAACCATAGGACATATCTATATGTATATCTATATCTATATTTGTATCTGTATCTATATAGATACATAAGAGGAGATTCATTATGGGAATTGGCATATATGATTATGGAGGTTGAAATGTCCCATGATAATTCTGTTTGTAAGCTGGAGAAGAACCAGGAAAGCCAGTGGTGTAATTCAGTCTGAGTCCTAAGACCTGAGAACCTGGGAGGCCGCTGGTGTGATTCCCAGAGTCTAAAGGTCTGAGACCCAGGAGCACTGATGTCTCAGGGAAGGACTAGATGGATATCCCAGCTATAGAAGGGAGAATGAATTCGTCCTTCCATCGCCTTTTTGTTCTATTCAGGCCCTCAGTGGATTGGATGATGCCTGGCCTGCCCACACTGGGGAGAGTGGATCTTCTTTACTCAGTCTGCTGATTCAAATGCTAATGTCTTTTGGAAACACCCTCACAGACATACCCAGAAATAATGTTTACCAGCTATCTGGGCTTCCCTTAGCACAGTCAAATTGATACATAATGTTAACCATCACAAACACTCTCCCATTATAAATTTCTTGGGGAAAAATATTCAAAGATCTTACCCCTTTTCAAGTTAAGAGTCTGGAAGAATTCAAGTTAATCTAAAGTCCAAAGAATTAAAGTCCAAATTCTTTTGGATTTGTGAGTTAAAAATTCCCCAGAATTGAAGTTTTGTTCTAACTCCAAATTCTTATGCTTAGTCTCAGATAGAGTTTCTTGATGTCTGACTAGAATTGCTTTTCTTGCGGCAGTTGTATCCGGTGCTATTTCTCACTGGAATTAGTAAAATTTCTTCAAGCTTCCAGAAGTTGTATTGATTCTGAACCAAATCTTTGATAAACCTTATTTTTAAAAAAGATTCTAAAAGGTCAACAAGCCATCTAAAATGACCACAGCACTGGTTTTTCACTCACGTAATCTTAGTCCCCAGAACAGTTATCCCAGGCAAAATTATTTCCCCCACACCTTGTCCTTAGTATTTCCAAAGATGCATGCAGGAAGATTGGTGGTATATTTATTGAGCTAAGGGCCTTGAGGTAGGTGGCATATTACATTTCTACTTGGGATAATTTGAGGAAAACATAGTAAGGGTGTAGGCAGAATATAAAGAAGCCACAGGGAGTAGTGTAAACTCCTGGGGTTGGTAATGGGGAGGCTGTTACTACGGCTGGGCCTGAAGAAGGAAGGGAGAGAACAAGTGGAATCCTAACGAGGAGATGACTATGAGAGGCCTCCTGATAAGGGCAGGCAGGAGCCTAGGGAGGAAATAGTTCAACTCACTCTGTCCCTCCTTGGACTCTTCTGAACCAGCTGGAAGCACAGGAGCCCATTAATGAGGTACAAAGTGAAGAAAGCTATCAGACATAGTAACTGAGGAGACAAAAGGATAAAACGAAGAAAGAAAAAAATCTCGATTCAATCTTACTAGGATGCGAGTGAAGCCAGACATCTAGAATCCATGACCAGTGAGTTTAAGCTTAATTGGGAGAAATCCCTTATCAAGAAGTTATTTTGTCACCATTGATTTACTATAATCTGGAGAAGGAAAACATTTATGTATGCTTCTTCAGTCCTCAGAAAGTGGCTGTTTTTATCTTCCAGCTAAGTTTAAAAATTTCAGTGCTGGCAGCCCTACTCACCAAGTCTTACGTGAGGTGTTTTTCCTCCTGAGGTGTTTTTTACCGCACCTCAGTGAAAATCTGTCAATGCACTATCGAAACCTATCCCTATCAAAATGTATCCCTTTGAGCCTCATATTGGCCAGTAGCCAATTGTATGCTGTTATATGCTACTGTCTTAGTCCATTCCTGCTGTCTTATACTTTAGACTGGGTGATTTATAAAGAGCAGAAATTTATTTCTCAGAGTTCTGGAGGCTGACAAGTCCAAAATTATGGCACTGGCCGACTCAGCCTCTGGTGAGAGCTGTGTTCTGCTTCAAAGATGGAGCCTTCTTGCTGCCTCCTTAAGTGGCAGAGGGAAGAGAAGCAGACAGCTTCTCACACCTCTTAGACCACTAATCTTTTATACCATCACATTGGTGATTCAGTTTCAGCATGTGAATTTTGTGGGGACATATTTAGACCATAGCATGTACCAAGCTCAAAATGCTCTGCCACTTACTAAAAAGCCCTGGTCCCACCTAAAGTCTGTCAACCGTTATTGATTTTGATGTTTTAAATTAATAGACTTTATTTATTTAGAACAGGTTAAGATATATAGAAAACTTGAGCAAAATGTACAGTTCCCAGAGAGCCTCTCACCTTTCTCCTCCGTACCTGCCCGGTTCTCCCTATTCTTAACATCGTGCATTAGCGTGATACATTGTTACAGTTGATGAACCCAATATTGATACATTGTGATGAACTAAATTCCGTAGTTTACACTAAGGTTGACTCTGTGTTGTACATTCTATGGGTTATGACAAATGTATAATGACATGTATTCATCATTAAAGCATCATAGAGAATAGTTTCACTGTCCTAAAAAATCATCTGTGCTCTGCCTGTTCATCCTTTCCTCCCACCAATCCCCTGGCAACCACTGATCCTTTTACTGTCTCCATAGTTTTGCCTTTTCCTGAATGTCATATAGTTGGAATCGCACACTATGTAGCCTTTTTCAGATTAACTTCTCCAACTGTTATTTTGCTCTGCAAATTTCACCTCCTGGTTGTTTCTCAAGCATACTACTCTTAACAAAGAAGATATCTTAGTTTTGTGGTATAGAACTAATTTTACATTTTAAACAAAATTTCAGAATGAATCAATTTACTGTTAGAGAAACTAACAACCCAAGAAGAGCTGATAATTCACTTTGAGTCCAAAGGAAAGAAAAAAAAATGATGTCCCAGCTCAAAGCAGTCAGGCAGGAGGAATTCTTTCTTACTTAGCATTTTCTTTTCTATTAACCTAATTGGATGAGGCCCCATCATGTTAGAGAGAGCCATCTGTTTTGCTCAGTCTGCTGATTCAAATGTTAATTTTATTCAGAATCACCCTCACAGACATACCCAGAATAATATTTGACCAAATATCTGGGCACTTTGTGACCCAATTAAATTATCAAATTGACACATAAGCTTAACCATCACAGAAACTGCAAGGAGCAAACTACTGTGTGTGTGTATGTGTGTGTGTGTGTGTGTGTGCAAGAGAGAGAGAGAGAGGGAGGGAGAGAGAGACTAGTGAGATCTTTTTCTCTTTCCAGAGACACGAATACTATCTAATATATTCACTCAGTTGTGGGTTGCCTAAGAGTGGGCTCATCTTAATCATCTTTCCATTATTGTGCCACACAGAATATCTGCTGCAGAGCACATACAGGGTAAATCTTGGATAAATCAACAAATGGTTAAATAAGTAAAAGTAGCTCTTGCAGTGCAACATACAAAGGGAGTAGGGTCCTTTTCGAAAGAGTTTACTTGATGGCCCAGAATTTGGCTGTTTGATTTTGTACTGGTGTTTTGGTTTTGGAAATCTGTAGTGTTTTTTTTTTTTAACTTTTATTTTAGGCTTAGGGATACATGTGAAGGTTTGTTACATAGGTAAACTCATGTCATGGGGGTTTGTTGTACAGATTATTTCATCACCCATTTATTAAGCCCATATCCAATAGTTATCTTTTCTGCTCCTCTTCCTTTTCCCACCCTCCCCTCGCAAGTAGACCCTAGTGTCTCTTGTTTCCTTCTCTGCGTCCATGTGTTCTCATCATTTAGCTCCCACTTATAAGTGAGAACATGCAGTATTCGGTTTTCTGTTCCTGCATTACTTTGCTAAGGATAATAGCCTCTAGCTCCATCCATGTGCCTGAAAAAGACATGATCTTATTCTTTTTTATGGCTTCAGAGTATTCCATAGTGTATATGTACCACATTTTCTGTGTCCAGTGTGTCATTAATGGGGACTTAGGTTGATTCCACGTCTTTGCTATTGTGAATAGTGCTGCAATAAACATTCGTGTGCATGTGCCTTGTGGTAGAATGCTTTATATTCCTCTGGCTATATACCCAGGAAAAAGATTGCTGGGTAAAATGGTAGTTCTGCTTTTAGCTGTTTGAGGAATCACCATACTGCTTTCCACAATGGTTGAACTTATTTACATTCCCATCAACAGTGTATAAGTGTTTCCTTTTCTCCGCAACGTCACTAGTATCTGTTATTTTTTGACTTTCTAATAATAGCCATTCTGACTGGTGTGAGACGGTATCTCATGGTGGTTTTGATTTGCATTTCTCTAATGATCAGTGATGTAGGGAAAAGAAAGAGATATCAGACTGTTACTGTGTCTATGTAGAAAGGGAAGACATAAGAGACTCCATTTTGAAAAAGACCTGTACTTTAAACAATTGCTTTGCTGAGATGTTGTTAATTTGTAGCTTTGCCCCAGCCACTTTGACCCAACCTGGAGCTCACAAAAACATGTGTTGTATGAAATCAAGGTTTAAGGGATCTAGGGCTGTGCCTTGTTAACAAAATGTTTACAAGCAGTATAGTTGGTAAAAGTCATCGCCATTCTCTAGTCTCAATAAACCAGGGGCACAATGCACTGCGGAAAGCCGCAGGGACCTCTGCCCTTGAAAGCGGGGTATTGTCCAAGGTTTCTCTCCATGTGATAGTCTGAAATATGGCCTCGTGGGATGAGAAAGACCTGACCATCCCCCAGCCCGACACCCGTAAAGGGTCTGTGCTGAGGTGGATTAGTAAAAGAGGAAAGCCTCTTGAAGTTGAGATAGAGGAAGGCCACTGTCTCCTGCCTGCCCCTGGGAACTGAATGTCTCGGTATAAAACCCGATTGTACATTTGTTCAATTCTGAGATAGGAGAAAAACCGCCCTATAGTGGGAGGTGAGACATGTTTGCAGCAATGCTGCCTTGTTATTCTTTACTCCACTGAGATGTTTGGGTGGAGAGAAACATAAATCTGGCCTACGTGCACATCCAGTCATAGTACCTTCCCTTGAACTTAATTATGACATAGATTCTATTGCTCACGTGTTTGTTGCTGACCTTCTCCTTATTATCACCTTGCCCTCCTACTACATTCCTTTTTGCTGAAATAATGAAAATAATAATCAATAAAAATTGGGGTAACTCAGAGACCGGTGCTGGTGCAGGTCCTTGCTGTGCTGAGCGCTGGTCCCCTGGGCCCACTGTTGTTTTTCTATACTTTGTGTCTTATTTCTTTTCTCAGTCTCTCATCCCACCCAACTTGAAATACCCACAGGTGTGGAGGGGCAGGCCACCCCTTCACAGTGATGTTGAGCTTTTCTTCCAATGCTTATTGGTCACATGTATGTTTTCTTTTGAAAATTGCCTTTTCATATTCTTTGCCCATTTTTTAATGGGATTGTTTGTCTCTTGTAAATTTGTTTAAGTTGCTTATAGATGCTGGCTGTTAGATCTTTGACAGATATTTCTTCCATTCTGTAGGTTGTCTATTTACTCTGTTGATAGTAACTTTTGCTGTGCAGAAGCCCTTAAGTTTAATTAGATCCCATTTGTCAATTTTTGTTTCTGTTGCGATTGCTTTTGGTGTCTTTTTCATGGAACCTTTACTCGTTCCCATGCCCAGGATGGTATTGCATAGGTTGTCTTCCAGGGTTTTTATAGTTTTGGATTTTACATTTAAGTTTTTAGTTCACCTTCAGTTGATTTCATTATATGATGTAAGGAAGGGGTCCAGCTTCAATCATTTGCATATGGCTAGCCAGTTATCCCAGCACCATTTATTGACTAGGGAGTCTTTTCCCCTTTGGTTGTTTTTGTCAGCTTTGTCAAAGTTCAGATGGTCATAGGTGTGCAGCCTTATTACTGGGCTCTGTGTTCTGTTCTATTGGTCTATGTGCCTGTATTTGTACCAGTACCGTGCTGTTTTGGTTACTGTAGCCCTGTATTATAGTTTGAAGTTGGGTAAAGTGATGCCATCAGTGTTGTTCTTTTTGCTTAGAATTGCCTTGGCTATTCAGGCTCTTTTTTCGGTTTCATATGAAATTTTAAACAGTTTTTTCTAGTTCTGTGAATAATGTCATTGGTGGTTTGATAGGAATAGTACTGAATCTGTAAATTGCTTTGGGCAGTATGGCCATTTTAATGATAGTGATTCTTCCTATTCATAAGCATGGGATGTTTTTCCATTTGTTGGTGTCTTCTCTGACTTTTTTGTGCAAGGTTTTGTGATTCTCATTGTAGAGATTTCTCACCTTCCTGGTTATCTGTATTCTTAGGTATTTTATTCTTTTTGTGGCAATTATGAATGGGATTGTCTTTCTGATTTGGCTCTTGGTGTGACTGTTGTTGGTGTAGTGATATTTGTACATTGGGGAATTCACAGTCTTAAGAGACTTAAAGAACCCATGAGTTCTATATTTTTAATGCACTGAAGCTCTTAAAAATTAACCAAAGTGGCAGTTTGTCCTTAGTGCATACAATTAGAAAATTATTTGGAGGTTGTGCTAGAGTGGCAATAACAGTACAGTGGAGGCTAAAGTAATAATGATTTACAGAACTCAAAGCATCCCAGATTCCAAAAATATGTGACTTGAAGCTAGACAGAGCATGCCCTTTGATATGATTAGGCTTTGGGTCCCCACTCAAATCTCATTTTGAATTGCAATCTCCCTAAGCCCCGTAATCCCCATGTGTCAAGGGAGAGAAGAGGTAGAGGTAATTGAATCATGGGGGCAGTTTCCCCCATGCTGTTCTTGTGAGAGTGAGTGACTTCTCACTAGATCTGATGGTTTTATAAGGGGTTCTTCCCGCTTTATTCGGCACTACTCATTCCTGCCGCCTTGTAAAGAAGGTACCTTGCTTCCCCTTCACCTTCCACCATGTTTGTAAGTTTCCGGAGGCCTTCCCAACCATGCTGAACTGAGTCAATTAAACTTATTTCCTTTATCAATTACCCAGTCTCAGGCAGTTCTATATAGCAATGTGAAAATGGACTAATACACCCATTTAATTGTTTCCAAATTTAGCTGTCAGATAAGTCTTTGCCCCTTCTCTGAAATTGTTTACTCATTTGTAAAACAGTACAATAATGCCTTATGCATAGGGTTGTTTTAAGAATTGAATGAGATAATTTACTTTAAGTGCCTGAGTATAGAATACGTGGACACCAGGGTAGTGTGGGTCTCATCTGGGTCTAACTGGGCTCTAGACATGCATGGGGAGCTGATTCGAAAGAGTGAACAGAAATTTTATTTACAGAGATACCAAGGAGCCTCCCTGGAAACAACTTTTTGATCATTTGAGTAATGTGTATATCCTAATATTTGAATGATATCTTGTACTTGGATTTTTCTTCTGGCCCAACATTTCATGTTTGCATATTTAAGACTGTGAGAGAAGAGGCTTAACAAGGATGTAAAAAGAGGAAGAGCAGTTTCATAGAAATCTCAGTAAACTATTACGGATATCAGCAGGACTTAGATCCCATTTTTCTTATAAATGAAGAGAGGAGAAATATTTTTTCCCACTTTACCACAGACCTTTATGTATCATTGACACCCTAAAGCAGTTCCTCTCAACATTTTTTAATATCACGTGAACATAAAAACTATAATATTTGTATGTCACCATGGGGTTACTGGAATAGATCCAGGGTCATCACCATGGTGCTTGATGAAAAAATAAGATGAGGTCAAGGGTAAGGTTAGTACATGTAGCTTGTGCTGGGAGGTACTGTTCTACCAGAGATGGAACTAAATTTTTACTTTAAGTTGTATGATAAACCCAAAAATAAACCCAACCCAAAATAAAAAACAGGATCAGTTACAAAGTTCACAGTATTCATGATGTAAAAATAATTCCAGAGTTTTTGTTATTCTTTTCGATAGTGAGATCAGAGAAAAACATCTCCCATGAGACTTCACTATGAAGACATTATGAAATATGGTAAAAACAAATGTCTTCATAATCATATTTATGATAAATATAGTGGTGAGTTTCATAGGGATTTAAATAAAATCATCCAGTGTAGCCTGACATTGATTCAAATCACTATTGAAGAAAATGAATTTTGTGATGTGTGTGTGGTAGAGAGTATAATGTAATGAATTCTGGATACTCAATTTTATGATGCTCTGGCTTAATCTAAGTATAACTTTTAGAATAAAGTATTTCTAAACCCTGCCTACACATTAGAATCACTTTTGGTACTTTTGAAAGACACGTATGCCTGGGCCCATCCCCACAAATTCTGATCCTTTTATCTTGGGTGGGATCTAGGCATAGGCTAAAGATTATAGATGTGTGACATTTTCTTCAGATAATCCTTCATAAATATTATTTCTCTCCACTGAGTTTGCTGTGAATGTGACACAATATATATTTGTCAGGAAGAGAATGTAGTTCCTGACAAAGGCTTGATTCATATATATTTTATATTTTTAATCAAGTGCAGAGCCTTAACAGTCAGCTGACTTGTAGATGGGATTGGCAGTATAGTGTAAAATCAAGCAGCCTGACAAGAACACATGCCTAAGAAAGTTGTGAACAGTACCAAGATTCCCTTCAAGAGTTCTGGGCAACTTTTCACCCACATTTGAATGGGTGAAGGAAGCTTCAAAATTCTTGGCCATTGATTATAACCACAGTAACCTGGAATAGTTTTAAAGCAGCTGTAACCGAACACCCTCCTTGAGCCATAACAAAATTATCAATAAAACTCCATTAGAATGTCTTTGAGCAATGTGACTTCTAGTATTACTCTCCAAGAAAAATGGGTTTCAAAAATATGCCACAAAAGTGAATGATGTGAATCCTTACATGGATATGTTAACTATAAACATATAGAAATAAACCAGTTCACATTTAGGGGATGATATCAAAAATATTTATTGGTTTTACATATGTTGATTTGTTGCCTTCCTTGTGGGAAGCATTTAGCTAAAAGATCCACTTGTCTATTAAGAGTATTTGTAATTCACTGTAATGAAAGCATGTCATCTGCACACAACAAATGATCCTTAAAATATATATATAACAGTTTTATTAAGAAATAATTCACATATCCTACAATTCGCTCGCTTAACTTGTACAATTCAATGATTTTTTAGCATATTCACAGAATTGTATGATCACCACTACAATCCATTTTAGAACATTTTCATCACCCCAGAAAGAACCTCCAGACCCATTAGTAGTCACTCCCCATTTCCTCCCAACCTCTGCTTCCCCAGCCCTTGGGAACCACTAATCTACTCTTTGTTTCTATAGATTGTCCTATTTGGAACATTTCATGTGAATAGAATGATACAATATATCATCTTTATGATTGCCTTCTTTCACTTCATAGTATTTCCAAGGTAATCCATGTTATAGCATGTGTCACTACTTTGTTTCTTTTAATTCCATTACATGGCTATGTCACATTTTACTTATCCATTTATCAATAGATGGCCAGTGAGGCCAGTTTCAACTTTTTGGCTATTAAGTATTATGCTGCTACAAACATTTGTGTGAAAACTTTTGTGTAGACATATGTTGTCATTTCTCTTGGGTATATATCTCAGAGTGGAATTGCTGGATTGTGTAGTAACTCTATGATTAACCTCTAGAGGAACTTCCAGACCTTTTCCAAAGTGGCTGTACCATTTCACATTGCCACTGGCCTTGTATGAGGTTTCTGATTTCTCCACATCTTCTCCAATGCTTATTATTGTCTGTGTTTTTTTTTTTTTTGATTTGAGTCATGCTAGCAGCTGTGAAGTGGTATCTCAAAACTACTAAAAGAACTGTTCTTATTTGCATTTTTTCCCTGATGGCTGATAATGACTAGTGATGAGTATTTCTACATCTTCTTTGGAGAAATAACTATTCAGACCCTTTGCCTATTTTTGTGTATTTTATTCATTTAATTTTAATAATTTCAACTTTTTAGATTCAAGGGTACATATGCAGGTTTGTTACAAGGGTATATTGCATGATGCTGAGGTTTGGAATATGATTGAACCCATCACCACCCAGGAAGTGAACATAGTAGACAATAGTTAGTTTTTTTTTTAACCTTTTCTCCCCCTTTTAGTAGTCTTGAGTGTCCACCGTTGCCATCTTTATGTCCATGAGTATCCAATGTTTAGCTCCCATTTATAAGTGAAAACATGCAGTATTTGGCTTTCCACTCTTGAGTTAATTTGCTTAGGATAATGGCCTCCAGCTACATTCATGTTACTGCAAAGGACATGATTTCATTCTCTTTTTATGGCTGCATAGTATTCCATGGTGTATATGTACCACATTTTCTTATCCAGCCCACTGTTGATGGGCACATAGGTGGATTCCATGTCTTTGTTATTGTGAATATTACTATGGATGAGCTTATAAGTTCATGTGTTTTTTTGGTATAATGGTCTATTTTTCTTTGGGTATATACCCAGTAATGGGATTGCTTGGTTGAATGGTAGTTCTGTTTTAAATTCTTTGATAAATCCTCAAACTGCTTTCCACAGGGCCTGAACTAATTTACATTCCCACCAACAGTGTATAAGCCTTCCCTTTTCTCTGGGTATTTCCCTTTTCTTTGGATATTAGACCTTTGTCAGATGCGTAGTTTGTGACTATTTTTTCCCATTCTGTAGGTTGTCTGTTTATTCTGTTGATAGATTTTTTTTTTTTTAGCTGTGCAGAAGCTCTTTAATTAGATCCCATTTGTCAATTTTTATTTTTGTTGCAACTGCTTTTGAGGCCTTAGTCATAAATTATTTCCCAAGGCCCATGTCTGGAATAGTGTTTCCTAAGTTTTCTTCTAGAATTCTTATAGTTTGAGGTATTACATTTAAATCTTTAATCCATCTTGAGTTAATTTTTATATGTGGTGAAAGGTCGGGGTCCAGTTTTCTTCTTCTACATGTGGCTAGCCAGTTTCTAGCACCATTTATTGAATAAAGAGTTCTTTCCCTATTGCTTATTTTTTCCAATTTTGTCAAAGATAAGATGATTGTAAGTGTATGGCTTTATTTTTGAATTCACTATTCTGTTCCATTGGACTATGTCTGTTTTTGTACCAGCACCATGCTGTTTTGATTACTGTAGCCTTATAGTATAGTTTGAAGCTGGGTAATGTGATGCCTCTGTCTTTCTTCATTTGGCTTAGGATTGCTTTAGCCATTCAAGTTCTTTTTTGTTTCCATATGAATTTTGGAATTTTTTTTCTAATTCTG
This sequence comes from Homo sapiens, assembly GCF_000001405.40. Classification (NCBI taxonomy): domain Eukaryota; kingdom Metazoa; phylum Chordata; class Mammalia; order Primates; family Hominidae; genus Homo; species Homo sapiens. The sequence goes on along the minus strand of NC_000004.12, from coordinate 127,433,567 downwards.
CGAACAATGACGTTGGTTGTTTGATAGGGATAGCATTGAATCTGTAGATTGCATTGGTCTCTAAGACCATTTTAATGATGTTGATTCTTCCAATCCATAAGCATGGAATGTTTTTCCATTTATTTGTGTCATTTTTTATTTCTTTCAGCAGTGTTTTGTACTTTTCCTTTTGTACTTCTCCTGTAGAGATCTTTCACATCCTGGGTTAGCTGTTTTCCTAGGTATTTTATTTTATTTTATTTATTTTTTGTGGCTATTGTAAATGGGATTGCATTCTTGATTTGTCTCTCAGCTTGAATGTTATTGGTCTATAGAAATGCTCCTGATTTTTGTACATTGATCTTGTTTTGTGAAACTTTACTGAAGTCATTTATCAGTTCCAGGAGCCTTTTGGCTGAGTCTTTAGGGTTTTCTAGGTATAGACTCATATTGTCAGTGAATAGAGATAGTTTGACTTCTTCTTTTCCTATTTGGATGCCTTTTATTTCTTTCTCTTGCCTGATTCCTCTGGCTAGGACTTCCGGTACTATGTTGAATAGAAGTGGTGAAAGTGGGCATTTTAGTTCTCAAGCTTTTGCCCATTCTTAAATTGTGTTATTTTATTCTTTTTGTGTTATAAGAGTACTGTATATATTCTACATAGAAGTCTCTTGTCAGACATGATTTTCAAATATTTTCTCCCATTCTGTGAATTGTCTTTTCACTTTTCGGATGGTATTCTTTCTAGTGTAAAAGGTTTACATTTTGATGAAGTCCAATTTATTTTTTATTTTGATGTTTATGCTCTTGGTTATCATATCTAAGAAACCATTATTAAATCCAAGGTCCAGAAACTTTTAGCTCTTACTTTTAGGTCTGTGATCCATTTTGAGTTATTTTTTGATGTCTGTGAAATGAATAAAGGATCTAAATTTATTCATTTATTTATTTTTGTATGTAGATATCCAGTTGTCCCCTCCTCATTTGTGGAAAAGACCATTCTTTTCCCATTGAATTATCCTGGTACACTTTTTTTTAAAATTTTTATTTTATTTTATTTTATTTTATTTTTATTATTATACTTTAAGTTTTAGGGTACATGTGCACAACGTGCAGGTTAGTTACATATGTATACATGTGCCATGTTGGTGTGCTGCACCCAGTAACTCGTCATTTAACATTAGGTATATCTCCAAATGCTATCCTTCCCCCCTCCCCCGTCTCCCCACCCCACAACAGGCCCCCGTGTGTGATAAAGGGCTAATATCCAGAATCTACAATGAACTCAAACAAATTTACAAGAAAAAAACAACCCCATCAACAAGTGGGCAAAGGATATGAACAGACACTTCTCAAAAGAAGACATTTATGCAGCCAAAAGACACATGAAAAAATGCTCATCACTGGCCATCAGAGAAATGCAAATCAAAACCACAATGAGATACCATCTCACACCAGTTAGAATGGCGATCATTAAAAAGTCAGGAAACAACAGGTGCTGGAGAGGATGTGGAGAAATAGGAACACTTTGACACTGTTGGTGGGACTGTAAACTAGTTCAACCATTGTGGAAGTCAGTGTGGTGATTCCTCAGGGATCTAGAACTAGAAATACCATTTGACCCAGCAATCCCATTACTGGGTATATACCCAAAGGATTATAAATCACGCTGCTATAAAGACACATGCACATGTATGTTTATTGTGGCACTATTCACAATAGCAAAGACCGGAACCAACCCAAATGCCCAACAGTGATAGACTGGATTAAGAAAATGTGGCACATATACACCAAGGAATACTTGGTACACTTTTAAAAAGTTAATCAAACACACACACACACACGTGCGCACACACACACATTTATATAACTGCTTATTTCTGGACTTTCAGTTCTATTTCATTGATCTATATGTTTATCCTCATGCTAGCACCACACTGTCTTGATTGATGAAATTGGAAAATGTGAGTCCTCTTACTGGTTCTTCTTTCCAAGATTGCTTTGGCTGTTTTGAGTCCTTTGAAATTGCATATAAACTTTAGAATCAGCTTGTCAATTTCTCCCAAAAAGCCATTTGGGATTTTGATAGGGATTGTGTTGAATCTGTAGATCAACATGGGGAGTATAACCATCTTAACAATATTAGGTCTTCTGATCCATGAACATTTACTTAGGTCTTTCCACTTTAGATTTTCTTAAATTCTTTCAATAGTATTTTGTAGTTTTCAGAGTTTGTTTTGCACTTGTTTTGTTAAATTTGTTCCTATGTATTTTATTCATTTTAATGCTATGTAAATAGGATATTCTTAATTTCATTTTTGGATTGGTCATTGCTGGTGTATAGAAATACAATTGATTTTTGTATATTGGTCTTATACCCTGCAACATCACTTCACTTGCTTCTTAATTCCAATAGGCTTATTAGTGGATTCCTTGGTATATTCTTGGTATATTCGTTGGTATATAGAAGGACATGTCATATGCAAATAGAGATAGTTTTACTCTTTTCTTTCCTTTCTGGATGTGTTTTATTTCATCTTCTTGCCTAATTGCCATGTATGGAACCTCCAATACAGTTTTATTTATTTTTATTTTAATTTTTTTTATTATTTTATTTTATTTTTCCGTAAGTTATTGGGGTACAGGTGGTATTTGGTTACATGAATAAGTTCTTTAGTGGTGATTTGTGAGATCCTGGTGCACCCATCACCCGAGCAGTATACACTGCACCCTATTTGTTGTCTTTTATCCCTTGTCCCCCTCCCACTCTTCCCAAGTCCCCAAAGTCCATTGTATCCTTCTTATGTCTTTGCATCCTCATAGCTTACCTCCCATAGATCAGTAAGAACATACGATGTTTGGTTTTCCATTCCTGAGTTATTTCACTTAGAATAATACTATATATATATATATATATAGTATTCCATCATATATATGTGTGTGGAGATACATATATATATATATATATATATATATCACAGTTTCTTTATCCACTCATTGATTGATGGGGGCATTTGGGTTGGTTCCACAATTTGCAATTGTGAATTGTGCTGCTATGAACATGCCTGTGCAAGTATCTTTTTCGAATAATGACTTCTTTTCCTCTGGGTAGATACTCAGTAGTGGGATTGCTGGTTTAAATGGTAGTTCTACTTTTAGTTCTTTAAGGAATCTCCACACTGTTTTCCATAGCGACTGTATTAGTTTACATTCCCATCAGCAGTGTAGAAGTCCCTGATTGCTGCATCCATGCCAACATCTACTGGTTTTTGATTTTTTGATTATGGCCATTCTTGCAGTAGTAAGGTGGTATCACGTTATGGTTTTGCTTTGCATTTCCCTGAACATTAGTGATGTTGAGCATTTTTTTCATATGTTTGTTGGCCATTTGTATATCTTCTTTTGAGAATTGTCTATTCATGTACTTAGCCCACTTTTTGATGGAATTATTTGTTTTTTTTTCTTACTGATTTGTTTGAGTTCATTGTAGATTCCCAATATTAGTCCTTTGTCAGATGTATAGATTGTGAAGATTTTTTCCTACTCTGTGGGCTGTCTGTTTACTCTGCTGACTGTTCCTTTTGCTGTGCAAAAGCTCTTTAGTTTAATTAGGTCCCAGCTATGTATTTTTGTTTTTATTGCATTCGCTTTTGGGTTTTTGGTCATGAAATCCTTGCCTAAGCCAATGTCTAGAAGGGTTTTTCCAATGTTAACTCCTAAAATTTTTATAGTTTCAGGTCTTAGGTTTAATTCCTTAATCCATCTTGAGTTGATTTTTGTAGAACCTGAGAATGAGGATCCAGTTTCATTCTCCTGTGGCTAGCCAATTATCCCAGCACCATTTGTTGAAAAGGGTGTGCTTTCTCCACTTTATGTTTTTGTTTGCTTTGTTGAAGATCAGTTGGCTGTAAGTATTTGGGTTTATTTCTGGATTCTCTATTCTGTTCCATTGGTTTATGTGCCTATTTTTATACTAGTACCACACTGTTTTGGTGACTATGGCCTTATTGTATAGTTTGAAATCAGGTAGTGTGATGCCTCCAAATTTGTTCTTTTTGCTTAGTGTTGCTTTGGCTATGTGGGCTCTTTTTTGTTCCATATGTATTTTAGGATTGTTTTTTTCTAACTCTGTGAAGAATGATGGTGGTATTTTGTTGGGGATTGCGTTGAATTTGTAGATTACTTTTGGCAGTATGGTCATTTTCACAATATTGATTCTACCCATCCATGAGCATGGGATGTGTTTCCATTTGTTGGTGTCATCTATGATTTCTTTCAGCAGTGTTTTGTAGTTTTCCTTGTAGAGGTTTTTTGACTTTTTTGTTAGGTCTATTCCTAAGTATTTTATTTTTTTGCAGCTATTATAAAAGGGGTTGAGTCTTTGATTCAATTCTCTGCTTGGTCGCTGTTGGTGTATAGAAGAGCTACTGATTTGTGCACATTAATCTTGTATCCGGAAACTTTGCTGAATTCTTTTATCAGTTCTAGGAGCTTTCTGGAGGACTCCTTAGGTTTTTCAAGGTAAATGATCATATCGCCAGCAAACAGGGACAGCTTGACTTCCTCTTTACTGATTTGGATGCCCTTTATTTCTTTCTTTTGTCTGATTGCTCTGGCTAGGACTTCCAGTACCATGTTGAAGAGGAGTGGTGAGAATGGGCATCCTTGTCTTGTTCCTGTTCTCAGAGGGAATGGTTTCAACTTTTCCCCTTCAGTATTATGTTGGCTGTGGGTTTGCCATAGATGGCTTTTATTACAATAAGGTATGTCCCTTGTATGCTGATTTTGCTGAGAGTTTTAATCATAACAGGATGCTGGATTTTGTCTAATGCTTTTCTTGCATCTATTGAGATGATCATATGACTTTTGTTTTTAATTCTGTTTATGTGGTGTATCACATTTATTGACTTATGTATGTTAAATCATCCCTGCATCCCTGGTATGAAACCCACTTGATCATGGTGGATTATCTTTTTGGTATGTTGTTGGATTCAGTTAGCTAGTATTTTGTTAACGATTTTAGCATCTGTGTTCATCAAGGATATCTGTCTGTAATTTTCTTTTTTGGTTGTGTCCTTTCCTGGTTTTGGTATTAGGGTGATGCTGGCTTCATAGAATGAATTAGGGAGGGTTCCTTCTTTATCTTGTGGAATAGTGTCAAAAGGATTGGTACCAATTCTTCTTTGAATGTCTGGTAGAATTCTGCTGTGGATCCGTTTGGTCCTGGACTTTTTTTTTTGTTGGTAATTTTAAAATTATTATTTCAATCTCACTGCCTGTAATTGGTCTGTTCGGGGTATGTAATTCTTCCTGATTTAAGCTAGGAGGGTAGTATTTTTCCAGGAATTTATCCATCTCTTCTAGGTTTCCTAGCTTATATGTGTAAAGGTGTTCATAGTAGCCTTGAATAATCTTTTGTATTTCAGTGGTGTCAGTTGTAATATCCCCTGTTTTGTTTCTCAGTGAGGTTATTTGGATTTTCTCTCTTCTTTTCTTGGTTAATCTTGCTAATGGTCTATCAATTTTATTTATCTTTTCAAAAAACTACCTTTTTGTTTCATTTACCTTTTGAATTTTTTTGTTTGTTTGTTTCAGTTTCATTTAGTTCTGCTCTGATCTTGGTTATTTCCTTTCTTCTGCTGGGTTTGGGTTTGGTTTGTTCTTGTTTCCTTAGTTCCTTGAGGTGTGACCTTAGATTGTGTGTTTGTGCACTTTCAAACTTTTTGATGTAGGCATTTGGGGCTATGAACTTTCCTCTTAGCACCACCTTAGCTGTATCCCAGAGGTTTTGATAGGTTGTGTTATTATCGTCACTCAATTTGAATAATTTTTAAATTTCCATCTTCATTTCATTTTTGACCCAATGCTCACTCAGGAGCAAGTTATTTAATTTCCATGTATTTGCGTGGTTTTGAAGGTTCCTTTTGGAGTTGATTTACAGTTTTACTCCACTGCGGTCTGAGAGAGTGCCTGATATAATTTCAATTTTCTTAGACTTATGAGGCCCGTTTTATGGCCTATCATATGTTTTATCTTGGAGAAGGTTCCATGTGCTGTTGAACGGAATGTGTATTTTGCGGTTGTTGGATGAAATGTTCTGTATATATCTGTTAAGTCCATTTGTTCCAAGGTATAGTTTAAATCCATTGTGTCTTTGTTGACTTTCTGTCTTGGTGAGCTGTCTAGTGCTGTCGGTGGAGTATTGAAGTCCCCCACTATTATTGTGTTGTTGTCTATCTCATTTCTTTGGTCTATTAGTAATTGAGTGATCATTTTATACATTTGGGAGCTCCAGTGTTAGGTGCATATGTGTTTAGAATTGTGATATTTTCTTGTTGGACAAGGCCTTTTACCATTATATAATGTCCCTGTCTCTTTTAACTACTGTTGCTTTGAAGTTTGTTTTGTCCGATATAAGAATAGCTACCCCTGCTCACTTTTGGTGTCCATTTGCATGAAATGCCTTTTCCCACCCCTTTAAGTTATATGAGTCCTTATGTGTTAGGTGGGTTTCTGGAGCATTTTGCATTTCTAAAAGTGTGTCCACAGTTTCTTGATTTCTTTTTTAAAGCTATTTATTTTCTTGAATATTTCTCCCTTCACTTCTTGTATCATTTTCTGGATTTCCTTGCATCAAGCTTCACCTGTCTCTGGTCCCTCCCTGACTAGCTTAATAACTAACCTCTCGAATTCTTTTTCATTTAAATCAGGGATTTTTTTTTTCTTGGTTTGGATCCATTGCTGGTGAACTAGTGTGATTTTTGGGGGATGTTGACAAGCCTCATTTTGTCGTATTACCAGGGTTGGTTTTCTGGTTCCTTCTCATTTGGGTAGGCTCTGTCAGAGGGAATGTCTAGGGCTGAAGGCTGTTGTTCAGATTTTTTGTCCCATGGGTGTTCCCTTGATGTAGTATTCTCCCCCTTTTCCTGTGGATGTGACTTCCTCTGAGCCGAGCTGCAGTGATTGTTGTCTCTCTTCTTAGTCTAGACACCCAGTGAGTCTTTCTGCCTCCAGGCTGGTACTGGGGGTTGTCTGCACAGAGTCCTGTGATTGTGAACCATCTATGGGTCTCTCAGCCATGGATACCAGCAACTGTTCTGGTGGAGGTGGCAGACAGTGCAGTAGACTCTGTGGGGGTCCTTAGCTTTGGTGGTTTAATGCTCTATTTTTTGTGCTGGTTGGCCTCCTGCCAGGAGGTGGCACTTTCCAGAAAGCATCAGCTGTAGTAGTATGGAGAGTGACCAGCGGTGAGTGGGGCCCTAGAACTCCCAAGATTATATGTCCTTTGTCTTCTGCTACCAGGATGGGTAGGGAAGGACTATCAGGTGGGGGCAGGGCTAGGTGTGTCTGAGCTCAGACTCTCCTTGGCAGGGGTCTTGCTGTGACTGCTGTGGGGGATGGGGTGAGATTCCCAGGTCACTGGAGTTGTGTACCTAGGAGAATTATGGATGCCTCTGCTGAATCATGCTGGTTGTCAGGGAAGTGGGGGAAAGCCAGCAGTTACAGGCCTCACCCAGCTCCCACGCAAACTGAAGGGCTGGTTTCACTCCCACTGTGCCCCCACCCAGCGGCCCTGAGTCTGTTTCCAGGTGGAGGGCGAGTCAGGCTTGAAAATTTGCCTGAGGCTTTCTGCCTCCCAGCTGTGAAAGAAAAGGGCTTTAATTCTTCCCCCACCTGTGAAGTCTGCAAGCCGGATTTGCGCCCTCCCCTGAGTTCTGGCTAGGAGGTTTCTCTCCCTGTTCAAATTATTACAAAATTCAGCTATCGAAGTCCTTCTCCTTGTGGAGTTTTACCCCCTGCTCCTCTGGCCTCCCTCCTGGTGGATCCCTGTGGTGCCAGGCAGGAATGGGCTGCTTGGGGATCCAGCGAGCTCCCAGGGCCTTTCTGCTGCTTATCTACCCCTGTATTTCACTCAGCTCAGCTCTCTAACTTGATTCACCTCCAGGTGAAGTCGAGAACTTCTCTTGCAAACAGGCCTTCAGCTTCTCCAGTAGGGGTGTGTGTTCAGGAGAGAAGGGTCTCCCTTTCCCACTTCTGCAGTTTGGGGCACTCGCAGTATTTGGGGTGTCTCCTGGGTCCTGCAGGAGCAGCCCGCGTCCTTCAGAGAGTCTGTGGGTCCTCTCAGGATTGCTGATTTGTCCTTGCAGTCGATCTGGAGCTAAAATTCACAGTACAAGCCTCCGCGTGCTGCTCTATCTGGAGCTGCAATCTAGTCCTGCCTCCCGTCTGCCATGGTCCCTTAATCCCCGCCTCCAATACAGTTTTAAATGGAAGTGCTGTGAGTAGCCATTCTTGTCTTGTTCCTGATTTTAGGGGAAAAGCATTCAATCTTTCATTATTAAGTATGTGGGTGATATGGTTTGGCTGTGACTCCACCCAAATCTCCTCTTGAATTTTAGCCCCCATAATTCCCATGGGTGTGGGAGGGACCCAGTGGGAGATACTTGAATCGTGGGGATGGTTTCCCCCATACTGTTCTCATGGTAGTGAATAAGTCTCACAAGATCTGATCATTTTATAAGAGGTTTCCACTTTGGCTTGGCTCTCGTTCTCTCTTGTCTGCTGGCATGTAAGATGTGCCTTTCACCTTCTGCCATGATTGTGAGGCCTCTCCAGCCGTGTCGAATTGTGAGTCCATTAAACTCCTTTTTCTTTATAAATTACCCAGTCTTGGGTATGTCTTTATCAGCAGCATGAAAACAGACTAATACGGGGTTTTTCCCCAGATGTCCTTCCTTTATCAGGCTTAGCACGTTCCCAGTTCCTACTTTCTTCAGTGTTTTTATTATGAATGGGTATTGAATTTTGTCAAATACTTTTTTCTGCATTTATCGAGATAATCATGTGTTTTTTGTCCATTATCCTATTGACACAGTTATTTCATAAATTGGTCATGGTATATAATGCCTTTTGTATGTTAATGGTCCAGTTTGCTAGTATTGTATTTTGTTGAGAAATTTTGCATCTATATTCATAAGAGATATCAGCCTATAGCTTTTTTTCTTGTTTTTTTTTTTTTTATTGTATTGGTTTTGCTGTCATAGTAATGCTGGCCTCATAGAAAGAATTGGGAACTGCTTTCTCCTCATTATTTTTTGAAAGAGTGTTTAAAAAATTTGTATTCATTTTTAAAATAAAGTTTGCTGGAAACTTTATAACTGTCATCAGTGAAGCCAACTGGCCCTGGACTTCTCTTTATGGGAAGGTTTAAAACTATTAATTCAATCTCCTTACTAGTTATCAGTTTATCCATTTTTAATTTTTTCTTCATTCAGTTTTAGTAGTTTTTGTCTTTTTAGGGATTTGTTCATTTCATGTAAATTATTAATTTGTTGGCATACAGTTGCTCATAGTATTCTCTTACAATTCTTTTTTTACTTCTGCAAGGTCAGTAGTAAATCCTCCTGAGAAAGCTTGGTTTAGAAGAGGGAGGCAGCTAGTAAAAACTTAAATAAGAAAACATCAAGTAGTTATCAGTGTTATAATAAAGCTAAAGTAGGGTGATATGAGGAAAGTGGTCAGGTGGCAATTTTAGATTGGGTGGTAGGAAGTGACCTTGCTGAGAAATAACATTTTAATCAAGACCTGCGTGATATTAATAATAATGAGCCAGTGATGCAAATATTCATAGCATTCCAGCCAGAGGGAAACCACTAGTGCAAAAGTATAAGGGGAAACACATTGGTATATTTGAGGAATAGAAAGAAGGCCATGTGACTGAAGCATACTATGTAAGAAGCAAATTAGATGAGGCCAGAGAAACGGACAGGTCCGGATTATATAGAACCTCGTAGGTAGCCATGGTAAATAATTTGGATTTTATTCCAAATAGAAACCATTGGAAGGCTTTAAACAGGAGATTGACATGATCTATTTTACGCTTTAAAAGATCACTCTGGCTCCTTTGTGGAAAACAAACTGTAGGAAGTCAAGAGGGAAAGGCCATGTATGCGAGGCCAATTGTGTTTCGTGGGAGCTATTCAGGTGAGAGTAGCTAGTATCTGAATCTGAGTAATAGTGGAAATGAAGAGAAATAGGTGTGTTCAGGTTACGTTTGGTAGTAGAATCAACTTGCCAATGGCCTAGATGTCAGTGAAGAAAAGAGGGAAATCAAAAGAGGAATTCAAGGTTTGTGAGTTGAACAACTCGGTGGATAGCATAAGAGTAGATGATACACGTCATTATTTCTTTGCATGGGTGTCTCTACCACCAGGCTATAAACTTGTCAATGGCATATTGTCTTATTCATTCTTGTATCTCAAGCACCTAGCAAGTGCTAGGTCAGTGTGAGCAACAAAAAAACAATCAGTGATAATAATGCCATGAAATACATACAAGGACAGGACATGGAAAGACATCTAACTTAGCAGGGCAATCAGAAAATGCTTTTAAGAAAGAATTCTTAAACTGATTCAGGGAGGAAAGCAGGGGTTAGGGCATATTTGTAATTTAACATAAAATACTCTGATATAATTTCTAAGCTAGCCTTATGAGCAGACATAAGCTTCTTTTCCTCATAAAATCAAGTCCCTCTTAAATGGCCACTCTAATTTCTTGGAAGAAAAGGTGACACTGGTTAAACTTTCTATATCCCTGTGAGCCTGAGTGACATGGTCCAAGGTACATAGAACCTTAAAATATGGAATGAGCTTTACCAAATCTGTACAGCTTTTCCTTCTGTGGTCAGAAAAGTGGTGATCATTAGAACTTATGCTTACTTTATTGTTCAAGTTTGTATAGGTGTTCTTTTTTTCTATTTAAGTGCTCTTTATGTTTGTTGGCAGTGTTGGCCTTCGATTGTATGTTCTTGGAAGACTGTGACTATTTTTGATATTGTTATAACATCTGATACAGTGTATCATATGTATTTAGATGTTAAGTAAATTTGTTTTTGTGGTGATGTTTTGCTACCTAGTTCTGCTTTGGCTCTCTGTAGAGATTCTAATTTCTAATAATGTCCAATTGAGATATCTTGACCACCCTCCTAGCTTTTTGTTTATAAAAATTTAAAATATACTGAAAAGTTGAAATAATAGTGCAGTGAATGCTTATATACACTGTATCTAGATTTCCTATTTTTTAATTCTTTGAAACATTTGCTTTATCTCTATGTGTGTACCCATACGCACATACATGGACATTCACACTTAAAACACACTTAATAAAAACACACTTAATAAAAACATTGGAAAATTAGTTACAAACATCATGACATTTCACCCTTAAATACTTCAGCATGAATGTTTAAGGGACAAGAACATTCCACCTAAATCTGAAAACATTATTATACCCAAGAAACTCAGTTTTAAATCAATAATATTAATTTAATATAGATTCTGTATTCAGATTTCATCAATTATAACAAAACTGTTTTTTGTAGCCTTTTATTTATTATTTTTCTGGACCCATGGGCCAATTGAGGACCATACATTGCATTTAGTTGAAAAGTATCTCTTGATATACATATTTTGTGTTAAATCTATTGTATATCTTTTCTGCTTTTATAGATTCATTTTCAGTGTTTAAGGGTAACATAATTTGACTCTTTTAAGAAGAGTGGATGACATTTATTAACTACATAATAAAATAAGCTGCTTTCCCAGCTGGTGGATAGCCCTGAAGGTTAACTCGGAAAATGACTTTTCCAGTAACCAAGTGAATTGAACTGTTGCTTTAAAAATTCTTTTTAGTGCTTCTTTCCCAGCCTTTGAATTTTTCACTAAACATTAGTAATTTTAATAAAAATACATTTTGTTTGTAGACCTTAGTAGCATTTTATCTTCATGAAAATATGGAAAACTTCACCAGGTTCAACCAATTGTAGCTCTTGAAAATTATTTTTGAAATGAAACACTAAACTACTCTTCCTCAGCCCTCCCAAGTTAATAAATTACATAATTACTAAATGCCCTGACAGGCTTTGGAGTTTCATAATTTTAAAAACTGATGTCAGAGAAGAAATGTTGAAATACTATTAAAAACATCTGAAAAGCACCTCCTGCCCAATTATGCTACTCTAAATGCCATAGCAACATTAACCAAACATTTTCTCTATCAATGTAGAGAATTTGGAGATCTTTATTCTTTTGAGTGGCTCATTTATTGCTGCATTTTTTTGTGGATGAAGCAGTATTATCCAATGTTACCTCCCAAAAGGGTACTTTTAATTTTATTATTTCATAGGCTCCAGATCTGTAGTTTATTGTTTACGTTTGCAACATGAGTGGGAGAAGGGAGGATTAGGTCACTAGTGGCTACAAAGTATATATATCTTGATGGTATTGATCATTCTAATAAAAGTTCTTGACATCATTTCTTGAGCCACGTTGAATATGGTTGTTTGTTCTTTTGTGTTTTCCTCATCTCCAATTCCCCAAGTTTTCCAATGCTCTTTGAAGTTGTAATTTTTTAAACATTTTTCCCACTTCCCCACTACGAATATATTTTTTATGAGTCATATACTTAGCTTTTACAATTTAAAATTTTTCTTCTTTTTGAGCTCATCTCCAATCCATTTTATTGTTTATATTCATGAGAATTCTATCCCACCTTAGGTCTCTTGAGGCATGTCAACCTCCTTTAAACTTTCCTTTTCCTTCAGAATAACTATCTGTGCAAATATCATTGAAGTGTATCCCAAGCTCTATTGTGTTGGTTTAAATTGCTCATATGCTGAAAAAACTTTAATGAAAATGATCTTTTTCCAGTCCTCCAACTTAATGGTCCTGGCTCTCTTTGAGATCTCTGACTCCTATCTCCACCCCATCTTAGCTCTGATCCACTTCAATTATACTCTAGACCTCCTCATTCATCGCCAGGAAACTTCCACCTCTGAAGTCTCCAAAATTTGTGGAATTGATGTCTTGTTTATTGCCTGTTCCACCAAGCTTGCACTGTATTTTCAGTGAAACACTCACTCAGCCCCTCCAAATCCTCGTTCTTCAATTTGTCTGTGCTTAGTGTCCAAAGCTAAGCCTGTGGAGAGTGTTGCCTGAACTTTTTTTGAAAGCCATATTTCTGTGTATCTCCAAGCATCTCTACTAGGTAATTCTGGAAGTAACTCAAATTCAGTGTGTCTGAAAGAGAACTCATCATTAATTGCCCCAGATGAGAACAACTGTGTTTCTTTTGTTTACTGCTATATTCTCCATAATTGGAATATATTGGGCACTAAGGTCATTTTTGTTGGATGAATGAACATATGAAAAGAATTTCCTCAACTAAATTTATTCTCCTTCCCAACTTACTATCTGATTCCCAATAACGCCCCTTACACACTGGCAAGGAGGACATGAGATAGACAGAAATATTCTAATCCTGGAAAAATATGGATTATTTTGGGGAGTTTCTTCAAGGTTGAGGAAGGGGACAGTATTTTGGGAGGTGTTTTTCATGCGACCGAAATATGTGTCCACTACTATGCTGAGACCCCAAGAAAGGACAGGCTGTCTGATGGGGTGGTAGAGGGGTGTGTGTGTGTGTGTGTGTGTGTGTGTGTGTGTGTGTGTGTGTCTGTATGTTTAAACATTAGGAGTCCTGATCTTAGCTTGTTTCTTTCCAACCTCTTGATGCTGAAGCAGTCAATTACCACAAATATGGCACAAACATATTTCTGATGATGGCATATATGTAATTGTATATTCTGGCTTCACCATGTAGCATTAGATAAACATAATTTCCATGTTGTTACAGTTTTTGTGATGAAAATTCATGATAATCATTGAAGGGGTGTTTTATAACTTTGAACACTTCCTCTACTAATACACATTTAGGCTATTTCCACTTTTTCCCATCTTAAAATAAAACTGTAATGAATGCCTTAATACATAAGGTTTTTCTTCTCATGGATTATATTTTCAATATTCATATAATCATTTTCCTCTAAAGCTTTGTTTTATGTCTGAATCAAGTTTTAAGTCGTTTCTCTGAGGATTTTCTGTTTGTTTCACTGTACAAATGCCCAGAAAGCTTAATGTTTTGTCTTCCAAGTCTTTTATAGTTTGAAATGCTTGTTTTTTAGCCACTGATTGTGGATCCAATAGTTTTAATTTCTTAGGTATTTATTTCAGGTCACATACCACTGAGGATTTACTGATGCTGAATAAAAAGTCAGATGTTTAAACCAACCCCAACACAGCAGCATCAGCTTTTTTGTTTGTTTGTTTTGGATAACTATTTCATTTTTTTTTTTCTCCAGGAATCCTGATTTTTTTTTGTCAACTATAAAACTTAAACAAATAATTGTCATGTCTAATCTGACAATTAAGTATGAAATCCATGTGTGTGAGGTAGATGACCCAAGATAAGTCCACCTTATTCTTGTGTTGGCTATGTGGATTCTAGTTATCATTATTTAAAATTTTTAATTTAGTATATATTTTTATTTTCTGAAAAAGCAATACATACACATGATGAAAAATTCAAATGCTAACAAAGAATATGTGGTAACAAACATCCTCTAGACTTTTCCTTTGTCAACTGCTAGCATCAGTTTCTTTGTTTCCTTTTAGTTATTCTACATATACTGTAGCTTTTCTCTATCAAATTTATCTAAAACTGTAATGTTTCTGAAAAGAGAAACATTTTGATATGTCATATGTTTATTGTCATTTTAATAATGTTTTTGTTTGCTTTATTATTTAGATTGGCACATATAGTTCTTAGTGATATTTGGGTTTTCTTTTACCTATAAATACAAATTGAGTAAAGATTGGTTCAAATAGTCAATTTTTTTTTGCGAACTAAAATTAGGAAAATAGAAAGTCGAGAAAATGAATAAGAATGGATGCGAGGTATTGTAAAAGTAGGAGCCAAGACTATTGAGTATAGTGTTTAAGAAACATGTTCTAGTGTATCTATACATATTTTTATCCTCTCTAAAGTTAGCATGTATGTATATTTCTATTATCTATATTGTCGGATAATACATTATTAAATGCTGTCTAAGTGATTCCCAAACAATGCTCTGGGAATATTAGTATTTGACAAAATTTCAGTAGGTATGTGATGAAACAAAAATTCCATGGTACAAAATGTTTGAGAAAAGTGCTGTAGCATTGATAGTAAACATTTTTAGTAAATTCATAAATTGTTTTTTAGGTATAAGATGCTAAATTCATCTATCTGAGCTGCTAAGGTCATTTACAATGTACTTGGAATGAAAAGGAAATTTATTATAGCGCTCTATCATTCTCTTAACTCTTTGGCTGATAGATATCTTTGTATTTGGCAGCAGTGTCATTGTTCTTCTTTTTTAGTGTTTGCAGAATGCAATTTTGGCAGTTTCTGAGGGGAATAGAATTTACTGAGGCAGTTTATATTCTTAAAATGCAATAACTTGTTATGTCAGAATCTGCTTTGAAATGCCAGAAGAAAATATTTCCTCTTGCTCTGCCTTTCTTCCTTCATAATTGCTATAAACAATGCAAGTTGTCTACATAAACCATACAATTATTTATCGTTAATGTTTGATGGAATGTCTTTAAAAGTCAGACATAGTGCCAGATAGTGAAATGTTTGTTTATTTATTTTTCTGAATCTGGGGAATGTGGGAGGACAGCCCTGCCCAGGTCGTGTAGGAGCCTGGTCTGGGGAAGGCAGGAAAAGCAGCAGCCCAATTAATCCTGTTTCACCACCTCTCACTAGCAGTCCTTTATAGTTTAGAAAGGAATTCTGCCTCAAATGCTTTCATGAAATTAGTTGACTGGGAAGTAAATTAATACAAGATAAACCAAGAGGAACTGTGCATTGAGAGCTTTCTCATACTCATACATTCCTTGTGAGTTAGGTACGTTTTGCAACTGATGAGCTCCTGTTTTCCAAGCCTTGAGACTACATTATGCCATGATAATTATTTCTGTATTTGGGAATAAATGCTGTCATTGTTTTACCTCCATTGAAACACTTTGTCTCTTCAGGTTTAGTCTCTAGTTAGTTCAGATTAGTTATACTGACCCGTGAAATCCATAATAATAGGTTGGCATTTTAGTCAATATTTTGGAATGAAACTTTTACTTATAATCCCCTTATCTTCCTCTTGAAAATGAGAGAGTTGTTTGTAAACTGTGAGGACACCTCAAGGTTGTGGAACTGTTGAAGTTTTCATTTGAACCAATAGCAGAGCCAGACTTCATTAGATGTGATTCTGTAATTGTCATGACATTCCCTGTTCATAACATAAACAAACAAAAAAAGAAAATAAGGAGTGGAAGAAATTTCAGTATAGGACTTGAGAGACTCTCACAGGTCTTTTTTGGGGTAAGAGCATATATATATACGTATATATATGTATATATATATACGTATATATATATGTATATATATATACGTATATATATGTATATATATATACGTATATATATATGTATATATATATACGTATATATATACATATATATGTACATATATATGTGTATATATATATATACACACACACACATATTTGTATTTGTATTTGTATTTTAATTAGTATTTTAGGAAACATTCATATTTATATATAAAATACATTTTATATAAATATGTTATTTGAAGTATTTGTGTTACATATATTTATGTTAATATATTTTATATAAAATATCTACTTTCCCAAAACATGTATATATTATATAATTTTTTATACTTATACATAAATTTATAAATATAAATAATATATAAAATTCAAAATATAAATAATATGTAGCTATATACATAAATATACATTTAAAAATATTTGAGGTTATATATTTATATATAACAATATATAATATATAACAATATATAAATATATAATATAGAAATATTTTATATGTGTATGTTATATACACTTATATTTTGGAGGCTTTTATATGATAGCCTAGCAATTTCTTTAAAAGAAAAACCCAAAGCAAATACATTCTTGGCTGATAGGGTGTTTTGTGTAAATGTGCCTGGAAACTTGAGTAGGTAATAATGCTTTATTAATTTTTTTAGAAGTATTTAAACCAATTTTTGAGAATGTGAGTGTGCTAGTGAACAAATTTCATCTCAGTAAGAGATCATGCCCCCTTGCTCTGCTGGGCCCAGTCTAGTTACATACGTATTTTCTACAAACAGGGCACTAGGGGTGGGTGCCTGGCAATGGGCTTAATTGTTTGATGACAGAAGGCATTAAAAAACGGAGGGAAGTCCCTTGGCACTGCAGAGGGGAGGAGAGAAGAGAGAATAAGAAGTCTGTGATCCAGACTGTTTATTAACCTTGCCTTTCTGTGGAAAAGATCATTCACCCTGTCACTGGGCATGGAACTGGCAGCTGGGGTGTTGTCTCTGGCCCCTGAAACCAGATGAGCAAGGCTGTTGAAGGATGAGTTCGGCTGCGCTCCAGCTACCTCATGCTCTGAATAAAAGTCACAAAGAAACTCAGATGCAGCATATGCAAGACTGCGCTGAGGGGCTAGAAGCTTTTAGCTGCTAATTTGTTCTGTTTCCAAAGGACTAGCTGTTAAGAAGCAGCAAGGGCCATGGTGATGGAAAATATTACTATGTAAAGGTTGCCAATGAGACTGCTTGAAAAGGTGTTGGTAGGAATTTTCTTTTGGAGGTGAAGATGCTCCTCCACTTATAATGGGGTTATGTCTGAATACACCCTTCCTAGGTTGAAAATATAGCAAGACAAAAATTCATTTAATATACCTAACCCAGTGAACTTCATAACTTGGCCTAGCCTACCTTAAATGTGCTCAGAACACTAAGCCTACAGTTGGGCAAAGTCATCTGGCAGCACAGAACCCCATAGAGGTTGTTTACCCTTGTGATGGCATGGCTGACTGGGAGCTGTGACTTGCTGCCACTGCCCAGCAGTGCGAGAGAGTATGGCACCACTTTCTACTGAAGGCATATGGCTTTTACTCCATAGTAAAGTAGAAACATTGTAAGTTGGGGCCCATCTGTATAGTCAGTGACAGGCTAGTATTAAAACTCATGGATATCAAGGATTTGCTTTCTCCTGATAGCTCTGTGGCTATGGGCTTCTTGGACTATAGCTCCATCCCTTGGGTACCAATAAAGCTGAAAGTTCTGTAGTACAGTTGCAGTGCCTGGTGTGTGGGGACAGAGATGACAGTCTAGGGTACCTGACTAGATATTCCTCTGTGGTTCCAGAGTAGAGTTGGGTGAATAATTGCTGAGATATGTCCAGGCATTGTTCCATCTCCTTGTATTTGAACCATGGCCTCTGGACAGAGGACAAAGAATTATGTCAGAATTTACTTAGTGGTAGTGAAACAGCCCAATTTAGTTGTCTTCTAAAACTTTGTTTCAGCTGACATGGACCTCTAGGGTAAAAAAAAAAAAAAAAGGAAATGGTTTAGAACATGAAAGTGATAGAAGGAAACACCTTATTTATCTTTCCCACTCCTTCCTAAGACGTAAACTATTTGGAAGTTAAATGTCTGTGTGCATTATGTTTTGCAGGGCTTGGATCTTCCTCTGATAGTTCTACTTCATTCTGTCAAAGATCCAATTCCCGAAAGAGTTTTTTTCATCATCTTCAAACATCCAGTGAGTGTTTCTCTATGATGTTGCTTTCCTGATGCCTCTACCAGGCTGTCTGAGACATCTGGTAGTTCACAGTTCTTTTAAAATTTTGGGGATGATTTAATATTTAAAGAGTAACTTTTTGTTGGAACTTCACATCAGTTTTTCCAATTCAAGTTATCAGTATTAACTAAGCTTATGGTGTGCCCTGCATGAGATTTGGACCTCAAAGAACATAGGAGATCACATAGACTTCATACATCTTAAACAATTAGAGAACATTACCAGAAAATATAAATTTAAGAGTTCATTTATGTGGAGCAAGCTCTTAAGTGCAGGATAGATTAGGATAACTGAGAGTGAACCCTGGCTCTGCCACCCTGCATAAATCATAGTCTCTCTAATCCTCATGTGTCTAATAGGGATACTATTAACTGTCTCTAGGATTGCTGAAAGGATTAAATAACACCCAAAATGTGCCAAGTGCATCATAGGCACTCAGTGCATGTCAGTTAATGCAATGTAGTATGGGGAAGACATAAAAAGAGGGAGGAAAATGTGAATGAGATGATGAAGGATGGGGAAGACATGATTAGCAGAGAGGAGTGATGAGGACATTTGCAAGGAGATTGGAGGGAGAAAGTGAGTTAAGATAGGGAGCTGGGAATGACTTAGGTGTGGCCGTGGGCCCAATTGGGGTGGAGGGTGACATGGTAAAGCAATAAGATAAAAAAGAGGACTTGCATGACCAGCTAAGAAGTCTGATGAGATCCAATAAGCAGTTGAATATTATATGAACACAAGTGACATTTTGGAAAGATTTTTACAGTATGTAAAACTAATGCAGCAGCCCTATGAGGAAAGTATTGTTATTATCCTCATTTTCCAGGTGAAAAATAGCATTTGGAAGAGGTTTCAAAGAAACTTCACATAGGTATTTACTATGTGAATATAGTAATAACATTAATGACAATCAAAATGAAAGAAAACATTAATTCATAATTTAGCCATTCAAATAGACTGTTTTCATTTTCCCATATTCTCAGTTGGTTTTGCTTTTTTTATTCCAAGGGAAGGAAAAATTGTTATGAATATTATTTGAGTTAATTTCTGTCAGTGCTTTAAACAGTGCCTGGCACAGAGTAAGCACTCACTACCTGTTACTTATTATTTTTGCTTTAATACAAACTAAGATGTCATAGAGTAGAAGAGATAGTCTGTGATGACACAGAGCCTAAGTAAGGGCACCGGGGCAGGCAAGTTTTGTGGCCTTCCTAGTTTTCCTCACGTCATAACATTCCATGTGCAAACTAAACACAAAGAGAATTCCCAGTCTTTTCCAGAATGGAATGGGGTATGGCTGATACGCAAAGTTATTTGCTAGCTAAATTCTTTGGTGGCCTGTCAGAGGTTTGCTGTCACTAACCTGAAAATGGTGGGAAAGAAAGAACAAATAATAAGTTTATTACAAAAATTTATGTTCTATTCAATGGATAATCTGTAGCTTGGATTTGTTGTTGGCTTAAAATATAGGTATAATTCTTATACTGTTCTTAGAAAAGAGATGAATTTTTTAAAAACTTGTTACATTCTTGACAGTTTTATAGGGTAAATACTTGAGATTTTAGTGTGTTCTAAGAGTGAGCAAGGCAGTTTATGTCAAAAGTCCTCATTTTAAACCTTTTCTGGTAGGCTATGGGGGAGTTAGCAAATGAGTATGTTATATCAGTTACTTAGTTTGCAGTAATTTATCTCTGGACTAGTAAAACTGTGAACTCTTCTCTAACTGCTAACCCTGAGTTAGTTTTCTAAAGACTTTCTTTTCATGTTTCTAAAACCTTAGCTGTTGATACCACTTGGATAGACTCATTATTTTTCAAGTGCTGAGGTCTAAGTTGTTGAATAAGCAAGACTAACCTTTGACATGAAAGAAAATTTAGAGGAAAGAAGGATTTCATTAGCTTTTCATTTTCAAGGCCATGTCTTATAATATGAATTTATCAAGAACATGAGTCATATTTTTCACACCTCTGTGTACTTTGGGATATAAACATTTAGGGAGATCCAAAGGTACAAAGACTGCTCTGTGCTGGGGAATATAATAAAAAATTAAGAAACTGGAATTGAAAATAAAACTCCTTTGTGCATTCTTTATATGACTGAATAAGCTTTGTGGGCTTTTGGGTCTTCTCAAATCTCCTTGAAGGGATTTGTGGAACAATTATAGTGGCTGGACTTGCCATTACACCCTTTCTGGGAAGCCTAGGAGGAAAGAAGGCTCATTTACAGTGTAGTCTGGTAAATGGGTTACAACTCTGCTGAGAGGAGTGTATCTTTTGCACTTATAAGCAGTACCACAGAACATCAGTTGGTAAATGGATCTAGGTTTTATAACTTAGCTGAATCTCCTCATGAAGATATGGAGACATTGATAATAATCATTAATACTTTCAAGTTCAAGGGCTTTAGGTTGCTTTATGCTTTTTTTCTTCCTCTTCTCCCTCTATGCTTGCCTTTCTTTCTTTCTCCCTCCTCCCTCCTTCCCCACCTCCCTCTGTTCCTCTCTCCCTTGGTCTCTCTCTTTTTTATTTCATTCAATCATTGTAAAAGCAGCATTTAATAAGATTTCATAAATAGATGATTTTATTCTTCATAGAGAATCTTCAAGTTTTTCTGGAGAAGAGATTCAAGCTATGAGGATAGGTAAAAGTAAGAAACCTTTTGTATTTGCTCCTAATTTACTGGTGATATACTGAAGAGAGGTTTTTAAAGCATTACTTATTTGAACAATCTGTCACTATCATTAGCTTTCATTTCACTCATAACCTGTTGAGGAAATGATTTTACCATAGAGTTATTATATACAACACAGATCATTTTTGTTGCTCTCCCCCAACCCTTTATTTATTTCCCTCTCCCTCCCTTCCTCCCTCCTTCCCTCCTTTCCTCCTTCCTTCTTTTCCTCTCTTTTAATCACTTCAGTATCCACAACTCAGCCAAAGTATTAACTAGAGTACAAGCCTTTTTGACAGTTGGACTATTGTGATATGGTACCTGGGAGCACTTGCTACTGCCTTGCCTCATTCCATTTTGGTATATGCTGTTGGAAAGATGGATTTTGGAGGATTGGATAGCAGAGCAGTAGTCACTCTTACCACAGTCACATATGCAAGAAAAATACAGCATTTTGGCCTTTTTCTTTCCTTATTGCTGACAGTCTCACTGGGTAGCTAAGAAAAAATAAACTTTATGTTTTGCAGTTTATAATCTTTTACATTCGTTTTTGGCTTAGTTGCTTTTTGATGGCTCAGTGTCTTTTAGATTCAATTCATGGCCCTTCAGATTTCTATTTCCTTTCTGTGCTTTTCTTCCAGATGGAATCTGAGGGTGATTTCATGGTGATGAGTGAAGCTGGGAACTTTTGTCTATGTAGCATCCTCTGGATCTTTGCTGTGGTCTAGAGTGGTGCGTCTGGTTTGTACCCTGGACTGGTCCTTTTCCTGGACATTCTGCTGATGTTTGTTATAAAGTCTCTGATTGTTAAACATGTGATTATTTTCTCTCCTCTTGCCTTAATGTATTAGTTAGGATTCTCTAGAGAAACAGCACTAATAGGAGATCTGTCTATCTGTCTCTCTGTCTGTCTGTCTGTCTGTCAATTATAGGAATTGGCTCACACAATTACAGAGGCTGAGAGGCCATACTATCTGTCATGTGCATGCAGGAGAACCAGGAATGCTGGTGGTGTAATTCAGTACAAGTCAGAAGACCTGGGAACCAGGGAGCTGATGGTGTAAGTCCCAATCTGAGTCTGAAGACCCAATAACCAGATATACTGATTTCTGAGGGCAGAAGATGAGAAGATGGACCTCCCAGATCAAACAGAGACAGGAAATTTGCCCTTCCTCTACCTATTTGTTCTATTCTGGCCCTCCATGGATTGAATGAGGCCCACTCACTTTGGGAAGGACGGATCTTCTTTTCTCAGTCTACTGATTGAAATGTTAATCTCTTCTGGAAACACCCCATAGACACACCCAGAAATAATGTTTTACTAGATATCTGGATATCCCTTAGCCCAGTGAAGTTGATGCATAAAATTAACCATCACAGTTAACAAGCACTTAAAGGCTATGTCAGACAGTTGGTTGCTCAGGTCATTTCTTAGGATAGTGCAAAAACAGCCATGGAGAAGTTGGCCACGTCACTCTGAAAGCAAGTATTCATAGTCTATTTAACTTGAGAAGCTATTCTTTCCGGTCTGCTTTCTACACTCTGTGGCCCTGGTCTCAATACCCCAAATACAGAAATTCAACTGGTTCAAGTTACATCATGGGGAGTTTTTCCATTAATCATTGTTTTCCTTTTTACTAATTCCTTTTTTTTTTTTCAAATGGCCTTTACCCTCATTGCAGGCAGCCTGAGCTCACTATTTTAGAGAAAAAGGATCAGACAGAACAATTAAAAACAAAACAGTTGATGCCAGCTTCTGAGTTTAAAACTCCTGGTAGAGATAGCAGTTGAAAGAAAGGTTTGGAAGATCAGCAAGAATGGATGATAATGTAAGCGATTGTTTTCCTTTCCTTGACTTGATAAAGATTCCTCATGATGTGGAAACAAAGTTGGAAAGAATGGTGTCAGATGCTGGCAAGGCTCGCTGTGCTTTTCCCAGCATCTGTCTTAGTGACAGTCTCAGCCCTGGGGCCAAGTGATCTCAGAGGAGAGGGCCCATGTGCCTCAATTCCTGCCTGGCTGTCCAGATGCTACAGTCCTTATTCATGGAACAGCGGAGTAGTTGGAGACAGCACAGGGTTACCAGGAGAAGGGCCTCCTAGAGAATCTCCATGTGCTTACATGGGGGGTGAGGAGGAGCCAAATCTTTTCCAGTACAGCCAAGAGTGGTGTAGATGTGGCACCAAAGGCAGGCAGCTGTGGAGAGAGACGCTGGGGCCAACACTGGAAAGCAGCCCAGATAGGTAGTGTCCTTTTCAGCAGATGCCACAACGGAGGTGTGACGCCTTCCATGAGTCAGGTGGAATGAGGTACATTTCAGCAGAAACCAGTGTGGACTGAGGGGCAGGTGCATCTTCCTGATGCCATGACTAGGCCAACTGGAACTTAGATGTGGGAAGGGAGGAGAGAACCCCATATTGAGTTTACTCTGATTTGACAGAGATAGTATTAAGTTAACTGAGTTTAACCTAAATTAATGAGTTTAAGTTTCCTGCTATCAAGTGGAGTAAGGAGTAAGTTGAGTTTAAAAAAAAGGCATGCCTCTTATATTGAACCCATTACATAGATTTTCTAGCACTATAAACAACAATATGAAAGCTAGCAAAGAAATGGAGCATGTTAAGAAGCCTTCCAAATATGATCCACTTCGTCTTAGATGACTTGTGTTAAATTGGAGCTAACGTGTTCCAGAAAAACATTGAGGTGTTGCTCCATTATTTAGCAGGAGTGATTCCTACCTCTTGCTAGGAGTGTGGGGCACACAGTGGCATGTTCAATGACAAGAAATCCAGCAGTCGTCTTCTACCAATATGGTCTAAAACCTTCTTAAGGGTTTCTATCACTTCTTCAGCTAGATAATTTGCTTAAGGGTGATGAGATTTGTTGGTAGAAGCTTCGGGAGGCATTCTGATGTAGAAGAAAGCATGCAGACATGGGGTTAAAAACACATGTGATTTAAAATTCCGTATCTGCCCCATACAAGCTGTGTGCCCTCAGTTTTCTTTTCTGTGTAAAAGAGCTAGTCATAGCTGTTGCAGTCTTTTCTTTTTGTTTGACCTTTCCCCCTTATTCCCATAATGGCACCACACCTCCCCCACTGTAAATACATGTGATTCAACAGGTGCCAGCCCTACCCTTCATTCTGTGTGGTCCAGGCCTGGCTAATGAGGGCTCTTGACACCCTGGTCACAGTGATTGGTTCAGGATAGACACAGGACCTAAATCAAAAGAAGCAGAGTAAATCCCAGGATTTTTATTTGAAGAATTGAGAAGCAGCAGCTCACTTTCCCTACTACTTGCTAAGCTTGAGGAGTGATAAGCCTGGAACCAGCAGGCACTGTCACATTGAAGAAAGACAACCTAAGAGTGAAGTCATGCACAGAAGAGTGGAATGGAGAGATGGACAATCTGATTTCTTCTGGCAGGATCTGAGCTCCTGAATTCTGTCATGCCTGTGGCCCAGTACTCCTGTATTTTTTAGAGGATGATGAATGGCTTTCATTTTCCCCGCTTCATGTTTGGAACCAATTGAATGATACCAATAAGAGTTAGACAGATGGAGATCAAAGTATTAGCTGTAATGCTAATAAAAGCTGAATTAGTAAACATAGTTTAGATGTGCAGGCACAGTGGATTTCCTAGTGCTTTCCCCTGAATTGGGGTTATAGAGCCAAATCCTGCATGGGAAGCTTAGCATGTGGTAGAAAGCAAAGCAGAACACTGTCTGTAGTGAGGTAGGGAGGCAGATCCCTAAGTCAGGGAGCAGAAGAGACTGAGCTCAGCGGTACCCACTTCTGAATACATCAGTTGTTTAAGTCCATCTTCCTTCCACAGGATGAGTGAGGAGGAAGTGTTACTTAGGCAGAAGAAATAACACATGAATTCAGAGCACCAGAAGTTTTCCTTATTCTTTTTGGGTACCTGAGCTGATAAATTTTCTTTTGTGCTTTAATTTTTTATCACTTGCCAATGAGAGTCTTGACTAAATTTCATTCATTCGCTCTACCAATTATGGACAGGTATTATGCTTTATTATGTTGGAGTGACAACACTGAACAAGTCCTTGTACTCAAAGACTTCACAGTTTGGCGGGGATATGGATGGCATGTAGGCAATTGCTCCCCTGTGTGATAAGTTCCAGGATAGGAGTAAGAAGTGGATGCTATGGGAGTGAATGCCCTACACTCAGGCCACAATGGAAGATTTTCTAGGTTTCTGTGAGGATGAATATCAGGGGAACCAGCCCCCAATATTTCAAACATAGGTTCTTTTCTATTTTCCCTAAGTGTCAGCCAGTCTAAGAAATAAAGGGAAAGAGTACAAAAGACAGAAATTTAAAGCTGGGTGTCTGGGAGACATCTCATGTCGGCAGGTTCCGTAATGCCCCCTGAGCTGCAAAACCAGAAAGTTTTTATTAGCGATTTTCAAAGGGGAGGAGGTGTACGAACAGGGTGTGGGTCACAGAGATCACATGCTTCAAAGGCAATAAAATATCACAAGGCAAATGGGCAGGGCAAGGTCATGAGGCCAGGGCAAAACTGGAATTGCTGATGAAGTTTCATGTCCCGCTGTGCACGCATTGTCATTGATAAACATCTTAACAGGAAACAGCGTTCAAGAGCAGAGAACCGGTCTGACTAGAATTCGCCAGGCTGGAATTTCCTCATCCTAGCAAGCCTGGGGGTGCTGCAGGAGACCAGGGCGTGTTTCATCCCTATCTACAACTGCACAAGGCAGCCACTCCAAGAGCGGCCATTTTAGAGGTCTCCCCCTGGGAGTGTATTCTTTTCCCAGGGCTGTTAATTATTAATATTCTTTACTAGGGAAGGAATTCAGTGATATTTCTCTTACCCGTTTTCAGTAATAAGAGAAATATGACTCTGTCCTGCCCGGCTCCCAGGCAATCAGACCTAATGGTTATCTCCCTTGTTCCCTGAACATCGCTGTTATCCTGTTCTTTTTTCAAGGTGCCCAGATTTCATATTGTTCAAACACACATGCTTTATGAACAATTTGTGCAGTTAATGCAATCATCACAGGGTCCTGAGGCGACATACATCCTCAGCTTATGAAGATAATGAGATGAAGAGATTAAATTAAAGACAGGTATAGGAAATTATAAGAGTATTGATTGGGGAAGTGATAAATGTCCATGAAATCTTCACAGTTTATGTTTTTCTGCCATGGCTTCAGCTGGTCCCTCTGTTTGGGGTCCCTGACTTCCCGCAACAGATGGCATGAAGTAATGTAGGTAAAGTTCTTGCTATACTATGATCCGTTAATAAATGCTAGTTTCTTTTTTTTCCTTACTTGAGATAGTGCCTGGCACATGATGAGTAGTAAAAAATGACTTACAGAGTGATTAAGGAACTACTGAATAATTTCTGAAATTCATCAGATTACAAGTGGAACCACTTTCAGAGGTTATGTATCTGAAAATTTATAATTTTCAAAAACTGAATCTGTGAATATTGCAGTAGACATTAGAGCCAAGAAAACTTCTTTGTGAATATAGCACCAATTCATTTCAGCTACCACCAGATTGTCACCAAAATGCAGCTCTAATTATTACCACCATCATCACCATAACAATATGCCATGGTTTACAAAATATCTTTTGTATATTACCTTATTTTATTTTTGATGAAATTATTTTTTAGAACAGGTTTATAATTACAGAAAAATTGTGAAGATAGTACAGAGAGTTCCTACATATTATATACTCACTTTCCCCCTTATTGACATCTTATAGTTGCACTATAAGATGCACTATTCATGCACTGTTGTTAACTAATGTCCATACTTTATGGATATTTTTATTCCATACTTTATTCACACTTTCATATTTCTCACCTGCTGTCTTTTTTCAGTTCCAGGATTCCATCCAGGATACTGCATTATATTTAGTTGCCATGCTTTCTTAGACTTCTCTTGGCTGTGACAGTTTCTCAGACTTTCCTTGTTTTGATGACCTTGACATTTTGAAAAGTGGTGGTCAGCTGTTTTGTAGAATGTCTCTCATTTGTGATTTGCCGGATTTTCTCATGATTAGATTGGGGTTATGAATTTTTGGGAGGAGGACCACAGAGGCAAAGTGCCATTTTCACCATATCAAGAGTACAGACTATAAACATGCCTTATCCTCTTACTGATGGCCTTGATCATCTGGCTGAAGTAGGTTTTGTCAGATTTCTCCACTGTAAAGTTATTCATTTTGCCCCCATCTATAGTGTACTTTTTCCTTCATTTAATTTTCAAATTTACAAAGGCCTCATAAGCAATGGTGGTGTCATAAATAGAAATAAGCAAGTTCCGTGAATCATAGATGTGTTACGGAGATCAAATAGGCAATGCTTCCAAATGTGCTTTGAGATGTGTCAAATATATGCATTTATGCTGATATTTTTAATTGATAATTGATGATATTTCAAAGAAGTAAATCTTCAAGAAATTTGAGGTCTTGGTATAGGATAATGGGAGAAATGCTCTGGATGACAGAGTCTTTTGATCAGTCTTAAAACTTGTATCTTTTTGAGTGACCACCTGCTCTCTTTCAGTACAAAGCCAAAATTATATACCTTTCTGGTGGACACTTGTCAAATGCAAATTTATGATGCAGAAATTTTGAGCAAAAGCAGGAGCAGGGGATCCATAATACAACATTTTCTCAGATATTTAGAGCAAAATTGGAGCAAAAATGGTTTACTTTTACCATCATTCTCTTTTCATGCTCCTTAACTGAGATCTGAAATATAAGAGAGGAAAAATATGAAGCAAAAAAAGGAGAGAGGACCGGAAGATTTAGCCTGGGAGTGGTAGCTCCTGAGTGATTTATTATGGGCCAGGGAAAGCTTAGTCTTTCTTCCATATTTTCCAGGAAGGATGTGATGAGTTGCAACAACAATCTGGTGACTATTGCAGGCTTGTTTGAATAAGTCCTTCTTTATGCCTGGCTCCTTTTAAACTTGTGTTCTGTGCCTACCTCAGGTTAAATGGCTAATCAGTTTTCTCCTGCCTCCAAGAAGTAAGTCTCTGAGGAGCTTTACAATTTTACTAGTTCAAGAACATCAACATTTCTCCACATTCAGCATGAACCAGAGGTGAAGCAATGGCCGTAGTTGCTCTTTGTGAAAATACTTCTCTCTTTGGGCTTTAAATCATGTCTTTTTCCTCTCCACCACTGGTTTCCTCCTTTGCAATGGAGTGTTTTCTGATTATTTTCCCACTACTCTTCCAAAAATTCCGGAATCTATGAGAATTAAAGGCACAATCAAATTTTAAATAAATACCTAATTTTCTTTATTTGTATGTAGAGGAGTGTCCATACCATTGCCGTGTTCATTAAAAAAGTTATTTAGGGAGATCTTGAAGCAGCGAATTTGATTTTACTTTGTTGATTTCTTATTCAGAGATGCTGCTGAAGAATAGCCATTTTGCGGAGTGAGGGTTTTTAGGTTTAGGATAGGCTGTGGGACATAATGTTTAAGGCTATGAAGTTTGGAGTCAGATTACCAAGGTTATAACTGTATTCTACTACTTACTACCTATGAGACTTAGGGCAAATTACTTAACCTCTCTGTGTCTCAGTTTCCTTTTCTGCATTGAGCATAATAGTCCTAACTCATAATCATCCTCCTCATTGTGAGGATTAAATGATTTAATGTATGTAAAACACTTAGACCAGTGTCTGGCATAGTAAATTCTTTACGTGCGCTATTTGTTATTTGTAATAACTATAAAAATTCATTGGCATGGATGCCAGTACTCTGCATTTGTTCTCCCTCCCTCTCTCATCTTGTGTCCGGGAAGTTGGCTGCTGACTGCGAACAGCATTACCTCAGCCCCCTTTTCAGGTGACCTGCAGATGGATTCAGCCCTAGGAGGACTGGAAAGTCATGGTGGATGGAAGGCAAAATAGGTGTGGTTCTTTTTTCCTTGCTTCTTCCCTGCTTCTGTGTAGCGGTTTCTCTTGCAATAGATGTGGTCCTCTGTGATTGAGCTCCTGGTGGGCAGCCCCTTCTGCAGCTCCAACTCTCACTGGGCTTCTTAAATACTCTTTCCTCCCTGTCCCTTTCAGCCCTAGGAGTGGTAATGCTTTCCATGGGTGGCCTCTGGGTGTCTTAGCATCTCTCATTTTTAGCTCAATCCCTCCTACACCCTGTCCTAGGTCCCTTTATAGGCCTTTCTTCACTTGAACTATCTGGGGGAGAGTTTTTTTTTCATGAAACTGCAACCCATACAAGCTTCTATAACTTTACATTAAGATGTGGCAATTTTGGAATGCCCCAACTCTAAATCTGTTCTTGTTAATAAGCCAGAAAAGCTTCATTTAAAAATTGTATTTATTATTTGTAAATATCATGCCTCTTAATTCTCACATTAAATTTCCTGAGGACAGAAATTTGTATGTGTGTGTATGTGTGTATTCCTTGTAGCTTTTAGCACAGTGCCAGATATATAGCAGGTGGTAAAAAAAATAACCCTCTACATTCCTTTTCAGAACAGTGGACATGATGGTTTACTCCAGCGACACATTAAAAGCTTTGCAACTATAGCTGCTTTAGTTTAAATCTCTCAACAATTACTTGTTAAGTTTTAAAGGATTTATTGCTTGTGAAAGGTGCCAAAATAATAGCACTGTGGAAGAAAATCCTGTTGTCTCACAACAGACTGTGACT
The DNA here is from genome assembly GCF_000001405.40 of Homo sapiens. Classification (NCBI taxonomy): domain Eukaryota; kingdom Metazoa; phylum Chordata; class Mammalia; order Primates; family Hominidae; genus Homo; species Homo sapiens. Next base: position 127,403,688 of record NC_000004.12, on the reverse strand, counting down.
GTCCAAGCTCTGCTTCCTGCCAGAGAGCCCAGTGGAGCTGATTGAAACATTGGCTCATTTTTAACTGGAGTTTTGATGTTCTGGGAGACTGGGTGGTTTACCTCCCCCTTCGGAAATTCCAGGAGAGAACTAGGTTAAGTGTTTTCTCTTTCCAAGGAGTCTTTCATACAGTCCTCCTGCTACATCCTTGAGTAGACTCAACTCCTTAAAGAGGGAGTAGTTAATTAATTTCATGTCTATGTACTTTTGTCTGCAGAGGAAGATGTCTGTAATGTGGGAGACATGGCCCACAGAAATGGTTTGGTGACCTAAATAATCGTAAACAAGATCCTAGATATAACTTGGCTCTTAGCATAGAAAGCACTTAAGTGCAATTATAGGCATAAATATTTAATCTTCCTGAGGAGAGAAATGTAAGTGGCTGTGTGAGTTACTTGACTAGTGGGTCTTAGAGCTCCATTCTTTTAACCTCTAAAGCAAGGGGTAACAACAGCTATCTTGTACGTTTATTGTGAGAATTAGAGATGTTTACAGAGTACCTAGAATGTAGCAAGTGCTCAACAAATGTTAGCAAGGAATACTGAGAAAAGCTAGATTGGAATGTGTCTCTGTGTGTTTGTGTGTGTGAACTGAAAATGAATAGAAATGATCACTATGTTTACTTGGTCAACAGTTTTAAAAGGTTATTTACTGCTTATTTGCAAATAGGCCAAGAGGGAGTCTAAGAAACAAAAGAGAACCTCTTAGGGGCTTTACCAAGTTAGTGTTAGGGTAGAATGACTAATTTTTCAATATCTCAGGAAGATTTTTCAGGCTATTGTTAGAGCTTTGGGTATTTTATTTTATACATCATTTTACATGATTTGGGAATATTTTAATAAGAAACTGAAAAATTTAGTATTCCAGTATTACTAGATTATTTGGGGTATTTTCATCAGCTGAGATAATTAAATGCGGCACACTATTTTATGCACAATAGGATCATACTCTGTTCTTGTCACTCACGTAGCACATCATCACAGAAGACATTCATTGCTCCTAGTACTATTATTCCACTTTCATACAAAAATACCGGAGCTTACATTGTTCACAGAAAAATAACAATAAGAGTGGTTTAAACACTGGAAAGAAGAAATATAAGAAATCCAACAAGAGAGGCGATGGAGAAGAGCCATCATGATATAGTGGGATAGGTACTGGAACTGAAGCCAGAAAGCTGCAATTATGCCAGCAGATAGCTGTGGTACTGTATGAGAGTTCTCTAAAGAGGCAGAACCAATATGATCAATCAGTCTATCTATCTCCATCCATCCATCCATCCATCCATCCATCCATCCATCCATCCATCCATCCATCCAGTTAAAGATACAGTTGTCCCTTGATATCCTGGGGAGTTTGATTCCAGGACCCCCCACAGATACCAAAATTCATGAATGCTCAAGTCCCTTATATAAAATAGCAAAGTATTTGCCATTTACCACCTATGCACATCCTCCCATGTACTTTAAATTATCCCTAGATTACTTATAATACCTAATACAATGCAAATGCTATGTGAATAGTTGTTATACTGTATTGTTTGTAAGTTTGTATATTTTATTGTTGTATTTTAAAAAGTACTTTTGGTCTGTGATTGGTTGAATCCATGGATGCAGAACCTGCAGGTACAGGTGCAGGCTGACTGTATTTATTATAAGGTTTTGGCTCATACAGTTATCAAGCTTGATAAATCCCATAATTTGCTGTCTGAAAGCTGAAGATCTCAGAAAGCTGGTGATGTAGCCTGAAGGTCTGAGAGCCTGGGAGTCAGTGGGGTAGATTCCAGTATGGGTTCAAAGGCCTGAGGACCAGGAGCATAGGGGGCAGGAGAAGATGGATGTTCCAGCTCAAGTAGTTTAATGTTCCTCTGCCTTTTTGTTCTATTTCAGGCCCTCAGTGTATTGGATGATACCTGCCAATACTGGTAAGAGCTGATCTGCTTTACTCAGTCTACTGATTTAAATGCTAATCTCTTTCAGAAACACCCATACAGACGCATCCAGAAATATAATGTTTAATCAGCTATCTGGGCATCCTGTGGCCCAATCAAGTTGACACATAAAATTTACTATCACAGTTACCTTAGACAAGTCAGTTAAATTCTCTGAGCCTTGGCTTCCTCATCTGTAATAAATGGGTATTGCACCTTACCATCTTGAAAATTGCTTCCTATGATTCACTCTGCTTAGCTAGTGTATAAAAAAGATTAGCATTTATTTATCTAATTTCAAAAGTACTTGCTCAATACAGAAAATCTGAAAAACCAAGAAAAACACCATGCCATGCCCCTCCCTTCACTTTCATCTATATTCTTCAGAGGTAATCACTGTAATATTTTGGTTCTGCCCAGTTATTCTAAGCATAACTACACTTTTACATTTAAATGCCTTTTCAGTTAGTAATTAAGTAAAAAAAACCTATAAATTTGAGAAAATCATAGAAATTATTCTCCTGTCCTTCCTGGGTATTAGGTGTATTTAAAATAGCAATCTATGGGAAACAATGCTTCCATCTTTGACAGCTAACTTTCCAATAAATGAATCTAATGTTGGAGTTTCTTAACAGGTGGAAGCTTGTTGGTTGGCATTTGCCATAGGAAGGAATACTTTTGGGAATGAAGTTCTTGGAGAAGGCCACTTAGCCCAATCACAAGTGGGGACTCTCTTGCTAAGGTTTCATGATATGCTCACCAAAGGATAGGCAATCTCCACTAGGTGGTAGTGTTGCCACGTGGCCCAAGAAGATAAGCTGCAAGAAACTGGCTAAAGATTATGTGAATATTAAAGACAGAAGTTTGGACATGAACAGCAAACCTGCTGAGGGCCAAGCAATATGATTTTTGACTTGTTCTAAGTGAGAGCCAGCTGAAGACTTGTCTGGAGGACAGTCACATGTATTATGTATATGCTTTAAGGTGTATTTATAAAACACACACACACATGCGCACACACACACACACACACACACACATAAAATAGATATAGGGAATTATGTCATCTGGGAACCAAACTAGGAGAGCAAATTTCCCTCAAAGAGGTAAAAAGTATAATATGTAATATGATAATTACATAGTGCACACAAGATGTATTTTGAACTTTTCGGAAATAAACCTTTCAGGCGCAAGTTCTGTTGCCAAATAATAATAATAGCCAGAAGAGAACTATGTCTGTGGTTTTCGTATAATCTCTTCCAGTTCCTCACACACACCAAATTATGCTCAGTAAAGTGGGGATAACACATACTTTTCAGGGCAAGTTCGGTAAATTGAACTCTTTCGACCAAAACACTAGCAAAACAACATTGAAAGATCACAATATTTAGCTTCTCTTTCAGAGTACACATAAACATCAGGAAAGAATGAAGATACCCTCATTTAAAAATCATTAAAAATTTTTGGATTTGAAATGACAATTTAAGCTTGGTTTTCTCAGACTTGGTAGATTTTACTTACAGACAAGTCTTTTTTAGGGGTCATTCAATGTTTTAGTGTCTTCTTTACTCTTACATATAAAAAATTGTTTTCCTTTTTGTATCTCATTATTTTTTTCTCCATAATGATATTTATATCCCCCCTTTTACTGGAAATAAGATAGATGGAAAGGGATAAACCTTTTATGATTCCATTTTACCATATTTCTCCATGGTAAGAAGATACAGTGGAATTCATTCAGCACAGAGTTAAAAATAGAATTAAAACATGCAATGTACATCAAACTGACATTGTACCTTGACACCTAGAAACTGTACAAGTAGGTGGTTTTAATATTAGAGTAAAAATAAGAACCTTTAATTTTCTTCTACCAACCTCTTCCTTTTTCTCTTTTCATGGAATGTGCCTCTGAGGTGGATGCTCCATTGAATTTTTCCTAATATTTGTGATTTCTTGCAAGCTATTAATATGTGTGAGCAGCAGAGTTTGACGGCCATGGGCCTTGGATGACTGCTTTGGCCTGGGGATATTCCTAGGTCAAAGGATGCCCTGAAATTCAGGTGGGTGGCAGGACTGACTCCAGAAATCTAGGTCTACTTTGAGGAAAAATCCAGGAATACTGATCTGACAAAAACTCTGAGGTCATTTTGGAAGCGGCCAAGATGCTCAATAGTCTCTTACAGATTAAGGCCAGCACAGGCGTAAACTGGCCAACCATGCCTGTGTGCAGTTGGTTTTGGATGACAGGGATGAAGCTTTCTAAGAGTAAGCTACAGTGGCCTCAGCTCTCGGTCAAGTGTATGTATATGTATGCGTGAGGAGACTTAATTAAGAAGGTGGGATTGTTGTAGTAATTTCCTTTGAGTCCTCATTTAAAATTGACTTTAAATGCTATTAGCTCTTGAGGTGAGGGGAGAAGGAAAGGGAGTAGAAGGTTAATTGCTAAGAGTAAACACATCCAGTGGTGGTTCTGCCATAGGCCACTTGAGAGTCAAATTTAGATCCAGATGAGATTTGAGGTATCTTCTGGGCCATAATCCTTCTTGTACCAGGAACCTTTGTCAGTTGTAGTCTGAATCTAATTTTTGTAGAAGTTTGAAAAATTCCTAACTCTGCTAAACCTCGCTAAGGAGTTGAAGTCTACTTGAGATACCATAAAATTTTATGTGCTTATTACTGTAGACTTTTGGAACAAAACCAAATATAAATAAATATACAAACAAAAGTATAAAATATTTCTGGTCATGTTTAACTTACTTGATTCTTTGGGTAAGGAGATTTTTTAAGCTTGGCAAAAATATTTTACTCTACCATAATTTAAGAAGAGTAACTGCAGTATGCTGTCCACTCTTTTGTCTGTGAATTTTTATATTTTCAAGAGAACAAGAGCACATAATATTTTTGCAATCATGGTGGTCTCTTTTTCTTTAAATTCTGAAGGATACCATCGCTGCCAATGGATAAAATTTCTTCTGGGAGTACAGATAGACTTCCATACAGGATTACTTTGCAGTAAAGTCAGAAATCTGAAGCACATGATTTAAATGGTTAAGCAGTGCTTGCAAGCTGTGATATCAGAGGAAATAACTGCTATTAAATGAAAGCTGAATAGCAGTGTACAGGGGGAAAAATTCTCATTTTCATCAACTAATAATCAAAACAGTTTGACACTGGCCAGAGAGAGCCAAAAAATATGGAAACGATTATTGAGTTGAATGAAATATCACAAAATTATATGTTATTTTGCATTTTGAGTTTTTAAGGTAAAAACATTTCACGAAGTTTCTATTATGTATTGACCAAATAAAAGAAAAATGGTTAGGAGTGGGTTTAAAGGCAAAAGTAAGAAATGTGATATCTTAAGATACCAGTGGAAAAATGTTTGGATTATTCTGACTTCCACATGCATAGCTCTACTTTAAATCCCACAGCTCACTGCCTATATTATTAGGTTGGAATAACCAATTCTATAATGGAGTAAAAATGATTTCACTGACAAGAAAAAGATGCCTTATAAGTCTAGTTGGGGTTTTGATCAAATGCGTAGAGTTCACTTTGTCTTAAACAAGAAAGTGATGGTGATTGTCATTAAAGCTCATGCTCTGTTTTTACTTTTGTGGGACCATTATACCCCCTAACTGCATAACACTACAATAACAAAATCACGTTTCCTGCTATTTCAAGAAATCTGAAATGGTGATGAAAGACATTTCCTACCAATGATGTCAGTGGTTATTTAATTGCCATTAAGATGGTAATGAAACTCTTTCTTGTCACTTACACCTGATGAAGTGTTCTTGATCAGATTGTGTGAAAAAATGACTGCCATTATATTATTGCTCTTTCTAAAAACTAGATTTTCATTGCTTTAATAATGTTAGCAAAGCAAGCTGAATTATGTTTGGCATTAGTTCTTGAATTATTGCCTCTAAATAGTATTATAAAAATTAAACTACCTTAGTTTTCCGTACTAAGGATAACTTACCTTTTTTTTTGCAATATTGAGAAAAACCTCATTTTTCCATTACTTGAGATAAAAATAAATCACCCATTCTAGATCTCAAATTGCCTCTGTCTTATTAATTTTAACTACCACTATCATTTTTTTTTCCTGAAGTCTAGAGCTATGCTTAAGTCACATCCATGGGACATAAAGCAAATTAAAAATTTCTGGATATTTTTTCTTGGCTTGAGATATTAAGGAATACGTAATAGTCCTCTCTTCTCTCACATTAATCTTGATATTTTCTGTTACCTGATTAACTGCTTTCTTTACTTGGCCACCTTCTAGGAAAGGCTGGAAAAGAAAGAAAATAAACAAAGACTATAAAACAGGAAGAGAGCTTATAGCATCAGTTCAGAAGTAGAGAAGCAACATTATCACTGGCATAAGAAAATTTCCCTATATCTCAAACCCTAAACAAGGCTATCGATCTTTAACTGAAAGTTGATGATAGTATGGTTAGTTGGAAAAAATATCAATGATGGATTCTATTTCTTAAACATTATTTTATTTCCAATTTTTGGGGTACATAGTAGGTATATATATTTATGAGGTACATTAGATGTTTTGATATGGGCATGCAATGTGAAATAATCACATCATGGAGAATGGGATATTCATTGCCTCAAGAATTTATCATTTGTCTTACAGACAATCCAATTGCACTCTTTAAGTTATTTTAAAATATACAATTAAGTTATTATTGACTATAGTCACCCTGTTGTACTATCAAATAGTAGGTCTTATTCTAACTATTTTTTTTGTGCCCGTTAACCATCCCCCAATGACAGAGTCAATTTTCTTTACCCTTGCAACTGAATTTGACAATGTGACTTACTTTGGTTAATTGGACACTGGCAGATGCTAGTGTGATGAACACTTACATGTCGGAGCTTACCCTATCTTGCTATTCTTTGGAACCCTGAGACTTCTGTGTAAAGAAACTCTGAAAGTCCCACTAGAGCAAGCTTGTCCAACCCACGGCCTGTAGGCCACATGCAGCCCAGGACAGCTTTGAATGCAGCCCAACACAAATTTGTAAACTTTCTGAATACATTATGAGATTCTTTTGCGGTTTTAAAAAACTCACCAGCTATCGTTAGTGTATTTTATGTGTGTGGCCCAATACAATTCTTCTTCCAGTGTGGCTCTGGGAAGCCCAAAGATTGGACACTGCTGTACTAGAGGATGAGAGAACACATGGAACACATATGACCTGTCCTCGCTCAGGTCTCTCTAAACCAACATGCCTGCCAACCCTCAGACATGTGAGTGGGACCATACTAGATTATTCAGTCCCAGCCAAGTTGGTGAGGACCAGAAGATCTGCTCAGTCAATTCACAGACTTATAGGAGATAAACATGATTGTTATTTTAAGTCATTAAGTTTTGGGACTATTTGGTATACAAGTAAAAGCTAATTGAAACAAATATAAAACTGGAACATTTGTTTTGGATGAAAAACACTGTCTCACCAAATTTCTGTTTTAAGTGCTTTTATTTCTATTATTGAAAAGGTACTTCAGCGGAAAAGTTGGTTTTAGTTTCATGAAGTCAGTGTAGCATGGGTAGCCTGGTCTGTAAAGATTCAATGACTTGAGTCATTTTAGTTGAAAACTATACTTTTCTCTTGAATTCCTGGGTGCCTCCATAAACTTTGTAAGATCTGGTTGCAATAATCTGTCAAGATACCATCACTTTTTAAATTATTAGGCTTTTCATTTCAATTTTGCTTATATGTTTTTAAACCATTACTTTTTATGTGAACATTTGGGAACCAAACGCATTAGCTATTGCGAATTTAATGTGACACATCATAGATGTAAGTAACATTAGCGGTAACACATTTTTTTACATTCCCATTGGAACTGGCAGCAAATTCTCAAAACTATCTGAGAAAGACTTTGCTGTATTTACTGTCAATAAGAATTATATCACAGATGCATGTATAGAACACATCTTCGTTCTGTCTATTGAAGAATATCTGGACGACAAAAATCCATTTATATTTGAATATATGCTCTCTCTCTCTTTTTTTTTTTTTTTTTGAGACAAAGTTTTCCTCCTGTTGCCCAGGCTGGAATGCAATGGTGCGATCTCGGCTCACTGCAAGCTTCGCCTCCCAGGTTCAAGTGATTCTCCTGCCTCAGCCTCCCAAGTTGCTGGGATTACAGGCACCGGCCACCACGCCCAACTTATTTTTTGTATTTTTAGTAGAGATGGGGTTTCGCCATGTTGGCCAGGCTGGTCTTGAACTCCTGACCTTAGATGATCCACCCGTCTCGGCCTTCCAAAGTGCTGGGATTACAGATGTGAGCCACTGCACCTGGTCTGCTCTCTATTTTTTTTTTTTTTTTTTGTTGAGACGGAGTCTTGCTCTGTCACCCAGGCTAGAGTGTAGTGGCATGATCTCGGCTCACTGCAAGCTCTGCCTCCTGGGTTCATGCCATTCTCCTGCCTCAGCCTCCCGAGTAGCTGGGATTACAGGTGCATGCCACCACGCCCAGCTAATTTTTTGTATTTTTAGTAGAGATGGGGTTTCACCATGTTAGCCAGGATGGTCTCGATTTCCTGACCTCGTGATCTGCCCACCTCAGCCTCCCAAAGTGCTGGGATTACAGGCGTGAGCCACGGCGCCCGGCCTGCTCTCTATTTTTAAAAAATTGATTGATATAGGTTGTTGACTGAGTGTGAAACTGTTGGTGAATTCAAGAAATTGCAGGGCTTAGAAATTGTGAGCATTCATCTTATTCTAGGGTTGTCTTGCCTTTTGTTATAATTTTGTCTTGACATTTTGATTGATACATGTACTGAATTCCTTTTGGATAGGTTGATTTGAAAGCTCAAATCCCAGGGATGGACAGAATAGTTTTTCATTTTATTTTTTGTCCAAGATGTTCAGAGTTGCAATCTATTCTTTTAAATACATGTTTTACCAGATGATCCAGCTCTTTGGAACCAGCTGGCTCTATATTACTCTGTTAGAAAATAAGTTTTAAAAACTGCAATCTAAAATCTGGAAGAGTTACCCATCTGGATTAGTGACAACTTTGCGTTTTCAAAGAGGAAATATAATTCATGCTACAAGTTATTATTTTGGAGAAAATTATATGTAATGAGTGAAATTTCATGTCTAATACCTTGCTCCAAGTTTTATTGATAGCAATTTAAAATTAAATCGTTTAGCTTTATGTCAAGGCAGCTATCAAGCTAGCTGTATATCAAACTGAGAGGACCAGACAGCCCTACTTATGAGTATCAATGAACTCAAGTATAGCAACTTTCTCAGTATGAAAGGAAACAAGTCTACTTAGATCTGATTTCAAGTAAAGAATTTATTTTTCTACTTTAACATGTTCCTGTCAATTTTGTTTGAGATGGTATTTGCTATGCAGTAGGTTTAAACTAATCCTGTTGCTTTTTTTTCCTAAAAGAAAAAAATATTTGTTTACTTCTGGTGGAGAGGTTAGATTGTATGTGGTCATTCTTTTAATAAGAATGGATAAGAACAAATATCTGACCTATGAGTACAGCATACAGTTCCTCTAGCACTGACATATCAAGTCTCAGAGTATTATGCTTTAAAAAAATGGTAGAATTTAGAGTTAGGTAATTTGGGCCTAATCTGCTGATTTGTTGGGTAGTCTTCAGTAACTCACTTAACCTCAGTTATAAAATGCTTTGAAATCCTTAGATGAAAGTTCCTGTGTTTGAGACAGAGTATCAGACTTGATTCTTATTTTATACAATCCTCAGGGGAAATTTTGAGAGCATTACATAGAACTAGAATTTGGCACAATAAAATTATAATGGATTTGGGGATTAAGTGAGCATGTTCAGTTTTTATGATTATTAACCATTGCAACAGCTCTGAATGATGGCAAAACATTCGTTTTTGTAGAGACTAGGTGCTGCAGAGAGAAATGAATGAGGCTCCTCAGTGGCCTGGCAATTAAAGCCAAAAAGAATCTTTGATTGTTCAAAATGGCTTAAAACAATGATGAGCATGTGGTGATTTTTCAGCTTTTATCCCCAATGAAAGATTAAAAGATACTTAAATAAAATGCAATTATCATTTAAAATATCTCCCTTCAGGGACATCCTGCTTTACACGTATCTGATTCTGGGAGAAGGACTGGGGAAGGCCCTGAGGTGGCACTGGGCTTCACAGTGTCAGACATGTCAGGCCTGGATGCCTAGAATCAGACACTGAAGTGCTATCTCTAACCCTTTCTTTACTGGTCTGAGGATTGCATGTAGCCCTTTGGAAATAGGGTCACTTTTAAGAGGTGTAAAATCTGCTTTTGCCTATTGGAAATCAGAGATCTCTTAGATTCCCAAACCAAGGTATGATTATAGAAGGGGTAATATTAGGTTGTCATTAGAATGAATATTCAGACAGGACTGTGATCAGAATGTGTCAACGACAATCCTGTGGTCCAGGTCTGATACTGCCCTACTCATGGAATTAACCTAGTGATTGTTCTGGAAGCCTGGATATAGTTTCATTCCAATCACATGGAAAAAGCTTAGTGAAGGAAACTGAAAACATTTTCAGATTCTTTGAGTCCTACTACAAAACCTGACTCTGCACCTACCCTGCATCAGTGCTATACTTGGTTTTGGGGATATGGTGGTTCAATAGACAGACACTATTGGTATGCCTGCTACAGTAAGCAGCCACCCTTCTGAGTGATTGTTGTTTTTAATAAACTTATTATTTCATGTGAATAATAGCCATTTTATATATTGTTCTTCATTTTAGAATGCTATGCTTCAACAGTGACTGCAATCTGAGGTGGTTCCCCCAAAACCATCTAAGATCAGCTTATTTCATTTGTCCAGTAAGCGTTCATTAAAGTAACCTTTATTTTGAGCCTATTTTTTAAGTGCTAGGCACTTTCCCTTGGATTGGAACCAAATTTGTCCTTGGATTAGTATCTGTAATTGATCTCTGGAAAGGCTACTGCTGTTGTGAGACTGCTCCTGAAACTTGTAACCAGCTTGAAGTGTTTGGTTTTACTTGGTCTCACTGGTTTGTCAATATTTATGTCTTCCTTGACACTTAATAGCTAATGTGCTACCATGTGTTGTTCACTACCTTTACATACTCAGCCCCACAAAACTAGCATGTTGTAGATCATAAATACTTTCACCAAACATTTATTGTACCCCTGAAATGCTCTGAGGAAACACAGTGCTTACCTTCAAAGTGCCTTTAATCTAGAGGGGCCATATAAGGAAACATTTACAATAAAGGATGATAAGTGACAAAACAGACATAAGCCTGGGATATTGGTGAAACACAGAAGAGGATTACCTAACTCAGACTCTAGGATGTCAAAATGAAAAGGATAGAACCCCCTTGTACTAGTGATCTATTACTATGTCACAAATTATTATAAAATAAAATGGCTTAAGACGATAATAAGCATTTTTCCCCTTTTCTCACCATTTCTCCGCTTCAGGAATTTGGGAATGTTTAGCTGGGTATTTATAGCTCAGATGTCTCTCATGAGGTAGCAGTTGAGATGCCAGCCCAGGCTGCTGCCATTTGAAGATTTGACTGGAGCCCAAGAATCTGCTATCGAGGTGGTTCACTCACACAGCTTTTAAGTATGTTTTGTTTGTTGGTGGGAGACCTCAATTCCTTCCCACCAAGGTCTTGTCATAGGACTGCTTGAGTGTTTCCATGACATGGACACTGGCTTCTCGCAGAGTTAGTGTTCTAAAAGAGGCCAAAGCAGAAACCCTAATATCTTTTATGACCTGGATTTGGAAGTATTACACCTGCACTTCTGTAGGTATTCTATTGGTTACTTAGGCTAGCCATGATTAAATGTGGTAGGGACTACACACTGGTGTGACTACCAGGAGGTTAGTACACTGGAGGCATCTTGGGGGCTGGCGCTCACACCAATCTTCAGGGCTGTTTAGTATCTGTGATTCAGTGCTAGTCCCAAAAACTTTAACTCACGTGGGCCTTGGCAACTACCACTGATGATGCGGGCCTTTGAATTTCATATATTATAAAGTTTCATATATTACTATTGCTCTTCCTTGAGTCATATGGAATAACAAGATGTTAGGGAAACACTGGATACAATTGTTTCTTAACACAGTGCTACTGAGAAATTAATCCTGGTGGTGTCATTGGCAGTTAATAGGTTTCAGACAACATCACAGAAAAACAGTGTTTGCTGTTAAACATGGGGATTACAAAATAAAGTATTATTTCTAATAGTGTTGCTTAGACATTATCATGGGGCTCCAAGTGGGAACTTCTTTCCTTAGAGGCTTGATAATTAGCCACTTGTGTAGATCGGCCCATATTGTTTGTAGCTTTAATGTGAGTTTCAAGCATTGAGGCAATGAACCATTTAATACTCAATAATGTAAGCATCCTCCACATCCCATCTCAGCATAGTGATGTAGCCAATAAGTATTTGGGGCTTGAGGCTTGAAATCTTTGTTTTATTCAGAAGGGAAAGTGAATGTTGATGATTAAAAGTTAAAAATTATTACATATATTGGATAACAGTATTCTGCTAATACTAGTTTTAGTTTTGTGGTTGTATCAAATGGTGCTAGGAAAAGGGCTTTAATTCTTCTGAATTCTATTAGCCCTTGCCCAACAAGCCAACTCATATAAACATATCATCTAAGTACAGAGTATTTGTTATATACACTCCACTTCAATATTCTGGATTATTTTAAGCCCATTGTATATAAAAATCTTAGGGCTGTCACTGTTCCAGTCCAATCACTTTCCTCTTCATATTAACATAGCTCTAAATTACTATAGTTAAGACTTTTCAGCCTGTTGGGTTTTGGCATGTGTGGTGCACCTGCATTTATCTGCATAAGATCTGGCCCCTTTTTCCTAATATGTCATTATTGGAGAGTGTCAAATTGATTGTGGTTACAGAACCTTTTCTGCCTATATCTTGTTTGCAACCTAAATTGGTTATTAATCTTCCCATTTAAAGCAAGTTTTTCTGCTTTATAACCACTCTGATACTTTGGAAGAGTGCACAATTTTAGTACCAAGCTTGATAGAGTCTAATGCACTTGTGATAGTATTTGATATAGTTTGTAATTTGGTGAAAGTAGAGCTGTATTTAAGCACAAAGTTTCAAGCTGCAGAGATTGGTGAGTATATATTTTAATCTTCCCCACATAATTGATCTTCCTTTGATCTATGTAGGTACCCCATTACTAGCAACCCTTTTGCATATAGCTGTTATGGTCTCTTCTTTATTCTATATTTAACCTAGGCTCTGGGGCACATGTATATCTATTTAAATTTGTTGTGTAATGTGGATACACATTCAGTTATATCTTCTCATAGGCCTGTCAACATCTTTCATTCTGTCTTGTCAAAGACTAACCATACTCCCTACTCCCAGCAATGCTCCTATTGTCTATTTTGTTTCTGTTGAGTTCTGTCTTATCCTTTGGACTTCTGTCTTAAGCAATTTTGAGAAAAGCAACTGGGCATGGAGGGGAAAACTGGGATACCCTTTAAATATTAGGGATCTGAAGATCCCCAGAGGCCAGGTACTCTGAAAGAGTGGGAATATGGTATTAAGAAAATCAACAAAGCTCTTAGGAAAGTTTAGAAACTTTGATATAGAACCACACTCATAAACTTCTTCAGTTTTTCATGACCTTATGGTCTGTATTCTCTCCTTCCCAATTTGCCTGAATTGCCCACTCTGATTTTTTCCAGCATTTCTTCTTCCTTTTACCCCTCCTTTTTTAAAAAATTATTTTTGAATTTTTATTTTTTTGACATTCAATTTGGAATTTTATTTATAAACAGAAAGTCACTATTGAAGCAAACCAGACACTGGGGAAAGTTGCCTGTAGGAGAATCCTAGAATGAAAGACTATGAGTCTTCCCTTAAAGCTCATATATGCTACTTGAAATACTAGCAAATATCATGTTCATTTCTGCTGAATATATATACATACAATATATATGTATGTATTTGAGACAGAGTCTCACTGTGTCACCCAGGCCAGAGTACAGTGGTATGATCTTGGCTCACTGCAACCTCTGCCTCTCGGGTTCAAGTGATTCTCATGCCTCAGCCTCCCAAGTAGCTGGGACTATAGGTGCGCGCCACCTGGCTAATTTTTGTATTTTTAGTAGAGATGGGGTTTCGCCATGTTGGCCAGGCTGGTCTCAAACTCCTGGACTCAAGTGATCCACCTGCCTTGGCCTCCCAAAGTGCTGGGATAACAGGCATGAGCCCTACCCCTTCCTTTTACTCATTTATTTTTCCTCTAGGTATATCCCAAGATCCCTCAACCTTGAAGGAGTCTCACCCTCTTAGCTGCTTCCCTCAGCCTGGCAAAATGGTCAGGAGGCCACTTTCTAATGGGTCAGTTACTCAGCTCTCCTGGCAATATGGAAGTTCCTTCTTCTGCTGGTTAAAAGAGGGAAACCACTGGGAGTATCTCACACTAATTACCTTCTGTTCCTCATTTAGCTCTTCAGTCTCCAGTAGCTGTGCATTACCAGCCATGCCTCTGACTTACTTATTGAATGTTGCTCAAATAATATTTCATACCTAGGTCACCAGCTCTTCCTTTGTCTACAGCAACCTCCCTTCAAGCATTATCTCTCTGTCTCCAACAGATGATTTATTTTCAAATTTTATTGAGGTATTTTGGTACATGATATTTCACCTTTTTAGCCCCCACATCTGAGTTTCTGAATACTAGGGGAAAACATTTTGAAATGATGAGGTTTAGAGTCAATACAAATTCCCCATTTCTCTTAGCCACATTCTAAACTGCTTTGTCCTTTGGTCTGAACTCGGAAAACTAGAGGCACTATTCCAGCTTTCATGAGTCCCCATTCCACCACTACTCCAACCCCTTTTAGTAGGTTTCTCAGAGAACATTGTGATTATCAGAGGTTCACAGTGCCAATGTCACCACTCCTTCCTAAAAATCACATGTTCATGTACATCTGTCTTGATACTTTTCTTCTGTTTTAGAGGAAGGGGTAATGCAGTGTAGACCATGTGTTTTGACATCATGCAGACAGAATTTGAATCATGGCCCTGGTACTTACTAGTTGAAGGTCATGGTCATTGAATTATTATAGTGTAAGTGTCCTCATGTGAAAAGTGAGCATACTACCAATCTTATGGGGATGATTACATAAGATAATACATTTAGGTACAAAGCAGAGTGCTCAGAACCCAGCCAAAAATCAACAAATATCAGTTATATTTCTTTCTCCTTACTTCTTTCCAGTGGAGGCTCCTGGCTCTTTTGTGGTCTTGTTCCATAAACCTTAGAGCTTAGGGTCCCACACCTTTACTATACACTCACTATTTTATATTATAAACTTCTCTCTAAAACCTGTTTTCCATTTTGCTATTGCCTCTTTTTAATATTCTAGCTTATTGAGAAGGTAATCTAAACTTATTGTCTCATTTACTATTACATGGATCAGTGATTGGCTTTCACCTTTATCTGACCATTGAAATTGCTCACATCAAGGTTTCTAGTATCTTCTGAATTTTCAAATAGCATAGATACTTTTCAATCCTTACCTTTATTGATCTATCAATAGCGTACTACTACACCGATTATTCTTTAAAATTCTTATATTATTCCTATGTCTCTGACTGCTCCTTGTAAACTCCATCCTCCTGTCTACCTCTTTAAAGTTAGAATTTCAGTCTCTTCTCTTCCTTCTCTCCCCATCCCTTTTCTCTCCCCTTTTCTCTTAATTCATTTCTCCCGAGGTGTTTTCTTTACACTCAACAACTGCAGAATACTAAGTACATGGGGAATGTCAACTAGGATAGACAAAAAGAACAAACTATGGATGCAACTACAGGGATGAGGCTTAAAAACATTGTTTTGAAGCAAAGAAGTCAAACACAAAAGATTTAGTACTGTATGATCCCAGTTACATGAAGATTATGAACAGGGAGAACTAACTAACATACGGTATTAGAAATCAGAACAATGGTTGCCTGTGGGAGTATGGGGATTGACTGGAATGGTTCCTTGGGAACTTTCTTGGGCTGATTTTGAGCATTTCACTGTATCTAATATTTACCTAAAAATAAAACATCATTGAAAGTCTTAGAGATGGTGGTAAAAAGCAAATGTTACCCTTTCTCCTCTACCTTCTCCTCCACTTTCCATGGGATCTTCAAAGTATTCTGTATTAAACAAGGTGGGTCTGCTTTATCTCAGGCTGCTTTTGACCATGGCATGGATTTTGTAGTTCAGAAGTTTGACCGTCAGGGTGTGACCACCAGAACTGAGGAAGTAGGAAGGAAAGACACCACCATATGCTAGTCACTGGGGCTGACACTGACAAGGTCAGATATTTGGTTGCATGATGAGAAAAGTGTTGGCCAGCTTTATATATGGTACAAACACTGAATTAATGTAACTGTGTGCAAACAGTACTTGGTTTTGATCTTTTCAGCATGCTAGGAGCAGAAGAGGGATGGAAAGCAAATATACCAAACTGACAAATTCTATAAACACAACTATTTGAGGAAATTCTGGTAAAAATGTACAAGCAGTATAAGTACCACTTACTAACATTTGTAACTATGATACTAATACACTCTGATCTAATTCAGGCAAAGTAAACAAGTGTGAAAAATTCACTTGCCTCTTTGAGCAATAAAATGTAATTTCCAAAACTCACAGGTATCTTAAAATGTATTTATTGATTCAGCATATTGAACTGAAATCTGAAGTAATGAAGTCAAAGCATCTTGACTGACTCTGATAGATTCTCTGCCTGTAAGGCTGCATAGACATGCAGATTGTCAAATCACTTGTCATACCATCCAGGGTCTACTGTATTTTTGCTGAAGAGGAGAGCCCTTGATCTGTAACTCTTTCCTTTACACTGAAAAGTAACAAGAAGTTAAATATAATAACTTGTGTCTTTCCAAAGAGATACAACTGTACATATGCAATTGTGAAAAATTTAGCATATTCATGTTTCCTTATAAAAATGTTTCCTTTTACTTTGCACTTTATAGAGTAGCTTCATTCCTTTATGTTTCCTGGAGCCACACTTATTTATTTCATTAGTTCATAGAAATTGGAACCAGTTTATTCTGTCAAGGTACCATAAAGATAGTTTCAGGAAAACAAAGAAGTATTGTTCCACATATGAGAAACAATTTGCTGGTTCAATCTCTTTTTTTCGTTTATTCTATTTGTCTTACTGAAAGAATTGTATCCAGGTTGAATTTTCTTCCTTGCCATTCTGCTTTTACCTCAACATAATTCAACCCTCTATTTAAGGCAATATATTCTATTGGCTTAGAAATGAATTTAAAGTCACAGATTTGACATACTGACTCCATCTCTTTACTAAGCAGAAGTATATGTGCTGGGAAGTTAAGACTCTAAGCCTCTGTTTAGACATGAACCCACATGGTAATCTCTAAAATTAGGAAGGCTAATTGGATTGTTGTAGATGCCTCAAATAGACTTTTTATTTCTTTCCTTTATTCTATTTGTCAGAAGTTTTTTTACTGATACATAATAATATATATTTATGGGGTACATGTGATATTTTGATACATGCATGCAATGTATAATGATCAAATTAGGATATTTAGGATATCATCTCAGACATTTATCGGTTCTTTGTGTTGGGAGCATTTCAACTCTTCTAGTTATTTTGAAATATACAATAAATTATTGTTAACTATAGTATTCTACTGTGCTGTTGAACACTAGAACATATTCCTTCTATTTAACTGTATGTTTATACCTATTAACCAACCACTTTTCATAGCTCCCTCACCCGCACCCCATCATATCCCTCCCAGCCCGTAGTAGCTATCATTCTATACAGTATCTCTATGAGATCAATATTTTTAGTTACCATATATGAGAACTGTAACATTTGTGTCTTTGTGTGGCTGACTTAGTTCACTTAACCTAATAACCTCAAAAGACAAAATTTTATTCTTTTTATTTTTTATTTTTTATTTTGACGGAGTCTTGCTTTGTCGCCCAGGCTGGAGTGCAGTAGCGTGATCTCAGCTCACTGCAAGCTCCACCTCCCGGGTTCACACCATTCTCTTGCCTCAGCCTCCTGAGTAGCTGGGACTACAGGCGCCCACCACCACACCCAGCTATTTTTTTTGTATTTTTAATAGAGATGGGGTTTCACTGTGTTAGCCAGGATGGTCTTGATCTCCTGACCTTGTGATCCACCCGCCTCGGCCTCCCAAAGTGCTGGGATTACAGGTGTGAGCCACCACGCTGGGCCTTATTCTTTTTAATGGCCAAATAACATTCTATTGTGTATATATACAACAAATTATTTTGTTCATCTGTTGTTGGATGCTTAGGTTGATTTCATACCTTGGCTATTGTAAATAGTGCTGTAATAAATATGCAGGTGCAGCTATCCCTTTCATATACTGATTTAATTTTCTTTGGGTATATTCCTGGTAGTGGAATTCCTGAGTCATATAGTGGTTCTCTTTATTTTTTTTGAGAAATTGTCATACTGTTTTCCATAATGGATGTATTAATTTACATTCCCACCAACAGTGTTTAAGTGTTCTCTTTTCTCTGCATCTTTGCCAGCATTTGCTAGTTTTTTTTTTTTTGTCATTTTGATAATAGCCATTCTAGCTGGTGTGAGACCATATCTCATTGTGGTTTTGATTTGCATTTATTTGATGATTAGTGATGTTGGTCATTTGCATGTCACTTTTGTGAAATATCTATTCAGATCCTTTGCTCACTTTTTAATGGGATTATTTTTATTTATTTATTTATTTGCTATTGAGTTGAGTTCCTTGAATATTCCGGATATTGGTCCTTGTTGAATGAATAATTTTCAAATATTTTTTTCCCATTCTACAGGTTGGCTCTTCACTCTGTTGATGTTTTCCTTTGCTGTGCAGAAGGTTTTAGTTTAATTTAGTCCCATTTGTTTATTTTTGTTTTTGTTGCCTGTGCTTTTGAGGTCTTAGCCATAAAATATTTGCCTAGACCACTAGTTTTCTCCATGATAAACCATTATAATATCCAAGGTTTCTTTTATAATTACTATTACCAAA
Source organism: Homo sapiens (assembly GCF_000001405.40). Taxonomy (NCBI): domain Eukaryota; kingdom Metazoa; phylum Chordata; class Mammalia; order Primates; family Hominidae; genus Homo; species Homo sapiens. The sequence goes on along the minus strand of NC_000004.12, from coordinate 127,384,628 downwards.
TAAATCAATTAAGCAATGTTAGGACTTTCACTTGTTATTAATTAGATTTATAAGGTCATCTTTATTCCACAATGTGCCATCTAGCATACTTAGTGATGGCCTTCAGACATATAGTGTGTGTCTCACTATCTCTCCTTGGCCATAACAGACATGTGTATGTGAAAATGGATATTTCATGTACAATTGTTGGGTATGCCTGTTTCGTGCATTTTCTCTCTCTCTCCTTCTCTTCCTCTCTCTAGATACACACACACACATAAACAAACACACAATATGTGTATGTATATGTATATAGGGATATTCTGAAAAAATAGATTGATTACATGACATACCCAGTATCTTATTGCCTCTTCTCCCTTTCTTTTTTCCACCCTTAAGAAGAAATTTAGTGAGTAAATATGAGGAATTGATGTGATTATCACCACCATTTGGCCTAGTAAGCTTTTGGCTTTGTCCTTCCACACTGCTGTTTTACACCTCTACAGAGCTGGTGCTGTGCATACAGATAGGCACTCAGCCTGCAGAAACAGTTTGTATACTTTATTTCACATATCAGGATACGCATTGCACCCAGAGACATGGCTCCCAAGTTCCTGTCACAGGAAATGTCATACAATATATTGATCATAAACATCCTGAAAATTGGATCTGGTCTCTTTAATATCATATTTGCTGTTGCAATGGAAATGTTTCCTAATAAAAGTATCCAGACCTGCCAAACCAGTGTAGTGATCTCCAGTGTAATGTACTGCTTTCCAAGTACTCTACAATTTTATGATACTAATGCCATGTCACCAAACTTGGCCACCAAGCTTGCTGCAGAAAGTTGAATTCTTAGCAAAAATGCTTTTATAATGACTCCCATTCTCTTGCTCAGACTAACTCTCAAATCATGAAAATGTCCAAATTCATTATTAATTTTTTTTATTATTCCTCATTGAGTTCTCTGGTATAGAACTAACCATTTGAAAACTACTCATCTTTTTAGTCTACTTTATTTTGATTGAGGGCCTTTTGTTGATTCTTTCCATGCAAATTATTTTAAGGCGAGAGGAAGGACAAAATGAGAATTCATATTTTCAGTCTTCCTTCTTACCAGTGTTTGTGTTTTCTTAGGTTAGTGAGTCAGTGTTTATGAGGATGGCTTGTTTTGTTTTGCTCAGTGGATTTTTTTGGTTATGCATGTGTAAGATGTTGATTTGTGGCTCTGATGCCCATTTATTCCTTCTTTGTTTTTAATGATCTGAACCCTAATTTAAATATAGTTTTTTCCAGCTTGTTATAAATATTGTTGTTAGTTAAAGCAATGAGAAGCACAAACAATCCCTGGAGGAAAATGCTGGTGATGTCCTTTTTTATAAAGAGAAATATTGGGTTTGCTCCTGTGTTCTTTTCTGGGACTAAAACTTTTACCTTAAAGTGTGCCATCCTTTAAAATCGTTTTGACTTGGCTTCTTATTCTTATAGGTTTCAGAGTATCTCAGTATCATTTGAAATCATAGCAATTCCTTTGTGTACACTCTTTTGGGTTCATTTATAACATAAGACTAATTCCAGGATTTATTCTTGCAGAGCCTGTTTATACTTTCTACTCTGTATTTATCCCAAGCATAAAAAGTAACCCTTGGTCTTCCTGTTACTTGTCTCTAATTTAGTTCCCTATCCATGACAATCAGTCCTCACCATCCTTTACTCAAAATTAATATAAATGTATCTTTTGGTATAGAACTTTGTCAAAGGAATTTTGAAAATCAGCATTCTATATAGTACACATTACTTTTATCATAACTTTACTGTTAGATACAATTGCCTATGGGAGGAATAATTATCTAATAGTGAAGTTATGATAAAATGAATATTACTTAATCCTGACTGGAGAGATATAGGCAGAGTTCTCAAGCTAAGGGGTCCTTTTCATTAGAGCGAGAGATTGAATAATGCCAAATAAGGCAAAGTTCTGTACTGATTATCTATAAAACTTGGCCAATCAAGGCAACTATATTCCATGCTTGTCATTGGGGTAGAAAATAGAAGAGAGGAATGGTGAAAAGGAATAAAAATATGAGCTAAGAAAGGTAGAAAGCTCTTCAAAACAGGTGGAGAAGTGATACATACATGAGTATTATACACATATACATAAGTATGGGACTGAAGAAAGTAAAAGAGAAGCAAAATGTTTGAATACACAGGATTTGTCTGTCTTAAAAATAATATTTATCTTTATTCCTGTTTGTTATTTAGCCTATTAATTTTGAGGACTGTAACAGTGTGTCAGTTTTTGAATGGAATTAGAATGACGGTTGAAAATTCTAGTCATAATGTGAACAGATTTTAAATGAAAACAGTGGGCATCTGGAGAAAAGTATAGTCTTTTTAATAAATGGTGTTAGAACAAACAAATGGACATCTGTGTGAAAAAAAAAGAATCTCAACACAGACCTTATATCCTTTACAAAAATTAACTCAAAATGGATCATAGATGTAAATAGAAAATGCAAACCTATAAAACTGCTGGAAGATAACATAGGAGGAAATCCAGATGATCTTGGGTTTGATGTTGACTTTTTAGATATGACAACAAAGGCACAGTCCATAAAAGAAAGAACTGATAAACTGGATTTCATCAAAATTAAATATTTCTGCTGTGTGAAAGAGAATGAAAAGACAAACTACAGACTGGGAAAAATATTTGCATAAGACATATCTGACAAAGTACTGTTATCCAAATTATGTAAAGAACTCTAAAAACGCAACAAAAAGCAACACGATTAAAAAGTGGGCCAAAGATTTTGAAAACTCACCGAAGAAGATACACAGATGGCAAATAAGCAAGCATATGAAAAGATGCTGTACGTAATATGTCATCAGGGAAATGCAAATTAGAACAACCATGAGATACTGCCACAAACCTATTAGAATGGCCAAAATTCAGAAAACTGACAACAAAAAATGCTGGCAAGGATGTGGAGCAACAGGAACTATCATTCATTGCTGGTGGTACTGTGTCCGGAATTGGTGGGTTCTTGGTCTCACTGACTTCAAGAATGAAGCCGCGGACCCTCGCAGTGAGTGTTACAGCTCTTAAGGTGGTGCGTCTGGAGTCTGTCCCTTCTGATGTTCAGATGTGTTCGGAGTTTCTTCCTTCTGGTGGGTTCGTGGTCTCGCTGGCTTAGGAGTGAAGCTGCAGACCTTCGCGGTGAGTGTTACAGCTCTTAAGGTAGCGCGTCTGGAGTTGTTCGTTCCTCCCGGTGGGCTCGTGGTCTTGCTGGGCTCAGGAGTGAAGCTGCAGATCTTCGCGGTGAGTGTTACAGCTCATAAAAGCAGTGTGGACCCAAAGAGTGAGCAGTAGCAAGATTTATTGCAAAGAGTGAAAGAACAAAGCTTCCACAGTGTGGAAGGGGACCCGAGCGGGTTGCCAGTGCTGGCTCGGGCAGCCTGCTTTTATTCTCTTATCTGGCCCCACCCACATCCTGCTGATTGGTAGAGCCGAGTGGTCTGTTTTGTCAGGGCGCTGATTGGTGCGTTTACAATCCCTGAGCTAGATACAAAGGTTCTCCACATCCCCATCAGATTAGTTAGATACAGAGTTTCCACACACAGGTTCTCCAAGGCCCCACCAGAACAGCTAGATACAGAGTGTCGATTGGTGCATTCACAAACCTTGAGCTAAACACAGGGTGCTGATTGGTGTGTTTACAAACCTTGAGCTAGACACAGAGTGCCGATTGGTGTATTTACAATCCCTGAGCTAGACATAAAGGTTCTCCAAGGCCCCACCAGAGCAGCTAGATACAGAGTGTCGATTGGTGCACTCACAAACCTTGAGCTAAACACAGGGTGCTGATTGGTGTGTTTACAAACCTTGAGCTAGATACAGAGTGCCGATTGGTGTATTTACAATCCCTGAGCTAGACATAAAGACTCTCCACGTCCTCACCAGAGCAGCTAGATACAGAGTGTCGATTGGTGCACTCACAAACCTTGAGCTAAACACAGGGTGCTGACTGGTGTGTTTACAAACCTTGAGCTAGATACAGAGGGCCGATTGGTGTATTTACAATCCTTGAGCTAGACATAAAGGTTCTCCACGTCCTCACCAGAGCAGCTAGATACAGAGTGTCGATTGGTGCACTCACAAACCTTGAGCTAAACACAGGGTGCTGATTGGTGTATTTACAATCCCTGAGCTAGATATAAAGACTCTCCACGTCCCCACCAGACTCAGGAGCCCAGATGGCTTCACCTAGTGGATCCCGCACCAGGGCTGCAGGTGGAGCTGCCTGCCAGTCCTGTGCTGTGCGCTCTCATTCCTCAGCCCTTGGGTGGTCGATGGGACTGGGACCCCCTGCAGTGGAGCAGGGGGTGGCACTTGTCGGGGAGGCTCGGGCCGCACAGGAGCCCATGGAGTGGGTGGGAGGCTCAGGCATGGTGGGCTGCAGGTCCCGAGCCCTGCCCCGTGGGAAGGCAGCCAAGGCTCGGCGAGAAATCCAGCACAGCGCCGGTGGGCCAGCACTGCTGGGGGACTCAGTACACTCTCCGCAGCCACTGGCCTGGGTGCTAAGTCCCCCATTGCCCGGGGCCAGCAGGGCTGGCTGGCTGCTCCGAGTGCAGGGCCCACCAAGCCCACGCCCACCCGGAACTCCAGCTGGCCCGCAAGTGCCACACACAGCACCGGTTCCTGCTCGTGCCTCTCCCTCCACACCTCCCTGCAAGCTGAGGGAGTGGGCTCCGGCCTTGGCCAGCCCAGAAAGGAGCTCCCACAGTGCAGTGGGGGACTGAAGGGCTCCTCAAATGCCACCGAAGTGGGAGCCTAGGCAGGGGAGGTGCCGAGAGCAAGCGAGGACTCTGAGGACTGCCAGCACGCTGTCACCTCTCAGTACTGCAAAATGGTACAGCCACTTTGGAAGACAGTCTGGCAGTGTCTTACAAAACTAAACATACTCTTATGATATAATCCAGCTATCATTCTTGGTATTTACCCAAATGAATTGAAAACTTATGTCTACATAAAACGTCAACACAGACGTTTGTAGCAGCATTGTTTATAATTGCCAAAACTTGAAAGCGACCAGGATGTTCTCCAGTAGGTGAATGGATAAATAAATATTGTACATCTAGACAATGGAGTATTATTCAGTGTTAAAAAAAGAGCTAGAAAGTTCTGAAAATACATGAAGGAAACTTAAATGCATATTACTAAGTGAAAGAAGCCAATCTGAAAAGGCTGCATATTATATAATTCCAATTATATGACATTCTGGAAAAAGCAAAACTATGGTGACATTAAGAAAGATCAGTGGTTGCCAGCATTTAGGGGAAGTGAGGGACATGAAACCAATCCAATAATCCCATAGATAGTTTTTTTTTTTTTTTTTTTCGAGACAGAGTTTTGCTCTTGTCTCCCAGGCTAGAGTTCAGTGGTGCAATCTTGGCTCACTGCAACCTCTGCCTCCCAGGTTCAAGCGATTCTCCAGCCTCAGCCTCCTGAGTAGCTGGGATTACAGACGTCTGCCGTCACGCCCAGCTAAGTTTTGTATTTTTAGTAGAGACAGGGTTTTGCCATGTTGGCCAGGGTGGTCTCAAACTCCTGACCTCAGATGACCCACCTGCCTCGGCCTCCCAAAGTTCTGGAATTACAGGAGTAAGCCACTGCGCCCGGTGCATTTTTTTTTTTTTTAAACATAGAAATGGACCCTTCTGGGCTTAAAGCTTGAAACTTACATCTGTTTTATCTGAGTTCCTTCTTCAAGAAAGAACCCCCAGGACCCTCTAAAAAGATTACAGAACTCAAACTCACCAGATCATCACATCCAGACAATGAGATAGATGCTGGACCCCTCATTCATCTTGATTGTTTCATTGGCCCTCCCTAGTTCCTGTTTTCTTACACATTGTTACATTTCTTCTCTGCCATATAAACTCCTTGTTTAGTTGGTCAGGGAGATAGATTTGATACTCATTTCCCATCTCCTCTGCCACAGCAACTGACTAATGTCTTCTTCCTTTGCAATAATTATTGTCTCAGTCATTGGCCTTCTGTTTGGTAAGCAGCAGGACCTAGATCAATCCCCTGGTGTTTCAGTAATAGATAAATAAGTGGAGTACAGAGGATTTTTAGAGTAACAAAAATACTCTGTATGATAATGTAATGGTGGATGGCATGCCATTATACATTTTTCCCATAGAATCTACACCACCAAGAGTGGGCCCAATGTAAACCATAAACTTTGTATAAGAATGATGTGTCAATGTAGGTCCACTGATTGTAACAAATGTACCACTCTGGTGGGGGATGTTGATAATGGGGGCAGCATGTGTGAGGGTGGGAGTATATGGGATATCTCTGTACCTTCCTCTCAATTTTGCTGTGAACTTAAAAGTACTCTAAAAAATAAAGATTTTAATAGTAGTAAAAAAAAAAGAATGGGACAAAACTCCAAACACTTGGCAACCTCTTTACTGTAAAGTCAGTAAGAAAATGAGGATTAGATAGGAGGACTGAACAGTAGTGAGGAGGGTACTGCCAAACTTGCTGAGAAAAGCAGTCTGTAATTGTTACCTCTACTCACTTACCCCATATTCATCCTACAGAATTGGTGGCTGTGTCCTCACCACTCTTTTAAAAGTGCTCTTGCTGTAGTTAACAAATCCTTTTTTTTGAGTGTATATGTTAAATAAGGTTTATTGTTAGCTTTATTGCCTATAGTCTATAAGATGTAACTTTATTGTGTCTTTGCAAACAAGATACATTTTTTGAAAAAAAATGGATCAAAACTTTTCCCTCATGTAGTTCTATATGATAGATTACAGTGCAGCACTATTCTTGTAACATTATTATAGAAATACTGTAGAACCCAACAGCACAAGGTAAGCAACAGAAATACCTGAGCCATCTGAACAAGATGATTTAATGAATCCTTTTAGTGCAAGTTTAGAAAACACTGAGAAGGAAAAAATACATGCATACTGCAGTCATGAGCAAAATACATTAAACACCCATTTCTTCCTAGGTGCGGGAGGGGGCAATGGTGAAATTTCTGAATCTAAAGTGTCTCTTCTCATTCTCATCCTACTTGCCCTCTCTGTATGCTGTGTGGATCCAGTGCAGTTTGGCTTAAGAGTGATGTGACGGTTAAAATAATGTTAGAGTGACAGTCTCAAATTAGTAGTTCCACCCACTATTAAGGAATCCAACAACATCTATAATTCCATCACAATCATTCTGGGAGAAGTGCTTCCAGTGTGCTCCATTGACCAATTCTTGGCTACCTGTGGTTTCTGCCATTTTCCTCCTTTCCTGCTACATCGCAGAAACAGGAATTTGTGTCACAGGTACTGGAGGAAGATATAACCACTCTTGCTGCTTACCAAAGAGGCCTGTCCTTCAGTCTGCTGATGTTCCCTAGTGTTGGACATCAGTGGCATTGGGGTAACTGTTGATGCTGGTAACTGTTGCTGTTAGCAGCTTGTTTTTGTTCCCCATGTAAATTACTAACATTGGTGTTTCTTAATTATTTAAGCTTTCAAATATTTATAAAAATTATGAAACTGGGAATGCATCATTGGAGCTGAATCTGGGAAAGATCCTAAATCATTATTTGTTTTTTAAAATAACAGTTTATCGAGATATAATTCAGATACCATACATTTCACCTATTTAAAACATACCATTCAGTGACTTTTTATATATTCACAGAGTTATTCATTCATCACCACAATAAAGTTGAGAACATTTCAGCATCCCCAAATGAAAGCCTGTACTCATTAGCTATCACGTTCCATTTTTCCTCAACTCCTAGCCTTAGGCAACCACTAATCTGTTTTTTTTGTCTCTGTGGATTTTCCTGTTTTGGGCATTTCATATAAATGGAATCATACAGTATGTGTTCTTTGTGATTGGGTTTTTTCACTTAGAATAATGTTTTCAAGTTTCATCTATATTGCAGCAGGTATCAGTATGTCATTCCTTTTTATTGTTGAGTAACATTCCGTTGTGTGTATATGCCATGTTTCACTTATCCATTCACAGTTTAATGAACGTTTTAGTTGTTTTTACTTTTTGGTTATTATGAAAAATGTTGCTATAAACACTTGTGTACAAGTTTTTGTGTGTATGCATTTAAAAAGAATTCAGATTTTATTTTAAGTTCAAGGGTACACGTGCAGGATGTGTAGATTTGGTCCATAGGTAAACATGTGCCATGGTGGTTTGCTGCACAGATCATCTTATCACCCAGGTATTAAGCCCAGCATCCATTAGCTATTCTTCCTGATCCGGTACCTCCTCTCACCCTCTACCCTCCGACAGGACCCAGTGTGTGTTTTCCCTGATGTGTCCATGTGTTCTCATCATTTAGCTACCACTTATAAATGATAACAGTTTTTAAATTTCTTTGGGTATTTACCTAGGAGTAGAATTGCTGGGTCAACTCTAGGTATAACATTATGAAGAACTGCCAGATTGTTTTACAAAGTGGCTGCATGATTTTACATTTCCACTAGCAATGTATAAGGATTTCACTTTCTACGCATCCTCACCTCATCAGCGCTTGTTATTGTCTGTCATTTTTATCATAGCCATCTGAGTGGGTGTGAAGTGGTATCTCATTGTGGTTTTGATGTGCGTTTCCCTGATGGCTAATGATGTTGAGCATCTTTTCATGTGTTTGTTGGTCATTTCTATATCTCCTTTGGAGAAATGTGTATTCAGAATCTGCTTAATTCTCAGATTCTCAGATGGAATATATCTTTTTATTATTGACTTGTAAGAGTTCTTTATATAATCTAGATATAAATCTCCTATCAGATATAAGATTTGCAAATATTTTCTCTCATCTGTGTGTTGCCTTTCCACTTTCTTGATAGAATCCTTTAAGCACAAAAAATTTTAAATTTTTAATGAAGTCCAACAGATCTACTTTGTCTTTTGTTGCTTGTGCTTTTGATGTTATAACAGAAGGCTCTGCCTAACGTGGAGTCATAAAGACTATTAGTTTAGCTCTTACATTTAGGTCTATGACACGTTTTGAGTTAATTTTTGTGTATGGTGGAAGGGAGGGATTCAACTTAATTATTTTGCATGTATATATCCAGTTGCCCATGTAAGATTTGTTGAAAAGACTGCTCTTTCCTCACTGAATTGTCTTGGCACCCCTGTTGAAAATTACCAATTCATTATTCTTAAATCAAACTCTGTGACTCTGGTCTCTTTTAATGATGTGGTATTCCTATCCCTCTGGAGGCCCCTCAACTTCTCCCATAAGTGTATTTCTTGTCAACCTACCCTATAAATTCTCCATTCAGACTTCCAGATTACCCTGCAGCAGAGAATTCCTTTTTGAAACTTTATTGTTCCTTGCCCCGAGTACACTGCTCATTTTTTTCTCATGGTTTTCTAGCCTGCCTTTCTCAATTTTCCATGGCTTCTTTCTCACCCTGCACACAATTTCATTCACTTCCTGATTTCTGTGCTGGCTCCCAAATCTGGACTGTAATTACAGTCAATACATTTATTCTGAGCTCCAGACCCTTATTTTTTGGATGCCCAGAGTTGACATCAAAGCCAACATAAGTAAAACTGAACCCACTGTTATCTCTTCTCCCCTAAACCAGCTCCATTTCTTGAATTCCCCATTAATGTCACCATCATTAATATAGTCCTTAAGTTGAAATTCCCGGAGTTATTGTAGAGTCCTCTCTGCCTCACCCCCACATCACCAAATTCTGTTGATTCTACCTTGGGATTCTCTCTAATGTCTGGTTCCTAGTGTTTTTCTTATGCCTTAGTTATATTTTTATCATTTTTGTCTACAGTGGCTTATCTGACCTTCCTGTTTCTAACCTTACTCCTTCCAACCCACTGTTCATGCTAATTTCAGAGTATTTTTCTGTAATATAAATCTCATAATGTTATCCCTCCCTCCGAATTCCCCAAATTTTCATGGGTTTTTATTGCTCAGAGGATAAAATTTAAATTTCTTTGTGGTGTGCAAATCCCTAAGCTCAACCCTTAACCCTGCTTCTTATCTTTCTAGCATTTTTCTGCCACTCCTCTCCCTCATTCCTAGCCTTTAGCCATACTGAGTTACTATTATTTGTTGAGTAGATTCCTCTCTGTTGCACTTCAATTTTTTGGCACATATGATTTCTGCTGTCTGAGTGGCTTCAAATTCTTCAAGATGAAATATTATTTCCATTAGAGCTTTCCCATTTCTGGGTGGTTAGTTGTTCTTTTTGTGCATTTTCCCTGAGTACTTACTCACATTTTGAAATTTTTGGCAAATGCCAAGATCATAAGATCATGTTACTCTATTGAATAATAATTGATCATTCATAAGGGATAAAGCACAAATTAGGTTTGAATCAATATTTATTGCCTAACGTATACTGATGTATTTAACTATTGAGTAAATAGATGAATGGACTATTTGATAGGGCTTGGCTCTGTGTACCCACTCAAATCTCATGTTGAATTGTAATCCTCAGTGCTGGAGGAAAGGCCTGATGGGAGGTGATTGGATCATGTGGGTGACTTCCCCTTTGTTATTCTGATAGTGAGTTTGGCTGTTTAAAAGTGTGTGGTACTTCCCCCTTCACTCTTTCTCGCCTGCTCCACCATGTGAAGATGTGCCTGCTTCCACTTTGCCTTCCACCATGATTGTAAGTTTCCTGAGGCCTCTCAGCCATGCTTCCTTACAGCCCATAGAACCGTGAGTCAATTAAACCTCTTTTCTTCATAAATTACCTAGTCTTGGGTAGTTCCCTGTAGCAATGTGAGGATGAACTAGTACACTGTCAGATTTTCCTGCTATTTAGCTTATGAAAGAACTATTCTTATCTCACACATTTTATGGAAACTTACTGCAAAATACAAATTCAAAGGAATGCTTATTTATAATAGATATATTTTTAACACAAAAAGCACTGTTCTGGAAGAATTTTCTGTCCCTTAACAATGTGGGATTTGGACTTTTTCCTTTCTTTTTTTATTGTAATGAGATCTATAGAGTTTAATAGAAGACACACACTGACCAAAGACAATCCTTGTAGATCTATATACAAATTTACAAAAGTCTTCAGAAGTCCACCATAGGTTGAAATTCTGTCTCAGATATTTTATGTGGGTAGCTTCAAGACTTTTCCCTTGTTCTGGTTAAATGTCATATAAAGTAGTTCTTTACTTTCATTTCTTGACTCAGCATTGCTTATGATTTCTGAATGAGTCCCTATGGTCTGACGTGTTTGAAGCTGAATGTGGCTTGTGGGTCCATGGATTCTTGAGCTGTCTTCCTTACATTTGGCATTAGAATGGAAGTAGATTATAAAGATGTGGCATGGTGCTGACACTAATAACTGTAATTTACCTCTTTACAGCAAGACATAATGAAAAGTATTCAACTTTCACTAAATATACCTAGATATTATTCTAAAATGCTAATTTCCATACCTGTATTAGTCTGCTCTCATGCTGCTATAAAGAACTGCCCAAGACTGGGTAATTTATAAAGGAAAGAGGTTTAATTGACTTATAGTTCTGCATGGCTTGGGAGGCCTCAGGAAACTTACAATCATGGCAGAAGGAAAAGCAAACACATCCTTCTTCAGATGACGGCAGGAAGGAGAAGTGTCGAGCAAAGAGGGAAAAGCCCCTTATAAAATCATCAGATCTCAGGAGAACTCACTAACTATCACAAGAACAGCAGTATGGGGGTAACCACCCCCACGATTAAATTACCTCCCACCAGGTCCCTCCTACCACATGTGGGGATTATGGGAAACACAATTCAAGATGAGATTTAAGTGGGGACACAGCCAAAGCATATCAATACTTTTTCGAGTGTTTGGGTTGAGGGGATTTTGTGCCTGTGGGAGAAATAATACTATGATAATTTTATTGCATATTTTATGACATTTTTGACAAATGCCAAGATCATAAGGAGTAATAAAGTTTCATTGAAGAAGGATAAAATTATTTAGCATTTTGATTGTAATTATTTAGCATTTTGATTGTAATTATTTAGCATTTTGAGTGGCTTGAGGGTAGTTTTATTGGATTAATTTCCTCTCACATGTTGCATACATTTTTCTGTCAATTCTGAGTATAATAGAAATTTCACATGTATAATATAATCTCACTTGTATTAATCATACATTTTAATTTATTGATTCATTCATTCTACAAGCATTTACTATGCATCTGACATGTGTCAGACATTGTGGTGAGAGTAAGAAAGGAAGCATTACCTTAAAGAATTCATACATCAGAGAGTAAGAAGGGAGCAGTAAGTAAATGAATTATACCATATAACCTGGTGAATGCTATACAAGTATTGGGGAAAAGAGTTTCTAGAAAAATATATAGAACCTAGGGTTAAGGAAGCCTTTATTGAGGAGCTTTTACAGTCCTTTGAGCTGAATCTTAAAGGATGAGTAGGAGTTTAAGAGGGCAAAAAATGTAGAAAGATTATTCCATGTAGAGGGAACAGCATGCTCAAAAAGCTTAGATTTGTTAAAGGGTGATATTTTCATGAAATCAATTGCGGTAGAAGAGGCTGCAAAATTTTAAATCACTACAGAAACTCCCTGTTTGTCGGAGCAAATTTGAATACTTCAGTAAGGCATTCTAGAATATTCTATTTAATGTTCCAGCAAATGTATATCCATTATGGATTCTGCCTGCTTCCCACTGCAGTCCCATAGCTTTAATGACACAATCTCCTTAATGTAGTATACATGCACTTGAAGACTTCCTTGACACATCCGACAATCTTCTGTACCTTCTCTTTCTTTGGCTCACTCTTCCCCATCATAGTTCTGTAATTGTTTAAGGTATGTGTACTTTACGGTATGAACTTCTGTGGAGCAGAGACTATATAATCATTCATGGTGCCTAGCCAAGAGCAATTAACCATAGGAAATACATAAATTCTTGGGGACTGTTATTGTAGATCTAAATAAACTTTTATAGATTTTACCTTTATATTTTTATTTTGTTTGTTTTTTGAAAAGCATTTGTGTGTTGTGAAAACACACTTAGAGGAGAGTCATGATACCTAAATTAGAGACCCATCTCTGTGGCTCATTTATTGTTTGATATATATTTTTAAATATCATGGAATGGACCAAATGATCGATTGATCGATCGATCTGTCTGTCTGTCTGTCTGTCTGTCTGTCTATCTATCTATCTATCTCTATCTAAAATCTTTTGTAGTTCAAATATTCTTCTGGTATAGAGCAAGAAAAACTCTGGATGACTTTGTGTGAGGAGATAAATTCACTGCCCCATAACTCCCCTGGCTCCTAGATATGATGATTCCTGTATTCATTTTGTGATTAATTCTTCAATATCTATAATGATCTCAGAGTGCTATAAAATGTTCAAATCAAAGTTATAACAAATTCATTTATATCTTTTGAAAATATGCCTTATAGTATACTCTGTATCAGTAAAGTCCAGGAAAAGAGGTCCAATAGACAAAGATACAAGACTTGCAAAATCAGTGGTCTAAGTAGCAGAGAGCAATAGATGATTAAGGAGAGGAAATTTCTAAGTAAGATGCATGTGGGCCAGTGCCAGTTTTAGTTTTGATTCTGGTTATCTGTTGTTGCATAATAACCTATCCCAAAACTTAGTTGCTTAAAAAACAACTATTATTTAGCCCTTAATCCTGCAGTGGGAAAGGCTCATGTTTTCTCCAGAGTGTCGGCTGGGTGGCTTGACAAGGGACTGGAGGGGCAATTCCAAGATGACTCACTCCATGGCGCCGTGCTGGCTTTGGTTGTTGGCAAGGAGCTCAGCTGGGGCCAAAGGCCAAGTACCTTAGTTCCTTTCCATATGGGCCTCTTTGTAGAGCACTTCAACTTCCTTATAGAATTGGTGGCTGAGTTCCGAGAAAGTGTCCCAACAGTCAGGAAGTGGAAGCTGCCAATTTTGTTAAAGCCTGGGTGTGGAAACTGGCACCCCATTACTTCTGATGTATTCTACTGGTCAATGAGCCACAGAGTCCGCATTTGAGGCGAGGGGACATCAAACACACCTTTGAAGGGGAGGATTATCAAGAAATTTGGAGGAATGTTTTAAAACTGCCATGTGTTTCTTTAATGAAAATGGTCTTATTGTATTTATTATAATGTTTATTTTCATTGTAAAAAAATTCAAACAATAAAGAAAATTTCCAGGGCTCATTTGATAGGAAATTTGGAAAAACTCTTGGTCTGCTTTCATAACACTGTCTTTTGTTATCTGTCTAGTTATGTCTACTTTAACGCATCCTTGAGTTAGCCAACCACACAGTTGTGTTTTATAAATACAACATTTACATTTGAGATTTGGTATGTTAATTCTTTATGCTTTCATTCAAAGCTTTTGTTAATTCCAGTTTAGACTTGGAAGTGATTTTTTGGTTTTTTGGTTTCTCTCTCTTTGTTTGTGCTGATCTCTATAAAACATCTTCACCCTTTTATCTTTCAATTTTCTGTGACTTCTGACTCTAAGTCCTATTTTCTACTGTACTTATAACAGATTCTCTAACGGAATAATGAGGATCCCTTTTTAGGAAGATGGTGAAACCTCTGAGAGTATAGCATTTCTATTTTAGAATTCAGAATCTTAATATTTAAAAAGTACTGTGAAACTCATACAGCTCAGGTATCCATCAACTGTTCCTTGAATTCCTGCTGTAACATCTCTGGCAAGTAATTATCTAGCTTACACAAATAGTTCCGGCGAAAGTGGTTTAATAGTCTCAGTGGTAGACAGTGTAATTTTTAAACATCTTTGAATTTTAAAATGTTTTTCTCTTATTGGGATAATTTTGTATTCCTGTAGCTTCTTAACGTACTAAAAACTCTAAACCTTCTTACTCATGAAAAGCCTCCAGCATTGAAAACACTTATCATGACTCCTCCCTGTTCTGCTGATTCTTCTTACTCCAAACTAAAGTCTTACTTCCTTCAACTGTTCCTCTTGACATAGCTTCACATGACTTTCCACCTGACCACTTACCTGCGAATATATTCCTATTTGTTGATGTCCTTAAATGCTGAACAACATTTAAGAATTGAACACTGGGGGCTGGGCGCAGTGGTTCACGCCTGTAATCCCAGCACTTTGGGAGGCTGAGGTAGGCGGATCACGAGGTCAGGAGATCGAGACCATCTTGGCTAACACAGTGAAACCCTGTCTCTACTAAAAATACAAAAAAAAAAAAAAAAAATTAGCCAGGCGTGGTGGCAGGCACCTGTAGTCCCAGCTACTCGGGAGACTGAGGCGGGAGACTGGTGTGAACCCGGGAGGCGGAGTTTGCAGTGAGCCGAGATCGCATCACTGCACTCCAGCCTGGGCGACAGAGTGAGACTCTGTCTCAAAAAAAAAAAAAAAAAAAAAAAAAAGAACGCTGAACATGGCATGCCAGAGGCAGTCTGACAGAGAATGCGCCCTGTTTATTTTTGGTTTAGGACAGGTTGCAGGGTGCCTGCTTGGATTTCTAATAGTCTTAGCAAGGTCTGCTCAATTTCTTCCTTACGTTCTTTCTCTGTCAAGACTATTTGGGCTGTGAGTTTTAAATCTGGAAGAAGAGAATAAGTCTATGTCATTTATTTACAATGCAATAGAGAATTCCTTTTTTCTTCCTGTTTTCTTCTGTGTATTCAGAATTTGTTAATCTTGAAGGGTAATGAATAACTCGGTAGGCTAAATTACTAACTTTGTCATCTGATTCTTCGTCAAGTTATTTGAAAATAATTGTTTTAAAGGCATATGGACATTATAACAATAGACATATTTTTAAAAACTTAAGGATAAGTTAGTTAGTGAAGGATTTCTTACTAAACATACATCTTGTATATTTTCAAGTGAGCAGGTAACTTAAGTAAGCAGTCCACATAAAGGCAAATGATTGACATCTGTATGTTGGTCTCTATGTTTAATTTTATAAATAATAGTTAAATTACTGGTTGGTATCATACTGCTGGAACACTGAAAATTGATTCTGCATTGCCTTGATATAAGTTAGGATGACATGGCATTCTTTGGTTACCTTCATCGCCCCATGTCAATTAATTTCTAATTATTTAAGTTAATGAGTTAAATTCCCTAAATCATTTGTGGATATGACACTTCATGGAGGCAACATGGACACAAATTTTTCTGGCATATTTGTAATGGGTTTAGTTCAATTTATTCCTTTGTAAAGTTTGACAATCCGTGCATAATAAGACATGTATTTGATACGTGTAGGTATTATATCAAGGGTATTTTCTTAATGGTGAGTCAATTTTGAGAGTATTTTTAGTTATAAAAATGTGAAAATTGCAAGCAGATATGCCGATGTGCTTCCTCGAGGTGTCCACCTGGGTCCATGAAATGGGAGGGTGTGGGGGTACTGCAGCAGTACAGGCATGGGCTGAGTACAGACATGTTCCTTTTGTACCCTCTCAGGCACAAAATGCCAATAAAGACTGTTCTGTTTGTCAGTAAGAGAGACAGAGACTACCCATGGCTATGAGGCAGCTTCCTGCTGGGAAGGCTCTGAACACAGCTGGCAAGTGAGACTGATGCTGGTAGCCCTGGGGGAGAACAACTTGAGTCTTGACAGGAATAGGCACTGATTCTGGACTGGGCTTTGCTTACTTGGTGGAAGATGAAAATGCCAAACGCCATAAAAAGCAAACAAACAAACAAACAAAAAAACGAGAACAGAAGATATTGCATGAACTTAGATGGATGACCATCCTTTCCTCAGAGCAGGGAACACACTGTACAGCCCATAATGTCCAACAAGGGGCACAGAGAGGTCCTCCTTAGAGTAGTAGTTTGATAGAGAAACAGAACAGGAAATTGAAACACTGGTCACCTAAACGAGGGGGCGATGAAAGCATGAAGGTCTGGCTTACACCTTCGCAAGTGTGTGCTCACCCTCAACATCAGTAGGGCTAGTGTCCCACTAGATTTTTCTGATTTTCTGGTTGATCTGGGGAGGAGGGAGTGGGGAGGTTGCTAGTATGACTATGGAATTCTTACCAAGGGAGTAGTGCACTGGTATAAAAACTATACATTTTTTTCTTTCTTCTCCCCATTTTTTCCCCCTTTCTCCTCTACCTGATACAGTAGTCCTAGGACCAGGGCTGCAATTTTAAGTGCTGGCAGCAGGGAAAATTTCTAAGCAATAAACTGTAACTGTTTTAAACCTTATGTTGGAATTCCTAAGGGCCTGATGGGGATGGGTTGTGTCTTTACCCCATCTAGCAGAACTGGGGCTAACAGTGAATACAGCTATGTTGTCTGGTGGTAAAAAGAGCTCACTATGTAACCTTTCCCTATCTGAATTGGGTGGACTGAGGAGGAGCCACTTGCTAGACTGGTATTGCTGCCTGCAATATAGACCCGCACAGTGGTGATTCTAATGTCCCTTCCAAAGGTAAAAAAGTTTGGTTATTAATGGGAAGAAGAAGAAACAGTAGCTGAGAGTAAAGAAATGAATAAGTGGGTTATGAATTGAGGGAACTTCAATATTACATTAACAACTCAAAAGAGTCTTGGAGCAAAAGCTCAATTATTCTTGCTGCCTGAAAGGGTGAAGCTGTATGTTTGTTGAGATTATGCCTGCTTTCGGAACCTGGTAACATTGAAAGAAAGCCTGCAAGCCTGAGTAGTCTCGCCCTGGGAGACATTCATACAATATGATGGACTGGACTAATTGTTAATAATTGTGCATATTCTTATGCTGTAAGGGATCCATGGTTGGAAAGAAGGGGCTGTCCTATGGTGTTCTGATAATGTATTGGTTTTCATCCACAGTTCCTGACTTATAACTCCCATAGTCTTTGTTACAGTCTTCTGTTATTGTGTCAGGTGTGTTAGGCCTCAGGGCCAGGCCTGAGGAAACAGCATCTCTCTCTTGCCTTCCTTTCACCTGCCCCAAGGCAAGACTCTAATCAGTGGGGCTTAAGACCTGGTGAGAGGGTCCCACCTGTCACTCTGGAGGAAGGAATGCTTCCGTAAGAACCCAAGAGGACTGGGTTCGAGGGATTCCAGATAGCTGAACACATTGAGGTTCCTGGAGGGTGGTGTGCCCAGGGAGGGCAGGTAAACTCCATGCACCTCCCCACATACCTCACTGTATGCATCTCTTCATCTGTATCCTTTGTCAAATCCTTTATAATAAATGGGTGTTAAAAAAAGTCAAAATTGGTGGAAAGAGGCAAGGAGTGAGAATAATTAGGACTGAAAAATACCATTAATTCTGGCTGTTTGCTGCTGCCAATCCATCTCCTTTGCTGTAGTTTTGTGCTCTATAGAGTTAGCATCAATGCTATGCATAGATCACATCCAGGGCCTTTGGAGGCATGGTTAGAAAAATACTACAATACCGTAACAAATTAAACTGCTGTTATAAAACAATTTTTTAAACTGTTCTTTTACTGCCCATGAAATGCAGAAAATCATATTATTACTTTATCAACCACTGCATAAATCATCGCTTACCACCCTTCCTAAATACTGTAAATGAAGAACCAAAATCTTCCATAATGGACATGATGGTAGAAAAATTTGGTTCAGATTAATAAGAAAACTTCAGCCAATAAACTGTTCCTGTTTCTTTGAGATGAGGCCATTTGGATTTGCCAACTCAAAGTATAAGTAAGTGCATCTGCTATGGTTTGTCCTAGATGACTTTTTTTTTTCCTGTTCAAAAATGGCAGTTTATTTTGTAAATCATACGTGAAAAATAAATTATATTTAACATGCAAGGCATGAATCCAAGCAGTACAGTTCTAGAAAGGAAATCAAAAGCTAAAGTATACAACATTTGGGGGTAATTTTCAGGAGGAGTTCCTTTGTTGCTTTTTATATGTGATTATCCTGCATGAAATATATTTTAGTTTTAATAGCTATTAGATAGCATTATTTTGTGAATGTGAAACAGAGCAACTGAAATTTTAGTTTGAGGCACATAGAAATAGCTGAATTCTCTAGCTTTCCTTACAAATGTCTCTTATGCCTCTTAAATGTTTCCAGGGATAGAAAACTTTTTGCCTTGCTCTGTGGCTAGTTCTCTTTTAAGAAAATTGTAGTTGAAAAGCATTTCTCACACTGAACTAAATATGGCATCTTATAATATTTACCTTTTACTCAAAGTTTTGACCCTTCTAGCTGATAACATTTTACATATTTGAAGATAACCCATTATGGATTCTTAAATTTTCTTTTGCTTAAAACAATCAAACATATAAACAAACAGATTTCTTCAGCTTTTTCACATGATAGTTGTGATTCCTGTTTGACTTCTTCTGGTCACTGCTCCTCTTAAAATATTTTATTAATGTTACTGTTGGACATTTGGGATATAACCATGAAGAGTCAGTGATTTTTCTAATGAACTAATTCTCAATCCAATTAAAATGAAAAAAATTCTAATTAACTTCATGTAGTTCAGTGTCCATCTTGTTAGGGTCATAGGCTAGAAAAAATTAACACCAAGGAGAATTCAGGCTATGAGCAAGGGAGTTAATTTTTAACTGGAAATGAAATACATGATTCATGCTTGTTCTTTCTCCAAAATTTGAAGTTAAGACAGCCTGCTGCAAAGATGGTACAGGCACTTGCCAACATGGAGTTGAAGTGGTATTGTTGTCTGGGGTAAATACCCAGGGTTCATCATCTCACACCAAGGGCATCAAGGACACAGACACAAGAAGTGGATTTAGGAACACAGATTTAACAGGCAAAAGAAAGAGAAAGGAGAACAGCTTTCTGTCTTGAGAGAGAGGGGAGGCACCAGAATGGGACTTCTGGCCCATGGTGGAGTGCATTGGATTTTATAGACAGGCTTGAAGAGGTGGTGTCTGATTTACATAGGGCCCCAGATTGGTTGGATGAGTTGTGATGTTTACATAGCACTGGAGGAAGCTGGTTGCCCCAACCTAATCTTATTATGCAATGGGGTCTTTGCCTGGCTAGTGCCGTGTTGTCTTTTCCTTGCAGTACACGTGGTTTGGCAAAGAGAAGGGAATATGGAGCTGCCATTTTGCACATGACTTTTTGTATTGGCACAGGTGCCAGCATTGATCCGTGCAGGCTTCTAGCTTGCTTATCTATGTTTGCAGCTCAATTTTACAGGCTGCTCTTTGTTAAAAAAGAAAATGGTTTTGGAGCTGCTTTTCATTAAAAGGAAACTCTTACTGAGGACTTCCTTACCCTCACTATCTGCCTAAATAATTTTTTCTTAACTGCTATATTAGAGTGATTTTAGGCAACTAGTAAGGACTATTCTGCATCCAAATTTCCTTCTTTTATAAGTTTAGCTTCTTTAGTTGCAATAAGAACAGTCTCTGGCAAATAGTAAAAAGTGAAATTTATTGGCCAACTGCGGACTCAGAACTGAAGGACATTAAAAAGCATAGGAACCAGAGAAGGCCTGTAGATCTAAGGTAAGAAGAAAAGCACATCAATTTTAGGGTGCTTCTCCCATGGTTGGGATGGAAACCAAACATTGTCAGACTTTGAGACACTCTGCCGAAGACACCAAATCGAGGGAGCCAAAGTGACTGTGTTAGACAGGCCCTCCATGCCTGCATTGAAGATCGAGATAAGCAACACATAATCACTCACTTTATTCCTCTCACTTACTTCTGGATATTCCTAATACCTTTAGTAGGAAGAAAGCTCTTACTTTTAAATGGAGGTGTGTTTTATTTGAAGAAAAAAATATAAGAAAGGTAACAGTGACACTTTTAGTCTAAGTTTTAAATAAGAGTCAATAAATCCTCTCCTGTGAATGTTTGTATTAAGATGGAAGCAGCTGGGCGCAGTGGCTCACGCCTGTAATCCCAGCACCTTGGGAGGCCAAGGTGGGTGGGTCACGAGGTCAGGAGTGCAAGACCAGCCTGGCCAAAACGGTGAAACCCAGCCTCTACTCAAAATACAAAACTTAGCCGGGTGTGGTGGCATGCACCTGTAATCCCAGCTACTAGGGAGGCTGAGGCAGGAGAATGGCTTGAACCCGGGAGGCGGAGGTTGTGGTGAGCAGAGGTCATGCCACTGCACTCCAGCCTGGGCAACAGAGCAAGACTCTGTCTCAAAAAAAAAAAAAAAAAAAAAAAAGGAAGGGAAAACATATGTGTTGACTGCTTCACATAAGTGATACGGCTTTTCTGCAAGGGCTACACAAGGGGGATTTGGGTGCTCAAACAGACAAACACACCCAACTCCTCCTTTCAAACCAGTTATTCTTATTTTGCCTTTGATAGCCTCTCCCAAAGCAAATCTTTACTGCGATATTTGTATTAATTTAAATGACGGACATTTAAAACTACCCCTGCAGGAATTTATCAGGGTCATTGTCTTGATGGGAGCTCTAGATTCTACTTCTGACGGCCAATTTGTCTTCTTAGGGGTCTGTCAGTTTACCCTGAGGTGAGAATTATGACTGATTTGGGACAGAGAGAAGATTACCAGACAAGTGATGGGCCTTCTTGCTGGGGAATAGCCATAGGAAGTAGATCTAAGGGACTGTGGAGATCATAAAGCTTGGCTGGGAGAATATCACCAGTGGCTTCTGATTAAAATGATTATTAGATATGGATGACTATGTTGTACAGAAGCTGCCATGCAGAAAGATTACAATTTATCCTAGTTTGGAAAGGACTATTCTTTTTTTTCTTTTTTTTTTTTTTAGATGGGGTTTCATTCTGTCACCCAAGCTGGAGTGCAGTCATGCAATTATGACTCACTGCAGCCTTATCCTCCTGGGTTCAAGCAATACTCACACCTCAGCATTCCCAAGTAGCTGGGACTATAGGTGTGTTCTACAACACCCAGCTATTTTTAAAATTGTTTTGTAGCAACTTGGTCCCACTGTGTCACCCAGGCTGGTCTAGAACTCCTGGATTCAAGCAATCCTCCCATTTTGGCCTCCTAAAGTGCTGGAATTACAGGCATAAGCCACTGTGACCGACTGCCTGTTCTCTTTAAGACAGGAAAAAAATGAAAGGATAATGCAGTGTTTCAAGTAGATTGAAACTAAAAAGTAATTTTAACATTTAGTTTTGAAGCATAGGTTAAGTAAAATAACGAAAAAATGCTGAGGAATGAATCATTGAAAGTAATTACCATATACCTCCTGAATTCCAGGTAAAATTTTACAGGAGAATATATAATTCAATTATGTGAATTAAAAGTATTAAGAGAACTGGAAAGTAGCCACAGAGGAAGGTTATAGCAAAACCTCACAAAGATACAAAAGATAAATGTTCTTTTAGTAATGATAGGGAACTGGAAAAGTGATACTGATTTTGTACTTGCCTAGTAGCAAGTAACTGCATGGGAACAAATCTGCTACGTTTTGCGTGTACTGGTGCCTTTTTCTCTACTGCATTGGACCCTAGTGGGACATATTGTTTGAGAATATTCTTTGTTCTGGGGAAGACATCAGCTTCATTTTGAAGGACTATGTATCATAGGGTTTCTCGCTCTGTTTTCTTGAAATAAAAAGGGAAAAACTTACTCATAAAAACTTCTGACATCCAGCATTCAGTTGCTATAAGTCACTATTAGTTGTCACT
This sequence comes from Homo sapiens, assembly GCF_000001405.40. Classification (NCBI taxonomy): domain Eukaryota; kingdom Metazoa; phylum Chordata; class Mammalia; order Primates; family Hominidae; genus Homo; species Homo sapiens. The sequence goes on along the minus strand of NC_000004.12, from coordinate 127,362,063 downwards.
CCTATACTTTGCCAACACCTTGATAGTTGATGGTCACAGTGATGACTGGAGCCAATACAACATCTCCAAATGGCTTCATAATAATGAACAATGATTGAATTGTTATGAGAGGGGTATGAGAAGTATGTCACTTTATTATGTTCTAATTCCTTGAATATTGTTATATCATGTGAAAGATATGTGGCAAGTGTCTATTAAAAAGAGTAACTTTAAATATGGGAATAATAGTCACTGTGAACTACTACAGTGGCGAGAAACAGAGAGAGGTATGGGTTGAAAACTACCTATTGGGGCTGGGCACGTTGGCTCATGCCTGTAATCCCAGCACTTTGGGAGGCCAAGGTGGGTGGATCACCTGAGGTCAGGAGTTTGAAACCAGCCTGGCCAACATGGTGAAACCCTGTCTCTACTAAAAATACAAAAATTAGCCGAGTGTGGTGGCGGGTGCCTATAATCCTAGCTACTCGGGAGGCTGAGGCATGAGAATCACTTGAACCTGGGAGGTAAAGGTTGCAGTGAGCTGAAATCGTGCCACTGCACTCCAGCCTGGGCAACCAGAGTGAGACTTTTCTCAAAAAAAAAAAAAAAAAAAAAAAAAAAGTAAACTACCTATTGGGTACGAGGCTCATGCCTGGGTGGTGGGATTTATACCTCTCAGCATCACACAATATTCTCATGTAACAAACCTGCCCATGTACTTGCTGTATCTAAAATGTAAGTTGAAATTTAAGGCTGGGAGTGGTGTGATCTCGGGGAGTGGGATTACTGAAAATATAAAAATTAGCTGGGTGTGGTGGTACGCACTTGTAATCCCAGCTACTTGGGAGGCTGAGACAGGAGAATTGCTTGAACCCAGGAGGTGGAGGTTGCAGTGAGCCAGTATCATGCCTGTGCACTCCAGCCTGGGCAACAGAGTGAGACTCCATCTCAAAACAAAAACAAAAACAAAATCCTTATCAAATTGTACACATTAGATATTCACTGTGTATTACATGTCAATTATACCTCAATAAAGCTATTTTTTTTCTTTATTCCTTCCAAATAAATGTTTCTTAAACAGAATACACGTGCTGGGCGACAGAGTGAGACTCTGCTCCAAAAAAAAGAAATTTAAAAAAGAATTAAAAAATTAATTCTGTTCATTTTTGGTAAGGGAACTTATTGAATATACAAGAAACTTAACTGAGCAAGTAGCAAGTTCCTGGAAACTGGATTTATCAGAGGTTGTACATAAATCCTTCTGATACAGGTGTACATGTGCTCTCCCATGATATTTAGTTCCTATATGATAGTATAGGGCCTTCATTTTGAGAGAAAAAGATACCTTTATTTGTTATTATAAGGAGAGGTAAAATTTCAGTCTTCTTCAAAGCAAAGCCAGCTGCCATCCTCTAAAAATCCTGAGTCAAGATGATTAGTGAGCTGGGTTTGGTGGCATATACCTCTAATCCCAGCTACTCAAAAGGTTGAGTGAAAACTTAAAATTTTAACTCCTGGGATAAAGCAAAGCAAGGATGGCTTGATTCCAGGAGTTTGAGACCAGTCTGGGCAACATATAGTAAGACTTTCTCAAAAAAATGAAAAATAAAAAAAGTTGATTAAAAAGCAGTTTGAGACCAGTCTGGGCAATATATAGTAAGACTTTCTCAAAAAAATAAAAAATAAAAAAAGATGATTAAAGAAACAAACTATAGTTTTTGCTAGTGAAGCTTGTCTCAAGGACACAATTAATAGTTTTCATTTTTCTCCTCTACTATTCAGTTTAGATTTCCCTTATATTTGTCCCAGACTGTAGCTGATCAGGCTTGTTTTCTTGATGGGTGATCTAAGTCCTCATCCTAAAGTCATCTAAACCCTTGATTACTTTGTTGTTCTTGAGTTATGATTACTACAACTGTTCCTTGGCAATTGCCACTGAAGAGATGTATTAAAAGATTCAGCATATACCTGACAAAAGTGTATGATACACATTAATTAAAGTAGATAGTGGAAAAATAATTTGGTTACACAATTATGTAGCACGATTCAATGTAGCAGCAATGTAAGCATTTATTTGAATTGCTTTTATATATCCCTTAATTTCAGATTTATTTCGTAGAATTGTTTCAGAAAAATGACTATTCCAAAATTCAAGTATGATAAGAAAGAAATATCCTAGTAGAAGTCAAAAAAGCACACTGAAAGAAAGAAACTCAGAAGCTTCAAAATATCAAAACTAAATATAGTGATGGTTGAATCATAACAATAAGGAAGTAATGAGTTAAAAATATAGATAATAAAAATTTATCAGAAGATAAACTAAAGATTTTGAGAATCAGGATACTTTGAAAGAGGAAATAACACAGCATTGGGAAGAAGAAAAGAATAGTGAAGAACACAATTTGTATGGTCAACAGAGCATACCCAAAGATCAGCATCAGCGTCATATTGATGAATTCATTTTAATAGGTCTTGCAATTTTTCACCTTTTCTTGGTATATTAAGCAATAATTTCATGCAATACTATTTAATAAAAGACAGCTTGCTTTTTCAAAATTGTGATCCCTAAAGAATTTTCAGTGAATCAAGCAAAACATACAAGGGACAAAAGACAAGTTGCTCAACTGGACATTTTGAAAAGAAAAGTAAAGTCAAATTTTGAATAGATCTTAGCTCACTTATTCCAAAACTAAGGATGCATATGTTTTGTTTGTAAGCTATTTTCAACAAGATAGATATCACTTAGGTCACTTGGGTTTCAAATTGGGTAACTACATTGAGAAATCTGAAAAGTCATGAAATTCTACTCATAAGAATACAAGAAGGTTATATTTACTTGAATTTTACAAAAACTAGATAAAAATGCACTAGAACAATGTCTGAAGATGTAGACAAGAACAAACACTCATTATTTTGAGGAACTAAAATGAGTAGTTATGATTATTAAAAATTAAATGGAAAGAGGTTTCTCCTTCAGCAGATATGATGAAAAGTGGCATTCTTTAAATCAAGGAAAGGTTATGGATATCATCAAACTAATTATTCAGTGTGACTTTTTTCCCTTGACAACTTGGAAAAATTTCAAAAGAAAAAAAGTGGCATGTATCCAAAACATTTTTGAAGAATTAATTGATAAATGAGAGAAAATCTATATAAAATAAAGGAAGCAAAATAGATAAAGCAGACATCAAATACCATACCATTAACATAGTTTCTATACCAGATTATAACACAAATTTCTAGAAACCAAACTGAATAACTTTTTTCACCAATTGAAAACTACCTGTTACTTTATCCGACAAAATGGAGCAAGTTCTGGACAGTCGTAACCAGTCATGACACCCATCCAATGACAATAGAGCTGTAATGAACAGCAAGGACGAAAGCAGAAGTGCAGAAGCACACTTTAAAAACATCATGCATTGATGGGCTGTGTGTTGTGTGCAACACATTTTCTTAATCCTATTGAAGAAAAGGCTGGCCCATAGCTCCTGAATTGTTTTTTTAAGGTTTACTATTCTGATATCTTGCAATAGCTCCATGTTTTCTGGTGTGTCCCATAGATTACATAGCTTCAACTTGAGCTGAGTTAGATTTCTAGGTATAACAATATGCTGTTCCCAGCCTTTCAAGCTGGGTATAATGGAATTTAAAAACATGTTCAGAGACTTTCAAAAGAAACCATAGGGCAAAATAGTTGTAAAAGTCGTTGAAAAAGTTCATAAAGCTCAAATTTTAGCTGTATTTTGGAAAAAGAATGTTTCAATGAAATAGGTGAAAATTTATAGGCTCTTGGTTAGGACATTTGTAAAGTGGACCCTCTTTTGTCATGTTTAAGTTTACTTCTTAAAGAAGAGAATGTGAAGACAAAAATTAATAGACTATGAAAAAAAGTGATAAAGGTGGGCATTGAAACTAAGAAAAATTATTTTAAGATTGAGAAGTGAATTCTAACAAAAAAGTGTTCAGATCATAACAAATACAATAGTTTATCAATGTGAAGAGATAAATTTTGAATGCAAGTAATAAATGCACTCCCTTGGGTTAGTTGATAATCTAATTAATGAAGAGATAATGCTTCATACAAACATATTCCAGTAAGATTTAAAAGTATTGCTGACTTGACACAATATACTGTCACCAAAGAAGAGGATATAGAACAAAGAAGAGGATGTAGAACTCATGGTATCACAACAGGCATCAACAATGAACAGATTAAAATGTGTAGTCAGTTTAAAGATGATTTGAAATTATTTCTTGTAGAAGAAAATTTGAATTTCCCTGATATTTAATTGCTCATATATGAAAGAAACTTGATAGAGTCTTTCTCAAATTTGATGATCTTAAAATTTACATGACTTTCGTATTAAGAATTATAAAATGGAAAGAAATTTTCCCAACTATCAATGGTAAACAAATATTGACCAAAAATGCTATAGGATGACAGATTTAGCTTTATAAGTATTCTCTCTATGGAAAACAAGATTATAAAAATCATTGTCATAAGATATGGTCAAATGTTATGCAGTCAAAAAATTGGTAAGATAATATTATAGAGGTGGGTCAGGCAGTTATAAAATATTGTATTCTTTTGGAATGTTTGATATTGTCAGTTTTTTAAAATTTATAAATTACTGTGATTTCCTTTCTAAATTAAATATTCGTTTACAACTTAATACTGTTTTCATAGTTTTATATTCTTTTAACCATGCCACCCCATGCAGCTCCACAAAATCTGGACCTATACTGGTTATTAGAAAGGGAAACTAGAGTGCAGATTTCTTTTTCACAATATTTGGTAATCGACAATAGAGAGAGAATGACTTGAGAAAGACCAGTTTTGTGGCAAGATTTCACAGAATAAGGGTAAACCATAAGTGTCTTTGTAGACAGAGGGAAAAACAGTCAGAAGGCAAGAACATCCAAAAGAGAGGAAAGCAAGTTCCCAGAATACAGGTAGGAACAAATGTGGGGGAGAAGAATTGTCTTAGCAAGGAGGAGGGTTTCTGCTTCTCCAGGATTATGATATGGAGAAAAAAATAAGTAAAGGGGACATCATGGTGATCTCCTTATTATTTATGCTACCATGTTGCAGCCATGCAGGTTGGTGGAATTGACCCCACCTTTGGTTGGAGTTTGGTTCCCATCTCCCTTGCTCCATTGATAGGTTCAGACTCAATCCAGTCAACCCATGGCATTTCTTGGTGATTGTCTCAGTGGTGGTTCAGCTAGAGTGGTGTTCAGGATTTTCTATGATGCTATAAAAGGGACACGCTTTCACTCCCAGGATGTGAGCATGTTGCTGGCAGCTAGCTTTCAATCAAGGGAAGCTAGCTTGAGGACGGCACTTACACAGAGAAAAGGGCAGAATGGAGAAAATAAAAAGAACTGGAACTTTTGCCATGTGCCCAAAGCCTGACTGCCTCTAGAATTTTCAATGATATAAGCCAATAAATTTCCATTATTATATCAGCCAGCTTGGGTTGGGTTTGCTTTTACTTGCAACTGACAGCATTCTTCTTGCTACAATGAGTGAAGATACAGAGATGTTTTGAGATGTAGAGGAGTCAAGAGAATAAATGATGACTTGCCCCTTCTGTCTCTATCTGTAAAACTGAAGGAAATGTAATCTACAGAGATGTAAGGAACTGCATGTAGGATTGCAGGGATGATGGAAGAGAACAGGATGGGAAGAACCCCCAAAGGGAATATTTCACGGAGCAAATATAGATGAATCCCAGCTTTACTTTCCTTCATAATGCTTATTACTTGACATGTTATATATTTTTGTCTTCTTCATAAATTGTAAGCTTCATCATGGCAGGGATTTGCTTCATTCATTTATTCATCACATTTCTAGTGCCTAGAGTTATGCTTGGCACATGGTAGACGCTGAGCAAATATTGATAGGTATGAATGAAAGAATTAACTTCCAAACAAACTTAAGAGCCCAACTTACACTGTACAGTGTGCATCTGTGGTGGAAACCATTCACACACTTTCTTAACTCTTAGAGAATGCTCTTTAGTCTGGGTACATGAGGGAAGAAAAGAGATTATGGAGTTTGTCCATTATTGTGGAATGGCACCTTGCCCAGTGCTTGGCACTTAATGAATAGTAACATTAATGCTGCATGACGTCACAGAGTGATTATGGCAGGGGAGAGGTGGTAAGGAAATCCAGCATGCCAGCCAGGGCAGGGCTGACAGGGCCAACCACTTGGTCCAAGATGGGTAGACAAACAGTTGAGTAAAGTGATTTGAAGGTCAAAATTAAAACTATACCAAACTAATGTCATGCTGAAGCCTTAGTTTTGGAGTTCGTAGCAGTCTAATTTAACTGCAGAAAATGTAAGTACCTCTAGACAAACTGCTTAAATATAGCTTCCTTCAGGTAAAGAAAGTAATGACAGGGCAAGATAAAGTCAAAAAGAGATAATCAGACAACAAAAAGTGGGCCAAAGACCTTTAGAAACATAGCTGGGCATGTGTAAGCATCGTGGGTGATGTAGGGTCTGAGGAAATCTGTTATTAGGACTTATTTGGAAGGTGGAGAAAAGGAACAGAGAAAGTTCCAATTTCAACCTGCATTAAAAAACAGAAATAAAAAAGCAGTGGAAAAAATTTATAAAACTGGCTGTCATGTTTAAATTTAGTAAGTAGACTAAAGAAGGTTCCAAACAATGGGCTACACTGTTGTAGCTGCTTATTTTTACTTGGTTTATTGGCAAAGGTTTCTCATTTCTTCACATATACTTTTCAAAGACCCTAGAGTCTCAGGTTTCATTTAGCAGAGTGACAGCGTTCAAATAATAATCTGGTGTCTGTCTTGGCCTCTGGTTCTCCTGTTCCCTTTGTACCCTTGCCCTCTTATTTTTCTTAGTTTCCTCTCCTACCTACCCACTCCCCCGACCCCTGAAGCACACATTTTTTTTTCTCCTGGTGAGTTTCTCTCCAGATTGCAGAAAATGTCAATTAGCTATAAAAATCATCTCACACACATGAAACATGTTTGATGACAAAGTCTGGATGTGTCACTAGGGATCCTATTCCAGGGTGGCCGCCATGACCCTACTATAGTTCATTGGTTTTAAGGGTTGGGATCAACCTGAAGGGATTGAATGAAATGAGTCTCTTGGAACTGCTGGAAGGTAGGAGCTACTCTGTATCATTCCAGACAGTGTTGTAATAGAAAGAAGTCTTTGTGATTAGACAGACCTTGTTCAAATTCCAGTCTTATTTTTTATTAGCTTCTTATGATGTTGGATAAGTAGCTTCAACTTTATGAGTCTCAGTCTCCTCATCTGTAACATGAGAATAATAATATATACCTCAAAGTATTTTGTGAAGAATAAATGAGTAAAGACTGTAAAGTGGTTGTGACAGTACCTTATGCATGACAAGCATTTTCTAAGTGGTGGCTACTATCTTTGTCATCTTGGATTGACTCTAGTTTCACCCATTTTCCTACTGATGCCCAGCTTAGGCCACATACGTGGCACTGTTCTTCCAGAATCTGAAGCAAGACTGCAATACTCAAGGGGTGTGTCACTGGGGTAGGGGGATACATTTTTCTGTTAGAGTGGGTTTTGGTGTCTGAACGAGTGCCCTTAAAGTGAGTTGCAGGTAGGCTTACTATTCAGATTGCTCCTGTTCACATCTTAATTCATTTTTGCTCAGAGCCTGATCTGTTCATTCTTGCATTAATTTATTTCCTCAGTACAAAATTTATGAGCACTCGCTTGATGTCAGGACTGGGTGCACAGTGATACATAAGACCTAGTTCCTACTCTCACATGATACAAAATTCCCTCTTTAGATAATACAGAGTTTATATATGGCTTCATTCTGTGACTTGCATCATAGATGCACCTGCACAGCAACATGGTGACCTTTTTAACCCTGCAATTTTTTATCAATTTCATAAGCATTATGCTGGAGTCTCCACTTTATCTTAGTTTCTCTTTATCACTCAGTTTTTCGTTATCAGATTAAACTCTGTATAAATTCAAAGGGCTTAATTAATCTTGTACAGTTTATACTTGCAGTTAGTGCATCTTCTTATAGAGCCAATATCCTGTTACAGAATATACAGCTGTATATGTTGTTACACTATTACATGCAAAGACTCATACTGTTATTCAATTACGGGAAAATGTAAGGCCTATGAGCTTCTTTATTCTATTTTAGTGCACAGGCTGCCAACATAGTATTGAAAAGCCATTCTAGTAGGTTGAGATGCATTTTCCCAGTTCTAGATTTCCCAAGAAATCAGGGCTCAAGTTGGAAGATGCAGAATGCAGGGCATAATTGCATTTTGAATTAATGTCAACAAGACACAATGATGTTTTTTTTTCCGTACTTTTCTTGGAGTACATTTTAGATAAAACAGGAATAAGATTATTGGTGAGGTGCTCTGTTTCAACCTTGCTGTTATCTAAACCAATCTTGCTTTGTTCTGTTTTTCAGTAGGAGAGTTCTTGTGATGTCTGCAGCCATGTCTGGAGTTTTGTATGAGGTTCGGTTAACTTCCCTAGTCCCTATATTTCAGATGTCAATATTCCTTGGGGTGAGGGGCAAAGCAAAGTCTTGTTATTTTTATAGATGCAAATGCTGTTCTGGTTAGCATTAAATTGCAGGAGCACTTCAGAATCTTGAAATAATTGGCAATTTATTTGTTTTCTTACTCAGAGTTTATTTTTGAAATGGAGTTTGACCTTCTGAGTAAAGTTTTTTGGTTTTAAAATTTCATGATAAATGAGAAGTGTAATAGTTTGTTTGGCTTCCAAAACTCACATTTTTCTAAATCTGCTATTATCCTACCCCCTTTCAGTTTTAGTCTTAGCTCTAATTTACATTATAGGTTCAATCCTTGTATAAGTCAGAGGAACCTAATTATAACTATAAAAACAACTCATTGGCTTAGGTTTGAGTAAATGTCCTCTGTTTTTGGCACTCCAGTGTCTAAATGATTTAGTTTTCTTTTTAAAATCTCACCTGAAACTATTTGGCTCCTGTTGTGTATTCTGTACTCTCCAGGGAATGGGTTCCTGATTAACACTGTAGTTCTATGGTGTGGAAGTTCTTACCTTATGCTTAAGTGGGTTATTACCTTGAACTTAAGTTTCGCAGTGACTTAGTTCCTGACATCTGTTTTGGCCATCAACAATGCCAACTGCCTTTCCTGTTTCGGTGTCTGCTTTCTGTCACCTTTTGTGTGAGCTCTTACTGCTTGATCTAGCATGGCTTGGATAGTAATGTAAGTATTTTGCTTAGTTAGTTGTGCTTATACCCTGTATGTTCTTTCTCCTCTTTGAATTGCTGCCCGCGGATTTGGCTTGCCACGTGAGCCTGGCTTGGTCTTCTCCCATATGAATTCAAAATATTCCTCCTAAGGTCAGGCTCAGCACTTTGTTGCATCTCCAAAAATTTCTATCTAAACAAATCAACAAATTCAATAAGGAACATTTTCCTCAAAGCCAAATCCAAAAGTATTATAGAGTGCTGCAGCATTTACTGAAATTCTCATGAGGTGACAGAAGAGCATAGCACAGTACAAAACCTGTTAAAATATTCTCTAATCATCTGTCTTATCTTCTGCTAGTCTCTCCTATCGCCTCTTTCTTTCTCTACAAAGTATAGCCCCACTCCCACCACAGGGTGGTGTCCCTCTGTGACTTGAGCACTGTAGTCCTTCCCCTCAGCTGCAGTGCTTCACTCCGCAAAACAAGAAACAACAACATGGGACTTTTCTAGTACATTCCTTGGGAAACTTGGTATGTCCTGCTTGAAAGAAAAGCCCAAATAAGACTGCCAAGATCATCCAGAGGTGGGTGACTTTTGCAAATGTGTATGCTATTCAGTCTTTATAGGTGTGTGTCTACTTGTTTGGGTATGAATGTAAATGTATATATGTGTGTTTTATAAAATTGAGATGATACTACATATACTAATTTATAATCTACCTTTTTATTTAATAAAATGTCATGGACAACTTCTAATTCTCCAATAGTCTTCACTTACATATTTTTGGTGGTTTCAAGAATTGTACTGTATGGAAGTTTCATTATTAATATGTTATCTTGTTAGCTGTTTAGGCTACATACAATTTTTTCCTCTCATAAATTGTCTGTAATGATTTTGCACCTTATTATTTCCTCATGATAAAGATAACAGAAACAGGATTTCTAGGTGGAAATGTATGAGCATCTAAAAAGTTTTGATGCACAATATGTAATTGACTCCCAGAGTGATTATGCCAATGCCCTGCCCCCTCACCTGGAATATATATACTTAGTTTTTCATCATTGTATTAGACGAGGAGGAATAGAAGGCATTTTTCTTTACATGTTCAATGATTTGATTACTACTTAGGTTAAATATATTATAAGATTTGTCAAGCAATGCAGTCCCATATAACTACCTTATGTATTTCTTTGCTTGCTTGCCTGGGCTTATCCACTGCTAGGTCTTTATTAGTGTTGCTTCTTTCTTTCTCTTACAGGTGACTTGTGATCTGATTTTAGTCTATATCAGTTCCTACGTTTGCTTTGCTTACTTTGTTCATAGGCCGTTTTTATACTCAGGCTATTCCTTATCCTATACCGCTTTCCAGCCTCGCTACTTGACTATGTTGCTAAGAACTTAAAGATGACCTTAAAGATAATCTGAGAAAAATAGATTCATTTTTGTATAGATTCACACCAAATTCACATTAAAACTACCCATTTGAGATACTGAGTCAGGGGGTGGACTAAGAATAAGTGGGCTTTGTGGGAAAGCTGGAAGCAGGGATATTTATCAAGGATCCTTGGGTAATAGCTCTGTTTTCTCCCATACATGAGGAAGTCCTTTAGATGAGGATGCTGTTTAGTGCAAGAACCTAAATTCTATTATTTGCTTCTGGGGAAACAAATGGGAGCAAAGAGATAGTGTAAATTATTTTGGAGTGGTAAATGGTGATGGCGTAGCAAGCACCCAGTTTCTCAGAATCAGTAAGACCTACCTTGTGCACATACTGTTGCTGACAGCTACTGCTCTGCTGTTTCTCAACCCCACTCCAAGGGAAGGTAAACTTTGAACTCTGCTATGCTGCATTCCATCCTGCTCTCTGCCACCATCTTGTTTTCTACAAGATCTTCTTATGTGCTTGGCTTATTAATCATGAATGTAATCTAATCTTATATTGTGATTGCATGTTGCTTTTTTTCTTTTTTTTTTAACTTTTACGTTTGGGAGGACATGTGAAGGTTTGTTGCATAGGTTAACTCATGTCATGGGGGTGTGTTGTACAGGTTATTTCGTCACCCAGGTATTAAGCCCAGTACCCAATAGTTATCTTTTCTGCTCCTCTCCCTCCTCCCACCCTCCCCTCGCAAGTAGACCCCAGTGTCTGTTGTTTCCTTCTTTGTGTTTGTAAGTTTTCATCACTTAGCTCACATTTAGAAGTGAGAACATATGGCATTTGGTTTTCTATTCCTGCATTATTTTGCTAAGGATGATAGCCTCCTATTAGTTAGATTTGAGTTGCTGATAAAATGGAGATATTTCTGTATAGTGTATTACAAGGTAATATGCTTATTACCTTGTTTTCCATTTTATAGATGGAGTCATATTTGTTTCATATGAGAGTTGGCTTGCACTTTTACATCCATCCATGTTCCCACAAAAGACACAGTCTCATTCTTTTTAATGGCTGCATAGTATTCCATCATGTATATGTCCCACATTTTCTTTATCCAGTCTGTCATTGACGGGCATTTAGGTTGGTTCAGTGCCTTTGTTATTGGGAATAGTGCTGCAATGAACATAATGTGTGCATGTGTCTTTATGGTAGAATGCTTTGTATTCCTCTGGGTATATTCTCAGTAATGGAATTTCTGGGTTGAATGGTACTTCTGTGTTTAGCTCTTTGAAGAATCACCATACTGCTTTCCATAATGGTTGAACTAATTTACACTCCCATCAACAGTGTATAAGTGTTTCCTTTTCTCCACAACCTCACCAGCATTTGTTATTTTTTGACTTTTTAATAATAGTCATTCTGACTGGTGTGAAATAGTATCTAATTGTGGTTTTGATTTGCCTTTCTCTAATTATCAGTGATATTGAGCTTTTTTCATATGCTTATTGCCACATGTATGTTTCTTTTGAGTTTGTCTGTTCATGTCCTTTGCCCAGTTTTTAATGGGATTGTTTGTTTTTCTCTTGTAAATTTGTTTAGGTTGCTTTTAGATGGTGGCTATTAAACCTTTGTCTGATACACAGTTTGCAAAAATTTTCTCCCATTCTGTAGGTTGTCTGTTTACTCTGTTGATAGTTTCTTTTGCTGTGCATTAGCTCTTTAGTTTAATTAAATACCACTTGTCAATTTTTGCTTTTGGTGTCTTTGTCATGAAATCTTTGCCCAATCCTATATCCAGGATAGTATTGCCTAGGTTGTCTTCCAGGGTTTTTATAGTTTCGGGTTTTTCATCTTGAGTTTATTTTTGTATACGGTATAAGAAAGAGATCCAGCTTCAATCTTTTGCATATGTCTAGCCAGTTATCCCAGCACCATTTATTGGCTTGGGAATCTTTTCCCTATTGCTTGTTTTTGTCAGCTTTGTCGAAGATTAGATGGTTGTTGGTATGTGGCCTAATTTCTGGGCCCTCTATTTTGTTCCGTTGGTCTGTGTGCCTGTATTTGTACTGCCTGTATTTGTACCAGTACCATGCTGTTTTGGTTACTGTAGCCCTGTAGTATAGTTTGAAGTTGGGTAACATGATGACTCCAGCCTTGTTCTTTTGCTTAGGATTGTCTTGGTTATTCAGGCTCTTTTTTGGTTCCATATGAATTTTAAGATAGATTTTTTTCTAGTTCTGTGTAGAATGTCATTGTCAGTTTGATAGGAATGGCATGTTGCTTTTTTCTACCAATCCATAGCTTCTGAGGGTTAATCATTGCATAGTCGAAAACCCATTTTAATGAAGATTTGGGTAACATAAAATGGAGATATTTCTGTATAGTATATTACAAGGTAATATGCTTATTACTTTGTTTTCCATTTTATAGATGGACTCATATTTGATTCATTTGAGAGTTGGCTTGCACTTTTACATCTTAATTTTAATTTATAATCTACTTACCCCTAATCTTTATGTCTTTCATTCTGTATTAGTAAGACTAGCTGATGCTGAATTAACAAAGCACCCCCAAATCACCTGGCTTAACACAATGCAAAATATTTCTCACTTATGCTACCTGTCCTTTTTTAGGGAAATTAAATATTATAGATAAAGCCCAAAACTCACTATCCTCCCTTTTCTGCTCCATCTGTCTCTAGAGGTGATCAGATGTAACTAAAGTTAGTGAAATTTATGACAAACTTCAAATTTCTATAAGAAGTTGGGATTTTGATTGGAATTTCATTGATTCATATGTTAATTAAGGGATAATTGCTGCCTTTACAATATTGATTTTTTCTATTTCTAAATAGATCACTCCATATATTTGTCTTCTTTTATGTCTTTCAATAAATTGTTATTATTTTCTCCATTAAGTTCTTGCACATCTTTTATTAAATTTATTGCTAGGTACCTTACATCTTTTTGTGGGTTTTTAAGAAGTGTCTGTCGCAGACTTTATGTAGTAGCAATTTTCAATCTCCTCTGCAGCTAGAGGTGGCCATATGACTTAGTTCTGGCCAATGATGTTTAAGAAGTTCTTATAAGGTGATTATTCAGATTTTTTTTTTCCTGGTAAAAGAGACAGGTATGGTACTGTGCTGTTCTTTTCTCTTTCTTCCTGCTTGTAATAGAGGTGTGAAAACATATTTCTTAGAGCTACTTCAACTATTCTGTCAATATGAAATGACAAAACTGTGAGTATAAAAAACATGGCAGTTAGGTGGAAAAAAAAGCCTTTAGATACTTGGCTGAGATCGTAGAGCAGCTGAAGTACGTAACTGTTTTTTTTTCCAGGTTTCCTGCCAAGTGAGAAAAATAAGCCTTTATTTGTTTGTCACAGTTATTTGTGTTTCTATTACTTTCACCCAAACCAGTTCTGACATAGTGGCTATTGTGATATTAAATGTTTTAATTGTTTGTTGTGTTTAGGATAAAATTAATTATTATTTTATAATCTTGTATTCAGTGATGTTCTTAAAATTTATTATTAGTTCTAATAGGTTTCTATCAATTCTATTGAATTTTTTTCTCTACCCAATCATATGTTGTGAAGTATGGTAGTGTTTATAAGAATAGTCAGGACAGGAAACTAGGAAGTAGGTACTGAAGATGAACTATTTCTTTGTTTTGACCACCTTAAAGCTGTATGACTTTTGTTTAACTGTAATCAACTTCATGCAAGATTATAAATGTTTTTGAGTTTCTCATTACTCCCATATAAAAATATAACATAGCAAGACTCTATCTCTACAAAAAAAATTAAAAATTAGCCAAGTGTAGTGGCACACGCCTTTAGTCCCAGCTACTTGGGAGGCTGAGGTGGGAGAATCACTTGAGCCCAGGAATTCAAGGTTGCAGTGAGCTATGGTTATGTCACTGCACTCTAGGCTGGGGGAACAGAGCAAGATCTTGTATCTAAAAAAAAACAAAAACAAAAACAAAAAAACAAATCCAAACATTTGCCTTAAAAAAAAATCAGGACACTAGTCTAGTTAACTCAATTACTGTACATGAGGTTTAAAAGGAACTTTCCAAAACTTCTGTAGAGATGATTTAGGGACACTGTTTTTAAACTTCTTGAAATCGAGATATGCTGGGAGTATGGGTTTGACAATAGCAAAGGGCAGATGGTTGAAGAAAACTGTATGAAGTGTGGGATTGTGGTACCACTTACCAAATAACTCACTTTACTCCCTATTACTGAACATGCTTGACTTAATGGACCAGAGAGAGGTCTGAACAGAGGTATAGAAGTAGATGTATTTGGAATACATTCACAAATGGTTAAAGAACAAATGTGAATTCTACTTTTTGTATACACAATTACATATTTGATTTTTAAAATTTAGAGACTATCTGTAGTTATGTTTTAATTGTATCTTTATTTTTTATGTCTGTAAAATTTGTGGAAACCGAAGCAAAGATTAGTCAGAAGGTTTTTTAAATGATGTAGCATTTATTTGGGGTGAACTAATTTTTAATTAATTTTAATTAAAATAATATACTACCTAGGGAAACTCAAGGGAATTAAATTATGACAAATAATATGAGAGTTCAGCAATATATGTATTTATAGTATTAATATTTGAAAAGTAATAAAAATAGTACAAGTTTAATAACAGTATAGAGTTAAAAGTTTTGTTTATTGTACTTAGTGACAATGTTTTAACGGTAGATTTGTTTTGTGGAAATGTGAATGTTAAAGCACTCTGATTTAAAACATTTCTTTTATGGTATTTTACTGTAACCCCTTTTCCTATTTTAGATGTTCTACTTGTAGTAAAATATCTGCATACTTGAAACTCTGTATCTAGGCAGAAATTATTATTTTCTAATTGGTTGGCAGAGAATGGCGGAGCTCTATGCCTTTTATCTAATTGTAATCAATTTCACACAAGATTATAAACTTTTTTTGAGCTTCTCATTACTCTCATATAAGCACATAACATAGGGATACTTTATCTGTACAAAAAAAATTAAAAATTAGCTTGGTGTGGCGGCACCCGCCTGTAGTTCCAGCTACTCAGGAGGCTGTGGGAGGATCGCTTGAAACCTTCAAGTAAATTTATTTCAGTGTGACACTATTGCTACTGCTTCCTGTTTGATAATTAAACATTTCCACTTTTATTTTGACTCTGCCTACCTTGAGTATCATGAAGAGGAAATGTTCTCATTTTTATTTTTTTTTCAATTTCTGAAGTTCTAACATTGAAACTCCAGTTTCCATCCCTTAATCACTCTTCCACTGGCTTTTATAACCATGTTATTCTATATTCTCTTTTATCTTTTGAAATATTCTTTCATTTTAATTGCTTTCGATCCTGTCTTTCTCTACACATCAACTAGAATGCTTAACAATATGGTTATACTTATCATATAACCTAGAAATTCTCCTCTTAGATATTCACTCCAGAGAAATGACAATCTATACCAATGCAAAAGCTCTTATGTAAACATTTTTAGCAGGTTTATTTATAGTAGCTTTAAAGTTGTAATAACCCAAATGTCAATCAATCGGTGAACAGACACACAAATTTTGGTATATTCATACAGTAGAATACTCAACAACAAAATGAAACAAACCATTGATACACACAACATAAACTTCAAAACATTTATTCTATGTGAAATAAGCCAGGTACAAAAGACCAGATAATGTAAATTTATGTATATGATATTTTAAAAAGGCAGAACTACCGTGACAGAGAATTGGGGATTGCCAGGTGATGAGCCTATGGGAAGTGGATCTGACTGTAAAGAGGCATGAGGAAATGCTTTTGGGTGATGAAAATGTTCTATATCTTGATTTTGGTGGCTATTATATGAGAGTAAACGTTTGTCAAAACTCATGGAATTTAACTGGTGAATTTTATTATATATAAATTATAATTCAATAAAGTGGATTAAAAATACTGAAAAGAAGGAATTCCTTGAGACATCATTTTTGGAAACATGTCAAGGAGTATTAAAATGCCTCTTTGTGTAAAGGCTTGAATCCTGTCATCCTAATCTAAGAAGTATGTTTGATTGTCTTAAGGTAGTGGTATGGTTTCTATAAAAACCATATTACATTCTAATTAATGAGATTAAAAATATCTAGGCAGTGCAAGACCTAGGCCAGAGGAAAATCAAAGAGAATAGTGACTAAAATGAATACATTCTATGAATTAATCCAAATGAGAGGCAGGCAATAGGTCACTATTTAGATATGACTACCAGAAGAAAATCTTACATTAATGATCAGAAACACATTTTTGAAATATCTGTATCAAATCTCATGAAATTAGGAGAGGCAAGCTTGAAGAGGGTCACTGAGTCTCCACAAGATATGAAACTCCAGGATGACTAGGATATCTAGTCTTAGGAGGAAATTCTGGAGATGGATTGACAAGAAAATCTGACAGCAAGGTTTAGTTTACACTGTTGGCCAGGAGCTGGAAAGAAGGCTGTCATGGCAAAGGGAACCATCATTTTTCTTTATTTCACACTACCACCTGCATCCAAGTTTCCAGCCACACTGTCTTGGGCTAAAACAATTGCTGGAAACTTCATTTCTCTTTGCTGAAGTATAATCACTTACAGGTTATTTGTGTGGATATATTTTTTTCTTCCTGTTGGCAATTTTGAATTTTAG
Source organism: Homo sapiens (assembly GCF_000001405.40). Lineage (NCBI taxonomy): Eukaryota > Metazoa > Chordata > Mammalia > Primates > Hominidae > Homo > Homo sapiens. Next base: position 127,344,783 of record NC_000004.12, on the reverse strand, counting down.
ATGATTAAATTCTATCCTTCAATGTGAACTGCTTTGTGGTTTATTCGTTTATTAGAGGGAAGTGTGGCCACTGCCTCTGGAAGATGCCATAGTGGTGTATCTAAACGGGGATGAAGTTTTTGCTGAGGAGAGATGGTATGTTAGCTTTGGCCTTGAGTTCTTGAAGGACCATGATTGAAAGTTGTTCCAGGAGACATATTAATCTTTTTTAGTTGCCAACTTTGTGGTTTTCCTGTGGAGTTGGTCTAGTTTTCATCAACAGCTGTGGTTAATTTTTGGGAGCCAGGAGTAGCCATTTTGGAGGTGATTCTCCCTTTTTCTTTGAATGACGATACAATTTTTTGACTCTGGTTGCTGTGGTATTATGCTTTTATATTTCCTTAATTTATAACTGATTAAAAGCGATGGGCTAGAATTTTACATAAGCTAAGCAGAGGTCTAAGGGTTGTTTACTGACAGCTCATGCAACCCATGCAGATTCTCACATCGTTGGTTTGGAAGAGGCCATTTGGGTTGGGAGAGGCAAGAGATGAGAACAAATATGAATTGGCTGATGTTCAGGCTCTGTCCATAGCTGCCACTTAACATAGATCTGGATGTGGGTTTTAGAGTGTGCATGACATGATTGCTTATATATGGAGAGTAAAGTAACTGATTAGATTTTTTTCATTTCTCTAAAGTACAGTTTACATACAGTATAATTTATCCTTTTAAGCATATGGTTCTGTAAGTTTTGACAAACAAAAAGTCACATAAGCATTTCTATAATCAAGATATAGATGTAGTTTTTAAACAAGTTTTAGGCCGGGTGCAGTGGCTCACACCTGTAATCCCAGCACTTTGGGGTCAAGGGATCGAGACCATCCTGGCCAACATGGTGAAACCCCGTCTCTACTGAAAATACAAAAATTAGCTGGGTGTGGTGGTGCGTACCTGTAATCCCAGCTACTCAGGAGGCTGGGGCAGGAGAATGGCTTGAACCTGGGAGGCGGAGGTTGCAGTGAGCTGAGATCACATCACTGCACTCCAGCCTGGCAACAGAGTGAGACTGTGTCTCAAAAAAAAAAATTATTTCAATAGGTTTTTTTAGGGGAACAGGTGGTGGTTAGTTACATGAATAAGTTATTTAGTGGTGATTTTTGAGATTTCAGTAAACCCATCACCAAGCAGTGTACATTGTACCCAGTGTGTAGTCTTTTATCCCTCGCCACCCCCCACTCTTTCCCCCAGGTCCCCAAACTCTAACGTATCATTCTTATACCTTTGGTCCCCATAACTTAGTTCCCACATATGAGTGAGAACATGTGATGTTTGGTTTTCCATTCCTGAGTTATTTTACTTAGAATAATAGTCTCCAACTCCATCCAAGTTGCTCTCTGCTGCTCAGAGAGAGAGTGCTCAGAGAGAGAGAGCGGGGGGCTATGTGTGTGTGTATGTGTATATACACGTGTATATATGTGTGTGTATGTGTATATACACGTGTATATATGTGTGTATACATATGTGTATAACATGTGTGTATACATATGTGTATAACATGTGTGTATACATATGTGTATAACATGTGTGTATACACACACACACACATTTTCTTTATCCACTCATTGATGGGCATTTGGGCTGGTTCCATATTTCTGCAATTGCAAATTCTGCTGTACACATGCGTGTGCAGGTATCTTTTGATCTAATGACTTCTTTTCTCCTGGGTAGGTAGTTAGTAGTGGGATTGCTGGGTCAAACGGTAGATCTACTTTTAGTTATTTAAGGAATCTCCACACTGTTTTCCATAGTGGTTGTACTAGTTTACATTCCCATCAACTGTGTAAAAATATTCTGTTTTCACCACATCCCCGCCAATATCTATTATTTTTTGATTTTTTGATTATGGCCATTGTTGCAGGAGTGAGGCGGTTTTGCATTGTGGTTTTTATTTGCATTTCCCTGATAGCAATATCGAGCATTTTCCCATATGCTTGTTGGCCATTTGTATATCTTCTTTTGAGAATTGTCTATTCATGTCCTTAGACCACTTTTTGATGAGATTATTTGCTTTTTTTTCTTGCTGATGTGTTAGAATTCTTTGTAGATTCTGGACATTAGTCCTTTGTCAGATGCATAGATTGTGAAGATTTTCTCCCACTCCGTTGGTTGTCTGTTAACTCTGCTGATTATTTCTTTTGCTGTGCAGAAGAAGCCTTTTAGTTTCATTAAGTCCCATGTATTTATCTTTGTTTTTGTTGCATTTGCTTTTGGGTTCTTGGTTTTGAAGTTTTTGCCTAAGCCAATATCGAGAAGGGTTTTTCTGATGTTATTTTCTAGGATCTTTATGGTTTCAGGTCTTAGATTTAAGTCTTTGATCCATCTTTTGTATAAGGTGAGAGATGAGGATCCAGTTTCATTCCTCTACACTTGGCTTGCCAATTATCCCAGCACCATTTGTTGAATAGGGTGCCCTTTCCCCATTTTATGTTTTTGTTTGCTTTGTGGAAGATCAGTTGGCTGTAAGTATTTAGGATTATCTCTGGGTTCTCTATTCTGTTCCCTTGGCCTATGTGCCTATTATTATACCAGTACCATCCTGTTTTGGTGACTATAGCCTTATAGTTTGAAGTCCAGTAGTGTGATGCCTCCAGATTTGTTCTTTTTGCTTAGTCTTGCTTTGGCTATGTGGGCTTTTTTCTTTTTTCTTATTTTTTTTGGTTCCATAATTATTTTAGGATTGTTCTTGCTAGTTCTGTGAAGAATGATGGTGGTATTTCGATGGGAATTGCATTGAATTTGTAGATTGCTTTTGGCAGTATAGTCATTTTCACAATATTGATTCTACCCATCCATGAGCATGGGATGTGTTTCCATTTGTTTGTATCGTCTACGATTTGTTTCATCAGTTTTTTTGTGTGTTTTTTTTAGAGGTCTTTCATTTCCTCAATTAGGTATATTCCTAAGTATTTTATTTTAATTTTTTTGCAGCTATTGTGAAAGGGGTTGAGTTCTTGATTTGATTCTCAGCATGGTCACTGTTAGTATATAGCAGAGCTGCTGGTTTGTGTACATTAATTTTGTATCCTGAAACTTTGCTGAATTCATTTACCAGTTTTAGGAGCTTTTTGGATGAGTCTTTAGGGTTTTCTAGATATACGATCATATCATCAGCAAATAGCGACAGTTTGACTTTCTCTTTACTGATTTGGATGCCCAAGATACAGATATAGTTTTATCATCCCCCCAGATCCCCTGTTTCCATTTGTAGTTAACTCTTCCTCTGATTATCTGTTTTCTGTCCCTATAGTTTTCCCTTTTTCAGAGTGTCATATAAATTCAGTCACGTAGTATATGTATTTTTGAGTTGGCTTCTTCCACTTAGTGATGCATTTGAGATTCATTCATGTTGGATGTATCAGTATTTAATCTATTTATATTCATGAGTGGTATTCCATTATATAGATGTACCACAGTTTATTTTTTTTATTCACCAGTGTAAGCATGTATGGGTTGTTTCCAGATTTTGAAGGTTATAAATAAAGATTATTTTTAAATTAACACCTACATGTAAGTTTTTCTGTGAACATAAGTTTTCATTTTATTTGGGTGAGTATTTAATAGCATTGTTGAGTCATCTGGTTGGTAATGCATGTTTAAATTTATAAGGAACTGCAGGACTATTCTCATAAGTGACTACACTATTTTGCATTTCTTCCAACAATGTATGAGAGTTCATATCACTCTGCATCGTTGCACACAATTGGTATTCTCAATATTTCATTTAAAAATTATAATCATTCTAAACTAGGGCATGGTACTATGTCATTGTGTTTTGGGTAAGGATAGGTTTAATTTGCAGATGGTCTGGGAGAACACTAACTTTATTTCCAGGATTATTTTGATAACCTGGTACTGATCCATGGTCAAGATAAGAATGACATCAATAAGAGTAATTTATAATTTGGTGTTTTAGACCTAATACTCCCCTGGAGGCACTTGTGGTTTTAAAGTCTTTTTGTAAATTTCCTTCAAACAGTGGAGCTTAATTTTCTATGCTGTCCTCCCCACCCCAAGAGTGCTGGCTTTGGTGGTTCATTTTTAATGAGCAGCAAATGATGCAAGTGATAGCGTGTAACATTCAAGACTAAAAGGCATGTGGCTTTCTCCTTGCTTCCTCTTCTCTGGAATCACTCCCCCTGGTGAAAGCCAGCCGACAGCCATGTCATGAAGACACCCAAGCAGCCCTATGGGGAGGCCCACAGAGAGGACCTGAAGCCTCTTGCTAAGGGTCGTGTGAGTGAGCTGTCTTGGAAGTGGATCCACCAGCCCTAGTCAAGCCTTCAGTTTACTGTATCCCTAAGTCAACATCTTGAGTGCAACCAGGTGAAAGACACTGAGCCAGATCCACCAAGCTAAGCTTCTCGTGAATTACTGACCCATAGAGACTGTGAGAAGATAAATGTTTGCTAGGGTGATTTGTTATGCAGTAATTGATGCAGATTGGTGCAGATTTTGGTACTGGATGTGGGGTGCTGTTGTAACAAATACCTACAAATCTGGGAAAGCCTTTGGAATCAGGCAGTGAGCAGAAGATGGAAGGACTTTCTGGGAGAGTCTTGAAGTTCTTTCCCTGATTTTTGCTCTTGTGTTTTAGCTTTGGTGTAAATATTAGGCTTTACCTGATTTTAGGCTTTTTCTTTTAAATGCATTTTATGATAGCTGACTCAAAATTATATACAGAGGACCATTTGTTTTAGGATTTTAAAAATGTCACACAGTTACCAAGTAAAATCATAAATCATGAAACACCCTTATTCAATTTCTTAAATATCTCCTTTTTTAGTGATTACTGTAACAGTAGGAAGTCCTTGTCTCAATTTTTGTTCTAAATTTTAATCTCAGTATGAGGTTTTAATGTAAAAAGTTGGATGAGAATAACTGATTATCTGGTTCCAAAAGACATTTCTAGAAGAGATCTCTTGGGCATAATCCACGCACCCAAGTTCTCACAGAGTAGGAGATTTACTACTTAAGAAGTTTAGTATCATTGGTGGATATTTTACATGTACATTTTTTAAGCTTCAAATTTAATTTCTTTGGCAATCCAAGCTATTCTCTGTATGAGAAACAAGAGAAGAAGCCAGATTCTCATTCAATCTGGAGGCCCTATGCTATACTAATGTATCATACCTGCCTTCCATCAATTCCATAGTGTTACATAAATTGTTGAGTTCTGCTTTTCGGCTTTTTCCTGGCCAAGGTGTGAAGGGGCCCAGGAGAGAGAGAAAAGTAAATCAGAATGTGTATACTGTCTTTTCCTCTCAGTAACCATGTCTGACTTAATCCTTGGCAGAGTCTAAGCACCCTTTTTCCCATGGTTGGGTCTTATTCCGTTCTCTTCTGGGGGTCGTGATGCAAATATTTAAACTTATATTGAATCATTGATATTCAGAATTGACAAAGAAAGGGGAAAAGTACTTTGGAGCACCTACCAAATGCCATTTATGTAACACAGTGTTTTAAATGTGTATCAGATTGGCTGGCACAGTTTGGCCAAACTCGTGGTGTTAAATATTGATCAGGATCTCATCTTGTTCAACTAAAACTACCAGCATTTTTTCTACTCAATTTGAAAGAAATGGTTGCAGATCATTCTCATGGAGTATATGAAACTGATCTTTTGTACTTGGATAGAAAATTTGGCTGGTTTCCTGAAAATCATCTGGCAGGACATGGTATATACAATATTCCACATAGTTTGGATATTAGCACTAGACCCCAGGCAATCCATTGAGATAGGCATCCAAGGCATATTTTCTAGACTCAAACTCTGCTTTTGTGGGAAGTCAGTTATGTTTTTCCTTTATTGTCATGGACTCACTGTCACGGTATTGCCTTTTTCCAGTGATGGGTTCAGTAAGTGGTGAATGCCTGACACAAATTAAGCCAATATATACATGTGTGGAATATTCTGTTTGTTAGTTATGCCATTATTTGGTGTATCTGTTTGGTTTTCCTGGAAGTATACTCTAAAATGGAGTTAGGAGTGCAAAAGGTTTGGGTCTAACGCCTGTGAAAGAAACGGGACGAGAGCAGGATTGTATAGGATGAGTCATCAGACTAGGATATAGACCTATTAAAGTTTCTGCCTGCCTGTTGGGCAGCTCTGTCATAAAAATCATCATAATGTGGAGCTTAAATGCCTAGACTTTTGTATCACCACCTCATTCAGTCATTAGCTAGGGGCCACCTTGAGAAGAATGTGACCTTGGCTCTAAAGCTGAGGCAGACCCTAAATAACTAACTTCTAGTGTTTGTTTAGCCAACAATAGTCCTTGTTTCTGGGCACAGAGTTATTTCTTGAAGAGGGAACTGATTAACACATCTTCCTGTATGTTACATGTTGCTAAAGGCCAATCATTTTTTGACTGTTTCCTGTGCCATCTTTACCTCAATTAGTTCCCATAGATATATCTATAAATATATAGATGTAGATATAAATGTGTAGATATAATGATATAAATGTGTAGATATAAAACTATGGAAAAGCCTTCTTTTCTGAAGTAGTTTCTTAAAAAAACCAAAGTGGAAAATGATAAAATGTTTAATGCGTATATATTTTAAATATTTTATTTTAACTCATTTTTATTGCAGATCTTTTATGTAGGGACAAAACCTTTTCTTTGAGTATAAAAGCCTTCTGAATAGAGTTCCATTTTATTTTCCACGCATAAGAAATATCAATAAAACATGATCTTGAAATTATAGTTTTGTGTTGTTAAGGTAGGGTATACACTATGAAACAATCTGATACAGGATTCCTTAGATTTTTATTATTTTTCAGCAATATTTTATGTTTTTTTTTACCAGTTTAACTCAATAGTGTTTGAAAATTATTCATCTTTAGACTCTTTAAGTCATTCAACCCATTTTTTTTTTTGTAGAGATGGGGTCTTGCTATGTTGGTCTGGGCTATGTTGCCCAGGCTGGTCTTGAACTCCTGGCCTCAAGTGATACTTCTACCTCTACCCTCCCAGTCAACCCAATTTTTATTAAAACAACTCCCTTTCCATTTTCACTCATTTTAAAGTTTAGATTATATTTATTAAAATTCATTGCACAAAAGTATAGGTTAGAGAACAAACAGATCAAACTTTTGTATGTATATGACTTAGGAGGTGAGAAAAGAAGTGTTCAGGCTTCCTAGAGGAAGGCATAGTATCCCTAAGACCTCATTTAGTTGTGAGCATTGGTCACTATCTTTTGTAGAGGGAAAGGAGAATGCCAATTGATCAGGCAAATAAGCAGAAAAAATTACTCATATACCCACAGCAATATCTCCAATGACATCTGTAACTGTATTTATATCTGCTGCATAAAGTTCATTTCAGATGATTACCAAACAGAACAATAAACAGATGATTACCAAAGAGGGATATGGCCAAATCACTGCTTGGTGAAATGGACTGTGCCATTGAATACACCTCAAGATGCCTTCTGACCTATTAGCTTAAAGCTTGGACTAGGGTAGCCATAAGCAGACTACTAGGTTTCTCTCCCCTCCTAGGCTGTGTTCTGTTTCTGGTTGGTCACACAAGGACATCCTTCTAAGTGGGAGTCTTCCCTAGACATGATTCACAATACAAGCTGCCTGAGATAGAGTGAGCCAAGCGAGAACTTCAGAAAAGAGGTAAGAGAAGGGTTTGGGGAGAAGAAAATCTTTCTCCCAGATCAGTTCTATTTATAATTGGTTTCCTCCTCTACCTAAAATCTCCACCCTTTACTTCACATCCTTGAAATACTCTTCTTTTTCTTCAACTTTGGGGATTGAAGAGAGGAATACTTGTGAGCCCCTAAAGGTTAGCATATGCCATGAATATAATCTTTCTATGTATTTTTAAGTTAATGAAAATGGACTATTCTTCCATCAGTTTTTGTGGGTGGCTTAAATCTGGGATGCTTGAATATTTGCAAGCATCTGACTGGAACATCCCACCAACCTGAGATATCCTTACCTACTATCCCAGTTTTCTTATTTACAAGGAAGAACTATGGAGAGGAAGTAGCTGATCATATGCTTCATAGGTACTTCCTCTGTTGAGGATCCTTGAATGATGGTTAGTTAAGCTGAGAACCCTGATAAGAGTCTACAAAGTCTTGAGTAAGTTAAAGGCACAATAGAAATATGCTACAATGGTCTAATGAAGTGATTCATTCTCAGTGCCAGGATATTTTATGGTTGTCATTGTTTTTTTTCTCACTTTGTGGGCATTGCAATGTATATTTTCCTTTTAATTTACAAGTAGGTGAGTACATCAATAGGGTGCTAGTATCTATCAAATAGAATGCTGTAGCACAAAAGGGAGAATAGTGGATGCTTTTAAAAAGAAATGGGAAAATTTCTCACCAACTTATTTATTCTTAACCTTTGGCATGATATTTAAATAAAATATGGTGATTGTTATGTTTAGGTGGAAATAGTTTAGGTTAATATTGTTACATTAGTCAAAATGATCACCTGTTGTTCATAGCTCTTATATTAAAGTTTAGCTGTGAGGATTTAAAGACATTTAAGTAAAAAAGAACTATGTAGTCAGAGAAATTTCTAAGTTCTACATGTGTGTGCCTGATGTACCTATAGCAGGTGTTCTCTGGGTAGGGAAACGAAGAATGGAGAGTTGCAGTTTTTAACAGGGTCCCTTTTGTATTGCTATCATGATTGTTGCTGTTGTTTCTCTTGGAAAAAGTTTAGGAAACCATCAGCAGTTTAAACTAGTCCATGGCATGGGGTTATTCAGTAAGATTCACTCCTTAGAGAGGGGCAATGCTTTTTCCCTATGCACGGAAATAAGAAGTGAGTGTTCCTTAAAGTACAGTTAGTCAGCAGTTTTGTTTTGTCAGAGATAAAGAACTGTTTTTTAACAAAAAGAGTAAAAGCTTGTGTTTGGAAGAATGTGATATGAACCATGATCTGTTACTGTGAAACTCTATGTTTAAGTGTTAGCCTGAATAAAAGCCACAGTCTTTTTGGATATTCAACTCCCATCAAATGACTGTGAAAGGTCTTTTAGTCCTTACTGGGGTCCCAGGGCCAGACATCACTTTTAGTGGACTTCTTTTTTCTTAATATAATAATATTTTAATTTTCTGGATCCTTTTATTTTTAGTAAATATCTAATTTTTACTTTGGGTTGCAGTATGAATTATTTACATATACCTACTTAGGGATAGGTACATAACAAAGGTTTACAGACTAAATGTAGTTTAAGTGAAATAATCTTTATGCCTTATGAAAATATACAAGTGAGTCATTCTTTATTGGAACTGAAGACTCGAGTTAAAAATTCTTTCCTGTAATCTTTTAAACATATGTTCTGCAGAGGAAAAAAATCTATTTTGCCTGGAGTCTTCTACTAAGTTAATAAAATGTTAATATTTTCCCATGTTATGAGTTCAGACATTTCTAAGGTCCTAAAATTACAGTGGCTAGAACTCTAAATGGGACAACACTAATAGTGGAACTGTGGAGTGAGGAGTGTGGAATAAGGAGAGATACTCAGAGCTTCCTTTATCTCTGCTGGTCTTACTTTCTCATATTGGCCTGGGCTAGGCAGTTCCAATTGCACAATTAGAGTCTACTCTCCAAAATGTCTGTTTTATTCATTACATAGAAGAAGATTAGACAAATTGGTGTGTGGGATGGTGAAATTGTGTGTGTGTGTGTGTGTGTGTGTGTGTGTTTAATGTACAAAAGGATCTTACAGACTTTTGAGTAAGAGCAGATTGACTCTATTTTTTAGGAGTACGTGAGAACCCAGTAATGCCCTCAGATATAAAATCATCTACTTAAGTTTTATGAGAAGTAAAAATTTGGAATTTAAAAGAGACACGGTAACATGTCATTTTCGTATGTTTTCTTTCTTTCTTTGGTGGATAGCAAGGTTTTTTTTAATGCAAGACTTTTTTTATCCTGGTGTTGGAACCTTTTTCCTCTCTTTGAATGAGAGAGCTTTTGGCACTTATTGATTGCTGAGGACATCCATCTTTCATCCCAAATAGGCAGGATTGACACCTTTGAGGTCCCAGGCACATGTATACCCAACAATCCACACAAGTAGCTTTTGGGGCCACTCTGTCATCGGGGCACCTAATTTCAAGAGAAATGGATGAGGTAATGTCTGTAAAGAACTTTGAGAAGGCTAAGCAGCAAAATAAAATATTTTTAGAACAAGTTATTACATTGGACAAGCAAGACCTAAATGTGTAATGTAAAGCAAAGTGAGAAGAACACAGAATTGTTGTGCCAGTCAAAAGCAGCCCTGTGATCATGGTATGAGTGCAGGGACCTGAAGTATAAAAGATTGCACAGCAGGCACAGAAAGAGACAGAGCAAAGGAGAATCAAGGACTGGATTAAATGACCAAATAGAGACCAAAAAGCTTGGGAAGGTAGAAGGTCACAGTGGATAACAAAGTAGGGTAAAGGAAATAGGGTTTGGGCTTCTCTATTTCTCAACTTTTTAAATCAAGTGATTCTTCATTTTAGATGTTTTTTTCTCTTTTCCTTTTGTTTTCTCATGTTCTTCAATTCCTCCTATTTAGTTTCTTATTGACACTCTGAACAAAGCAGTGGAATAATCCTCAAACATGGTTTTTATCACATTGTTTTCCTCATCAAGAGTGTACAATGAAAGTCTTCGTCTGTTACAGGAGTTTTTCCATTGTTTTAAAATGTATCTTTCAAATGAAAGATTACTTAGAAGAGCAATTGTAAAACAGTTGAAATTATTTTTGTTCCAGTGCAAACAGAGGAAGGGAGGCTAGAATATTGCCTGCTTATTCTCCCCCTTCTCAGCGTCTGGGAGAATTCCTTGTAACTCTCTGATCATTGGATGAAATCTAAACCCCTCAGTTGATATCCAAAGACCTTCATGCGATGGCCACTCATTCCTGTAATACCTGGCCAGACTCAACCTTTATTTTTGAGCATGCCTCTGCTTTTCCACTCGGGGTCTCTCCGTACTGTTTTAACATCCATTTGTATATTTTACATGCTCTTCTTGCCTAGAATGTTCCTTAGTTGAACTATGTACCATCCCTTTGGACTTGACCAGTGAGACTCTGTTGCTTTTGACTTATGCCACCCTTTTCTGCTTTTCCTTTTACTTCATGCTCTTTTGCTGTCACTCACACTTTTATTATTTGTGCTCAACAACAGCATCTGAAGACCTTCAGCTTAAAATTCAATACAACTAAAAGCCTGAAGCAATCTGGACCAGAATACAACAACACTGTGATAAGATCTTTCATCTCTAATAGTTAGAACCTAGAATTACTCCTGATGCCTAAAGCTAGGTATTTTATCTAAAGAGGGTGATCTGTGGGTACCAGATAGGTACCTGGTTGGCATACTTGTTCTTTTGTCTCTGTGTGGTATTTGCTCTTCAGTTTATACTCTAGTATGAATCTGCCTAGCTTTTGATGTTCCCCTTCTGGGGACTGGATCTTGTCTCTGGCAAGACAGATTCTGATTGAAAGCATGTTTGATCAGGAACAATGGTGTTTCTCTGAATCAGCTTCAGGAGTCTTCTCCATGAAGTTTCTTTGTATAGGCTGCTTTGGGCTTCCCCACAGCAGCAGCTTCAGGATAGTTGGACTGCCAACATAGTGGCTCAGGTCTCAGGGCTTCCATCTAGGAAGCAAGATGGAAGTTGCAATGCTTTTATGCACCTCATCTCGGAAATCATGCAGCATCACTTTCACCACATTTTGTTGGTTGCAAGTAACTCATAAATTCTCCAAGATTCAAAGGCAGGAAAATTAGATTCTGTGTTTTGATGCGGAGTGGCAAGGTTTTAGAAAAGCATTTGGGACAGGAGATACTGTTGCAGCCATCTCTGGGAAAGACAGTCTGCCACAGACTACGTATACAGCTGTCAGCATTTATGAACATACCACCGATGAAAATAAACTTGGCTTCTTGCTTGGAGAATAGTATAGCATTTTGGACTATGTTCATATTGTCAATTCTAATACTTTAGATATTTAAAATTGATTGATAATTGATAATTTCTTTACTGTCTGTAAATAAGAGGCCAAATGTATCGGAAGATGACTAATATGTGTTAATTGGATATTAGGTTTTGGAATTTGTAGTAGGGGCCAATATTTATTCTATTGCTTTAGCAAAGTCCCAGGAATAGACCATAGGGTCTAGCTTGTTGCTAAGTAGAGCTGTCCTGGAGAGCAGTTCAGCACTGTAATAAAGGAGGGGGCTTCCATTGTGGGCTGAGGGTAAGATGCTAGTTAATGTCAGGGTGACAAGGAAGAGTAACGGTGCTGACTGATTAATTTGTTGGGAAATACTAGAGAGGAGGCAAACAAAAAAAGGGACATCATAGGTGTTGAAGTAGGTATTTGGTTAACAGTCACACCAGGAACTAGTCTCACAAACGTGGTCCACGTGTTAGTTTGCAAGTGAGTTCTTAAAGCAGCAAAATGGCATTGGACACAAGCCTCATTCAAGTTGGTGTAAAGATTAATGTCAATAAATTAGCCTTTATAAGATAATATAAAAAACTGCATTTGACTAATAAGTTTTCTGAGAGTTGATTTGTCTACAGACACTTGTGTGAGGTTTTCTACCATTTCATGTTGATAATTATGGCAAATTACTTGGAGATATCTTCATATCTCTGTCTTCATCTCCATCTCCATCTTCACCTCCATATCCAAATGAATGTGTGTTTCCTCCAAAATTCATATTAAAACTTAATCTTCATTATGGTGGCATTAATAGGTGATTGAGTCATGAGGGTTCCCCCCTCATGAATGGGATTAGGTGCCTTTTTAAAGGGGTTGACAAAGGGAGTTCACCCCTTTTTTGCCCTTGTATGTTTGGCCATGTGAGGACACAGTATCTGCACCCTCTGGAGGATGCAGCAACGAGGCACCATCTTGGAAGCAGAGAGACTGGCCCCTCACAAGCAGGTGCTTCAATGTTAAACTTCCCAGCCACCAAACTGTAACAAAGAAATTTCTATTGTTTATAAATTACCCAGTGTGTGGTATTTTGTTATAGCGGCTCAAACAAAGATACCATATCTATCTATATCTATATCTATCTATATTTATATCTAAATTTATGTCTGTATCTCTTTAAGATGTCAGCTGGAGACTAGCTTCTTCTAAAGAACTAGATATGATTGGCTTAAATCTCTATTTACCTTCCATTTCCCTTTTCCCAAGATTTCTGTAATTCTTGTAGGGACAGAGAGAGGGTTATGATCTCATGATAATCTCTGACCTCCCACTTCTACCAAAGCAGTTTAATTTGTGGATTTTTCCCCAGACTTACAGATACTCAAGTTATTTTCCTCAACAAAGACAACTTCTTTCTTTATGATTAGTTTTTTGCTGCATAACAAATCACCCCAAAATTGAATGGCTTAAAACAAAAAAATCTTTTAATTTCATTAATTATTCCCTGGGTTATGTGGATTTTTCTAAGTCTGGGCTGGCCTGGCTGAGCTCTGCTGTGCTCTTTCATGAGTCTGCGGTCAATGGGGGTTAGCATGTAGTTGAATGAACTGGTCTGGTATAGTCTTACTCGAGAGTCAAGAATAGGCAGAATTGTTGGTTTTGTGGGGAAAGAGGTGCTCAACTAGACTGCCTGAATATGCTCTATGCAGTGTCTCATCCTACAGGTGGCTAGCCTGAGCTTCTTCACGTGGTAATCTCAGAGTATTAAACAGCCACAATTTGTAGTGATTTTTCAAGCTTCTGCTTGTGTCACATTTGCTAATGTCTCATTGGCTCAAACTATTCACATGGCCATGGCCAAAGCTAGTGTGGGAGGCAACAACCCAAGTGCATAGGGCAGGGAGGGAAATTATTGTGGTCATTTTTGTAAACACGTTACCACACCTTCCTAAGATAAATTTTGATGTCAGCTGTTAAATTTACATATTTTGGGCCCTGATTTGACCCTTACTTTCCCAATTTTTGACCAGTTCAAGGAAGTATTTCCTACTTCCTTTGTTTCTCTTTTGAAACAACAATCAGAACAAACAAAAAATAAAAAGCAAAAATCAAATGGGGTTGGGCACTGGGAAAGGTAAAAATATATGTGGCTTTTTTTGTTGTTGATAATACAATGACTGGGAGCTCAACCAGCAATTGGTGGGCAGGGACCAAGAGTGCCTAACATTCTTCTGGAAGGGAACAATTTGACAAAGCAAATGAGGCTTATCTTGCCTCTGTTGAGAAACACTGAGCTATATGTACCAAAGCAATGCTTTCTCTTTTGAGTGAATTTTCTTCCTCCTTCATTGCACAGGGAGGTAATTTTATGGTGGAGGAAAAGGAACACTAAGTGAGAGGAAACTGAGTTTCTGATCTTGCCTATGCCCTACTCTGACCGCATGACCTTGAGCCCATCACTAAAGTATTCTAGAGCTCAGCTTCCCAACGTAGAGTAATAGGGATGGATGAGATGATATTTACTTATTTGTGCATGCATTTCCCCCATAATTTCAAATAGAATTTGAGATGGCCTGCAGAATGCATAAAACACAAATAAATATTTGAGGAAATCTATACAAAGGGAAACCAAGAATGGAAGAGTAGTACATAAGGAAAATTGGTTCATAGAAAACACACTTTGAGAGTCTGTGTAATTACTGGAAATAGATATCAAGTTTGGCTCTAAGCTTCCTGATAACCTAAGTACAAAGAGTAACGTGATCTTTATGGGAGTCACAGTCAGTGTGAAAATGAAAATAGAAGATTAGGTGAAGCAAACAATTTTGTCACTGAGATATGAAAGAATGTTATCCTTTAAGATATCATGGTGATGTGTAGAGGATTATAGTCTTGAAAGTGTGCCATAAATATGTTAACCAATTTTCATTCAGTGATTTCCTACAATATCCCCCAGTTCAAATTGATGTCATAACTCTATAGGAACCCAAACAATGATGTCTAAATGTGCATCTCTGTTGATTTGACTTGTTTCAAGGACAATATTTAGATAACATTTGTTCTTAATGGTAGTCCTTCCGGAGGCCCTAAGTGAGTATTTATCACTAGGTCTCATTGATTTCAAAGTCTTTTCAACCTCTATCATTATAACATGTTTTGGAAGAAAAAAATATTTCTGGTTTGTATTAGTCTGCTAGGACTACCATAAGAAAATGCCATAGACTGGGTGACTTAAACAATAGCAATTCATTTTCTCACAGTTCTGGAAGCCTGGAAGTTCAAGATCAGGGTGCTATCAGATTTGGTTACAAGGTGCCATCAGAGTTGGTTTCTGGTGGGCCTTTCTTCCTGGCTTGCAGATGGCCACCTGCTTGCTGTTTCCTTACATGAGTTTTCCTTTATGTGTGTGTAGGGAGAGAGAGAATGATCTCTGGTCTCTCTTCCTCCTCATATAAGGACACCAAATCTATCAGAGTAGGACCCCATCCTTTGCACCTTATTTAACCTTAATTACCTCCTTACAAGCCCTCTCTCCAAATATATTTACATTGGAGGTTAGGGCTTCAATATGTGAATTTCGAGGGGACACAATTCATTCAGTAACATGCTTCTTTAAATATTAATTGATTGACTTATTGAGGGCAAGGATACATTTAACTTAGATTTTTATTTCTTTTCTTACATTTTTGGAATTCTGGAACTTTTTATAATTTCCAGTTTGAAGCTAGCCGAACCATTTCATTTTTCTTTCAACTCTGGGCATTTTCTATGGCAGTCCTGCTCTACTTTGTGTGTATATATAAGAGAATTCCAGAGATTTGACATCTACATTTAAAATAATAAAGGAAAATTATTGTAATCTGATGTATCTCACCTCTCAGAATGTCAGTTTGGATCATTCTGTTAATTACAGGTGAAAGAGGCCCTTTGGCCTGTCTTGAGAGGGTTTATTGGCATTATGACTTTTAGGATACGTGAGAGAGATTTGTATCTTGAGAAGCATGTGTATGTGCATGTGTGTGCATATACATGCTTGGACACTGATGCTAAAAATTAAAGTGAAATAAATGCACATAAGTAATTTATTGTTTGTTGACGAGTGATTTACATCTTTTGCAATATCGCTTGGCAAAGGGCAGAATCTAGTCAATGGTGTCAATCTTATTTAATAACAGAAAATATAGGGCAGCTAACATACTTTCTAATTTATCCCAGTGGCAGTACTTGTCTTTATTCTCCAGCAACAGCTGTATCAAATGAAAGCTGAGTAAAGAAGATGGGAAAGGGGAAGAGTTGGAGAGGGTGATGTTTGAGGCGAAGTAGCAGTAAAAAGAGAGAAAGCAGAGTTGCAAAAAAAAATTGGCAGGATGTTATTTTACTGAATCTTTTTGTACTTATGTTAGGATATGTTTTATTGGCTCATAAAATTTAGTCACACGAATAGATTCAAAACTAAAGCAATGAGCCTCCATCTATTTGTTACCATTTTAACAGTGTGAAAACCATTTTCATCACAGGTGTTTCAAAGGCCCAAAGAGGTTATAGGACTTAAATATTAACATATTATTCTAATAACATGAAGCTGCTACCCTTTGACCCAGAAGCTTTTGACTTTAATAATTTCCAGGTTATCCCGTAGCCAAAATAGGTTTCCCCTTCAATTTTCACACTGGTGCACTTTCTCTAATATAAAGTACTGATATAATAAATAAATCATATCCAGATGAAAGCCTGTCATCTGATACCTCATCCCAGCACAATGCCTGCAAATGCTAAGGCAAACACTTCCCAACAATGTGCTGCCTCTGTCAGGGACAGGGACCCCAGAATATGGACAGGGTGCTGTTTGATAAGATGAAGAGTGAGACAAATGGTGTATGTCTAGGAAAGATTGCCCTGGACATAGGTGTTAGGGGTTAGTACTTGCTTTTTAAATTCTCCATAAGGTGGAGGAGGGGATTGGGATGAAGAGACAAAAACAGAGTTGGTTACAGATTGAAAAGCTTTGTGTGAAAAAAACCCTCCAGAGTGAAGTCTTCTTCATTATGAAGTGCACCACACACAAAAGAATGACTGCATGGATTCAGGAGCCATCTGGGAGTGATTGGTAGTCGTACTATTTAGCTTCCTGCACATTAGATGGCTGTGATCAGTCAGGCTTTCTGTTCTGTTAGCCACAGAACCAGTGATTTCTTAAAGCTGTTACTCCTCCTGAGTGAATTCATCTGCTTTATTTTCTGGTAGGACGTGCCTAAAAGCACAGTGCATATCTAACAAGTTGCTAATCCCTCAGGTTCAGTAATCTCCCAGTCAGTGACTGCTAAGAAAGAATGGTGGGATTCCTTTGAACATTATGTAGTACTCTTTAAGGATATTCAGTTCATATCTGCTGGGTATTATGCACATTCTTTTCTCTAATGAGATAGCCAAATTCTCTTTTCTCTTCTCTCACTCTTTCTTCCCCCTTTCCTTCTTTTCTTCCTTTTTACTTTGTGTCTACTTTCCCCAGTCCCCATGTTTTGTCAGATAGCAAGAATGGGAAGTAAGGTAAAAAGAGAAAGGTTATTTATGGTTGGTGAAGAAAGTTGTAGAAGGAAATACAGATGGTCCTCTGGTGGTAATGACTTTTGAGTGCATTAGGCTTTCTACTTGCATGTGCATGCACATCCCCCCTCCCCCCTCCCCACACACAATCTGTGATACTGCTATGGAATATGCAAGGTCAAGGAGAGAGAGGGAAAGTAAGGGGTTAATATTTATTGAACTTCTGTGGACCAGGTTCTGTTAGACTACTTAATTTAATCCTTATAACAACACTAGGAACATTAATGAGAAAAGCAAATCTCAGAAAAACTATCTCTGATATGTCATGTCAGTATCTATGAGTTATCAGCATTTGGATAGTGCTCAAGCTGTCTAAAAAATACATGTTATTTTCACTAATTTCTCCTTAGCATTATATCACAAACATAAGTATAATGATACTGGAAATTCATTGTTGACTCATTTATTCAGAAAGTGTTTATGGATTGCTTACACTCTCTAGGAATGTTTCAGACACTGGAAATACTATGAGGAAGATGGTAGTAAAGATTCTTGCATTAACTATTTATTTAATTGCATGTGCTTGTGTGCATGCATGTGTTCATCTGGTTTATGAAAACTACTATGATACTACAGTGTGGAATTATGTAATGATAACAATACCTGTCATTACTTGGGCATTTTCTGTATATGAGGGGCTCTAGTCTGCTGAATGGGGACTGCATATTAGATTCCTTATAAGTGAGAATTTCTGTGTAATTTAAAAATTTTAATTAATTATATGCTACCTTATTTCAAAGGCAACTTAAAGAGAGTCAAATAATATTATTCAAATAATATGGCAAAACAAATAATTAAAACTAAGTGGGAAATATGAAGTAATGGAAAAACAAGATGAAGAAAATAGATAAGGTGAAGAAAGTAGTAGATAGAGAGTGATGTTGGGAAACAAATTATAGGGCACAAACACCCATGCACTTTTCACCAGAGATGGGGGAAGTGTGGTAAGATTCAGGGCTCTGTTGGTCCATTTTGCACTGCTATTAAAAAATAACTTTGGCTGGGTAATTTGTAGAGAAAAGAGTTTTATTTTGGCTCATGGTTCTGCAGGCTGTATAGGAAGCATCTGCTTCTGGTGAGGGCCTCAAGAAGCTTCTACTCATGGTGGAAGGTGAAAGAGTAGCAGTTGTGTCACATGGTGAGAAAGAAAGTAAATGTTGGGGAGAGTGCCATATTCTTAACAACCAGATCTCACATAAGCTCAGAGGGAGAACTCACTCATTATTGTGAAGAGGGTACCAAGCCATTCATGAGGGATCTGCCCCATGACCCAAACACTTCCCATTGGACCTCACCTCCAACATTGGGGATCACATTTCAACATGAGATTTTGAGGAGACACAAATCCAAATCATATAATTCTGACCCTGGCCCCCCAAATAGCATGCCATTCTCATGTTGCAAAATACAATCATCCCTTCCCAATGGTCCCTCAAAGTCTTAACTTGTTCCAGCATTAACTCAACAGTCCAAAGTCTTATATGAGACCCAAGGCAATTTCCTTCCACCTATGAGCCTGTAAAATAAAAAACAAACTATTTACTTCTAAGATACAATGGTGGTACAGATATTAGGTAAGCATTCTCATTCCAAAATGCAGAAATGAGCCGAAAGAATGGGGCAATAGGCCCCACACAAGTCTGAAACCTAGCAGAGCAGACATTAAGCTTTAAAGCTCCAACATAATCCTTGACTCTTTGTCCCACATCCCTGGTACACCGACTGGTGCAAGGGGGGTGGACTCCCAAGGCCTTGGGCAGCTCCACCCCTGTGGCTTTGTGGGGTGCAGTCCCCATGGCTGCCCTCGTAGGTTAGAGTTGAGTGCCTGTGGCTTTTCTAGGCTCAGTGAAAGCTGCTGCTGGCTCTGCCATTCTCAGGACTACAGGGTGGTCCCTTTCCCATAGCTCTACTGGCAGTGTGCCCTGGTGGGTACTCTGTGTGGGCTCTAATCTAACATTTTTCCTTGGCACTGCCCTACTAGAGTCTCTCTGTGGGACCACCACCCCTTCAGTAGGCTTCTGCCTGGCAACCCAGGCTTCCCCATTTAGGTGGAAGCTGCCACCTCCTTCACTCTTGCATTCCATGTGCCTGCAGGCTTAAGATCACATCAAAACAGCCAGAGCTTATATCTTGCACCCTCTGGAGTGGTGGCCCTAGGTCTACTTGGGCTCCTTTGAGCCAAGGCTGGAGATACAGCAGCCAGGATATGGGGAGTAGTGTCCTGAGGTTGAGCAGGGCAGCAGTGCTCTGGGGCTGGCCCCCCTAAACAACTTTTTCCTCCTAGGCCTCTGAGCCTGTAATGAAAGGGGCCGCCTTAGAAATTTTTGCAATGCCTTCAAGGCCTTTTTCCCACTGTCTTGGCTATTAGCATCTGGTTCTCTTTTAGTCATGCTAATCTCTCTAGCAAGTGATTTCTCCACAGATTACTTGCATTCCTCTACTGAAAATGCTCTTTCCTTTTCTAGCACACAGTCAGGCTGCAAATTTTCCAAATTTTTATGCTCTGCTTCCCTTTTAAATACAAGTCTCAGCTTTGAGTCATTTCTATGCTTCCGTATCTGACTGTAGGCTGGTAGAAGCAGCCAGGCCACATCTTGAATGCTTTTCTGCTTAGAAATTTCATTTTGCCAATACCCTCAGTCATCATTTGTAAGTTGAAAATTCCACAGATCCATAGGGCATGAACATAATGCAGAAAGCTCTTTCTTAGGGAGTAATTTGGATGACTTTTACTCCAGTTCCCAGGAACTTTCTTGTTTCCATCTGAGGCCCCCTCAACCTGGCCTTCACTGTTCATATTTCTATCAGTATTTTGGTGACAACCACTTAATGCGTCTTTAAGAAAGTCCAAACTTTTGCTCATCATCCTGTTTTTTTCTGAGCCTGTCAAACTCTTCTAATCTCTGCTGTTACTCAATTCCAAAGCCACTTTCACATTTCCAGGTATCTTTACAGCCATGCTGTATGCTCAGTACTGATTTTCTGTGTTAATTCATTTGCACTGCTATAAAGGAATACTAGGGACTGAATAATTTATAAAGAAAAGAGGTTTATTTTGGCTCACAGTTCTGCAGGCTCTACAGGAAGCATGGCACCAGAATTTGGCTCTGACGAGGGCCTCAGGAAGCTTCCACTCATGGAGGAAGGCAAAGGGGGAGCAGATATGTCACACGGTGAGAGAGAAAGTAAGAGGGAAGGTGGGGGAATTGCCATGGTCTTTTAAACAACCAGATCTCATGTGAACTTAGAGCAAGAACTCACTCATTACTGTGAGGAGTGTACCAAGCCATTCCTGAGGCATCTGCCCCCATGACTCAAACAACTTCTACTATCCCCCACCTCCAACATTAGGGATCCCATTTTTACATGAAATTTTGATAGGATACACATCCAGACCATACCAGGGGCCCACAAGATTTTAAAAAAACACAAACAAACTAGTTGTTTGGGAAAAACATAATATCTGATACTGAGAAAGGAGACCAAGCTCTTTATTTGGCCCTCAAGCACAGTGCCATGTGAACATTATACTTGGTGGAAGCAAACAGTCCATTTTTCATTATAGATTGATGGCTTCAGTACATTTAATTCAAAAGAAGTTCAGTTAATACAATTCTAATGAGCAGAGGGAGGGGTTGTATGTAGGAGTAGATAGAGTTAGAAGGGTGGACCATGTAATGCTGTCCACTTATGAAATTTTCTAATTTGTCTTAATCGAGAGAAAGATGACATCAGAGGAATCTGTAGTCTGCCTTCAGTCATAAAAATGATTTATTTCAACCAAGCAGTTAAAAGGCATTGATTCACAGTGAGTTCAAGATTAATTTCAGTGTCAAATATTTGGAGTGTAGATATTCTGGATTAGCTCAACTTTATGCTTTAACCATCCATCAAACTAAGGCGAGAACTGACATCTTCAAATAAGGCATTATTTATGAATTCAAAAAGGTCCTCACTATAATGTCCTAATTCCTGTGACAATACTCTTATCAAGTTGCTTATGAACTTTTACAACTGCATTTGTGTTTTATTGTGTGAGCCCTTCTTCTCTTCCCTTAAAGAGATCTGTCCTTCGTTTTAATGATACTAGTCACGAATCTGGAATAATATATCAAGCTTATTACCAGTATATATTTTTCTGTTAATAAATCAATGCATATACATTCAGAAGACAAGGAATAATTGGCTCACTGTCATGCGAAGTGAAGATTTAGATAATCATCTTTCCATATATATACTATTTTGTGTTTCGTACTTTCATTTAGTTTATCCAGCCTTTTTCCTGTGGTACAGCGTGGTGTTTGCAACACTATCTTTTAAGGTTGTATGCTATGTATGTATACTATTCTGATGAGTTGATGTATTATAGTTGACTTAGTAATAAAGCTTACTTAACCACTTACAGATATTGTGGCGTTAGGAGCAGAAAAGACAGAAAAGAAAGGAGAGGAGGAAGGGCCACAATGTGTTATTGCAGAGTTATCCAATAAATGCACTTAAACTTCTCTGCCTTTAAAGATATCAGAAACTTAGAATGTCAAAAAATCTTTGTGCAATTAATAAACACAGTTAAGTACAAAATGTAAAATGTTTCTTCCCCAGTCTCTATCTCTTATCTCTTGCAATTTACCTGTACATGCAATAGAATATTTTAAATAAAAAATAGGGAGTGAACACAAGAGAGGTGAGAGAAAGCTGAGCTAATTGAGTGATATAATACAATCTGTAGTAAGATCCTAAGTGCGGGATCTAATATAATCCAAATAGTAAGGTCTGGATTTAAGTGTAGCTGGAAGTTTTCACAAAATTCCTAAGTGGACCTTTATTTAAAATAATTAAATGAATTAGTGTTTGCAAAGAGCCATTGTTTTGAGGGATACCTGTTGGATGTTGTTATTACTAATAATAGAACTAAATTTATAAGTTAGTTGAAGAGATTTTACTGAAATGTGAATCCATAGCCTTGGAGAAGAGATGCCTGGCCAGCCACATTTCTTTTGTGACTTCTCTCGTCTAGTGGATTTATAGTAAGCCAAAATAACTATTAGATCTGAAATATTACGTAATTTCAGAACAGTTTTCTCTAGGCTGCTGTGGACCCTTGAAGGTCTGAGATGGAATAACATGTTCTAGACTCTGGGCAGAAAGCTCAGCATGGAAACTTTAAAGGACATCTCCTGGAAAGCAAAGCCTGGGCTGTAGCTATAACTCACCCATGGAGTGCTTCCTCTGAAGTGTCACCCATGAGCTTAGGGAGCTCTTTTATTGCTAATATCACATTTTATACTTCTAAGCATTGTCTTCAGTTACTAGATTTATTTCCATCATTAAAGAATGACATCGCTTTACATATGGTTTCTTGGAGCACAGTATGGTGGGGGTGGAATATTCTTTAATATTTCAAAGTAGATGGCTATAATCAGATCCCCATCCAGGTTCTGTCTGTAGGTTTATTTAATAACAGAGTTTAGTTTGTTTTCCTTCATGTTGTCTAACACCGTGTTTATTTCCAATGTTATAATTTATAGTCTGAGATTCGTTTGGTGATCTGGTTTTGGTCCCTCTGAACAAATGAAACTGTCTTGGGAGTGTAATTTTTTTTTCCTTAGGCACCATGCTGGATATTTTGTGAAAGAGAAGCAGTGTTTTCTCCCCCGTTGAGAGTATAAATTTATATAGGCTTCTGTTTCACTACATACAAAGGGTTTTGGAGATGGCAATGAGTGGCTGCTGCAGTATGATCTAGTGGAAAGATCAGATCTTGGCTGGAAATTAAGACCTGGTCCTAAGCTTGATTTTATATAGACCTTTAAAAATATATATAAAAGAAAAAGGAATAATAAAAAATGAATTTCTCTCTGTGTGCATAGGGGTGTGTGTGTGTGTGTGTGTGTGTGTGTGTGTGTGTGTATCTCTTATGTTCCACAATTATCAACATATGGTCAATTCTGTCTCATTTATATCCAGACCCTCTAGAACCCCATCCTTTTACTTAGAAAAATTTCGAAGCAAATCTCAGGTATCATATCTGTAAATATTTAATTATGTATCTATGAAAGCTAAAGATCCTTTATAAAAAACACAATCACAATTTTTACACCTAAAAATAAGAAATATCTTTGATACCATCAAACATCCAGTCTGTATTCACGTTTTCTCAATTTTCTTATATATTTTTAATGCTTTGTTTGCTTGAAGAGAATCAACATAAGGTTATATATTGTTATTGTTTAATCATGTTACTTAAATCCTTTTAGTCCATAGGATCTGCTTTATTTTTCTTCCTTTTTTCTCATTGCAGTTTTTCTGTTGAAGCAACTGATGGTTTGTGCTAAAGTCCCCATAATTAAGACTTGGATGATTGCATCCCCATGTTGCCGTTTAACACATCTTCTCTCTTTTTATTTCTACTAAATCTATAATCCCCACTTATCTAAGCTTTGGATTTCCTCAGTTTCAATTACTTGTGGTCAGTTGCAGAGAGAATGTAGGTCAGTAGAGTATAATAAGGTATTTTGAGAGAGGGAAAGAAATAAAGAACACATTCACATAACTTATTATGGTATATTGTTATAATTGTTCTATTATTATTAGTTATTTTTAATCTCTTACTATGCCTAATTTATAAATTAAACATCATCATAGATATGTATGTATGGAAAAAGACAGCATATATAGGGTTTGGTACAATTATGGTTTCAGGCATTCACTGGAGGTCTTGAAACATATTCCCTGTGGAAAAGGGGGGACTACTGTAAATCTAAATTCAGATACAGAGAGATTTTTGGCAAGATTACTTTCTACATGGTGTTTTGTACTTCCTAGGAGGTACATGATGTCTTGGCATGTTTTTCTATGATTTATCAACCTTTGATATTCATTGTCTAGGTCCATTAATTCATTATGGGTGGCAAAATGGTGATATTCTAGTTCTATCATTTCTTCTTGTCATTATTAGCTGCAGAATTTCTCTAAAGAACTTTCCCTCATCACCTATCATCCTTCTGAGATAGGAGCCATATAAAAAAGGCAACAAAAATTTTTATTTTTTTCTCTTTATATACCAGTTTTCAAAATAATGGTGGATCCCTAGATTCTTGCAAAGGTGACCATTTTTGGAGGGGCAGTGAGGTGGTGGGCTATGGAGGCATCATTATGAACACATGGAGTGAAATATAGTTTATGTATTTTAATGTCTTGTTCAGGTATTTAGTTGAGTTTATGCATGTTGGTTTCTGGGAATTTTTGACGTAATCCCAGTACTCTTTGATAGATTCCTAGCTTCTGAAATGAAAAGATGCTCCATATTCATCTTGTGCATTTCCTGTGCCAGATCTGTAATCAATCATTTTTTCAAAAATCCCTGACTTAACTTTAGTGGGATATGGTGGTAGGAGACCATAGTCTAAATGCAAGGATGTGGGAGTTCACTCAGGCTGGTAGGAAAAATTTTAATGACAGTTATAAGAAATAGTAGCAAACCTTCTTGAAAGGCCAGAGGGGTTTGCATAAGCTTCAGTAATAGATCTGGCTGAAGGCAGCCTAATCCTTACCTTGAGTAAATAACTTAGAGTAGACACATAGGAATGTAGAGGAGTTTAAATAGCTTGTTTACTCATGTGGTCCTAAGACCAAGCTTTAATCAACTACAGGTGCATAATTGCTCTCTTCTCGGGTTGGCAACGAAGTCAATTACCCTCTAGTGGTGTTTACTCAAAGCCTTTGTCGTTTAATGTGTGCTGAATAAATGCTGGCAGGGCCAGCGAGTCAGGGCTGTGGCTACAACTCTTTACAGCACTCTCCTTGGAGTCTGTAAATGGCCCAGACCCTCAGCCGGACTGACAAGCATAATATCTGTGTCAGTGTATGTTATTCATCTGTCGTTGGGTCAGGGTCTGCAGGACAGACCCCTGCACAAGGAGTGTTCACTGTTACTGAGTTGGTCATTATTTCTAGTCTTTTTACTAGATAGAGCTTTAAAATAGATACCTATTTTTAAAAGATAAAATAAACCATAAATTCTTATTCATACTTAAAATCAGGATTAAGGTGTTTTAACTTATCTTACATTTAATCTGCTTTCAGCCTTTCTGAAAATCTTGGTTCTTGGCAGCGGTAAGATAAGTACTCATTTGCTTTACCTCATAGTGTATACACAATAATCTGAGATAATTGATGCCAACCTACAATATGATTACTGAAAAGGACTTAAAATGTATCATCAAATTACTATATTTTATAGTTACTTGTAATAAGGAGTCTCTGGGTGGTTATGCTATTATGTACTTAGGTTCATCTTACTTGCAATTTTTAGGAATTGCTTTTATAAGTTAAATTCATTTTATAATTATATGAAATAATTATATGATTTCAAAGGCAAATCTACAAAATAAGCTATTTATAAAAATGTCTGGGCCGGGCGCAGTGGCTCACGCCTGTAATCCCAGCACTTTGGGAGGCCAAGGCGGGTGGATCACGAGGTCAGGAGATCAAGACCACCCTGGCTAACACGGTGAAACCCCGTCTCTACTAAAAATACAAAAAATTAGCCCTGCGTAGTGGCGGGCACTTGTAGTCCCAGCTACTCCGGAGGCTGAGGCAGGAGAATGGCGTGAACCCGGGAGGCGGAGCTTGCAGTGAGCCGAGATTGCGCCACTGCACTCCAGCCTGGGCGACAGAGCCAGACTCCGTCTCAAAAAAAAAAAAAAAAAAAAAAAGTCTGGCTTCTTCCTGGCTCCTCTACCCTCTTCACTCTCACCCTTTACAGGTAATTGTTTAAAATTTTTATGGCTTATGTTTCAATTTTTAGAACCTGCAAGTCTATATAAATACTATATATTTGTATTGCCTCTCTTTCTTGGATCAGTGATAGGCTACTATATACTATTTTCTCTTATCTTGTTATTTTCACTTAATTTATCTATGGATATAACTTCACAGTACTATATAGAAATATTTCTCCTGCTTCTTAAAATGACACAGGAGTCCATACCATAGATGTACCCTAGTTTTTCAATTAACCACTTGGTGATGAACATTTGAGTTGTGTCCGGTCTTTTGTTAATTCAAGTAGCAGTACAGCAAATAGACTTGTGCATATGGCTGTTATCAGTGTATTTTTGGGATAGAGTCCTAGCAGTAGAATGGTTAGGTCAAAAGATAAATGTATATATAATTTTGCAAGATATTGCCAAATTTCCTTTTATAGGGATTGTACAGTTTGCATTCTCATCAGCAACATATGAGAATACTTGTTTCCTCACAGTCTTAACAAAAAAGAGTATAAAGTTGACCTTTAAACAAGATGGGTTGGAACAGTGAGGGTTCATTTGTACATGGATCTTTTTCAATAAATATAGTTGGAGGTATCCACGGGTTCCATATCCACAAGGAAACATAGGTAAAAGAAACAGAATTCGTGGGATGTGAAACTCATGGATACAGAGGGCCAACTTTTCATATAGGAAGGTTCCACAGGACATACTTCAGGGCTTGAGTATGCCCAGATTTTGATGTCTGTGGGCAGTCTTGGAACCAATCTTTTGTAGATACTGAGGGATAACTGTATTGTGAGACTTCTGCCAGTCTGATAGGAAGATGAATTGAATTAACTTGCATTTCTCTTATAAAGACTGAGATCAATGATATTTTAAAATGCTTAAAACTCATTTTCATTTATTTGGCAGTAAACTATTTCTATATACCTAGCTTGTTTTGGTTGTTGGGCTTTATTTCTCCATTTTAAACACTCTTTAAATATCAAGAATATTAATTCTTTCCCTTTGATGTATGTTCCAAATAATTTTCTCTGCTTGTAATTTATTATTATTTTTTGTTTATTTTTGTTGCTGTTGATTTTATTTTATTGTGGTAAATGTGAGATCTACCTGCCTCAAAATTTAAGTGACTATACAATATAGTTAACTGTAGGCACAAAAGTGACTGTGTAATAGAGTTAACTATAGGCAAAAATTGTATAGCAGAAATCTAGAACTTATTCAGCTCACTTAACTGAAACTTTACACCCATAGACCAGTAACTATCCATTTCCCCTCCACCTGTCTCCTGGGCACCCACCATTCTATTCCCTTTATGCATGAGTTAGACTATTTTAGGTATTTCATGTAAGTAGAATCATGCATGCCCTTCTGTGATTGGTTTATTTTATTCAATAGAATGTCCTCCAGGTTCAGCCATGTTGTCTCATATGGCAGATTTTTTTTATTTTTAAAGACTGAGTAATATTCCATTGTACAGATATATCACATTTTCTTTATATATTCATTTGTCAATGGATACTTAGGTTGTTTTCATATTTTGGCTATTGTGAGTAATGCTACAATAAACATGTGGGTGCAGATATCTCCTCTACATACTGATTTCATTTCACTTGGATATATACCCAGTAGTGGGATTGCTGGATTGTATGGTAATTCTACTTTCAATCTTTTTTGAGGAACCTCTGTACTATTTCCCATAGTAGCTGCATCATTTTGTATTCCCACCAAAAGTGTGCAGGAGTTCTAATTTCTCCGCATCTCTGCCAACACTTGTTATCTTTTGTATTTTTGATAATAGCCATTGTAACAGGTGTAAGGTGATATCTCATTGAGGTTTGGATTTACTTTCCCTGATGATTAGTGATATTGAAAATCTTTTCATATACCTGTTAACCATTTGTATGTCTTCTTTGAAGGAATGTCTCTTCAAGTCCTTTGCCCATTTATCAATTGGGTTATTTATTTATTTTCATTAGTGAGTTGTAGGAGTTCTTTATGTATTTGGATATTATCCCCATATCAGGTATATGATTTGCAAATATTTTCTTCCTTTCCATAGAATGTTATTTTGCTTTGTTGATTGTTTGCTTTGCAGAAGCTTTTTAGTTTGATGTAGTCCCACTTGTCTATTTTTGTTTTTGTTGTTGTGCTCTCTCTTTCTGTAGAATGTTATTTTGCCTTGTTGATTGTTTGCTTTGCAGAAACTTTTTAGATTGATGTAGTCCCACTTGTCTATTTTTGTTTTCGTTGCTTGTGCTCTTGGTGTTATATTCAAGAAATAATTGCCAAGGAAAATGTTATGAAGCTTTTCTCTTTTGTCTCCTGTGTTTTTGTCTATGAATTTTACAGTTTCTGGTCTTACATTTAAATCTTTAATTCATTTTGAGGTTTTTTTTTGTGTTTCTGAAATAAAGGGTACAATTTCATTATCTTGCATGTGTGTATCTATTTTTCCCAACACTATTTGTTGAGACTATGCATTTCTTATTGTGCATTCTCAGTACTATGGTATAAGAATAGTTGACTGTTTATTCTTTGGTTTATTTTTGTGTTCTCTATTCTGTTCTGTTGATCTATATGTGTGTCTTTATGTCAGTGAGATACTGTTTTGATTACTGTAGATTTGTAATATATTTTGAAATCAGGAAGTGTGATGTCTCCAGCTTTGTTCTTCTTTCTCAAGATTGTTTTGGCTATTTAGAGTCTTTCATAATTTCCTATACATTTTAAGATTGTGTTTTCTATTTCTGTAAAAAAATGTGATTGGGATTTTG
Source organism: Homo sapiens (assembly GCF_000001405.40). NCBI lineage: Eukaryota > Metazoa > Chordata > Mammalia > Primates > Hominidae > Homo > Homo sapiens. The sequence continues at coordinate 127,315,662 of NC_000004.12, read as the reverse complement.
ATTGAAATTTTATTGTAGGCCACTTTGGGTGGCATGGACATTTTAATAATACTGTTTCCTAATTCATGAACACAGGATATCTTTCCATCTATTTGTGTTTTCTTTAATTTCTTTCATCAATATTTGTAATTTTCAATGTTCAAGTATTTCACCTCCTTGGTTAAGTTTATTCCTGAGTGTTTTATTTTTTGGGTACTATTGTAAATAGGGTTGTTACCTTAATTTCCTATTTAGCTAGTTGACTGTTAGTATATAGAAATGCAACTGACTTTTCTATGTTGATTTTGTGTACTGCAACGTTACTACATTTGTTTATTAGTTCTAACAGTTTTTTTATGGCACATTTAGGGTTTCCTATATATAAGATTATGTCATCTGCAAACATAATTTACTTATGCTTTTCTGATTTGGATGCCTTTTACTTCTTTTTCTTGCTGAATTGCTCTTGGTATGATTCCTAATACTACATTGAATAGAAGTGGCAAGAATTAGCATCCTTACCTTTTATTCCTGAGCTTAGTGGAAAAGTTTTCCATTTTTACCATGTTAGCTGTGGGCTTATCATGTAGGCCTTTATTATGTTGAGATGAATTCCTTCCATACCTGATTTTCTTTCTCTTTAATTTATTTTGTGTATCTTCTATATGTATTTGTAGTTATCATAAGGCCTATACAAAATATAATAGTCTCTTTTAAATCAAAAACTACTTAACTTCAATCCCATACAAAAACTCTATATTTTTACTTCTCTGTTCACAATTTATGTTATTGATGTCATTATTTATATCTTTTAATATTGTGTATTCATTAACATATATTTTTACTTATGTTATTCTTAATACTTTTATCTTTTAACTTTACACTAGTATTAAAAGTAATGAACACACCATGATTAGAGTATTACAGTATTTTGTACTTATCTATATAATTACCCTCACCAGTGATTTTTATGCTTTTATATGCTTTCATACTGCTGTTTATATCCTTTCTTTTTTTATCTTTTCTTTTTTTTCCCAGATGAGGAATCATTTTTAATAAGTTACCAAACTGTATAGTACTATGGCTTTTTTCCTTTTTCTTTTCTTAACTTTTATTTTAGGTTTGGGGGTATATATTTGTTATATATGTAAATTCATGTCACAGGGATTAGTTTTACAAATTATTTCATCACTCAGGTACTAAGCCTAGTACCCAATAGTTATTTTTTCTACTCCTCTCCCTCTTCTCAGCCTCCACCCTCAATAGGTCCCAGTGTCTGTTGTTACTATCTTTGTGTTCATGAGTTCTCACCATTTAGCTCCTACTTATTAGTGAGAATATGTGGTATTTGGTTTTCTGTTCCTGTGTTAGTCTGCTAAGGATAATAGCCTGCAGCTTCATCCATATTCCTGCAAAAGACATGATCTTGTTCTTTTTTATGGCTGCATATTATTCCATGGTGTATATGTGCCATATTTTCTTCATCCAATCTGTCATTGATGGGCATTCTCTTTAGCATTTCTTGTAAGGCAGATATGATGGTGATAAACTCCCTTAATTTTCAGTTGTCTGTAAAAATTGTAACTCTTCCCTCCTTTTGGAGGACAGTTTTTCCATGTATTGTATTCTTGGTTGGCAGTTCTTTTTTCTTTCAGTATTTTAAATGTATCATCCCACTCCCATCTGGTTTGTAAGGTTTCTGCCAAAAAGTCTTCTGATAGTCTTATGAGGCTTCCCTTGTATGTGATGAGTTACTTTTCTCTTGTTTCTTTTACATTGTTTGTCTTGACTTTTGAGGATTTGATTGTAATGTGTTTCAGCAAAGATTTTTTAAAAATATATTTAATCTACGTGAAAGTCTTTGGGCATCATGGTTGTGGGTATTCATTTCTCTTTCCAGATTTGGCAAGTTTTTGGCCATTCTGTTTTCTCCTTCTTGGATTCCCATAATGCATATATTGGTTTTCTTAAGGGTGTCCCATGACTCCTCAGTCTTTATTCACTTTCTTTCATTCTTTTTTTCTTTTTGCTTATCTTGTCTGATTAGATAATTTGAAATCATTTGTCTTTATATTTGCTGATTCTTTCTTCTGTTTGATCTGATCAAGTCTGCTCTTGAACCCATATAGTGAAATTTTCAATTCCATTATGGTATTTTTCAGCTCCAGAATTTCTGTTTGGTTGTTTTTTGTAATTCCTATCTTTTTGTTGACTTTTGTTGATTTTCTCATTTTGTTCATGTATCATTTTTCTGATTTTACTTAGTGAGTTGTCTTGTAATTTACTTAGCTTCTTTAAGATGAAATTATTTTGAATTATTTGTCAGACAATTCATAGATCCCATTTCTTTGGTGTTGACTACTGGAGTTTTATTTTGTTCCTTTGACTGTATCATATTTTCCTGATTCTTCATGTTCCTTGTAGATTTTCACTTGTGTCTGCACATTTGAACAAACAGCTGCCTCTCCCAGTCTTTACAAACTTTCTCAATGATGTTTTCCCAACATCATTTATTAAATAGGGAATCCATTCCCCATTGCTTGCTGTGTCAGGTTTGTCAAACATCAGATTGGTGTAGATGTGTGGTGTTATTCTGAGGCCTCTGTTCTGTTCCATTGGTCTATGTATCTGTTTTGGTACCAGTACCACACTCTTTTGGTTACTGTAGCCTTGCAGTATAGTTTGAAGTCAGGTAGCGTGATGCCTTCAGCTTTGTTCTTTTTGCTTATGATTGTCTTGGCTATATGGGCTTTTTTTTGGGCTCATAATCACTGGTCGTTAGAGAAATGCAAATCAAAACCACAATGAGATACCATTTCACACCAGTTAGAATGGTGATCATTGAAAAGTCAGGAAACAACAGATGCTGGAGAGGATGTGGAGAAATAGGAACACTTTTACACTGTTGGTGGGAGTGTAAATTAGTTCAACCATTTTGGAAGATAGTGTGGCAATTCCTCAAGGATCTAGAACCAGAAATACCATTTGACCCAGCAATCCCATTACTGGGTATATACCCAAAGACATATACTGGGTATATACCTGCTCTAAAGACACATGCACACATGTTTATTGCAGCACTATTCACAATAGCAAAGACTTGTAACCAACGCAAATGCCCATCAATGGTAGACTAAATAAAGAAAATGTGGCACATATACACCATGGAATACTAGGCAGCCATAAAAAAGGGTGAGTTCATGTCCATTGCAGGGACATGGATGAAGCTGGAAACCATCATTCTCAGCAAACTAACATAGGAACAGAAAACCAAATACCACATGTTCTCACTCGTAACTGGGAGTTGAACAATGAGAACACATAGACACAGGGAGGGGAACATTACACACCAGGGCCTGTCAGGGGATGTGGGGCTAGGGGAGGGATAACATTAGGAGAAATACATAATGTAGTTGACAGGTTGATGGATGCAGCAAACCACCATGGCACATGTATACCTATGTAACAAACCTGCACGTTCTGCCCATGTATCCCAGAAGTTAAAGTATAATTAAAAAAAAAATACAGATCACACACACACACACGCGCATGCGCGCGCGCGCACACACAATTTGGATTGCATTCAATTTGTAAATTTGCTTAGGGAGCACATCTTTATCTTATTGAGTCATTTTGTCCAAAATCAATGTCTAACTTTCTATTTGTTACAGGGTAGTTTTGAGTTCTTCTGAAGCATTTTATAGTTTTCCTCATATAAGTATTAGACTTTTAGATATTTTCTATTCTTTATTGTTGTTCATCTTTCTCCTGGTTAGTTTTTGTTTGTAGATATAAAGCCTGTTGGTTTTATGCCTAGCTAATTACTCAATTTTCTTATTGTTTATAATTTTTTTTCACTAAGTTACCTCTTCGTTTCCCATTCTAATTCCTTTAATTGCTTTCTCTTTTCTAGCATGGATATAATATCTCCACCCCAATGTTAAGTACTTGTATATATACTATCTTTGTGTTAGTTTCAAATTTAGTGGAAAAGCCTCTATTTTTTTTCACTAATTAAGTCACTGGGTTTTGTATTTAGGTAGTGTAATTAATTCCTGTTTCATTGAGTTAAAAATATGAATGGGCTCTGGATTTTGTCAATGTCTTTCCTATCTTTATGGGGACTGATCGCAGGATGTTTCTTCTTACCTCTATTAATAGGACTGATTATACTAATGGCTTCTGAATATTGAATTATCTTTGCATTCCTAGAATAAACCTCACTGGGTCATCTATTATGTTTGTTAATATTTTACTTAAGTGGATTTTTACATCTATATTCCTGAGATTATTCTGTAGTTTTCTTTTTGATGTGATCGTTGTCAAGCTTAGAGAAAAATATTATACTTCCTTCACAAAGTAAAGTTAAAAATTTTCCTTCTTTTTATGCTCTAGTATAGTTTAAGTAGCTTTGGAATTATCTAATTTAATTTTTATTTTGTTATTTTATTTTTATTATTTTCAATTTCCCACTTGCCAGTGCTGATCTAGAATTGTCTAATTTTAAAAGATTTGGTAAAATTTTATTGTGAAACCAATTGGGTCTGATGCTTTTTTGTGAGGGAATCTTTGACCTACTTTGTATATTTCTTTCTTGGCTTCAGATGAAATTAACTTTTCTGTCTCTAAGGGGTAAATTTTGCTCAGTTATATTTTTGTAAAAAATTATCCAGTTCATTTAGGCTTTCAAATTTATTTTCATAGAGTCATGCAAAATGATCACTTATAATTTTAAATTTTTCTCTTTTGGGTAGTTACTACTTCTAGTTTCTTCTAGTTTTGTATACTTATACTTTCTCTCATTTTTCTTAATTAGGATGTGTAACATTTTGTCTATTTCATTGATTTTTTAAAAATAACCGGATTTTAGATTTACTGTAGTCTTTCTTAGTGTTTTTTTAGCTCATCAGTTTCTAACTTTATTATTATTAATTCCGTCTTTCTACTGTATTTTGGTTTACTGTGTTTTTGGTTTTAATCTTGATTTTCTTGTTGGATATTTAATGAATATGTATATTTTTCCTTTTTATTGCATTATGTATACAATGCTGTAATTTTTTCTCTGATAACTGCATAAGTTCCATCCCACAGATTCTGACACGTGATCAAGTTTAAAATTTGGGTTAGAGTTAGGTTTAGAGGGATCAAATGATCTGGTTGTGTTTTAGGATGACATTTTTGCTTCAGTGGTAAGTCAAAGCCTTGACATAAGCAGGAAACTACTTGTGATAGTTCAAATAGGAGATGATGAGGACCTTTATCAAGGTGCTGGAAGAAGTAAAGGAATAGAAGAAATAGTGTGACTATTTTAGGGGTAGACTTGATAGGATGCAGTTACTAATTAGATGAGAGAGGGACAGGGAGGAATAAAAAAATAATTCCTGTAATTTTGGGATTGATATCTGTTATCCAAATTGAAGAATACTGGGGAAGAAACAAGTTTGAGGACCAAGAAGTAATGGGTGGGAATAAGTTTGGTTTTGAGTATATTGAATTTGAAATGCCCGCAGAATATCCAAGTGGAGACATCTAGCTAGAAATCTTATTCTAGAGCCCAGGAGACAAATGTGAATTGGATGTGTGGTTTCAGGCGTAATAACTGAAGCTGTGCATGATCATGAAGCCACTCAAGTCTGTGGATGGTGAGAAGCAGGGTATGGTTGGAAACAAGGCTCCCAGCCTTACTACTAGTTTTTCTGTAAAATGTGACACCCATCAGGATCACAGGCCTTGAGGACACAAAGCCAAACTTAGTCATCATCTCTGAATCTTTTGAGAGAGAACAATCTGGCCAGTGTTTGAGGCTGAGGAGCTTACTTTGAATACATGAATTAAATTAGAAAACATAAATCAGACTAATTGGAGGAACCTCAGAGGAAGCTGTATCCTAAATAAGTTTTGATTTCATGATGAATTGGCTTGGTGGGATGAAAATGGAAGAATAAATAGGATTTAGGTTCAGATTCCTCTGGGTTAGTTCTACTGAGCTGTAATGCTTATTCAGATGCGTATTAAGTTGAAGGAGTGAGTCACTAAGAGCATGTGATTTGGGGTCAGAGAACATTTGGGAGGGGTGAGCAATGGTGGTGAATGAACTTTCAATGTTTTGATGTTGTTGGACACATTTTGATTGGCCAAGACCTCTTTTGAAATATAATTCCCAATCACTGCCTGAACTGTCTCCTCTGCAGCCACGAGGTGCAAAGGAATGGGAACACAACATGGCAAGGGTGTGGCTGCAGCATGACTCTGGTGCCTCAGGACAGGGGTGGCCTGGAAGGCATACTTTTTACTATGGTACAAAATAGAGACATCTCTAAATATAAATTTTAGTTGTTGTTGTGGTTAATGTTTTCAAATTTTCCCCTCCTTCAGCATTTTTTATTCTGTCGCTCTTTTATTCTTTCATTTGGTAGCCACAGAAACTAATCTTCTCAAACTTTTTTTTTTTGACTCTTTTGCCCATGCTTAACAAACACTGGCATTAGTATGTTTACTATTCCGTTATCTATCTAACTTCATCTTTAGACTCACCCTGTGAGGAAGAATTATTAGTGTTATTTAATATATGAGGATGTCAAGTCATAGAAGATTTTAAGAATTGAATTAGTTAACATGGCTAGAGCATTGTAGAGCTGGAATATGAATGTGGATTTCCTGATTTGAAGCTAGCATGCTTTACTTGACTGCATCTACCTTTATACATAAGGGAAGTAAAGATGAAGAAGAATAAGATAGTGGAAAGAAAACACACTATTTCAAAGGAGTTTCCAAGCATAAAAAAATGTGTCTTCAACTGCTAGAAACTAGCATTAATGTTTTTAAGAACAAAAATTCTCATATGATTTCTAGAGCCTTAGAATTTAGGGAAATTACAGCACAATGTTCTGTTACAACATAAAAATCCCTAATAGCTGAAAAGAAAGGGATGCTCTTTCTTTTAAAGGTGAATTTCTTCTAACTTTTTATGTTCTATTAAAGAGCCTATAGCTACAAATGAGGTGAGGGAACCATAAATTATAGATGTTGAAACACTGAAAGCTGTGAACATAAATGTTTCAATAAATACCGAGTGGTATCAAATTTTGCTGTGAAATTCCAAAGTGAAATATAATTCTTTGGTGTGAGGAAAAAAGTCTCTGAGTGAGCAACAGTTAAAGGTGGTCAGCTTGGCTTTTTATATTTTGAAGAGAGAGCAAAACCTTAAAGCCGTTGTGTGTCAGTCCAGAAACAGCCAGGCAACGGCTGTTTCACGCCAATGGGTTGTTTGTCCTATTTTCCACTTTATGCCTTTCTTCTTGTTCCGTATATATACACTATGTACCTATTACATATACAGAGGCCTTTTTGACATCAAAGGTTCTGATTCTGCAGCTAGGATAATCTAGAGGATTATACCGACCATAACATAGCAGGCACATGCCAGACACTTGACCCCTAAAAGCGAGTCACAGGCCATGGCATATTTAAACACAGTAAGAAGTGAAGTTAACAGCCAGCATACTCTTGAACAAATGAGCATTGTTGTCACAATTGAAACCACATGCTGAGTAATATAACATAGGTGCAACCTAACTGAGAATGTGTGGACAGTTAGAACCATGAGTGTATTATTATTATTTTTTTTATTTATATTATGTCTGTGAGTCTTGGGGCCCCTTCCCTGTGTTTTCTTAGTGGAATTCAGCAGCACAAGCTCAGCTGCCTGGATTGGAGTTGGGCACTAAAGGATGGAGTCCTCTCTAGCTGCTGGGACTGTGGAAAGATATCAGCCACTGCAACAAGCTCCTGAGGACCTGATCTTCCTAAACCATGTCAAACCTGAACTTACCTAAGGGGCTACATCATAGCCTTCTGAGCCAGACATCTCTGAATGCAAAGCTATTTCAGTGGCTGTTTATTACTTTCTGGAAAATTTAGCCATAGACAGATGTATGAAGAGATATTGACCAAACTAAATGGTTTACGCTTCATTTAGTTTGAAATAACACATTTATTCTTCTGAGCTCCAATTTTTCCGCTCTAGGGCATCAATTTTTTGTTTATTGGCAGTCTAATTAAGACAGGTTAGATATGTTGAATTTTCTCTGCAGGCAGATGAGAATGATTAAACAATGATTTATTTGTGTGTTCTGTATGTATTAACAGCTACAGTGGTCTGGAAATCCCATTGGCAATTTCTTTTTGCTTCTGTTCTGTATCTTTACCTGTAACCAGTGATAGCTTCAGGGGAAAGAAGAGAGAGAACATAGGAAGTGTCTTCTGTTTGTTGGCAGTATTCTTGTCCTTTGGAAAAGGCATGGGGTCTTTGGGAAGAGTGTCAACTGCTTGGAAAAGGAACCAATGGTACCATTTGCATTTATTCAGTATACTTTTTCTCACACATTTCTGGGATTACTATTTTCTCCAGGAAAAAGCAAAGGCTAAGGTTAAATAACTAGTCTGTCTGATAGTAGAGTACCCTGACTTCATATCCACAGTTCATTTCACCATAGATAATATTTACAGTTCATTTAAAATCTTGTACCAGGGCCTTCTCATGCTTTCTAAGCATTTATTTATTTATTTGATACATTTTAAGGATCTATTTTGTATATAATAAGTGGCAGTTCTTTGGGGGGAGAATGTAAGGAATTATGACACAGTGCTTTTCTTCAGTGTCTTTTAACTTAGAAGTGAAAAAAAGCTCACACACAAACACACACACACTCATAAGGATAAATTATAAACCAAAAAATGAGTTCACAAAGCAGCATTAGATGAATGGAATTTTAAAAAATGCTATGTAAATTCAGAGACAAGGAAAAGTCAGCATTTCACCATGGACAGAAATTATTCTTGGGGAAGAAAGGACTTGTGCTGTGTCCTAGTTGCTCTGTAGGGGTTGGATGGGAAGACAAGACAGGATCCTTCCAGGATTATGGAGTGATGGCAGACAAGCTGCAGAGGCAAAAAGAGCATTGCACAGCCAGGGAAGTGTGAGTAGACTACTTTTTACCAAGGAGAATATCGACTTACTCTTTACTTTCTTTCTTTTTTTAAGAGACAGGGTCTCACTCTGTCACCCAAGCTGAGGTGCAGAGATGGGAGTGTGGCTCACCATAGCCTTCAACTGGTGGGCTCCAGTGATCCTCCTACCTCAGCTTCCTGAGTAGCTGGGACTACAGTTGTGTGCCGCCATGTCCAGCTAATGTTTTTTTCTTTTTTTTTTTCTTTCTTTTTTTTTTTTTTTAAGAATAGGGTCTCGCTCTGTTGCCCAGACCAGTCTTAAATTCTTGGCCTCAAACAATCTTTCCACCTCGGCCTCGGAGTAGCTAGGAATGTAGGCATGAGCCACTGCACCTGGTGACTTATTCTTTAATTTCAACAAAAGTTCCTGCTTCTCTGTGCCAGGTTCTTGAAATACAAAGATGACAGAGATGGACATGGTTTCTGCCATCAGAAAGCTTGGCGTTTTGTGGGTGATATAAACAATAAAAATGGGAATCCACTGGGAAATCCATTATTTCATATTCCATATGAAATAATGATAAATTGGAAAGAAGTATTAGAAAACATGCAGGGTTCTATGAGTGAAAACAGGATAAAACAATTGGAAAGCAAAAGAACTTTTTCTGTGGATTATAGCTTAGACAAAACAATATGATGTTGTGTAGGTAGTCAGTCAACAGGTTCAATTATTGGCTCTGCCATTTGTTGGCTATGGGAATTGGTAAATTATCAAACCTGTCTCAGTATAGGTTTCCTCCTTTGCTAAGTGGGAATAGTACTATCTGCCTCGTAGGATTGCCATAGAAATTGAATGAAATAACATCAATTAAAAAAAAAAACCTAATGAGCATAACTTTTGGTACCTAGTGGATACTCAATATTAAAACCTATCCTTCAATCATTCCAAAGTGCCAGAGAAATAAGAAAATGCTGCTTTTTCTCTTAGAATAAGATTATGAAATCTTCACAAACTGTCCTTTTTGTCACTAATTTTACTTGTTGGGATGGCTTTGAGCTAGCTAACAGACCAGTCTTAGTCAACAGTCTTAGAATTTGAGCACTTCTCTCATAGCGACCACACATACGCTTACACATTTGTCTTCTCTACTATTATTTTTGATGTGAGAAGTGCGTGCTTTGTTCCTCATGAGTGAATATAAGACATTTCTGCTTAATGATTGGAGGGTGGCAACTAATTTAGCAGTTGCAATTTTTGCATTGATCAAAATAATAATACTGTATAATACCCCTATCCTTCCCACAGAAATCCTTTCTTAGCTTCAGGAGTCACTGAAGCAAGTTCAGGTTATATTAGGATCCTGAAGTGTCCTCCCTTTTCTCATTAAAGTGGGGGCTCTGAAATTTGGTGGGAAAACATCATCTTGTTTAACCTGACCTGTTGTGTCCCACTAGTATACTGATGGAAACCTAGTGATGCCAGCAGGACACTCATGTTGGCAGGTAGTGAATGTTCAGAACAGGACATGGCTTCTGATGTGCTTGGAGAATAACTTATCTGTGAAGGAAAAAATTCATATTTTTCCATGTGAATATTCTTGGTGCCATTATTTTCCTTTGTTGGTATCTGACAGGAAGTTACTGAGTCCTGGCAAATATGTCTCTGTTGTTGTTGGAGATACCAAGAAATTGGAGAGGCAATTTCATAAAATAGCAGAGAATTAAGCTAAAGAGCAATTGAACTTCAAGAATCTCTGAACTCATGACACTGGGAAGAGGTATTATGGTTTCCAACTGGTCTGGACTAAAGCTCTCAAACTGGATGTCAGTAGTCAAAACACTAAATCAATCAAACATCAAATTCAAGCATTTTATTGTCAAAAGGATTACTTGTCCTTTGCACAATAAGATTTTAGTCTTTGCTGATGACTGCTGTTCTGTTTTGATTTAATTCATATATAGGCATGATACATCCTTCCAGAAAGGATTTTAGGTAGACAATGGACATAGACTTGTAAAACTGTTACCCAGGAAAAGACAACTCAGAACTTCCAACATATTTTGTGAGACTGGATTTCAAACATTAGTCATACTCTTACTTTAATTCCTCTTGCTTTTGTTTTTATAGCTTTTCTCAATGATTTCCAGCTGTTTCTTGTCCCCTGGCCACTTTTCTTGGCCTTTCCATTCCATGTGGTCACTAACCACGATCGCTGGGCTCAGTAAAAGCTTTGTTTTGAGAAAACAAGAAGTGCTCTGAAGTGGACATTGACTCCAGACCCAAATGGAAATGAGAAGGCTGCTGTTCTTGCTTAAATCAAGTGAATAAAGCAGCAAAATAAATGGTGATGTAGATGAAATATTTCACTTCTAAAAGCTGATACTTAATCTGACCAGTAATATCCATAATAGTAATACCACTGAAATCCAAACCCTAAAACAAAATACACACTAAAGTATTTAAACTATATCTGCCAAGAAATAGGCATAATTTTCTATCAGTAATGGAAAGTGTTTCACCAGGGCTGTCCTGAATTAGGCACATGTTAATTTCCACTAACTACCTGGTCTGAAGTGTGTCAGTCCAAAATGGCTGATAGAAATCTGATATAGTTTGGATGTTGTCCCCTCTAAATCTTATGTTGAAATGTAATCCCCAGTACTGAAGGTGGGGCCTGAAGGAAGGTGATTGGCTCAGGGGGACAAATTTCTTATGATGGTTTAGTGCCATCCCCTTGTGATAGTGAGTTCTTGTGAGATCTGGCTGTTTAAAAGTGTGTGGCACGTGCTCACCTCTCTTGCTCCCTGTCTCACCATTTGATATGTCTGCTTCTGCTTTGCCTTCACCATGACTAAAAACTCCCGGAGGCCTCACCAAAAGCTGAGCAGATGTTGGCACCAGACTTGTATAGCCTGCAGACCCTTGAGCCAATTAAACCTCTTTTCTTTATAAATTACCCAGTCTCAGATATTTCTTTATAGCAACACAAGGATGGCCTAACACAAAGTCTACCCATTTGAACACATCTCCCTTCCATGCAAATGTTAAAATGAGAATTAGGTAATGATAATGAAGTTAACATAATGAGAAGATTGGGAAGGAGTTTCTTGAACAAACAAAATATTTTAGCAACTATCTCAAAGGCAGAAAGAGGAAGAAGTGATGATTAGGGAAACAAAATGGAGGAAAACCATTCAGTCTAGAAGACAAACAGAGGGGCTGCAGCTTTTTTCTGTATTTCTAGATATAGTTATGCACTGAATAATAATGTTTAGGTCAATGATGGACCATGTATACAATGGTAGTCCCATAAAATTATAATACTGTATTTTTACTATTTCTATGTTTAGATATGCAAATACCTAACATTGTGTTACAGTTGCCTATAGGATTTAGTACAGTAGAAACATGCTGTGCAGATTTGTAGCCTAGGAGCAATAGGCTAAACCTTATAGCCTAGATATGTAGAAGGCTACACTATCTAGGTTTCTGAAAGTACACTCTACAATGTTTGCACAACAAAATCATCTGACAACACATGATAAGAGATGATGACATCTTGATTCCTTCTTTTTTACCTCCACACAATCAATAAATAACCCATGCTTACTGATTTTAACTCCCAAACATCAGTCTGGAATTGTCCTCAAACACCTGAATTTCTCTTTTCTTCTATCATTCTATTGCCTGCCTTAGGACACACTTTTATTGTCTCTAATTCTAACTGTTGCTGCAGCTTCTGGTTCTACTCCCTTTAGTTGTGGCTTTATACTAATTTACCTAAAATGCAGATCTTACAAACTAAGCCACCTCTTTAATTAAAACCTTGTAATAGGTTCCCATGACTTTCAGGATAAGCACCTTAGCAGAGAATGCAGTCATCATGGTCTTCATCTTTACACCATTGATGCCAGTCCCTTTCCTTACCCCTATCACTATGACACTATTTATGTTCCAGAAGTGCTGAGGTTGTTCTTCTCTAAGATACTGTACAGCTACACATCTCAGTGATTTTGTTCATGTCACTCATTTTGATTGAAATTTCATTTTCTAGACTGTTCCCCTATCTGCATGCCTTCTTTTCCAAGCAAATTTTAGTTTATCTTTCAAAATGCTACTTAGCAGTCACCTTCTCTGTGAAATCTTGACTCCTTGCACTTCTATTATAATAAATATCAAATTTTAATTTTTTTGTATTATATTTTCATTTCAATAGTTTTTTGGGAAACAGGTGTTGTTTGGTTACATGTATAAGTTCTTAAGTGTACTCATCACTTGAGCAGTGTACATTGTACCCAGTGTGTGGTCTTTTATCCCTCACCCCCTCCCACCTTTCCCCCCGAGTTCTCAAAGTCCATTGTGTCATTCTTATGCCTTTCCATCCTCATAGCTTAGTTCTCACTTATGAGTGAGAACATGCGATGTTTGGTTTTCCATTCCTGAGTTACTTTACTTAGAATAATGAGTTACTTTACTTAGATGGAGTCTCCAACTCCATCCAGGTTGCTGTGAATGCCATTATTTTGTTCTTTTTTATGGCTGAATAGTATTCTATGGTATATATACACCACGTTTTCTTTATTCACTCATTGATTGATGGGCATTTGGACTTGTTCTGTATTTTTGCGTTTGTGAATTGTGCTGCTATCAATATGCCTGTGGATGTATCTTTTTCATGTAATGACTTTTTTTCCTTTGGGTGGAGATACCCAGGACTTGAATTGCTGGATCAAATGGTAATTCTACTTTTAGTTCCTTAAGGAATCTCCACACTGTTTTCCATAGTGGTTGTACTAGTTTATATTACCACCAGCAGTGTAAAAGTGTTCCCTTTGTCCCACATCTCCACCAACATCTATTATTTTTTGATTATGGTCATTTTTGCAGGAGTAAGGTGGTATTACATTGTGGTTTTGATGTGCATTTCCCAAATAATTAGTGGTTTTGAGCATTTTTTCATATGTTTGTTGGCCATTTGTATATCTTCGTTTGAGAATTGTCTATTCATGACCTTATCCCACTTTTGATGGGATTGTTTGTTTTTTTCTTGCTGATTTGTTTGAGTTCCTTGTAGATTCTGGATATTAGTCCTTTGTCAGATATACGGTTTGTGAAGATTTTCTTCCACTCTGTGGGTTGTCTGTTTACTCTGCTGATTATTTCTTTTGCTGTTAGGAAGCTTTTTAGTTTAATTAGGTCCCATCTATTTATCTTTGTTTTTGTTGCATTTGCTTTTGGGTTCATGGTCATGAAGTCTTTGCTTAAGCTAGGGTCTAGAAGGGTCTTATTGATGTTATCTTCCAGAATTTTTATGGTTTTAGGTCTTAGATTTAAATCTTTGATACATCTTGAGTTGATTTTTATGTAAGGTGAGAGATGAGATTCCAGTTTTTCCTTCTACATGTGGCTTGCCAATTATCCCAGAACCATTTGTTGAATAGGGTGTCCTTTCCCCATTTTATGTTTTTGTTTGCTTTGTCGAAGATCAGTTGGTTATAAAGTATTTGGCTTTATTTCTGGGTTCTCTATTCTATTCTATTGGTCAATGTGCCCATTTTTATACCAGTACCATGCTGTTTTGGTGACTATAGCCTTATAGTATAGTTTGAAGTCCAGTAATGTGATGCCTCCAGGTTTGTTCTTTTTGCTTAGCCTTGCTTTGGCTATGTGGGCTTTATTTTGGTTCCATATCAATTTTAGGATTTTTTTTTGTATTTCTGGGGAGAATGATGTTGGTATTTTGATGGGAATTGCATTGAATTTGTAGATTGCTTTTGGCACTATGGTCATTTTCACAATATTTATTCTACCTATCCATAAGCATGGGATGTGTTTCCATTTGTGTAGTCTATGATTTCTTTCATTAGTATTTTGTTTGTAGATGTCTTGTTTCATTTATAGTTTTTCTTGTAGATGTCTTTTATCTCCTTGGTTAGGTATATTCCTAAGGTTTTTTTGTTTTCAGATATTGTAAAATGGGTTGGGTTATTGATTTGATTCTCAGCTTGGTCACTGTTGGTGTACAGCAGTGCTACTGATTTGTGTACATTAATTTTGTATCCTGAAACTTTACTGAATTAATTTATCAGTTCTAGCAGCTTTTTGCATGAGTCTTTAGGGTTTTATAGGTATACACTCATATCACAGGTAAACAGTGACAGCTTGACTTCCTCTTTACCAATTTGGATGCCCTTTATGTATTTCTACTTTCTGATTGCTCTGGCTAGGACTTCCAGTACTATGTTGAATAGAAGTGGTGAAAGTGGACAACCTTGTCTTGTTCCAGCTCTCAGGGGGAATGCTTCCAACTTTTCCCCATTCAGTATAATGTTGGCTGTGGGTTTGTTATAGATGGCTTTTATTACCTTAAGGTATGTCCCTTCTATGCTGATTTTGCTGACTGTTTTAATCATAAAATGATGCTGGATTTTGTCAAATGTTTTTTCTGCATCTATTCATATGATCATGTGTCTTTTGTTTTTAATTGTTTATGTGGTGTATCACACTTATTGACTTATGTGTGTTAAACCATCCCTGCATTCTTGGTATGAAACCCAGTTGATCAGGGTGGATTATCTGTTTGATATGCTGTTGGGTATGGTTAGCTAGAATTTTGTTGAGGATTTTTGCATCTATGTTCATCTGGGATGTTGGTCTGTAGTTTTCCTTTTTGTTATGTCCTTTCCTGGTTTTGGTATTAGGGTGATACTGGCTTCATAGAATAATTTAAGGAGGATTCCCTCTTTCCCTATCTTTTGGAATAGTGTCAATAGAATTGGTACCAAATTTTCTTTGAACGTCTGGTAGAATTCAGCTGTGAATCCATCTGGCCTGGACTTTTTTTGTTGGCAATTTTTAAATTACCATTTACTTTGTTGACAGTTTCTATTTCTTTTTGGTTTGATCTAGGAAGGTGGTATATTTCCAGGAATTTATCCACCTCCTCTAGGTTTTCTAGTTTGTGTGCGTAAAGGTAAAGTCTTGCATGCTTTATTATATTTCTCTGGTATCGGATGTAATATCTCCTATTTTATTTCTAATTGAGCTTATTTGGATCTTCTCTCTTCTTTTATTGATTAATATTGTTAACGGTCTATCAATTTTATTTATCATTTCAAGGAACCAGCGTTTTGTTTCATTTATCTCTTGTATTTTTTTTTTCTTTTTCAATTTCATTTAGTTCTGCTCTGATCTTTATTATTTCTTTACTTTTGCTGAGTTTGGGTTTGGTTTGTTCTTGTTTCTCCATTTCCTTGAGGTGTGACCTTAGATTGTCTTTTTATCTTGTTTTTTGGACTTTCTGAGGTATGCATTCAAAGCCTCTTGGCACCACTTTTGCTGCATTCCAGAGGTTTTGACAGGTTGTGTCACTATTATTGTTCAGTTCAAAGAATTTTTAAATTCCTATCTTGATTTCTTTGTTGACCCAAAGATCATTCAGGAGCATATTATTTAATTTCCATGTATTTACATGGTTTTGAGGGTTCCTTCTGGAGTTAATTTCCAGTTCTTTTCCACTGTGGTCTGAGAGAGTACTTGATATAATTTCAGTTCTTAAAAACTTACTGAGACTTGTTTTGTGGCCTATCATATGGTTTGTCTTGGAGAATGTTCCATATGCTGATGAATAAAATGTATATTCTGCAGTTGTTGGGGAGAATGTTTTGTACATATCTGTTAAGTCCATTTGTTCTAGGGTATAGTTTAAGTCCATTGTTTCTTTGTTGACTTACTGTCTTGATTACCTGTCTAATGCTGTCATTGGGGTATTGAAGTTCCCCACTATTATTGTGTTGCCGTTTATCTCATTTCTTAGGTCTAGTAGTAATTGTTTTATAAATTTGGGACCTCTGGTGTTAGAGGTGTGTGTGTGTGTGTGTGTGTGTGTGTGTGTGAGATATATATATATATATGTGATTGTGATTTTTCCTGTTGGACTAGTCCTTTTATCTTTATATAATGTCCTTCTTTGTGTTTTTAAACTGTTGTTGCTTTAAAGTCTGTTTTGTCTGATATAAGAATAGCTACTCCTGCTTACTTTTGGTGTCCATTTGCATGGAATATCTTTTTCTATCCCTTTACCTTAAGTTTATGTGAGTCTCTTGAAGACAGCAGACACTTGGTTGGTGAATTCTTATTCATTGTGCCATTCTGTATCTTTTAAGTGGAGCATTTAGGCCATTTACATTCAATTAGTATTGAGATATGAGGTATTGTTCTATTCATTGTGCTAGTTGTTGCCTGAATACCTTTTTTTTCCATTGTGTTATTGTTTTATAGGTTCTGTGAGATTTATGCTTTAAGAAGCTTCTATTTTTGGATTTTTTTCAAGATTTAGAGCTCCTTTTAGCAGTTATTGTAGTGCTGGCTTGGTAGGGGCAAATTCTCTTAGCATTTGTTTGTCTGAAAAAGACTATCTTTTTTTTTGTTTGTTTATGAAGCTTAGTTTCACTGGATAAAAATTCTTGGCTGATAATTGTTTTGTTTCTAGCTTGTAAAGTTTCTGCTGACAAATCTGTTAATCTGATAGGTTTTTCTTTGTAGGTTACCTGATGCTTTTGCCTCACAGCTCTTAAAATTCTTTCCTTCATCTTGACTTTAGATAACCTGACGACTATGTGCCTAGGTGATGATGTTTTTGCAATAAATTTCCCAGGTGTTCTTTGAGCTTCTTGTATTTGAATGTCTACATCTCTGGCCATGCCAGGGAAGTTTTCCTCAATTATTCTGTCTAATATGTTTTTCAAACTTTTATATTTCTCCTCTTCCTTAGAACACTAACTATTCTTTGGTTTGGTTATTTAACATAATCCCAAACCTCTTGGAGGCTTTGTTCATTTTTTTAATGCTTTTTCTTCTTTGTCTTTGTTGGATTGGGTTAATTCAAAAGCCTTGTCTTTGAGTTCTGAAGTTCTTTCTTCTTCTTGTTTCTTTTATTGAATCAAAACCCCCTTTCTAGTGTGTTTTGCATTTATCTAAGTGTGTCCTTCATTTGCAGAAGTTGTGATTATTTTTATTTATGCTATCTATTTCTCTGGAGATTTTTTCTGTCCATATCCTATAACATTCTTTTCATTTCTTTAACTTCGTGTGCATCTTTCTCTGGTACCTCCTTGTTTAGCTTAAAAAATCAACGTTCTGAATTCTTTTTCTGGCAATTCAGAGATTTTTTTCTTGGTTTGGATCTATTGCTCATGAGCTAGTGTGATCTTTTATGGGTGTTAAATAACCTTGTTTTGTCATATTACCAGAATTGTTTTTCTGGTTCCTTGTCATTTGGGTAGACTATGTCAGAGGGAAGATCTGAGGTTCAAGGGCTGCTGTTCAGATTCTTTTGTCCCACATGGTACTGTCTTGATGTGGCTTCCTGAGAGTAGAGCTTCAGTGATTGTACTTTCTCTTCTGGTTCTACCCCCCAGGGGAGCTACTACACTCCAGGCTGGTACTTGGGAGTGTCTGCAAGGAGTCCTGTGATGTGATCCATCTTTAGATCTTTCAGCCTTGAATACCAGCACCTGCCCTGTGGTAGGTAGCAGGGGAAAGAAGTGGACTCTGATATATGGTTTGGCTGTGTCCCCATCCAAATCTCATCTTGAATTATAGTTCCCATAGTCCCCATGTGTCATGGGAGGGACCCAGTGGGAGGTAATTGAATCGTGAGGGCAGTTACTCCCCATGCTGTTCTGTTGTTCTTGTGAATTCTCATGAGATCAGATGGCTTTATAAGGGGCTTTCCACCCTTTTGCTTGGCACTTCTTGCTGCCACCATGTGAAGAAGGATGTGTTTGCTTTCCCTTCCACCATGGTTGTAAATTTCCTGAGGCCTTCTTAGCCATGCTGAACTGTGAGTCAATTAAACCTATTTCCTTTATAAATTACCTGGTCATGGGTATTTCTTCATAGCAGTATGAAAATGGACTAATACAGTAAATTAGTACTGGGTAGTGGGATGCTGCTATAAAGATACTCAAAAATGTGGAAATGACTTCGGAACTGGGTAGCTGGCAGAGGTTGGAACTACTTGTAGGGCTCAGAAAAAGGCAGGAAATTGTAGGAAAGTTTGGAACTTCCTAGAGATATGGAGGGCTCAGAAGACAGGAAGATTTGGGAAAGTTTGGAACTTCCTAGAGACTTGTTGAATGGCTTTGACTAAAATGCTGATAGTGATATGGACAATAAAGTCCAGGCTGAATTAGTCTCAGATGGGGATGAGGAACTTTTTGGGAACAGGAACAAAGGTGACTCTTGTTATACTTTAGCAAAAAGACTGGCAGCATTTCGCCCCAGCCCTAGAGATCTGTGGAAATTTGAACTTGAGAGAGATGATTTAGGATATCTGGTAGAAAGAATGTCAAAGCAGCAAAGCATTCAAGAACAAGCCAAACATAAAAGTTTGGAAAATTTGCAGCCTGATGATGCAATAGAAAAGAAAAACCCATTTTCTGGGGAGAAATTCAAGCCAGCTGCAGAAATTTGCCTAAGTAACAAGGAGCTGAATGTTAATCACCAAGACAATGGGGAAAATGTCTCCAGGCCATGTCAGAGGTCTTCACAGCAGCCCCTCCCATCACAGGCTCAGAGGCCTAGGAGGGAAAAAGGGTTTCCTGGGCTGCATCCAGGGCCCCCTACTGTGTGCAGCCGGGACTTGTTTCCCTACATTCCAGCCACTCCAGCCTTGGCTAAAAGGGGCCAAGGTTCAGCTTGGGCTGTGGCTTCAGAGGGTACAAGCCCCAAGCCTTGGCAGCTTCTATGTGTTGTTGAGCCTGTGGGTGCACAGAAGTCAAGAACTGAGGTTTGGGAACCTTCTCCTAGATTTGAAAGGACATATGGAAATGCCTGGATATCCAGGCAGAAGTTTGTTGTAGGGGTGGAGCCCACATGGAAAACCTCTGCTAGGGCAGTGCAGAAGGGAAATGGGATGTGTGGTTGGGGCCCTCACACAGAGTCCCCACAGGGGCACTGCCTAGTGGATTTGTGAGAAGAGGGCCACTGTTTCCCAGACCCCAGAATGGTAGATCCACTGACAGCTTGCACTGTACACTTGGAAAATCTGCAGAAACTCAACACCAGCCCATGAAAGCAGCCAGGAGGGGCCCTGTACCCTGCAAAACCACAGGAGTGGAACTGCCCAAGTCCATGGGTGCCCACCTCTTCCATCAGCATGACCTGGATGTGAGACATAAAGTCAAAGGAGATCATCGTGGAACTTTAAGGCTTAATGACTACCCTATTGGATTTAAAGCTTGCATGGGGCCTGTAGCCCCCCTTTTTTTGGCCAATTTCTCCCGTTTGGAATGGGTATATTCCTGAAGTGGCTGGGATAGAATGATATGGTTTGGCTGTGTCCCCACCCAAATCTCATCTTGAATTGTAGTTTGCATAATTCCCACATGTCATGGGAGGGTCCCAGTGGGGCATAATTGAATTATGGAGGCAGATACCCTCATGCTGCTGTTCTTATGATAGTGAGTGAGTTCTTACAAGAGCTGATGGTTTTATGAGGGGCTTTTCCCCTTTTTGCTTGGCAATTCTCCTTGCTGCCACCATGTGAAGAAAGATGTGTTTGCTTCCTCTTCCACTATAATTGCAAATTTCCTGGGGCCTCTCCAGCCATGCTGAACTGTGAGTTAATTAAGCCTCTTTCCTTTAGAAAGTACCTGGTCTCAGGTATTTCTTCCAAGCAGTGTGAAAATGGACTAATACATTCTGTGAGGATCCTTGGTTGTCGTTTTGTTTAGCATGCTGTTTCTGTGTTGGTTAGCCTCCAGCCAGGAGGTGGTGCTTTCAAGAGAGCATCAACTGCATTAGTATGGGGAGTTACAACCTTGCCCAAGGGGTGCCTGGATAGTTATTCTGATTTCTCAGGTGGTGGGAAGCAACATAGAGCTCCCAAGAGATTATATCCTTTTGTTTTCAGCTACCAGGTTGGGTAGTGAAAGACCATCAGTTGGGGGAAGGGTTAGGCATATTTGAGCTCAGACTCTTTTTGGGTGGGGCTTGCTACAGCTGCTTTGGGGAGTGGGGGTGTGACTCTCAGGCTGATGCATTTGTGTTCCCAGGGGGATGTTGGCTGCCTCTGCTGCATCATACAGGTTGCCTGGGAAGTGGGGGAAAGCAAGCAGTGGCAGGCCTCACCCACCTCCTATCCAGCTCAACAGGCCAGTCTCAGTCCAACCATGCCTCCCCAACAGCAGCCAGTGAGTGGGGCTGAGAACTTGTCCCGGGATACCAGCCTCCTTGCTGAGAAGGCAAGCAGGGCTTTCAGGTTTTGCACCTCCCTGCCTGCTGCAGCTTATGTGCTTTTTGCACACCCTGTTCACTCCCTCCTCCAGTTACTGTGAGCAAGCTTCACATTTGGGTGAAATTGTTACAGAGTTCAGCTGGAAGTTTCCTTCTTCCTGTGGTCTTTCCCCAATTCCACTGGCAGCTCTCCCCAAGGACTCCTGTGAAACAAAGTCAGGAATGGAATGGCTTCCCTGGGGGCTGAAAGTGCTCACAGGGCTTTTCCCACTGCTTCCTCTACCCTTGTATTTTGCTCAGCAATCTGAATTTGTCTCTGCTCTAAGTATGGTCAGATCTTTCTCTTGTGATCTGAACCTTCAGGTTCCCCAGTGAGAATGTGTGTTTGGGGGCACGTGTTTCCCCTTCACACCTAGGGCACTTACAGTTTTTCAGCTGTCTCATGGACCCTGCAGTGGCAAACTGAGTCTTTCAAAGGGTCTGTGGATTATCTTAGCTTTCCTGGTATGTTCCTGCAGTAGTTCTTGGAGCAAAAGTTCATGATGTTAGTCTCCACATGCTTCTCTGTCTGAGTGTGAGCTGCAAGTGAATCCTGACTCCTATCTGCCATTTTCCTGAGCCAGCTTGCTTATTTGTTGTGAATGTCTGTTTCTCTTAGACTGTGAGCTTTTAGGGCAGGATGGTATATTTGCAGCTTCAAGGCCCAAGATTTTTTTTTTCCATCCAATTTAGAAAAATTTCAACCATTGTTTCTTTAAATATTTTTTTTCTGTCCCCTCTCTTTACAGAGACTCTAGTGACACTTCCTTTATGCTCCTTGAAGTTGTCCTGCAGTTTACTGATGTTGTGCTTTATTTATTTGATTCATTTTTTCCTGTTTCATTTTGGATCGTTTCTATAGCAATGGTTTGAAGTTCAGTCATTTTTTTTTTGCAAAATTTAATATTTAATTAATCCCTTTCAACTCTGCAGCCATAAAAAAGAATGAGTTCACGTCCTTTGCAGGGACATGGATGAAGCTGGAAGCCATCATTCTCAGCAAACTAACACAGGAACAGAAAACCAAACACCGCATGTTCTCACTCATAAGTGGGAGTTGAACAATGAGAACACTTGGACACAGGGAGGGGAACATCATACACTGGGGCCTGTCAGGGGGTGTGAGGCAAGGGGAGGGAGAACATTAGGCCAAATAACTAATACATGCAGGACTTAAAACCTAGATGACTGGTTGATAGATGCAGCAAACCACCATGGCACATGTATACCTATGTAACAAACCTGCACATTCTGCACATGTATCCCAGAACTTAAAGTAAAACAACAACAAAAAAAAAAAAAGAAAAAAAATCCATTCAGTGTACTTTTCATCTCAGACATTGTTGTTGACATCTCTAGAAATTGAATTTCTATCTTTTAAAAAACATCTTCCATGTCTCCACTTAACTTTTTGCACAAATGAAATGCAGTTATAACTTTTTAAGTATTTTTTTCTGCTAATTAATATCACTGTCAGTATTGGTTCCAAATTGTTTTTTTCTCCTATCATGGCATATACTATCCTACATCCTTACATGCCTGTTAATTTTTTATTGCATGTCAAATGTTGTGAATTTTTACTGTATTTTGTATTGGATATTTTTCCATTTCTATAAATATTCTTGAACTTTGTTCTGGGACACAGTTAAGCTCTTAGAACTGTTTGATACTTTTGAGTCTTGCTTTTAAGATTTCTTAGGTGAAACTAGAGTAGCATTTAGTCTAGGGACAATTTTGTTCCATGACTCAGTCAAGACTCTTCTGCACATTCTGCCAGTTTCTATGATTATGAGGTTTCTAATCTGTCTGGTGGAAACAGGCACTATTACTGGGCCTGGGTGAGTACTGGGTACTTGTCTTGGTTTTGGTAGCTATAACAAAATACACTAGGCTGGGTGACTTATGAACAACAGAAACTTATTTTTCACAGAAGTTATTCTGACAATTTTGGAGACTGGAAGACCAAGATGATGGTGCCAGCATGGTTGTGTTCAGCTTAGAGCTGTCTTCTGGGTTGCAGACTGACAGATTCTTCTTGTGTCCTCTCATGGTAGATAGAGAGTGAGCTAGCTCTTAGGCCTCTTCTTATAATGGCACTAATCTCATTCATGAGCACCCCACCTTCATGACCTAATTACCTTCCAAAAGCCCCACCTCCAAATACCATTACACTGGGGATTAGATTTTAACATATGAATTTTGGAGAAGGACACAAACATTCAGTCCATAACAGTCATGTTCTTTCTAATCGTTTTGGGTAGTTCTTTCCTTGGCCATGAATAGTTTCCTCACACACATGTGCTGATCAGTATTCACAGGTTGATTTAAGGAGAACCTCTCTAAAGATACCTGAAATTTTTTCCATGTGCAGGCCTCTCTCATCCATTACTTTGTTTTGTGATCTCTAACTAACTTGGTCTCCCCAGTATCCCAGTTTCATCACCTCTGCTCAGGGAATCTTGTTGATTAGGCAGAAAACCCAAGAAGATTGGCTGTGTCTCCACCCAAATCTTATTTTGAATTGCAGTTGCAATAATCTCTACGTGTTGTGGGAGGGACCTGGTGGGAGATAATTGAATCATGGGGGTGGGTTTTTCCCATACTTTCCTCATGGTAGTGAATAAGTTTCATGAGGTCTGATGGTTTTATAAATGGGAATTCCCTTACACAAGCCCTCTTGCCTAGTGCCATGTAAGATGTGCCTTTGCTCCTCCTTCATCTTCCACCATGTTTGTAAGGCCTTCTCAGCCATGTGGAACTGTGAGTCTATCAAACCTCTTTTTCTTCATAAATTACCCAGTCTTGGGTATTTCTTCACAGCAGTAAGAAAATGGACTAATATGCTTGGGTACCCTGTCCTTTTGCTATTGGTTGGAAACTCAAGGCAGTAAGTTCTGGCAATTGTGGGATTCCCCTCATTTTGTTTTTCATCTGGTAGTGATCATTGTCCTTTGTTGCCTAATCTCAAATGTCTTAAAAACCATTGTTTGACGTATTCTGTTCAACTTTTTTTTGTTGTTTCAGATGGGAAAGTAAATCCAGGTCTTGTTATTTGTTACAATATCTTGGCTGGAAGCAGAAGTCCTTTGATGTTTTTAATTAAAAGCTTATGAAAAGAAATCACCACTATATTCTCTAGTTTCAAAAATTCAAGATTATCAGAAATGAAAAGTACCAGGCCCAGATCGGTTTGCTGGTGACTTCTACCAACATTTAAGGAAGAAATTATATGAATTCTCAATCTCTTTCATAAGATAGAATTCGAGTGGTTGTTTCCTAGCTCAGTTTATAATACCAACATTCAATTTACTCTGTTGCCAAATTCTTTCATCACAAAATTCCTAAAATTTCTGAAAAGTAAATAAGTATCATGGTTTGTAACCAGAATAACACAAGAAAATAATTTATGTATTGCTTTTTAGAATTGTTAAAATTTTGTGTTGCTGATTATCACCTACTCTACAAGGTATTGGTTGGCAGGGATGTAACCAGAATTTTTTATGGACTAATATAATTAGGGCCCTGAATGATAAAGCTTTGTTTATTTTATACTTAAATTTATGCTATTAAAAATCATTTGATGGTCTATATTGTTCTGATGCAAATGAATCAAACTTCTTTTAGTAATAAGCTTTTGTAGACCAAACATATATATAGTTATATATGTAGCATGAATACCAGAATATTTCTAGCAATTTTAACTATGGAATATAATATCTAGAGGATATTAATTCAGAACTTTAGAAATATATCTGACTCTAAAGAGAATTATATTACACATTTTGACAAGGAAGAAAGAATATGAAAGCTAACAGGAGTATTATAAGACAGTGTTTTAGAAAGTGAAGCTCACAAACCACCTACATCAGAATTATTATGATTATGGCAAAAACTGCAATTACTTTTGCACCAATCTAATAAGTTGGGAATGATTGAAGCCACACTGGGGAATGAAATGACACAAATTAAAATTAATTTAAGCAGAGAAGCTCTGGCTTTAAATTCCAATTTTTTTCTCCTCCAGAATTAATAAAAATCTCAGCAAGATGTATTCAGTTTCTTTGGTCCTATTCTTCCATTCTATTCTCTATTAAAATAGTCATCGTTTTTTGTGTGTAAACTGTTGATTATTAATAGTGACTTAACACAAATTTAAGATAATTAAAAATAATGCCGTGTATTTCCTTTCTTTGATACATTGTATTTGGAATGAGGATCTTTGTAACTGCTCAGGGTTCATATGAAATGAAGAATATTTGTCAAAGAGTTATCTATTCCATGCATCTTGTATCCTCCACTATGTCATTGTTATTAAACATTTTATTAATATATCTTAATTTTTTGTTCTCATATATATGGACAGTTAATGTTGTTTTCAGAAATCATTGATTATATTTTTGGGATACTATGCAATTAAAATAATGATCATTTATAATTAAATAATTATAAAATTCAGAGCCTGTAATGGGTAATCTAATTTTAGAAAACTTATTTCCAATTTTATAGCTATTTTATTGTTAGATATGTCTTCTTCAATTCATATTCAAAGGCCTTAAGTTAATATATCTCTCCACTCAGATACCAGTTCAAGAGGTAGTCAGGCTTGGATCTGAGCACTTAAACAACTCTGTGTAAAGCCAATTGCACTACCCGTGCAAACTATGAGTCTTTGAGAAAACAGATTTTGATGTATTTTAGAAAATGTAATATAATAAACAAAGGCTGGGACTGGTGATTTAGATAACCAATTATATTGGACAGTTTATTTTGAATTATCTGGCACTTGAGAAGAAAAACAGGAAAGTCATATTGACTTTTAATGAGGAAAGATGGATGGTTACTTGCTTTGGGTTTGACAAGCTACTGGAAAATATCTCTTACAGCAGTAGTTCTCAAATGCCTAAGACTCAGCTGAGAGTTTTTAAAAATGCTAATTCTCAGGCCCTAACTCAGAGAATCTTTTGTGATATGTTTTAGGTAACCCCTATTATTGTTATATATCTATTGTTTTCAGAAACACTTTGAATAAATCTGATGTAGTTGGTTTGTGAGCTTCGATTTTTGAAACACTGTCTTAAAATACTCCTGTTAGCTTTCATATGTTTTCTTCCTTGTCAAGATGTGTAACAAAAAATATTTTATTTGATTAGAATCTCTGTAACTTTCCATTAATTATTGATAAAGGGCTGGGCACAGTGGCACATATCTGTAATCCTAGCACTTTGGGAGGCTCAGGTGGGAGGATCACTTGAGCCCAGGAGTTTGAGGCTGCAGTGAGTTATGATTGTCCCACTGCACTCCAGCCTGGGAGGGCGAGACCATGTCTCACTAAAAAAAAATTGATATAGTAAATATGAAATTTTAAAATTACATATCTGATGTGTCAAACTGGAGAGACTCATTATGGCAAAAAGAAAGAATAAACAGAGGCTAACAACTTGACACTGTTTTCTTTAGGCTTTCACATAATTTAATATTAATTATTTTAAGTTAGTACTTATCAAATTTTTAGTTTTCTCTCCCATGACCTATACTCAACAAAATCTATCAACCAACAGCTGAGTGTAACAGAGCTTCTCCATTAAGATAGTGTTATAGTAATAGCTCTCCTTTATTTTATCATTTCAGATATTATTAGAACTTTCTGATACCACGTGTGCTGTTTTCATTTTGTAGTATCCTTCAACACATGTGACTAATTTTTATTATACATAAGGACTTTGAGACACTCAGAACAGAAACTTGGGTGACAACGTGAGTGTGTGTGTGTGTGTGTGTGTGTGTGTGTGTGTGTGTGATGAGCACTCCCTCCTAGAAAGGGAAGGTTTAGATATGTGGCTGACCCAAGGGGGAAGTAGAAGGAAATGATGATGGATAGGGCAAAAGAAATGGGAGATAAGCAGGATGGTAAGAAATTAGAAACAAAATAAACAGAGATGGAAAAGAAAGGAATGGTTAGCTTTGGTTAATACCAAGGTTTATAACAACTGACTTTTTCTTTAAGTTATATGTGATGGCTCAGCTGTATAGAGTCTTCATAAAGGGATGTCTGAGAGTGAGCGATATGGCAGGGTTTTCCTCAGGACTGACACAGCCAAGTAATCTGAAGAGTGATTCTTAAGGGCCATTTTCTATTTGCTATAAAAGCATCCTGATGATTTGGGAGGGAAAATGCCAGATGCTCCCATCAAAGGCTAGCACTTTTATTCATTCTTTGGCACTTGTGGTGGTGGTGGTTGTGTGTGTGTTTGTGTGTGTGTGTGTGTGTGTGTGTGTGTGTGTGTCTGTGGTCAGGGGATAGGAAAAAAGTAGCCTGAAAGTATGTGGCAGGGCAACTGGCCGTTCAGGGATCAATCAGTCTTATGGGTGCTATGGTATGTTTGTTGTATCCCTTCAGATGCAGAGTCTGGCATCCAGATTTTTTAGGCCCAAATCTCAAGACCGATGTCAATTGATGTTTGCTGATTGTAAATCAGACTACTAATTTATTTTAGAGTGCATCAGTCCCCAGTGTCTAAAACTGGGAAAGGCTTGGAATGCCAGGATAAATATTGTGTGCCTTATGTGACTGGGAACTAACAAATACTTTCCTGCAAGTTAGTGGAGTAATGAGAATATCTTGTTATGTCTTTTTTTTCAAAATCAAGTATAACCATTAGTCCAATAAATTTCTGGCTGTTAGGTTATGCAGAGTAATTGCTTATTTTACTCAGAATAACAATGTGATTTTTAGACATGAGGTTAACTGAAATCCTTTTTAAACATCCAGTCTCCACCAGGTGTTATTTTGGTAGGGTTTCATGAAGAGTGCATGTAAATTAATTTCTTTGTAGTCCTAGATATTTTTGACAATGTTTTGTCAAGCCGGTATGTGTTAATCTGTTTTGTGTTGCTATAATGTACCCGAGGCTGGGTTATTTATAAAGAAAAGAGGTTTATTTGGCTCAAGGTTCTGTGGTCTGTATAAGAAGCATAGTGCTGGCTGGCATCTACTTTTGATTAGGGCCTCAGAAGCTTATAATCACAATGGAAGATGAAGGGGGAGCAGGCGCGTCACATGGTGAGAGGGCGCAAGAGAATGAGGGAGGAAGTACCAGGCTCTTTTGAAGAACCAGAGCTTGTGTGAGCTTGTGTGAACTCATAGAGTGAGAGCTCACTCATTACCATGAGGACAGGACATTCATGAGGGTCCCTACTCATGACCCAAACACTTCCCAGTAGGCCCACCTCCAACATTGGCGGTCACATTTCAACATGAGATTTGGAAGGGACAAAACATCTAAATCATATCCCAGTGTATTTATATTTGGGGTATTAATACAGAGTTAGTAATAACTTTATGTCCCATTACACAGAGGAATCAGAATGACTCCCTAAAGACTCTATGCATTAAGCTCAAGCTAATGTCAAAGGAGAATTTTACTTCCAATAGCTTCTACCTTTCCCTATTTCTGTGGATAAGTATTCTTTCATTTGAAAACTGAGCATTCACTTCCTTTATCAGTAACAAATTACTAAGAAATGCATTACTGACATTTTGGCTCAGAGGTTTGGGACCTCATAATTTAACTCCAAGCTGGAATTTATGTGCTTATTTTGAGATACACTTAAGAATATTAAAAACATTTAACTTTCTCTTCTGTGCATCCTAAGGTCGAGACTATATTAATAAACAAACAAATGGAAGGTGTGGGAGGAGGAAGTGCTGGTTGGGATAAGTAATAAGCAAAACTGAGACAGGGATCTTAGAGAGTACAGCATACAGACTCTATTGACGGAGGAATGGGACTACAATTGTGCTATAAAATGGTGCTTTCAGATTCCCTTGCCTTTAAAAATTTGTATTTCTATTTCTTTTTTTTTTTTCTTTTCTTTTTTTTTTTTAATTATACTTTAAGTTTTAGGGTACATGTGCACATTGTGCAGGTTAGTTACATATGTATACATGTGCCATGCTGGTGCGCTGCACCCACTAACTCGTCATCTAGCATTAGGTATATCTCCCAATGCTATTTCTGTTTCTAAGAATAGCCCGTGTTCATTGCAAACAACTGGAAAAATATAGAAAGAATAAGATTGAGGAATATCATCTATACCTCTATTACCCAGAGATAACCACTGCTAATATTTTTATATATGTTGTTTTCTATTTATCATTTTTATAAACATATATGGTAAAATTGCATCACATTGTATGATTATTTGATACCTGGGTTTTAAAATGTATTGTAGTATTGTGATTCTTTATTGCCTTGTCACTAAAAATTATTCTAAAAACATAATTTTTAATGGCTGCATAATATTTTATCATATGACTCTTCCATAATTATTTTCTTTTTGATGGTCATTTAAATTTCTTCTTCTCCTTCTCCTCTTTCTCCTCTACCTCCTCTTCCTCCTCCTCCTCCTCTTCCTCATTCTTCTTCTTTGCCATTATACATTGTGAGGAACACTTTTGTAGATAAATATTTGTAAGTTTCTTGGATTATTTCTTTAGTAATATATGCCTTGAAGTCAATTTCCACATCAATTTAATTCTAGATAAATTGGTAGTCTGATTTATAATCAGTTATGGCCTTTTCAAAAGCATTTCAAGAAAAAGTTTTGATATAGACTCTGACAAGCAAAGAAAGGGCATCTCATTTTACTCTTCTCAGTACTTTTGAAAATTTGAATTTGCGTATCTTCAAATTCAAGGCAAAAATTTATTATTTTATTACATGTATTTGATTACCTTTGTGGGTATTTTTGTTAATAATCTTCAGTTGTGTGAGTTTGAAAATTATTTGAAGATCACTGTTAATCAAATGAAATCTGTTGCTTGTTTAACCTAGCAAATATTTTTTATGCAGAAATAAGAGATATTAAAGAGCTTCAGGTAATATTATAATTTATTTCTGGATCTAGTAATTAGTTCTATCTAGATAATAGTCCTGGTTTTACAAGTATAACTAAGTCTATAATATTAAGCAAATTATTTATCTTCTTTAGACTTTCTTTCCTTTTTCATCTATAACATGAGGTATGTGACTAGAACATTTAAAGATATATTTTATCTTTATAATTTTATGGCTGCAAGATTTTTAAGAGGTGACTTCAAAGTAATAATATTTGAATTTCTATTGACTATGAAGGTCATTCTACATGAGTTACAAAACTCATTTAAGTTATATTTTTGAAATAAGTTTATGACCTACCAAGATTATCCTTATATGAAACATTAGGAGACAAAAATGTTTATTTGAATATGTGTTGATGTGTTTATAAAAAATTAATCTTATTATGATACTGAGAACCTCCAACACCCAAGGTTGGGCAAATTCAAGTTCATACAATGAATAGTTGCTTGGTGAATACCTAATTTTTAATAAACTCTGGCTTCTGTTGGATATTTTGAAGAGGATTCCACCTTTTATAATGTCTTTGTTGTTAATGGGCCTGTTTGAATTTTCTGTTCTCCATTAGTAGTGGATTATAGCAGGAATATATTTCACTTTATATTTATATCTATAGATGATATATTAACTTCTTTTCTGTTCTTACCAATGTTCATAAGTTTGGACTAAACTGTAACCATATCATATTTAATGTTTCAAAGTTTAGTAATAACTTCAGTATATGCAAATTTAATAATGAGAATTTCATGCGCTTTGCTTTGGGCTGAAGTAATTTGGCACAAATTATAAAGCAACAGATGACAGTATGTCAGGATTTAAATAGCAACTGATGTTAGACTCTTTCCACTTAGAATAACTCAGTTTATACCTAGTGATCTTAAATTGGAAAAAGAAAAATTATAAAAATTGGTTCTAAATTGGCTGTGCTGTGCATAGTTATTACCACATTACTGAAATCAAATAAGCCAGACCCTTAAAAATGGCAATGAAGATTGATACAAACCTTAAGTTTAAGATTTAAATTGAGCATTTTCTCATGGAATGTTAGTGAACCACATTTTGGGGAAATAAGTAATGAGAGATTAGGAAATTTGCTAGTAGCTGTCATGAAGCCAAAAATCTGTCCCTTACTTTGTGTGTATGTGTGGTGAAATCCTGGATAATACTGGATGTGTTTTATTTACCCCATTTAGGCTGAATCACATAGAAAATGTATTTTAGGAAAATCTTTAAAAATTTTTTTTGACAAGGCATGGTGGCTCACACCTGTAATACCAGCACTTTGGGAGGCTGAGGCCAGCAGATCACTTGAGGTCAGGCATTTCAGACCAGCCTGGCCAACATGGTGAAACCCCTGTCTCTACTAAAAATACAATAATTAACTGGGCATGGTAGCACACACCTGTAATCCCAGCTACTTGGTAGGCTGAGGCATGAGAATCACTTGAACCTGGGAGGCAGAGGTTGCAGTGAGCCAAGATGGCACATGTTTATATATAAAATGTAGGCTGTGATAGCTCAATGGACTGATTGAGGCTTGGAAAAAGCCATATATGTGTGTATAGACAGCTTACTCAACATATAATTTATATTTTTTTGGCTATTTGCTAAAAATAAGCCTATCTCTGTAAGAACTGAAGTAACTATTAGTCATCCTAGTTATCTAAAAATCATGTAAAATAACAAGATCTCTTCAAACTGGAAATGGAGGAGCCAGCAGAAGGAGTGAGAGTTTAGACTCACTCAGGATGAAGGAGAAGATCGACGAATAAATAGCTTTAAGTCATTTAGCAATGACCAAGAACCACACAGTAAGAAGACCAGGGGTCAAAGCTGAATTGGGGGAAACTAAAGGGGAGTAGAGCTCTGAGCACCAAGCAGATAGGGGAGTGCAGTTTGGGATCACTAAGGCTGCTTCTCAAGCTCACACCTGTAGACTTGATTTGGTTGTTTGACAGGAGAGATGGAGACGTCTAAGTAACAATGTGGACTTCTGACTGTGGTGGAGAATATGGAATATTTCTAATTTATATTAAATTTAAAAAGTCACATGACACCCCTAAGAAATCTGAACACATAAGCTAATAATAATAAGCAAAGGGTAAATCTATGGATTAATGTAAAAGTTAAAATGACAATAAAATGTTAAAACAAAATGAGTGTTATTTAAATTTAAATATGAACCCCATTCATATAAAAATTTAAATATGAACCCCATTCATATAAAAAAAGATAAAGTGTTTTTATGAATATTTTTGTTTCGACCATACATGACAGGAAGAGGAAAGACTTAAGATTTTGATTCTAGAGTAGAGCTCAGTGGAGTGGTTAACAGGACTTTCAAAACTGAACAGGCCATGTTTTTTTCAAGCAGTCATTGTTTCTGGTTCATTGACTAAAGAGATGTTGTTTTCAGGCAACTGAAAATTTCCTTTATTTATTCAAGCGCATCTGTGAAATCACTTTTCTTTTAAAAGATATGAAGACTTTCCAGGATAATGTATAGAAGACAGTTCTTTTGAATGTATGCTTGCTGCTTATTAAATGTTAAAAAAGGAATTTTATCTCTTGCTGATTTTCGAAGATAAGTGGCAGAGCTACAGATGAAGCCATAGTAGAGTCCAGGGCTTGGATCTAGTTATTTGCAACATGGTAGAGAGCAAGTACTCTTAGCTTCATTAACTTAAGAATTCCACCTGAAATGAGGTCACAGGGCTGCCTGGAATTTGCCTGGTATTATAAGTTCATAATGCCTTCATAACTTCAACATTTCTGGGGGGTGTAGATTGAACATGAAATTTAATTCAGTCTGAATATTGCAGATGTAAATTACTTTCAATTTTAGTTGGAGCTCTAGAAATTCATGAATGAGATAGAAGGCAAGGGGTGAGCTCTTTGGCTTAGATCTCTCTGGCTTTCTGGGAACATTTGGGGAGCAATTTAAAAGCAGGTGCTTATAGTTCTTATTTTCAGAGTGACAACATGAACAAGAAGGCTATTTAAGGCCTCTTTATTATATTAAGTTCAAATATCAAAAATCCAGTAGGCTAAAAAAAAAAAACTTTCTACTTTGAACTCAATAATTTTGACAAATTGGCTGAGCCTTGTTTTCCACGGAAATGATACATTTATCCATGATCCAAAAGGAAATCTGTTCCTTTTGTTTGTCAACGTGTGGTACAAATGTGTTTAGAGTGTGTGTTATGTATTTATTTTTGGGAGTGCTTATTACTGCGCCAATGAGTATGCCTTGTATCAAAGATGGGTGTTTCAACAGCAGATGTTTAAATTATATTTCCACTTTGTAGCAAGTAAAATTATTTTTGAGTTGTCAGAATAAATAAATATAGCAGTTTGAGTGATCTCTCCCAACTAGAATCTAACCTGAAGAAATTTAACCTAAGACAAAAGAAAACATATTTTTTGGCACGTATAATAGGAAAGAATTACCTAATACACATAAAATACGGCCTTACTCAGCCAGTTTAAGTAGGATGAATACGTGTGATACGAAGGGCATTTGGTGAGTGAGAATCTGAAGTTGTGGGGAAGTATCTTGAGAAGAGTGAGAGTAGGTAAGTGAAGATAGGTTTTTTTTTTAATCATTGAAAGCATTTTTGTGAAATGGTCGCTTGTAGCTGCACTCAACGTGTATGTTCTCCTTTGCTGGTGAGTTTTATGTACAAATATTATTAAACTAGAGAAATAAGTAGTTGCTACATTATTATCAGTATAACTAATTATCTGTCGTTCATCTGTGGATTATCTACTTAGGTATAATCTGTGGCCATTTTTCACTTCTGGATGTAGTTGGTCCCAGTGTCCAGTATGCCCCCTCGCCACACTCATCTACTCAGGATATGTTGTAAACTACACTGGATCAACTATTTTTAAAATGAGTTCTTTATTCTGTGTTCCTTTCTAGACGATGCAAGTAGAAGATTATACCAACATGAAGGCTTTTTAGTGGGCTTAGTAATACTCACATTTAGGACTATCAGAAAATTGGTTTTCTCAGCAAATTCTTCTAATTTAATTCATTTATGGTGGCCATAATTAAGGTAGGTTTGAGTTCAGTTATTAAAAACAAATACCACAGAAATCACACTGAACTCTGCCTCCATCTTGGCATTTACAAGAGGAAATTGGAGTGAGGGTTAGCCTTAGAGAGTGTTAGGATATGTGTAGATGTGTGTGTGGAGGACAGATGTATGTGTGTTGTGTGGAGGTGGTAAGATTCAGGGCCTAATTCTATTTCTCCAGCAAAAAAATCCCGTTTCTTTTTGATCATTGGTTGTTGCCAATGCTTTGTAAGACAACAATATGATGAACACAAATTTACAGGAAATTAATACTACTTTTCAAATTTAATGTAGAAGTAGTGGGATTCTTTTATCTTTTGACTCAGACACCATACATCAGAAGCATGCAAACAAAGGAAATTGCTATAAATAATTTTTAAATGAAAATCTATAATAATAGTTGAAGTATAATTTGGAGTGTGTGCTGATGACATTATCTCAGTGACCTTATGATGAACTGTTATTGTGTATATATGTTTGTGTGTGTGTATATGTGAGTGTGTGTGTATTTGCTCATTACTTCATTTAATGGAATCTAAATTAAGAGAATGCATCTGGAAGATGCTGGAGAAGGGTCATATTTTTTAAATTGTTGATATCTTTTGAAGTTAGTATCTAAATTCTGGGTATCTGATAATTTTAAGTAGGTTAAGTCCTGGAAATTCTGGGTAAATGAGCTTGCAAAAACCACAAGTACTTTTGCACCAACCTAATAGTATTTGAATCTAGAGTATCAAATAGACAGTATCCAGTTGGTAATCTGTGATGTATTCTCAGATCCAGATCCCCTCTCTGAATAGCATGAAGTCTCTTTTGGTGTTCAGTATGTGAATAGTTCCTTCATATTCCTCAGTTTCTGCATGTTTTGTCTTTCAGGGAGTTTGCCTGTGTAAATGGCTCTTAATTATCCATCCCAAGCACTTGCTTCCGATTTTGAATTATGGAATTAATTAATTTTCTTAATACTTCCTTTTATGACTTACTGTAAAATTACCCCAATAAGAAGGACTTTGTCCCTTAAATATTTGGAAAAATTTTTTGAGGCTAGATAAATGTAGAGGCAGTACAATATATTCTGTTCTTTACCTATAGTTACCATAATTTTGTTCTGGGAAGTTGGTCTTATGAGTGTGATCATTCAATATTAGTGATTAGTACCTATGTACCACTGGCTGACCGCTACTTGGGAGGACATATGGTTAAACTTTATTCCATTCTGCAGGGGAGTAGGTTACACCCCTGCCTGCGTTCAGCTAGCCATCTTCTAGTGTCTTATGTTCATAATGAGAGACCATGAGATAAAGTGCAGAGACTTCAGGGCAAACTGTAGTTACAGCTATAAAAACAACAATTTAGTGGAGTGGAAAGAAGACTGGATAAAGACAGTCTGAAGACATGTCTGGTTGACAGTTTTGTCTTTAATTGACTTTGGCCAGGTAAGTCACTTAACTTTTATAATTTTTTTCCTTATGTTTACAATGAAGGGGTTCAATTTAGATAACCTGTAAGAGGTTTCAAGAGGTTCTAGGTTTTTCTAGTCCTAATATTCTATCATCCTATATTACTACTAACTACCAAATTATCAGCTTTTTGACAGTTATTGAAATACTCAAAAGTTTTATGCAAGTAAAATGATAGCCCAGGATATTGGCTGATTGGTTACTTGAGTAGTCAGTTATGGAATTGTGCAGGATTCCGTTTTGGGACTTGTATTAGGGTTCTTAGGAGAAACAGTGCCAATAGGATACACACACAAACACACACACACACACACACACACACACAATATTCACACATATAAATTAAGCAATTGGATCAACTGGTTATGGAGAGGTCTAGACTCAGGAGAACTAATGATATAGTTTCAGTTTGAGTCCAAAGGCCTGAGAACAGGAGAGTCAGTATAAGTTCCAGTTTGAATCTAAGTCTGAAGACCAATGTCCCAGCTCAGAGACAGTCAGACAGAGGGAAAGAATTCTTGCTTTTTTAGCCTTTTATTTTATTCAGGCCTTCAACGGATTGGATAAGGCACACCCACACTGGGGACAGCAATCTGCTTTACTCAGTTTACTGATTCAGATGTTAATTTCATTCAGAAACACCTTCACAGACACACCCAGAAATAATATTTAATCAGTTATCTGGGGACCCTGTGGCCCAGTCAAACTGACACATAAAACTAATCATCATAGGATTGGAAGGCTCAACTATAAGAAGAACTTAGAAAAGACGTCTTCGAAATTATCTTCTTCACTAGATGACTAAAATTGATGAGCTCTTTTACTTTTTTTGGTGAGTTATTGGAAATCATAGTATTGCCAAACATACTGAAATAGACCCCTTAGGATGGTCTCAGATAACAGTATGGCTTATGAGAAAAGCAACAGCTAATGAGAATACAAATATTTATGGAAATAAGATGATTAAATAAAAATTAGAGACAGATATGAGTGAGATGAAAATTTTGGTAAAAATAAATGTTAAGTCGAAAAAATTATGTATTGATTAAAATAATCTTTCTCAAGCTAAGAGTTTTGGAAAATTACCAAATTCATTGGTCTTTTCAGTCGTGCTTGTTCAGATAGATGGCAATCCTTCTTTACTACTGTTTTCTTCAACTCAGGAAGAAAAATGCAAATTCATCTATTGTTACAGCTTGGTAGTGTGCAAAGAATTCTGGGAGAGAAGTCAAAACACTCAAGTCAAAGACTGGTATTTCCACTTAAATAGGCATGTCACTTAATCTCTCTGTTCCTTAATACTTAAGGATATTTTTCTACCTTAATATCTTAATTCTGAAGATATTTTGTTTATAATCTCTTTGTACCTCATCTATAAAGTGGCAATAAACCAATAACTGTCCACCTAAGAAGCCATACAAACCTAAGATTTTGTTGTTTCTTTCCTTTATTATAGCCATTTCCCTCATTTGTTTACTTAAACTTTTTATAGCAAGAACAAGAATCAGTGGAGCGACATTTACAGGATCCTCACTGCTTTTATTCTAAGTTAACATGATACTTTAATTGGAAACATTATGAAATTTAAAATAAATTTAATTTTGTTTCATTTAAAGCTGAATGAAGAAAGGAAATAAGGCTGCTTTTATGCATTTTCCTTCGGAAATATCTAACTTTGAAAAAAGTGACTCTTTTTGAGCTACTTTCAGTATTAACTGCCCTCTCAGGAATCTCTTTATAATTTTTAGAAACCAAAATCTTCATGCTGAAAGATACTGCAATTCTACTTTAGAAAGAAATGATACGCCAATAGAAAGCTTAAAACCAAAAAGGGAGAGTGAAGATGGACTAGGAGAACACAATGGAAGTACAATGGAAGAAGTGGGTGCAGAAACTAGGGTGCAGGTCCATCTTTCCCACTCCTTGAAGCTGGGCATGGTCATTGTAACTTGCTTTGTCCAACAAAATTCGGTAAAGTGACTTCATGCCAGTTACAAACCTGGGCTTCAAAAGGCCTCATGCATTACTGTTTTTCCATAGCCCAAATCCAGAAGAATAAATGAGTGCTCTTTTAATCCACTGAATTTTAAGGTGTTTATGCATCAAGAACTCACTGTAAGTTTCTTTTGAATAAGGAGCATGTCTTACTCATATTTAGGTTGTCAGGGTATGGTGACCAGGTACTCAAGTGGCATATTTTGTGAAAAATGTAATCGATACAGAAAGTTACAAAGAACAAAATAATATCATCTGGAACCAACAAAGATAAATTGTTTTCATTTTTTCTTTCAATTTTATTATTAAAAGAATGCTCTTTTGTTTTCTTCCCCAGAGTCAGTCACTATCATGAATTTAGGATGTATCTTTATGATTCATGTTTTGATACTTTAACTATCTTAATGCATTTATAAATAGTATAATTGTGCTTTGTGCATATTAGAAATATTTGTATGTATATGCATTTGGTTCACATATTATTCTACAATCTGCTTTTTAATTCAGTATTGTTTTGTGATCTATATATGATGATATTCATAGTTTTAGTGTTGGGAACAGGCCCCCAAATCTGGCGATAAACTGGCCCCAAAACTGGCCATAAACAAAATTTCTGCAGCACTGTGACATGTTTGTGCTGGCTATGACACCCACGCTGAAGGTTGTGGGTTTACTGGAATGAGGGCAAGGAACACCTGGCCCACCCAGGGTGGAAAACTGCTTAAGGCATTCCTAAGCCACCAACAATAGCATGAGCCATCTGTGCCTTAAGGACATGTTCCTGCTGCAGATAACTAGCTGGAGCCCATCCCTTTGTTTCGGCCCATCCCTTTGTTTCCCATTTTAGTTAACCTATAATCTGTAGAAACAATGATTATCACTGGCTTGCTGTCAGTAAACGTGGGTAAAACTGTTCATGGCTCTCAGTTCTGAAGGCTGTCAGCTGCCTGATTTCCCACTCTACACTCCATATTTCTATGTGTGTGTCTTTAATTCCTGTAGCGCCACTGGGTTAGGGTCTCCATGACTGAGCTGGCCTTGGCAAGTGATGCCCATATGTGGGGCTCAAACCCAGGTCAAAGGGTCACCGGAGTGATGGTTGGAGAATGTGGAACTATGCTGGGGGACACCCAAGTACTCTTAAGCAATCCCTGTGGTGAGTAAGAAGCAGAGCTCAGAAGCATCAGGGTAACAATGGGACA
The DNA here is from genome assembly GCF_000001405.40 of Homo sapiens. NCBI lineage: Eukaryota > Metazoa > Chordata > Mammalia > Primates > Hominidae > Homo > Homo sapiens. The sequence goes on along the minus strand of NC_000004.12, from coordinate 127,276,818 downwards.
AGCGTGGGCTCTGGTTCGTTCTACCTTGGAACCTTTTCACACTAATGATGAGGAGGAAGGAGAGTATAATGAGGTAATATAAGAGGTGACAGAGCAGGTTTGTTTGCCAGCTAAAGCTAAAGTGGCAAAGGAGGGAGAGGTTTGTCCCAACCCTTCTGCACCCTCTCATTATTTTGAAGAAAAAAGAGTAGCTTGACCCTCCAGATCTTTCTTTTCTGGAGGACACTGGGTGAAAAGTAGTTGCCCCAGTGACTGTTCGGGCAGTGCCTCAAGCGACTGCTCTCAGTTCTTTTCAGGCAGGAATCCAGCAAGCTAGAAGAGAGGGTGATACAGAGGCTTGGCAGTTCCCTGTTAGAATACACCCCCTAGATCAATAGGGAAATATTATAGCTACATTTGAGCCTTTTCCTTTTAAACTACTCCAAGAATTTAAACAAGCTATTAATCAATATGGACCAGGTTTTCTTTTTGTAATGGGACTGTTAAAGAATGTTGCTGTCTCCAGTCAGATGATGCCAGTGGGGACAGCAGGATTACTTCTAGGTAGATCTAGTTTAAATTTAAAAGGAGTGCAAGTACATACAGGAGTCATTGATTCAGATTACAATGGGGAAATTCAAACTGTTATATCTACTTCTGTTCCCTGGAAAGCAGAGCTAGGAGAGCGTATAGCACAGCTCCTGATTATGCTGTATGTGGAAATGGGGGAAAAGTGAAATTAAACGAACAGCGATTTGGAAGCACAAATAAACAAGGCAAAGCAGCTTATTGGGTAAATCAAAGTACTGATAAACGTCCTACCTGTGAAATAACTATTCAGGGAAAGAAATTTAAAGGTTTGGTAGATACAGGAGTGGACATTTCAATCATTTCTCTACAGCACTGGCCATCCGCATGGCCAATTCAACCCGCTCAATTTAACATAGTTGGAGTTGGTAAAGCCCCTGAAGTATATCCAAGTAGTTATATTTTATCAGAGTAGTTGTATTTTGCATTGTGAAGGACCTGATGGACAGCCTGGGACTATTCAACCAATTATAACTCTGTACCTATAAATTTATGGGGAAGATATTTATTGCAACAACGGGGAGCACAAGTTCTTATTCCAGAGCAATTATACAGCCCTCAAAGTCAACATATGATGCATGAAATGGGGTATGTCCCTGGTATGGGACTAGGAAACAATTTGTGAGGTTTGAAGGAACCACTTCAAGCGGAAAGACAAAGTTCCTGCCAGGGTTTAGGGTATCATTTTTGATGGCGGCCATTGTTAAGCCTCCAGAACCTATACCTTTAAAATGGTTAAAGGGTAAGCCGATTTGGATAGAACAATGGCCACTGAGTAAAAGAGAAACTGGAGGCTTTAGAGGACTTAGTTACTGAACAATTAGAAAAAGGACACATAGCTCCAACATTTTTCCCCCTAGAATTTTCCAGTCTTTGTTATTAAGAAAAAATCAGGTAAATGGAGAATGTTAACTGACTTAAGAGGCATTAATTCAGTTATACACCCTATGGGGGCATTACAGCCAGGACTGCCTTCTCTTGCTATGATTCCAAAAAATTGGTCTTTAATAGTCATAGATTTAAAAGACTGTTTCTTTACTATCCCCTTAGCTGAGCAAGACTGTGAATGGTTTGCATTTACAATTCCTGCAGTAAACAACCTGCAGCCTGCTAAGTGTTTTCATTGGAAAGTGTTGCCACAAGGCATGTTAAATGGTCCAACAATTTGCCAGACTTATGTAGGGCAAGCAATTGAACCTGCTGATAAAAAATTTTCACAATGTTACATTATTCATTATATGGACCATATACTTTGTGCTGCCCCACTCGAGAAATATTACTCCAATGTTATGATCACTCGCAAAACTTGGTTTCTCATGCTGGTTTAATTATAGCTCCTGACAAAATTCAGACTACTACTCCTTACTCCTACTTGGGGACCTTAGTAAGTGACACTACAATAGTGCCACAGAAAGTAACCGTACATAGGGATCAATTAAAAACATTAAATGACTTTCAGAAATTACTAGGGAACATCAACTGGATACGATCTGCTCTAGGCATTCCTACCTATGCCATGAGTAATCTATTTTCTGTCCTTAGAGGAGATCCTAGTCTCACTAGCTCTCAACAATTAACAAAGGAGGCTGAGGCAGAGTTACAGCTAATGGAGAAACAAGTGCATAAGACTCAAATAAATAGAATAGGTCAAGAAAAGACTCTAGATTTGCTAATTTTTTCAACTCAGCATTCACCTACTGTTGTTATTGTCCAAGAGCAGGACTTAGTAGCATGGCTTTTTCTTCCACTTACCAATTCACGGACTCTTAACTCCTTATTTGGATCAAATCGCTACTGTGATAGGAACTGGGAGAACTCAGATTGTTAAATTACATGGATATGATCCTGGAAAAATTATTGTCCCTCTCACAAAGGCACAAATACATCAAGCTTTTGTAAATAGTCTTACTTGGCCAACCCATTTAGCTGACTGTGTGGGTATTCTCGATAACCATTTTCCTAAAACAAAGTTGTTTCAATTTTTGAAATTAATTGGATTCTCCCTAAAATAACTAAATTTAAACCAATTGAAGGTGCTGAAAATGCCTTCACAGATGGGTCTAGTAATGGTAAAGCTACTTATTCTGCCTCGAAAGGTAAAGTTTTTCCAACGCCCTATACTTCAGCTCAAAAAGCGGAGCTTGTAGCTGTAATTGAGGTATTGACTGTTTTTGATATGCCTATTAATGTGATTTCTGATTCTTCATACATGGTTCATTCTACACAGTTAGTTGAAAATGCTCAGTTACAATTTCATACAGATGAATAACTGATGTTTTTATTTATCCAATTGCAAGCAACAGTTAGGAGTAGAGTGCACCCTTTTTACATTACTCATATTAGGGCTCATACACCTCTCCCAGGACCTTTGAGTGCAGGGAATCAAATGGCTGATGGCCTAGTTGCTACTGCAATGTCTAATGCCAGACACTTTCACAATTTAACCCATGTTAATGCCTCTGGTCTCAAAAGCAGATACAGCATTACCTAGAAGGAAGCTAAAGCTATTATCTAGCGATGCCCAACTTGCCAAATGGTGCATTCCTCATCTTTTACAGGAGGAGTTAATCCTCAAGGATTGGAACCTAATTCTCTCTGGCAAATGGATGTCACACATGTTCCCTCATCTGGGAGATTAGCTTATGTACATGTATGTGTAGATACATTTTCCCACTTTGTCTGGGCTACATGCCATCAGGAGAGTCTTGTGTCCGTGTTAAACGTCACCTTTTGCAGTGTTTTCCAGTGATGCGCATTCCAGCTTCTACTAAAACGGACAATGCCCCAGGCTATACTAGCCAAGCTGTAGCTACATTTTTCTCTATATGGAATATTAAACACATTACTGGTATCCCATGTAATTCTCAAGGACAAGCCATAGTGGAAAGAATGAATCTCTCCCTGAAACAGCAGTTGCAAAAGCAAAAAGGGGGAAATAGGGACTATGGGACAACCCATATGCAATTGAATCTAGCATTATCGACTTTAAATTTTTTGAGCCTGCCTACAGGCCAGATGCTATCAGCAGCTGAACAGCATCTACAGAAACCAGCTGCAAAGACAGAAGCAGAACAACTGGTTAGGTGGAGAGATCCGATAACAGAAAGTTGGGAAGTAGGTAAAATAATAACTTGGGGTAGAGGTTATGCTTGTGTTTCTCCAGGCCAGAACCAGTAGCTGATTTGGATACCATCAAGACACCTGAAACCTTATCATGAGCCAGATGCCGAGGAAGAGATTCCAGGAGGATCCTGAGGACCCCCCAGTTGCAGCCATGTTGAGACTAATGCTGAGGAAGACCCCAACTGTCACAAGCAACACCTGTCAAACACAGCCACCTACCTGGGGACAGATCAAGAAGCTGTCACAGATGGCAGAAGAAAATCTAAGGAAAGTGGGACAACCAGTCACAATGAGTAATTTAATGATAGCTATGATAGTGGTGATCACCATTGCCATGAGTGTTCCTTCAACAAGGACTGGCACAGAGAACAATTATACTTATTGGGCATATTTATCAATCTTGGCTGGCAATAATGCCTGGATGTTATCACTCTGTGAAACAGTTATACATGCTTTCTGATCTCAGTATTTACCATAATAAATCTGCTCCTATAATTGAGGCATACCACCCTCAAAAACCTATTTGTAAACAGAAGTGGACGTGGCCGGAAATAATGAATGTACTTGTTTAGGAAGATTGCATTGCAGAACAGGCAGAGGTGCTGTGCAATGATTCCTATGGAATCATTATTGATTGGTCCCCTAAGGGGATGTTAGCTTAAATTGCACCTCTCAGTCTGCGTGCCATGGCCACACTATGTTCAGCTGGTCTAAACAAAATGGTCAGATGGTAGAAATGATAAGAAGTACGACAAGAGTTCCTATTATCTGGAAACATGGCGGTATAGTGGCACCTCAACCACAAATGGTATGGCCTGCTGTAGGAGCTAAGCATAAGGATTTGTGGAAACTATTAATGGCTCTTAATAATATCAAAATTTGGGAAAGAATAAAAAAGCATCTAGAAGGACACTCTGCAAACTTGCCTTTGGATATTGCACAATTAAAAGAACAAATATATAAAGCCTCCTGGGCACACCTGACTTTAATGCCAGGAACTGGAGTGCTTGAAGGAGCTGCAGACAGATTAGCAGCTAGTAACCCATTAAAATAGATAAAAACACTTGGAGGCTCTGTGATTTCAATGATGATTGTGCTTTTAATCTGTGTTGTTTGCCTTTGTATAGTCTGCAGATGCAGATCCCAACTCCTGTGAGTTGCTTTTATCATCTTGCAAAAACAAAAAGGGAACATGTTGGGAACAGGCCCCCAAATCTGGCCATAAACTGGCCCCAAAACTGGCCATAAACAAAATCTCTGCAGCACTGTGACATGTTTGTGATGGCCATAATGCCCACACTGAAGGTTGTGGGTTACCAGAATGAGGGCAAGGAACACCTGGCTCACTGAGGGCAGAAAACCACTTAAGGTGTTCCTAAGCCAGAAACAATAGCGTGAGTGATCTGTGCTTCAAGGACATGTTCCTGCTACAGATAACTAGTCAGAGCCCCAGCCTTTGTTTCAGCCCATCTCTTTGTTTCCCATTTTAGTTTATCTATAATCTATACAAACAATGCTGATCACTGGCTTGCTATCAATAAACATGTAGGTAAAACTCTGTTTGTTGCTCTGAGTTCTGAAGGCTGTCAGCCCCCTGATTTCCCACTCCACACTCTGTATTTCTATGTGTGTGTCTTTAATTCCTCTAGCACCGCTGGGTTAGGGTCTCCATGACCGAGCTGGCCTCAGCATTTAGTTTATTTGTTGTATTGGATATATGGTATTCATTTTTATGAATTGCTTATTCATCTGTTCCCTTACTGATGAATATTTAGAATGTTTCCAGAATTTTGTACAAACAAATAAGGCTGCAGGGAACATTATTTACTTGTTTGGAAAAGACTCTTGTCTGGGACACATGTATAGGAGTTTCTCCAAGGTATGTATCAATGATTAGAACTGCTGAGCCATAGAGTATTTCCATTGTCAACTTTATTAGAAATTGCCAGATTGTTCTCCAAAATGATTTTACTGATTTACATTTCTATTTGAAGGATATGAGACTCTTTATGTCCTCACATCCTTGCCAAGTATTGGTAGGCTTGTTAGTTTTTGCTAATAGAATGGGTATGAAATAATTTGTGTGGTTTATTTTTATTTCACATTATTTCTGATTATAAGTGAGATCAGGCAACTTTCCAGATAGATATTTACCAGACATATATTTGGGCTGTTCTGTTAATTTGCTTATTTTTATCTGAATTATTTGCCTTTTTCTTTTTGCTTTCTTGGAATTCTTTATGTATTCTGGATACATTCTTTGTTTATCACATGTGTTGCAAGTATTTTCCCCTTGTTAGTGTCTCCTCTTTTAATTTTTAAGGGTGTCTTTGGTAGTCAGCCTTTGAGAGGGCTCCCAGTGATCCCTACCTTTTGGTATTGATTACCTTGTGTAATCTCTTCTTCCTTGAATGTGGGCTATACTAAATAATTCACTTCTAAACAAATAGACCATAACAAAAGTGATGGCATGTCACTTCTGAGAGTAGGTTATGAAACAACTGTGGATTCCATCTTGGGTTCTCTCTTTCTCAATCTTATGCATGCACATTTTACTTGCTCTGGTGGAAGCTATGTAATAAGTAGCTTTATTCAGAGACCCATATTGTGAGAAACTGAAGTCTTTTGCCAAACAGCCACATGAATGAACATGGAAGCAGATCATTCAGCCCCAGCTAAGTCTTCAGCAACTGTAGCCTGGCCAACACTTTGACTGCAAACTTACAGGAAACCCTAAGCCAGAATCTGGAGCTACACCTTTTCAGATTCCTGACTCTCAGAAACAGTGAGAGATAATAAATGTTTGTGTTTTAAGCAGGAAAATTTTGGGGATGATGTGTTAAGCAGCAATAGATAACTAATACAGTATGTTTTATCATATTCCTGCTAAGGATGTGATCTTGTTCTTTTTTATGGCTGCATAGTGTTCCATGGTGTATATGGGCCATGTGTATATGGACCACATTTTCTTCGGTCTTCCACTGAGGGGCATTTAGGTTGATTCCATGTCTTTGCTATTGTGAGTCTTCGGAAGCTTTTTCTCATGTATTCCTTTGTTTTGTTGCACTTTCAAATTGATTATGGTATAACAAGGTTTTATATTTTTGTCAGATAATCTTGTTGAAATATCAACAACAATGTTGAATTTACTTATTTATTTTAATATCTTATTGACTTCTTGGAGTTCTTATGTAAACAAATGTCATCAGCAAATAATGACCATTTCATGTCTGCCATTCTGATATGTTTTTAAAATCTGCTTTATTGGGATATGATTTATGTTCAAAAAATTAATCAGTTTTAAAGTTTTAATGGATTTTGATGTATATGTATTGTGTGTTATTACCACTACAATCATGATATGAATGTTTCCACCACCCCCCCAAATCCTTCATCCCCTTTTGTACTCAATTCCTTCCCCATGCTGTTGGCCCCAGGCAACCACCAATCTACTTTTTAACACTATTATAACACTATAACTTTTTGTTTTCTTCTTCTTTTTAAAAATTTTTATTTTCTTGTGGTAAGAATGAACACTAAGCATGAGATCTTCCCTCAATTTTTTTTAAGTGTATAATGCAGTATTGTTCACTATAGGTACAATGATGTACAGCAGAGCTTTTTCATCTGGTTTAATGGAAATGTTATGCCCGTTGATTAGTAACTTCCCATTTCCCTATCTATTCAGCCCCTGGCAACCACCATTTCACTCTTTGAATCTATGGATTTGATTATTTTAGATACCTTATATAAGTGGAATCATTCAGTGTTTGTGTGACTGGTTTATTTTACTTAGCATAATGTCCCCAAGGTTCATCCATGTTGTCATGTGTTACAGAGTTTTCTTCTTTTGTAAGGCTGAATAGTATTCCATTGCATATATATTCCACACATTCTATATTCATTTATTTCCCAATAGGCATTGAGGTTGTTCCTACATCTTGGCTATTACATAAATGTAATAATGTTGCAATGAACATAGTAGTGCTAATAGCTCTTCAAGTTTCTGATTTTTGTTCTTTTGTGGAAATACTCAGAAGTGGGATTCTGGATCATACAGTAATTTTATTTTAATTTTTTTGAGAAACCTCCACATTGTTTTTCATAGCAGCTGAAGCATTTCACATTCCCGCTGAGAGTATGCAAGGGTTCCAATTTCTCCATATCCTCACCAGCACTACTTGTCTTTTGTTTTTTTGATGATAGCCATTCTGAGTTTTTTGATGATAGCCATCCTGATTGTTTTTTTTGATGATAGCCATCCTATGGTATCAAGATACCATAAAATTGTATCTTGTTGCAGTTTTGATCTGCATTTTCCTGATAATTAGTGATACTGAGCATTTTTTCATATACTCATGGCCATTTGTATGTCTTTTACCCATATATTAATGAGGTTGTTTGATTTTGTTTTGCTATAAATTATAGGACTTCTCTATATATTTCCTGCACTATATATTTTAGACATTATCACCCCCACCTTATCAGATATATGGTTTGCAAATATTTTCTTGCATTCCATAGTTTTCCTTTTCACTTCACTGATTGTTTTTATTGCTGTGTAAACACTTTTTAGTTTGATGTAGTCCCACTGAGTTATTTTTGATTTTGTCTCTGCTTTTGATGTCATATCCATTAAATCATTACCAAGGCCAATGTCGTAAAGCTTTTCCCCTATGTTTTCTTCTAAAAGTTTTACAGTCTCAGTTTTTATATTTATTTGTTTAATTCATTTTAAGTTGATTTTTGTGTATGTTGTAAGACAGTGTTCCATTTTCATTGTTTTGCATGTGTATATCCAGTTTTCCCAACACCGTTTGTTGAGACTATTCTTTCCTTATTGTGTATTCTTGTCACCTTGTGGAAGATCAGTTCACCATGTATTCTGCAGTTTATTTCTGGGTTCTATATTCTGTTCTATTTGTCTGTATGTCTGTCTTTAAGATAGTAACATACTGTTTTGATTAGTAGCTTTTTGATATATTTTAAAATCAGGGAATGCTATGCCTCCAACTTTATTCTTCTTTCTCAAGATTACTTTGGCTACTTGGGGTCTTTTGTGGTTTCATATATATTTTAGGATTGTTTTTTCTATTTCTTTTGTGGTTTCATATACATTTAGGATGGTTTTTTCTATTTCTATTCTTTCTATTTCTGTAAAAAATGCCATGGGGACTTTTGTAGGGATTTCATTGTAGGGAAATTGTAGGGATTTAATTGAATCTCTAGATCATTGTGAGTGGTATAGACATTGTAACAATATTGACTTCCAATCCATAAACAGGGATGACTTTTTTAATGCTATAGTTTGAACTCTAAAAATATTTCATGTAAATATATATATTTATATAAAAGATGTATATATAAACATATATAATATATATTAAACATATATAATATAAGATATAAACGTATCTTATTTATCTATAGTGTAATGTGAGACTATAACTTTATTTTCTCTAAATGTATATCTAATTGTTGATTGTTACTTACTGATGATTACTTTTTCCCTCTGATTTGAAATATCACCCAAAACAAACATATATATATATATATATCACACATACACACTTCACACAATATACACACACTCACATAAAGTACATGTATTTCTGTTTTTATATGTATAAACTATATACATAGTTTATATATAATATATAGTTATATATGCTATATAATTTTAAATATATATATAAAATTTTAAACTATATATAATATATATTATAATATATAAATTGTGTATTGATATATTATATATTAATATATAGTATATTATAATATATAATGTGTAGAGTTTTTGTTATAATATATAAATTATATATAATTATATATATGTATATAAAATGTGTAGTCTTTTTGTCTGACTTATTTGACTTAGCCTAGTGTTTTGAGATTCCTGACTTACTAAGTATTTCAGTAGATGGTTCTCTTTATTGCTGATTAATATTCCATTATATGGACATACTACAATCTGTTTATCCATAGAAGATTGATATTTGAATTGTTTTCAGATGGTGATTGATAAAAATAATGCCCCCATGATGATTTAAATTCAAGTCTTTGCATGGACATATATTTTCATGTTTCTTGAGTCAAATGGTAATACATGTTTTGCTTTATAAAACACTGCCAAACTTTTCCCCAAATGGTTGTACCACTTTGTATTCCCACCAACAGTTTATTTTAGTTGCAGGTGTTCCAACATCCTTGCCAAACTTTGGTTTTATCAGTTTGAATTTTATCAACTCTAATGGATATGTAGGGTTGTCTCATTGTGGTTTTATTTGCATTTCCCTAATGACCAATAATGTTGAGTTTTTTTCTTGGCTAATTTGCCATACATTTTTTTTTTTGTTGGCACAGTATCTACTTAAAACTATTGCCATTTAAAAATTGAGTTGCATATGTTCTTATTATTTAGTTGCAAGAGGTTCTTACATTTTATTTTTACAAGTCTTTCATCAAATATATGCTTTGCAAATATTTCTCCCAGCCTGTGGCTTAATTTTTTATTTTATTAACAGTGTTTTAATAGTATCTTTTAAAGAGCAAAACATTTAATTTTGATATCATGTATTTATGACTCTTTTGTAATTGTGCTATTTGTATCCTATGTAAGAAATCTTTGACTAATTCAAGCTTGCTAAGATTTCTCATGTGTCTTATTCTGGAACTTTTATAATTTTGGTTACCTTTAGGTCTGTATTCCATTTCAAGTGAATTTTTGTATATGGTGTGAGGTACAGCTCAAAGAGCTATTTTTTTGCATTTGGATACTTGTGCAAGCGCCATTTGTTGAAAAGACTTACTTCTCCTTTGAATTGCATTAATATTTATCAAAAATGAATTACCATAGAGGTGTGGGTCAATTTTTGGACTTTCTATTCTGCTTCATTGGTATGAGATAATTTACCATTTTTTTTTTTTTTTTTTGGAGATGGAGTCTCGCTCTGTCACCCAGGCTGGAGTGCAGTGGTGTGATCTCTGCTCACTGCAAGCCCTGCCTCCCAGGTTCATGCCATTCTCCTGCCTCAGCCTCCTGAGTAGCTGGGACTACAGGCGCCCATGACCATGCCCAGCTAATTTTTTGTATTTTTAGTAGTGATGGGGTTTCACTGTGTTAGCCAGGATAGTCTCAATCTCCTGACCTCATGATCCATCCACCTTGGTCTCCCAAAGTGCTGGGATTACAGGCATGAGCCACCGTGCCTGGCCAACAAATTACTTTTTTTTTTTTTTTAATTATACTTTAAGTTCTAGGGTACATGTGCACAACGTGCAGGTTTGTTACATATGTATACATGTGCCATGTTGGTGTGCTGCACCCATTAACTCATCATTTACATTAGGTATATCTCCTAATGCTATCCCTCCCCCCTCCCGCCACCCCATGACAGGCCCTGGTGTGTAATGTTCCCCTTCCTGTGCCATGTGTTCTCATTGTTCAATTCCCACCTATGAGTGAGAACATGCAGTTTGGTTTTTTGTCCATGTGATAGTTTGCTGAGAATGATGGTTTCCAGTTTCATCCATGTCCCTACAAAGGACATGATCTCATCCTTTTTTATGACTGCATAGTATTCCATGGTGTATATGTGCCACATTTTCTGAATCCAGTCTATCACTGATGGACATTTGGGTTGGTTCCAAGTCTTTGCTATTGTGAATAGTGCCACAATAAACATATGTGTGCATGTGTCTTTATAGCAGCATGATTTATAATCTTTGGGTATGTACCCAGTAATGGGATGGCTGGGTCAAATGGTATTTGTAGTTATAGATCCTTGAGGAATTGCCACACTGTCTTCCACAATGGTTGAACTAGTTTACAGTCCCACCAACAGTGTAAAAGTGTTCCTGTTTCTCTACATCCTCTCCAGCACCTGTTGTTTCCCAAGGAACAACCGGTACCAGCCACTGCAAAAACTTGCCAAATTGTAAAGACCATCAATGCTAGGAAGAAACTGCATCAACTAACGAGCAAAATAACCAGCTAACATCATAATGACAGGATCAAATTCACACATAACAATATTAACCTTAAATGTAAATGGGCTAAATGCTCCAATTAAAAGACACAGACTGGCAAATTGGATAGAGTCAAGACCTATCAGTGTGCTGTATTCAGGAGACCCATCTCACGTTCAGAGACATACATAGACTCAAAATAAAGGGATGGAGGAAGAACTAACAAGCAAATGGAAAACAAAAAAAGGCAGGGGTTGCAATCCTAGTCTCTGATAAAACAGACTTTAAACCAACAAAGATCAAAAGAGACAAAGAAGACCTTTACATAATGGTAAAGGGATCAATTCAACAAGAAGAGCTAACTATCTTAAATATATATGCACCCAATACAGGAGCACCCAGATTCATAAAGCAAGTCCTGAGTGACCTACAAAGAGACTTAGACTCCCACACAATAATAATGGGAGACTTGAACATCCCACTGTCAACATTAGACAGATCAACGAGACAGAAAGTTAACAAGGATATCCAGGAATTGAACTCAGCTCTGCACCAAGTGGACCTAATAGACATCTACAGAACTCTCCACCCCAAATCAACAGAATATACATTCTTCCCAGCACCGCATCACACTTATTCCAAAATTGACCACATAGTTGGAAGTAAAGCACTCCTCAGCAAATGTAAAAGAACAGAAATTATAACAAACTGTCTCTTAGACCACAGTGCAATCAAATTAGAACTCAGGATTAAGAAACTCACTCAAAACCACTCAACTACATGGAAACTGAACAACCTGCTCCTGAATGACTACTGGGTACATAACGAAATGAAGGCAGAAATAAAGATGTTCTTTGAAACCAATGAGAACAAAGACGCAACATACCAGAATCTCTGGGACACATTTAAAACAGTGTGTAGAGGGAAATTTATAGCACTAAATGTCCACAAGAGAAAGCAGGAAAGATCTAAAATTGACACCCTAACATCACAATTAAAAGAACTAGAGAAGCAAGAGTAAACACATTCAAAAGCTAGCAGAAGGCAAGAAATAACTAAGATCAGAGCAGAACTGAAGGAGATAGAGACACAAAAAACCCTTCAAAAAATCAGTGAATCCAGGAGACGGTTTTTTTGAAAAGATCAACAAAATTGATAGACCACTAGCAAGAGTAATAAAGAAGAAAAGAAAGAAGACTCAAATAGTCACAATAAGAAATGATAAAGGGGTATCACCACTGATCCCACAGAAATACAAACTATCATCAGAGAATACTATAAACACCTCTATGCAAATAAACTAGAAAATCTAGAAGAAATGGATAAATTCCTTGACACATACACCCTCCCAAGACTAAACCAGGAAGAAGTTGAATCTCTGAATAGACCAATAACAGGCTCTGAAATTGAGGCAATAATTAATAGCTTACCAACCAAAAAAAGTCCAGGACCAGATGGATTCACAGCCAAATTCAACCAGAGGTACAAGGAGGAGCTGGTACCATTCCTTCTGAAACTATTCCAACCAATAGAAAAGGAGGGAATCCTCCCTAACTCATTTTATGAGACCAGCATCATCCTGATACCAAAGCCTGGCAGAGACACAACCAAAAAAGAGAATTTTAGACCAATATCCCTGATGAACATCAATGCAAAAATCCTCAATAAAATACTGGCAAACCGAATCCAGCAGCACATCAAAAAGCTTATCCACCATGATCAAGTAGGCTTCATCCCTGGGATGCAAGGCTGGTTCAACATACACAAATCAATGAACATAATCCAGCATATAAACAGAACCAAAGACAAAACCACTTGATTATCTCAATAGATGCAGAAAAGGCCGCTGACAAAATTCAGCAGTCCTTCATGCTAAAAACTCTCAATAAATTAGGTATTGATGGGATGTATCTCAAAATAATAAGAGCTGTCTATGACAAACCCACGGCCAATATCATACTGAATGGGCAAAAACTGGAAGCATTCCCTTTGAAAACTGGCACAAGACAGGGATGCCCTCTCTCACCACTCCTATTCAACATAGTGTTGGAAGTTCTGGCCAGGGTAATCAGGCAGGAGAAAGAAATAAAGGGTATTCAATTAGGAAAGGAGGAAGTCAAATCGTCCCTGTTTGCAGATGACATGATTGAATATTTAGAAAACTCCATCGTCTCAGCCAAAAATCTCTTTAAGCTGATAGGCAACTTCAGCAAAGTCTCAGGATACAAAATCAATGTGCAAAAATCACAAGCATTCTTGTACACCAATAGCAGACAAACAGAGAGCCGAATCATGAGTGAACTCCCATTCACAATTGCTTCAAAGAGAATAAAATACCTAGGAATCCAACTTACAAGGGATGTGAAGGACCTCTTCAAGGAGAACTGCAAACCACTGCTCAATGAGATAATAGAGGACACAAACAAATGGAAGAACATTCCATGTTATGGATAGGAAGAATCAATATTGTGAAAATGGCCATACTGCCCAAGGTAATTTATAGATTCAGTGCCATCCCCATGAAGCTACCGATGACTTTCTTCACAGAATTGGAAAAAACTACTTTAAAGTTCATATGTAATGAAAAAAGAGCCCGCGTTGCCAAGACAATCCTAAGCCAAAAGAACAAAGCTGGAGGCATCACGTTACCTGACTTCAAACTATGTTACAAGGCTACAGTAACCAAAACACCATGGTACTGGTATCAAACAGAGGTATAGACTAATGGAACAGAACAGAGCTCTCAGAAATAATGCCACACATCTACAACCATCTGATCTTTGACAAAGCTGACAAAAACAAGAAATGGGGAAAGGATTCCCTATTTAGCAAATTACCTTTTTAACTGTCAAAGTATAAGAAGAAAATTAGAGAGTTTACTTTCATAGCTTAAAAATGTTTATCTCTTTAATCTTTCTGGAAATCTTATTTATCTATAGTGTAATATGAGACTGTAACTCTGTTTTCTCTAAATGTATATCGAATTGTTGATTGCCACTAATTGAAGATTACTTTTCCTCTCTGATTTGAAATATCACCCTAAACAAACATATATATATATATATATCACACACACCTCACACAATATACAGACACTCACATAAAGTACATGTATTTCTGTTTTTAGGCTGTCAATTTTGTCCTGTTGCTCTGCTTTTCTAGTGTTTTCTAGTGCTGAACCAATTTCCTGCACTAATATGCTGGTTCCATGTACATTACTCTGGCTCTGATTTATGGTAGAGAAAATCCTTAAATATTCCTCTTTTTCAAAAATTTTTTGGCTATCATTTCACATTTACTCTTCCAACTGATCTTTCTGCATCTTGAAAAAATATATTGCTCCATGATGTTGTTCCTCAGTAGAAAACTGCTGATACTTTCCTTTCGAGAAAGAGTATGATTGATTTTTTTCATCTTATGCACATAGAGAGAAAAGGACTCCACAGGCTATAAAGGAATCAGGCAGAACAGGTTTGGGCATGCCTTCACAGTGTAAACAAATCTGTCTACAGATGTGGTTCTGAAATAATGTGTTTAATAATAATACACTGTAATTGATGTGGTGCCCTGTGGCCTCTAGGCATCCAAAGAACTATAACTCAAAGTGTGTTTTCCAAAGCAAAGAACAGAAGGGTTTAATAAGGACCAGAACTGTAGAACAGCTTGACTTCCTACATCTCCTACCATATGATTTAGAAATATGGTATAAAGTATGTGAAACTAGAAGATGCATCAGATCTAATTAGAATTTCCTGATGATCTTGTGAGTGTAGGATCTTCTGCATTAATAGCTGCAAACTGCTTTTCACTAGTCCTTTTTTCATCAAGTCAAGTCTTAACACCAAAAGGGAATTTTGATCGGTGCACTGAATCTAAATTTTTTTGGCTTCTATTAAACCTTCAGCATTATCTATAAGTAATCTTTTGGGACATGTTTCCCTTAAATGCTAAGCTACCAGTAATAGAAGTTATTTCCCTGGCTTGAGATTCCACGATGTAAATACAGATGTACATCTTTCATCAGGTTGTATATCTACCATCATACATTAATAATAACCATGATATCATTGTCTTTTAGAGAGGGAGACATATATGCTGTCCGTCTGGTAGGCTATAATGCTATTGGGACCTATTGCAATAGGAGTTAGGGTTTGGGGAGGAGTGCCAGTGAGTGGGCCCACAAGGTCATGGGGTCAGAGGTAGAAACAAGATCGTTTACAAACTCCAAATACAGTCTGTGTCCAGGGAGAGATTTTTTTCACTTTACATTATTATATGCATATGCATATTTCAAATATAGAATATTTTATATACATACCATAATATAGTAAGTACATACCATCTCCCTATTTGACTTTCTAATATTTTTCTCTTTTCAAAAATCTGATAAGTACATTAAAACATATTAAATTGTTTACCAAAAGTGTTTTACAATTTTCCGTTCTGCTAGCAGACAACATATAAAACTATCAGATATGATACACCATGATAAACAACAGCTTTTAAATACATGTTTTAATTTAATTAATAAAATTTGTTTTATTTTACATTTTTATTACTAGGAAGTTTATGCATATTTATTTTTGCTTATCACTTATATTTCTTCTTTTGTGCAGATAGTTGCTGCGTAGGTATTATTTACGAGTTAGTGGGTGCAGTGCACCAGCATGGCACATGTATACATATGTAACTAACCTGCACAATGTGCACATGTACCCTAAAACTTAATGTATAATAATAATAAAAAAAATAGATATAGAAGAGTGGTTTAGAATTTACAAGATGAATAAGGGAGAAAGGACATTCTTGGCAGAGAGTGAATCCCTTAGAAAGTCCATAGATGTGCATAAAACGTAAGGAACAGTGGTGCGGAATATAATATCTTAGATAATATCTTGGTCTTTGTGTGTTTTCTTTTAAAAACATTTATTTTTATTCTTAAAATTTAATTTTATAATTGACAAGTAATAATTATATATATTCATGTGGTACATAGTGATGTTTTGATACATATAATGTATAGTTATCAGATCTGTGTGATCAGCGTATCTATCATCTCAAATATTTATCATTTCTTTATGTTAGGAACATTCAATACCCTCCTTCTAGCTACTTGAAACTATGTATTCTTGTTAATTATAGTAATTCTACAATGGTATGAAACACTAGAACTTATTCTTTCTACATAGCTATGATTTTGTATTCTTTAACAAATCTCACCCTTTCCCTGTCTTCTCCCTACCCTTCCCAACTTCTAGTACCCTCTGTTCTACTTTTTCAGTCTGAGACCAACTTTTTTTAAGCTTCCACCTATGAATGAGAACATGTGTTTAACTTTCTCCCATTTCCATTCACATTGCATTGAATGACAGTATTTCGTTCTTTTTTATTGCTGAATAGTATTCCATTGTGTATATATACCATATTTTCTTTATCTATTAATCTGTTGTTTGACATCTAGGTTGATTTTTTATCTTGGTTATTGTGAATAGTGCTTCAGTAAACATAGAGGTAAAGATATCTTTTCAATATAATGATTTCTTTCCCTTTGTATAAATGCCCAATAGTGGGATTTCTGGATTGTATGGTCTTTCTATCAGTAGATTTTAAGGAACCTCCATATTGTTTTTTATATATAAGCAGGTGTACTAGTTTACATTTCTACCAACAGCATATAAGAGTTTCCTTTTCTCTGCATCCTCACCAGCATTTGTTATATTTTATCTTTTTGATAAAAGCTGTTGTAATGGATAAGATGATGTCATTGTCATTTTGATTTGCATTTCCCTGATATTTAGTGATGTTGAACTTTTTTATATCTTTTTTGGTCATTTGTGTGTCTTATTGATTTGTAGAAACTCTTTATGTAACAAATATGTTAATACTTTAATCTTAGCTACTGCACAATCTTCCAGTGTATTCTTTTATTTTTCACAAATGATTTATGGGCCCAACAAAATATCATGAGAAAGAGAAGTCATTTTATGTATTTATTATGTAATACTTTTCGAAGATGTATTATTTCTGGACAATATTCTTGTCTGTGAGGATATAGGAATACACAAACCAAACAAAATTTCTCACTTTGAAGTGCTTACATTCTAGTTGAGAGAGAGAGGAAGAGCGCAAGAACAAAAAAACAAAAATAAATACATAATATGTCATGTGGTGATAAATATCATAAAGAAAAATGTAATCAGAATATGGGGTTATGTGGCTGGAGCAGTGAGTAAGGGGATAATGGAAGGTGATGAGTTCAAAGAGGAAGCAGGAGGGCAAACTAAACGAGTTAGAGCCTTATAGGCAAGAATTGATTATACTTAAGAGCAGAAGCCACCAGAGGGTTCTGAGCAGAGGAATCATGTAATTTTTCTTGCATGACAAAAGGATCATTTTGGCTTAGACTTCAGGGGAGTCAAAGGTAGGAGCAAGGAGACCAATAGGAGGCTATTTCAATAGTCCAGAAGAAGAGATGTTACCTTGGTCCAGGGTAGTAGCCATGGAGGTAATAAGTGTTCAAGCTGGGCATGGCAGTGTGAACCAATAGCCCTAGCTACTTGGGAGGCTGAGGCAGAAGGATTGCTTTAGTCCAGGATTTGAGGCCGTGGTGTGTTATGATTGTGCCTGTGAATAACCACTGCACTGGGCAGCATAGCAAAACCGTCATCTCTAAAGAAAAAAAAAAAGTGTCAGATTTTGTATATTTCAAAGGCAGAGCTGAAGGGATTTGTTCATGGTTTGGATGTGGGTATGAGAGAAAAAAAGGTGTCAGGAATAATTCCACCATTTTGGGGAAAGTGTTAACTAATTCAAAGAATGGATTTGCCATTTATTGGAATGAGGAAATCATCCAAAATGGCATGTTTGTGGTGTTGGGGAAGGAAAGTAAGTGTTTGGTCTTGAACATGCACATTATACTTTGAATGTTTATTAGATATCATAGGAGATGTTAATTAGAAAATGAAATGAGTTGAAGTTTGGGGAGAGGTCTGGACTGGAGAACATTCACATGCAGATGGTATTTAAAGGCATGGGTCTGGATGAGATCACCTGAAGACTTAGAAGTCCAAGAACATTCTCTCTCTCTCTCTCTCTTTCTCTCTCTCTGTGTGTGTGTCTTTATCAACTAAACAATTGGCAAAAATCATATGCTATGAAACACAATTGGCTCCTTATCAAAAATTAATATTCCTCCCATTATCTCCATTTAAGATGAACATTAAAGTTTAGCTATATTAAGCAATTTTAGAATTATGGAATTTTAGAGTGACTTTGGAGGTAATTGTTTTATAGTTAAGGAAATTAAATCCCAGGAAGATCTTTCTCAAGGCCACAGTGTAGAAGGCTTTGCTAATAGTGTGATTTCTTCTTTATGCTTTTAATCCCTCTTGGAGTTTTTAACACTTGAGGGAATATATGAGTTTTATGTAACAAAGATAAGAATGATTTGAAAGCAAAATATGCTGTTGAAATATTTCAGATCCATGTTATAATGGCATCAATATAACATGGATCTGAAAATTAGCCATTTGGAAATATCACCCCAAATTAATATTTGTTACTAGGTCCTTCAGCTGGGTTCCTAACCAAGCTCTTCATTTCTTTGTGCTTTATTACCTCCTATATATATCAGTAACCAGGTCTCTTTTTCATTTTGAAAATAACTGCATGGCTATGATAGAAAAGGTGTTTTGTTCACTAAGAGAGAGAAACTATATGTAATGGATATCAGCGTTCAGCTATATTTCCCATTGGATAAAAGCTGCCATGTTACTTCACAAACATTTATACGTGGTAGAGAATGGAGTTTTGGGCAACAAAATGTACTGCAAAGAATTAAGTCTGGATTGATGTCAAAATTTTCCACCAGGTTACTGGAGAAAATTAAAATATTTTCTTACTGTTCATTGTGCTTTTCTATACAGGAGAGAAAATATTTTTCTCTCCTCATATTTCTCTATAGCGATTTGCATTCCACTCGCAAGGGGGAAGTAGTATTGGTGTAATCCTTCCAGCTTCCATCTGCAGTCATTTCTCTAGGGGAAAGCCCACTGCTATGGTCCTCCCTTTGGCTGTGGTTATGGTGCTTATAAGATGCAAGCATTGTTTCTCTATCTCTCCAGGTGGCAAACAAATGACTCCAAGGCAATGATTTGGGGGAACATAGTGGAAGAACTAAGCATACCAGAAATCATGTATTTGGATGAGTAATCTTTTATCCCCATTCACACTCTATGTCTATCTCACATGTTGGATGGAACCCCTAGGGTAAGACCTGTGATTACTTATACTTACAAACTTCTAACATCTCACATTATCCACTTAATGTGATAAATATCATCCTTTTATTAGAAACTCGGTAAGTGTGATAGTCTTGTTTAGTTGCTAGGCCAAAAGACCACCAGGCAAATCATCCCGCTTGTGAGTTCTGGAGGAATGGACGAAGTCTTATGGAGCAACCTGAATGTGCAAAATCCTAGGGTTGTTTCTTACGCAATAGAAAATGAACAGTGGATTGCAGAGAAAATTATGTCCTAAAGAAACTTTCTTAATGAAAATAATAGATTTTCTAAGTGCATTCTTTATGCTAACATTGACTTTCTTGGCTTCTGAGTAAAACATAAAAAACCCTGATGGTAAGAAGTTGGAACAAATTTTACAAAGGAGTGGTAGGGACAAGAGAGCAGAAGGGACAAATATTTGATAATATTCATAGCAAGTCTGTAAGAAAAACAACAAAAAAAGAGAAATATTTCCTACTGTGCTTACTTAGACACAGCTCCCCTTCTCTTTCCCTCCCTCCCTCTTTCTTTCTTTCTTCTTTTTTTCTTTTTTTGACAGAGTCTCACTTCATCACCCTAACTAGAGTACAGTGGCTCTATCACGGTCCACAGCAACATTGGCCTCACCGACTTCCTGGGCTCAAGGGATCCTCCCACCTTAGCCTTCCAAGTAGCTGGGACTACAGGCACATGCTACCATGCTGTCTAATCATTGTATGTTTTGTGGAGGTGGGGTTTTGCCATGTTGCCCAGGCTGGTCTCCAATTCCTGAGCTCAAGCAATCTGCCTGCCCTGCCCTCCCAAAGTGCTGAAATTACAGGCATCAGCCAACATGCCCAGCTACTCCAGACATAATTTCAATCCACCTCTGTGTGGAAAAAAAATTACTCAAGTTGGGCTTGATATTGGTTGATTTTGCCAAGAATGCTTTTTATGCCTCTAGTGGTTTTGAATTATGACTACACAAAAAAGAGGTTTTGGATATTTTCTTGAGTTAGAGAATTATCTTTACCCTTTCTGCATTATTATTACTTGAAAATGTGAAATATAAGTTGTAGGCTATATGGTTTTGTAGTACCATGAGGGCATGAGCAGTTTGCCTAGGAAAGAGTAAGTTGTTATTTTACTTTATGGTTCTCTACATCAAAATATAAAGGACACTCCTACATAGCATGCAGACTTTGAGTTTGGGAACTTTAAGAGATTTTTGAGTTTACTCTCTTTGTGCCTTTGCTGAATTCAATGGGCTGTGCCTTGGAAGTGCTGAGTGGGTAATTTATACCCAGTGGAAAAATGCTCCTCCACTAGGCAAAGCCCTTGGAATGCTAATATATTGTTATGTCTCTAATGGAGTTCTGTTCTCTTTTGTGGGACCACTTTACAGCTCTTGCTCTGAAATGACAGTTCTTTAATACACTGTGGATTGTGTTGCATAGCAAATTCTTGTTAGAAGTCCTAGATTAAGAGATTAAGAGTACACGTGCAAACAAACTTCTTGTGGAAATTCAAACATCTTTAATTTGCTTGAGCTAGTACTTTTTTTTTCCTCTGAAAGAAATCAGCATTCAGGAAAGGATTTGCCTTGTGTGAGGACTTAACACTATGCAAAACGATCTAAAAATGTAACATTATATATTATTGTTTTGGAATAATTTTCTTATTATTTGAGTTATTGGCTAATAGGCAATGTAATGGATAGTTTCAATGGCATTCAAGGAGGTGCAAGGCATCCAAAAGGAAAAAAAGATGAGGGTGTAGGAAGGTTATGGCCAGCAAATGAAGAACAAATGAAAACTAAACAGAGTTCTTTTCTGGTTTGGATAATGGTAGGAAAAATAAGACATGAATCCAGATTTTAAAAATAATATTATAACAGTGATTACTTATGGCTTATGGGTGGTTTATATTGCTTACACATAAAGTAATTATTACTTTGAATTGGATAAATGGAAACTGAGTTTTGGACATTTATAATAAGTATTTGCCTTGACAAATGGGATCTAATTAAAGAGCTTCTGCACAGCAAAAGAAACTATCATCAAAGTGAACAGTCAACCTACAGAATGGGAGAAAATTTTTGCAATCTATCCATCTGACAAAGGGCTAATATCCAGAATCTACAAGGAACTGAAATTTATAAGAAAAAAACAAACAACTCCATCAAAAAGTGGGCAAAAGATATGAACAGACATTTCTCAAAAGAAGACATTTATGCAGCCAACAAACATGAAAAAAGCTCATCATCACTGGTCATTAGAGAGATACAAATCAAAACTACAATGAGATACCATCTCATGCCGGTTAGAATGGCGATCATTAAAAAGTCAGGAAATAACAGATGCTGGAGAGGATGTGGAAAAATAGGAATGCTTTTACACTGTTGGTGGGAGTGTAAATCAGTTCAGCCATTGTGGAAGACAATATGGCGATTCCTCAAGGATCAAGAACCAGAAATACCACTTGACCCAGCAATCCCATTACTGGGTATATACCCAAAGAATTATAAGTCATTCTACTCTAAAGACACATGCACATGTATGTTCATTGCAGCACTATTCACAATAGCAAAGACTTGGAACCAACCCAAATGCCCATCAATGATAGACTAAATAAAGAAAACATGGCACATATACACCGTGGAATACTATGCAGACATTAAAAGGGTGAGTTCATGTCCTTTACAGGGACATGGATGAAGCTGGAAACCATCATTCTCAGCAAACTAACACAGAAACAGAAAACCAAACACCGCATGTTCTCACTCATAAGTGGGAATAGAACAATGAGAACACATGCACACAAGGAGGGGAACATCACACACCAGGGCCTGTCTCAGGGTGGAGGGCTAGGGGAGGGATAGCATTAGGAGAAATACCTAATGTAGATGATGGGTTGATGGGTGCAGCAAACCACCATGGTACGTATGTAACGAACCTGCATGTTGTGCACATGTATCCCAGAACTTAAAGTATAATAAAAATAAATATTTGCTTTTGTTATTTTTAAGTTTCATATGACAAACTTTGATAGGATTTGGTGAAAATAAGTTCTGTGAATGAATGTTGTTTTGAAATCTCCTTGCATTCCTTGGAAGAAAACTGCATTATGAAGACAGGAATGTAGAAGCTGTTACCTGAATACTCATTTAGTTATAATTTTAAAATTATGACTTATAATTGATGCACACCCCTACTTTAGTAATTCCGCAAGAATTATGGAAAAATTTGAAACAATGTTTACTTCGTTTTGATTTATGTAAATGTAGAAAGATTACATGTTTTCCATTTTAAAAACAATTAAATGTATATATTTGTTCTTTTCCTTGTTTGTACAAAGTACCCAAAAGGAACTCAATTTTAGAATTTAGAATTTTCCAGGAGCTGGTTCATCATCAAGAGAAACTTTTTTCCCTGGGATGTTATAAAAAAAAATGATCTTAGTTTTTATGAAACAAATAATTTCACATGACTAGATTTATACAACTTTTAATGACTATGGAGTTCAAAAACACAGTGTTATTTGATATTTATTTGTGTTTTTTGCTGTATATCCTCACAAAAGTGGATAATGCAATACTTTTTTGAGAGATCATTTTTTCTCTCATTTTTGATTAAGAAAATACTACCTTTATAAATTAGGTGGAGCAAATGCTATCACTGCTCTGAAAAAGTGATATATATATTGTCACCTGAAAGCCATGGAACACTAAAATTAAAGCGTTTGCTGAGTAGAATACATTTTCACAAAATCTGTGTAACTTAAATAATTATTGTAATATAGTTTTTAAACTGAAAATGTCAGACATTCTGTAGAACCAATTTTAAAATGTACTCACTAACAGAGTAGACTGTATCATTAAGCATGATTAATTAAGGCCAGGCGTGGTGGCTTATGCCTGTAATCCCAGCACTCTGGGAGGCTGAGGCGGACGGGTGACGAGGTCAGGAGTTGGAGACCATCCTGGCCAACATGGTGAAACCTTGTCTCTACTAAAAATACGAAAAATTAGCTGGGTGTGATGGTGCGCGCCTGTAGTCCCAGCTACTTGGGAGGCTCAGGCAGGGAAATAGCTTGAACCCGGGAGTCGGAGGGTGCGAGGTTGTGCCAGTGCACTCCAGCCTGGCAATGGAGCCAGACTCCATCTCAAAAAAAAAAAACAAACCCAAAAAGATTAATTAGCATCTAATTAATTGATTGATTTTTATTCATTCAGCAACTACATATTGAACATCAACCACATAATCAGTACTCTACTAAGTATATAGTGATAAATAAAATATATTCCCTGTCCTCATGTGATTTAGAGTTGGAAGAGTTTCAGACAGATATATTCTTTCCACCTTCATTCTCCCAAATGCTCATATTTACTGTTCAAAGTAGTTTGTTTAACACAGTCGTTTGGATGGCAGTGGGAAATAGTTTCAAAGAGAAATGACTTCAGAATCAGCACATCTGGGTTTGAGGACTAGCTGTATCATTTACTGTCTTTCCAATATGAGTAAATTAGTAAATTTGATTCTCCATCCTCATTGGTAAGGTGGGGATCATAGCATCTGTTATCTTAGTGCCCAATGTCAGCCCCAGAGTTTCTAAGTAGGAGGAGGCTAGGTATCAAAATTTGTTTGGAGGAGGGGCCCCTCGGGCTTATGTTGGAGCTGTACTGACAGAGCAAGCACTCTTATTTTTACTTAAGTTGTTATGTTTGTTTGAGATGGACTAACTGAGATCAAAGGAGTGCCTAATTTCTCCTAAATGATCCCTGGACGGCCCCACTATCAGGACCTAGCCCAGCATACAGAAATACACACACAGACATATATATATATACACACACACACACACACATACATACATATATATAGAAATACATATACACAGAAATACATATATATAGAGTAATATATATATTTCTATAATATATGTATATATTCTCTTATTAATATTACATTATTAATAGTATATTACAAATTAATATAGTAATATATTCTACATATTTCATTATTATATATTACATAGTATATATACATATATATGTATCCTGTTGATACTTTTTTGGAAATCATTATCTAGAAGGGAAATTCAGCTGAGAACTTGGGTGAAGACTCTCTTTCTAAACCTAAACACTATACTTTTCAGGATTCAGATTTGTAGACCTAAAAGCCTCTATTGGTTTCTGCTCAAATGAGGAGTTGCATGACTTCCAGAGACCTGCTCTGACCACATCATATACAGCTTCTAACTACTCTCAGAAGAGGAGAGATTTGTGAGGCATTTCACACAGGCTGTTCATTCTATGAATGAGTCATTCAGGAAATCATTTTTGCAGATACAATCTTACATTTTTCATTAAATCCCCTTTCTCCTCTTATGGGACCTTTTGGGAATTGCTAAAGTGCATTCTTAACACTTTCTTTTTTATACTCTTCATAAGTACTGTGTATTAAACTGTGAAATAATATAATTCTTAGATTATATCTGGATGTTAAGAGCATTTAGAGCTCATAAAGAGTGTGATATATTAAGCATAAAGTTACAGAAAATGTTAACTATTTGGTTAATTTTAGACTGCTTATAGAGTATCCAAAAGATTTATTTAGGTATATAATTCATCTTGTATGTGCATTGATTAAACACAAATACAGCATCATCAAAGACTTTCCAGACATTTTATAAGATATATCAGGGAGAGAGATATTACAAACCCAAGTTTGGACTTGCGTAGAGTAATGCTGAAAATCATATTGATTACCTCTAGTGCAAATGTTTGCTCTTTGAGTGTTAATCAGAGTTTTTAAGCATAAGATATGCAGAGATGCTGCTGAGTTATTTTTGTAAATTGGGGTTTATTGTAAGGATATGCATAGATGTAAGAAAATTGTCAGCAATTGAACCTTCAGGCACATGGAGAATTACAATGAAACCAATGATATATCAGAACCTTGGGCAGTCTGCCCCTCTTTAACTCAGCTCCCTATCATTTTGTTCTCCCTACCTGCTTCCAGAGGTTTACTCTACATCCGGTTGCTTTTCTTACTCTACTGTTTATTCCGTTTGACTCTTGACTTCTGCTTTCATATGGCTTGCACTTCCTTGTGGTTTTTCATACTGCCATCTCTCCGTGTCATGCTATCACTATCATACTAGTGGTGTCATACTACCACCATCACGCTCCTGTGTCTCCTTTTTTGTGTCTTTAAAAGAGAATGTGCAATACTTAATTAGTTACTACCTCTGGTGTGACAGTTAGAAAACCTATGACTTAGATGTGCAGAAATATATCTACGTTTATGCAGCTGAGCCCAGAGCACTCTATGATGAAGGTGGAAAGTGCTTAATCTTGCCACTTTCTGTTACTCACAATGTAGAACAAATTGTAGCACAATCACATGGCAGGTTGGGTCCCTAAGCTCTTCCAGGATAGAGACTATTCCTTAGGTCTGTGTCTCCAGCACCTAGGAAATTATCTGAGAAAAGGAAGATTTTAAATAAATATTTATTAATAACACAGAAATATCCCTTCAATTTTAAGTTTTTAAGGATAGCCAGTGAGACATATTAACTTACCATTAGAAAAATTTGCTGGGGACAGCAGGCAAATCCTTCTGCCTAAGTTTTTTTTTTTTTTAATATAATGGCCACTGTTTTGTTTATTGTCCCCATTTCCTTTTGTATTTAACTTTTATTTTTAATTATTATGAGTACATAATTGGTGTACATATTTATGGGGTACATATGATGTTTTAATACAGACATACAATGTGTAATAATCACATCAGCACAACGAGGTGACTATAGTGAACAATACTTTATTGTATATTTTAAAATAATTTCTGCCTGAGATTTAAATGTTACTGTCCCTCAGGCCTGGTTTCTTGGCCTTCTTTCTTTCTCGTTTTAATACCTTTTTCCTAAGTAATCTTCTCTATTCTTCTTCTTTATTACCTTGCATATGCCACCAACGCCCAAATGAGTAAGTCCAAGCCACATCCTCTTTTGAGTTGCAGACTCATCTATTCAGTGCTTATAATTCTTTTATTAATACTTGAATGATACAGAGATCTCAAATTCCCTATGTTCAAAATTGAATTAATAATATTAGCCTCTCTAATTGTGCTGCTTCTCCATTATTTCCCAGGTCAGTAAAAGAATAGCATCTCAATCCATTTGCAGCCTATTCATATCAGTTGTGTGTCTGCAATCTGTAAGGAACTGTGCTGGAATGCAGTGATGAATAGGAAAGTCATGGTAACTTCTTCCACTGATTTTTCACATCTTTTTGTTCTTCTTTACCTCTCATATCTAATCTCTTACTTAGTCCTATCATTCTACGGGAAAACTTATTTCCAGTCATCCCCCTTCCCTCCATGGCTACCACCATGATCCAAGTCCAAGCTAGCATTATTTGTCAGCTGAACTTCCATAACATCCTCTTAAAGTGATTCTGTTGTTCCCATTGTTAACCTCTATTCTATCAATTCCTCCTACTGTAATCATGATGAAAATGCTTTAAATGCAGTCCTTATAACATAATTCTCTGGTTAAACATGATGAAAGGGCTTCTGGTTAGAAGATAGCATAAAAATCCTTAACATGACTCATCATGCCATGCGTGACTTAGCCACTGCTTCCCTCTCTACTTTTATCTTCTACTACTCTGCCTTCCCTCTCTACGATACAACCACATGGGTGTTCTTTTTGCTCCTTGAGGGCACCCTGCTGGGTGTCATTTCTTCTGCTTGGGAAGCTAACTGCTCACTGGTCCTTGCTTCTAGCAGAGTAACTCTCACTTATCCTCAGGGAAGAATCCTAATACTGTTCATTCAGTGTCTTTCCTCTGAAATACTGTAATCTCCATGACAGCAGTATTCTTGACTATTTTACTTACCACCGTATATCCAGCACTAGTATAGCTCCTGGCACACAGCAACTGTGTGATAGGTATCTGCTGAATGAATAAATAAATTAGCGTTAAATATTCAGATTTCTGTTTCTTAGCAAGTGATTCCTGTTTTTGTTTTGTTTTATTTTTGAGACAAAGTGTCACTCTGTTGCCCAGGGTGGAGTGCAGTGTTGTGATCTCACTGCAACCTCCACCTCCCAGGTTCAAGTCATTCTCGTGCCTCAGCCTCCCAAGTAGCTGGGATTACAGGCACCCCCCACCAGACCCAGCTAATTTTTGTATTTTTAGTAGAGATGAGGTTTCACCATGTTGGCCAGGCTGGTCTCTAATTCCTGACCTCAGGTGATTCACCCGCCTTGGCCTCCCAAAGTGCTGGGATTACAGGCTTGAGCCACCGTGCCCAGCCTGATTCCTGTTTAAGTCCCAGAATTCACTAAATCTACTCAGTGATATTGTATCAAGAAAAAGATTTCTCATAGTTCTAATGCTTTTCAAACAACTCAAGAAAAAGGAGATGATGGGAAAAGCCTAACAAATTAACATTTACAGCAGTTCATTCTATTTTTTAAAATTTTCATTTTTATGCCAGCCAAAGCACATGAGGTGGCTTTATGTGAGATCTTTGCCTGACAAAAGTGTTCTCCATTCACTAAGGTGATTGTGTGAATTATTTTTCATTTCTGCTCTTTACTGCTTCTGCTGTCCTTTGAGATTGAGACATCCAGTGCTTCAGTGCTTCAAAGGAAACACCCAGACAAGAACAAAGGAGTAAATTTTCAGATTTTGGCATCCAAAATAGGATTTTGAGGCCAATTCCCTTGGAAAAAAACATTTTTCCAGTGGAATTCCAGTGGAAAAAAACATTGAGAAACCCAAATATTTAATTTGGAAAAGTCAAAATGTGTTGAGAGAAAAGAAACTAAAGCTGCAGAGGTAGGATGGAAGTATTAGAAACTGATAGTGAGGAAAGCACAGGAGGTGATATGAGGGCACTTCTCTATTACCCAGGAATGAGGACAGCCCTTCCTAAACAGTGGGAAGAAAGAATCCTGGAGAGAGGAGGCTAGAACAAGAGAGATGGGGTGCCTGCTTCCTGACCCAGGCTTCACCTGGACTTGCACACTTCTCCTTTTGTTGTTATAACTCAAGGGGCTGGATAGGGATCAGCAAGCATATCTTGGAGTCCCAAAGCAGAGGAAGTTGTGACAACTTCCTGTATAAACTCTGGGATGAGGACCTCATACCAAGATAGAGTGGCCATAGTAGAGCAGGGATGGTGGAACTGAGATACACCCCAAGCCTTCTGTGGTCAAGAATGGCAAATAGGAGGCCCAGAAGTTCACCTATGTCCTAGTGGAAGTTAAGGAAGCTTAACCTGATGGACTGGAAGAGACCAAGGTTAAGTTTGGAGGGCACAGCGTGTGGTAGACATCATAGTCCGAAGCCTGGGCAAGGATTACAACATCAGATGCTAGCACTTGTCCTAAGGAAACGGGTAACTCGGTTATACTGTTATCAAGCAAAGGGGGCTCACTACCTGA
Organism: Homo sapiens; assembly: GCF_000001405.40. Classification (NCBI taxonomy): domain Eukaryota; kingdom Metazoa; phylum Chordata; class Mammalia; order Primates; family Hominidae; genus Homo; species Homo sapiens. The sequence goes on along the minus strand of NC_000004.12, from coordinate 127,247,437 downwards.
TGCAATAGAAGCCAATACTATGACACCAGGATTTGGAGAAAAGAAAAGTTTTATGTTGAAAGTAGACTCACAAGGAAACAGGAGTCAAGCTCAAATCTGTCTCCTGTGTTGGCTTCAAGGCAGTATTTTTATTAGAAAAGGTTCTGGGGTGGCTTCTGAGATTATTAGGTAATTGGTGGAAGAAAATGGAAGGCCTGGAAAGTCCTTGGGCATGCATGGTTATGTTTTCATGCTTCCTCATGGTTTGCATATGCAAATTCACAGGCAGTGGTCTGAAACACACACTGGAAATTCAGGTTGTGATGTCAGCAACTTGTTCTGTGCAAACTCCAGTTGGCCATCTTTGTTCCAAGCGGTTTCAGCCAGTTGTTGTTGTTGTTTTTTTAAATCTCATAAGCAGGGGGAGTTTTAGCATTTTGGCAAGTTGTTTCTTTTCTTATCCGTTATCCTGCAAACTCAAGAATTTAGTCATTGGTTTCTTTAAGTCTTTGAGGCACAGTTACGATACCAGCAGAACAACAGAGCGATCAGAAGCCAACACCCAAAGACGAAGTAGTATGAGACGACACAGCTGAAGCCAGCACAGATGCAGAGAAGAACCCCTTTCTTTATTGCTTGGATGCTATTTGGTGTTCTCTTTTTACCTTGATACTATCCCAGAAAAGAAGAGCAGGGAGGAGAGAACCCACAGCAGGGAAATATAGCCCTCATTGGAAGTTTAAACTTTGAAGTGGTTGAGTTTTTGTCCTGAATTAACTGGCACACCAAACCAAAAGTGAAGGGACTGCCTTGTATAGCATAATGATTAAGATATTGGTTCTGGAGCCAGTTTGACTGGGCTCAAGTCCCACGTCTGTCCTTACTAGCTGTGCAATTTTGCAGAAGACTATTTCTCTGTGCCTCAATTTTCTCACTTGATTTGAGGATTAAATACATTATTGTCATGAAATTTTCAGAACAGTGCCTGGCACATGGTAAATACTCATTGTCAGGTTACCCCAAAGACATTTTGGAAAATGTTTTGTAGAAGGATGGCGAAAGTCTCAGTCACAACAAATTTTCTGAACCAAGAAAAAAATTGATTAGTCCAATTTCCACTCACCAAGGGCTAAACATTCTTTCCAGAGGTCAGTGCTCTTCCTGTGTGAAGTAAATGTGATAGAGGTAACTGTGGATGCAACTGGCCAGATTTCTAGTTAATCTTCTCCTACTGATTTATGCCTATCTGGAAAAACAAAACCTAGATGCAGAATTGGAAATCCAAGAACAACAGAATTTCTTAAAGTTTTACCATGAACTCTTGTTAGAAGATGTCTATTAAACATGTGTTTGATGATCTGCTTTTATTTCTCACATCCACCATGATATTCAGTGCTATTGTGTCTTGTCCTAAAGTCATCATCTTCTGGCTAAGTGAAAAGACATGGAGGGAGATTGTTCAGTTTAATGAGCACCACTGAGCACCTACTAGTTTGTCAGGCATTGTGTTTAATTCTAATGTAGGCTCTGGATGTATTAAAAGGAAAAGGGCATGGTGTCCTCTGAGAAGCTCACTTGCTTATGACACACTTCGGGGCAGTGCCAAAAGTTTTATAACATAGTTTTATGTTAACATGGGATGGAATGTGTGTGTGTATGTGGCTTCACAGAAGTGGGTATTTCCCTCTATTTTAGCTTACTGTGTGTAATTATTTATGTTTTATCCATATTCTCTCATTTTTTTCTGTTTTTGAGTAAAACTTTCCAAAGTTTTCCTATGAAACGCTGATAGAAATGGCTATATAAAGAAGTTCAATTCTCTTTTAATTTTTTTTTTACTTTGAAAAACTGATCTATAATAGTTGTAAATATTTTGGGGGTACATGTGATATTTTGATACATACATACAATATGTAGTGATCACATCAGGGTAATTGGAATATCTATTACATCAAACAGTTTTTCATGTTTGGAACATTACAATTCTTCTAGCTATTTTGAAATATACAATAACTTATTAACTATAATATTCCTACTGTCATATCGAATACTAGGACTTATTTCTTATATTTAACTGTATTGTGCCCCTTGGCTAACTTCTCTTTATCCCCCCTTCCCTCTTCCTTTCCCAGACTCTGATAACCACCAATCTACTCTCTACCTCCAAGGGATCCACTTTTATTTAGCTCTCCTTTCACACATAAGTGAGAACATGTGATATTTATCTTTCTCTGCCTGGCTTGTTCTACTTAGTATAATAACCTCCAGTTCCATGCATGTTGCTGCAAATAACAGAATTTTATTTTTAATGACTGAATAATATTCCATTGTGGGTATGTGTGTGTGTGTGTGTATATATATATATATATATATATATATATATATATATATATACAATATTTTCTTTATTAATTTATCCATTCATGTACACATAGGTTGATTCCATATCTTGGCTATGGTGAATAGGGCTGCAATAAACCTGGAAGTGTAGATATTTCTTGAATATAATGATTTCCTTTGGATATTTATCCAGTAATGGGATTGCTGGATCATATGAGAGTTCTATTTTCAGCTTTTTGAGGAAACTCTATACTGTTTTCTATAACGGCTGGACTAATTTATATTCCCACCAATAGTGTACACGTATTCCTCTTTCTGTGCTTGCTCGCTAGCATTTGTTATCTTTTGTCTTTCTGATAAAAGCCGTCATAACTGGTTACAATGGCTTTTATCAAAAAGACAAAAAAATCTCATTGTGGTTTTAATGGGCATTTCCCTGATGACTGTTAATGCTGAGCATTTTAAAAAACATACCTCTTGTCCATTTGTTTATCTTCTATGGAGAAATGTCTATTCAAATATTTTACCCATTTTAAAATTAGTTTTTTTAACTATTGAGTTATTTGAGTTCCTTATGTATTCTGGTTATTCGTCTCTTGTCATATGGATAGTTTTGTAAATATTTTCTCCCACTTTGTGGCTTGTCTCTTCATTTTGTTGATTGTTTCCTTTGCTGTGCAGAAGCTTTTAGCTTGAAATAATCTCATTTGTCTATTCTTGCTTTTGTTGCTTGTGCTTTAAAGGCCTTACCCAAAAAAACTTTGCCCAGACCAATGTCTTGTTACATTTACCTAGTGTTTTCTTTTAGTATCTTTATAATTTCAGGACTTACATTGAAATCTTTAGTCCATCTTGAATTTGTTTTTGTATATGGTAAAGGATGGGGATCTAGTTTTTTTCTTTGGCATGTGGATATCCAGTTTTCCTAGCACCGTTTATTAAAAAGGCTGTCCTTTCCTCAATGTATGTACTTGGTGCCTTTGTAAAAAATGAGTTGTCTATAAATATGTAAATTTATTTCTGGGCTCTCTGTTCTGTTCCATTGGCCTATTTTGTCTGTTTTTATGCCCGTACCATGTTGTTTTGGTTACTATCGATTTGTGCTATAATTTGAAATCAGTTAGTTTAACACCTTCAGCTTTATTTCTTTTGCTCAGGATTGCTTTAGCTATTAGGATCTTTTCTGGTTCCATGTGAATTTTAGTATTTTTTTTCTATTTCTGTGAAGAATATCATTGGTATTTTGATACGAATTGTACTGAATTTGTAGCTCATTTTGGGAATGAGGAATATGGTTATTTTAACAATATTAATTCTTCCAAACCATGAAGAAGCGATATTCTTATTTACTAACCTGGAGATACCACTTTAATCCTCTTTTTGTTTCACTTCTCACCATTTCACCCAAATCCTGAGAATTCTTAAAGTGCTGAGGGTCAATATTTTCAGGAAATCTTGAAATAGTCTTTAATGTAACAGAAACCTAGGACACTATGATGTCCCCTAATAAAATGTCCCACGTTTTCTTTTCTTTAGCTGACCCTGGCGTTCTTTAGAAGAGATGGATTAGGCACACAATTTTCAAAACCTTCACTATGCAAACATGAGTTTGTTGTCCCAGGAGGACTTGGGACTGATTCCTTGATATCCAAGAATGGGCACTGATTTCATTTGTGCACATGCTTAAGCATACCCCTCTGCTTTTGGTGAGGGCCTATGCTACATAAAATGGATTTGCACTGACCAGTGGCTGGGAAGCCTCTCTCCTTTCATGCCACCAGGATTTACCTAAGTGCTTGCAGGGCTATAGCTACATTGGGTTCCAATTGTTTTTTTCAAACTTTTATAAAATGGATGACTTCTGCTAGATGCAAAGGAAGCAACCTAGATCCTCTGTGTAATCTCCCAGGTTGGTCAATTCCTAATCAACAGAAGGTGATTCTTACCTACCTACCTTCCAAACAAGTAATCGGATACTCACTAAGACTTTATTTTCAGGACATTGTCTTGACTGAGCATAAGTAAACAATAGTTTCATTCAGTTTTATTTGAATCTATCTAATTTTTTTTAATGGTAAACTAGAAAAAAGATTTTTCTCTCAAGTTTTATTTTTTCATGCCACTAACGTTGAGAATTTTTAGGGTCATTACCACAAGGAAAAATTATTTCAAAATCTATTTTGGTGACTATGAGGGCCCAGATGAAAGGAGAAAAAAAATCAGTTTCTGTATGCTATTTGATGGAATGCATACAATTCTATTAAGAAGCACTTCAATAAATCTATTCAATTAAAGGATACAGTTGTGGCTGGGGGCAGTGGCTCATGCCTGTGATCCCAGCACTTTGGGAGGCCAAGGTGGGAGGATTGCTGGAGCACAGGAGTTTGAGACCAGCCTGAGCAACAGACAGAGACCCCATCTCTATAAAAAGTAAACAAAAATTAGCCAGGTGTGGTGGCAACTGCCTGTAGTCCCAGCTGCTTGAGAGGTAGAGGTGGGAGGATCATTTGAGCCTGGGATGTCAAGGCTGCAGTGAGCCGTGATTGCCCCACTGCACTCCAGCCTGAGTGATAGAGACCTTGTCTCAAAACAAAACAAACAAACAAACAGGAATTCAGTTGTGTAATGTTGTACCTCTGTCTTATGCAGCAGTGATGTTTGGACAGATAGAATCTGAATGTTATGGAGATGGGTCAAATTAAATTCAAGTGTAAGATGGTTTAAGATCTGCCCAATAATTTTACTGGGAATGTAGGAATTGAGAGTAAATTTAGATTTCTCTGCTCACAGCTTGTTATTATTTCAGTTGCCTATTGCTTAATGTAACATTGCATACCTATAAAATGTGGGAGATTAGAAAATCTTTGGATTCAGGTTTAAGGTGCTGCTATAATTCCATGATTCTCTAACTTGTGAAGTAATTAGAGAAATGAAACAACTGTGATGGAAATCACAGCATTTTCACTTTACACTCATAGAATGACAGAGCTTGAAGTGGTTTTTATATCTGATATCTCCTTTTTGGCCCAGAGTGTGTTGATATCTACACAACCTTGGACTCTTGGGTTATATCCTATACGGAAAATTGTGTTTCAGTGGGGGCTTTTTAGCTCTTCCTGGCAACATGCCCCATTCTTCATCAATCCTAAGGTCAGGAAGTCTTGCTTATGCCCAAGGTTAAGTGCCTTTGAACACATTGCTATTAGCTATACTTTAAAAAAGTCTCAAAGCTCTTTCAAAAAATATAGTAAATGCTCCTTTTGTTGGTTATTCTTGTCATGCTCTATTAAGATATATAGTTCACCTTACAGTATTAAAATATATTGTTGAAGTTCTGATTCTTTATATTTTATATTAATTTAATAAATGACAATTCAGCTTCTATTTTGTTTTTCAAAATTTCAGTTTTCCTTTTTGTCTGTTTTTGAACTCCTATGTCCCTGGCTAAATGTGAAGTAAACTGTCAGTTCAGAATCAATGCAGCTTTTAAGAATGGATGAGTTAATAAAGGTTATAAGAATACATTCATTAGCATTTACAATCAAAAGTCTGTAGTGTTCTTCTGTTGGTTCCTATAACATACTGGCAAGAATTATAGATAATGGCTTTACTTGTAAAATTAAGACAATGATGCCTTTAATTTTTTTGTTTTTAATTAACACAATAACTACATATTTATGAGGTGCAGTGTGATGTTTCAATTCATGTATACATTGTGTGATGATCAAATCAGGACAATGACACTTTGGACTTTTTAGGTGACACCTTGAAAAGTCATAAACATGCACTGAACTGTGATAGGCAGCATTCGCTGTAAAATACCCATTTCCAGGACATTGTCCATTACTTCTTCCCCCTTCCTTTCTGGACCACAGGGTTGCTCCTTATATCATTTTCTTGTTCTCTTTCTGGCACAATGAATAACATATGGCAAGTTATCAGCCTCCCTCAGGTTCCATTGTTCAGTGAAGCTGAGATTCTCTTGCCAGATTATCTTGTCTGTATCCCTTTTAGACACTTTTATATTCTTCTTGCTTCACAACTTGTAAAGATACACCAATGGATACCAGCATTGGTGCCCATAGATCAGCACTGGGGGGATGACCCGCGTGGTGTTTAGTTTTCACTTTTCTTTCTCCTGATTCAGTGCAGGCAAGGAAATTGAGCAAGAGCCAGGACATGTGGCAGCCCTTAAGTTTCTTCCAAATTTTATGAGCTCAGGATCTTATGTGGAGTCCACCCTTCTCTCTATCACTGGCCTTGACATCATAGAATTTACACTACAACTCTACCCTTGAAACTTGGAAATTGCTTATTATTGAGGTCACTGGAGGAGTTTGCTTATTGATTCTGAAGCTATTTGGTAACAATTCAGAGTGTAATGTAGAAACCTTATCTCCTAAATCCTGTCTTGTGTGCTCTCTCTTACACACCAGGGTGTAGTTTCTCTTGTGGTATATGCCAGCACCTTTTCTCAGCATGCCCTCATCTAGGCATGCGTCTCCTTGTGCCAGACACTAGTATACTCTATGAATTTAATATTCTTCAGTCTATAGTTATGTGGCTGTGCCAGTTACGCCTATTTTTTTCTGTTCATCTAAAACGTAGCTTTATATTATTATAAATAGAATGCACGTTTAGATGAAAATACAATGTTCATTAGGTATACCATTACAAATCACTGGCCTCTGGCCATGCTTCTCTAGTGGTGTAATTTCCATACCCCCAGGGATATGGTTATGTATCCTGTCTTTATTTTGAAGGTTATAATTGGAAGCACATGTCTTTGACTGGATACCATATATCAATAGCCTTCCTCCACTCTGCCAGGAGAGATGCACCATGCAATACAATATCAAAGGAAGCTCAATGAAATGTTGTTCTCTTATTTGAGATATATTTGGTCTGTGCTGATACTAGCTTGTTGCTAGATTTGAAAATCAAACCTTAGGCTAAGGCTGAGAGGTTTTAGGAGGGCAACCTTAGTACTAAATAGATGAGATAAAAATTATGGAGTAAAAACGGCTCACTTCAGTCATCTGCATGGCAAAACCAGTCGCCAAATATGACATACATAAACCAGAGTCTCTTATCAGTCACATGCATTTAGTTTATTTACATTTTAATTTTGCAGATACGTCTGAACTAATTTGTGAATTTTCAGTGAAAAACTTGCACTTGTTTCTCTATTTACCTTCATTTAGAGGCCATTATTTGTGAACATGTGGTCTGGTTATGTTCAAGAAAAGTTTGTTACAAACAAACACCAAATTCTGTAGTGGTTACTTGGCTTGGAGCATGAGTTTTTAAAGTTTATTGATGATCATTTACTATGGTTATTGTTAGTTTTCCTTCATGTACAAATGTACTGCTAAGCAATACCCAATGAAATTATTTTAAGTGAAAAAACATCTACTAATAATGAGTAGTAAAAACTGAAATATATGTTTTGCATTTATATAAAAGTGATTCTGCTTTCTCTTTTTTGAATTATAAATTCTTAGATTGGTGAGACTGTGTAAAAAAATTCACATTTAAGCATTTTTATTTATTTCACTTTTTGTTTGAATTCTATAGTTCTCACTACAGAAGTTAAAAACTTCTGCTTTTGGAGCTGTATTTGTTTTTATGGAAGGCTCATGTAGAATTCCAGCAAGTCTGCGATGCCTTGTGGAAGCCCTGTCTCTAACATTGGTGCTCTGTGCTGTAGGGAGGCACAGTGGGGACCTTTCTAATAGTAATATAGATGATCGAGTTTACTGGCATGCTGGAAATTATGTGGAAGACAATGGGTGTGGTTCCTTCACGATCAGTGCCAGGATCACAAATGTCATGTGCCTTTGCTCAGAGGACATATTTGTGCCAGCTGACCAAACCACCTTATGCAAAGGAGTCCTTATTCCCTGCCCTCTCACTCTCCATTCCGGGGCTAGACAGCACGAGCCAGAAAAAGTCTCTTCTAACCAAGCAGAAGGCTTTTTGCTTTTTAAATATAGAAAATGACTTCAGAATTGTTGGCATTCAATAACTAAAATACTATATTTTTCCAAATGCTTGATGATGCATTGTTTTAACCTATATGAAATTAGGCTAAATGACAAAAGCTTCCTTAAAGATTAACTCACACTGTGGCTAAAAAAGAGGATGTGCATATAATTTAGTTATAATAGAGAATAAATATAATTTATAAATGTAAGTGTTTCTTAGGAAAATTTGGGGGAATTCACAAGATGACTAAATTTGTGGAACTGATGTGTCCAGCAAAAATTTACAAGTCCTTGGATCAGTGTTTCCTTACATATTTCATGTCATGGATCAAACATAAAATGACAGAATGATGCAAAATCAGTTAATGGGTACAATGTACATTATTCAGGTGAGGGGTACCCTAAGAACCCTGGCTTAACTTCTTTGTGATCTATGAATATAACAATATTGCAAATGTTATCCATAAATTTGTACAAATAGAAAGGAAAAAAACAATTGTCATATTTCTCTGCTACACTAGAATAAACAGACAAGGCAACTGAGATCAAAAGCTGGGGTGTTTGGCTGCCCCTATCCTAAGAGTTGAGGGGACTGATAATCTGTGTATGCTTTTAGGCTGTGGATTTCTTTCTTTCCTTCCCTCCTTTCTTCCCTTATCATAATTTATTTCAGAAGATCAGTAGGAAAAAAAAGATATACCTTTTATTCTTGGATTTTCCTTTGATTTCCAGGAGTATAAATTTAGGTTTTTTTTTTTTTTTTTTTTTTTTTTTAATTTGAGATGGAGTTTCAGTCTTCTGGCCCAGGCTGGAGTGCAATGGCCCAATCTTGGCTCATGGCAACCTCTGCCTCTCAGGTTCAAGCAATTCTCCTGCCTCAGCTTCCTGAGTAGCTGGGATTACAGGCGCCTGCCACCACGCCCGGCTAATTTTCATATTTTTAGTAGAGACGGGGTTTCGCCATGTTGGCCAGGCTGGTCTCAAACTCCTGACCTCAGGTGATTCACCTGCCTCGGCCTCCCAAAGTGCTGGGATTACAGGCGTGAGCCACTGCGCCCAGTCAGGCTAAATATTCTTAATTTCAGACCTTGTGTTTCTATCAACAGGTCTTTTGTTGGATAAAATTTAAATTTAAAGAAGAACAGGCCTTCTTTAAAACCAGATCTAAATATGCTTTGGTGAGCCCAGCATGCCTAGCAGAATACCATTGGCCTGATCAGTATTCACATGATAGTAACTGATGTTGAAAACAACACTAATAACCCCAAAGTTGGAAATGACAGTAATGTGCTGAAAAGTCTACAGTGAACTTCAGCTACACTTGCCCAAATTTCAACGGATGTTGTATTTTTTTGCTATTTTGAATCATAAGCATAAACAATTCATTCTCAGCCAAGGTTCAAAGCTGGGTGACCTTAAACTTTGTATTTTATTATATATATTAGTTCCTATGTGTTAGCTCTTATAGATATTTGAAATCCTTTCTTTTCTTTCCTTTTTTATTTCTTTTTTATCTTCTCCTTTCCTCCCCAATTCCTTCCCTCCTCTTCTTCCTTCCTCCCTCCTTTTCTTTCTTTTTCCAGAGTTTCTGAATTTTTAAGGCAGCCCTAAAAGATGAGAGAAATGGAAAGGCCAAGTGTTTGAGATGTGGTATGTGCAGGGAAATAATTATAAGTGTGGCGTTTTTTATGTTTCTCTTCATGTTTCTTCCTTTTTGTCTTTTTATTTCAGAAAGTTAAAAATATTGAGTTCATTAAGAATGACTTTCATGTGGTTACCTTCTGTTGTAATAAAAAATTCATAAAGATGGAAAGTTATCCAGAAATGGAGTTTTATTTAGATTATGAATCAGGTTAATGTTTTCAGTCTATGTTTTAATTAGCAAGGGTAACCCTTGGCCACGGTTTGGATTCATCTGGTTTCTGTTCTTCAAACATTTTACATTTGGTAACCTCTAGAAGTTATTATTCATTTATTTGATTTATAAAATGTACTCGTCACCCTGGCCTCTGGGTGTATTTACAACAGTGATGCAAATTCTTAATTAATACAACATTGCTTGGTTTTCCCCAGCAAGTGGATTTCCTCACCCCCCTCCTGCAGCCACCATGAATCAGGATAAGGGCCAGCTTGAACAGATGGACCATGCAACTGGGCTTTAAAGGAGAAATGTAAATTGTTGATGTACTGGGAGGGGAAGTGAGTCTGTACAAAATACCTTTCTCTTGCTGGTGAAATGGAGAATGGATGGAAGCTCCAACAAGGACATGTTATTTGACCTACCTAGTTGTGAGGTAGTGTGAAGAAAAATATGAAAACATTGCTCAAGTTATGCCTTACTCTTCCTCCCTCAAAAGATCCAGGACAACAAAAATTAAAGACTGCTTTTTGTTTGTGTCAGACCTCAAGTTATAGTGATTGGAGGGTAATAGTCTGGTTAGATGCACACATATGAAGTCATCTGTGCTTGATTTACATCCAGATTTTTCAAAGATTTCTCATATGTAAAATGGAAATAAAATAGTACCTAATTCACTGGATTGTTGTGTGGGTTTAATGAGACAGTGTGTACAAGGTGTCTCTCAAGAAGTGGCACGTAGAAAGAGCTCAATAAATATTGGTTGTAGGTTTTCGTGGTATTTATAATTAGAAAGTTAACTGGCTTGGAGGATGCCTAAGTGACTAGTTTTTGGACCCTATAACTCACATTAAAATAGAAGTAACATGCTTCCACTGTTGAAACGTTTTGCCTGACTAATGAATGTTGATGAACGTTTCTGGAGAAACTCATTGTGGTACTACCAACATACAATGAGCTAATGGACATGAGGATTTTCTCAGTGTTGATTATGGTGTTGCCAAAACAGAAGCACAAAATCTCTGGACCACACAGCATGGGTGAGCTGTGCTTATCACCCTTCTCAGCCATTTGCATCATCCCTGTCTATCCCAGAAGAGATAGATATTTTATATATAAGAGAAAGTATTCCATTAATTGCTCAACAATAGGAGTCAGTTTCATAAAATGATAATTTGGGGCTATGGGGAATATGGTAATGAGTGAGAAACTTTGGAAGACCTTCATTTTATACTGTGAGACATTTATTGTATTCGGAGGCAGAAGCCACTTCTAGTCCCAGTGTTTCCCCTATAGCTCCATTTTGTCTCTGCAGGGGATACACGTCTGTTTCAGCCATCTCAGCTCTAGAGGACTTCATGGAAATTGAGCCAGTCCTAAGACAAAGTCTACAGTCTGTGGTTGATCTGGTAGTGTCAGTGGGAAGATGAAAGGAGTGTGTATCATCACAGCATTCATGCCATTGTTACTTATCTTTTGGTTTTTCTAGTAACCTGGTTATAAGATTCTATTTCAACATGACACATTAAAAAGGAAAAAATTAATTGGATAATTGTGTCTTTATTTACTTAACTCCAAAATATTCATTTAAAAAGAGAAAATAGTGCTTATCTGGTTGTTCACTTATTAAGTGAACATATTTTTGTTTGTATAGCAGTAGTTCTATTTTCTTCCACATCATTAAAATACGTAGTCTACTTACATCAGTAATATCTCCTGAAAATTCTATGATTTCCTACCAGGTGGCATTAGGATTTTACTGGGGTATGAAGTTAACTTGTTCTTTCTTCCCCTATACAAAGTTGGGTGGAATTGACTTAGATAGATTTTGTCAGCCCTTTGAACCCCCAAGGGAGCTTCGGGCCCTTTTCTGTTCTCACCCAAAGGATTACTCAATCACCAACACACCACATTCCCCACTCAGGAGGAGAGAGTGCTGCTCTGGATTGACCAAAATGGCAGCCCACATAGAAAAAGAAGGCTCTTTCTTTTCTTGGGAGTGTAGATAAAGTAGGTCTGGAAGCAGCTTCTTTTAAATCTCTCCCCTTCCCTCACTCCAGAGATAGCTCTAGGGTGTGTAGTATGGGAATGCATGCTCTAGATGTTAAGGATGAGATTCTATGACACTTCCTCCTCTTGACTCATTTCACCTCTTGGCCCTTACCCTAGATGAACAGATTTCAGATTTGGTATGTGGTTCTGGGCATTGCATTGAAGTTAACTTCCTTAGATCCACCTGGGAAATTGTGTTCCACTGTGGGTGTAGGCCATCTCACTGGAATTCTATAATGGAATTTGAATGCTTTTTAGTAGTAAAGATTTCACTGGCCCTGGTCATAGTCCTTTAAGAATCTTTCATTAAGATGTGGCTGGTGATGAGCAGAATTGGGATATTCCACGGCCCATAGCCAAATACCATCTCTTAATCTAACCCACATATCCTCGTCTATTGCTATTTCAATAATGAACTTCAACTCCTACTTGAGTAGGGTCGATCAGGTTTTTTTCAATGCCACTGTTTGGGAACATAAGACTAAAATTCACTGGTAATTATTATTTTCTCTTGCTCAATATTATGCCAAAAGTGGGTGGTCATATCATTTGATTTCTATAATCTCTATCTGCATAGACCATGGGGCTTATTACTTATGCAAAGAACATTGTGTATTTGAACCCACAAAGAAACAAACCAGTCAGGAGGATTTTTATTAAAATGGAAATGTCTGCAACAACTAGCCATGGAAATGTGCATTGCCTCTCTTGGGGAGTGTCTGGAGTGCCTGCCACGTGCTTATTCTCAGAAGGAGCAGCATTGAATTGCATGTGAAAGAAATTGTGGAAAACTTTCCTTTTGGAATTTAAAATTTTGTGACACTCCTAAATCCCATGGAAGACAAGAAAGAGCATATAAATTTATGAAACAAAGTATGTTTGAATTTATCTATCCCATGTCTAACAACATAAATATTAGGTAAAAGAAAACATCCGTATGTCCCCTGAAATGCATTTCTGTAACAAACACTAGTTGGGAGAGAATGTGACCCTTCTAGGATTCTAGTCCAGACACTTATTGTAAAATAGGGTAATCAGATGTATTGCAAATTCTCAAATTCTTTGGGGTACAGTTGAGTTGTGGTTTTTACTTTAAATGTCCAGGGGAATGCTGAGGTGAATCCTATCCTGTATCTTTCTGTCAGCAAGAGGTTTCCCACCATGTGTATTGGAACTAGGCCTGTTATTCTTATTAATTCTTTTGCTAGTACAGTAGTGCTATGTTAATTCTGACAGGCTGGTCAGGGTCATATTTGTTTCTAGCCAACTGAATTCTTTGATTCTCAGGCAGTAGACAAATGGGCAACTGGAGAAGAGCGGTGAGATAGCTGCCTTTCATTTAATTTTTATTATTGTTAGGTATTTACATCCATTAGCATGTGTGGTCCCCAGAATATGTAATTGGACATTGGATGCTGTGCTATTCTTTTATGGTCTACAGGAGAACACATAGTTATGGAAAATATGATATAATTCTTTGTGCCCTAGTGGTGGGAACAGTTTTTCAAGTGAAACTTACATAGAAGCTTAACATATAAAAAAAGGTAAAAGTGAAGCTGTGCTATTAGATCCAAGGATATAGAGGGGCCTGCTATGTCTACTTGACTTTCTTTCCTTGTGTTGTCCTAAGAAAAATTTTTTCCTAAGTAAATCACAGTGTCTTGAAAGGAAGTGAAATTGCTGAGGTTAATGTTAACAATATTACTTGTTTACTTATGATTAAGTAGAAAACATTACTTATGTTTACAATATTATTTAATCATTTAACAAGTATATATTGAAAGCCCACTATGTGCCAGACTCATTCTGAAGATGATGATAGCATAGTAATAAATAATCATTGAAAATTTATTGCATTTATCAGGGGTGAATAATCTCAATTCTCTTAATCCTATTATAGAAGCACTATTAGCATCTTAATTTTACAGACGAAATAACTAAGGCTTAGAGGAGTTAAGTACTGTGTTCGAGGTCCCATGAGTAGTAAATCAGAGAGCTGGAGATTTTTACTCTAGTAGTTTGATTCTAATCCCAAACTCTTAGACATTATGCTCCCTATAATATCAAACACTGATTAAAGGCTTACTATGCTCCAGGAATAGTATATATTATATACATATTATATACATAGTATATATTATATACATATTATATACATAGTATATATTATATACATAATATATACACTCTTATATATATTCTTTTAATTCTCTCAGTATTCTTTTGTGCTGACATTATTGTCATTACCCCCAATTTTATGTTTAAGGAAACTGAAGCAAACAAAAAATAATCTCGCTAAGTTCACACTTCAGGTAGTGGCAGAGTTAAGATATAAACCCCAAAAGCATATATATGCTCTTAAATATGATTCTTTAACAAATAAGAATAGTCCATGTTCTCAGGAAGCTTATGGTAGGTCTAGTTTAGATATAGAGATGCAAATTAAAATTTCATCGTAGAAAGACAATATCCTCAATGGAAGTGTAGGCAAAAATTTTAGAAAATGTTAATCTTAGCTTAGTGCCCTAATGGCTCTCTCCTTATCTTTAACCCATGAAAAACTTTTACAGATACCCTTTAACCAGCTCTAGGATTCCTCTGTGTTCTGTCTCCCACACTTCACTTAAAGCTTTGGCCAGCTTTTGGCTTGGTTTGTCTGGTTCTCATATTGGTTTGTACCCAAATTTCACTCTTTGCCTGTGTCTCAGAAATACACGTACTTTAACAATCTGCCTGCTCTTAGGAGCCTGCTGCAACTTTTCTCTCCCTCTCTGGCCTCTCCCCAGATGCTCTGTAGCCTTCCCCTGTGCTATACCCCCTCCTTGGATGAAACACTCCACCCTGGGACAGCAATTTGAGTAAGCTTTCTGACTGGGCTGTTGCTTCTCAGAGTAATGGACCAACATCATAGTTATCCTCTGGGAGCTTGTAAGAAATGCAGAATCTTTGGCCTCACCTTAGACCTACTAATGAGTCTGAATCTCAGTAAGATCCCAGGAGATTTGTATCCTTGAGAGGCACTGGGCTAGGAGGTGAGATCTTACTGGAGATTAGAGGTAGTTCATGTTCACTTGGCGCTGTCAGTGAAGCTCTCACAGTGGAAGTAGTATTTCAATGATTCTAGAGGAATGAATAGGGGTTTTCCAAGGAGATGAAGGAGAAATTTTATGCTGGGAAAATAGTACGTGCAAAGGCATAATTGGGGAACTATTAGTTCCATTTTTTTTGTCTGTAGCATAACATGTGAAAGAGAGAAGTGCGCATAGTGATTTTAAAACATGCTTGCAAATTCTTTGACACTCCTCTAATCAAGGGCCCCATGAATCTGGATGGGCTTGTGACTGCCTTGTCCAATAGAATGTGGTAGAAGTGATATTACTTCCAAAGCTAAACTGTAAAAGGCCATGCAGTTTTCACTTGCTGATAGAACCCTGTGCTGCCACGTCAGATGTTTAAATAAACTGAGACTGTTATGATCATATGCATTAGAATTCACTGAAGCATTTAAATAGGGAAATAGGATATTTGCAAGACAATTGGCAAAGTAAATTAGTTAAAAAGCTATTTCAGTATGTTAGAGAGAAATTAATTATAAGCCTTTGAACTAAGGAAGTGTTCGTTTGAATGAAGAGAGTAAATGTGAAAATTGACTTAGGAAGTAAAATTTGCAGGACTTGAGGTTAAGGCAAAATATTATTTTATTTGGATGTATGGATCATGGGTATTTTTTATTTATTTATTTACTTATTTATTTATTTATTTATTTATTTATTTTTGGGACAGAGTCTCACTCTGTCACCCAGGCTGGAGTGCAGTAGTGTGATCTTGGCTCACTGCAATCTCAGTCTCCCAGGTTCAAGTGATTCTCATGCCTCAGCCTCTGGAGTAGCTGGGATTACAGGCATGTGTCACCACACCCAGCTAATTTTTGTATTTTTAGTAAAGACTGGGTTTCACTGTGTTGGCCAGGCTGGTCTCGAACTCCTGACCTCAAGGGATCTGCCCGCCTCGGCCCCCAAAGTGTTGGAATTACAGGCATGAGCCGCTGCGCCCGGCCAGTATTGTCATTTATCAAAATAGGGAACATAGGAAGAGAGGGAGATGCTTCGTGGGAAGAAAATGAGTATGTTTCAGAACACATTCAGTTAGATATATAGACAACAGTTGGGTTTTGATTGGGACTACTTAATGCATAGGTCACAATATGAAATGTATTCTCTCGTTGATGCCAATTCTGAACAATTGCTGGTGGCTGTCTGGAAGGTTGAGCTGAGGATTCTCAGGGTGGTCTTGGCTTGATGGGAGGAAGAGGAATTATCAGTGACTGATGTTTGTCTGGAGCCAGGCCAAGTAATGTGATCATTTGTCTAATGTGCATTTTCCCACTTTGATGTTATGGTATGAGGTGTTAAGAACTGATTCTATTTTGAAGTAATGATAATCAAGTGGAGGTACCATGGGGAACACCAACTTTTATTTCTTATGAAACGTTCCAGTACTTTGTTAAGTATGATTAAGTCTGCAAATAGGTTTATCTAACCCATCACCATTCATGGAATGATGTTGTATGGGGACCAACCCACTATGGTCCTGGAGAATTTCAAGAGTTGGCAATGATGATGGAGTAGGCTTCCTTGCTTGTGAAAGCAATAGGAAGAAGTAGAATCACGAATTATAAAATTGGAAAGAAATGCGTTTTGTCATTCCAGCCCTCTCATTTTACTGAGAAGGAGATTGAAGCTTGAGATATGCCTTGCTTGAGATCACTTAGCTATATAAGCTTTGCAATCACTTTCAAATCTATATAATTCGATGTACATTTTTCTTATTAGGGACAGCCAGAACAGGAAGCCAGTCTAACTGCACTCTGATGACACTGGCTTATGATGAACTGGATTGATTGCACAGCAGATAGAAACTACTATGTAACTGCCCAGGGTGAAGCAAGGATTCATCTCACATTGAGGAAATCTATTTCCACCCATGGCTCTCAGAAGCTGGTCTTCTGCTTGCTGTTGAGCCCAGAAGATACCTTCAAATTTTCAGGAAAGAAGAGATGACTGGGAAAGTTTCCAGAATGGTGGTTTTTGTAACATCTGTAGCCTCAGAACTTAAGAAGAGCAAGCATAAAATGTGTTTTTGCAAATGTTTTTCATGGATTTAAGACCTAAGCTGTTTAACAGATTGTCTTGCTTAAGAAATATGACTTGTTTTAGCTGACAAGATGGATTTTATGAACTGATTGATCCCAGCTGCCAATTGTCAAAGCCAGAGGATGTTCCAAATTGGCAGTCCCCAAAGACCTGGAGTGGATTGATTTAAGGTGGGGAAAGGAAGATTTGGAGGTGGAGAAAATAGAGTTTTATAAAACTAATATGATTCTGAAAGTATTTGAAACACAAATATCCATTAGAACACACAAAAAGTTAAAATAGTTCAAGCTTCATTCTACTTTGTGAGCTGTTCTAATACCTTCTAAGGCTGTAGGTGCCCTCTTCACCTTTTGTTTGCTTCTCATTGGACTTTTAATAGTAAATAGCACAAAGGATAGAGATATATATCCAAGATTTTATGTATGTATAAAATCTTCACAGCTTCAAAGTTTGAATTATGTACTTTCTGAAGAAGGAACTGTTTCGAGTTCATGAAATTATTCTCTGTATTTTGACAAATTACAAGCATCTACATTTTAAGAAAGACATGGTGAGGCCTTTTGCTTGGATAGATTCTTGAGATGGTAAATGAGGCAGCTGTTTGAAATTCAATTTTTAAATTTTATTCTGATATCTAAGTCCATCTTTGAGCACATTATTGATATTAACAATGCTAATAATGCTGTTAATAATACCACCTATTGGCTATGCAACTTTAGCTCTTTGTGCCTTACATCCCATGTTGGTACTTACCTCATGGACTTGTAAAGATAAAATGAGTTAACCCAGGCAAAGTGCTTAGAATAATGCTTGTTTCATAATTAATGCTTTAAAAGTGTTATTACAATGACAAATCATAACAGTGTGGGGGTAATGCTATAAATATTGCTGATCAAGTACCTAATAAGCTTCTCCATTAGCTGCTAAGGTGTAGGTTAGCCAAAAACATCATTTGCTGTTGTTCAGAGGTTCACATGCCTAGTCTTTTAAACAATGTTTAGGAGAGATCATCTATGATGGGTCAAATTGTATGATGAGATTACAAATGTATAGTTTATGCGTATTGATATTTCCACTTGCAAGTGGGTTTTGTAGTTGAAGTTGCCATGATACTGGGTTTCATTCAGGCACTGAATTTATGAGATGAAACTCTCATGATAGCATAAGCTTCCAAAGCACCAATTAGGCAACTAATTATTTGGATTGGTGATATCTTTTTTATTTGCCTTCTTATTGCTTAAAGGTAGTGACCATCTCTCTTAATTAATTTACATGGCCTCATTGGAAGAAGAGTCAAGTAAAAACTTTTGACAATGAACTAGGTTAACAATGAGGGGCATTGTCAGCACTGCTAAGCTAGATACTGTAAGTTCTAAAGGGAAAATACAAAATGACAGCTGACTCTCCGTCTTCTTTCACTTTCCTCAAAGAAAAGTTTCAGTGAAGGGAAAATCTTATGAAATATATTGGACAATAAATATTTTAAGGAACCAAGGCATCTGGAGACCCACTTCCCAGAAGAAAGAAAGTATCTTGTATTAAGTGAGATGTATCATTATGTGAGTCAATTAATAAAATAAATTAATTATGGACTATTAAAAGTTTATAATCTGAATTTTATCATTCAAAATATAACTAATAAAAATGAAAACGTGATGTAATTGTTAGGAGTATCATGACATAATCAGACAGGCGTTGGTTCAAATTGTGTTTAGTCAGTTTTTATACTTGTGTCTCTGGGCTTATTACAAATGTCTTTGTACCTCATCATGTAGATAATATATATTTGGTAGGGATTACTGTATTATTTGGAGTGAAGCAAAGTCAAATTCTGAGAATATGACTAAGTGCATTTTATTATTTAAATACAATGTCTGGGCTCAGCTTAAGTTTACTCGAGCAGAAAAACCATAATATTTGGAGCAGTCAAGGCGGCATTTTTGTTTTATTATACTTTAAGTTTTAGGGTACATGTGCACAATGTGCAGGTTAGTTACATATGTATACATGTGCCATGTTGGTGTGCTGCACCCATTAACTCGTCATTTAACATTAGGTATATCTCCTAATGCTATCCCTTCCCCCTCCCCCCGCCCCACAACAGGCCCCTGTGTGTGATGTTCCCCTTCCTGTGTCCATGCGTTCTCATTGTTCAATTCCCACCTGTGAGTGAGAACATGCGGTGTTTGGTTTTTTGTCCTTGCGATAGTTTGCTGAGAATGATGGTTTCCAGCTTCATCCATGTCCCTACAAAGGACATGAACTCATCCTTTTTATGGCTGCATAGTATTCCATGGTGTATATGTACCACATTTTCTTAATCTAGTCTATCATTGTGGGACATTTGGGTTGGTTCCAAGTCTTTGCTATTGTGAATAGTGCCGCAATAAACATATGTGTGCATGTGTCTGGGACGTCTCTCAAAATAAGCTATCTATGACAAACCCACAGCCAATATCATACTGAATGGGCAAAAACTGGAAGCATTCCCTTTGAAAACTGGCACAAGACAGGGATGCCCTCTCTCACCACTCCTATTCAACATAGTGTTGGAAGTTCTGGCCAGGGCAATCAGGCAGGAGAAGGAAATAAAGGGTATTCAATTAGGAAAAGAGGAAGTCAAATTGTCCCTGTTTGCAGATGACATGATTGTATATCTAGAAAACCCCATCGTCTCAGCCCAAAATCTCCTTAAGCTGATAAGCAACTTCAGCAAAGTCTCAGGATACAAAATCAATGTGCAAAAATCACAAGCATTCTTATACACCAATAACAGACAGACAGAGAGCCAAATCATGAGTGAACTCCCATTCACAATTGCTTCAAAGAGAATAAAATACCTAGGAATCCAACTTACAAGGGATGTGAAGGACCTCTTCAAGGAGAACTACAAACAACTGCTCAATGAAATAAAAGAGGATACAAACAAATGGAAGAACATAACATTCCATGCTCACGGATAGGAAGAATCAATATCGTGAAAATGGCCCAGTGCCATCCCCATCAAGCTACCAATGCCTTTCTTCACAGAATTGGAAAAAACTACTTTAAAGTTCATATGGAACCAAAAAAGAGCCCGCATTGCCAAGACAATCCTAAGCAAAAAGAACAAAGCTGGAGGCATCATGCTACGTGACTTCAAACTATACTACAAGGCTACAGTAACCAAAACAGCATGGTACTGGTACTAAAACAGAGATATAGACCAATGGAACAGAACAGAGCCCTCAGAAATAATGCCACATATCTACAACTATCTGATCTTTGACAAACCTGAGAAAAACAAGCAATGGGGAAAGGATTCCCTATTTAATAAATGGTGCTGGGAAAACTGGCTAGCCATATGTAGAAAGCTGAAACTGGATCCCTTCCTTAGACCTTATACAAAAATTAATTCAAGATGGATTAAAGACTTAAATGTTAGACCTAAAACCATAAAAACCCTGGAAGAAAACCTAGGCAATACCATTCAGGACATAGGCATGGGCAAGGACTTCATGTCTAAAACACCAAAAACAATGTCCACAAAAGCCAAAATTGACAAATGGGATCTAATTAAACTAAAGAGCTTCTGCACAGCAAAAGAAACTACCATCAGAGTGAACAGGCAACCTACAGAATGGGAGAAAATTGTTGCAATCTACTCATCTGACAAAGGGCTAATATCCAGAATCTACAAAGAACTCAAACAAATTTACAAGAAAAAAACAAACATCCCCATCAACAAGTGGGCAAAGGATATGAACAGACACTTCTCAAAAGAAGACATTTATGCAGCCAAAAGACACATGAAAAAATGCTCATCATCACTGGCCATCAGAGAAATGCAAATCAAAACCACAATGAGATACCATCTCACACCAGTTAAAATGGCAATCATTAAAAAGTCAGGAAACAACAGGTGCTGGAGAGGATGTGGAGAAATAGGAACACTTTTACACTGTTGGTGGGACTGTAAAGTAGTTCAACCATTGTGGAAGTCAGTGTGGCGATCCCTCAGGGATCTAGAACTAGAAATACCATTTGACCCAGCCATCCCATTACTGGGTATATACCCAAAGGATTATAAATCATGCTGCTATAAAGGCAGCATTTTAAATCCAAAACTTTCTAGTCTCCTCTTTCTTCCAGGAAAGGGTATTGTCAGGAATAGGAAAATCAAGCCAATGAAGGGTTGTCTATGCCTATTGTTAAAGGGCTTAGATGGAATTATTTCTGATAGGCACCATCAAGAAGACCAGATGATTCTACTACCCCTTCCAAAATATTTCATATAAGAAACATCACAAGAAAACATATAGTAAATCTACAAAAATAAAGATTGGTTTTTTTTACTATGCACTAGCTGTTATACCAAGTAATTTACATTTAGTGACTTTATTGAATGGATACTACTATTAGCAATGTATAATAGATGAAGAAACAAAGTCTCAGAGTAATTAAATTTCTAGGCTTACGGAGCTAGTAAACTACAGAATTAGGATTCAAACCTAGGTTTGACTCTGCTATATTTAGGTATGCCAAATGATGGTTATTGTGTACTCAAATTTTAGGTATTCAAAGAAAAGAAATCTACAGGTTGAAGTGATTTGGTAAGTCTCAATGGAGGAGGCATGAAGTTATCTGTGTTCTGAAAAGCAAGTAGGAGGGTATTTCAAGTGGGAGGATGGCAGCAGGATAAATACAGATGTGTGAAGCTTCACAATACATTCTTGCATTAATTAGTTGACCAGTTTGACTCAAAGAGATTATTCTCTAAGGTGATCATTCAAAGATAAGATTTTCTTTTAAATAGCTTTATTACTGGGGGTGGGGCAAAGATGTCCAACTAGAAGCATTGGCGTTTACTAGAAGCAGCGGTGTTCGGAGGCTACCATTTTAAAAAGAAACATAATAAGCATGTGAATCCTTCACCAGCAACCAAGGCATCCAGGTTCTTTCATCAAAATTGACTAGAAGGCTGGCATGACCCACGGAGAGAAGGAACAGTGTGGTGCAGCAGCCCACCTGAGAGCCACAGGGGTAGGGGAACTCCCTCCTCCCAGCCAAGGGAGGTGGTGAGCGTGCTACCCAGCTGGGGAAACTGTGCTTTTTCCATGGACTGTGCAACCGATGGATTGGAAGGTCCCACTCATGAACCCACACCACACCGGTGCAGAGTCCCAACCCTGGAATGTGCAGATTCTTACAGCTTCTCAGCTGGCATCTGCTTAAGCCTACCGAACTCCCAGGGGAAGGGGTGAACAGTGCTGGCTGCCACTGCCAACTGTCTAAGCCTTTTGAGCTCCTGTAGGGAGGGGCAGGAGCCAGCACAGGGACTGGAAACTGTGGAACACACTAAGCTCCCTGGGCAGGCGGAAGGGCGGCACCCATTTCTATAGCTCTAGGCTGTACTTTTTCCCCTGCTGGAGCCAGGGAGGCTGAATGGCCTGGTCCCAACACTTGTCCCTGTAGCCCAACACAGCTGTTGTGGCAGTCGTGGGCAGAGTGCCTCTGAAGGCTTAAACCTGACCCATATTTCCTCATTGGGTGGCCTTCCCTGCAGGATCTCCAGTAACTCCAGCCAGAGGCTGGATGAATTTGGATATCCCTGGGCCTGAGCCCCTGGATGATAACAATTAAAAGAGCTAGAGAGGCAACAGCAAACTAATCCAAAAGCTAGCAGAAGATAAGAAATAATTAAGATCAGAGAAGAATTGAAGAAATAAGATCAGAGAAGAATTAACTAAGATCAGAGAAGAAATAACTAAGATCAGAGAAGAAGGAGATAGAGACACAAAAAACCCTCCAAAAAATCAGTGAATCCAGGAGCCAGTGTTTTGAAAAAACTAACAAAATAGATAGAACACTAGCTAGACTAATAAGAAGAGAGAGAAGAATCAAATAGACACAATACAAAATGATGAAGGGGATATCACCACTGATTTCACAGAAATACAAACTACCATCAGGGAATACTATAAACACCTCTACGCAAATAAACTAGAACATCTAGAAGAAATGAATAAATTCCTAGACAGACAGACTCTACAAAGACTAAGCCAAGAAGAAGTTGAAACCCTGAATAAATCAATAACAAGCTCTGAAATTGGAGCAGTAATTAATAGCCTACCAGCCAAAAAAGGCCCAGGACCAGATGAATTCACAGCTGAATTCTACCAGAAATACAAAGAGGAGCTGGTACTCTTTGTTCTGAAATTATTCCAAACAATTGAAAAGGAGGGACTCCTGCTAATTCATTTTATGAAGCCAGCATCATCCTGATATCAAAACCGGGAAGAGACACAACAAAAAAAGAAAACTTCGGACAATATTTCTGATGAACATCGATGCGAAAATCCTCAATAAAATACTGGCAATCCTAATCCAGCAGCACATCAAAAAGTTTATCCACCACTATCAAGCTGGCTTCATCCCCCTGGGAAGCAAGACTGGTTCAACATATGCAAATCAATAAACATAATCCATCACATGAACAGAACCAAACACAAAAAAAAAAAAAACCACACGATTACCTCAATGGATGCAGAAAAGGCGTTTGATAAAATTCAACATCGCTTCATGTTAAAAACTCTCAATAAACTAGATATTGATGGAATATATCTCAAAATAATAAGAGCTACTTATGACACACTCAAAGCCAATATCATAGTGAATGGGCAAAAGCTGGAAGCATTCTCTTTGAAAACTGGTACAAGACGAGGATGCCCTCTTTCACTACTGCTATTTAACATAATATTGGAAGTTCTGGCCAGGGCAGTCAGGCAAGAGAAAGAAAGCGTATTCAAATAGGAATAGAGGAAATCAAGTTGACTCTGTTTGCAGACAACATGATTTTATATTTAGAAAACCCCATCATCTCAGCTCCAAAACTCCTTGAACTGATAAGCAACTTAAGCAAATTTTCAGGATACAAAATCAATGTGCAAAAATCACAAGCATTCCTATACACCAGTAATAGGCAAGCAGAGAGCCAAATCATGAATGAATACCAATCACAAGTGCTACAAAGAGAATAAAATACCTAGGAATACAGCTAACAAGGGATGTGAAGGACCTCTTCAAGGAGAACTACAAACCACTGCTCAAGGAAATAAGAGGACACAAACAAGTGGAAAAACATTCCACCCTCATGGATAGGAAGAATCGATACCATGAAAATGGCCTTACTGCCCAATGTAATTTATAGATTCAGTGCTATTCCTATCAAACTATCATTGACATTCTTCACAGAATTAGAAAAAACTATTTTAAATTTCATATGGAATCAAAGAAGACCCTGTATAGCCAAGACAATCCTAGGCAAAAAAGAACAAAGCTGCAGGCATCATGATACCTGACTTCAAACTATACTGCAAGATTATAGTAACCAAAACAGCATGGTACTGGTACCAAAACAGACATATAGACCAGTGGAGCAGAACAGAGACCTCAGAAATAGTACCACACATCTACAACCATCTGATTTTCAACAAACCTGACAAAAACAAGCAATGAGGGAAAGGATCTCCTATTCAGTAAATGGTGCTGGGAAAACTGGCTAGCCATATGCAGAAAACAGAAAGTGGATCCCTTTCTTACTTACACCTTATAAAAAAATTAACTCAAGGTGCATTGAAGACTTAAATGTAAAACCCCAAACCATAAAAACCCTAGGAAAAAACCTAGGCAATGCCATTCAGGACATAGGCATGGACAAAGACTTCATGACCAAAATGCCAAAAGCAATTACAGCAAAAGTCAAAATTGACAAATGGGATGTAATTAAATTACAGAGCTTCTGCACAGCAAAAGATGCTAGCATCAGAGTGAACAGGCAACCTACAGAATGGGAGAAAATGTTTGCAATCTACGCATCTGACAAAGGTCTAATATCCAGAATTTACAAGGAACTTAAACATATTTACAAGAAATAAACAACCCCATCAAAAGGTGGGCAAAGGATATGAACAGACACTTCTCAAAAGAAGACATTTATGCGGCCAATAAACATATGAAAAAAAGCTCAACATCACTGATCGTCAGAGAAATGCAAATCAAAACCACAATGAGATACCATCTCACACCAGTCAGAATGGTGATTGTTAAAAAGTCAGGAAGCAATAGATGCTGGTGAGGCTGTGGAGAAATAGGAATGCTTTTACACTGATGGTGGGGATGTAAATTAGTTCAACCATTGTGGAAGACAGTATGGCGATTCCTCAAGGATCTAGAACCAAAAACACCTTTTAATCCAGGAATCCCATTACTAGGTATATACCCAAAGGAATATAAATCATTCTGTTATAAAGACACATGCACATGTATGTTTACTGCAGCACTATTTACTATAGCAAAGACATGAAACCAACCCAAATGCCCATCAGTGATAGACTGGATAAAGAAAATGTTGTATGTATACACCATGGAATACTATGCAGCCATAAAAAGGAATGAGATCATGTCCTTTGCAGGGACATGGATGAAGCTGAAATCCGTCATCCTCAGCAAACTAACACAGGAACAGAAAACCAAACACCACATGTCCTCACTTATAGTGGGAGTTGAACATTCAGAACACATGGACACAGGGAGGGGAAAAAACACACACCAGGGCCTGTTGGGGGCTGGGGAGTGAAGGAAAGGACCTTAGAGGACGGGTCAATAGATGCAGCAAACCACTATTGCACAGGTACATCTATGTAACAAACCTGAACATTCTGCACATGTATCCCGTTTTTTATTTTTTAGAAGAAATTTTAAAAAAGCTTTATTGAGGTATGGTTGACATGTAATACACATTGAATATCTAATGTGTACAATTTGATAAGGCTTTTTTTGTTTGTTTGTTTTTGAGATGGAGTCTTGCTCTGTTGCCCAGGCTGGAGTACAGTTGCACGATCTTGGCTCACTGAAACCTCTGCCTCCTAGGTTCAAGCAATTCTCCTTCCTTAGCCTCATGAATAGCTTGGAATACAGGTGTGCACCACCATGCCTGGCTAATTTTTGTGCTTTTTTAGTAGAGACAGGGTTTCACCATGTTGGCTAGGCTGGTCTCAAACTCCTGACCGCAAGTGATCTGCCTGCCTTGGCATTCCAAGGTGCTGGGATTACAGGTGTGAGCCACTGCACCCAGCAGATAAGTTTTGATATATGTGCATAACTGTGAAATTATCACCACTATCAAGATAATAAACACATCCATCATTGTCAAAAGTTTCTTTGACAAAATATTTGCAAACTATTCATCTGACAAGTTACTAATATCCGTAATGTACAAGAAACTCAAATAACTCAATAATGAAACCAAATAATCTCATTAAAAAGTGGGCTCTGGCTAGGCACAGTGGCTCACGCCATATGATCCAATAATCCCACTACTGTGCGTTTATCCAAAGGCTAAGAAATCGATATGTCAAAGGAATACTTGAACCAGCATGTTTATCACAGCACTATTTACAATAGCAAAGATATGGAATTAACTTAAGTGCTTATTGATGGACAAATGGATATAGGAAATGTGATATATATATATGTGTATATATATATGTGTGTGTGTGTGTGTATATATATATATATATATATACAATGAAATACTATTCTACAATAAAAAAGAATAAAATCATGCCATTTGCAGCAACATGGATGGAACTGGAGTCATTAAGTTAAGTGAAATAAGCCAGTCACACAAAGACAGATGTATTAGTTTTTGCATCACTATAAAAAAATCCCTGAGACTCAGTAATTTATAAAGAAAAGAGATTTGATTGGTTTATGGTTCTGCAGGCTGTATGGGAAGCATAGTGCTGGCATCTGCTTCTGGTGAGGGCCTCGGGAAACTTCCAATCATGGCGAAGGTGAAGGGTGAACTGGCACATCACATGGTGCGAGAGGAAGCAAGAGTGGTGCGGGGGTGGGGTGGGGGGAATGCGTCACACTCTTTTAAACAACCAGATCTCACATGAACTCAGAGCGAGAACTCACTGATTACCAAGAAGATGGCACTAAGCCATTCGTGAGGGATCTGCCCCCGTGATCAAAACACCTTCCACCAGGCCCCACCTTCAACATTGGGGATTACATTTCAACATGAGATTTGGAGGGAACAAGCATCCAAACTGTATCATCCATAATAAATGCAATATTTTGTATCAATAAAAAAAGTTTGAGTGTCTTTGTAATTCTTCTTTTCCAGCCCTTCTACTTTTTTACTTTCTGGTTCCCAGGCAACCATTAGTATGCTTTATTTCTTTTTAATAAATTAACAGCATTGTAAGTATTTACTTCTGTCACTATATATTAGTATGTATTTTCTAGAACTTTATACATATGTTGTCTGGCTTCTTTGACTCAGGATAATTATTCTGAGGTTCATCTATGTTGCAGTATGCATTTATAGTTCATTCTTTCATTCTTTTTGTTGCTAAGTGGTATTCCAGTCCATTCACCTGTTGATGGACATTTAGGTAGCTTCCAGTTTTTGGCCATTAGAAATAAAGCTACTATAAGTGTTCAGATACAAATCTTTGTATGGACCTACTCTTTCACTTCTCTTGAGTAAACACCTAGGAATAGAATGGCTAAATCATATGGTATGAGAATGTCTGATTTTTTTTAAATGCCAAACTGTTTTTCTAAGTGGTTGCATAATTCTACATTTCTAGCAGCAGTGTGTGAGTTCCATTTCCACTTGGCATGGTCATAGATTGAAAGGGAGGTAGAAAGCAGATAGAGACACATATGCCTACCAAAGGGATTTGAAATGTAATTTGAAAGCAACAGAGATCCATTAAAGATTTCAAATGAGGGAGGGACAAGGCATATGAAGTGATTTAGGAAGCTAGCTTAGATGGCACTGAAATAGTCCAGACATGAGAAGGTAAATGTCTGAACTGGTGGAATGTGAGTGAAAATGGAAAAGAAGGGAAGATGCAAAAAAAGAGTGTAAAGAAATAGTTAATGAGACTTGTTTTATTTTGGTTTTCCCCTATAGGACTGAAAGGAGAAATTCAGTTGTACTTTTTTAGCTTGAGAGGCTAGATATGTGGTATGATTAATATTAACAGAAAAGTCAGGAGGTACATTTTGGGGAGAGAAAATGAGAATGAGAATGAGTGGGATTTAGACATGTTGAAATTTAAGTGCATTCACCTGTCTTTCTGGAATATTTTGTGTCTAGGTAAATGTTTGCACCTTGATTCAATTTCCCATGAATTTTAGATGGCCATATGAACACATAAAAGGGGAACATTGGAAAGAAGTTAGAGGTAAAAGTTTCCAGTGAAATATGGACGGGTAAGAAGAGTAGGGTGTAGAACTGGGGTGGGGGATTTATGGTGGGCTGCAGAGGAGTGGTGGAGGCATGTATTTGGGAGACTTTCCCCCACATAAATTATAGTTCAAGCTGAGAGATATGGATGACCATTTCAGGGGCCATTCATGGTATTTTTAAAGATAATTCAGGGGTAGAATGATTGAGAATCCTGTTCTTGTTGTGATAGTCATCATTTTCCAAGTTGGTAGATGAACTAGAGCAGTGGTCCCCAACATTTTTGGCACCAGGGACCATTTCATGAAAGACAATTTTTCATGGATGGAGGGGTGGGTGTGGTTTCTGGATGAAACTGTTTCACCTCAGATCGTCGGCATTAGATTCTCATAGGAGCATGCAACCTGGATCCCTCGAATGTGCAGTTCACAATAAGATTTGCACTCCTATGAGAATGTAATGCCACTGCTGATCTGACAAGAGGCAGAGCTTAGGTGGTAATGCTTGATTGCCCACCACTCACCTCCTGCTGTGTGGCCCAGTTCCTAACAGGCCACGGACTGGTACTGGTCTGTGGTCTGGGATTTGGGGACCCCTGAACTAGAGTCAATCTCTGCCTAGTTCTTTATTCCAGCTAAGTTTTTCTCACTTCCCACCATTGCTGGGAAAAACTCTGTCCATTTATTTATCTTGATTTAGCCTAGGGATATACAGCCAGGAATTTGAGTCTACTGTTGAATCTTTAAAGGGTATTTCCAGGACTCAAACAACAGTGTTGCATGCAATGTTACCGAGCCTTAGGGAAATGTAGTTTAAAATTTAGCTCAGGGAAATTATGCTCTAGGCATTTCTTAGCTTCAGGGAAATTATGCTTCAGACAGTTAGAATTCATATTTAAACAACTTATGCCAAATATTTTAAAAAGTCTCTTAGAGTTTATGGACTAGAGTAATGCTTTATGGACTGCTGGCAGGTTATGTGTTTGGCAGTGAGCGAGCCAAAATATGGCACCCACCATGTTGTAATAGAACTAGTTTTTGTGAGAAATGCTTTGGATGGTCATGATGGTGTATATTTGGAGAAGGACTTCCCACTCCAATCCCACCCACAACTAACCACACACATGCTGAGACCTCTTACTTCATCATGAAATAGTAACAGTGATACTTCTTAACAGTTTGTAAGAGAGAAAGTGTTTAAGTGTGATTTTTCTAAAAAAGGAAAACACTCTGTAATGATGCCTCAGGAGACATAATGAGTTATGTTGAATTTCTGCCAGTATTTTCATTCTAAAGTGGTTGATTTAAATATAGTGCTTTTTGAGGATTGAGATAAAAATTAAATATTTTTTTCCTGATTCTTTTTCCATTCTCTTTGTTTTAGTTAGGATAACATTCTATGTGTCAATATTGGCATTTCTTGAACGCTCGATATTTGTTACATTGTGTAACATCCTGGTTAAGTCCTTTGATTTTCATGAAAGATGGCTGTATCAGTTATCTATTGCTGTATAACAGGTCTCTACAAACTTTAGTGATTTAAAACAATACAAATGATTTTTAAAAATCTCAGGTGGCTTCTTTGGTCAAGAATTCAGGAAAGGCTGAACCAGCCAGTTTTGACTTGGGTCTCTCATGTCTTGAAATAAGCTTGTTTCAAGACCCAAGGACCTCACTAAAACTTCTTCACTTACAGATTAGGTTGTGAGGGCTAAGGACTCCAACAGCTTGGGGCTGGAATATCGGAGCCTCCCTACATATTTCTCTATCTATGTGGTTGCTTCATGCTATTTTTCCAGTATGGGAGCTTCATGACAGGGGGACTTGGTAGATGTTGGCTCTGAGATCTCAAGGTGTGTGTCATAGGAGACAGAAAGAAAATGGAAACCATATCATCCTTCATGACCATGCCTGGTAAATCAGTGTCCCTTTCAACATAATCTATTGGTTGATGCCATTATGAAGGTCTGGCAGGTTCAAAGTGAGGGAGTACAGACCACACTTCTTGATGGAGAAGTGGTGATATCACACTATAAAAGAGAAGGTGGAGTGGGATATGCATTGGTGCCTCCCGGTACTTAGATGGTTGTCTAACATTGATGACTGACTTTTAAGAGGCTAGTTAAATAATACGGCCTCGAATTTTCTGCTGCTCTTTGCTCATTGAAACCTCAGTTGTGAGAAATAGTATTCAGAGAGGATGTTTTAAGTATTCTAGTTTTGTCCCTAGATCAAATCAGATCATCAGACAGCTTTTTGGATCCTTGTAGAAATACTTGACCTGACTTGACCTTTGTCATGCATTGGGAGAAGCTATGTGAAGTGGCCATGTAAAAGTCACTAATGCACCAAATACAGAGATGTTTAATTCATACCACTCCCTCTTGCACCAATATTTCTCTTCTCAGCCAGTAGCATGTTGTCCACTCACTTCCCTAGTTAGAAACCTGTGTGTTTTCCTTAAGTTCACCCTTTACTTCATATCCAATTCATCACCTATTCTTACTATTTCAAATCTATACCGTTCTTTACACATATACCTGGAGATGGTTGTGCACTGCAAGAGATGAAAGCCAATTTGATTTTAATTGCTCATTTTTGGATTAAAATCAATGAGAGAAATCATGAAAAGAGAGCAGTTTTCCAACAAACTCCTTAGGGTCCTGAACCACAGACAGACATAGTAATTATTGGACTGATATAATTGCATTTCATATTGAACTAATTAACCATTATTTTTCTTATTGTGCCTGGAGTTTTTAACTTTGTCAGATTCACACATAAGCTTTGTTGATTGTTATAATTTTTTGGACCGGGGTACAGAAGGTTGATATAATCATATTTCTTAGCTCATGGATAGTGCCGTCATGGATTTATGTAAGGTTTATTTTCTAAAAATTTATTCTCTTTATCTGCATTCTCCACTTATACTTGTCCCACCTACTCCCATAGGTAGCTATTCTAATGTGTTCACTGTATAGTTTTCTGCTTTGATTATACTCTTATTAAATGCTTATTACTGCTTTGTTTCTATGTATTTGTCTTTTACATTTACATAAATGATATTCATCTATAGATCTTATTCTGTTTCTTACAGAAGTTCTCTTAGAACTATGTTTTAAAAATACATTCAGATATCTAGTCCAATGCTTCAATTTTATAAAGTAGTTTTAAAAAGTTTCTTTTGACTTAGCCTCAACTATTCTTTTTTTCACAAATTAAAAGTATAGGTGTATTGTTTCTCAAATCTAGTTTTACTTATATTTTAATTATAAATTTGATTGCAGTTTACCATAGCTTGAAAGAGTATCAATCTCCTTCTCTTTTCAAAGGTGCTCATTTTGT
This sequence comes from Homo sapiens, assembly GCF_000001405.40. NCBI lineage: Eukaryota > Metazoa > Chordata > Mammalia > Primates > Hominidae > Homo > Homo sapiens. The sequence goes on along the minus strand of NC_000004.12, from coordinate 127,215,476 downwards.
ACTCATCTTTTAATTCCATTCCTGTCATTGAAGGATAGTTATTCTTTATTTCTAAGAAATCTACTGCTTAAGACTCTTCATTTAACCATTTCTGACTAAGCAAATGTTTGAAAAGGATCAACAGCAGTGGCACACTGAACTCAGGAATCCCACTATTCATATCTGAATCTGATTTTAGGGCATATTTGGACGGTATTTAACAAATACGCTGTAAATTTCTGTCTGGCATTTAACTGTATATTTTTCTAATCATGGGATTAAAGCATCAGCAACTATGTGTTTATTCATTCTGACTATTTACCACCCTCTTGACATACTGACGTGGGTATAGGGAGGTCATTTCCGCCTTTGGCTTGTCTTGGTGAGTACTTGCTGGCTTTGATTAGCAGCACCATGGAGCAATCTGAAATACATTAGTATCAATGGAATGGAAATCTTAGTGGTTTAAGTATCACTATTAGTATACACAGAATGTCTGAAACTCTACATTTCTGTCTTGGCTGCATCTCCTCCTTCCTTGACTTTCCAAGGTTCTGTCAATAAAGTCCTAAGTAGCTGACTACTTGGATAAGATCTAGAAATCAAAAAGACTTTCAACTTTTAGACAGAGGGATCACTTTATTGACCTGCTGAAAGTTTAGGTCCTTGTGGGTACACATCGAAATTAATTAGAGCATTAGGTCAAAAATTAAATTTACTTATTATTAATCTTACTCTTAAGTAGAAGAGCATTACTTGCACATAATGTTTATATCAGACAAATAAGCAGGTATTACTTAAAGACTTTGTGGATGGCATATGGACAGAATCAAATGGCAACAATTTCTTTTTGGCCTTGTACTTGGCGAAACTCTAATACAAAATAGGTAGGAAAGGCTGGGAAAGGAGCATAGGTTTAGAATAGTTGACATGAATCAATTGTTTGATTGTGCATGACAGGCTTCTCCTTGCTTGGTGCCCTTTTTCTCCTTCCCTTTCTTCCCTTGCAGTTTTCCATGCCCCTCCTTTTTTCCCTAACCCTCCTGCCTGGCACAGAATTCTAGACAATCATCAGGGAGGAATACGTCAAGTTGGAATTGCTGACAGTGAGGATATTTGTTAGCAAACATGAGAAGCCATAAACATTAGCTTGCTGGCAAATATGGAGCTGACGGAAAGGAGGGGGGCCCTGTGAGTTCAGTAGGGCTCTTCTCACTCAGGAAGCATACAGCCATTGACAACTTAGGAAATGCACCTCCTCTCCTCCTCTTTTGCCAGGAAAAACACAACCTTTGGAGAATAGGGGCATAAGAAACTGCTGGTGTAAGGCCTTTCTGTGCCTGCTGGCACTTGAAGTCACTATTGCTGTGGTTAGTTTTGCTCATTCTTGGTCTCACTGTGCATGACTTGGGCCTGATTTATCTTTAATTACCCAAGGGCTGTGCAGTTCTGGAGGATTTCAGTAAAAAAACTTAATCTTGAGATTACTAAAATGGTCTTTTCCTCTTGAACTGAAGCTGAAAGTACGTTTGATGTCCTTTGCATTTAAGTGGTACTCCCACTGTGTAAGAGCAGCCTTCTTTTTACCAAAACAACAACAAAAACAGCAGCAACAACAGTGACAAGAACATTAGGTCAGGAGACATAAGTTTAGATTGGTTTCTATTCAATTTTTGTTGTGTCCCTTTACTTTTTTTTTTTTTTCTTTTTTTTTTGAGACGGAGTCTTGCTCTGTTGCCAGGCTGGAATGCAATGGAACAATTTCGGCTCACTGCAACCTCTGCCTCCCGGGTTCAAGCGATTCTCCTGCCTCAGCTTCCCAAGTAGCTGGGATGACAGGCATGTGCCACCATGCCCAGCTAATTTTTGTATTTTTAGTAGAGAAGGGGTTTCACCATGTTGGCCAGGATGGTCTTGATCTCTTGACTTCGTGATCCACCTGCCTTGGCCTCCCAAAGTGCTGGGATTACAGGTGTGAATGACTGTGTCCCATAGTCCCTTTACATTTTAATGGGTTTTGTGATAGTTATGGAACTATGTGAACCATGAAGCCAATTAGAAATAGGCTCTTTTTTAGCTCAAGATGAAAAGTCTCCTCCCTCACAGCAAAAGCTACAGAGAACTAGAGTAATCATGCAAATTCTCAAACAATCAGAATCACCCATTAATCAGAATTCTTTTAACCTTTGAATTTTATAAGAAATAGATAAACAATAGGACAATAAATGTCAGTGATGAATTTATACTAAACTCTTATAGATTATAACCTAACATCAGTGCAGCTCTGCCTCTATTTCTTAACCTCTGACTTCATGGTTATGGGATCAAAGTAACTGATCTCCAAAAGTATGACCTTAGGGACCTTAGATATCTGAACCATCAAATAGAAATTAAATTATATTCTCCATGCTGTACTGAATAAATCCGAAAAATAGACTAATATATTTATAAACATTTTAGGTCCTGAAGATTGAAATAGGAAGGATTTTTTCTCTTCTTCACTTCTGAGTTGACCAGAAAATTCAATGACCTAGAGCATCTCCTTCTCTGAGTTCCAATCAATTGTGGTTTTGGAGTGTTTACTTAGGGTTCATGTTGCTCGAGCTATGTGGAATCATATTGAACTGGTCATACCCTCATACATCAGGGAACTTAAGTCACTAAGGCACTAGCTTAGTTTTCCAAAGGTGAGTGAGATTAAACTCCTGCCTTTAGAATCAGACCCGTATGTGTCTTAGCACACCCAGGATTCCATTCTCCCTTCCCCCACCAGCCGGCATGAGGGCAATACCAAATCCAGCCCACCTTTAGTCTCCTTTGCCCTCTTTTTACCAAGACCCTGGGTATTTCTCTCACCAGATTAACTACTTTCTATAGAGATACCCCAGAGGAAGGCTGTATTAGAAACCCATTACAGGATAATGTTCCAAGAAAATTATTCTTTTGAAGCTTTGATTTGAAACTCATGCTTCTCATTAATACAGGCAACTGGAAGCTGGGAGACTTGTCTCTGAAAAGAGCTTGTTATGAACTGGGGAAGCAGCTTGAATCCTCAGCATGGATGTACAGAGTTAAAAGCAAAGCCAGGCAAGAAATGAGATCAAGTCTGGAGTTATGTATCTGTTAGTAATTTCAGATCCACGTGACTAGAGAGCAACAAAATACTTGTTCTCTAGCAGTTCTTTTGAAAGACAGGTCAGCAAAAAGTTGAAGCAGAATTTTAACTTTGATTTTTATTCTAATTTGAAAGTTTTTCTTCTTAAATTTAGGCCATGCAGACATCCCTGTTATCCCTGTTAAGTGCTTGAGTCAGAGCACAACCAGCTATCACATATCATCCGATTCTGTCCTTGACATGAAAAAATAGCAGAGAAGGAAAGAATTCCTTTGGGGACACAGCATGCTTTGTATCTTTTTAATTTTTTTTTTTTTAAGGAGAGAATTATCCAGGCAAAACTTGGTTGTCAGTAAAGATGTTTGTTTTGATTGGCAATCAGCATGTTTAGTCTGAGAAGCAGGGACTTTGGGCTCAGAGGTAAGGCCTGAAGATGAATCCAAACTGAAGGAGAGCAGAGAAAATGGTGGAGCAGTGAAGTGGTGGCTTCAGCTCTATTTCACAGAATCAACCTGATTTTTACTTACTCAACTGGAACTTTTTACGAGTGTGAAATGTGTACATGTTTTTCTACCTATGCACTTGTGTCTAGGCCTAGGTTTACAAGGAGTATTTGAGGTCAGAGTGGCAAGAGGGAATAATATCGAAGTTCTTCTTTTGGAAGCTGTCATAGAATTTTCCAAAGTGGAGAATGGAATGGATCCAAACCACTCAAGAGAATTCCTCCAGCTTTTTTTCTTCTCATTTTCTCTTTCTTGTTCTTTCCACATTTCACTTCATTCAACAAATATTTATTTAATATTTCCTATGAGACTCAGCACAGTGGTTAAGAGCAAGTATTCCCATTAGATCCAAATGTAAATTTCTTAAGCTTCAGTTTTCTCATCACTAAAACAAGGACAAAAATAGTATTTATAGCAATGATTATAGTCAAGATTGAATGACATGATCTCTGTTAAGCACTTAGTACAGTATGTCATTCATTTCTCTAATTAAAAAATTTCTCCATGATGAAATCCAGACACTTAGCAGTAAATCACATAGTTAATTAAAATTATATTACTAGTCTTCAGGATGATTTCCCCTAGAAGTGATTTTTAAATTGCGGGGGAGAGAAAGGGAGGGGTAAAAATTAATGTGATAATTATTTTGACTGAAGTTCTCTCTAAAAATATGTGTATCTTCTCTCTGTCTCCCTCTTTTTGGTCATAAATCTCCCTGATTAAAAGGAAAATGAGAGATGGGAATTTCCTGTTTTGGGAAATGCACAAGGTCAGGGAAAGGAGATCTCTGGAAGGAGAGCAGCTTATTGGACCTGAGCCTGGGTACGTTTGGCTGGCTGAGGACACTCAAGAGCAGACTAGTAGGAAACCAGCTATGATATTCAGAGGAGAGCTTGCTTGAAGTCAGGTTAGAGTTGACTCAATGCTGGTGCTAAAATTGTTAATGAAAAGACTAGCCAGGAGCCCAGCAGGGTAGGATCTGATTTTCTGGCTTCAATGAGTAGGCAGAATATGTCAGCAGTGGGTGTCTGAGGTTAAGATGTTTTTAGATACCTAAAGCACTGAAAATATTTGTGCTTCCCACACCCAAGTTATTTAAAAATAAAACAGCAGTGTATAATAAACAATTTACGGCAGCATATAGCACAGAATTTACATGATTACTGAAAATAAAAGAGATTTTCTTTACATTTTTTTTCTGATAAAATTATTGAGGATGAACTTTGTTTTTGTGTGTCCCTACCTTGCCATGTCCTAAGCATGTGTGTGGTCTGCCTATTCAGCACTATGTCCAGTCCCGAAGGCAGTGTTGGGTTAGCAGAGAAAATAAGGCCCAGACCATCTAGACTCATCTATAGTCATCGCACAAAGATGAGTGTCTTAGTTTATATCCCCAAATGGTCATTTTAGGATCATCTCTCACATTAATTACATACATTCAAATCCTTATCTCAGGGTTGACCCTGGAAGAATCTAAATTAGACAGTTTGTACTAGAAATGGAGTACTAGGAAGCAGACCCCGGATTAGATCACTAACCTAGCAACTAGAGGCAAAGAAATTCATTTCTGAGGATGTGAGCTGGTAAGACCTCTTGAAAAGTTGTAATATCACAAATACTAACACTGTTCCCTCTGGTGGATTGGGGTGAGATGCAAGTGGAAAGGATATGTAGTGGTTCATGCAATAACTCTATACTTGAAATATGTAGGACCAATTCTATTCATAAAAACTGTCTAGTTGGATGGCTATCATTAATGGTCATAGAAGTCCTGGAGGAGGAAGAAAATAACAGGTTCTTGTCAGCCAAATAGTGCCTTCAGAGGTGGTGTGAGAGCCAGAAGTTCTTCAGACAGTCTTTAGGAACCACTTCTCCAGGAGCCAGACAACAGACTGTGCTAAGAACCAGGCCCAACACTTGATGATAAGGATGGAGAAGTTACAAAGGAAGTTGAACTCATAGCTCTGGAAACTCTCCTATAAGGAATAGAATCTTGAGATCTGAGATAAGCACATTTGCATGGCCAAGGACTTGAGAATTTGATGACTTAGATTCTTTTATGCCTCTGGGCTAGAGGAAATTATGCTCTCTCCCCCATGTTAGAAGATAATAGCCTTTCATTGCCTAGAAACCACTTACAGAGGACATAATGTAGATATTTTGCAGGATGCTTGTTGTCATTCACAAGAGGCCCCCTGCCTCTCCTCATTGCTTAGATTAATAATAAGAGTCAAGATTCAACATGGGCGGAGTAGGGAAGTATTACTCTGCTATGAGATAAAAAGAATTACTCAAGAAAAAAACTGCTCTATCTAGCTAATACGCATCCACAGGAACTAGGGGAAAATACTCGAAACTGAATCCAACAGCACATCAGAAAGCTTACCCACCACAATCAAGTCAGCTTAATCCCTGGGATGCAAGGCTGGTTCAACATATGCAAATCAATAGGTGTAATCCATCACATAAAGACAACTAATGACATAAACCACATGATTATTTCAATAGATGCAGAAAATGCCTTCAATAAAATTCATCATCTCTTCATGTTAAAAACTCTCAATAAACTAGGTCTTGATGGACCATATCTCAAAATAACAAGAGCTATTTAAGACAAACCCATAGCCAGTATCACACTGAATGGGCAAAAGCTGGAAGCATTCCCTTTGAAAACCGGCAAGGGACCAGGATGCCTTCTCTCACCACTGATGTTCAACATAGTATTGGAAGTTCTGGCCAGGGCAATCAGGCAAGAGAAATAAATAAAATGTATTCAAATAAGAAAAGAAGAAGTCAAATTGTCTCTGTTTGCAGATGACATGATAGTATATTTAGAAAACCCCATCTTCTCAGCCCCAAATCTCTTTAAGCTGATAAGCAAATTCAGCAGTCTCAGAATACAAAATCAATGTGCAAAAATCACAAGCATTCCTATACACCAACAATAGACAAGCAACCAAATCATGAATGAACTCCCATTCACAATTGCTACAAAGAAAATAAAATACCTAGGAATAAAACTTATAAGGGACGTGAAGGACCTCTTCAAGGAGAACTACAAACCACTGCTCAAGGAAATAAGAGAGGACACAAACAAATGGAAAAACATTCCATCCTCATGGATAGGAAGAATCAATATCATGAAAATAGCCATACTACCCAAAGTAATTTATAGATTCAATGCTATTCTCATCAAGCTACCATTGACAGTCTTCATAGAAATAGAAAAAACTACTTTAAATTTCATATGGAACCAAAAGAGAGCCCATATAGCCAAGACAATCCTAAGCAAATAGAACAAAGCTGGAGGCATCACGCTACCTGACTTCAAACTATACTACAAGGCTACAGTAACCAAAGCAGCATGGTACTGGTACCAAAACAGATATATAGACCAATGGAACAGAACAGAGACCTCAGAAATAACACTACACATCTATAACCATCTGATCTTTGACAAAGTTGACAAAAACAAGCAATGGGGACAGGATTCCCTATTGAATAAATGGTGCTGTGAAAACTGGGTAGCTATATGCAGAAAACAGAAACTGGACCCCTTCCTTACATCTTATACAAAGATTCACTCAAGATAGATTAAAGACCTAAATGTATAACCCCAAACCATAAAAACCCTAGAAGAAAACCTAGGCAATACCATTCAGGACATAAGCATGGGCAAGGACTTCATGACTAAAACACCAAAAGCAATTGCAGCAATAGCCAAAATTGACAAATAGGATCTAATTAAACTACAGAGCTTCTGCATGGCAAAAGAAACTATCATCAGAGTGAACAGGCAACCTAGAGAATGGGAGAAAATTTTTGCAATCTACCCATCTGACAAAGGTCTAATGTCTGGAATCTACAAGGAATTTAAACAAATTTACAAGAAAAAAAAACAAAGAACCCCATCAAAAAGTGGGCAAAGGATATAAACAGGCATTTCTCAAAAGAAGACGTTTGTGCGGCCAACACACATATGAAAAAAAGGCTTGTCAGCACTGGTCATTACAGAAATGCAAATCAAAACCACAATGAGATACCATCTCAAGCCAGTCAGAATGGCAATTATTGAAAAGTCAGGAAACAATAGATGCTTTTGATGCTGTGGAGAAATAGAAACACTTTTACACTGTTGGTGGGAATGTAAATCAGTTCAACCATTGTGGAAGACAGTGTGGTGATTCCTCAAGGATCTAAAACCAGAAATGCCATTTGACCCAGAAATCCCATTACTGGGTATATACCCGAATATTATAAATGATTCTACTATAAAGACACATGCACACGTATGTTTATTGTGGCACTATTCACAATAGCAAAGACATGGAACCTTCCCAAATGTCCATCAATGTTAGACTGGATAAAGAAAATGTGGCACATATACACCATGGAATACTATGCAGCCATAAAAATGAATGAGATCATGTCCTTTGCAGGAACATGGATGAAGCTGGAAGCCATCATCCCCATCAAACTAACGCAGGAGCAGAAAACCAAACACCACATGTTCCACTCATAAGTTGGAGTTGAACATTGAGAACAGATGGACACAGGGAGGGGAACAACACACACTGAGGCCTATCAAGGGGTGGGGGCAAGGGGAGGGAGAACATTAGGACAAATACATAATGATTTTGGGGCTTAAACCTAGATAATGGTTTGATAGGTTCAGCAAACTAGCATGACACATATATACCTATTTAAAAAACCTGTATGTTCTGCACATGTACCCTGGAACTTAAAATTTAAAAAAATAAGTAAAATTAATTTTTAAAATATGTTTTATTTAACTGAATATATAAAAATATCATTTTAATGTGTAATAAATGAAAATTTATTGAGATCTTTTGTATTTTTATACTAAATATTTAAAAACCATGTGTATTTTATACTTAAAGCATATTTCAGTTTGAAATAGCCTAATTTCAATTGCTTGATAAGCACAGGTGGGCAGGGGCTACCATTTTCATCAGCCTGTATTTACTGCCTTCCCACATGGTGTTTCATAGCCAATAGTAAAAATATGTGCTATTTAGTAAAAGTGTACTCTACATAAATATTGTTAAGTTCTTAAACTAATAAATATTTTATTTTGAAATTGTAAACATGTGGGTCAGCAGGGAATAAAGATGCTCCAAATCTTGCCAAGAATGGGAGAACCGTGATATCTTTAGAAGACACAACAGTGTCTTCATAGGTTCTGTTGTGACTGTATCTTCCTGATTTAATTTTTCCACAATGTCTTAATTTCTGCACGGGAGGAAAATCTTTCTTTTTCTTCTATCCATCGTAGGCTCATTTACTGACAAAAAATGGATTAACAAAACAGATACAAGTTTATTAACAAGGGCATTTTGCATGCACGTGGGAGTATTCAGTGATGAGTAACTCAAAGGAGTGTTTAGAACATGGATTTGTAGAACATCTTAACAATGAACAGTAAATTCATAAAGAAATGACAAGGCAAAGGAAAAGGACTTTGAGCATCCAGGGGTGGATTGTGGGAAGGCAAATATATGTGGAAACTAATGGTGGGTAAGGGCTGGTTGGTAAAATTTGTTATGTGGATTTCTCTCGTGCCTTCTCTGGGCTGATAAGGGGATAGGGTTTTTCTTATGGTTAACGTCTGTCTTTCCTTATAGAGAGTGAGGAAGGACACTTTTATATCCCCTTTTTAGGCAAATGAGGGAGGGCAGAGAGATTTCCTTTTATCTGCTTCTTCTTAATGGCCTTCCCTTATGCCAAAGAGGTATATTTTGGAGTGGCATGTTCTGCCACTTTTCAGTTCCTCCTATCCTGTAAATTCTCCAATCGGAGTTTTTAGAACCATAACCACTTTGATTTGAGAGGGAGTACTTTAGTTAAGGAATTTAATTTGTATAGGTAAATGCTCAGTAAAACATTATTGAAAGGAATTGAATGAACTTAAAGTTAATCATCTTGGAAGTCAGCTGTTTACCCTGGTTATAGTGAAGACTTGAGGATTTTAAAAGAAATTCATTTTTTAATAAGACTCTTTAGTGGTTAAGTTGTAATGGGTATAAAACAGATAAAAAGTAGATTTTATTTCATCAAGAGTTGCCACCAGTAATTTTAGAAGGAATAATTGAAATCTCTTGGGAGAGTTTTGATGATCTCTAGTTGTCATCTTCTAACTCAAAAATTGTATGTATATATGGTATGTATTTCCATGTTACCTACATCTCATTTTAAAAATTATTTCTCTGGAGCTCTTTGCAAGCAGGGAGAGCATTCTTCTTTAGTTCTAGTGTTTAGATTTAAAATTGATAGCTGTTGAATGAATGATAAATAATAATTATACTCTTTGTTTTAATTCTTAGGTGTTTTTTCTTTTTAGTCAGTGTTATAAGGATGAAACAGATGTTGCTGGCCAGGTTGCATCTGACTTGCTAACCTTATAGTGTCAGTTCATTACTAGTTACTCTTAGCAACTATAGTAGATTTTTAGATCCATGTCTTTCATGTTCATAGAAACATATTTTCTTTCCCTTTTCTTTTTTTCCTCAGTTGAACTTTTGCTCTCTTTATATACCACTCTAAATTCCTCTCAAATCTCTTTTATTCTCCTTAATTAAAAAATCATGATGAAGCATAATGGTCTAATATATGTATATATCAAACTCCAGCCTGGCCTACAGATAAGGTTTCAGTTTCGTCTCACTTACTTTGAATTCCTCATGTTTAAAATTAAAATTAAAACCCAATATTTCTCATATATAACAAAGACGAAAAATAATCCAACTTAATAGTCTCAAAACAGCCACATCAAAATCAGAGTGGTTATAGTCTATTAAATTTTAAATATCTGACAAGTTTACATTTTTTCTCTCTTCCTCAGACTCTATAACTCAATGTGTTCTATGTGAAGAAAGTAAATGACACATAGAAGCCACCCTAAATATAGACTCAAGGATTTTATTTATTTGTTTATTTACCAACAGCACAAGTGTAGAATGGATTGGTATCTAGTATTTTGTTGCTACTTCAGTGGCTGAGGGAGATGACTACTACCTTTGAAATATTTTCAGGAAGGATCCAGACTTGATGATCATAAAATCTGGGATTTAGGAAATAGTATTATAGTCTAAAGGAGTGGAAAGAGTAGAAATAAACCTAAACAACAAATTAACAGATTGTTGTGGCATAAGTGTCTGGTAGTGTGGCCAGCTCTCAATTATCCATGGTATTGGAAGCCAGAGATACATGAATAATTGACATCTACTCCTAGTCCAAAAGCCTCAGTTTAATGAACGGTTTCCACATCCTCTTCGTGAACTACCAACAAGGAGCAGAATCGGCTGATTTCTGTTCCAGCAGACTATTTCTCCTGCTCAGCTTTGGGTGGGGTTGCTAATGAGCAATATGCTGTCCAAAAGGCCATGAGCCAGAGAGAAAATGAGGGGAAATCAGTTGCTGGTAGAGTCCACAATTGGATAATCAGCCTCAGAATAATACAGAGTTGACTATATGTCAATTAAAAAGAAGGAGACAAATATTATCCCTTGTGAATATTTGATTGTTAAAAAAAAACTGCCCTCTTCCCACAATCTTTTCATTAGAAACATGTATTCTATGTATCCCAGTGAGTTGATAACTAGTAATAGATCTGTAGTGCTATGCTTAATTGGAATAGCAACTTACTTTTAGAAGTTCACTGCACTGGGATTCTGCACCTTCCTGTGTCAGCAGCCCACATCATGGCTGGTTTGGTATGGTTTCGATACCCCAACATCACCACAATAAGAATAAATGATGCAATTTACTGTGTAGGGATTCCCTCCTGGGAAATGCCTGGCGCCTGAAAGCCTTTCCCGTGCATGTATATTGGCAGTTAAACATTGTTTTTGCATTAAAACAGGGTGAAATTCCAAAATACCACAGAGAGCAAGAAAGAGATGTTTTGCATTTGAGGACAAGGACATGACTGCATAATCTATGTACATTAAAATAAGCATTTTTCCCATTTGAACAACTGCTCCATAATTAAATGTAAATGCCCCATTCCCACATAATATATCCATGCTTGAACATACAGATAATATCCCCATGGAACACCCTGACATGCCCTCCTTTTCTCTCTGTCTTAAACTGGATGAGTAACTATGAAAACATTCCTGAAACAGTCATGCAGTTTTCTCAGGTCTTTGGCCTACAGCTTGATAGAAGCTAGACCATGTCTGAATGAACTCAGAATTCAAGCATGTAAGAGACATAGACATTTTTGACATGGAAAAGTAAAGTCTGAATCTTGAAACTGCTCACAGCCATTCAGTGTATAATCAGTACATTGGTGACTTGAGTGGAAGGATCACAAAACCTTGAAGAAAGGGCTAATTTTTTTAGGTTTATAAGTAAACATGTGTACACATATTCACATACATATACTCCTATATATGCCCATTAAAGGCTGACTTTCTTGTTAAAAATTGAACCATGAGAAAAATGCTCTGGTTATAAAACATGTTTTATTTTTGTGAATTGTAATAGAATACAAACTATCTTCAAAAAATGCCTGATTAATGCATATGTTTCTATTCCATCAACGTTTCTTTGAAAATATAATAATTTCATGTGTAACCGGAATAATAGAGAGTATATTTATAAACGACCAAATTAAAGATGGAAGTAATATTTTTTCTTGCAAGGCTTCCTTGCCAAAACATTATATATATAACAGAAGTCTATAAAAAGGTCATGTTTCACATTACAGATGGGTCTTGACAAAGTAAAGCTGAAGTAAACAGTTTTTAAATGAACGCATTTTACTTTATTGATTACTCTATGACCTATTACATTGCAGACACTAGAAATTTATGTGAGTGGATTGACTATATAGGATGGAAAGTAGAAAAAGAAATTACAATCTGTTCTTTAAACAAATTTATAACATTTTTTGAGGATGAAATATCCAGAGTTTTTTTTTTAAGTTGGAATAAATTTGCTCCTTTTTAACAAAAAAATTAAGGGACATGGCTGGCACCAAAGGATAGATTGATGACAGTGGAAATGAAGGCTATTGTGTATTGAGGACTAGCTGAGGAAATTTGGTAGAAAATGAGAATCAAGGCAAAGGAGGAATAAAACAAGGACGGATAAATGATCCTGAGAAAGTCAAAATGAAGAATACAAGGAACTGGGATCTCAGTAAAGTTCAAGTGAATTTAGTAGGAGTGAAACAACAGAAAGAATGACAGATTTTGTTATGAGTAGAATATCGACATATAAGATTTCACAGGAGGAACTGGGTGATGACAAGGACCAGTCTACAGCCAAGACAGTGTGTTGCGTCCATTCACATTCTCTCACATACATATGGACAAGATCAGGAAGGAGAAGATTTACATTACCTGCTTCCTTAAAGGCATCCTGATACAGCACACTGGAGAAGGACTGGAGAGACTTGCATGGTCTCTGGGCTTTTGTGACACAATTTGGTCTTTTCTTGATAAAGTGAGCGTGAAAATATCTGTTACATTTCTATTTCAGGTATGCTATGAAGAATAAATTATGTATGTGCAAGTCCTTTGAAAGCTGAAAAGTACTATACACAAGTTGAGTATAGCTAAAGAATAATTTTTTAAAAGATCTTGGGATATTTCTTCTCATTAATACAGTGTTGAAAATTTTATGAATGGGAGTTCACTCATGATTTGGCTCTCTGTTGGTCTGTTATTGGTGTATAAGAATGCTTGTGATTTTTGCACATTGATTTTGTATCCTGAGACTTTGCTGAAGTTGCTTATCAGCTTAAGATTTTGGGCTGAGACGATGGGGTTTTCTAGATATACAATCATGTCGTCTGCAAACACGGACAATTTGACTTCCTCTTTTCCTAATTGAATACCCTTTATTTCCTTCTCCTGCCTGATTGCCTTGGCCAGAACTTCCAACACCATGTTGAATAGGAGTGGTGAGAGAGGGCATCCCTGTCTTGTGCCAGTTTTCAAAGGGAATGCTTCCAGTTTCTGCCCATTCAGTATGATATTGGCTGTGGGTTTGTCATAAATAGCTCTTATTATTTTGAGATACGTCCCATCAATACCTAATTAATTGAGAGTTTTTAGCATGAAGGGCTGCTGAATTTTGTCAAAGGCCTTTTCTGCATCTATTGAGATAATCATGTGGTTTTTGTCTTTGGTTCTATTTATATGCTGGATTATGTTCATTGATTTGTGTATGTTGAACCAGCCTTGCATCCCAGGGATGAAGCCTACTTGATCATTGTGGATAAGCTTTTTGATATGCTGCTGGATTCAGTTTGCCAGTATTTTATTGAGGATTTTTGCATCGATGTTCATCAGGGGTATTGGTCTAAAATTCTCTTTTTTTGTTGTGTCTCTGCCCGGCTTTGGTATGAGGATGATGCTGGCCTCATAAAATGAGTTAGGGAGGATTCCCTCTTTTTCTATTGATTGGAATAGTTTCAGAAGGAATGGTACCAGCTCCTCCTTGTACCTCTGGTAGAATCTGGCTGTGAATCCGTCTGGTCCTGGACTTTTTTTGGTTGGTAAGCTATTAATTATTGCCTCAACTTCAGAGCCTGTTATTGGTCTATTCAGAGATTCAACTTCTTCTTGGTCTAGTCTTGGGAGGGTGTATGTGTCGAGGAATTTATCCATTTCTTCTAGATTTTCTAGTTTATTTGCATAGACGTGTTTATAGTATTCTCTGATGATAGTTTGTATTTCTGTGGGATCGGTGGTGATATCCCCTTTATTATTTTTTATTGCATCTATTTGATTCTTCTCTTTTTTCTTCTTTATTAGTCTTGCTAGCAGTCTATCAATTTTGTTGATCTTTTCAAAAAACCAGCTCCTGAATTCATTGATTTTTTGAAGGGTTTTTTGTGTCTCTATCTCCTTCAGTTCTGCTCTTAGTTATTTCTTGCCTTCTGCTAGCTTTTGAATGTGTTTGCTCTTGCTTCTCTATTTCCTTTAATTGTGATGTTAGGGTGTCAATTTTAGATCTTTCCTGCTTTCTCCTGTGGATGTTTAGTGCTATAAATTTCCCTCTACACACTGCTTTGAATGTGTCCCAGAGATTCTGGTTTATTGTGTTTTTGTTCTCGTTGGTTTCAAAGAACATCTTTATTTCTGCCTTCATTTCGTTATGTACCCAGTAGTCATTCAGGAGCAGGTTGTTCAGTTTCCATGTAGTTGAGCAGTTTTGAGTGAGTTTCTTAATCCTGAGTTCTAGTTTGATTGCACTGTGATCTGAGAGACAGTTTGTTATAATTTCTGTTCTTTTACATTTGCTGGGGAGTGCTTTACTTCCAACTATGTGGTCAATTTTGGAATAGGTGTGGTGTGGTGCTGAAAAGAATGTATATTCTGTTGATTTGGGGTGAAGAGTTTTCTTTATCCAGTCAACCTTTGAGGGACACTCCGGTGGCATCCATGACTTGCTGTTGTTAATAGTGCTGCAGTAAACATACTAGTGCAGCTATCTTTATTTAATATAATAATTTCTTTTGCTTTGGGTAGATGCCCAGTAGTGGTGTAGCAGGGTCAAGTGGTAGTTCTATTTTAAGTTCTTTGAGAAATCTCCATACTCTTTTCCATAGATGTCATAACAATTTACATTTCCTCCAACGTTTTATAATTATTTCCTTTTCTCCACATACACTCTAACACATGTTGTTTTTTGACCTTTTAATAATACCCCTTCTGAGGTTTAAGATGATACCTCAAGGTGAATTTCATTTGCATTTCTCTGATGATTAGTGATGTTGCACATTTTTGTTTGTTGGTTGCTTGTAAGTCTTCTTCTGAGAAATGTCTATTCCTGTCTTTTGCCCATTTTGTAATGGTTTTATTTTATTTTTGTCTTGTTGAGCTGTTTGAGTTCCTTGTAGATTCTGGATATTAATCCTTTGCCTGACATATAATTTCCAAACATTTTCTCCCATTCTGTAGGTTGTCTGTTTACTCTGTTGAATATTAGTTTTGCTGTGCAGAAAATTTTTAGTTTAATAAGTATCATTTATGTATTGTTGTTTTGTTGCATTTGCATTTGGGGTCTTAGTCATAAATTCTTTACCTAGGCCAATATCCAGAAGAGTTTCTCCTGGGCTTTTCTTTAAGACTTCAGTCATTTCAGGTCTTATATTTAGGTCTTTAATTCACCTTGAGTTAATTGTTTAGATGGTGAGAGATAAAAGCCCGTTTCATTTTACAGCATATGGCTAGCCAATCTTCCCAGCACCACTTATTGAATAGGGTGTTCTTTCGCCATTGTTTATTTTTGACAACTTTGCCAAAGATCAGCTGGTTGTACAGGTGTGGCTTTATTTCTAGGTTCTCTATTCTATTCCATTAATCTATGTGTCTCTTTTTATGCCAGTACCATGCTGTTTTAGTTACTATAGCCTTGTGGTATAATTTGAAGTCAGGTAATTTCTTCCAACTGAAAAAAAAAAAAAACCTCTGGATATTTTATCCTCAAAAAATGTTATAAATTTTTTTAAAGAACAGATTATAATTTCTTTTTCTACTTCGCCCCTTTCCATCCTATATAGTCAATGCACTCACATAAATTTCTATCTTTTTCATTTAGGCATTTAATGCTAAAAAAATTCAGGTAGTGTTGTGCCTCTGGTTTTGTTCTTTGTGTTAAGGATTGCTTTGGCTATTCAGCAGTTCTGTGGTTCCATACAAATTCTAGGATTGCTTTTTATAATTCAGTGAAGAATGACATTGGTACTTTTTGATAGGAATTGCACTGAATTTATAGATTGCTTTTGGCGGTAAGTTCATTTTAATGGCATTGATTCTTCCAATTCATGAGCATGAAATGTTTTCCCATTTGTTTGTGTCAGGTATGATTTCTTTCATCAATGTTTTGTAGTTCTCCTTGTGGAGATTTTTCACTGCTTGACTAAATGTATTTCTAGATTTTTTTTTGTGTGTGTGGTTATTGTAAATGATATTAAGTTCTTGGTTTGGTTCTCAGCTTTAACATTGTTGGTGTATAGAAATGCTACTTTTTATAAATTGATTTTGTATCCTGAAACTTCACCGAAGTTGTTTATCAGGTCTAGGAGTCTTTTGGAGGAATCTTTAGGGTTTTTTATGTGTAAGATCATGTTATCAGTAAAAAGAGATAATTTGACTTCCGCTTTTTCCATTTGGATTTTGTATTTCTTTCTCTTGTCTGATTACTCTGGCTAGAAATTCCAGGACCACAATGAATAAGAGTGGTAAGAGTGGGCATTCTTGTCTTGTTTCAGTTCTCGAGGAGAATGCTTCCAGTTATTGCCCATTCAGTATGATGTTAGCTGTGGGTTTGTCATAAATGGTTCTTATTATTTTGAGGTGTTACTTCAATGCTCAGTTTGTGGAGGGTTTTTATCGTGAAACCATGTTGGGTCTCATCAAATGCTTTTTCTAGGTCTATTGAAATGATCATATGGTTTTTGTTTTTAACTCTGTTCATGTGGGGAATTGCATTTATTGATTTGCAAATGTTGAATCATCTTTGCATTCCTGGGATAAAAGCCACTTGAATATGACAAATTATTTTGTTGATGTGCTGTTGGATACAGTTTGATAGAATTTTGTTGAGGATTTTTGCATCTATGTTCATCAGCAATATTGACTTGTAGTTTTCCATTTTTGTTGTTTCCTTGCCTGATTTTGGTATCAAGGTGATGCTGGCTTCATTGAATGGGTTAAGGAGGAGTCCCTCCTCCTAGGTTTGTGGAATATTTTCAGTAAGATGGGTATCAGCTCTTCTTTGTACATATGGTAAAATTTGGCTGTGAATCTATCTGGTCCCAGGCATTTTGCTTTGAAAATTTTTTATTTCTAATTTAGTTTTATTACTCATCCTTGGTCTGTTCAGGATTTCTGTTTCCTCCTCGTTCAATCTTGGGACATTGTATGTTCCAGGAATTTATCCGTTTCCTCTAGGTTTTCTAGTTTGTGCACATGGAGACGTTCACAGTAATCTCTCCTTATCTTTTGTATTTCTGTGGTATCATTTATAATGTCATCTTTATCATTTATGATTGTGCTTGTTTGAATCTTCTCTTTTTTCCTGGTTATACTGGCTAGCAGTCTATCAATTTTGTTTATCCTTTCAAAGAACCAATTTTTGTTGATCCTTTGTATCATTTTATTGGTCTCAAACTTATTTAGTTCTGCTCTGATTTTTTTATTTCTTTTCTTCTGCTATCCTTGGGTTTGGTTTATTCTTGCTTTCCTAGTCCTCTGAGGTATGACATTAAGTTTCTATCTTTTTAATTTATATTATAAATTTCTATATTTTTTATTTAGGCATTTAATGCTATAAACTTTCCTCGTAGCAGTGCTTTTGCTGTATCCCAGAGGTTAGGATATGTTATGTCTTTATTTTCATTTGTTTCAAAAAATATTTGATTTCTACCTTAATTTCATTGTCTACCCAAAAGTCATTCAAGTGTAAGAGGGATGGATGGGACAAAGCTGGGTGGTGCTGAGTCAGTCCAGTCCTTAATCAGGCTCTGGAGGGGGAGTGTATGCATTGACCTTCATGAGGGTCTGGGGTCCCAGTTCTCAGGCTTTTGGGACAAGCCTTCAGGGCAGGGTGGAGGTGCCTCTTCTTTGCCAGAATCTGCTCAGGGGAAGGATCTGCCTGGGGTTTTCAGCAAAGCAGGCAGCTGTGGGTCCTGCTCAGCTCCGGCTCTGGGGAAGTGGGACAGGCCAGCAGATATTTCCCCTGACCCCTTGAGGTCAAGCACCAGCTGTGATGGAGCCAGAGTTGGGGGTGAACTGCTCTCAATCCACCAACAAATCGCTCAGGTCAGGGCAATGGAGATTATGCTGTGGACCTCCTGTGGAATGATCAGACAGGCAGTCTTGGGAGGGAATGGCAGGCATGGGGGTTTGTGGCTCAGATGCACTTTGTTCCTGTGACAATGGCAGTGCGGTCTGTCTTAGAGGCATGAACATGTCTGGGGCAGCTCTATCGTGCCAGACAGAGAACAGGAACACTTAGGGAAGGACACAGAGCCTTTGCTGGGATGGGTGCCCAGAGTCGCATTTTCAGGCAGCTGCCCAGTGCACTGAAGCCTTTTGGGCTCCATTAGAGTTCAAGCAGTGCCCGTGTGTTCTCCCAGCAGCTGCCCCTGCCAGTCCAAAGATCTGAGGGGATCGTGGGGACTCCTGTAGCTAAGATCTCAGAGGTCCACAGTGGTAATGTGGTGCCTGGGGGTTCCTTTACTCACCCCTGACTTGGGTCTAGTCTGGGTTTAGGAGTTATTCCCAGCACTGGCAACATGAAGCAGGCAGCCCCACTTCTTCCCTCTTCAATCACCATGTTTTCTGTCACCTCTGTATTAAATTTTGGTGTTTTTTCTCAAAAGATTTGTTTGAAGTGTGGAGATTTACTTGATATTTTGGATCCTCTCAGTGAAAGAGGTGCATCCCAGCTGCATCTAGTCAGCCATCTTAAATCCTTCTCCAAGAACAAATTTTTAAATGTCAAAGTGACCTCACTGTGAACTGAAAAGTTAGGAAATTTTTTTAGCAAATAAAATAAGCATCTTAATTGGTGAAATAAAGGCCTTAATTGTTAAGATTGAAACCTTACCTTGAAAGTTCTTTGCCTCAGACCTGATTCCCAACTCCCCATGTCCCCCTGGTGATGGAAGCTTGTTGTTTCTTTTTGGAAACTGAGAGGATAACTTGGAATTAAAATACCACTACCCATTCACCTAACCCAGAGTTTTGCCGCTGTTGGAAATTCTTGTTTTCACAACCCAATTGCAAGACTAGATCTTCATAATAAAGACTAGATCCTAATGAATAAAGATGTTGACTTAGATTGACCCAATTTGCTATGATACACTGATCACTTTTATTTGGACTTCTGGCTGTCTTTCCTGAGGTTAGCCCCACAGCCCGGTTTCCAAAATTCTTGTCCCACCATCTTCAATCTTTCATGTATTTCCATTTTATCTGATGTAGAGGTTTCAGCAAGCCTTGTTGTGATCCTTCATGGCTATAGCATTTGAAAATGATTTAGAAGGTAAAAAACAAACCAAACAAAAAAAATGCATCAGTTTTCTTTAGCAGGAGAGTAATAATTGAAGTTACGATCTTTTTTGAGTCTTCTTCAAAGTATACATTTCAAAACTCTTATGTGTAATTCGTCTTATCTGGTGTTTAGGTTGACAGAAGTATTGCTTGATCTAGCAATAATTTGCAATGGATGGAATATTGCAACATCAATTGTCTTAAGATGTATTTTCCAAGGTAGCAAAATAAAATAAAAAAATACCTCGTTATGAGAACAAATTTGGGATGAAGTCATAAAGAGTTTTAGCTTGCTTTAGATGCCAATGAAAAAAGAACCATAAAATTGCCTTCTCTGACCTATTCTGTCTTGTAGGCAATTTTACATTCATTTGCAAATGTTACTGCATAGTAAAACAATTACATTTGGGGAAAAACATATGGAGGTTGAGGTCCTGATACTACATTCCTCTCCTTTAAGCCCCTGCTTTTTCCCTCCCTAACTTGCATACAGAGAAACCATCAATAGTTTCCAGCTGGCTATCTGTACTAAAATTTTTCAGAAAAAGAAAATCCCGACTTGAAAACCTTTCTGATGATCTCTTTGAAAAACTATGGAATTTTAAGTTTCTTGCAGGATGCTGAAATAATAATAATAATAAATAAAAAGAAAAAAGAAAAAAGGCTCACTTGAGTTTTATGCTGATGAAAAGAAGTTTAGATATCTCTTGGACCTGCATCTAACAAGAATACCACAATTATCAATAGCAAGACCTGTGGAGCTAAATTTTACCCCACTGTCAGCAAAGAATGAGTTTGCTGCAATGTATTAAGCTTATCTTTGACAAGTTTAAGACACCATAATGAAGTGGTTGCATGGGACAGACAGATAAAGTAATTCATCAGATAAATCAGTTCTTTATCCTATTCATGCTTATGTTTAAAAACTAAGTCCGTGAGAGGAATGGGGTGGAGAGATATTCCTTTGTTATAGTGTTTTCCACAGCTTTCTCTTTTATATGGTCCAAGTTTTTGTATACATTATACAAAGTATGGTAAGACCCAGGAAAAAGTTTTGTAAACTATGAAGTGCTTCGCAAATATATGTTAGGAGTGAAAAACAATAAGGCAGATTCCTTGATACTAATATTCAACTCTGCTATGGAATGAGTTGTGGCACCCTCACCCCTATTCGTATATTTTATGCTGAAGCCCTAACCCCCAATGAGATTGCATTTGAAGAAGAGGCCTGTTGGGAGATGGTAAAAATTAAATGAGGTCCTAAGGGTAGGGCATAATCTGATAGGGCTGGTGCCCTTATAAGAAGAAAAGAGACACCAGAGCTTTCTCTTTCTATGCATACTTAGGAAAGGCCATGTGACCACACACCAAGAAGCTAGCTGTCTGCCAGCCAGGAAGAGAGCCCTGACCAGTAATCAAATTGGCTGAAGACTTGATCTTGGACTCCTTGTCTCCAGAAATGTGAGAAAATAAAAATTTCTGTTAAGTCACTTGATCTATGGTATTTTGTTATGGCAGCCTGAACTAATTATTATAAGTTCATTTAATAAATATTTGCTTAGAATCTACAGTGTTCTAGGAACTGTTTAGGACAGTGGTCAGCAAACTAGAGCTCATGAGCCAAATTTGGCCCGCTTCCTGTTCCTTGTAAATAAAATTTTCATTTTATTTACTCATTTATTTATTTTTTAGAGATGAGGTCTTGCTATGTTGTTCAGAGTGAAGTGCAGTGGCTATTCACAGGCACGATCATAGCAGACTATATCCTCCAACTCCTGGCCTTAAGTGATCCTTCTGCCTTAGCTTTCTAAGCAGTTGGAACTACAGGAACATACCACCGTGCTAGGCTTATAAACAAAATGTTATTGGAACACTGCTACACCTAATTTTTTACATATTGTCCATGACTGCTTTCATGATACAATGGCACAGTTGAGTACAACAGAGATTGTGTGGACCATAAAGCCCAAAATATTTGCCATCTAGCTCTTTATAGAAAACGAAATATTGTCTAGCCTTGGTCTGGAATTTTGGAATATGGCAGTCATAACCATACTCCACAACATTTCAGATTCAACAATTATCTTTTTTTTTCTTGCAGTTACTTGGGAGAAATTATAGAAGTGATTTTCTTCCTTTGGATTTAAAGCACTGATTGGTTGTTGTACCATCAGCTAATCTCAGCTAGATATGCTGTTTCCTTTCATTGCCTCATAGGGACAGATTGATAACCAATTTGGCAAGATTAGGAAAGGCTTCCCATAATTAAAAAAAAAACCTGAATGTTTTGTCTTTGAGTTTGAAAAATTCAGGCCCATATGGTCCATTAATTTCTAACCTCTAAAGCAAGGCACGTAAAGAGACTCTGTGATGTACATGTTTAACAATAGACTTCCTAGGGGAAAAAAAAAGGCCTTGATATGTAGCATTTGCCTATTTCCATAGCACAAATACTCCCATAGCATGAATGATTTCAAGTTACCCACATGTCACTGAACACAGATTTGGGGATTTGGGAAAAGATGTGTAGTGGCTAACCATTTCACCATATTGATAAAATAGGGGCATAGAAAATTGCAAACTCCAAAATAATAACAAAGTGACAAACTTTGAGTTTCATTTTTTTAATATAGTCTGTTTAATGGTAAGTATATAATTTAATTTTTAATATTAGTTGTATTTAATAACAGGCATGCAAAATTCTTGAAAATTTAATGATCTGCTTTCATGAGCTGGTGCAAGCAGGCCCAGCGTACCACTGGACTTGAAGTTTAAACTCTTTTTGCAATTTTTCCTTATTCCAAGTATTTTGTATTCAAAGATAAATAAATGTAGAAATATGGATTGATAAAAATATAAGGTCAGAGACAGAGTAATTCCTATTTTTTATTCTTTTAAAAATTAACATGAGATAATTAACTGTGGGTTGCACTTGGAAATGAATTCATCTTTCTTAGAGTCATAAGATCTTTGAGTTGGGGAACAGACTTAGAAAATACTTTCTTCATTCGTTTCCTTGATCAATAAGGAAATTGAGACCCCAACTGGGTCAGAGATTTGCCCCAGATCACTTCATAAGGGAGTGTGGAGCCAAGAAGAACAAGTTCAGTGATCTTTTCATTGCATCAGGCTGCCTTTGAGGATTTCGTTGATCCTCAGAAGGGTGTCTAATTCTCATACTAGTGGTAAAAAACGTCATTTGATATAAAAGAGTGCTACAGATTTAAAGTAGCACCAAAAAGAGGAAGGTTGAGTTTTTAAACTCCCAGAATCTAGAAAAATTAATTTCAATTTTACATTGCTGGAATTTAAGTTTTAATGTTAGTTATGTTTTTCATTTCCTCAAGTTCGTGCATATTAAATAGGTAATACTGTTGTAGAATGAGTTTTAGTGGTGATAGCTAAGAGGGTGTGAATACCTGTTTGTTGAATTATTAAAAAGAAATGAATCATTTCATTTAATCCTTGCAATGCAAGGATTAAAAATTTTGAGTGGATTAGTTCATCTGTCTGTCACTAACAGATACACTGAAGCAGAATTCATTTACTGATGCCCTCATTAAGTATTCACTGAGCGTCTCTTTTGTATTGGGCACTGTTCTAGACACTAGGGATACAGAGGTGAATGCAGCACTGTTTCTACCTTCATGGAATTTACATCCTATTGGGGAAAGCAAAGTAGAGCAGCAAAGAAAACAGTGACAGACTGGGAGAGCTGTTGTATGTAGGGTGTTCAGGGAAGTCCTCTCTGAAAAAAGGTGACATTAAAACAGAAACCTGAAAAAGATAAGAAAAGAGTCATGTGAATAACTGAAAAGAACAAATGCAAAGTCCCTGAGGCTGAAGAACGACTGGTGTGTTCAAGAAAATGGAGGCCAGTGCTGATGGATGCTGAGAGGGAGAGAGGGGAACATGGTCACTGGAGTCAGATCATATAATGCCTGTAGGCCATGGTCAGCAGTTATATTTTACTCTGTGAAGGGATGCCATTGGACTATTATGTAAATTTCAAAAAAAAAAAAAAATATATATATATATATATATCATTCTGGCTACATTGCAGAGTAGACTGTAGGGTTAGGGAGAGAGAAGATCCAAGCAGTGAAACTAGGTAGTAGAATATTATAATGCTATAGGTTAGAGAGATGGTGGCTTTGTTTCAAGTCAGTGCTTTGCAACGTTGGCTCCTCTTAAAGAACTTCTAAAAATTACGAATTTCAAACCCAGAGCAAGTAAATAAAACTATATGGCCCAGAATTTCGAGGTTGCAGTGCGGTATGATCGCACCACTGCACTCCAGCATGGGCAACAGAGTGAGACCCTATCTCTAAATATGTATATCTCTCATAGATAGAAATACCTATATATCTACATAAAGATACATATAGGCAGGACCCAGCATCGATAATTTTAAATCTCCCCAAGTGATTTTCAATGAGCAAGCAAGGTTGAGAACAAGTGTAATAATTGAGGTAATGACCATGGATGCGAATAGAAAGTGATTGGATTCTAGCTATATCAAATCATGTGTTCAACAGGATTTTCTTATTGGTTAGATGTGTGACATGAGCAAACAAAACCAGCAAAGGATTATTCAAAAATTTTTGGCCTGGGCAACTGGCAAATAGTTAGATGAGAAAACTTAAAAAAAAATCCGAAACAAATCTCTCGTTTTCACATAGTTGTCAAATTTACTCAAAATTGTGATGGATGGCACCATCTTCTATAACATGTACTTTCATATACACTTTGGAAAGAAAATGTATTTGATTCTTATTATATACATATATACATATATTATGTATGATATATAAATAATATTCTAATGTATCAAGATCAGAAAACAGAACCAGGGTAATTATTTTAGCAGAGTGATCGAAATATATGCAATTGTTCAACAGGAGTTGGGAGAACATTCTAAGGCAGAAAGAAGACACTAAGGGAACATAAAAGTCATAACCACAAAAAGTGGCCTCCATGCTTCTTGATGGGGGAACCAAGGGAAGAAGTGAGTGTTATCAGATGCTAGAATCTCAGAACCCAGGAACCCAGAACCAGAAACTAAACATCGAGAAGAGAAGGGTGCCCAGCTGCTGCTGCTACTGCAGGAGAACAAAGGAAGGGCCTTGTGGAACTGGGACGCAGACTGCTAATGGAAAGGTGCTGCCAGCTGATGCTGGTACATTTAGGATGGTGTGATAAGGCAGATTCTGGGAGAATCACAATGGCTAGAGCCAACTCTTTCTGGAACCAAGTTCTACTGCCAGGACTGAAGGGCAGTTCCTGGAGTGATAACATCAGAAAGAGCAAGCAAAGAGAAAGGAGCATGTCAGTTCTTTCCCTCTCTGGTCTTCCGGTCTTGATCTAGTGTCTCTACTAGTAGAAGTTAATATAGAGGCAGCTGGCAAAGGAGAAATGCGGTTTGCTGAGTCCCAGCCCCAGCATTACAAACCAGAGTGTGTAAGTGCAGAGCTTAACAACTGGCTGTAGTTCACCCATTGACTACTTACCATCCATACACATCTGCATATTTGAACTTCCATAAACAACAATAATCATCCTAAGTCCTAGCTTAACAAGGTGCAAATAACCTTCATAAAAAGGAAGATTCATTCTCTCTCTCTCTCTCTCTCCATCTCTCTTGCTCTGTCTCCAAATAGAAGGCTCAATGTCCCAAAGGTTACAGCATCCATCTCAGGGAAGCCACGCTATCCATCCCTACATGATGTTAATTACTCCTTAAGTTTAGTCATTGTTCCATTTCAATATCTGTAATAAAAAACTAACTTGAAAGTTAACCAGCCACAACAATTCTTATATAAAAGAATAAAAGGAAAGGGGAAGAAAGGAAAAATAATAGTACAATTCTAATTTCTGTAGGTGGTCACAAGGCCATAGTTGGTATTCATGATGTCCTTCTTCCACTACCCATATATCCTTCTTTAGCTTCGACATACTGTTCAATATTCTTTACCTTGTGGAGTGACCCCAATCTTCATTTCTGAAGTGTCTGAATTTTCAGTGGCCCAGCCTTTGCTGTTGTTGCTACTGTAGTTTTACATTAACTTTTACTATTGGATGTGGAACTTCTAACAGGTGTTCCAGAGAATCCTCTGGGTTCTGAAAATTGTCTTTCCTCTTCCCATTTTTGTAGCAACAATCTACTATTCTCTTGATATCAGAATCTATCATCCTAGCCAGTAGAGCAATCCACATCTTTGCCTGTCGGTTTAGTGGCAGGAGGAGCCCAAAATGACTGATAGAAATCTCAACTTTCAAGTGAGTCTTTTAGTGTAATAGTAGGAGTCACTCTCACGACTTCCCCTTGAATCTCAGACCCATGTATTCTAACTATGGGAGAAAAAAATGACTCAAATATATACTGCATTCTGTAAGACAGAACCCAGTTGTTTCTGGGCTTTGTCTGGCAACTGGTGCTATAACTCAGGCTTCAGTTTGCTAGTCCGCCATTCTGTCAGGCAAGATGCTTCCAGTTAATTAGGTAACTATTAAGACCTGTGAATTCCTGAGTATAAACCCATTTTCATGCTTCCTTTGGTGTTAAAATTAGTTCACAGTAAATAGCAATGATGTGTAGAGTACCATGATGATCAATAAGCATTCCATATATCTAATGACATTAGTGCTGGCAGAAGTATTATAGACTATGGAGGCAAAGCCACATACAGAATCTGTGTCTACTTGTGAGGACAAACCATACTCTTCCTGATAGAAAGGGTCTAATGTATAAACCTCACATCCAGTAGCTGACTGGTTTCCTTAGGGAATAGTGCCATCTTGGGGTCTCAACACTGTTTCTGTTGTTGGCAAGGTAGATACAGAAAGTCAGTAGCCTTCTGAGCAAGTACTTGAATGGTTGAGTAGAGATGCTGAATGACATATGTAGAACATATTATCTGTGTATCTAATTAGTGAGAGCTTCCTCTGCATTTAATGCTCTTTGGTAAGCATTCACGTGTGGCAAAGATATTCTCTACAAAGTAGAGTTAGCTACTGACCACAAGTCACTTTATATATTTTTTTTAATTTTTAATTGTTGTGGGTCTATAATAGGTATATATATTTATAGAGTATGTGAGGATACAGACATGTAATGCATAATAACCACATCAGGGTAAATGGGGTAACCATCCACTCAAGCATTTATCATTTGTGTTACAAACAATCCAATTATACTTTTAGTTATTTTAAAATATACAATCAAATTATTATTGACTGTAGTCACCCTGTTCTGCTATACTAGGGCTTGCTGTTTTTTTCTAACTATTTTTTTTGTGCCCATTAACCATCCCCACTTTTTCTTCAGCCCCCCAGTTACCCTTTCCAGCCTCTGGTAATCATTCTTCTAGTCTTTATCTCCTTGAGTTTGACTGTTTTAATTTTTAGCTCCTACAAATCAGTGAGGACACATCAAATTTGTCTTTCTGTGCCTGGCTTATTTCACTTAACATAATGACCTCCAGTTTCATCCATGTTGTTGCAGATGATGGGATCTCATTCTTTTTTAATGGCTGAATAGCACTCCATTGTGTATATGTATCACATTGTCTTTATCCATTCATCTATTGATGGATGCTTAGGTTGCTTCCAAATCATGGGTCTTATGAACAGTGCTATAACAAACATGGGAGTGCAAATGTCTTTTCAATATTCTGATTTCCTTTCTTTTGGGTATATACCCAGGAGTGGAGTTGCTGGATCATATAATGTCTCTATTTTTCATTTTTTGGGGAACTTCCAAACTGTTCTCTTTCTTTTGGGTATATACCCAGGAGTGGGGTTGTTGGATCACATAATAGCTCTATTTTTCAATTTTTGGGGAATTTCCAAACTGTTATCCACAGTGGTTATACTAGTTTTGATTCCCACCAACACTGTACAAGGGTTCCCTTTTTGCTACATCCTCTTCAGCATTTGTTGTTGCCTGTCTTTTGGATAAAGACCATTTTAACTGGGGTTAGATGATATTTCAATGTAGTTTTGATTTGCATTTCTCTAGTGATCAGTGATATTGAGCACTTTTTCTTATGCCTGTTTGCCATTTGCATGTCTTCTTTTGAGAAATGTGTATTCAGATCTTTTGCCCATTTTTAAATTAAATTATTAGAATTTTCCCTATAGAGTTGTTTGAGCTCCTTATATATTCTGGTTATTAATCCTTTGTCAGAAAGGTAGTTTGCAAATACTTTCTTCCATTTTGTGAGTTGTCACTTCACTTTTTCTATTGTTTCTGTTGCTGTGAAGAAGCTTTTAACTTTATGTGATCCCATTTGTCCATTTTTTCTTTGGTTGCCTATGCTTGTAAGGTTTTACTCAAGACGTCTTTGCCCAGACTGATGTCCTAGAGAGTTTCCCTGATGTAGTAGTTTCATAGTTTGAATTATTAGATTTAAGTCTTTAATCTGTTTTGATTTTATTTTAGTAAATGGCAAGAGAAAGGGGGTTTAGATTCATTCTTCTTCCTATAGATATCCACTTTTCCCAGCATCATTTATTGGAGAGACTGTCTTTTCCCCAATATATGCTCTTGGCACCTTTGTCAAAAATGAGTTCACTGTAGATGTATGGATTTGTTTCTGAGTTCTCTGTTTTTCCCCATTTTTCTGTGTATCTGTTTTTATGCTAGTACCATTCTTTTTTGATTACTATAGCTCTTTAATATAATTTGAAGTCAGGTAATGTGATTACTCCAGTTTTGTTCTTTTTGCTCAGGATGGCTTTGGCTATTCTGGGTCTTTTGTGATTCCATATACATTTTAGGATTGATTTTTCTATTTCTGTGAAGAATGTCATTTTAATTTTGATAGGGATTGCATTGAATCCATAGATTGCTTCAGGTAGTATTGATATTTTAACAATATAAATTCTTCCAATCCATGAACGTGGAATATCTTTCCCTTTTTTTGGTCCTCTTCAATTTATTTCATCAATGCTTTGTATGTTTATATGTCATATATGTTTTCATTGTAGATATTTTTCATTTCTTTGGTTAATTCCTAGGTATATATGTTGCTACTATAATGGGATTACTTTTTTATTTCTTTTTCAGATTGTTCACTGTTGGCAAATAGAAATCATATAGAAATGCTACCACTTTTTGTATGTTGACTTTGTATCCTGCAACTTTACTGAATTTGTTTTTCAGTTTTCATAGTATTTTGGTGGAGTCGTTAGGTTTTTCCAAATATAAGATTGTATCATCTCAAAACAAAAATAATTTCACCTTTTCCTTTCCAGTTTGGATGCCCTTTATTTATTTCACTTGTCTGATTGCTCTAGCTGGGACTTCCAGTAGTATGCTGAATAACAGTGGTGAAGGTGGGCAGCCTTTTCTTATTCAAGAACTTAGGGGAAAGGCTTTCAGTTTTTCCTCATTCAGTATGATACAACTGTGGGGCTGTTATTACGTTGAGATACATTCCTTCTCTGCCCAGTTTTTTTGAGGGTTTTTATCATGATCTATTGTTGAAATTTATCAAATGCTTTTTCAACATCAATATAAATGATTATATAGTTTTTATCCTTCACTCTGTTGATATGATACATCACATTGATGATTTGCGTATGTTGAACCATCCTTGCATCCCAAGGATAAATCCCATTTGGTCATGATAAATGATCTTTTCAAGGTATTGCTGCATTCAGTTTGCTAGTATATTTTTAGTATTTTTGCATCCATATTAGGGATATTGGCCTGTAGTTTTCTTTTCTTGACATGTCTTTCCCTGGTTTTGGTATCAGGGTGACACTGGCCTTGTAGAAATGAGTTCAGAAGTATTCTTTTCTTTTTAGGGGGATAGCTTGAGTAGCATTGATATTAGTTCTTCTTTAAATGGTTGGTAGAATTCAGCAGTGAAACCATCAGCTCCTGGGATTTTCTTTGCTGGAAGACTTTTTACTACAGCTTCAATCCCATTACTTGTTGTTAGTCTGTTCAGGTTTTGGATTTCTTCATGGTTAAATCTTGTTAGGTTTTATGCATCTAGCAATTTATCTATTTCCTCCAGATTTTCTAATTTATTGGTATACAGTTGCTCATAGTAGTGTATTAGTCCATTTTCATGCTGCTGATAAAGACGTACCCGACACTGGACGATTTACAAAAGAAAGAGGTTTATTGGGCTTACAGTTCCACGTGGCTGGAAGACCTCACAATCATGGCAGAAGGTGAAAGGCACATCTTACATGGTGGCAGACAAGAGAAGAACACTTGTGCAGGGATACTCCCCTTTTTAAAACCATCAGCTCTTGTGAGACTTATTCACTGTCAAGAGAACAGCATGGGAAAGACCTGCCCCCATGATTCAGTTACTTCCCACTGGGTACCTCCCACAGCACATCGAAATTCAATATGAGATTTGGGTGGGGACATAGCTAAACCATATTATTCTATCCCTGGCCCCTCCCAAATCTAATGTCCTCACATTTCAAAACCAATCATGCCTTCCCAACGGTCCCCCAAAGTCTTAACTCATGTCAGCATTAACTCAAAAGTCCACAGTCCAAAGTGTCACCTGAGACAAGGCAAATCCCTTCCGCTTATGAACCTGTAAAATCAAAAACCAGTTAGTTACTTCATAGATACAATGGGGATACAGGCATTGTGTAAATACAGCCATGCCAAATGGGAGAAAATGGCCAAAATAGAGGGCCTACAGGCCCCTTGCAAGTCCAAAATCCAGTGGGGCAGTCAAATCTTAAAGCTCCAAAATGATCTCCTTTGACTCTATGTCTCACATCCAGGTCACACTGATGGAAGAGGTATGTTTTCATGGTCTTGAGCAGCTCCGCCCCTGTGGCTTTGCAGGGTACTTCCTCTCTCCTGGCTGCTTTCACAGGCTGGTGTTGAGTGTCTGTGGCTTTTTCAGGCTCATGGTGCAAGCTGTTGGTGGATCTACCATTCTGGGATCTGCAGGATGGTTGGCCCTCTTCTCACAGCTGCACTAGACAGTGCCCCAGTGGTGACCCTGTGTGGGGCTCTAACCCCACATTTCCCTTCCGCACTGCCCTAGCAGAGGTTCTCCATGAGAGACTTACCCCTGTAGCAAACTGCTGCCTGACATCCAAGTGTTTCCATACATCCTCTGAAATCTAGGCAGAGGTTCCCAAACCTCAATTCTTGACTTCTCTGTGCCCACAGGCTCAACACTATGTGGAAGCTGCCAAGGCTTTGGGCTTGCACTTTTTGAAGCCACAGCCCAAGCTGTACCATGGCCCCTTTTAGTCATGGCTGGAGCAGCTGAGATGTAGGGCACCAAGTCCATAGACTGCAGATAGCACAGGGACCCTGGGCCTGGCCCATGAAGCCATTTTTCCTCCTAGGCCTCTGGGCCTGTGATGGGAAGGGCTGCCATAAAGACCTCTGACATGCCCTGGAGACATTTTCACCATTGTCTTGGGGATTAACATTTGGCTCCTTGTTACTTATGCAAATTTCTGCAGCAGGCTTGAATTTCTCCTCAGAAAATGGAGTTTTTTCTTTTCTATCATACTGTCAGGCTGCAAATTTTCCACACTTTCATGCTCTCCTTCCCTTATAACACTGAATGCCTTTAGCAGCACCTAAGTCACCTCTTGAATGCTTTGCTGCTTAGAAATTTCTTCTGCCAGATACCCTAAATTATCTCTCTCAAGTTCAAAGTTCCACAAATCTCCAGGGCAGGGGCAAAATGCCACCAGTTTCTTTGCTAAAACATAACAAGAATCACCTTTGCTCCAGTTCCCAACATCTGTGACCACCTCAGCCTGGACCTTACTGTTCATATCACTATCAGCATTTTTGTCAAAGCCATTCAACAAGTCTCTAGGAAGTTCCAAACGTTCTTACATTATACTTTCTTCTCCTGAGCTCTCCAAACTGTTCCAACTTCTGCCTGTTACCCAGTTCCAAAGTCGCTTCCACATTTTCAGATATCTTTTCAGCATTAACCCACTCTACTGGTACCAATTTACTGTATTAGTCCATTTTCACGCTGCTGATAAAGTCATACCTGAGACTGGACAATTTACAAAAGAAAGAGGTTTATTGGACTTATAGTTCCATGTGGCTGGGAAGGCCTCACAGTCATGGTAGAAGGTGAAAGTCATGTCTCACATGGCGGCTGGCAAGACAAGAGAGCCTGTGCAGGGAAACTCCCCTTATTAAAACCATCAGATCTTGTGAGACTTATCCACTATCATGAGAACTGCATGGGGAAGACCCACCCTCATGATTCAGTTACCTCCCACCAGGTCCCTCCCACAACATGTGGAAATTAAAGATGAGATTTGGGTGGGGACACAGCCAAACCATATCAAGTAGCCACTAATGATCCTTTGAATTTCTGCAGTTTCAGTTGTAGTGTCTTCTTTTTCAGCTCTCATTTTAGTGATTTGGGTCTCATCTCTTTTATTCTTAGTTGCTCTGGCTAAAGATTTCTTAATTTTCTTTATCTTTTCAAAACACCAACTTTCCATTTCATTGATTTTTTGTACTGTTTTCTTCATTTCAATTTCATTGATGTCTGCTCTGACTTTTATTTGTTTTCTTCTACTAATTTTGGGTTTTGTTTGTGCTTGCTTTTAGTTTTTTAATATTCCTTGTTAGTTTACTTATCTGGAGTTCTTTTTCTTTTGGGATGTGGGCACTTACTGCTAGAAATTTTCCTCTCAGTACTGTTTTCACTGTATCATAATTTTTGGTATATTGTGTTTCCATTATTATTTGTTTCAAGAAAATTTTCAATTTCCCTCTTAATTTCTTTATTTACCCATTGGTCATTCAGGAGCATATTGTTTAATTTCCATGTGCTTGTATAGTTTCCAAAATTCCTCTTATTATTGACTTCTCGTTTTATTCCATTGTGATCAGAGAAGAAGCTTGATATTATTCCAATTTTTAAATGTTTTAAGACTTGTTTTGTGACCTAACATATGGTCTATGCTTCAGAATGATTCATGCACTGAGGAAAAGAATGTGTATTCTGGAGCCATTGGATGAAATGTTCTGTAAATATCTATTAGGTCCATCACCACAAGTTACTTTAGGTCTGTACTTCTGAATTTCTCAGCATAGACAAAGTAGAAAACCAGGTAAACTGTATGAAGTGCTACCCACTGGGAGGATTCCTTCACCACATTTTTTTTCCAGTGGCATTTCATAGTTGGCTTTGCTCAGTGGGTGTGTAATTGCAGGCTCCTTTTAGGTTGTAAAAACATTATGCTAAACCATCTATAAACTAAGA
The DNA here is from genome assembly GCF_000001405.40 of Homo sapiens. Taxonomy (NCBI): domain Eukaryota; kingdom Metazoa; phylum Chordata; class Mammalia; order Primates; family Hominidae; genus Homo; species Homo sapiens. The sequence continues at coordinate 127,182,595 of NC_000004.12, read as the reverse complement.
CTTTTTCTTCCTTGCTCAAATTATCAAAGGTAATTATCCATGAAGTCCTGAGTGTGGATTAGGGGAGAGGGGACAATAAAGCAGGAGTAGGTGGCATAGGAGTGTGACCACCTGCTCATGTAACTTATTTCTGCCATCCACGTCTCTACAAGCCTAGTCACATATATACTATTTTCACTTGATGATGATTTGCTTCCATCAGCCAACATTGTAGTTTGTAAGTATCATGTAACATCATCTCAAAATGGATATCTCAGGTCATATGGTTCCTTAATGTCTCATACTCAGAGGGTACAGTCTCCATTAGGACCCACTGATAAGCTAGAAGCTATTTTTCAAAAGGAAAATAGTTACCCACAAGTTATCTACAGAAGAAGGCACATTTATTTTTCTAAAATTTGGTGATTCTGTTCTCCTTTAGGATCTTGCCAAAGTCTTCATCCAGCACCTGTGTTTGCCACAGACACTTTGACTATCATTGAATCTGCCGGATCCTAAATCTGAAGTGACTACCTGTATTTCAGCTTAGTCCTGCTGCAGAGCTTTCCATTGCTCTAGGCCCTGCCTAAAACTGGCAGCCTTTGGGGTTATTCAATAAATGGGTCTGAGCAGTGTATTCAAATATGATGTATGTTACCTCCTAATTCCAAGAAGACCTACCAAGCATTGTACCTCTTTTTTAATGATAGGTGAGTTCATGGCTTAACAACTTATCTTGAACTTTGGAAGGAAGGTACCACTACCATGCTTCAGATCACTGGACCCTCTGAAATGACTTCAAGATAATAGGCCTCTAAATTTTCACTCACAAATGGAAAATTTGCTCTGCTGTTCAAATTATTTAAGCCATGTAGCTTCTCTTTAAAGTTGTGATATTTCAAGGCTCACTAAAGTCCTTGGGCACTCAGTAAATAGACTTTAAGGATTTAACTTTTCTTTTATCTCTGTTTTTCTTTTTTTGGATGAAATGGTTAACTGACCATAGGTGGGAGTTGCACCATCATGGAAATACCCAGGGCAGATGGCAATTACATAGCATGCCTATACACCCTGTCCCTCTCTCATCCTTTGCTCATTGAAGATGTCACTCATTGTCCCTCTCCTATCCTTTGCTCATTGAAGATGTCACTCATTGATCATAGCCCTCTTTCTGAGCCTGAATATTGTCTCAGTATTCTTAATACAGGCCTTAAACAAGCCAATCAATTGATAAGAGTTGAAATCTGTTTGCTATTACATGAAACTTCTGCATGAGAATCACTGATGTGTTTGTTAAAAATGCAAATTTCCTGGGCTCACAACAGAGCCTATTGAATAAGAATGGTTGGGCTCAGGACTTTATTTAACAGGTATTTAAAAAGACAGCTTTAATTTTCCCATCAGCTTTGTTAAACTTTATAGATAGGTTTCTTTATGACCCAAGGCCCTGACCTACCTTTTCTTATGGTATTTAACTTTAGAAAACTTTCTATTATAACTTCTTTCTCTTCCCCTTTGAGATGTAAATACTCCCAGCCTCTTGCCAGTTTTAAAACCCAAGAATATCTTTCTCAAAGAAAACATAAAAATGGCCAGGAGGTTTATGAAAATATGCTCAACATCACTAATCAGCAGGGGAATGCAAATAAAAACTACTGTGAAATGCCACTTCATACCCATTAGGATTGCCATTATCAAAAATACAAGAAATAACAAGTGTTGTACCATTTGCCACAATATGGATGAAGCCGGAGAACATTATGCTAAGTGAAGTAAGCCAGATACAAAAAGAAAAATATCACATGATCTCATTTATTTGTAGAATCTTAAAAAATCAAATGGGAGGAAATGGGAGACGTAGGTCAAAGGATACAAAATAGCAGATACATAGGATGAACAAGTCTAGAGGTCTAATATGCAGCATGAGAAGGTAATAGTAGTGTTTTATATTTGGGATTTTTGCTAAATGAGTAGATTGTACATGTTCTTGCCACATTTAAAAAAATGGGTAACTATGTGAATTGTTGGATATGTTAATTGGCTTCACTATAGTAACCATTTTACTATCTATGTATCTCATAACATCACGTTGTATACTTTAAATATACACAATACAATTCATTAAAAAGAAAAAGAAAGGACCTGAGTGTCATTACTTTGAAATGTAGTCATCAAGAGAGTGCCTCTATTGCTCACCCTCTGAGGAGGGTAAGAGTGTAACTTCAATAAGTACCAACTAGAAAACACAGATGGTCTAATCACATTGACCAGCCTCCCCTTGACATCCTCCAGTGCTTTTCTACTAGGCCTTGCTAGCACTTAAAAACTCCCCTGCCTTTTGTTTCATCACATTGCATTAAATCTCTCTCCCATCTTGGAATAGTCTTGAATAAAGTCTTCCTGTCCTGTTTAAGCTGTTTGTTGCAACTTTACTTTGATAGTTTCACAGGTGACTTTCATTAATATTCAAATATAAGACACATCTCTCTAGATACTGAAGGGTAACCTCTAGGGAAATCAGCAGTCATTAACAAACAAACTCCACAAGCACACATTGCTGTTTCTCAGTCATTATCAGTAGGATTTAGTCTTTGAAATGACTTTTTCAATAGGAGAGTTTTAACTAAGCAAAACCTCTTATTTAGTAAATCTGATAACAAATTGCATGTATTTGTCCCATGACTGAAAAGGGCAAGCAGTGCAGTCTGTAGTAATGACTCAGAATGATGCTAAGCAAACATATAAATAAGATCTTAGTGTAGGGGTAGAATTGGTTTAGAGAAAAACTGGGGTAAATTACCAGCATCCAAACTTTGCATTTTTATCTCATAAAGGCTCTCAGTTCTTCTCATAAAGCACTCATAAAGCTCAGAGGCATCAGTGGCAGATAGCAGAATAACACTGTTAAATGGATATTCTGAACTATGTTAGGTTGCCTTTCATTTTAAACTGAAGCCAACAAGAAGGGTGATCTTCTGTAGACTGTTCAGTCTCTCTGGGTTTCGGTTTCTTTACCTGTAAGATAAAGAAGGCTTAACTCACTTTGTAAATATTTTTATGTGTTTTGGCTTCTCTACTTTTCCCTCTTTCTGGTCTCTTCCCGCTAGGAAAGTTAAAGGTTCAATGATTCTAAGAGTCTGTGAACAAGACTGATTTTTTTAAATGTGTTTTCAATATTTATGTAACCTAGGAAACCAAAAACTTGAGTTGGATAAGAATTCTTGTGTGAGATGAACATTTCCACTGAATATTTTACCCACTTTTATTGCTTATATGCTGGTCATATTATTTTCAGGTGATTAGATAAGTGTACCATTTGGATTGCATTCAGGACTATTAAAATTATGATAGATATTGAACAACTTGAGGACAGAAGAAAAATATGTGGTTATTTTTGTTTTATTATAAGTAGAAATGTCATGCTGCTATTTGGTTTTGGTATAACAAATTACTTGACATTCTATTTACTTCTTTTCTGGATTCATGAAGATTTTTGCAATAAATATCACTGTTCATGGTTATCAGTGTTTTATGGACATAAGTATAAATAAAACTAACCAAAATTTCAGGGGCATTTTTCTTCCTTTCAACTATTTATCCATTTATGACATAAATATTGACCGAATACCTACTATGTGGCATTGCAGAGGCTACGTACTGGTGACGCAAAAATTGAAAAGGTTCAGCAAAGAACTACAATATAGAGAGGTAAGTGTTAATGGAGCTAAGTACCAAGTATTAAAGGAGCACAGGGATGGTGTTATGACCTCATGTGGAGAGGTGAGATTTTCTCAGGGAAAGCTTCAGAGATGATTTGACCTGAGTCTTGTACAAAGAGCAGGAATTTGCTAAGTTGGGAAAAGAAGAGAGCAGAGGATAACAAAGTTTAGAGGAAGGAATTTGGGAGAAATCATTTTCTAATCAAAGATACAGAGGACTTTTGTGCCAATTTCCTTATTTGCATTTCCAATAGGAAGTCACTAACCTTGGTTTTACAGTGAAATTTGGTGTGATGTTGATGAAATGATAACTGGGCCATTACTAAGATTCATGAACATTTTCCCGTGGAAAAATCCTCATAAAGTCTGCTGTTTCTCACAGATTCGTGACCCTGTAAAGCAAAAGGCCTATAAAGAAAAACATTTGTTCTCATGAATCTAAAATCTCATACCCTCTGCTGTGATTATAGCAGGTTGACTTGAACCTCTATATAACAAGGGAGTGTAAATAATATCAATGCAGCCCTTCCTTTTTTGGTTAGGGAGTTATGCCTATTTGGTATTTTCTTATTCACTCCAGGTGATATTAAACACACAGTTAATTAATTTGGGAGGATTATGTCCCTTTAATTTGCAGAATAAGAGAAAAATCAATTTGACCAACTAAAACTTGAAAAGAAATCTTTAAGTGTGGGTATATTTTTCAGTTGTCTCTGGGCTCTTCAAGATTAAATTATAACTTTGATGTTCCCCTTTCAACATGATTTTATACCTTATTAGTCAATATTATCAATTCAATGTTCTTTGAAGAAAATCAAAATCAAAATATTTAAAAAGGTGATTGGGATATAATACATTGTTTATTAACAGTTATCAAAACTTTCTTAAGAATGTGTACCACATGCTCTCTGATGACATGGGAAAATTAAACCAAATGATACTGTTTAGATCACTGCACCATCTCTAGTAAGTTGAATATGTTTTAGGTCTTAAATTAATCTTTGTTGAGATTAATAATAATTAGAGACACTTTGCCTCTATCATCATAAAGTTAGGACATTGGGAAAGTATTTTTTTTAAAATGGTGTTTTCTTTAATTTAAATAGCAATGAGAAAATGTTAGGAAGCTCAGTGGTATCTTCCAGGAGATTTACATTTCTCACTCAATTTCTTGATTTTAGATTTCTTTCCAATAGAAAAGCTTAAATTTTGGCACACTTTAAAGCCTAAAAAGATATTCAATGGTCACTGTAGGGAGAAACCCTATTTACAAAGATGTTTAGAGCCCACAGCTTCTTCAGGGATTAAGGATCTTATTTCACCCCTTCTTATTGGAAAAAGAGGAATTAAGTGATGCATGTACAACCTAGATCCCAGAGTTTTGTGCCTAAGGAATACGTAAAATTTTATGAACTGAGTTATGCACTTTCCAAGTTGGATTTGTTTTACGTACAGGTATCAGTTTCTTAGTTTTCTTAGTGTTTTTAGGAGCTTTAATACAGGATATTCTTTTCATAATTTGATTGACTTGTGTTGCTCAAAATTTTCTGAAAAAATGATTTAATGTTTTGCAAGTGAAAATGATGCATGTTCTTGTTGGTTTTATTTAGTTATAACAGGAAGAAAAGAACTATCATATAACATCTAGGACATTGAAAATTAAACTTTAGTTTGGTTTCTTCCATCACAGCAAGGAAAGTACAAACAGACCCTGATTTAATGATGGTTCAACTTACAATTTTTTGACTTTATGATGGTGCAAAAGCCATACACAACTAGTAGAAACCATATTTCAAGTATCCATACAGCAATTCTATTTTTTACTTTTAGTACAGTATTCTATACATTATATGACATATTCAACATTTTATCTTAAAATAGGCTTTATATTGGATGATTTTTCTCATCTTTAGGCTAATGTAAGTGCTCTGAGCAAGGGTAAGGTAGGTTAAGCTAAGTTACAATGACTGGTAGGTTAGATGTGTTAAAAGCATTATTAACGTAATGATATTTTCAAGTCACAATGAGTTTATGAGGACATAATCCCATCGTACGTCAAGGAACATCTGTAGACTACTGCTGAGAGACAAGGTATACTACATCTGAGTAGTTCCTTTGTGTATTGAGAGTAAAAATCTTGGTAGTTCTCACATAATTTTTATAAGAAAACACATTTTTCCTGATGAAATGAAAATGGGGCTCTTTTTAAGGTAAGGACTAACTAATTGATACTACAAGGAAATATTGCATTCATCTGAAGGTGAGACATTAATCAACTGTTAAGTTAGAAAGTACAGTTCACAAGACTACTCTCACTTCTGACCCCAGTTGCAAGTTTCGGGGTTCTCAAGACTGCCTTCAGGTTTGATAATTTGCTATGAAGACTCACAGAACTCACTGGAAACTGTTATATTCAAGAGTTATGGTTTATTATAGTGAAGAATACCAATTAAAATCTGCCAAGGGAAGAAGTGCATAGGGAGGAGCCCAGAAAAGTACCAAATGTGGAGTTTCCATTATTCTCTCCCTGTGGAGTCATGGCCAACATTACCTTACCAGCAAGGATGTGTGACAACTGTGACAGCATGTACACAGTATTGCCAACCAGAGAAGCTCATCTGAGCGTTGATGTCCAGAGTTTTACTGGGGCTCCATGGTTGACTGCCTGAATGGCTGCCCCTTAGCCTTCATCTCCCTAAGCATAGATGCCACATGTCTCAGAGCCCCCGTCATAAATCACATTGTTTGACTGTTTGGTGGCCAAGGCCCCAAGTAAACAAAGACACTCTTCCTGGAGATCACCTCCCAGGTAATGAGGGCAAAAGTCAGGCCTTTCTTTGGGTAAGATTAACTCTTTAATACACAAAAACCAGTGTGGATAACTGGAGGAAAGAGCTGGATATTTTGAAAGTGAAGTCTCCTTTTCAGAATGTGAATTTTTATTTTTTAATTTTTTAATTCTTTATTTTTTATTTTTTTTGCTGCAGAAGCTACATAAGTAGTCAAAAGTGATCAATTAGGAATCAGATCTCAGTTTATGTTCTCTGGTTTGTATGTCTGCTAGGCATGTAATCCAAAAAGCTGTTTTATTTTCTTAGCTTCACTTTCAAGGATGATGAAACTAGAATAATCAACTTTGCCTATTTCTCTAGATTGTAGTGAAACCTAAATAATAAAAGGTAAAATTGCCTCACAAAGTACCATACAAATGTACTTTATAATATTTAATATCTCTGAAGAAGAGCTTGCAGTTACAAGTTATCAAACTATTTGAGTTATTAATTTTTGAATTGAAATTTTGAAGAATATTGTCAGCAAGGGACATGACTGTTTTAAGTAAAATTTAGGGCTGCAATATAAAGAATAAATGTTTAAATATTTTACTTCAGATATGTAATTACCAGCATAGAGAAGAGGGCATTTTTATAGATAAAGCTTTTTTACTCTGCTAAAGTAAAAAAGCGTGAGCTTTAAAGAGAAATAATCCCAGAAACATGATATCACTAGGGGACAAATTATTCATATAATGCATTGACCTACACATCTTATAGGGCTCGTGTTATTATTAACAGTGAAATATTTAACCATGGCAGGGATATATTATGCTAATACATTTTATATTGTAAATAATAATGTCAAATATAATTCATAGTTAACTAGTAGAAAGCTGCCTTTGGATAAGACCCTGTACGCCTTGGGTATATAGGCATTAGTTTAATTTGTTTAGCAAAATGGAGGTCCAGAAAAATAATACTTGTACTTTTTCAAAATTGTTATCATTTGAGAAGCTGAATAACCAGCAGTTATATTCCAGTTACATGCAGAACATTTCATTTACAGAATACTTGTAGGAAGAAAATATATCTATGCACACCCATGGACTTTTGCTAGCGGTTATAAACTTGATATATTGTCCTGGTTTGTTCTTTTGTTGGAAAAAGAATAGAGAGAAATTATCCATCTGGCTCCTGTCCTGAAGTTGAGCCCAAGAGGGAGGTGATGTAGGGTAAAGACTTAGAATCTCTGCACGAAATGAATGTCTTGCTGACATTGTGAAGCTGTGTGTACTTATGAAATGCCAAGGTTCTCTGCATGGTCCCTGTTACCCACCTCTAATTCTTTCACACACAAGGTCTTCCAGATGTTCCTAAGGAGAATGTGTCTCTTTAAAATAAAAGTTATATCAGCCATCATTTTCCACATATTCCTATGGCACCCATTTACAAGACTTTGTAATAAATTCCCAAACATCTGCAGATAGTATCTCCATAATTACTTTTGAAATTACTAGCCACCTGTCAGCGCAGAGATTACTACTATGAAGAATGTCAAAGGGGAATTAAAGTTTTTTTTTATTAGGTCACCAGCATTCTACCATAGACATATTGTGGGCAGATAGGACCATTTCAGCACACAATTTTATTAGGTACAATAAATTTGAAGTTTACATGTTCCACAGTTACTGCATATGCATATTTACTGTGTGCATATGTATTCAGCAGTAACTGAAAACTGCTTAGGATGGCAGTAGTACCTTGGGGTTTGAGTTTCAGATGAAAAAGAGATGTTCAGCTTTTTTGTTTCTTGTACAAAAATACATTTGCTTAAAAAGCAACTGGAGCTACTTAGGACACATTATGCTGCTTTGCCTCATGGAAATGCTGTGAAATTTAATTTTGCAAATGCATAACTGTATGGGAAAGGATAACTCCTAAGATTTATCCTAGGGAGGAGAGAATAAAAGAGTTAGAAAGCCGAAGCACTAGTTTGATGTAAGTGGGGAAACAACTATGAAATATCTCATGGTGCCCATGTGAGAAATAAGGGCAAGGGAGATTGATTTGCCCTTGACCTCTGCTACCCTTCCAGGCCTAATAGCCAGCTAATATTTGAATGCTTGTGTTGTGACAGGCCTTATGTTGAGCATTTTATGTGTCATCTCATTTAATATGCAAAACTACCCACAGAATTAGGAATTATTATTATTATTGTTATTATGACTTCCAGACTACAGTTTTAAGAGATAAAAAATCAAAGATTGCCCATGATGACATAGCTAGTCAGTGGTGAAACAGGGACTTCCATCATCACTATTGAGTATGCAAAGTCACCAATTCTCAATGTTGCTAAACCTAGTGGCCATTTCTCAGTCCTCTTCTTGTTTGACCATTAGTAGAATTTGAATAATAGAATATACACTCGAAGTATTTTTTTCTCTCTTGGCTCCAGGGATAGCATAAACTCACTATTTTATTCATTCTGGATACTCCTTCAATCTTAGATGGTGCTTCCTCATCTCCTCAGGGCTCAGTTTTGATCTTTCTTTCCCATTCATGCACAGACGGGATGATTTCATCTGGTAGTTTCAAAACATGCAATACCAGCTCTAGGCAAATGACTCCTCAGGTACATCTCTAGTATGGTCTCCTCCAGACTCAGGGTCTCCTCTAGAGTTAGCTATTTTCTGTCTCTCCCTCTTTAGTTGGCTACAGAGAATAAGACCTGAAGTTCCAGTGTGGACTTAGAGGCCCCTTAGGTCTTTAGTGTAATACACAGCAAATTTCAGCTTCCTAGAGGAGGCTTCACTTGAGTTTAGGGCTCCAAACCCAGCTAAAAATAAAGTTAGTTTTTTGACCCTCTTCCAGTATTCCCTGTGTTCTGCTTCCCTTAGGAGCCATATGGCAAGGGACAGCTATGGTCTGGGGCAGAATTCATGCATTAAATCTAAATTCCATCTCAACTTTTAACTGTTCAACTTGCCCATTATTACACTTTTTGAGGGTAACTGTAGTTGTATTGAATCTCGAGTGTGTATAGTGGTGTTTTTAGATGATGGCTTTTTGGTGGAATTTGAATTACTCCTATATGATATGACATACTAAGATATGATATGATATATATTATACACTTTGTAGGAAGTATAGGCATACCTCAGAGATACTGTGGGTTTGGTTCCAGACCACCATAGTAAGGTGAACTATCACAAAAAGCAAGTCACATGATTTTTTTAGTTTCTTAGTGTATATAAAAGTTATTTTTACATTATACTGAGGTCTATTAAGTGTGCAATAGCATTATGTCTAAAAATGTATATACCTTAGTTAAAAATAATTTATTGCTAAAAAGTGCTATCATCTGAGCCTTCAGCAAGCCGTATTTTTTTTTTTTTGCTGGTGGAGGGTCTTTCCTCAATGTCAATGACTGCTAACTATCAGGGTGATGGTTGCTAAAGGTTTGGTTGGCTGTGGCAGCTTCTTGAAGTAAACCAACAGGTTTGAAGTCTTGAAGTTGTATGCCAACAATAATGTTTGGCATATCAATTGACTCTTTTTTTTCACAAAAGATTTCTCTGTAGCATGTGATGCTGTTTGATAGTATTTTACCCACAATAGAATATTTTCCAAAATTGGAGTCAATCCTCTCAAACCCTGCTGCTGCTTTATTAACTAAATTTATGTCATATTCTAAATCATTTTTGTCATTTCAACAATATCCACAGCATCTTCACCACAAATAGATTCCATCTCAAGAAACCACTTTTCTTTTGCTTATCCATAAGAAGCAACTCCTCATTCATTCAAGTTTTATCATGAGATTTCAGTAATTCAGTCACATCTTTAGGCTTCACTTCTAATTCTAATTATCTTTCTATTTCCACCATACAAGCAGTTACTTTCTCCTCTTGTCTTGAACCCCTCCAAGTCATCCATGAGGGTTGGAATCAACTTCTTTTAAATTCCTGTTAATGTTGATATTTTAACCTTCTCTCATGAATCACGAATGTTCTTAATGGAATCTAGAATGGTGAATTCTTTCCAGAAGGTTTTCAATTTACTTCACCCAGATTCATCAGATAAATCACTATCCATGACACTTATAGCCTTACAAAATATATTTCTTAAATAGTAAGATTTTAAAGTCAAAATTACTCCTTGACCGATGGACTGCAGAATGGGTGTGTGTTAGCAGGTATGAAAACAACATTTATCTCCTTGTACATCTCTATTAGAGCTCTTGAGTGACCAAGTGCATTGTCAAGGAGCAATAATATTTTGAAAAGATATTTATTATGAGCATTAGTTCTCAACATTGGGCTTAAAATATTGAGAAAACATGCTGTAAACAGTTGTACTGTTATCCAGTCTTTGTTGTTCCATTTAAAGAGCACAGGCAGAGTAGATTTAATATAATTCTTAAGGCCCCTGGGATTTTCAGAATAATAAATAAGCATTGGCTTTAACTTATTTACCAGCTGAATTAGCCCCTAACAAGAGAGTAGGCTTGTCTTTTGGAGATTTGAAGCAAGGCATTGACTTCTCCTCCTTAGCTCTGAATGTCCTAGAAAGTATCTTTTTCCCAATAAGGCTTTTTTTTGTCTACATTAAGAATGTTTAATGATTTGAAAATCTACAATGGTGGCTGTGTAGCCACCCTCATCAGTTATCTTAGCTAGAACTTCTGCATAATTTGCTGAAGCTTTTCTGTCAGCATTTGCTGTTTCATCTTGGACTTTTATTTTATGGAAATGATTTCTTTCCTTCAACCTCATGAACCAACCTCTGTTAGCTTTCAACTTTTCTTCTGCAGCTTTCTCACTTCTCTCAGCCTTCATGGAATTGGAGAGAGTTAGGGGGTGCTCTGAATTAAGCTTTGGCTGAAGGGAATATTATGGCTGGTTTGATCTTCTATTTGGACTACCGAAACTTTCTCCATATGAGCAATAAGGCTGTTTGTTTCACTTTCTTATACTTCATGGAATAGCACTTTTAATTTTCTTCAAGAACTTTTTCTGTGTATCTACAACTTAGCTAATTATTTGATACAAGAGGCCTAACTTTCAGCCTTTCTCAGCTTTCAATATGCCTTCTTCACTAAGCTTAATTATTTCTAGCTTTTGACTTAAAGTGGGAAACATGCGACACTTTCTGTCAATTGAAGACTTAGAGGTCATTGTAGGGTTATTTATTGGCCTAAATTTAATATTATTGTGTCTCAGGGAACAAGAAGGCCTGAGGAGAGGGAGAGAAATGAGGGAACGATTGGTCAGTGAGCAGTCAGAACACATACATTTACTAAGTTTGTCATCTTATGTGGACACAATTCATGGTGCCCCAAAACAGTTATGATGGTACCATCAAAGATCCCTGATCACAGATTAACATAACCGATATAATAATTAAAAAGTTTGAAATATTTCAAGAATTACCAAAATGTGACAGAGACATGAAGTGAGCCCACATTGTTGGAAAAGTGGTGTCAATAGGCTTGCTTGACACCAGGTTGTCACAAACCTTCAATTTGTAAAAAATACAATAACTGGGAAGCATTGTAAAATAAGCTGTGACTGTAATAAAATACTAATTGTCTTGATGCTTTTGAATACTGGGCAAGAGTTTCACAAATAGAAGAAATGACATATTCACAGCTATGTTGATGAGCACAAGCAAGCACATCTGGGAAGTGACAAATAGCGTGGCAGGTGCACAGGATACACAGAGACAGTGATAGAGATGATGCCAAAGGTGAGCAGAATAAGAAACATTAAGTGTCTTGGACTTTGAGGGGGCCTGTAAATGACATGATACAATGGAGTCAGCAAAACTAAATATCCGCTTTCTTGACAACAAGGCTCACATGATAGAAAATAGCATAGATATGTGGCAATGGTGGGCTTCCTTGGACTGAAGCCCAGAATTAGGTAGATTTATTCACTTTGTCAAAGGCAGCACCAAACAGCCACATACCACCACATATGGAGTATTGTAAAGAGGAGCAGGACAGAATATCTGCCTCTAAGAGTTCCACTGAGAAAGAAGAGAAAGGAATTAGTCTTTCTCAAACTTCTCCATCAGAAAATGAATGCTACTTCAATGAAGAGGATTAAGAAGTAGGTTAAAAGACCTAGTGTTCAGAAGACAAGAGGAGTGGAGAAGAAACATTGCACCTACATCTTCCCCAGGATTGAATTCTTTAGGCATTGGAAAATGACTGAAGAACTTTAAGCAGGAACTCGAGGCATATCCGTTTGATGGTTGTATGTGTGGCTTGGTAGGTAGATGTACAGCACGTGGGGCCTTGAATGTTAAGCCAAAGGTTTTAAATGAATTTACTTTAGTACCATCAAGTAAAGTTACTAGGAGCAGAGAGGCATCCATGTTACTGATCAAAAAGTGATTCATTTAGAAGTGATATGTAGGGTTAAAGGGATTTGAGATAAACTTCAAGAGGGGATCCTGAATAGGAAGCAATGGCCATAGTGACAGGCAGTAAGTGAAACTATGGAGATGTTTTAGAAATGCAAAGAAAGAACAGATGTGAGTGATATTAGTGAAGAATGGATGAATAGAACTTGATTAGTGGTTGGAGAGGGAAAGAGGGCTAATGAAACATCAGCCTTGGATTACTTTACCCAGGTGATCAGGAGAAAACAAATGAAAAGGAATGGAGAAGAAGGTATTGGCTGGAGGAAAGAAATTCAGGGCAAGTATATACTAGAAACACATTAGATAATTGTCAAAAAAATGTGGTTACTGATTGATAAAGACAATATATTAAGTAAAACTCTTCCTCTTTGACAATTATATTGAACTTAATGTGAAGACTAATGTTTATCGAAGAGGCTGGCTGAGATGAAGGAGAAGAATTGGAAAAGTGTACCAGTAAAAATGGAGGACGTTGACAATTTACTCAGAACAGAGATACTCTTGAGGTCAGTGAAGGACCTAGTAGAGAAGTAGGGTGGAGAGAGGGAGTCAATTAGAAAGGAATGGGAGCTTGGAAAAAGATATCCATAAAAGGGTTTGTGCCAAAGTTACCAAGTATATTAGGGTTCCCTAGAGGGACAGATGTCTATAGGATAGATGTCCATATATCTTATATATAGGATACATGTCCATATATCTTATATATAGGATACAAGTCCATATATCCTATATATAGGATAGATGTCTATATGAAGGGGAGTTTATTAAGGAGAATTGACTCAGATGATCACAAGGTGGAGTCCCACAATAGACCATGTGCAAAGTGAGGAGCAATGAAGCTAGCCCAAGTCCCTCAAAAGTAGGGAAGCCGAAAGTGTAACCTTCAGTCTGTGGCGAAGGCTGGAGAGCCCTTGGCAAACATTGATGTAAGTCCAAGAGTCCAAAAGCTAAAGAACTTGTAGTCTGATGTTCAAGGGCAGGAAGCATCCAGCACGGGAGAATGATGAAAGCCGGAAGACTCAGCAAGTCAGCTTCTTCCACCTTCTGCCTTTTTCTAGCTACCCTGGCAGCAGATTGGATGGTGTCTACCCACATTGTGGGTGGTCTTCCTGAGAATGAGTCTTCCTCTCCAAGTCCTCTGACTCAAATGTTAATCTCTTCTGGCAACACCCAGAAACACTGGGATACACCCAGAAACAATACTTTGTATCCTTCAGTCAAGTTGGCAGTTAATATTAACCATCACACCAAGTATGAATGATAGTGTTAGAGGTTAGAGATTATTTTTTTCTTTAGTACCATCAAGTAAAGTTACTAGGAGCTTGATAAACTTGGATAATTCAAAAGAAGGTACATTTTAGGAGTCTATGTGTGAGACCCTGAGAGTCAACTCACACAGTGGACATATCTCCTGCCACTTGGATAGACTGAATGTAAGAGAATTTTGAACCACTGATTCATTTCTCTTTTGCTTCACTTTGCTTACGTTCATATATAAAACCTACAGAACAAAACAATGTGTGCAGAATTAATGATTAGAAACCATAGTTCTTCCAAATGACCATAACTGGACCCTTGAGTCTGGAAGTCTTTGAAGAAAAGCAGGTGTATCACATTTCTAAGTATTTCCAGTGTCTAAGCATTCAATATCCAGAAAGTCAGTGCTTCAAAAATATTTCTTTTAGCAAGTTTTAAAAGAAAATTTTAATCCACAATATGGTTAAGTCTTGTGATTCTTCCCATGGTGTGTTGAGTTTCTCTGCCAAGTGAGACTCACTTTTACCATATGCATCAGAACTTAGTTATATATTAGGTGGCTTAGGGGGGATATTCCGGGAAACATCTTTCTACTTGTCATTTGGTCTAGACGAATTTATAGGAATACTTATTTGCCTGCCAATTAGCAAACAAGCCTTCTAATATGTCACTTGCTATTTTGCAGTCACAAAATCCTCATTCAATATCTCATTTTTTTAAAAAAACCAAAACACCAGTGTTACAGGCTAGAATAGAATAAACTCCCTCTTTTGTAGTTCAGAGGAATTGTTTTTCTCTTGAAATTAAAACATTGATGAGACCTTAGATTATTACGTAGAATAGACCAACCTTCTACTCAGTGCAAGGATCCCTTTTATAGAATCCATGATAGTTGATATCCAGCCTCTGCTTGAATAATTCTTTAGAGCAGCTCTTTTTTTTTGTATTGAATCAAAACGTACATTTTAATTTAATCAGTTGTATCAATTGATAGGTCTACTTTTTGATACTTTGATCTATCTCTTATCTCAAATATCTTTAAGTCTTTGAAGGCAGCCATTCTGTCATGGTGCCTCAGATGTTTGTCTGCTCTTTGTTGGGTGTAAAGTGTTATCTCTACTACTGTTCACGTAGAATGGCTTCCAGTTCTTTCGGCATCCAGGATGTACTCTTCTAGATAAATTATTTTATTAAAGTCCCTGTTATTGAAGAAGTAGCTATTACTTCGTTACAATATCATTTAGCCAGCATCATTTAATTTTTCCCCCATATTTCAATCAAAATAATTTTGAAAATGCCTTAATATAAAAAATTAACCAATTTTATTTTAGACTATAGACGAGGTCTTGACTTGCTAAAAGTGAATGAGGCCTGAATCAAAACAGGAATTTCAGATATAAAAAGCGTAACTTTCTATTTCTTCTACTGTTCAGAGATACAAACTTATCTACTATTCAGAGATACAAACTTATCTACTGTTCAGAGATACAAACTTCCATCAAGTAGAAAGCCAGTAGCAAATGTTTCGTTGTATAAGAATTGTTTTATAAGTTGAACAAGGCCAACTGACTTCTTTCCAGACCATCCTTGCAATATTATCTTTCTATATTTATTCAGGGACTATAATTTCTAGTATATGAAGCATGGCCTCTGGTGAAGGGGACAGGCAGTGGGGCATGGGGTTCTGGAAGGTATAATCCATTCTAAGAATGGATAGTGTGAGGAGCAGCCTCTGGTGCTCTGCATTTTTTGAGTTGCAGAAAGTTCCTGGGTGGCTGGGAAAGCTATCAGCCTCCATTCATGAAATGGGACACATCACTGGCAATCTCTCTTTCCAGGCAATGCAAACAATCATATCTGCTTGAAATCATGTTTATAGAGAAGATGCAACTTCCTGATTTTCTTTCATGGTCTCTTCAGAGTGAGCTGTAGGATTGTAGTTGTCTATTTTGGGTATTACAAGCATATCATGTAGAACCATCTCTAAACCTAGCCAATTTTTTTCTTCCTTAGTCAGCTGGTCACAGGCACTTCCCATGAGAACACAGATGCAGGTTGCAGGAGAGGAGAGGAGAGGAGAGGAGATAATGTAGCAAGAATAGGGTCCATGGATATCTGAGTCACTTGCTCATGCAGCTTACTTGTAGGTTCAGGACCTCTCAAGCCTGATTTTGTATATTCTACTTCTATTTGATGATGAAACTACAGCACAGGCCCAAATTTATGGTGTGATGATTCAGACAACACTCAATCCATGATAGGAATCTCAGGTCACATGGTAACTTCATGGTTGATGATCAAGTATTCACGTCTACTAAGGCCTTATGGTATGACAAAAGGAGAATCATGATCTCCAGAGGAAGGCAGAGCATTGCTTAAGATCTAACAGGTCTGTGCTGTGATTTACCTGTAAGGGCCTGATAAAAGCTCTGTACAGCATTCCTATCTGCCAAAGAGACTTGAAGCACCAGTGCTTTAACTGGATCATATAACTCAAGTCTCAGAGCAGCTTGCAGGTCATCCTTGAAAAGATGCAGTGCTGTATCTTGTTCTGAGTGCCACTCAAAACTGACGGCTTTTTGGGTTACTTGGAAAAAGGTCAGAGTCGCATGCCCGGAAAAGGTACATGTTATCTCTACAATCTAAACAGGGCCATTAGAGACTATTTCTTTCTGAGTGGTAGAGGGAGTCAGACAGCAGTATGACCTTCACCTTGGAAGGAATATGAACTTAGAATGATTTTACAGATTTGTATGTCAAAAAATGGCATCAAAAATAATAAAAAATTTAAATTTATGTCAAATAATATTTTATTGAAACACAGCCATTCTCATTTGATTACATAATCTATTTCTGTACATAACAGCAGAGTTGATTAGTCGGACAGAGATGATATAGATCATAAAACCTGAAATACTTGCCATTTGCCCCTCTATAGAAAAAAATTATTGCGTCCTGCAAAATACAATTCTAGGCTAATAAATCTATAGAATCAAAATTAAATGGGAAAAATCCTGGGATAATATGAAACACCAAAAGTTAAATAATAAGTTAGAGACTTGAAAAAAAATTCAACAAATGGTGAACAAATTTAGAAGTGCTGTTAAGGAATTTTTTCTTGAGATTGTGGATATATGTTGTTTTTATAGGTGACTCCATGTAACATTTGCAAATAAAAAATATTAAAATTATCCCAACTGGATTCACAAAGTCAGTATAATTTTGCATCCCAAATGAAAAATTGAAAACAAATAATGTTAAATGATATTAAAAATAATGTTAAAAATCCTCTAAAAAATTAGAGGATTGGGGCTGGGCACGGTGGCTCACACCTATAATCCCAGCACTTTGGGAGGCCAAGGCGGGTGGATTACCTGAGGTCGGGAGTTCAAGACCAGCTTGACCAACATGGAGAAACCCCATCTCTACTAAAAATATAAAAATTAGCCAGGTGTGGTGGCACATGCCTGTAATCCCAGCTACTGGGGAGGCTGAGGCAGGAGAATCACTTGAACCCAGGAGGCAGAGGTTGTGATGAGTGGAGACTGTACCATTGCACTCCAGCCTGGTCAACAAGAGTGAAACTGTCTCAAAAAAAAAAAAAAAAAAAAGAAGATTAGAGGATTGGGTAATAACATTTTGGTGTATTAACTAGTTGGAAAATTATTATATAACCATTAAGACATATAAATATGAATATAATATTATAGTATATAAGTTTCAAGTGATATAATGTTAAGTGAAAAAAGTCGTATATAAAATTGTATCTACCCTACATTGCTTCCCTGCATAAAACATATAGAGGAAACCAAAGACTTATATGTAAACCTACCAATGCTGACCCTGATCTTCTTAGGGTGTTGAAATTATATAAGGTTATTTTTCTTGGTTTAAAAAATCTATTTGAATAGATATTTCATAATGTGATTATAGTCGCTTTATAATAAAAAAAATTTTTAATTAAAAAATTTTTAAATGAATTACTGATAATTCACTTTCTGATAGATTTTGTGGGAAATTTATTTTCTGGACTATACACAATATTTTCCTTCCCCTGCTAAATTTTATTATGTGAACTTTGGCTTTCCTTATAGTACATTAAATATTTTTTTCAATGTTTAGTCATTTGACATTAATGTTTATTTCCTTATGACATCTATAGATTTGATGAATATATCTTTTACTTTGCCTTTATCTACATTGCATATATAATAAAAATATTTACCACTAAATGAAACCAGTCTTGAAGTTCTTGATGTACCTTCTAAATGTCAAATGCGGAAGACTATCTCAGTTCTCATTTTTCTGTCTTATAGAGTATTTGACCTCTGCCCCTTCAAATTTTCTTTCTACTGGACTACAGCCCTGTCCCAGTTTTCTACCATTATTTCTACCATCTCAGTGGAAACGTTCACTAAGGTTATATATCTTGTTTTTCATTATTTTCCTTGGGTATCTTTCCCATTTCTTATCTTCACATATCACCTCTGTGAAGATTACTCCCAAATATCTATTTCAGGCCTTCCCTCTGAGCTCTGAGTAAGTATGTCTAGATGTTTGCTTGAGAGTTCAACCTGGTAGTTGTGCTGGAACTTAAACTCAGCATTTCCCAAACACTCTTCATTTCCTCTGGTGACAGCATTCTTCTTGTCCTCTAACTTTGGAGTCATACTTACTCCTCCTCCATTTTCCTGTATCTATTAATAGTTGCCATTAGGTGCAATACACCTAAGTGGCATTTCTTGCTCTTTCTACCCATACTGAGAGGCAATGTGCAGAGTGGTTAAGGGTGTGGCCTCTGGAGACAAACTGCTTAAGTTTGCTATGATCTAGCTCTGTGACTTTGGGCAATGTTTTTAAGCTTCTGATCCTTGGTTCCCTCATTTGTAAATTGGGGAAGGTAATATTATTAGCATATGATCTCACAGAATCATTCTGATGATTAAAACATAATGTATGTTATGACCTCGGATGACTGCCCAGCATAGAAAGTTTAGCTCAATAAAGCTTGTCTACTATTATTATTTTCATTCTAAGTGCTACCACCTTCACTCAAATTCTTTTAATGTCTCGGCTGTTGTTGCATTGTGTCATATGATGGATTCCCTGATTTCTGAAGAATAAGTCTATATTCTTTTATTTGAGATATACTTTTAAAGTTTATATGAAACCCACTTAATTCTGCCAAGATTTATGCCTCATGTGACATCTGATGGACCAAATAGGAAACATGCAAAGTAGAGACATTGTATTCCCTTCCTGTAGTGGGGCATTTAGTGTGAGACCAGTGCGTTAAAAGGAGGCCTCAAAAAAAAAAAAAAATCCAAAGACAGATGTATAGTTTGGAATGCAAAAATAAAACAAAACAAAGTGCTCACGTCATGTCAACACAGGCAAAATTAGCTTGGGGAGAATTTACGGATCAGAAGATCCCAGGGCAGGAAAATGGGAAGCTGTGGTGTAGCCTTGGGACATCTCTGTGAGGGTTATTTGGTTATGCAATAACATCAAGTAATTCCTCTCTGTAGAGTCATATGCACCCTGGATTACCACATATAACAAGAGACACAGTTCTCTTTTCTGTTTTTCTTTCACTCACAGCCAACCACTTGTAACCTCACTCAAGCCATTAGCTTAGAATGAAAACCTCATTTATATACTTGCTTTACGTGCTTATTTTGCTAACTTGTAGTATTTCCCTGAAAGACATTTACGATATTTCCCCATTCTCATTTTATATTTCATACTACTAATTTTAAATGGTTCTATTTTGACTTTCTGACCAAATGTGCATTTTAAAAGGGTGATTTTAAAAGTATAGAAAGAATTCTCACAGCTTAGAGTTTCCTTGCATCACACTTTCTCTTAAAATGGCACCTGGGAAATATTGACCATTTTATTGTAGTCTATTTCCTTTTGTCTTGTGGCTTATTTCTATCTGTTTCTGTCAGCTATGAAAGATTTATCCATATGCCAAAGAACTGTGAAATATTTTATGAACTTTTCGGAAAGAATGATTGAATATTATGTAAGAGCTTAACTCTGTAAATTTATAATAGGCCTGTGACAATAGAATTCAGTTTCTGCTAGAGCTCCCTGGTTTTGAGCATCATGAAAAGACACCAACCTTGGTGCACTGACACATTCAATATTTCCTACATCCGGAAATGTTGGGTTGGATCTTTTATTGTGCTGTCCATTGAGGGGAGCAGAAGGTGCATTTAAGCTGGTCTAAGATCAGGAACAGAGAGGTAAGTAAGATGTAACTATCTATCTGTCTGTCTGTCTGTTTACCTACCGTCTATCCCTGCAGCCCCTCTCTCCATCATGCTGATGATCAGTGTCCCACTCCTACATCATCCCTTGTAATTGCCTTTATCTCCTCCCAACAGAATGCAGTATTGAATAGTGTCAAGAGCAGAGATTATGGAGTTAGACAGACCTGAGTTTTAATCGAGCGCTACTGTTTATTTGCTGTGTGATCATGCATAAATTGGTCAGTAAGTGCTTCTGCAGGTTGTAATGAGGGTTAAGTAGAGAAATGTGTATAAAAACTTGACCCACAAAGATGTAAAGGGTGAACAGTCTGATTTTTTTTTTTTGAGCCAGTCCTTCAACCTGCACTTTCCAGAGCTCTCTGTAAATCTAACTGACTGACTCTGGGGTTTTATTTTTGTTCTGGGTGAACCACTTCTCCCCTTTTTCCAAGGCTAAGGTTTCAAATCTCAATCTTTAGAATTTTCACTTTCTTTATCCTCTTGCTCTTGGCTTGGGGCTTCTGGAAGATTTGTTTAATTGCCAAATCTTATAAGAAATCTCTGGTCAGAGGGACATATATATGGGAGACAGAGGAGGAGGCAGGAGAAAAACAGGGAAAATTTTTCTTTAAATTTTGGGTCTAGCATTGCAGAGGAGGGTTATGCTGACACCTGTTAAGTCCTGAAGATCAGAAGCAAGTTATATAGCCTCATGCACAGGTAATAACTTGCTTCAGTCCTAGGACAAAACGATGTCATGTTTCATCAACTAGGGACAAACACCACAAATGTAGGTGCCACTCCATCATTTTTCTCACCATAATTACATTTATTTCTCTATCTGTATTAATGTTAAAACTTTACATTCTTGTTTAATTTTAATCTAGCTATTTAAAATATCTGCCTTTGTCCTAGCTGAGTAAGCACTGTCTGTCATGGTATAAATGGTTCTATGGGGTAGAGAGATTGCTAAATTTCAAAAATGATTATCATATACAAAAATGTTCTTGGCTTTCTTTGATGAGAAGGAACTGTATAAGTCAAGGTCTGGTGAGGAGATAAAAACCACACTAGTAATTCTAACAGAAGATTAATATAAAAAGTGTTAAATAGGTATTAGAGCACTGAAAAGGCAAAAAAGGAAAACTGAGGTATCACAGAGTTGTTAATTGCAAGAAGCAGCTACTATTCCCAGAACTTGGGGAATCAAGGGAAGAAGCTATGGAGCTGGGACTCAAACCTCTGGCTGTCAGCTGCTGGCATTTCTGAGCGGGCTGCTGTGGGAAATGTGGGAAAAGCTAGAAGTGTAATTGACTGATGCCTCTGGAATGAACTGCTACTGCCAGAGTGAACAGTCATTGCCAGGGTTAAGCTGGCAGGAACAACACACAAACAGGAAGAAACAGTTTCTTCTCTCTTCTTAAAAATTTTATTTTGAATTGACAAATAATAATTGTATATATTTATGGAGTACAATGTGATGTTTTGCTATAGCTCCAACCTTGAATCCTCCATCTAATGCTCCCGTTAACAAAGCCTAACTGAGAATTAGCCAGCAAAGTTGAAATGTGGTTTGCAGACACATATCCCAGCAGCACAAAGCAGAGTATAGAACAGTGAGTTGAAATGGAAAAATATTAACTAAATTACCGTCTCAAGAATTTATGTGATACACTGTGGTGTTTCATTGCATGTTTACATTGTATAGCAATTAAAACAGTGATTAACATATATAAATTTTTAAAATTAATAAAAAAAGAATTTAAAGGACATAGGTTATTCTTTTTTTTGTTTGTTTTTGTTTTTGTTTTTGTTTTTTTTTGAGATGGAGTCTTGCTCTGTCGCCAGGCTGGAGTGCAGTGGCACGATCTCGGCTCACCGTAACCTCTGACTCCCTGGTTCAAGTGATTCTCCTGCCTCAGCCTCCTGAGTAGCTGGGATTACAGGCACACACTATCACGCCCAGCTAATTTTTGTATTTTTAGTAGAGACAGCGTTTCACCATTTTGGCCAGGATGGTCTCAATCCCCTGACTTTGTGATCCGCCCACCTCAGCCTCTGAAAGTGCTGGGATTACAGGCATGAGTCACTGCTCCTGGCCAGGTTATTCTAATTTTGAATGTGTATTAGGGCCCACAGGAAAGCTACCTTTAGGGATTCTAGCAACAATAGCTTTTGGAGTTAAAAAATGTGAGTAGGTTATACTTACAGTGATAGCCCAATGTCAGATTCCCAAATCTGTCAGATTCAAACACAAATTGGGGCAGAGATAGAAATAGGGGGAAGAATGGGAAAGTTTTCTTTAATGAAGGACATTTCAAAGAGGAGCAAGATTATTCGCTGAAGTTTTATTGACTATATGTTTCTCTTATTCTAGTCTTAATTTAATAGCTAATGTTATGCTTGCTTCTCAATTTAAGAAATTTTAATTTTTTTTCTGAGTTCTTAAAGAACATCTCCCACTCTTAGCTATTCTCTTCTCCTTCCTCTCTTTCCTTCCCCTTTTTCTCCTTTATCCCTTTTCCTAGAACTTCTTTACCTATTCCCTCTTCTATTTCCTTCCTCCATCTCCTTTCCCCCTGTCCCTTTCCTCTGAATTATCACTGTTATTTGGCAGCTCTTGACTAGAGGTGAGATTTCAGACAGGTTACATATTCACATTTGTCTTTCCTGTGACTACTAATAGTTAGAAACAAAGCACTCTCGATTAAATTAAATGTTGAATATTAACTCTAAAATGACAAGAAGTTTCATTCATCTTCTATAAATTTTTTGAAGGTAAGAGGGTATGTTTAATCCAATCAGAAAATAAGCTTAAAAAGAATCTTCCCTCCCATTCTTTCCTTGGTACTTTCTTCCTCTTCCCACAACTGCATCCTAACAGCTGGTGTGATGTTTTGACAGATATGCCAAACTTTATTCTGATAGGACTGGAAAAGACAGAAACACTTACCTGTTTGGGAATTGTCAGTTTGAGTTAAAGGCCTTCTAGTATCTGCTTTTCTTTGCAGCCCATGTGCTTTGGAAGTCATTGTTTTTCGTGATGGCTGTGATGTATGCAGGCTTCTAGACAGAGTGACTGTGTATGTACCAGTTAGGTTAAGCCTCGCTCTAAAGACAGTCTGATGCCCTAATCAGGAAGGCTCTGTTTGGGGATTATTTTCTATATTTTAAGTGAGAATTCTATTACCCAGCGGTGGGTATTTTAAGTGCTTCAGTAATTTGTATGAATATCTGACTTTGACTTTGCTAATGAGCATATTAAATATCAGAAATGGGGTTTTCCTTGTACATAGTGGCTTGATAACAACAAGATGAATCTTAGAAGTAGATTGTCAGTGATAACATTAAAGGTAATTAGTATATATGGATTGGCTAAAATGTTTTAGAAATATTTCTCATACTTGTCCTAATAGGATATAATAATCTAGTGATACTGGAAGTTTTTACAGTGAGGGATGGAACCTCAGGCTGGATTTCAGTTCTTTCTCCAGTCACTGATTTAGGCAAGTTGTTGTTGCCTGACTCTGATTCTGACTATAAGGGAACAGAATCTGGCCTTTGTATTCTCATGTCTCTGCTGAGAGGAGGGCTGGCTTCATATGCCCATATGAACCAAGGTGTCTTTGGTTTAAAGGGATCCTTTTTAATCAAGGGATCTGTGCTTGGTTTAATGCTTTGTTGTTGCATTCTTGAAATTCTTAATAATTTGAAACAAGGAGCCCCATGTTTTTGTTTTGCACTGGGCCATGTAAATCAGCCAGAATTGGCTGCATTAACTTTTCATGCAAGGACATTGGAAAGGACAGAGCTGAGACTTCACTGAGTTTGTGAAGGAACTCTTGTGCCTGTTTATTAAACCAATGCCCATATATCGGGTAAAATCGGGTTTGAAACTTGTTTCAGTTAGAACCAATTAAGTTGTGGGGAATAGCTAACCATCAGTGCCTTTGCTGACTTCCAGTTTTTACAACAAAGAGTTGTACAAAACCAAATTGGCTTGGATCAGTTCACAGCAGTGCCATCTAGGTTTTAAGGACTACATAGTTTATCACGGCACAGAGAAATAAAACTCAGGATATGGAACTTTTTAAAATTTTGGTACAGAAAGTTGTGTTAGATGGTTAAAATACAGGCAGTTACTTGTGCTATCAGGAAACTGAAACCAGATGATAAAAATTAATTATTGTTTTACTTATTTTGCTAAAAACTAGAATTTGTCATTCTGTCCCTTTACTCCAGTGCACATTATCTCTGTATACAGTGAAATTGGAAATGGTAGTAGGAGTTTGGATTGTGTTTTTAAATAGAGCATGTGGTCTTTGAATGCATCAGTTCATGGAATAGGCAGTACTCTGAAAACTCATTCTTAGAGCAAGATTTTATTTAAAACTGTGTGCATTGAGGCTGATTATTGCCCAGTAACATTGATTGGTCTGACAGGGTCCTGGGAGATGAGGCATTGCTTTTAATTTTTTAAAAATTTTAAGTAAGACACATATCCCCCCTCTCTGTTATGACTATGCCTTTTCTTTTGATTTGCAGTTAGAAAGTTGACATATTTTCCAAATGAATGAAAACTCAGTTTGTAATGGATGGCAAGGGCTCCTTCATGAAATACAGCCTAGGTACTCACAGAGGCCTGCTTCAGGCTAGACTGGAAATAAAAAAGATTGTGCTTGCTGGCCTTTGAGCAACATTCTGTTGACTGAAAGGTTTTAATCTTATTGTGGAAATGTATAATTCCTCTTTCTACAAACTCACTAGGGATTGTTCTGCCTGTTGGTCTGATTGTTGATGCCTTCTCAAGTACACGTTGCCTTTCAAATTTTTTTTTACTCTTGTGGACTGAAGAGCAAAGGAAGGTAAGTGACATAGCCTCACTTATTCATAGGTTTACTTAGGGAACAAAAGCAAAATTAGAATATATGTTGAAATAATTTCCCCCAAAACTACCCAATGTCTATCTTGTTCTTTAAAAGGCACATCACGGCCTTTGTAGAGGTGACAATGTGGTGGTTGTGGGGGGACGATGGCCTGCTGCAGGTCTGACTGGCATTGGAAAATGCTCAGTGTGATCTGCAACTCCCTCTCTCTCTCTAAGATTGTACACACCATTTGCCTGACAGTCTGTGACTGAGTATAAAGGAGGGCATCTACAAGCATAGCTCATCTCTTTCTACATTGTGAACATTGATATTTTATATTTATTGCCTATCGTGTGAGAAGTTTCACACTTGAATGGATCTGGTAAACTAAACAACAACAAAGGAAAATGCAAAACAACAAAAGTTAAAAAACAACTTAACTTTCTCAATTTCTTCTATTTTTTGTCATTTATTGTACCAGTTGTGGGTATGTCCAGTAATTCAGAATAAAGCAACACTTTGAATTTTATAGCTAGACCAATATTTGTTCCTCTTTAATTAGTTTCTGTGGATTTAAAATCACATTGCAACCTTCTGTCTCTATGTTCATTTTAGAAGAAATCAGTACTGAGGTTTCCTTCTCAACATGTATCCACAACTGAAAAGTCTATAAAGTTTATTAGACCTCTTTCACAAAGGTCATGGAAAGAGAAAATAAGAGTGCTTTATTTTAGATAAAGGCTATGTATTATAAGAAGACCATGTCACCTATTGCAGTCAGCATTTTTAACAGCAATAATAAATATGATGGTAAGTCAACATGGAACACATAATTTAATACTAGTAATTATATACCCACAAACCTCATACAAACTAGGCTCATACTTTTAGTTCAAGTATACACATATCTATCACTAAATGACTGTGGGTTTTGAAATATTTCACCAGAAAAGTATTTTTTATTCCAGTGCTCTATGGTGTCAGGTCAAAATACTTTCTTCAGAGTACATTTTATTCAAGGAAAACCTTACTAAATAGATTTTATGAGAGAGTCACAAGGCCGTATGTATTTACAACTCTGAACTGTGACCAAGCTAAAGAGACTGTAATGATCACATAAATGAAAAAACATGATTGTACAATCTTCATGGCTTTCATAAAAATGATTTTTTTTTGCCTAACATTGCAATGTTTAACCCATTTAAAATTTGAAAAACTATAGGAAAATATAAAGGAAGAATACAGTAATGAATACTTCTAACTGGTCATTTATATTTCTGTGGAATTCGAGACATTAAAAAAAAGGAAGAGAGGGGGAATATAATACTGTTGCCTTATAAACCTTTTATTTTGAAATACTTTCAAACTTACAGAAAAGTTGCAAGGACAGTACACAGAAATCTTGTTCAACCTTCATCCTAATTCTGCAACTATTAACATATTTAGCACATTTGCTTTTTCTTTTTACCTATTTACCATGTATCTTCCATTTCTAATGTTTATTGTTAATTTCCATTTGCAAATACGTTGCATGTGTGATGCCCTGTTACTCCTAAATAAAGCAGTGTGTACTTCCTATTCATCCATAATGTATGTATCTCAAAATCAGAAAATTAACATTGATACAATATTAACATATAACTCACAAACCCCATGAAAATTTCAGTATTTGTTCCAATAATGTCCTTTGTAGAAACAGACAAAAAGGAGAAGAAGAAGGAGAAAAAAAAACATACAGGGAAAAAACAAAAACAAAACTTTTATTTTCCTCTCTTTCCCTTTTGGTCCAGAAACCAGGATCAAGAGTTTCATTCGATAGCCATGTATCTTCATTGTCCTTCAATCTGTAGTGACTCTTCAGCCTTTCTTTGCTTCTTCATGTAGATATTTTAAAACTGTACAAGTCAATTATTTTGTAAAATGCCCTTCAGTTTGGCTTTGTCTAATGTTTCCTCATGCTATGATTCAGAATATAAATTTTTGGCAGATATATTACAGAAGGGATGCTGTTTTCTTCACAGTGTGTTGTACTAGGAAACGCATTATTTCCATTTGTGTCATTGCTAGTCATGTTAACTTAGTGTCAACTTGGTTTTTCTACTCTATAGTTCATTAACCAATTTTTTTGTACTTATTAAAAATAATTAATATGAGTTTTGTGGGTGATACTTTGAGCCTGATTAAATATTTTGTTTCTTATAAAACTTTCACCCAGTAGTAGTCTTTTAGATCAGCGGTCCCCAACATTTTTGGCACCAGGGACTGGTTTTGTGGAAGACAATTTTTCCATGGATGTAGAGAGGGGATGGTTTCAGGATGAAACTGTTCCACCTTGGATCATGAGGCATTAGTTAGATTCTCATAAGGAGCATGCAATCTAGATCCCTCGCATGCGCAGTTCACAATAGAGTTTGAGCTCCTATGAGAATCTAATATCATCGCTGATCTGACAGGAGGCAGAGCTCAGGTGGTAGTACTCACTCACCTTCTGCTCACCTCCTGTGCAGCCTGGTTCCTAACAGAATGGGGACACTGTGTTGGGGTCCCTGTTTTATGTGATATATTTTAGTGACTAAAGTTTTCACATGTTTTAGATGTTGATTTTAGTCTGAATTAGTTATTATAAGATGGTTGCCAAATGGTGATTTTTTTAAATTCTACCATTCCTTCTATAATTATTAGATGGAATTTGATAGAAAGTAGAGCATTCTCTCTTTTTTTCCCACTTTCTTCTCCTTTCTTCGGTATGAGCTTTAGATTCCTATTATAATCAATGGGCTATGATCTAATTAATTGCAATACTCAGAATGTTCCAGATTTGACCAATGGAAACCTCTTGAAGCTGGCTTCTGAGTCCTTCTGATGGATCTTTGTAATTGATTGATACTTCCTTTCTGGCATAAGAAGATGTTCTGGTCTAACCATGAGTCATGTAGCCACTACCACCATCAAGACATAGAATATTTCAATCACTCCTGAAAATTCTCTCAAGCTCATTTGTAGTCACCCCTTCTCACCCCTACCTTGTGTTTTGGCATCTACTGATTTGTTTTCAGTTGCGATGGTTTTGCCTTTTTCAGAATGTCATAGGAATGGAATCATATAGTATGTGTCCTTTTGAGTCAGTTTTCTTTGACTCTGCATGTTGCATTTGAGATTTATCCATGTTGTTGCATGTATCAGTAGTTTGTTCTATTTATTAGCGAGTAGTATTTCATTACATGAACATACTACAGTTTATTCACCAGTTGATGGTTATTTGGGTTGTTTCCAGCAAAATTGTTTTAGCAATTATAAACAAAATATTATTTGTATACACATTTTTTATTGACTTCAAGGACATATGTCTGCACTTCCCTTGGGTAAGTGCTTAGGAGTGGTATTTCTGGTCACATGGTATGTGTGTGTTTAATTTTATAAGAAATTATCAAACTGCTTTTCAAAGTGGTTGTATCATTTTTGCATTCATACCAGCAAAGTATAAGAGTCCCAATTTCTCTTCATTCTTGACGGTACCTGCTACTTTTTTTTTTTAAATTAGCCATGATAATAGTTGTATATTGGTGTCCTATTGTGATTGTAATTTGCAATTTTAAAATTATTAGTATGTGGATTGCCTACGTGCTTATCTTATACCTCTGTATCTTCTTTGTTGAAGTATCTGTTAAAATATTCTTTACTGAATTATAAGTTTTCTTACTACTGAGTCGTGAGAGTTAAAAAAATATTCTGGATACCTGTCCTTCTCAGAAATGTGTTTTGCAAATATTTTTGCAGTCTGTGGTTTGTTTCTTAATTTTCTTATAGTTATATTTAGAATAGTAGAAGCTTTCAAATTTGAAGAAGTCCAATTTATTAATTTTCTTCTATAATTTGTATTTTCAGTCTTCTAAAAAAATTTTGTGAAACACAAGATTGCAAAGATTTTCTCCAATGTTTTCTTCTAGGGTTTACATTTAGGTCCAGCACAACTTTTCAATAAGGTTACCATCTTTCCACTGAATTTCTTGGGACATTACAAAAAATCGGCTGACATTTGGGTGGGCCTGTTTCTGGACCCTCTGTTCTAATTAATTGATCTATGTGTCTATTTATTTGCAAAGACCACATTGTTACTATTATTGTAGCTTTATAATAAATCTTAAAATCAGGTAGTATGCATAAGTCTTTCAATTTTGCCCTTTCATTAAACTTTTATAGTTTTTAGCTTACAAATTTTGTATGTTATATTTATATCTAAGTATTTTATATTTTATATTGCTATTGTAAATGGAACTTTTAAAATTATAATTTCAAATGGTTCATTGCTAGCATGTAGATACATAGTTTTTATTTTTATATTGATCTTGTATCCTACAGTCTTGCTAAATAGACTTCTTACATCTAGTAGCTTTTTTGGGTAAACTTTGTGAAATTCTACATAGATAATCATGTTTTCTAAGAATGGAGAAAATTTTATTTATTTTTATAATATATTCCTTTTATTCTTTTGTTTGGTCTATTATTCTAGCTAGGACCTATAGTATGATATTGGTTACGGATGGGAGGAGAGGACATTTTTGCCTTGTTTTTAATCTTAAGGAGAAAGATTTAACTTTTCCCATTAAGTCTGACTTCAGCTCAGGTTTTATGCAGATGCCCTTTATCAAGTTCAAAACGTACTCTTTTATGCCTAATTTTCGTAGAGTTTTAATCACGAATAAATGCTGTATTTTGTAAAAATAATTTTTCTGCCTCTGTTGAGATCATTTTTTAGTCTGTTCATGTGATAATGACATTGATATATTTTCAAAATATTGAACCAACCTTGCTTTCCCCATTTAAACTCCATGATGTTTATATGGGTCATTACGTCTTATTACTCCAGTCATGATGGATTATTATTTTTATATGTTGCTGAATTTGATTTGCTAATATTTTGTTGAGTTCTTTTTGTATGTTTGTTCATGATTACAATGCATAGTGGTCAGTAGTTTTCTTGTAATTTCTTTGTCTTTGCCTGATTTTGGTCAGGGTGATGTTGCCTCTTCAAATTACTTGGAATGTCCTACATTTTTCTTTATTTTCTGTCTGTCCTTGACAACATGCAGAATTGGTATTATTTCTTCCTTAAGTGTTTGATAGATTTTACTAGTGAAACCATCTGGGCCTACAGCATATGATGTCCATTTGTCATGAACCACATGACAAATAGCAAAGCTCAAAGGAATTCAGAGAACCTCTCTTCTTCTGCTTTCTAACTCATTACTTAGAGGTTTATTGCTTGTTTACCCCTGTGCTTCCATCTTCTGGATTCTGGGTTACTATATCTGCCACAATTTCTTAAATTATCTTGTAACTATTTTCATTGATTCCACTTGTCAGCTAGATTCAATCAAGCTATTGTTTTTTTTTTTAATACTGCTGAATTTCAGGGTTCTCTACCAATTTATAAGATTATTTGAATTGCTCACAGTGACAAAATTAATTACTATGGAGATAGTTTATAAATGCTGAACTTGCAGCTCATTCCATTATGTTATGCCATCTTCCAATCTACAGGCTACCTAATATGAGTTAAGCATTTGCTTGTTTTTGCTTATATTAAATAATGTCTAGATTTTTGAAGATGTTTAAGTGTTTGATTTTTAAAAAGCTGCATTTTTTAACTAGACTTACACCTGCTGCGTTTTTAAGTGAACTTTGCTGTGTGTGTATTACCTCATATAACCTATTTTCCAAAGAAGTTCAACTCTCAGAATAAATAATCAGGAGTACTGTGCTCACTTGGATAAAGTTGAAGTCCTTGATTTTTAAATGATTTAAAAGACTCTTTATAATGATTCCATACTTTGTTCTGGAGACCCATGATTCAATGGCAGGAACGGTAAATGTATGATTTGCTAAAATCAGAACTCAGTGTCACTGGATGAATACAAATATTTACTTCCTTCCTCATACTGTTAGAATCAACTAAAAAGTTGAGCTTATTTAGTCCGCATCTGGGATTTGGCTTTGAACAACTTTCTAGCTTAGTGATGGCATGCGTGGCACTGTTCTTTCCGTCACTCTTGGTAGTTTTTCTTCAGTGTTAGAGCAGAAGAAAGGATGATCCTGTCTTTATTTTATGGCATGCTCTGAATATGTTAATTTTTTTCTGTTCTCTTTTAGCTAACAGTGAAGTAGGTGATGCTTGGGTGAATATATAACAATGATGTGCTAACTATATCAAGTCAGAATTGCCATGCAGTAATTCTTGATTCAGAAACCCAGCAAAGTCCTTGATTTGAAAACTGTGAATGCATGTCTTTTATCAGCATGAATTTTCACATAGTCCTTGAATAACATAGGTTGATTGACAATAAATAAACTTGGGATAAACAAATAAATAGAAATAATTGGTTCTAATGAAACAAATAATTAAGGTGTGATTTTGAGATCTCTGTCCTTGTTTTTGTTTAATCACGTGTCAACTAAATAGAAATAGTTGGTTTTAATGAAACAAGGACAAGATTTGGGGTCTCTGTCCTCATCTTACTTTAATACCATGATCATGCTTTTCTCAAGTTCCCAACTATGTATTAAATGATAATAAAGAGTGTGACTTTCAATTTAATAAATTTATTTAACAAACGGTTTTTACAAATGAAAAGTATTATTATGAAAATCAAGTCTTCATATAAATAAGTCTACAACTATGTGTATAAAGGAAGAAAATGGTAATATGGATAACTCTAAATAGTTTTTAGTGGAACTCTTACTGCTTTGTTTCATTTGTGTAGTGAAAGAACTGGAAAATTGGAAGAGATTGTGGATTTCAGTGGTATTTCTTAGTGGTGAAGGATGAGAAACATTTTACATCTCTTATACATCAACCTGGATTCCTAGTCTCATCCTAATAGAAAGATGAGAAGACTCACTTCTTGTATCACTGCCTTAGAATTCTAGCCAGATAGGGTGGAGCCAAGTGGGAGAAATATTTGTGTCTTCCCTCAAGGTTCCTTAAGGCTCCTTAATGTTTGGCTTTGTAATGCTTTGATGTCAGTTACCAGATTTGCCTTATAAAAGTGCTTGCTTTAACCACATCTGGAGCAAAAAACAAACTACCAAATTATAGTAAGGGGAGGGTACTCTAGCGAACAAAATTTTGAAAAAAAAACAAAAAGAGTACTCTTCTATGATAGCAACAAATTATTTAAGAATATGATAGCACTTCTGAGAATCAGTGAATAAATAAATAAAATAAAATGGTGCTGATGAAGGTATTTCCACCTGTGTGGACTTGGGTAAGTCTCTTAAGCTTTTTGTCTCAATTTCCTCATGTGCATTCTGAAGTGTTTGAATTTCCTGATTAGTATAGTCCCCTCTGATCTGAACATGCTGTAATTCTGGGCTGTAGAGCACAGAGAGCTTTAAGAGACCTTGAGGATTTGAGACCAGAGACATCAGTGTGTGACTTGGTGCGAGGAACAAGACTGAATACCAAAAGGGAAATGTGCTGTGCATGAAAGACCTGGATTTGTGGCAATTTTTCCTGGTCAGTAAGGGAGAAACGTCTTAAAGGGTAAGAATTTTCTGTATTCAAACCACAGTATGAATGTCTGAAAAATGCAATCATGTTTGGAAGATTTATATTTTGGTGAAGACATAAGATCAGTTAAGTACATGTGTATGACCCTAAATAAAATGTGAAAGAAAAAATTTATTCAAAGTCAAGTCATCTTCCCCATATATTATCAGAAGAATAGACTGGGAGGGGATTCCAATTGTATATTATGAAGAAAAAAACATAAAGCCACATTCCTAGACTCAGTGTGTATAAATATAATATAGAAAGATAGTTTTTTTTTGGTACCTTTGACAGTGTTATGGAGTTCTAGCTGAAGCTCATTCTTAGTCGTAGCTAATTTAGACGTATCTGAGCCTCACTGGGAATCTGGTGGAATTTGCTTTCCAGGTGCTTGTTTGTAAGATAAATTTAGGATTCTTTTTGGAACTAGCACATCCTAAGGGAAGAAAAAGTCAGCCAGATGAGGTAACCCAACAACGGCCTCAGTCATCAGAGGGATGGGGTTCTTTTATGTTTGTCTTGATACTTGTTTCAGAGATATGTTCCTGGATGCAGAATAAAAAAGGAAAGAGCTGTTTTCACTAAAAACTGTTTATGATATAAATGTCCAATGAAGGATGGAGTGGGTTGCATCAGATGAGTTGTTTCAGTAAAGGGGAGGAGACACATTCTCCCAAAGTAGCTTCAAATAGAATGTGACTCTTGCCTCTCCGTGGCTTCAGTAGGTGAGGTGCAGGAGCTAGAGACACTGCAGCATGGTGGAGGTGACGAGCACATGCAGAGGTACCTGTGGGAGTGAGAAGTCCAGTAGGGGCAGTGAACGTCAGTTCAGGTGACTGACAAGCAGGGCTGCAGTGTCCAGACGACATTGGCTGTCCTAAGGACACTGGGGGAAGTGAATCCAATGCTTCAAACATAAGAGTCAACAAAGATATCCAACTGCCAAAAAAGAGGAACAAATTATGAACAGAGATAATAACAAAGGTTAAAAACCCAAATATTTATTAACAAATGATAAAAGCACATAAAGTTAGAACTAAGGGTATGTGAGAAAGATCGTTAAGCACTAATAAAACATTCTATAGTAACATTTTATAGTGTGTCAGTAGGGAATGATGATGGGGATAAGAATAAAGATAGACAGTTGAAAGTGCACAAAAAGACAGAGATTATAGTTTCTATAAATGTTTTTAAGAAAGAGCACTGGAGTGAAATACAGGAAAAGGTAGCAGTTGACAAGAAACTCCTAAGCAGCAGGCACTGTGTTAGAAGCTTGAAATATATGATTTCATGAAATCCTCTCATCAAACTATTTGCACTAAGCAGAGCTACTAAATATCAAAGCTGGATTTGAATCCAAGTTGTTCTGACTCCAAAGCCAATGTTTCCCTCTCCCTCCCTTGGAGAAAGAATGCTGACTTATGCTGAAATTTCAGTCAAAGGCTAAGGATAAAAGTGAATTAAGAGCAGGCATTTTAGCTCAAGAAATGAGGAGCACAATCATGTTGTTGAAGAGGGGAAATGATTCTGGCTCTGAGGTTCTTATTTCTGAGTTCAGAAAGACTTTTGAGGTTTGTCTAAACAATCTTTTGGCAGCTGTTTCATTGACATGGGGAAAAGGTGAAATAACCTGCAAAATGAAGCCAGGAGTTTAACCAAAAATGTTTATTAAAGGGAAAGAAGGGGAGAGGATTAGATGCTAGAGGACGATATCATCATCAAACACCTATTGCCTTACTTCTCTACAAATCTGGTTTTAGAAACAAATGGGGGTCTGGGCGCGGTGGCTCACACCTGTAATCCCAGCACTTTGGGAGGCTGAGATGGGTGGATCTTAAGGTCAGGTGATGAAGACCATCCTGGCCAACGTGGTGAAACCCTGTCTCTACTAAAAATACAAAAATTAGCTGGGTGTGGTAGCGCATGCCTGTAATCCCAGCTACTTGGGAGGCTGAGGCAGGAGAATTGCTTGAACCAGGGAGTCGGATTTTGCAGTGAGCCGAGATCGTCCCACAGCACTCCAGCCTGATGACAGAATGAGACTTTGTCTCAAAAAAAAAAAAAAAGAAAAAAGGAAACAAATGGGAAGATTAGGGCCCAAGAAACATCAGGGAGGGACTTGTGAACAGGTGCTCTGTGAGCGATGAACACAGAGAAAGAAGCTGAATGGATACTTGGTTGTATATAAGAAAAAGTTTTGGTTGAGACATGCCATGAATAAATGCTGTGCGTGATTATCTGCTGAAGAACATAAAACATTATGAATCAATGTTATTAGTTCTGCCAGAATTGGGTAAACGTTGACAGTTTGATTCCAGAATTCATGTGAAAATGCAAAAAGTTAAAAGAGTTTATTCCAGAAAGGGAAGAATATTGTAATATTAAAAACATAAAGTAGAGGTTAGAATAGTAAGAATATTTGGTGTATTCATTCAGGAAAGAGTGTTAAGAACATTAACCTAAGGCTAATTCTTTTATGGTGCAATGTGAGCCTAACCATTAGAATAGGTGATTCTGTCTTCGGGCATCTTTCTGGCCCCTGCTAATAGTGATTCAAATTTATAAGACTGTTAGCCCCGTTTGTATCCCTGAACTTGCCATTTCCCTCAGAACACTGATCCTTGTAAGCTGTTTGGATCTGCCCTCTCTTATGCTCCTCTCTCCTCTCTTCCCACGAATATGCTCAGTCCATTTTGGGGTCCATTGGTTGCTACTGGCTATTTTGCAATTTTGAGAACTGTCAAATTGTATAAATCTCATCTCAACAGGAGTTGTTCCTTTAGGGAATCTCTCTACAGTAGTAATTTTGAATTCTACTGGTCTACTTTTCCAAACTAGTGGGAGGGAAATGATCCATTAAAGTGAAAAGGGCTGCAAAAACAAAACAAAACAAAATCCATCAATGAGAAGAATGAAATGAAGAGGATGAAGCAGCAAAGGTTGTATTTAAAGGTCTAATGCTGGAAAGCAGGAGTGTACAGCCAGAAAAATGTCAACAGAGGGTGGCAATTTATACAATAAGAACAACTATTAGCATAAGGCTAAAGACATTAAGTGAAAGTTTTAGAAGCCTGGAAAAATTAAATAATGGTTTAAAGCAGAGCTGTGGTATGAGATGTCCTGTTATAACAGATTGCTCTTTTGAATGATCATAAAATTATGAATCAGGAAAGAATATTCCCTCAGCAGAAGATGTAGGGAAGATCAGACACAGTAAAATTCTGTCTCTAAATGTGCCAAAGCAAGTGATTAGGGAGGAAGATATATAATTTTTTATTACAAAGAAACTATTTCTTTAAAGGTAGAAAAAGGAAGAATAACAAAACCATGATTTCTGGGTAGTAAAAATACTGAAAAAGTTAAAACTGATAAAGAGAAAACAATAATAAAGAGAAATGCTCTATGTATATATGACGCACAGAGACCATATCCCATTTTCACTTTTAACACTCTGTGGGGTTCTAGGCTCACAACCCCTCACCCCAGAAGGCTGGCTTTATAAGCATTTCCATCTCTGAAAGAAATTAAGGGACATAAAGACATGTTGCTATTGTTTGGTAGCCTGAACTGCCTGACATTAAGTAATAATCCTGCTGCATCCTAGCCTCGTTACCTTAGGCGACATATTTAGCCTCTCTGTGTCTCAGTCTCCTCAACTGTAAACTGGAGATAATAATATAATTTACCTCAGAGTTTTGTGAGGATTAAATGTTATTTAATTATTAACAGCTCAGTCCATGTTAGCTGTTATTATCCAAAGCTATATTGCTTGTTAGTGGCACAGCTTAGACTCAAATCAAATTTTTCTGCCTCTAAATTTGGTGCCCTTTTCTGGACACTTTTTTTTTTACCTGTTCCCTAGGGGGAGTTAGAGTTTGGGTCTCCGGTCCAAATTTGAGGCCTTGAGAGTTGGGGCCAAAATGTGAGAGGTCAGTTTAAAAAGAACTGGTGCAAAGATGAAGTGTGATCCAACTTCCAAGTCAGTTGATCTAGGTTAGCAAGAAACAGTCCAAAAACATGAGGCTTAGAGAGCCAGAGGGCAGAGAATATGAAGCAGCTCTGAGATGTATGCTCCATAATGGAGATCAGGTAGGATAACAATAGTAGGTTTGTGAAGTGAGACTAGTAGAAATCCCCAAGGCAATGGTGTAGATATTTTATTATTGTTAATTTTTGGCAATGGAAAGCCAATTGTAAATGTTTGTGGAATAATGATCTACTTGGCTTCTACCACTGGCAGCTGGGACCACTTAACACCTGCCTGTCCAATCTTATCTCCCATTTCTGTGCCAATTATGGCCTTTGACAGGGAGATCCTAGGAGTCCAGTAATTAGTCATCGAGTATCAAATCATCTTTCTAGGTGGACACAATCTGATGCTGCGCCTTGTTTACTAAACAAAGTCCTTCAGTGTGTTAGTTACTTGAGATTTCATAAATTTTCTTAAAAGAGGTCAGAGTGGATGCTAAACCTGAACTCTGCTTACTGAAGCTGCATGTCTAGCGCCTAAAGCTGCACGACTCTGAAGTGGAACTCTGCACCTGCTCTGTCCTGGAGCTCTGCCTGCTGCCTGCTGTCCAACCCACTCCACCGACAGGACTGCCCCTGTTGTTTACTCATTAGAACTGTATGGTTTAGCTGGTCTAATCCTTTTGTTCTACTTGGTCCCTTGGGCCTGGCCCTGTAAATGAGACCTGCCCTACTGCAGATGAAACATTTCTTTAGGTATAACACATATGATGTTTTAATCTTTTAAAAAAGTTACCACGTACTAAACATTTCTATATATCAGTGCCAGTGCTTTGTGCCCATTTTCTTATTTTATTTTTTCCAAATAAACTATGACGTAGATACTATATTGTTAGGCTCAGTTTTCTGATGAAATTAAGAAAATTTCTCAAAGTCACACAGCTGGTAACTGGGATTCAAAGCTGGTAACTCCAAAAGCTGAGATATTAAATATTATGCTATATGTTGGTGATAAAAGAAATAATGTAAGAGAGAACATGTAGAATAATTTGAGACACAGTTGCTTTGTAAAGGCAAACTATTCTTATTTGCATTAAAACTCATCATTTCCGTCAGAAACATTACTGAGATGCTCCTTTTTTTTGACATTATACTGTGTCTGAAAGGAAGATGGATACAATAAAAAGGGAGAACATGAGAAAAAGATTCTTTTTAGAAAAGTATTTTGTAGTCAGTTTGATGACTGCTAAATGAATGAGAATTCTGGGCAGCTGTGGAATGACCCCCTCTAATAAAATACTGAGATGTAGTCACTGCAAAAGATACAAATAATCACATCCAACATTGATTAAGAGTGGAGATGGGATATTATGAACTATACTCTGTTGAGGGTCATTTATAAGTGAAAGAGAAAGTCACTGGTGACTAGGTGGATGGCAATGTTGAAACATCTTAAGTATCTCATATGGCCTTGTTAAACTTATTAAAGGGAGACCCTTAAAGCAGAAAAACTAGAACAAATAAAAAGATTTCATTGTGTCAGAACCCAAAACAGTTGTTGTTTCTTTTTAAGAAGAAATTCACGAGTCCCTTTGCAAAACTGATAAATCTTAAAATCTATATACATTCTTTGCAAGATATAAAATCCATGTCCCCACACTATTTATTATATAAATTTATGTACTTCCCTGGAGCCTATTCATGGACCCCAGGCCATGAATCAAGAATCCTTGAGTTTGAAGAAGTCTTTTTGAGTTGGGGAGAATTCCAATGTTATGATTAAATCCTAGTGAGTACCTCTTGCCAAATACTCTAAATATCTGTGGTATTAGGGACTTGATTATTTGCACTTCCTTGTAAATAGAATGGCTGCTGCTGCCTCACAATCTGAGGTTTTTCATAATGAGAGATGAATATAAGTCTCATATTTATTTATTCTATTCTTGTTGATATTTTTACATAGGTAACCTTTTTCCCAAATTCCACTGAGAGATTCTGAGATTGGCGAGAGATCTTTGAAAATCTGTCACGGTGGCTTTCTTTTGGATTGGAATATTTTTTTTTCCCTTAAGCCACAGAATTACTCTAGGTTGTGCCATGGAGACATTTTCATACATCAGGCAGCTTTCGAGCCCTAATTCTGGTAGTTATCAAGCCCACTGACAGGCGTGACAGGACCTAGAAACATAATACAGACTTATATAATCAGCCATTCGTCTCTGCCATTTTTATGTTGAATTAATGCTCTGGGCACCTCTTCAAAGTCATACTGTGGAATATTTTTTGAACATTTATTTTTGTAATATTCTTATATAACTTTCTTAAATAAGAATAGTTCATTCTATCCATTTCCCCCTTCCATTCTAAATCAGAAAATAAAGGCACAGTCTTATGGCACCCAAATACAGATTGAGGCTTTTATTATTATTATTTTTTGAGACACAGTGTCACTCTGTCGCCCAGTCTGGAGTGCAATGGTGTAATCTTGGCTCACTGCAACCTCTGCCTCCCAGCCTCAAGCGATTCTCCTGCCTCAGGCTCCTCAGTAGCTGGGATTACAGGTGCCCACCACCATGCCTGGCTAATTTTTTGTAGTTGTAATAGAGATGGGGTTTCACTGTGTTGGCCGGGCTGGTCTCAAACTCCTGACCTCAGGCGATCCACCTGCTTTGGCCTCCCAAAGTACTGGGATTACAAGCGTGAGCCACTGCGCCTGGCCCAGATTGAGGCTTTTTTTAGTCCTTTCTCAATCTTAGGTCAATTGATTGATTATTGAGTCATTGTTGATTATATCCCTTTTAGCCACACCAAAGTCATATATAAGTAAAGTTTTATTTATACAAAGAAACCTGAAAGGATGGCTTTGAAACATGTCTGCATTGTGGTGAGCTAGATGAGAAAGCCTATTTTTTTTCCAGAATAACACCAATATTTTCCCTCATTTATGGATTTACATGTGATATAATGATAAAGATGAGACTCATTTGTTAGGTGAGAGGAATATTTGAATCACTAAAAGGTAAAACTAACTTTGTTTAAGCCTGCTTGGTGTTAAGCTGCCACGAGGGCAGGGAGATATAGGTAGATCCAATGGCGCTTTTCTCAGTATATGTAATAGCTGTTAGCTCTTAGAATAAGTTGGAGAGGGCTGGGTGCGATAATGAGAAACACAAAATTCAGTGATTTATGTTAACAAAGATCCATCTCTTTATCTGAAAATACAATTTTTACGTATAACAAAACCAAAACATCCCTAGTAAATTAAAAGAGGAAAACAGAACACACACTTTTGTTTTTGGAAAGTTAGAGAATAATAATTAACTGATTTGAACCACCATCTGTGTAGGTGCTATGTAAGATTTTCTGTCTGTCCCTGCCAGTGTACCTGGGCTGTGACATCAGTACCTCTGTTCCCCCGCTCCCAGTTCTCTCTTGAGAAGGCACTGCCAAAGAGCTGGTCATTAGAAAAGAGAAGACACTGCCAAAGAGCTGGTCATTAGAAAAGAGTACACACACACACACACACACACACACACACACACACACACACACACACACACGAGGTTTATCATCTATGTATCAGGCAACTTACTAATAACACCTTAGGAAGAAAATGAAAAAGAAAATGCAGTGAAGAGGAGACTGTATTGACATTCTGGTGTCCTGGAACAGATGAATCAGTGCTTGGCTGGAGACACCAAACATACTTTCCAGTATGGCCCAACCCAAGATGTATTTCTAAATCTGCAGACATGAAAGGTCAGTGTGGTCACCCCCTGGGACAAACATAGATCCTCTGCACATGCAATTTTAATTAGTCAGGGTTTCAGAGCAGGGCACCAGCCATTTTTACTTTATGGTGATAGTTTTATTGATTCCCTGACAATTCAGTGATTCCACAGATACTAAGTGAAGAAGGCCTCTACAGGATTAACAGAGGAGAGCCACTCCGTTTTAGAAAAACATATAGCCTATCTTTTTAGAAATTATTACAAGTGGAGTTTGCACAGCTTTGAATGTTTTAATTGTCTTTTTCTGGCCATTTTATAATTGCTACGTTGAACAGTGATTTACTACATATAGTTTCCTAAATTGGCATTAGTTCAATTTGTCTTCTCCCAACCCAACTGTACCTCAGCAAATGGACAGGTACCTTCCAGTGAGAAGCCTCTGTGCCAGCAGGACAGGTATCGCAGGCATGAGTGTCTCTGAACAGGCTATGCTCATTCTCATCTATGGCAAACATTTTTGAGTTAATTTATTTCTTTTCCAAACAATTTGAGCACTGCTTTAGGTGACGGAACTGGGATTTGAACCTAGGCCATTCTGACTTTAGCAGACTAAATAAATAACATCTACAAGTCAGATAGATTTGGGCTGAGACCCTGTCCTATCTCTAGCCAATTGTATCAGATTGGTCAAGTTATTTAACCCATCTGAAGCTATTTTTATTTCTTTACACTTATTTACGATAATAGCCCAAAAGTTTGCTGCCGGGATAAAAAGACCAGATATTAATACATAAAACATTCAGTATAGTGCCTGGAACAAAATAGTTACTGGACAATTGGTAGCTAATATTGCCACTTACAAAGGATTATGTAAATATGCTTAGTAACTCTGAAGGTCTTTATTTTTTATTTATTTGATTTTTGTTTGTTTGTTTTGAGACACAGTCTTACTCCATTGCCCAGGCTGGAATGCAGTGGTGTGATTGTAGCTCACTATAACCTCGAACTGCTGGATTCAAGTGATCCTCCCCACTCAGTCTCCCAAAGCACTGGGATTACAGGCCCGAGCGCCATGCCTAGCCTGAAGGACTTTTATTTTTGCTTACCTACCCTTACCATAAATAATAAAATATTTAAACTCAGTGACTAATATTTTCTGTTACATAAAACTTAATAGTTTTTAGTGAGTTTCAGTGGCCAGTACTGATAAGCCATGAAAAATAGGCATTATAGAGATAGGAAAAAGGAGGAGGAATGAACAAGGAATAAACCATTGAGAAAAGTCTGTCCTTTTATTTCCAAATTTTATATTGAATGAAACTTAAGATTTTGGAAGAAATTGGTAAATAATGAAAATTAAGTTTTGAGAGATGTTGAATGTGACACGGA
Organism: Homo sapiens; assembly: GCF_000001405.40. Classification (NCBI taxonomy): domain Eukaryota; kingdom Metazoa; phylum Chordata; class Mammalia; order Primates; family Hominidae; genus Homo; species Homo sapiens. Next base: position 127,140,674 of record NC_000004.12, on the reverse strand, counting down.
AAAACGTTTTCAGAATCTGCTGTGTTGATGTCTTATACTGTTTGCTTAGATTTGTTTCCAGTCTGAAACTTCACAGGGGACATTTAATAACATATCCTGTGATACAGGCCCTGACGCTGGTCACTCTTTCTGAATGGATAAAGGGCCTATGTAATTGGATCAGGTTTATTTGTTTAGGTAGTGGGGATTCTTAGGTGACTCATTGTTTTCTTCAGTGTAGTCTACCAGATGTTGGAGTCATATTGGCCTGTGTTTGGTTATTAATTCTGCTGGGTACCAGTAGTAGGAATTTGAACAAGTTAACTAACCTCCCTTAAACTGTGCTGTTTTTCTTCCAGTTGTAAACTGAAAATAACAATACTTCTCCTTATTGCTGTGAAGATTAAGTGAAATTGAAGTGGGTATGAGAAGAAAAAAGTAGAGAAATATGTAGATCATTAAATAATAAGAAGGAAAGGTAGTTCTTATTCCTCTAGCACAGAGGTCTCCAACACCTTGGTCACAGAGCCATGGCAGTCTGTGGCCTTAGGAACTAGGCTGCAAACGTGAGTGGCCAGTGAACGAGTGAAGCTTCATCTGTATTTACAGCCCCTCCCCATCATTTGCATTACTGCTTGAGCTCTGCCCCCTGTCAGGGCAGCAGCAGCATCAGATTCTCACAGGAGCACGAACCCTATTGTCAACTGCGCATGTGAGGGATCTAGGTTGCACACTCCTTGTGAGAATCTAATGCCTGATGGTCTGACACTATCTCCCATCACCCCGAGATGGGACCATCTAGTTGCAGGAAAACGAGCTTAGGGCTCCCATAATTCTACATTATGGTGAGCTGTTTAATTATTTCATTGTATATTACAATGTAATAATAATAGAAATAAAGTGCACAATAAATGTAATGCTCTTGAATCATCCCAAAACCACCCCCCAGACCCCTGTCCTTGGAAAAATTGTCTTCCATGAAACTGGTTTCTGGCACCAAAAAGGTTGGGGACCGCTGCTCTAGAAATACAACCAAAATATAAAGTATCAAATGCAGCTATCATCAGTTGCCTGTTAATATAAATTTGAATTCTTCTCAATGTATGGTTTACTTATTTTAATTTAATTTAATTAATTTATTTTTCTGAGACAGAGTCTGACTGTTGCTCAGGCTGGACTACAGTGGCACAATCTCTGCTCACTGCAACCTCCACCTCCCGGGTTCAAGCAATTCTCCTGCCTCAGCCTTCCCAGTAGCTGGGTTTACAGGCACCTGCCACTATGCCTGGCTAATTTTTGTATTTTTAGTAGAGATGGGATTTCACCATGTTGGCCAGGCTGGTCTCAAACTCCTGACCTTAGATGATCTGCCTGCCTCAGCCCCCAAAGTACTGGGATTACAGGTCAAGGTACAGTTTATAAGACAGTATTTTAGAAATGGAGATACTTAAACTTTTTACATGTAAGAGCTAAGTGAGGATATTAACTTTTTGAAAATTGTTAGGATGATTGTGTAGAATTAAAGGAGGCTGTGTGTCCTAATAATAGTTAAGGAGTCTATTATGGTCTTCTGCTTTTCTGAGCTATTTAATTTTTATGCTTAAATTAGTTTAAACTGAAAAAAAATTGATTCACCACAGATGATAGACTAAGCCAAAATGATTCACTTTTGCCCTCTGGTTGATGCATTATTTAAATTCACAGTCTTTAATTTCTCTGGAATCCAAATGTTACGAATTGAGGATAAATATATTTTAAATGCTTGGAAGACAACTTTATACACATGGTCTTTTTTTTTTTTTTTTGTCTTTCATACGTGCAGTTGGGACTTTACAGTCCTTACTTCCAACACTTGTTTTCGACATTTCTGTGGTTTTGTGTTGCACTCTAGCAGACCTGTGGACCGAGAAGAATTAGAAATAGTGACTATGGTAGAAGAGCCAAAAGTAGAATATTCAACTCAGGGAATTTGTGAAATGTCCTTTATCTGAACATGTGCCTTAGGCTGGCACATAACAAACTGTCAGAAATTGATGTTGATGCATGATTTTTTTTTTTTTTTTGGTGCTATGCTCTGTAAAGCAAGATATTGCAAAAGAAGTAAAAACAGACTTTGTTTTTCTATTTGTTTTGAGACAGGCGAGACTATAGTGTGTTTTCTCTGGGCAGGCTTAAATATGGTAGGCAGAGCTGGGTTTTAGGTTTGGTAGTAACAGCAGGACATCTCAAACACTGAAAGAAAAAGAGCCAAAGGGTCTTAGTTTTTTTTAGATTAATGACAATCATTCTCCATAAAGCAAAGTGCCATCCAGTGAAATAATTACTTTGGTATTCTAATATCCTATTGGTCTCCAGTGTTTTGGCATGACCTGATAAAAGTTTTGATTTGTTTGATTTAACATTTGATTCCAAGTCATCCAAACAGATTTGGGATTCACTTGAGGCAAGGAGAAGTGAAGAGACACTTATTGAATATTACCCAGAGGGCTGATGACAATTCTCCTATTGTACAAATGAGAAAACTGAAATCTGAAAAGATTGAGATAATTGCTAAAAAAATTCTGAGCTAGTTAATGACAGAAAATCATACTTTAATAAGAAAAATACACCATGAATCCAATTCATAGTGTTCATTGAAATATTGTGGTGAAGAACGAAGATTTATACTTGTTATGTCTATGCTATCTTGAAAATCACGTATACTTTTTACTACTTTCTTATCTCTTTTATTGCTTTTTGTCATTATTATCATTGTCATTAGAGTCCTACTTTGGATAAGCATTCAAAATTCCCTCAAACACAGAGGAGAGGAATCTATCCAAGGAGGAAAATGCTTGGGACAGGAATGAATGAGTGTCATTGACAAAAATTACTTTCCAGTGATGTTTTGTTGCTCATCAAGCTGTGTGTGCTGATAATTCCTTTTACTTGTGAAGAAGTTAGATCACATTCTTATATATCTAAAGACAAAAAAATTTCCTCAATGATTTGTATAAATATTTTAAAATTTTTGATGCTATTTTCAGCAGCAAGTTTAGGATTTCAAAATGGAACTTTATGGTTTTCTTTAATTCATCTGTAGATTAGAGGATTCTATTTACATAGGAGGTATTTTTTCTTCTTAATGATCTGTAATTGTTAGGAAAAACTTTGAGAACACAGCTTTAGCAAGAATAAATGTTTTGCTTGAGTCATTGTCTCTATAACAGTGCTGTGCTGAAATAGAGTATAAATCTGATAAAGAATGAATGACCATATGTTCAATAAGATTATCATTGATGGTTACTGCTAAGTTACAGGTGAAGCATATTATTTTTTTCTCCCTCTATCCCAACTTCCAAATCCCTACTCCAGGAACTCAGAAGACCAAAAACAGCACTACCGAATTGCTCCCTCTCCTCCCCTGCATCTTATGTAGCCTGACTTCTCACCTCTGAAGCCCCAAACATACTGTAGCCAACAGACGTTTAACCTGTACAGGAAGCTCGTATTTTTCTCTGAGAGTGGGTATGGAACTATCAGGTGAACTCTACTTTGGAAAGTGTGGTGGCCAGAGAAGAATTATTGCTTCCTTTACTTTGTGGCCTTGGTAAGAGCTTACGAGTGGAACCTCAAAAGTAAGTGCCAGATGGCTGTAGAAGAGATGTACTTGGGGTCTACTGTTGTCCAGAAATTCTAGAAGAAATGCCTTTGAAATCAATCCTTTGCAAGCTGGACCTTGGATAGCCCGGGTCACCACTGCATGGTGGGAGGAAACCTATTTTTCCACAGTTGTCATTGGACTAATCCTTGTAGTACAAATAAGCTTGACTCAGTGGAGGCAGAATAAAGCCCAGAAAACATGCTTTTTTACATCACATGCCCTCGATTACCTCTGGGTGCAGGACTTAATCCATTAGTTAAGTGAAAAACTCTGGAGGACAGGAGAGACATGCCGAGGCTAAGGGACCAGTCCTCGTCTGTGAAGGCTGGAGCAAACCTGGCAGGGCCCTGTATCTGAAGACTGACACTAGTCCCGAAGAGCAGGACTATTGGGATTGCAAGTAGCATAAGCTGTAATTGAAAGCAAATTGATTGAAATGAAATAAATTGATATAAAGATTAGGTTAAACTAATGTACATGTACATTTTGTTTTTAAGATAAGCTATTATCACTATATTCATGGGTATTAGTAATTTATGGGGAGAGAAAATAATTAAGAGCCCAGGCTCTGGTATTAGATTGCTTGGGTCCAAGACCCAGCTACACCATGTATGTATAAACTGTCAACTTGACCTTGAGTCTCTGGGTGTGAATTCCAGCTCTGTCATTTACTAAATGTGGAAATTGAGTAAATTCCTAAGTTTCTCTGAACTTCAATTTTTTGTCATCTGTATGTGTAAAACACACCATGTAAAGCACTTAGTATTGTACCTGTCCACAGGAAGCACTCATAGTTCACATAATGTACTGAGAATGGTACACTTTTGGCCCAGTTATTATTCTAACTATACTATATATATTATCAATAAGTATAAACTATTATTATTATTGCCATTTTTATTGTTTTGGTCCCTGTGATTTTATTTTGCAACTATTTTATTACCTTTAAGCACTTCTGTGTTTTCCTACTCTTTCTTCCTTTTTATTTCTAGTTTATTTTAGCCTATTACTTCTGCTGTGGATTATTTATAACAGTAAAAGAGTTGAAATAACTTAAGTGTCCACACATTACACATTAATGTTGGGGTTTAGTCCTTCAGAAGTAGCATAGTTTGGGTGTCAATAAGAGCTATTACTATATACCAACTTATTGGTATTACTGTATACCAAGCGCTATGATGACAGTAATTTTATCACTCCTATTTTACAAATGAGGTGATTAAAATCTTTAGAGAGGCTAAAGAAAATGTGTAGCAGGTGACATAGCTATAACTACTGGTGTAGCTAACATTTGAAGCCAGAAGACTGATTCCAGAGAGCATGTTTGTGTATGGTTCTAGAACACATGGCTGAAAGGAAAAACTGCATCATTGAGGATGAAAAGATCAGTGAGATGTGAAGGTAGAGATTGATGAGCTGTCCACATGGATGTGGATGTCACTCAGACTAACAGTGGGTCTCTGGCTGTAGAGCTAGGAAAAGAGAGGGAGCCCTCAAGTCAGGAAATAAAGCTTTGACAAGCACATGGCACGCACCAAAAGGCTGGTGAGTGACAGTAACAAGAAGTGAAGGGTGATACTACTGCTACCACTGTTAAAATAATGGCAAGTGAATATTTATGAAATCCATATTAATATTTATGGTACTTTTGAAAAGCATTATCTCAAGGAATTCTCACAATAATCCTTTGAAAAAGACACTATTATTTTTCCCATGTTATGAATGAGTTAACTGAGTTTTAGAAAAATTGAATAAATTGCCTAAGTCCACACAACTATTTCAAGTCACCAATATAGCTATGTGAAATGGTTTTCAAAGAATTCACCCATCCTTCATCCATCTATCTATCTGTCCCTTCATCCATTCATTCATCCATTTGCTTAACAACCTTGAGTGTCTTCTAGGTATTAAGCTCTGAGGATTAAAAAAAGTGCCTAAAATCCTAGTACCTGCCCTTGAGTCTGATGAGAAGGAAATTTAAGAGAACAACTGATAAAAGCTATAGTAGAGGTGTAATTTTGTTATTTGTAAAATGAGAGTGCTGTGTTGCCTAATCTTTAATATTTCTTTCAATTCCGCCACTGTGATTCTAGAAACAGCAAGAAGTAATCAACGAAAAACGAAACTGTACACAGCCTGGTGGTATAAAACTTGAACCTAGTTAACTGTTGTTAGTGTAAGACCCATTCATTTTCTCAATGCTATGCAGACTAGCAAATTTGGCAGCCAAGGAACTCAGTGTGAGGCAGCTGGGCATGATTTTGGATGGGGGACTCAAATTCAATGTTGGTGAAGTGTTTACAGTTTGCATGTGCTTTGCAGGTGTGTGACATCACTTCCCATAACTGATGTGAATGCTGGAAACAGTGGCAGCCGACTGATAGCCTGCCTTTAACCCTTTCCAAACAAACCATCTTGTGGGCAGATGTTGACCACACCTTCTTGCACATCTCTCTAAATGAGGCTGGAGATGAGCCAATTTTTTTCTGATCTAGGCCTTGACGTGTGAATGTACAGCCACTGAACTTCTCCAGGAAATGACATCAAGACTAATTCAAGGGGCTAAGAAACCGAGGGCCTTTCTTTAATGTCCTAGTTAATGGCAATTGTGGGAAAAACAGCATTATTCTCTTGTTTAGGCTGCAAACTTGTTGATATTTTATAGTTAAAAAACTTGGGGGACATAGGAATGAAAATAGGCTTTTTTGTAGAGGACGCCCTGTTAAAGTAAGAGTTTTCAAAACTAGTAGTGTAAACAAAATTTCAGAGAAGAATATTAAGACTACTTAAGGGAGCAAAATCTTTTTGTGTTTCATGTTTTTCGTTGCCAAAATTTCTATAGTGCCTCTTTCCATTTATATTAAAGGAAAGAAACTTACATAGTATAAAAAGTTATGGTAATGTAAAGTCACTTTGAAGCAGTTATTAAGACAGATTATGCTTTTAGTTTACCCATATCCTTCAGTGTTGAATCAGGCATTTGATACAATGCCTCAGTAATGTAGAATGATTGCAAAAAAGTTGCTAGGAATTGGCTAAGGATTTTTCACACTGCCCATATTATATGTTTTCCTGGAACATATGTGTACATGCACATATACATGTAAGCTAAAATGTAAATGTAAGTTTTATATGAATAAAAGTATTAATACTGAATTTATTTTAAAGTAGATTGCATATTAGATTTCCAGTAATTTATGTAAATTTTCCCTCCAGTTAGTTAACATTATAAAAATGTTACTAGACTGATACTTTTTTATCTTAGACATTTATAATGCTTCAAGCATTGCTGCAGTTTTTATTCTTACATGTAACTTCAGGGTGGGTGGGTAAGAAACTTGTTACTTGTAGGTTATCAATGGAGAAGGCAGAGCCAATGATTCATGAGCTTCTGGGGACTCAAAATACTATTCTTTATCATTATTTCTGGAGTCACAAGGGCTACTTTGAACAATTGAAGAAAAATAGTAAGTCTTTGAAAGTAGACTCCACTGCAGAAAACAAATAGCTATATTCTAGCCTCATTTTTCTTTTTTCCCATATTAGAGTTGGTCCTCTGCATAGGTGTCTGTTTGGGTCACATTATCTATGAACCGTACTTGAATAAATTGCTAGCTCTCTTGCAGCTGCAAGTGCTGGCTATTTTGTTTGAATTTGTAGCTCTTTGATGTTTTCTGGCATGCACGATTTTAAAATTTAGATACAGCCTGCAATTTTTTTGAAGTCCTAGACAATTCTGATTGAGTAAGTCTTATTAACTCAGTTTAGAAGTTTGAATCTAAACCTTCACAACCCTCCTTTTGAAAGGTGTCGAGATGTGTGGTAGGGGGGATTATTTTTAATGAAACTAAGCTTGCATATTTTTCAGGTTTGAAGATGCAATGGGTTGTATCTATTAATTTACAGAACTTTAGAGACTTTAGAGACAGGATAGCAATTGACTAGGATATTGAATTTTTAAAGCAATTTCATTTCACAGTATTAAATTGGAATCTAACTGTAATGCCAGAAAGTTTAGATGACAACTTCATTTCTGTAGTACAATTCATCTATTTTCCCTATTCATATGTTGCAGGCCACAATAATTAGTTTTAGAAAAAGGCAAGAGGAAACGTAAAAGGAAATTTCTCTTTTGATACCTTATGAAGACATCCACCCCTAAGGATAGTTTTCTGTGACTGCATTTGTGAGAGGCAGAGTCAATGACATTAATGTAGGCTCTCCTTCCTTCATGGCTGTGATCTGGCATGTCTGAATATACAACTGAAATAAAAATGACCGGTGAGTCTACCTTGGAAAACTCAGAAGCCAACTGGAGATCCTGTTGCAGCCACACTCAAGCACATAATCGAAACCAGGTTACCACTTCTAAGTCAGAAAATTAAAAATGACATATACTGGCTTTGCTGAGGGGGTCGGGCTCCCCTTGCAGGCAGTGGCAATTCATAATCATGGATGAGGAAGGGGCAGCACAAAGGTCACTGTTGTTCACTATATTACACGTTTTCATTGTCTTCTAGATATTTCAGGGATAACTTTCTTTAGGTGGTAAAATTAAAAACACCCCAAAATGTGTGATTTGCTAACGATTTTTATAAATGTTTTATTTTTAGATAATTTTAGATTTGCATGCGGTTGTAAGAATTAACACAGAAAGATTCATATACCTTTCACTCAGTTTTCCCCAGTGGTAACATCTTGCATAACTATAATACCACACCCAGCGTACTGGGTGAATCCATCGGTAATGAATATGTGGCAATCCATCAGCCTTATTTATAATCATCAGTTTACATGGACTTATTTGTGTGTGTGTGTGTGTGTGTGTGTGTTTAGTATTTAGTTTTATTCAGTTTTCTTATAAGTGCAGATTTGTGTGACCACAACCAAAGTTAAGATACAAAACAGTTACATCACAAAGATTGCTTATGCTAAACTATTAATGAAGGATATGCTCAAAAGATTTATTTACCAATTTGAATAGATTTTCTGAGGTTATTTGTATCTAAAATGGTTTGAAAAGACACCAAGTGACTAAGAAGACAGAAGATAAACTCCTCACTAATTTCAAGACATAGGCTGAAGTTGGGTGAGCTGATCTCTCTGTGGAGTTCTCTGGGAATACAATGAATGACCATGCTTCTTTATAAGAAAGAAATTGCTGAGCAGAAAGTAGAGAAAGATTTTAATGATATCTGCAGCAAAGAATAAAGTCAGGGCTTTAAGGTAGAGGTTAGTAGGCCTTTTGCACAGTTTTAACAAAAGGAAGGTAAAAATTACAGACTCAGATTCTTTTATATTTTAAAAAAAGAAAAAATGCAATGTCAGCAAGAATATACATATAAAGCGTTACTGGTCTGTGGTCTGTAAAAAGAGCCTTCTCCCTCTGGGAAAACAATAAAAAATTATTTGCCCCTGTATCAAATTTAGGACCACTTATGAAAATGGCTAGCTTGGCAGAGGCGGCTGCTTAGCTGGGAGCTCAATTGTACAATTCACTTGTAGCTCAGCATGAACTTTCCTCATAGACAATAGACATTTGTGTTCACACATTTGAAAAATGAACTTACACAAACAACTGCAATTTATACTGTTCCTTGAAACCATAAAACGTTAACACTTTTAAACTAATGGGTTTTGGGCTACCCTCAAAATAAAGCTTTGTGTTTTCTGCTGCTACCCTTTATTTCTAGGGTAATGAAGACCATCTATAAAGGGAAATTGTTAATAGCAGAGAAATTGTGAGAAGTCAATCATAAAAGCTGCATGTTGGATTTTTTCCCCTTCTTTTGTCCCTGTTGAATTAAAAAGATTTTTTTTTGTTTGAATGAGAATGTTGGTTTAGTTATTACATAATTAAAAATTCTCCTCTTTTCACTATTAGGCAGAAAGGACTGCCTGAGATACTGTTGATTAAACCTATTTTAGTATTATCATCTCACCGATCAACTGGACTAAGGTTTATTTTTGAAGACCTGAAATTTACTGCTAGATCTAGATGGTAAAGGTCTAGGAGGATGTATGAACTAGAAATATACCAAGGAGGATGTTATTTCCTTAGAAAATGCTAAGAGGACTAAAGCACAAGAACTTAAGCCTTGAGGTCTTGAAATTTTCGCTTCCGTTGTGCTAGCTCTACCTCATTTCCTAAACTTGCCTCACCCACTCATCCACCACAGGTCCTCATCGCCTCCACCTGCAGGCTCGGCCATTCACATTGCCTCCTGCAGGACATTTATCAATGATTTTAGCTGCCTTCTTCCAGTCCAGAGTGGATTAGAATGTATAAACCCTCATGGACATGAAGTGTGGAGTAGATGTTTAGCTATAGAGCTCCTGAGACTTGGGACCTGGTTCCCTTGGTTGAATCCTGGGTTCTGTGCTACTCAGCTGTAATTTGTCCCTTCACTTCCCCATATTGGCCCAGTTATAGGGACTGGGCTTCCGCCCTGTTTCCTACTTCTGAGAATGTTGTTCAGACACTTAATGTAGACATTTCAGGAGTTCCATCTCCCAATTTTTTATTTTATTTTATTTTATTTTATTTTTTTAATTATACTTTAAGTTTTAGGGTACATGTGCATATTGTGCAGGTTAGTTACATATGTATACATGTGCCATGCTGGTCCACTGCACCCACTAACTCGTCATCTAGCATTAGGTATATCTCCCAATGCTATCCCTCCCCCCCTCCCCCCACCCCACAACAGTCCCCAGAGTGTGATATTTCCCTTCCTGTGTCCATGTGATCTCATTGTTCAGTTCCCACCTATGAGTGAGAATATGCGGTGTTTGGTTTTTTGTTCTTGCGATAGTTTACTGAGAATGATGTTTTCCAATTTCATCCATGTCCCTACAAAGGACATGAACTCATCATTTTTTATGGCTGCATAGTATTCCATGGTGTATATGTGCCACATTTTCTGAATCCAGTCTATCATTGTTGGACATTTGGGTTGGTTCCAAGTCTTTGCTATTGTGAATAGTGCCACAATAAACATACATGTGCATGTGTCTTTATAGCAGCATGATTTATAGTCCTTTGGGTATATACCCAGTAATGGGATGGCTGGGTCAAATGGTATTTCCAGTTCTAGATCCCTGAGGAATCGCCACACTGACTTCCACACTGGTTGAACTAGTTTACAGTCCCACCAACGTGTAAAAGTGTTCCTATTTCTCCACATCCTCTCCAGCACCTGTTGTTTCCTGACTTTTTAATGATTGCCATTCTAACTGGTGTGAGATGGTATCTCATTGTGGTTTTGATTTGCATTTCTCTGATGGCCAGTGTCCATCTCCCAATTTTGCCTTTTTTGTTCCTTCACCTGGGATTGGAGCCTTACTCTGCATCTCATAAGGAGAATTTTTTTTTTTTTTTGCATTCCAATACATCTTTATTTATAAAACAGACAACAAGCTGGATTTGGCCTAAGGATACAGTTTGTCAATGCTTGATCTATCGTATCCTGGCCATATATCTCCAAAGTCTTGTTCTTTGCTATAAAAGCTTATTCAAATGACATTTTTTTGGTGAAACTTAAGAAACATCCTTATTAAGGTTGTGAACAAAGCAAGGAAGTCCACTATCACTTTAAGAATTTGATGTTTTCTGTTCCAGAGTACAAACTGATGCAATTGAAAAAGAAAAAAAAAATCCAAAAAGTTCAAATGAAAAATTTTGGTAAAAATAACAGAATTTAGAAAGAGGTCTGAGTATAAAATTAGTATAATGAAATTAATAGTGTTTATTCGAATAATAATCCTTTAGAAAATATAATGAGAAAAATTACAATTTGTAACAAAACCAAAAAATAAGTTGTTCAGTAATAAATGTAATAAGAAATGTTTAAGGTCGATGCCAAGAAGGATTTGAAAACCTAGTGATAAATATGAAAGAAAACTTGAATAGAATGGAAAAGACTACCTTATTTGTTTATATAAAAACTCATTAGAGTAAAATAACAATTTTCTTTTAAATTCTATAGGTTGTATTCATACCAATAAAAATAAAGCATATTTAAATGTAATCTTCGTTGGTAATAAATTTGCTTTGTTCAGAAAAATTTTAATATCAAAAATTAACAATAAAATATTCCTCCTACCCTATACTTAATTCATATAATCATCTCCCACCAATATAACACCTATTATTGTTATTTTTCCCTTAAATCATGTAGCTGTAATACCACTTCCTAGTTCGCTACTTTTTTTCTTAAACATTTTTTATAAGGAATTTTTTTCAGAAGCTAATGTAAGCTCTGGATTCTCTTCAAAGAATAATTACAGAGAGAAAGAGACAGAGACACACAGAGAGAGAGACAGAGAGAGAGAAAGAAGGACAGAGAATGAACTTTGGTAAGCAATAGTACATATATCTATAGAGTTTTAATTCAGATTTCGAAAGGTGCGTAGCACTCTGATAGCCCTCTGAGTTCCATGGATAGATCTCACAGAAGTCTTTGAAACTCAAGTCAAGAATTATGTGATGTATTCTCTTAATCTTCAGATGAAAATTGGGGGCCCTCAAGTGGTCAGGAGTGGGCCTTTCTTGGTGGCTTGTCTAGATTTACATAATTAGGCTTTTGCTCAGAAGGCTGGATGATAGCTCAGTTGACTGTTAAAGGAAGAAAAATACTACAACCTTCTTTGTAAGTACTAATTCCCTTCACTTACTTGATTGTCCTTTTTCTCTTGCAGCTTTGGTTTTTGATTTTGACTGTTCCCTATAACTATCTTGATTGCATTGCTGGATTGATATTCATGTGATTTCTTTAGTCTCTCCATCATTCTTGTTTGCAGGAAAACATTCCTCTTTACCAAAATGATTGTGGATTAAAGTAGATCCCAGATAGGGACAGGAGTTTATCTGATAATAATTTTAAAAATAGGTCTTAATTTTTTTTTTTTGAAACAGAGTCTTGCTTGTTGCCCAGGCTATAGTGCAGTGGCACAATCTCACCTCACTGCAACCTCTGCCTCCTAGGTTCAGGTGATCCTCTTGCCTCAGCCTCCCAAGTAGCTGGGATTACAGGTGCCTGCCACCATGCCTGGCTAATTTTTGTAATTTTAGTAGAGATGGGGTTTCACCATGTTGGCTAGGCTGTACTTGAACTCCTGACCTCAGGTGATCCACCCACGTCGGCCTCCCAAAGTGCTGGGATTACAGGCATGAGCCACCGCGCCTGGCCACAGGTCTTAATTTTTAAAAATATATGCATCGGTGGATAATGTGACTTCCTACAACCAGACAGTGGGTGTATTTAATACATTAAATCACATTGTGCATCTGATCAGTCTGCTTAGGCTGCTGCAACAAAATACTGTGGCTCAAAGAACAGAAATTTACTTTTTCATAGTTCTGGAGGCTGGATGTCTGAGATCAGGGTGACAGCATGGTTGGGTTCTGAAGAAGCCTCTTTTCCTGGCTTACAGACAGCCGCCTTCTTTTGTGTCCTCACACAACAGGGAAAGAAGGACAGTATACTTTCTGGTGTTTCTTATTAAATGGTCACTAATCCCATCATGAGAGTTGCTACCCCATGACCTCATCTAAACCTAATTTTCTCCCAAAGGCATTATCTCCAAATACCATCACATTGGGGGTATACATTTTGAATATGAATTTTGTGGGGACGTAATTCAGTCCATAGCAGCATCTCTGTATGAAGAATACAGTGAAAGGCTTATGGTGACCAACACTTCAAGAAGTATGAGTTCTTCAGCTGTGGTTTATGTGCTGAGGAAGTAGGGAAAGGAGGGGCAGGTCAAAATCACAGATAGAAGGAGAGTAACAAGGAAAGGAAACGAAATTTCTAGGGGTAGAAGTTTATTGGATACTTACATTGGTCTTAAGAATAATCTTTATCAGAATTCAAAGTGGACATATTGGGGACCCAAACAGAACAAGACTTTGTTCCTCCAAAGATAAAAAAATATATATTTTATTTTAGCAAAATAACTTGGTTTTGGATTTAGAGTAAAAAGTAGAACAATTCCAAACATTGGTCTTGAGTGCTATTGAACTAACGGAGTAGTGAAGACAAGTGATGCCTGAAAAGGTTTGTTTATAGTTTAAATCTGAGTCAATCTACCAAAATGGAATTTGCTTGTAATTTCCTTTAACAGGGTATACTTAGTGCTTGGAATTACATTCTGAGTAGCTTTGTTTATTGAGTTTCCTTGAACTCAACCCTGTGTGGGTCTTGGACTTCACTGGATAGCTGGGAGAGTTTGTGCTGCTAAAAAGCTGAGATGTTTTTTGAGCTGGGATGTTGTTATTTTGACAATATTTTTTGCTTATTATTAAGAGGGTGTTGACAAAAAATGATCTCAAGATAATGGCAGACTAGAAAGAACAGTGGGCTGACCAAAGTGAGATGTTCATTTGCATCTTGAAAGAATGGTCTTAAATTCTGATAGAATTCAAGCATTTCTCTTCTGTGAATATATTTCTTTATAAAATTGTGGATGCACCAGCCTAAGAAATGCAAATCAGGGGTTTTGACTTTCTAACAGTGTCCCCATTACTGGGGAGAGAGTGGTGCAGAGCGTGAACCTTAGTGTCAGACAGGAATGAATTGGGCTGTGCCATTTATGACTGAGTGTGACCTTGGGCAAGTTATATTAACTTATCAAATTAGGCCTTAGTTTCCTAGCTTGGTGCTTATAAGGACTGGATGAGATAATGTTTAGAAAGAGCTGTGCTTACTTGGTACATTTTAAAGCTCTAAGAATGATAGCTCTTATCAGACTGGTAATTCATCATTGCAGTGACTGACTGTTCATGCTTGGAAAGAGTTTAAACATCACTAGCAAGCCCAGTTTTATTCCACAAACTGCATCACTGAATTGTGATACCTAACTTTCTCTTTCCTCCTACTAATAATTATTCATGACTTTGACTACTGTCTCAGAACAACAGGGAACAACAGTAGATATGTGTAGATTTTCTATCTTTTCCAGTAATAATAAAATACAAAAAGAGCCTGAAGTGAAATGCAAATGAGAAGCAGCAGTAGACATTCACCTTTTTGGGGGAAACAATTAATTAATTTTGGCTAAGTATGTTTTAATTAGACCTAAACATACAGAATAAACCTTACTTATGTGTGTAATCTTAAACTGAGTCAAGATGAAGTAAATTCACTAAGTTTTATGTATTCATCCTATTTAATTTTTATTTGAATAAGGATATATTATCTAATATATTAAATTCTATAATATATTAGATTTTAATCATTCAAGTTGTTTCTCAAATCAGGCATTTCAGGCATAAATTGAGAGTCAAATATTTCCATATATTGATATATTGGGTAATTTATGTCTGGTAGAACAGTATTTCAGAGAAAAAATTAAAATCCAAGATCTTGCAGGAAAAGATTTCTGCCTGGCTTCATGCAAAGATCCTATGTTCTTAATGGAAGGTTTGGATTTAGAAAATAAAAAGTAGAATTTCACCCTGAGAGAGTGAAGTAGCCAAGGCAGCCACTTCTAATAGTAGGTATTATGACCCAATCTGGTACAGTAGCCAGACCACAAGAGAGGCAAAAATGTTTCACCATGAATAAGGAAGGATAGTTCTATTTCACTCTATCCTTTTCCTATTACTTTGTCCCATCCAGCTGTGCGGCCTCAGATCAAAATTCTACTTCTATTATACTGTAGATGAACCTAATGAGACTCAATAGCTCCATTATGCGTTATTTTCTCAACATCTGTTAGCCACAGTTCCTGAACTTAACTTTAAAGCTTTCTTCTTTGCTATTAAAGTCCTATTCATTTGCAGTTTTTCATAACCCAATAAAACCACCCTTTTTCAGCCCAAGTTTAAGTTACTTGCTTGCTTGCCTGAGGCCGAATGTGCAGACAAGCTGAATGGTCAGGTAAAGTGTTAACAGGTTATTCTACACTCTGGATTCATAGTAATCACCTAAAAACACTAGATGGCACAGGAGAGGTATGAATGCAACAAGAAGATCCCAGCCTTCAAAGCTGAAATATTTTTAAAAAATGTTTAAGGTTTAAAAGAGCAATAATTTAGGATATTCTTGTATGTTCTTTCCTATTTACTTCCTATTGTTGTCTTGAGCTTTATCCTTGAGATTTTTCAGAAATGGTTGACGTAAGTTAAAATTCTCATATCTCACTTGAAAGCAAACACTTAAGACAATTCTTAATTGAGTAGTGCCTTTATTTATTCTTTTTAATTAATTACAGAAAACACCCACACTCACAAATACACACACATCTGCATACTTATATAGTAATACATACTCTCTCTCTCTCTCTATATATATATATATGGTTGGTTATATATGTGCATGTTATATTTATGATAAATGAAACACTCTGTATCAGGGCACTTAGAGATAATGCACACAATGGTATGTGTAAATGTGCACATTGTTGTGGGAAGTCAGGGACCCCGAACGGAGGGACTGGCTGAAGCCATGGCAGAAGAAAGTGGATTGTGAAGATTTCATGGACATTTATTAGTTCCCCAAATTAATACTTTTATAATTTCTTATGCTTGTCTTTACTGTAATCTCTAAACACAAATTGTAAAGATTTCATGGACACTTATCACTTCCCCAATCAATACCCTTATGATTTCCTATGCCTGTCTTTACTTTAATCTCTTAATCCTGTCAGCTGAGGAGGATGTATGTCACCTCAGGACACTGTGATGATTGCGTTAACTGCACAAATTGTAGAGCATGTGTGTTTGAACAATGTGAAATCTGGGCTCCTTGAAAAAAGAACAAGATAACAGCAATGTTCAGGGAATAAGAGAGATAACCTTAAACTCTGACCGCTGGTGAGCCGGGTGGAACAGAGCCATATTTCTCTTCTTTCAAAAGCAAATGGGAGAAATATCGCTGAATTATTTTTCTCAGCAAGGAACATCCCTGAGAAAGAGAATATGCCCCTGAGGGTGGGTCTCTAAAATGGCCCCCTTGGGTGTGGCCATCTTCTATGGTCGAAAATGTAGGGATGAAATAAACCCCAGTCTCCCATAGCGCTCCCAGGCTTATTAGGAAGAGGAAATTCCTGCCTAATAAATTTTTGTCAGACCGGTTGCTCTCAAACCCTGTCCCCTGATAAGATGTTATCAATGACAATGTTGCCTGAAACTTCATTAGCAATTTTAATTTCGCCCCAGTCCTGTGGTCTTGTGATCTCACCCTGCCTCCATTTGCCTTGTGATATTCTATTATCTTGTGAAGTACGTGATCTTTGTGACCCACACCCTATTCGTACACTCCCTCCCCTTTGAAAATCCCTAATAAAAACTTACTGGTTTTGCAGCTTGGGGGACATCACAGAACCTACTGACATGTGATGTCTCCCCCGGATGCCCAGCTTTAAAATTTCTGTCTTTTGTACTCTGTCCCTTTATTTCTCAAACAGGCCGATGCTTAGGGAAAATAGAAAAGAACCTACGTGACTATCGGGGGCAGGTTCCCCAGTAGCACATGATTCTATTTATTTTTCTAATTATGCAACTAACTAGAGTTAAATACTGAGAAATACTTTTCTAAGAAAAAGCATCTAAACATAGAAGGCAATGTTATGTAATTTCTAGTTTTTCTCAGCTTATAATGAGTACATGTATTCCAGGAAGTTTCATATATATTGTGTTTATTAAACATGAGTTTATTTTATTATTTTCTTTAATGGAAAAATTATAAGCTATGAACAGGAAAGTATATTAAGCAAATAGTGAATGTTGGGACTCAAAAGTGGTACTGATTACAGCAAGAGTACTGTTAACCTTAATTACAGAAATTGTACTCATTTATAGGGCACATTGTACACATAACGTCACAGGGTAATCAGTGGTTTGCCATTGAATAATCTCTGAAATTTAGTCGAACTAAAACTGCAAATCGGAAGCTTACAGTTGTTCATGATAAAAAAAAAAATCCTTGCACAGGCATGACTATCAAAGAATGATAGATTCTCATTTTTAAAAAATAGATCTGTATTATTTGAGTTTTTGTTTTGAAACTTCTTGGACAATTAGTGATACAGTAAGATCTAGAGAAGTAGTTTTAATATTTTGCTCCCCAATATTTTCAATAGACTAATAAAGTTCACTGGAACAAAAATTGTTTTATTATTTGTGATCTGGGAGAAATAATACCTTAAGTAATTGTTTTGAGAATTAAAGATAATGCAAGTAAATGTATATATATTTAAATAACCTTAATCTGAGTAGATTAACAAATTTATTGCTGAATTAGGTAAATGAGAAATAAATAAAACTAACTAGAAATACAGAACCACAATATCATCTCCAAACAAAGTTTAAAAGAAAATAATAGAGGCCACATATTTATGATAGTCATCTGTAAAGAACTGATCTGACTCAGTGGCTTACTCCTATAATCCAAGCTACTCCAGAGGCTGAGATGGGAGGATAGCTTGAGGCCAGGAGTTCCAGACCAGCCTGGGCATTGTGAGACTCCACCTTTAAAAAACTTAAAAAAAAATTAGCTGGGCATGATAGTACATGCCTGTAGTCCCAGCTACCCAGGAGGCTGAGGCAAGAGGATTGCTTGAGTCCAGGAGTTTGAGGTTGCAGTGAACTGTGATGATGCCACTGCACTCCAGCCTGGGTAACAGGGTGAGACCCCATCTCAAAAAACCAAAAAAAACAGACCTTTAATTACTTTATATTACTTTCAACTTTTCTATATTTTATTTTGGAGGGTATAATTCTACAATACATAATAAAATCATATACAATTTAGGTATCTGTATAGCTAAAAAATTATAGTTATAAAATATTTGGGTAGAGACATCATGCCATATTGGAAAGTACATGAATTTAAAGGTTCCATGCCCTTAGGCATTAGACATGGGTTTAAATTCTGGTCTCACCACTGATTAACTAGGTGATCTTGGGTACTGAGTTCTGCAGGTCTTATTTTCTTGTTTGTAACATGGGGTAAATACTATTTCATGATACAAGGTTGCTATGGGTTAAACAGGATTTTTCGAATTCAGCACTGGTGACACTTGGGCCAAATAATTCAGAAGCTATTGTGGGGGCTGTTCTATGCCCTGTAAGATATTTAGCAACATCCCTGACCTTTACCTACTGAATGCCAGTAGTACCTCTTCCACAGTTGTGACAACCAAAAGTGTCTCCAGACATTGACTAATATACCCTAAAGGGCAAAATTGATCCCAGTTGAGAACTACTGGGTCAGAGGTAAAATATATAATATACTTGCATGAAAATGACTTGAACTGAGGACAAAGAATGGGTGACATGAATATTTAAGGTGAATTAAAAAAAAACAGAGCTCCAAAAGTAGACTGAGAAGGATAACCATAGAAGAGACAGTAGATATTCATGAAAGAGTGGAGTCAGAGAAACCAAAAAAACGAAAAGTTGCAAGAGAAGATAAGAGGAAGACTCCCCATTGAACTGACTTCATTCACGCTTATAAGGACACTTTGAATGAGAGATCATAGTTGGCTTACAGGTGATGGGGTTTTGGGAACAAAATATGAGTAGTGTTTTTCAATAATTTTAATTTTCAGTACTTTTAGTTGGGGCTACTCTTTCTCTAGCTTCTGTATGCTCCATCACTTCCTATGCTTTAGGAGAAGGTAGAAAAAGGTGTCAGAGACTATAGGTCTAAATGAGTATTTTAAATTACATACTATAAAACATATTATTCTTTCATTCCTTAGAAATTTTTCAAAACTGACATCTTATGAGTTTACTTAAGAGTTTCAGTTTATATGGGCACAGATCTTCAAATTCCCGACTTCTAGTCAGGCAATATCCCTGTGCCTAATACTAATTTTAGTCAAGGTTCAAAAAATAATTCTATCATATTTTAGTATCAAAGTCTATTGGATATTGTGGTATTACCAAAATGTATGATCTGTTCTTCCTTCTCTGTCTTTTAATGGCAGTGCATGTAATTTAAAATACTTCAGCCTAGGCAGGGTCGTGCGTGTATGTGTGCGCTCAGTTTTAATTTGTGGAGTGGGGGTGGGGTGTGGTTACTTAAAACTCACAATAACCAAATATGGAATGCACATGCTGGAGGGGAGGGGTGGTTGGCTAGCACTTGAAAGACGCTAATCAAAATCCTACACTTTGGAGGTGTCTAATCCAAGCAAGCGTTCAGTTCTCTTCATCTCAGATCAACGCCAGATGGCATGGTAATTAGCGCATTGGATGTAGAAATGTTTCTTGCATTGGCAAAATTAGTTATGTTCAAGGTGTGGATCTGGGATTGGCTAGATATATTGATCTGGGGCTCCTGCATGCACAGGATTTCAGAATTTAGTGAACTTGATAGCCTGCATTTCTTGAGACTAATTCCTCGGTTTAGGATTCCAGACCCATCTGGTATGAGTGTGTTTATCTTAGGGCTTTTTTTTTCCCTGACTCCTACTGGGATAGCTGAATTCTGCCCCTACAGTTTGCTTCTTCTGTCTTCTATTAACCTTTTATGCAGGATGCTGTTGAATACCTAAAATATAGAGAGCTAGTAGTTCATCGAGCTTATAGAACTGTTTGTATTAGTATTTTTGTGGCATTTTAACTGTTAAACGTTTATGTGTGTGGCCGGATGTGGTTTGAACATTTACTTACAGCATTATTCTACTCAACAGCAAGGTTGCAGTTAAGAATACCTGCCAAAGCTAACAATATGTACTCAGAATAACCCAATAATTGTAAACTACCAAATTGGGTCAGTTTGCTACCATCTGACACTCATTCCTCTGAACTGGAGAAAATAAAAATGCTTATTTCTTTATAGATACCTGAGAAATTTTTGTAACTTAATGATTAAGCTTTAATTCTTTTGTATAATAGTTCAAAAATAATATTCACCTCATGTGTAATAATAGTTAATATTTTCTGAACCCTACACTGAGAATTTACATGTATACCTTATAATTTAACATTTAATAATCACATCTTACAAAGTAGTTTATTGTTATTATTATTCCCATTACTATTATTCCAATTTTTCAGATGAGAAAACTGAGGCATAGTGAGGATAAATAGCTTGTGTGTTCAAGGTCATACAATGAGCAATTAAGAGGCCTGAGATGATGAAATCAGGCCATCTGGTTCTTGATATCATGCTTTTAAACACAGCCTTTCAATAGCATTTAGGTTAAATAAGATAATTTATTTGAGAAATACCTATTAAGATATATATATATATATTCAAAAATTGGCTGGATATAAATAAGACCAAATATTGGTCTAATATGAAAAATCCTAGGATGATTCAATCTTCATATATATTTAGGTATATTTACTCCTTTTGTAAGAATGGACCTGCAATTATATTTTAAATTAATTCTGGCATTCATCTACCATGCATATGACTGGTTCTAGGAAATCATACAAAGAAATTTATCAAAGAAAGGATGCTTATAATGAAGCGAGTCCTTCCTTGTTATGCTACTGTGTGTATCCTTATCATGAATATGTTGCATCCATGTTTTACTTTGGTTTTATTATTTTTAATAGATCCAGTAAAACTTTATTTTTGAACACAGTATTTCCACAGTTGAAAAATTCTTCAAGAATTTTAGTAAAATGTCCTCACCCGGCAATGATTTTTGCTCCAAAAATTTTTCAGATCTATTAAAAATTTAACTTACCTTTTAGTTAAAAGTTCCTATAAAGAAATTCTGACTTTTCCACTAATTGTCGATCAGACCTTGAAAAGTATAATTGGAAACAAGGTTATTTTTTTTCTGTACACTACCTTCACACACTAATTTTTACTGACTGGAGTATTTTCTTGGCTTGGTTTCATAGGAACTAGGCAGGAGATTAAAGAGCTTGCTTTTGTTTTGCATGAAGAGAAAATACAATGGGTTTTTTTTCCTGGGTATGCATCAGCTTTAGATAAGCCTTCCAAGATCAAGAATGCTACAAAAGAAGTTAAAATATTTCTTAACCAGCTTTAGAGTTTCCACAAATGTGCTCAATTCACCTAACAGCATCTCAATGGGATGGCCACGGGAAAATGGAGGAAAAATGAGATTTCGTTCTGAGTTTTAAAGGCAGGAGGAGGGAATGTTTGTCCCATGTGTTCACTCTTTGGAAAGCAGAGGATGGTCTGTTTGTCATTAATATTAACATGAATTAGTGTTGCTTACCTCCCACTGGAGCACTTGTGATATAAAGACAGGGCAGGCCAAACTTAGTCCCAGGAAAGATGGGTAAATACTCCAGAGGACCTATAGACCTATTGTTTGAAAAATGTAAACAAGAATCAAACACCAAAGCCTAACAGAATGAGGGAGATTTTTTTTTACCACTGCCAATGTGTAGTTTGGTTGTCGTAGTTTCTATGCTGAGAAACACAGGGAGGGAAAATTCTTTATGAACAGAGTGTGCGGTTTCCTGTGTAAATTGAAATGATTAGCTGTTTTCTTTTTTTAATGGTGTTTGAAAAATGGTGTATCATGTTTGTCTCAATTTATAAAATAGGAGTTAAAATTTTTTCTTCCTTATGTAGGAATTTGTTGTGTTAAGTTATATAAACTAATAAGGAGAACAGATCTTCAACAAACCATCATTTAAATATGGGAAAGACACAAAATCCAGGTAGTTTATAATGGTAGAAATGAAAATAGAACTTTAACAGTCTATACTGTCATAATGATAGCTAATATTTATGATCATAGTTACCATAGATTTGGTATTGTTTGTAACTTTACATAAGTTTTTTATTCAATGAAAGCAACTCTATAAATATCCTTTCACTTTACATTTGCAGAAACTAAAGACAGTAGTGATTAACTTTCTCAAGACCTCGTATCTAACTGGTGGAGTTGAGACGTAACCAAACACTCATGATATTACTTTCCATTTAGATAATATCCTTTTCTGAACAAGGACTGGACAAGTTTTTGTAAATTTTTAAATGTTCTTCTGGAGGACGTGACATTAACAGATGACTCCATGTTAGCAGTTACAATATGTGAGAAAGACTGAATGCTCTGCATTTGTATTAGAAGGTGATCACTTAATTTCTATGGTCTTTGTAATGTATTAAGTAGGGCCTTGACTTGTCAAATGTATTTAGTAGAGAAATGATGTTGGAAGATTATGATAAAATTCTTAAACCTCATCATTTCAAAATTGAGGCAGATCATATAACTCTATTGGGCACCTAAACTGTCAGTAAACTCTGAGTGTGAAATATATGAGTAATGATTTGTGCTTTTGAAAAGTGTTCCTTCAAAAAGTTCCAGAGTTAAGATGGCCTACTGGATGGAAAGAGTGGGTATGAGTGTTCATTGAATATCCTCTCAGGCTTTTTGACTGTTAAGAGGCATAGCTCCCTTCTGTTCAGAGCCCTTTGTTTTGATTACTTCAAACAGAGAGAAAGCCTCTCTTTGGACTGACACCAATCTCTTCAATTTGTTTGGAAATTAAAAAAACAAACATGTTTATAAATAAGACAATAAAGAACATTGACAATGTTTGGTATTATCTAATTTTCAAAGTTAATATTGGGGTGCTTACTCTTTATCAGAAGCCCTGCTAGACATTTTATATCACACAACAAATTCCTGCATAAAGAGGAAAAAATTACCTCCTATTTTATATCAATGAAATTTTGTTAATATGTACAGCAAATCAGGAAATGGTACTATTTTAAGTTCTTATTTTATAGAAGATAAAACTAAAGTACATTACTTTCTCAAGATCATAAACAAGAAGGATGATCAGAGATCGTTTGCATTCATGGACAACAGCATATATTTCCAAGCTTTCCCCAGGGCCATGTTAACTCTCCCAATCTTTGTTGTAATATAGTCCAAAGATCTGTATTGTCTGGATATTTCAGAGAACACCTTATTCATCTACTATATCCATGATATAATTGTATCAAATTAATAAGAAGTGGCAGTTTTTTTTGAAGACTTGGTGAGATAGAAGAAAACAGAGGAGCACTGTGAAGATTCAAGTACATACAACATCAGTGACGTTTTTGGGAATATTACACACTGGGGCATGCTGCGACATTCACTCCAAAATAAAGGCCAAATCATTGTGTCTTTTCTACCCATAAAGAAAACTGCAATGCTTAGTAGACCCTTTGATTACTCCAGGGTTCTTGTGGTAAGGCAGCAGTAGGCAAGAATGGAGTCAGCAAGTTGGCAGGGGTAAATATTTGACCCTGATCATTAGCAAGAGGTAGGGCTACTGCTAGACAACTTGGGAAGGGAAGAATATGTTTTGTATCTAGGTGATACATTTGGACATCTCTTGTCAATCCCATGCTCCTCAGCCAAAACTGGAGAAAAGCATGGTAGTTAGAGATTCAGACCAATAGATTGAAGGTCTAGGTCATGCTACCAGACAATCTGTCTAGCTTATTCTCCTAATATCTCAATGGAAATCGCAAGGGGAATAAGGAGGAGAAATGTGATTTTAAGTTTCAGAAGCTGGAAGATAAAATGTTTGTTTCATGCTTGTATTCTTTGGAAAGCAGAGGATTGTGTGTTTGCCATTAGAATTAGGATGAGTTAAATGTCATAGACAAGGATGAAGGCAATTTGAATTGGCAGTGGAAAGGAGGATGCTAAGGAACAGTTATGGCCTAAAGAACAACTGCAGCAGCGGAGGCTATAGTTCATTCCACTAATATTTCTCTTGTAAGTTTCTCCAGAAAACAAGACCAATCAGAATATGGTGGAAACTCTTTTCAGATAGGGTGACTTACCATGAAAAGGAGTCAATCTGAGTTCAAGGTCTAGACTGCAGTGAATTCTCCACCCAGATTCCCAAGCTGATGTTTCACAACTCTGTCCCTCACTGGAAACATCGTTTGGCCCCAGAGAACTTCCTAGTTCAAGCAATTGTTCAGAAGATTCGGTTTGTTTCTAGTTTACAGTGTTTGTGGCCTCAGCTGGGAAGACTTGAAGACAGAGGATATTTTTATGGCTAGAATCTTGGGACATCTGGAGGTATCTACTCTTACATGTCTGAGAGTTGATGCTGGCTGTTGGCTGACACCTTAGTTGGGCTGTCAGCTGGAAGACCTACATGTACAGTGGCCTTTTCAAGTGAGCTCTCAGACTGCATTTCACAGCATGGTAATTAGATTTCTAGAGCTACCTTCCCAACACAGCAAGATAGAAGTACTTAGCATTTTATGATCTAGTTTTGGAAGTCAGGTACTATCAATTCTGTTGTACTCTATCACACTATGCAGTCACAAAAATCCACTCTGCTTCAAGGGTAAGGGGATAGACCCCACCAATTGATGGGAGGAATGTCAATGTCACATTGTAGAAACACGGTGTGGAGTGGGGGATATTGTTGTAGTCATCTTTGGAAAATGTAATCTGCCACATCAAGGAGGAGGAGACTAACTGCTTTTCTCTTGCTTGTGCATCATACATTTTTCAGTACATCACTGATTCCTTAATGTTTTGAAGTACTTTGAAGAAAACATTTCTTTGTCAAAAATAAAAGCAGAAAACAAAGGAGATAAAAAATATCGAAGTCTTCTAGCTGCATGTAAGATAAAGTTTAAATTCTTAAATTAGCATTCAGACATAATTGCCTTTTACCCTCAACTTGATATTACTTCCAGTCATATACTGTGTTAGTTCATTCCCATTGCTATAAAGAAATACCTGACACTGAGTAATTTATTTTAAAAAAAGAGGTTTAATTAGCTCATGGTTCTGCAGGCAATACAGGAAGCATAGTGGCTTCTGGGGAGGCTTCAGAAACTTATAATCATGGTGGAAGGTGAAGGGGAAGTGAGGATTTCACATGGCCAGAGCAGAAGGAAGAGAGTGGGGAGGTACCATACACTTTTAAACAACCAGATCTTGTGAGCACTCCCTCACTATTATGAGAGCAGAACTGGGAGGGAAATCCACCCTTGATATCCAGTCACCTCCCACCAGATCCCACCTCTAACATTGGGGATTACAATTCAACATGAGATTTGGGCAGAGGCACAGATCCAAATTGTATCATTCAGCCTCTAGTCCCTCAAAAATCTCATGTCCTTCTCATTTTGCAATATACAATCATGCTTTCCCAACAGTACACCAAAGTCTTAACTTATCCCAGTGTTAACTAAAAAGTCAAAAGTCCAAAGTTTCATCTGAGACAAGGCAAGTCCCCTCCACCTATGACCATGTAAAATCAGAAACAAGTTAGTTACTTACAAGACACAATAGAAGTATAGGCATTGAGTAAATATTCCCGTTCCAAAAGAGAGAAATTGGCCAAAAGAAAGGGGCTACAGGCCCCATGAAAGTCTGAAACCCAGCAGGGTAGCCATTAAATCCTAAAGCCCAAAAATAATCTCCTTTGACTCCTTGTCTCACATCCAGGGCACACTGATGCAAGGGGTGGGCCTCCAACCCTGTGCAGCTTGTGCAGCTCCTTGTGCAGCTCCAACCCTGTGACTTTGCAGGATTCAGCCCCCACAGCTACTCTCCTGGGGTGACATTGAGTGCCTGCAGCTCTTCCAGGCTAAGAGTTCCAGCTACCAGTGGATCTACCATTCTGGGGTATGGAGGATGGTGGCCCTCTTCTCACAGCTCCACTAGGCAGTGCCCCAGTGGGAACTCTGTGTGGGAATTCCGAACCAATGTTTTCCCTCTGCACTGCCCTAGTAGAGGTTCTCTGTGAGGGCTCTGCCCCTGCAGCAGGCTTCTGCCTTTACATCTAGGATTTTCCATACATCCTCAGAAATCTAGGTAGAGGCTCCCAAGCCCCAAATCTTGCACTCTGTGCACCTGAAGGCTTAACACCATGTGGAAACCACCAAGGCTTAGGACTGGCACCCTCTGAAGCAGTGGCTTGAGCTGTACCTGCACCCCTATGAGCCATGGGTGGAGCTGGAGTGGCTAGGATGTAGGGAACAATGTCTCAAGACTGGGCAGGGCAGCAGGATCCTGAGTCTGGCCCAGGAAATATTCTTCCCTCTGAGGCCTCTGGGCCTGTGATGGGAGGGGTGACCTCAAAGGTCTCTGAAATGCCTTGGAGGCCATTTTTCATTGTATTGGCTGTCAGCTCTTGGCACCTCTTTACTTATGCAAATTTCTACATCCTGCTTGAAGTCCTCCCCAGAAAGTGGGCTTTTCTTTTCTACTGCAAGGCCAGGCTGTAAATTTTCCAAACTTTTACATTCTGCTTCCTTTTAAATATAAGTTCTAGTTTCAGGTCATTTATTTGTTCACACATATGAGCATAGGTTGTTAGAAGCATCCCAGGCCACCTCGTGAATACTTTATTGCTTAGAAATTCCTTCCACCAGATAACCTAAATCATCTCTCAAGTTCAAATTCTACAGATCCTTGGAACAGGGGCACAATACTGCTAGTCTCTGCTAAAGCATAGCAAAAGTGACCTTTACTCCAGTTCCCAATAAGTTCCTCATTTCCATCTGAGACCTCATCAGCCTGGACTTCACTGTTCATATCACTCTCAGCATTTTGGTCACAATTATTTAACAAGTATCTAAGAAGTTCCGAACTTTCCCTCATCTTGCTTTGTTCTTTTGAGCCCTCCAAATTGTTCTAACCTCTGCTTGTTACCCAGATCCAAAGCTGCTTCCCCATTTTCAGGTTTCCTTATAGCAATGCCCCGCTCTTTGGTACCAGTTTTCTGTATTAGTCCCTTCTTGCATTGCTACCAAGAAATACTTGAGACTGGTTAATTTATAAAGAAAAGAGGTTTCATGGGCTTATGGTTCTGCAAGCTGTGCAGAAAGCATAGTGGCTTCCGGGGAGACCTTGGGAAACCTACAGTCATGGTGGAAGGTGAAGGGGAAGCCAGGACATCACAGGGTTTGAGCAGAAGGCCTCATCTCCAGCGTTGGGGATTGCAGTTTGACATGAGATTTGGGTGGGCACACAGATTCAAACCATATCATATACTGTAACTTATTGTTTATTTATATAATATATCTATGCCAGGATGTGTCCTCAAGCTTTTTGCCTTCATATGTATTTTTTCCTAATCTCAGAATTCCACCATAGAGTGCTTCCACTGTTTGCCTAATAAAGTCCTTAAGGCTTTTCCTTCATGCCCAACCAGGTAGTGATCCCTCCTTTCTGCTTTCAAGCCTACTACAGCACCAATTAAGTACCAATCATGTCGTTTATCACAGTGTTCTGAACTACACGTTATTTTAGGAAGAGGCAATGCTTTATCATAATTTGTTTGTTAGTAAATACTATTTTCAATGCAGAGGATATCTTCCCACAGCAAATTTTAGAGGAGAGATCTTAACTTTTTCTAACCTTATTGCTTGTGTGAAGTAGTTATTCTTCATGGTATGACTCTATCTAACAAACCTGATTGTGGTGTGTTCTAGTTGTTCCAGATTTCAAAATGTTCAGAGGGTTAACTCACTTTTTATTGGGTTCCCAGGGTATGCAAACTGTTAATATGAAAGCATACAAGCTATTTGATAATGTTAATGATCCACTGAGTGACTGTTATAAAGTAAATTCAGTTGGAATAGTGACACAAATTAATTTCCAGGGAAAGCTTTTAAAATGCATTGTATATATTATCCATTCAAATGTATTATATATAAAAATATAAATAAATAAATATATATATATAACTATCTGTGCACACATGTGTATGTGTGTGTGTGTGTGAGTAGTTTTTTGAAAATTTATTAAATTTGTTGTGGAACATGAATTTAAACAGTTAATCTTAGGATTTTGATTGCTTTAATTTTGCCAGTATGCTTTGTTCCTCTCTAAGAAAGGCTTATAGTAAAGCAGCATTTTCTATGTTTGCATAGTAGTCTCTAAGTTTGTCGGATTACTTCTTGCTTGCAGAGGGCAGCCATGTTACAGTGTGACCCTGCTTCTGCTACTTTGCCTGAGAAAGAACTTGACCCAGAAGAGCCAATGAGTCTTTTCTCCAAGATTTTTGAATTTGAAACTGAAAGAAAATTGGGCCAATCTTGCTTGGGTGCCTGGTTTTTGGGTGAATTATAACATGCAAGAACTGTTAATAGCCTTTCTTGCCATATAGGAGTGAAAGGAGGCTGTTTTTTTTTTAACCAAGAAAAAGAAGAATAAAGTGGGAAGGAGAGAGAGAGAGAAAAAGTCCTTAGAACATTTTTCTCCTTGGGTCTTGCCATCTCAAATCCAATCATATTCCTGAATTTAGGTTCTGTAAGACATTCTATATTCCCCCCTTTTTTTAAAAATTATTTTAGGTTCAGAGGTACAAGTGTAGGTTTGTTACATAGGTAAACTTGTGTCATGGGAGTTTGTTGTATACATAATTTTATCACTCAGGTATTAAGCCTAGTACCCATTATTTATTTTTCCTGACCCTTTTCCTCCTCTCACCCTCCACCCTCTGAAAGGCCACAGAGTGTGTTGTTCCCCTCTATGTGTCCATGTGTTCTCATTATTTAGCTCCCACTTCTAAGTGAGACATGCAGTACTTGGTTTTCTGTTCCTGTGTTAATTTGCTAGGGATAATGGCCTCCACTCCATCCATGTGCCTACACAGGACATGATCTTGTTCTTTTTTATGGCTACATAGTATTCCATGGTGTATATATATTAATACCACATTTTCTGTAAGCAGTTAACCAATGATAATTGATGGGCATTTAGGTTGATTTCATGTCTTCACTATTGTGAATAATACTGCAATGAATGTATATGTGCATCATGTGTCTTTGTAGTAGGTGGGTATATACCCAGTCATGGGATTCCTGGATCAAATGGTATTTCTGTCTTTAGGTGTTTGAGGAATTGCCACACTATCTTCCACAATGGGTAAACTAACTTATACTCCCACCAACAGTGTATAAGCATCTCATTTTCTCTACAACCTTGCCAGTATCTTATTTTCTAACTTTTTAATAACAGGCATTCTGACTGATGTGAGATGATATCTCATTGTGGTTTTTATTTGCATTTTTCTAATGATCACTGATGTGAGCTTTTAAAAATATGATTGTTGGCCACATGTATGTCTTATTTTGAAAAGCGTGTGTTCATGCCATTTGCTTATTTTTATGTTTTTTTCTTATAATTTATTTAAGTTCCTTATAGATGCTGGATGTTAGACCTTTGTCAGATGCATATTTTGCTGCAAAAATGGATTCTCATTCTGTAGGTTGTCTGTTTACTCTGATAATAGTTTATTTTGCTGTGCAGAAGCTCTTTTGTTTAATTAAATCCTGCTTGTCAACTTTTGCTTTTGTTGCAGTTGCTGTTGGCATCTTCGTCATAAAATCTTTGCCTGTGCCTATATCCTGAATCATATTGCCTAGATTGTCTTATAGTTTTGGGTTTTACATTTAAGTCTTTAATCCACCTTGAGTTGATTTTTGTATATGGTGTAAGGAAGGGACCCAGTTTCAATCTTCTGCATATGGCTAGTCAGTTATCCCTGCATCATTTATTGAATGGAGAATCCCTTCCCCATTTCTTGTTTTCATCAGATTTGTCAAAGATCAGATAGTTGTAGGTGTGTGGTCTTATTTTTGGGTTCTCTATTCTGTTCCGTTGGTCTGTATGTCTGTTTTTGTGCCCATACCATGCTGTTTTGGTTACTGCAGCCCTTTAGTATAGTTTAAAGTCAGATAGCATGATGCCTCCAGATTTGTTCCTTTTACTTAGGATTGCCTTGCTATTTGGACTCCTCTTTGATTTCAAATGAATTTTAAAATAATAGTTTTTTCTAGTTCTGTGAAGAATGTCAATGGTAGTTTAATGGGAATAGCATTGAATCTATAAATTGCTTTGGCAGTATGGTCATTGTAATAATATTGATTCTTCCTATCCATGAGCATGGAATGTTTTTCCATTGGTGTCCTCTGACTTCTTTGAACAGTAGTTTGTAATTTTCCTTATAGAGACCTTTTGCCTCCATAGTTAGCTGTATTCCTAGGTATTTTATTCTTTTTGTGGCAATTGTGAATGGGAGTTTGTTCCTGATTTGGCTCTTGGCTTGACTGTTGTTGGTTTATAGGAATGCTAGTGATATTTGCACATTGATTTTGTATCCTGAGACTTCACTGAAGTTGTTTATCAGCTTCAGAAGCTTTGGGGCTGAGACTAATCAGTTTTCTAGATATAGGATCATGTCTTCAACAAACAGGGATAGTTTGACTTCTTCTCTTCTTCTTTGGATGCCCTTTATTTCTTTATCTCGCCTGATTACCCTGGCCAGAACTACCAATACTATGTTGAATAGGAGTGGTGAGAGAGGGTATCCTTGTTCTGTGCCAGTTTGCAAGGAATGCCTCTAGCTTTTGCCCATTCAGTGTAATGTTGGCTGTTGGTTTGTCATATAAGGCTTTTACTATTTTGTGGTATGTTTTTTCAATACCTAGCTTATTGAGAGTTTGCAACATGAAGGGATGTTGAATTTTATTGAAAACCTTTTCTACATTGATTGAGATAATCACGTGGTTTTTGTCTTTAGTTCTGTTTTTGTGATGAATCACATCTCTTGATTTGTGTATGTTGAACCAACCTTGCATCCTGGGAATGAAGCCTCCCTAATTGTGGTGGATAAGCTGTTTGATGTGCTGCTGAATTCGGTCTGTCAGTATTTTGTTGAAGATTTTTGCATCAATGTTTATAAAGGATTTTGGCCTGAAGTTTTCTTTTATTTTTGCTGTATCCCTGCCAGGTTTGGGTATCAGAATGATGCTGGCCTAGTAGAATGAGCTGGGGAGGATTCCCCACTTTTCAATGTTTTGGAATAGTTTTAGTAGGAATGGTAACAGCTCTTCTTTGTACCTCTGGTGGAATTCAGCTGTGAATCCATCTGGTCCTGGGGTGTTTCTGATTGGCTATTTATTACTGTCTCAAATTCAGAACTCATTATTGGTCAGTTCAGGCATTCAATTTCTTCCTGGCTCAGTGTTGCGAGGGTGTATGTGTCCAGGAATTTATCTATTTTTCTAGATTTTCTAGTTTATGTGCACAGAGGTGTTCAAAATATTCTCTGATGATTGTTCATATTTCTGTGGGGTCAATGGTAATATCCACTTGTCATTTCTGATTTGATTTATTTGAATCTTCTCTCTTTTCTTCTTTATTAGTCTAGCTAGTGTTCTATCTTATTAATATTTTCAAAAAATCAGCTCCTGGATTCATTGATCCTATGAATGGTTGTTCATGGTTCTGATTTTGGTTATTTCTTGTCTCCTGCTATCTTTGGGGTTTGTTTGCTCTTGGTTGTCTGGTTCTTTTAGTTGTGATGTTAGGCTGGTATGTTGTATCTTTGTTCTCATTAGTTTTGAGGAACTTGATTTCTGCCTTAATTTCATTATTTACCCAAAATTCATTCAGGAGTGGGTTATTCAATTTTCATGTAATTGTATGGTTTTGAGTGAATCTCTTAGTCTTTATTTCAAATTTGATTGTGCTGTGGTCTGAGAGACTGTTATGATTTCAGTTCTTTTGCATTTGCTGAAGAGTGTTTTACTTCCAATTATGTGATTGGTTTTAGAGTAAGTGCCATGTGGTGATGAGAAGAATGTATAATCTGTTGTTTTTGAGTGGAGAGTTCTGTAGATATCTATCAGGTCAATTTGATCTAGTGCTGAGTTCAGTTGCTGAATATCTTTATTAGTTTTGTGTCTCAATGATCTGTCTAATATTGTCAGTGGGGTGTTAAAGTTTCCCATTATTATTGTGTAGGAGTCAAAGTCTCTTTGAAGGTCTCTAAGAACTTGCTTTATGAATTTGGATGCTCCTTTATTGGGTGCATGTTTATTTAGGATAGTTAGATATTCTTGTTGAATTAAAGCCTTTATCATTATATAATGCCCTTCTTTGTCTTTTATAATCTTTGTTGGTTTAAAATCTGTTTTGTCAGGAACTTAGATTGCAACCCCTGCTTTTTTCTGTTTTCCATTTGCTTGGTAGATTTTCCTCCATCCCTTTATTGTGAGCCTATATGTGTCTTTGCATATGAGATGAGTCTCTTGAAGACAGCATACTGATGGTTCTTGGTTCTTTAGCCAGGTTGCCACTCTGTGTCTTTTAATTTGGGGGATTTATCTTATTTACATTTAAAATTGTATTATTATATGTGGATTTGATCCTGTCACCATGATGTTAGTTGGTTATTTTGCAGACTTGTTTATGTGGTTGCTTTATAGTTTCACTGGTTTGTATACTTCAGTGTGTTTTTGTAGCAGCTGATAATGGTCTTTCCTTTCTATATTTTGTGCTTCCTTCAGGAGTTCTTGTAAGTCAGGTCTGTTGGTAACAAATTCCCTTAGCATTTGCTTGTCTGAAAATGATCTTATTTCTCTTTCACTTATAATACTTAATCTAGCCGGATATGTAATTCTGGGTTGGAATTTCTTTGCTTTAAGAATGTTGAGTATTGGCCCCCCAATCTGCTCTGGCTTGTAGGAATTAAGCTGAGAGGCTTACTGTTAATCTCATGGGCTTCCCTTTGTAGGTGACCTGGCCTTTCTCTTTAGCTGCGTTTAATATTTTTTTCTTTCCCTTTCACCTTGGAGAATGTGATGACTGTGTGTGTTGGGGATAATCTTCTCATGAAGTATCTCTTTGGCATTCTCCACATTTCCTGAATTTGAATGTTGGCCCTGCTAGCTAGGTTGGGGAATTTTTCATGGATGATATCCTGAAATATGTTTTCCAAATTGGTTCCATCCTCCTTATCTCTTTCAGGTACACTAATCTGTCATAGATTCAGTCTCTTTATATAATCCCATATTTCCTGGAGGTTTTATTCATTCAATTTTATTCTCTTTTTCTCTATTCTTGTCTGCCTGTCTTATTTCAAAAAGATAGTCTTCAAGCTCTGAGATTCTTTCCTCTGCTTAGTCTATTCTGCTATCAATACTTGTGATTGCATTATGAAATTCTTGTATTGTGTTTTTCAGCTCTATCTGTTTGGTTACAGTCTTCTCTATACTGACTATGTTGTCCGTCAGCTTCTGCAATGTTTTATCATGACTTTTAGCTTCCTTGCATTGGGTTACAATGTACTCTTTTAGCTCAGTAAATTTTGTTCCTATCCATATTCTGAATTCTATGTCTGTCATTTCAGCCATCTCAGCCTCATCCCAGTCTGGAACCCTTGCTGGAGAGGTGATGTGGTCATTTGAAGGAAAGAAGGCACTCTGGCTTTTTGTGTTTTCAGCGTTCTTGTGCTGATTCTTTCTCATCTTTGTGGGCTTATCTACCTTCAATCTTTGATGTTGCTGACCTTTGGATGGATTTTTTTTTCTTTTAACAGTCTGACTCCTTTTCCATAGGGCTGCTGTAGTATCCTAGGGGTCTACTCCAGTCCCTGGTTACCTCGAATTTTCCAGTCCCTGGATGTCTCACCAGTGAAGGTTGTGAAACAGCAAAAATGGCAGCCTGCACCCTCCTCTGGGAGCTCCATCCCAAGAAGGTATGGAAGTTTTGCCAACCTGAGTGGACCTGTAGGAGGTGGCTGGAGACCCTAGATGGGAAGTCTTACCCAGTCAGGAGGAATGGGATCAGCGACCTGCTTTAAAAAAGTAGTTTGGCCACGTTTTCTTAGAGCAGCTGTACTGTTCTGGGGGTCCACTTCAGCCCCCACCCCCCTCCCCTGCCCGTCACCTTGGACACTCTGAAACCCAAGGCTGGAACAGCTAAGTTACTGAAACAGCAAAGATGAAGGCCCACCCCTTCTGCTGTGAGCTCCTTCCTGGGGATACCTGAAACCTCTGTCAGCTGAACACCAGTGGGGGTGACCAGAGACATTTGTTGGGAGAGTCTACCCAGTGATGAGGAACAGGGTTGGGGACCCACTTAAAGAAGTAGTCTGGTCACATTTTCATGGAGGTGCTGTGCCATGCTGGGGTACCACCTCCATTTCCTGTCAGCTTGAGCTCTCCAAGCCCAAAGGCTGGAATTGCTAAGTTGCCCAAACAGCAAATATGGAGGCCCACCCCTCCCTCTGGGAGTTTCATCCCAGGGAGTTTTCAAATTTCTATAGGATGGAGAACACTGGTGGGGGTGGCTGGAGACCCCAGTTGGGAGGTTCTGCCCAGTGAGGAGGAATGGGATTGGGGACCTGATTAAAAAAAGCAGTGTGGCCACACTTTTACAGAGTAGCTGTGCTGTGCTGGGGTACTGCTTCCAAAACCCACAGGCTGGAATGGCTAAGTTGCCCAAACAGCATAAATGGTGGCCTGACGTTCTATATTCCTTATAGACATTATCCCTTTTTTTAATCTAGTTCTTTATTTTTCATTTTTAACCAAAAGTATTTCAATTAAAATATCATAGAACTGCCTTTGTTTTTCTCTGAGAATTTTATGGAATTAATGTTATATGAAACTCATTTTGGATAATGTTGGCTATTAAATGGTAAAAATCAAACAAAAGGGACAGCTTCTCCCAATCTCATTCTGTGACAAACTGGACAAAATTCTGGTTCTTCTGAATTCCTAATCTATAGCACATTATCAGTTTTATTTTATATGCACATGTTTCTAAACATAATCATGAAATTTAGAGCTTTAGGACACCTTGGAAATGATGTCATTGAACTTTTAAATTTTACTTCAAAAGAAATGGAAATCCAGAGGAGGTCAGTGTTTTACTCATGATTACACAGATAAATGGCAATTATCTCAACCATGCATTTTCCATACATTGCAATCCATAGCATCCCTATTAATAAGGAGTCTCTTTGTGCAAAAATGCCTTAGTGAATCTCTCCAGATCCTGCTTGTTTGCAGGAAGTGATGTTTGTTAACTTTCTAGGTACTTCTTAGAGGCCTACTGCTTTCCCAGTACTTTCTATTTCCCACTTCATCCTGTCTGGATCATGGTGACAACTGCAGCAGTCACTTTAGATACAGAAGTGGAAACCACAGTTGAGATAGAGCTGCCTCCACCACAGAGTCCCTGGACAACCTCAGGAATCAGGGTCCATTATAAAAGACAAATTAACCTTTGCCTTGTCTGAGCCATTGCGCTTTGGCTGTCTCATTACTGCTACCTTTCTTATACCCTAATTAATATGCCCTAAAAATAAATCCTCATGAAGTTTTTGTATGATTAAATTATATATTTACAGCACTTAGAAAAGGCAGGTAAACAGAGTCAGTGTCGAATAAAAAATAGCTGTTATTTTTCAAATTATTATTTAATTCAGAGATAAATTAGCTCAAATTGAAGACTAAAAGATTGTGGAAGTGTAACTGCTGTTTAATTAGTGTTAATCTTTCAAGTTGTTATGGCATATATTATAAGACAAGAAGGAGTAAAATTTCCCATTTACTACCTTACCAGAGATGGTGTAATATGGGGAAGTTTCAGATAGGAAGATGAAAGAGTAATCTGCTTGGTTAATTCTCCAATAACCACCAAGAAGGATAGCAATTAGTGTCCAAATGAGCAATGACTTTATATCTGGGATGGTGCCCAGAAGGTGATGGCCCAAGATGATCAACTCATTCAAGCTTCTGAACTATCACTAGGGTTTTGCTTTTTACTAATGCCATTTTCAAAATAGGCAGATAGTCTATCCCTGCCAACAAATTCAATTTCAAAAAGAAAAGAACGGTGAAGATTAAAAACAAAACAATACAAAGCAAAGAGTGGGGAGGGGAAAGTGTATATCCTCTATGGAAGTTAGGTTGTATTTTATTTTTTAATTTGAAGTGTGATCCAAAGTGCCTTTGTACTGACATGTGAAATAATCTGCTCTTTTGTGATTGACTAATGAATATCACACAGTGGTAATGGACAGGAAGACAAAGACAACCTCAGAAATAGGTCCTGTGAACCTCACTCGATGCAGAGGCTGCTGGTTTTGCTAGAAAACTCAGTGGTTACAGAACGATTACTGGGGAAATGCCTCCCAATTCTTGAGCCAATGCAGATCTGGACAGGGATATATAAAGACATTATTAATTTGGATGAAAGTTTTGTTTTTGCCAATATATCTTTTATTTGGCTCCAGATAAGACGGTTGTTCTGAGGTTTTTGAAAGACCTTAAGTATGCTATTTATTAGAGAAACATTCATTTAATCAAATAACACTCACTTTATAGAGGAAGAAATATTCCTCTGCTTTGAGGGCCATAGGTCATACATTGGCGTATGGCTTTGGTCACTGACAGTGCTGACGTGATGGGGAATTTTTTTCTTCTTCCCTTATGAGGATTCTATTCTGTAATCTCTGGCTGCATTAGAAACTTCACTGCTTAACAGAAACAATTGTTCTTTGTTCTCATGGCCAAATGAAAGCTCTTGTTTCCAGTCCAGCTCTGCTGGCAGGTTAGATGCAATCAGGGGTGTCATCAAGGAAAGAAGAGAATATGCAGAATACAACCACTTGTTGTTTTTAGAGGCAAAAGGCCCACTTTTTTGGCAAAGTCAAAGCTAAGCTCATGTGAGAGAAAAAAAGGCTAAATTATGGATCTTTCAATGTGATGGTTAATGCTTTGTACAAATTCAAAGTAAGAGTTGAGAGCTTCAACACTTCTGACCACTTTCATAAGATAGACACCTTCACAGGCAGGCTTAGACGTTTTTACATGTTTCAGAAACTCGAGCTTAAAATGTGATGCATCAAACACATCCATAATGCCAACACCTTCGAGTTCATATATTTATTCAAGAATCTTTCATTTGATGTCTGTAGTAGAAAGCCTATCATAAAATGATTTGTGGAATATCCTTCTGAAAAAAAATGGCTAGAAGAATGTAGAGGAATCTCTTTTGTTGCAAGTTTGAGGATTTTTAACTAGATTACTATCACACTAAGCTAGGTCTTTCCCTCTTCACAAACACTCCATTTTTCATAATATTGATTAGCCTGCTGCTGAAATAGCTCTCTGGTTCTTTGGTCATTGTTTGTGAATTACCTCCATGAAGTGAGGT
The DNA here is from genome assembly GCF_000001405.40 of Homo sapiens. Classification (NCBI taxonomy): domain Eukaryota; kingdom Metazoa; phylum Chordata; class Mammalia; order Primates; family Hominidae; genus Homo; species Homo sapiens. Next base: position 127,103,164 of record NC_000004.12, on the reverse strand, counting down.
AGCACCTACCTTTGTGAGGTAGATTAGGGTTAGGGAATAAGTATAATTCATTTTTGTATTTGTGATTCCTAATTGCACGTAAGAGCTGAAGAAATTAAGAGGGAAGCTAAAATCTAATTCAGAAAAATGCCTCCATGGCTGATAGGTATTGCTAGAAGCTGTGTCACTAGTGTTTTCAAAGATATGTGTATGGTGCAAGTGCAGAGAGAGATGACAGGGGCTGAATCAGTTGGAGTTCTAGAATGTAAGCTGGCCAGGGAGCCATTAGAGAGAAGGGCGGGTCATTGAGGAAACCAATGGAAGAGGAAATTTGAAGGAAAAGGAAATGGACATCCTCTTTAGTTGGAACAGTGTTTGAGGGCTGAGAAAAAAACTGTTAAAGAGTACTGAAGGAGAGAAGAGTCTCAGGGGAATTGTGAGGCAAAAAGATTATCTTCAAACAGAAAAATTTCAAAAGCATACATTTAACCATCTGGAGTTTTTTAAAAAAGGAACATTTATTCTGTCTTTTGAAAGGAAAGATTTGACATTTAATTGCATTTTTATCCCCCAGAAAGAACACATCTTCAGCTTAATTATTCTCCACAAGAAAAATCTGTGTCTGTCTGTGTGTGTTGCGTGTGTTCCATATGCTTAGTATGCACTAAACACACATTTTAGCAAAGTTCTATTGGCATGACAAACTAGACACACACACACACACACACACACACACACACACAAGTAGATGATGTATGTGTACTTCCAGAATTTTTTTTAAAGCTTAGTTCATGGTTGTGATGAACAATGCTGATTTGGAACAAACCAAAATTCTGGTGGGGTGCTTTGCTGAAAACATTGATTCTTAACATATAACATGGATTCAATATTGACACATCTATTAGTGCTGGCAAGTAAAGTATCATGCTTCTGTTAGAAAAGGTAATAGCCTCAAGGATTAGCTATAAGTAGCCATCATGACATTTTTATCTAAGTTGGTCCAGTGATACTTGTGTTGTAGTCTTAGGAGGATTAGTTGAGTCAATGCATGTGAAAGTGCTCTTAGAAGTATGACATTTCTATGCAAATGCATGGCACATATATGAGTTGTGTATAAAGATATTATGATATGTCAAAGTCTCTGAGAGAGCATATATATGATATTGATACTAAACTTCAAGGCAGGAATTGGGAAAATGTGTCCCAGGCTCTGGGAGATGTTCTCAGATCAAATGAATTTTTTAGTAAAAATTTATGTAAAATGGTCAGCTGATTCAGGATTAAACATGAAAACACAGTATAATGGGTTTATGTTTTGGTTTAAAAGGACCATCTATCCAATTTTGTAGGTTAGTTTATTCATATGTTTGAGATCTGGCAGTGGATGTAATGGGGGTTCCGGAAGAGGCTACCATACATATATTGGATTCCATTAGAATTTAAGAAATTTAACAATAAAAACACAAATAAATGATTATACATACACTACATATAATAAATAAATATATAGCTATTATATGTAAACTACATATAATAAATAAATATAATACATTTAAAGCATTATAACCTTCTTATAATACATATAAAGCATTATAAGAAAAAATAAATAGTAGAAACAAAAGGATAAAAATAGAATGAATATAGATGGACAATAAGGGCTTACAGGGTTATGACTAAATCACAAATTTATGTAATTTTTCAACTTACAAAGTAAATACAATAAATGTTGTTTATAGAAAATGTTGAAAACACAGAAATCTATAAAAAGAGAAAAGAAAATCTATAATTTCTCTAGCTAGAAGTAACTATAAACATTTTGATACTTATTGTTCTAACCATTTTGTTATCTATGAATACAAAACTTTATATACAAAAGTGAGCCGTTAGTCACGTATTTCTTTTCACATTGCAATATATGTGACTGTTTTCCATGACCTTAAAAACTATTTGAGAAATAATTTTAAATGGTTGCATATTCTTGTATGTGTAACCATAATTTACTCAAACAATATCTAATATTAGACATATGTTGTCTCCAAGATTTTGCTGTTATCAGGGTTACTGCTCTTATCATATTTGTGTATGAATACCTAATTATTTACTTGGAAAATTTTTCTAGAAAATGACAGAAATTTTGACTGAGTCAAAAGTCACAAAGAGTTTGAAAGCTCTGGGGTTCAACTCTGTGAATGTGAATATTGGCTCTCCCACTTCATGTCTCTGTGATTTTGAACAAGTTAATATCTCTGAGCTTCAGTTGATCTGAAATTAGAGATTACAATGATAACTTCTTCATGGGTTTGCTGTGAGCGTTACTTTGATATTAAACAGGTGTAGTAAGCACTCTTCTTGGCATCCAATGAATGTTAGAAGTTACTATTAATTAAACTATTACTTTAATAGTAATCAGTAATAGTAATCAGTGTTTTCAGCAAAGCACTTAGGGGACCACCAGAATTTGGGTTTGTTCCAAATCGGAATTGCTCATTATAACCATAAACTAAGATTTGAAAAAAATTCTGGAAGCACACGTACATCATCTACTCGTGTGTATGTGTGTGTCTAGTTTGTGATGCCAATAGAACTTAGCTAAAATGTGTATTTAGTGCATACTAAGCATATGGAACAGACAGACAGACAGACACACACACACAGTAATGTTATTACTTTTAATGGTGAAAACTGTAATTACTTTTGTACCAAACCTAATATAATCATTATGTCTCAACATTGCCCTTTGGAAATGTTGTGTCACTTAAAACTATTATCATTTCTATCTCAGAACACATCTTGAAAATTCTTCATACAGCAAAGATGCAAACTCATTGTCATATATGGTATAAATATTATTCTAGTATCTCACTTGCATTCTAATTTTTTAGACTTTTTATTTGTGTGAGTCAAGTCCATTTATATTCACACAGCCAGAGACAGACAAATGCTTGGCTACAAATACTTGAATCCAACACACATGTGGTGATGTTGACATTCCTCTGTGAAAATTAAGGCCCCAGACAAGGCTCCACATATATTTATTTGTTTGTGAGATGGAGAAACTGCACCAAGACTTGTGAGCATAGTAAGGATTTTGCTCAAGAAATATTTCTGAATGTGTTTCAGAATTTGAATGAAGGTTTGCTCAAATCTCCGAAGTTCCACTTGTAAAATTAGGGCTAAGATGATTTTGGTCTGAAAATATTTCAAAGACATGATAAACCATTTCACACCTTCACTAGAAATAAAAAGCTCCATTTCCTCATATTAAAGATTGTTTTGCATCACATGGCTTCTTAGTACAGGTTCTCAGAAGAATTCATTGCAAAATATATCTTCTGGGGCTAAGTATAACATATTGACCTATCTATTTCATATGAAGAGATTAACTTGGATAATTATGCTAAAAGATTGATATTAGTTAATTTAATTCTTGAGAATAAGTTTTTTTCTTATAATATTTCAAGACTAAGGTCAATTTTCTTTTGATGCCATTCCTAATTTATGGACAATTACATCATATTGTTAGAATTTTCAAAAATATCTATTTTATTTTCTATGGTATGAACCAAGTATCTACATCATTCCAAAGCTACTAAGAAATATGTGCCTCTATAAATTGTTTCTGATTCCTCAGGAAAATTTGTGACCTGCTTTTCCTCTGGCAGTGGTATTAAATAGCAGGTTGGTTTGAACATCAGTAACCAAAAACCTTTATTGACTTCATGCAGAATATCCTACAAATAGGCTGGGGGTGGTGGCTCACACCTGTAATTCCAGCACTTTGGGAGGCCAAGGCAGACAGATCACTTGAGCTCAGAAGTTTGAGACCAGCTTGGGCAAAATGGCACAAGCCCGTCTGTACAAAAAATACAAAAATCAGCTAGGCATGGTGGTGTGAGCCTGTAGTCCCAGCTACTCCAGAGGCTGTTTTGTGAGGATTGCTTGAGCCCAGGAAGTCGAGGCTACAGTGAGCAGTGATTGCGGCACTGCACTCCAGCCTGGGCAACAGAGCCAGACTACCCCCTGTCCCAAAAGGATAACCTACAAATAATCCAGTTCACTGAGTCCAAAGTTGAGGAGAAAGCAATAAAACTGTCAAATTCTCTTATATAATTTTGAATCAATTGTGAGACATGACAGTAAGTGTAATACAATTAAGATTGGAGTAGCTATGTTTGAAGTTTCCTTCCTCTCCTTGTAAAGATTGGTCTTTAAACCCAGATATACTCTGAAAATGTTAAGGGAGAAACTGATATGAGGTTTACACATGGGGCTCAGTAAACAGATTCATTCTTTTGTGGCAGTGAGGGTTATTACACAGATATGAACTTAGATTGCACTTACGGTTAGTTTCATTCCGTTTAGGACTTAATTATTCTAGATGTCTTGATTTACATATGCCAGTTTTCTTCCTGAGAAGCGTTACCACATCTTAGTCTTCCTTTGTATTCCTGACATTTTTTAACAGTTTAGGACCCCTTTTAAGTTGTTAATAGACCTGTTGACTAATCAAAATTATTTTGCTGGTGTTTGCTATCATTTTAAGTAGAAGAGTTATCAGGTGACACTGGCTTCAGTTTCCACAATAACATCTTGACTATCAATGCAAGAAGCAATGCATAAGGCTAGACCAGATAGCCTGCTCTCATGTGCTGACATTGGCCACACCTTGGGAAAAAAGTAGGTATTTTTCTGGTGACATTTGGACTTCTCTGTATTTTAGGCCTTTTGCTGGAAAGAATGAGAGGAACAGTTTCTTAGAATTGAAAACCTAGACTTTTTTAGCTTTAATCAGCCTTAGGGTCTCTTCTCTTGGTATTTACTCAATCCCTTTTATACACAAACTTCTTTTATCAACATAAAAATCTGAAATTATTAATATTTTAAGAAAATATCTTTTTAAATACTGAAACTTGAAAACCACACAAACTATTTGAAAAGAATAATGTATGCTAGGTTAAATTTCTCCCTCTTCTGGCTGATTGAAAGAAGGAAAGAAGAAAATTATAGTGCTGGCATAGTAGAAAGATCAAAATTCTAACTTAAGGTTTTCTAGAAACTGAAGTTAAGAGTTGTAGGCTTTAAATAAGAGAGAGAGAGAGAGAAAGAGAGGAGTGAATGTGTGTGTATCAGGTGGGAATGTGGTTGGGAGATATTTTGGATTATACTACTAATGTATGATTCAGTGTTGAAATTTGAATTTTAGGATACCCATTTCATATTGTAATGAGTTTATTCAAGGCTTTATATGGAATTAAATGTATGAATTTATTATTTACAAGTCCTATATAGCCTGACTCAAACCATTTAGCCACTTGGAGATTGTTTCCTCAATTTTAAAATGGAGAGATTGTTTGGCCAATCCGTCTCACAGGATTGTTGGAAACAGGGAAGATCACATGTGTGAAATTTTAAAAAACGATAAAGATCCAAATAATTATGTGTTCCTTACAATTATTGTCTTTGCACTTACAGTACACACACACACACACACACACACACACGTGCACGCATTTATATGAACTTAAAGTAGTGGCACCATACATTGAGACCAGGTCTACACACAGTGACCTGGGTTATAGGGGACTGTGCCTGGAGTTTATACAAGCTGACAACATTTTAGTGTGTGCTCACTTGTAAGCATTTACCCTGAGTAAACCTGTGACCCACCACCTAGTAGATGTTTCTGAATAGAATGTTGAGCTACTATGAGCTGGAGTTGCTGACAATCACTGGGAGTTTCTGACCCCGTTAATTATGTGTTCAGCAATACAGTATTTGGCACATTAAAAACTACTAATTATGCCCATATTTTAATCTTAATTTTCCAGTTTATTATGATTTCTTCATCATGCCCAAACTGTCTGAGTAAGCAGCTTATCTCCCAATATCTCCACTTGCCTAACAGATGTTCTCTCTCTCTCAACAGATGTTGGCACTTCTTAGGAAGGAGCCATCCATGTCTGAAGAGAAGAAATGATAATTAACTTCATCATGTGGAAAGCTTTAGAAGGAAGTATCTTGTCCTTCTGTCCAAACCCGCCTCCTCCTTACCACCCCCAATAAAAATAAAAGCCAAACAAATAAAACATTAGCAGTAGCTCTGAGTTTCTTCCTTTCACTTTTTCTCTCTCTTCATGCCTTTTCTCCTCCATTCCTTCCTTCTTTCAAATCATTTTTACTAGTTTAAGAGAATAATTCAATCTATATTTAGAAATCAGACTTAAAACTTCAAAAATTATACTGAAATAGCTTCCCCTTAAAGGGTGAAACAGTCATGATAAAAATAACAACCGATAGAATAAAATAATATAAAATTAGCTGAGTTTATAGTTTCTTTTACACCTCCATAATTTATGTGGATTTGGAAATACAGACAGTATACTGAAAACTAAGAAGTTTTCTATGAATTATGAGAATTTGCAATCCACATAGGCTTAAGTCTAATGTTAGAAGATAAAACAAATTGACCTTAAATAACTTTCTGACATAACCTCCCCATTTCATGGATGAAAAACCCTAAAGCTCTCATAAGTAAAGTGATTTACTTCAGGACACAAACTAGTTGATTTAGTTTGGATGTTTGTCCCCTCCAAATCTCATGTTGAAATGGAATCCCCAGTGTTGGAGGTGGGGCCTGGTGGGAGGTGTTTGTGTCATGGGGCAGATCCATTATCCTTATGAGCTGCTTGGTGCTATCCTTGTGATAGTGAGTGAGTTCTCATGAAATCTGGTTGTTTAAAAATTTGTGGCACCTCCCCACCAGCCTTGCTCCTGCTCTTGCGGTGTGATATGCCTGCTGCCTCTTCACCTTACACCGTGATTATAAGCTTCCTGAGGCCTCACCAGAAGCAGTTGTGAGTACCATGCTTCCTGCAAAGCCTGCAGAACTGTTAGCCAATTAAACTTCTTTTCTTTCTAAATTTCCCATCCTCAGTTATTCCTTTATAGTAACTCAAAAATGGGCTAATAAACTAGTTGTGGGCATATCTATACTGAAAACATACTTTTATTTCCGAATTATTTAAACTTTTTATTTAGAAATTGGCAAGTTAAAAGATGTATTATTTAACGTTATACTGTTATTTTCCCAGTCCCTAGAGAGGCATTCAAGACATGGTATGTATTCATGAAGTATTTGTTTTTAAACAAGTGTGTTCATGTATAATTAACAGCTTTCTCATTGAAGGACAATATTGAATTGAAGTTATAGGTGGTGATTCAGGAGCCATAACTGTTTAGGTTCAAATTCTGACTCCTCTATTTAACAGCACTGTGATCTTGGGCAAATGGCCTAACTTCTCTGTGTTTCCATTCCCTAATCTCTAAAACAAAGATAATAAAATCTGCCTCATAGCTTTTTGTGAAGGTTAAATTAAAGTACTTGGAACAATGCTTGTCTAACGCATAAACATTCAAAAATGTGAACTATTATTCTTGCCTTATGAACCATTAAAACACATTTTGTAAGATTGCAAGTGTAAGTTTCCTTTAACATAATGTGATATAGAAAACTCTAAACATAAACCAATAAGGGAGGTTATGGGAATAGGTTGGAGTGAGGGTAAGTTGCTCATTTAATTTACAAATAAATATTTATTGGCAATACCATGAAACTCAGGTTTCATTCAATTGAACACTTTTGGTGAGCATCTTTGGGTGCATTGTTTATATTCTTAGTAACATAATACAAGATTTGGAAGCGCCCTTACAATTCCCATTATCTTCTTTCATCCCCCAGAAATGTTAGATATGTCCCACTCTACAGAAAAGCTACTATAATAAACTAGTGAATCAAAGAGTAAGTATGGATAAAGAAAACACAGTGTGAGAAACAATGTAACTTTGGATTGGGTACACCTTATTTCTGAAAAATTAGAAGGAAGAGAGTTTTTGTAAAGACATCCTTTTCTCTCTTGCAGCTTCTATCAGGATTTTAAGAGGGCAGGCAGAACTTTAAAGCAAAGGAAATTGCTTGTTTTTGTGAAATTAACCAGTCTGTTATCAAGGCGGAGGACAAGATACGAATGCTAATCATTGTGAAGAAACTCATTACGGAATTTTCTCCAATACATAGGCAAAAGAGTTAAGTATTTTGCTCTAAGGTGAAAATCCCAAATTGTGGAAGAATGGGGGGAAGTTAAGATTTAATAATTAATTGTTCTTTGCTCTTTGGATTTTTCAGACTTTTATATATCTAAAGCTTTGTTGAAGTATAAATTACATATTATAAAACTTACCCCTATTAACTGTACAATTTGATAAGTTCTGACAAATGTACACCATCATGTTGTTACCATTTCAGTCAAGTTTACAGACCATTCCTATCATCCTCCAAATATCCCTTCTGATCTTTGTAGATAATCCCACCTCTCCTTGTCATTCCCAGGAAACTACTAATCTGATGTCTGTTCCTAATGTTTTGCTTTTCATGAATATTATATAATTGGACTCATACAACCATGTAGGATTTTTCCTTTTTATTGCCTAGTAGTATTCCATTATCTGGATATGCCATAGTTTGTGTACCCCTTTACCAGATATGGACCAGTGGGTTGTAACCAATTTTTTATGATTCTGAGAAATCACATATGGGTATTTGTGTGGACATATATTTATATTTACTTTGGGTAAATACCTAATAGCAGGATTGCTGGGTCATAAGGTAAGTATATGTTGCAATTAATAAGAAACTGTCAAATTGTTTTACAGAGTGGCTGTTATCATTTTGCACTATAACCAGACATATAATGCTGTTGCTCCACATCCACGTCAGAGGTTGGTATTGTCAGATTTTTAAAAAAGATATTGTAGTAGAAAGGCAGTGATCTCATTGTGGTTTCAATTAGCATTTCTCTAAAGACTATGTTGAGTGTCTTTTTTTCACTTTCTTTTTTTAAATTTAAGTTTAGGGGTGCATGTGCAGGATGTGCAGGTTTGTTACATAGGTAAACGTGTGCCATGGTAGTTTGCTGCACAGATCATCACATCACCTATGTATTAAGCTCAGCATCCATGAGCTGTTCTTCCTGATGCTCTCGCTTGTCCCCCTCTGACCCTCTAACAGGCCCCAGTGTGTGTGGTTCCCCTCATGTGTTTACGTGTTCTCATTATTCAGCTCTCACTTATAAATACTTGGTTTTCTGTTCCTATATTAGTTTGCTGAAGATAATGGCCTCTATCTCCATCTATGTCCCTGCAAAGGACATGATCTCATTCCTTTTTATGGCTGCATAGTATTCCATGGTGTATATGTAGCACATTTCCTTTACCAAGTCTATCATCAATGGATGTTTAGATTGATTCAATGTCTTTGCTATTGTGAATAGTGCTGCAATGAGCATACGTGTGCATGTATCTTTATAATAAAATGATTTATATTCCTTTGTGTATATACCCAGTAACAGGATTGCTGGGTCAAATGGTATTTCTGCCTATGGGTTTTTGAGGAATTGCCACACTATCTTCCACAATGGGTGAATTAACTTACACTACCACCAACAGTGTAAAAGCATTCCTTTTTCTCTATAACCTCACCAGCATCTGTTGTGTTTTGACTTTTTAATGATAGCTATTCTGACAGGTGTGAGATGGTATCTCATTGTGGTTTTGATTTGCATTTCTCTAATGATCAGTGATGCTGAGGTTTTTTTCATGTGTATTGGCTGCATGTCTTCTTTTGAGAAGTATCTATTCATGTCCTTTGCCCATTTTTAAATGGATTGTTTGTTTTTTCTTGTAAATTTGTTTGAGTTCCTTATAGAGGCTGGACATTAGATCTTTTTCAGATGGATAAATTGCAAACATTGATTCCTATTCAGTAGGTTGTTTGTTCACTGTGATGATAGTTTATTTTGCTGTGCAGAAGCTCTTTAGTTTAATTAAATCTCATTTGTCAATTTTTGCTTTTGTTGAAATTGCTTTTGGTGTGTTTGTCATGAAATCTTTGCCCATGCCTATGTCCTGAATGGTATTGCCTACATTTTCTTCTAGGGTTTTTATTGTTCTGGGTTTTACATTTAAGTCTTTAGTCCATTTTGAGTAGATTTTTGTATAAGGTGTAAGGAAGGGGTCCAGTTTCAATTTTCTGCATATAGCTAACCAGTTATCCCATCACCATTTATTGAATGGGTAATCCTTTCCCCATTTCTTGTTTTTGTCAGGTTTGTCAAAAATCAGATGTTTGTATGTATACAGTCTTATTTTTGGGTACTCTATTCTGTTCCATTCGTCTATGTGTCTGTTCTGGTACCAGTACTATGCTGTTTTGGTTACTGTAGCCCTGTAGTATAGTTTGGAGTCAGGTAGCGTGATGCCTCCAGATTTGTTCTTTTTGCTTAGGGTTGTCTTGGCTCTTTGGGCTCATTTTTGGTTCCATATGAATTTTAAAATAGTTTTTTCTAATTCTGTGAAGAATGTCAATGGTAGTTTAATGGGAATAGCATCGAATCTGTAAATTACTTTGAGCAATGTGTAGCCATTTTCACGATATTAATTCAATGAGCATGAAATATTTCCCCATTTGTTTGTGTCTTCTCTGATTTCTTTGAGCAGTGGTTTGTAGTTCTCCTTGTAGAGATCTTTCACTTCCCCTGTGAGCTGTATTCCTAGGTATTTTATTCTTTTTGTGGCAATTTTGAGTGGGACCTCATTCATGATTTGGCACTTGGCTTAACTGTTGTTTATGTATAGGAATGCTAGTGATTTTTGCACATTGATTTTGTGTCCTAAGACTTTGCTAAAGTTGCTTACCAACTTAAGAAGCTTTTGGGGTGAGATGATAGTGTTTTCTAGATATAGGATCATGTCTTCTGCAAACAAAGGTAGTTTGACTTCCTCCTTTCCTATTTGAATATGCTGTATTTCTTTCTCTTTCCTGATTGCCCTGTCGAGAACTTCCAATACTATGTTGAATATGAGTGGTGAGAGAGGGCATCCTTGTCTCATACCAGTTTTCAAAGAGAATGTTTCTAACTTTTGCCCATTCAGTATAATAATGGCTGTGGGTTTGTCCCATGTGGTTCTTATTATTTTGAGGTATGTTCCTTCGATATCTAGTTTATTGAGAGTTTTTAACATGAAGGGAAGCATCTATTGAGATAATCATGTGGTTTTTGTCTTTAGATCTGTTTATGTTATGAATCACATTTATTGTTTTGCATATGTTAAACAAACCTTGCATCCCAGGGATGAAGTCCACTTGATTGTGGTGGATAAGCTATATGATGTGCTGCTAGATTCAGCTTGCCAGCATTTTGTTGAGGATTTTTGCATCAATGTTCATCAAGGATATTGGCCTGAAGTTTTCTTTTTTGTGGTATCTCTGCTAGGTTCTGGTATCAGGATGATGTTGGCCTCATAGAATGAGTTAGGGAGGACTCCCTCCTTTTCGATTTTTTGGAATAGTTTCAGTAGGAATGGTATCAGCTTTTCTTTGTACTTCTGGTAGAGTTCAGCTGTGAATCAGTCTGGTCCTGGGCTTTTTTTGGTTGGTAGGCTATTCATTACTGCCTCAATTTCAGAACTTGTTATTGGTCTATTCAGGGATTCAGTTTCTTCCCAGATTAGTCTTGGGAGGGTGTGTGTGTCCAGGAATTTATCCATTTCTTCTAGATTTTCTAGTTTATGTACATAGAGGTGTTTATAGTATTTTCTGACAGTTGCTTGCTTTTCTGTGGGATCAGTGGTGATATCCTCCTATCAGTTTTTATTGTGTTTCTTTGAATCTTCTCTCTTTTCTTCTTGTTAGTCTAACCAGTAGTCTATTTTATTATTATTATTTTCAAACAACCAGCTCTTGGATTCGTTGGTTTTTTTTGAATCAACGGGCTTTTTGGTTCTCTAAATCCTTTAGTTCTGCTCTACTCTTGGTTATTTCTTGCCTTCTTCTAGCTTTGGGATTTGTTTGCTGTTGGTTCTCTATTTTAGTTGTGATGTTAGCTTGTTAACTTGAGATCTTTCTTTTTGATGTGGGCATTTAGTGCTATAAATGTCCTTCTTAACATGACCTTAGCTGTTTCCCGGAGGTTCTGGTACATCATGTCTTTGTTCTCATTAGTTTCAAATAACTTCTTGATTTCTGCCTTAATTTCATTATTTACCCAAGAGCCACTCAGGAGCAGGTTGTTCAGCTTCCATGTAGTTGTATGGTTTTGAGTACATTTCTTAATCTTGAGTTCTAATTTGATTGTTTTGTGGTCTGAGACTGTTTGTTATGAGTTCATTTCTTTTGCATTTGCTGAAGAGTGTTTTACTTCTGATTATGCTACCAATTTTAGAGTAAGTGCCATGTGGTGAAGAGAAGAATGTATATTCTGTTGTTTTGGGTGGAGAGTTCGTAGACATCTATCAGGTCCACTTGATCCAGAGCTGAGTTCAAGTCCTGAATGTCTTTGTTGATTTTCTGTCTTGATGATCTGTCTAATGTTGTCAGTGAAGGGTTAAACTCTCCCATTATTGTGTGGGAGTCAAGATCTCTTTGAAGATGTCTAAGAACTTTCTTTATGAATCTGGGTGCTCCTGTATTGGGTGTATATATATTTAGGATAGTTAGCTCTTCTTGTTGAATTGATCCCTTTACCCTTATATAATCATCTTGTCTTTTTTGATCTTTGTTGGTTTAAAGTCTGTTTTCTCAGAAACTAGGATTGCAACTCTTGCTTTTTTCTGTTTTCCATTTGCTTAGTAGATTTTCCTCCATTCCTTTATTTTGAGCCTATGTGTGTCTTTGGATGTGAGATGGGTTTCTTAAAAACAGCATACTAATGTGTCTTTTAATTGAGGGCATTTATCCCATTTACATTTAAGGTTAGTATTGTTATGTGTGGATGTGATCCTGTCATCATGATGCTAGCTGATTATTGTGCGGACTTGTTTATGTGATTCCTTCATAGTGTCACTGGTCTGTGTGTTTTTTGGGTATACACTGTGTTTTTGTAGTGGCTGTTTTTTTAGTATATTTTGTAGTGGCTAGTAATAATCTTGCCTTTCCACGTTTAGTACTTCCTTCAGAAGCTCTTGCAAGGCAGTCTCATGGTAGCAAATTTCCTCAGCATTTGCTTGTTTGAAAAGCATCTTATTTATCCTTCACTTATGAAGCTTAGTTTGACTGGATATGCAATTTTGGGTTGGAAATTCTTCTCTTTAAGAATGGTGAATATTGGCCCCTAATCTCTTCTAGCTTGTAGAGTTTCCACTGAGAGATCCACTGTTAGTCTGATGGGCTTCCCTTTGTAGGTGACCTGGCCTTTCTCTCTGGTTGCTCTTAACATTTTTATTTTTTACATTTTGATTTTGGAGAATCTGATAATTATGTGTCTTTGGGTTGATCTTCTCATTGGAGTATCTTACAGGGGTTCTCTGGATTTCCTAAATTTAAATATTGGCCTGTCTTGCTAGGTTGGGGAAGTTCCCCAGGTTGATATACTGAAGTGTTTTCCAACTTGTTTTCATACTGTCCCTTTCAGGTATCCTAATCAGCAATAGATTTGGTCTCTTTGCATAATCTCATATTTCTCAGAGGTTTTGTTCCTTCCCTTTCATTCTTTTTTCTCTATTCTTGTCTGCCTGTCTTATTTCAGAAAGATAGTCTTCAAGCTCTGATTCTTTCCTCTGCTTAACTTATTCTGCTATTAATTCTTATGATTGCATTGTGAAATTCTTGTGTGTTTTTCAGCTCTCAGAGGTTGGTTGTGTTCCTCTCTGAACTGGCTGTTTTGGCCATCAGCTCCTATATTGTTTTATCATAATTCTTAACTTCTTTGAATTGGTTTACAACATGCTCTGTGAATTTTGTTATTATCCACCTTCTTGAGCCTACTTCTGTCATTTCATCCATCTTAGCCTCAGCCCACTTCTGAGCCCTTGCTGGAGAGATGTTGCAGTCATTTGGAAGAAAAGGGGCACACTGGATTTTTGAGTTTTCAGCATTTTTTGTGTTAATTCTTATCTTTGTGGGCTTATCTACCTTTGATCTTCTAGGTTTCTGACATTTGGATGGGGTTTTTGTGGTTTGTTGTTGTTATGATTTTCTGTTGGTTTGTTTTTCTTTTAATAGTCTGGCCACTCTTTCATAGGGCTGCTGCGATTTGCTGAGGGTCTGCTCCAGACCCTAGTTGCCTCAGGTTTCCTGTACCTGGAGGTATCACCAGTGAAGCTGCAAAAAAGTGAGAATGACAGCCTGCCCCTTTCTCTGGAAGCTCCACCTCAGGGGATTACTGACCTATTGCCGGCCTGAACATGACTGTTGGAGGTGGCTGGAGACCTTGGTTGGGAGGTCTTACCCAGTCAAGAGGAATGGGGTCAGGGACCTGCTTAAAGAAGCAGTCCAGCTGCTTTTTGATAGAGCAGCTGTGCTGTGTTGAAGATCTCTTCAGTCTCCAATCGGTTTGGATTCTCCAAGGCCCACAGTCTGGATTGGCTGAGAAGCCTGAACAACCAACATGGTGGCCTGCTCCACCCCTCAGGCACTCTGTCCCAGGGAGAACATGGGCAGGGGTGGCCAGAGGCCCCAGCTGGGAGGACCTGGCTGGGAGGACTTGCCCTACGAGGAGTGGATCAGGGTCCTGCTTAAAGAAGCAGTGTGCATCTTTTCTTATGTGTTTCCTTTCCCTCTATATATCTACTTTTGTGAAATGTTGGTTCAAATCATTTGCTTATTCATTTTTTTTGTAGTAGTAAGAGGGTTTTTATACATTCTACATTCAATTTTTTATCAGATATATGAATTGCAATTTTTTTCTTCTCTATATCTCAATTTTTAACTGCCTTTGGAGCAAACATATATAACATGTGTGAGGTCTGATTTAGCACTTTTCTTCCTTTTTCAGTTTACTTAAAACTGACTTTAGCTCTTGCCTGTAGGTCTATGAGTTCATTTCAAGTCAAATTTTGTATAAAGTGGGAAGTAAGTGTCATGGTTTTTTTTTTTTTTTTTTTTTTTTTACCTCTTTGGCATATAAATGTCCAATTACTCCAGCACTATTTGTAGAAAGAGTATTCCTTCCTTATTGGATTATCTTGGCATCATTTGTCTAAAATGAAATTGTCATGTCTGTGTGTGTCTATATCTAGATTCCTCATTTTTTTTTGAGACAGGGTCTTACTCTGTTTTCCAGGCTTGGGTGCAGTGGCATCATCATGCCTCACTGCAGCTTCAACCTCCTCAGCTCAGGTGATCCTGCCACCTCAGTCTTCTAGGTAGCTGGGACTAAAGATGTGCACCAGCATGCTCAGCCAATTTTTTTGTATTTTTTCATAGAGACGGGGTTTACCATGTTGCCCAGATTGGTGTTGAACTCCTGGACTCAAGCAATCGGCCTGCTATGGCCTCCTAAAGTGTGGAGATTATAGGCATAAGCCACCATGCCTGGTTGCTTCATTCCATTTTGTTGATCTATATGTCTAATTTTTATGACAAATATACATACTACTTTTGTATTAGTCTGTTCTCATGCTGCTATAAAGAACTGCCCATGACTGGGCAATTTATAAAGAAAATAAGTTTAATTGACTCACACTTCAGCATGGCTTTGGAGGCCTCAGGAAACTTACCATTATGGCAGAAGTAGAAGCAAACATGTACTTCTTCACACTAGGGCAAGAAGTATGAGTGAAGTGAGGGAAACCCCTTATAAAATTATCATGTCTCATGAGAACTCACTTACTGTCATGAGAACAGAATGAGGGTAACCCCCCCCCCCCCATGATTCAATTACCTTCCACTGTGTCCCTCCCACAATATGTGAGAATTATGGGAACTGCAAGTGAAGATGAGATTTGGGAGGGGACACAGCCAAATCATATCATTCTGACCCTGCACCCTCCCAAATCTCATATCCTCACATTTCATAACACAATCATGCCCTTTCATCAGTCCCCCAATTTGTTAACTCATTAATACAAAAGTCCAAGTCCAAAGTCTCATCTAACAAGAGGCAAGTCCCTTCTGCCTATGAGCCTGTAAAATCAGAAGCAAGTTGGTTATTTTGTATTTACAATGGAGGTACAGGCATTGGGTAAATAATGCCTTTAAAAAACCTTTCCAAATGGGAGAAATTGGCCAAAACAAAGGGGCTATAGGCCCCATGAAAGTCTGAAATTCAATAGGGTAGTCATTAAACGTTAAAGTTCCAAAATAATCTTCTCTAACTCCATGTGTCACATCCAGGTCATGCTGATGCAGAAGGTGGGCTCCCACAGACTTGGGAAGCTCCACCCCTATGGCTTTGTAGGGTACAGCCCTCCTCCCAGCTGCTTTCATGGGCTGGCGTTGGGTGTCTGTGGCTTTTCTAGGCATATGGTGCTAGCTCTTGGTGGATCTACCATTCTGGGATCTGGAGGAAGGTGGCCTTCTTCTCACAGCTCCTCTAGGCAGTACCCCAGTGGGGACTCTGTGTGGGGGCTCCAATCTCACATTTCTCTTCTGCCCTTCCCTAGCAGAGGTTCTCAATGAGGGCTCCACTCCTCCAACAGACTTCTGCCTGGACATCCAGGTGTTTCCATACATCCTCTGAATCTAGGTGGAGATTCTCAAACCTCAATCCTTGACTTCTGTGCACCCGCAGTCCCACCACCTTGTGTAAGACACCAAGGATTGGGGCTTGCACCATCTAAAGCAATGGCCTGAGCTGTATCTTGGCCCCTTTTAGCCATGGCTGGAGCTGTAGCAGCTGGGACTAAGGGCACCATGTCCCGAGGCTGCATAGAGTTGGGGGATCCTGGGCCTGGCCCTCAAAGCTATTTTTCCCTCCTAGGCCTCAGGGCCTATGATGGGAGGGGCTGCTGTAAAGGTCTCTGACATGCCCTGGAGACATGTTCCCCATTGTCTTGGTGATTAACATTGGATTCCTCATTAATTATGCAAATTTCTGCAGCAGACTTGAATTTGTCCCCAGAAAAATTAGAATTTTTTTTTTTTGCTATCACATCATGAGGCTGCAAATTTTCCAAACTTTTATGATTTGTTTTCTCTTGAACACTTTACTGCTTAGAAATTTCTTCCACCAGATACCCTAATTCATCTCTCTCAAGTTCAAAGTTCCACAGATCTCTAGGGTGGGGCAAAATGCCACTAGTCTCTTTTCTAAAGCATAGCAAGAATCACTTGTATTCCAGTTCCCAACAAGTTCCTCATCTCCATCTGAGACCACCTCAACCTGGACTTCATTGTTCATATCACTATCAGTATTTTGGTCAAAGTCATTCAACAAGTCTCTAGGAAGTTCCAAACTTCCCCACATTTTCCTGTTTTCTTCTGAGCCCTCTAAACTGTTCTAACCTCTGCCTGTTATCCAGTTCCAAAATCACTTCCACATTTTCAGGTATCTT
Source organism: Homo sapiens (assembly GCF_000001405.40). NCBI lineage: Eukaryota > Metazoa > Chordata > Mammalia > Primates > Hominidae > Homo > Homo sapiens. Next base: position 127,085,860 of record NC_000004.12, on the reverse strand, counting down.
TACAGTAGCACCCCACTGGCTGTGGTACCAATTTACTGTATTAGTCCATTCTCATGCTGCTATAAAGCACTGCCTGAGACTGGGTAATTTATAAAGGAAAGAGATTTAATTGACTCCCAGTTCAGCATGGCTGGGGAGGCCTCAGGAAACTTACAATTATGGCAGAAGGGGAAGCACACATTTCCTTCTTCACATGGTGGCAGCAAGGAGAAATATGTGCAAAGGGAGGAGAAAGCCCCTTATAAGACTGTCAGTTCTCACAAGAACTCACTCACTATCATGAGAACAGCATGAAGGTAACTACCCCATTTAATTACCTCCCACTGGGTCCCTCCTACAACGTGTGGGGATTATGGAAACTACAATTCAAGATGAGATTTTTATGGGGACACAGCCAAACCATACCAACTTTGATTTCTGTAGCTTTATATACATATTAAAATCAGGTAGTATAGGTCATCCAACTTTGATATTCCTTTTAAAAATAGTTTTGGCTATACTAATTACTTTACTGTTCTATAAAAGTTTTGGAATCAGCTCATAAATTTCCACAAAATAAATGTTGCAATTTTGGGGGGAATGTGGTAAATCTATAGAAAAAGTGAATAGGATTGACCTGTTAACAATATTGACTCTTCAATGAATGAGCACAGCAAGTCTTTCCATTTATTTAGGCTTTTAAAATGTATCTTAGGAATGTTTTATAGTATTATGTATATGAATCTTGAAAGTATTTTATTAGATTCATGTCTAACTATTTAGTATAAACTGTTTCATGTAATGCCTGAGGATTTTAGTGTGTGGTAGGCATTTGGGATGCTCACCAATATGCTAATTCTCTTTTTATTGTGCATCTGGCAACTCTGCCCTTCTCTACCTCCTTGAAAATCAGCATGTCCATATGTTTGTCTTTTGCCAATAGAACATTTCTGAACAAAAATCTTTAAGACTTGGTGGATGATTCATCCTGTTCCCTTGCCCCACTACTGTGGAAAAATCATAGGAAAAAATGATACATGCTCATGATATATGTACATTCCAAGGTGATTGGAATGTTGGGTACAACAAAAGCAAGGAAGCCGGGGCATAGCCTTGTTCCAGTATATTGGAAAAATAGTGGTCCAGATTATGGAGACTTTCAGTGACAAGCAAAAGTGATTGAACTTTGGCTGGACACATTGGCTCATGCCCATAATCTGAGCACTTTGGGAGGCCAGGGTGGACAGATCACTTGAGGTCAGGAGTTCAGGACCAACCTGGCCAACATGGTGAAACCCTGTCTCTCTAAAAATACAAACATTAGCCAGGAGTGGTGGTACATGCCTGTAGTCCCAGCTACTTGGGAGGCTAAGGCAGGAGAATTGCTTGAACCCGGGAGGTGGAGGTTGCAGTGAGCTGAGATGGCACCACTGTACTCCAACCTGGCCAATAGAGTGAGACTGCATCTCAAAAAAAAAAAAAGTGATTGAATTTTATTTTGAAAGCAGTGGGGTAACTTTGGAAGGTTTGTGAGCAGAGGAATGAAGTGACCAGAACTGGGCCATAGAATGTAAATCCAGCAATGGAATAGGGAGGACTAGACTGAAGAGGAGGAGGTACCAATAATGGAAAGAATGGTTAGGAAGATTTCCCACTAGTCTGTTGAGATCAGGGAAGTCATCTAAGTTTGTAATAGAGCAAATAGAAAGGAAAAAACAAAAATGGGATAATTGTAGAGATGAATTTGATGTGTGGTTGGGCATAATCAACAGAGAAGACAGAATCTTTTAGGAGAAACCTTCCCTGGCAGTTTTGTAGGTGAATCCCCTTTTGGGGCATCTGGAAAATATGCATGTTTCTATATTAATATAGAGGTAGCTATCATGGGACAGTCACTTTGTCAGGATTTCCATTTTTTACTGAGATGTGCAATAGGGTTCATACTTTCTCCATGGCAGAGTATGAGGGGAAGGAGAGAGAGTTCTAGAGAGATACTTTCCTGCATTTCGAGACTCAAGAAATAGCCTCCTGATTTACTAAATAAAAACAGGAAAGGAGTTTTGTGTGGTCTGCTCTTTCTCCTGGAACTTGAAAGACTTAGTAGTCATGAGGTGGCTATCCCTGGTGTTTTCCTAATTTTGAATCTAGGACCTATTATGAGATTGAGTTTTATTTTTACTACTTTGCTAATCAGAGCTCAAGGGTAAGTTTTTCAAAATCTTCATCAGCTGGCAAACACAGAGGCAAAGTGTGGACATAGTTGTGTTTATATTCATTGAAAAATAAAAATTTGGTGCTTTTCCAAGCTTGCTTTCTTGTGTGAGAGACAAACATATTTTCAACAGTTTAAGTGTCCTCTCTCTCCTCTGTTCTGTCCATACCCTATAGAGTTTAAAGCTAGACTGCAGTGAGAATGACCATGACCTGCTTCTTGTTTCCTGAGCATGGGTTTTGCTGTCTAATTGATGAAATTTCCTTTTTAGATCTTGGAATTAATGAACACCTAGTAATGTTCTGGGGCATAGCCTTGTTTCAGTTTATTTTTCTGGCCACTTGGGTCCCTGTGCTTTGAGATGTATTCATGCACAGTGAAGAAGTTTGCAAATCTTTTGCTTTATATTTATCTTAGCTGGAAAACATGTGCATCTGACAAAGGCACCCTCATAGCCAGCTTTATAATTGCTAGCTCTGTCAGCATTGTATGCCCCGAGGACTGATCTGATCCCCACTACTATGCTGCTATGTTTTGTCTTGGGAAGTGATGTTAGTGTTTTACATTTTTAAAATGAAGTCATGTAGTATGTAATGGGCAGGAAAAATGTGATTAATCAATAATTTAAACATATCTTTTAGATAAGAATACATAGATACCATAGCATAAGGTAGACATGGAGCCAAATCTAGCTGCTTCTTTTCACTGTGAATAATGTATAAAGAATGACTTTGGAAGCATCATATCTAGAAGCCAGTAATTTCAAATAATCAGTAGAATATATATCATAAGAATAAAAGTCAGGCTCTTTTTCTTGCATTTGCTGATAGAATTTAGTACATAGTAGTAATGACAAAGTATATAGCAAAAACATTGTCCTCAACTGAGTGTTAAAATCTATTGTTAATCTGGTGTGTTTTAAAAATTGAGAAGAAAGCTGCAGCTGCCTGTTGTGTCTGCCAAGTGTTCAGACATTAGGGTGAACTTGGCCAATTTGTAGAAAAACTCACCTGTAGGCCAGGTTTTTTCATAAACTCCCTATTCTGATTTCTTTTATTCTTCTTTTTTTCTTGATCTTGGGTCTCTCATTATTCTTCTGTACATCATTTTAAAATTAGATTGATTCTTAAATTCTATTCCTCTTAACTCTAGCTGACAAAATAGTGATGACTTTACCTCCTATGATATACAGCTCTTTCAAAAAATAAGCTGTCAATGTTATTTATGCTTATGGTATTTGATATGTTTACTTGTTAATTTTTTGTATTCATTTCAATTCGATTTTTATCTTTGGGTGAATTTAGGAACACTAAAGTCCCAATTACAGGATTTGTCTTGAAACTCCTAAGCACTGGATTTCCTCCTATCTAGGAGTGATCTCGGCAGTAACAAGAGTCTTTATTAATAAAAAGCATACTGCTAAGAATGGACTATTAACTGTCTTCAGCATTGGGGAGAATACAATGAAAACTTACATATGGATTTGGCATCAGATTTTAAATCAAATATATGTATATATTGGTCAACGAATGTTATTTTCCATAGATTTTTATGTTTCTTTGATTTTAGTTGAGAATACTCTAAGACTCTGCAAAGTACAAGTTATATCAACTGTAAGCACTTGTAGGCCCAGAGGCCATGCTATTAGGTTTCAACTGTCCATGCATAGGAAGAAATACAAACTCCAAAGAAAGCTTTCACGTGAAGAAGCAATTTGAATGAACAGAAAAGTGATGGACTGGAGAAGGCTGGGTTCAAGAAGGCAAAATAATGTCCCACTACTTCATCTTCCACAAGGGAATGTTAGGAGATGTTGAATAAGAAGCAAAATTTGAAGTTAGAATTTCTGGAAACCTGAATGTTGAATACTATTTATCGATATAATTTCTCTTTCTATCCTAGTCAGTGGGTAAGCTAGATAGCTGTAGATGTTGCTTGACATTTATGAAGATATAAATACTTCTAAAGCTTGGTGTTTTTCTAGTTGATCTGGTAGACAGTGGAAAATATCTCTGTAGAACTGAACTTATAAGGTTACTTAACTTATAATGAGGGGGTAACTCAGGTGCAGGAAACTCTGGTTCACGGTTTTCTCTTGTTTCTGTAGAGACGGTGTAGTTTACCACTCAATTAGATGTGGTCCCTTTCCACTGAATTTAGCATTTAAAATAAATAGGTTTCCAATCAGAGGGGCCTCGTTCATTCACAAAAGGAAAGTCATTTCAAGTAGGAGCATGTGTCTGTGCAAACTCATACTGCTGATATGTACAAAAAAGAGATTTAGTTCACACATGTTTTCTATTGCTGCACAGGGATACAAATGAGAAAATTGGGCTATAAGACTTGATTAAAGTTTCAATATAGGAGCATTAAAAACAATAAAATGCCCATGAAACAACATGCTGAAATTTTCCCCTAGCTTTGCTATCTTGTCGGGTGGCAGCATACTCCCTCTACAGCAAACAAGCTTGATGCTATTAGTGCCACAAGATTCTTCCCATGTGGTATAGATCTGTCTCATTTCTCTAAAATGTGTTCCCTTGCCTTCCAAAATTCCTTCCTATATTTCCTCTGAAGAAATCATTTCTAATTTGGAAACCTTTGTAGAAGAAATCCATATATTGTTTTACTATTTGGTGGGGAAGCAGTTCTCTTCTTCGGATACTGGATAATAATAGATTTTGTGAGTATGACAGCAATATGGCCAGAATCTCCATGAAAAGAATTGCTTTCATGCTATTATTTGAAAGAAGAATAACAGCCTTTGTTATTGAAGAAACTGCTTCTTTTCATCAAAAATCCTGATGCATCTAATTGACTCTGAGAATATTACCTTTGTGTCCATGCTGAGATTCTGCCTCCAGCACAGATGTTGAAACCACAGATGTCCACCACACCAGATCAGAAACATTATTTTTCAAATAGTTTCTTACCTTCTTGCACCAAAACTGAAGATATGATCACAAATAGTAAGAACTCTTTTTTGTGTAATAGTCTGGGTAAGATGGTACTCTACATTTTGAGCTTTTTTTTGGCGGGGGGGATGCAAAGCAGATGTCACTGATTATTTATAATATGTTCTTAAAGAAGAATTTAATAAGCACAGTGTTCTAGAAAACACAACTTTGGAAGGGTCACATTGCTTGGCCACATGTTATATATTAAGGAGAATTAATGCGATTGCAGATAATTTGCGCTATGGTGTTACTATTGCTTATTAGTGCAAGAGCTGGAGGGTACGTGAACTAAATGTTCCTTAGTTCACAGGGTGGTGCATGATGCATTTTCTTGGCTGTCCTCACAAAGTCATAAATCGATTGAATGAGCTGAAAAATAACTCCAAAAGGATTTGCAGAGGGCAAGTACTCATTGGGGGCTATTCCTGACCAAATGGCTACTTGGCTGTGTTATCTAGAGAACATCACATAATTTCTAATTGCTTGAATTACTTCATAGGTCAAATGCAACCCAGACTGTCTACATGGCGTTATTGCAACTCTTTAAAATCAAAGCATTCCCTCTTAAAATCAGTTCAACTGATTTTGTTTTTCCCTTGAGTTGACAGGTTTGTTTGGTGTTGTATAGACAAAGCTTCATTTATCAGCAGTAAAACCTCATTCATTTAAACTACTAATTCATAATTTGTGTATTTTGACTTAGGTGGATCTAAAATTTATCTTAGTACAATCTGTTAAAGACAATGAATAAAATTAGTATACTAATAGTGTAAACTAAACAAGACTGTAGAGGAGATTGGATCAAGATGGAGAAATGAATGCAGAACCCTACTTTTCCTTCCACCCCAAACCCTTAAACAGAAAAAATATTTTTATATTTAAAAATTATAAGTTCATAATAACATTGTAAAGCAAAAAGAATGATTATAATAAAACATATGGCATCAGTTGAGGAGAAAACTACAGCTCCCAAAATGTACAATAGGAAAGTGCAAAAATATGGAAGGATCTTTAGGGGACCTGTAAACTTAGGAATATAGATACCACAACAGAAGTAATCCCCAAAGCAAAGTCTAGCAGTTAATTGGCATGCCATACTGGGACAAACAGGTGGACAGCTCCACAGTGAACTTAAAAATTCCAAGCCACTGTTTTCCCCCACCGCCTGGAATAGTGAGTGTGGGGATTTGAGTCAGAGAGGAGGGCTGGCCCTTAGTGGCTTATGCTACTCAGGTGAGACAGAAAACTGTCACTGCTGTAAAACCATTTGCTGGTACTTCCTGTTGGTACATTGTGCAATCCCTTTCCCATAGTGAAAAGATATAGTCCATAGTAAATAGAAGTAGTATTCATAAATAGGTGAATAAAGATTACAAAATACAATTATAAGCACACAACTGAGAATCATCATGCATTAGGGATAGTGAACTGATCAATATACCATCTGAAAAAAGAGAGAGATGGAGCATGAAGAGAAAGGCTAGAATATAAGTATAGATAATATTCCCAGTGGGATGAGAAACTGTATCTCATCCATGAAACAAGAAATCTTTGAGATAAAATGATATAATTGAAAAAGAAATGGAAAGTTTTTTTTTTTTCTTTTTTTTTTTTTTGAGATGGAGTTTTGCTCTTGTTGCCCAGGCTGGGGTGCAGTGGTGTGATCTCGGCTCACCACAACCTCCATCTCCTGGGCTCAAGTGATTCTCCTGCCTCAGCCTCCCGAGTAGCTGGGATTACAGGCATGTGCCACCACGCCCAGCTAAATTTTGTATTTTTAGTAGAGACGGGGTTTCTCCATGTTGGGCAGGCTGGTCTCGAACTCATGACCTCGGGTGATCTGCCTGCCTCAGCTTCCCAAAGTGCTGGGATTACAGGCATGAGCCACTGCGCCTGGCCAAGAATTGGATAGATTTAATATCAGATTGACATTACTCAAGCATAAACTAATGAGCTGCAAGCATAAGCAAAATAGCTCTAGAATATAGTACCAAAAGACAAATAGATGGAAAGCATGAAAGAAGTTAAGCGATAAACAGAAGTTTAATCATCAATGCTATAGAAGGTTCTGAGAGTGAGAAATAATGAAAGAAATGATAGAAAAACTTTCCTAAAGATGAAGATAGACATGAACTTTCAGGTGGCCTCTAAGTGACAAGGTAGGTGAATTGAACAAATATATATTATATATTTGTTTTGAATATATATGTTTCTAAAGACCCAGAAAGCAAAAAACATATTTCTTTTTAAAATTTTTTTTTATTATAGTTAAAGTTCTGGGATACATGTACAGAACCTGCAGGTTTGTTTCATAGGTATACACATGACATGGTGGTTGGCTGCACCCATCAACCCGTTATCTACATTAGGTATTTCTCCTAATGCTATCCCTCCCCTAGCTCCCAAACCCCTGACAGGCACCAGTGTGTGATGTTCCCTTCCATGTGTCCATGTGTTCTCATTGTTCAATTCCCACTTATGAGTGAGAACATGCAGTGTTTGGTTTTCTGTTCCTGTGTTAGTTTGCTGAGAATGACGGTTTCCAGCTTCATCCATGTCCCTGCAAAGGACATGAACTAACCCTTTTTATGGCTGCATAGTATTCCATGGTGTATATGTGCCACATTTTCTTTATTCAGTCTATCATTGTTGGGCATTTGGGTTGGTTCCAAGTCCTTACTAATGTGAACAGTGCTGCAATAAACATACATGTGGATGTGTCTTTATAGTAGAGTGATTTATAATCCTTTGGCTATATATCCAGTAATGGGATTGCTGGGTCAAATGGTATTTCTGGTTCTAGATCCTTGAGGAATCACCACACTGTCTTCCACAATGGGTGGTACATCCAGAAAACAGAATATTACTTAGTGCTAAAAAGAAATGTGCTATCAAGCCATGAAAATATACATGGAAAGCGCAACACGGCTGAATAGAAACAGCTCCGTTCTGCAGCTCCCAGTTGATCAATGCAGAAGGTAGGTGATTTCTGCATTTCCAACTGAGGTGCTTGGCTTATCTCATTGTGGGGGTTAGACAGTGGGTGCAGCCCATGGAGGGCAAGCTGAAGCAGGGTGGGGCCTCAGCTCACCCGGGAAGCACAAGGGGTCAGGGAACTCCCTCCCCTCTCCAGGGGAAGCCATGAGGGACTGGGCCGTGAGGAATGGTGCATTTTGGCCTAGATACTATGCTTTTCCTACAGTCTTTGCAACCCGCAGACCAGGAGATTCCCCTGGTGACTACACCACTAGGGCCCTGGGTTTCAAGCACAAAACTGGGCAGCCATTTGGGCAGACACCAAGCTAGCTGCAGGAGTTTTTTTTCATACCCCAGTGGTGTCTGGAACACCAGTGTGATGGAACCATTCACTCCCCAGGAAAGGGGGCTGGAGCCAGGGAGCCAAGTGGTCTAGCTCAGCAGATCCCACCCGCCACAGAGCCCATCAAGCTAAGATCCACTGGCTTGAAATTCTCACTGCCAACACCGAAGTCTGAAGTCGACCTGGGTTGCTCCAGCTTGGTGGGTGGGAGGGGTGTCCACCATTACTGAGGCTTGAGTAGGTGGTTTTCCCCTCACAGTGTAAACAAAGCTGCTGGGAAGTTTGGACTGGGCAGAACCCACTGCAGCTTGGCAAAGCTGCTGTAGCCAGACTGCCTCTCTAGATTTCCTCTTCTCTGGGCAGGGCATCTCTGAAAAAAAGGCAGCAGCCCCAGTCAGGGGCTTATAGATAAAACTCTCATCTCCCTGGGACAGAGCACCTGGGGGAAGGGGCGGCTGATGGGCACAGCATCAGCAGACTTAAACATTCCTGCCTGTTGGCTCTGAAGAGAGAAGCAAATCTCCCAGCACAGTGCTCGAGCTCTGCTAAGGGACAGACTGCATCCTCAAATGGGTTCCTGAGCCCCGTGCCTCCTGATGGGGAGACACCTCCCAACAGGGGTTGAAAAACACCTCATACAGGAGAGATCTGGCTGGCATCTGGCGGGTGCCCCTCTGGGATGAAGCTTCCAGAGGAAGGTACAGGCAGCAGTCTTTGCTGTTCTGCAGCCTCTGCTGGTGATACCCAGGCAAACAGGGTCTGGAGTGGACCTCCAGCAAACTCCAGCAGACCTGCAGCTGAGAGGCCTGATTGTTAGAAGGAAAACTAACAAACAGAAAGGAATAGCATCAACATCAACAAACAGGACATCGACACAAAAAGCCCATCTGAAGGTCACCAGCATCAAAGAACAAAGGTAGAGAAATCCATGAAGATGAGGAAAAACCAGCGCAAAAAGCCTGAAAATTCCAGAACCAGAAGGCCTCTTCTCCTCCAACGGATCACAACTACTTACAAGCAAAGGAACAAAACTAGACAGAGAATGAGTTTGACGAATTGACAGAAGTAGGCTTCAGAAGGTGGGTAATAACAAACTCCTCCAAGCTAAAGGAACGGGTTCTAACCCAATGCAAGGAAGCTAAGAACATTGAAAAAAGGTTAGTGGAATTGCTAACTAGAATAACCAGTTTAGAAAACAACATAAATGGCCTGATGGAGCTGAGAAACACAGCATCAGAACTTTGTGAAGCATACACAAGTATCAACAGCCTAATCGATCAACCAGAAGAAAGGATATCAGAGATTGAAGATCAACTTAATGAAATAAAGCATGAAGACAAGATTAGAGAAAAAAGAATGAAAAAGAATGAACAAAGCCTCCAAGAAATATGGGACTATGTGAAAAGGCCACACCTACGTTTGATTGGTGTACCTGAAAGTGACGGGGAGAATGAAACCAAGTTGGAAAACACTCTTCAGGATATTAACCAGGAGAACTTCCCCAACCTAGCAAGACAGGCCAACATTCAAATTCAGGAAATACAGAGAACACCACGAAGATACTCCTCAAGAAAACCAACCCCAAGACACATAATAGTCAGATTCACCAAGTTTGAAATGAAGGAAAAAATGTTAAGGGCAGCCAGAGAGAAAGGTCGGGTTACCCACAAAGGAAAGCCCATCAGACTAACAGAGGATCTCTCGGCAGAAACCCTACAAGCCAGAAGAGTGTGGGGGCCAATATTTAACATTCTTAAAGAAAAGAATTTTCAACCCAGAATTTCATATCCAGCCAAACTAAGCTTCATCAGCGAAGGAGAAATAAAATCTTTACAGACAAGCACATGCTGAGAGATTTTGTCACCACCAGGCCTGCCTTACAAGAACTCCTGAAGGAAGCACTAAACGTGGAAAGGAAAAACTGGTACCAGCCACAGGAAAAACATGCCAAATTGTAAAGATCATTTACACTATGAAGAAACTGCATCAACTAACGGGCAAAATAACTAGCTAGCACTATAATGACAGGATCAAATTCACACATAATAATATTAACTTTAACTGTAAACAGGCTAAATGCCCCAATTAAAAGACACAGACGGGCAAATTGCAGAAAACATATTTCTTGTGAGAGTAGAAATCAGATTAAAATTAGACTTCTCGATGGCAACATTGGTGACTAGAAGAAAGTAGAGAAATATCTTTAGAGTTTATGGGAGGAATAATTTCACATTTGTAATTTTATATACTCCTAAGTTTGCTTACAATTTGTAGAATAGGGTTTTAAAATTTTATATATTTTTCACATTTGCAAAAGCTCAGGATATTTACTCACCACAGATACATTCTACTACAATATTGTTTAAATAAAATTAAAGAAAAAAACAAAGGCAAAGAAAAGAAGTGAGTATAACAAATGATAATAATAAATACTAATAAATTACTTACATAATGTTAAAATTGTAGTCTTAATTACATAGACACATATTTATTTAGCAGTGCTATTTTTCAGGCACTGCTTTGGGAACTATACATTGACAGAAAGTTTAAACATTCATGTTGCAAATGTAAGGAGAAACATTGAAAGACTAAACATGTATGTCTAGCTCCCAAACCACCAAATGAAAAGAATGAAATGAAAGAATTTGATCAATACAACAAAAGCAAGAAAAAGACATGGGAAGTAATCAGAGACATGGCTTATTAAAAAACTAAAACAGACGGAGCAGACAAGCCAAATATATTAAAATATATAGTCATAATCATAAGTAAAAGGATTAAATTCTTTCAGGAAAAGGCAAGGAATCCAGATTAAGTTAAAAAATCAGATCAGATTATTTGATGTATCTGACTCAAGTCTTGTAAGCTTCCTCAGAGTGCCTCAGTTGTTTCCTTTCCTCTGAATATACCACTTAACTCTTTATGAAATCGCTGACACTGCCAATGTGGAGTCAAGAGAGACATGTCTCACAAAGAATTGTATGGCATTTGCCAGATGTAGTTGAGTGCAATCTGATACATGAAAGACAAAATATTTCTGAGAGGGCTACAAAGTACCATAAGCATATATTTAAAAAAGTCAGTGGTAATTCAATACCCAAAAGGATGTTTTAATAGACCAACTTTCTACAGCCAGGAAGCAGGCTGAGAGGAAGCTGCTCATCAACCACTGATGGCATTTTCTCCAATGCCCTCTTAAGATATGGCTGGGGAGGCTAATGGAAAAGACATAGATAATGGAGCCAGTAGCCAAGGAGAACTATGGACTAGGATGTTTCTGCTAGGAAATGAGAGTCGGGTCTAATCAAGAGATGCTTTTGATTACAGCATAGAGGGATCTGTACAGAGTGATTAGAATAGCTATAGACCAGACTGCTGTTTGCCTCCTGTTCTTTTGTTTTTAAAAGAGTCTTGCTTATTGCAGTTATCCTTTCCCTATCCCACCATTTATGTCGGGCATACTAAACCAAAGGGAGTTGGGGGTAGATAACTTGTCTTTTTAGTTCGTAGGTCTTGAGATCAAGAGCAACCCCATGTGGATCCATGGTAGATCACAAGATCTGGAAGTTTGTGCCTAATGTTGTTATCAGATGAGCCTTTTGGGGATGTCCTGAAGGGGTAAGTTCTTCCTGTGTGAGAGGGTGAATATTTGTGGCCAAGGGAGTGGCATGTGGTAGATTGTGTAATTATTCTCAATTTTAACTCCATCTCCGTACCATGCTATCTTGCATTACCTCTCAGTGAAGTAATCATTAGCTTTGGGCTTGGTGATGGAGCATACCTTATTGTAGTGTGCTGCAAGAAGAAGATTTAAATTTGCTTGTTTTGATGGCTTCTTATGTTTCTACCATCTACCACGAGAAGAAAATGTCTCGGGTAGATAGTGGTCTTGAAGAAAACACACAGAATAGAATGATGTTTGATTTCAAGCCATAATCTCTTGCATCCAGAATATCCCAGCCAAGAGCAGAGAGCCTTAGATGACCTTCGGACTCATAAGTGACAAATGAGAGCTTGTTGTAAGGTACTGTTTTGGGGCTTGATTACTATGTGACACTTTACAACAGAAAACAAACACAATGGGAGTTATCTAGGAAGGGTGATTTACAGACCTATCATTCAGAATGGGCTGGGTTATGCTAGGACAACAATCACAACATCTCAGTGGCTTATAATCACAAAGGTTTGTATTTTACCCATGCCACATGTCTGTTGAAGATCAAATGTGGCTTTGCTTCACAGTGTATTTACATCAGCAGCCAGGCTGATGAAGCAGCTTAAGTCAAGAATACTGGTAGTTCCATAGATAAGGAGGAAATCAGGATGACAAAGCGCATGCTAGTTCTTGCAGTTTCCAGCCAAAAGTAGCCAATGACAATTCTATTCAATTTCATTGCTGTTAATAAGTCACATAGTTACTCCTAACGTCAAGAGGATGGAAATGTATAATCCTCCATAACAGATTAATAACAAATTTTTTTAAAAACTGGATTGCTATGCTAAAAGCATTTTATTTGCCTTTGCATATACTCTGTCAGTTGATGTAAAAATATGTTAGTTATTATTGTGATTAAAAGAGAAAATATTTTCTTACAGTGAAACAACTTCAACATTCAGTGTCCTTCATGTAATTGCAATATATATATTTTGTGGCATGTTCTACATTATGTTGGACTTTTGCCCTGATAGCAAGACCCCCAAGAATACCCACTTGGCCTTTAAAAGCTTTCTGAATTCTCAGAAGCTATTAATTGCTTGCTTTTTATGGTAGAAAGAACACTGGTTTTTGAGTATTCAAATTCTCACTGCTTTTTTTCCTGTCTTTTTATTTGGCCTCCTTGAACCTGTTTTTTTTGCTTTTTTGTTTGTTTGTTTGTTTGTTTTTGAGATGGAGCTTTGCTCTTGTTGCCCAGGCTGGAGTGCAATGGTGCAATCTCTGCTTACCACAACCTCCGCTTCCTGGGTTCAAGTGATTCTGCTGCCTCGGCCTGCCAAGTAGCTGGGATTACAGGCATAAACCACCTCGCCCGGTTAATTTTGCAATTTTAGTAGAGATGGGGTTTCTCCATGTTGGTCAGGCTGGTCTCGAACTCCCAACCTCAGGTGATCCCCCCGCCTCGGCCTCCCAAAGTGCTGGGATTACAGGCGTGAGCCACTGTGCCCAGCCAAACTTTTTTTAAAAAAAAAAAAAAAAAACAGTAAAATGAGAATATTTTCTATACTTTAATCCATTAGGATTAAAAAATCATTTGTTTAAAATGTCTACATAGAGGATTGCTGAATAAGCAGAAACTGCTGCTCCTGTTGCTTTTCTTCTTGTTGTTCCTGTATGGAAAATTTCTTGACAAATAGCTGTTTTAAGATCAATATTTGGTTAGTTATGGAATGCATACTATTCAAATAGGCAACAGAAACATGAGTCTTCTTTAGCATGGTAGAACGAAAGTCCCATATAATGACAGTCTGAGACTTGAAGTCTTGAACTGTCAATCCAGTTATTGTTAGGGAAATAAAAGAAATTCAAAATGCTTCTCAACTAGAATAATTCTTACAAGAGGCAATTGTTTGGAAACTACATTATCATTGTTGATGAGAATTAGAGGCATCTGAGTTTACATTTTTAAACATTTATAGAACAGAGCCCTCTGATATATTTGGACCAGTCATGAGATTATGTTCTTAGAATTATGCAGCATTATTCCTAGGCATGCACTCAGATGTGTGTCCCTTAGAAAGCAGCATGTACTGTTTTTACAGCTGGCCTGAGTAAAATTTTGTCAGATACCTTAACAGTGTTTTTTCTCCTTTTTCTATTATTTGAGCTTTAGGCAAGATATACTATGAAACTAAAAATCCAAAATGTTTTTGCTCAAAAGAAACTTCTGGACGCCCAGCATGCTGGATGTGTTCTCCTTTGAACTCAGGGGGAGGTTCACATGGACAACTCAGTGTAAAAAGAAACATCTATTTTTCAGGAAGGCAGATTTGCCTGAGATCTATGAGGCTTCACTCCTTGGGTTGAGAAATGATAGGAACTTGGTCATCTCTGGGAAGGTTTCTCATGAAACCAGCCAATCATGTACTACTCAGCATTGTACTAGGAATCATCAGGTTTACAAATGATAAGACTTCATGGATTTCACCTTTAAGTAGCTTCCAATTGAGATGAGAAGTTAAGATAGATAATAAATATGAAAAACTATGACATGATACTATATCAAATTGAGCAAATGTGCTATAAAAATTCATCAAAATTTATAGCGAAGGCTTGGAAGGGAAGTAAAGTATCATCTTAGTCCTGAACAATCCATAATATTCCAAGTTATGAGAAGATCATAGGCAAGAACAAGGAAATAGGGAAGAACCTGCTTTGTGAAAAGGCAATCAGATTGGGGTAGCCAGAACAGAGGGCTGGGATTCTAGGGGAATTCATCAGATAATATGTCTTGAAAGTCAAGTTTAAAGAATTGATTTCTCGAAACTGAGGGAGGAGAGAGGTGCAACGGTGTTGAAGGCAGGGAACCTAGGATCAAATTTTTGTTTTGCCTCCAAGTAGCATAATGAATAAGACATATAGGATCTTTATTGTTATGAATCCTAGTGGATTGTTATGTTATGATCCTAGTGGCAAACACAAATATTAAAATAATACATTCTCAAATAAATACATATTTAAAATTATGATGAAGTTTGTAGCACTAAAAGAAGTTATATTTGAGGCACAGTGAGCAGAGAAGGGCAGCATGTGGCTGAGGAGGTAAGCCTTGGCCAGATTCATGTTACTGATAGTGGATTTCATACTTAGAGCCATGGAAAAGAACGTTTCTTAAGCTAGCAATGGGTGATCTGTTTGGGTGTGCATTCTTTAAACAGTGTTATGGTTGCAATGTGAAGAAATGCTTGCAAGAAGATAAAATCAGATTCAGGAAGAGTGGTTGGAATGCCACTATAGGTATGTGTCTGTGTGTCAGGGGGGTGGTTACACCAAAAGGCAGAGTGCAGTGCCTACTTGATCCTACTTTCCTGGGACCTAGAGCGGTATGAATTAATCTGCAGGACACTAAGAAAATGACCAATTGCCCTATTGAGTAGTCCAATACAAAAGGCATCTTGACAATATTTGGAGTCCCTATTCTCCTCTCCAGAAGCTTCACCAAATCATCAGAAAACTCTTCTAACTCAGTCTTTTCACACCCTCTCTCTCTCTCTTTATTTATTACCTCAGAATAATGTCATGTTTCTAAAATATACCAGGAATTAAAATAAACATGCTGGCTAGAATAAAAAAGCAGACTTCTAAAGTAGAATTAGGAGTCAAATAGTAAATCTCACATTTTAAAAATAGAGATTCATTATCTTCAGGCACATTCTTCCTCACTCACATGTGGGACCAGGCAATGCTGTGCTGGGTTGTCCCATCATATGTGTTCCAGCCCTTGTGGACACACACCAGATACACAGGACTTCTGAATCATGGAGTAATCCGAGAGGCCCATTAGGTCTTCTTGAGTATCCTGCTGCCAGGGTTGCATTGCTCCATACTAAAGAGCTATAAACTCATTGTCTCATTGAGATTTAAACAGCTCATGCTAAATAGCTCTCTTCTTTTTGTTCAGACTCACTCTTCAACTTACTTGAGGTCTGTGAATTCTTTTTTTTTTCCTATTCTTCACTGTTGAGATTTTTCTTTCTCACTTTTCATTTTTCTGCTCCTTATGTAGAATTTAATCTCATCCTTATATATTCTGGCACAGCTGAGGTTTAGGCAAAAACAGCTATTGATATTTTCAGTAAAGCAGGTCAGGGAGTTAGCCTTTGAAATGTTCCATTTTCTAGGTGGTTGGTGTCTTACCCTAGGTAGTCCTTCAATGCCATTTGGAAACCTTGGGTGTCCCTGCTGTTCACCTGCACACCTAGATCAGAATTGCACAGTCACATTTCTCCCTCTGCAAATGTGTCCCCTGGAACTACTCTTTGGAAAGCTGTTCTAGCCAAAATAAAGCTATTTATAAAAGTAGGGTCTAGTTCTCTATTTTTATGTAAGTCTAAAACACTGCACTTCACCTCACACTTCAAAATCTACAGTTTCATCCTGCCCTATTTGATGTGCTTGGACAATTTTTATATTCGATTCAAATGAGATATGTCTCTTGGAATAAAATCTGCCAGGACGTGTGTGCTAAAGGAATAGTGGTGTGATGTTTACTGGTTTGTAAATCTGCCAGAAAGTAAAGAATGAGGTACTGCTTTCATATTGACCACCCTTTCTGTCATTAACAGAAAGGAAAATTTTAGTTCTACCCACCAGTGCCTATAACAACAGGCAATTCTATATTTAATTTGAATTAATTATATAGGACTATATTTTGGTATGAGTCTTTTGTATATCAATATCATCCGTTTATTAAAAGAACACAAACTTCCTATTCTTACGTATTTCTGAAATGTATCTTTTGATCAACCACAGACTCTCTGAAAATATTCTCTTAGATGCTCAAGTCACATCTGCAGTACAGTAGTCCCCCCTTATCTGCTGTTTTGCTTTCTGCAGTTCTAGTTACCCATGGTCAACTGTACTCTGAAATAATAAGTGAAAAATTCCGATCTAGTCTTCATTCACAGAGAACTGACCCCCAACTGCTCCTCTGTACTCTGCTCCTACAGGCCCAGCTGCTGTGGCTGTGCGACCTGCAGGGACTGGCAGACCCGTAGCTAAGACGCCAGGATTTCCTGGAAGCAGAGAAATGAAATTGAAGTATTAAAATATCTTATTATAATTACATTGCTCTAGGGGGAGGAGCCAAGATGGCCGAATGGGAACAGCTCCTGTCTATAGCTCCCAGCCTGAGCGACGCAGAAGACGGGTGATTTCTGCATTTCCATCTGAGGTACCGGGTTCATCTCACTAGGGAGTGCCAGACAGTGGGCGCAGGTCAGTGGGTGCGCGCACCGTGCGCGAGCCGAAGCAGGGCGAGGCATTGCCTCACTCGGGAAGTGCAAGGGGTCAGGGAGTTCCCTTTCCTAATCAAAGAAAGGGGTGACGGACGGCACCTGGAAAATCGGATCACTCTCACCCAAATACTGTACTTTTCTGACGGGCTTAAAAAACAGCGCACCACGAGATTATATCCCGCACCTGGCTCGGAGGGTCCTACGCCCACGGAGTCTCGCTGATTGCTAGCACAGCAGTCTGAGATCAAACTGCAAGGTGGCAGCCAGGCTGGGGGAGGGGCGCCCGCCATTGCCCAGGCTTGCTTAGGTAAACAAAGCAGCCAGAAGCTCAAACTGGGTGGAGCACACCACAGCTCAAGGAGGCCTGCCTGCCTCTGTAGGCTCCACCTCTGGGGGCAGGGCACAGACAAACAAAAAGACAGCAGTAACCTCTGCAGACTTAAATGTCCCTGTCTGACAGCTTTGAAGAGAGCAGTGGTTCTCCCAGTATGCAGCTGGAGATCTGAAAATGGGCAGACTGCCTCCTCAAGTGGGTCCCTGACCCCTGACCCCCGAGCAGCCTAACTGGGAGGCACCCTCCAGCAGGGGCACACTGACACTCACACGGCAGGGTATTCCAACAGACCTGCAGCTGAGGGTCCTGTCTGTTAGAAGGAAAACTAACAAACAGAAAGGACATCCACACCAAAAACCCATCTCTACGTCACCGTCATCAAAGACCAAAAGTGGATAAAACCACAAAGATGGGGAAAAAACAGAACAGAAAAACTGGAAACTCTAAAAAGCAGAGTGCCTCTCCTCCTCCAAAGGAACACAGTTCCTCACCAGCAACGGAACAAAGCTGGATGGAGAATGACTTTGACGAGCTGAGAGAAGAAGGCTTCAGACGATCAAATTACTCTGAGCTACGGGAGGACATTCAAACCAAAGGCAAAGAAGTTGAAAACTTTGAAAAAAATTTAGAAGAATATATAACTAGAATAACCAATACAGAGAAGTGCTTAAAGGAGCTGATGGAGCTGAAAGCCAAGGCTCGAGAACTACGTGAAGAATGCAGAAGCCTCAGGAGCCGATGCGATCAACTGGAAGAAAGGGCATCAGCAATGGAAGATGAAATGAATGAAATGAAGCAAGAAGGAAAGTTTAGAGAAAAAAGAATAAAAAGAAATGAGCAAAGCCTCCAAGAAATATGGGACTATGTGAAAAGACCAAATCTACGTCTAATTGATGTACCTGAAAGTGATGGGGAGAATGGAACCAAGTTGGAAAACACTCTGCAGGATATTATCCAGGAGAACTTCCCCAATGTACCAAGGCAGGCCAACATTCGGATTCAGGAAATACAGAGAACGCCACAAAGATACTCCTCGAGAAGAGCAACTCCAAGACACATAATTGTCAGATTCACCAAAGTTGAAATGAAGGAAAAAATGTTAAGGGCAGCCAGAGAGAAAGGTCGGGTTACCCTCAAAGGGAAGCCCATCAGACTAACAGTGGATCTCTCGGCAGAAACCCTACAAGCCAGATGAGAGTGGGGGCCAATATTCAACATTCTTAAAGAAAAGAGTTTTCAACCCAGAATTTCATATCCAGCCAAACTAAGCTTCATAAGTGAAGGAGAAATAAAATACTTCACAGACAAGCAAATGCTGAGAGATTTTGTCACCACCAGGCCTGCCCTAAAAGAGCTCCTGAAGGAAGCGCTCAACATGGAAAGGAACAACCGGTACCAGCCACTGCAAAATCATGCCAAAATGTAAAGACCATCGAGACTAGGAAGAAACTGCATCAACTAACGAGCAAAATAACCAGCTAACATCATAATGACAGGATCAAATTCACACATAACACTATTAACTTTAAATGTAAATGGACTGAATGCTCCAATTAAAAGACACAGACTGGCAAATTGGATAAAGAGTCAAGACCCATCAGTGTGCTGTATTCAGGAAACCCATCTAACGTGCAGAGATACACATAGGCTCAAAATAAAAGGATGGAGGAAGATCTACCAAGCAAATGGAAAACAAAAAAAGGCAGGGGTTGCAATCCTAGTCTCTGATAAAACAGACTTTAAACCAACAAAGATCGAAAGAGACAAAGAAGGCCATTACATAATGGTAAAGGGATCAATTCAACAAGAAGCGCTAACTATCTTAAATATATATGCACCCAATATAGGAGCACCCAGATTCATAAAGCAAGTCCTGAGTGACCTACAAAGAGACTTAGACTCCCACACATTGATAATGGGAGACTTTAACACCCCACTGTCAACATTAGACAGATCAACGAGACAGAAAGTCAACAAGGATACCCAGGAATTGAACTCAGCTCTGCACCAAGCGGACCTAATAGACATCTACAGAACTCTCCACCCCAAATCAACAGAATATACATTTTTTTCAGCACCACACCACACCTATTCCAAAATTGACCACATACTTGGAAGTAAAGCTCTCCTCAGCAAATGTAAAAGATCAGAAATTGTAACAAACTATCTCTCAGACCACAGTGCAATCAAACTAGAACTCAGGATTAAGAATCTCACTCAAAGCCACTCAACTACATGGAAACTGAACAACCTGCTCCTGAATGACTACTGGGTACACAACGAAATGAAGGCAGAAATAAAGATGTTCTTTGAAACCAACAAGAACAAAGGCACAACATACCAGAATCTCTGGGACACATTCAAAGCAGTGTGTAGAGGGAAATTTATAGCACTAAATGCCCACAAGAGAAAGCAGGAAAGATCCAAAATTGACACCCTAACATCACAATTAAAAGAATTAGAAAAGCAAGAGCAAACACATTCAAAAGCTAGCAGAAGGCAAGAAATAACTAAAATCAGAGCAGAACTGAAGGAAATAGAGACACAAAAAACCCTTCAAAAAATTAATGAATCCAGGAGCTGGTTTTTTGAAAGGATCAACAAAATTGATAGACTGCTAGCAAGACTAATAAAGAATAAAAGAGAGAAGAATCAAATAGACACAATAAAAAATGATAAAGGGGATATCACCACCAATCCCACAGAAATGCAAACTACCATCAGAGAATACTACCTCTACGCAAATAAACTAGAAAATGTAGAAGAAATGGATAAATTACTTGACACATACACTCTCCCAAGACTAAACCAGGAAGAAGTTGAATCTCTGAATAGACCAATAACAGGATCTGAAATTGTGGCAATAATCAATAGCTTACCAACCAAAAAGAGTGCAGGACCAGATGGATTCACAACTGAATTCTACCAGAGGTACAAGGAGGAACTGGTACCATTCCTTCTGAAACTATTCCAATCAATAGAAAAAGAGGGAATCCTCCCTAACTCATTTTATGAGGCCAGCATCATTCTGATACCAAAGCCAGGCAAAGACACAACCGAAAAGGAGAATTTTAGACCAATATCCTTGATGAACATTGATGCAAAAATCCTCAATAAAATAATGGCAAAACGAATCCAGCAGCACATCAAAAAGCTTATCCACCATGATCAAGTGGGCTTCATCCCTGGGATGCAAGGCTGGTTCAATATACGCAAATCAATAAATGTAATCCAGCATATAAAGAGAACGAAAGACAAAAACCACATGATTATCTCAATAGATGCAGAAAAGGCCTTTGACAAAATTCAACAACCTTCATGCTAAAAACTCTCAATAAATTAGGTATTGATGGGACGTATTTCAAAATAATAAGAGCTATCTATGACAAACCCACAGCCAATATCATACTGAATGGGCAAAAACTGGAAGCATTCCCTTTGAAAACTGGCACAAGACAGGGATGCCCTCTCTCACCACTCCTATTCAACATAGTGTTGGAAGTTCTGGCCAGGGCAATCAGGCAGGAGAAGGAAATAAAGGGTATTCAATTAGGAAAAGAGGAAGTCAAATTGTCCCTGTTTGCAGATGACATGATTGTATATCTAGAAAACCCCATTGTCTCAGCCCAAAATCTCCTTAAGCTGATAAGCGACTTCAGCAAAGTCTCAGGATACAAAATCAATGTGCAAAAATCACAAGCATTCCTATACACCAACAACAGACAAACAGAGAGCCAAATCATGAGTGAACTCCCATTCACAATTGCTTCAAAGAGAATAAAATACCTAGGAATCCAACTTACAAGGGATGTGAAGGACCTCTTCAAGGAGAACTACAAACTGCCGCTCAATGAAATAAAAGAGGATACAAACAAATGGAAGAACATTCCATGCTCATGGGTAGGAAGAATCAATATCGTGAAAATGGCCATACTGCCCAAGGTAATTTACAGATTCAATGCCATCCCCATCAAGCTACCAATGCCTTTCTTCACAGAATTGGAAAAAACTACTTTAAAGTTCATATGGAACCAAAAAAGAGCCCGCATCGCCAAGTCAATCCTAAGCCAAAAGAACAAAGCTGGAGGCATCACACTACCTGACTTCAAACTATATTACAAGGCTACAGTAACCAAAACAGCATGGTACTGGTACCAAAACAGAGATATACATCAATGGAACAGAACAGAGCTCTCAGAAATAACGCCGCATATCTTCAACTATCTGATCTTTGACAAACCTGAGAAAAACAAGAAATGGGGAAAGGATTCCCTATTTAATAAATGGTGCTGGGAAAACTGGCTAGCCATATGTAGAAAGCTGAAACTGGATCCCTTCCTTACACCTTATACAAAAATCAATTCAGGATGGATTAAAGCCTTAAACCTTAGACCTAAAACCATAAAAACCCTAGAAGAAAACCTAGGCATTACCATTCAGGACATAGGCGTGGGCAATGTCTAAAACACCAAAAGCACGTGGGCGTGTCTAAAACACCAAAAGCAATGGCAACAAAAGACAAAATTGACAAATGGGATCTAAATAAACTAAAGAGCTTCTGCACAGCAAAAGAAACTACCATCAGAGTGAACAGGCAACCTACAAAATTGGAGAAAATTTTCGCAACCTACTCATCTGACAAAGGGCTAATATCCAGAATCTACAATGAACTCAAACAAATTTACAAGAAAAAAACAAACAACCCCTTCAAAAAGTGGGCGAAGGACATGAACAGACACTTCTCAAAAGAAGACATTTATGCAGCCAAAAAACACATGAAAAAATGCTCATCATCACTGGCCATCAGAGAAATGCAAATCAAAACCACAATGAGATACCATCTCACCCCAGTTAGAATGGCAATCATTAAAAAGTCAGGAAACAACAGGTGCTGGAGAGGATGTGGAGAAATAGGAACACTTTGACACTGTTGGTGGGACTGTAAACTAGTTCAACCATTGTGGAAGTCAGTGTGGCGATTCCTTAGGGATCTAGAACTAGAAATACCATTTGACCCAGCCATCCCATTACTGGGTATATACCCAAAGGACTATAAATCATGCTGCTATAAAGACACATGCACACGTATGTTTATTGCGGCATTATTCACAATAGGAAAGACTTGGAACCAACCCAAATGTCCAACAATGATAGACTGGATTAAGAAAATGTGGCACATATACACCATGGAATATTATGCAGCCATAAAAAAGGATGAGTTCATGTCCTTTGTAGGGACATGGATGAAATTGGAAATCATCATTCTCAGTAAACTATCGCAAGAACAAAAAACCAAACACCACATATTCTCACTCATAGGTGGGAATTGAACAATGAGATCACATGGACACAGGAAGGGGAACATCACACTCTGGGGACTGTTGTGGGGTGGGGGGACGGGGGAGGGATAGCATTAGGAGATATACCTAATGCTAGATGACGAGTTAGTGGGTGCAGCACACCAGCATGGCAAATGTATACATATGTAACTAACCTGCACAATGTGCACATGTACCCTAAAACTTAAAGTATAATAATAAAAAAAAAGAAAAAAAAAGAAAAATTCCAAAAATAAACAATTCATAAGATTTAAATTGCACTCCTTTCTGAGTAGTATAACGCAATCTCCTGCAGTCCTGCTCTATCCTACCTGGTGTGTGAAATCATCCCTTTGTCTAGTACATCCACACTGTATGCGCTATTGCCCATTAGACCGTTAGTATCTGTCTCAGTTATGAGATTGACTGTCACGGTATCACAATATTTGTGTTCAAGTAGCCCTTATTTCACTTAATAATGGCCCCAAAGTGCAAAGGCAGTCATGCCGATATATTGTTATAATTATTTTATTATTATTGTTAATCTTTTTCTGTACATAATTTATAAATCAAACTTTATCATAGGTACATATATATGGGATAAAAATATAGTATATAGAGGGTTTGGTACTATTGGTTTCAGTCTTGGAACATATCCCCTGTGGATTAGTGAAAACTACTGTAGACTGTATTGAGGTTATACCTTTTAAGAAGATATGGAAACTAAAACCTTGATTGTAGACCATTAATAGGTTGTTTGGTCTCTTTTAAAACTAGGAATTCTTAACTGAGCTTGGGTGTAGTTATCTGATTCTGGGATATTAGTCTGTGAGTGTTTTTCCTCTGCATTTTCTCCCTTCATCAAATTACCTATTCCTTCTAGTAGATAGTGGTTGTATAATGCCTAACCTCAGGGAGGCCTTTTGCAGGAGAGAAAATAGAAATAGTCTGCAAGTCTTAAGGGCTTAAAAGATGGAAGTTACTGGCTATAAAGTAATTATTTCAAAGAATCATGAGATGGAAAGGATTTCCCTTGGACATATCTTTAATGTTTCCTCAGAGAGGTGGAAGGGGTGGGTCATATGGCCCCAAGAGCACACAGGACCTGGCCCTGATTATTGGCAGCATACTGACTAAATATGTTTACTAAAAAAAAAAAATCAAGCCTTTATTAAGAATTCAAGTTAGTTTTATTCAGAATTCTTACTGAGGACTACAGACCAAGGCTTGTGTCCCAGGAGCAGCCCTTTAGAGAGGTTCTATTAGACTGCTCAGGTACAGTATTTGAACCCACTGCTTATGTACAGGTAGGGGGTAATGGGTGCATCAAACTCTCTCTGAAGTTACATTAAAGCAGAACCAGATCAAGGTTCTGTCTAAGAGTACAGGTGGTTATGGATTACAGAAGCATAGTCACTAACCCCATCAGACATTATCTTATATGCAGGAAAAGGCAAAAACCGAGGTCGTTTATCTTTTAAGAAACATAGCACCTAAGGCAAGAGACACTGGGGGCTGTGTGCTCTATTTTGTCTTCAGAGCATCTTTCTGGAGAGTGGCATATTGTCATAGAGTCAGGGGCTTTATGAAATTGTGTTGGCAAGCAGAAATGAGCAAACATGGCTTCTTACATTTGCAACTTTGAGTAGTGGCTTCACGGGACATCTAGACTGGCAAAACTAAAAAGCAACCTTGTAAAAGTGTTTTATGCATGGCAGAAATCATTAGACGGCTTCTGGACCTGGAGAGGTTAGGGTAAAAGAGTTACTAGACATCTCAGTGGTAACCTGTGTGCAGACCCACTAAACACTTCCTGTTGTTTAATAGGTTCTGCAGTTGTCTTTTGGTACACATGGGGATTGGTTCCAGGACCCCTGAATATACCAAAATCCATGCATACTCAAGACCTGAAGTTGGCCTTGTGGAACCTGCATATTCAAAGAGCCCACCATATATGTGGGTTTTACATCCGATGAATACTGTATATTTGATCTGTGTTTGGTTGAAAAAAATCCATGTATAAGTAGAACCATACAATTCAATCCAATGGTGTTCAAGAATCAACTGTACAGGTAACCAGAGCTCCCAACACCTTGGTGCTGCTAATAGTATTCCTGAACTTTGGTATGAAGTGGGGGAACTCCTTATGCCTGAGCCCAAGTTTCCTACTGGTTTATGGGGATGACAGCTTGAAATGGAAATTAAGTGACTGTATAGAAGTCTTGATTATTTCTCACGTGCTTGAATTTGTGGCCCAGAATTTATATTCTGTACATATGAATAGTGTTCTCCTAAGTCAGTACTTGCATGAGGTGAATTCAATTAAATCTATGTTGATTTTGCATCCTGCAACTTTACTAAATTTGTTTATCAGTCTTAAGAGTTTTTTGGCAGAGTCTTCAGGTTTTTCAAAGTGTAAGATAATGTCATCTGCAAACAAGGATAATTTGATTTCTTCCTTTCCAGTTTGGATGCCTTTTATTTCTTTCTCTTGCCTAATTGTTCTACCTAGGACTTCCAGAACTACGTTGAATAAAAGTGAGAGTGGATCTTTGTCTTGTTCCAGATCTTAGTGGAAAGGCTTTCAATTTTCCCCCATTCAGCATGTTAGCTGTGGGCTTTTTTATATAGTTGTAATTAAGTTGAAGTATGTTCCTTCTATACCCAATTTTTTAAGGGTTTTATATCATGAAGGATATTGAGTTTTATTGAATGTTTTTCAGCATCTAAGGAAATGATCATATGGTTTTAATCCTTTATTCTGTTGATGTGATATATCATTTACTGGTTTGTTCATGCTGAACCATCCTTGCATCCCTGGAATAAATCTCACTTACAATGGCAAATGATCTTTTTAATGTGTTGTTAAATTTGGTTTGCTAGTATTTTGTTGAGGATTTTTATATGTATTTCATCAGCGATATTGGCTTGTTGTTTTTGTTGTTGTGTTGTTTTGGTTTGGAGATCACGGTAATGTTGGCCTCATAGAAAAAGTTAACAAGCATTCCCTCTTCTTCAGTTTTTTGAAATATTTGGAGTAGAATTGTTATTAATTCCTTAAATGTTTTGTAGAATTCAGAAGTGACTAGATCAGGTCCTGGGGTTTTCTTTGATGAGAGAATTTTTCCTACTGCTTTAATCTCATTATTTGTTATTGCTTTTTATTTATTCATGATTCTATCTTGGTAGGTTGTGTGTGTCTAGGAATTTACCGATTTCTTCTAGGTTTTCTAATTTGTTAACATATCATTGTTCATAATGGTTTTAATGATCCTTTGTATTTCTGTAGTATCAGTTATAATGTTTCTTTTTCCATTTCTGATTTTATTTATTTGGGTCTTCTATCTTTTATTTGTATTTATACTAGCTAAATGTTTATTGATTTTGTTTATCCTTTCAAAAGCCAACTTTCTGTTTGTTGATCTTTTGTATTCTTCTTCTTTTTTTTGCAACAGAGCCTCACTCTGTTGCCCAGGCTGGAGTGCAGTGGCACGATCTCAGCTCACTGCAGCCTCTGCCGCCCAGGTTCAAGCAGTTCTCCTACCTCAGCCACCCAAGTAGCTGGGATTACAGGCACACGCCACCATGCCTGGCTAGTTTTGTATTTTTAGTAGAGACAGGGTTTCATCATGTTGTCCAGGCTGGTCTTGAACTTCTGATCTTAAGTGATCTGCCTGCCTTGGCCTCCCAAAGTGCTGGGATTACAGGCATTAGCCACCCCACCCAGCCTTTCATATTTTTTATAGTCACAATTTTATTTATTTATGCTCTGATCTTTATTATTTATTTATTTTACTAATTTTGGCATTAGCTTGTTCCTGCTTTTCTAGTTTCTTGTGGCACATCATTAGGTTGTTTATTTGGAGTCTTTCTATTTTTTTAATGTAGGCATTTGTGGCTATTAGCTTCTCTCTTAGTACTGCTTTTGCTGTATTACATATGTTTGGGAAATTAAGTTGCTTTATTATATTGTGCTTCCATTTTCATTTGTTCCAAAAGATTAAACTCTTTTTCCTTAGTTTATTCATTGATCCATTGGTTGTTTAGAAGCATGTTGTCTAATTTCCATGTGTTTGTACGGTTTCCAGTGTCCCTCTGGTTATTGATTTCTAGTTTTGGCCTTTATAGTCATAAAACATACTTGATATGATTTCACTGTTTTTGAATTTGTTGAGATTTGTTTTGTGTCCTAACATATGGTCTATCCTGGAGAATGTGCCATGTGCTGATGAGAAAAATGTGTATTTTTCAGCAGTTAATGAAATGTTCTGTAAATATTTGTTAGGTCCATTTGATTTAGAGTATAGTTTAACTACAATGTTTCTTTGTTAGTTTTCTGTCTGGATGGTCTGTCCATTGCTCAAAGTGCAATGTTGATATCTCCTACTATCATTGTATTACAGTCTTTCTCTCCCTTTAGATCTATTAATGTTTGCTTTATATACTTGGGTACTCCAGTGTTGGGTGCATAGATATAATTGTTATATTCTCTTGATGAATTGATTTCTTTGTTATTATATAATGACCATATTTGTCTCTTTTTACAGTTTTTATTAAAGTCTATTGTATCTGATATAAGTATAGCTACTCTTGTTCTTTTTTGGTTTTCATTGGTATGGAGTTTCTTTTTACATTTCTTTACTTTCAGGTTGTGCATGTCTTTATAGACAAAGTGAATTTCTTGTAGGTAGCATATAGTTTTTTTAATATGTTCTACCCTTCTATGTTTTTTAATTGGAGAATTTAGTTCATTTATGTTCAATTATTGATAGGCAATGCCTTACTATTGCCATTTTGTTATTTGTTTTCTAGCCATTGTGTAACCCCTCTCTTCCTTTCTTTCATCCTTTCTGGTTATGTGGTTTTTCTCTGATGGTATGCTTTAATTCATTGCTTTTTATGTTTAGTGTATCTATTATAAATTTTTGCTCTGTGGTTACCATGAGGTTTACAAAAAAATCCTACAGTTATAACAAGTATTTAAAAGTGACCAACTTATTTTAATCATAGAAATGAAAAAGAAAAAAAAACTTCCCCCAAATTCATTGCTTTTTATGTTTAGTGTACCTGTTATAAATTTTTGCTATGTGGTTACTATGACGCTTACAAAACACATCCTAACATTGTAATAAGTATTTAAAAATGACCAACTTGTTTCGATCATCGAAGTGAGAAAGAAAGAAACAAAGCCCCCAAAAGCATTAACTTCCTTCTTCTCACACATTTTGGATTTTTGATGTCACAATTTATATTTTTATATTGCCTATCTCTTAACAAATTTTCTTAGTTAACTATTATTTCTAACATTTTGTCTTTTAGTCTTCTTACTAATGATGTAAATCAATTAGACATTGTAATTACACTATAAATACAACAATCACATATGTGTTCTTTTCTTCCAGTTGGAAATACTTCCTTTAGAATTTCTTGTATAACAGGTCGATAGTGATAAACTCTCCCAGCTTTTATTTGTATGGGAAAGTGTTAATCTCTCCTTCCTTTCTGAAGGATAGCTGTTTGGGGTACAGAATTATTGGTTGACAACTTTTTTTAACCTTTAGAACTCTGAATATATCATTCCACTGCTTCCTGATTTCTAAGGTTTCTGCTGAGAAGTTTGCTGCCAGGCATTTTGGATCTCCTTTATATGTTATTTGGTTCTTTCCTCTCACTACTTACAGTATCTATCTTTTGTCTTTGACCTTTGAGAGTTTGATTATAATATAACTTAAGGTATTCTTTTATGGGTTGAATGAGTTTGGTGACCTTTGACCTTCCTATACCTGGATATTTATATCTTTCTCCAGATTTGAAAAGTTTTGTTACTGTTTCTTTGAGTAAATTTCCTACCCTTTTGTCTTTTTCACTTTCCTTTTTAACTCTAATAACCTGAATATTTGCTTTTTTGTTCTTGTCCCATAGATCCCATAAGCTTTGTTCACTCTTTTTCATTCTTTTTTGTCCTCTGATATTGTATTTTCAAATAATCTGTTTTCAAGCTCACTGATTCATTTTTCTGTTTGATCAATTCTGCTGTTGATGATGCTCATTTCATTTTTCATTTTATTCATTGTATTTTTCAGCTCCAGAATTTCTATCTGATTTTTAAATTGTCTTAATCTCTCTGTTAATTTTCTTTGATGAATTTGTAAATTGCTTCTCTGTGTTTTCCTGAAATTCATTGATCATCCTTAAAACAACTATTTTAAATTCATTGTCTGAGAGATCACACGTCTCCATCACTTTAGGGTCAGTCTCTGGTACTTTATTTTGTCTGTTTGGTGAGGGGAATATGACCTCACCAAATGATGCTTAAGGAAGTGTGACAACATCTGCTTACTGAAGGATTAGGTATTTATTTCAGTCTTCACAGTCTGGCTTTGCTTGTGCCTGTTCTTCAGAGGTCCTTCCAGGGATTCTATGCTGGCTGACTGTTGTATTCCTTGAGCTTGTGACCATTTCACCTACCTCAGCACTGGAGGAGGCTTCAAGTGTCCAAACTTCCTGCAAGTCTCACTAGGCCTCTGAGATTGATGCAGCTTTTCAGCCCAGATAGGCCTGGGGAAGACTCAAGGAAGCTACTGGAGCTGTGTGGGAACACTAGCTGGGGTCCCGAGTCCAGAAGACTATCTTGGTGTCCCTCGTGAGCATGCCTCCCAGAGCCTGGGTTCTGGAGTTGAGAGTGGGTTCCGTCTGGATCTGCTATGGATTAGAGACTGGAATGTCCATCTTATTGGCCTAGACAGGTATGCATGTCCCAGCATGTCTTTGCAAATAGGGTAATTCTTTATCTGCAGTGAGAGAGGCCAGAGCTAAGACTGTCTCCACCTGGGATCTGCTGTGGGGTGAAGCCTGGAGAGCTTATTCATCTCTTTTGCACAGACTATTACACATCTGCCAGCAGGTTTCTGCACAGATGTAATAGTGCCGAATTGCAGCAATAGGGGTCAGAGCTGAGACTGGACCCCTACAGGATCTTCTGTGGGATGAAGGTTGGTGAGCCCAAGTGGGAAGCTTAGTCTCTTGAGCTGGGAGAGATGGGGCAAATTTCCCTCTGAATCCTCGTGTGAGCAGCTCTGAGCTGAGACCACAGCAGAGAAAAGCTGGAGCATCACCACAGGGCAATTTTCAGGTCCATTGCCAAGACCAATGTCAGTGGGCAGAGAGCCTTTCTAACAATGCACTAGTGTGTGCTATTTCTTCTGGACCCCTTGGCAGCTGGTTTTGGTTGTAGGCTCATGGCCAAATGGGGCTGTAGCCAAACCCCTTGAGGGACTGAGCTGTTTCTGGGCTTGCACCCAAAAGCAAGCTCAGTGGAGCAGATCAGCCACTTGGGTGTTACCTAGGTCTTTGACTCCACTGGGGTTTCACAAATTCCTACCTGAATCCTGAGGCTTCTGCAGGAAGAGTTTTAACTGTGATTTGGTACAGAATTATTGTTGTGGTAGAGGGATGTGAATGCATGACCTTCTATTCTGCCATCTTGGTGACATAATAATTTAAATCTAAGAAATCCAAGTCCTGGAATCTTAAAGGACATCACTATCTGTGACATAGTGCAAGTGTGTCTTCTTTACACATTAGGCACTTTGGTATTTTAGTTTTCCTTAGGAGAAAAGAGAAAAGACAATCACCTTATTTTCTTTTCTCACATAACTTTCCCACAATTCTGGCTTTGGGAAATTGAACAATGGATACAGCTCTGATTACAGGAGCCATCATCTCAGAGCATCCTGGATCTACAGAGGAAAAACAGAATAATTCAGGCATTCTTTCTAGGCCATTTTGGCTTCTGGCTTTCAGGACATGTCATCAGGATGACTGATAAATACAATTTTTTGAAGAAATAATTTCCATCCAGATATTCACTAAGAGAACCAAGGGTTTACTGATTATTTTAAATGAACTTACGTTTCAATGTATACTTTCCTATATACATATTATATATGTATATACACACATACATATGTAAATATAAATATAAAAATTATATATGTATATATATGCATATAAGTATATAAAGCTGAAATGATGGGGGTGTGTGTGTGTATAACACAGCATTTTCTTTCTGGTTTTTCTCTGTTCTTTTAGCTTCAGTGCAAATGGAGAAAGCATAAGTAAAAAATAAAAATTATTGAGAGAGACAGGAATTATTGGCTTCTCTTCTTTCTTACCCTTAGTGTTGACAAAATGTATAGTTTTAGACAGGTCAAAATATTTATAACAGAGTATTTAGTTTGGGAATCTTTTATGCCAATTCAAAATCTGGGTGATTTCTATTCAGTAGATGACAATGTATGTTTGGATCTAGCTACCAATTCAGATTGTACAGTAAGCTTTGCCAAAGAAGGCCTTCTCCTTAGCTCCACCTTCTCAAGAGCTGTGGTGGCATAATTTCAATTTTTGAAATTGAAAATTTCAAAAATTGAAAATTTCCATGTCATCCAACATAAATTTTTCAAAAATTTTTCAATTTTGGCCATTTTTGAAGAATTTATGTTGGATGACATTGAAAAGTATCAGAAGATCCTCAGGGGAAGGCTGGAAGTTTTATTCTTCAGCCTTTTGTTATTGTCATTATTGACATTAAACTTTTCTGAGTACAGGTACATGCCCATATGTACTTGTGCATATACATTTGTATCAGCATAGGAACTCCTGCAAAGAAACTTGAAACAATAAGGAACATTATTAAGACTAAACTATTACTTCAGAAGGATTAAACTCTAGAGAAAATGAAATGAAAGTTTTCAAAAGGAGGGAGAGGTACAAGTTAGGAATGACAGATTTATCAAATAAAAATATAAGTTTCTCAGTTAAATTTGAATTACAGATAAATAAATAGTTAAAATATATAAAAAATATTGCATGGGATATACTTATGCTTAAAAGTTATTCATTGTATATCTGAAATTCACATTTAATGGGAAACTTGAATTTTATCTGGAAATTGTAGTACGAGTAGTCATGCTTCCTGGATCATTTTGTCTCGAGGGGCGAAGTATAACTGGCCACTCTGAGAAGTCAGATTCTGGATCCAGAAATCATGTGATAGTCTCAATTGAAGTCAAGAAAATCCTACCTCCAGCCTGTGGAGGGGTGTGGGTGAGGCCCAGTATCCTTGGGGTTTTTTAGTGTGAAGAAATTACTCTGGATTGTTTTGAGAGGCAAATAAGTCAGTAGGTTAGGAGAAGAAAAATGGAAACTGGTTCGTGGAAATGACGATTTTACAAGGGAAAGAAAAAACAAAAACAAATATCAGAGAATTTGGAGTGATAACCTGAAGTGAAAGAATGAAGCTGAAATAGTGAAAATGCCCAGGCTAGTTTTTACTCAATCTTCTTCTCTACCTTCCATCCTATTTGATCTCCAGGAGAATCAAGGGGGGAGATTGGGTAGGACTAAATTTCTTAAAACTTTGCAAGTAAGAGTGTTTGGGAGACGGTCAAGAGTTTCTTTTTTTTTAAAAAAATGTCTTGATGATTTAATTATTTTATTTTCAATCATGTATATTTCTACTTAATATCTATGCATACTCACAAAGTGATACGTGGTATAAATTTGGCTTTTAGCTTGGTGACTTAAGAAAGTAATAACTAATATTAGTGAAAAATATAATATGCATTTTAAAGGGAATGTAGGCCAATACCTTGACTATTTTTATTTTTCAGTGCATTTCCTTGTTCTCTTACTCTGGACCCTGAAAACATATAATCCTTAGCATTTAATGTAAATTTTCTTTTGATGTTGATCTTCATCAGCTCTTAGTTTAAATGCCAGGCAATTCATACACCAACAGAATCTTGTTGCAATCCCTGAGGGTAATCAGCATTTCATATTCTCCTTCATGTGGTTGCTGTTAGTAAGCCTCCAAATTCTGTTCTCAATTACCACAGATATGCTAAATGTATGCATAGCAGAAACTTGCTAATTTGTAACTTAAAAGACTGGAAAACAATGAGCTTAAATTAATTAAGTATCTGGTATTTTTAAAAATTACGAAACAACCAAACATTAACTAGGCTGAGAAAGAACAATTATTGTACTCTATATGAACAGATTATATGAAGGGATAATGGCTTACATGAGACTTCTGAGTTAGCTCACAACTATATGTGTTCATGGAGCTATGTATTTAAATGCCAGTTGCAATATGCCAAGGCCAATTTGCGGAAAATTAATTTACCTAAGAACCAATTTACTGAATGACCAGTTCACTGTGTTACAGAAGCATTTCTTAGAGTTGTAGTTTTTCCTGTGTCCCTGCTCTTGCCTTCTCCTTTACCACATTATCTGCACGTGGATCTTTTCCCTTAAATACGGTTTGCTCAATTCTCCATTTATGGGCCTTATGTTCATTCTTGCCTCTGGTAGCAAAATGGTTAAAGTGAACTTTTAGGTTAAATTATTCATTTACTGAGAAATGCCAAACAGAGAACTAGAAAAGAACATTGGACTGAGAAGGAGGCCTAGAATCTGGCTTTTTAATTAGGGAGCTGTGTGACCTTGAACAAGCAACTTATCTTCTATAGGCTTAGGTTTCCTCATCTAAACATGTTATCAAATATCTCAATTGAAATGCATCTCTGGGAAAGGAAGAAGTTAAAGTGCATGGTGCATGTAACTGAGCAGAGCTCATGGTCCCCTTTACCGATGGAGAAGTGTGTTAGACCACCTCAACTGTTACTCACGTAAATATTGCCTATTGTGTGTATCCTGATGGACAGAGGGTTAGGAAAATGGTCCTCAGGTCCCCTTCAGCCCTGATATTCTATGATTTCATAATCTTTTAACATACTAGAACGACCATTTCTGGGCTTAGGGTTTCTGTGTTTATGGTTTGAGGGAGTTTCCACTCCATAGTTCTCCAGGAGACTTACAGTACAGATTTAGATAAGGTGTTTCAGCTAAATGGGATATAAAAGTAAGATACTTAGAACACCTTTAGTAATAAACTCTTTGATGCCAAAATAAAATTATTTAACATATACGTGTGTACTCTTAATACATCCATCCATCCATTCATTCATTTATTTAGCAAATATTTATTGCATACCTACTATATACTTACATAGTAGATCTAGAGCTTGAGGGATAAAATTTTTCACAAAATGCTCACAGACTTTTAAAAAGATAGTCATGTGATCATGTAAGCAAATATAATACAGTGTGAGAATTTCTTTGTCAGTTATACACAATGAAATTTTTATCGGTTATGCCAAATCTCAGAATGCTGACACCCGATAGTCCCTTTATGGCATTTGTTAACCATAGATTACCATGCTGCTGCCCAGTGGAATTGCTCTGGCCACAGCTGGCTTGATATGCCAACACATAGCACAGCTACAAGCCAGTGTCCTGTGGGGTGTGGTGGTAGGAAAGAACACCTCAATAGAGATTCATGGTACGTCATTGCCTTGGTAAAATCTCTTCTAAACGGTTTGAATTCAACATATAGAGGAAGTCAGACAGTTGATAATTGGAACAGAAGCTGGAAGATGTTGTGGGGTAACAATGACAGGGCCTGAGAAAAGGGCTTTACATATTCTCTTTTCTGAGGAGAGTGGTGAGATAAACCACAAAAGCTGCCTGGGGTCCTGAATGCTATTCTATTTCCTGAACCATGCTCCATTTTCCTGGTGCCTGGCTGGGGGTATATTCTGATACTTGTCTGGGGCCGCTCTTCCTCACTTGTACTCCTATCCTTACAACAAACACGCACTTATCTGTAGCCTGAGTGAGTTTCTGATTTTGGCAATGTGAAGTGCTGAACACAGAGGTACTATGAGATGATTAAAGAGGGAGTCCTGACTGTGTCATAGAGAACATGGTTCACCTGAGACTTGAAGGGCACATAGCGTGGGCCACGGAGAGGACAGAGGACCAGTTGTGCAAGTGCAGGGAAGCAGGAGAGAATAAGCCAAGTTCAAAAAGAATCACTACTGCACAGAGGAGCTATGTGTAGGGGTAAGATATGAGGATGGACGGTCAAATAATGACCAGATCATGAAGATTTTGCATTTTGTACCACAGATAGGCAGGAGCAACTGTAAGAATTTTCAAACAAGTACCTTGTCAGCAATACAAAAGGTTTATTAGCTAAGATTAAATTTGGAGAGTAAAAGATAAGTGAGTGAGTCTTTTAGGGCCTTAACTAGGTGTAGGTGAGTTCTAAGGGCCTTAACTAGGGTAGAAGCCGTGTGTGTGTGGAAATTATAAAAGAGATTGTAAGGCAGTAGGATGAGCAAGATTTGGCAACTGATTGGGTGTGAGGAAAGACTCAGGGATGATTCCCAGGGTTTCTGGCGTGGGTGAAGGGGCTGATGAAGGTAACAATTCTTGAGCGAGAGAACATGGGAAAGAAACAAATTTGAAGATAGTTCCTTTGGAATTGTGGCACAAAGATGTGTGACTGCGTTTTTATTATGAGGTCTAAACTAATAATGGAAGAAACTGTATAAAGCAAGGTAATATAGAAATTATTCTAGGTTCTTTATGAATCTGACATTGCTCTACTTTTTCTTAATTACAATTCTCTAATTGTTGGGCTCTCACAGCTTAAATTTACAGTAGCTGAGAATTCCTTGACAGATGCCTCCTTAAGTTATGTTCTTTGCCTTCAAGGTTACCCTGGGAGACAACTGGTTAGGGCACACCCATTTTAAGCTATATCTCCCTAATGAACGCCATCAGGCACTGTGCAAGGATGGACAATGGTTGGGGGCTGGGGGTAAGGGAGCTCCCAAATCAAAATAACAGAATACAAAAACCTCTCTTTGTTTTTTATTTCCTCTCGTTGCTTTTTCACTGCCTCTAAAGGTAAGAATGGCCTTTGTTTTACATATTGTCTAGAGTCTATCTCAGGGGAAGTTGAGCTGGATTCTGAAGCAAAGGGTGGCTTACACAGGATAAATTTCAAGCTTCCACTCTTGTCCGCTCAGCTTCCTTTGATGCCTCAGTAGTTTCAAGGTTCCCTTAGTGTTTCTTTTACTATACAATGGTGAAGTTGTTTACCACTAGAAGAAGTTCATCGGGTGAAATTTACCCAGGGCTCCCTTAAAACTGATGCTGCATGCATGCATGAATTGCTTCCAGGGTTACTCACTCCTTTAGCTTTTGCTAAGGAATCTGTCAGTCAAATGAGTTGCTGCTGACAACAACTTTTTAAGACTCTTTTTTCTCAACCATAACACATTAAACACTTTGAAAACAGATAAGCAAACGTTTTCTCACAGTCTGTTACGTATTTTTCCTTGCTGCCCATTTCAATATAATGAAATTCATGTTTTACAAAAAGAATTCCGGTAAAATGGATCAGATTTCATTCTTTACCATTTTGTCCATATGTGTTTGGACTCCCATAAGTCAATGACGTATAGGGTTAGTGTGATAGTAAGTTTCCATTTTAAAGATTCAAAGTCCTATGATCCACAGCTCAACTTAAGTTTCCCTGGTGAAAATGTGATGTTTCTGTTTGCATCTATTCTCTTTTGTTTTGGTCATCTTCTCCATTAGCATGAGTCTAGCATTTTGAAACCAAGATAGCCATTAGTAATGTTTTCTTACGGGAGTACCCTCACTGTGATTGCAATACCCAACAAGCTATGTGGAAATGGGCTTTATGATGATGAATTACTGTTGCAAAAAGAACTCAGTGGCACTGATAAATATTAAAGAGCTACTGTTGCCCCCATGGAAATCATTTTATTTATTTGCTTCTAAAGCCTATTCTCTGTACATCTCTTCCCTTTTATTTCTGTGCTGATTTACATGACAACAAAGTCTCTGGTCCTCAGGAGCTTGTCTGCTCCTGCCGCTATTCTCTCCTTGGAGTCCTCACCCTCTCTTTGCTGAGGAGATGAGTGACAATGAAGTGAGGAGTAAATGGCTACTGGAGCAGATGAACTCTGAGAAACAAAGATCCCCTTCTCATGCAAATTTCCATAGTGATTTAACATCAAGGAAGAAAAGAAACCAGGGCACAAGGTATCAAGAGAACTGGATGGTATTTGAGGTTGATCCATGAAGCCTTGACATCTCTTTAAGAGTGCCATCTATCAAAGCATCTCCTTCCCTTTCATATACAGTGAAAACACATTTCCAATTTGAAGAGAAACATGGAGGCACATAAAATCTAACCTCAGTCCCAGGGCCTGGGTGTGCACTCACACCGCCAGTCCCTTCAATGTCTCATTTAACTGGGTCGCTCATTCCTAACCAATGAGAATGTCTCCCAGCATGCTTACTTATTGCCTAAACTATCCACTCTGCCTGGGAGGCCTCCTCCTTTTCTTTTCTGACTTAAACTTTCTCTACCTTTCAAAGATGAATTCAGGCCCATTCTATTATCCTTAGAGTCTTTCCCTCCAGATCTTTCTTCAGAATTTGCATTGTACCAGTTCTTGCCTATAAGCTGTTTTCTCCAAAATTTTTTGAGAAAAGTAATCATGTATTATACTGCATTTCTTTTTATCTACACCTCTTAATATAATAGCAGACATATAATATGTATTTGTTAGATAGACTAGCTGTAATTTAAGAATTATGAAACTAAGAAGGATAAGTTTATTTTAGATATGCATCTATCCATGATTGTTTTTCCTTTAAATTTAAAACCCGTGGCAGCTTGCCTTAAAGATAAAGCAAGCTACATGTCCTGCTTTTGATTAATTGACTCTTCAGGGATGCCATCAACCACAGAAATGTAAACTAATGCATTTCAGTTAAAATGATTTTTAACTCAGAGGCTTGATACATTTGGTGAGAATATTATTGATAATAATAATATTTTTAATAGTAAATACTTAGTGCTTACCTTGTTACCAGTCCAAACATTTTAAGCATGTGTACTCTCATTTAATCCTCACAAACAACCATATGAAGTACGTAATATTGTTATGACCATTTTATAGATAAGGAACCTGAGTGTTAAGTAACTTGCCTGCAGTTGTAGAATTTGGATCTCGGCAGTCTGGCTCTAGGGATCTGTGCTCTGAACCATGATTCTATTCTGCCTGTTACACTGCCATTGGGTTCTCGCTCTGCCTTCCTACCTTTTGTTGGGTACAGTGTTCTTCAGTTTCCAAACTTCAGCACCAGACATTCTGAGAATTTTTCTGGCAAGCCTTTTATGTGAGATCTTACTACTGATTTTGCAAAACTCAGAAGAAGATTTAATTTGGATAGGGAGGTTCACTCTAAGTGAGTATAGTAATATATTATAGTCAAAGTTAGAACTAAGATTGCTGGAACATTTTAAAACAAGTGTAAATGTGGTGCTTGTGAAAACATGAATGAAGGCCAGTAGGTCAGGTAGTTGGTTTAGAATTCCTTTTAATCACGGTTTCTTTCTATTAGTTATTTGTTAAAATTAAATTGTGAAGTGGATGAATGAAGATAAAATAATGCACGTGTTATAAAGTTAAAAGAAGGAATATATTTAAAACTGCCAGGAAAATATATAATATAAAGAAAACAATCCCTGGACTTCTTTTCTTGCTATAAGGAACAGGTTTCTCACCTGAGAGGGAAAAGACTCCTTGTCACTATGAGACTAATTTATGAAGCCAAACTTGTGTTCTGGGACTGAATTGCTATTGATATTGGTTACTCTTTAAATAACTCAAAGGGCAAGAGTGTGTGTGTGTGTGTGTGTGAGTGTGTGTGTGTGTGTGTGTGTATGTGTGTGTTTGTGTGTGTTCATGCTTCTTTGGGAAGGATATTAGGACCATTGAGACAAGAGATGTATTTTCTGAAGTAATATATGGTGAAATTAAGGTTACAAATCCCTCCCATCATCAAGATGGATGGTAAGAATTAGAAGTGAGAGCAAAATTTGATTCTGTACAAAAAAGTGATTCCAAGGGCACTCCTTGTTGGGGGATGGGGGGTGAATTTCAGAGGTTTCTGCCAGCTGTGCATCAGAGAAGTGAACCTGGTCACTCACAAATCAACCCTTGTTGGAGCAGAAATAGAAGGAGATGAAGTTTTATATATCAATAAATATCATCCTCATAAAGTAAGAAACTTGTTTACCGAAATCACAATAAGAGAAAAAGAAACAAAGAACAACCAACACAAGCCTAGAGATTATTCATCTGTCACACATCTACTGGGAATCTGTTGTCTGCCAGGTACTGTACTAATCACCAGGGATAGAAAAAGAATAAATATCACTGTCCTTCAACACCTCATAATCTGGGGGGTGGAGGGGGCAGGACTAGAGAAAAATTAAAAATTAGTATTAGAAATTACAATGCAATATAAAAAATGGTATGTCTAGGTTGCCCAAGGATTAAAGAGCAGTAGCGAAGAATGGTTTTACCACAGCAGGTAACACAAGGAAGACAGGACCTGTCTGGGTAGAAGCATGAAGAGGAACACTCCCCCAGTGGGAATGGGATGCAGAAAGGCATCACGGTACGACAGAGCAGGGTTTTGTTGGGGAACTGCAAATGGGGATACACAGAATGTGGTAAAGCTGTCCCATTTTGTTATGGCCTATATTTAGAATGTTTGGTGCTTTAGATTACTTAATCCTTAAAACTTCCCTCTGAGAATGTGTTCTCAACTGCTGTGGCTGACAGGTTGGCTTTGGTGAAAGGTAGGTGTGGGCATTTCCAGGATCCATGCCAAGTGCAGGTGTGCCTGTGGGCTGCTTGTCTATGTTGTGGATTATATAGGATGAATGAGAATGCATGTGGCTGCTCCAACAGCCATAGCCTTTTGGAGGAGCTGATGTGCTGTTCCCCAGTTGTTTATTGCTCTTTTGCCTTTCTATGCACTCAGTTCATATGCCTTCTTCCCTTTATCTACATGAGAAAGTCTTATTCTTATTTTGATGTAAAATAAACATTAAAGATTACTATGTAGAAAAGTTTCTCACCTGGTCCGTGCATAGTCCATACATACACTTTGCTTGTGCATGCTGGAGAAACACATATACAAGCTTTTTCTTTTTCCCCTTTATAGTGTAAAGTGGTTGTCTGGATTTATTTCAGTTATTTAAATTAGTCATGAGTCAAGACAACATCTGACTTGCAGAAACCACACTCATCATGGTTGGTAATGATTGCATCAGTATGAAGTGTGTGTGTGTGTGTGTGTGTGTGTGTGTGTGTGTGTTGAAGGAGAGCATAAGAGAGTGAACTTTCTGCTCACAAGTACAAAATGACCCAAAGGAAAACATTCTGAAATTTAAATCTGCAGTTTTTCTCCCCCTGAAAGCAGCTGTGTTCCCTCAAAGCATCATCCTGTACAGAATGCTCCACAGGATGCTTGGTACCCTGCTGTTAGTACAGTAACCGCAGACACATTGTCTGTAGTGTTAAGAGGCAAATAATATGGTCATAGCCACTGATTTAATCTTTCGATTGGCATCTGAATATAGGCAGTTGTTTTAAGATAGTAATTAGCTGAACCCTGGGGGAATTTCTTTTCAAAATACATGCTAGTTCTTATGTGTCTCATTATTTTGCTTAGGTAGGCTGTCTTGTTCAACTAAATAAAGATACATGGAAGTGAACTGGTTTCTTTAGGATTCCTACTTTAATTTGGTAGGAATAGAGACTGCTGGTAATGCCTACAGTCTGTACCAAAGTCAAAGTTATGATGTAACACTATAGGGATATTTATTTGGCTTCTGGGGTTTATTTTTTCATATAGAAAACTAGAGATTTTGACAGATTTTTATATTATAATGTGCTCACACCTGAGGGGCTGGACTCCAGGGATATATTTGCTTGCTGGCAAAAGCAGAAAGGACTGATATGAGGATTTTGAAGTCAGTGACTTCCAACTTTGATCCTACAGCAAAATATATATTGAACTGATTTGTTCATTGCACAGTGTCTGTCATGAGATGAGGTTTCAGCCTTAAGATTCCCCTCGCCCTCTCAGATAGACAGCCAAGATATTCTGTTGGGGTTGTGCCATCTATTCAAACAGCATGGAGATGGGGCTAGGCCTAGAACTCTGTGGAAATAGCAAAACTCAGCCGTAACTCAGGTTTCTTCTTACTAAGAAAACTTAGTACACACATAACTAATTGGATCGATCATGAAAATTATGTACATTTCTTTGTG
Source organism: Homo sapiens (assembly GCF_000001405.40). NCBI lineage: Eukaryota > Metazoa > Chordata > Mammalia > Primates > Hominidae > Homo > Homo sapiens. The sequence continues at coordinate 127,044,706 of NC_000004.12, read as the reverse complement.
AATACAATATATATGTCTAAGTGTCCTGAAGTTTCTCACTTTTTTGAATCATAATGGTTTTCTACCTTAATATATGCTTTATACTTTTCAATTAACTTATAAGAAGAAAAACTAAGGAAAATAAAAAGGTAAAAGATATAGTAAATTGGAAACACTCTTTGCTCACACAGTTTATGGTGAGATTCATGTCATCACAAGATAGGCTATCCTCGGGCTACTTAGGAGTTTGCCTCTCACACTGTGGACATGCCTCACTGGTGAACTAGATTACCATGTGGATGATGTTACTCATTGAATGAGAGATTCAAATTAATTGATTCCATTGTTTGGCCTTTGTATTCATGTGAAACTGCCAATCCTTAGCTTCCCTACTCCAAATAAATTGTAAACGGAAACCTTTGCCACCCAGGCTCAATTTCCTTCAGTGCTGGAGATAATATTGACCAAGTCTGGCAAGAGATCTCTTCACTGATCTCCTAACTGAACTGTCAATTAATCAGTGTTGTCTGTAAAACATATTGTTGATGGCCCAGAGAACATGCAAGCTTCCTGCAAGCCGACTCCTCTTTGATACACTTGTGCACCTTTTCTCCTGTAAATTTTTATGTTATGTACTTATTTTTAAAAAATCAGTTGTTTTATTCACAGTTAAAGTCCTTGGGGAGCAGATTCATTTATCGTTCGTATTTTGTTTGTTTGTTTGTTTGTTTCTGATCTTGGTTATTTCCTTTCTTCTGCTTGATTTGGGTTTGGTTTGTTCTTGTTTCTCCAGTTCCTTGAGGTGTGACCTTAGATTGTCTATTTGTATTCTTCATCCAAATACAAGAAGCACCAAGAACACCTGGGAAATTCACCGCAAAAACATCTTTGCATGGGCACATTGTCATCAGGTTATCCAAAGTTAAGACAGGGAAAGAATCTTAAGAGCTGTGAGACAGAAGTACCAGGTAACCTCTAAAGGAAAACCTAAGGTCAGTTTTTTTTAAGAAAAGTAACTTTATTGTGGTATAAAGACTACAAAATCAAGGTGTCAAAAATTAAATTAGATGCAAGGTATAAAAAATTGCTGTTCTGTAGGTCCAAATGAACTTTATGAAATTCCCATCTTTTAAAATCATAAATGGCTGAAATTTGTCAATTTTGTATGGAACTCACTATTATATATGGGAATATAATCAGTGACTTATACTCAGAGGAAATCCTTTGACACTGTATCAAAGATCTGGTCATGAAATGCATATTTAGACATTGCAAGTTATAATAAAATGTTGAAAACATGTCTCATATTTATGGATCACCAATTTATTTTATTTTATTTTTATTAACCAACCAATTGCGATTTATAATCTTGTTGATAAAAAGAGGGCTTCTGCAGTGCAAAGTCTCTGGTGGGGTTTAGAATTTATATTCCTGCCCTAACAATGGGATATCTTTTGCTGGGATGACTTAGGTGCCTTTATACAAGAGCATTCAGCCATCTCTCTGTGTTGAAAGACAGTCGGGGAACTAGAAAGGAATTCTAGTTCCTGAGTCACACACTCCAGCTTTCTACCATTGTAAGCATCAGTCATTGGCTAAAATCTGGTAACTCTCACTTTTTTTGTTGACTGCTTCTTTGTGGTGCTTGTGACATTTTTTTATTCCTTCCAAGTTGCTGGTTCTTGCTCAATTTATTTTTTAAAGTAATTTCACATTTTATTATAGAAATGTGCAATATACCTGAGTATATTGCACAGTGCTGAGGTTTGGGGTATGATTGATCTCATCACCTAGATACTGAGAATAGTACCCAATAGTTTTCAACTCTTTCCTCTCTCCCTTCTCTTTCCCCCAATAGTCCCCATTGTCTATTTTTGCCATCTTTATGTCTATGAGTACCCATTGTCTGCTTCCACTTATAAGTGAGAACATGTGGTATTTGGTTTTCTGTTCCTGTGTTAATTCACTTAGGATAATGGGTTCCAGCTGAATTCATGCTGCTTCAAAGAATGATTTCATTCTTTTTTAATGGCTGCATAGTATTCCATGGTGTATAGGTACAACATTTTTTTTTTTAGTCCAATCCACAATTGACGGTCACCTAGGTTGATTCCATATCCTTGCTTTAATGAATAGTGCTGTGATGAACATACAAGTGCATGTTTCTTTTTGGTAGAATAACTTATTTTCTTTTGGATATATATATAGTACTGGGATTACTGTGTTGAATGGCAGTTCTGTTTTAAGTTTTCTAGAAATCTCCCAACTGTATTCTGCAGTGATTGAACTAATTTACACTCCCACCAACTGTGTGTAAGCATTCCCTTTCCTCTGCATCCTCACCAGCATTTTTTTTTTAACTTTTCAATAATAGCCATTCTGACTAATGTGGGATACTATCACATTTTGGTTTTGATTTATGTTTCTCTGATGATTAGTGATGCTGAATATTTTTTCATATGTTTCTTGGCCACTTGTAGGTCTTTTGAGAAGACCTTGTTCATGTCTTTTGTCTATTTTTTAAATGGGTTTTTTTATTGTTCAATTATTTAAGGTCCTTATATATTCTGAATATTAGATCTTTATCAGATGCATAGTTTGGTAATATTTTCTCCTATTCCATAGGTTGTCTTTTACTCTGTTGAGAGTTTCTTTTGCTGTGCAAAAATTCTTTAGTCTAATCAGGTCCCACTTGCCAATTTTTGTTTTTGTTGCAATTGCTTTTGAGGACTTAGTCACAAACTCTTTTCCTAAGCCAATGACTGGGATGGTGTTTCCTAGGTTTTCTTCAATGAGTCTTATATTTTGAGGTCTTACATTTAAATCTTTAATTCATCTTGAGTTAATTTTTGTATATGATGAAAGATAAGGGTCCAGTTTCATTCTTCTACATATAGTTAGGTAGCTATCTTGGCACTGTTTATTAGAATAGGGAGTCCTTTCCTCATTGCTTGTTTTTGTTGACTGTGTCAAAGATCAGATGGACATAGGTGTGTGGCTTTATTTCTGAGTTCTCTATTCTGTTCCATTGGTCTATGTGTCTGTTTCTCTACCAGTACCATGCTGTTTTGGTTACTGTAGCCTTATAGTATGATTTGAAGGTGGATAATGTGATGCTTCTGGCTTTGTTGTTTTTGTTTAGGATTGCTTTGTCCATTCAGCCTCTTTTTTGGTTGCATATAAATTTTAGAATAGTTTTATTCTAGTAAAAAAATGGCATTAGTGGCTTAATAGGAATAGTGTTGAATCTATAGATTGCTTTGGACAGTATGGCCATGATTTTTCCAACCCATGAGCATGGAATATTTTTCCACTTGTTTGTGTCATTTATGATTTCTTTCAGCAGTGTTCCGTATTTCTCCTTGTAGAGATCTTTCACCTCATTGGTTAGCTGTCTTTCTAGGAATTTTATTGTGGCTATTGTAAATGGGATTGTGTTCTTGATTCGGCTCTCAGCTTGAACATTATTGGTGTATAGAACTGCTACTAATTTTTATACATCGTTTTTGTATTCTGAAACTTTACTGAAGTTGTATAATAGTTCTGTGAGCCTTTTGGTGGAATTTTTAGGGTTTCCTAAGTATAGAATCATATCACCAGTAAAGAGAGATACTTTGAATTCTTTTCCTATTCATATACATTTTATTTCTTTTTCTTGATTGAGTGCTGTGGTAAGGACTTTCAGTGTTATGTCAAATAGGAGTGTTGAGAATGAGCTTCCTTGTCTTGTTCCAGATCTCAAGGGGAATGCTTCCAGTTTTTGCCCATTCAGTATAATGTTGGGCTGTAGTTTTGTCATAAATAGATCTTATTATTTTGAGATATACTCCTTTTATGCCTAGTTTCTTGGGAGTTTTTATCATGAAGGATGTTGAATCTTATCAAAAGCTTTTTCTGCATCTGTTGAGATGATTACATGGTTTTTGTTTTAAATTCTGTTTATGTGGTGAATCACCTTTATTGATTTGCAAATGTTGAACCAACCTTGCATCCCAGGAATGAAGCCTACCTGACCATCGTGAATTAACTTTTTGATGTGCTGCTGGATTCACTTTGCTAGTATTTTGTTGAAGATTTTTGTGTCTATGTTCATCAGGGATATTGGCTGGTAGTTTTTTTAATCATCCCATCTTTGCCAGATTTTGGTATCAGAGAGATGTTGGCTTTGTGGAACGAGTTAGGGAGAAATCCCTCTTCCTTGATTTTGCTGAATAGTCTCAATAAAACTTGTACCAGCTCTTCTTTATACATCTCATATAATTTAGCTGTGACTCCATCTCGTTCATGGCTTTTTTTGGCTGGTAGATTTTTTATTTCATTTTATTTGTTTTATTTATTTATTTATTTATTTATTTATTTATTTATTTATTTATTTATTTATTTATTTTGAGACAGAGTCTAGCTCTGTAGCCCAGACTGGAGTGCAGTGGCATGATCTTGGCTCATTGGCAACCTCTGGCTCCAGGGTCCTGGTTCAAGCAATTCTCCTGCCTCAGCCTCCTGAGTAGCTGAGACTACAGGCATCCACCACCATGCCTAGCTAATTTTTTGTATTTTCAGTAGAGACAGAGTTTCATCATGTTGGCCTGGCTGGTCTTGAACTCCTGACCTTGTGATCCTTCTGCCTCGGCCTCCCAAAATGCTGGGATTTGGGGTATGATTGATCTTGCTTGGCCAGTAGAGTTTTTATTACTGATTCAATTTGGAACTTGATATTAAACTGTTTAGGACTTCAAGTTATTCCTGATTCAATGTTAGGAGATAGAGATTGTGTGTTCCAAGGAATTTATTCATTTTTCTCTAGATTTTCTAGTTTGTGTGCATAGAAGTTTTAAAAATTATCTCTGAGTATTTTTATATTTCTGTGGGATTGGTTTTAATGTCATCTTTGTCATTTCTGATTGTGCTTATTTGGATCTTCCCTTTTTTGCTTTGTGAATCTACCTAAGAGTCTATTAATCTTGTTAATTCTTTAACAAAATAAACTCTTGTTTTTTAAAGTTATTTGTATTAATTTTTGCGTTTCAGTTAACCAGTTCTCATTTAATTTTAGTTATTTTTTTTTTCTTCTGCTAGCTTTGGGATTAGTTTGCTGTTGCTTTTCTAGTTCCTGTAGGTATGATATTAGATTGTTAATTTGAAATCTTTCTGACTTTTTGAGGTATGTGTTTGGTGGCATAAACATTCCTGTTAACGCTGCTTTTGCTATGTCTTACAGATTCTAGTATGTTGTGTCTCTGTTTTATTGCTTTCAAAGAGTTTTTGATTTCTGTGTTACTTTTGTTGTTTACCCAAAACAACAAAAGTTGTTGATGAGTCATTCGGGACACAGTTGTTTAATTTCCATGTAATTGTGTGGCCTTGATAGATCTTCTTGGTATTGATTTCTATTTTTATTCCTTTGTGGTCTGAGATTATGGTTGGTATGATTTTGATTTTTTTGAAGTTACTGAGACTTGCCTGATGGCTGACTTAGTGGTCAGTCTTGGAGTATGTTCTGTGTACAGATGAGAAAAATTTATATTCTGTGATTAAGAGGTGGAGTATTCTGTGGATGTCTATTAGGTCCAATTAGTCAAGTGTTATTTTAAATCCAAAATGTCTTTCTTAGTTTTATGCCTCTGTGATCTGTCTAACGGTGTCAGTGGAGTATCGAAATCTCCCACTAGTATTATGAGGCTAAGCCTTTTCATAGGTCTAGAAGAAATTATTTTATGAATTTCAGTGCTCCACTGTTGGGTGTGTATATATTTGGGATAGTTAAATCTTCTTGTTGAATTGAACCCTTTATCATTATGTAATGTTCTCCTTTTTCCTTTTTCACTCTTGTTGGTTTAAAGTCTGTTTTATCTTTTATAAGAATAGTGACCCTTGCTCTTTTTTAGGGTTCCATTTATGTGATAAATCTTTCTCCAACCCTTTACTTTGAGCCTATGGGTGTCGTTATGTGTGAGATGAGTCTATTAAAGACAGCAGTTGAATGGATCTTGTTTTTCTAATTCAACTTGCCACTCTGTGCCTTTTAAGTGGTGTGTTTAGATAATATACATTCAAGGTTAATATTGGTAAGTGAAGTCTTAATCCTATCATGAAGTTGTTTGCTGGTTGCTTTGTAGTTCCTATTGTGTGGTTACTTTATAGGGTCCGTGGGCTAGCATATTTTGATGGTAATAAGTATTGTTCTGTTGTGTCTGTGTTTAGAATTCCTGTAAGGATCTCTTGTAAGGTGGTCTGGTGGTCTAGTGGTTACCCCAAGAGTGGTAACTATTTCCTTTAGCACTTGTTTCCCTGAAAAAGATTTTATTTCTCCTTCACTTATAGAGCTTAGTTTGGTGGAATATAAAATTCTTGGTTGGAATTTCTTACCTTTAAGAATACTGAAAATAGGCCTCCAATCTCTCCTGGATTGTAAGATTTCTGCTGAGAAGTCTTGCTGTTAGCCTGATGAGGTTCCCTTTGTATGTGATCTGACTTTTTATCTAGGTTCCTTTAAGATTTTTTTCTTTAGCATTGACCCTGAGCAGTTCTGGTGAATCTACGTCTTGGTGATGTTTGTTTTGAATAGTATTTTCCAGGTGTCCTCTACATTTCTTATATCTGGATGCCTACCTCTCTAGCAAGATAAGGAAAATGTTCTTGAATTATTCCCTCAAATATGTTCTCTAGGTTGTTTTCTTTTTCTCTTTTCTTTCAGGAATGCCAATATTTCATAATTTTGGTTGCTTTACATAATCCTATATTTCTTGAAGACTTTGGACATGTCTTAAATTTCTTTTAAAAAAATTTTTGTCTGATGGGGTTAATTCAAAAGACTGGTCTTCAAGCTCTGAAATTCTTTCTTCTGCTTGGTCCAGTCTATTGACAAAGCTTTCCTTTGTATTTTAAAATCTCTTAAGTGATTTTTTTCCATTCCAAAATCTCTGATTTCTTTTGAAGATGTTTATTTCTTCCTTCATTTCCTGGATTGCCTTAGAAGTTTCTTTATGTTAATTTTCAACCTTATCTTGGATCGCACTGAGCTTCCTTGCATCCATGATTTGAATTCTTTATCTGTCATTTCTGAGTTTCCATCTTGGTTAGGGACCAGTGCTGGAGAGCTACTGTGATCCTTTGAGGTATCACGTCATCAAGATTTTTCATGGTACTAGAATTCTTGCCCAGGTTCCTTCTCACCTGGAGAGACTGGTATTTTTTAATTTTTGAATTATTCTCTTGTGGGTAGGATTATTTTTTTCTTTCTTTCCCTATAATATTACTATTTTTTCTTTTTTCCCTTTCCCTTTCCCCCACTCCTTAGAGGGTATGACTCTAGAAAATGCTGGGTAGCGTCTTTTGACTTTTCTTCCACAGCCAATGGACTTCTGCTGGCAGGTTTTATATTGGACTGTGCAGTTTGACCTACAATCAATAGATAGTGCTATGGGTGAGAGCTGACTGTGGCCAACACATGGCTGGGTATATACTTAATCCTTGTTTACCAGGAGAAGCTCTCTGTTGCTTCAGGCAAGAGGCTTATTTGTGGAGTTCACAGTGGTCTGAGCTCCCTGCTCAGCCCCAGTGGGATAAGGGGGAAGATGTGTAGAGTTGGACTATACAGGTCCACCTACAAGGCCCTGGTTGCAGGTACAAACACCAGGCCTGAGGACGAATCCAGTGGACAGCCACCAAGAGCCCAGAATTGTTCCTTGGCATGGAGCTGGAAAACCTCCTTGGCCCCAAGTTTGCTGCATGAGGAACAGGGGGTGGCCTAAATGACTAATCCAGGTGAGTGGGTGCTCCAAATGCTTGGAGATCTACCTGACTGTGGAGTGAAGAGGGTCTTATTGCACCAAAATCTATACCCAGGTAGTGGGGGTTAGCTCAGGCTGTCGAACCAGGTGAGCAGGTGCTCCTAATTCCTGGAGATCTGTCTGGCTATAGAGTGGCCCCTATGCAGAGGATCTCTGCACAGGATGAGTAGGATGACTCAGGCTGCTAGCCTGTGTGAATGGGTGCTCTGAATGCCTGAAGATGTGTCTGGGAGTGGAGCAAAGAGGGCCCCATTGCACCACAATCTATGTCCATGAGGGTGGGTTAGCTTAAGCTGCTGTTCCAGGCAAGTAGATGCTCTAAATGCCTGAGGTTCTGCCTGGAGTGGGGCAGAGAGGGTTTCTCTATACCATCTCAGGGGAGCAGGCTGAAGCACTCAACAATGACACACACAAACCAGTTCCAGGTCACTAACCTGGCCCTGGCTGCCAGTCGTGTCATCCAGGAGAGACTGTAGTTGTAGCAGCTCTCTTCCTGCCCCAGGCCTGTGATGGAGAAGAATACAATTCCACTGCCATTGCTGAGTCACTTTCCACGGTTCTGGATGTGGAAGCCTCTAATCTGCTTCAGAGCAGGTGCTCCAATCTCCTGCCCAAGACTGAAATGCCTGTGCAGCCACGGTGCCGGGTTGACTTTATTTGCACCTGGATTACAAATGGTGTCCTTCTCTTGGTCCTGGTCTAGGAAAATGTCTGCAGCTTTTCCGAGTGTCTTCCCCTCACAGCATCTTCAAGCCTCTCCCCAGGTAAGCTCCAGGGCTTGGGAGAAACAAAGTGCTTTCCCTCAGCCTGGATTGCTTGGATCCTCAGTGGAAAGGTGAGTCACAGAGGCAAGCTCTCTGTCTCTCTGATGTACTGGGGCTTCACTCACCTCTATCAGTCAGACACTGTCATGGGGTCTGTTTTCCCATGTTCTCCTTCCCAGGATCTGGGTGTCCTTCCTGATTCCAGTGTACTCCTATTTTCCTTCTTGACATAAAGCTCATGGAGTTGGTCTTTATGCACTGTCTTGCTATTTCCAAGTGGTTGAAGCATGCTAAAAGCCTCTAATCTGCCATCTTGAAACAACAACAAAAAAGAGCAAACAAAACTGACGTTCAATTTCAAAATGGGAGTGATTCTAGATTCTGCGGAGGCTAAAGCTTATACAATTTAGATATCTGTCCTTCCCCCTCAAACCCCTTTCCTCTAAGTCATATATTTAAAAGTTAGGTATAAAGTAATTATTTAGAATAAAAAAGAAACTACAAAAATTACTAACTTAAAAAAACTGACAAATCATAATCATCACAAATTCATGAATATAACATAATATTTTATTAACTACCTGACATACCTATATATATATATATATATATATACACACACACACACTGTTTCTTACATTTTTTGACCTGCATATGCTTCAAATGAAAACAATTTTTGTTATGTTTGCAACAGAGAGAATGAAAGGATAACTCAATACTTCCTCTAGCATGGTTGATTATATATGTGAAAAGTACATATATATGTGTGTGTGTATAATATATATATATAATATATATATATCTGAAAGAGGTTTTTCTAAACTGCCAATAACGTATATTGATAGTTTAGAAAATATACATTACCAAAAGTTTTGAAAAAACTATTTTATCTAAACAATTCATTATTTGTTATTTGTCATCAGTTTTTAAGATCACTGTAAAACTGGGAGAAATACTATCATAGGTTTGTGCATATAAAAACAATAGAGAATTTTTAAAAGATAAATTTAGAGATGACAAAAAAAGTACTCTAGGCTGGGCATAGTGGTTCATGCCTGTAATTCTAGCACTTTGGGAGGCCGAGATGGGAGATTTGCTTGAGTCTAGGAGTTTGAGACCAGCCTGGACATCACAGTGGGACCCAATTTCTGCAACATCCACAAAAAAGCCTGGCATAATGGCATCTACCTGTGGTCCCAGCTTCTCAGGAGGCCTAGGTGACAGAATTGCTTGAGCCTGGGAGGTCGAGGCTGCAGTGAGCCATGATTACAACAGTGCACTGCAGCCTGAGTAACAAGAGTGAGGTCCTTTATTATTTTTATTAAATAAATAAATAAATACAAGAAAGCACTCTTCATACCAGGAGTCTTTTTTTCCTCACGTGATTTAATCAGACATTCCTAATCTAAGGGTCTTTCCAAGTTTCTTCTGATGTCATAATAATTTTATTTTATACTGATAAAAATTCCAGAAACCTGTGATCACAGGAACATATTGCTAGGCTTCCTCCCGTATCTTTAGAAGGGGTCTGTGCAGGTGAGGGGTCCCTGAATGTCATAAGATTCAAGGTAAACCCTAATAAACCTACTTCTGGATCTTTGTCACTTTTCTGTTATTTCCGTCTAAGAAATCAACTGAATTTGCTCTTCCGCTCCCGACTGACATCTTCCACAAAGCACTCTGGGCCTACAATGGCCTTAGGGACTCTCTAAATGCTGGACCTTTTTCACTCTGTGGGCTTAACCAAAATTTTAGACTCTTCATCTAAAATTAGGTCTTTGATGTCCAGTTTTCATGTTGAGTATACACACAGACACATTATGGATTTGACCCATTAACCCTGCTTTTTGTTTGCAGAGACCATTGTAGATTTGGCCTTTTCCCCTACATTTCCTGAGATACAGCCCTCCCTTCCAGTTTCCCCTAAACAACTGTAGTCAGTGTAAAAGCCTGGGTTACCCTCATGCAACAGTGTCCATTGGCCAGTGAAGGGCCAGTTTGAGCTTAGCTTACAAAACTACTTTGTACATTTTGATTTGAGCTGTTGGCCAAGTTAACTGGGGTTAGCATTAAAGCAGGGTTTATCTCTTATACTTGGCTCTGTCCCCACTTTCTTCCCTTTTGCCTATATTTTTTTCCTTCTGGGATTTCAGCACACCACTCAGCTGAGAACCCGCATGTAATAGGAAGTTTGAAAAACAAAGAATACTCAAGTACATTCTGGAAGAAAAGTATGTGATGAAAGTATATCTATACTGAAAAGAAAAGATGTTTTAAAAGGAACAAATAACATGTACTGGGAATTTTTTTTTTAAACTGAAGAAATATGCCTTTCTATTCCCTTGAATCAGATGGTACTACATGGCATTACTGACATATTTATCTGTTAACAGGTTAATGGGAATAAATACTTCTTCCACCTAAACCTGGCTGATCATCATACATCTGGTTTGAGATTATTTAGTGTGAGCGAACAAAGGAAATATCTCAGAAAACTGTCAGAAACTAGGCCAGTAAGAATTCCAGACACTGTAACATGATAAATGGATGCTTTGTTTATTTTAGTTATTGGATGGGATGTTGGATGGCTAAGTCTTCATGTTGTGTGTGAAGGTTTCTGTTTTACATTTCTTTGGGTTTTGATCTCCTCTTTTGGTCTAGTTTCCCAATACGACAGACCTCAGGTTGTTCATAGTCTAATATGGTTCCTGATATTACTTGCATACATTTTACTGCTGTTAGGTAATTGGATTATTTGATACAGATGGTAGAAACAATATTCCTGCAAGATAAATTACATGTTGTAATTTCAGCCAGCTAGAGATGGGCCAGTACAGGGTAAGTTGCTGTATGTTGTGTTTCACACATTTTACCTGGTGTTCCCAGCATTCCAGAAGCTCGACTGAGTCTTACATTCTAGTACATGCTCAGTGGTATTCGGAAACTGGAAGCAATTCTCTGAAAGTGCACTGTAGGAACATGGAAAATATGGGATGTTATTTTCGTCTGTTTTCTGTGACTATAACTGAATGTGTGAGGTGGGGCGATTGATAATGAACAGATATTTATTGGCTCATAGTCCTGAATTCAGGGAAGTCTGAGATAGAGGGGCTAGCCTGTGGTGAGGCCTTTCTTGTGGTGGCATCCTATGGAAAAGACAAAAGAGTAAGAGAGAAGATGAGAGAGGGCAAGAGAGTGAATAGAGGACAAAACTTGCCCATTTATAATGAACACACTTTCGCCATAATGACATTAATCTGTTGATGAGGATGGAACCCTCCCAGCCCAATCCCATCTCATTAGGCCTTCCCTTCCAATACTGTTGCAATGGGGTTTCCAACACCTGCTTTTTGGGGGATATATTCAAACTATAGAAGACGCTAAGGAGTGAAAAAAATAGCATTAGTATGAACAGAAAGCTTCTACATATAAATTGCAACTTGAAACTGCAATGTGATAGCCTCTTTTCTCCTAATGAAATATGAACAAAATATTTGCTTAATTTTTAAAATATATCACTTTTCAAATATAGGGTTGTTAACTTTGAAAAAACAGGTTTTAAATTTCTGTTCTCTATCATTTGTATCAGGCCTCCAAAGATCTTCTTTAAAGATTCACGCCTTTTCTTAAGAAGGTTATGAATCTATGATTTAAAAAATTTGGAAACTTATATTAGCTTTTTGATTTGACAGATTTTTTTTGTCTTTTCTCCATATTTTTAAAAGCAGTAACCCCAAATACCAAATACATGTGTTTATGGCATGCAGGTCTTTCTGATGAGCCCATAAAAACTGAGGCCCCACATTTCCTTGTGAATTGATGATTTATTACCATAGTTGAATAGTTCTTTTCATTGGCATAGAATATTTTTTTCAAGGTGCATTTGATCATGATTAATTAGTCTCACAGAATCCTAAACCTCCAAAATCATAAGTATGTGATTTATCCTTACCAAGCGTTAATTACATAAAAAAAAACTGAATAAACCTTAATTTGTAATACTTTTCTAGAATTATACCCTAAGAAACTTTTCTATTAAATACAGATAAAGTGAAAAATAATCTTTTCTTTTATGTTATTTATAACTTTAAATGATTTTAAAATAATGATTATCAAAAGTAATTACTGTATGATACATGTGTGTAGAAAATTACTTATATGCAATTATCCATTAAATAAAACCATATTCAAGAATAAAGTTTCAATGTGGCTAGAGTAAATTTTGTAGATTACTGTCTCTCAAATGGTAAACATTTTTAGTGTATTACTTAATTTTAATTTTTGTGATAAATGATAGTGATTCCCAGTGGAACCTTTTTTGGCTTATTTTCTACTAAAACTAAAACACCATTTTCACAGGTGTAATAACCAAGAAAAGACAGAAAAAGGTCAAGCAAATTCAAATAATTATATCCAACAAAGTTTAATTTCTGTATTTATTTTGGCATGAATATTTCTTTATGGAAATGTTTTTGTTTTTGAAATGAGGTAAATAAAGAGTGCTATGTTCTGAGAAATTTCCCTGTGCTGCTAAGGTACAAAATATTTGGCTGTCTTTCACTTACTGGCCAGATATATAAAATAATAATATATCACAATCTATTTAGTTTTTATTATGTCTATGTAATTGGCCTCAAATTAGTGACATATAGTCATAACCATATTAACCTACATTCTAATGCTGTCTATTCTTTGGATGGTTTGTTGTACTGTACATGTTGTCCAATTGATAAAAAATGTTCTCTATAAAAATGACAAATATATTAATATAGAATTATACTTAGGATTTCTTAAAACTTTGTTCAATTTGAATTATGATCCATCTGAAAAGAAACATTTTTCAGGATTTCCAGGTTTGGTCCTTGGTGATTCTCCCGTCTAATGACAGAAGTCAAATTTTGTGCTATATTTGGATGAAAAACATTAAGCTATTAAAATTAAAAGAAGAAAGAACAGCAACAGATTTGAAAGGAGCATTAAAACATGAAGAAAGCATTTTCTAAAATCCGTAGTGGGGCTATTTACATTTTGACAGTAATTACTAATAAAACTAATATCTGAGAAGTTGAAATTCAAATGAATACTAATCAGTGCATATTTTTTGCGTTCCTATTTTAAGTCCATTGTTGATTTGGATATTGTGAAAAGAAAAAAAGTGGTAAATGTTACCATATCCACTTTCTAGGAATTTGATATCCATTTAGTGAGACAAAAGTAATCCATATAAAACAGCATAATCCACCTTTCGTGGGATATATAAGAAAATTGTTCACTATTATGGCAGAAGCCTAATCTTTCAAAACATCAGATCTTATCAAAGCAAAAACAAGTGATTACTTGAGGAGATGCATCATGATACAATGGAAAGAATCTGGAATTTGAAATCCAAAGACCAGCTGCATTAGACTCCTTTTATGCTGTTACATTTTTACAGCTCACGTTTATTTCTCCAGCTGTTGCCACAGCACTCAACTGGGGCAGGTGTAACCTGACAGATCCTCACTCTGGCTGAATTGAGTACCTGTCACCATGAGGCTTCTTAGCTGCCTCCAAGTCGAAGACCTTAGTAACCCACTCATCTCATCTGGTGTGTGCATAGCCCTGAAAGTGTGAAAAGTTAACACTGAGTTCTGAACCTTGGATTAATGGGGGACAAAAGCTGGCAAATAAATAATTCCCTCTTCTGTTCCTTGAATAGACAATTCTGAGATGCCTTCTCCACATTCCTTAGACATTATCCCGTGGGATAAGATCCTAGTTCTTTTCAGTGAGTACAGCTTGATCATAAATCCTTGGACTGGCTCCTCCTTCTGTTTTCATTATTCCAAGTCCCCTGTTCCTGCTTCTTAGGATCAATACTCAAAATGAACTACTTGCACACAAACGTTTTTCTTAGGCTCTGTTTTTATTGGGGGAAACACAGATTAAGACACTATTTTTGACATTTAATAAGTGTGCGAATGTGGAAAAGAAGACACTTCAAGTCAAGATGCACCCTAGATTGCCTGGGATCAAACTCAGGCTTTGTCAACGATTAAATGTATGACCTTAGACAAATTACTTTAATTCTTCGTATCTTGGTTTCCACACTTCCAAAATGGGTAGAAAGCTAGTACCTACATTATAAGTGTTGTCGTGAGGACTACATATAATATAAAGTAGTCCCTGACTCACGTTAGTGAGGCTAAAATTATTTCATTCATGCGAAGCACTTATGATAATGCTGGCATACTACTGGCTTAAGAGAGTGCACATTTATTATCGTACAGTATGGAGGTCAAGGTGTTGATAGGGCTGTCTTCCTTCTGGAGGTTCTAGGATGAACTCACTTCCTTGCTTCTCCTAGCTTCTGGTATTGCCCACATTCTTTGCCTTGGGGATCCTTCCCTGCAACACTGAACTCTGCTTCTCTTGTTACGTCTCCTTCTCTGACTCTTGAGTCTTCTGCCTCCCTCTTATTGGGCCCACCTGAATAATCTTCCCATCTCAAGAAATATATTTAATCTCCAAAGTCTTCTTTGCCATGCGAGGCAACATATTTACAGGTTCCAGGAATTATGATATAGATATGTTTGGGGAGCCATTGTTCTGTGTGAAACAAAGTGCTCAACAAAGTTGGCTTGATAAATGTCTCTAGGTCCCAATTACATTATCTATTAAAACCAGAATGATTACAATCAGAATGGCATGACTATGGTAAGATAAAACAAGAACCATCTCTATGTAGTATTTAGATTTGTATCATTACAAATTCATGCTTTAGAATTGGGCCTTCAATAATGCCTCTTAATCCTGTACTGTAATCATGGACAGCTCTAATAATACTTCATGTTAAGCTACTATAATCATGGACAGCCCTAATAATACTTCATGTTAAGCCCTGTACCCTGGTCATACTAAGAGATTTGTAGTTTCCCAGATGCTCATGATACTTAATGCCAGCCCTTACTGTGCTGTATTTTAACTGATTACTTCTCTTTCTCCCTTAGAAGACTACAAGATTCTTGAGGAGCCATGTCCTGTTTATCTGTGTGTGTCTCATATGCACATGAAAAAGTAATATTTCCTACTTTCTCTTGACTGATGGCGTTGCTGACAATTCATATGCACATGAGAGAAGGCTAAGCACATAGAAGAATACTTAAAGGATAGTTATTAACTCGGATATTATTCAATCTGTAACTATTGAAAGGGTCAATCATGAATCTTTTTGCATATAAACCCCTACACAGCAAAGATGTGACAATCAGTATCATATTGCAATTGTTTTAAATGTTTTGGTGGTAATATTTTGGATCAATGTGTCACAAGAAGTATTTTTTTTAAAGTATGTGAGCTGCAATTAACCCCTAAGTGCTGTGGGCAGAGCAGTTCGAAATCACCCAAGGTCAACTTTTCCCTGAGACGAGAAAGCAAATACAGAGCTGATGATCTCAGAATTTTATTGTGTGAGCACTGAAAAAAATACAAGTCCTTTGAAGTTTGAAGCCACTTATCGGGTAACATGCAAAAATGCAAGCAAATATCACTGTTGCACTCTTTATCTTTGTAGCAAAAATATGCAACTG
Source organism: Homo sapiens (assembly GCF_000001405.40). NCBI lineage: Eukaryota > Metazoa > Chordata > Mammalia > Primates > Hominidae > Homo > Homo sapiens. The sequence goes on along the minus strand of NC_000004.12, from coordinate 127,028,605 downwards.
TATTGGCAAATTAGGTGGTGCTCTTGGCAGTTTGGAATTTTGCTCAGAGTGCCTCAGGTGACATGAGGTTTTGATTATGCCCTGAAACTACCTGCCAGAATACTAGCAGTTTCCAATCCTAATTTTGTAATGAAATCGGGTGTGAATGTGAAGACTGCTGCAATGGATGCAGTACTATCAAATTTATATTTGACATTCATATGTTGTTTCTGGTTACACTAGTGACTTTCCCAATTTTCCTGCTCCTTGTCTGTAGGAAGGAAGCCATCACAGCACCATGACATTAGGCCAAGGCTCTCTTTCCCAAAGCTCAAATGGCATCTGTTGTAGGACACTGCAATATTTTGTGTGGGCCACAAATTCAAATTCAAGCCTTAATATCTCACAGCTGGTGTGAAAGTAGTGCGTTATCGAAATTGATTTTTCACAATCAGTTATTAATCGAACTCCTTGTTCTACCCTTTCCCCTCCTGTCACTACTGCAATTCACTAGTCTAAAATAGGGGCTTCATTTTACATTAGTGGTGTTGGTTGCTCAGTGGAATTGTGTTTATTATGGGAAAAATGTTTTTGTTTGCAATTATTCAAGATATGATATGTTCAGCTTTACAGAATCATTGAAACTTTAAGACACACTACTTAGGATTTAAGATGGCAAAACCAATTCACTAATTGGCCTTCTGTAATTTTCACAGTTTCTAAAATTTAAAATTTACGTACGAGCTGCTGTGATGGTTAATTTTCTTGTGTCATCTTGGGGAGGTTATGGTACCTAGTTGTTTGGTTAAACACCAGTCTAGATGTCACTTTAAGGGTAGTTTTTAGATGTGATTTACATTTAAATCAGTAGACTTTGAGTAAAGCAGATCACACTCTGTAATGTAGGTGGGCCTTGTATAATCAGGTCAAGGCCTTAAGAGAGAAAACTGAGATTCCTCTGAGAACGATGGAATTCTAGCTTCAGACTGCCTTAAGACTCAAGACTGCAACATCAACTTTTCCCTGTGTCTCCAGCCCTGGCCTGACTTGCAGACTTCGGACTTGCCAGACGTCAATCATCTGAGTCGATTCCTTAAAATAAATTTCTCTCTCTCTCTCTTTTGTTTCCCTGGGAACTCTGAATAATACAACAACCGACAGACTAAGAGAATCCACCAAGCAGGGTAAGGCAGAAAGGGAGAACAGGGCAGTTTTTGAGACGGAGTCTCGCTCTGTCGCCCAGGCTGTAGTGCAGTGGTGCAATCTCGGCTCACAGCAAGCTCCGCCTCCCGGGTTCATGCCATTCTCCTGCCTCAGCCTCCTGAGTAGCTGGGACTACAGGCGTCCACTACCACACCTGGCTAATTTTTTGTATATTTTAATAGAGACGGGGTTTCACCATGTTAGCCAGGATGGTCTTGATCTCCTGACCTCGTGATCGGCCAGCCTCGGCCTCCTAAAGTGCTGGGATTACAGGCATGAGCCACCGCACCTGGCCAAATTTCTACTTTTTAATTTAATATTTTGGCTGGATAATGCATACAGGTTAAAAATTTTTGAATGTACACAAAAAAGTAATGGGAATCGAATATCAGAGAGTTAAATATTATAGTATCTGGCAATAAGATGACTTTCCAAGATACTACTGTGAAATGCTGTAAATGTGCTACTGTATAGCTGTAGTGGAGAAATTAAGTATTATATTAGTTTTTTTCCAAAACAATTTTTTTTTATTTTATTATTATTATACTTTAAGTTTTAGGGTACATGTGCACAATGTGCAGGTTAGTTACATATGTATACATGTGCCATGCTGGTGTGCTGCACCCATTAACTCATCATTTAGCATTAGGTATATCTCCTAAAGCTATCCCTCCCCCTCCCCCACCCCGAAACAGTCCCCAGAGTATGATGTTCCCCTTCCTGTGTCCATGTGTTCTCATTGTTCAATTCCCACCTATGAGTAACAATATGCGGGTGTTTGGCTTTTTGTTCTTGTGATAGTTTACTGAGAATGATGATTTCCAATTTCATCCATGTCCCTACAAAGGACATGAACTCATCATTTTTTTTTTTTTTATTATACTTTAAGTTTTAGGGTACATGTGCCATGCTGGTGCGCTGCACCCACTAACGCGTCATCTAGCATTAGGTATATCTCCCAGTGCTATCCCTCCCCCCTCCCCCCACCCCACCACAGTCCCCAGAGTGTGATATTCCCCTTCCTGTGTCCATGTGATCTCATTGTTCAATTCCCACCTATGAGTGAGAATATGCGGTGTTTGGTTTTTTGTTCTTGCGATAGTTTACTGAGAATGATGGTTTCCAATTTCATCCATGTCCCTACAAAGGATATGAACTCATCATTTTTTATGGCTGCATAGTATTCCATGGTGTATATGTGCCACATTTTCTTAATCCAGTCTATCATTGTTGGACATTTGGGTTGGTTCCAAGTCTTTGGTATTGTGAATAATGCCGCAATAAACATACGTCTGCATGTGTCTTTATAGCAGCATGATTTATAGTCCTTTGGGTATATACCCAGTAATGGGATGGCTGGGTCAAATGGTATTTCTAGTTCTAGATCCCTGAGGAATCGCCACACTGACTTCCACAATGGTTGAACTAGTTTACAGTCCCACCAACAGTGTCAAAGTGTTCCTATTTCTCCACATCCTCTCCAGCACCTGTTGTTTCCTGACTTTTTAATGATTGCCATTCTAACTGGTGTGAGATGATATCTCATAGTGGTTTTGATTTGCATTTCTCTGACGGCCAGTGATGATGAGCATTTTTTCATGTGTTTTTTGGCTGCATAAATGTCTTCTTTTGAGAAGTGTCTGTTCATGTCCTTCGCCCACTTTTTGATGGGGTTGTTTGTTTTTTTCTTGTAAATTTGTTTGAGTGCATTGTAGATTCTGGATATTAGCCCTTTGTCAGATGAGTAGGTTGCGAAAATTTTCTCCAATGTTGTAGGTTGCCTGTTCACTCTGATGGTAGTTTCTTTTGCTATGCAGAAGCTCTTTAGTTTAATTAGATCCCATTTGTCAATTTTGTCTTTTGTTGCCATTGCTTTTGGTGTTTTGGACATGAAGTCCTTGCCCATGCCTATGTCCTGAATGGTAATGCCTAGGTTTTCTTCTAGGGTTTTTATGGTTTTAGGTCTAACGTTTAAATCTTTAATCCATCCTGAATTGATTTTTGTATAAGGTGTAAGGAAGGGATCCAGTTTCAGCTTTCTACATATGGCTAGCCAGTTTTCCCAGCACCATTTATTAAATAGGGAATCCTTTCCCCATTGCTTGTTTTTCTCAGGTTTGTCAAAGATCAGATAGTTGTAGGTATGCGGCATTATTTCTGAGGGCTCTGTTCTGTTCCATTGATCTATATCTCTGTTTTGGTACCAGTACCATGCTGTTTTGGTTACTGTAGCCTTGTAGTATAGTTTGAAGTCAGGTAGTGTGATGCCTGCAGCTTTGTTCTTTTGGCTTAGGATTGACTTGGCGATGCGGGCTCTTTTTTGGTTCCATATGAACTTTAAAGTAGTTTTTTCCAATTCTGTGAAGAAAGGCATTGGTAGCTTGATGGGGATGGCATTGAATCTGTAAATTACCTTGGGCAGTATGGCCATTTTCACGATATTGATTCTTCCTACCCATGAGCATGGAATGTTCTTCCATTTGTTTGTGTCCTCTTTTATTTCCTTGAGCAGTGGTTTGTAGTTCTCCTTGAAGAGGTCCTTCACATCCCTTGTAAGTTGGATCCCTAGGTATTTTATTCTCTTTGAAGCAATTGTGAATGGGAGTTCACTTATGATTTGGCTCTCTGTTTGTCTGTTGTTGGTGTATAAGAATGCTTGTGATTTTTGTACGTTGATTTTGTATCCTGAGACTTTGCTGAAGTTGCTTATCAGCTTAAGGAGATTTTGGGCTGAGACAATGGGGTTTTCTAGATATACAATCATGTCATCTGCCAACAGGGACAATTTGACTTCCTCTTTTCCTAATTGAATACCCTTTATTTCCTTCTCCTGCCTGATTGCCCTGGCCAGAACTTCCAACACTATGTTGAATAGGAGTGGTGAGAGAGGGCATCCCTGTCTTGTGCCAGTTTTCAAAGGGAATGCTTCCAGTTTTTGCCCATTCAGTATGATATTGGCTGTGGGTTTGTCATAGATAGCTCTTATTATTTTGAAATACGTCCCATCAATACCTAATTTATTGAGAGTTTTTAGCATGAAGGGTTGTTGAATTTTGTCAAAAGCTTTTTCTGCATCTATTGAGATAATCATGTGGTTTTTGTCTTTGGCTCTGTTTATATGCTGGATTACATTTATTGATTTGCGTATATTGAACCAGCCTTGCATCCCAGGGATGAAGCCCACTTGATCATGGTGGATAAGCTTTTTGATGTGCTGCTGGATTCGGTTTGCCAGTATTTTATTGAGGATTTTTGCATCAATGTTCATCAAGGATATTGGTCTAAAATTCTCCTTTTTGGTTGTGTCTCTGCCCGGCTTTGGTATGAGGATGATGCTGGCCTCATAAAATGAGTTAGGGAGGATTCCCTCTTTTTCTATTGATTGGAATAGTTTCAGAAGGAATGGTACCAGTTCCTCCTTGTACCTCTGGTAGAATTCGGCTGTGAATCCATCTGGTCCTGGACTCTTTTTGGTTGGTAAACTATTGATTATTGCCACAATTTCAGCTCCTGTTATTGGTCTATTCAGAGATTCAACTTCTTCCTGGTTTAGTCTTGGGAGAGTGTATGTGTCGAGGAATGTATCCATTTCTTCTAGATTTTCTAGTTTATTTGCGTAGAGGTGTTTGTAGTATTCTCTGATGGTAGTTTGTATTTCTGTGGGATTGGTGGTGATATCCCCTTTATCATTTTTTATTGTGTCTATTTGATTCTTCTCTCTTTTTTTCTTTATTAGTCTTGCTAGCCGTCTATCAATTTTGTTGATCCTTTCAAAAAACCAGCTCCTGGATTCATTGATTTTTTGAAGGGTTTTTTGTGTCTCTATTTCCTTCAGTTCTGCTCTGATTTTAGTTATTTCTTGCCTTCTGCTAGGTTTTGAATGTGTTTGCTCTTGCTTTTCTAGTTCTTTTAATTGTGATGTTAGGGTGTCAATTTTGGATCTTTCCTGCTTTCTCTTGTAGGCATTTAGTGCTATAAATTTCCCTCTACACACTGCTTTGAATGCGTCCCAGAGATTCTGGTATGTTGTGTCTTTGTTCTCGTTGGTTTCAAAGAACATCTTTATTTCTGCCTTCATTTCGTTGTGTACCCAGTAGTCATTCAGGAGCAGGTTGTTCAGTTTCCATGTAGTTGAGCGGCTTTGAGTGAGATTCTTAATCCTGAGTTCTAGTTTGATTGCACTGTGGTCTGAGAGATAGTTTGTTATAATTTCTGTTCTTTTACATTTGCTGAGGAGAACTTTACTTCCAAGTATGTGGTCAATTTTGGAATAGGTGTGGTGTGGTGCTGAAAAAAATGTATATTCTGTTGATTTGGGGTGGAGAGTTCTGTAGATGTCTATTAGGTCCGCTTGGTGCAGAGCTGAGTTCAATTCCTGGGTATCCTTGTTGACTTTCTGTCTCGTTGATCTGTCTAATGTTGACAGTGGGGTGTTAAAGTCTCCCATTATTAATGTGTGGGAGTCTAAGTCTCTTTGTAGGTCACTCAGGACTTGCTTTATGAATCTGGGTGCTCCTGTATTGGGTGCATAAATATTTAGGATAGTTAGCTCCTCTTGTTGAATTGATCCCTTTACCATTATGTAATGGCCTTCTTTGTCTCTTTTGATCTTTGTTGGTTTAAAGTCTGTTTTATCAGAGACTAGGATTGCAACCCCTGTCTTTTTTTGTTTTCCATTTGCTTGGTAGATCTTCCTCCATCCTTTTATTTTGAGCCTATGTGTGTCTCTGCACGTGAGATGGGTTTCCTGAATACAGCACACTGATGGGTCTTGACTCTTTATCCAACTTGCCAGTCTGTGTCTTTTAATTGGAGAATTTAGTCCATTTATATTTAAAGTTAATATTGTTATGTGTGAATTTGATCCTGTCATTATGATGTTAGCTGGTGATTTTGCTCGTTAGTTGATGCAGTTTCTTCCTAGTCTCGATGGTCTTTACATTTTGGCATGATTTTGCAGCGGCTGGTACCGGTTGTTCCTTTCCATGTTTAGCGCTTCCTTCAGGAGCTCTTTTAGGGCAGGCCTGGTGGTGACAAAATCTCTCAGCATTTGCTTGTCTGTAAAGTATTTTATTTCTCCTTCACTTATGAAGCTTAGTTTGGCTGGATATGAAATTCTGGGTTGAAAATTCTTTCCTTTAAGAATGTTGAATATTGGCCCCTACTCTCTTCTTGCTTGTAGGGTTTCTGCCGAGAGATCCGCTGTTAGTCTGATGGGCTTCCCTTTGAGGGTAACCCGACCTTTCTCTCTGTCTGCCCTTAACATTTTTTCCTTCATTTCAACTTTGGTGAATCTGACAATTATGTGTCTTGGAGTTGCTCTTCTCGAGGAGTATCTTTGTGGCGTTCTCTGTATTTCCTGAATCTGAACGTTGGCCTGCCTTGGTAGATTGGGGAAGTTCTCCTGGATAATATCCTGCAGAGTGTTTTCCAACTTGGTTTCATTCTCCACATCAGTTTCAGGTACACCAATCAGACGTCGATTTGGTCTTTTCACATAGTCCCATATTTCTTGTAGGCTTTGCTCATTTCTTTTTATTCTTTTTTCTCTAAACTTTCCTTCTTGCTTCATTTCATTCATTTCATCTTCCATTGCTGATACCCTTTCTTCCAGTTGATCTCATCAGCTCCTGAGGCTTCTGCATTCTGCACGTAGTGCTCGAGCCTTGGTTTTCAGCTCCATCAGCTCCTTTAAGCACTTCTCTGTATTGGTTATTCTAGTTATACATTCTTCTAAATTTTTTTCAAAGTTTTCAACTTCTTTTCCTTTGGTTTGAATGTCCTCCCGTAGCTCAGAGTAATTTGATCGTCTGAAGCCTTCTTCTCTCAGCTCGTCAAAATCATTCTCCATCCAGCTTTGTTCCGTTGCTGGTGAGGAACTGCGTTCCTCTGGAGGAGGAGAGGCGCTCTGCATTTTAGAGTTTCCAGTTTTTCTGTTCTGTTTTTTCCCCATCTTTGTGGTTTTATCTACTTTTGGTCTTTGATGATGGTGATGTACAGATGGGTTTTCGGTATGGATGTCCTTTCTGGTTGTTAGTTTTCCTTCTAACAGACAGGACCCTCAGCTGCAGGTCTGTTGGAATGCCGTGCCGTGTGAGGTGTCAGTCTGCCCCTGCTGGGGGGTGCCTCCCAGTAAGGCTGCTCGGGGGTCAGGGGTCAGGGACCCACTTGAGGCAGTCTGCCGGTTCTCAGATCTCCAGCTGCCTGCTGGGAGAACCACTGCTCTCTTCAAAGCTGTCAGACAGGGACATTTAAGTCTGCAGAGGTTACTGCTGTCTTTTTGTTTGTGTGTGCCCTGCCCCCAGAGGTGGAGCCTACAGAGACAGGCAGGCCTCCTTGAGCTGTGGTGGGCTCCACCCAGTTCGAGCTTCCTGGCTGCTTTGTTTACCTAAGCAGGCCTGGGCAATGGCGGGCGCCCGTCCCCCAGCCTCGCTGCCGCCTTGCAGTTTGATCTCAGACTGCTGTGCTAGCAATCAGCGAGATTCCGTGGGCGTAGGACCCTCTGAGCCAGGTGTGGGATATAGTCTCGTGGTGCACCGTTTTTTAAGCCGGTCTGAAAAGCGCAATATTCGGGTGGGAGTGACCCGATTTTCCAGGTGAGTCCATCACCCCTTTCTTTGACTCGGAAAGGGAACTCCCTGACCCCTTGCGCTTCCCAGGTGAGGCAATGCCTCGCCCTGCTTCGGCTTGCACACGGTGCGCGCACACACTGGCCTGCACCCACTGTCTGGCACTCCCTAGTGAGATGAACCCGGTACCTCAGATGGAAATGCAGAAATCACCCGTCTTCTGCGTCGCTCACGCTGGGAGCTGTAGACCGGAGCTGTTCCTATTCGGCCATCTTGTCTCCTCCCCGAACTCATTTTTTATGGCTGCATAGTATTCCGTGGTGTATATGTGCCACATTTTCTTAATCCAGTCTATCATTGTTGGACATTTGGGTTGGTTCCAAGTCTTTGCTATTGTGAATAGTGCCACAATAAACATACGTCTGCATGTGTCTTTATAGCAGCATGATTTATAGTCCTTTGGGTATATACCTAGTAATGGGATGGCTGGGTCAAATGGTATTTCTAGTTCTAAATCCCTGAGGAATCGCCACACTGACTTCCACAATGGTTGAACTAGTTTACAGTCCCACCAACAGTGTTAAAGTGTTCCTATTTCTCCACATCCTCTCCAGCACCTGTTGTTTCCTGACTTTTTAATGATTGCCATTCTAACTGGGGTGAGATGGTATCTCATTGTGGTTTTGATTTGCATTTATTCATTTCAGCTAGAGGGGTAAAGAACACACACATTCATTTATTCAATTGTATGTATAAATTTAAAAAGAATAGTTTTATGAGTATTGGACTATAGTTAATTCAGGTTTAGTGAGAGAAATTTTGTAAAAAAAGATTTTGTTTTTAGATAATGGAGAGTAAGAGGTAAATAAATATTTATGGATGTATAAGATATAAAAACAATACTGTAGCAAACAGTTAAGTGAGTGAATTTGGGAGCTAGGTTTGGATTCTAGCTATGCTACTTGACAGTATTGAGCATCATAAGTTTACTTAACCTTCTCATCTACAAAGCAAGGATAAGTACGGTAAGTAATACTAGAGGATCTTGAATATTAAATGGATCACCATGTGTGAAGACAATAGAATATTGGCTAGCACATACTAAATGTTCAGTAAAATAATGGTTCTCCTTACATCTTTGTACAGCTTTTAACACAAAATAAAAAAATTCAAAGGCTGGAAACAGGTTATTTTAATTTAGTCTGAATATTTTAAAAATGTTTAGCTAAAGCTGACAGTCCTGACATACTCTGTGAAAGTCATATTTGTGCTACATTGTCTAGAACTAGAAATGGAAGTATCAAATTGTATTGCATAAATCTTTCTTCATAAGCCTTTAAATCTGATTTTTTAAACTGTTAAAATTTTATAATTCCATTTTGGAATCCTAATCCATGTTGTTTTAATTGTTTATGAAATGCTAAATATGCACAGCTGCTATAAGGAAGACTGAAATAAAAATAAAGGAGATTGAGTACAATTCTCAAAATGCATTGGAACTCAGAGACATTAAAAATAAATTTGTTCAGGCTGGGTGTGGTGTCATACATGTTAATCTCAAGACTTTGGGAGGCTAAGATGGAAGGACTACTTGAGGCCAGCCTGGGCAACATAGTGAGACCCCAGCTCTATAAAAAATTGAGGAAACAATTAGCCAGGTGTGGTGGTGTGCAGCTGTAGTCCTAACTGCTTGGGAGGCTGAGGCAAGAGGATTGCTTGAGCCCAGGAGGTCAAGGCTGCAGTGAGCTATGATTGTGCCACTGCACTACAGCTTGGGTGACAGAGTGAGACCCTGTCTCAGAAAATAAAAATAGTAAATAAATCTGTTTGGAGATAGAAACATAATCTAGGTGTTAATATATTTCTCTCTTTATACTCAACACACACTGTATTTATGAACCTTCGTTCATCCTTTCATATCAGAATCCTCATGTATTTAGAATGCATTTTTGTTTCTGTACATTTTTGCAGAAATTACTGCATGCAAATGAGGGTGAATAATGCTATGTTCTGTTTTCATTTCTTACTAAGGACCTATAAGGCCAGAATACCCTAATGTGAATTACATCACCAATAGTACATTTAAAAAGTATATTTTGCCCCATGATGACCACTTATTGGTCTGACAATTTCACTTCATCCTTCTTCTTGACCATCTCTTGAATGGACCCAGTGTTTATGCCGGAATAATTTTCTTTGGCCAGATCAACTATGCATGTATAATTCTTCGTATAGGACTTCCTGCCATCTGTTTCAGATTTTATTTCCCATGTATGCTTTCTTGTTCCATCATCTGTATTAGTTTGGAACTAATTCTTGAGTAAGAAGTAATGTCCTTTCCTGAATCTGTTCTGAATTGCCAGGGGGTTGGGTATTTGAAAAACTTCTTATGTTAAAAAAAAAAAGAGAGAAAAGAAAAGAAAATAGTGAGCACTGTGACTATTAGTTAAAATTATTCTACATTGACTATTTTATGCTGAATTATCTTTCAGATTTATGTTCACTTGGTTTTAGACAGTGTTTACTAACATTGACCTAATTTGAAAGTCAATGTCTGTTTAAGAATATACAGGAGAATTACATGATTGCAATATTTCATAGCCATGGTGAGTTCACAGAGGGAAATTTGGAACTTATACTCAGATGTTTCATAAAGAACCATTTTATATCTATTAATGGGAAAAAAAAGCTGATAACCAAGGTTTTCTTCACCCTCCCTCTAAGAGAAAAACACAACATATTGTGGTATCTGCTTATAAGCAGAGAGGAGTAATAGATGACTGGTAGTTTCTTCACCTTTGCCTGTGGCATTTTTATCAAGAAATGAGACCAACCTTAGTGATTAGCCATGAGCATGAAGGGTAACTGGGCATTAGCAAGTCTATACTTCTTACTGAGTTATAGGTTAGCACACTAGTTATAGAAGTTTCCAGGTCAGTTTTTTGCAGTCTGTTCAGCTTCAGGAGACTTTTGGGGAAGTTTTACAGGATGCCAGTAAGTTTATGGCTTGAAGACTCGATGGATGTCTTTGTCTGCCTGAGTAAATTGGGAAATAATGAAAGCCAAGGACAGCATGTCCTTTGCAATTACCAGAAGCACTGATTGCTGGATATACTGGGATTTTCAGGAGGAGAGAGGAGTGAGAAGGATGCGAGCACATCCTTAGTCTTCTCTCTCTGAAAGGATGCCTCAGACTTTTGAGTAGAAGACGACACTTCCTCAGAGTAATTAATTTAAGTTTTACATCCTAATTTCAAAAGAAAATTAAAGATAACTTACACTCAAGGACATGTTAATTTTTTGCTAAAGTTGAACTGTAATAAAAAATTTTTATTAGCTATAGTCAGGTTTTTTGGGAATTTTCTGAACACATTCAAAATGTTCTACAATGTTTAAGACACCTGGATAAGAAGGAAACCTGAACAGTCAGTTTGGACTGTTTATGAGCCCCTGAACAGCAGAGAGTGCTGGTGAACCCAGGGCAACAATCTGATTGTCCCATGCAGGCATAGCTTCTGTAACCTAAAATCATGGCCATTTTGGAAGTAGAACCAATTTAGAAACAAAGGGATTCAGCCACCTCTGTTTCAATTAACTATATTGTGATATCTGAAGTGTCATTGTTTTCTAGTTAACAATGTGGATTTTTAAGAAAACACATTCATTAAGAGCATATATGACACCAAGCAGTGTGGTCTTGTTCATGAAACCTATTTCCTAGTAGAAAAAATAAGATTATCTTTGTTCTTGTATAATGTAAGAATTTCTCAGTAGTAAAGCCATCAACTCTAAGAAATGTTTAATTATTTCTGCATTAATTTTAATGAAATGTGCCACATTATAACCTATTTCTATACTCTTGACTGCTCCATCATTGAAAAACACTTTTTTTAAAAAAATGAGTTTTTCCTCCCTGTGCATAATTTGCTTAGCATATTAAACATACATTTTGTCACACCTCTGCTGTTACAGGATGCTTTCTTTGTTATGCAAAAGGGATTGAATGCTAAAATGATAAAACTGCTTTATGTAATTCAGCAAAAAATTTATCTATTTGTGTTTGGCTTAGGTGTCTTTAGAATAAATCAACAAGACATGCTACATGTGTAATTATTTCAGAAAATAAAACAGCCTTAATATTGTTCTCTCTATTCTCTTTCCTGTACAATTTCAACTGTTTCTAAGTTTCATAAACTGGGAGGCATAAACAGTTAAGTGTCTGCCTACAGGGTTATAGTCTTATTGGAACTCTCATAACTAATGTATATAGAAGGGCTCCTAAGTACTTATATACTGCTAATGGTTGTGAGCTAGAGGAGTGTTATAACAAGATTTGTACATATATGAGTACGTGTGTGTATATATATATACGGTACATATATGATATATATTATATTTATTTTTTCAGCTTTGCTGAAGTTACTAATGACATTTGTAATGTGATGAAGGGAGAATATACTATGCGCTGCTTTCCATAATGGCTAAGATAAATGACTATTACTTATAGTCCTCAAATGCAAGCCATCCCAATCCGAAAGCAGCTCTGCAGAAGAGGAATGCGCACCTCATTTTGGGGCAAAGAATTATGCAGAATGTGCTCAAGACACCTGCAGAAAATTAAAGACTTTACTTCTCTGTATGTGAAATTCTCATGAGGTAATTACCCTCAGTGTCAGACATAATACTGCTCCCATTAGATGGAACACATCGAGGGAAAATTGAATAGACTTTTTGTCGGGAGTGCTCCTAAGGATTAATAGGGCTGTCTACAGCAGTAATTGGAAGGTTTCCCTCCACTTTGCATGCAACCATCCTCACTTGTGTCTTTCAGGTTTATTATTAGGCCATTGCCATTCTATTTACCATGGAGGCTCAAGCGTCTTCCTTGTTAACGTCTCCTGCCAGCACCTTTGTTTCTTTGGAATGGGCTGCTGCCTTTAACCACTTCCCCTTTTGTGCTGGCCTTGCCTTGCCTCCCTTTATGTCTCTGCCTGGTCACAGTGCCAAGAGCTGGCAGGAAAGCAGCTCCTTTTCCATGCATCGCAAAGATGAAAGTGACCAAATAGGGCTTGATCAGCTAAAGCATCTCACTTTGTTCGAGGCCTCTTTCATCCTTCAGGGAACTTCCTCAGCAGGGCTGGAGCTGAAAGCTAATCTTTCTGACTGTGTTTTGGCATCTGTAACGCCAATATCCAGTTTATAGATCTATACAGCGAGTGGTCTCTTTGTTTGGATTTTTAGTATGTCTCTAATTATTGCATATGATTTCTGAGTTAAAAGGAGATTCAGAAATCTGCATCATATTATTTTCTTTACTTCTCTAGCATATGGGGCCATATTAAAAAGATTCATACTTGTCATGCATTGTATTATATTATTCAGTGATAGTGTTCTGGCTTAGGTTAAACTGAAAGTAGACATAAAAGGACTGGATATAGAATCAGGTTGCTGTATGTTAGAATAACTGATTCAGGTGTGTGGTGAAGGGTGTGTGTGTGTTTTCTCAGGAGGACACAGGGAGATTGGGATGAGGAATGAGGAAGGGGAATATTTATGTGGGCTAACGATTTGAGATTTTCCTTTTTAGGTATTGCATTTGGAGCTAGAGATTTTAGTTTATTAACTTTGCCTTTCAATGCATTTTTGCTGGCTCTTGTATTAAATGAAAAATACAAGAATAAAAAGTTTTCTGCCAATGAAAAAACCCAATTTGATGAATTGTGCTGAAATAAATCAATGAAAATAAAGAGACACCGTTTGTGTCCTCGCTTTATTCTTAGGGGTCAGTTTAGTGACTCAATATTTGAAACCACTCTGAATTTGAGTTGACTTTTGAGAACTTAGAAATATTAGTTTACCATTGCTGAAATATCAATTTAAATATATTTTAGATTAATTTTAAATACACTACCTTTTCTATTTAGAACTTAAAGAAAAAAATTCTGGTCAATTCTCAGTATCTTCTATTTGTGTGTTTTTATTCTTCTTAGTAGATAATAAAGTCCTTAAGGGTACTGTCTGATCTCACTTCTGTATAGCTCCTGCTTTCTTAGCACAGCCAACTTTCAATAAATATCTGTTAAATAGAACCCTCCAAAGTAAATTGTTTTTGTGAGACTAAGGGTAAAAAATAAAATGTAAATAATGGCTAAGAAAAATTTTTGTTTTAAATATTGACCATGCAATTTTTTTAAGGTTTAGTAAAATTATCATCTCTTAATATATAATACTGTTTTTGTAGCTAATTTCATTCATGTGTGAAATAACAGAAATAATTATTACATGATTATGTGTAATTATATAATAATTTAATTGATTATAACAAAATTATAAAATATATGTTCACTATATAAAATATATACACATGTAAACTATCTTTTATATATGGAATATATAATTATACATTATGATTAATTATAATACAGTTATAACATATTTTAAATATATAAATATATAAAATTATTAAAAATGAGTTGCAAAATATGATGAAATTAGTATAATGTAAAAATATATAAGCACATATATTTAATATTTAATTTATATATGTATATAAAATCAATACAGTTATGCTCCAGTTAGAGAGCAAAACAAGGACATTTAAGTTTAGAAACTGATAAGAAATCTTTATTGTAATCAATGGATTAAATAGAGAAAGTTCTTGCTATGTGTTTTAATATAATTTAATATTTTCAATTCAGACACAGAAGTACCAAATGTATAATACAATGCTTCATACATACTAACTGCTTAATAAAAATGACAGCTACTACCACTATTTTCTTTAAGTTGAGTCTGCTCTCGCTCTGTTGCCTAGTCTGGAGTGCAACTCACTGTAACCTTGAACTCCTGAGCTCAAGCGATCTACCTGCCCCAGCCTTCCAAGTAGCCAGGACTACAGGTATGAGTCAAGGTCCCTGGCCAATCAGTATCCTTGTTACTATGTTTAAGCATCTGTCATGGAGAAGATCCTACAATAGATTATTAAAAAAAATTCCACTTTTATTTTAGATTCATGGGGTACATGTGCAAGTTTGTTAAATGGGTATATTGCATGATGCTGTGGTTTGGGGTATGATTGATCCTGTCACTCAGATAGTATAGTACACAATAGGTTTTCAACCACTCCTTCCCTTTCCTCTCTAGTAGTCCCCAGTGTCTGTTGTTGCCATTTCTATGTCCATGAGTACCCAGTGTTTAGCTCCCATTTATAAGTGAGAACATGCGGTGCTTGGTTTTCTGTTCCTGCATCAATTTGCTTAGGATAATGGGCTCCAGCTGCAGTCATTGCTTCTGCAAAGGACATGATCTCATTCTCTTTATGGCTGTGCAGTATTCCATGGTGTATATGTACCACATTTTCTTTATCCAATCCACTATAGATGGGCACCGTGGGTTGATTCCATGTCTTTGGTGTTGCAACATTAGACTTTAACTTATGCTCAGAATATGTCCTGGCTCAGTCCTGTACTATCTTTGTGAGCTCAATTTTTTTTTTATTTCTGAAATTAAAATTTTCTACCTCTAAGGGTATGTGAAATCATTTGAAAATTGTAATATTTTGTATAAATGAAGAATATTATTATTTTGAGAACGTTATTTTCCGCCTCATTTCTAGAACTACATCTGTAGTGTAAACCAGTTGCCTATGGAGCACATCCTACTCGTCTACCTATTCTAAGATTCTGCTGATCTGTGGCTGATAGACTTTTGACCAGAATATACCACGACATATCATGTGAAATGTCAGCTGTAAAATTTATGGGACTGATTCAGACAAAGTTTTGTTCCTCAAAGCACCTACATTTGTGAAATTTCGTCCTCTCAACTAAATGCTGGTAGAGGAGCCAGACTGACAGCAATCCAAGGTAAAACCACTCTGTTATACTGGATGTAATGATATTTACCAGCTGGCCTTGGCCTGGAGCCTTCTGTTCCTACCTGGATAGGGCCACTGCAGGCCATGAATGGGCTGTTCAGTCTCCAGACCCTCTTGCTTTCTGGCTCCCTAGCAGATTTTAAGCAAAAGCCTAATTAGTAGTGGTGACACCTGCCCACCAAGGAATGATGGAAGGCCATCAGCTCATGGCTCAATGATCACCAAATGTGTAGTAAGTTGTGAAAATATTTGGTCATGACTCATTCACCACTTGGACAAGGTTCAAAGTGAGGAAAACTCAAATGTAAGAGACCTTATATCCATTTCTAGTTTCATCAAATGTCCAGCTGCCTTCTCTGAATAAAATCCATACTACCACCAAAAAAAGTAACTCTTTAACCCTCTGGAATTTGGGTCTTTTGGATGATTTTTTTTTATTATTGTACACACTTACATAAAGAATTGTTCTTTTATTATAACACATCTCTATGTATGTGTTTATTACATGACAGCAGTAAAAGATTAGTACATTTTTAAGTGCATTTATGTTAGAATATTATTTTCTTCTCTATTTTTCACACAAATGAAACATCATTTATGAAAACACAGGGTAAACTTTTTCCCTCATGAGTACTTGCAAACTGAAGTTAGTTATTTTTATTTGCTTTTTTAAGAAAAATACCTATTTTTCCCTCTATCTGTGTTTTTTGGAATCTTTAATGTATTATATTTTTGGAGGCAACATAAACTGGCATGTAGAAAGCAGTGTGCCAATTTTTTTAACACTTCGTTGAATAATTTCTTAATCCTTTCCACCTACTCCTCTGCTTTTTGCCTATTTAGAGCCCTTTTTTTTGGTAATTTTCGCCCTCATAATAGTTTTGTTAGATTTTTTTTCTTTTCTTCCTGGCTCAGTGATTATTTACCACTTCCCTACCTTATGTTGAGGTATTGAAATCATAATGTTCAAATGATCAGATAAAATTCATTGGTTAATTTTTTTCATCAACGATTTCCTATTTTTAAGGCATATGATATTTTCTTTAAAGAGATTTGGAAAATACACTATACATACAAAGGAGTACGTGAAATGCATACATGTACTGTAAAATTACAACAAATAAAATTAACATCCATGTGTCCACTATCTAGCTTAAGAAATAAAACATGATCGTGATAGCAGTGTATCCCTCTGAGATCACATTCCTTTCCCTTTCTATATTTTATGTCCAACCACATGTATATAACCTAAGAGTAGGATTAATTTATTGATATTGAATTTTATGAAAATCAAATAATAACACATGATATATGTATTCTATGCCTTGCATATGTTGCTTAATATTGAGATTCATTTTTATTGATTTATAAAGTACTATGTCATTTCTTTTCATCACTTTAGATGATTTCAGTATATTAATATACAGTAAGTTATTTTCTCACTTCTCATATCACACATAACTGTATGAAAACAATAGTACAACACACTTTGTTGAGCATTTGTTTTGGTAAACATTTGTGATTGTTGTTGTTCGGAACAATGTTGCTATGCATTTTCTTACATAAATCTTCTAATATATAAATATAAAATATTTTAGTAGTAGAATTACAAGGCTGCAGCATACACACATGTTCAACTTTATGTGACAAATAGTTTTTGAAGGGGTTGCACCAATTTACATGTACACTGGCAGTGACTAAGAGTTCTTCTTGTCCCATATTTTTACTAAAATTGACACTGACTTACTTTAAAATTTTGCATGAAATTGTATCTCATTGAGGTTTGAAATTGTATTTCCTAATTACTGATGAGGATGCAGGTTTTAACAAGTTTATGGTTCATTTGGCTTTCCTCTTTTGTGTAATGCTTGTTTATGTCTATTGCAATTTTTACTTGAGGTTATGTGTCTTTTTCTTACTGATTAAAAATAACTTTTATGTATCCTAAATGCTAATCCTTGTTATTTATAGATACAGCAAATATTTTCATTCAGGTGGTAGCTTGTCTTTTTATTCTCTTCATGGTGTATTTTAAGAAACAGAAGTTCTTAATTTTAATGTAGCTAAATATATCAATCTTTTTCTTTATGTTCATATCGTTTGTGTCTTGTTAACAAATCTTTTCTTACCTGAAGTTCATTAAGATACTATTCTATTTGACAAATTAGAGGTTTATAGATTTTTCTTTATAAAAAGAAAGTACTTCATGTATCTAGAATTTAAGATTACTATAGAGTGTGAGGTAAAGTTCATATCTTCTTTTTTCATATGAATAATAACTCTCCCAACATTTTTATTGAATAGTTAATCCTTTCCTTACCAATCTGCAATGTCAGCTTTGTTAAGACTCATTTATATATGCTTGGCTTTATCTCTATTATTTCTATGTCTATCCACTCATATTATTTCTATATACTTACACCTCTTATCTATTCTATTTATGATATAATGTCTTAATATTTGACAAGGCATGACATCTGACCTTTTTATATTTTAGGCATATTTCTGCTGTTTTTAAGCCTTAGGAATGCCATGTGGATTTTAGAATTACCTTTTTATATTCATAGAAAAGCTCTATTCAGATTTTGCTGGAATCGCATTTAATGTATAGGTTGATTTAACAGAATGTGCATTTAAGTGATTCTTGGTGTTCCTATATGAAAGCATCATATACCTTTCCAAATAGAGAAGATTTTCAAAAATATCTTTCAAAGAAGATTTATAATTTTCTTCACACATATTTTTTGTTAGACTTATTCTTTTACATTTCTTTTGTGGCCTTAAAGTGATACCTTCGTACATATTTTTTAATTGGAAAATACTATACACCAACCAACAAACAAAAAGTGCACAAAACATAAAGTTTAGCTTTTTATTTGAAAAGCTTCATTTTATTAGTTGAAATACAAACAACCATGTAGCTATATACCAGGTTAAAAAATAGAACATTGGTAGCTTTCTAGAAGCCCTGTTTATGTGTTTTCCTAGCCTTGTGTTTTCCTAGCTGGTGTTTCCTTCCAGCTACCACCCGCTCTCTCTCTTCTCCTTCATAGTTAAACATATGAAAAGCATTGCCTAAATCTGCTACTTCACTTTGTTTCTTCACTAATTTCTCAACCTTCTGCAGTATGGCTTCTGCCCCCACCCCAGCTGCCATCACCACAATTGGCAATGACAATAAATCTATGGAACACATTTTAGGTTATATGTATTTTTTCTTAGTACGATATAATTGACCATTCTTTTGTTTATGAAACCTTCTCTTTGCTCTCTCATGATCAAACACTCAACACACTGTATCCAATCTACTTAAGCCACATCTTCTTAAACTTTTGTTGTTGTTTCGCAAAATTCTCATGCTCTACCTAGTGGATTCCATTTTAGGCCCTTCCTCTCTGACTCTAAATATGCAACCTGGGGAATCTCATCCACTCCAATTCTAGCAACCACTATCAGCAGACTGAAAAGTCATCTTTATCTCCAGTCTCCTGGCCTCAGGTGGGCCTATCCAGCTGCATGTTCTACATGTCACCTGGATGATCCTCAGGTACTAGACAGTCAGTATGTTCTACACTGAACTCATCACTTTTTTCTCCCTAACCCGTTACCACTCCATGGTCCCAGTCAGAGCAAATGCCACCACATTCATTTCGTTTCATTTCATTTCATTTCCACTAACATTACCGTAGATCAGCCTCCATCATCTCCTCCCTGAATTTCTATACCAGCTTCCTAAGTAGTCTCAGTACCTCCAGTCTACTTTTCTTCTGTGCAGCCAGAGTAGTCTTTATACAGAAAAGCATTATTTTCTCATTTTTTATTTAAAACATATAATTTCTCCCTGTTTATCTCAATTAAAAAAACACAAAGAGTAATGAAACTTTTTACATGGCCAACACGGCCATGCATGACCTGGCATTGTCTCCTCTTTCCATTCTCTCTTTATTTCCCCTTTATAAAATTTCCTACCATGATCGTCAGGTCTGACCATAGTAGATATCACCTTCCATGGTAGGCTTTCCAGGAGACAGTCTCCATCTCCACTCCATCGTCATATCATGTTGCTTCCCTAACATGCTATGTTTCCTTTATCCTAGAACCCTGTTGTTGTTAGAAGTTTACTCGTCTGAATCTCCTCTTCATTTAGCTCTGTGAGTAGGATTGCAATTTTTTTTTAACAAAAATAATAACACTACAGTTTAAACTACTTTAAAAAATGTCATTCTATAGGAAATTCATTGACAATAATCTATATTATATCTGTGTTTTGCATTAGTTTGCATTGCCTGATTGTATATCATCATATAGTATACTTTATCTGGGGAGAGAAACTCTTATAGTCTGATATTTTTTCTTTATCTATAAATTCAAATATGAGTTCAAAATTTGCATTTGGCAAACTTTTCCTGAAAATAGATCAATGTCCATTTGTTTATTTTTGTGTACCAAGTGTCTAGCATGGGTACTTATTAAATAAGTGTTGAGTGAGTGAATGAATGAGATAATGTAGGAGAGGAAAACAAAATAATTGTGTTAATATTTATCTGGGGAAATTATGTGGATTACTATATATTTATAAAAATCAAACATACAGCAATAACTTGTTTATTACTGACCTCCTTTTCAAAATAGCAACTTAGTGAAAGTCTCACTTTTGAAAGAAGTTATTTTATGTAAGAATAGACATTTTTCACTTTTTATGATCAAGCTGTCCCTTTTTTCTTGCAATAATATTTATATAAAATTTCTTCCTTCATCATGCTAGGCATGCACCACCTCTGCCTCTACCTACCTCTGTTTGACAGGGATTACTACTGAGGCAACTGTAAATATTATCTGGATCCGTGGTAGGCAAACCTTATCTGCAAAGGATCAGATAGTAAATATTTTTTTAGTTTTGCAGGCCCCAGCATCTCTTTGCCGCTACTCAAATTTTGCTGTGGGAAAGCAGCCATAGACGATATGTAAGTAAGTGGGTGTGGTTGTGTTCCAATAAAATTTGTTTACAAAAGCTACCTGCAGGATACATTGGCCCATGGACCATAGTTTGCCAATACCAGCTGTAAAGGAAATATTAAAGGGAGGTGAAAGTTTTGAGAGCAAGCCTAAATTAGAGCTCTGCTGTATATTTCCAGTCATTATTCTTCTTTTATAAAGAGCAGGTAAATGTGAACAGCAAGTCCTACATCGTGGGAAGGAGGGAAGGCAATTGTGCCTATAATTCCCATTCAGCGCAGGCGATCTCACCAAACACGGCTTTGCATTTCCAACTTCCAAGGCGATGCCCTTGACGTTCAATTTGAAAAGAAACTGGCTTAGAAAAATAGTTTCTCTGAAATAATGGTTTCAATATTTATTTTGCATGAGCACGATATGTTTGAGATAAATTTGGGCTACTTCCAAGGTAACTCTAGGGACTTCTGTGGTATATCTGTAAGTGTTTACAAGACAAAGTTTGCAAATTACTTAAAACCAGGAATAGTTTGGTAACTGAATGCTTCCTCATTGAGAGGGAAATAGATTTCCCCAAGAAAAAACAACCACACTAAGAACAGTCTGACCACTTCAACAGAATGTTAATAAGTTCCAGCATATGTGGCATGTGGATGTGGCAAAGAAAGAAACTTTTTCTACCATATGTGTCTGCCCATGTGCTATATATGTAAATGTGTCAATACTGTGTCATCAGCACTATTATCTTGTTTGGGAAGAAATGTCAATAATAATTCTTAAACTAAATTCATATTTTATGTTGCAACATATTTTCAAAAAACCCTACCCCATGATGTTT
Source organism: Homo sapiens (assembly GCF_000001405.40). Classification (NCBI taxonomy): domain Eukaryota; kingdom Metazoa; phylum Chordata; class Mammalia; order Primates; family Hominidae; genus Homo; species Homo sapiens. The sequence continues at coordinate 127,007,187 of NC_000004.12, read as the reverse complement.
ATTTCTTGATACAACAAGAATTTAATTTTTTTTTCAAGTTCTATGCCTGGCAGGGCATTTCTCCAGCCTCTATCCATTCCCTTACTCTACCCATTTGGGTTCCATGACAGCCTATAATAAGAAACTGTTCTACTTCAAAAAAGATTCTGTAATTCTTCTTCAGGGGAACTATTAGATTGGTGCAAAAGTAATTGCAGTTTTGCCATTACTTTCAACCAACCTAATACATCGGCATCTGAGAGTTATGTATACTGAAGACTTCAATACAGTGAGAAAAAAATTGAAACGGTGGCTTTTAAAATTTTAGGGTATATAAAAATCACCATGTGAGCTTGTGCAGATGCTTGGTACTTGCCTCTAGAAATTATGATTGTGTAACTCTCAAGAGGTGCCCAGGAATCTTCATCTTTTATTCATCACTGCAGTTAATTCCAAGGCAGTTGTTTCACAAGGCAGTTGGACTTCACTTTGAGAAGCACTGCTCTTAAAGCTTACTTCAATTGTGCCTTATGGGTCTGCAGCAGATAGCTCATTGCAGTAGATGTTGTGTTTCACTTTGGGTTGCCTCCAAAGTGTTCTCTTGTGTATGAAAAATTTTATGATTTGAATTGCAGATTTCATTCAGCAAGGCCCCACTGGCTTACACATTCAACAATAATACCATGGAAGCTACAATAAAGAGGCAGATGCTTGGCTCCTGCTGTTCATGTGGTAGAAATGATCATATTCAGCAGCAAAATCCAGAGTGAGACTGGATGAAACTTAATCAGTCAAGTCAGTTTCCAGAACTATAATCCATTCCTAAGAATGAAGAACTACAATATGCAAGTCATTAAAATCATTACATCAGTCAAGTATTTGAAGAAGGGATTTATGTTTATGCCTTTGTTTTATATATAGCCAGACCACTTAATACTATAATTTTCTCCACTGATTGCCAAGATGACACTCTTAGAATGAATTAAAATGACATTTTGTGAGTTTCGCACTTGAAATCCTTAGGCAAATTTGGTGATAATATCTGAATTACTAATAAGCAGTCTGGAGACATATACTATTGTTTTGTGGTTGAAGAGCTGTCATTATTTTTCCTAAATGCTTTATTCTTTGAATAATTGTCTAGTAAATATTTAGAAGAAATGTAGCTCATCAAGTTGTAGTCTCAGATGCCTTCCTCCCTGCCTTCTTTCCTTCCTCTCTTCCTATCTTTTCCTTTCCCCTTCTCCTCCTCTTCTTCTCCCCTCTCTCCTTCCCTCCTTTTCTTCTTTTAAATGTACACATTTAAGAAACAGCTTTGTTGAATTTTGTAATGGCATGGGCTAGTGATGTTCTTCTAATTTTCATCTTATTGTTGACTAAGAATTTTAAACAATGATTTTAATTTCTTAATGACCAATTTCTTCATTTTTCTCAAGAGTAAGGTGATACTGATTACAGTTCAATATACATAGAAAGTTGAAATAACACCAAAATCTTCACTTATTTCAAAGTAATGGTGGGTAAGCACAGACATTTGTGTCTTCTATGAAAGAGTATGTTAATTTGAAGTAATATATTTTGAAACAGAGTTTTGCAGATTTGTTTAAACCATCATTTCTGAGGATGAATATAGCATGTGCCAGAGAAGTCCCTTCCAGAGCTTTACATTTAGTTTAAATGATGCCTGACCCTCTTGTGAATAACTGCTCTTAAAAATAAATTGTTGATGCTCCTGAGGAGAATACAGTCTTTCAGAGCTCTGGCAAACTCCATAACTTACATCTGATCCACCTTACAACTGGGTCTCTGTTTGTTACATTTACAATATTGGCCATTTACTTTTCTTTTTAGTTTCTTATCAATATTTTGAAAGTATTTAATTATATTTTACATTAAAAATAATATGGTAATTTTATTTTTCCAGCACAGACATAGCTTGAGCTAATCTAGATGCAAACCATAAAAGCATCTGTAAATTCTTCTTTCTTCATAAGAATCTCCGCATTTCTTTCTGACACTCAGAAGGCCAAAACACATGATTCTGAGAACCTGCCTTGTGACTCCCACACCCCTCTTGCAAGTTTTGATGAACAGCCTAACTATGACTTTAAAGTTCTTCTATAATTTATTGTCACAGAGATATCAGGAAGAAGATAATGTTTAGATGAAGAAAACAGCCTGTAGAGAAATTGTCAGAGTCATATTGTCAGAGTCACCTTGTTGATATTATATTGACTTAATGAAATTAACATTAACCCCCAGCATGAGGTAGAGAGAAGAATATTAAACTAGGAACCAGAGATCTGACAGTGTCATTAATGACCCAAGGAAAGTCACCTAGTCTCTCTGAACTTCATATTTCCTAACTGTAACTTGGGATAATAAAATAGTTTTTTTGAGGATCATATCAGATAATCTTTTTAAAGTACATTATGAACTATGAAGTACTAAATAATGTTGAGTTTGTATCTATTAGGTTAAGAAAGACATAACTCTTTTATTTTAGACATAGTCATTGTCTAAAATGACACAGTCATTTTAGACATAGCCTAAAAATGACTGAGTTCCAATGAGTTACTAGCTTACTAGATTATTTTTAGCAAGAAGTTTATAAAAAACAAGTTTGTATCATTAGAAAATGACATTTTCTCAAGTGAGAAATTTGACATGTGTTAATTAACTGGAAATTGTTGAAAACTTTGTTTACTGGAGAGATACACAGCAGGTAAATATGCTCCTTCTGTGAAACTATATTTGTAGTTCTTATTTGCTGAGATAAGGTCAATGATGAGAAACAGTAATGCCTGGGCTATGCTAAAAAAAGCTTATTCAGTAAGATAAAAAATATGAATTTTATCAAGATATTATGTATGACAGCGTTAGAAGTCATGAAATTCCACTGTGCCTTTATTTCCCTCCATTCCTAAATACTTGCAAGCAAAAAGCAAGTAGTGTTTCAGCAGATAAGTCACTGGGTACCACCAGGACCGTTAGGGCTAAGTTTTTTTATTGTGAGGTTTAGAAAAGAGCTTCTAGAACTGGAAGAATAAAAATGGAGGAAGAAACAATGGTAGTACTATGGGGAAGAAGCCAGAGGCTTTTTTTTTTCTCTTCATCCCATGACAGATGGTATACGGTATACCTATGCCAATTTCAACAAGACTATGTCATGAAATGAGGACTCTGACAAGGATTAGGGGTTAGCACCATGATATTGAAAGCAGGATTCATTGCTGAGAGTTTGGGCTGGGTGCTGCTGGGGTAGAGATATTCTCTAAATCCTCAGGAACCAGGGGCATTATATCATATGGATTTTTTTCAGAGAATTCTGTTTCTGTATTCCTTCTGTAGATTCAATGTTTGATTTATTTTGAGGTTTCATTGAATCTCTTTGTATAGTATCATTGGAAATAAGAGGACAGTGTTGGCTACGCAACAAATTATGTTTTCTGGATGACATGTGTAAGAACAATACTAACTGAACTGAGATAAACTAAAAGGGTGATCAGGGCTTTTATGTTACATGGTGCAATTCTACAGGAAGGATTCAAGTAATTAATTATACTTTCTTTAGTTCTAAATGATTTAAGGTAATTTTGTATGATTTTGAAGGTTACATAAAATTGAGCCAATTAGAATACAATAAAAATGTTTGCAAAAGAAGGAAGTTAAGCAAATGCAGAAAATGATATAAAATAAAGAGAGTGTAGGCACGGGGCAGAAACAATTCTATCAAAAGTTAATCGGTTGCTCTGCTTGAGTGCTAAGTGTGTCTCTACAGTTTCTATTGGCCATTAAGAAAAGTATAATTCTCACAAAGCAAACGTTTAGAAATAATAATACCTATGATTTTCTTTTAAGGATATATTTTAAAAAGAAAAGTACTCATTTTTAAGTATCCATTAAATAAATCATAAAGATTGCTTGAGGGAGTTATAATGTCAGACTTACAATATAGCAACAATGGAAGTACTCTTCTTCCTTACTTTTTTTTTTCTAAAATAAAAGACTGGAACTCTAGTCTTCAAAATAATGTCATTTTTTTGCAACTTGGAAATCACATTCACCATGTGAGGCTGTGATGCTGAGGTAGTAGAGTGATCGAGCACTCTAAATCAGAACCCTAAAATCCTATCTACGTGTTAATTCTTGACTTTATTCTCATCATTTCTTACTAGTTAGCACTTTTTTTTGTGTGTGTTGTTATAAATAGGAATAAAAATTAATTAGCATTCATAATTTAGGAAATTTGTTGAAGTTATTCAATAAAGCTTCATAGCTTTTTATAATAACTTCTAATGAGGGATGATACAAAGTTTTTTTAAAACAAGTTTAATATTCACTTGAACAGTTTTGTCTGCCTGATATTCCATACATTCATTTATGACCCTTTGGGATGAAAGGCTGCCTGACATCTGTTTCAAATCACATTTTCCCTAATTTTTATGTATGCCCTCTTTTTCCATCGTCTGCATTAAAATTCAAAAGCAGACATGATCTATTCCATACCGGTTTCTTCTTCTGTATTGCAGATCTATAAAACTTATCATTACTGCCTTGTTTTGAAGGTTTCTTTTGTAAGCATTGTCTTCTTGGCATTTCTTTCTTTCACCTTTGACCTGAAATCAGGCATAGTTTTGGGTCTTTCTTTTGGCAGGTCAATGGTTAAAGCATCTTTTTGTAAAGGAGAAGAGCTAATCAAGTTGGCAATGCAAGAGAGGTCTGTGTATTCTCACTTCTCAGATTTGCAACACCTTCTCATGATTCTCTTAGTGCCTTTTCTTATTTCTGTGGAGTTATAAAAATTATTCCCCTACATGGTGAAGACATCTGGACTTTCTGAATATGTGTCTGGTTGTACATTGTGTATGTTGTTCTTTCAAAAAGAGAGGAATTCCAACTCTTCTGCTCTTGTTCATTCTCATAGGTTTGGTAAAATTCTTGCTTTGAATGGAGTCATTCTTTCTCAACAAGGTAAACCTTGTGGAAATTTTGTTGGAAACATCTGTGTGACATCTCTTCTATTCTGGAAAGCAGCCTGCTCATGCAGTGCTCAGGGATTCGTTTAATTAAGAGGGACAGGAGTCTGCTTTGAATTGCCTAAGGGCGGAGCTCTGAATTCTCCAGTCTTCTCATAAGAACTCTGGTCTTTGCAGCATCTCACTTAGAGATAGAAGATAGAGTATTACACTTTCTGGGAATATTCTGCTAATTTGTATGAGTGAGTTTTGAGATAACAATGAACAACTTTGTGTCCTTTCCTTTCCTGTCCTATCCTTTTCTTTCCTTTCCTCTCCTCTCCTTTCCTCTTCTTTCCTTTCCTTTCTTTCCTTCTCCTTTTTCTTTCCTTTCCTTTCCTTTCTCCTTTCCTTTCCTTTCCTTCCTTTCTTTTTCTTTCTCTCTCTGTCTCCCCTCCCTCATTCCCTCCCCCATCCCCACCTCCCTCCCTCCCTCCCTCCCTTCTTTCCTTCCTTCCTTCCTTCCTTCCTTCCTTCCTTCCTTCCTTCCTTCCTTCCTTCCTTCCTTCCTTCTTTTGAGACAGGGTCTGGTTTTGTCACCCAGGCTAGAGTGCAGTGATGATTATAGCTCACTGCAGGCTCAAGCTCCTGGACTCAAATGATCCTCCAGCCTCAGCCACCCGAGTAGCTGAGACTACAGGCACATGTCACCATATCCAGCTTATTTTTACATATTTTGTAGAGATGAGGTCTTACTATGTTTCCCAGGCTTGTCTCAAACTCCTGGCTTCAAGCAATCCTCCCGCCTCAGCCCCCAAAGTGCTGAGATTGTAGGAGTAAGACACCATGCCTGGCCTACTATGTGATTTCTATACTCCATTAGGGCTAGTAAATGTAACTGATTAATAATTAAGGCCAACTAATTTTGGCCAGTATTCATATATTATTCATGTACTTATGAAGATGAATAATACATCATTCATACCTCTGAGTTTATAATTTAATAACAGAGAGCTAATTGACCAATTTGAAAAATAATATGAATTGATTGTATTCATGTTGATTTTTAAAAAGACCTAAGTAAAATGGAGAAAACTATTTAGCCATCTTCACATAATAATCTTTTATTTCTTTTAGCTTTGTTTTCAAGTTCTGTGGTTTGTAACATGCTTTGTGGAGGACGCTTACCAAATGTTTTGTAATATCTTTGATCTCTCCATTTGTTCAAACATCTAAAAATTCCTTTGTGTTTGTAGGATGAGTGATATTTAATTCTTGGGCTTAATCTTATTGCAAGTGTGTGGATAAATTTAAAATATTTTGTTTTGGTTTCTCATGTTGTCTTCAGCTACTATAGTTACCTAGTGACAATTTCTCCTGTTCTTGACTGGTTATCGGCATGACTTGTAACTGGCATTACAGTTAATAACAGTGGTATTGATGATATGAAATGTTTTTTTGATTGAATGGAGCCTTAATCTATGGTCTTTGGGATTGGAAGATGCATTTATATTAGGTCTGTATATTAGTGAGGAGTCACGCCATTGATTATAAATGTTGCCATCTCCTGCTCTTAGTCTACTCTTCTATATTTTTCTATTAAACTTTTTAAGGAAAAATATGATTAGAATTTATATATAATTTTAAATATGCAATTGTTCTTTTAATATATTCTCTAAACATCTACATATAGTCTTGGTTATCTTGCTAACAGGTAAGAAATATCAGGAATATAGGAATCATGCAAGTGATAATTGGTGAAGTATTAAGAGATGATCAGTATAAAGATCAGCAGGAGCTGGAAAACTACAGCCTTTGAGCCAAATCTGGCTCACCATCAATTTTTGTAAATATAGTTTTATTGTAACACATCCACATTCATTTGTTTATCTATTCCTATTGCTTATTTGTGTTATGAGGGCAGAGTTGAGTTGTTTCAACAAAGACCATATGTCATGAAAAGCCTAAAATAGTTACTGTCTGGTCTTTGCAGAAAAAGTTAGCCGATCCCTGGTCTTGAGATGGCTCAGTGTATCACTATGTAATTTCCCAATGCAATGGTAAAGGCAGAGTTCATTTTTTTTTTTCTCTTAACCACACCTGACCACTTAATTGTCTTGAGTAAATTAGGACATAAGAAAATCTCCCAATGTGGTTTACAAAGTCAATTATTTCATTTGAATGAATATATTTGATTTAACTAAAAAACATTTTTTAGTGACAGAGTCTTGCTGTGTTGCCCAAGCCAGAGTATAGTGACACAGTCATAGCTCACTACAGACTTAAAGTCCTGGACTCAAGTGATCCTCCTGCCTCAGCCACCTGAGTAGCTATAGGATTACAGGTGTGTGCCACCACTCCTGGCTAACTAAAAAACAAAACTCGTTCTTTAGTTAGCCAGGAGTTTTTTTCAAGACCCAGCTGGTCTTGAACTCCTGGCCTCAAGTGTTCTTCCCAACTTAGCCTCCCAAAGCACTGAGACTGTAGGTGTGAGCCACCATACCTGGCCCTAAATGAATATATATTAAACTCATTATAGCCTGCTGTGAAAAGATGGCCATCTCTCGACTGATTTGGTATTTTGATACTCTTAGTAGGTAATGATATAATGATGTAATTAAATCATTCATTTTAATGACTTCCCCAGGAATGGAAGTAAAATCAGTAGAGTACCTCCTATGATTAGTCTCTATGCTAGTTTCCTGCATCCAGGTGGCAGCTTAATTCCAGAAAGTAGTACATTAACAACCTGGAGAACAATGTTGCCCATGCTCCAAAAGAAACATTTAGCTTCTCATACACTCTCTTGCCCAAATCTCATTTTACTGATAGGAACATTAAGTTCATTATGGCTAAATTGCCTGATTAAAACTAGAAATTTTTAGGCCGGGTGTGGTGGCTCAGGCCTGTAATCCCAGCACTTTGGGAGGCCGAGGTGGGTGGATCACAAGGTCAGGAATTCAAGACCATCCTGGCCAACATGGTGAAACCCCATCTCTACTAAAAGTACAAAAATTAGCCACGCATGGTGGCTGGCGCCTGTAGTCCCAGCTACTTGGGAGGCTGAGGCAGGAGAATCGCTTGAACCTGGGAGGCGGAGGTTGTGGTGAGCCGAAATTGTGCCAGCGCACTCCAGCCTGGGCGACAGAGTGAGACTCTCTTTCAAAAAAAAAAAAAAAAAAAAAAAAAGTAAAAATACTAAAATACTAGAAATTGTTGTAAGGGGTTAAGCTAGCATTTGATTGTAGGTCTGCACGGTTCCAAAGCCATTGCTTCTTGGCAAAACTCTACTGCCTAGTATACTACATCGAGACTCAGTGTCTTCAGAAACATCTACTTGAGAGTTGTGGACTTTTTTTTTTTTTTTCAAAATACCACCAGGATCTTTCTCAAAAGTTATCAGCTACTTGCAGAATCTTATTAACTAAACAGGTAAAAAGGAATTAAGTAGGTCTGATGCAATCTCATCTGTGTAGGGGGAAAGTGAAATACTAAAATCATGTGCACTTCAAAAAACCAACGGTTTTACAGCAAAAGTCTGCCTGGAGCTAAAAACAATCTCAACTGTGTCTGCCATTCATCCTATTTCTTTGGCAAATGTGGGAAAATGTTCATTTCCCTCCCAAGTTCTTCTGTCTAGGCCACTCTTTCTTATAAAGCTAATAATATGCAATGACAAAGGCCGTAGTAGATAATAACATGAAAGCAAGGTATGATATTATTAGTAAGCTAGAAGAACAGTCAAGAAGTTTGCGGGTTTATTATAGGCCCTAATGGAATGCTGAATAGACTCCTTAGCCTGCCATATCCTTTGATGTTGGTTCCTTTGGGTTCCTTACAATGGCCAACTCCTGCTAGAGTAATTATTGTTACTCCACTCCTTGAAACTAACTTCATTTGTAAAATAATTGACAGCTATACAAGAACCTCAGATTTGTAATGATATTTGGAATGTTTTAGTTATTTTGGTACAAGTCATTGGATCTGTTTAACTGAAAATGAAATTAACTTCTCTAAGAATTGTGAAATTTTCAGGGATAACATATCTGTGGAGTGTCTCTTTTGTCATCTTTTGTCCTGATATAGCTTTATATAGCTTTAACTTGGCTCACTGATTTATACCCAGAGGCAATTATAAACTGTTTTATAAATATTTGAATGGAATTTAATTTGCATATATGCACAGCTTGGGTATTGAAATGGATAAATGTATTGAATTATGATCCCAAACTATTTTAATTATAATTTCTCTTTTTGCATATAGATGTCAAATAACCATGATCACAAGAAATACAATTATTAATTTCTTACTTATGGTAATATAAAGTGTATTAGATGAAAATAAATAAAACATTGAGGAACAGATGCTTTGTTTACTGATTTATATAACAAATTCTAACTTATTTATGGGTTCAGTGAAATCCAGTAGCTATGATGTGAGAAAAATAAGATAATTGATTGTTTTGGCTCAACTCTTTAGGTAGTACTAAGTATAAGATTGCATCGGGGGTACAAACTGTAGGGAATGTGGATAAACAGAGTTGAAAAATATGTATTCCACATATTCTACATGTAAAATTGTAACCATATCATAACAGAAAACATATGTGGCACTATTAGCTTGATTTGAACATGCATATAAGCTCTTTCTTCCAAAATTTTAAATAGGAGCATGCAATTATAAAGGTTATTTTAGGTATGTAGAGTACACTGCATACCAACCTCATGATTAAATAGTATCAAAAAATAAGGAACAATTTTAATTAGAAGACTAGTAGAAAATAATGTTATACAAAATTGGACCTTAAGTGGATAAGTTAGGAAAAAAATTAATTAATAATTTAGCTTGAATAAAGTACTGTTTCTAAATGTAGGAATCCTGATAATCTTATCTGAATATGATTAGCCTATTAGGAAAATACCGTGATGTCATTAAGAAAATTAACATACTCCAGGTGCATAATTCTACTGGCACAATGCTATTGTGGAATGTGTTTATTCATCTGAAACCAAGAGAAATATAATTTAATTCAGATGTGCAAGATAAAGTTCTGTTGAAAACTACTAGTGGCACTTTCGCCTACTGGCACCAAGAAACAAAACCTGGGCTTTTAACAATATGTTTTAGCAAATCACAAATCTATTTCACAGAAGCAGTGTTTTCAACTCCAAATTCCATCAAAGTAGTGAATGAGGAGTAAAATACATTTTTGGATGCTAATTTGAATATTTTCTGCAGGGGAATAAACATATTTCAAGTTTATAAAACAAGTTAATGAACTTATGTTCACACTTATACATATTATTTATTAGTGATAAATTTTTTGGAGTGCTTGCTATATGTCATGCTCTGTCTTAGGTATGTATTGATATGTAAATACCTACCAAAGTACAATACCTTGTATATTAAGTTTGCTTGGAAAAATAAAAATTTTGCTTGTGAATTAAAACTAAAAATTAAAAAAAGTTTTATCCTCCCAATTATTTGGTTAAGTTTTATTTAATTCATAAATTGAAGTATTTTGGAAGACACTCAAATATTTTAATTTGAAGTGTACTAATTTTTTTAAAAATAGAGGAAACAGTATTGTTATTCTTAAGATAGCAATAGCATAAAATTAAGAAGGTGTATATCTTGCTTTAATCTGAAATTGTTCATGAGCACCTCAAAATAGTTTCAGCCTTTTAAGTCTTTTCAGTTTAACAACTGAATTAATGTTTTTTTCATTCAAAATGCTTTTTAAGATTCTCCTGTATCTTATTTTCTCAGTTTCTCACAATAAGAAAGGAGGAATTGACATTAACAGAAGGATTCTGTGTTTCTTGTCGTATAGAAAAATAACATTTTTCTATAGCACAAAGTTTTCCCTAGTAAAGTATTCATGAGAGTGCTAGGTTTGAATATGCCTGAAATTTTACTATATGTACTGTTTGCTAAATCAAGCCTGTTTTTAATTATTTTAAGTCACTTTTATCTGTTTTGGTCTAACAGTGATTGGCAATTGGAAAGAAAAGAAAAAAATATCCAGCTGGAATAGTTTTCACTAGATTCAGTTGGGAAAAGTTTTCCTTTTGAAAACATAGGTGCCTTTTAAATTAGTATCTTTGCATCACACGGTATTGATACATCATATTGAAGCCTAAAGAATGTGATTCAGAACTATAGTCTGACATACTTCCAAACTTTTCTCATCTTAAAATTCTTGATTAAATCTATGATATCCTGTTTCTGTTTCTCCTTGCATTTTCAGGGTAAAATAAATATTCTGCTTGCTAAGTATCAGCCAAACCTAGATATTCAATTCCACCTCCCCCTTCTATTTCTTAAATAATAATAATAATGATAAAGGTGAATGTGAGTTAGTCACTACTATGGTTTCAATGTCCCCTCCAAAATGTTGAAATTAATGTAATTGTGTCAGTATTGTCAACCTAAATAACAAACAGAGAGGGAGACTCCATAAAAGAAAATGATGTTTATTTAGGAATAAACATTGCAGAGGGAATACATGTGTCATAATAAACTATATGCATATTCAGGGAGTAAAAAGAAGATAAAAATTTTAAAGAAAACATGAAGAGAATTACATAATTGTTTTGAAATAGTTATCCTTGGCTACAAGGATCAATAACAAGGATGATGCCAGCTTGAATTTGCTCAGGCAGTTGCTGGACAGATGTCCTCACAGAAGTGTTTTTGTGTGTGTGCAAGGTTTTGATGGCCTTTGTGCAGGGTTATATTTTTGCAGTCTTTAGTAGTAGTTCTTGTTATCAGGCATTCATGCATGAGAACCCTTCCTTTAGGCCTCCCCTAGCTCTATTTGTCAGAGTTTTGAACATAAGTGACTCCATTTTGATTCTGACAATTTGCACATTTCCCTCTTTTGATTAAGATCTTCTCTGAAAGCATTGCTGATCAATTAATTATCTCTTACTGAAGTTTCTGTTGTCCCTTTATGTCAGGATATACCTGTCCAAGTTTAGTCTAGTGTGGTCTCACATTGGAGGGAAGTGATTGGTGACTAAGAGTCATTATCAAAAACGCTTTTAGCCACATTTGAACAACAAGGGAGGGTGGAAGGAAGTGACTTTCAGGCTAAGTCTACTTGGAGTTTATTTTTAAGTTTAATCTGTTTGTTCCGTAGGCTTTGTCCTTAATTTTAAAGTGTTGAGGGAGTATTATTTTGTTGGGAATTGTATTTTTGTACAAATTTAAGAAGTAACAGGTATAAAGTTTTTAAAGGAAAATATAAAGTAAAATAATAACCTCAGTTTGTATAATAGTTTTGAGCCATGACCCTAGGCTTGCAGGCAACTAATCCAATAATTTAAATGACCTTGGGGAATTAGGTGAGACTTAGTATAAACATATGGCCTTTACAAAAAAAAAATGTGTATATGGGTCTCACTTTTCCCAGAGGAATTTAGCCAGATATAGTATGTAGTATTAGCAATAGTACAGACATTTTCTTATTTAACTAATTAGAAATTTTAACTAATCAGTAATTTTATCATCTAGCATCCAATGACTGAGTTGAATTAAAGGTTTCAATCCAATTGTGTTAAATATGTTTTCATTCTTAGGTAGACTAAAGGATCTCTTAGGTTAGGTTTTGTCAAGTTACCAGCAGAAGCTACTGATTATAAAATTTCAGTGATAATGTTGCATTGTTAAATTAAAAAGGAAACTTTGAACCCAGCCATTCTATGTACATATTTAAATATAATATTTTAGTCGAAGCCTTGATAATATAACCAATATTTTAAATTGTATATTGTTATAAAGAGAGCAGATTATTAATAAATTTATATAAATAACCATATTGTTATAAAAAATGGGAATACACTTGAATAATTTTTGAATTTTGGAGATACTAAGTAGGGAGAAAAAGTGTTTTTATCTTTGTTTACAAAAGTATACTTTACCAAATTATTGTAAACTACAGACATGTTAAGAGAGAAAAATATTTTTAATCTGGGAAACAAAATATTTAATTAAAGAACCAACAATGTTTTAAATAAAAGTCATGAAAACATACTTAATCTGTCATTTAATCTCAAGTAATTACTTTTTGTTTTGTTTGATCTTGGTAAAACTAATAGTTGAGATCAACAAAACAAAATTTAACATTAGGGCTTGTTTACTCAAATTGTATTTTTAAAATCATTAGTTAATAAATAGTCTGAAAATCTTTTGAATTATATATACATGTATGTGTACAAATTTTGAATCTGCAGTTGAAATAGAATTTGAATATGTTTGTTTAAAAGCCTCCACATCTGTTTAGAAAAATACAAAGCTACAAAAGTTTATTATTTTATTTTTTATTTATGTATTTTATTTATTTTTTATTTTTTGAGACAGAATTTTGCTCTTGTTGCCCAGGCTGGAGTGCAATGGTGCGAACTCGGCTCACTGCAACCTACGCCTCCCGGCTTCAAGCGATTCTCCTGCCTCAGCCTCCTGAGTAGCTGAGATTACAGACATGCGTCACCACACCCAGCTAATTTTGTATTTTTTGTAGAGATGGGGTTTCTTCTTGTTGGTCAGTCTGGTGATTTATTTAAAATATATCATTGAATAATACAAATAACGCCAATGAATTCAGTTTAATTGTTTTCAGAATTAATGACTATTAACATTGCCAAATGAGGAAACTGAGACTCAGAGGGGCCACATGGTTTTTTTGATGAACCAGCATAAAGTTTGTTTATTGCAGAGCAGAAACAAAATGGGAGTTTGAATATTTTTACTATTGTGTTCTTACATCAAACTAGACTATAGAATTTTAATGTATGTATACTTTGGCCTCCAAAGATGCCTGTATCTCAATTCTGGGAACCTTTGAATATATTAGGTGACATGGCAAGGTGAATTAAGGTAGCAAATGAAATTAAGGTCGCTAATCAATTGAACTTAAAATAGGGAGAGTATTCTGGTTTACCTAGGTGTGCCCAATATAATTACAAGCCTTTTCTTAAATGTGGAAGAAGGAAGCAGAAGAGTCAGTGTCAGAGTGATTGCATGTGAGAAGGACTCCACTGGCCATTGCTGGCTTTGAATATGGACAAATGGGGCAATGAGCCAAGAAATGCAGTGGCCCTCCAAAAGCAGGAGAAGCCAAGAAAACAGATGCTCCCCAGAGCCTCAGGAAGAATGCAGTCCTGCATACACTTGATGTTAGCCCAGAGGCCTATTTCAGACCTCTGACCTCCAGCAGTGTAAGCTACTAAATTTGTATTGCTTTAGGGCACTAAGTGTATGGCAATTTGTTACAGCAGCAATAGGAAGCTAATACAAGTTAGAAACAGAGGTATAACATTTTAAATTGTAAGCGGAAGTGATTGATTTTTATATTTTAGGAATGAAGGATCTTGGTAAAGAAAAGCTGACAATATAAAGGACATATGTAGACTCTTTCCTTTGGAATTCACCAACGAGTTTGTTTTCTCTCTCAGAAGTTCTTTCAGATCAGTGTGCATCATCCACAGGGAAGATTTGTATCCGCAATTGGACATCAGCACAAATTTTTGTGTAATCTCCTTGAAGATTCCTTTAGAAGCAGTGTGGTGTGATTTGTTAAATAAATATTAGTTTCTATCAGCTCATGGTTTTGCCTTAAGGACTTTATTTCTTTTTCTTTTTAATCTGTGAAATGGGAGTGATGCTGCTCATGCCCTAGACAAGACTGGGATTTTTCTCTTTGAAGACTTAATGTGGTAAAAGCATTCCTTTTCATGTTTATTTTCTACAACTAAAGAGAGCTAGTCTAAAAGAAATTCCTGATGCTTTGATCTTGTTCATTGACAAACTGGTTTTCAAGGCCTACATTGTTTTCTTTTTCTTTGTTTTTGTTCACAAAATTAAATTTGCTTTACTTGGAATTATTTGGGTTCACTGCTATTTTCATGACAGCTAAAGAACTGTGGTTGTGACCTCCCAATTTCACTGTGGCTATAATAGCTTCCATTCTTTGTTTCCTGGGTCCCTCTCAGCAGTCATGCTGAAAGCAGTTTTAAGACCAGGCATATTTGATTTCTTGGAAGGGTTCCTGGGAACATTGTCACATGGACTTTAGCAAAGTCTGTATCTGATAAACAAGGATCTTATTCAGGCTCAGGCAAGAGGGTGAGTAAGCTGGCACAGCTGGAAAACAGGCCAACATCATACAACACGGTATCTAGTTATTAGCCCTTCACAATGGCTGATTAGTTTTCTTCCAGGAGTCATGCCAAATGGTGTCACTAGACTGAGGGTTAACCACCCAGTGGTGCTTAGATTTGGAGCTTTTTGTCTTTGAAGTAATATGGCGCACTTTTAAAATTGAGTCTAAATTTCGGTCAAAGATACCTGCCTTTCTTTTGTATCTGACAAGAGAGACAAAAACCTTAAAATCAGTAGAGACTCATTACTCTACTCATTACTCTCATGTTAATGGTTAGATTTACAACTGATAGTAGTCTCAGTAACAGTTGACTCATGAACATATGATATTATGCATTTAAAAAATCTAAATTTATTGATGGCTAGGAAATTATATTATTTAATATGTCAATAATTTACTTGATTTAAATGTGTTTCAAAGGTATGTTGGACAATTTTAGTTAATGCCAATGTTGAATACTAAAGTATTTTGCTGACCTTTGTCCCTGGTTCTTGGAATTTCCCCAGTGATAGGAATGTCTTTGTTATGAATGGTGGACACCTGGGACCACAATTGAGTTTATACTAACAAGGTGATTCATGGTGGACCCCAGATAGTTTCATATGGGGGTTGGCATGGCCATGCTAAGACTGACCAACCATGCAAGTAAAAGGTTTTGACTTATTTATTTATTTATTTATTTATTTATTTATTTATTTATTTTTTAGAGACACAGAGTCTCACTCTGTCACCCAGGCTGGAGTGCAATGGTACCGTCATAGTTCACTGCCACGTTGAACTTCAGGGCTTAAGTGATCTTCATCCTTCAGCCTCCTGAATAGCTAGGACTATAAGCATGTACCACCATGCCAGGCTAATTTGTTTGTTTGTTTATTTATTTATTTTTTAAAGACAGACAGACAGGGTCTCGTCATGTTGCTCAGAGTGGTCTCAAACTCTTGGCTTCAAGTAATCCTCCTGGCTTGGCCTCCCAAATTGTTAGGATTACAGGCATGAACCACTATATCCAGCCTAAGGATTTGACCCTGAACCAGGTGCTGCAGGCCTGATATCCTTACCTCTGAGGAGTGGAGGGGAGCAGAGCTGGAGATTTAGTTCAATCTTATGGCCAGTTATTCTATCAATTATGCCTACATAATGGAACTTCAATAAAACTCTGGACATCTGAAGCTTGGGTCAGCTTCCTAGTTGGTGATATGCGTGGTTGTACCGGTATGATGACATCTCCTGAAGACACTGAAGCTTTACATTTGGGATCCTCTTGGATCTCACCCTATGCATTACTTCCTTTGCCTGGCCCTGATTTGTATCCATTATAAGACAACTGTAATCATAAGTATAGTGTTTTCCTGAGTTCTGTGAGTCATTCCAGCAAATTATTGAATCTAAAGGGTGTAGTTGGAATCTCCAGATCTATATTCAGTTGGTCAGAAGTGAAGGTACCTTGGGAACCCTAGACCTTGCAGCCAGTGTCTGAAGTGAGAGGAGACTTGTGGAGGACTGTGCCATTAACCTGTAAAATTTGACTTAACTCCAAAAAGTTAGTCTTGTAATTGCATTGTGGCTGATTAGAACTTTCATACATAGAAATCTATATCGAGATATATATATATATATATATATATATATATATATATATCTGAATCATAGAATTCATTTTACTATTTTAATTTAGAAATTTCATGCATATTTTTATCCTGCTACATAATATACTGAAGTAACATATTTTAAAATCATTTTCATATCAATGAATTTTAAATAGTTCTTCAGTGATAAGCCATATGGAAAGGAATTATCTTAGTCTTTTGATTAAATGAAAATTGTTTGTTCTTTGATTATCATCCAAATGTTTGCTTCCATTCAGTATAAAATGTGACTAAGAAAGCTGGGATGGTTGCTGATAACCCTAATAAGACACTGATGTACATAGCATTGCTAGGTTAAGCAACCTACCTGGTGATATTTTAGGTCATATCTATATCTTGGACTCAGGAATTATTATGATGACAAAATTGTTTGTCCTTTGATTATCATCCAAATGCTTGCTACTTTTCATTAGAGTAGCAATAATTAAGCACTAAAAATGTGTCTATACTCTTTTTAATTGAGACAAAGTGTTCATGATGCAGGCACTAGTATTCCATTTACTACTGATGAGGAAACTGAGGCATGGAAAGTTCATATAAATTGTGACAATTACATAAGTAGTCATTACCAGAGCCGGTAGTAATCCCAGCATTCCCTACACTTGTCCTACATCACTAAATATAATCCATTCATCAATTGTGATTATGTCTCAATGTGAGGCATCACAGATGATGCTCACTCTCAGACATTATTGTAATTAGAATATAATTGGATACATGGGATTTGGTATCAATTCATTTATGAGTGATATTTATAGAGGACCTATTATGTGTCAAATACTGGGCAAAGTACTGGGGATACACTTCTGAATAGATAGAATTGTTTTACTTCATGTCAGGGCAAGGGCAACTGTAACTGTGGACCAACAAGGGTGGGGACAGATTCCCTGGGGCAGTGCCCCAGGGGCTCTTCTCAGTTCCAGACTCTTCCAAAACACTCACTCACTGAGAAGAACATCCTGGGCTTGGCTTTTTCTGTGCACTCATGTCTGTAGGAAAGAGGCATCAAGAGCCAAAAAGGGAAGCTGAAAGGAGAAAAACAATTCAGTGAGACTAGAAAAATAAAATAAATGCATAAAACTGGTAAAACTTTTTTTGTTGTTTACATTTTCATGTTCTATTATTTTAATCATTTTCATTATAAAAATCTATAGCTATCTAAATTTATTTTTATATTTTATTTATTTATTTATTTACTTATTTATTTATTTTTGAGACGGGAGTCTTGCTCTGTTGCCCAGGCTGGCTGGAGTGCAGTGACGCGATCCCTACTCACTGCAAGCTCTGCCTCCCGGGTTCATGCCATTCTCCTGCCTCAGCCTTCCGAGTAGCTGGGACTACAGACGCTCGCCACCATGCCCGGCTTTTTTTTTTTTTTTTTTTTTGGTAGAGACGGGGTTTCACCGTGTTAGCCAGAATGGTCTCGATCTCCTGACCTCGTGATCCACCTGCCTCGGCCTCCCAAAGTGCTGGGATTACAGTCGTGAGCCACTGCGCCTTGCCTATTTTTTAAAGAAACAGAGTCTTGTGCTGTCACCCAGGTTGGAGCGCAGTGGCATGATCTCAGCTCGCTGCAACCTCCACCTCCTGGGTTCAAGCGATTCTCGTGCCTCAGCTTCCCGGAGCAACTGGGACTACAGGCATGCACCACCAAGCTGGGCTAATTTTTTGTATTTTAGTAAAGACGGGATTTCACCATGTTGACCAGGCTGGTCTTGAACTCCTGAACTCAGGCAATCTGCCAGTCTCTGCCTCCCAAAGTGCTAGGATTACAGGCATGAGATACCATGCCTGGTTCTATCTAAATTTAAATGGGATTTTACCATTTTGGGAGGCTGAGCTGGGTGGATCATTTGAGGTCAGAAGTTCGAGACCAGCCTGAGCAACATGGTGAAACCCTGTCTGTACTAAAAAATGCAAAAAAAAAAAAAAAAAAAAAAAAAAAATAGCCGAGTGTGGTGGGGTGCACCTGTAGTCCCAGCTACTCAAGAGCCTGAGGCAGAAGAATCACTTTAACTCAGGAGTTGGAGGTTGCAGTGAGCTGAGATCACACCACTGTATTCCAGCCTGGGCAATAGAGCGGGACTCTGTCTCAAAAAAATAAATAAATAAAAATCAAATAAATAAATAAATGAAATTTTAAAAATTGAGATTTTACAATTTTGAGATTCTTACCAGAACATTTTTGTATTGAAGATTCCTAAATGTTAATTGCCTAGATAAAATCATTTCATTTCTATTTATGTTTTCTTTCACTTGCCAGTTTAAAATTACTGAGGCCCCAAATTCTGTTTTTGTTCTTCTATAACCCCAAATTCCTTTTTGAATTAGTATAATCTACTAGTTTTGACTTACAAACATACAAACATACACAAAAATACATTGAAGAGAAACTGGTTTTCAGGCAAGACAAACATATATAGTTGCCTTTGCATCTCTACAGGAGCTTAATGTGAAATTTATGACAGAAAAACTTGAAAATAAAGCCATACTATATTTAAATAATTATATAATAAATTATATGTAAGAATATGGGTCAATGTTATGTACATTCTCAAATTTTGTGCTTTCATATGAGATTGGGGCTTCTTTTCAATGTGAATACAGTAGTCATGTGTGACAGTGATTATTATAAATATTTGACTAATGAGTTCATTTTTTAAGATAATATGTTTAGTTAGAATTTGGGTAATTGCTCAGTGTTGGCATTGAGAAATTTGGCCATTAAATGGACATTTAAAAGAAATCACCAATTTTATCTAATGTGTGTCAAGAATCTCTGAAGATATTTTGTGATTATTAAGCTGGGATTGGCACATGTAAACTGAAGTGAATAATTAAGATAATTACCTGAATAATTTAAGAAAAGTATTTTTTATTATATTGTCTATTTTTTTCCATTCTTTTTACCTGTTTGGCCCAATTATTCTGAATAATATTTTTATTTATTTATTTATTATCAATCCTTCTATATATGAAAATATTTTTATATTATATGGTACTGCATTTAACTATTAGTATGAAAAGAAATGAATTAAAATTATCTTAAAGCTATAAATCAAATAGAAAGTGCTTTAGAAATATTGTACTTAAGCTTCCTTCTCCATGTGTTAAATAGTAAAACTTTAGGAGGGGATTAAAGTGTTAAAACAGAATAAGGAGGAGGCTGTTAGCCTAAGTTTGTCTTTGTACCTACGGCACCTTACATAAGCAAACTAAAATATAGTTTGGAGGCATTTTCTATAACTGATTATAAAAACAAAACAAAAATTCTTAACCAATCACAAACATCCAGCCAGCTGATTGATTATATGACAAGGGACCTCCCATTGGTCTGTACTCAAATGAGGCAAATACCTAGCTTTTACCAGGAAAGTAGTTTCTTTACTTTACTTCCATGTTCAACCTAAAAAAACCTGCTACTCATGCTGTTGGAATGCAGCTCTTCCTATTCTGACTGCTGCCTGATTCATGAATCCTTTAATACTCAAACACTGTTAAATTTATTTTGACTAAAGCTTTTCTTTTAAAAATGTAAGATGTATTTCTTATTTCTGCTCCCTTCAACTTTCCTTTCATGTTAATAAAAACTGAGTATCTATGTCCTGGTGGTGTGGGTGGGATGTGTTCATGGAACCTAGAAGACTTGCTCACTGCCTTGAAGTTAGGTAGCTCAGTCATTTTTGCTAGCAAAACTTATTAGAGTGTTGAAAGAAACAATTTGTTTATATTATGTTTTCCTCCTGCCTCCAATTCTTGACTTTGGTCCCCTGAAAAGTAAAACTCTTGGCTTTTTAAGCTGACATTGCAACCCCTTTGAATATTTTAAACATTCCACGTCCAGGATGTTTATACATAGATAGAAAGAATACATTGATTTTTTTCCCTCATAACAAAATTATGTCTTTGTATCTTGAAATATGTCTTTCAAGAAACAAACAAACAAAAAAACCCAAGGAGATATAACTACACAAAAATAACACAATAATCTCCTAGTTACTGACCCCAAAGAAATGGAGATACACAAAATGCTTGACAAAATTAAAATAATTGTTTTAAAGGTGCTAAGTGAACTTCAAAAAATACAGAGAAATAATTCAATGAAATCATGAAAACAATACATAACAAAAACTAGAAATTTAACAGAGAGATGGAAATTATATAAAAAGCAAATAGAAATTCTGAGCTGAAAAATACAATGAGTGAAATGAAAAGTGCATTAGCTAGCATCAACAGTAGAACTGATCAAGCAGAAGAATCTGTAAACTCGAAGACAGATTATTTGAAAATATGCAGTCAGAGGAGAAAAAAGAAAAAAAATGAAAAGAAATGAAGAAAGTTTACAAAATTTACAGTTTGCCATCAAAAGAGCAAATGTTTGAGTTATAGACATTTGGGAAGGAGAAGAGAAGACAATAGAGTATTTTTATTATTACAAAAAATGGTAAAAATCTTTCCAAATTGGAGAAAGATATACATATCCAGGTATTGTGAGCTCAAAGATCTCCAATCAGATTCAATCCAAATAAGACTACAGCAAGCCATATTATAAGCAAACTCTTAAAAATCAAAGACAAAGAGAGGATCCTGTAAGCAGCAAGAGAAATGAAGCAAATAGCATATAAGACAGTTCCAATATTGGCAGATTTCTCAGCAAGGACCTTTTAAAAAGAGAGAGGCCAGGAGAGAATGTGATGATATATTCAAAGTGCTGAAGGGAAAAAATGGTGACCAATAATACTGCATGTGACAAAGCTATTCTTCAGAAATAAAGAAGAGATATAAACTCCCAGACAAACCAAAGCTGAATGAATTCATCAGCACCAAATCTGCCTTACAGGGAATGCTAAGGGAGTTCTTCAAGCTTAAAAAAATGATGCTACTTTGTAACACAAAAACATGAACATACAAAACTCACTGGTCAAAGTAAGTACATGTTCATATTGAAAATACTTTCATGTTTTAATATTGGTGTGTAAATAATTTATATCTTTATTATGATAAAAGATAAAACTATTAAAATAATCATAGCTACAATAATTTTTAAGGGAGATACAATACAAA
Source organism: Homo sapiens (assembly GCF_000001405.40). Lineage (NCBI taxonomy): Eukaryota > Metazoa > Chordata > Mammalia > Primates > Hominidae > Homo > Homo sapiens. Next base: position 126,985,374 of record NC_000004.12, on the reverse strand, counting down.
ATTGTCAATTGTGACACACAAAAAATAAAATGCTTTTGGAGAGTTTGGAGTAAAATCATAGGTTAAGCTGTTATCAGCTTAAAATAGCCTATTATAATTATAAGCTGCTTTTTGTAAGTCTCATGGTAATCACAAAGCAAAATCCTGCAGTAGATATACACAAGCTAAAAATTAAGGAATCATACTGCCATAGAAAGCATACCACTGGAGAAAATAATTTAGTCAAAAAGGAAGACAGCAAGAGACGAAGAAAGGAACAAAGAATCTACAAAATAACCAGAAAACAATGAACAAATTACAGCAGCAAGTCTTTATTAATAATTACCTTGAATGTAGATGGATTAAACTCTCCAGTCAAAAGACAGAGTGGCTGAATGAATAAAACAAACAGACAAACAGACAACAAAAACAAGACACAACTATATATTGCCCATAAGAGGCTCACTTCACCCGTAAGGGCACACATAAACTGAAAATGAAAGCATGGAAAAATATATTCCATGCAAATGGAAACCAAAAGAGAGAAGTAGTGGCATACTTATATCAAATAAAATAGACTTTAAGTCAAAAACTGTAAAATGAGACTAAGAAGGTACTTATATAATGATAAAGGGGTCAATTCAGCAAGAAGATATAACAGTTGTAAATACATAAGCACCTCATATTACAGCACTTAAATATATCAAGCAAATAGTAATATATCTGAAGAAAGAGATAGACTGTAATACAATAGTATTTGACTTCAATACTCCACTTCTAGCAATGGAGATAATTCAGACAGAAAATCAATAAGGAAACACCAGATTTAAACTATGTGTTAGATCAACTGGACCTATCAGACATAAGAACATTCCATCCAACAGCAGCAGAATACACATTCTTCTCATGTACACACAGAACGTTCTCCAGGATAGATCATATGTTAGGCCACAAAACAAGACTAAACAAATTTAAGAATATTGAAATCATATCAGGTATCTTTTTTGACCACATTGGGAAATTTGGGGGTAAGTAAAAACATCTATTTTTCTAATGTTGAAATTGGTTTCTGACAATGAAAAGGATATAATCCTCTACATTCAACAAATTGTGGCATTAAAGCAAAGCAAAACTTTGGTATGGTTGTTAACTCTAGTTAACCTCTAGGGGAAGAAGGTAGGATATGACTGGAAAGAGACACATTGGAGGGAGAACTTTGGTGTAATGGTAACGTACTGTTTCTTGACCTAAATGGTAGTTACAAAGGTGATGAAGCTTTAGTTATTTATGACATTATATATTTAAATATTGTTTACTTTTGCCTTCATGTCTTAGTTCTTCTTAATTTAGAAAAGAAAGCAAAATTGTAATCTTAATAAAGGATATAAAACAAAAACCAGCCAAACTGAGAGATGCTGATGGTCCTGGATCAGAAGACTTAGCATCATTAAAATAGCAATCCTTTTAAATTAATTTATATATTTAAAGCAATTCCATGGAGAATATCAATGGTTTCAAATAATGGATAGAACTATTGATGAACAAGAAACATTTTTCTAAAGAAAAAATGTCTTAGAATATTCAAGAAACAAATGAAAAAAATGTTAAATGGACACTTGCCTTGCCCAATACTGAAACTACGAAACCATTGTAATGAAATCAGCATGGCACAGGTACAGGAATAGAAAAGCAGATTAGTTTAACACATATGAATCTAGACATAAAACCAGGATACAAAGATTGTTAAAATAATCAAAAAATGATATTACAATGTAGTAGAAAAAGAATAGTTTATTCAATAAATGTGCTGACATAGTTGGTTATCCATCTGGAAAAGACTTTAACAAAGCTAGGATTTCAGATGACTAAAGTTAAATCTAACAAAATAATAAATTGTATAACTGTTACCCCAACTTATAGGAAACCATTTTAAGCAAGATAGAAAACTCTGAGGCATAAAAAATAAGCATATTTGAGAATAAAAAGTAAGAGTAAAAAATTTGAATGACAAGACCGTAAGCAAAGTTAAAAGACAAACTATTGTCTAGAAAAAATTGAATTATCTATGACAGTCTGATAGTTAATATGCATAATATGTAAATAGCTTGTAAATGAAAAGATAAAAATCATAATTTTAAAAAGATGCAATATGTGTATGTAATTTAGAGAAAGGAAATTCAAAGATCAAAAAAATTACAAAAATGTCATTCTTCTCATTAATAGAAGAGAAGTTTAATTAAGCCATCAGTGTGATACTGTTTACCTTCAATCTGACTGACAAAATTTAAAAGAATGTTTACATCCCAGAATGTGGAGAAATGGGCTTCCTCATTAATTTTGGGGTACAAGTATGATTTAATGAATACTGTCTTGAGAAATAAACTTCTAAAGATGATTTAAATTACAATTACACAGGATCTTTGTGCCTGCAATCTGACTTTGGGAATCTATCTTCTAAATAAAAATAAAAGTATTAGGCTGGTAATACTAATGATGAGAGTGTTCAATGTTACTTGCAGTACATAAAAACTGGAACTAACTTGGATGTCAATAGGGAAATGCTGCAGAGCTACTATAAAACAAACAATAATTTATGAATTAGACCTGTATCTTCCAACCTGGAAGGTATCTTTTTTGCCTTGTTTTATGTTACCTGAGGAGTGCAGTTTTCAGAGTTACGTGCACTTATGCTTGTATATGTTTGATCATCATCAGGTGTGAGAGGATAAAGATAGAGTGTTTGCACCTGAGCATGATGAAAATTGAAGTTGGAGTGGTAGACGATTAACAACAGCAACATAAAAGACAAACTTCTTTATGTGCTTGGAATATTGATATGTGTTTCTGGATTTGAGAAGTAGTTAGATTACTGTATTTTTGTTTGTATCTCTATGTTTTAGGGTCATGTAGACTTGCAACTGACTTTTTTTTCAAAGACAATTTTTTTACAGCAGTTTTAGGCCACAATAAAATTGAGAGGAAGGTGCAGCAATTTCCCATATACCCCCGTCTCTACATTTGCATAGCCTTTCCCATTATCAAAGTCTGTTATCAGAGCAGTACAGTTGTTTCAATTAATGAACATATATCATCATTAGGACCAAAGTCCTTAATTTACATTAAGGTTCATGCTTGATGTTGTACATTCTGTGGGTTTAGACAAATGGATAATGATAGGTATGCATCATTATAATATTATGTGAAGCATTTTTACTTCCCCTAAAATCCTCTGTGTTCTCTTTGGTCATCTTTCCTCAAATCTCTTCACTCTCTCTAGAATCACGGATCTTTTTACCTTCAGTTTTGCCTTTTTAAGGATGTCATAGAGTTGAAATTCTGCACATTCACATACCAGGAAGGTGTCCATCCCAACTCCATGGAGACAGAAGCTCCCGTGCTCTGGGCTCTTCTAAATCTCACCATATATATCTCTTCCTCTGGCCATTCATCTGTATCCTTTGTAATAAATCAGCAATAGTAAATAAACTGTTTTCTTGGGTTCTGTAAGCTGCTCTAGCAGATTATCAAACCTAAGGAGGGGATCAAGGGAACCTCCAATCTTTAGCCATGTTGGACAAAAATTGTGGGTTTTCTGGGATCACTTCGTGTGAGTGACACTTGAAGTCGGGGGCAGACTTGTGGAACTGAGCCCTTAACCTGTGGAATCTGATGCTGTCTCTAGGCAGAGAGAGTCAGAATTGAATTAAATTGTAGAACACCTAGCTGGTGTTGTAGAATTGGTCCATGTGAAAAAAAAAAATCCACACATCTGGTCATAGAAGTGTTGGGTGTTGAGATTATAGTAGGGGAAACAGTTGTTTTTCTAGTACATAGAAGTTCCTGTCAGTTAATGGGCATGGGCTAGGGACAATACATTTCCTGTAATGCAGGCCTGAAAAACTATCCATTGTTGGACATAATTATGAACAACCTCAACCTGCTGGATTTACTTTTTTTTTTTTTTCTTTTTTTTTTGAGATGGAGTCTCACTCTGTCACCTAGGCTAGAATGCAGTGGCACGATCTTGGCTCACTGCAACCTCTGCCTCCCAAGTTCAGGCAATTCTCTGCCTCAGCCTCCTGAGTAGCTGGGATTACAGGCACCCACCACCATCCCCAGCTAATTTTTGTATTTTTATTAAAGATGGGGTTTCACCATCTAGGCCAGGCTGGTCTTGAACTCCTGACCTCGTGATCCACCCACTTCGGCCTCCCAAAGTGCTGAGATTACAGGTGTGAGCCACCATGCCCAGCCTGGATATTCTTATATGAAATATTTGCTTATAATAACCCAAACCTATGGCTAACCTCCATTTTACAAACAGAGCACAAAATATTGCTTGCACTGATTTAATATATGCTTGATTTTCTGAGAATGTGGCCATTTTGTGATTCAAAGCAAAGGTGTGTTTTCTGTTCAGAAGCTTCTAAAAATTGTTCACCATATTGGAAGTCACATCACCATTTATGATGTTGGATTCTTTGCATCATTTTTTTGTCCTTTAAAAATGTTAACACTAGATGCTTTAGGAATTCATTACTTTATACTTTGACAACACTTAATCTAAGGAATCAAAGTGCAAGAGTCTAAAATCAATTAAATTCTCAATTATATTTTAAAAATATATGATTAACCCCTTAATTGATAGATTATTTTGTATACTGTACAATGACTCTCATTCTGGACACAGTAGATGGCTCTTTACAGTAAATCTTAAAAACATTTTAAAGTTTGTTAATACTTTCTGTTTGTATTCAACTGATGACAAGAAAGTGAACATCGTAATTGCTACTTTGGTGAAATTGTGAAAATAATTTGAAAGCTTTTGAATGTATTTGGAAAGCTGCAAGGAAATGAGACTAATTTCTCTAAATGAAGGACATTTTATGACTTATGAAATATTAAGCAAGCAAACTTGCTTACCAAGAATTTTCCATTTTCATATTCTAGCAATTATATAAGGATAGATTTAAAGATTTAGATTTGCAGGCCGGGTACAGGGGCTCACAGCTGTAATCCCAGCACTTTGAGAGGCCAAGGCAGGCAGATCACCTGAGGTCAGGAGTTTGAAACCAGCCTGGCCAACATGGTGAAACCCCGTCTCTACCAAAAATTCAAAAATTAGCCGGGTGTGGTGGCGGGCGCCAGTAATCCCAGCTTCTTGGGAAGCTGAAACACAAAAATCGCTTGAACCCAGGAGGTGTAGGTTGCAGTGAGCTGAGATCATGCCACTGCACTTCGGCCTGGGTGACAGAGCGAGACTCTGTCTTGGAAAAAAAAAACCAAAAAAACAAAAAAAAACAGATTTAGATTTGCAAAATGTTGCTTTCACTTGCATATTCTTTAAAAAGGTGTAGTCAGGTTAACAAATCTCCACCTTAGCCTTTCCCAAATCAGTTGATAACAATTCCACCCTTCCAGTTGCTCAAGCCAATAACTTTGGAGTCATTCTTGACACCTCTCTTTCTTTCAAATCTTATAGTTGATACTTTAGGAAATCTTATCAGCTCTATGTCTAGAATATGACCACTTCTCATCACCTCCACCACCACTGCTGTTTTGGTTTGCTTGGATTTTTGCAATAGACTTCTACTAGCTTGGTGCAAAGGTAATTGTGGTTTTTGCCATTAAAATCATGGTTTTTGCCATTAGAAGTAATTACTGGATAATAACTGTTGTCCCTTCTTTTACCCTGTTGCCTTGTTGACTCTCTCTATTCTTAATATAGAAGTCAAAATTACCCTGTGGTAAGTCATGTAAATCAGATCATACCTCTCTTCTGTGCAAAGCTCTGCAGTGGCTTTTAATTTCACCCAAAGAAAAATTCAAATTTCACTCAAGGAAAAATCCAAAAATCCACTTGACCTTATGTGATCTGGGCCCTCTATGTTAATTCTCTCACCTTCCGTCCTATGCCCTCCTCTTGCTCACTCCAGTGCAGCCACACTAGCCTTTCTGCTGTTTCTCTAACAGACCTGATAGTCTCTTACCTTAGTGCCTTTTCTCTAGCTATTCTTTTTTTTTTTTTTTTACTATACTTTAAGTTTTAGGGTACATGTGCACAATGTGCATTCTGCAGCCCATGTATCAAGGAGTGATTTTGACTTTCAAGTGTTATTATTTAAAAAATACCTTTTGTAAGCTGATAGCTCTCATAGATAGTCATTCCTCTGATGGACCTGGGCAAAGTAAATTGAAAACTTTCTAGAAAGTATGTCATTTAGAACATTAGTGATTTGTGGAAGGAAGTCAAAATATCAGAGCTAACAGAAGTTAAGAAGAAGTTGATTCTAAGTTGCTACCAGAAATAACAGTAACTCTGCCATTACTTCCTCCTCCTCTGCAGTTATAGGTGGAAATAACAACAGAACTAGAATTATAAGTGGAGCCTGAAGATGTGACTGAACTGCTTCGCCTCATGATACAACTTTTACAGATGAGGAGTTGCAAAGAAACTTGGTCATCTATTAATGAATAAAGAAAGTGGTTTCTTGTGATGGAATCTACTATTCTGAACATTGTTGAGATGACAACAAAGTGTTTGGAATATTACACAATTGATAAAGCAGTAGCAGGGTTTAAGAGGATTGATTCCAAATGTGAAACAAGCTCTACTGTAGGTAAAATGCTATCAAACAGCATCATGTGCTGCTGAGAAATATCTTGTGAAAGAAAGAGTCGATCAATATGTCAAACTTCATTGTTGTCTTATTTTAAGAAATTGCCACAGCCACCATCTCAGTACGTTTCACCATCCTAATCAGTCAGCAGCCATCAACATCAAGGCAAAATCTTCCACCAGCCAAAAGATTATAACTCACTAAAGGCTCAGATAATTGTTAGCATTTTTAGCAATAAAGTATTTTTAATATGTCCCTTGTTATTTTTAGACATAATGCTATTGCACACTTAATAGACCTCAGTATAGTGTAAACATAACCTTTATGTACATTGGGAAGCTGAAACAGTAGTGTGACTTGCTGTACTGCAATATTAACTTTATTGCAGTAGTCTGAATGGAATCCACACTATCTCTGAGGTATGCATGTACAAATAAATAGAATAATACAATTAATCTTTAGTTTTATTCTATTGTTCATCTATATCACCGCTCTGTAATTTTTCCTAACTTGTACAGAATGACGTTTCTTTTTTTTGTATTAATTACAATATTATTCACTTTAAGTAGGTGCAAGCACATAACTACTTCATGGTGCTGTCTAATATAGTCATTCTCAAACCTTTTCATATTCATATACTAAATTTATTAGAAATATTTTCTTTTTATTTTCCCCTTTATATTGCATTATGACATTATATATGTGGGTAGTTGATATTATCTATGAATTTAATTTCAAAATGGCAAAATATTCATAACATTTAATTTCAGGATAGTGAAGGAGGCATTAGTAAATATTTATAAGAACAAGTAGGCACCTGGATTAGTTTAAAATTTTTTAGGTTGGAATGTAAATGGGACAGTTGAAAAAAATAGAACCAAGGACTAAACTGAATAAAACATACTAACCTGAAAGAAGCCTAAAAAAACTTTAAAAATCAGAGATTAAAGAAAAAACATAGGAAATCATCATAAACCAGGAATAAAGTTCTTTCTTTGAGTACAGATAAGACTGAGATCAGTTTGAATTCCTGATTAAAATAATCATATGCATATGCCAAATATGTATTGTAGAATATTGTTTGTTTTCCCCTCCTTTGGCAGCCATGAGAATGTGCCTCACGGACTCCCAACTACAGAGAATATAATTGACAGAAGGTGTAGCTGCTCTGCCCTGAAATTTATCAAGGTATTTGCACTGAGGCCACACTTCCTGTGGGATACTTTTAGCCTGTAACTGAGTGCAGCAGGAGCACTAAGGCAGGCCAGTTCCTGACAGACGCACGACTCCTTTGATGAGTGACTGTGGCTCCAGGACTCCCTGACAGTTTTGCTGAAGCTTCCTTGAGCTGCATGGCAGTTGAACAAGCTTCTGTCTAACTTTTTCTGTATCTCCTGTGCTTGGAGCCAGTCTTGCATCAGGTTTTGTTGTTTCTCCCAGCTTTCCCTGGCTCTCTTTCTATTTCCTCACACAGGCATTTTCCTTAACAAAATTCGTTTACGTTTAATTCTATCTTGGCTCTATTTTTAGGAGGACCTGATTGAATATTTCCCGTTATATCAATTAAATTGCAGATTAGAGTTGTCTCATAAATGTCTAACACAAAAAGGATTTTTGAGTATTTTTAATTTCTTTGACCTTTAAAGTAATTATTTCAACTGGTAGTTTTAAGCCTTTGCTCATTCTCTAAAGGAATCTAATTACATTCCTGGGATGGCAAATATCACTCATGATTACATGTTTTTTTTTTGGCTCAGTGTAGTAGATTCTATTTTTATGTCCTTTCTAAAAGTAGGGGGCAATGTCTTTTCCAGTTTGCTACTAAGTCATCATCACCATTCATTACATATACTGTAGTTTACACAGTTTTAAATTACATTGAGGGGTATTAGTTTATACAATGATTGCTCTGAAATAATGCTCATTATTCTTTTCAAAGCAATGCCAGCATAACACTATCTAACGAGATACCAGGAAACATCAATGTGGATTTAGCTATAAACAAAGTCCTCAATGAGGTAGATATATTTACAAATAAAATTATTTTCTCTTCAATTGGGAAATTAAAATAATTTCCATTTGTATTAGTATGTTCAGAGTTCTTGGAAGAATTTAGAGCACATTTTAGAAACCAAATACCCTGTTCCAATCTTTTTTTTTCCATGATGATACTTACATTTTCCTCAGTGTCAGTGGGATATACTCATTTCCCCTTTCTTTTTTATTAATATAAATGTCAGAAATACTGGGATGAATCTAAGTGAGAGGGTAAATGGATATTTCAGGGCATGTAAGGTGAGAAAAATATTTAGAGATTCATTAGATTTAAGAAAGAGAATACCATTGATAAGAATTTATGAAGTCAGTTTTAGTTTTGTAGTTATCTAAAATCAAATTCTAAGTCTTAACTAAGTAGCTGTTGATAAAATTAAGCATTATCCAGGAATAGGAAATAGCAAAATGAAGTCTACTACATGGTAGAAGAGAGAATGGCAATACTTTCTAACTCTTAGTTTGTAACCACTTAACCTTCCCTAAGCAATGAGAGATGGTAAGGAAGTGAGACAGTGTTTCCACCCACATGTCAACAATGTGGTCATGTCATGCTGGAGTAACTTTGATTTACTGATTTAATATTCTTCATATTAGTAGCATGTTGATTATGAGCAGCCTCCTTGTAGATCTTATAAAATTATGTCCTTCAGAGAATATAAATTTTCATTATGAAAAATTATGTGATTCTATTATTTCAATGGATGGTACCCATTTTTGTAACTCTGCATTCTGTTTAATGTCCAAGTTAAGGTTCCCACTGTAATGCCAACGCAGAGTTAGCACCTGAGTGTGAGTGCCTCCTTAAATTCTGCATGTGGGTGTTTTGCTGTGTCTTTCTCTCCTTCGTGACACTATCACACTTATTTGGGAGATCAACTTCCTCAAAGATGGCTGATTTAATACGAAGACATCTCAATTCCTTAACTTGATGCCCTTTCTAATCAATCATCTTTCTCTTCAGCCATTTGTTTCTATGTTTACACCATAGATCTTGTTACTACCAAAGACTACACCATTTCCAAGGCATATTAAGCTTCCTACTTTTTGATACCTCTACTAACTTCACAGCTCAGTCTCTCTAGCACCATCACTTGACCAATTCTTATGCCCAGTTGAAAAATCTAATGTTCTTTCCCCATCATGCTCCCTCTTACATTCTTTTCACTTTACATGTTTAGAACCCATTATTAAAATCTTTCCCCTGCATGCATCTATATTTCTCTATCGTCTAAATTTACCAAAACTCAGATCCCATTTAAACCCAAGAGGTCTGCTGCACACCTGAAACCAACAGATGAACAGACTGAATAAAACCAACCAGCTGGAAAACAGAAAACACAGTGGGCTTGTCCCATTTTTTATAAGTTTCAAGCTTTCCACTCAGCTCTGTACAAATGTTCCACTAATTTCTCTAGTCAAATTTTTTCCTTATGCTCAAAATATCTATATTAGACTTTTTCCGTCTCTTCAAACCTTCACCATCCATTTCTTATTCTTCACTCTCAGCTGATAAGACAAGCAGAATAAAAAACCTTTTCCTATTTATTACAGTTCCCAAATTTATCAGTTCCACTGTATTTGTGCTCATTTCCTTATTCTTTCAGTATAATGGATAAACTGCCTCTGACTTTACTTAAGACCAACACTTTGTTGGATCCCCCATCTTCTTTCTCAAAGATTTTACTTCTGAATTATCTCCTCTCTGTTCTCATAATCAATTTCTCATTTTTTCTAGGTTTATCCCCTTAGCATAGTGATATGCCTTAATAATTCTTATTTTAAAAATTGAAGAGACCTGTCATTGAATCTACACCACCATCCAGCTGTTCCATGTTTCTCTCTTTCCCTTTAGAACAAATTTCCTTAACAAGCTTTATACTTGCACCAGTTTTATACTTGTATTCAAGGAAGTAGAACAAGTATAGAATAAGAGATTAATTATTGGAAATATAGGGGGAGAATATAGGAAATAAGGCTACAAAAAGGGAGTTAAAGGATCAGGGAAAGTCACCAATCACTCTCCAGAAGCACTGGTGTGGGTGAAAAGTCAGAGCCTACAGGGGAATCTGCAAAGCCAGGCATGTCCAGCTGCAAAATAAGTCTATGAAAGGCTGCTGCCTATGCACCTGGTGGTGTGTCTGGAATTGTTGTTGGTCCACAGTGCATTCAGGAAGAAGATCTGCAAGCGGAATTGGAAGAGAATGAGGACAAGCTGGTACAGGCTGACAGATTCTATGTCTGCCTCTCACTATATCTAATTCTGATAACTTTCAGAGAGTAACAACTACTGCTTCAGTTCTGCATGCAGATATATCTTTTGTTCAGCTCTAATCTAGAACCATCCAGAGAAGTGGTTTTATAACACATAGTTCCAGCTTACTCCAATCACCACAGTGCAAAAGTACCACCATATTCACTGTATCAACTTTCTCACTTTCCATTGTGCTTGAGTTCATTCATGTCGGAATTTTATCCCAATGTCATTACATCAGTTCTTGTAAAATTGACTTATGAATCCATGTCATAAAATTCAGCGATAATTTCTTAAACAATGTGTTGATTAACCTTTAAACTTTATTTGATGCAGCTCTTGAAATAATTTCCCATCTTGTATCAGGGACATAGAGTCTTTCCTGTATTTTCTGCTTCCTCGTGGTCTAGTCCTCTTCATTCTCCTTGGCAGACTTCTCTTCTTAACCTCTATATGCTTGAGTGCCTTATAGCTTGTTGAATCCCCATCCTCCATGTTTGTTTTCTACCAGCTTCATTCTTCAGGTCAACTTACCAATTACTGTTGTTTAAATAATATGTATATACTGAAGACACCCACATTTATATTGTTAGCCATGACCTCGTCTCTAAACTAGACTTGTTCATATTGGTTCTTTCTTGATACCACTACCTCAGTGCCTAATAGACATCTCAAACTTGGCCAGTCCAAGAAAACTGCTTTACAACCTTTCTTAAATCCGATACTCCCCAAATTGTCCTCCATAATCAAACAACACAATTATAAGACCAAAAATGTCCATGTCATCTTTAGTTTCTCTACTCCCCTTACCCTTCATAACCAATCCTGCCAGCTCTATTTAAAAAATATTTATTTTAACCTGATAATTTCTCACTACCTTTTCTTATACCACCCCAATACAAACCAGTACCAACTTTCAACTAGATCCCTGTAACAGCCTTCTCAAATGTTGTCCTGTTTTCCCTCTGCCCCTCATATTCTTTTCTCTATCACACAATAGGAATGTGCTTTTGAAAATGGACAGTAGTTCATTTCATTCTTGTACTCGAAATCTTCCAGTGGATTTTCATCATACTTATTCTGGCTTACACAAGAACATAATCTTACATAATCTTCCCTTTTCCTGCCTCTTGGAGAGGATACTCCTATTACTCTCTTTTTTGCTTGGCTCCTACCATCTTGAACTACTTCTTGCTCCTCAAACACATCAAAGTCATTATTATATTTTGGTTTTTAATCTCTCTTGAATTTTGATACTCTTGATCAACCCATTCTTCTTGAAATTATTTCTTTCTTTGGATTCTGGGATGCCATTTCTTCCAGTTTCTACCTATTGTTTTTGGCCATATTTCTAAAATATCTTCTCCTATTCTATTGAGTGTGTCTCTAGTGGGCTAAGTACAAAAGATAACTGAAACTGGTTCCATATTCCACAAGGTAGACCCTTTGTTAGTACTGGAGGCATTACTTTGACATGGTGAGATTGGATTGGGTGAGGAAAGATATAACAGTAAATGAGATCTTAAACTATTTTGATATTGTGAATACTCTGTCCCATCTATATTTGTTTAGTTTGAATTAGTTAGGGTAGAAATAGTATAATATTTAGCAAGCTCAAGAAATCACCAGAACTCTTCAGTGATTTCCTATTCCAGAACCATTTGTAATTGACAGAATATAGCCCAAGAAATATACCTGGAGCTCTTATGATATTCTTATTCTTTCAAATTAGTGCCCTATGCATCAGGCAAATTCTCATGTCCTCCCTTCTCAATAAAATCTATTATTACTTCTACAAGCTTTCAAAGGCTATACAATTGAGTAAAATAGTTCAAACTAAGATATCACAGGTTCAATCACGGTTAAATATATTAACATTAACTCATCTAACCAGGTAATAATCTTAAAATTGTTTATATGCTTTCAGTTTTCATATTTCAATTTCATATAAAATTGTTTTATATGCTAATACCTATTAGCAACAAGGAAACTTATCCACAGGGAGCAGGGAGCAAACAATGTCAGGATTTAATTCATTGTGGTGAGGCTGGTGGAGGAGATATTTTGTAATTTTTAGTTTTTATTCTTTACTATGTGGCCCTTTGAGTCTAAACTTCCTTTTCTTACAATTTTCTTTCTCTTTTTAGTTTCCCCAAAGCAAGAGAACTACAACGGTTGACTAGTATATGGAAATAAACTTGACTTTGGAATTTAAAAAGGGGAACTTCTATATCTGCAACAATAGTCTTGGCAATCAGACATTCAGGTGTAAATAACATTAATTTTATTTTAAAATAATACTGGTAAGTATTGTTTCTTATAAAGGAAGACAATATCACGTTTTAAAAGATGAGCTATTATGCCCTGAAGAAATGGCTTCCTGTGTTGGCAGTTCATTCAGTAGGCCCTCTATCATAATGCGAACTGTCAGCAAATATATTCTAATCAGAGTGCGATTCTTATCTCTGAAAATGCATCTCCTGCAGCATTTGCCTAGCCACTATGAGAGCAGAGGTGGCAGAATCCCTTAGAAACTCTCTACTCATTCCAGAAAGAATGGTGTACATTTTGGCTCCCTGAACTCAAGTTGTTTCTGCACCACATCACTGCTTTGCAAATGAGCAGCATTTTTTTCTGCTGTGGTCTTGTGGCCTAATATTAATACATTTTTACAATGGAAACCCAATGGATTAGATCATTTTCCTAGGTTTGTATCCCAAGGGATAGCTAACCTATGTTACTTGTTTTAATTAAATTACCACACTTTCCGTGTGATTAAATGACTGAATAATAAAGACTTATGAGATTAAATTTTAATGCACCATACGTTAATATGACCAATGGAGGAAAACATATGATTTTACCTTAAGTAAAATTTTTTTGTAGCAATTGTTTCACCTCTTCCCTCCCTTGGCGTTTTTTTTTTCCCCAGAGGAAATCAGAGTTTCAGCATTGCAGAGAACTAAGGAATGGATCCTCCTGCAGTGGCACTCAATGAATAGGAAAGAACATCTTTGAGATTTTTCTAAAGAAGACTTTGGGATATGGATGGAGATTCTGGGTATGGGCCAATGCTTTTGGAGAAGTAATATTGGCTGACTCCCATTCCTATTCCTGCTGGAATAAGAATACTTGCATTTTTTTTTCATCCTCACGTGTCAGGTATACTTTACATCAGCTATGTAGACCTAGCAACCTATCAGTATGAACAGTCATGGTCACCTAACAGGAAAATTATGTACAACCACCTTAAATTTCAATGCAGAAGAGTTTGTACAACCTTGTTTCTTTTCCTAGTATCATCATGATAGCCTCAAAGTCAGAAATCATTAGGCAAAAAAGGGAAAGAATATCTCTTGATTTGTACTTCAGAAACATTCCCTAAACTATGATTAAGAAACTAAAAATATAAAACCTCCAAAACTATAGTAAATGTTGTGCATACTTTTGCCAGAAGTTATTATATTTAGTTACATCTGAGACCAGTTAGATGTTTTATTTTCTATTTCATTGTTAAATAATGTACATCTAAAATAATACATTTTGCTATCTTAGCCTGAATTTAATTGTGTAGAATATGAGAAGGACTGCAAATATATTGAAGGAGGTTTGTTCGCTTAGTCTGCATTTAAAAAGAAGAAGAAATGCCAGAATCTTTGAAAAGTTCTAACACAGTACTTCTTTTTACTTTGGACTTCTCTGAGAAAAAAACATTGAAAATGAAAACAAATCAGGAAAATGCTTTTTCCTTTTTTTTTTTTTGAACTGCGAGCATAGTATACGGAAGTAAGTACAGAAATTTGGCTTCAAATTCTGGTACTCGCTAGCTATGTGTGTTGGGGATCTGTTTTTTAATTTGCATAAAGGAGTTATCAGTACTTATCTCACAGGATTACTCTGATTAAATGAAATATCATTTTTGAAGGATCCCACAAGCGTCATGTAGTAAATGCTCATCAAATGTGAGGTTCTCTTTTCTTCTGGAAACTTCCACCATGTGTGGGTAAAAGAAAAAAGAAAATTCTTTTATTTATTTTTTGTTGTTGTTATTTTCTACCCTTTTAAAACTGTAAAGTATTTAGGGAAAATACTACACTAAATTCAGAAATGGATAAAACACTCACATTTGGTTTATTAACTTTCTAGTTAAGAGATTTATTCTCTAGCTCATTTAAATATTTTGAGAAACATACTGTTACATTTAAACAAGAAATCTGTCTCCCCTATACTTTATGAAGCTTTTCCAGTTTCCTGTCTTCAAGTTAGGAAATGAGGAGATTGAATGCATTCTGGCCTCAACACACCAACATTTCTGAGCTGACCATGAACGTTCGTTCAGATTCTCACAAATACCTCAGGACCTTCAAATGTAAAGCATTTGGGCAATAGACTTAGTCCAGGGACATGATGCCAGCCTCCTTCGTTGTGCCGTTTGCCAGACCCTGATTTGTAGAGTACAAACTTTCCAAGCTGGACTTTTCTTCTTGGATGCTGCAAGCCATTCAGAGTATCTCATTCCCTGCTGTTTGTGTTCCTTCTTACTTCCTATCCTGCTCTGCTGTATATTGTCATAGTTATTTTGCCTGTGGTTTTTCTTCTGCTTTAAGACCTTTTTTTCTGTCAGTATTTAAGGTTGTTGAAGGAAATATAAAGTCCAACTCATTTAGATAGGCTTCAATTTATATTTTTGACAAATATTTGCCCCAAATAATATCAGTGGAGTACCATTATCTTAGTATATCTCTGGTTGATAATAGCCTCAGTTTTAACCTCTTAGTATAAATAAATAGGATCTCATAGCTTGTAACCATGGAGAAAGCAAGAGTTTACAAACATTTATACACAGTTATAAAGCTTCCCTGGAGGAAAATGGATGCAACAGAAGGGAAGATAAATTATCTTTAAGTATGTTTCTCAGATTGGATTGTTCTTAATAAATAACTCTGTTCAACACATTTTCTCCCTTTGAGCCAAATTCTGCCTTTGGTTGTTGGCCTGTTCTGTTTGCTCACAGAGGGAGGTCCACATGGGAAAGCGTGCAGTTGCCTCAACTTTAAAGAATTTAGAAAAAGTAAAAACACGCATTGCTGTGAAGGTTCATTCATTTCAGTCAACTGGTATTTATTGAGTTCCTACTATGTAATCATCACTGAGTAGGAGGTTATTAGGGAGGCAGGCACATGGAAAAATTAGACAGTGACAGGGACAACAGATATAAAAGTACCAAATGACCACATATTACTGTAGAACGGTGGTTCTCAACTGGGTGATTTTTGTCCCCCAGTGGCATTTGGCAATATCTGAAGACATTTTTGATTGTCACAGCTAGAGTGGAGGTGTCGCTGGCATCTAGTAAGTTGTAGCCTTTGTAAAATTGTTAGTAGTATCCCACAATGCATAGCACAGTCCTTATAATGATGAATTGTCTGGTCCCACAATGCTGATTAAAAATAATGCTGAGGTCGTGGGCCATGTGCAGTGTCTCATGCCTGTAATTCAAGTACTTTGGAAAGCTGAGATGGGTGGATTGCTTGAGCACAAGAGTTTCAGACCAGCCTGGGCAACATGGCAAAACCCCATCTCTACAAAAAATACTAAAAGTAGCGAGGCATGGTGGTGCATGCTGTGGTCCCAGCTACTCGGGAGGCTGAGGTGAGAGGATCGCTTGAGCCCAGGAGGCAGAGGTTTCAGTGAAGGGAGATCCTGCCACTGCACTCTAGCCTGGGTGACAGAGAAAGACCTTGTATCAGAACAATAATAATAGTAATAATAATAATAATAATAATGATAATGCTGAGGTTGAGAAACACTGATGTAGAAATATCAAGAGAGAGCGAGAGACCCCAACAGGTACAAAGGCCTTTGTTTTGCAAAATTCTGTCAGGATATGATAATATAAATAACAACTTTAAAAAGTTCTTTATTTTCTTTGAAGAAGTTGGAGTATATCTGTCTGTCACTAATATCCTTGTTCTTGAGTAGTAAACAAGCCTTTTGTTGTTAGCTGGACATCAGAGTGGCTCTTCTTGTGTGCTTCTGAGTGTAAGAGATTTTCAGGAAAGAGCTCCCTGAGCTTCAGTTTACAGCCTTTTCTTTCTTTGAGCCCAGATACGAGTCTATGAGCCTTGGTGAAGAACCAATATCCATGACTTACACAATTCTGTATTTTCCCATGGTTTCCTCTACCTATTCCAAAACTTTCACATAAATCATCTCAGTCCTCTGGTGGGGTTCCAGTGTGTCTTGGCAGGTACCCCACCAATCCATCATACCTAAGACACACTGGAACCCCACCAAAGGACAGAGATAAGGCCAAACCTGGGAGCCCTGTCACTTACTTTAGGGTTTTGTAATATGGGAAACATGGAACGTGAGTGAGACGGGGTGGGGTGTGGGATGATGGAGAGAGAGAGAGAGAGAGAGAGAGAGGAGAGAAGGCAAAAGGGGTGACACGCACGACCTCAGTTTACAATTGTTCTGATGTCCCAGATCCTTTGGAAGGGCTGTGGTTTGGGCCATGTTGGCCCTCAGCTTTCTTTTTCTTCCTTTTCAGAGAATCCTTCCCAAATTTAAGTTTAGGGGGCCTTCTTGCATCATCCCACACAGTCTCAGCATCCCTCTAACTATTTATGTTGTAATTGTCTCTTTAGGTGTTCATTTTCCTTAGTAGGCTGAAACCAACAAGGTCAAGTGATATGTAAGCTCCCTGTTGCTAGGACAGTGGCTAGTGACTGAGAGACACAAATAACTGTGAAATTAATGAATAAGCCGGTACATATTCTATTGTGCTTAAACCAAAAATTAGACCGGGAGAACACTTACAAAGCTTTCAGTTTTCTGGGTTGCTGGAGGTCCAGTTCTGCCTGGCACCTTTTCCTTGGTGGAAGACAAAGGGACATTGGGTATGTTTTTTTCTTATTTATTCACCTGTCAGCACAATCACAGTGCAAGCTTCACATCTCTCCATGTCTATCTTGCAATTTCTCATTATTTTCTCTACTTTTGTTGATTGTGTGTTTTATCTCCTCATTGAATTTTTGGCTCTTGGATGGTGAAAGCTGTGTCACGTATTTGGTTTTTATATCCAAAGTGCTTCATTTCCATTAATGAGTCTATACTCTGCTGCTGTTATTGACAAAAGGCATATGAAAACGTCTGGAGTTGCTGTACACAGAATCTCTCTTTACTTCCTTTGCCTCATGTACTGAATGGTGGATTTTGCTAAGATCGATGTCCTTCTTCATTAATATAAGACATTTTTTCTTTTAAATTCTGGTTTCTGATGACTAGGAGATGTGAATTCATATTAGTTACATTTGAGTTTATTAATAAATAATTTATTCTTTCAAATAATTTATGCTATAGAGTAAAAAAGTCCCTAGTCTCTGGTTTAAATCCTGAGGTAATACTTAAGTAAATGCATTAAGAAAGATGACCACAGCTGTGGGTTCAAACTTTGTTTACTAATCCAGAATGCCGTGAACTAATGTTTTCCTTTTTTTTCATTATTTTGAGTGAAAAGGAGAAAAATAAAAATGAGAGGAGTTGGCAATAAAATAAAGTTTTAGTGAAAATGGAAAAAAATGATGTTTCAATTGGAAGTGAAAGAAAAGAGTTAAAGCTGATAATATAAGTTAGAGATGTAAGCAGAATGAAGGAGATAGAGAAAGTGAGTGAGAATGGAATATTAAATGGCAGGATACATATGCCCTCAATATGAATTTGTGTATGGAATCTTAGGTTTCCACTCATTTTGTTTTTAACAAAAAGACAAGTAGTAGATACAAAATATATATCATATTGAAGGGCAATTATCTCAAGCCTTTAGTCTCATTTCTATCCTGATAGAGAAAGATTTCATGTAAAGAACGAATGCCGCTTTTCATGCTCAGTTCTATAGTGCTGGTTATATTTGTTAAGGCAAGATCTGATTTTTCTCAGATAACGATGGGGAATCCCAAGTCTGGGCTTTGTAAATCTGTTGCTCGTGTTCTCATTTTATGAGCTTAGGTATCATTAAGTAAACTTAGAGATGACCACTCTTCTCTCTTTCTTTTTCTCTCTTTCTACATATATGATATAAAATTTATCATAAGTTATTATACCTTGACAATTAGAGTGAACATACATGGCCTGATTTCAAAACAAAATAGACTCGGTAATTGCTTTCTTATAGCTCAAGCTTTGCTCAGGGATTATACATCAGTAGATATACTCTTTCCTGTTGGAGAACTATTGAATTGTAAAGTAAATGCAACATACTTATACAGTTATGATGAGCAACTGACAAGAGGGATTAAATCAGGAGGCAAGGAGCTCTGCAGAAATTGACTGGAGGCCCTGCTGTTGAAATGCCAGAGCACAGTCTGTGCATATTTTCCCTCTCTGTTTTCACTGCCTAATTGAGAGAGGCGTTAATGCAGTGAAGAGTGCCGGAAGCAAAATGCCAGCTTTGTAAAATAGGAAACAGATATATCTAATTATTTTTTTAGTGGAGCTACTGTCTAGGATAGAGCTGAACAAATGTGGTTGATGCTTTGCCTGTATGATAGTTATGAACAAGAGAGAAATCTGGCATAAATTCAGCGGTCGATGTCATCAAAAACCCCAGAAAATTCATGGTTCTAGTTACTCAGATGATAAGAGCATCATTAGATAAGAGTTGACTAAAAATAGTGAATATACACTTGGTCTTCTGCATTGACAGATATATGTTGAAGGAGGATAAATATTGATTCTCACATTTCACTAGTGCTTTCAAAATTGGGAGAGTGAGTCTTTCGTATTGCCCTGATCTACTTTGGATGAAGCTCTCTCTAAAAAGATAAAATGCAATTATGGAATAATGTTTAGTGTTAACATGAGAGAAGATGGTACAGGCCAAAGTATCATCATTAAATACAATGCACGTAACATACTGGCTCATGTTAATTAGTCCGTCAGTGAAAAGCAAGGAGCTCCAAATGACTGTGGGAAAATGACTTGGTGATTTGCGATTGCTGGTCAGTCTCACAAAAGGAGAATTGTCTATTGTGAAAAAGTAGAGAATGAGAAATCAAAGAATCTGTTAGAATTGGATATGGTGGTGGTAAGAGAGGTGACTGAGAAGAATCTGAAACGTATTGGGTTAATTTTCTGAAAATACAATTTGATTTTACCTTTTTGGGGTTCCAAAGGAGTCTCATGGTTAGAAGATTGGTATTTTATCATGTAAACTGTTCTTTCATACTTACTCACATTATCCCGCTGAGCAAACTTTGAATTTGACAAATGAAGAAACAAACCACATTTTAGATACTAGAATATATTTTCTATAAAGCACACAAAAATAGAATGCAGAGCAGAATCACAGGAAACTGTGAACTTACTATGCAAATCCTTTATTTGCTTGCAATTTCTAGGAGCCGCTGATCCTGCATGCACATTGCTTCCTTGGTTTGGACATATGTAGACCGGACATCATAAATACAGAATACAAATTTAAATTATGTTAACAAACAGCAAGCATACTCAAATATTATATTCTGACTTTTAGTAATGATGTAAAAGAATTAGATGGTAAGATAAAATACAAGAATTATCACATTAGGATCTGCTATAGACAATGTTTACGTTAGTTACCCAGATTTTATTTCTTAGTACAATCAACTTCCATTAAATGGCTAATGACCAAAATGTAAAGAAGGAAGTAAAGCACAAATTTTGGGGGCAAACATGAATATTTTACTATGGAATAGAGGAATAAAGAGCAAAGTACTTTATTCTGCTAATTGCTTTTATTCTATTGTGTGTTTCATGCCCCAAACACCTTGAAATAAATGAATTACTGAGTTCCTAGGGCAAATTATTCCCTCCTTCCCTTGCTCCCTCCCTCCTTTCTTTTTCTTTTTTCTTTTTCTCTTTTTTCCTCCCTCCTTCCTTTCTCCTTTCCTATTTATTGGGCAGCTAACCAATTCCAGGCACTTGGGTAGATACTAGTAATATAATGGTGATTAAGGCTGAAATCATTTTTACCCAAATGGATGTAACATTGATTGAATAATCTTTAACATACCCCTCAGATATAAACCTTTGACATTTTGAAGTTTTAGCATGATGAGATAAGGTTTCCTCTTACTGGGAGAGAAAAGAAGTATTTGAGTACTGAAAGGCAAAAAACAAGGCATCAACCCATTTTCCTCCTTATCTTAACATCTCTAAGATACATAAATATTTTTTATATAATTGAAGAAGTCTGAATATTGATTGCTATGCAACCAGTTAGTGTGGTGGGGTCAAGAAGCTGGAAGAGATTGTTAGAAAATATTAGTTATAGTCTGCTTTCATGAGATGCATAACATTCAAAGTAGCTGAGTGAAGTGGGTGGGGAAGCGTGGAGTGGTTAGTGTCCATAACCACATTTATCTATTTAAATGAGCCAAATGTAGTTTGTTTTTTTTAGCTAGACATCTTTGTTCTGATGGGACTGTCTCCTTGGGTTTCAAGTTCTCTAACTGAGCATGACTGGCATAGAACTGTAAAGATAACAGAAAATACTAACTATGGCTGTGCATCTATAAGCCAAATGCCTTCCAATCACATTGAATTCTTTCTCCTGAATATTGTTGATAATAGAAGAGCCTTCTTTCTACACTAAAGAATACAGTATGACATGCTTGGATGTGATTTTCTTGTTTTTCTTCAGAGAACTTTCTGGGATTATACTGTTAAATTAGCGGACCAATCAAACTAAGTATAAATTATTGCATTTGGGATTGAGGTCCATAGAAATCTTTTATTCAAGATAGCATGTTCCTGTTCTATGACTTGTCTTTTCAGTTACCAATTCAGAGGGAGTGTGGGGTAGTAGGTAGTGTGTTAGATTATGACTGAGAAAACCTCATCCTGACTCTTCCACACTCTAAACATGCAAAGTTGCCCAAGTCATTAAGGCCTTTGAGTTCCAGTTTCCTCATCTTTCTTAACTTCCTCATAGATTGTGAAGCATAAAAGAGATGATCTGTATGAAAGTATCTTCACAATTGTGAAACATTATAAGTATGTAAAGTGTGGTGTTGGTATAAACACAGACTATATTCCTGACTTTAAAAAAAGTTACTGTATATTTAAAGTAAGCAATAAAAATAAGATTCAGAAATTCTTATACATAATGGAAATGCAGATATATAGTACTAGCTACTCCTGAAATTCGTGTTAATACATTTATCTTTTCTTGTAATTATAGATCCTTATTAGGCAGAATGAAGCCTCGGCAGAAGTCAAAGTTCTGCCTAGAAAGGTTAATATTTTTGAGCTCATTTATTCACTAATAGTAAGCTAGAGGGTATACAGGTTAATAGGACATGAAATCTGTTATTTGAGGTCTCAAAAAAAAGTTGGAGTCAGCCATATAAACAAATAATTTTGCTTTGATATAATAAGACCTATAGAACAAAGAGCAAATTATTTAGTTAGCACAAGAGGGAAAGACAATAAAACCCACATTTTAAATAACTATTTTCTTCATTATATTTTCTCTAAAGAACAGTTATTCCAGTATTAAAACAAAATGATTTAAGAAGAAATAAAAGAGTGTTTACCATGTCTAAATGGCAGAATCCATATTTTGTCCTGAGAGGGATTGCATCTGCTAATTCAATAACCTAATAGACTGTGTTTCAGACATTGCCATACTTTGTTTATAATAATGAACAATATTCAGTGGGACACAATGTTTGAGATGAATGAGAATGGGAGAAGGTAACTTTTTTTTTTAACCATTTTACTACCTTCCTGTGTGAAAGCTCTTAATGTTTTCTTTTCCAAAATATCCCCAATGCTATCTTCCTTTCCATTCTGCCCTCTTATCCTTCCTTTCCCGTTTCTAAATATATCCATCTATTCCTCGCATTTTGCCTTCCTTCCTTGCAATTCTCAGATTCCAGCCAGATATGATGAGCCCGGAGTACTGAATAGATTGGGCCTAATCTAGATAGAAATCATATTTTCTTCTTTCCTATAAACTATCTTCCAAATAAACAAAGCGTCAATGTCTCCTCAGCTTAGAAACTCTTCACTTCTTTTTATATATGCCTGGGATATGTTTAATGTCTAAAGAATCATAATTTTTGTCTATAGGCATAATATGGACTCTTCACCTAAAATCAACAACAACAACCATCAGAACAACCTCAGACTGATAATAATAATTAAGAAAAAGACAACTACCACCACACTCAAAAGATGGGGTTTGTCGCTGTCCCTATTGGGAATTGCTGTGGCTGTTTCTAGGAGGAAATAACAATTTTATGAATGGGGCTTCCTTCTTTTAAATATTCTATCTTTAGTTGAAATGGTTTTCTAATACTATGTTTAAGAAATTAAGCATGTAAACTGCAGAAAGAGTAAAGGGAATACTGTGAATGTGCTTGAGTAAAGATAAATGATATGAATGTTTGACTCTGGGCCTCTGTCTGTTCTCAGGAACAAAACTGTAGTGAAGAGGATAGATACAGTCTAATTAGTTTTCCTACTTATAATCTGAGAATTGAAATGAGTCTTTTAAGCACACCCTGTGAAGTTTGTGAGTGGGTTTGAATTTGGGTGGGTGTGAGGAAAGTGGTGAGGTTGTTCCTTACTACATAAGAACTAGCAAAGTGAGCAGCTGGGTGAGGCTTTATGTGTAGAGGCTTGGATTTTCCTGGAGTTCAATTTGGCACATGTATAGTCATATGGAGTCTTCCTTTCATGTTTACGCCTTTTTTTGTTGTTGTTGTTGTAGCAACAATGGGAAGATGAGTATATGCACTTGCTTAAGGAAGTGCAACAGCTCTCAAACATAGGATAGGGCTGGAAGTCTTTGTGTTAAGCTATACCCAGAGAGAACTATTATTTATAGATCACATCTTCAAGGGCAAAGCATAGAGTACACTTCAGATATCAGGCTTACTCTGTGAATTTCCTGTCGTGATACCACGGCTGCCTTGAATATATGACCTTCTGAAGGACTTGCATTGATTTTGAAAATTAAAGATTGGCTTAGGCAGAAGAAGCTATCCAAGTCATGATATGTTTTTCTCTGTGATAATTAGATGAATATATTCAAGATATTCTCAAAAGAATCAGTGGAATTATAATAGCAGAACCAAAAATAATGTTCTTTATTGAGAGTCTTCATTCTAAGGAATTGAAAATACATTGACATCTTTTCCCTCCTTCATCTTTATAAAAGAGACAGGGTAAGTGGAGGTAATTTAGAAAAAAAAAAATTTAAGACTAGTGTAAGCAGTAGAAAATAACCTAAAATTAGATTGATCTGGAATAGCATGGGCTCTACCCCAAAATGAGAGGGAGGAAGTTTCCTTTGGGCCATCTTTGTCCTATTCATGGCTTCCCTGTGTCTTTCAGTATTTCTTACTCCAAGGCAGAGTTCTCCTGCAGTCTCTTGAATGCCCAGGGAATCCTGTAGCTCCTTTCTGGCTGTTTGATAACTTTATGAACTCTCCTGCCCCTGGTTATTCCATTTCCCCTGCAACTTAATGTTTGACTGGCTGGATAAGGTGCTTGCTTTCTTCAAAATAAGGCCTGCCCTTCCTTCCTTCCTTCCTTCCTTCCTTCCTTCCTTCCTTCCTTCCTTCCTTCCTTCCTTCCTTCCTTCCTTCCCTCTTTCTTTTCTCTCTCTCTTTCTTTTTCTTTTTTTCTCTCTCTCTCTTCCTTCCTTCCTTCCTTTCCTGTCTTTCCTTTTCCTTCTTTTCTTTTCTTGTCTCTCTTCTCTTCTTTTTTTTTTTTGAGACAGAGTCTTGCTCTGTCCTCCAGGCTGGAGGGCAATGGTGAGATCTCCACTCACTGCAACCTCTGCCTCCTGGGTTTCAGCTATTCTCCCACCTCAGCCTCCTGAGTAGCTGGGGGGATTACAGGCACCCACCACCACACCAGGCTAATTTTTGTATTTTTAGTAGAGACGGGGTTTCACCATGTTGGCCAGGCTGGTCTCGAACTCCTGACCTCAGGTGACCTGCCACCTCAGCCTCCCAAAGTATGAATGAGGCCTTTTCATGCAGAACGCATGAGGCCAGCCAAATTTTATATAATCCGACATCATTATTTTCTTTATATAGTGGAGTTGAGCTACATTATGTCAAGAAATCTGCAGATGTATCTCAAATCTACTTCAGCGTACTCTGGTTTATCTGTTTGGAGGGTAAGAATTGGTTTTGACTGTAGTGTTTATTAAATTATATCTAATTCTCATAGTGTATGTTGGTTTAGTATATTTCTTCAGTTGAACTAAAGAGATTCTTTGGGTAATGGGAAGTACAGATAGTATCGTTCGTAGGACCGTCTTAATCACCCATGTCACATTTTACTTATAAAATAACTGGTTCCATTTACTATCATGTGGTAGCTTTATAATTAATTTTGAAACAGTATGTTGATTCTTTTTAATTTTTTGGTGATTTTTCTGTTTTAAAGCTATTTCTGACAATTATATCACAATTATATCAAAGAACACATACTGTTCAAGCCAATCATTTTGTTTCTTGTTTCTTTGGCACAGGATGATGTCAATAATAAAGGGCTCTGATATTATAGGAGGGATTCAAGTACCCGGTTATTCTTATCAAGCCCATTCAAAAGAATAAATGATATGTAATATATCATACCTGTTAATACTTGTTTGAACATATTTTTCAGGTACACATAATCTATGATTTGTGCAGTGGTGATTTATGTGGTTGGCTTAAGAAAAGGAGGTTGTTCAGGGCTTAAATGCTCCTGTGGGTTTATTATGCATAAAATCCTGAGATTTAAACATTTTATTGAAGTGGTTCCATGATCATGCAGAGCAAGTTATTCTTGGCTGCCTATAAAGAAAGTAAAACACATTTTTGGTCTTATTTCTGTCTTTTATTCCTACCTGATGTCATCCTCAAATAGCACAATATCCTCAAACCAGGAGGTTACAACTAATTCCAAACAAACTTTATTGGGGACTTTCCTTCCTGCAGACATTTCCTAACAGAATATACTATAAACATTCTCAGAGCTCCCCGACAAGAGACGGTCCTAATGTTTGGTTCTTACTACAAACCTTCAGCTTTGGTCTACTACACATGATTGTCAGTGAGAACCCTTCCTTCCCCCAGCAAAACCTTGTGTGGAATACTGAAAGACTTCCATGAAAGCAGACTCACACAGATGAATGCTGATATACCAGAGAAATAAACAGAAGGAAAAATGGCACATTTTCTGGGAGGCAATCAAAAGCAGTTGGGTTGCTAAGGAGGAGGAAAGCACATAAACATTTTTAGATACTAAATTCTATTTGGATATCTGAATGAATACAGTTGAATTCATGGAGTAAGTGTAAAATAAAACAGGAAAAAATTTATAGGCCAAAAAGAAATTATTGATGCGTGTCAACTCCCACCCTTCAAGTTTTGCTTTCTTTTGGTTTCCAAGTTTCCATTCTCCTAAATCAAACTATATAATCACTTGAGATAGTTTGCATTTGAGATTTCTTTTCAGTCTTTGTCAATAGTTATAATTTACATGAAAAGAAGCTGCAGTGCAGTTGCACTTTATCTTTCAAATAAGGATTTCATTTAGCTTTAATAGGACAGTTATCATATGTTAATTAAATACTGATGGATTATGAGAAACATATTTATTGAGGTTTACCAACAAGGTACAAAAATATGTTTTTAATCTGAGTTTGGCATTTAGCTGGTTTTCAGATTCTTCTGTAGAGAGATATAGCTCTTCAGAATTAATATTATGACTATTTTACTAAGATAAAATTGTATGTGGCAGTTAAAGTATTTGTATCTGCAACTGAGGTTTACAGTTATGTTGCAGAGATGTGTGTGGATATGTTTTTGATCAGCAAACACTGAATCTTCCAACATCAATTATATATTTAGAAATCCATTGCTCCTTATTTATAGCTACATTTGTATTTTTAGAATTGGACTGTATCAGGTAGTTAAAAACTCTGACCCTGATGGAATCCTTTCCTTTTTTTTTTTTATCAGTTTTTCAATATGCTATTTAACAAGAAATGATATAGTTTAAGAATGTTTTCTTCAAATCAACGCTTGTCATCTACAGGACTGATTGTATTCCCTCGAATTGAGCTCATTTTCCCTCACCATAGTTTTGAATACACTTGATTGAATCCACCTTTTATTTTGAGAGCCAATACTTCTCCTCATTTCTCTTTTTTGTATGAGTGATTATAACCCTCTTTTTTTTCTGTCTCCTCTTCTGTCATTTTATCCCTAAAGCCTGCCCTAAGGACTTAAAACCTGGCTTTCCACCAAAATACATTGTCTGGAGTCAGAGATCTTAAGAGTGCTGAGTTAACTTATCTCCTGAGTTTCTAGGCACTTTATAAAGACTACAGAGTTAAACAATGGGAGCCAGTAAAAGTGGAGTTGAGGAATTATCTGAAAAATGTGACCAATATGCACAGCAAATCTGGATCATTTCATCTCTATTTTTCCCCTTCAATAACAGGATTATTCGGGTCTTGACGCTTGCATTAAATTTCTACTTCTTTGTACATACTGAGATGCAGCCAAAGGCAAGAAGTAATTTTTGAGTTTTCTTTTTATTAAAGCAAAATATATGAAATCCTTGATTCATAAGCTTTTATAACATGTCTCATTAAAAAAATAAGAAGATGAAGAAGCTGAAATTACTTGTGTGCTTAAGAAGAGAACACAAGGTGGCAGGGCCACAGCAGAAATAATGTTACTTCTAATTGTATTATCTGGTGTTTATTGCACAGTAATATGACTGTGGTTAACAGTAAAGTGTTGTATATTACAAAATAGAGAGGGAGAAGCTTTTGAATATTCTCACCACAAAGAAATGATAAATGCAAGAGGTGATGGATATACTAACTACCATAATTAGATCATTACACAACAGATATGTGTATCAAACCCTCAAATTGGACTCTATAAATATGTACAATTACAATGTGTCAATTAAAAAATATAGTTTCTATTGTCAGGGTTCACATTCAAGATAGTTTAAGATATGAATAGCCTTAAATTCCCCGTGAAGTACATTTTTTTATTCAAATTTTACATACTATATTATTTTCTTCACCAATAGCAAATCACTAATTTCTCTTGAAACACAATAGATCTTAGATTTATTAGGTTAAAATACATAAGGACAGCAAGCAGACATTCCTGACATGGTAAATTATCTGAAGTCTGTTGCATTATTTTTCTTAGCTCTGTATGGCATAAGCTGCACTTTAATTAAAAAAATCCTTTAAAAACTATTCTGTAGGATAAAATTATGTATTTTTCAAGGATCTAGATTATTTCAATAATCTTGGTCTTCATTACATTTCAGAGTGTTTTAGTTCTTTGAAAATTATTGGCATCTTGGTAAGTGATAAGATAGGCTTAATATCACTGAACTTTACACTATTCAGTCAAAGGATATATAAAACGGTGATAGATACTTCAAGCTTTTGTTGGTAATAAACTGGAATATTCATATTATGGGAAAAAATGTAAAGTGCTTGTGCCAGTTAAGGTAATATAACTTATATAAAATATAAATACCACAATTTTAGTGACTTAACACAATGGAAGTGTCACGGGATCCTTGGGGTTGTGGCTTCGCCAGCCGGAAACCTCTGTGGCCAGCGGCGCCTTCTGCCTGAGTATTACTCCAGCCCACTGGGTTTGTTCCTTTCACTCGGACCGGCAGGCTGCGCTCAGCTCACATTACCAGCCTGGATCCCATACCTGCCAAGGGCGAGCCAGATGCAGAGCGACAGAGGTGTGTGGGTGAGTGAGAGCGGGGTCCAGCCACTGCGCAGAGCCAGGCATGCTGGCTGCTGCGGCGGGTGGGCACCTCCACGCGCAGGCACAGGTGCCGGTTCCATGCAAGGCTGCGGCTGTGCTAGATATACAACACATGGCTTCCTCTGTGGGCATCTGTGTCTAGATGAGGGAAACGTGGCGACGCAGTGGTGCCTGGAAGCTTGGAGATGCCAGGAACGGCAGAGCCCCAAAGGGGGTGTCACAGCCCTGGCTTTGGGGAGCCCCGTGTCTGAGATCTCTGAAGGCCCACAGATCTTCTCCTTGCCCACGACATGATGAGTGGGTGGAAGGGGGTGGTGTTTCAGCTTTGTTTGTGTTACAGCTCTTTCAGTCGTGCCATTTGGCATGTCCTGAGTTCTTGTCGCTGTGTGCAGGAAGAATGAAGTATGCAGACAATTGGAGGGTGAGCAAGGCGAAGAGGAGCTTCCTTGAGCGACAGAACAGCTCTCAGGAAACCGGAAGTAAGTAGTTCCTTTCCACAGGCACGTCTTCCGATGTCCGTGCAGCCCTCCGCAGAGAGCAGACCCAGAGTGTGTAACTCCTACCCACAGGCAGGTTGTCCGCACATCTGTTGGAGTCTGGCTGAGTCAGGGTTTTTAAGGGTTCAGAGGGGAGGAAGTATGTGCTGATTGGTCTATGGGCAGCCATGGGTGGGCCTGGAAAAAACACCTTAAGTTCTCACTCTGGTCTGTGGATTCCACCCTGAACTGACAGCCCAGCCCCCATGCTTTGGGCAGTTCCTCGCTTGAAGGTAGGGCTTCACTGAGGACCCACCCCTTTCTGCCCAGAAGCCTGTCTGCCGCTTGCCACCATCAATCATATTCATGGCGCCCAGGCTGTTTGTGCTGAGGAGCGCCTGAAGGCCTGCAGCGAGCTGGCTCAGTGCCCCCATGCTCGTTGGCACCCAAAGTCCAGAGGGGGCCACGGTGGCAGGGGGCTGACATGTCAGTGCCACCCCAAGCGCTCACACACCCAGCTGGGTTGCAACAGCACTTGGGCTTGGCCTCAACTTTGCTCTGCACCTGGAACAGGCACCGGGAGCAGGGAGAGGCCAGGCAGTGGGAGCAGGCACTTTGAAGCCTGCAGCGGCAGGGGAGCTTTCTGTGGCTCCCAAGAGCGCAGGAAATGCCTGGGTCTGGAGCTACAGCTGTGCATAGTAGGGAGGGGCTTCCAGCCTACCAACTCGGAATGGGTTGGGGCTCCTTCCTGTTCCTGGCTCCTGCCCACTCTACGGAGCACGCAGCTCTGGCCTTGCCTTCCCTGCTGCAGCCAGCGTCTTCAGAGCAGCTTCTCAAGATGGGCAGCCACTGCCATCAGAAGTCCAAAACAAGAATTCCTGACTGGCAAGTAAGTTTCTTGAAAATACTGATTCAGTAACCAATTTCCTAATATCAAATCTGCCTCTCAACACCTGGC
This sequence comes from Homo sapiens, assembly GCF_000001405.40. NCBI lineage: Eukaryota > Metazoa > Chordata > Mammalia > Primates > Hominidae > Homo > Homo sapiens. Next base: position 126,955,222 of record NC_000004.12, on the reverse strand, counting down.
TTGTAAAATTACAACAGAAAGGGAAGAAAGTGGGAATTACAAATGTTAGATTGTATAGGCAAAGCCTGGAAATAGTGGCTACCACTTTTATTCACATACCATTGGCCAGAACTCACGTGGTCAATCTAACTTAAGAGGCTGCTGGGAAATGTGGTCTGTATGTGTGTCCAGGAGGAAGAGTAAATGAGTTTGGTGATCAGCTAGCTAGTGTCTATGGCATTTAAAGTAAATTATTACTAAGGCAATATTAAGAATCACAGCTGCTAATAGTTACTGGAGGAGATTCACGTATCAGTCTGGCTTCAACCAGAGAAACAGAACAGGTAGGAGGGAAATACTAAGTGAGCTTTTGCAAGGAATTGGTTTGCATGATTGTGAGGGTTGGTAGCCAAGTCCAAAATCCTTAGGGCAGGCCATCAGAAAGGGAAGGCTGAATTATCAGGTTCAGGCTGACGCATCAATCCACACCAGAATTTCTTCCTCGTTAGAGAGGCCGCAGCCCTGCTCTTAAGGGCTTACAGCTGACTGAATCAGACCCATGCAGATTCTCTAGGATAATCTCCTTGCTTAAGAATCAACTGATTACAGACTTTAATCACATGTCCTAAATACCTTTATAACAATGCTTAATGTTTATTGAATAACTGGGAACTATAGCCTAGCCAAGCCTGGCTAGCCTGTAAAACTGTCCATGATAATGTTTTTATGTGTATGCATGTATAGTTATAATATGTGATAATTAATATAACTCAAAATTCCTTTTCATTTTTTGGTCTTTCGATACTGTGACTTTACACATTTCTATATGTGCTATATTTTGGAAGCCAAAAGTGTTTTTCCCTTTCGCACTTATAATTAGAAAATAAATAAGATGCAGCATGGAATAAGCAGGATAACCAGACTTGAGTTTGAAACTTCGTTCCACTATTTAATAGTAATATTGTGACTTTGGAAAATGTTATTCAGAACTCTAAGGCCAGCTTCTTTTCTGTTGCATGAGGTAATAATCACTATATCTGGATATAATATACTATAGCAGTCCTTGGTTCAAAGTTACCACTTAATAAATGATGGTTATTACTAAATAAGATGGGGTTTAGCCTACAGGTGAGGATGGATGCTCTCTTCGAGATCTGACAAGACTCAGAGGCCTGGAAAAATTCCCATAACCTTGTCTCATACAGTGGAAGTGGCAGGGTGCATCATGCCTGATCCTGTGATCCTTTCCCACAGGTTGGATATTAGGAGAGGCATCCTTAGGGACAATGCCAATGTCATACAGAGTAGCTTCCAAGACTATAAAATTCTTGCCTCAAATCTAGGTCTTTGTGACAAAAATAGTACCTCTTCTCAACATTTGAAGAACAGTCTGTATGTGATAATTTTGTTTACTGTATTCATTGTTTTCCTTCAGCAAATATTTGTTGAGTTGCTACTATCTCCCTGGCACTGTTGTAGATGAGAGGATGAGAGTATAGATGAGAGGATGAGAGTAACATAAACATATTAAAACTTGTAAAGAGGTGGACTTCGGAGGAATAGTTTAAAAATGGGAAGAATTGGGCTAGTAATTAAATGTTTCTGTTAGCGATGTCCCTGGTCAGTGTGGAATTGCTTTCTTCTGTCACAATAAAGGGTGTTTTAAACAGTTTGAGTTTTATTAATGTGAATAATTCTTCTAACTTTAGGATATTAATTTTTTTTTCTTAAAACTCTCTGGGGAATTTAAACTTTTCTACTTGATATTTATGTAATATACTAATTTTCTTATAGAAAAGTCATCATACTGGTTGCTATTTTCTGCATGTACTTGGTAAAATATCAATAACTTGGGGCCAAACTACAGAAATCTAGGTCCTAAGAAATCTGAAAGTATGTAGTATACAAAAGTGGGCATTGATTGGCTGAATTATTTGGGTATTGATAGTTTTCTTAGATATAACAAGTTGAAGATAACTCTTTACTCTCCATTTGTTTGGGATAGTTTATATAGTTTATGAGTTCAGTAGTCAAATTTTCAAAGGTCATGAAGTACCTTAAAAAGACAGTGACTGTCTAAGGCAACGCCTGCCAATAGTTGGAAGGGAAAAACTGGGAAACCACTTCCACAATGGTATATAATCTGGGAAACTCTGTTTTAGAATATCAATAATAATGTGTAGTTGTGTGTGATATATAAAAGCTTACTTTAGATTATATACTATTATATTTTCAGCATAAAGTTTATATTATCCATAGGCAGAATTTCTGATTTTCCCATTTAGTAAATGCCATGTACTGTTTGATTAACTCTACATTAATTTTAAAAAAGGCTCAACTTGTCAAAACACACGTTCTCAGATGACATATTTCATGTTTGGATTAGGAACTGAATGTTTATTACATGTAAACTGAAACACAAAGGTGCATTTTATAGTATCAAGAATAGACCACAGAACAATAATTCCATAAAGTATTTGGCTTTAAAAAATATTTTGGGCCGGGTGCGGTGGCTCACACCTGTAATCCCAGCATTGTGGGAGGCCGAGGCGGGCGGATCATGAGGTCAGGAGATGGAGACCATCCTGGCTAACACGGTGAAACCCTGTCTCTACTAAAAATACAAAAGATTAGCTGGGCATGGTGGCACATGCCTGTAGTCCCAGCTACTCAGGAGACTGAGACAGGAGAATGGTGTGAACCCAGGAGGAGGAGCTTGCAGTGAATGGAGATCATGCCACTGAACTCCAGCCTGGGCAAGAGAGCGAGAGTCTGTCTCAAAAAAAAAAAAAAAAAAAAAATTGGTATTTGTCTCTAAATAAAGATTATAAATATGTTGCAAAAGTAGATAAATCTTTCTTTCTGATAAAAAGACAAAATTGTTTTCTTTTTATTATTTTTCCACATTCTAGAGATTTCTTGATGTGCTATATTAAAATATTGATCAGTTATACACAATTTATAAATAAGATTTTTTTTTGCTATTTTGACGATTTTATATCAAAGAAACCTAAAGTTTAGAGGTGTTTATCACTGCAGAAGGTCAAATATGAACTTGGCGTTTGTGGATGAATCAAAATGAGTATGGTTGTGTGTTACAGAAAGATTCAATAACTAGTTGTTTCCTTCCTTACTTTTTTCCTTCCTTCTTTTCTTCCTTTCTTCCTTCCTTCCTTCTTTCTTTCCTCCCTTCCTTCTGTCCGTTTTTTTGAACAATTAGTTTTTGTTAAAGTTGCTAGAAATTTGTATGGCTTTTAATATACTTGCACTAGCTTCCTTTCTTTAACAAAGTTATAGGTGGTATCCACTTTGGATTTTCAGTGACTGTTTCACCAAATTGGATTTTGATCAACAGTAACAATGTTATTTTTATTTACAGAAAACAGTGACAGAGAATAGATGAAAATAGTAACCTTTTAAGTTAGTCTTATAAAATTTATCATGGCTCTGTCTCCTAAGAACGTTTGTACTAGAATTATTATTTGATTCCTCTTATTACTGACTGCTTTTACTCTTGATCCCCAGAAAGCACCCTCGCCCCCACTGCTGGTACTTGAAAACACCTTTTTTCCCATTTATTTTTATAGTTTTAAGATGGCCAGAAGCGTTTTGTTTCTTTTAGGTATAACAATGTTAAAGTTAACCTAGTGGGTCCGGGCGCGGTGGCCCACGCCGGTAATCCCAGCACTTTGGGAGGCCGAGGCGGGCGGATCAGGAGGTCAGGAAATTGAGACCAGCCTGGCTAACATGGTGAAACCCCGTCTCTACTAAAAATACAAAAACAAAATTAGCCGGGCGTGGTGGCGGGTGCCTGTAGTCCCAGCTACTTGGGAGGCTGAGGCAGGAGAATGGCGTGAACCCAGGAGGCGGAGCTTGCAGTGAGCTGAGATCACGCCACTGCACTCCAGCCTGGGCGACAGAGCGAGACTCCGTCTCAAAAGAAAAAAAAAAGTTAACTTAGTGGTATTAAAGTTCATCGGATGCTACTTTATAAGGTATTTAAAGATGTTTTGAATACATTAATAAGAAAAGAATAACACCTGTAAACTGTAACACAATATGGAAGAGATAGCTCAGAAACGGATATAGTTACAACAGTGATTTGTAAAATTCTAGGAGTTGAAGAGCTACAGTGAACTTTTAGTAATTAGTAGTGGTGTGTAATAATGAATAAATACTATTTTGAAATAATTTTTGCCACAGTGTCACTTTTATTATCAGGAGCAATATAGGTAATTTTAGACTAGCTTTTCCAACACCGTAGAGCTCTGATTGATTTTCTGACATTTGGGATGATCTGAGGTCCTGAGAACTCTCTCCATGTTAATTTTCATAGTGCATATACCAAAAATATGCTAAATGCCTCCAGTGTTCCAAACCTAAAATCACATTTTGCAGCCAGATGATCCTTATAAATTTGTTTCCCAGAAGATCATAATCCAGTATTGAAAAATATATATTTTAATATCTGATGTTTTCCTAGTTAGCATTGGTTTTGTAAGGCTCATAATTTAGTAAAATGTCATGTTTCAAAGTACAGAGTATTTTTAAATAATTAGGAGTGGGTAATCCAATTTGGAAGTGTGACAAATTCTAATACTATAAATGTTAGGAATGTATTGGTAGAGGAGAAAAAAGGTCTGGAATAGGGTCTGTGCTGATATCATAGGTAAGAACAAATAATTTCAGCAGAAGGAACCAAATGAGATATATAGTTATGCGTAAATCAAGACACAGCTGCGTAGCAGGCGCTTCATGTTGAATTCATCTGACTATTGGCAAAAAAAAGAAAAGAAAAGAAAAGATTTGGAAAGTAGGGGAGGGTCTTGAAATAATCAAGAGCAGGTAAAAGTCACATTTTAATGAATTCCATGAGACAGCTAAATTGTTTTGTAGTGACTGGGTACATTGCTGTAAACATTTTCATCCTGCAGGAGATGAGAAAGAACTTAGGCATAGCTTACCCAAAGCAAATTAAGAAGAAAAATAAAAGCATTGCTTTGAACACAAAATTCAAAATGGAGTGGTGAGTACTATTCTTACCATATCCTCCTGGCTCAGTAGTTTGTTTTTGTTGTTCTGTTTTGAAAGTCTACATATTTTTAGAGGATAGGGTGTTGATATACTTAAAGACAGGAGATTTTAGAGACATTTAACCTAGTATCTTTGATAGAGTAAGTTCACAAAATATGTTGAATAAATGAATACAACTTGAAAGATAATTCCTGCTTGAGCCAGGGCTATGGTGACAATGTGAACCTCCACCTTGGCCTGACTCAACTTCAATATTCCCTTTCTTGGCCTTTATTGTAGATAGAGTGCCCTTAGGACTGAGGGAATCTTCTCTTCCTCCAGTTTCCTTTGAACTATTCACAGCAACTTGATGATCAAAGGCATCTTGGATCTTGAATTTACTGAAGAGGCATCCAAGTAGTATAAGTGGCTTTCACCATGGATCCAGCAAAATCTTGAAGTAAATTGCTTCTCTCCTAGAAGTTAGAGACCCTTGTCATACAAATTGTTTTGGCAAACATGGTGGAACATTTGGAACATTATGGTAGTGAGAACAATTAAAATATCTCTTGCATGGGTAGTATTTTGAACTCTATAAATTGATGTCAGATAGAATACATCTGAGTGGTTATGCATCCTCAACTATATTCCTCCTATACTAAACACTAATTACCCCTTAATGTACTGACTGCACTGATAAAATAAGAGGTCATAGCCCTCCAAAATTACCCATCACAAACAGTCCCCATGCAATATCTTGAAAACATATAATTTTGGACTCAGAAGGGTCATTTGGGGTTATTTTACAGAGGAAGCAAATGAAGATCTGCTCAACTATTGTTTTATTAGCTATTAGATCTCAGGCATCCTGTCTGTGTGGGCTTTCCTCCTCTCTCTATAGTTTTCCTACTTCCCAGTTCTTAAAATGCAAGGTTCTAACCCTGTCTTCCTTTGGATTACAGGGTCCTTTCAATCAATATTAATTAAGCACTTACTAAGTCCAGATCAGGCGAGGATTACAGGGTCCTTTCAATCAATATTAATTAAGCACTTACTAAGTCCAGATCAGGCGAGGTAAGCCTGGTTTTTTCCTCATCAGAAATAATTTAGAAGCTCTGGAGAAATATAAATTATCTGGCCCCACGTTAGTTCTCATGAAAAAATATGTGTATTGGTCCCAGAACATTATATTAAAAAATATTCCAAGGTAAGTAAAATGATGAGACAGGTTTGGCATTGTTGATTAAGATATATGTATACATAGCGTGTAATACTATTATTATTGCTTAGAACTGTACCTTGATCTTCCCCTATAACTCTTTCCTTCTCTAGTTCTCCCTGTCTTAGTCAATGACAATTGCCACCTACCTAGGTGTTCAACCCAAAAAGCCTGGAAATGTCTTTGATGCGTCTTGCTCCATCATCTATTCCATTAGTATATTCTACCTCCACAACTTGTAGGATTTCCTTCCAGAATTCTTTAAGAATATAGCCAGAGTGATGAATTTTCAAAGTGCACACATTTATGCTTCTGTCCTATGTAAAGCCTTTTGGAAGCCTATGTTAATATTGCCGAAGTATGTTCTCTGTTACTATGTAATAGGCATTATGTGGGGAAAAAAAGCCCAGTCTTAGTCTACTCAGGCTGCTATATCAAAACACCATAGACTGGGTGGCTTAAATAACAGATGTTTGTTTTTCAAATTTCAGAGTCAGGAGTTTCAAGATCAAGGTGCTGCATGGTCGAGTTCTGATGAGGGTCCTCTTCCTTGGCTTGTAGACTGCTACCTTCTTCCTTTTTCCTCAAATAGTGGAGAGGGGAAGCTCTAGCGTCTCTTCCTCATCTTATAAAGGCACTAATCCCATAATGGGGGCTCCCACCCTCATAATCTAAATCTAATTACCGTCTGAAGGCCCTACCTCCTAACACCATCACTTTGAAGGACAGGAATACAATATATGAATTTTGGAGGGACACAAGCAGAGTCCATAATAAGCCCCATAGTCAAATGAGTTTTCAAAATGTCAGGTTAGCTAGATGAGCGTTTGAAATACTGCTGTATTTAAAGCAGGATTTTGGCTTTTATATGCATTGTATGACAGAAGAGTGGGAGTATTTTGTAGGCACTGTTTTCCTGAGTGACTCAACTGTAGAACTCCTTTTTCTACAAAGTATCCTGAGGAACTAATGTCCAGGAAACACACTCTGATGGGTTGCTTTTTGGCAATGGGCATCTCTAGATGTCTTCTGAAAGAAAAAAATTCCTTTCTCTCCTTCTTTGTATTTTGAAATTAAAGCACCACTGCTTCCTATTTTCTCTCCTAGTTATTCCCATTATTGATGTAGATAGAAGTGCTTTTTAGAAATATTTCTGTCGCTCTTTTGTTCTGCAGTTATTTGTAAATAAAGAGATGGTTTCACCAAACTTGGAAGAGGCAGTTTCAAGTTTCTAGGTACAGAGATAGAGATCTAAGTAGATTGCCGGTAGGGAGAGTGTAAAGGAAACAGACAGCACCTGACAGAGCACTGTGGCAGTCTTCATCCTGAGCCCATTGCTAGATCAGCAGAAGTATAGAGGCCATTTATTAAAAGGGCCAGTCGTGTATTACTGTTTCTTATGGGGCAAAGAGACAAGAGATGTTACATGTTTTCTCTTGCCATGTCTTCTGCTTTTTGGAGACTGAATTTTTTAGAACTTAGAAACCTGCCTATGTTATGAATATTTTGAAAAATGTCTTAAGTGCTATACATGTGAATGGGCTCAGTGCCTCACAGTCACCAATACAGCCAAGTAGATTGTAACTTTATGGTAAGAGCCAAAGCTTCTGTGACAAAAAAGAAATGATACAGTTGATTCCTTATAGACAAAAGAATCAGAATACTAAACTAAATTCTTTAATTTTATCACCAGATCATTGATTGATTTTATATAGTTACTACTTATAGTTTCCAGTTATTGATAAGTAAAGTCAATAAATTCAATTATACGAATTGGAATCCTATTTAGTCATCCAATTACTCCATTTAAATAAGTTCTCATTGAAACTTTTAATTAAATATAAATATTTTAATAACTATGATCTCCGAGGTGAAAATATGTACTTTTCATAAAATGAAAATAAAATTTTTGTAGTTTTCATTTACTTACCATATAATGGAAAAGTACAATTTTAAAATAATAATGTGTAAAATGTAAGTATACTTTTTAACAATAATTTAAAAATGATAAATATTTTTAGTAATGATGAAAATATTGATTTTTCCATTTATTTAATATAATATTTTTAAACATCATTGCTAAATATTTGCATATTTTGAAAAGCAGCATGCTTTTGTTTTGCCAGATAACATTTGAAATTGTTGCTTATTTATTACCAGGAGTGAAGAGAGACACAGACCATGGTGTTACACATTTGCATGTCATATTGAAATAGGTCATCTTTCAAAGAAGTCTAGTATTCATAGCTACTCACTCACTCTGTTGCTGTTTATGGTGACAGTGCTCTCTGGGGCTCAGGTAAAGGAGATGTGGAGAAAAATCAACAATTATAACTCAAGAATTTAAAAGTAATCTTCAGGATATATACAACTTTCATTTGTCAATTATACCTCTCTAAAGCAAGAAAAAGTGTCCAATGTTGGGAAACATTGCATAAACTGTTTTTTTTTTTTGTTTTCTTTTTTTTTTTTGGAGTCACCCAGGCTGGAGTGCAGTGGCGTGATCTCAGCTCACTACAGCCTCTGCCTCCTGGGTTCAAATGATTCTCGTGCCTCAGCCTCCTGAGTAGCCAGGATTACAGGCACATGCCACCATGCTGGGCTAATTTTTGTATTTTTAGTAGAGACGGAGTTTCACCATGTTGGCCAGGCTGGTCTGGAACTTCTGACCTCAAGTGATCTGCCTGCCTCAGCCTCCCAAAGTGCTGGGATTACAGGCGGCATAAACTTATTTTTTAATGTATATTTGTTACATTTTCAGTGATATGCTCAATATGGTTTTTGTTCAAACTCTAGACACTTATTTAAGGTGAAGTATCTCTAAGTTTGAAGCAATGGGTTCAATTGTTAATCTAAGAAAACACAAACATAATACCCCATTTTTCTAGATTTTTTGATACTTTGTAGTGTATTCGTTGTATTTTTTTACACAAATTTTCTTGCTTACATTTTGTTATGTGTAAAAATTTATAAATTCCATGTTAGGCAAAAGATAGATAGCTTCCAGTGAGACAATTTAGGGAAAAATGAAAGTATATTAAGGCACTTCTCATTTTATTAATAATATGGGAGTTTTGTGTTAGACTTAGAAAAATTTAAATGGAGAGATGAAATATATTACATTGCAAAGAAACATTGATTAAACCTGTTGGCAAAAATCAAGGTAATTTTGTATACTTGATTTATTACAAAATATGTATGAAAAAGTTACATTAAGTCAAAAAGATTGTCTTATCTGTTGCAAAGCAAAGTTTCACTGAATTTACCTGCACTCTAGTCTCTATACACAGCATTGTTTGTACTAGGTTTATCTTATGTTCTTTTCTGGAGGAGTGTATTTCAAAAAACAAATAATTATCTCTTGTTTTTTTTAAAAATGAAAGCCAGTGTAGAAATAGTGTAGACATTTTACTGTCACCTTATATATTAATTTTAAAATATTAAAAAAATAAAATAAAAATAAAATATTATTTCTTTTCAAAGTAGAAAACAACTGTTGCTAGAGAGAAGTTACAGCATCAAAGACCCTTTGGGGAATTCTAAATAATATACATCTGTACATTTAAAACAAGTACATGTGCTTAAATGAAACTCAAATCTCACTACTCTTGTTTTTAATGCATAACTAAAGCACATTATCTTTAGAGCTGAAGATGTCATTAAATTCAGCAAATATTTATTAGCACTTTACTCTTATATCTGCAGTATCTCTCCTACTGCCTATTGCATACTTGGCACTCGATTGACCTCAGTATTTGGAGAATGAGTGAGGAGATGGGAGCATTTTGTTAACTGAAGCAAGGTATCTATCAGCATACGTACAAAAGCTTGAATTTCTCAAGCATTTGTTTCTGTTGCTGGCTACATAGCTTGGAGTTTGAGGTGGTTTAGAAATGGGAACTAAGCCTAGAAGTGTGAGTTGATGTCTCATTTTAAAAGATTTTAATACAAACTACATTTTTACTTAAATTGTTAGAAAGTGGGCACACCTTGGAAATGCTTTGATTGGAAAGATTATGCAATTAGAAAGCGTAATCGGATGGCAGTGTTTACCAAGTCAACTGCAGGTTTTCAAAAGGGAGTCTGCCTGATGATGCATACCAGTCCATTCAAGTACAGTCTATGCTGTGTTTCTCGAATTATCATTATTTTTATTTTCTGGATTCTCGTAGGCTAGCTTTACATTTGCTGGAAAATCTAGAATACTCTTTCTCTTAATTTTGCTAATGGTCTCCTATATCATAATGCCTTTCCTCTCTTTCTTAAGTAAAATATTTAGCTATCATGAATTTCTCAAAATACTGTTATTATCTTGCCCATCTCTCAGAAGAATACATTGAGGTTTAGAGACAGTAAATATTTTCCATATGCTAGACAGCTAATAAGTGATAAAGTGAGTACCATAACTATATTAGTTTCAAATAATGCTACTGCATAAATTAATATAATTGAATCCTGGCAAAAATACCTTTATGCAGTCCATATTATTATTCCCATTTAGTTTTAGATTAGGAAACAGACTCATTCATCCAGATAGAAGAGGGCTAAGCTAAGATTTAAACCCATAGTTGTCAGCTCCATATTTCATAAACTTCATGTTATACTACCTTCCTCATAAATTTTAGGACTAAGAAACGAAGTAAAACACAGAAGATTTGTGGCCCCAAACCCCTGTTAATCAGTGACTTTTCCATAATATTACTAGCATTTTTGTTTTAATCATTCATACACCCAGCTTTAGTTCTGACCATTGATCACAGTCTCAGATTCTATGGTTTTTAGTATCAATTTTATCTGTGCATCTATGTTTTTAGCATTTTTTGCTTCTATTAGTGTCTAGAGTTGAGAACTTAAAGCTCTATATTCTTCCCCAGAGCTTTATTTTACATTGTCTCTAGTTATCTAGTGGAAATGGTATGCATGACCGTAGGCATCTTCATGGTAGATTTTCCTGCCACTTCTTTTCTGTCTATTCTATGCAGCTGCCTAATAAGTCACTTCAATTTCCACTTCATATTCCCCAGATGCATTTCATTTATTTATCCAATATACTACCATGCATGAAAAAACACATAAGGTTCTTGTTCAAGAATGCCTTAGATTAGTAGGTGGCTTGGAGAAGAGGGGGGAGGATGACAGAAAGAAATTACTGGATTCCCTATGGAAAGGTAATTCTTTAAAATGTACAATAAAGAATTTCTCATAACCCAAATCACCCTGACAAAATACATAACACAGTTTGAACACACACCCGTCTTAACTGTTGGATCAGTTCTTAATTTATTAAGGTGAAGGTACTTAGCATTTTCTTCAGCTCACACAGAGAGGTAAATTATTGGTTTTAAAATATTTGATAATACAAAGTTAATGAATGGGTCTTAGGGGCTTAAGATTCTTATGCATAGTATTTTAAATCTATATTACAAGTTTTAAAGCACCACCTGCATAATGAAAAAGTGTTCTGGTATTTGAAATATATCAGTATGAATCACCGGAAGTTACTAGAGTGAAGGTTATAAATTTTATTCTGTTTCTTTTCTCAACAAACACAGATTAGGTTTGTATAATGCGTGCCTGGGGTGGTCTTGGTCATTGTGCTGTCAGATAGAAGTAAGCTATGTTGTTCCAGAAACATAGATGTGATGTTGTATTTTGGGAAAAGTTGTTTGTAGCATTCTAGCATCATTTGACCTGCCTTTTGGATATAATTTTACTTTAATACAGAATAAGCAAAATATTGTTAATATATTAACAAAAGAGCTGTCCTGAAAAATTATCTTAAAAAGCTACAAGCACTTCAGACTAATTATACCACGTTAGATTTAAGTGAAATCATTGAATGTTAAATAGAATTCCCTTTAGAAATTGCAAATGGTAGCCCAAAGGCTGGATTTGGCCCACAGATGTTTGGCCCACACTGTGTTTTTAAATAATTGAATTTGTTTCCAACATTCAAATATGGAAATACTTTACCTAAAATACCACGTTTCTGGCTTCTTTTTAAGAGTTTGAAGATCTGGCAGCATTGAGCAAGCCTTCCCACATGGCCATGGTTGACAAGAGCTACAGAGATTGCCCTCTATGTACATTTGCTAAAATATAAATTCCGTGAAGATTCATGAAGAACCATTTTGTTGCTTGATGCAACCTGAACACCTGGAAGAGCTGATGCTCAATACATATTTATCACATGAATCACCCTGTAGTTTCTCAGTAAACATTTGTTAAATTAACAAGGCATAGGTTCTCCAATCTGACACCCAGTAGTCCTTATTTTATTATACTCAAATTACCTCTCTCTTATTTACGTTATTTCTCTGGCCTCATAGGCATTTAAAATTTTTATTTAAAAAATTGTGGTAAAATATACATAAAGTTTATCATTTTTAGCATTTTTAGTGTACAATGCAGTGAGACTAAGTATACTTACAATGTTGTGCGGTTGTCACCACTATCCATCTCCAGAACTTTTTCATCTTTCCAAACTGAAACTCAGCACCGATTAACAAATAACTCTCCATTGCCCTTTCCCACCAGACTCTGTCAATCACCGCTCTTTGTTCTGTCTCTACAGATTTAATTTCTTTAAGTAGCTCATATAAGTAGAATCATACAATATTTGTCCTTTTGGGTGCTGCAAGAATTTAATGTATCATACCTGTTTAATTTACTGCCTTCATATATTAGAGTTGGAAGAAACTAAGGCTCAGAAGGATGAAAGTGAGTGTGCATAGACACATAACACACTGATGGTCCACTTACTCTGGAAAGAAAGACCGTTTCTTTCCTCCAAGATCTGTGTTCTTTGTACTGCAACATGCTGAATTACCCATTTTACCACTTACAGAAGGAAGTGTTCTAGACTTCTAAGTCAAGAATGAGTGAAAACATCACAATTAGACTAAATTTAGCCCAAACTTATGTCATGGCATGGAATTTGAAAAGAATCCTTAATCATATGATAATGTACAAAAAGTCACACCCACAAACTTATAAGTAAATTGTAATCATTTAAAATCTCTCTCTATTCTCTGTTGAATTATCTGATTGCATATATCTCTATTTTTGGCAACCTACTGAAAGAACTTACACTAGCATAAGCATACAAACAAATGTGTGAATGTTCCAAATACATGCTTTAAATCCCTCCGCTGGCCTCAGTTGATTGGAAGTGTCATCAGAACACCATTCTGGGAACTGATTTTTTTTTACTTGTCTATGCATTTACCCTTAGAAGGGGTCAAAAGTGATTTTTTTTTTTTTTTTTTTTTAGAAAGTCACTTTCAGCTTGGACTAATTTAAGGTGTATTTGACTGAATTCTTTTTCTTTTGGTAAAAACTGAAGAGACCTGCCTAACAGCTCTTTTCAGGTTGGCCTTGGCCTGTGAAAGGGTAAAATCTATTCAGGATACTCTGGCCGTAGCAAGCACACGTGAGATTCCTGTGGAAGCCCTGAACTTGTCTCCCGAGGAGAGGTATAAATCAAAAATGTTTCCAATGTCCATTTTCTTAAGCACAGGAATCCAAGGTGAGTCCTCATCCTCAAAGTCGTCCTTGATCATAGGTGGTCTGCCTTTCCAGAGTGTCTCATTTTGTTCCAGATTTCAGAGTTCTCTATTGTTCCTAATGTTTTTTTCTGACATCTGCTGTAAAACAGATTAAAGATGTGTTTCTCCCTCTCTCGCTCTCTCCAGAGATTTGTATGAACTCTATAGATTTTTATACACTAAGTCAAAATTTTCCAAAATTTCTTAAAGCACTAGACTAGAGGACGTGAGTTGTTATTTCATAAAAAATGTTATAGTTAAATAAGTTTAGGAAAAACCAAGTTAAGAACATTTGGTAATTTTTTTCTTTAGTTTGTTTCACAGTTTTAGTATGCCAAAATGTGAACTGTATATTTACAGAAATAATATATAGCATTATTTCCCAAACTTTTTTGAGCAACAAACCCCATTTTAATAGTTTTTGAGGCTAGAATTCATCCTAGAGAACATTCTCTGGAAAACACTGCTTAGACAATTTTCCTGAGTCATTTTTTTCATTAATTCAAATAACATTTCAGATAGCAAATAATATTCAGTGTTGTTTTATGTGGTGTAGAAACATTTCTACCTCTGTTACGGAGGACCTCCTGACCTGGAGAGGAAAGAGACTAGTCAGGCACACTGTGAAAAGTTCTGTGATAGAACCACAAGGGGCTATGGGAGGACACTGGGGGACACCTGCCATTGGGAGATAGGGAAGACACTTGGAGGAGAGGTGATGCCTGAATAGAGACTTGAAAGATGAATAAGTGAGAAGAAAAAGGGCATTGTTCTAGGAAGGTGGAGGTTAAGCAGATAGAAGATGATTTTGATGATTGTTAATGTACTTATCTGTGGATAAAATTATTCAAAATGGTATTCAAGGATATTGAATTGAGTGAATAGAAATGGTCTGTAAGTGGGAATAAGACCATGGCAGTGTAGCAAAATGGAGGGGAAGCATCTTAAACAGAGAGGTTTCAAGTCTCTAGAAGTTAGAAAGTGAGTATGAGCTGGGAGGAGTGAATTCAACAATGTATAAAAGACTGTTTAAGGCCAGGTGTGGGGGATCATGCCTGTAATCTCAGCACTTTGGGAGGCCGAGGTGGGTGGATCATGAGTTCAGGAGTTTGAGACCAGCCTGACCAACATGGTGAAACCTCATCTCTACTAAAAATACAAAATTAGCCGGGCATGGTGGCGCGCGCCTGTAACCTCAGCTACTCAGGTGGCTGAGGCAGGAGAATCGCTTGAATCTGGGAGGCGGAGGTTGCAGTGAGCCGAGATTGCACCCCTGCACTCCAGCCTGGGCAACAGAGCAAGAATCTGTATCAAAAAAAAAAAAAGACTATTTAAGAGGCGTAAGTTCCTGAGAAGTTTACAGAAATGTTAGCATATGGCTGTCAGGTGGGATCCAGAGAGGCAGGTACAAAGGGGAGATATGACAAGAGAAGCAGGGATAGGGCTGATGAAAAACTTGTCAAGTTACCCCTGTGCCAGACTTTCCTCATCCCCAGCGCCTTGCACTCTAAGCACAGAAGAACTTTTTGGTGTTTACTTTCAGGTAAGAAAATCAGGCTCTTCTATGAAGAAAATTAATAACATTCCTAGGGAGAGCCAAGGCTTCTAAAGTGGATGTTGGCATTCCAAAATAAAATTGTCTATATCCTGACAATTGTGGAGCCTCCACCAGGGCTCTACCCTCAAACGGGTCAGTCAGTACCTCCAAGTCATGGATATAGAGTTCCCTGTAAATTTCCCAGTTGAGAGGAAGTCTTGGTGGGAATGACTGCCTGCCATAGAGCAAAACAAGCCAGATCCCTCCACAATTAACACAATCCTTTTCTCAAACATGAAAAGGGAATCACAGTCACCAGGCCTGTACGAGAATTTGCAGCATGAGTCAGAAAAACCAAGATACACAAAAATAACAACTGACTCCCAGAAATAGACAGTAAAGGAATGAGACAGTAACTTGAACATTTTTGTTAATAGCATCACAGGTACAACAAGAATTAACACAATCCTTTTCTCAAACATGAAAAGGGAATCACAGTCACCAGCCCTGTAGGAGAATTTGCAGCCTGAATCAGAAAGACCAAGATACACAAAAATAACAACTGACTCCAAGAAATAGACAGTAAAGGAATGAGACAGTAACTTAAACATTTTTGTTAATAAAATCACAGGTACAAGAAGAATTGTGTCCATAAAGAAAGAAAATTAATGAGGGGAAAAGAAACATTAAGAGGACAAAACAAAGTCCTTTATTTTAGAAAATCTAGCATATAAATTTTGAGAATAACTTCTAGAACATGAAGTGGAAAAGCAAGAAGATGAAAACAGTAGAGAAACATTTACAAAGGAGGACCAACAAGTTACTAATTAGCAGGGAACTTGTATATATTGCCTAAATAACAGAATCAGGAAGGAACCTCATACTTAGTTGTGGAAGCAACAAACAAAAGCACATAAACAGGAAATATTTAAGAGTTATTATCTCTGGGACTTGGCCTTCTGTTGGGGTATGGAAGAAGTGTGTAGAGTGGGGAAGAAGCTGTTGCTTTTCACTACAAATTTTATGTTAACTTGTACATGTATTATTTGCGTTAAAAATAAAGTAAGAAAAATATTATGTTCAACATTAGAAACAATTCCAAAGATAGAATTACTATATCATTGTTGAATTCTCCAGATTGTATATATTTTCCTTTCATAGGAGGTTTATCCATAATTCCAAAAATTTGAGACTTCTTTATCCTTTTGACTTAAAAATTTTTCCAAAATTTTTCCTGAAGTACCACTTCAGAAATCATACTTACTTTGTGATATTTCAGATTTATAATCACAGAATTTCATAATTGGAATATAGGTCATATGTGGAGTATCTTTCCAAAGACAGTCTTCTAAGTCATTGTGGAGATTTTTATTTAATTTTAAATGATTTTTGGAAAAGAAGTTTGGCCACTTTACTCTGATGAATGTTTAAGCACCACTTGAGCAAGTATAGATAGAAAAATCTTTTATGTTTTAAAATGAGTTTTGGAGATACACTAACCGAATGAAACCTAGCTAAACTGAGATTTTATCTTTACAAAGCAACTTTTTCTTACCCACTCATTCTGTTTTAAAATTCATGTTCTCCTAACAATCTAGGGATGTAGGTTCATTTGCTTATTTTAAGAATCTGTGGCTATGAGGTTAGGTGACTTACTCGGATTTTGGGTCAAGGTTCGTAATCAGTTTAGTGCTTTTCTCACTACACCAGTGATTCATGACTGTGGGGATCTTGCAAAATCACCCAAAATACATATTAAAATATTTTGGAGAAATACATATGTTGTACATTTATTTTCTTCTCAATGATAAACAAACTCTATAATAATCTTAACATGTTAGCCCAGCCTTGGTGACACACAAACCTCTTGCTATGGGAATTCTTTGGATTTGTGTTTAATTAGTGAATGGCATATGTAAGACAGCTGTTTTATAATGGAAAAGGCTCATAAACCTTGTTAAAGAATAAACAGATCAGAAACAATAAAGATTTTCTATCAAGGACATTATATTTGCAAAGCCAAGATTTTCTTTAAAAATTAGGTGTCTTGCTCTGACAATGGAATTTAATTAAGTTCTGCAGACTGCATATTTTGCAGTTGAGAGCCAGTGAGGTAATCTAATATTCTTTTCTCTTCTCGCTCTATCAATTCGTCCCCCATCTCCTTTTTATAAACACCCTAAAACCACATAATAGGTTCAAATGGCAAAGAATGTTATATTAAAGGTATTTACTTATTTTTATGTTTCATTTCAAACAAATTAATAATATTTTTCTTAGATATAATACTTAATGAGTCCAGTGATTCATCTCTTGAGAAACTAACACATAATTGATAATAAAGGTATAAGATTTTGACAAAAATCCTTCCTCTGACTTTATAATGATGTTTGAGAAAGTCTAGATGTGTATGATAACCAAATTATTTTGTGGAAAGGCATCTTTATGTCAGACATAATTAGTGATGAAGCCTGTACTTAAGTTTATTGCATCCTCACAGTTATGACATACATTTCCTAAGCTCTGACCTTTTATCTTGATTGCAGCTTGCTTATTATTTACTGTTATTTTATCTGATTAGCCCTGTGGAATTTTAATCTTTGTGTGCTCTGAACTTTCTCTAATATGTTATTAGGTTTTCATTGATTCCTTAGATTACTTTAATCTTAAATTAACTTTTTACATTTATTAAAACATTTAAAAGTTTTACAAAGTAAATAAATGCTTAAAATGCATATATTTGCTTGATAAACCCATAGAGCAATGTTTTGTATAGTGTAAATGACCCCAAAAGTGGATAATTATAGAATACTCCCTTCTCTATATGACACATTTTTTTGGGTAATAATAATTGAAATGAAACAAATACTAACAGTAATAATAACAGAAAAAAGAAATGCAGAAAAGGAAACTTTCTTTTATTAAATTTTGTATATTTAATCACACCAGTAAAAAAAACTAATACTTTTCAATTTCATTAATATATTTTGAAAAATAAGAAACATGATGAAATGCATCCAAGGGAATAAAGTCTGCAAGATTCAGAGAATAATTTTTACCTAGAAGGACAATACTAAAGTAATTCAGGTACTGTTTCTTCATCTTTACAATCACTGTGTTATTATAGTTTATTTTGAATTTACAAATGCAGTAATATGTTGAACCACAAGGGATGGAGTTGTGAACTGCACCCAAACTGAGCTCACATTTTTTCAAACCATTATAAATTTACTATTGAAACAAAGGCAGATAACAGAGGTAGCTGATTTGGTTTGTGCCAGGGCCAACTGGGTAACTCAGTTTCTCAAATTAACTTGCCCATAGAGTACTATTTTTGCTAAAGGTAAAAAACGAACATATGCTAATTTGGAACATACATATATATTATTAAAACTCAACAGTAACAAGAACAATGTTTAGAACTTAGAGCGGGAATTTGCAAGTGGTAGCTGTTGGGCCAAATCTAGTCTTGCACCTGTTTTTCTGACTTGCCAGCCAGCTAAACAATGGTTTTATATTTTTCAAGGGTGGGCAAACATCAAAAGAGGAATATTTATTAACACATAAAATCATATGAAATTTAAGTTTCAGTGTCCACAAAAGAACTTTTATTGGAACACATAAACATCCATTCATTTGTGTATATCCATGGCTGCTAAGAGCAGAATTGATTAGTGTGACAGAGACTGTATGGCCCGTGTGTTAGTTAACTTGGGCAGCCATGACCAAGTACCACAAACTGGGTGGCTTCACACAGTAGAAATTCATTCTTTCATAGTTCTGGAGGCTTGAATCTGAAATCGAGTTGTCAGCAGGGATGGTTCCTTCTGGAAAGGTCCAGGGAGCTTCTGTTCCATGCTTTCCTCTCAGCTTCTGGTTGCTGCCAGCAATCTTTGGCATTCCTTACCTTGTAGATGCATCAGTACAATCTCTGCCTGCAGCAGCACATGGCGCTCTCCCTCTGTGTCTTCATATCATCGTCTTATGTGGATGCCAGTCATAATGAATTAAAGTCTCACTCTATTCCAGTATGATATCATCTTAACTAATTGCATGTGCAATGGCCCTATTTCCAAATAAGGTTACATTTTGAGATACTGGGAGTTAGGACTTCAACGTTTCTTATTTTGGGGAAACGATTCAACCCATAACAGTCTGCAAAATTAAAAATATTTATTATCTTGAACTTTGCAGGAAAAGTTTGCCAATCCATGACTTAGACCAACAACATTTTGTGGGGGGGATGGGAGGCGGAGAGAAGAATTTTATCATTTACATTGTTTTTACTTGCTGGTATATGATCATCGTAATAAAAAGCTTCCTGAGTTTTAGTTGTCCTCATTATCATTTTTAATTCCTCTAGCTGCAGTCCACTCCCTTGTAGCCTGCACGGGGAGCACACCGTCTCTTACCCCTCTTTGTTGTTTCATGCTGCAGAAGAAATGCTTACAAATTACTACCTCTTGTTATCCTCATTGTCAACTTTCTCATGATGATTAAAGGCTTCCTCTTTCTTTTTTCTTCTTCTTTTCTGAGACTGAGTCTCGCACTATTGCCCAGGATATAGTGCCGTGGTGCAACCTTGGCTCACTGCAACTTCCACCTCCCAGGTTCAAGTGATTCTCCTGCCTCAGCCTCCTGAGTAGCTGGGATTACAGGCACCCACCACACCACCATGCCCGGCTAATTTTTGTATTTTTAGTAGAGACGAGGTTTCACCATGTTGGCCAGCCTGGTCTTGAACTCCTGACCTCAAGTGATCTGCCCATCTCAGCCTCCCAAAGTGCTGGGGTTACAGGCCACTGGGCCAGGCTTGGCTTCCTCTTTGAGTAAAATGATCACATCATCCCAGCTGAACTATTTTTGAGGAAATTGAGAGGGAGAGCAGGAAAAGACTCAAACACCTATACTGAATATGTACATCTACAATGGGGCTAAATTATTGTGTATGCGAGTGTCCCTCTTAGCAGGTTGTAATTTAATTCACCAGTTGCTATTATCTTAGGTGTTAACTTTCTCAGTAGTAAGTGTGGTTACTTGAGTGTGGTTGACAGCCTCACGTGTCTGCACCTCTGCTTCGTTTTTGGGAGCTATTCCATGGTACAGAATTAAATCAAGGCTGTCAGGGAATTATATTTCTTCAAAAAAATTTGACCTTGATATAGTTTGTTATCTCTTACGTTTTCATTAAAGATAATTTAATGACTGGAAAACTGTTTTTACATAAATATCTGCAAGCTATATCTTTGAAATAATTTCTCCTCTTTTGATCTAACCTTTTTCAAATAAATGTTTGTTAACTATGTAATTAAATTTCCTTGACTTATTCTTCAAAGTGCATTACTTTATTTATAGCATCTCATTAAAAGTTTTCATATATTTAAAAAATTTTAGCCCTGTCATATGTTTGCAGGCAAGAAAACTAACTTGTAAATAAAATCCCTTTGTACTACCCTTTGCTTTAGCCGTATAGACCATCATATTATTACTTTCTCCGAGGAATAGTCTGTGTTGCCTTTTTTGGAGATTATGGATCAATATTTCTAAATTTATGCTGCATTGACTGCAAACTTTGCAGGATAGTTTGTTTGACCATAGTATTTTAATTATGCTTGTTCTTTAGTGATTTTTCTCCATTTTGTGTTTTTTTTTTATTATACTTTAAGTTTTAGGGTACATGTGCACATTGTGCAGGTTAGTTACATATGTATACATGTGCCATGCTGGTGCGCTGCACCCACCAACTCGTCATCTAGCATTAGGTATATCTCCCAATGCTATCCCTCCCCCCTCCCCCCACCCCACCACAGTCCCCAGAGTGTGATATTCCCCTTCCTGTGTCCATGTGATCTCATTGTTCAATTCCCACCTATGGGTGAGAATATGCGGTGTTTGGTTTTTTGTTCTTGCGATAGTTTACTGAGAATGATGATTTCCAATTTCATCCATGTCCCTACAAAGGACACGAACTCATCATTTTTTATGGCTGCATAGTATTCCATGGTGTATATGTGCCACATTTTCTTAATCCAGTCTATCATTGTTGGACATTTGGGTTGGTTCCAAGTCTTTGCTATTGTGAATAATGCCGCAATAAACATACGTGTGCATGTGTCTTTATAGCAGCATGATTTATAGTCCTTTGGGTATATACCCAGTAATGGGATGGCTGGGTCAAATGGTATGTCTAGTTCTAGATCCCTGAGGAATCGCCACACTGACTTCCACACTGGTTGAACTAGTTTACAGTCCCACCAACAGTGTAAAAGTGTTCCTATTTCTCCACATCCTCTCCAGCACCTGTTGTTTCCTGACTTTTTAATGATTGCCATTCTAACTGGTGTGAGATGCTATCTCATAGTGGTTTTGATTTGCATTTCTCTGATGGCTAGTGATGATGAGCATTTTTTCATGTGTTTTTTGGCTGCATAAATGTCTTCTTTTGAGAAGTGTCTGTTCATGTCCTTCGCCCACTTTTTGATGGGGTTGTTTGTTTTTTTCTTGTAAATTTGTTTGAGTTCATTGTAGATTCTGGATATTAGCCCTTTGTCAGATGAGTAGGTTGCGAAAATGTTCTCCCATGTTGTAGGTTGCCTGTTCACTCTGATGGTAGTTTCTTTTGCTGTACAGAAGCTCTTTAGTTTAATTAGATCCCATTTGTCAATTTTGGCTTTTGTTGCCATTGCTTTTGGTGTTTTGGACATGAAGTCCTTGCCCATGCCTATGTCCTGAATGGTAATGCCTAGGTTTTCTTCTAGGGTTTTTATGGTTTTAGGTCTAATGTTTAAATCTTTAATCCATCTTGAATTGATTTTTGTATAAGGTGTAAGGAAGGGATCCAGTTTCAGCTTTCTACATATGGCTAGCCAGTTTTCCCAGCACCATTTATTAAATAGGGAATCCTTTCCCCATTGCTTGTTTTTCTCAGGTTTGTCAAAGATCAGATAGTTGTAGGTATGCGGCGTTATTTCTGAGTGCTCTGTTCTGTTCCATTGATCTATATCTCTGTTTTGGTGCCAGTACCATGCTGTTTTGGTTACTGTAGCCTTGTAGTATGGTTTGAAGTCAGGTAGTGTGATGCCTCCAGCTTTGTTCTTTTGGCTTAGGATTGACTTGGCGATGCGGGCTCTTTTTTGGTTCCATATGAACTTTAAAGTAGTTTTTTCCAATTCTGTGAAGAAAGTCATTGGTAGCTTGATGGGGATGGCATTGAATCTGTAAATTACCTTGGGCAGTATGGCCATTTTCACGATATTGATTCTTCCTACCCATGAGCATGGAATGTTCTTCCATTTGTTTGTATCCTCTTTTATTTCCTTGAGCAGTGGTTTGTAGTTCTCCTTGAAGAGGTCCTTCACATCCCTTGTAAGTTGGATTCCTAGGTATTTTGTTCTCTTTGAAGCAATTGTGAATGGGAGTTCACTCATGATTTGGCTCTCTGTTTGTCTGTTGTTGGTGTATAAGAATGCTTGTGATTTTTGTACATTGATTTTGTATCCTGAGACTTTGCTGAAGTCGCTTATCAGCTTAAGGAGATTTTGGGCTGAGACAATGGGGTTTTCTAGATATACAATCATGTCGTCTGCAAGCAGGGACAATTTGACTTCCTCTTTTCCTAATTGAATACCCTTTATTTCCTTCTCCTGCCTAATTGCCCTGGCCAGAACTTCCAACACTATGTTGAATAGGAGCGGTGAGAGAGGGCATCCCTGTCTTGTGCCAGTTTTCAAAGGGAATGCTTCCAGTTTTTGCCCATTCTGTATGATATTGGCTGTGGGTTTGTCATAGATAGCTCTTATTATTTTGAAATACGTCCCATCAATACCTAATTTATTGAGAGTTTTTAGCATGAAGGGTTGTTGAATTTTGTCAAAGGCTTTTTCTGCATCTATTGAGATAATCGTGTGGTTTTTGTCTTTGGCTCTGTTTATATGCTGGATTACATTTATTGATTTGCGTATATTGAACCAGCCTTGCATCCCAGGGATGAAGCCCACTTGATCATGGTGGATAAGCTTTTTGATGTGCTGCTGGATTCGGTTTGCCAGTATTTTATTGAGGATTTTTGCATCAATGTTCATCAAGGATATTGGTCTAAAATTCTCTTTTTTGGTTATGTCTCTGCCCGGCTTTGGTATCAGAATGATGCCGGCCTCATAAAATGAGTTAGGGAGGATTCCCTCTTTTTCTATTGATTGGAATAGTTTCAGAAGGAATGGTACCAGTTCCTCCTTGTACCTCTGGTAGAATTCGGCTGTGAATCCATCTGGTCCTGGACTCTTTTTGGTTGGTAAACTATTGATTATTGCCACAATTTCAGCTCCTGTTATTGGTCTATTCAGAGATTCAACTTCTTCCTGGTTTAGTCTTGGGAGAGTGTATATGTCGAGGAATGTATCCATATCTTCTAGATTTTCTAGTTTATTTGCGTAGAGGTGTTTGTAGTATTCTCTGATGGTAGTTTGTATTTCTGTGGGATTGGTGGTGATATCCCCTTTATCATTTTTTATTGTGTCTATTTGATTCTTCTCTCTTTTTTTCTTTATTAGTCTTGCTAGCGGTCTATCAATTTTGTTGATCCTTTCAAAAAACCAGCTCCTGGATTCATTAATTTTTTGAAGGGTTTTTTGTGTCTCTATTTCCTTCAGTTCTGCTCTGATTTTAGTTATTTCTTGCCTTCTGCTAGCTTTTGAATGTGTTTGCTCTTGCTTTTCTAGTTCTTTTAATCGTGATGTTAGGGTGTCAATTTTGGATCTTTCCTGCTTTCTCTTGTGGGCATTTAGTGCTATAAATTTCCCTCTACACACTGCTTTGAATGTGTCCCAGAGATTCTGGTATGTTGTGTCTTTGTTCTCGTTGGTTTCAAAGAACATCTTTATTTCTGCCTTCATTTCGTTATGTACCCAGTAGTCATTCAGGAGCAGGTTGTTCAGTTTCCATGTAGTTGAGCGGCTTTGAGTGAGATTCTTAATCCTGAGTTCTAGTTTGATTGCACCGTGGTCTGAGAGATAGTTTGTTATAATTTCTGTTCTTTTACATTTGCTGAGGAGAGCTTTACTTCCAAGTATGTGGTCAATTTTGGAATAGGTTTGGTGTGGTGCTGAAAAGAATGTATATTCTGTTGATTTGGGGTGGAGAGTTCTGTAGATGTCTATTAGGTCCGCTTGGTGCAGAGCTGAGTTCAATTCCTGGGTATCCTTGTTGACTTTCTGTCTCGTTGATCTGTCTAATGTTGACAGTGGGGTGTTAAAGTCTCCCATTATTAATGTGTGGGAGTCTAAGTCTCTTTGTAGGTCACTCAGGACTTGCTTTATGAATCTGGGTGCTCCTGTATTGGGTGCATATATATTTAGGATAGTTAGCTCTTCTTGTTGAATTGATCCCTTTACCATTATGTAATGGCCTTCTTTGTCTCTTTTGATCTTTGTTGGTTTAAAGTCTGTTTTATCAGAGACTAGGATTGCAACCCCTGCCTTTTTTTGTTTTCCATTTGCTTGGTAGATCTTCCTCCATCCTTTTATTTTGAGCCTATGTGTGTCTCTGCACGTGAGATGGGTTTCCTGAATACAGCACACTGATGGGTCTTGACTCTTTATCCAATTTGCCAGTCTGTGTCTTTTAATTGGAGATTTTAGTCCATTTACATTTAAAGTTAATATTGTTATGTGTGAATTTGATCCTGTCATTATGATGTTAGCTGGTGATTTTGCTCGTTAGTTGATGCAGTTTCTTCGTAGTCTCAATGGTCTTTACATTTTGGCATGATTTTGCAGTGGCTGGTACCAGTTGTTCCTTTCCATGTTTAGCGCTTCCTTCAGGAGCTCTTTTAGGGCAGGCCTGGTGGTGACAAAATCTCTCAGCATTTGCTTGTCTGTAAAGTATTTTATTTCTCCTTCACTTATGAAGCTTAGTTTGGCTGGATATGAAATTCTGGGTTGAAAACTCTTTTCTTTAAGAATGTTGAATATTGGCCCCCACTCTCTTCTGGCTTGTAGGGTTTCTGCTGAGAGATCTGCTCTTAGTCTGATGGGCTTCCCTTTGAGGGTAACCCGACCTTTCTCTCTGGCTGCCCTTAACATTTTTTCCTTCATTTCAACTTTGGTGAATCTGACAATTATGTGTCTTGGAGTTGCTCTTCTCGAGGAGTATCTTTGTGGCCTTCTCTGTATTTCCTGAATCTGAACGTTGGCCTGCCTTGCTAGATTGGGGAAGTTCTCCTGGATAATATCCTGCAGAGTGTTTTCCAACTTGGTTCCATTCTCCCCATCACTTTCAGGTACACCAATCAGACGTAGATTTGGTCTTTTCACATAGTCCCATATTTCTTGGAGGCTTTGCTCATTTCTTTTTATTCTTTTTTCTCTAAACTTCCCTTCTCACTTCATTTCATTCATTTCATCTTCCATTGCTGATACCCTTTCTTCCAGTTGATGGCATCGGCTCCTGAGGCTTCTGCATTCTTCACGTAGTTCTCGAGCCTTGGTTTTCAGCTCCATCAGCTCCTTTAAGCACTTCTCTGTATTGGTTATTCTAGTTATACATTCTTCTAAATTTTTTTCAAAGTTTTCAACTTCTTTGCCTTTGGTTTGAATGTCTTCCCGTAGCTCAGAGTAATTTGATCGTCTGAAGCCTTCTTCTCTCAGCTCGTCAAAGTCATTCTCCATCCAGCTTTGTTCTGTTGCTGGTGAGGAACTGCGTTCCTTTGGAAGAGGAGAGGCGCTCTGCGTTTTAGAGTTTCCAGTTTTTCTGTTCTGTTTTTTCCCCATCTTTGTGGTTTTATCTACTTTTGGTCTTTGATGATGGTGATGTACAGATGGGTTTTCGGTGTGGATGTCCTTTCTGTTTGTTAGTTTTCCTTCTAACAGACAGGACCCTCAGCTGCAGGTCTGTTGGAATACCCTGCCGTGTGAGGTGTCAGTGTGCCCCTGCTGGGGGGTGCCTCCCAGTTAGGCTGCTCGGGGGTCAGGGGTCAGGGACCCACTTGAGGAGGCAGTCTGCCTGTTCTCAGATCTCCAGCTGCGTGCTGGGAGAACCACTGCTCTCTTCAAAGCTGTCAGACAGGGACATTTAAGTCTGCAGAGGTTACTGCTGTCTTTTTGTTTGTCTGTGCCCTGCCCCCAGAGGTGGAGCCTACAGAGGCAGGCAGGCCTCCTTGAGCTGTGGTGGGCTCCACCCAGTTCGAGCTTCGGGGCTGCTTTGTTTACCTAAGCAAGCCTGGGCAATGGCGGGCGCCCCTCCCCCAGCCTCGCTGCCGCCTTGCAGTTTGATCTCAGACTGCTGTGCTAGCAATCAGCGAGATTCCGTGGGCGTAGGACCCTCCGAGCCAGGAGTGGGATATAGTCTCGTGGTGTGCCGTTTTTTAAGCCGGTCTGAAAAGCGCAATATTCGGGTGGGAGTGACCCGATTTTCCAGGTGCGTCTGTCACCCCTTTCTTTGACTCGGAAAGGGAATTCCCTGACCCCTTGCGCTTCCCAGGTGAGGCAATGCCTCGCCCTGCTTCGGCTCGTGCACGGTGCGCGCACCCACTGGCCTGCGCCCACTGTCTGGCACTCCCTAGTGAGATGAACCCGGTACCTCAGATGGAAATGCAGAAATCACCCGTCTTCTGTGTGGCTCACGCTGGGAGCTGTAGACCGGAGCTGTTCCTATTCGGCCATCTTGGCTCCTCCCCCCCACTTTGTGTTTATAATACTAAAATAAAACACACATACTGAAGATGCCAACTTTATAGCTTAAACTATATTATTGTATGTATAGTTAATAGAGATATATGACAATATAATCAGTACATTGTAAGTTTCCAAAGCTTCAAGAATGTGTATTTTAAAAAGCCCTCTTATGATGTCATCTAGCTGTATAATTTAGAAGAGTAAAGGCCTAAGGGCTGGCTTGTGTATCCTCATAGACATAAGACCAAGAAGGCAGCCATGGGACTACCATCTGTGTGTTGCATCCATCTTCAATATAAGTATAATCTGTCAACCCCTTTAAAAGAATTAGGAGGCCGAAGTGGGCGGATCACCTGAGGTCAAGAGTTGGAGACCAGTCTGCCCAACATTGTGAAACCCCGTCTCTACTAAAAATACAAAAAATTAGCCAGGCGTGGTTGTGGGCACCTGTAATCCCAACTACTTGCGAGGCTGAGGCAGGAGAATCACTTGAACCTGGGAGGCGGAGGTTGCAGTGAGCTGAGATCATACCACTGCCTTCCAGCCTGGGTGACGAGCGAAACTCCATCTCAGAAAAAAAAAAAAATTAGGTATAGTCCCTGTGGAAAATTTAATTCTAGAAATAATCAAATTCTGATGAAACACAACAAGAAGTGGTGTAAAATGCTTCCCACAATGGCCAACTGAGTTGTTAGGTTAGAGGGTTTAGTACTGACCCTAGATGTTGCCTAATAGCCACCAAATTCTAAGTAAATGAAACATAAAACAAAAATTAATTGATTCTCTCTTGTATTTTATATCAGTAATTACTCCATTTTTAAAAGTGCTTAAGAATCTTCCTACTTTGAAAGAATCAGGCCATATAATTAAATTTCTGGTTTATAATTTTGGAATAAGAAAAGATTCCCCTTTGTTAAAGTGGTAAAGATCAAACTTCATCCCCATTCTAAAGGCAATGTACAGAAAGAGTTAGTTTAAGAGATCAGTAAACACCAGGGATCCAGTATTTAGGAGAGTCAATGGAAAGATGTTCATTCTTATGAAAGGTGGCTTCTTTACCTTCTCTTTTTTCTCCTCCTCTTTCACTTCTGTTTCTGTTTTCTTCCTCTCTTTCACATTCCTTTAATTTTAACAAATTATTATGAAAGGTTGATCAACACATAGATATCTAAATATGTAGGTATCTATCCATTCTTATTGATTGGTTACGTGTGTAACAAATCAGTAAGAAAAAGGTCAGTAACAAAAAATTTATAAAAGTCATGAACAGGCAGTGAAGTTTCCCCTTGGCTTCTCTTCAGGAAAAGGGAACTATTGCTACTTTGTTGCATAAAATGAGGGAAGCTAGTGCTGTGACTCTACAAGGAATCTTTTGCCAGCTACTCTATGTCCGCTATCTGAACTTTATGAATAGTCCTCTTTTTTCTTTTTCTTTTTTCCTTTATTTCTTCTAAAAATATAAAATGGAATATATGTGTAGAATGTGCAGGTTTATTACATAGGTATACATGTGCCATAATAGTTTGCCGCATCTATTGACCCATCCTCTAAGTTCCCTTGCCTTACCCACCGACCCCCAACAGGCCCTGGTATGTGTTGTCCCCCTCTCTGTGTTCATGTGTTGTCAATATTCAACTCCCACTTATGAGTGAGAACATGCGGTGTTTGGTTTTCTGTTCTGTGTTAGTTTGCTGAGGATGATGGCTTCCAGCTTCATCCACGTCTCTGCAAAAGACATGATCACATTTCTTTTTATGGCTGCATAGTATTCCATGGTGTATATGTATCACATTTTCTTTATCCAGTCTATCATTGATGGCCATTTGGGCTGGTTCCACGTCTTTGCTATTGTAAACAGTGCTGTAATAAACATATGTGTGCATGTATGTTTATAGTAGAATGATTTATATTCCTTCGGGTATATACCTAGTAATGGGATTGCTGGGTCAAATGGTATTTCTGGTTCTAGATCCTTGAGGAATCACCACACTGTCTTCCACAATGGTTGAACTAATTTACACTCCCACCAACAGTGCAAAAGTATTCCTGTTTCTCTGCAGACTCACCAGCATCTATTGTTTCCTGACTTTTTAATAATCACCATTCCGACTGGCATGAGATGGTATCTCATTGTGGTTTTGATTTGCATTTCTCTGATGATCAGTGATGTTGAGCTTTTTTTCATATGTTTGTTGGCCATATAAATATTTTCTTTTGAGAAGTGTCTGTTCATATCCTTTGCCCACGTTTTGATGAAAACTTTTTTTTTTTGTTGTAAATATGTTTAAGTTTCTTTTAAATTCTGGATATTAGATATTTGTCAGATGGGTAGATTGGCAAAATTTTCTCCCATTCTGTAGGTTGCATGTTCAGAAAGCCAAATCATGAATGAACTCCCATTCACAATTGCTACAAAGAGAGTAAAATAACTAGGAATACAGCTAACGAGGGATGTGAAGGACCTCTTCAAGGAGAACTACAAACCACTGCTCAAGGAAATAAGAGAGGACACAAACAAATGGAAAAACATTCCATCCTCATGGATAGGAAGAATCAATATTGTGAAAATGGCCACACTACCCAAAATAATTTATAGATTCAATGCTATTCCCATCAAACTACCATTGACATTCCTCACAGAATTAGAATAAACTATTTTAAATTTCATATGGAATCAAAGATGACCCCATATAGCCAAGACAATTCTAAGCAAAAAGAACAAAGCTGGAGGCATTATGGTACCTGACTTCAAACTATACTACAAAGCTACCGTAACCAAAACAGCATGTTACTGGTACCAAAACTGACATATACACAAATGGAGCATAACAGAGACCTCAGAAATAACACCACACATCTACAACTATCTGATCTTCAACATACCTGACAAAAACAAGCAACAGTGAAAGGATCTTCTATTTGGTAGCTGGGAAAACTGGCTAACCATGTGCAGAAAACTGAAACAGGACCCCTTCCTTACACCTTATACTAAAATTAACTCAAGATGGATTAAAGACTTAAATGTAAAACCAAAAACCATAAAAACCCTATAAGAAAACCTAGGCAATACCATTCAGGACATAGGTGTGGGCAAAGACTTCATGACAAAAACACCAAAAGCAATTGCAACAAAAACCAAAATTGACAATTGTGATCTAATAAAACTAAAGAGCTTTAGCACAGCAAAAAAAACTATCATCAGAGTGAACAGGCAACCTCTTTTTTACTTAAAGACCTCCTGAGCTCTTTTCAGTTTAACATTTTAAAGCCAACAAACACAAAGAACAGGTCTTAAGGCAATTATATAATGCTGATTTCATGTGATTGAATCAACCTGACAAATACTCAAAACTGAAACAGAACTCCAAACCAATGCTGCTCACAAGGACATAAGCACAGCCTGGATAGATTTTTCAAGGTTGTGACAAGAACATGATGCAAGACTCCTTCCCCTAAAATGGCAAATCTGAGGAATGGAAAATCAACTGTGACCATGAAATGTATATTCATGTAGTTTCCAGTGTGATTTTTAATATTGGATAACCAACCCACCCAAAAGAAATGCAAGTAGACTACCTTCCCATGAAACTGCATGATTGTGCCCATATTTTGAAGAAGTGAAAATTAAAATAATAATAACTTCAATTTTTCTTATTTTCTCAAATAATAAAATATCTGTTAATATACAGGAGGAAGGAGGAACCTGTAGAGAATGAAGAAACAATCATTCTTATTCAAAGGGGGTCTAATTAGAATTATTTTAATCTGTTTTGATGGCAGTTTGGCAGGATCTATAAAAATATAAATATTTTACTTTGACTCAGCAATTTTAACTTCTAGAAGTTTATCATGTGGATATATTTGCACATGTATTAAAGAATATTTCTACAAATATATTTGCTGAAGTCCTGGTTATGATACCAAAAAACTGGAAGCCACCTAATATTTTTCATGTAATGATGCTATAGCCATACCAGGTAATACCAAACAATCATTAAAAAAGAAAGAAGAGTAGTTCCATATGTTTACATAATAAGGATCTTTTAAATATATTTCGATTTTTTAAATTGATGAATAATAATTCTACATATTCATGGGGTACACAGACATACGATACATATAATGTATAGTGATCAGATTAGGGTAATTAGCATATTCCTCTAAAATCAATTCTTAGAACAGTATTAAAATATATGCGAAGTTATGTTAAAGTGATAAATATGTAGATTATATGAACACTTTCTGAAATGATGTAGAGTAGCTGTAAAGAGTAGATTTCCTGGGCAGGAAAGTGAGGAGTAAAGAACATCTTTTTACTGCATTAACTATGCTATTTGAATGTTTAACATGAGTTTTTATTAACTCTTTTGGTGAA
This sequence comes from Homo sapiens, assembly GCF_000001405.40. NCBI lineage: Eukaryota > Metazoa > Chordata > Mammalia > Primates > Hominidae > Homo > Homo sapiens. Next base: position 126,923,883 of record NC_000004.12, on the reverse strand, counting down.
TAAAAAGCTAGTAAAAATAAGAGAATAAATGGCATTTTACAAATACTAATGCCAGACATCTCATTGAGATATCTTGCAATCTCATTCTGCTGCATTTGAGGAAATATGTGAAATATTTTAAAAATACATCAAGACTAACAGTATTTATGCAAGGAAGGTTTGATATCAATACTTTATATACTACCTTACTACCAATATTTTGTCACTCTATTAGCAGAATTCTTGATCATCTCAAAAGACACAGAAGAGACATTCAATAACATTCACTATCTTACACACATTATGTATGCATGTATGTGTTTGTGTATGTTTGTTAAGAGTAGAAGAGAACTTTACTTAGCCTGTTTTGTGTGTATATAACAAAGCTCATTGCAACACACTGTACTTAATTTTTTAACTTCAAAAGCATTTTAAAAAGTAATGCCACAATCACCATCATTGCTCAAATAATTAGTCATTTTGGAGGTTTTGGTCAATGCAATGTGATTTTATTTCCTCAACTCTTGGATTACTGATTACTTGGAAGTGATTTTTATGGTCTTCAAATATGTGTGCTTTTGTCCTGTTTGGTTGTTTTGTGTCCGGAATTGGTTCCTTCTGGTGGGTTCTTGGTCTCGCTGACTTCAAGAATGAAGCTGTGGACCCTTGAAGTGAGTGTTACAGTTCTTAAAGATGGCACGTCTGGAGTTGTTCGTTCCGCCCAGTGGGTTCGTGGTCTCGCTGGCTTCAGGAGTGAAGCTGCAGACCTTTGTGGTGAGTGTTACAGCTCACAAAGGTGGTGCGTCCACGGTTGTTTGTTCCTTCCAGTGGGTTTGTGGTCTCACTGGCTTCAGGAGTGAAGCTGCAGACCTTCTCAGTGAGTGTTACAGTTCATAAAAGTAGTGCAGACCTAAAGAGTGAGCAGTAGCAAGATTTATTGTGAAGAGTGAAAGAACAAAGCTTCCACAGCGTGGAAGGGGACCCAAGTGGGTTTCCACTGCTGGCGCAGGTGGGCTGCTTTTATTCCCTTATTTGGCTCCACCCACATCCTGCTGATTGGTCCATTTTACAGAGAGCTGATTGGTCCATTTTACAGAGATCTGATTGGTCCATTTTACAGAGTGCTGATTGGTCCATTTTTACAGAGTGCTTATTGTGTGTTTACAAACTTTTAGCTAGATATGGAGTGCTGATTGGTGCATTTACAATACTTTAGCTAGACAGAAAAGTTATCCAAGTCCCCACCCAATTAACTAGACATAGAGAGCTGATTGGTGCATTTACAAACCTTTAGCTAGACACAGAGCACTGATTGGTGCATTTACAGTCCTTTAGCTAGACAGAAAAATTGTCCAAGTTCCCTACCCAATTAGCTAGACACAAAGTGCTGATTGGTGCATTTACAAACCTTTAGCTAGACACAGAGCGCTGATTGGTGCATTTAAAATCCTTTAGCTAGACAGAAAAGTTCTCCAAGTCCCCACCTGACCCAGAAGCCCAGCCAGCTTCACCTCTCAGTTTCAGTTTTGTTGATGTCTGTCTTCTAACTTTATAAGTCTGTGATGAAAAAGGCAGCCTTACAATATCAGTTATTAAGAATCTGTGGAAACTTTATTTCTGAGGCTTACCATATGGTCAATTTTTTCTTGCTGAAACCTGACCTTTAATTATATTTTTCAGTGAGGGGTTGACTCAACTTATTGTGTTTCTGGTTTAGAGAAATGTTTTCATTCATAATTTAATTGATTTAACTTAACTTTTGAGTGATAGTCTGACCAGGCATTTAATGATGTACAAAGTAATTTTCCCACAGCCATATTAATATATGAATTGACTAACTTCTATCACATATTTCTGTGAATAAGAAGTCTGTCATTAAGTTAATTGGTAAAGTTAGCTTGTAGAAAATTATTCTGTTTTTCTGGATTTTTTTTTATTGGACTTTAAGTTCTGGGGTACATGTGCAGAACATGCAGGTTTGATGTGCCATGGTGGTTTGCTGCACCCATCAATCCGTCATCTACATTAGGTATTTCTCCTAATGCTATCCCTCCCCTAGACCCCACTGCCCAGCAGGCCCCAGTATGTGATGTTCCCCTCCCTGTGTCCATGTGTTCTCATTGTTCAACTCCCACTTATGAGTGACAATATGCGGTGTTTGGTTTTCTGTTCTTGTGATAGTTTGCTGAGAATAATGGTTTCCAGCTTCATCCATGTTCCTGCAAAGGACATGAACTCATCCTTTTTTATGTCTGCATAGTATTCTGTGGTGTATATGTGCCACATTTTCTTTATCCAGTCCATTATTGATGGGTTATTTGGGTGGGTTCCAAGTCTTTGCTATTGTGAACAGTGCCACAGTAAACATACATGTGCATGTATGTTTATAGTAGAATGATTTATAATCCTTTGGGTGTATACCCAGTAATGGGATTGCTGGGTCAAATGGTATTTCTAGTTCTAGATCCTTGAGGAATTGCCACACTGTCTTCTACAATGGTTGAACTAATTTACACTCCCACCAAGAGTATAAAAGAGCTCCTATTTCTTCACATCCTCTCCAGCATCTGTTGTTTCCTGACATTTTAACGACTGCCATTCTAACTGGCATGAGAAGTTATCTCATTCTGGTTTTGATTTGCATTTCTCTAATGACCAGTAATGATGAGCTTGTTTTTCATATGTTTGTTGGCTGCATAAATGTCTTCTTTGAGAACTGGCTGCTCATATCCTTTGCCCACTTTTTGATGTTTTTTTTTTCTTGTAAATTTGTTTAAGTTGTTTGTAGATTCTGAATATTAGCTCTTTGTCAGATGGGTAGATTGTAAACATTTTCTCCCATTCTGTAGGTTGCCTGTTCACTCTGATGATAGTTTCTTTTGCTGTGCAGAAGCTCTTTAGTTTAATTAGATCCCATTTGTCAATTTTGGCTTTCGTTGCCATTGCTTTTGGTGTCTTAGTCATGAAATCTTTACCCATGCCTATGTCCTGAATGGCATTGTCTAGGTTTTCTTCTACGGTTTTTATAGTTTTAGATCTTACATTTAAGTTTTTAATCCATCTTGAGTTAATTTTTGTATATGGTGTAAGGAAGGGATCCAGTTTCAGTTTTCTGCATATGGCTCGTCAGTTTTCCCAACACCATTTATTAAATAGGGAATCCTTTCCCCATTGCTTGTTTTTGGCAGGTTTGTCAAAGATAAGATGGTTGTAGATATGTAGTGTTATTTCTGAGGGCTCTGTTATGTTCCATTGGTCTATATAACTGTTTTGGTACCAGTAACATGCTGTTTTTATTACTGTAGCCTTGTAGTATAATTTGAAGTCAGGTAGCATAATGCCTCCAGCTTTGTTCTTTTTGCTTAGGATTATATTGGCTATGTGGGCTCTTTTTTGGTTCCATATGAAATTTAAAGTAGGTTTTTCCAGTTCTGTGAAGAAAGTCAATTGTAGCTTGATGGGAATAGCATTGAATCTATAAATTACTTTGGGAAGCATGGCCATTTTGAGAATATTGATTTTTCCTATCCATGAGCATGGAATGTTTTTCCATTTGTTTGTGTCCTCTCTTATTTTCTTGAGCAGTGGTTTGTAGTTCTCCTTGAAGAGGTCCTTCACATCCCTTGCAAGTTGTATTCCTAGGTATTTTATTCTCTTTGTAGCAATTGTGAATGGGAATTCACTCATGATTTGGCTCTCTGTTTTTCTGTTATTGGTGTATAGGAATACTTGTGATTTTTGCACATTGATTTTGTATCCTGAGACTTTGCTGAAGTTGCTTATCTGCTTAAGATTTCGGGCTGAGATGATGGGGCTTTCTAAATATACAATTATGTCATCTGCAAACAGAGACAATTTGACTTCCTCTTTTCCTAATTGAATATCCCTTATTTCTTTCTCTTGCCTGATTGCCCTGGCCAGAACTTCCACTACTATGTTGAATAGGAGTGGTGAGAGAGGGAATCCTTGTCTTGTGCTGGTTTTCAAAGGGAATGCTTCCAGTTTTTGCCTATTCAGTAATACATTGGCTATGGGTTTCTCATAAATATCTATTATTTTCAGATACGTTCCATCAATACCTAGTTTATTGAGAGTTTTTAGCATGAAGGCTGTTGAATTTTGTCGAAGGCCTTTTCTGCATCTATTGAGATAATCATGTGGTTTTTGCATTGGTTCTGTTTGTGTGATGGCTGACGTTTATTAATTTGCATATGTTGAAACAGCCTTGCATCCCAGGGATGAAGCCAACTTGATTGTGGTTGATAAGCTTTTTGATGTGCTGCTGGATTTGGTTTGCCAGTATTTTATTGAGGATTTTATCAGCGATGTTCATGAGGGATATTAGCCTGAAATTTTCTTTTTTTGTTGTGTCTCTGCTGGGTTTTGGAATCAGGATGATACTGCTTCCTAAAATGAGTTAGGATGGATTCTATTGTTTGGAATTGTTTCATAAGGAATGGTGCCAGCTCCTCTTTGCACCTCTGGTAGGATTTGGCTATGAATCCGTCTGGTCCTGGACTTTTTTTTGGTTGATAGGCTATTAATTACTACCTCAATTTCTGAAGTTATTATTTGGTCTATTGAGGAATTCATCTTCTTCCTGGTTTAGTCTTGGGAGGGTGTATGTGTCCAGGAATTTATCCATTTCTTCTAGATTTTCTAGTTTATTTGCGTAGAGGTGTTTATAGTATTTTCTGATGGTAGTTTGTATTTCTGTGGGATTGGTGGTCATATCTCTTTTATCATTTTTTATTGCGTCTATTTGAGTCTTCTCTCTTTTCTTCTCTATTACTCTGCCCAGCAGTATGTCCATTTGTTGATTTCTGGAATTTTCGAATATTTTTATTTGCTACCAAAATACCAAACTACGTTATGGTGTATATAGATGTGTATCAGGTATTTGGTGGATTTTAAAAATATTTTTATGTCGTAAGTTTTCAGGAAAATCTCAGCTCTTATATCTTCAAACATGGCCTCTTTGGGGCATTCCTATATGTTTTCTTTATGGAATTAGGCAGGTATTCGAGGTCCTCAAATTTTTCTGCACATCTCTTAATCTCAAATTCTCTCTTTCCCTCTTAGTTTCTGAGAGTTTCCCTTAGTTCTGTCTTTCGATTCATTAATTCATTAATTTGGTCTTTAAATTTCTTTAACCTAAAGTTTTGCATATAATTTGAAAGAATTTTTAAAATTCCCATATTGACTCTACTATCTTTTTATTCAAAAAATTTTAATTTGTTCATGTTCTTGTGGTATTATGTATCAATCTTCAGAATATTTTTTTAACCACTAATCTTTGATTGCCTCCATGTTTCTTTTCAAGCCTGCAATTTGAATCCGCCATTCTTTTAAGCTCAACAAACCTTTCTCTAGTTTCAAAATAAACACTTCTGATATCTTAAGTATTTTTCTGGAATACCTTTAAGACAAAATAGAAACAAATAACACTTTCTATTCTAGATTCTCTTATAAATATATAATACTCACAAAATGTTTCTATTACCTTCAAATATTTTCTCCAATTATTGCCCTGTGATTACCATATTATGAATGAGTCATATCTATTTTGTCTTTCAAACTTGTAGATAACTTTTTTTATGGTTGTGCCTTACACTATTAAACAAAAAATAGTAAAAGTTGCATTAATTTATCTGGATGTTCAGCCTGTATAAAACCAACCATAGGCTTAGCTGACATACTTTCACATTTAATCTGTAGATTTGATGTAACATAATGGCAGTTTTAGTATAAATTTCTAAAGGGACTTGTTATCTTTGTATATATTTTGTTACTGAAAGGTACACAGTGCACAGTAGATACTTTTAGAAAAGTATAGTGATTCTGGGAATTTATGTTGAATTTTTAAAAAGTAAACTTTACAAACCAGTTGTATTAAATTAATATATGTTCACTTATTGCACAAATAATTCAAATCATACAGAATCTTATGAAAAATACTTTGAGTCTCACTTTCTTCCTCTTACCTGTCTGAGATACCCAATTCTAAGGTTAGGGTAATACACTCTGGAAATACTTAAATAGTGCCTTTTCTTTTCCTGTTGTGATCCTTAAAATTGCCCATATTTGCTTGTACTGCATGTTGATTTTCCTTTATGATTTTGCTATTTCTTCATGGTCCTCTTTGGCAACATAATATCGTTTCAACCTTTATATTGTCTTAGTTGATATAATAGTTCTTGGTATATTTTGCCAAATGTGGCGTCTACCCTTGGCAAATCAAGTCAAAATGATAGTACTATTGATCTTACTTTTTATGTGTACCATTGGCTAAAATGCTAGATATTGAAGTACGGTGACTTTACTATGATTTCTCTACTGTAATTTATTGGAGGAACTTCTAGCACTTGTCACAAACAGGTAAATTATACTTTGATGCTTTCCTTCTGAATAATGCTTTAGCCTAAAAGATCTTACTGCAATTCCAGTTGCACCAGAAGAGTCTATTAAACTACTATACTTTTAGAGAAATCAGTACATATTATTATCTTCAGGTTTCACTGAAAAATGTGGAATTGTTTGGATTAGTCTGAGTGTGGCATGATATCTTGCGAATGCATTTTTAAAAAATTAATATTATAAGGATTTAGTCTAAATCAGGCTTATGTATGTGAGAAATTTATAGCTGAGAACCTGAATAAACAACAGGAGAGTCAGCATTTCAACTTTTACGTGTTTAACAAAGGATTATGGAATTGTCCCACAAGCATAAGCTAAATCATGAAAATTTACATTTTCCTTCTGTAGGACAGTTCCTTCTAACATTATCCTCTGAACAACGGCTCATTTTCTTGTGCCAGTATTCTATTCCCTGAACTGCAGCTTGGCAGCAGCCAGGTCTCAAATTTCAACCACATGTATTTCAAAAAATCAAAAGATCCTTATTTGGCACTTCAGTCGCATATCTTTAAAAGCAGTGTTTGTGCGTCAGATTTAGAAATAATTGAAACCAGGGGGTTCAAAAAAAACCAAACTTTTCTTCCAAGATGTTTCAGCTTCAACTGATTCCAAAAACATTGAAAGCAACAGAATGGAAACGAGAATAGAAACCGCATGCAGCCTGCAGCATAATGTAATGACAGTGCAGGCAGAAACGGGTTCGGAACGTGCAATCTACAACGAAGCCCAGATCAGGATGCTTGTAGGGCCTGACCCTGTTTCCTCAATAGCCTGCCTGAAAACAGTCCTAGCGGTCTGCAAGTCTCAGAGCAAGTGTGTCAGCTCATGAGGTCATTTTGTCTAAGACTGAAGATGGGAACATATGTAGAAGTTTTGAGTTAGTGATCCAATCTTGGAAATCACATTAAAAACTATATGCATATATATTTCATGGTCACAATTGATTTTCCATTCCTCAGGTTTGGTGATTTTTTTTTTTTAAAGGAGGGAGTCTTACATCATGTTTTTGTCCCAATCTTGAAAAATCTATTGAGGCTGTGCTTACGTCCTTGTGAGCAGCATAGTTTAGAGTTCTGTTTCAGTTTTGAGTATTTGTCAGGTTGACCTAATCACACGGAAACAGCACTATATAATTACCTTAAGAACTGTTCTTCTATATTTGTTGTCTTTAGAATGTTAAGTTGAAAACAGCCCAGGTGCCTTTAAGAAAAAGGAGGCCTTATTGTAAAATGCAGATAAAGGACACGGAGCAGTTGGCAAGGGGTTTCTTGCAGATTCACAGCACATGCTTCCCTCATTTTGTGCAACAGAGTAGCAATGCAATAATTTTTCCAGTTCAAAAGAGCAATCAGTACTCTCCTCCTAAAGAGAAGCCAGGAAAGAACTTCACTCTGCCTGCAGATGAAATAGAGACTTATAAAAAGGAGTAAATAGAAGATTACTCAATTTTATGTAAATTTGTTTTAACTCTAATGTTACATTACTGTAATATAAACCTTCTTCTGTATTATTTAGGAGCATAAAATTCTGGTTATCCGATCAAACAACCTTTAATTTAGATCATACCACTAATTTAATAATTTGTGGGTCTCCCAGCTTCCATTATTTTTCCATCACATGTATTGTTTGTATTGTATGAACTTGCCTTTACATAACTGATTTGAATGTTTCCCTGATCAGCTCAACATCTCTCACCGAATCAGCATTTTCAATCACTTCCAAGTTCTTTAGCCAGGAATTAAAGGCCCCTTATAATTTTACATTTGTCCTCCAAATCCCTTTTCTGTCTTACAGCCCAGTATCCTCTCACTACCTGCCCTTTTCCCATCTTTATTTGTACATTAGAACACCTTGCTTTTTCAGCAGAATGTATTGCAGAGAATACACGTTGGAGTTCAGTATATCAAAACTGAAGCTTCAACTTATTAGCTCTGAAAACCAAGAAAAATAATTATTTATAAAATGTCCCTGTGCCATCTAGCTCTAGAGTGATTGTACTTACAAATGAAAAGAAAAGGCATAGAAAACATTTTAAAACTGTAATGTGGTGTACTAATGATTCCCAAGGTGTGTCAGAACACCAATTCAATTTTATTGTCATTGTTTTATGAAGAGGTGGTTTCATGATCACATACATGTATTTGAATCCCAGCTCCACAATTTACCAGTTACTGACTTTGGGCAATTTATTTAATTTATTTACAATGTAGATTTTAGTTTTAAAATTTGTAAGATGATAATAATAATAATGGCTCCCTCAAAGGATTCTCATGAAGATTAAAAGAGTTAAAACTTGAGCAAATGCCTAGAAGAGTGCCTCCCACAAAGGACATGTTAGATAAGGTTTTGCTGAATAAATAAGTCCTGCATTAAACAAGGTTAAGTAGATTTCTTTACTCCAGGGCATATTAGCAGATATGCCGTGTTGCTTTCCAAGAGAGAATATAATAGACAGCATTTCTCAAAATTATTTCCTAAAAGAAACTTTCTTTTGAAGAGTACTTTGGAAAATGCTTAGTTTCACCAATAATTGTTCAATTTCTTCCTAACAAATAGTCCATTATCCTCACTGCCTAACTTCCTATTAAGGAATGATATACACACTGGCAAGGACAGCTAATTTGCAAAGTATTGGCAATATTCTCTTTTTTTAAAAAAAATAAACTTTATGTTTTAGGATAATTTTAGGTTTACAGCAAAATTGAGTGGAAGGTACAAAGAGTTCCCATGTTTTCCTGTCCCCACACGGGCACAACTTCTCCAATTATGGATATCCAGCACCAAGGTGGGACATTTGTTACAATCAATGGCTCTACCTTGATACATTGTTATTACTCAAAATCCAAAAATTTACTTTAGAGTTCCCTCTTGGTGTTTGTTGCATATCGTATTGATTTTAACAAAGAGACTTATAAAAAGAGTCATACAGAATAGTTTCACTGCCCTAAAAATCCTCTGTGCTCTGTTATTTGTTCCCCACTTCCTGCTTACCCTTGGAACCACTGATCTTTTCGGTGTCTCTATATTTTTTTTTCAAGAATTTAATATATTTGGATTTATATAGTGTGTAGCCTTTTCAGGTTGAGTTCCTTTGCATAGTAATATGCATGTAAGTTTCCCCTATGTTTTTCATGCCTTAATAGCTCATTTTTTTTAGTGCTGAATACTATTCTATTGTCTTGATGTACCACAGTTTATTTTATCCATTCACTTACAAAATGACATCTTGGTTGCTTTGAACTTTTGGCAATTATAATAAAGCTGCTATAGCATCCATATGCATGTTTTCTTGAATGGATATAAATTTTCAATTTATTTGGGTAAATACCAAGGAGCACATTATAATAGTATGTTTAGTTGTTTTTTCTTAAAAAAAAAAAAACTGTCTTCCAAAATAGCTGTACCTTTTTGCATTCCTGCTGGCAATGTACGAGAGTTTCTGTTGCCTTACATCCTCACCAGCATTTATTTGGTGTGACCTGTGCTTAGAATTTTACCCAATCTAACAACTGGTTAGTGATAATTCATTTTTGTTTTATTTTGCAATTCCCTAGTGACATATAATGTTAAACATCTGATATGACTTGGCTGTGCCCCACTCAAATCTCACCTTGAATTGTAGTTCCCATAATCCCCACATGTCATTGGAGGGACACAATGGGAGGTAATTTAATTATGGTTGCAGTTACCCTCATGCTATTCTTGTGATAGTGAGGTTCTCATGAAATCTGATGGTTTTACAAGGGGCTTTCCCCTTTTTCTTGGCACTTCTCCTTCCATGTAAAGAAGGATGTGTTTGCTTCGCCTTCCACAACGATTGTAAGTTTCCTGAGGCCTCTCGAGCCATGTGGAACTGTAAGTCAACTAAACCTCTTTCCTTATAAATTACCCAGCCTCAGGTATGTCTTTATAAGCAGCACGAGAACTGACTAATACAATACCTTTTCATATGCTCACTTTCCATCTGTATATCTTCTTTAATGAGCTGTCTATTCAGATTTTTGCCTATTTTTTCATCAGATGTTTTATTTTCTTATTGTTGAGTTTTAAGAGCTCATTGTATTCTTTGAATAATAATAGTCCTTTATTAGATGTGTCTTTTGCAAAAATTTCCTCTCTATGGCTTGTCTAATTATTCTCTTGACAATGTCTTTTGCAGAGCAGATGTTTTCACTTTTAAAGAACCCCGCCTTATTAATTATTTCTTCATGGACTGTGCCTTTGGTATTGTATCTAAAAAGTCATTGCCATGCCCAAGGTTATCTAGGTTTTCTCCTGATATGTTGTAGGAGTTTTACAGTTTTGAATTTTACATTTAGGTCTATAATCTATTTTGATTATAATTTTTGTGAAGGAAGAAAAGTCTGTGTCTAGATTCATTTTTTCCCATGTGGCTGTCTAGTTGTTCTAGCACTATTTGTTAAAAGGATTATCTTTTTTTTCTATTATATTGCCTTTGCTCTTTTGTCAAAAATCAGTTGACCATATTTATATGGATCTATTTCTTTGTTCTGTGTTCTGTTCCACTGATCAATTAATATATGTACATATTTTTGTCCAATAGCACATTGTCTAGATGACTGTAGTTTTACAATATGTCTTGAAGTTGGATAGTGTCAGTTCTCTACCTTGGTTCTCCTTCAATATTGAAATGGCTCTTTTGAGTCTTTTGCCTTTCCATGCAAACTTCAGAATCTGTTTGTCAATACCCACGATATAATTTCCTGGGATTTTGACTGGAATTGCATTGAATCTATAAATCAAGTTGGGAAGAACTGACATCTTGAAAATCAACATTGAGTCTTCTTATAAATTAACATAAAATGGATCTTCATTTATTTAGGTCTTCTTTGAAATCTTACATCAGAGTTTTGTAGTTTTCCTCAGATAAATCTTGTGAAAGTTTTGTTAGATATTTAAGCAATTCAATTTTTAGATGATAATATAAATGATAATTTGCTTTTAATTTCAAATTTCAGTTATCCATTGCTAATACAGGAAAATGATTGACTTTTGCACACTAACCTCATAATCTGCAAACTTGCTATAATCACTTATAAGTTCTGGAAGTTTGTTGTTGATTCTTTCAGATCTTCTACATAGATGATTATGCTATCTGTGAATAAGGACAGTTTTGCTTCTTTTTCCCCCCCTAGTTTGCATACTTTTTATTATTATTATTTTTGTCTATTAGCTAGAACTTCTATTACAATGTTATAAATTGGTGGTGAGAGGTGACCACCTTGCCTTGTTCCTAATCTAGGGCTAAGGCCTCAAGTTTCTCACCATTAAATATGATGTTACATGTAGCTTATTTGTACATGTTCTTCATCAAGTTTAGGAAGCTCTTTTCTTTTTCTTGTCCGTTATGAGTTTTCATCATGAATGGGTTTTGGATATTGTCAAATGATTTTTCTGCATCTCTTGCTCTGGTCATGTGATTTTTCTTCTTTAGGTTACTAATGTGATGGATTACGTGAATTGACTTAAAATGTTGAACCAGCCTTGCATATCAGGATGAATCCCACTTAGTCAATAGTTATTTTCATACAACAATGGAATCAATTTGGTAATATTTTATTGAGGATGTTTGTGTCTGTTTTCATAGAGATATTGATATGTAGTTTTCTCTCTTTTCTTGTAATGTATTTGTCTGGTTTTGGTATTAGAATAAAGCCAGCTTCATAAAATGAATTAGGAAGCAACCCCTCTGCTTCTATCTTCTGGAAGAGAATGTAGAGAATTGGTATAATTTCTTCCTAAACTGTTAGAATTTACCATTGAACCCATCGAGGCCTTGCACTTTCTGTTTGGAAGGTTATTAGTTATTGTTTCAATTTATTTAATAGATATAGACTTATCCAAGTTGTCTATTTGTTCTTGTATGAGTTTTTGCTGATTGTTTCAATGTAGTGGTTCATTTCATCTAGTTTATCAAATTTGTGAGCATAGAGTTGTTCATAATATTCCTTTATTATCCTTTCAATGTTTATGTGAGCTACAATGATATTCCTTCTTTTATTTCTGATATTAGTAATGCATATCTTTTTTCTTAGCTTGGTAGAGGCTTATTTATATTATCTTTTTTTAAAAAAACAGCATTTCATTTTATTTTCTCTATTGATGTCTTTTATCAGTTTCGTTGATTTATTGTCTAAATTATTTATTTATTTTTTATTTGACTATTTTTTGGGGTTTAATTTGCTCTTCTTTTTTTAGTTTTCTAAAGTGGAAGCTTAGAAAATTGATTTTAGGTCTTCATTCTTTTCCAATTCACGAATTCAGTCTACAGATTTACCTTTGGTAAGTTACATTTTCAACTTCATTTCCTTGAAAACATTTTAAAATTTATCTTGGTAATTCTTTTGTGACCCATGTGTTATTTAGAAATATGTTGCTTAATCTCCAAGTATTTGGAGATGTTTTCAGGTATCTTTCTGTTATTAATTTCTAGTAGAATTCCTTAGTAGTCTGACAGCAGTCATTGCATGATTTCTATTCTTTTATTTTTATCTTACTTATTTGTATAAATTAAGGGGTATGAGTTCAGTTTTGTTATATAGATATATTGCATGCGATGAAGTGTGGGCTTTTAATGTAACCATCATCCAAATAATGTATATTTTTTGCATTAAGTAATTATTTACCCCTTACCTCCTTCCCAGCTTCCCTCCCATCCAAGTCTCTGATGTTTTATGCATATACGTTATTTAGCTTTTACTTATAAGTGTGAACATGTGGTATTTTCTCTTTTCTGAGTTGTTTCACTTAAAATAATGGCCTCCAGTTCCATCCATGTTTCAGCAAACCTTTAATATTTGTCTGTATTTTGGTTTTGGCTTGAAAGATATTAAACTATTTCCTAATCTTGGCATGATAAGGTAAAGCATACATGTTAATTTAAATAATCTTAAAATCTGATCAAATAATCTTATTTTGAGAGATTTCAGTGAAAATTTTTGTTGAAGAAAAGTTCAATCAAGTGTGAAATAATATATCATATGTAAAATGATATGATGAATAATATGTTAACCTTTTTCATCTATGCTTGTACACTTTCACCGTGATTAATACTTTTCTTTTAAGTGTATTTTCTAACAGCTGTTATTCTATAGGAAAAATATATAATATATTGGATGATTTCAGCATTTCTTTTTGGTTATCTTTATCATTCATAAATACCCTTTGCTTGAGATATTAAATACTCTAGCTCATATAAACATAATGTGTGCACATATTTTTCTCAAGGTATCTTTATAGGTTTTTGAAACACAATGAACTTAGGGAATCTATTCAGCTTTGTTAGCCAAAATATTTTAGGTAATAAACAGAGCCTGGGAAATTCCTGATGTCACAGATCTTTTTCTTGTGGTCTTTTATCATTTGATATATCAAGTCAGGAGGTATCAGTCTAATAAACCAGTGGAACTTAAAGGAATAATGTCATTTTTCTTTAAGAATAAGCTGAGCTTTGAAATTGTATCTTCATTGAAAAAATGTGAATAGACCCACTGTAAATCTGAATTGAAAAGGACACATGCTTTATCAGTCTGAAAGCTGTATAGAATTAAATATTCAACATAAACGTGACCCCACCCCAGCCCCCAAAATAGCACTGTTGGTTCATTTCTCTTTTTTTCTTGGACATTTTGGATGTCTCATAAATCTCTGATGGATATTTCTATATAATTATATTCAAAGACAAAGCATGTTATTGACCTATGCCCTGGAAAAGAGAAGGTAAGCTGATTTGCAACAGAAAGAACAGAGCTATTTGGGGATATGTCAAGCCAGATAAGAAGGTGGTTCAAGTTGAAGAGAGAGGTGCTTCACTCCTTAGGATGAAGGAATGGTTTGTGGTCCTACCTTATGATGAGAAATCCTCTTCATTACTTCCTTTTGGCTTAGAGTTGGTGATACTAAGGAAAGAGAAGGGGAATAACTCCATCCAGCAGAATGACATGATATGGACAAGGAACAGCACATCTAGGATGTGAAATGTTGAATATACTAAGAATTGAGCTGAATAAACATCTACTTCTGACAATATGGTGGACTGGAGGCTCTGGAGTACTCTTCTCCTACAAACAACTAGATCCTGCATAGATCACATTCTCCTCTCTCAGGACAATTCCTAATACTACCTCCAAATACAATCAACCAACTAACCAACCAAACGAAGTGCACAGGTCCAGAGCTGAGAATAGTATCCACTGGGAAATGGGAGGCAGAAGTGCTCCAATAGTTGCTCAAAGAAATACTGGCATCCAGAAATGGACCAGTTAACAGTGAATGATCTGAGCCTGAGACTTTCTTGTCCACTCTAGTGGGTGACTGAAATTATGCCAGGTTTATGGCAACCTCTAGCTATGTGCAGATACAGAAAAAGCATCTCAACTCTAGTTCTTCAAGAGTCCAGCACATTTTCAATCTCAAAGAACTCACAACGATCACCAAGCACTGGAGGAGACAAGCTGCTATTAATGACAATCAACAGAAACCTTTAGCAACAGATTTAGTCCTGTAAGTACTTTAGATATTGGACATGTTAGGATCAGAATATGGAAAAAGCTGTATATGAAATATTTAAATAAACATGGAATCACAAAAGCAGGCAGGTAACAAAAATGGAATTCTTTTTTTTATATCTTATTGAGAATGTATTAATATTTGTACTACCTCTAGGGCTATTTGCATTTTAAATCTCTTCTCTAGAAGTTCTCTTAGACTCCATATTAAAGGACTCAGATACATAGGCAGATTTCTTGAAAGCAATCATGGACATTTAAATTCAGGTAAGACAACCACATCTATGTAATAGTAGACTTGTAAATCCACAAATAGCAAAAATGGAATTCTTAAAATGAATCATTGAAAACAATTAAATGGATGTAGTAAACAGCATTTTATGAGTCAACCTCTGAGCCAATGGGTTGACATGAGTTGACATGTAATGAAATAGAGTTTCTCATGGTGTCCTGAACTAGAACACCCAGAGCTTCTCCATAATGGGAAAGGGTGAAATGTTTGCTGATGGGAGAGCCCTTGGGAATGGAAAAACAATTTGACAGAATTTGTAGCTACGATTACTTATATTAAAATTATTTTAGCAGTTTTATATGTTTTAATTTCCAATTAAGATATATTGTAATTTTTTGTTTCCATGTTTTCCTTTTTCATAATATCATGATCTTACTTTACAAGTGCAATATTTCGGCTGGGTGTGCTGGCTAACACCTGTAATCCCAGCACTTTGGGAAGCTGAGGTCGGTGGATCACCTGAGGTCAGGAGTTTGAGACCAGCCTGACCAACATGGCAAAACCCCTTCTCTACTAAAAATACAAAAATTACCCAGGCGTGCTGGCTCACACCTGTAATCTCAGCACTTTGGGAGGCCAAGGCGGGCAGATTGCCTAAGCTCAGGGGTTCGAGACCAACCTGGTTAATATGGACAAACCCTGTCTTTACTGAAAATACAAAAATTAGCCAGGCATGGTGGCAGGTGCCTGTAATCCCAGCTACTCGGGAGGCTGGGGTGGGAGGATTGCTTGAGCCTGAGAGGCAGAGGTTGTAGTGAGCCAAGATTTTGCCACTGCACTCCAGCCTAGGTGACAGAGTAAAACCCTGTCTCAAAACAAAACAAAAAACAAGTGCAATATTTTCTTGAATTTTTATGAAAAATCCGTTAAGGATTTGGAAATAGTCTTTTTTGTTCTCTGCATTATTCCTATTTTCCTGAGATCAATTATCTGTTTATTTTTGGCTTTCTCTTTCAAACTGTTCCATTTTTGAATATACTAGTTGTCCATTTATGTTGAAGGTTGAGGAACAGGATTATTTTTTCCAAATGTTTCTTCTTCTGCTCTCTGTTTCCTGATAAGGACAGTTGAGTAGAAGATGATTGATGAGGATCCCTGTATTCTCAAGCAAATTAAGTCCACTGTCAGATTCTATTTTGGATAGGAGGATGTGGTGACAGCCTCCTATAGCTGGGCCCAACATATGAATCTGGGGTGACAATGCCCATTTGAAAAGTCAGAGAGATTCCTCCATCTTCAAAAAATTAATTTATAGAAGAGATATACGCTTTTTTTTTTTTTTTTTTTGCCTAGGTATAGATACTGCTGGGGTTGATGTTCTCAGCACAAAATGTGGCTGAACCAGCAGTGCCTTATAGATGTTCAGTCAATCCCACCTTCTATAATACTAGCTGATTCTGAGGTGGGATCTTCTCCTGGGTTCCAATGGACAAGTTTACTTTTACCTCAGATGCAGGCCCCTAAAAGCATATTCTGGGATGCAATTTCTTTCTCTTTATTTTATCAGAGAGCACACTTCAATTGTCTTTCTTTCTTCAAAAAAATGTATTGAGATGTATTTGCTGATGAATCCCCTTCCTATTTTCCTTACTTTTTGCAGTTGTATACTGTTATTCTATGAAATCTTGGAAGGCTAATAAATATGCTCAATGTAATAGATAATTATTGTTCTTCATTCTTAAACACTACTCAATACACAAGGGAGTAAACTATGCATTTATTTCTAAATATGTCTTAGCCTCACAGAGCTTACATTGAGGAGGGGAGTATGAACGGTATTTTTAAGCAAAAAAAAATTACAAGATGGAGTAACAAGTTGTCTGAATGAGGAAAAGCAAAGTGCTTCAGTGTTACCATCAGATCATCAGGCATTAGTGAGATTCTCCTAAGGTGCAGGCAACATAGATCCCTCCCACGTGCTGTTCACAATAGGGTTCCTGCTCCTATGAAAATCAAGTGCCTTGGCTGAACTGACAGGAGGCGGAGCTCAGGCAGTAAGGCTCCCTTGCCCAGCCACTCACCTCCTTCTGTGTGGCCATTCTGCAGCTTAGGGGCTGGGGACCCCTGGTGTAGAGGACAAACCTTTTAAATTAAGAAGGGAAAGATGAGTAAGAGCCGGGTGGTTTCTTAAAAAAGGATTCAATAGAAAAGGGGGTAGAAGACAACAGTTTTGCCAGCAAAAGAAGGAAAGGTCTGAGAGATTATTGTATATTAGAAGAACTACACAAAAAATTTGTTGGCAAGGCTATAGTGCTATGAGACTAGAAAGGTAAAGGGCCCCATGAATGCAATCAGTTTTGTTAAAAGTTTTTACTCTTATTCCAAGTCATTGAAAGCTTATAATCTGTGGAGTAATAAGAAGTATTTCAGAATGATTACTCTGCTGATATTATGAAGAATCCATTGGATGGTGAAGAGCTTGGGTATGTGGAGTTGAGTTAGGGAAACTCCAGGAGGCACATGTGGGAATCCTGTTCTAGGATGATGTCAGTGATGATGAAGACAAGTGAAAGGATTTGATTGCAGACTCAGTGGAACCTGTTGAACATGAGAAATGATGAGAAGGAAGGATTCAAAGATGACCCTCAGGCTGTGCTGTCTTAGAGTTGAGTGAAGGCTGGAATAGCAGCGGGTGTGCAAGGAAGGTGCAGGTGCCAATGATTCCTTAAGTGGGAAACCTTGAACTTAGCTGAATCCAGGATCAGCAAAGAAAAGCTGGTAAATTTACTGAGGTGTGGGGGTGAGGTCCAGGGCCATTGTGTTAAGAGTCTTAGCTGGGTTGCCTTTTATGTGAGGGGGCTGAAACTTTTTTTTTTTTTTCATTAAGGATCAAAAACTACTTGGGCAACTTTATACCCACAGTATAAATACAACACTTTTTTTAAAAAAAAGTAGAAAAACAAAGTGTTTTAATACAAATAAACAAAAATAAATGAATTAAATAATATTGCTATTTTGAATTTGAGAGAAGATGTAGAAAGATAAAGAGGTAGATGGATACTATGGCAACATTTCTAAAAGGGCATATTTGAGGGCTTTCAATTGGTTTATGGCCTGTTTTTTAAAATTATTTTCCGCAAAGGGTGAACCATTTATTTCTTCTATTATAGATCTCATATATATGTGTGTATATATAGATACACACACACACACACATCTAGCTCAAGAGTCTACCCACTTAACCATCGAATCATCACATATATATATATACACATATATATGTCATCACATATATATGCATATATGTGTATACATATGAATCATATATATACATAAAATCATTACATATATACATAAATATACGCACACAAACACACACACGCATATATGAGATACCTAATAGGAAATCTCAGGGAAGAAATTAAGGTGCTAAAAAGGACAATAATAGTGAAATAATTATTGAGTACAAACTATCTGCCAGGCCCTGTTCTAGGTTCTCTCCATGTGTAAAATAACTGTACCATAAGATAGGTACTTCATTTCACAAAAGAGGAAAGTGAGGACAAAAGCAATTAAATAACTTTCTCAATTTTACACTCTTAGGAATTGGTTATATCACAATTTAAATGTTGGTAATCTAGCTTCAGAGTGTACCCACTTAACCTTCAAATCATTATAGGCTTTATATAAATGTATAAATATCTATATATTACATAACTATAAATAGAATATATGCAACCAGAGAGCATATCCCAGGTCTATATGTTGCAGAAAAGCTGGATAGAATAGCCAAATGCTTGACTGAATGTGTAGGTATTTTCACTAATGAACCACAAAAATCAAGTTAACTAGAATGAATGACTCTGTCCATGCTAAATTCCTGTTTAAGGTAGACATTACTAAGTTGTAAATGATAATAGGCAGAATGGGAAACTCAACAAATTTCTGTATAAACCATCTATTTCTTTGATGAAAGAAAAGGCTGAAAAAGAAAACTTTAAATGGTTGGTCAGAGAGTTTGCAAGGCAGGCCAAGAAAGTGGCATCACTGTGCTCCAAGAGTCCCCAGGCACAGCGAGACTGGAAGTAGAGTGACCTTTGAGTGACTGAAGAAGTAAGAGGAATTTTGGAAATAGTTATTTGTATATACACAATTATTATGTGTGAGTCGCTCATAATGTGGGCATTGCCAAGCACAGCTATGCTTTTTTAAATTTTAATCCCTTTAACATGATTTGATGTGAAACAACCAAAACTTGTCTAAATAAATATACATGGTCTAATTTTGAAATTTGCCAACAACAACAGAAAATTTCAGATGAAAATATCCATATGCATATTTTCCTGAAAAAATTAAAAGTCATTTAATGCTGCCTATGGTCATTTTGAAAGTATGAAGATAAATACGGATTTAATTCTCTCACTCAAATATTTTCCTAATTTGATGAACAAGCTGAAAAAGTAGAAATGACAGCCATTTAAATGATCTTCCAGAGGTGCTTAAAGGGGACCTCACAATCTTATTTTTTTTCTTCAAGGCAGCTCGGTGTGTGTGTATCCAGGCATACATCCATTTTGTAATTAAAGCTAAGGCATCAGAGTGTTGCCTTAGATTCAGCCATCTCATAGCTGTGAAGAAAAGGATGAACCGAATCAAAGGCCTTTGGAAAAATTTAAGCTGGAAGGATAATTCTTAGCTTCCGGGAGAGTAAATCTACTTATGCAAAAGTATAAGAATGGAGAAGTCATGAGCATGAAAACCTCACAGATGGAAAAAAAAATAATAATCCTAGATGCTAACAGTCAGTGGATTGACCTAAAAGAATTGAGTATACTCAAGTATTCCTCATGTTGCTAATATATATTTACTGTTGTTTGTTTTTTGACTTAAAATCAGTTACAGAAAGACAAAGGTTCAAATGACACATCAAATCATCCATCTGTGACTCAAAGTGAATAACAGATCACTGACATTGTCAGTGGTAAACAGCTCCCTGATATTTGTCATTTAGATAGTGTGCAGTTACCAGTTGATGGTTTTCACAAAATTAAAATATTAAAAGTAATTTTAATACTATAAGCTTTTCATAATTACTATAGATATGCTGAAGCATTTATGTTATTATTTGGGTGATATTAAGAAACCCTCTCTCACCCCCAAAACTGATGTATGTATGGATAGATATGAATACTTATTTCGGGAGACAACATTAACAGGATTGATTCTTATGCCCTGTCACTGATGTTTATCTGCAGCTGGAGAGCTTATTTCTGGTCTACACATACCTAGTGGAACCAAGAGATAGACAAGCTAAAATAGCCATATACCTGACTGAATTGTACAGGTGCTTTCAGTAATGCACCTCCAAAATCAAGTTGACTAAAAAAATTGTATGCAATTAGTTAGTGTGGTATTAAAGTTAGTATTAGGTTCAAATTATCTTTATCATCTAGAATTATTTTTCAACTTGGAGCTGCATAAAATAACATAGGAACCTAGTGAACTTATTTGTACCTGAAAACTTGCTCTGACAGCCTGAGGAGATTTTTCTTTCATTTCTTTATAAACCTTTTACTTCCAAAATATATCTATTCAAAATGTCATGAAATCTTGGAGGTAAAAGTTGTTGGACACAGTTGCTACTTTTAGTATTTTTACAGTTATGTGCAATACCAAAATCAATGGTGAATTGTGTTCTTTAAACTATTTTTACATACTTTATCTTGAGACATGATTTTCTTTTAAACTAGAAAAGTCATATTCTAACTACAAATTTATAGTTCTTTTCTTTATACTAAGTCAAAGATAAAATGTTTGCACTTGTCGAGTTGAGTGTACATTGGTATCTTTCAGGCATAGTTATACACAAGCAACTTTGGTTAATTTTAGTAATAATAAAAAAAAATGTTCAAAAAAGGGATTAGCTGAAAACATTCCTGAGGGATTGGTAGAAATCAAAGCACTTGGAGGAGAAGCATCAGACAGCTGGGGGGACTCAGTGGCAGGACCCTGTGGAGCTTTTCTTGAAATCTTTATGTTTGTGAACTACAGCCTGCACGCCAAATGCCAAACACCACCAACTGCTTGTTCTGTGCAGCCTAAAAGCTAACAATATGTGCACGGTTTTTAAAAAAGTTTTGAATGTTTTTAAAAAAACAACATAATTCTATTTTGTGGCATGTAAAATTTAAGTTTTAGGGTTATAAATAAAGTTTTATTGGAACACAGTCCCACTTATTCATTTATGTATTTTTTTTTCTTTTGTTTGAGAAGGAGTCTTGCCCTGTCCACCAGGCTGGAGTGCAGTGGCGCCATCTTGGCTCACTGCAACCTCTGCCTCATGGGTTCAAGAGATTCTCCTGCCTCAGCCTCCCAAGTAGCTGGGATTACAGTCACATGCCACCAACACGCCCAGATAATTTTTTGTATTTTTAGTAGAGATAGGGTTTCACCATGTTAGCCAGGATGGACTCGATCTTCTGACCTCTTGATCCACCCACCTCGGCCTCCCAAAGTGCTGGGATTATAGGCATGAGCCACCGTGCCCAGCCCATTTATGTATTTTCTATGGCTGCTTTTGTGCTACAACAGTAGAGTTCTAGTGACAGAGATTCTGTGACATGCAAAGCTGAATATATTTACTATCTGGGCCTTTACAGAAAACTTGTTTTGACTCATGAACTAAGGAACTGACTTATAGTAACTAGTCTCTAACAACCCTCAGTTGTGTTGTCTCCACTCAGGTTCCAAATACCCAAGAGAAACAGTCTGTGAAGCTCAATTAACCTTGAGTCAGGAGTCCATCCCTTGGCCTGTGATCACAGGTAGGGCTACTGGTTTGTAATTAGACCAGCCTGGTTTTGCACGTGCAAGACAATGGAATGTCACAAACAGAAGGAAGAACCCATGAGGAAAAACTCTGGGCAGACAAAAGTAATGGCCATGTCAATAGTACAATCAAGTCATTATTGTTGTCTCTTCTCTCATTTCTTTATTCTCTTAATGTACTTTATATTTCAATACATCAATAAGCACTTAAGAAGCATCTATTTTATGTGTTCCTTTCGACAGCACAAGCACCAGGTATATAAAATAGTTCCTGCTTTTGAAGGTCTTATAGTTCCATGAGGAAAATGGTCATTCAAAAAGTTAATATAAATACTATGTAATAGTTACTTCAGGAGAGATAGCAACCAAGTGGTAAAGGAGTGAAAAGAAAGAAACAAGTGATGTTGTCATATTTGCAAGTAAATCATTGTGGTTGTTTATCACCAACTTTGGTTTAAGAGTTTTTAGTTCTCAGAAAGATCTTTGCTTCTTGTATATACCCTAATATTTTGCCAGACTCAAGTTTGCCTTAGCAACTTGATTGATGATAATTTAAAAATTGGTACTTTTCTATTTACCTTAAAGTTTATTTCTTGCCACTTTTTCTCATACCGTAGTGCTTCAAACTAACATTTGAATATTCAATTATTGCTAGAGTAAATGCATTTGTTTTCAATTGCTGTGTAACAAATCACCATAAACATAGCGGCTATAGATACTTACTTGCTAGCTCACAGCTCTTGTAGGTCAGAAGCGTAGCACGCTCTGGGTCTTACAAGGCTGAAATCAAGTTGTTGTTTTGTGCTGCAATCTCGTCTGGAGTTTAGGGTTCTCTTCCAAGATAACATGGTGGTGACAAAATACTGTTCTTTGTAGTTGTAAGACTGAAGTTGCAGTTTTTTGCTGGCTGTCAGACAGGGGCTAATGTGTGATTGCATTACTTACCACATGGCTCTCTGTCTTCAAACAAGCAGTGGGATATCTCTCTTTCATCAAGTCCTTGTCACATTTCAAATCTTTTCTCCAAGAAGAGTGCTATGACCTTTCTTTTTCTTTTTCTTTTTTTTTGAGACGGAGTCTTGCTCTGTTGCCTAGGCTAGAGTGCAGTGGCACGATCTTGGCTCACTGCAACTTCCGCCTCCCAGGTTCAAGCGATTCTCCTGCCTCAGCCTCCTCAGTAACTGGGACTACAGGTGTGTGCCACTATGCCTAGGTAATTTTTGTATTTTTACTAGAGACGGGGTTTCACTGTGTTGGCCAGACTGGTCTTGAACCCCTGACCTTAAGTGATCCTCCTGCCTTGGGCTCCCAAAGTGCTGGGATTACAGGTGAGAGCTACCATACCTGGCTGAGCCATGTCGTTTTTAAGGGCTTGCCTGATTAAGTCATGTCCACCGAGGATAGTTTATTTATTTTTTTTGAGATGGAATCTCACTCTATAGCCCAGGCTGGAGTGCAATGGCATGATTTCCGTTCACAGCAACCTCCACCTTCCAGGATCAAGCAGTTCTCCTGCCTCAGCCTCCGGAGTAGCTGGGATTAGAGGCACATGCCACCACCCTTGGCTAATTTTTGTATTTTTAGTAGAGATGGGTTTTCACCATGTTGGTCAGGCTGGTCTCAAACTCCTGACCTACCTTGGCCTCCCAAAGTGCTGGGATTACAGGGGTGAGTCACAGTGCCCGATGTCTTTCTTTCTTAAAGCCAGTTGTTCCATACAATGTAACCCAAGTATGAAAGGGAAATCCATCATAGTCATAGTTCTCAGGGAGCAGAAATATTGTGGGACAAAAATATTCAAAAGGGAATACTTTTGAGGTGAAACGGGCAGTATTATACTATTAATAATTACATTGAGAGGTGAAAACTGGAACTATCTTGGAAAAATACAAGATCATGTTTGCATGATGATTTTCCTTTATTTTGACTTTTATTATCTCTAAGTTCACATTTACTTTCCAACTCCTTTTTATTCTTTTTTATTTTCAAATTTGTTTTTTATATAACATTTGAATCATGCAAGAAATGCATGCCACATATTTATAAAATTATGAACCATAAAAACTTTTAAAACATGAATCCAGCACTTGACTTAAGATTCTGAACATACCAGGATCATTGCATGTGCTTTTGGACTCATTCCTTGTGCCATTGTCCTGCCCCTCCCCTCTGTTCCAGTATGATCTCCTCTGTTGGAGCTCAGTGATTACCATATAAGGTTTGAACTTTAGTTGTCTAAAAGAAGAGGCCATTATGCCTGGAGCCGCAGATGAGAAAGTCATCAAAGTACAGAATTTTTTTCCTTGTATTTGTAGTAGTAACTTAGGGTGGTACTGACTCATTCAGAGAGAAAAGTCAATCATTTGGAGTCACCTACAATAGTGCTCCTTTATAACTTAACAGCACTTGCTGCACTATTCTTAGCCATTTGCCCGGACTTGGAGGTGAGCCCAGTTAACCAGCTGCTTTCATCTCAAGGCCCTGCTGGCACTGATCAATTTTCTTTTCCAAACCCAGCCTCTTCTGACACTTCCACAGTCAATCCATCTCTCTCAGTTTCTGCAACTGTGAAATTGTGTCCATTCTGTTCCTAGAAGACTTCTTCCTTGGATTTTTTTGAGCTATAAGCACATGGATACTTCCCAGAGTACAAATTCATTTGCACTGTGTCTCGTGTGATATCCTATAGATGTCCGGCCTAGTGACATCAGAAATGTACTTTTAAAAACTTCTCATATTTCTTTGCTTTGGAAGATGGGAAGCAGAGAAGTTTAACTCATCTTGAAATGGAAATATTGTTTGGAGTTTTTGGAGATAACACTAAAGAGAGTGTGAAGAATGTGTAGGGAGGGAGGGAGATGGTGGCAGGCAAATCAGCTAGGGGACTGCTGCAATAGTCCTAGTGAGAGGCAATGCAGTGTGGTGTTTTATGTTCTGTCAATTTAGCTAAGCTGCAAGAACATTTCCCAGAATTCCCATCCCTGTCTGGTTCTGTGTTAGAGTTCACCATAAAAAATTAGGGTAAAATTCAGAAGAGCCATTATGCTGGGAATGTTGGTGTAAGGTGTCAGGTATAGCTGCAGTTGACATTATTGCTGATTTACTGGCTTATCTTTTAGTTGTGGGGCAGTAGTCAAGTCTGCAGCTACTCAGTCCCCATGGGACTTCTCTTAACAAATTCTCTAAGTTCTGAGCCAATCATTCAATCATTTATTCATTCCAGAGTGGAGGGTATCAGCTTCTTGAATCATTGAGTTTGAATGTACTGAAAGACAGACACAGGTGTCATTTTGTCGTTGTGGGCTGCCATTCCCTTTGTAGGTGATATGGTTTGGCTCTGTGTCTTCACCCAAATCTCCTCTCGATTTGTAATCCCCACAGGTCGAGGGAGGGGCCTGGTAGGAGTTGATTGTATTATGGGGGAGGTTTGTCACATACTGTTCTTGTGATAGGGAGGGAGTTCTCATGAGATCTGGTTGTTTGACATTTCCCCTGCTCACTCTCTCTCTCTCTCCTTCCACTTTGTGAAGAAGGTACTTGCTTCTTTTTTGCCTTCTGCCATGATTGTAAGTTTCCTGTGGTCTCCCCAGCCATACAGAACTGTGAGTCAATTAAGCATCTTTTGTGTATATATTACTCAGTCTCAGGTGGAATCTTTATACCAGTGTGAAAACGAACTAATGCAGAGAAATGGCACTGAGGTAGTGGGACATTGCTATAAGAGAACTGAGAATGTGGAAGCAACTTTGGAATTGGGTAATGGGCAGAGGTTTGAACAGTTTGGAGGGCTCAGAAGAAGACAGGAAGGTGTGAGAATGTTTGGAATTTCCTAGGGAATTGTTGAATGGTTTTGACCAAAATGCTGATACTGATATGGACAATGAAGTCTGGGCGGAGGTAGTCTCAGATGGAGATGAAGAACTTACTGGGAACTGGAGTAAAGGTCATTCATTCTATACTTTAGCAATGAGACTAGTGGCATTTTACCCCTGCTTTACAGATCTGTGGGACTGCAAACTTGAGATAATTTAGTGTATCTGGCAGAAGAAATTTCTAAACAGCAAAGCATTCAAGATGTGACCTGTCTTATTCTGAAAGCCTTTAGGTACATGCATTCAAACAGAGATGGTTTGAAATTGGAACTTATGTTTAAAAGGACAGCAGAGCACAAAGGTTTGGAAAATTTGTAGCCTGACCATATGGTAAAAAAGAAAGTATCCATTTTCTGGGGAAGAATTCAAGCCAGCTACAGAAATTTGCATAAGTAATGAGGAGTTGAATGTTAATAGCAAAGACAAGGGGGAAAATGTCTCTAGGGAATGTCAGAGACCTTCACAGGAGCCACTCCTATCACAGGTTCAGAGGCCTAGGAGCGAAACATGGCTTCATGGGCCAGGCTCAGGGCCCCACTGCTCTGTGCAGCTTCAGTACTTGGTGCCCTGTGTCCCAGGCGCTTTAGCCATGGCTAAAGAGACCAAGGTACAGCTCAGACCGATGCTTCAGAGGGTGCCAAGCCTCAAGCTTGGCAGCTTTCATGTGGTGTTGGGCCTGTGGGTGCAAAGAAGACAAGAGTTCAGCCTTGGGATCCTCTGCCTGGATTTCAGAGGATGTATGGAAACACCTGGATGTCCAGGTAGAAGTCTGCTGCAAGAGGTGGAGCCCTAATGGACAACCTCTACTAGGGTAACGCAAAGGGGAAATGTGGGGTTGGAGCCCCCATACAGAGTCCCCACTGGGACACTGCCAAGTGTACCTGTGAGAAGACCACTGTCTTCCAGACCCCAGAAAGGTAGATACACTGACAGCTTGCACCGTGCACCTGGAAAAGCCATAGGCACTCAATGCCAGCCTGTGAAAATAGCCACAGGGGCTGTACCCTGGTGAGCCACAGGGATAAAGCTGCCCAAGACCATGGGAGCCGAACCCTTGCGTCAGTGTGCTCTGGATGTGAGACATGGACTCAAAGGAGATTTTGAAGCTTTTAGAGTTAATGATTACCTTGGTGGGGTTTGGCCTTGCATGGGGCCTATAGCCCCTTTATTTTGGCCAATTTCTCCTATTTAGAATGGGAACATTTACCCAATGCCTGTACCCCCATTGAATCTTGGAAGTAACTAACTTGATTTTTATTTTACAGGCTCATAGGCAAAAGGGACTTCCCTTGTCTCACATGAGACTTTGGAGTTAGACTTTTGAGTTAATGCTGGACTGAGCTAATACTTTGGGGGACTGTTGGGAAGGCATTATTTGCTTTGAAATGTGAAAAGGACATGAAATTTGGGAGAGTTCGGGGTTGAATGTTATGGTTTGACTCTGTCTCCACCCAAATCTCATATCAAATTGTAATCCTCACATATTGAGGCAGGGACCTGGTTGGAGGTGATTGGATCTCAGGGGTGGTTTCCCCTATGCTGTTCTCATGATAGTGAGGGAGTTCTCTTGAGATGTGGTTGTTTCATAAGTGTCTGGCATTTCCCCTACTTGCTATCTCTCTCTCTCTTTGCTGGCTTGTGAAGAATATGCTTCTCCTTAGCTTTCTGCTGTGATTGTATACATTTCCTGAGGCCTCTCCAGCCATACAGAACTGTGAGTCAATTAAACCACCTTTGTTTGTAAATTGCCCAGTCTCATGTAGTATCTTTATAGCAGCATGAAAATGGACTAATACAGTAGGTTTCAGTTTGGTTTTGCCTTTCACTGGTTCATACCTAGGGTTTTGTCATGATTACTAGTGCTGTTGGCCCACAGTGACCTTCAGACTCTTACTATAGAAGCAGAGCAACAGCGTTTCCTGTCTTCTTCACCTGCTCACAGCTCCTGTGAGGTAAATCTCCTTTTCCATTTCACTCATTACTGTTCTCCCAGGTCTAATCCTAACTGGTATCCCAAGCCTGTGGCAACCGGGTAGCATACAAAATATGTTCAAAAGGTGTTTCCACAAATGTATTAACCACAGTTGGTGGCCATCTTCTTTTTCTGAGATTTGAGTCTTCAGAATGTTAGCCTAAATTTTTCAGATTATAAGTGTTCATTAATTACTTCTTCCAATAAGTCTTGGTAAATTCACTGTGCTAAAACATGCCAACTAACCTCCATTCCTCTCTTCCTACAAACTTGAGTAAATAGCCCCTGAAATGTTTTGTTGTGATATGGAGACCAAGGGATGCTTTTTTTTGCTGATCAATTTTTTTTTTCATTTTGATAACCAATCAACAAACAACAAACAAACAAGCAAATCTGTCTTTGTGGCATCTCTGTTTTGTCTTGTTTCATTTCTTGAAGGGCTATGTAATGTTTTTATCTTTTAACAGATGAATTAAAAATATTTTTGAGACTTTACTACATTATATATTGCCTAAGAGCATGAACTCTGTTGGAAAACAAATCTGATTTGAATTCTAAATCTGAAATTGTACAAATCTTGTAACTCTAGGCAAATTGCTTAATTTCTCTACAACAAAATTATATGTTGAATAGTGTTAATAAGAGCGTTTGTCCCAAAGTTTTGCTGAGAAAATTTAATAAAAAATACATATACATCCTCGGTTCTATTCCTCCTACAAGTCAGTGTTTGAGAGATGTTAGTTACTAGCTCTAATTGGTATGTTAATTTTTCTATTTTCTCTGGGTTTCTGGGATTGAGAATTGAAAAGTGGAAGTGAGACTTTGTCTCTTATTCAACAGTCATTCAACTCTTTCATCAAGTCATTTTCATAAGTTTCTTCTTTTGATCAACAAAACATAATCAGATTCCAATAGCATACTTTCTTCCACTAGTCTTACTGTGGTAGCAAGTCCATTTTAGGCCTGACTCTCACTGGCCATCTTTGTCTGCTCTCTTACTTCAAAAACCAACTAAATTTGCACCATAAGGTACTTTTGATTGGCAGTAACCTTATTTATCCATTATCAGAAATGAGCTACATTTCTCTGTATTTCCAAGGATTCATTTATAAAGGTTCTCATCAAGGCATTAATATCTAGTTTGTTAGGTCTACTTCCTAGAACCCAGGTATTTCACAGCTGGTACCAGTTGATTGCAACTTGCAAGCTCATTCCCACTTCTGTCACAAGAGGCAATTCTGGCTTTAAAAGAAGGATTTAAAATAGTTTTATCTTGACTCTGTTAGACTGAACAGAAAACTCTGCTGCTTATCCACCTCTGACACTTGCACAGTTCTCATTATTGCAACTCCGTCTTGTCCTGTTTAAGCAAACAATCTCTTGTATGTAAATCTTTGTCTAGATGGGTGCATTTAGGGTTTGGGGCCTAATCTAACACCTATTATGACATTTTCTTAATCTTGACTGCAGAGTCTGTGGACCTATTACTTGTTGGTAGAATATCCAGATACTGCTCCCCATATTGTTATATCCAGGACACTCCTTTGTCCTGCCTCTAGATGACAACTGCCATTTGAATACTGTTTTGTTTCCACTTTTCAGTATGTGTAGCTTAATTTCTTCTAGTGCCTGCACACAGCTAGTGAGCATCTATTTTAGACCTCTGGCTCTCTGTAGAAAACTGGACCAGGAAGTTCTAGCAAGAGAAAGAAATAAAAGGCATCCAACTAGGAAAAGAAGTCAATCTCTCTGTCTTCACTGATGATATGATTATATATCTAGAAAACCCTAAAGACTCTGCTAAAAGGAGGCTACAACTGATAAACAATCTTGGAAAGGTTTCAGATTACAAAATCAATGTGAAAAAATCAGTAGCATTTGTATACAACAATAATGTTCAGGCTGAGAGCCAAATCAAGACCACAGTCCCATTTAAAACAGACACACACACACACACACGCACTCTACCTAGGAATACATCTAACCAAGGAAGTGAAAGATCTGTGCGAGGAGAATTACAAAACACTGCTCAAAGAAATCAGAGACAACACAAATGAATAGAAAAACATTCCATGCTCATGGATTGGAAGAATCAATATCGTTAAAATTGCCATACTACTCAAAGCTATTTACAGATTCAATGCTATTCCTTTCAAACTACCAATGCCATTTTTCACAGAATTAGAACAAAAACTCTAAAATTCATATGAAACTAAAAAAGAGCCCCAATAGCTAAATCGATCCCAACAAAAAGAAAAAAGCCAGAGACATAATGCTACCTAACTTCAAACTATAGTATAACGCTACAGTAATCAAAACAGCATGATAGTGGTTAAACAAACTGATGCATAGACCAATGGAACAGAATAGAAAAATCGGAATTAAAGCCACACAGTTACAACCACCTGATTTTTGGCAAGGACGACAAAGATAAGCAACAGGGAAGGGTCTTCCTGTTCAATAAATGGTGCTAGGATAACTGGCTAGCCATATGCAGAACAATGAAACTAGACCCTTACCTTTCATCATATAAAAAATTTAACTTGATATGGATTAAGATTTAAATATAAAATCTCAAACAACAAAAAACCCAGAGGAAGACAAAGGAAATACACATCTCAACATGAGCTTTGGCAAAGAATTTTTGGCTGAGTCCCCGAAATAAATTGCAACAAAAACAAAAATTGACAAGTGGAACCTAATTAAACTAAAGATCTTCTGCACAGCAAAAAACACTACCAATAAACATAAAACCTATAAAATGGGAGAAAATATTCACAAACTATGCATCCAAAAAAGGTCTAATATATAGAATCTATTAAGGAACTTTAACAAATCTACAAGCAAAAAATAAATAGCCCCATTTTAAAAAGGGCAAAGAACATGAATAGATAGTTCTCAAAAGAAAACATACAAACAAGCCAACAAACATATGAAAAATGTTTGTCATCACTAATCATCAGAGAAATGCAAATAAAACCATAGTGATACACCATCTCACACTAGTCAGAATGGCTATTATTCAAAAGTCAAAAAACAACAGATGCTGGCAAGGCTGCAGAGAAAAGTGAACAGTTATACACTGTTAGTGGGAATGTAAATTAGTTCAGCCACTGTGGGAAGCAGTTTGGAGATTTCTCAGAGAACGGAAAAGGGAACTACCATTCAACATGGCAATCCCATTACTGAGTACCCAAAGGAACATATATCATTACACCAAAAAGACACATACCCTCATATGTTCATCACCATGTTATTAACAATAACAAAGGCATGGAATCAACCGAGGGGTCCAACAATGGTGGATTGGATAAAGAAAATATGGTACATATACACCATGAAATACTATGCAGCCATAAAAAAAAGAATGAAATATTGTCATTTGTAGCAACGTGAATGAAGCTGGAGGCCATAATCCTAAGCAAATTAACACAGGAACATAAAATTAAATACTGCATGTTCTCACTTATAAGTGGGACCTAAATGTTGAGCAACCATGGACATCAACATGTGTACAATAGACACTGTGGACTATTTGAGGGTGGAAGTAAGGAGGGGGATATGAGTTAAAAGACTACCTCTTGGATATTGTGCTCACTACTTGGGTACAATATATCCATGTAAAAAACCTGCACATGTACCCCCTGGTATCTAAAATAAAAGCTGAAAAAAAATTGGACCATATCTCCTTGTGTCTCTAGAATGAGATGGAATGGGAGTTATATCAAATTATCTATGATAAAATATTACATTTCATACATTGATAGGGTGAGGCAACAAACATTTATTATGTTTCTTTTTTTTTTTTTCTTTGAGATGGAATCTCGCTCTGATGCCCAGGCTTGAGTGCAGTGGCACGATCTCGGCTCACTGCAAGGTCCACCGCCCAGGTTCATGCCATTCTCCTGCCTCAGCCTCCTTAGTAGCTGGGACTACAGGCGCCCGCCGCCACGCCCGGCTAATTTTTTTTTTTTTTGTATTTTTAGTAGAGACGGGGTTTCACTGTGTTAGCCAGGATAGTCTCGATCTCCTGACCTCGTGATCCACCCGCCTTGGCCTCCCAAAGTTCTGGGATTACAGGTGTGAGCTATCACTATGCTAGACAATATTTGGCAGTGAGTAATCCATCAGCCTGTTGCTATGGTTTGTCTTCCTCCTTTTCAATAAAAATCTCAATCTGCCTGCATTTTCATTCAGATTCTGTAATAAAGTTGAAGTTTCTGTATCTTTACTGTCATATTCCTGAAGAAAATAAACTCCTAATCTGAGATATGATTAATACATTCATCATAATGTTCACAATGTGACTTAGATGTTTTCTCCCAATTTCATAATTAAGGTAACTTCTTTTTGCACTTTGAAGTTCTCATCTAACATCTCTCATATTTGAATTATAACAAATTATCAATACTTGCCAAAATGTTGGGAGCTTATGTTTATATCGGCTGCTATTAATCTTGTCTTATCTTTGAATTCACACAATGTTAATGAATTCTGTCACATTACCCTTGCTAAGCAGCTGCTCTCATTCTCTTTGAAGTACAGCTTCCTGAAGATGCTCTACGTGGTCTTCCTTTCCTTCCAGAAGTCCCTTAGACTTTCCGACTTTCAGTCTTCTCTTTAATTCCATCCAATAGTCTTGCAGATGACTAAATGGATAGCCCGAAAGTCATGATTTCTTTCCTTTTTCACCTTTCTTTGCTCCCTTCTTTCATTCCTCCTGCACCACTTCTTTATCTCTGTCCTGTAATTCCTCTTCTCGATGGTCCTGATTACAGATGATAGCTGAAACTTACCAGATCCTTGGCAGAAACAAGGAGAACACAGTGCAGGTTGTGTTTTTCCTGACTCCCACAGGCCTGTTCCTCCAGATGTTCTCACTGCTCTGCCTGTCTCACAAGTTCTGCGTGCCTTGTGCCCCCATGACACACTCACATGCTCTGCTTCCCCTGCCTCTGAGCTGCCTGCAGGAGTAATTGAAGCAGGCTCTGCAACACCTCAGGGTCATCTTTCTTAGTTGGGAAAACCATCCTGCCTCTCTCACAGCATTCACAGGTTAAAAACCATTTGATGATGCAGTCCTCTGATGCACAGGTATTATTCTTCAAAATGCTTTGTTTACAAAGATGTTGAAATTGGGGCATAGGTAGATTAAAAGGCTTTAAAAAGTCACAAGGCAATAAAGTGATAGAAGTAGAACTTATAGCCTGGTCTCTAGACATCTAGGCTAAAACAATGTGGAACAAATTGGGATGTTAGAAAAATTCTGCTTTTATCCATATGTTCTATTTTATTCTCAGCCAAAAAGACTAATTTGTCAACATGCCAATCTACTATTACAAAGTTGGGCTTAAAATCATCTTCAGGAAGGACACTGCAATTTTAAATGAAAAGATTTTCAGTTTAGTTTGAGTAGCAGATGCAAAAGTTCAAAATGTTAAAGTCTTGGAATTTGTATACATTCTCCTGCTTGGATTTTGATTTTTGTGGGAACTTGAAGTTTAGT
The DNA here is from genome assembly GCF_000001405.40 of Homo sapiens. Classification (NCBI taxonomy): domain Eukaryota; kingdom Metazoa; phylum Chordata; class Mammalia; order Primates; family Hominidae; genus Homo; species Homo sapiens. Next base: position 126,890,549 of record NC_000004.12, on the reverse strand, counting down.
TTTATAATCCTTGTAAGGGTATGTTGCTTAAACAGGGAAAGTCTCTTTCCTCTTTTTTTTTTTTCACCCAAGAAAAGTGAAGCTCTGTAATCAGCTGCAAATATCATTTCAGACATTAGAAATTAATTAGTATTGTAAAATAATAATTTATAATCAAATCTTAAAGCATCTTTTACAACTCTCTTTCAACCTGATTTTCCATTGTAATTAAAATATAACCACGCAACTCCTTTAAAATGTAAGGCTTCAGAAAATAAGCCTATGGGTGTAGGTGTGGAGATCTTAAATTCCAGAAATGTTCTCAAATGAATTTTTTTGGGGGCTGTATTTACTCAAAGCCAAAACAGCAGTCTGAATAACTAAGGTAGACTCAAGCTAAAAGTAAATGTTATGGTCCCCAAAACAACCCAATGGCCTAAATTCAATCTGTTTACTTCCGCTATTTCTGAATGTTGTAATTAATAATATGTAAAAATACATGCAAAGTAAGTTTTATACAAAAAAATATTTATTTTAAGGCTGGGCACAGTGGCTCATGCCTATAATCCCAGCACTTTGGGAGGCCGAGGCGGGTGGATCACTTGAAGTCAAGAGTTCAAGACCAGCCTGGCCAACATGGCGAAACCCCGTCTTTACTAAAAATACAAAAATTAACTGGGTGTGGTGGCGGGCGCCTGTAATTCCAGCTACTCTAGAGGCTGAGGCAGGAGAATTGCTTGAACCCAGGAGGCGGAGGTTGCAGTGAGCCAAGATCGTGCCACTGCACTCCAGCCTAGGCGACAGAGTGACACTCCGTCTCAAACCAAAAAAAACAAAAAGAATAAATATTTATTTTAAATGTTTTATAAGTATCATATGTAAAGAAACTAACAATGATAAACATGCTACACTCCAAATTAACAGCACTTATTGAGAGCCTTGTAAGTTTCTGATATTATCCCAGGGCTACAATAAAGAATAAGGTGGAGGACACCTTATATATAGACACCTGTCTATGAGGACAATGATTTAAATTTGTGAGGGATTAAAGCTTGGTTCGAGAAATAAGATTAATATCGAATGGATTTATAAACATAAAATGTTACTATTTTAATTAAGCTTCTCAAAATATCTTAAAATGTTCTTCAAGTGACATTTTATTTTTAAGATTTTTAATATTAATACATTTATGTTGTGACATATTTATGGCTCAAATAGGTTATATACTATTTGTGAATGTTCTGCTTAGTTCATAAGGGACTCATTTCTCACCTTTTAGAAGGGCTTGACTTTTTCAATAAAGTTCTATTTAGTAACTGAGAAATGGTATTGGAATTTAGAAAAGTCATAAAAAACATAAAATAGACCCATGTGACTGGAAAGATTAACAAATCTTCAAAGAATGACTTCACTGGAATGAGTAAGTCCTATGTCATTTTTAATGAATTAATATAAAATTGACTCCTTTAGACTACAAAATATGTCATTTTTTAAATCAAAAACATAACTCTCTGATGATTAAGGCCCTTCAGTCTAATATAGTTTTTCTGCAAGTATGAATGCCCTTGTGTTTTTTTCCTAGTCTATTTGCATGTGAGAGATTCTTTATAATCTTATAGTGTGAAAAAATGTTATCTAAAGTTTCTACAAAGCTTCACGCCTTCTAGTGTGAAGCTGTATTTATCCTAGAATTCATCTTATCATAATATACAAAAGACCATTGAGAAATGTATTATTTAATTTAATAGCCATTAGAATAAATAGATACACATGAATGATGAATTGCTATGATATGAGCAGAAACTAATGATAAAAGGGAATAGTTAAAAAGGAATACGATTATACATAAAAAGAAATATTCAGTGGATAATTACACTATCTTGCATGTGCATTTTTCAGAATCAAGTTAAATAAATTTTTTACACCATTTTTCTTCAACTTCAAAGATAGTTTTACTTTAATCATACCAATAAATTTGTTGCTATATATTTCTATCAGCTCTATCTAAAAATAATTTCAATAAAATACAACAGTTTGTCCTTCATTTTTAATTACATTTATGGGTTTTAAATTTTAATTGCAGTTTAAGTGCGGAAACTGCAATGCATAAAGTCTGGAAAAGGTTTTACAATATAATATCTGTTGATTTTTGTCCCTTTGAAGCCAATAGAAGACTAAGTTATTGGTTTTGCTTGCAATTTGTTACATCTCATCCTATATTAAAAAATCACTGGGCATGGTGGCTCAAGCCTTGTAGTCCCAGGACTTTGGAAGGCCAAAGTGCAAGGATTGCTTGAGGCCAGGAGTCTGAGACAAGACTAGGCAACAATGCTGTCTCTACAAAGAATTACAAAATTAGCCAGGTGTGGTGGCTTGCACTTCTAGTCTTAGCTACTTAGAAGGCTAAGGTGGGAAGATTACTTGAGCCCAGGGGTTTGAAGTTGCAGTAACTATGATTGCTCAACTGCTCTCCAGTTTGGGCAACAGAGCAAGACCCTGTCTCTAAATAAATAAATAATATAATAAATAAAAAAAATCAACAAAACAACAGCTTTTTTCCATGTATCTAGCATTAATTGTTAACCAACCAAATTAAAGTGATTGAAGAGTTTACGAGCTATGAGAGGATGAAAGTTGAATTTTCTGAGATTTGAGATGAAAGGGATCACTAATAGAGTACATAAAAGTCAGAGTTCACTGACTTGAGATGTGTAGTATTTTAATTATTTGATTTTTAATTTGTTTATAAAGTGTGTTTTCAATGAAATGATGATTTAAGGTAGAAGATAGCGAAATTATGCACCTCCTTCCCTCCCCAGAGCACTCACTGCTAGCCATAGAATATTGAATATTGCTTTTAAGTCTCTTGTATTATGAATGTTCTGGCTTAATATTATATTAAAGTTTTAAATTATTACATGCCATGCAGTCAAACTCATCATTAACAATGAAACATTTATTTTGTGAGATATATTCTCCCTAACCCAACAGCCTATTCCTTGGTTCTCTTCTAGGCTCGTGATTTATGTCAAATGGCATCTCTTCCAGGAAGACTTTTTTAGTTTCTAAGTTATCGAACCCTATGCATATCTTTGTTTCACTGAAAGTATCTGCTTATGAATCTAAGTCTCTCTCATATTAGATGATAAATTCTTGAAGTGGTTGTGGGGTAAGCGAGAGAAGGAGAAGGCAGAGACCGTGTAATTAATTCATATCTTACCTATCTTTTCTTTTTTCAGGAACTAAGGCAGAATAGATACTTTCTATATATGTTTGATATAATGAAGAGGATTTTAAAAAGCGAAGTTGGAGATGTTTCATGATCACCAATTTGTCTTACTCCATTATAAGCCATGTATTTTAACAGTCAATTTGTGATAACTAGTATTTTATCTAAAGCAGAAATATTTTGACTTTCACCTTTTGTCTGTTGAATTTATTTTATTTTTGTTGGAGAGATTATGATATCAATCTTAACGTGGTCATTTAGAGACCACTGTGAAGACCAATGAACATAAAAATCACCCAAGTAAAAAACTCTTTTCTTTTTTTCTTTTTATTATTTTTTTGAGACATTGTCTTCCTCTGTCACCCAGGCTGGAGTGCAGTGGCATGATCTCGGCTCACTGCAACCTCTGCCGCTTGGGTTCAAGCGATTCTCCTGCCTTAGCCTCCTGAGTAGCTGGGATTACAGGTGCATGCCACCATGCCAAATTTTTTACTTTTAATAGAGACGGAGTTTTACCATGTTGGCCAAGCTGGTCTTGAACTCCTGACCTCATGTGATCTGCCTGTCCTGGCCTCCTGAAGTGCTGACAGTACAGGTGTGAGCCACCGCACCCAGCTAAGAGCTCTTTTCTAATGTTGGCAAATTATTTAACAAATTAGGGGCCTTGATTTGTATTAGAGTTTTTCTAGGGAAATAGACACATAAGAAATATATATATAATGCATATTTTATATATAAATACATATAAAAGATATATAATACATATTTTATATATAAATACATATATAAGATATATATGATATATAATTATATATATTATATATTTGATATGTATAATATATATATAAAATTATGGGATTGGATCACATGATTTTGGGAGCCAAGAAGTCCCATTATCTGCCATCTGTAAACTGGAGAACCAGAAAAGCCAGGGTCATAATTCATTTCAATCCAAAGGCATAAGAACCAGGGGAAGTGATGTCATAACTCCTAGTCTAAGTCTCTGAAGGCCTGAGAACTAGCTGGGAGTGGGGGTCTGTGATGCTGCTGGCACACTGAGTCCTAGAATTCCAAGGCAAAAGAATATGAATGTTCCTGACTAAGAAAAGGGGGAGAAAGAGATAATTTATGCCACCCTTACCTTTTTGTTCTATTTGGACCCTCAAGTGATTCCACGGTGCCAGCCTACATTGGTGAAGGCAGGTCTTCATTATGCGGTCCACTACTTCAAATGCTAATCTCTTCCAGAAACACCTTCACAGATACACCCAGAAATAATATTTTATCAGCTATCTGGGCATCTTTAGCCTAGTGAAATTAACACATAAAATTAGCCATCATAATAATTAAGGAGATTTGCTAAAAGAGTATGGGATTTTCCATAATCTCATAATTATTCCCATACCCCCCTAATTGAAAAAAAAATCAATCTGAAAACGTGGAAGACAGCCCTTCACGTAGTGTTCTTTTACTCTAAGATTGCTAATAACTTTGTCACACTTTTAGAGTTTAAATTCTTAAACTGGAGCAATATTTGCATACTTTTTTTTTTACACCCTGTAGGCTAGGAAGCTTCTAATAATGGTTTGGAAAGTTGATGAGAATGAGAAAATTTACAATCTTTTTGCCACCCCTCTCTCAGCATGGGAGTGTGAGGGTGGGTGATAGCATCTTGGGTTTTAGCAGGGAGAGGTGTATTTATGTTTTAGCTAAGGTTTCACCTATAGAGAGGGTGTATGTGGACTCAATCTCCATAAAGTCTGGAAATGTTGAGCCTTATTGCAATCTGACACTGGATAAAGAAAATGTTTAAATGTTTTCTCCAGTGTCCAGAGAAAACCTTTTATATTTAGGGGGTCCAGCTGCTTGTTGACGAAGTCTAGATCCTCCTGGCTGAGGGTGATATACATTCTCCTGTTTTCTTACATTTGTTAGCAGGGTCCTGGGATTCCCAAGATGGGAATTCAATCAGCCCCCGAAATTTTTACCATCCTAACACTTACTTGGTCATAGGTAAATTGATTACCATAGCTCAGCAGCTCTGTGAACATAGTGCTCTGTCTGTTTTGATTCTTAGTCCTTACTCTTCATCTGTCATGCATTGTATATTGTTTTTTTCTGCACCATTACCCACAGCAACAGACTAGACAAGACTGTGTCATTGACTGCAGACTTCATTGCAGCCCTTCCAGAATTGAAAGCATATTGCTGATTATGATGTTTAAAGTACCTAACCTGTATGTAATCTGTTTAGGGTAAGGAGATTTTTATATTAGCTTTTTAGTTTCATGAACCATGACAAAACTTACTTCTCTCATGCTACTTGCAAGAAAAGCCTGATCTTGACCACATAAAGCTAAGGAAAGTAAGAAGAAAAAGAAATACAAAGTAAAAGAGCTGTAGGCAGACTTTTAACCCCAAAAATTAATTCACAGAATTACCAAAAATGTATATCATCTAAAAATTAAACTTCATTGTTATCTTACCTTCTTCCAAAAAGGATTTGAGTTGGAGAGCAAGAGTTATTTTTTTTCTACTTAAAAAATTCAAGGTAGAAATACCAAGTGAAGTAAGTAATTTTTTAACTATTCTGTTGGAACTTATTTATCCAAATATATTTTCACCTTCAAAATAGGTGCTTGTTGGTGTTACATGCTTAATTATAGGGTTGTGCTTCCTTAAATTTTTTTTCTGGATTTTACCGCATATTGTTTAGGATAAGTCCAATGATGGCAATTATTAGTCTTTTGTGGATTGTTTATATTTTTATATATTTAAAGTCCTTGGAATACATGTTTTATCAGACTAGAGCATTTACAAGGTGGATAATATACATTTTTATTTAAAAACGTTACACAGAAATAAGGCCAAGATAATTATTTTCGTGTGTATGTTGCTGGTAAAAATTGGTTCTAAGATAATGACAGAAAAAAGAGAATTTCAATAATTAATTTGAATATATACTTTCTTGTGTATTATATTTTACTTTCAAATATGAATTTAAAGACATTTGCCATATATTTCAAATCTGTTGAAAGATAATCCATTAACCATCCCATTGCCCCTCCTCTCTTCTCTCATTATACCTAGGTATGCTTTTAGAGAGTTTATAGCACCTGAATGTGAAGAAAGTTTCCAGCCTTTCTTCTCATGCAATGTCTCTATGTAGATGAGAATAGCACTTGTTTCAGAGTAGAACTAGCTTTACCTTAAATATGCCATATTCAAAAGGGAATTATCTTTAGTTCCATTGATTGAAAATTTCAAACTACCCTATTGTTCTAAGTCCTTTGTTATCAATAATATGATCATTTTCCATTTTTCAGTCTTGCATTTTTCTCCTTTGTAATCACAAGTTGTAATCTTCATATTTTCCCTTTGCTCATCATATTATCAGATTTTATCTGCCTCATATTCAGCAAACCTATATGACTATTCCATAATACTGTGTTAACCATTGCTTTATATCCACTCTTCTAATTTTCATAAATTCCTATGCTACTTTATATCACTGTAAAATGATTGGTAGCTAGGTGTGTCATTCCACTGCTTTGTGGGTCTCCATGCTAATGGTTCCTCAGAGTACTCAATTAAAATGTTCAAATTGTGAAAGAGAGTATGATTTTCTGATGCAGTAAAATACGGATCAACACAGAAAAAGTTAGATTAGTTTCACACTGAAAGGATCTTTATAAGTAAAAGAACACCCACACTTTTTTGTCTTAATGACAAGCACTATGATAATTAAAATTACTTCGTTGGGTTTACAATCTTGTTTTTATATTCTTAACTCTTATTTCCCCTGATAAACACTGGTTGTACCATACAAAACCAATCCCAGATTGATTGTTTCCATAAAAGAATAAATTTTCCAAGGATACCATTTTATCACAATGCCATATCTTTGCATTGCCTGGGTTTCATGTTATTAATGTCAGTGTAGGAATGGTTATAGATTCATTTAGAGATGGTGATGTGAAATTTTTTAGGGTCTTCCTAGCATTAGGGTTATTCTTCTGCATATCCTGGGACATAATATATGTAATTGATGTATAAAATGTGTATAATAATCTTGTATTGGGATCATTAATTTCAACTTAAAAGTAATATAATTTAAACAACTTCAACTATTCTGATTTCCTTCCTTAATCTTCTCCTCTCCTTACCACAACCCCAATATGCACACATACATTACTTTCTAAATCCCTATAGAGTGGAAAAGTTGGACCTGAAAGAAATTATTTCCTTCCAGTAAGGTGTAGAAAATAAAAGCCCGAAATTTGGTATTCTAATTGTACTATTTCCATAATATGGTAGCACTTGTGAAATAAAAATTCATAAGCTGTTAAGTTAGTCTTTCTGAGGAGGGTGTTGGAATTTAGGAAAATTATTGAGGGTTCTGCTGTTCAACTTCATCATTTTATTCCACTAAATATCAATGTCAAAGTTAGCTTTAGGAGGTAAAAGTTGGAAAATCCCTAAACAAAACTTTGAACTAATACTTGCATTACTGTGTTCCAAAATGTACCAAGGACCACTTGTTCAGTAAGTTTTTAATAGTGTTAAATGGGAAATGTTGCATAGCCAAATATTGTATTCTTTCTATTTTATACAAATCCGTAGATCTTATGACACATAACCTATTTACAAAAAAAACACAACACTTTTTTTGGGGGCGAGGGAAGGATTTAAAAGAAACACAACTGCACTAAATATACCTATCAGTTTTAAGATACTACCTAGTTTAAGATGGGTTCAACATAGTGAATTAGGTAACTCTACAATTGTTTCTTGGAAATTCACAATGGGCACATGTAGATTAAAAGTTATGGAACAGTGTTCGGAAATTGCAAAGCTGGAAAACTAGGCACTGACTTTTTGAAGGAGATACTTTAAAACATATTCTCCTTACTTTTGTTTTAATGTCACTTTTTACATTTCTACTACACAGTCTCTAGTCTTTAGTCACAACAAAATATAAAACTTTCCTGATTCAGCCATTCTTTTTCTTACCTTAGTACCATTATATAATATTTTCTATGCATGAATGAAATTTATCTACTTTTTGGTGAATTCCTATTATTTCCTTAATATTGTATTCATTTAGGGGTCCAAAGTTGTCACTATCCAAATTTGCAACACTTTTCTCCTGAGTCTTACTTACTATGCAGATAATAGCTTAGGTTCTTATCCTTATTGGTTTATTTCTTCCCTCCTCTCTATATAGTACTGATTAACTTTTCCTATTTAAGTTTGATAAAAGCAAAAGTAACCATCTGATATTCTTAAGTAACAGTAGAATTATTACTTAAAAAAAGAAAGCTTGTACACCAGGCATATTCAGTGTCTAATTTAGGAAAGGTCCATACTGTTGCTCATTGATGCTAGGTCAAGCATCAGTCCCCAGAATATAGCCAAGAAAAGGGAGTCTATTCCACATGTGAGTTAGTAAATAGATTCAGTTTGTGATTTTAGTTTCTTAACGTAGTTCTGTTTTATGTTTCTTCCACATAAGAATTGTTGGCTGCCACTCAAAATAAAGTACAGCTACTTATCTGTTGTTTAGTTTGAGTTTGTTGTACAATTTACTCCATCAATTTTCTCTTAAGAGAAGAAAGCATGGTGCAGTTGCTATATGTTGCAGTAAGGACATCTGTGAATGTCTGGGATGACTGGTCATCATTACAGCCTCAGAGGATATCACAAATGTGGTAGGAGTGAGGAAGACAGTGGCATCGAAGTGGTCACATGTATCATCCATCCAAAGGACAGAAGTTTGGACAAATAAAATACATCACTATCCTTCATATTTTACTGAGCTACATTTACATTATCTCTAGAGCTGGAAGCAATAGCCATTTTCCAGGTTAAAGAAGCCTACTTACCAGCTTCATGAGCTTTGGGTTTGATCATCTGGATATTCTGAATGGCCGAGGTTAAACTTTGGTATGCATAGATTATAGTAAGACTTAGAATAGACCTTAGGAAGTATTACAAAAATCACTGAAATCTTCAATCTTCTGGAAACATTTGTTGCCCTTGGATCTTGAGACTTCTTGCTGCTTCCTCCTATACCCATTTCTCTTTCTCCTACCTATAACACGTAACTTTTTTTTACCATGTTATGCCTTGTTTTTTCCTTCTTCTTGATTTTAAACTCCTGCAGAATGGAGGGCTGTACCTTATTCAATTTTGTGTCTCTTCCACACAATAACCAGACTGAGAATGTTCAAAAAAGTGAATGAATGATTGACTGAATGAACGAAATGGAAATATGTATGTGGAGTAAGAGAAGGAGGGTAGTATTGGTAGGCAGAATAAGATCGTGATTAGGAGCCTATGGCTTTTGGAGTTAGATGTTAGATGGATTCTTGAGTACTTCACTCACCAGGGTTGAAGTACTGTGTATTCAAACCTCTACAAACCTTAGCTTTTTTCTCCTTAAGCCAAGAAACATGTCTACATCAAAGTTTATTATGAAGAAATAGATTACTGACATGTGCATAAATACTTAAGCTCAGTGTCTGGCAGGTAGGGCAATTCTCACTGTGCTATTGTTATTTTATTAACCAGAACTGGTATTTGGTGAGAACTAATGGCATGTATAAAAGCAGTAAAGACCTTCCTTTTTAGAGCCATTTTGGTCATGAGACTTTGCTCTGTCTTCTGGTATCTGCACCATAAATCTCTCTGTCTTGAACTGACAAACTGTTCCAAGTTTCTTTTCCAACATTTCCCTGTTTGTCTTTATTTTCTATTTTTACTTTTGCCTGCAAAGGCTCAGGAAAGGTATGGAAATTGGGGTGATAGGCCTGATTTGATTATTTGGAGACAGTAAGTTGGAGGTGGTTCTTTGTGTGATGCAGTAAGATTCTATCTATACATTATATTCTAAATGATACATGATTATGCAAAAATAAAGAAATAATTCACTTATGATATGGTTAGGCTTTGTTTCCTCACCCAAATTTAGTCTTGAATTGTAATCCCGAAATGTTGAAGGAGCAAATTGGTGTGAGGTGATTGGAACATGGGGGCGGTCTCCCCCATGCTGTTCTCATGATAATGAGTGAGTTCTTATGAGATGTGATGGTTTTATAAGGCAGTTTTCTCTGTTATTGTACCCTCTGTCTCTCACCTCCTGCCATATAAGACATGCCTGCTTCCCCTTCCACCATAATTGTAAGTTTCCTGAGGTCTCCCCACCCATGAGGAACTGTGGTCAATTAAACCTCTTTTCTTTATAATTTATCCAGACTGAGGCAGTTCTTTATAGCAGCGTGAATATGGACTACTACAACTTTCCATTAACTTTATAATTTATCAGTAACTTTATTACTGGTTTCACATTTATTTCTTTCAAACTTAAATTTCTATTTCTTTGTGTTCCTTTTTTTAGCCTTAATGGAATTAAATATTAAATATTAAAAATAACATTTTATGAGCATGGCTGCCAAGTTGCCCAACACCAGGGTACACCATTCACATTGTATTTTATGTCATAGAATATATGAGAATGGCAGCTTCTACAGCACAATTCCATTGACATAGAATACAGTTTGAATGGTATCTCCTAGACTTGGGCCATTAGGCACTGGTAACAAGTATTACATGTGAGAAAAAGCATGCTAGTCTTGTCTATTATTAGTTTCTCTTATAGTTTCTCTACATTTGGGAATGGAATTTAGGGATAATGTGTCTAATTTCTAACTTGATTACAGTAATTAAAATGTATTTTCCATGATTAGGATATCAGTCAATAATTTTTTAAGTTCAAATATGTTAATCAATAACATTATTAGTTGTAAAGCAAAAATACGAAATTATGATTTTAGGGATTTACTTTAGTTCTTAGAAATTATGGCCAAATAGAATGGTTATGCAAATAAAGCACTGTATCTACTTTTACCCTTAAATAAAGCTAGATATGTGTAAGGGTTATACAGATATTAGTGACTACAGTAAGTGAAAATCATTGAAGAGATGCTATTTAAATTTTTTGAAATATATTTTATTTTGTAGGAAAGCCAGATAACTGCACTACTAATCTTTTGTCATATTTTAGGTTTTAAAATAATCTAGGCTTGTAATTAAAAGATAAAAATTTCACATAAACTTGACTTAGATAAAATATTGATTAGATTAAAATACATTAAGTTTTTGCAGAAAAAATTATAATTTGGAATTTCCATTCCTGCATAAGAATATTGGAGATATTCTCTGATATTTATATTGGCATAATTATTATAGTTGCGGTCACTTTTTGCAGACACCTATAAAATAATTTTAATATCATGCCAAGAAATTGTAATTCTGGCTGAAGACAAAAGGTTGTTAATGACCCACATTTTTAAGAAACCAATAGTAATTAAGGTCAACTATTTCCCTAGAAAATGCCAGTGTAAATCCAGCTTACCACCACTGCCCACCAGTGTCACTATCAGTATATATCACCCAGTCAATATATCTGTCAGCTCAAGTAGTTAACTTTGCAGAGGAAGATATTCATGATGAGAACTGATTCTCATCCTTTCCTATGGGGTGGAGATAAGAAAGTGATCTTTCCCTCAATTGCTCTGTGATAAGGCCTCTTAGAGAACAACTTGAAGATTGAAGATGTCTCCAAGAAGAGGAGACAAGCTTTTTTCCCCCCAGCTGCCTGGTGACACTCTTGCTGAGCTACAGAACCCACAGGGCCAAAATGGTACTATATTTTTTGAAGGGGAATGTAAGGAGAATACTCTCAGGAGAGTATTCTGGAAGTCTAGGGGTGTGGTAGCCCTGCTGTTGAGGAGATGAGAGAGGAGCATAATATGTGTCCCTTGTAACTTGGGGGTATACTTGAACTTAAGTACTGGTTCTTGAATCAGGTCTAGAGATTTCTATAGGGGGCTCATTGCAGTTGTCCTTGTTAGCAGGAGCAGGCTTAAAGAAACCTTGGCATGGGAATGACTGGAAGAAGAGGCCATCTCTACCAGATTCCAGTTCTCTATAACTCAGAAAGCTCAGAGGAGAACTCTAGCATTTTTCAAGGCTCCATGTGAAGGAGCACAGAGGTTAATGATGTTACTCTAGAACCAGGGAGCTGAGGGTGCATGATGGAGGGGCTACGTGGAGATGTGATGGCTCTTCTTAATTGAGTCATTAGTATCAGAGAACATGGGGAGAAAAACTGATCATCACCCCAAGAAAACAGTTCAGATCACCACATCAGCTGCTCCTTGCAACAGAAAAAAAACAGAGTAAAAAAATTTACTGGGACCCTTTCCGTTTCACACTATTCCTCCAAATATTGACCTATTTCTCTTTTTATCCTCCTTTAAAACTTATGCCAATATTACTATCTAAGTCATTCCAAGGTTACTCCAGCTAGTGTCACAACCCCCAAGAACTCTGTGTGTCTGCTACCTACTGCATGTTTTATTTTAATCACTTATAACTAACTTGCTATATATGTATTCACCTTGTTTATTGTCTGGCTTCCTTAATAGAATGTAAGATGCATAAAGACAGGATTTTTTGAAAGTTCTGTTCATAGTTATATTTTAACTCCTTGGACAGTGACTGGCACAGAGTAGATAATAAATGCTTGCAGAGTAAATTAATCAGTATTTTAAAAGGTAGGCAGCCAAGTTAGACTTTTGCCTCCACCAACGAGCCCTTCTTTCTTCTGCCACCAAGAAGCTACCATGTACAAAAGGGAGAGATGCTCCTGAAATAAAAGACACCTGTCTCCTCTGTGCTAATCAGCTGCAGCTCCCTTATCTGTCCTGGGCAGCTAAGGATGGGGGTGACAGAAAGGTTTGAATTTATTTAAAACTTAACAGGACTGATTCTTAAATACCAAAATCAAACTGTGCTAGTAATTGAATGTGACATGGTAAATATGGAATCTGGCCAAAAATGTTGAGACTTATTACCTAGAAGAAAAGGGTTATCAAACATCATAAGCATGATGAAAATAATAAAAAATTATTTGATACCCAACTATTTAAAATCCATCAATAAACTGGTTATATAAGGAACAATCTGTGGTTTGCAACTTGGGATCTAGGGAACTCTGGAGCCCCTAAGATAATTTTTAGGTGTCCATGAGGTCAAACCTATTTAATAATAATATTAAGAAGTTATTGTCTTTGTCAATATCAATTTTATAATTGAAATGAAATTTACCTAACATAAAATCCACCGTTTTGAAGTGAACATTTCAGTGTCACTTAGTACATTCACAATAGTGTGCAACCACCGCACTTTAGGCCCTTTGTAATTTTATTGTTGTAGCTTTGTAGGAAGTTTTGAAATTGGAAATTGTGAGTGCTCCAACATTGTTGTGTTTTTTTTCCCAGTATAATTAGGCTATAACGTTCAAGGCCCCTTGCAATTCCATGTGAGTTTGAGAATCAATTTGTTTATTTGTCAAAAAAAGCTATTGAATTTTAATAGGGATTGCATTGATATATAGATTGCTTTGCATAATATTGCCATCCAAAAATTGTCTTTTAGTCTACAAACACAGAATATATTTCTATTTAGTTAAGTCTTTAAACTTCAGGAATGTTTTGAAGTTTTCAGTGTACAAGTTTCTCCCTCCTTGGTCAAATTTATTCCTTGGTATTTTATTATTTTGGACTATTGTAAGTGGAATTGTTTTCTTAATTTTATTTTCAGATTGATCATTGACAGTGTGCAGAAACAAAACTTGTGTGTGTGCATTCATGTATCCTACAACTTTGCTGAATTCATTTGTTAGCTCTAGTAGTTTCCTGTGGGTGTAAGGATTCTTTGGGATTTTTCTATGAATAGAGATAGATTTCATCTCCAATCTGGATTACTTTCATTTATTTTTCTTGCCTAATTGCTGCTTGGAACTTTCAGTACAATGTTGAAAGGAAAGAAGACAAAGGGAAAAATTTTCAGTTTTCACTTTTCCTAAGGGAAAAGCTTTCAGTTTTTTACTATGAGGGTGTTAGCCGTGAGTTTTCACAAATACCGTTTTTCATGTTGGTAAAATTATTTTCTATTCCTAATTTTTGTAGTGTTTTTTTAATCATGAAAATGTTTTGCATTTTGTGAAATACTTCTTACTGTGTCAGTTGAGATGGTCATGTATCATTCCCCTTGTTCTATTAATGTGCTATATATCGATTGATATTTTTTATATTGAGCTTTGAACTACCCTTGCATTCCTGGGGTAAGTCCTACTTGGTTATTGAGTATAATAATATTCACAGAGAATAATGGTCTGTTTCTTTTTATTTTTTCTTTTTTTAAGACAGTCTCAGTCTGCAGCCTAGGCTACAGTGCAGTGACAGAATCTTAGCTCACTGTAGCCTCGAACTCCTGAGCTCAAACAATTACCCTAACTCAACCTCCCGAAGAGCTAGGACAACAGGTGCACACTACCACACCCCGCTATTTTTTCTTCAGTTTTTAGTAACAGGATCTTGCTATGTTGCCCAAGCTGGTCTTGAAGTCCTGGGCTCAAGTGATCCTCCCAACCTAGCCTTCTAAAATACTGTGATTACAGGAATGTGCCACCATGCCTGGCCTGTAATTTTTGTTTCTTATGGTATATTCATGTGGTTTTATTATCAGAGTAATGCTGACCTGATATAATGAAATAGAAAATGGTTTTTCCTCTTCTATTTTTTTGGAATAGTTTGAGAAGAATTGGTGCTAGTTCTTCTTTAAATGTTTGCTAGAATTTGCCAGTGAGGCCATCTGATAGTGGCTTTCTTTGTGGGGACATTTTGACTACTGATTCAATTTTTCTACCTGTTATAAGTCTCTAAGGTTGATAGTAATGCCTCTGCTTTCATTTCTAATTTTAGTTATTTGCATTCTCCCTCTTGTCAGTCTAGCTGAAGGTTTGTTAACTTTCTCCATCTTTTCAATGAGCCATTGTTTGGTTTTGTTGATCTTTTCTATTTTTCTAGTCTATACTACTTTTTTATGTTTCAATATTTATTATTTCATTCCTTCTATTAGCTTTGAGTTTTATTTGTTCTACTTTTTCTAGTTTTTTAAGGTATAAAGTTAGGGTAGTGGTTTGAGATCTTTCTTTTTTTTAAGATGTGTTTATTTCTACAAATTTCCCTCTAAACACTGCTTTTGCTGTCTCATATGTTTCGATGTATTGTATTTTTATTTTCATTTTTCCCTAGTATTTTCCAAATTTCTTTACAATTTCTTCTTTGTCCAATGGGTTAAGAATGGTTTATTCAATTTTCTCATATTTGGGAAATAGTTTCTAGTTTTGATTTCTAGCTTCATTCAATAGTGTCTGGAGATGAAAATTTGTATACTTTTAAAATCTGTTTAGTGAGATTTGCTGTGTTGCCTAACATATTGAGAAGTGACAGCGTGCTGGCAGCCCTTGCTTACTCTCGGCACCTCCTCGGCCTCGGCGCCCACTCTGGCCATGCTTGAGGAGCCCTTCAGCCTGCCGCTGCACTATGGGAGCCCCTTTCTGGGCTGGTCAGGTCGGAGCCAGCTCCCTCTGCTTGCAGGGAGGTGTGGAGGGAGAGGTGCCGGAGGGAACCCGGGCTGTGTGCCGCGCTTGCAGGCCAGCTTGAGCTCCAGGTGGGCATGGGCTCCGTTGGCCCTGCACTCGGAGTGGCTGGTTGGTGCCCCGGCCCAAGCAGTGAGGGTCTTAGCACCCGGGCCAGCAGCTGCAGAGGGTGCGACTGGCCCGCTGGCGCGCTGCTCTCAAATTCTTGCCGGGCCTCAGCTGCCTCCCGCAGGGCAGGGCTCGGGACCTGCAGCCCGCCATGCCTGAGCCGCCACCCCCCACCCCTTGGGCTCCTGCATGCCCAAGCCTCCCCTACAAGCACCACCCCCTGCTCCACAGAGCCTGGTTCCATCGACCACCCAATGGCTGAGGAGTGCTGGCACACCGCGTGTGACTGGCAGGCAGCTGCGCCTGCAGCCCTGGTGCAGGATCCACTAGGTGAAGCCAGCTGGGTTCCTGAGTCTAGTGGGCACTTGGAGAAACTTTATGTCTAGCTAAGAGATTGTAGATACACCAATCAGCACTTTGTGTCTAGCTCAAGGTTTGTAAATGTACCAATCAGCACTCTGTATCTAGCTAATCTGGTGGGGACTTGGGAAATCTTTATGTCTAGCTAAGGGATTGTAAATACACCAATCAGCACTCTGGGTCTAGATCAAGGTTTGTAAATGCACCAATCAGCACCCTGTGTCTAGCTCAAGGTTTGTAAATGCACCATTCACTGCTCTGTGTCTAGCTAATCTAGTGGGGACTTAGAGAACCTTTTGGTCTAGCTAAGGGATTGTAAATGCACCAATCAGCACTCTGTGTCTAGCTCAAGGTTTGCAAACACACCAATCAGCACTCTGTGTCTAGCTCAAGGTTTGTAAATGCACCAATCAGTGCTCTGTGGGGACTTGGAGAACTTTTGTGTCTAGCTCAGGGATTATAAACACACAAATCAGCACCCTGTCAAAACGGACCAATCAGCTCTCTGTAAAACAGACCACTCAGCTCTCTGTAAAATGGACCAATCAGCAGGATGTGGGTGGGGCCAGATAAGGGAATAAAAGCAGGCTGCCTAAGCCAGCAGTGGCAACCTACTTGGGTCCCTTTCCACACTGTGGAAGCTTTGTTCTTTCACTCTTTGCAATAAATCATGCTGCTGCTCACTCTTTGGGTCCACACTGCCTTTATGAGTTGTAACACTCACCGTGAGTCTGCAGCTTCACTCCTGACCCAGCGAGACCACGAACCCACCAGGAGGAATGAACAACTCCAGACGGGAGGAATGAACAAACTCCAGGCACGCCGCCTTTAAGAACTGTAACACTCACCGTGAGGGTCCACAGCTTCATTCTTGAAGTCAGTGAGCCCAAGAACCTACCAATTCCGGACACAAAATGATCTGTCCTGAAGAATGTTTAAATTGATACCAACATAGCCTCAATAGCATAAAAACACTCTGTTTCATATTGTCCCAACTTAAGTCTTTATAAATTGTGTGCCTACTAAAAGATATATAACCATAAGCCGGGTGTGGTGGCTCAAACCTGTAATTCCAGCACTTTGGGAGGCTGAAGCAGGCAGATCACTTGAGATCAGGAGTTTGAGACTACCCTCACCAGTATGGTGAAACCCCATCTCTACTAAAAATACAAAAATTTTGCTGGGTGTAGTAACACATGCCTGTAATCCCAGCTGCTCGGGAGGCTGAAACAAGAGAATCACTTGAATCTGGGAGGTGTAGGTTGCAGTCAGCTGAGATTGTGCCACTGCACTCCAGCCTGGGTGACAGAGCAAAACTCCATCTCAAAAAAATAAAAAAGAAAAAAATTATAATTATGATTTTATGCATTTGTCTTTTAAAATTATATAGGACATTAAAAGGTGCATTAAAAATTCAAAATACAATAGTACAGACTTTTATGTTTACCTTTGTAGTTGCATTTACTGGAGTTATGTTTTTTATAGCTTCTAGATACTGTCTAGCATTCTGTCATTTTAGCCAGGTGGACTCTCTTTAGCATTTCTTTGGGTCAGGTCTACTGGTAATGAACTCCCTCAGCTTTTGTTTATCTGGGAGTATCTTAATTTCTCTTTCATTTTGAGAAAATAGTTTTTCTGGATACAGAAATCTTTGTTGACGACTTTCTTTTCCTTCTGCACTATACAAATGTCTTCCCATTTCCTTCTGGTCTTGATGGTTTCTGATAAGAAGTATGCTGTTAATTTTATTGAGGATTATGAAGGACAGTTGCTACTCTCTTGCTTCTCTCAACATTCTTCTTTATCTTTGTCTTTGAACAACTTAAAATCATAATATGTCTTGGTATGAATATCTTTGTGTTTCTTTTACTTGGAGTTCATTGAATTTCTTGAATATGTAGTGTCTACTTCGGGAAGGTTCTGGCCATTATTTCTTCAAATATTCTTTTTGCCACTTACTCTTTCTGTATCTTCTCCTTCTGGGATTCTCATGGGTATGATGGAGTGATGGATGTTGTCCCACAGGTCTTATGCTCTGTTCATATTTTTTTAATTACATGTTTTTTTGACATCTATTGGGATGGTCATATTATTTCTCTCTTTTAATCTGTTACTGTGGTGAATTACATTGGTTGATTTTCTAATATTAAGTCAAACTTTGCAATCTCAAATAAACCCAACCTGAAAATTATGTTATCCATTTTATATATTACTGGAATAAGTTTGCTAACACTTCATTTATAATTTTGCAACTATATTCACCTTTTATTCTTTTTGCCTGCAGACTAAATAATTTAAATTTACCTGACTTCAAGTTTGCTGGTTGTTTATTCTGCTTGTATAAAGCTACTTTTGAAACTTTCTAGTGAATTTTTTATTTCAGTCTAGTGTATTTCTTATCTCCAGAATTTGTTTGGTTTCTTTTTGTAATTTCTATCTCTCTATTAGTATTATCTATTGGTCAGATATTGTTTTCCTTGTTTCTTTTAGCTTATTTTCCATGTATTCCCTTAGTTCTTTGAGCATATTTAAGACAGTTTACCTAAGTCCTTTCTTCAGTAAGTACAGTGCTTGTGTCTCCTCAGGAAGAATAGATTTTTGTTTTTTAAATCTGTAAATGGATCATACTTTCTTGTTTATTTGCACACTTTATAATTTTTCATTGAAAATTGGACAAATTACATACAATATGGTAACTATGGAAATTATATTTTTGTGTTTGCTGTGGTGGTAGCTGTTTGTGTACTTAGCAGCTTTTTATATATTTTTGTCGAGTTTGTATTCTTGGTCATGTGTTCTGTAAAGTCTCTGTTTCTATAGGTTGTGTTTATTTAGCCAGTGATTTCATGACAATTTCCTTGAAAGCCTGAAGACAAGAGAGGAAGACAGAGAGAGAGAGAGAGAGAGAGGGGGGAGAAAAAAAAATAAAAAGCTTCTTAGAGGTTTTGCAGATTTTCTCCATGCAGACACTCCTCCAATGAATAGCCAGGTTGTTTACAACTCAGCCTTGGTTTTACTTCCTGCTTTTACTGAACGTAGAGATCAGTTAGAACTAAAAGCTTAGAATTTTCTTTACTTATTTCTAGCATGTGTCCTTCCTGGGTCATTTGTGTGATATCCTGTATTCCCAGCATATGTGGTTGATTTTGAATGCACTAATTTTGAAATAATCTCTCCGGATTTTCTTTTGAGGTATTATGTGCTTTACTGTTTGTTCTAACTGTACCTTTTTTTTGCTGTAGGTAGCTGCAGGTTGCTTATTTGTCATATATATTTAAATGTTTGCTGCTTTCCAACATGAGTGAGTTTGAGTCAGGTGAAACAAAGACAAGTGCCTTTAGTCACGTCCTTCAGGTAGTCTTTAATTAGGTTATAGAAGACAAACATGATTCTTTTCAAATAAGGTTTACTCTGCTCCCTTTCGAACCAGGAGCTAAAGTTCCTCACTGGGAATGTGGTTGGCCATTTAAAAGACCACTGCAAAGCTAGAAAAATGGAAGTGCAAAGGCAAATTGAAATGCCACAAAGAGTTTCTATTATTTTCTTAGGATAATCTTTCTTACCAAACAATTCCATATTTTAAGTAATGTTTTTGCAAATGTAATTTTTGTAAAAAAATAAACTGAAGAAACATTATAATTTTAATAATTATTGAATTTCTTAGACAAATTCCACAATCTTGTCATATAGCCAATGTAATATTATAATTAAATGCTTTTTGAAGTGATTCTGAATGTGTATTTTTCTTCTTAATATCTTTAATTTTTATGATGATTCAATGTTTGAGAAATTTGGTTACTTGTTTTATTATTTTGGAACATAATCTTCTCAAAGTTTTGTTTTTTAAAAAATTTTTAGTCATGGCAAAATGGACACACCATAAAATTTACCATTATAATCACTTTAAAGTGTATATTCCAGTAGCATTAATTACATTCCCATAGTTATATACCACCACCATCCATCTCCAAAATTGTTTTCGTCTTGCAAAGCTAAAAGTCTGTATCCGTTAAACAGTAATTTCTCATTTATTTTTCCCTGCTAATCCCTGGAAACCAGCATTCTACTTTTTGTCTCTATTCACGTCTCTATGAATTTGTGACTGTCTTATTTCACTTAGCATAATGTCTTTATGGTTTATCCATGTTGTAACATGTTTCAGAACTTCCTTTATATGGCTGACTCATACACTATTGGTTGCATATACTACATTCATTTATGCATTTATTCATCAAAGGTTATTTGGGTTGCTTCTACCTTTTGGCTATTGTGACTAATGCTGCTATGTACATAATTATATATTCCCACTATTTTAAGTTGCTTTTTTTTGATTTAGCATATGCATTGATTGTTTTCTAGAATTCTAACAAAGTTTGTTCTGACAGTTTTAGTTGATTTTTTGATGTTTCTGTTGAGGGACAGGCCCTTGGAGTGACCTATACCACCATTTTCACTGATAGTTATCACTCACTCTTATCTGCTCAAAATTATACAGTGAGTTTTTCAGTGGCTATATGATTTGTCATTACTCTATATGACATATGGTTTGTCATTACTTGAATGGTGGTATCATTTTGAGATCAATTATTCAGAGCAAAGAATTAAGAATTGAGTATTTGAAATATAGATGTGATCTCTTTAAAAGCCAAAATTTGTTACAACTTTTCAAACTCATAATGAAAAACCCACTTACACATTTTATAGGTTAAGATATTATAGTATATTGCCTGGAGAAGCATATACAATAGCTTAGAAAATAATGACATCTTGTATATTTGAGATATTCGGCTGAATATCTGCTGAATAAATGGTAAGCAATGTAAGTTATGGCCACTGTATGACAATACAGTAAATCACTAAATTACCTATTTAGCTGTAAACATAAAGATTGAATTACTATTTTGTCAGCAGAACTGTACTTTTTGTCTTTTAAATGGGCAAGTCTATAGGCATGAATGAACTGACTGTATTTGTCTGATATTAGGCCCAATTAGTCTTCAGATTTTCTTTATGTGAAGGCTTGGAAACAAATATTGGTGATAATCGAGTATTCAAATTTTTTGAATAACATTTTTAATTCTGGTGATTTTTCCTGCATAACTTGCACTAAAAGTGCAAAATTAATTGTGAGCAAAACTCGTAATGCTTGGTATGAACCAAGATAGTGGCACCAAATTGTACTAGTTGGCATTTGGCCCATCTTTGCCATACACTCAGTAAAAACAAATGCTGGTTTCATTTTGAATGTCCCTGAAAATAAAGTAAAAATTATTCATTTTATTAAAGTTTGACACTTGTGTCCAATTTTTATAATATTCTGCAGAATAAAATGCAAATTATGCATAAAAGACTTCAACTGTAAACCAAAATGAAATGATTGTTTGAAGAAAAGCATTTGTGACACTTTTTAGGTAGCGTGCTGAACTAGTCACATTTTTATGGAATTAGACTTTTACTGAAACAATAACTAATAAACAAGCTGTGATTTTTTAGATGAAGGTACTTGGCATATATTTCCTTGGGAATGAGCAAAATGAGGCTGCCACTACAGGGAAACAACTGACATTGTCACTGATGTAAAAATTTGAGCTTTAAATAAAATATTAGAGTTTGGGGAAAATTATCCTGCTACTGTGATCTTGACAGCTTCCTAATACTTAAGAAAAAGATTTTTCTGAAAGATTGTTGGTGATATTAACTAATGTGATTCCTTGACCTATCAACATTTGGAACATCTGCATATATATGTGAACTCATATTTTTTAAAAGACCAATGTATGCTGTTACAAAATTATGCATAGGTAAAGAATCCACTCAAAGGGCATGATAGACCAATGAAATTTTCACAGAGTATGAAAAGTTTATTGGTCTTGTTACAGATCTTCATTTCCATTAACTTTTAAGCAATTATTTTGTTTTGGTGGTAGTAGTAAAAAACAAAACATAAAATTTACCATATTAACTATTTTTAAATGTACAGTTTAGTAGTATTAATTATTGATATGGTTTGGATTTGTATCCCCACCCAAATCTGTCGAATTGGAGGAGGGGGCATGGTGTGAGGTGATTGGATCATGGGGGTGGATTTCCCCCTTGCTGTTTTCATGATAATGAATGAGTTCTTATGAGCTGTGACAGTTTAAAAGTGTGTGGCACTTTCCCCTTCACTCTCTCTCTCTCTCACTCTGAGGATATGCTTTGTTTCCCGTTCATCTTCTGCCATGATTGTAAGTTTCCTGAGGCCTCCCCAGCCATGCAGGACTGTGAGTCAATTAAGCCTCTTTTCTACATAAACTACTGTATGAGTCTGTTCTCATGATGCTAATAAGGACTTAGCTAAGACTGGGTAATTTATAAAGGAAAGAGATTTAATTGACTCACAGTTCCACATGGCTGGGAGGCCTCACAATCATGGCAGAAGGTGAATGAGAAACAAAGTCACATCTTACTTGGTGGCAGGCAAGAGAATGTGTGGAGGGGAACTCCCCTTTATAAAACCGTCAGATCTTGTGAGACTTATTCACTATCATGAGAACAGCATGGGAAAGACCCGCTACCATGATTCAATTACCTCCCACCAAGTGCCTCCTACAACATGTGGGAATTATTGGAGCTACAATTCAATATGAGACTTGGGTAGGGACACAGTAAAACCGTATCAACTACCCAGTCTCAGGCCGTTCTTTATAACAATGTGAGAATGGATTAACACAGAAAATTGGTACTGGGAGTGGGGCACTGCTACTAAGATACCTGAAAATGTGGAAGTGACTTTGGAACTGGGTAATGAGCAGAGGTTGGATCAGTTTGGAGGGCTCCGAAGAAGACTGGAAGATGTGCGAAAGTTTGGAACTTCCTAGAGACTTGTTAAATGGTTTTGATCAAAATGCTGATAGTGATATGGACAATGAAGTCCAGGCTGAGGTGGTCCCAGAAGGAGATGAGGAACTTATTAGGAACTGGAGTAAAAATCACCCTTGCTATGCTTCAGCAAAAAGACTGGTGGCATTTTGCCTCTGCCCTAGAGATCTGTGGAACTTTGAACTTGAGAGAGATGATTTAGGGTAGCTCGTGGAAGAATTTTCTAAGCAGCAAAGCCTCGAAGATGTGGCCTGGTGGCTCCTAAAAGCCTATGCTCATTTGCGTAAAGAAAGAGATGGTCTGAAATTGGAACTTGTATTTAAAAGGGAAGCAGAGCATAAAAGTTTGGAAAATTTGCAGCCCAATCATGTGGTAGAGAAGGAAAACTTATTTTCTGGGGAGGAATTCAAGCCCAAGCAGGCTGCAGACATTTGTATTTTATAGGTTAAGATATTATAGTATATGGCCCAGAGAAGCATATACAATAGTTTAGAAAATAATGCCAAGATGGCCGAATAGGAACAGCTCCGGTCTACAGCTCCCAGCGTGAGCGACGCAGAAGACGGGTGATTTCTGCATTTCCATCTGAGGTACTGGGTTCATCTCACTAGGGAGTGCCAGACAGTGGGTGTAGGTGAGTGGGTGCGCGCACCATGCTCGAGCCAAAGCAGGGTGAGGCATTGCCTCACTCGGGAAGTGCAAGGGGTCAGGGAGTTCCCTTTCCTAGTCAAAGAAAGGAGTGACAGACAGCATCTGGAAAATCGGGTCACTCCCACCCAAATACTGCGCTTTTCCGATGGCCTTAAAAAACGGCACACCAGGAGATTATATCCCGCAGATGGCTCAGAGGGTCCTACTCCTACAGAGTCTCGCTGATTGCTAGCACAGCAGTCTGAGATCAAACTGCAAGGCGGCAGCGAGGCTGGGGGAGTGGCGCCCGCCATTGCCCAGGCTTGCTTAGGTAAACAAAGCAGCCCAGAAGCTGGAACTTGGTGGAGCCCACCACAGCTCAAGGAGGCCTGCCTGCCTCTGTAGGCTCCACCTCTGGGGGCAGGGCACAGACAAACAAAAAGACAGCAGTAACCACTGCAGACTTAAATGTCTCTGTCTGACAGCTTTGAAGAGAGCAGTTGTTCTCCCAGCACGCAGCTGGAGATCTGAGAATGGGCAGACTGCCTCCTCAAGTGGGTCCCTGACCCCTGACCCCCAAGCAGCCTAACTGGGAGGCACCCCCCAGCAGGGGCAGACTGAAACCTCACATGGCCGGGTACTCCTCTGAGACAAAACTTCCAGAGGAACGATCAGACAGCAGCATTCGCGGTTCACGAAAAACCACTGTTCTGCAGACACTGCTGCTGATAACCAGGCAAACAGGTTCTGGAGTGGACCTCTAGCAAAATCCAACAGACCTGCAGCTGAGGGTCCTGTCTGTTAGAAGGAAAACTAACAAACAGAAAGGACATCCACATCAAAAACCCATCTGTACATCACCATCATCAAAGACCAAAAGTAGATAAAACCACAAAGACAGGGAAAAAACAGAGCAGAAAAACTGGAACTCTAAAAAGCAGAGGGCCTCTCCTCCTCCAAAGGAACGCAGTTCCTCACCAGCAACAGAACAAAGCTGGACGGAGAATGACTTTGACGAGCTGAGAGAAGAAGGTTTCAGACGATCAAACTACTCCGAGCTACAGGAGGAAATTCAAACCAAAGGCAAAGAAGTTGAAAACTTTGAAAAAAATTTAGACAAATGTATAACTAGAATAACCAATACAGAGAAGTGCTTAAAGGAGCTGATGGAGCTGAAAGCCAAGGCTCGAGAACTACGTGAAGAATGCAGAAGCCTCAGGAGCCGATGCGATCAACTGGAAGAAAGGGTATCAGCAATGGAAGATGAAATGAATGAAATGAAGTGAGAAGGGAAGTTTAGAGAAAAAAGAATAAAAAGAAATGAACAAAGCCCCCAAGAAATATGGGACTATGTGAAAACACCAAATCTACGTCTGATTGGTGTACCTGAAAGTGACAGGGAGAATGGAACCAAGTTGGAAGACACTCTGCAGGATATTATCCAGAACTTCCCCAATCTAGCAAGGCAGGCCAATATTCAAATTCAGGAAATACAGAGAACACCACAAAGATACTCCTCAAGAAGAGCAACTCTAAGACACATAATTGTCAGATTCACCAAAGTGGAAATGAAGGAAAAAATGTTAAGGGCAGCCAGAGAGAAAGGTCGGGTTACCCTCAAAGGGAAGCCCATCAGACTAACAGCGGATCTCTTGGCAGAAACTCTACAAGCCAGAAGAGAGTGGGGGCCAATATTCAACATTCTTAAAGAAAAGAATTTTCAACCCAGCACTTCATATCCAGCCCAACTAAGCTTCCTAACTGATGGAGAAATAAAATACTTTACAGACAAGCAAATGCTGAGAGATTTTATCACCACCAGGCCTGCCCTAAAAGAGCTGCTGAAGGAAGCACTAAACATGGAAAGGAACAACCGGTACCAGCCACTGCAAAATCATGCCAAAATGTAAAGACCATCAAGACTGGGAAGAAACTGCATCAACTAACGAGCAAAATAACCAACTAACATCATAATGACAGGATCAAATTCACACATAACACTATTAACTTTAAATGTAAATGGACTAAATGCTCCAATTAAAAGACACAGACTGGCAAACTGGATAAAGAGTCAAGACCCATCAGTGTGCTGTATTCAGGAAACCCATCTCATGTGCAGAGACACAGATAGGCTCAAAATAAAAGGATGGAGGAAGATCTACTACCAAGCAAATGGAAAACAAAAAAGGCAGGGGTTGCAATCCTAGTCTCTGATAAAACAGACTTTAAACCAACAAAGATCAAAAGAGACAAAGAAGGCCATTACATAATGGTAAAGGGATCAATTCAACAAGAAGAGCTAACTATCCTAAATATATATGCACCCAATACAGGAGCACCCAGATTCATAAAGCAAGTCCTGAGTGACCTACAAAGAGACTTAGACTCCCACACATTAATAATGGGAGACTTTAACACCCCACTGTCAACATTAGACAGATCAAGGAGACAGAAAGTCAACAAGGATACCCAAGAATTGAACCCAGTTCTGCACCAAGCGGACCTAATAGACATCTACAGAACTCTCCACTCCAAATCAACAGAATATACATTTTTTTCAGCACCACACCACACCTATTCCAAAATTGACCACATACTTGGAAGTAAAGTTCTCCTCAGCAAATGTAAAAGATCAGAAATTATAACAAACTACCTCTCAGACCTCAGCGTAATCAAACTAGAACTCAGGATTAAGAATCTCACTCAAAACTGCTGAACTACATGGAAACTGAACAACCTGCTCCTGAATGACTACTGGGTACATAACGAAATGAAGGCAGAAATAAAGATGTTCTTTGAACCCAACAAGAACAAAGACACAACATACCAGAATCTCTGGGACACATTCAAAGCAGTGTGTAGAGGGAAATTTATAGCACTAAATGCCCACAAGAGAAAGCAGGAAAGATCCAAAATTGACACCCTAACATCACAATTAAAAGAACAAGAAAAACAAGAGCAAACACATTCAAAAGCTAGGAGAAGGCAAGAAATAACTAAAATCAGAGCAGAACTGAAGGAAATAGAGACACAAAAAACCCTTCAAAAAATTAATGAATCCAGGAGCTGGTTTTTTGAAAGGATCAACAAAATTGATAGACCACTAGCAAGACTAATAAAGAAAAAAAGAGAGAAGAATCAAATAGACACAATAAAAAATGATAAAGGGCATATCACCACCGATCCCACAGAAATACAAACTACCATCAGAGAATACTACAAACACCTCTACGCAAATAAACTAGAAAATCTAGAAGAAATGGATAAATTCCTTGACACATACACTCTCCCAAGACTAAACCAGGAAGAAGTTGAATCTCTGAATAGACCAATAACAGGAGCTGAAATTGTGGCAATAATCAATAGTTTACCAACCAAAAAGAGTCCAGGACCAGATGGATTCGCAGCTGAATTCTACCAGAGGTACAAGGAGGAACTGGTACCATTCCTTCTGAAACTATTCCAATCAATAGAAAAAGAGGGAATCCTCCCTAACTCATTTTATGAGGCCAGCATCATCCTGATACCAAAGCTGGGCAGAGACACAACCAAGAAAGAGAATTTTAGACCAATACCCTTGATGAACATTGATGCAAAAATCCTCAATAAAATACTGGCAAACCGAATCCAGCAGTACATCAAAAAGCTTATCCACCATGATCAAGTGGGCTTCATCCCTGGGATGCAAGGCTGGTTCAATATACGCAAATCAATAAATGTAATCCAGCATATAAACAGAGCCAAAGACAAAAACCACATGATTATCTCAATAGATGCAGAAAAGGCCTTTGACAAAATTCAACAACGCTTCATGCTAAAAACTCTCAATAAATTAGGTATTGATGGGACATATCTCAAAATAATAAGAACTATCTATGACAAACCCACAGCCAATATCATACTGAATGGGCAAAAACTGGAAGCATTCCCTTTGAAAACTTGCACAAGACAGGGATGCCCTCTCTCACCACTCCTATTCAACATAGTGTTGGAAGTTCTGCCCAGGGCAATTAGGCAGGAGAAGGAAATAAAGGGTATTCAACTAGGAAAAGAGGAAGTCAAATTGTCCCTGTTTGCAGGTGACATGATTGTATATCTAGAAAACCCCATTGTCTCAGCCCAAAATCTCCTTAAGCTGATAAGCAACTTCAGCAAAGTCTCAGGATACAAAATCAATGTACAAAAATCACAAGCATTCTTATACACCAATAACAGACAAACAGAGAGCCAAATCATGAGTGAACTCCCATTCACAATTGCTTCAAAGACAATAAAATACCTAGGAATCCAACTTACAAGGGAC
Source organism: Homo sapiens (assembly GCF_000001405.40). Taxonomy (NCBI): domain Eukaryota; kingdom Metazoa; phylum Chordata; class Mammalia; order Primates; family Hominidae; genus Homo; species Homo sapiens. The sequence continues at coordinate 126,862,568 of NC_000004.12, read as the reverse complement.
GTGAAGGACCTCTTCAAGGAGAACTACAAACCACTGCTCAATGAAATAAAAGAGGATACAAACAAATGGAAGAACATTCCATGCTCATGGGTAGGAAGAATCAATATCGTGAAAATGGCCATACTGCCCAAGGTAATTTACAGATTCAATTCCATCCCCATCAAGCTACCAATGACTTTCTTCACAGAATTGGAAAAAACTACTTGAAAGTTCATATGGAATCAAAAAAGAGCCCACGTCACCAAGTCAATCCTAAGCCAAAAGAACAAAGCTGGAGGCATCACACTACCTGACTTCAAACTATACTACAAGGCTACAGTAACCAAAACAGCATGGTACTGGTACCAAAATAGAGATATAGATCAATGGAGCAGAACAGAGCTCTCAGAAATAACGCCGCATACCTACAACTATCTGATCTTTGACAAACCTGAGAAAAACAAGCAATGGGGAAAGGATTCCCTATTTAATAAATGGTGCTGGGAAAACTGGCTAGCCATATGTAGAAAGCTGAAACTGGATCCCTTCCTTACACCTTATACAAAAATCAATTCAAGATGGATTAAAGACTTAAACGTTAGACCTAAAACCATAAAAACCCTAGAATAAAATCTAGGCATTACCATTCAGGACATAGGCATGGGCAAGGACTTCATGTCTAAAACACCAATAGCAATGGCAACAAAAGCCAAAGTTGACAAATGGGATCTAAATAAACTAAAGAACTTCTGCACAGCAAAAGAAACTACCATCAGAGTGAACAGGCAACCTACAAAATGGGAGAACATTTTCGCAACCTACTCATCACAAAGGGCTTATACCCAGAATCTACAATGAACTCAAACAAATTTACAAGAAAAAAACAAACAACCCCATCAAAAAGTGGGCGAAGGACATAAACAGATACTTCTCAAAAGAAGACATTTATGCAGCCAAAAAACACATGAAAAAATGCTCACCATCACTGGCCATCAGAAAAATGCAAATCAAAACTACAATGAGTTACCATCTCACCCCAGTTAGAATGGCAATCATTAAAAAGTCAGGAAACAACAGGTGCTGGTGAGGATGTGGAGAAATAGGAACACTTTTACACTGTTGGTGGGACTGTAAACTAGTTCAACCATTGTGGAAGTCAGTGTGGTGATTCCTCAGGGATCTAGAACTAGAAATACCATTTGACCCAGCCATCCCATTACTGGGTATATACCCAAAGGACTATAAATCATGCTGCTGTAAAGACACATGCAGACGTATGTTTATTGCGGCATTATTCACAATAGCAAAGACTTGGAACCAACCCAAATGTCCAACAATGATAGACTGGATTAAGAAATTGTGGCACATATACACCATGGAATACTATGCAGCCATAAAAAAGGATGAGTTCATGTCCTTTGCAGGGACATGGATGTACTTGGAAATCATCATTCTCAGTAAACTATCGCAAGAACAAAAAACCAAACACCACATATTGTTACTCATAGGTGGGAATTGAACAATGAGAACACATGGACACAGGAAGGGGAACATCACACTCTGGGGACTGTTCTGTGGTGGGGGGAGGGGGGAGGGATAGCATTGGGAGATATACCTAATGCTAGATGACGAGTTAGTGGGTGCAGCACACCAGCGTGGCACATGTATACATATGTAACCTGCACATTGTACACATGAACCCTAGAACTTAAAGTATAATAATAATAAATAAAAAAAAGAAAATAATGACATATTGTATATTTGACCATGCTAAATATCTGCTGAATAAATGGCAAGTAATGTAAATTATGGCCACTGAATGGTGATGCTGTAGATCACTAAATTAACTATTTACCTGTATACATAAAGACTGCATTAGTCTGCAGAATAACTAAAGGGGAAGTCAATGTTAATAGCCAAGACAATGAGGAAAATGTCTCCATTGTCAGAGACCTTCACAGAAGCCTCTCCAATCACAGGCACAGAGGCCTAGGAGGCAAAAATTGTTTTGTGGCTCAGGCCTTGGGCCCCAATGCTCTGTGCAGCCTCAGGACTTGGTGTGCTGCATCCCAGCTGCTCCAGCTGCAGCCGTGGCTAAAGGGGGCCAATTTACAACTGGAGCTGTTACTTCCAAGGTTGCAAGCACTAGGCTTTGGTGACTTCCATGTGGTTGTGGGCCTACAGGTATGCAGAAGGTAAGAGTTGAGGTTTGAGAACCCCCTCCTAGATTTCAGAGAATGTGTGGAAACACCTGGATGTTCAGGTAGAAGTCTGCTGCAGGGGCAGAACCCTGATGGGGAACCTCTACTAGGGCAGTGTTGAGGTAGAAATGTGAAGTTGGAGCCCCAACATAAAGTCCCTACTGGGGCACTGCCTAGCAGACCTGTGAGAAGAGGGCCACTGTCCTCCAGACTCCAAAATGGAAGATCCACTAACTGCTTGCACAATGTACCTGGATAAGCCACAGACACTCAATGTCAGCCAGTGAAAGCCGCCAAAGGAGCCATACCCTGTAGAGCCACAGAGATGGGGCTGCCCAAGACTGTGGGATCCCACCCCTTTCATCAGCATGCCCTGGATGTGAGACATGGAGTCAAGGGAGATTATTTTGGAGCTTTAAGATTTAATGACAATCCGTCTGGGTTTTGGACCTGCATGGGGCCCTTTGTTTTGGCCAATTTCTCCCATTTGGAATGGGAACATTTACCCTATGCCAGTACCCTGATTGTATCTTGTTTTTTATTTTGCAGTCTCATAGGCAAATGGGACTTGCATTGTTTCAGATGAGACTTTGAACTTGGACTTTTGAGTTAATGCTGGGATGAGTTAAGACTTTGGGGGACTGTTGGAAGGCATGATTGGTTTTGAAATGTGAGAAGCATATGAGATTTGGGAGGGACCAGGGACAGAATTATTTGGTTTGGATTTGTGTCCCCACCAAATCTCATGTGGAATTGGAGGAGGGTCCTGCTGGGAGGTGAGTGGATCGTGGAGGTGGAGTTCCCCCTTTCTGTTCTTGTGGTAGTGAGTGAATTCTCACAAGATCTGATGGTTTAAATGTGTGTGGCACTTCCTCCTTCACTCTTCTCTCCCTTTTCCTCTACCACGGGAAGCTATGCTTTGCCTCTCCTTTGCCTTCTGCCCTGATTGTGAGTTTCCTGAGGCCTCCCCAGCCATGTGGAACTGTGAGTCAGTTAAAACTCTTTTCTTCATAAATTACCCATTCTCAGGAAGAACTTTATAGCAATGTGAGAATGAACTAATATAATTATATTCACATTATTATGAAACAGATATCCAAAACTTTTTCAACTTATAAATCTGAAACTTAGTACCCATTAAATAACTCCCCTTTTCTTTTTCCTCCCTGCTCTTGGTCAACACCATTCTATGTTCTGTTTCTAATAATCTGACTTTTTTTAGATACGTCATTTAAGGGAGTCATACAGTATTTGTCTTTTTTGACTGACTTATTTCACTTAGCAATATTTCCTCAAGGTTTATTCATACTGTAGCATGTAACAAGATTTCCTTCCTTTCTAGGGCCAAATAATATTCCATTTTATGTATGTATCACATTTTATTTATCCATTCATCTGTCGATGGACATTTAGATTGATTCCACCATGGGATATTGTGACTAGTGCTGCTATGAACATGGGTGTGAAAATATCTTTTTGAGACCCTGCTTTTTATACTTTTGGATGTATGCTCAGATTCAGATTGGCAGATCATATGGTAGTTCTACTTAAAAATTCTTTTGAGAAACCTCTATATTGCTTCCATTGTGGTTGTACCATTTTACAATTCCAACAGAGCACAATTATTCCAATTTCTCCACACCCTCACCTTTTTTAAAATAGGAGCCATCCTAATGAGGGTGTGATAATATCTCTTTATGGTTTTGATTTTCATTTATCTGTTAGTCATGTTGAGCATCTTTTCATATGCTTGTTGGCCATTTGCATATTTTCTTTGGAGAAATATTTATTCAAGCACTTTGCCCGTTTTATAATGGGGTTATTAGATTTTTGTTTTGGAGTTGTAAGAGTCTTTATTTATTCTGGATATCAAGTCCTTATCAGATATATATAATTTGTAAATATTTTCTTCAATTCTGTAAGTTACCCTTTATTCTATTGGCTGTTTCCTTTGATGTACAAACATTTTTAAGGTTGATCTAGCCCTATTTTTAAAAATCTATTATTACTTTTGTTGCCTGTGCTTTTTGTGTCATGTCCAAGACATTATTACCAAGACCAATATCGTGAAGTTTTTCCATTATGTTTTCTTCTAGGAGACTTATAGTTTGAGGTATTATGTTTAGGTCTTTAATGCATTTTGAATTAATTTTTGTATTAGTATTTTTGTATTATTAGTGTAACATAATAGTCTAGCCACTCTTTTGCATGTGTATATCAAGTTTTACCGGCAACATTTATTGAGGAGAATGTACTTTCCCCAAGAAACTAATTTTTAAGCATAAACAAATTGTAAAGTTTTGGTGTAGTCACACACAATAAAATATCCACTACTGTCCAAAAGGCTACTAAAATATTTCTCCTTTTTTCAAGTCTGTATCTGTGTGAAGAATAACTTTCTTCACATAATTCAATGAAAACAACATATTATATTTATAGGCAGAAATGAGAATCCAACTGTCTTCTATTAAGCCAAATATTTAAAAAATTCAAAATGTAAAACACTCTTCCTTTTGCCTATTTTCATGAAAATATAAAATGTATGTTAACGTATTATAGGTTTGTTATTTGGTTTCAATGAGTTAATAAATAGATAATATTTTTGTTCTGCTTTTTAATATTGTATGTATCTATAAATAGAACCTACATAAACAAAAATTCCTTGGGGTCTTTAATCTTTTAAAAATAAACTTAATTTCGAAATAATTTTAGATGTATAGAAGAGTTGCAAAGATAGTACAGAAAATTTCTGTATATTCTTCACCGAGTTTTCCCCTGAATTAATACCTTACAGCTATAGTACATTCATCATACTAAGAGATTAATGTTGGTGCATAGTGCTACGTAAATTTCAGACTTTATTCCATTTTAAGGGTTTTCCCACTATTGCCTATTTATGTTCCAGGGTCCGATCTGGGATTCCACTTTGCATTTAATTGTATTTCTGGCCACAATTGCTCAGTCTTTATTTTGAGTGTGTGATCTTGACAGTTTTGAAGAAAATGGTGAGCTATTTTGACGAATGTTTTTCAATTTGAATTTTCTCCTTGTTAGACCGGAGTTATGGGTTTTGGGGAGGAATAATACAGAAATGAAGTTCCCTTCTCATTATATTATCAGGAAATTGATATGACTTATCACTTGTTATGTTAACCATGATTACTTCTTTAAGGTAGTTTCTACGAATTTTAACTACAAAGTTACCATTTTTTTTCCCTTTCTATATTCTGTTCTTTGCAAGTGAGTGACTAAGAGTTCCCAAGTCCAGACCAGACTCCGGACGGGGTAGAGATGAGGATTAAGTGCCACATCCTGGGAGGGCATTTTAAATGAATGAGTAAATAAATAATTAAAATGCTTCAATTTTCATTTCTAATTTGGTATATTTCCACACAAATAAATCTATTTATGGTTCTCAATTTGTTTTGCAAGTATAATATAATAGATTTCTAATACCAAAACATTTGCAAGCCACTGGCTTAACTGTTGAACATTTCTATGTACTGTATCCAAATTGCTCTGTAGTTACACATTTGGTGATATGATACTTGTATAATTCCTTGTCTTAAATGAATCTTCATGCTCGGTCCTTGTTTTTAAATAGCTCAATTACTATTGTTCTTTACTTTTCCTATTTACCAATGAAAAGGAGACATGGAATTGCTAACCAACTTACTGAATCATACTTAAAGCCTTGGTTTTTCTACTCTCCCACCAGAGTTCTTCATATATGTTTTCTTGTAGCTATATTCACTTGAAGGGATTAAACATTTAAGCTCTAAAGTGAGAAACATCCTAAAAGAGAATAGCATCATGTCAAATGAAAGCCTTTTAAGTACTATTAAGACAAAATACTTAGTGTGATTTTAAGAAAAGTGCTGGTGTTTAAACCACACAAAAAAGATCAACTATGGTAACAGTTTAGAGATCACTATAACCTCAGGAACTCTATAGTTTGTGGAGCAGAAATTGTTCTTTCAAATAAATAGACATAATTTTATAATTCACTTATCATTATGATGATTACAATAATTGGAATGATTCTTCCCTTCTCCAGCTTGTTAAGTGCTAGAGACATCATTGTGTCATAAATTAGAAATATTTCATAATAAGAAATATTTGATAAAACATGCCAAATCCTTTTCAAATACTCTTGAATTAATTCTCAACTTTCTAAGCCAAAATAGTATAGAGTTAGGGAGCTTAATGGACTAGGATAGAAATGCTGTATTAGAAACATGAACACCAGTGTTTCTCTAAATGGTGTAATGATGGAGACATGAGCTTTTATGTTCTGAAAGCTGTGCTTTCAAATACTGTGCTTCCCATATGCAGCTCAAAGCATTGATGACTCCATAGTCTATATTAATCAGAATTATCTAAGGCTTCTTTAAAAATAAAGAAAGAATTATTCTGACTGAGTAAACTTATTAAATCAGAGTCTCTTTGAGTATGACTCCACGATCTGAGTCTTAAATATCATGATAAGTGATTTTCATTCAACCTGAAATGTACACTCACAACACTAGAAGAAAACACTAGATAACCCTTTGCATAGGCAAGTTATTTTATCTTGTGGAATGGTTCACCCACTATGTGCTGCCACCACGAATAGTCTAGGTTCTGGTGCTAACAGAGCCTGGGTAAAACGGTAAAATCTTATCCAAGATCAAATACAGGGATGACTCAAACATTATATATGAGTACTGTAACTTCTTGAGAGTACAAGTCCTTGAAGCCTTTCAGGAATAATAATGATAATAATAATAATAATAATAAAAACCTCAGCCAAGACACGTGAGCAAGGGCAGGTTCACCTTTCATTCAGAAGAATTACGGAGGCAGCTGTATTCTTGAGAGCGTGGAGCAAATACTTCCGTCAAAGTGCCTCCATTAATCTTACTGGACAGCCCTCTGAAACTTTCATCTGATGGGCAACTCCATAATTATAGAAGAAATAAATAGTTCCTTGTGGAATTTGAGGCATATGCTTTAAGGAATCCTAGTAAAGCTAAGGAGAATGAATTTAGTAACATAAAGATACATTTCAGTGATGATTACACAAAAGGCATTTTCTATTCATGTTTAACCCCAATCTTCAAACTCTTTGGTATTCACTATTCAGTATTTTTGCCTGAAATACAAGATGAAAACAGTATTTATACATCATAGAGCTTAGACACAGTTTAGATTAAATCCAGTTCTCATAAGTTTCCATTGCAAATTACCAAAGGATTTTAAATTAAATTGTTAATGTGCCTCTCTCCTCTTGGTACTGAATGCCCTTATGAATCTTCTAGGGACCTGGGATGGAGGGCATGTGTGGAAATGTTCTTTGTAGTACCTTTTTTCTGGGTTTAATTTGCACTTCATACAACGAGTACAGTCATTATGTTTTTCCTGGGAGAGCTAAAACTAAATTGTAGCAGTATGTTTAGAGGGAAACACATTTAAGCTATTTGAGTGAAGATAAATAATGATTTGTGGCCAATCTAAAAAGTGTGCTATGTTAAAATAGCTTAGGTGTTCTTATTTAAGGATAACTGAAGAAGCTTACAGTTTTGAAATATTTTGTCCTGAATCATTGGTTTCTGATGGACATTTGAGGCATCTCTGAGAACAATGTTTTTAAAAGTTCCCCTTTAAAAGGCATAGGAGTATCAACTGCATTTATACTAGGTGGTGATGACTTTCTCAGTTCCTTTGCATTAGATTTTTTTGATTATCAGAATGTATTATAATTTTTTTCTTATGAGAAAACATAAAATCTGTTTGAGTTTAAAATAATATTCAACCTACATTGATCATCTAAAATATAATATTAAATAAATGATGTGTGATATAGAAAGACGAATAAGATAAATTCTCCTGACTTCAAGGAGCTTGTGATTCAACGGCCTCCATAATACCTATACTTAAATAAATGTGAAGCAGTGGGGCCATGAAAAATTGTCCTAAGAAGCATAGAGAAGTGATCCAGCGGCTGATCAAAAGAGGACACGACAGAGATGGCTCTCAGGAAAGTAGTAATGTAGCTTTTGTTGATGAAATCCCAAAGACACCGAAACTCCTGGAGTCTTTTTCTTCTTGATTTTTAAAGGCTTACATGTAGTTTAATCAAATGCTTGGGTGAAAATACTGAAAAACTAGAAGGGAGAAAAGGGGAAATAGCATTTAACATAGCATATAGGTGCTATGCACATGGGTCATGGCAGAAATGATTTGGGTACAAAGACCCTACCTAATCCCCCTACAAAGCTCATGTAGAAACTACCACCTATTATATATAGAGAGAGGGAGAGAGAGAGTTCTGTATTTATGTATATATAAAGAACTTAGAATTTACTTGGTACTTGAAATAAATTGGCCTTGATTTAGAATCTTAATTCAGAACTTTCTGAATCTGCATCTTCACTACTTTTGTATAAAACTTTGTCAAAAAGAGGAAATGAAACAAGGAAACCCTACCATTTTAGCCATCATTGTTAAAAATTATCTTTTTATTTTCCCTGAACCTGGTAATAACTCATTTGCATTAAAGAGAACATTCATGTAGCTATTTCAGTTCCAACATCATAATGGAGGGATTCTTTGAGAAAAAAAAAAAAAAAACTACAGATATGGAAAAGAATTTACTTGAACATAAGGACAATTAACCAAAATATTATTATAAATTTTTCCATCATTTAAAAGGAAGGCTTTGTAAAGAAAGTTGCATGTAATGCATAAATCTGTTATCAATGCAGATAACTTATAATCCCCACTCTGAAGAGAATATGTTTCCAAGGATTGTTTTATATATCAGTGACAAGAATTCTTTTGGAACAGGAGAAGGGAGTGAAGTTATAGTACTCGTTAGCTAGGACTTCTCTTGGTGCCAAAAGAAAAAATAAAAAATGATCCCTTGACTCTTTTGGTTAGGAGGGTCAGGATCAATTCTAGAAAGTCTTATAATCTGTATAAAAATAGTTCGTGACACAATTTGATTATGCTAGCTTGTGTTAGACATCCTTCCCACAGGGTGGTAGTAAATCTTATTAAGTAGTAAGTATTCTTATTTCTCATTACAACAATGCCAATATTTTTCTTCATCAAGCTACACCTCCAAATACAGCTGTAGAAATCATAAGAAGTTGAGAAAAATGTGCATTTAATAACGAGAAATTTCATAATAAATATTATAAAACTCCACATTAATAAGTTATATGATATATATGGATAAAAAAGACAAGTAGTATATATTAATTTAAAAACAAAACACCTGATTTTGATGTGTGGTTTGGCACTCTAATAATTATTTCTGGCACATGTATCAACATAAATATTTAAGTGTTTAAAGTAGTGAATCATTCAAACTTAAAAAATATGTTTCCTTTTAAGATCCTTTGTGTAAATTGAACAAGGTTATTTGCTAATGGCCTTTAAAGTGCCTGAAAATAAAGTTTGTTAAATTTTTGAGGAAGGGAAACTAGATTGTATGCGTGCTTTTTTTTTTTTTTTTTTTTTGAGATGGAGTCTCGGTCTGTCACCCAGGCTGGAGTGCAGTGGCGTGATCATGGTTCACTGCAACCTCTGCCTCCTAGGTTCAAGCAATTCTCCTGCCTCAGCCTCCTGAGTAGCTGGGACTACAGGAGTATGCCACCATACCCAGCTAATTTTTGAATTTTTAGTAGAGATGGTGTTTTGCTAATATTGGTCAGGCTGGTCTTGAACTCCTGACCTTTGATTCACCTGCCTCGGCCCCCAAAAGTGCTAGGATTACAGGTGTGAACCGCCTCACCCAGCCAATTGTATGTTGTCTTCTTGAAATGAGATTTAAATATTTAACTATTTTCTGTTTTTTCTGACACTGGTATATGAACAAATGTAAAGGTTTTGAAGGGTAATATAGTCACTGACCCCTCATGGAATTCTTACTTATAAGAGTATGCAGTTCAGTTTTGGATTTCTATATATTTCAAATCAGGTGCAAATATTGTTATTTTATTACCCAGTGAACCTACCTGTTCATCTCAAGCAGCTGTTGGAAGGTAATGACTCCTAACTACAGTCCTCAGCCAGAGTCTAGCCAATGGCCTTTGGCAAATTTCCCCAAGTACTCAATTGAGGAGATACTTTGGTTTTAATTTTGGGAGATTTATGTTGATTATGTCATAGTAGTAAATACATGAATTTAAAAAAATAATGAACAATACCATTTATGTAAATTCACTCACTTCTATGGAGCTCATGAAGAACTCGAGGTGAAAAGGGAGGTATTGGAAATGGCAGAAGAGTAATCTGTGTGTGCTCAGAACTGAAAATGTGGAGTTAACGTTGCCAAAGCAACTTTTGGAGTGACATTCTCTTTTGTTTTTTTCTCAAACTTAAGCACTCTTTGAGGATTATATATTTTGTGGGTAAGGTTAGGAGTTAAAGACTTTTCTAAATGTTATTAAGTATACTTCAAAGGAATATATTTGCGCAGTTTGAGTAAGGAATGATTAAATTTCATGATTCTGTCTCATTTGAGGTCAAAGATACTTGTGTTTACACATGTATGGATTTAACTTTTATACATGTACATATACACCTTGTTCAAATTAAAACATTATAGGTGTTTTTAGTGAGGGCACAACATAAACAGTTTAAAACTTTTGGGAATAAATGACTACATTTTGTTGTAATTAAGCAATACAATGGAAACAGAAAAAGGGGATGGTCAGTGCTCTGGTTGATCAGTGGCCAGCCAGGTTCTGACTTCATTGACACATTTCATGGAAAGGGTGTTTTAATGAAGGATAGAATTGTAAATAATTCATTCCATGCTGTGAGGTTAACCACAAGCCTCTTAGAAATCAGAAAACTTATTACTCCTGCAGATGTGCTGGAACTGAGAGCAGGGATTGAAATTCTGAAAACACTCTAGTTTTTCTGACTTGATTTTATTGTGAAGCATACTTCGGTTAAGTGGCCAGATTTTCTTAAGTATACATAGAAATAGATTTCTTTCTGCTTTTTTGAGAAAATTTCTTTTTATTGGCATTCCCACAATATAATTGGGCTAATTTTAAGTGATAAATGCTGAAAGTGTAAATATGCCCTGTGTTTGTGCCGCTTCCTTTAATAAAGTTTTCATGAGGAAGTCATCCCCAGTGTTAAAATTTCTATTTCTATTGTGATATTCTGCATCTCACCTCTTAGCTCAGTGGATGTGGAGCCATCATTATCACAATTAGTGAGTCAGGAAAAGGGTTTTGAAACATTTAATGTTCTCTCTCTTTCCCCTTATTTTCTGTAACACTTGGGCACTCTGCTCTTTAAAATTGGTGACAATAATAGTTGTGTGGATAGCAGCTTGGTAGTTCTGAACTACCTGAGGGCCTGAGAAAAGGGACATATTGGAATCAGTTATATAGAAAACAGAGGAAGAAAAAAATCTCTTCTGGTTTTTGAGTATCAAAATTTTAAGCAAGGTAATGGATATGTTAATTACCTTGATTTAATCATACCATATTGTATACATATATCAAAAGATCATTCTGTACCCCATAAATGTATACAACTATGATTTGTCCATTAAAAAATTAGTCCCTGAGGGAAACAGAGAATAACAGAGTAGATTCAAGTATAACAGTGAAAACTGTATGTTGAGGCAGAGAAATTATTTCCATTATGAAGTTTAGGTAGATTCTCTAGGATTGGGGAACAACCTGAAGAATGAGAGAGAAAGCAAGATGGAGTGCTTTAATGTCTACCTGCCCTCACCTCTCCTTTCCATCCCTGACACTCTGCCCTACCCCCAGCCCTGCTACTCCAAGCCACTGGGAATCTCAGTCTAGCATGGCACGAGGTGACAGATGTATCTCAAGGTTGCAGTCCTGAAGGATTCTGTGGTTAGGGAAGAAGAGTGACTAAGCATCAGCCTCAATGAGTCATGAGCAGGAAGTGGAAGGCATGGTGATATACCTCAAGCCAGTATGGTTAGATGATAAATGACATCTTGACAATTAGTCATCTCTCAACAACTTAGATGCATGCCTGGGGAATCAGGAGAGGGTTTCCTGAGTGATATATAATTTTTTTTCTTTTACCCATTACCAAAAGACCATTATGAAATGATACGTAATTTTGTACAATCTTGTAGAATGTGAGCTCAAGAAATTGGATTGAATTATGGAAATTTTAAAAATATTTTCTCTTTTACACAGGAGTTTGTGGCCTAAAATTGTGGCATGGTGATTGAACAATTATGGCATTAAAACAAAGGATATAAGAAATTAATCTGTAAGCTCTAATATGTTATGAAAATTGACTGCTTAGGTAAAAGAAAAAGACTGGTATATTTATAGGTAAAGTGGAAGCTAGACATAAAATGGCATGTCCACTTCAGAGAATAAATCAATTCTCTGCATGAACCATCACTTTATGTAAGAAGTTATAGGAAATGGATTTTTAAAAAACAGGATTCTATTTTTTTAAAATAAGAAAATATAACAATATCCATATAAATACTGTAAGATACACTGAAACATTCTTAGCCTCATTTGCTGAACCTATATCTTTTCATACTTTTCCATTTCAATTGTAATGTATTCAACCATTGTGAACACCAAACTCTAATGTGCCTTTTCTTCTTCCCAGCAGACATAGTATATTTCCCTGGGACATTTTTTTTTTTCTGGATGCCTTTTTCATAACTTCTCCCCTTTAATCAAACTTTTGGTACCTCCTGATTTATTCTCAATTTAACAGAAATAAAAGAGGAAGCCAGATCTCCTATAATCTCGCACCAGGTTACTTAGTGTCTCATCATCTATGACTATACACTCTGCTACTTTGCCTCTTACTGTGGATGTATTCTTCATATTCAAGCTACTATTTATACTTTTGCACTGAATCCTTTCCCTCTTACCTACTCAAAGACCACATTCCAGCAATCCTCTCCTTTCTTGCTTCATTAATTTTCTTTTTATTACTGGATACTTTTTTTTTTTTAAAAAAAGCAATAATACCCTCAAATTAAAAACAAAGAAGAAAACTCAAAATCTTCTTTGACCTCTCTTCCCATTTCCATCTAGCTATTCTCTAATTTCCTTGCTCTCTTTTAAAGCATATTTGACAGCATGGAAATCTGCATTCACAGTTAGTAATTACTCTCATTCTCTTATGGATTATTCCAATAAGGCTTTCTACTTACCTATCCACTCCGTAGAAATTGCTCTCTTGTCAAAGCCATTAATGTCTAGTAGCATTAAACATTAATGGGATTAATGGGATTCAGCAAAGGACCCCATGGTTGGTTCTCGGTCCCCTTCTCCTTTGACTTCTCTTAACATTGGACCCAGTGAATTCTTTCTCCTGTTTGGAAGTTCATTTTCACATGCACTCTACTTTGCCTTCTACCTCACTGAGCCCTCCTCAGTCAAATTTTCAGAAAAACAAAGGAAGAAGAAAAAAGCTCAGAAATTTTCCACACAGTTCATTTCAATTCTTTTGATTATACGAAAGAATGTCATTATTAACAAACCTAAATTGCAAACATTTGCAATAAAGTCACCATGTGCTTACTTAACTTTAATCAAAATTTCAAATATTAAACTTTAGTTTCTATTTGATGAACTTTAGAAAAAAAGGGTGGTATTATTTTATATCCTGTTTTTTTTTTCCTGATGGCTTTTGTTTTTATAACATTGAGTTTTAAAAGTTTGTAAAATATACCTTGTGACAAAGAATCACAAAATTAATTCAGGTATTTTAAGTGAAAGTTGAAGTGAGGAATATAAAAAATGTTACACATGCTACTAGTGATATCATTAACAATTTAGGATGTGGAAAAATGATAAATTCATATGATACTAATTTAGAATTTGGATCATTTGTAAAAAAAAAAGTAGCTTGCCAAAATAATGATAATAATGTAATTGAACTTTGAGGGGAGCTGTTTTTCTTCAAGAATAAAAGATAACATTTTAAGTTATCTTTCTGTGCCTGGCTATCAAAATTACTATTGCTTTGCTGGCAAAACTCTAAATTTTCAAAAGATATTTTGAAATATATATTTATTACATTATTCCTTTTATTTATTGATTGATTTAAAACATATTCTTTTGTAGTGACAGGGTCTCACTACGTTACCCAGGCTGGTCTCAAAATCTTAGCTTCAAGTGACCCTTCCATCTTGGACTCCCAAAATGATAGGATTATAAGTGCAAGCCACCACTTTTTTTAAACTGAGCATTCATCTCAACCTTAGTTTGCGTTATTTTTTGTAACATCTACCCAAATGAGTCTCAATAAATGATCTGATTTCCCCTTATAACGTTGTACTAGTAAAACAAAGAGGCCTGGAGAAGTGAAACACAAATATAATGTCCATTTAACTTTATTAGCAATGCCTCCTTCAAATAATGCTAAACACTAGCTCGACTTAGCTTAAACGTCAAATAATTTATTACCTGATGTAATAAAAAGCTTGAAGGTAAGGCAAACTCAAGGTTAGTTAATCAAGGTTGGTTAATACTCACAGTTGCTATTTCCATGACCTCATTAACAACCCAGGCTGTTTTCACTCAGCACTAGAAGTATTAGTTACCTTTATGGTTGCAACATTATCAGAGGAAATTTAAATATCCCATCTTTAAAAAATAACATGCATATGCAGAGAAACTTTTTTTTCCTTTTATCAATATTTAATGGGAAAAAGAAACTTTCACGGGATCTCTCCAGTAGAATTCTTTTTAAATCACTTTAGTCAAACAGAATGTGACAATCCTGTTTAGCACAAGTCAATCGTTATTTACACAAATCAAATGAAGAAGGGATGAAGACCAGACAAAAAATGAGGACTCTACAGATGCGAAGGAAGAAGAAAAAGAGCTGTTGAATAGGCAACCCACAGGGAATGTTGCTGGTAGGAATGAAACCATGTGCCAAAGAAATTAGTCTACTTAATAAAAATAATCTTCTTACATCTTAAGTTAAATACAATACACTTAAAATAAACCCATCAGAATGTACTTTATTTCGTTTTAATTGGCCATTAATTAAGTGTACCTTTGAAATATTAATAAATTATAATTGTAAATACGTCTTATACTTTCTCAAAGATTCCTATATTTGTGCAAGTCATTACAGAATGGCAAGTATTTGCATAGGTACTAGAAGAAAAAGGCAAACCATCAGGACTCTTTACTTTGCTACAAGTAAACATTTGGGAATATAAAAAATGTTTTGAATTAGAAATCTAAAAACTGAGCCCAGAAATAAACCCAAAATTGGAAGAAAGGAAGAGGATTAGATTAGAAAAAATTATCCGATGTAATAGGATTTCTAAGTTAGAAAGTATGCAATGAAGAATAGACTCAAATAAAAATTCAAGAAAAAGCATTGAAGAAAATTAAGAAAATAATCAAGGCAATGTAAATGTGGCAGAAAGAAGTTAAAAGAGAAAAAGTGGCAGAAATAAAACATAAGCAATGGAAGAATAACATTTATAAAATTGATGTCCTTGAACAAAATAACAATATGACATATTCATATTTAATGGTATAACTTCAGAAAAATTTCCAGAAATAAAAATAAGACTGAAATCTGCATATTAGAACATCCCATGAGACACCTGGAACAAGTTAACTTGTAAAAATCAACTATAAGACATAGTCTTATAAAACTATTAGATTTCAAAGATAAAGTAGAAATCAAATACTAAAGAGAGTCAAATAATTAGATTGGCATCATAATTTTCGAAGACATCATGCAAAGCAAGGCAGTGATAGAGCAGTGGTTTTGGAAAACAAACAAAGAAATGTAAACCAAGGATATTATATCTAACCAAGCTATCCTTCAGGCATCAATGCTTTAGAAAATAAAAGCTAATATACAAAATGTAGAAAATTCCACATCCATAAGTTTTTCTTTAATACACTACAAGAATAATTTCACCTTCCAAAAGATAACTGAGAATGCTTCTGTTAAGGTGCTAATGGTAAGAAAAACACTCTTTGTTTTTAAGTCAAAATTTAAAACAACATTAGAGAGGAGGTGAAATAATAATGACCTAACTTTATTCATGACAAAGTAGAAAAGTACAGCTTCAAAATGGAGGAGAAAGGAGCGGCCAAATGAAAGTAGAATAAGCTCATTCATTGCTATATAAACAATGGGTGGGAACTAAGGACCCCATTAAAAGCTGACAAACCAGAGAGTAAAAGATAAAATTATAAAACAGTGGACTAAGGACATTAAAGATAAAAGTACAACTATGTTCACTACAATAAAAAGTCAAACCTTCCTAAATACAAGTATACACTTATATATGCTTATAAATTAAAGAGTAAACAATATACATCTTGTAGATAAACATAGCACACGATTATAAAACATTATGATAGAGTTAACACAAATATATCCACCACATCAATAAATAAGAATGGCTTAACTCACTAAAAAAAAAAAATTTTTTTTTTTTTTTTTGAGACGGAGTCTGGCTCTGTTGCCCAGGCTGCCAGGCTGGAGTTCAGTGGCACGATCTCGACTCACTGCAAACTCCGCCTCCCGGGTTCATGCCATTCTGCCGCCTCAGCCTCCCGAGTAGCTGGGACTACAGGTGCTCGCCACCACGCCTGACTAATTTTGTTTTTGTATTTTTAGTAGAGACAGGGTTTCACCGTGTTAGCCAGGATGGTCTCAATCTCCTGACCTCATGATCTGCCCACTTGGGCCTCCCAAAGTGCTGGGATTACAGGCATGAGCCACCGCGCCCGGCCTAAAAAAATATTTTTAACTTGGCTCATGGAACACAACTAAAGCAAAGTCATTCAGAAAGGCTGAAAATAAAGGCATGGACAAAGATACTAAAGTAGAAATCGTATCACTCAACATAGAATACAAGCTAAAAAGCGTTAAGATGACGAAGGGTACCTGTGCTAAAATCCACGAGTCAAAATAACACTAAAACACTTACGAATACTCGTAAAACATTTACGAATAAATAACAAAGTAACTCCTTCTGTGAAAAACAGTACCTGGATAGTAACGTACAGATAATAGAAGACTTTAATATGCCACTCTCAGTATAAGATATGTCAAGCTCTCCAGCCCAAGACCAGCAGTATCACACCAGTAGGTAAACAGGTTAGGCTTAATGTTCATTGCAATGAGGAAAACTGCGCACTGTGGGGAATCATAAGGGATGTCAATAGAAAGGTATTAGAGAAGACTTATTCAATTTGTACTTAGGATATTTGGGGAGAGTTTACAGAAGAGTGCTGTCAGAATGTGGGGACAATTCTATTTGCATCTTAATAAATCTTATTCAGAAGGGAGGCAACTAGAGTGAGGATAAAGCTGTAATTTGTGACGAAGTAGGAGCCACTCACATCAGCTGGATAGCAAAAAATTTGTATTTTATGGTTTACCTAGTGACTTTGTTACTAATCGTGTGCTTAGACAACATTAGGAAGTGACCTTGTTTTTGGTCTCCCTTTATCACGGTCACAGAGCAATCTGTCAGACATCAGGCTGTTATTCCAAAAGGAGAAAAATGTGGCCTGAATGTGAGCACTTAGGCCAGCTATAACAACACTGAAGCCTTGTTCCTGAATGTCAGGGACTGCATTCCTTTTTTCTCAGACAGACAAAAAGTGGGCACAAAATCAGTAATAAGGTAGAAGAACTAAAAACATAACAAATAAAGCAAATTATATGGATATATACCAAACTTCACACCTTTATAAAAGGGCATATATCTTCCTCTCATATGCCCATATTACATTACCAAAATGTATACATATTAAGTGGCACTCTCATTTACACACAGAAACTATAGTAATTCCATAAAATAGAGATATTGTAAATAGTAATCTTTAATCACAATGCAGCAAAACTAGAAATTTTCAACAAAATCATAAACCAAAATGTCTTTTACTTGAAAACTTAAAAATCTCTATTAAATTTTTTTATAAAAAGAGATGTAAATTGTAACTATAGAATTTTTTTAAAGTGTCAGAATATACAGAGTGCATTTTAAAAGTTCTATCACCAAACATTTTTAATAGTAAACATTGAATAATAAAGATGAGTTAAGTACTTGTCTTAGTATGTTTGGGCCGCTATAACAAAACTATCATAGACTACGTGGCCTATAAATAACACAAATTTATTTCTTATAGTTCTGGAAAGTGAGAAATTCACAATCAAGGCACTGGCAGATTCAGTGTCTGGTGAGGACCCCTTTTCTGGTTCATAGAGTGAATCTTCTTGCCGGGTCCTCACCTGGGGGGCAAAGGAGCTCTCTGGGGCCTGTTTTGTAAGGGCATCAATCCTATTCATGAGAGCGCCATACTCATGACCTAATCACCTCCTAAAGCCCCTTCCTTTATTGGTGAGGTAGTATTATATCATCTCACTGAGGGTTAGTGACACAGGATTCTTTTGGTGCCACTTTGCCAGCTGGAAACCTCTGTGGCTGGTGGAGCCTCTGCCTGGGTTTCACTTGTGACCACTGGGCTAACTCTGCCCACTCAGCCTGGTAGGCTGAGTTCAGCTCATGCTACTGGCTTGGATTCCATGACCATCACAGGCAGGCCAGGTGTGGAGAGGTGAGGGGTACATGAGCAAGCGAGTGAGGTGTCCAGCCACAGTGCACAGCCAGGCAGACTGTGCTGTGGCAGGGCAGGAAGCTCCAGGAGGCAACACATGCATGAGCTCCATGTGAGGCTGCAGCTGGACCTGGCATGCCTCAATCGGCTTCTGCCTTGCGTGTCAGTGTCTGGACAAGGGGAACCGGGTGGTGCCCAAAAACTTGGAGATGCCAGTAACCTCAGAGCCCCAAGGGGGTATTACAGCATGCCACATCTCTGGCTTGGGAAGTCTCAAAGTCTGGGCCTCCAGAAGGGTTGCAGCGCTTGTCTCATAGTCTGATGAATGGAAATGTGTCACCACCCCAGCTCAAGGGCCAGCCAGGAATGTGTTTCAGCTCATTTGTGTTACAGCTCCTTCTATTCCACTGCTTCACTCCAGCCTGCAGCTTCTGGGCTGCCGCCCCCACCCACCCCCCACCCGCTACCACTTCCCATCACATGGAGAACCTGCCCAGCACTGGAAGAGGGAGGGAGGGCTACAGTGTTACACCTCCTTTTGCACCCACTATTTGGTGGGTTCCGGGTTCTTGTCCCGCATCCAAGAAGAATGAGGTTATATGGACAACTGAAGAGTGAGCAAGGTGGAGAAGAGTTTCATTGAATGGTAGAACAGCTCTCGACATGAGAGGGTACCTGAAGTGGGTAGCTCCTACCTGAAGGCTGGTAGTCCCCATGTGTGGCTGATTCTGGGGTTTTTATGGAGTCAGAATGGGGGAGTGTGTGCTGATTGGTCCATGGGCAAGCCTGGAAAAAGCACCATTCAGTTTGCTAAAAGGTGTAGAGGTAATTCTCACTCCAGGTGGTGGACTGTATCCAGGACTGGCACCCTGGTTTTCAGGCTGCAGGCTGTCTTTGGCTTGAAGGTGGGGGTCTCACCAGGGACCTGCCCCTATCTGCCTAGAATTTGTCTGCCTCCTGCTGCTATCATTAGAATTTCAACGTGTGAATTTTGAGAAAATACAAACATTCAGTCTAGCAGTACACAAAAAAACTAAAAAAAAACCCAATGTAAATAAAAAGAAAGCACAAAAAGCAAACACTAGAGGTAAAAGCTGAAATAAATGAGATGGAGAATAGAAAAAGAGTAGGTCTGATTATTTTCAAAATTCTTTTTTTTTAAATTAAGAAGTATCTACTAATTTGAGCAAATATAAAGCTATAAAGGGTAAACCAGAAACTTATGAAATTGCTTATCTATAGAGGATGGATGAAAATATGTTGAACATGAAAATAAAAGAATGGTATAGAAGAAATGAGGAAGGAGTGACACTCTGAGTATACCTGTTTACTTAGTTTGACTTTCAGTACCTTAGTGACATTTAACATATACAAAATATAAATAAGTAACTAAAAGCAACTAGGACCTGGGGATAACCTAGACAAAATAAGAATAGTAAGTAAGAAATAAACAAAGACAATTAGCGTAACTGTCTTAACAAAGTAGGGAAGACAAAATTGAACTAATTAATGTTGGAAAACAGCATTTTGACTTGATATTGAAAAGCCAAAACCCAGAAAAAAACATACACCAATATCCTGTTGCAGTTAGTAAGTTTTTCTTCACAAGGTTATGGGTTAGCAATTCTAAAGCTAATTTTTGTGTAAACATATTGTTCATGATGAGATACAGGTTTCTCATTGTTAGGGAAAAGAGTTAAAAATATGGACATGGGGAATACTAGGATGAACTCTGTGGTGTTAGAATGGAATAAAATATATACAGACATCGTATATTACATATACGCATATACTTATTATTTCCTAGCGTTGCTCACTGAGAAGCAGTGTTGCCTTAATAGTAATTAGCTAAGCTAGCTTCCATATCTTGGTTTCTAAATACCATTCTCCAATTAAAGAAATGAGACTAACTTGGAGACGTGGTAGATTCTAGGTCTGGGCAGAAGAAATTCAAGATACGCCTGCATGTTGAAAGAACACAGAAACCAATTTGATAGAGCTCCCAATAGTTACATCTGGGATAATTAGAGCAACAAAATGGATAATTACTATAATGGATGTAACTGATAGAATCAACTGAAAATCTGAAAATCTGTGAGTTCAATTAGTGATGTAGATGATCAGGAAGTAGATAAAGAAGGGGCACTCTCAGAGTAGAATCCTGAATAATAAATTGAAAATAATGATGGAAATAAAAATCAATATATGGCAGACAGCACAGTACTAATTGTGGTATCAGTGAATGCTAGAATTAGTGGGCAAAAGTATGAGATGTAGGATATTTTCATAGTCTCAAAATAGCTATCTAAAAGATACTTATTAGTTATACAGAAAAAATGCTAAAGTCATCAGTTAACATTACTAGTAACAGATACATTGCTATCATCTGTCTCCTGATTTGCTGTACTAAAAACATCACTTATGTGAAATTCTTACCAAAAATGCAAAACCTCAATTAAATAATGAGGAAACAGACATATAAAAGAAGAGCTAATCTATAAAATAACTGGCTTCTATCTATAAAATAACCTCTTCAAAAGGGTCAAGGTCTTGAAACAAACAATAAAAGAAACACCGTACTAGATTAGAAAAAAACGAGGAGATTTGGCATATAAATGCAAATGAGATCCTCAATTTTATCCTGGATCATAAAGGTATTAGTGGGACAAATGGTTTCTGTAGATTATTTAACAGCATACTATCACTGTTACTATCTGATTCTGATACTTTACTACAATTATGTATCATGCTACCTTTTAGGGAAGCTTAGTGAAGATAAATAGAAACTCTTTGTACTATGTTTATATCCTTCTATAATTATTTAAAAGTAAAAAGCTAAAAATTTTTAAAAAATACATTGTTGTTTGTGTAATAATTATAAAATTATATATTAAAAATTAATATATATGCACATGAGAATAATTTAGTGAAGAGGCTTGCAGAGAAAGATACATGAAGGAAGGTAAAAGTTAATTGGTTTTGGAAAAAAAAAAACTCTCCAGATGAGCAAAGGTCTTTAATATGCTAATTCAAACATTCCAGTAGGGAAATACAAAATGTAGTTCTTTCCAATCATATCAAACTTTTTTTCATGGAACCCCTTATTGACATAGGTTCCAAGAAATGCACTTTCTGAAACACTAATGCAAATATAGGTAGCCAAGGGAGAGTTTTTAGTATTGATAGGCATGAAGAGATTAGCCTTTGTAGAAGTTGAGTCCAGTCATCTGCTCCAAAACACAAATGTGCACAATGGGGATCTTAAACCATGTTTGAGCCTTCATTTCATTGCCAGTGCTCAGGTATATCTGGGCACATTTGATGAACTAGTGGGAAAGGCTGCAAAGAAGTTCATTTACACTGGGTTGAAGAGCCTCCTTGAAAAGACCTCATGCTTTTGGTCACATCTGGCCAACCCTAAAAGTGGCAGGAAGGTAGTTTTGAGGAATCAGTCAACAAAACAATAACAATGACAATGTTGACAATGCAGATAATGACAACCTAATTGTAATAAAATAATTTGCTAGGCATCATGGGCTTGAACTGTACAGAGAAACTTAGGTTTTAGATGGGTAAAGGAACAATGAATAGAGTCTCTCCTTGGCTAGGGTCTATGCTAGGTCTATGTCCCAGTGAGTTGGCATAAAACCTAAAAGATGCATTTCACTAAGCTGAGTAAAACATGGGGTACACTAACCCCATTCTGCCACCAGACATTTCCACAGAAGCACACAGCTTTGGCCACGAGTCCTTCAGCACTCATAGGTGATGCCAGCAGAGACCAGAGCTTTTTCATTGCTCTTTATGGTGGAACATTGGCAAAGATGACCAGTGGTAGCAGCTAGAAAAAACTTGATCATGAGCACATTTGTTATATACCTGAGCAACCCCCAAATACATACAGATTGTTGACATTGAGACAACTTAAGTTCTGGCCATTTTATGAACTGTTTTGAAGATTTTGCTAGGTGTTAGGGAGACCAGGAAAGAATAGCCTAAAAACTGTACTCTTCTGAACTGTCCTTCTTATAGAGCCATATAGAGATTGGATATGCTGTTCTTTGGTTTCAAGGTTGACTTGGCCTGTCTAGTAGGATTTCAATAAGCAGTAACTGAGTAAATCAGTAAAATCTGTGTAAATCAGAGAAGTCATCCAAATGTATTATGATTGCAAATGAGTATACCACACAATCTCTATGGCGAAACAAAACAAAGCAAAACAAAACTTGTTTCTTAATGTGCTGTCCTATATGTTATCAACACATTGTTATTTTACTCTCTCAAAGTGAAGTTAATGACCCTTGTACCTCTATCTGCCTGTGTGAGCATGAATGTGACATATAGGAATAGTGTTGGGAACATAGGGTAGAAAGGAGTGAGGTGACTGCATTTAAGTTTTTGACTTTTCTTTTTAATGTGTCTAGTTATATTTTGCTAGTGCCTCATCATTTGACCTTCTATGCCATTTAGTGGTAGATTTCTTATATATTTTCCTCATCAGAAACTGTGTCTGTAACTCCAAAGTCACAATTAGAGAGATGCATGAGTCATAAAATTCCTTTTATAGTTCTTTTGGATGGTTGCCTTTTATAACATCATTTATTCTTCTAAATATATTCCAGGCTACCCTTGTTTTTTTGTGTGTGTGTCTGCTAGTGTTTCTGTATACAACTATTTAGGACACACGTGTCTTTTAACTCAATTTCCCTTTTCCTGGATAAATATATTTTTTGGTTGCTTAGTTATAGTGCTACACGCACTGTCAAACTTAGAGTTTTAATGAATTTTCCTGATTTTCATGTTTCATGCAACTCCAATTCAAGCAAAACACCCTATTCATTTTGCCACTGAATAAGAAATGATCCAAGATAAAGAATATTCAAACTCCTCTCAGGTTTGCTAGTAGGGTTTTATTAACATCATTTTAGACAATTAAGATCCTTGTTAAGAATTCTCCTTCGTGGCTGGTCGCGGTGGCTCATGCCTGCAATCTCGGCATTTGGGAAGGCCAGAGTGAGCAGATCAGCTGAGGTCAGGAATTCGAGACCAGCTTGTCCAACATGGTGAAACCCCAACTCTACTAACATTACAAAAATTAGCTGAGTGTGGTGCTGGGTGCCTGTAATGCCAGCTACTCAGGAGGCTGAGGCAGGAGAATCGCTTGAACCTGGGAGGTGAAGATTACAGTGAGCTGAGAACATGCCACTGCACTTCAGCTTGGGCTACAGAGTGAGACTCCATCTCAAAAAAAAAAAAAAAAAAAATTCTTTCTAATGTCTAAGTTTTCCGTGCCCCTAAGTAGAATAAGCTGCCTTTGGAGTACACCTCTGGACCTCATCAACCATCTGTGCACATTTTCTCACTACTAGAGGATTTTCTATCCAACTTAAAAGTTCATTGTTCTTGCACAAAAATCTACCCAAGCTTTTGAGAAAGATGGATATGAACAAACCACTGAGATAGTTGACACCATCTATTATTCCTAGGACTAATGGAGATTTTGGAACTATTCTCCCCAAGTCTCTATTAGTCCTAAGAGTAGTCCCCAAATCTCCATTAGTCCTAGTCCTAGTGAACTGAACCCTATGATATAAATTCACTGAAACCTGAAGGGTATGAAATAATCATTATGTGTATAGATAACCTCAGATATAAAAAAGCAGCCTTTGCCTTCTTCCTATACACAACTGCCAAAACTATGTCTTCTATCCTGACAGTTATTCTAAGCTCTTAGAATAAATGTTTGTTTCTATAATATATATTTATATTTAACCATTATTTAAATGCCACATATGATAATATTTGTAAAAGGACAAATAATAATGTTTACATAAAGCTTTCCAAAGAATTTTTTCAGATGAATTATCTTATTTGATTTTTAAAACAAATATTGTAATAAATAGGGATTTTATTATTATCATTATTAATTTTCAGGTCTGGATATGAGTGAATTTAAATGATTTAGTCATGATCATACAAACACATATTAACAGGCTATAGGAAAAATGAAACATCTTACAACTACAAATACCAGGACTATTTCAACCATGCCATGCTGCATACTCTTACCATATTGATATATTTCTCTTAATTTCTCTTTTTTCTGTTATTGTCTACATATTTTTATAGTACTCAGTCACCTATATCCTTGCTAAATAGCAAGGAACGTGCTGTTTAGTAACTTTTTTTAGTTACTTGCTATTTAGTAACTTTTTTATAGTTTTTTACTTTTTTGATTTTTTAATTTTTTTTTGATTTTCAATTTTTGTGGGTACATAGTAGGTGTTCATATTTATGGGGTATGTGAAATATTTTAATACAGGCATACAATGCATATTAATCACACCATAGTTCATGGCGTATCCATCACCTCAAGCATTTATCCTTTCTTTGTGTTATAAACAATTCAATTATACTCTTTATTTTAAAATGTACAATAATTTATTGTTGACTGTATTCACCGTCATGCTATCAAATACTATATATTATTTATTCTACATAATTATATTTTTGTACCCATTAATTATTCCCACTTCCCCCTGCCGACTACCCTTCTCAGCCTCTAATAACCATCATTCTACTCTCTCCCTTCTCAGCCTCTAATAACCATCATTCTACTCTCTCTCTCTTTTATTTTCCTCTGTATTCAAAACCATCCTTCTACTCTCTATCTTCATGAATTCATTAGTTTTAATTTTTAGCTCTCATAAATAAGTCAGAGCATGCAAAGTTTGTCTTTCTGTTCCTGGCTAATTTCATTTAACATAATGACCTCTGGTTTCATCCATGTTGTTTGAAATGACAGGATCTCGTTCCTTTTATAGCTTAATAGTACTGCATTGTGTATATGTACCACATTCCATACATCTGCTGATGAATGCTTAGGTTGCTTCCAAATCTTGGCTATTTTGAATAGTGTTGCAATAAACTTTGGGGTGCAGATACCTTCGATATGCTGATTTTCTTTCTTTTGGGTATGTACCTAGCAGTGGGATTGCTGGATCATATGGTAGCTCTATTTTCAGTTTTTTGAGGAACTCTTTATTGTTCTCCATAGTGGTGGTGCTAATTTACATTCCCATCAACAGTGTACCAGGGTTTCCTTTTCTCCGCAAACTTGCCAACATTTGTTATTGTCTGTCTTTTGAATAAAAGACATTTTAACTGGGTAAGATGATATCCCATTGTAGTTTTGATTTGTATTTCTTGGATAATCAATTTTGTTGGGTATCTTTTCATATACATGTTTGCCATTTGTATGTCTTCTTTTAAGAAATGTGTATGAAAATATTCTGCCCATTTTTAATTGGAGTTTTAGACATTTTCCTATAGAGTTGTTTGAGATACTTAAATATTTTGATTATTAATCCCCTGGCAGATGGGTAGTTTCCAAATATTTCCTCCCATTCTGTTTCTTGTCTGTTAACTTTGGTAATTCTTTCCTTTGCTGTGCAGCAGCTTTTTAACTTGATGTGATCTCATTTGTCCATTTTGCTTTGTTTGTCTGGGCTTGTGGGGTATTACTTAAGAAATCTTTGCCCAATCCAAAGTTATGGACAGTTTTTCCAATGTTTTCTTGCAGCAGTTTTATAGGTTGTGGTCTTCGATTTAATTCTTTAATCTATTTTGATTTGATGTTTGTATATGGTGAGAGATAGAAGTTTGGTTTCATTCTTATGCATATGGATATCCAGTTTTCCCAGCACCATTTATTGAAGAGACACTTTTCCCAAATATACATTCTTAGCATATTTGTTGAAAATAAGTTCGCTGTAGATGTACAGATTGTTTTCTGAGTTCTCTATTCTGTTCCATTGGTCTAAGTATCTGATTTTATGCCAGCATCATACTGTTTTGTTTCCTATAGCTCTGAGTTTAATTTGAAATCAGGTAATGTGATTCCTTCAGTTTTGTTCTCTTTGCTCAGTATAGCTTTGGTATTCCAGGTCTTTTGTGGCTCCATATAACTTGTAGGATTGTTCTTTCTATGTTTGTGAAAAATGCCACTGGCATTTTGATAGATATTGAGTTGAATCCGTAGATTGCTTTGGGTAGTACAAACATTTTAAACAAAACTGATTCTTCCAATCCATGAACATGGAATGACTTTCCATTATTCTGTGTTATCTTCAGTTTCTTTCAGCAATGTTTTATAGTTTTCATTGTAGAGATCTTTCACTTCTTTGGTTAAATTAATTTCTAGGTACTTGATTTTATTTGTAGCTATTTTAAATTGGATTACTTTTTTCTTTTTCAAATTGTTACATGTTGGAATATAAAAATGCTACTGATTTTTGTATGTTAGTATTATATCCTGCAACTTTACTGAATTTGTTTATCAGTTATAGCAGTTTTCTTGTTGGAGTCATTATGTTTTTCCAAATATAAGATCTTATTATCTACAAACAGTGACAATTTGATTTCTTCCTTTCTGATTTGAATGTCCTTTATTTCTTTCTCTTATCTGATTGCTCTAGCTAGGACTTTCAGCACTGTGTTGAATAACAGTGGTAAAGTGAACATCCTTGTCATGTTCCAGATTTTAAAGGAAAGGCTTTCAGTTTGTCCCCATTCCATATGATACTAGCTGTGGGTCTATTGTATATGGCTTTTATTTTGTTAAGGTAGGTTCCTTCTATACCCAGTTTTTTGAGGGTTTTTACCATTTAGGGATATTGAATTTTACCAAATGCTTTTATAGCATCAATTGAAATGATCATATGATTTTGTCCTTCATTCTATTGACATGATTGATTTGTATATGTTGTTGAACCATCCTTGCATTCCTAGGATAAATCACACTTGGTCATGATGAATAATCTTTTTAATGGGCTATTGAATTCAGTTTGATAGTGTTTTGTGAGGCTATTTCAATGTTCATCAGAAATATAGGCCTGCAGTTTTCTTTTTTTATAAGTCTTTATGTGGTTTTGATATTAGGGTAATACTAGACTCAAAAAATGGGTTTGGAAATATTTCCTCCTCTGAGTAGGATTGGTGTTAGTTCTTTAAATGTTTGGTAAAATTCAGCAGTGAATCTGGGGCCTTTCTTTACTGGGAGATTTATTATGGCTTTGGTCTCGTTACTTGTTATTGTTCTGTTCAGGTTTTGGATTTCTTCATGGTTTAATCTTGTACAGTTGTGTGTCTAGGAATTTATTGATTTCTTCTAGGTTTTTCATTGCATTGGTATATAGTTGCTCATACTAGCCTCTAATGATCCTTTGAATTTCTGTGGTATAAGTTGCAATGTCTCCTTTTCCATCTCCGATTTATTTATTTAGGTCTTCTCTCTTTTTTTCTTAGTCTGGCTAAAGGTTTGTCAATTTTATCTTTTCAGAGATTCAGCTTTTTGTTTCATTGATTTTTGAATATTTTTGTTTTTAGTTTTATTTATTTCTGCTCTGATCTTTATTATTTCTTTTCTTCTATTTTTGAGTTGAGATTGCACTTGCTTTTCTAGTTCTTTAAAATGTATCATTAGGTTGTTTACTGAAAATATTTTTACTTTTTTGATGTAGGCACTTATAACTATAAATCCCTCTTAGTACTGCTTATGCTGTGTCCCATAGGTTGTGTATGTTTTATTTTCTTTATCATTTGTTTTTTAAAAAGTTGATTTCCTTTTTAGATGAAATTAAAATTTCTTCATTGATCCACTGGTCATTCAGGAGCATATTGTTTATTTCTATGTATTTTTACAGTTTCCAAAATTCCTCTTATTATTGATTTCTAGTTTTATTTCATTTTTGTCAGAGGATATTAATATTTGATTTTTAAATTTTTTTATTTATCTTTTTCCTTTTCTTCATGGCAGGGAGGGGGCGCTGAGTCTCGCTCTGTTGCCCAGGCTGGAGTGCAGTGGTGTGATCTCATCTCGTTGCAACCTCTGTCTCCTGGGTTCAAGTGATTCTCCTGCCTCAGCCTCCTGAGTAGGTGGGATTACAGGTGCACATCATCTTGCCTGGCTATTTTTTGTATTTTTAATAGAGGTGTTGTTTTGCCACATTTGCTAGGCTGGTCTTGAACTCCCAACCTCAGGTAATCCACCTGCCTCGACTTCCCAAAGTGCTGAGATTACAGATGTCAGCCACCATTCCCAGCTCCAATTTTTTTTAAAAAACATCTTAATGTTTTTGTGGCCTAATGTATAGTATATCCTTGAGACTGATTCATATTCTGAGAAGAATGTGTATTCTGCAGCCATTGGATGAAATATTCTGTAAATATCTATTTGGTTCATTTGGTCTATAGTGCAGATTGAAGTCTGATGTTTTCTTGTTGATTTTCTGTTTGGATAATCTTTCCAATGCTGAAAGTGGAGTTGGGAAGTCTCCGGCAGTTATTGTATTGGGGTCTATCTCTCTCTTTAGCTTTAATAATATTTGTTGTATATATCTGGGTGCTCCAGTGTTGGATGCATAGATATTTACAATTGCTATATTATCATGCTGAATTGACTGCTTTATAATCATGTAAAGACCTTTTTTGTCTCTTTTTATAGTTTTTTTTGGAGATCTATTTTATATGATATGAGCATAGCTATTTCTACTATTTTTGGTTTCTATTTGCATGGAATATCATTTTCCATTCATTTATTTTTAGTCTATGTGTCTCTTTATAGATGAAGTGTGTTTCTTGTAGGCAACAGATCATTGGGTCTTGTTTTTATAATTTATTCAGCCACGCTTTGTCTTTTGATTGGAGAGTTTAGTCCATTTGCATTCAATGTTATTATTGTTAAGTAAGAACTTACTCTTGTCATTTTGTGGTTTATTTTTTGGTTGTTTTGTGGTCTCTCTTCCTTGTTTCCTTCCTTCTTGTTTTCTTTTAGTGAAGATGATTTTCTTTGGTGGTATGTTTTAATTGCTTGCTTTTGCATGTGTGTGTATCTGTTGTATGTTTTCTGATATGAGGTTGCTATGAGACTTGTTGATAATATAACCCATTATTTTAAACCGATAACAACTTAACACTGATTTCATGCAAACTAACAAAGCAGTAAAGAAAAAACTAATAAGGATTCTACATGTAAACTTTGTTTTCCTATTTTTTAACTGGAAATTGTTGTTTCAATTTTTATCTTATTGTACTGTCTATGAAAGTTTTTAGAGTTACTATTTTTGATTGGTTCATGTTGTAGTCTTTTTACTCAAAATATGTGTAGTTTACACATTATAATTACAGTGTTATACGATTCTGTGCTTTTCTGTGTGCTTACTATTACCAGTGAGTTTTGTACCTTTATAATGTTTCTTATTGCTCATTAATGTTCTTTTCTTTCAGACCAAAGAACTCCTTTTAGCAATTCTTGTATGACAGTTCTTGTGTTGATGAAATTCCTTAGCTTTTGTTTGTCTGGAAAAATATTTCACCTTCATATTTGAAGGATATTTTTATTGGATACAGTATTCTAGGATACAAGTTTTTTTTTTTTTCCTTCAGCATTTTAAATATGTCATGCCACTCTCTCCTGAACTAGAAGGTTTCCACTAAAAACACTGCTGCCAGACATACTGTAGCTCCATTGTATGTTATTTATTTCTTTTCTCTTGCTGCTTTAGGATCCTTTTTTGTCCTTGGCCTTTGATAATTTGATGATTAAATGCCTTGAAGCAGTCTTATTTGAGTTAAATTTGCTTGGTGTTCTGCCGGGCATGGTGGCTTACACCTGTAATCCCAGCACTTTGGGAGGCCAAGACAGGCCTGAGGTTGGGAGTTCAAGACCAACCTGACCAACATGGAGAACCCTATGTCTACTAAAAATACAAAATTAGCCAGGCATGGTGGTGCATGCCTGTAATCTCAGCTACTTGGGAGGCTGAGGCGGGAGAATTGCTCAAACCCAGGAGGCGGAGGTTGTGGTGAGCCAAGATTGTGTCATTACGGTCCAGCCTGGGCATCAAGAGCGAAACCCTGTCTCAAAAGAAAAAAAAATCCTGGTGTTCTACAACCTTCTTGTATGTGAACATTGATATCTTTCTCTAGGTTTTGGAAGTCCTTCATTATTATCCCTTTGAATAAACTTTCTACCCATACCTCTCTCTCTATCTCCTCTTTAAGGCCAATAACTCTTAGCTTTGGCCTTTTGAGGCTATTTTCTAAATCTTGTAGACATGCCTCATTGTTTTTTATTTTCTTTTTCATTTGTCTCCTCTGACTGTATTTTCAAATAGCCTGTCTTCAAGCTCACTAATTCTTTCTTCTGCTTGATCAATTTGGCTGTTAGGAGACTCTGATGCATTTTTCAGTCTGTCAATTGCATTTTTGAACTCCAGAATTTCTGCTTGATTCTTTTAAATTATTTCAATCTCTTTGCTAAATTCATCTAATAGGATTCTGAATTTCTTCTCCGTGTTATCTTGAAGTTCTTTGAGTTTCCTCAGAACAGCTATTTTAAATTTTCTTTTTGAAAAGATACATATCTTTATCTCTCTAGGATTGGTCAATGGTACCTTATTTGTTTTGTTTGTTGAGGGTCATGATGCTTGTTGATGTTCTTTGGTGTTTTAGCATTGAAAAGTTAAGTATTGATTGTAGTCTTTGCAGTCTGGGCTTATTTATACCAGTCCTTATTGGGAATGTTTCTCAGATATTCAATGGGACTTGGGCGTTATGATCAAAGTTTTTGGTCACTGCAGCCATGTCTGTATTAGGGGACACCTTAAACTCAGTAATGCTGTGGCTTTTGCATACTTGTAGAGGTACTACCTTGCTGGTTTTATATAAGATCTGGAAGAATTCTCTGGATTAACAGGCAGAGACTCTTGTCCTCTTTATTTACTTTCTCCTGAACAGGTAGAGTCTTAATCTCTCTCTCTCTGTTGCTCTGCCTGGAACTGGGATAGACATGTCCCAAGCACCCCAGTGGCTACCACCACTGGGACTGTGCTGGGTCAGACCTGAAGCCAGCACAGCACTGGGTCTCACCCAAGGGTCACAGTATCCATTGCCTGGCTATCACACCTATGTTCACCCAAGGCCCCAGGGGGTCTACAATCAGCAGGGGGCAAAGCAAGCTAGGCTGTGTCCTTCCCTTCAGGGCAGCAAGTTCTCCCTGAGCCTTGGTGGGTCCAGAGATACTGTTCTGGAGTCAGGCAGGGCTTGGAGTCAGAAACCTTAGGAATCTACCTGGTACCCTATTCTACTGTGGCTGAGTTGGCACTCAAGCCACAAGAAAAAGTCCTTCCCACTATTTCCTCCCCTTTCCATGCACAGATGAGTCTTTCCCTCTGGCCATCACCATCCCAGGCGCGCAGTGAGTATTGCCTGGTTACTGCTAATATTCACTCATGGATCAAGGGCTCTGCAGTCAGCTTGCGGTGAATGCTTCCTGGCCTGGGACTCTCCCTTCAGGGCAGTGGGCTCACTTCTAGCCTAGGGCAGGTTCAAAAGTGCTATCCAAGAGCCCAGGCTTGGAATCAGGGATACCAAGAGCCCCCTTGGTGCTCTACCCCACTGTTGTCAAGCTGGTACCTAAGCTGCAAGATGAAATCCCTTTTACTCTCCTCTCCACTTTTCTCAAGCAGGAGTTTCTCCCCATAGCCACCACAGCTGGAAATATTCTGGGTCACACCTGAAGCCAACATGTCTCTGAGTCTCACCCAAGGCTCATGATGAATACTGCCTGGCTACCACTGATGAGTATTCAGAGCCCAACACTATTTAGTAAGCGGGTGGTAAATTCTGCCAGGACTAGTCCTTCTCTTCAAGGCAGCAGATTCTATTTTGGTCCAAGGTGTGTCCGGAAATGTCGTCTTGGGGCTAGGGCCTGGAATGGGGGCCTCAGGACTCTTCCTGGTGCTATCCTACTGTGGCTGAACTATCCAAGTTGCAAGATAGAGTCCTCTTTACTCTTCCCTCTCTTCTCAAGAAGAAGGAAGGAGTCTCTTCCAGAGCTATGTGCTGCGCTGCCTGGGGTTGTGGGAGGAGAAGTACAAGCACTCTCTTGACTGGTGCCTCACTAGGCACATGCACCTCAAATCCACTGCCTCTGAGCCCAGCACAGCACCAAGACTTGCTCAGAAATTGCAGTCCTTGTGGCCTGGACTTCCTTTCAAGTTTATTTAGGACTCCCGAGCCCTTTAGCCCACAGTGACGAGGCTAGCTAGAACTCAGTTTCCAACCACTGAGATAGGCAATTCTCCTCTCTCAAGGGCTGGTCTCAATGCTTCCTCTGTGGCCACTGGCTGATTTATGCCTAGTGTTGCTTTCCATTGTGACAGGGCAGTACTCGGTTCCAATGCAAAGTCCCGCAATCACTGTGCTTTCCCTGCCCCAAGCACACAGATTCTCTCTGTGCCATGTGGCTGCTGCTGGGGAAATGAGGGAGGGATCACATCCACAATTCAAGGCTATCTTTCCTACCTTTTTTGGTGCCTTTTTCAGTGATATGAAGTTAAAACCAGATACTGGGATTGCTTACCTGATTTTTGATTCTTTCGAAGGTGCTTTTTGTTTGGATAGTTGTTCAATTTGGTGTTTCTGGAGGAAGGACAAACACTGGAGGATTCTATTTGACTATCTTGCTCTACCTCCTCCTGTATGGTAACATCTTAATCACTGACTCTTTTACATTCATCGTGTGTAACTTTTAACCATCTTTTCACAGAATTATAAATTCAAAAGTTATTAATCTTGGAAGACATACGTAGTCCAAATCCCAATGAATGTTTGAATTATTTTCATAAATTCTGGGCATGTTTTACTTTTTATTGAATATCCCATTCAAATTTTTGACCCTAGTTCTGCCACCCGGAGCTATCTAATGCTTCTTCTTCTACTTCTCAAATATAAATTTTACATTCCTAATATAATTTCCCTTTTCTAAGCTAAAAAAAATCTTAGTTCTATTAATCTTTCTTTTAGGATTTTGAATCAATTAGGGATCTTTTAGATTAAAGTGACAAAGCCTAACCAAAACTTTAACAAGGATTAATTTTTCTACATATACAGATATTAGACCACCTATAAGACTGGGATGGTATAGGAGTTCATAAAACACTCCCAGGTTGATTATAAAAGTGTGGCATGAAGGAATTTTGGAATAATGGAAATGTTCCGTATCATCACTGTGGTGGTGGATACCCAACTCTATGCATTTGCTGAAGGCTGTAGAACTATATACCAAAATGTGTGCATTTTACTGGTGTAAATGTCAAAAATCACCCAAGATGTGGGGATAACCCAAACTGAAATGCACTGTTTATGCCTTCTGTATCACTGAAGAAAAATGATCTCTATAATGTACTCGTGAAGAGTGGAATAATATAATACAGAGAAAGGACCAGTTTTTTTTTTTAATGAAGCAGATGAATTTTATGGCGTTGGGTATGAAAGAAGCAAGAAGAAATAAAAATGTCCTCGCTGAATATTAGTAAAACATAATATTCAATGAATGATGCATTCAAAGGAGAAAAACTAATTAAAATTTATTGCTTTGGGTTTACTGGATTTAATACATAAAGTTGTTTTTAATGTGTGAGGGGGTAATTACTTTTATATTAATATTCTTCAGCAAAAGAAGAAATAATCATTATTTAAATACCTGATGTTATTCTTGATGAGAATGCAATTACTTGTGTCAAAATCTGAAGGCACGTCAATTCTAGTATTATATTTTATGTTTAGAAGAAGCTTCCAAAAGTTGTTGACTAACTCAATATTTTTATTGTTTAGAGGAGAATAAACTAAGTGATTTCTCTAGGTTCCTACATTTTGATGATTTAATTATACTTATTGATTCATTTTATCCAGTTTCTATTTTAGCCTTTATATTTGCTGTACCTTCTGTCAAGGAAGATAAAATGCCAGACACGGCATAGTATTTATTGGCAAAAAGAGGATTATAGTCTATTCATGAAAACCATGAGCAATCTATGTGAAAAGTACTACTACATTGTACTCAGGTCACAATGAAAGCTTTTAGTGTGCATTATATGAATCCTTTTTAAAAAAATGCTTTATACCTAGGTGTTTGCAGTAGAATGTTTTCATCAAGAGGATAGCTGACTTTAAATGCTCTAAATAGCATTTGGTTTCTAAAATACTTTACGAACTCTTAAGAAGATTTAGGGATCAAAGCTGTGTTTATTTTTAATTCATCTGGTAAGCCATGCAAATCTTTAAGACTATATTTGCAACCACACTTCAAACGATGTCAGTGTACTGGATTCCATGATGGTGAAGACACTTTTAAATCATTGAAAATATAATTTCTTTTATTTTAATTAAGGAAAATAAATTCTTTTTTAAAACGTAAATGTAGAACTTAGACAAGCATCCAAAAAGCATATTTGAATTGATTTTGTTTTTCTCATT
This sequence comes from Homo sapiens, assembly GCF_000001405.40. Lineage (NCBI taxonomy): Eukaryota > Metazoa > Chordata > Mammalia > Primates > Hominidae > Homo > Homo sapiens. The sequence goes on along the minus strand of NC_000004.12, from coordinate 126,827,488 downwards.
TTCATTTTTTGCTTCCTTTACATTCCTATTTCTCATGCCTTTGTCTGCAAAAGTAAGTTGCTTGTCAAACATTCTGGTATAGTTTAGCATTATGTTTTAAGTAACTTTTTCCATATGCTTGTTTTTGCCTCCATGAGGTTTCTTTGTCTCAACTTTCTTCATTCCCCTCTCCTAAATTAAAAAAAAAAATTCTTTAGCTTTCCTTGTTGTGTTTGGCTATGATGTATAAAATTGGCCATACCCAGCTCTCTCCTGTAAGTTTATAATTTTAATTAGCTTTCTATAAAATTTCCCTCCTGACTCCATCGCCCAGTTAAAATAAGTTTCAACTTCCTCAACTCCCATGAAGTGGGATGTGCAGGAAGTCAGTTATTAAAGGATTAAAAAGAAACCTCTAGGAATCTCATTTCTTCTTTGAAGAAAATTAGGTCAGTTTTTGCCATGTTTTCTGCTTGGCTTCATAGTTCATGGCCACCAATATTTGATGACTTAAAATGGTCTTTTGGCTCTCTCTTTTAAAAAACAAGATTAGTTATGTGTGTTTTACAAACTCTTGCATTTGTGGTAGCACACACTAGAATTAATGTTATTGCTCTTTTTTTTCCCATTACTATATGCTGTCTTTACTCAGAACTTTCTCAAGATCTGTCTTATTGGGTTGGAGATTTGAATGTTTGGTCTCAGATGATGTCCAATTTCTGTTCTTCTGAGCATTTTCAAATTTCAAAGACAGAATCAAAACAAATATTGGAACATGGTAGAAACAAGAAAGCTAATCTCCTTTAAATAAAAATAAATTAGTCAACCTTTGTGTATTCGGGTTCTCTAGAGGGACAGAACTAATAGGAGATATATATATATATATATATATATATATATATATATATATACACAGATATATATATATATATATATACATACACATAGATATATATATATACACATATATATAAAGAGAAGTTTATTAAATATTAACTCTCATGATCACAAGGTCCCACAATAGGCCATCTGCAAGCTGAAGAGCAAGGAAAGCCAGTCTGAGTCCCCAAACTGGAGAACTTGGAGCCAGTGTTCAAGGGCAGGAAGGGTCCAGCATTGGAGAAAGATGTAGGCTTGGAGGCTAGGCCAGTCTAGTCTTTTCATGTTTTTCTGCCTGTTTTATATTCTAGCCGTGTTGGCAGCTAGTTAGATGGTGTCCACCCAGATTAAGGGTAGGTCTGCCTTTCCCAGCCCACTGACTCAAATATTAATCTCCTTTGGCAATATCCTCACAGACACACTCAGGATCAGTACTTTGCATCCTTCAATCCAATCAAGTTGACACTGAGTATTAACAATCACAATTTGTATAATCAATGAATCAGTTCCCCATTGCTCAATTCCCACAGGTTTTGAGGTCCAGAGGCCTCTTGCTGTAAAGTGGTTGCATTACAGAGAGGCAGCTTTTTCTTATGGGATTCAATTCTTATATAATGGGCAGTAAGCATGCTTGTCCTTTGCTATAGAGGAAAATATTATCTTCATATTCCTATACTGTTTAGTATATTACTATTTTGAAAATACTCTGAAACAAAAACAAGTTTTTCCTTTCCTGTAAGAGATGCAGATAAGAAAGACCTGTGAAGAATGGTGTCCTAACAACCCCCCACCAAGCCATTCACACATAACACAAAATAAACTCTAGATGAATTAAATATCAAAATGTGAAAATAAATAAATAAGGTAATGAGTAAGCAATATTGTAAATGTTTGGAAGAAAATAAAGCAAAATTATTTTTGACCTATGGTAAGGACAGTCTTAACCAAGTGACAAGTTTTATTTTATTTTTTTAATTTCCAACTTTTAATTTAAGATCAGGGGTATGCGTGCAGGATGTGCAGGTTTGTTACATAGGTAAACATGTGTCATGGTGGTTTGCTGCACATATCATCCCATCACCCAGGCAGTAAGCCCAGCATCCATTAGCTATTCTTCCTGATCCTCTCCCTCTTCCCACCCTCCACCCTCTGACAGGACCGGGTATGTGTTGTTCCCCTACCAGGTGTCCATGTGTTCTCATAATTTAGCTTCCGCTTGTAAGTGAGAATATGCAGCATTTGGTTTTCTGTTCCTGCCTTAGTTTATGAGCATAATGACCTCCAGATCCATCCATGTCCCTGCAAAGGACATGATTTCATTCTTTTTTATGGCTGCATAGTATTCCATGGTGTATATGTACCACAATTTCTTTATCCAGTTTATCACTGATGGGCATTTAGGTTGATTCCAAGTATTTGCTATTATGAATAGTGCTGCAATGAACATATGTGCGCATGTTTCTTTATTAAAAAACACTTTATATTCCTTTGCTCATATACCCAGTAATGGGATTGGTGGGTTGAATTGTATTTCTGCCTCTAAGTTTTTAAGGAATCTTCCACAATGGATGAATTAATTTATACTGCCACCAACAATGAAAAGAAAGAAAATATTGATAAATATAAGTACACAGCCATTTTAGAATTATAGAGCAGAATATCAACAAAATGACAGATATGGATAAATTACATACATCTTTAATAACTGGCAAAGACTACTGTTAAGAATAAAAAATTGACTCCCAACCAACAACAACAACAACAACAACAACAACAACAACAACAGAACCAAGCTAATATGAATAAAATATATGAACAAGTAACTTACATAAGAAATACAAAACACAAATAACAAAGTCATACTCAATCTCAGTAGAAATAACTTCCTAAAGTGCAGTAAATAAATAAATTTATAATAAATAAATAAATATTGAGTGTCTGATAGCATAGGGAAGCAGGCAATTCCATACACATACTCTTCGGAGGGTGTAATTTGATATAGCCACTTGCGAGGGCAATTTGTCAGCATCTATTAAAATTTACTATTTATGTAGTTAAAGATCCAGTAATGTTCTTCATGTTTACTCTAGAGAAATACTTCCTATTTTACCAAGAAGCCATGTACTACAACATTTATTAAAATGTTACTTGTTATGTAACATCATATAACCAAGATAGTCAGACAGGAGTGGCTATTAAATAAAACTTGAAATGTGATTCAGGCTGGTATCCACAGCATGATACTTATTTAATGAGAGAGAGAGAGAGACAGAGAGAGAGAGAGACATAGGTATGTACAAAATGATCTCGAAGTACACGTGATAAATTGGTAACCACTGGTTACCTCTGAGAGACAAATTTGGGTTGGCAGTTGATGGGAATGACTTTTTCTTTACTTGTGTTATCTAGTTTCTTATTTCTTTTGTATTTTCATGCATCACTTGAGTAGTGAATATTAGTAAAATATTTAAATGAAAAACACTTTCTGAAAATATAATTTTTTTATAAGGAGATAAAATGAGGAGCATATTTTCACATGTTTTCTTTCATGATTTCACATTTTAATTTGACCATTATGTAGTTCAGGTGCTTAAACACCTCTTTTTTTTTTTTTTTTTAAGAATCCTTTTTCCTCTCTTAGGGCATATAGTTTGTTTCTTACAGAATTTATCACACTTTTCATAATTTATTATTTTCATCTTTTTCTTCCCCACTTGACCATGAGCTTTTTGAGGAAAAGAAATGTCTTTTTTCCCCTATGTATCGCCAATGAAAACTACAGTATTTGGCCTATAGAAAACAGTAAAAGATTATTTATTAATGAAAAAATGAGTAAGTGAATTACTTTTCTCCAAATGACACAGTAATTTAAAAATGCTCTGAGGTACAACACCTATACAGTGAAGTATATGAAATTTTAGCACCCTGCTCAGTGATTTTTTTTTAACCTATGTATTCACCCATAAAACCACCACCCACTTCAAGATACAGAACTTTAAATAGCTAGTTTATCATATAGGCGTATGTGATCCTACACTCTCTTTGTTTAATTAAAAAATGTAGTGAGAATGATGGTGGAGTTGAGCAAAGGCATAAGTACCACTCCTGTCAGTGATTGCTCACAGATTGGAACATTTGCATTTACCTCTAGATGATGAAATAGGAAAATAAGAATAAAATTTATGTCGTGTTAAAAAATTTGAGTCATTTAATAATATTTTGGTCAAAGTTTTTCTTGATTTGCCAGCACATTTGATGACGGTAGTTCTAGAATTTCCTTTCTCCCAATGGAATTATTTCATCCCCATGAGGATAACAATTAGTAGCATGAACTGATCAACAAACTATTTTTGCTTTAAAACAAGGATGGCATTGTTTAATTTATTTTCTGAGTAAGTCATGCTTGTACTTTCCTCTAGGTGAAATTACTTCAAAGTTAATAATAACTGTATTAGATATAATAGTGATACCAGATGACTTGGAACATCCCTTGGTGTTCCCTGTGAAGATAAACATTATCATAAATGTGGTTTTAAGTCATTTTGTACCTTTATATGTGTACCTATGAATAATACATTGTTTATTTGTGTTTGCATATTTTATGTGAATTTTGCCTTTCTGTCACTATGAAATAAACCTTTTATCCCTGGTTTTATTTTTTTGTCTTTGTTTTTCTGAGTATATTCAGCCTGATGTCTTGTGTTGTTTGATGATCAAAGTTTTCATCTAGACAAACAATGGATTTTGAGAGAGTAATTTTTATATTTTATTCTTAATTTTAATGATGTTTTGTTCATGAGGCTAGTCAAAGATAAATGCAGAGTCCCTCAGAAACTAGAAAATAATGGCTCATTTAGCGTTTACTATTCCTATGAAGACCTGACAGCCAAAATGTGAAACTCAGTTTTTGCTCTTCTTTCTGATACATGTATAAACACACATGCACACTTCAAGCAAATGGAAAAGTATACAGGATAATATAGTGAATAACCATGCATCTTTATCTAAGTCTGTGACATCTGTATAGTTGGCACTGTTTGCTTTTTTAAAAAAATTGTTAAAGAATAAACTATTGTATTATTGGTTGAAATCACTTTTGTGCAGTTTCTTATTGAAAATTTATCCTATTCAGAGGGAAACACTATCTTTAATTTGGAATTTATCTTCCTAGATATATTTCATAATTGCAGTACATATGTGAATTTCATTAAGATTAGATACATATTATTTTCTAAATTTTATAACTCCACGTTAATAATATCATACTTTATGTGTACTTTTAAAACTTGCTGTTTAATTTTGACCCAGTATTGCTTTGAGATTTAGCCAAGTTGAAAAAGAAGTTGTATTAGCCTAAATAAAATCTTTTTTGATCCATAAATTAACTATTACAAATAAAGTAGAAACCTTTTATCTTCCTACCCTCCAAGTGCCATCCCTTGGTGTTCATTGTGAAGACAAACATTATCATAAATGTGGTTTCAAGTCATTTTGTACCTTTATATGTGTACCTATGAATAGTACGTTGTTTATTTGTGTTTGCATATTTTATGTGAATTTTGCCTTTTTGTCATTATGAAATATACCTTTTATCTCTGGTAATATTTTTTTGTCTTGTTTTTCCGAGTTTATTCAGCCTCTCCTGTCTTAGTTTTACTGCTTATATGTTTCCCATCGTTTTGCTTTCAACATATCTGTGCCTTTATATTGAAAGGCTTGCTGTTGTGCTTTTTAATTTATTTTTATTTTTAAATATTTGACATATATATGCATTTATTTATATAGTCACATACAGATTTGACAAATAGAGTGTTTAAAATTAAATATGTATAGAAATAGTTTTGTCATAGAAGAATTAAAACCTTTCTATACTTTGTATCCATAAGAAAGTTTTAAGAAAAGACAAAAAACCAAACACCACATGTTCTCACTCATAGGTGGGAATTGAACAATGAAAACACATGGACACAGGAAGGGGAACATCACACACTGGGGCCTGTTGTGGGGTGGGGGGAGGGGGGAGGGGGGAGGGATAGCGTTAGGAGATATACCTAATGTAAATGACGAGTTAATTGGTGCAGCACACCAACATGGCACATGTATACATATGTAACAAACCTGCACGTTGTGCACATGTACCCTAAAACTTAAAGTATAATAATAAAAAAAAGTTTACACACACACACAAATAAAAAATAAAAATAAAAATAAAAAACAGAACTTCAGTTTTGGTTAGGTATTGCTTTTTAAATTCAGTCTGATAATCTGCCTTTTTAAAAATGTATTTAGTACATTTATATTTAATGTAAACTGTTTATCATTTTACAATATTTTTGTTTGTCCTCTTTAAGTGTATGTTTCTCCTTTCCTATCTTGATTTAAGTTAATTAAATATTTTTAATAGTCCACTTCATATTGTATATTTTAGCTATAACTACATTATTTTAATCTAGACATTATAAAATACATCTAAGTTATCATAGTCCAATTAGTGTTATTTTATGTATAGTGTGAGCAGACTGTAACAGTATTATTGCATCTAACATCCCTTCCCAACCTTTGTCGCCATCCATATATATTAGATCTATATCTGTAATAAATTCCAGTGTTATGATTTTGCTTTACACAGTTATTTGTATTTGCAAAATATTAAGTAAATGAAAAACGATATATCTATATTCATCCATATATTTGTCATTTTTCTTGATTTATTCCTTCCTGTAAATTCAAGTTTCCATCTGATATACCATCAGCCTAATGAATATTCAACATATCTTACAGTGCATGTTTGCTGATGATGCACTTTTTCTTATTAATTTTAAAATTTATGATGGACACATAATAATTATGCATATTTATAGAGTACAATGTGATGTTTCCATGAATGTATACATTGTATAATGATCAAATCAGGATAATTACCATATTCATCACTTTAAATGTTTAGCATTTCTTTGTGGTGATAACATTCAAAATCTCTTCTAGCTGTCTTGAAATATACAGTACATTTTTATTTGCCGTAGTCATTCTACTGTGGAATAGAACATTGGAAGTTATTCTTCTTCTCTCATTGTAACCCTGTACCTCTTTACCAGCCTGTCCTTGTCCTCCCTTCCCTGTTCTCTGTAGCCTCTGGGGAGGACCATTATTCTACTCTCTATTTCTATAAAATCAACTTTTTTAAGATTTCACATGAGTGAGATAATGCAATATTTGTATTTCTGTGCCTGGCTTATTTCATGTAACATAGTGTCCTACCAGTTCATCCATGTTGCCACAAATGACAGGATTTTGTTCTGTTTTATGGCTGAGTAGGATTCTATTTGTGTGTGTGTGTGTGTGTGTGTGTGTGTGTAAAATATTTTGTTGACTATTACCCAGTGTGTGTTTTTGGAGCCTTTGTCAAAAATTAGTTGGTTGTAATGCACAGATTTATTTCTGGGTTTTCTATTCTGTGTTCCATTGATCTATGTGTCTGCGTTTATGCTAGCACTGTGCTGTTTTGATTACTATAGTTTGTAGTATATTTTGAAGTTAGGTAATGTGGTGTGTCCAGCTATGTTTTTTTTTCTCATAATTGCTTTGACTATCTAGGTATTTTTGTATTTCCATATGAATTTTAAGATTTCTTTTTATTTCTGTGAAGAATGTCATTGGTATTTTCATAAAAGTTGCATTGAATCTATAGGTTGCTTAGGGTAATATGGACATTTTAACAACATCAAATTTTCCATCCATGAAGATGTGCTATCCTCACATTTTTTTTTTGCCTTCTCCATTTCTTTCATCAGCGTTTTATAGTTTTTATTATCGAAATCTCTCACTCATTGGTTAGGTTTATTTCTAGATATTCTATTTTTTTGTAGCTGTTGTAAATGGAATTGCTTTCTTGGTTTGTTTTTCAGACAGTTTGCTATTGGCATATAAAAATGCTACTGGTTTGTAATGTTGATTTTGTATCCTGAAACTTTACTAAATTCATTTATTAGTTCTAACAGTATTTTGGTGGAGCCTTTAGGGTTTTCTACGTATATGATCACACTGTCTGCAAACAGACAATTTGACTTCTCAATTTGGATGCAATTTTCTTCTTTCTCTTGCCTAATTGCTCTAGAACTTCCAATACTATGTTGAATAAAACTAGTGAAAGTGTGCATCCTTGTCTAATTCCAGATTGTAAACACTTTGCATTTTTTTTTCTGTTCAGTATACTTAGCTGTGGGTTTGTCATATGTGGCCTTCATTGTGGTGAGGTATGTTTTCTTCTATACTCAATTTGTTGTGAGTTTTTATCATGAAGAAAACTCATTCAACATCACATTGAATTTTATTCAGTGCGTTTATGGTACCTATTGAAATTATCATTTTGTTTTATGGCTGAATAGTAATCCATTATGTGGAATATTGGAATAATATCTATTATGTGGAATATATTATTTTAATGTGATTTAGCATGTTCAGTTCATTAATTTGCATATGTTAAAACATCCTTCCATCTCTGATTATGGTGAATGATCTTTTTATATGTTGTTGAATTTGATTTGCTTAGTAGTTTGTTGAAAATTTCTGCATTTGTGTTCATCAGGGATATTGGCCTGTAGTTTTCTTTTTTTTATTGTGTCCTTTGTGGTAACACATCCTTAAAGTCTTTGTGTACCTAAAAATGTCTTTATTTTTCCATTTCTGATTATATTTTTGGTATTTCCCTGTACAAAATTTTTTTCATTTTGTTTTACTTTAAAGATTCTTTCTTTACCTTTGCTTTTCAGAAATTGAATTTAGGTGGTTGAATTATGTATAGATATTTAGGTGTGGTTTTACTTGTTTTTCCTACTTGGAATTCAGTGGGCTTATTGAATCTTCTTCATTAAATTTGCAAAATGTTATGACATTGTGTTTTCAATTTTTTTTCTGCTGTATTCTATCTCTCCTATCCATATGAGACTCTAAATGCACAGAGGTTGAGCTTCTTGGCATTGTCATAAAAGTAACTAAAATTCTGTTCATTAGAAAGTATGTATTTCTGCCTGTTCTTTATAAAAGACAATTTCTATTGTTTTATCATCAAGTTCACTGACTATTTTAGATTCATCTAATCTGCTATAAATCTTACCCAGTAAATTTTTCTCTTAAAATATTTTACTTTTCTGTAACTCTAACTTCCATTTAGTTTTTGAAATTTTTCTATTAATCTCTTGGTATTCCCCATCTGTTCATTTGTTATGATCATATTTTCTTCAAGTACTTGAATATAATCAAAATTTTTGTCCACTAATTCCGGCATCAAATTTGGTTTCTACTCACTATTTTTTCTCTTGAATATGTATTACATTTTTCTGCTTATTTGTATCTAATACTTTTATTTATATTCAGGATTGTATATAAAATATTATAGGGCATCTGTAACCAGCGATCTTCCTTTAAAGGGTGTTTTATTTATTAAAATTATTGATACATCTGGAAATACTTATACCATCTATTTTTACCTGTATATTCTTATACTTGGCATGCCTGTTTTATACTTCTCTTTGCTCGTTCCTTCTTTTAGATTGTTTATTTTTCTAATTTTTTTTGTTTCTGATATTTGAAAATTATATACATTTTCTAATTTTTGGTGGCCACTCTAAAATGTTAATGTCAATATTAGCTTTTCAATGTTTAATGTGACTCCATATCTAATTGCTCTCACAAAAGAGTAAGGAATATATATATATATATATATATATATATATATATGTAGTTATCCATCCTCCCTTTTTAATGTTATGTTAGCTGGTATTTAGTTATCCATAAATTGTACACCCATAAAATTTATTCTATCATTTCATACTATCAGCATTTAGATGTTTGAAACCTTCTAACACTTTTTTTGTACTTCACTAATTTTTGTCTTTTAACCCTTTAATCAAAGGCCACATTTTCTTCTATGTTAATTTGCTAAAATGATGTTAATTTGTTATGCAGCAAAAGATAACTCTACCTTTTTATTATAATATGATAATCACCAATTTTTAAACAACTGATATTTATTATAATATATTTGGATTTTACTATTATAATTCGTTGTTTTATTTGTTCCACTTTTATCTTCCTTTTATTCTCCCTTCCTGTATTCTATTGGATTTATAATTTTCTCTCAATATTTTTCCCTTGACTTCCATAATTAATACGTGGCACTTCTGCTTCTAATAAGGATTATTCTTAAAATTGTAATGTCGATTTTATAGGCATATCCTATTTTTATAATTTTCCTCATTCATTTATTCTTATATCTCACTCTTTCTATATGGTTTCACTTTCTTTTTTTCTAAGTTTTACATTCTTTTGTAATATTAGAAATGGAGTTCATTTTGTGAACAAACTTTCAGTCATGCTTTTCACAGAATATCTACATTTTACCCTGGCTAGTGATTTGTCATTTGCCAGAATATGGTATAATTTATATAGATGTTTCCGTCTTTTATTAATAGTAAATATCTACGTGTACAAATCGAAGTTTTTTCAGGTTTATTTCTAGGTAGCTCATACCCTTTGCTGCCATTGCAAATGGTTTCTGTAACTGATGCTGCCAGTGCCCTATCCGTATTCCTTCAGCACTAACCTTTTCTGCACACTGTCCTGACGTCAGGCTGCCAGCATATGTGTCTGTGTCCTAAGGTCTTCATTGGCCACTGGAGCCTGCTCTCTCCAAGAGTGTGGGATAGGCTAAAAGTTCTGGGAAGTTAACATCCCATCCTATACCAGCCCTCAGACAACAACTAACAGTAATTGATGAATAAAAACCCATGCCATCCAACCCATTAAAAGAAGGAATAACTGTGATATGTGCTCTTCACCATGTATTTCCTTTGGTTTCCACAATGAGATTAAGCTTCATCAATTAACACTGTCCCCTGCTTTGACTTGCTCACTGGAGTGCAGTGGTGCTATCTTGGCTCACTACAACCTTTGCCTCTGGGTTCAAGCTATTCTCCTGTCTCAGCATCCCAAGTAGCTGGTACTACAGGCGCCTGCCACCACACCCGGCTAATTTTTTTGTATTTTTAGGAGAGATGGGGTTCACCCTATTGGTCAGGCTGGTCTTGAACTCCTGACCTTGTGATTCACCTGCCTCGTCCTCCCAAAGTGCTGGGATTACAGGTGTGAGCCACCACACATGGCCAGTGTTTTCATTTTCTATTGCTGCTGTAACAAATTAGCACAAACTTAATGACTTAAAACAACAAAATATATTAATTTAATGTTCTGAAGGTCAGAATTTCTTCTTTTTTTTAAAAATTATACTTTAAGTTCTGGGATACATGTGCAGAATGTGCATGTTTGTTACATAGGTATATACGTGCCATGGTGGTTTGCTGCACCCATCAACCAGTCATCTACATTAGGTATTTCTCCTAATCATATGCCTCCCCTAGCCCCCCACTCCCCAACAGGCCCCAGTGTGTGATGTTCCCCTCCCTGTGTCCATGTGTTCTCATTGTTCAGCTCCCACTTATGAGTGAGAACATGCGGTGTTTGGTTTTCTGTTCCTCTGTTAGTTTGCTGAGAATGATGGTTTCCAGCTTCATCCATGTCCCTGCAAAGGACATGAACTCATCCTTTTTTATAGTATCCCCTGGTGTATATGTGCCACATTTTCCTTATCCAGTCTAACATTGACTGGCATTTGGGTAGGTTCCAAGTCTTTGCTATTGTGAATAGTGCCGCAATGAACATACGTGTGCATGTGTCTTTATAATAGAATGATTTATAATCCTCTGGGTGTATACCCAGTAATGGGATTGCTGGGTCAAATGGTATTTCTAGTTCTAGGCCCTTGAGGAATCGCCACACTGTCTTCCACAATGGTTGAACTAATTTACACTCCCACCAACAGTGTAAAAGCATTCCTATTTCTCCACATCCTTTCCAGCATCTGTTGTTTCCTGACTTTTTAATGATCGCCTTTCTAACTGGCGTGAGATGGTATCTCATTGTGCATTTCTCTAATGACCAGTGATGATTAGCTTTTTTTTTCATATATTTGTTGGCTGCATAAATGCCTTTTGAGAAGTTTCTGTTCATATCCTTCTTTTTGATATCTACTTTTTGATTGGGTTTTTTTTTTCTTGTAAATTTTTTTAAGTTCTTTGTAGATTCTGGATATTAGCCCTTTGTCAGATGGATAGATTGCAAAAATTTTCTCCCATTCTGTAGGTTGCCTGTTCACTCTGATAGTTCTTTTGCTGTGCAGAAGCTCTTTAGTTTAATCAGATCCCATTTGTCAATTTTGGCTTTTGTTGCCATTGTTTTTGGTGTTTTAGTCATGAAGTCTTTGCTCATGCCTATGTCCTGAATGGTATTGCCTAGGTTTTCTTCTAGGGTTTTTATGGTTTTATGTCTTATGTTTAAGTCTTTAATCCATCTTGAATTAATTTTTGTATAAGATGTAAGGAAGGGGTCCCGTTTCAGTTTTCTGTATATGGCAAGCCAGTTTTCGCAACACCATTTATTAAATAAGGAATCTTTTCCCCATTGCTTGTTTTTGTCAGGTTGGTCAAAGATCGGATGGTTGTAGACATGTGGTGTTGTTTCTGAGGCCTCTGTTCTGTTCCATTGGTCTATATATCTGTTTTGGTACCAGTAACATGCTGTTTTGATTACTGTAGACTTGTAGTATAGTTTGACATCAGGTACTGTGATGCCTCCAGCTTTGTTCTTTTTGCTTAGGATTATCTTGTGTATACGGGCTCTTTTTGGTTCCATATGAAATTTAAACTAGTTTTTTCTAATTCTGTGAAGAAAGTCAATGGTAGGTTGATGGGGATAGCATTGAATCTATAAATTACTTTGGGCAGTATGACCACTTTCACGATATTGATTCTTCCTATCCATGAGCATGGAGTGATTTTCCATTGTTTGTGTCCTCTCTTGTTTCATTGAGCAGTGATTTGTAGTTCTCCTTGAAGAGGTCCTTCATCACGTGTAAGTTGTATTCCTAGGTATTTTATTCTCTTTGTAGCAATTGTGAATTGGGGTTCACTCGTGATTTGGCTCTCTGTTTATTATTGGTGTAAATAGAATGCTTGTGATTTTTGCACATGGATTTTGTATCCTGAGCCTTTGCTGAACTTGCAATACTGTGTTGAATAGGAGTGGTGAGAGAGGGCATCGTTGTCTTATGCTGGGTTTCAAAGGAAATGCTTCCAGCTTTTGCCCATTCAGTATGATAATTGGCAGTGGGTTTGTCATAAATAGCTCTTATTATTTTGAGATACATTCCATCAATACCTAGTTTATTGAGAGTTTTTTAGCACGAAGTGCTGTTGAATTTTATCGAGGGCCTTTTCTGCATCTATTGAGATAATCATGTGTTTTTTGTCATTGTTTCTGCTCATGTGATGGATTACATTTATTCGTTTATGTATGTAGAACCAGCCTTGCATCCCAGGGATGAAGCCAACTTGATCATTGTGGATAAGCTTTTTGATGTGCTGCTGGATTTGGTTTGCTAATATTTTGTTGAGGATTTTCGCATTGATGTTCATCAGCAATATTGGCCTGAAATTTTCCTTTTTTGTTGTGTCTCTGCCACGCTTTGGTATCAGGATGATGTTGGCCTCATAAAATGAGTTAGGGAGGAGTTCCTCTTTTTTCTATTGTTTGCAGTAATTTCAGACGGAATAGTACCAACTCCTCTGTGTACATCTGGTAGAATTTGGCTGTGAATCTGTCTGCTCCTGGGCTTTTTTTGTTTCGTAGGCTACTAATTACTGCCTCAATTTCAGAACTTGTTATTGGTCTATTCAGGGATTCGACTTCTTCCTGGTTTTGTCTTGGGAGGGTGTATGTGTCCAGGAATTGATCCATTTCTTTTAGATTTTCTAGTTTATTTGCATAGAAGTGTTCATAGTATTATTCTCTGATGGTAGTTTGTATTTCTGTGGGATCAGTGGTGATAACCCCTTTATCATTTTTTATTGTGTCTATTTGATTCTTCTGTCTTCTTCTTTATTAGTCTGGCTAGTGGTCTATCTATTTTGTTAATCTTTTCAAAAAACCCGCTTCTGGATTAATTGATTTTTTTGAAGGGTTTTTTGTGTCTGTTTCTCCTTCAGTTCTGCTCTGATCATAGTTATTTCTTGTCTTCTGCTAGCTTTGGAATTTTTTTGCTCTTGTGTGTGTAGTTCTTTTAATTGTGACATTAGTGTGTCCGGTTTTAGATTTTTCTCCCTTTTTCCTGTGGGCATTTAGTGCTATAAATTTCCCGCTAAACACTACTTCAGCTGTGTCCCAGAGATTCTTGTTTGTTGTGTCTTTGTTCTCATTGGTTTCAAATAACTTATTTATTTTTGCCTTAATTTCATTATTTCCCCAATATCATTCAGGAGCAGGTTGTTCAGTTTCCATGTAGTTGTGTGGTTTTGAGTGAGTTTCTTAATCCTGAGTTCTAATTGATTGCACTGTGGTCTGAGAGACTGTTTGTTATGATTTCCATTCTTTTGCATTTGCTGAGGAATGTTTTACTTCCAATTATGTGGTCAATTTTAGAATAAGTGCTGAGAAGAATGTATATTCTGTTGATTTGGGGTTGAGAGTTCTGTAGATGTCTATTAGGTCTGGTTGGTCTAGAGCTGAGTTCAAGTCCTGAATATCCTTGTTAATTTTCTGTCTCCTTGATTTAATAATGACAGTGGGGTGTTAAAGTCTCCCAGTATTATTGTGTGGGACTGTAAGTCTCTTTGTAGGTCTCCAAGAACTTGCTTTTTGAATCTGGATGCTCCTATATTGGGTGCATATATATTTAGGATAGTTAGCTCTTCTTGTGGCCTTGATCCCTTTACCATTATGTAATGCCCTAATTTCTGAAGGTCAGAATTTCAAATTGGCTTCCCCTGTTCTGAAATCAAATTATCAGCAGGATTGTGTTCCTTTTTGAAAAGTCTAGGGGAGAATTTGTTTTGTTGCCTTTCCCAGCTTCTAGAAAAGAAGATTACATTCCTCAACTCATGGCCCACTCATCCATTTTCATCTGTCCAGCAATGACAGGTTGATTCCTTCTCACACTACATGACTCTAAACCTGATTTTGTCATCAAATCTCTTTTTGTGATTCTTATTCCCTCTTCTACTTTTAAGGACCCTTGTGATTACATTTGACCCACCCCTATAGTCCAGGATAATCCTTCTTGTTAGATGATAAGCAAAATGGTGATTTCATTTGCAACTTTAATTTCCCTTTGCCATATAATCTAATATTTTCATAGGTTCTGGGTTTTGGGACATGGGCATTTTTGGGAGGCCATTATTCTGCCCACCACACTCAATAATTCACCTTTACTGACTTTCTTTCTCTGTTTGTTTCAGTCCCCCTAGTGGTATTATTTTCCTGGGTTCAACTTTGCTCAGTTTTTATTTTTATTTTTTAATATTATTTTTTCTATTTGTTCCTTGGTGACTCATAATAAACTTCATGTATTAATCATATTTCAGCTGTCTCATTAGATTATCAGCTAATCTCTAATGTTTCTTCTAAAAATTATTTCAGTTTCTAGATCTGTAGTTATATCACCTGTTAATAATGACAGTATCATTTCATTCTTTTCTTTTTTACCTTTTTCTTATTTAATTGCTTTTGCTAGAATTCTAAATACAATGTTGAATAGAAATGGTGAGTTTGGCCACTCTTCTTATTCTAATTTAAATGAATATTATCTAATAATATCTAATGTTTTGTTACTTTGAATAATGTTATTATGATAAATTAATCAAGCTGAAGTTTTTAAAATACTAGTTTACTAAATATAAGCATTTCAAGTTTGAATTTTTTTATTCTTACTAGTTCACTAAAAGTTACCATGAATAGGGTTTAATTTTATCAAAGTCATTAAACTATATTTTAATGGATAGTCATGTTTCCCTTCTTTAATCTGACAATATGGTAAAGGTCATTTATAGACTTATTAATTAAAGCCACTCTCTGTATTCCTAGGATAGAGATTTTTTAGTTATTTTAAATGATAGTTTTTAAGATAATATGAAATTAAATTGCTATCTTCAGATTTTTCATTTACATTAGTGATTGATATAGATTTATAATTTTCATTATTTAATATTGCTCTTTTCTGGTTCCTTATTCCTAAGTAGATCCTTTAGTAGTTCTTTGAGTAATAGTATGTAAATGGGAAATTGTTTCCATTTTTGTTGCCTGAAAGTACCTTAATTTCATTCTCATCTTGATTGATCATTTTTCTGAGTATATATTAATTTTTGAGAATTTTTTTCAACATTATACATGCATTATTCCATTTATTTCAGTTTCTACTGTTCCTTTGCAAAGGCTGTTGTCAGAATCTTTTTAGTTTGTATAATTTTGTTTAATAATTTTTCTTTTCTCTCCATTTGCTTTTTAAGTTTTCCTTCCTCTTGGGGTTATAGTAATTTTTATTACTATAAAATTAGGTGTAGATTCATTTTCACTTATTTCATTCAGTTCTTGTTGCATCACAAAATAAAGATTCAAGCAAGTTCTTACATGGGTAAATGTCTCAACCATTGTCTTTCCAAATTTTGCCTCTCTGCATTCTATCTGATCTTCCAATTTGGAAATCCTATTAGTCAAAACAAATTTCTTCATTCTATCCTTGATACCACTTAACTATTCTCTCATATTTTTTGTTTATTTGTCTTCATAATTTCATTTTATCCTCATATTTCTCCAATATTCTATTTTGAGAGTTTAAAAAATTGTAACTGATTATTATATTTTGTTATTTATTTCAAATAGTTATTTTATATTTTTATCTGATAGGATTACTTGTTGAAGTTCTTTATTGCCTGATTCTATTGGTATTATGACTGCTGAATTTTGCTTACAGTGTTTAATAATTTTGGAATTGTGAACTTCTTTTCAGCATACCTTTAGCTTGGGATATCCTGTGAAGCTTGAGAAAAGATTTGATTTACTTCTACCAGGGACATATTTTATTATTAATTTCTTAACTTGCAGTGGTCCTATTCAAAAATAATGTGAAATTTAAAATCTATCATATATCAGAGTAGATCCATGATAAAACATTTTCTGTATCCTGTATTCAGTGTTTTACAATAAAGTGGCCTATGGGGGTAGGGGGTCGGGTGGAAGCACTGTACTGATAAACTGTAAAAATTGTGTATTGCTCTTTCTTTTTTAAAAAAAAAAAAACTAGATTGGTTATTTAAGAATTCTGAATAACATCAGAAAATATTTATTAAAGTTTAAATTACCATACATACTCATGTAACATGCTGAAGTATTCATTAAAATATTTACTTGCAAATACTATGTTATACAATTTTCAGGGGAAGTCTTACTAAAATAATTATAGTATTAGAATGACATTTTAAATGATCTGTGGCTCCAGGCACTGAAAATTTGCAAAAATAAATTTGATATGTGTGAGTGCCAGAGTTTATGTTAACATAAGACTTTTATTACATTATTAGTGAATGTGATAATAAAATAATAGCATATTTATGATACGGCATTTCACACAGCACTTCCACAGAAGCAATTTATGTAATTCTCAGTGAAGTTCTCAAGGAAGTATGGCAGATATTATTATTCTCATTTTACATAGTGATAAACAAAGCCCCAGCCTTGTTAAGTTAACTTTTTCTCTAATAATTGGAGGTGGGATTTGGTCCAAGATTTTCTAACGGTAAATTCATTACTCTTGTACCTTCATGCTCCTGCTTGGATTTTAGCTTTATAAGCAATAAAGACAGGATGTTAAGCTGGTATCTCTAATTATGTCTTATGATTTTATACATGCTTGTTTTCAATAACAACAACAACAACAAAATTAAAGGAAAGTTTCCATGTGTTATGAAGCAGACACCATACCCCCTTTTCTAGGTCTCTTTTTTATAATTCTTCAAGGTTTTCTAACGTAAATTCATCACTCTTATACCTTCATCATTATTTCTGATTACCAGAAATAATCATTAAAGAAAATACAAAAATTTCAAATTGTTTTTTACACTGTGAGTTTTAACCTTTTGATATAACTGTTTTGATAAGGTTTAAAAGTTTGTGGAAATATTTTTTTTAAATCTCAAACAACAGAAATGTTGTAACCTAGATTTTTGCTGAGTTATTTTTTCTCTATCTGAAAGTTAAGCAATTGTAATTGCAACTTTTGACGAATCCTAGCATGTTAAATGTTGGGTCTTTGAGCACTACATTTGTTATATAATAAATAATAAAATGATATGTTCTTTTAAATTACTTAATTCAATAAAGACAAATTATGTAAGATGATCTCAAATGAACTTTGTCAGAGTACTACAAGAACCAAGTATTAGATTGAGCTGAAGGATCTCTGATTTTGGTATATTTCTGTATAATTTGATACAGCACAATTTTAGCATCTGTGATTTCATTAAGAAAGCATGTGTGAGTTAAACCTTGGTTAAGTTCTATAACAAATTGTCATTTTTCTCTTTCCACCCTTTTCTTCCATCTATGTAGAATATACATACATGCTTTGTTTTATTTCTTAACTTGTAAAATATCAACAAGGTCTAAGGAAGAGATTGTAGATTATGGTATAATTTTCTGTCAAGACTTATTTTGATTTGAACTTTGATTTTGTATATTTTACTGTTACTCTTTGAGTTCCTATCACACTGACGATCTGAGCTCACATTACTTTACTTTGGATATAATTTATGATTATAGTTGAAGCATAAATGTTTATCAGTGCATGTAAATTATTGTGTAATATTTATTTAGCATATTGTTTAAAAATGCATATTTTCTTTAATGATATCCATATGTTTCTAACTACAATTATCTTTGAGAAAATTTTTGTCTCCATCAGGCTAAAAGTAATATGTGCTTTTCTATTCATTTATGTGAAATTATTCATTATACATTATTGAGCGCTATAAATTCTAGTATTTATATTTCTGTTTTTTGATGAAAATTAAAAATATTCAATTGATGTTATAATCCTGATAACACTTCTCTGTCTCTGCCTATTAAGTGAATCTTCAACTTCTTTACTTTGGAACACTGATCTTCATTTGCAGTCTGTGTTTTCCAGGTGGCTATCCTCAAGTTTGCACTCAAACAAACTCTATACTTAATCATAAAAAAAATTCAATTTGTTTCATGGGGCAAATATCATCTTGTATAGTGTTTTAAAATCAGCAGTTGATTAGAATACAAGAGTTTAATTTTTTTCAGTGTAATGCTTTAAGGGTGTGCATATGTGCTATCAACAATCACTTTTTTGAGCTATCTAGAGGCCACATGGGAATGATATACCATCTTGGATCTAGAGTTTTTGTTTGTTGCTTAATATTATTTTGAACTCCAGATTTGCCCTCCTGTGTTTGGATGTGCACTTTCTTAATTTATCAGACCTCATCTTCTTTCACTATTATTTATTTGGTCTTTCAAACTACTTTGATTTCAAATAGTTTATTAAAATATGTAAGATAAATGGAGGAAAAGTGATGAACTAGAAAGTGTATAAAATGCCCTGTCTAACTGATAATATGTTATTTGTTTTTGATTCAGTGCCACCTAATTGGCAATGAAAACCCAAATTAATTGTGAATTAAACACAATCTTTCATTTGTAGAAATGTTATGTCTAAGGATCAACTATTATACTATTTTAAATTTAAGGCAATCATATTACAGCAAAAATCATATTATGTAGTAGGTCTAGAGCAATCTCAAGAGATTCCACGTATTAACATAAACATATAAGCACTCATAAAAGAATCACTCATATTTAAACTTATTATAATGATAATTATAAATCTCAATAAAATATCCAGCAAATAAAGAAACAATTCTCATTTGCTTCAAAAATAATATAGTTCAAACTTTTCTCCAAAGATCCTTATGAGTCTAACCTATGCTGAAGACAGTGTCACCGAGAAAAATCTGTCACTATAACAATGGATCCAAGGATAATCAAAAATCACATCTTTCCTTGACAGTTGTTTTTCCTCCATGGAATAATTTACAAAAGGTTTTCTTAGATCAGTTTTCCCTAACGACAAGATCATTTGCATTTTCTCACAATAAAAGTATGAGGGAGGTTTCTGAAAACTTCTTGGCTTGTTGGCAAAATCTAGCATTTATAGAGATCAAATTTATCAAGCTCAAGCAGAAAATGGTGTGAGAAGCCTAACACAACAGCAATAAATAGTCATCTCCCAATGCTGTGTGTCACAGCTGGTGGAAACTTGCTGATCCATTTCTTTCACCAATCACTTGGCACATTCTTTTACATAGCAGTGCCTCAGGGCACAGCAAAGGGCTTGGAAGCCATGAATGGTGAACAGTTTTTCCCACTGAGCATCTGTCCCTGAGACTGTCATGAGTGTGTTGTTGATTTGTTCTGTAGCATATCCTCAGGCATGCAAAGAGGCAGGGACCATGGAATCAGTCAATACGTTGCTATAATTTCATGAGTCTGTATCAAATCACACTGTGCAGCATATGTGAAACTGAGTAGTTAAAATTTCCAAAGGAAATACAGTGTTCATCAAAAGATATTGAACAGCAACACACTAATGATTCACATAATCAAAGAGGAAGAAGTCAAAATTAGATTCCAGAAATTCAACAGGTATTTTTTTTAAAATATTAAAAGCCCACATTTACATATAGTAAACTATCTCTGTTCCCTTCATCATCTCGTCAATATCTTTCTGGCTGTCAATTCCTTTCATATTATTTTTCTCTTTCCTTATCTGTTCTGCTTCTCCCTTGTCAGTTTAGAGGAGTACTAGATTCAATATGCTTTTATCAAAAAGATTGAAAGTACCTGAAGGTATTCAGAGAAGTAAGTAGTGCATTAGGTGATTCCTGATGTGCTGTAACTAAGCAAAAACAAGCATGCCTGTATAATACTATCATTTAAAAAATTGAGTATCAATTGTATTTTTATTTGTATTTGGAAATGGTACTATTACTTTAGATTTAATAATTTGTTTTTCCAGCCTCTTTTTGAGATATTACATTTAATGATTCCAAAGTACTACAGACATTTCTTGTTTTTTTACACTTTTTACATTTTTTTCAAATGTTGAGGTTCTACATTATGCAATGACAAATCCTATTCTGGAAATAAATAACAAATAGAATTAGTGCAAATGATTTTCAGGCCTAAAGTAGTCCAAGCGAGTCAATACTTAGTTATTGTATGTTATGTGACACAAAACACATGATTTAAAAACTCAAACATCTAAAAAGCACAAAATTTATAGATATTTGGAAATGCTGAGAAGATTAACAGATTTTTTAGTTTATGTTTGAATCCTGATTTGTTCCATGTGGCGAAAGCCACAAAATACAAAATTTTGTTTTTTTCATTAAGTAGTTCAGTAGTTAAGTAGTTTTTAAACTTTGAGTTCATATCATGAGAATTTGGTAGGAAATTTGGCTCTTCATGAAATACACAGAAGTCAACTCCATAACCTTTTAACATAAATATTTTGGTTTTTTAAAAAATATATAAATATAGTAGAAATGCCCCATGGATTTGAACTTTTTTACAGTCAAATCAGATTTCAGTGCAATTGGAGGTAGTGAAAATAATATCTTATTCGCAGGGTTCTAGCAGAATGGAAATTGCCGCTAAACTCTGTCAAGTTTTACTAGAATTCCATTTTTAAAAAACAAGAAAAATAGGATATCAAGGAGGTTATGTGAAAAAAAAATATTTTCTATTGGGATTGGGTGATCAAGCACAGAACTTGCTGATTATAGGTCCAATATGATGATAAATAGAGAGTGAGCATTGGATTTAGCAAAGGTAAAAGTCTGATGACCCTGACAAAAAGAGTTTCTATTCTCTGAACCAAATTTAAGGGCCCACTGGATGGACTTTAAAACAAAGTACATGTAGATAAAGAAAGAATGCAAAATTGCAAAACACCAGAGAAGAAAATATTCAGGAAAAAGCATAGAGAGACATAAATTCAGGAAAGACAGAAGACAGACAAGAGAAATAAAGACAGAACAATAAGCTCTAATATATTTGTATTTGGGCTTTCAGAGGTTAAAGAACTATGGAATGGGACAGAAGCAACATTTGAAATGAAATGTCTGAGAATTTTCAAAAATTGATAAAAGCCATAAAACTATAAGTTCAAAAGCAATACACATTTCAAACATAATAATTATAGATAAAATGAGACCTCAACATTGTACTGAAACTGTTAAAAACCAAAGACAACAATAAAATTTAAAAGATTTAAAAGAAAGACTCCTTTCAAAGAAGCATAAATAAGACAGAAATAAGACAGCAAAAATAAGACAGAAATAACAGAATTATATTATTAAAGGAATCAAAGAAAGTAACTGTCAACTAGTCATTTTAAAAATCATTCAAGAAAATTAACATGAACCTGTGCCATGGGAGTGAGAGGGATTGCCGCCCTCTCCCAGCAGTTTGGGACTTTTGTTCCCTGTAAGTAGTGAGCTTGAGTAAGAGCAAGTGATGTGCCTCTTCCCACAGTAGTGATCATTCCTCTCTTGCATACTTGTACCACTGAGAGTTTCTTGGATCTCCTCCTTTCCTTACCCATTTGTATGGCAGCCTCAGCTCTTCTTCCTATGCTTTACCACAGTTGAGCCAGTCTTTTCTTTCTGCCTCTTGTTGGAGGAACCTACCCTTCTTGACTATTGATTTCTGTGACTCATCTTTCTGATAAAGTCAAGAGAAATGATCTTGTAGTGGATTTTTGGAGTGAGATTGATGTTCTTTCAGCTTTTTCTTTTTCTTTTTTTTCCTTTTTTCCTTTTCTTTCTTTTTTTTCTTTTTTCTTTTTGAGACAGGGTCTTGCTCTGTCACCCACACTGGAGTCCAGTGGCACGATCTTGGCTCACTGCAACCTCTGCCTTCTGGGTTCATGTGATCCTCCTGCCTCAGCCTCCAGAGTAGCTGAGATTACAGGCATGCGCCACCATGCCTAGCTAATTTTTGTATTTTTGGTACAGACGGGGTTCCACCATGTTGCTCAGGCTGATGTTGAACTCCTGGGCTCAAGTGACGCACGCGCTCCCACCTTCCAAAAGCTTTTTTCTTTTTAAACAAACAGAAAATAAGGGAATTAATATTATTAGATCTGCAGGGAAGAAAATAATAGAATGTGGTCTTTCAACAAGAATCCTAGATGGAACCTCAAAAATTAGGACATAATGATGAACGACAGAAAGATAAATGTATGGATAAATCTCGATGAATTTTGACCACACTAAAAACAATAATAATGGCTCACAGATTTAAAATGTTTTTGCAATTAAAGCACATGGCAACAATGGCACATAAGTCAACAGGAGGGGGCAATAATAGAGCTAAGGCATGCTAAGATCCTCACATTTTCCTGGAGAAAATAGGGTGCTGTTTTTAGTAGTCATGGATGTTCACTTATGAATGCATACGTAGATGGATGCGCATTATGCTCTCTAGAGTAACTGTGAAAGAAACAAAGGAGAATAATAATAGAGTAACAGAGAATGCTCATTCAATCCAAAATAAACTATTATATGAAAAGAGGGAATAGCAAACACAGGACAGGAAGAGAAATAGAAAGCAATAATAAGATGGAAGACCTAACCCAAATTTTAGCAGTGAGATAAATATTTAGCAGTGAGATTAAAGGATAGGTTTCCAGGAAGATGTATAAATTCAAACTATATATAACAATAATAATTTATCCTTTAATTTTGCAAAAATAGGAGGATTTGAAATCCCCCTATTTCAAAGACAATACCATATATTTAATGAGAAATTTAATGAGAAAAAGACAATACTGTATATTTAATCAGAGATTTTAATACACTTCTGGAAATTTATAAAACAAGAAAAAAATAAGCAAAATAAGCATACAGAAGATTGAATCACCAGAGAGACAAACAGTAGAAGACATTTTAAAATACACATAAAACCTTTACAAAAATTGACCTTGGAGTATGGAATAGAGCATGTGTCTACAAATTTCAAAAGAATGAAATCATACACAGCATGTTCTCTACTATAAAATAATTAAGCTATAAATAGATAACTAAACAGTTTCTAAAGCTTATCAGATGTCTGATAGTTAACTAATGCAAATCTAAATAATTATAGTGTTAAAGATCAGGAGAGTCATTTTCTTTGGACAGAAGGCAAGGTGTATTGATTAGGATGGATGCTAGTAATATTTTATTTCTTAATCATAATCAAGTTTATTTATTGAGCTGTAGTCTCATGTTTTATATATCTTTTGTATATTCGCTAAACTTCAATAAAATAAAATACTGTGGAGATAAAAATAGATATAGATTAATAGACCAATAAAAATATTACAGAGCTGGCACACTGAGTTATAAGTATAG
Organism: Homo sapiens; assembly: GCF_000001405.40. NCBI lineage: Eukaryota > Metazoa > Chordata > Mammalia > Primates > Hominidae > Homo > Homo sapiens. The sequence goes on along the minus strand of NC_000004.12, from coordinate 126,803,264 downwards.
GATAAATTGATTTATGGTAAAGATAGCACCATAAATCAATGAGCAACAATAGACAATGATGAGCTGTGTAATTGTCTTGGGAAAAAAATAGCCTATTAAGTAAAAATAAAGTCGAATCCATACCTCAGAGCATATAGAAAAATGAAATCCAAATAACTAAGTTTTACATGTTAAAGTAATACAATGAGATACATGTTTGTGTATGTATGAATACACACAAATATAAGTATACAGATAGGAGAATGTCTATAACTGTGAGGGAAGAAAATATTTTTAAGATACATTGGTCTAGCAATAATTTATTTATTATTTTTGTTTAGAGACAGAGTCTCTTTGGTTGTTTAATCTGAAGTGCAGTGACATGAACATACCTCACTGTAGCCTCAAACTCCTCAACAGTAATTTACAAGAAAACTGATGGATTTGACCACGTTACATGTATGTTCAAGGACATAGATGACAGATTTAGAGACTATTCAAAATGAGTATAAATTTAATATCTAGAAATGTTGGGTCAAATAATATGACCATTCATATTCTGATTTCTGATAACACATAAGAAATTCCAAAATAAAATAGGCAAAGTATATGAATGAATGTTGAATTCACAGAAGACAATACAAATTACCTAATCATACAAATTGGCAGATTATCAATTCCACTAGTAATCAGAAGAGAAGCAAAAAATTTTTTTTTCTTGCCAGCTTAAATTCATCAGATTGGCAAACATGGACATATGTGGACGTGTGGAAACAGGAAGCTTCATGAACTACTGGAAGCAGAGTCAGTATAGTCATTTTGGGAAGCAATTGAGAGTACTTAATGAAATTATGTATTTATATGGAAATACTAAATATATATTATTAAACATTTCTTGTACAGGTCCGTGAAGTCAAAAGCATAAGCATGCTCACGGAGCATTTTTGTGATAGTGAGAAGCTAGTGGTAACCAAGTGTTTACTATTATGTGAACACATAGATTATATATAGTGGGTATATATACAAAAAATGTTATGAACAACTGAAATATAACCACATATAGGAATTTGGGTTGACATTCAAAACTGACTTTTAAGTAGAAATTTGAAAAAAAGTATAATGTAGCAAAGTACCATATGAATATACTAAAATATATACTACACATATAAGAAACCTATGTTTTATAAGGCTACATGAATAGGCAAGAAAATAGATAAGGCATATTTGAAATTTATGTATGCATGAAGGGAGATGAAAGTTACGATGCAAAATGAAGGAGAAATGAAAGGAAATGTAAGAAAAGGGTGCTCTTGGTAGAACTGGTCATGATGCTGTACCTGTGGAGAAGTTGTGAGAACTACTGCCAACTAGGATATGAAAAATCATATCTGCAAAAGAAAATACTGTACTGCGATAAATCATTTTCCACCATTTTTATATTGTGGGAGGTCAGGCTTTTATTTTTGGATTGTTTTCTCTATACCACTTTATTATCTTATTATTTTGGTAATGAGCAGATAACATTTTATACTATAATGTTTTGAAATATATATTACACACACACACACATATATAGACACATTGTGAAGTGGTTAAATCTAGCCAATTAACAAATGCATTACCTCACATAGTTATCATTTTTATGATGAGAGCACTTAACATTCATTCTCTTTATAGTTTTTAAGATATAATGTATTGTCATTAACTTTAGTCACCTTGTTATACAATAAGTGAAGCTGGGCTGAGTGAAAGAGGGGAGATGCATGGTTGGAGTTCCTTGCCAGAATGTATTATTAAAGTCATGTAAAAATTCTATTAAAATATAATCTTTAAAATAAGGAACACACTAGCTTTGAATACTTGATTAAGAATAGCACACATTTTGATCCAATTGTAGAGTTCTTAGGGTCAGTTTCTATTACCAAATAAATCATAGAAAGTTAGCAGGGTATATTAAGGAGGATTGACTTCTTTTTAGCATCGATATGGTAAGGATTCTGCATGTTTTTCTCTTTTTAAATTCTTATATAAAGATTGGTATTCCAACAGTGTCTTATTATGCCAGCTGTGTAAGTGGAGGGTGTACCACTGTATAAGCAAAATGAAATATAAGAATGTTCTCAAGTATGTACGTGGCACAAACGTAACTTCATATGCACAACTACCATCTGTTTCTGGGCTCTGCTAATGAGAAAACTTGTTCAGTTGCACATTGACTCAATCTGAAAATAATAAAACCATGACTTCTATGAGTTAAAAGACATGCCTCTATAGCCTCCCTTTTCCAACCTCTAGTTTCACTTGTTGAAAAACAAGGCAAACAAATAGACATGTGGCCACCCACATAGTTGTGTAAATTGGGGGGAAAAAAAAAATGTGAAAATAACGTGAGACAGAATGCCCGAAGCTTTCACTTAGTCCTTCACACATGGACTTAATCACGTTGGCAAATTCTCCCTCCCTACCATATGAAGTTTATAGACCACTTTTCAAATTAAAAGTACCTTTTCTTCTTTCATGTTTTAAGAACTAGTGGCTGAAAGAAAGGCTGGAAAGTGATTTGTAAGAAACTATATCATCAACCAGAAATGTTTCTGCTTTTGTTAATTCACTGGAAATATGCCAGTAATGTAGGTTGCCAACAATTTCTGAGGAGCTTCTTGGTAAGTGTGATAGTGTGTGTGAGTGTGTGTGGGAAATCCATGCACATGCAGACTCATTATCTAAGCTGAAGTCCTCTCTTGGGCTGGAAACGTTTAAACTCTATTATGCAAATACACTGCATTAGGGCAAATCGATGTTCCAGTGGGCTTTCACCTTTAGAGTTACTTCTAGGGCCTAACTGCTGTGCAAACGAATGATTAGATGATCAAAAAGCACCTGATTGCATTAACAATGAAGAGTGACGTAATTATAAACCTACTTGAAAAATTCTCAGACAAGTCTGCTCTCTCATTTAAAATTGGAAAATAATCAGCTTTCTAGTGAGATGGGACTTTTGCCTTCCTGATGCCCTCTGCAGCTGAAGTCTATATGGAAAGTGTGACTCACTTTTCAGAGCAATAACTGTATGGCTCTTTGCAGAAGGATCTCATAGGTTTACATGCACATAGCTGGGCAATAAAATCACATGAAAATCCTCATTAAATTCAGTAGATTACAGGCCAACAGACAGTGTGGCCCATTTAAGGTGTTCTTGTGAGTGCTCTGTGTGAGCTGTGCCTCACTTTCCATCCTTCCTAATTCCCTTGCTCATGCATATCTGTTGTATTAATCGCATTCTTCCTGTCATGCTTTCTGTTTGTAAGTGTTACATGGCAAAAGATGCCCTCGTGTCTTCTTCCAAAGCACTTTTATTGGACCACTTCTCTGTATTTGTCAATCAACCAATTTAGAAGTGGGTTAATATTTTCTGCAAAGAGCCAGGTAGTATTTTAGAATTTGTGAGCCAGACAGTGTGTGTTGCAACTACTTAACTCTGCTTTTGTAGTGTAAAAGCAGCCATAGGCCTTATGTGAAAGAGTGAGGATGGCTGTGTTCTAAAAAATCTTTATTTACTAAAACAGCTGCTGGGTGGATTTGGCCCTTGGCTTATAGCTTGCTGACCCATGAACCACAAGACTGCTCAGATGGGGATAGAGAATTCCTCTGATTTGCTTTTAGACTTAGTGGGAGGACTATGAACCCCAAACTTTGCATTGACTTAGACACGTGTTCTTGTGCTTCCTGGCATAGTGGTGACAGTCAAGCTGCAAGCTCTGTGGTCTTGGGAAAGTGGCGAATTTTCAAATCTTCATTTTTATCATCTGTAAAATGATTTAATAGTAATTTACATGCCAAAAAGTTGTTGTGAAATAAAGTGAGAAAATGTCTATGTTTAAAAAGTACAGTATAGTTGTGTTACATTTCAAGTTTTTATCCAGGAAGTGAGTTCCGGATAGAATAAATGAATATGATTTATACAAATTTCTTCATAATTTTTTTAACAAAAGACTACTTGGGTATTAAGACACATCTGCTTGAACTTGTAATAACATTTTATAACCTACTGTCTATTTACCATTAATGCTCTTTCATTCCTCCTTATATATTCAAATCATGGAATGTACATCATGTTTCTTTGGTATACTTGATACATCTTTCAAAACTTGCTTCAAGAATTGGCTTCCCAAGTTTGTGACCAGCCTGGCCAACATGGGAACGTCATCTCTATTAAAAAAAAATACAAAAATTAGCCGGGTATGGTGGGGTGTGCCTGTAATCCCAGCTACTCAGGAGGCTGAGGCAGGAGAATCACTTGAACCCAGGAGGCGGAGGCTGTAGTGAGCCGAGATCGCACCACTGCACTCTAGCCTGGATAACAAGTAAGACACTGTCTCAAATTTAAAAAAAAAATGGCTCCTTTGTGAAGCCTTTTATAACTTTGCAACTTCCTAGGCACTCACAAGACAATTTGTTTAAATCTATCTAGCAGCACTTAACACATTTTATTATTTTTCTTTGTTAATTCTTCTTTGTAAGGGTGTTGTCAAGATATACATCATCTTATTTTCCTAAAGTAGCAATGAATAGGATAAGAAAGAATACTTTAGTGTAAGATTTTAATTTTTACTTTGACTTCATCACTTGTAAATTATCTCCAGCAAATTGTGTATCTTTTTGATGGCTCATGTTCTTCACTTAAAGTGAAGCTCAAGAGATTAACTGCAAGAGCTCTAACGAAAACTGTGTAATATAATCTACATAAATGGTTTTAAGCAGTACATGACAGATAACAGCCTTTGGATAATTGTTATGTACTGTTGATGTTTTTCTTTTTATTAACATTGTCTTAGTGTTTAGGGCAGTATATGGTACATAAATAGTGCTTACTATACATTTTTCTTTGAGTGAAATATCACAAATTTAATAAATATGTTGTATGTGCTACTATTGCAAAATACAGAGTAAAGACATAAAAGCTATTTTATTGATATTTAATTCCTTAGGTTTTCTTTTATGTTATACAGCCAACTTTAGGGATTGTATTTTCTATGGTTGCTAGATTAATAATATACTGAGACTTTGGAGGGAAAAAGTCAATAATTTCCTGCATGAACTCTAATTTACAACTGAAATTTTGTAATATTGCTCTGAAACTCATCTTTTCCAAAAAAGTACCCTTATATACATCTGCAAGTATTCTTTGGTAGGCACAAAATTGAATTCTTAGAACCAGTAGAATTGGAAATTCCTTGTACTCTTTATTTCATCATATTTTCTGCCGTCCACCAACTGGAAGATTTTGTTGAAACCATTTACTAGTAATGTAATTTACTAGTAATGTAGAGTAAAAACTAAATACGTAGGAAAATTCTGGCCTAAATTATACTCACAAATTCCAAAGTTGTAATCTTTAATTCATGACTTTGATATTTCTGATCAAGGTTACTTTCACCGTATATGCAGCTGACCCTTGAACAACATGAGTTTGAACTTCACAGGTCTGCATATATACGCATTTTTTCAATAAATATTAGAATTTTTTGAATATTTGCAACAATAATAAGAAACTTACCAACAAACCACATAGGCCAGAAATATAAAAAAATTCAAAGAAAATTAGGTGTGTCATGAATGCATAAAATATAGGTAGATACTAGTCTATTTTATCATCTAGTACTATAAATATACACAAATCTACTTTAACAAGTTAAAATGTATCAGAACGTATGCACTGTACATGACACCATTCACAGTGGAGAGAAATGGAAACAAACAAAAACAAAATATTAAATCATAATCACATAAAATTCACTGTAGTACGTACTGTACTACTGTTGTTGTACCTGTTACTAGTGTGCTGAGCTCAGGTGTTGCAAATATCCATTTAACACACTGTGAGTCTGCATGAACAGTTCATCTCTCTAGCAAATTTTGTGTCACAGGAAAAAATGATTTCGAGGTTCTCATATAGTCTTCATCATGTTTAATGCAATAAACTTGAATAACACCATGAGATTCATGTGAAGTGCCCCTCGTGATGTTGGAAGTTCTCCCAAGAAGCAGAGCGAACTCATAACACTACAAAAAAGTTGAGTTGCTTGATACCTACCACAGATTGAAGTCTGTGGCTATGGTTACCAGCTATTTCAGGCAGACAATTTGTCTTGTAATCAGAAGACATAAAGTTACAGTATCAATAAATACAGTATAGTACTATAATTTTATCTTCCATATGATTTTCCCAATAACTTTTTCTCCAGCTTACTTTCTTGTAAATCTATAGTATATAATGTATATAACATACAAAATATGTGTTAATTGACTGTGTTGTCAGTAAGGCTTCTAGTCAACAGAAGGCTACTAATGGGTAAGTTTTGAGGGAGTCAAAAGTTATATGCAGACATTTGGTTGTATATGGGGCAGCATCCCTAACTTCCCCCTTGTTCAAGGATTAACTGCATTCATCAGAATCTTCTGCACAGCAAAGGAAGCAATTAATGAAATAAAAAGGCAATCTATGTATGGAGAGAAAATATTTGCAAGCCATATATCTGATAGTGTTAATACTTGTAATATATAAGCAATTCGACTCAATAGCAAAAAGTGAAAACCATAACAAAAAAAACACACACACACAAACAAATTACCCTATTAAAAAATTGGCAAAATATTTGAACAGACATTTTTCCATAGAAGACATACAAATGGCCAACAGGTATATGAAACAGTGCTCAACATCACTAATCATCAGAGAAATGCATATTAAAACCACAATGAGTTATCACCTCACACTTGGCTATTATCAAAAAGACAGGAGGTAAGTGTTGAATAGGGTGTGGAGAAAAGGGAACTATTTATACATTGTTGGTAGGAATGTAATTGATAGACCCATTATGGAAAACGATACGGTGGTTCCTCAAAAAATTAAAAATAGAACTACCATATGATCAGCAATGTCTCTTCTAAGTGTATGCACCTAGAATAGATGCCTGCACACCTGTTTATTTCAGCATTATTCACAATAGCCAGCTATGGAAACACCTAGGTGTTCATAAATGGATGAATGGATAAAGAAATGATAGATGTATATATACAATGGACTATCATTCAGATCTAAAAAAGAGAAAGATTCTGTCATTTGCAACAATATAAATAAACCTGGAGGACATTACGCTTCATGAAATAAACCAGGCACAGAAATATATATAGTACGTGATCTTAATTATATGTAAAATCTAAAAAAGTCAAATACCTACGAACAAAGAGTAGAATGGTGGTTATCCATAGCTGGGAGATGGAGAAAATGGAGAGATGTTGGTCAAGGGGTAAAAAATGCAGTTAAATAGCATGTCTAGAGGTCTAATATACAACATGATGACTACAGTTAATAATAATGTATACTGAAAATTTGCTAAGAGAATAGATTTCAGGTGCTCTTACAATTTAAAAAAGTAATTATGTGAGATGATAGAGATATTAATTTGCTGGGTTGTAGTAATCATTTTATTATACATATATGTGTATCAAAACACTATGTTTTACATCTTATATACAAAAAGTAAAATAAGAGCAGTAGAACACAACAATATTAGAATATGTAGACGTAAGTTTTTCTCAAGCTTTTCCCTCTTTTACTATTATTCAACTGAATTAACTCAGAGAGCTCAAGATATGTGAGTTCCTATCATAAAAATTTATACATTTATAAAATTAATGCACTTTAATATGTCCAAATTTATTTTCTTATTCTGATAGAATACTCTTTCTAGGATCACTTTGAAAATTGTGAAATATTATACAAATCAATATTATTATTACTAATAATGATATTTCATCATTAAAATAAGAACAACAGCAAGGATGCAAAATGGAAGCTCTAAACGAAAAACCAGGATCTCTAAACCTGAATGATTCCATGGACTTCATCTGTTCTATTTAAGTAGTTTACTACATTATTACTTAGAAAAATGTTTTAAATTACTATTAAAAACTATTAATACTTTATTTTTTTCAATAAGCTTTATTTTTTAAATAGTAGTTTTAGGCTCACAACAAAATTGAGAGGAAGGTACAGAGATTTCCCAGATATCCCCTCCCTGTGACATGCATAGCCTCCCCCATTATCAGTTATCAATAGATGAACCTGCATTGACACATTCTTATCACCCAGAGTCCATAGTTTAAATTATGATGTTGTACATTCTATGGATTTGAACAAATGTATAACAACATATCTACCATTATGGTATCATACAGGTAGTTTTATTGACTTCAAAATAATCTATGTTCCACCTATTCCTCCCTCCCTCCGCCCTGGCAACCACTGATCTTTTTATTGTCCCAGTAATTTTGCCTTTTCAAGAATGTCATATAGTTGGAATCATACAGTATGTAGCCTTTGAGATTGATTTCTTTCATATAGTAATATACATTTGAGTTTCCTCATGTATTTTTATGGCTTGAGAGCTCATTTTTTTTTAGCACTAAACAATATTCAATTTTCTGGATGTACCACAGTTTATTTATTCATTCACCTACTGAATAACATCTTGGTTGAGTCCAGGGTTTGGCAGTTATGAATGAAACTGCTATAAACATCCATGTGTAGGTTTTAGTATAGGCATAAATTTCCTGCTCCTTTCGGTAAATAACAGGGAGTGCAATTGTTGCATCATATGGTTAAGAGCATGTTGAGTTTTGCAAAAAACTGATGATGACCTTTCGTATTTGCTCTTGCTATGAACAAGATTGAGCTATCTATTAGAAAGGGAGCATTTGAAGTGTCTCTTAGCCATACTTTAGAGGTGAGTCAGTTAGTCTGAACAACATTTATCTGTAATCATAGTACTCTGCAGCTGATCTTCTGAGAAAGTGCTCATTTTCACTTCCTTGCCTCAATCCCAGTACAACTGGAGCATGCATTTTCTAGCCTCTAACTGCAAAGCTAATCAATTAAGTTGGATTTTCACATTTGATGAAGGAAATAAATTAAGAAAAAAATTATTATTGCAGTATAGTCCCAAATCAAAATGATACAAATACAAATCTTATATTTATCCAGGTGTGGTTGCTCACTCCTCTAATCCCAGCATTTCAGGAGGCTGAGGCATGAGAATCAGTTGAGTACAGGAGTTCAAGGCCAGCTCGGATAACATAGTGAGACCCTCACCTCTACAAAAAATAAAAAAATAGCCAGAGCTGGTGGTGTGTACCTGTAGTCCCAGCTACTCCAGGGGCTGAGGTGGGAAAATTGCTTGAGTCTGAGAGGTTGGGGCTGCGGTGAGCCATGATCCTGCAGTAGCTCGATCATGGGCATAGCTTGATCCCATCTGGGTGACAGAGTGATACCCTGCCTCAAAAAAAAAAAAAAAAAAAAAAAAAAAAAAATATATATATATATATATATATATATGTACATATATACGTGTATATATGTATATATGTGTGTATATATGTATATAAGCATATATGTATATATGTATGTATATATATGTGTGTATATATATATATTCAAGTCTGGTTGACTTAATAATATGCATTAAGTTGAAAGTTTTTCTTGACTGCTGCTTTAGGGAAAGTATATCGTGCTATATTTAGCATATGTATTTTAAAACTCCCTCCTCGTGATGTATTTGTTTCATTGATAAGCCTTGATATAAGGATTTTCTTATAGTGCCAAACCAAATGCCTTGGATGATTTGACTGAACCACCAAAACCAGCTAGTGCCAGATAAGCTCCACAGAAGGCGATGACTTGTACTGTGCTTCACACATATGGGAGACTCCATAGATATTTGACAATTTGAAATCATTTCTCTAGTGGATGGATCATTGTGAATGTGTACATACTGTATTTTTAAAATTTCAAATGGCATGCTGTGTGTTCATAAATATTCCAGTTTTTTTCTGAGTAATGGGAAAAATAAGATTTACAATGATATGTAAATACAACTGGGTGGTGATGCTATCTAAGTACATTTTGGAGAGTGTACAGCAAATGTCCAAGACAATCAAAACTCTTGTCTGCACCTTTCTGAGGTTTTCAAGAAGTCCATGATTCCCCTTACAAAAATAATTTCTAGACTAGAGTTATCCTGTTTGTTTTTTAATGTAATTCAAATGCCCTATTTTATATGTATATCTCTTTGTTATATTATAAGTGTGTTTTCAGAAGTATTTTCACTTGATAAATTTACTATAATAACCTAAGCCCCAGGAGGGAAATTATCCAGTTTATTTTATTAGGAATATTGTAGCAATAGGAAAAACTTGAAAAATGTTATTTTAAAAATACAGATTACAACATAGAAAAGATGTGTTCTTGATTCATAAATAACATGTGATATACATTTGAATGCTAATAGCATTTAAAACTACTCTTTATATTAGGGTTCAGAATTTATTCTGTCAGCTTAAAATAATTTGAAATGGTTAATTTGTACATACAACACATACTCTGGTACAGTGTGGAAAATAAAGGTGGTTTTTCAGCTGTTGCCAAATTAATGAAAAGAGAAAAAAGTTGGATTCAAGTGGGGTTTTTATGCCGCAATAGTTCTATTGTTCAGGGGGAAAAATGAAACTGTAAAGGCAATGTAAGTATTAATTGTAAATGATAATTTATTTTAATATTGGAGAAACAACTTGGTTAATCTTTCATTCTTCATTTGTTACTTATTCTAAGATGGTTTTTTCTGTCTTCTTCCAATATTCTTTAAATGTTCCTGCAACTGAGTAGTGAAGCTGCCACCTTGGCTGTTCATGAGAGCCCCATACCCATCCTCGAGTCTCTCCACCCCAGAAGGGCAATGCTTGTTCATCATTGGTGTTCCTACATGTGTTTGCCCGAACTGCCTATTGAGAAAAAGGCAATTGTTGAAAAGTATTGACACTCCTGGGTATTTTGAGGAGGGAGATGTGGAGCTAGGGTTTTCTCTACACAAATTTCATCGAATGCGTGAATCTCCCTGAGAGCTAATTGGCTGGCAAGTTGCAGAGAGCTCCAGATTATTGAGCTCCCAATGGGATACTAGGAGCAGATAAACATGATGAGGGAGTTCCAAATTCTCAGCCAGCCAATCAGAGGATAAGACCATAAAACAACTGCTACAGCATGTTTTGCACATTATTTTAAAGCCCCATACAACTGGACTTGAGTTCTTGATATATAGTGATTTTTGTATTAAAAAGATCAGATAAGTTTTGGCTGACTTGCACCTTGCAATGCTAGGATCAATTATTCTTTGGAAATCAGGTTTTTATTCTGATATGAAACATCATGATGGAAGAAATTATTATATTGACACATTGTTTTAAAAGCTGAGTTCCAGACAACCTTTGCTCATCCCTGGCTGATTCAGCCTGATCAGGATGGATGGGATATCAACTTCTGGTTCTTGCCGTAAAATCCACTTCATTATCTGGGAAGGTGCAACTGCAAACCATTATTTCATGTTTTTGAGAGTTTATGATAAATTTAGCTGGCACACTGAATTCAACAATAAATTAAAAGCTTTTATAATTTATGATTTTAAAATGAAGAGCTTTCAACACTTCAGCAACACAGTTACACAGTATTTGTAGAGAAGTTTTGGTACAAGAATATCGAAGCCTCCATACCCAATATTTAAGCATTAATTTCATGACTAAAAGTCTTTGGTTTTTAAAATTTGCTCAATTAGCCAACATGATCGACTGTATTGAAGGGCTTGCCTCTTCATTAGGTCTTTCATAAGCAAAATGATGTCTAGAGATGTATCAGTTTTCTGATAACAAAAACATGTTTACATTAATTCTTTGTGTTTTATTTTATATAGGGGTAAATGTCCTAAGTTATTCGCTTCACTCTAGTAAATAAGATATGATCTGAAGGTGGGGAATTTTTTGAAATTTATCTTTCTTAATATATTTGCCTTAGAGTGAATGTAAATCTTACCTGTTAAGTGAGTAAATTTGGAAGAGAAAGAATGTCATTTCCCAATTCTCCCTGTCAAAACAGATGCTTCTAATTTAAACACATCCACAAAATATTTGAACATGATATAAATAGAATGTTTGTTTATAAGACTTGATAAGATTGTATAGCTTATATATGTTGTTCATAAATTTATAAGGTTTCCCAAGCACTATTAGATATGTTAGATCAATCATTTCCATTAGAATACTCCTTGAGGTTGGAACCTCAGCTTTACAGAATCTAAGACTGAGGTAAAGTAATATTAAGGGCTTACGCAAGGCTGCACAGCCACTCAGAACTCATATTCCTCACCAACAGGCTGCATTACTACCACAAAGGTATAGGAAACGTATTCATTCTATGTCTTGACTTTTTAATGCCCAGATAATAGAAGCATGAATATCACATCATCCCATTCTCTTGGAATTCATAAAATGCTGCTGGTGAGGCATGTGTTACAATAACTGTACATAGCAATGTCCAGGGAAGGCCAGAGGAAGGAGCAAGTGCATTTGCCTGGTGAGGCAAGAAAAGGCATTTCAGAGCAAGTGATAGCTGTGCTGGATCTTAAAGGAACAGGAGAACATTTCCAGATGAAATTGTAAGGAGAAGCCCTCAGATGAGAAAGCAGAATATGGGAAGTCTTGCAGGTATAAATTTTAGAAAAGCATTTTACTTGACCTGGAAGCTGGGTTGCTTCATATTTTCCTGACTACTTGGCAATTTAAGGTTTAATATTGGCCTACTGATAGTATTCTATTTTATTTTTCTATCTAAAACACAGTGACACTGCCCAGTAATTAGTGAACACAATATTTATCTTCAAGAAAACATAGTTTTCTGCTATGCAGAGACCATTGATTTAGAATTTCTTATGTATCAGTTTAAGGTTACTGATCAAATGGAGTTAATAATTTGATTTTCTTATCAACATTAAAAAAGTCATAAATTTTGCATGAGTAGAAAATATTGCAGTTGAGGAGAAGGAGAATCAGCAGAAATAGAAATTATGACACTGCTATGAAATTGCTGGATCTAAGCTTTATAAGAACAGGGATTTTGTCTGTTTTATTCACTGCTGTATCCTCAGTGATAGAACATTCCTGGCAAACTCTGGGCACAAAATAATTATTTGTTGAATGTTGTTGAATGAAATAACAACTTGCCACAAGGAAAGCATATAAACAGCACTAATATAAAAACATAGCTACTGGGGGTCATTTAGAATAATTGGTGGCAAAAAAAAATCTGTATGTAGAAAAGTTTTAATATATGAAAAAATATATAATGTGATACTCTGAAGGTCCTGAATATAAAAGAAAAGGTTAAGTCATGCTAAAAATGAAAGAAAATATAAGAAAAATAAAAAACGAAACAAATAATCATGCTAAATACTTTCATTAATAAAACATGGAAGACTTTTCGCCTTTTAGAAACAAATTCAAAAGTGATTAGAATATAATAATCAGTGATTGAAGCAGCACATTTCTATTTCTGGAAAATTTACTTTTGTTAAGTACATTTCAACAACACTGATAAATCAAATGTTAGTGTTTTTTGTGTGTTAATTTTAAATACACAATAATTATGACAATGTTTCTTATCTCAAATATTCAGTCAAATTTGAAATATACTATTCTATTGAAAATAACTTATCTGATAATAAAATGTAATTAAAATGACAATAAAATTGAGGACTTGCTTTTCCAGGGTTTGCCTGACTAGTTTTCCTTACTATAGAATTTAGTCATTTAAGGGGAGTGAAAATATTGACAGCTCTGATTAATTTTGAAATATTGTGAAATATATATACACATACACACACTATATATCTGTATATAATATACATATTATTGCTAAATGTGAAAAGTTTCATTTCCCCGTGCAATTGAAACACAGGTAATTCAAGTGATTATTTGCTGGCTTATGCTACTCTAAATCAAAATGACTCTTTTAACTACTGTTTATGATATAATCCTTAACTGGCTTTTCCAATATTAAACATGGCTCCTGATAACAATAGTATATTTTTTTTAGAGAATAAAGATTTTTACTCTTTCTTTGTGAATCATATGTAATCTATTTTTTAAAATCTTGTTGCCGTATGTTGACTAGGGCTTTCAGGACAATCTTGAAGCAGGTTTAAACCAGGGGGCACTTTTGCCTCATTACTGGTTTTAAATGCAATTAATCTGACATTTTACCAATATATGCTATGGAGGCTTTTACTTGATAGCGTTCATAAACTTAATGAAGTTCTGTTCTATTCCTAGTTCACTAGCACTTTTTAAAAATTGGTGAACTTTTAATCTTGAAAGTTTTAGATTTATAGAAAAATGCAGAAATACTATATATGTGTATGAATATATATATTTCACACACTCATTTGCCCTTATTATTAACATTTTATATTATTATGGTCCACTTGTCACAATTAGTGAACCAATATTAATACATTATCATTAATTACAATTCATACCTCATTCAGATATCTATACTTTCTACCTCATGTACTTTTTCTGTGCCAGGATCCCATCCCATGTTACATTTAGTCATAATGTCACCCTTGGCTTCTCCTGACTGTGCAGTTTCCTAAACTTCTTTGTTTACCCTGACCTTGACAGTTTGAGGGAGAGCGTATTAGAGAGGTATTCCTCTATGGATTCCTTCTATTGGAATCTGTCTCTTATTTTCCTCTTCATTAGACTGTAGTTATAAATTTTGGGAAAGAGGTCATGGAGATAAAGTATCATTTTTGTTACATCATATTAAGGGTACATACTATCAACATGACTTATTGTTATTAATCTTGATAACCTGGTGGAGGTAGTGTTGTTAAGGTTTTTCCACTGTAATGGTACTCTTTTCTTTCCTTACTAGACTCTTTGGAAGGAAGTCATTATGTGCAGGCCCCACTTCAGGTCTAGAGAACTATTCTCCACCTCACTGAGAGCAGAGTATCTACATAAATTCTTAGAAATTCTTCTCCTTTGTCCATTCTTTCTTATGTATTTTTCACTCAATCATTTATTTATATCAGTTTGATAATACTTTGGGTTACAATTCAGTACTGCTTAACTTATGTTGTTGATCAAATTTTTCTAGCTTTGACCACTGGGAGCTCTTTTGGTTGGCTCTTGTGTCCCTTTGACATAACCATAATTTCACATTTATTTGAGTACCTTCTTATTTTCTGTAACAGCACAATCATCCAGGTTCATTTGATGTAGCTCCTCTACATTCCAAGAATCAGCCATTTCTCCAGGAATTCCTGGTTCTTTTTCTTAGAAAATCATTTTAGAAACCAAGATCTAAGCACTAGATGCACTTGTTGCTACTGAGATGTCATTGTTTCTAAACCCTCTCAGTGGACAAAGCAAGTAAAGATATGGTGTATATTTAAATCATATGTATACATATATCTATACATAGTTCTATATGTAATCTACTTTTGTCTGTAATAAGCTAAACATCAATCCACACTGATGTCTCCAACTGAAATCCATTACCACATGGGTCACTCTAGTTATTTCCTCTTGATTATTCATAACATCCCACTCCAACAATGAGAAAACTGGCTCCCACCATAGTCCATCCATTTTACTTAATTATCTAATTCCAATGTACATATGTAGTGGTTTCTGAATTGATAATCCATATTCTTTATTAATTAGAACATAGTGCTATATGCAATTCCCTTTACTCTTATAGACTCCAATCATTGGTGCCAAAATTTTAGGTCAGCAACTTTTTCCTCTACCCTCTTTTCATTCTGGAATCCCCCAACTTCCTCAATGATTTTCCAAAAACTGATATACATAAAGTTTCATTATTTGTGCTTCACCTATTCCACTTTCCCCTTTCTCCTCACACAACATTCTGTTAGCTATATAAATTTATACGACAAAGATGAAATTTTCTAGCCTAGAGATACTTGTGTTTCATTTATTCTCTTTGAATTATTATTATTTAATCAATTATGAGTTTCTTTATATTCTTTTAAAACATTAACCCTGAGATCTAAAATTTTTAGATCTATAAAGCTGGTTTCTCTATTTTCATTTGAGGTGAGTCCGTAGCCACATATTTTGTCTTCCTAGATAGATATTGTTTTCTATTGTGTAAATTCTGTCCAGAAACACCTTGGAACAGGATCATCAATGACTTTGCTATTTAATTAAACAAATACTTTTCATATTACTTGTTTATAGTAAATCAGTTTTGTCATCATAGTAAAAGATATCCCCTTATTTGTGCCTAATGTTAAAAGCCAGCCGTGGATTTGGTACGCTCAAAAAAAGTTGAAACATACCATGTGATAAATGATTTCTTAGTTATATCATAAAATTAACAGTTTTCATCAAAAATATATCAGCTGTGGCAATTACACATAGTAGATACTCTAGTTGTATTGCCAACTTCTTGTTGCCATTTCTTTTATGTGTATCAGACATGTAATTTGGTAGCAATTGATCCCATCCCAAACTCTATAGAGATGAATTTTGATTTTTCTTACCCTAAGGGTTAGTTTGAGCAACACAGACTTAAACCAACCAGTATATTGCAATTCCCTCGGCCATAGGAATTATCACAGTGCTAGTACAATCAATACAACCCTCGAGACTTTTTTAGATTGCTATGAGATAATACATCTTCTCTGTGTCTCTTGGATGTAAATGAGGAGCCATGACCCCAATTGTTGATGGCAGCCATATTGTGAATATGATTGAAACCAACCTGAAGACATAGCTCATATATGAAGGCAAGAAGAGAGTAATGTCAGCAATATGGACCTAGAACCTTTATCTCATCTCATTTGAAATCTGTCTCAGGAGTTTTCAGTAATGTACTTATTTCAGCAACTTATTTGATTAAGTTGCTTTGAGTTGAGTTTTCTATCAGCAATCCAAACTAATCAAAATGACAATTATAATTGAGAATAATGAAGCTTCAGGCTGTTTATAATTCAGTACGGTAACATTGCAGCATGTCTATTTTAATCCTCCTTTGTCTGCTCTTCTCCCTTTCTCAGCTTTCCGTGGTCACAAATCATTACAGAACACTTTTACCTGCCACATCTAGACAACCTGTTTAATTCGTGAGAGAATTAAAACTTCCATGAAATAAAGTTTTCTAAGGACTTTATTAGCAAAGAGCTGTGGCATAAAATGAAAAAAATATCAATAAAGCAATGATTTTAAATTATTTACTTCTATTATTATTCTTTAGTATGATTATTTTGTATTTCCTAGACATGAAAATGTTTTACAAATACAAGAATAACTACTTTCTACTGTGTACCCACTATAATAAATTAAGAACTTCAAACATTGTATTTAACTCTTAAGCAAATAATATGGGTGAGTTTAGTTTTATTATGTAACATTTTGTTTTGTATTACAATTAAGCTATAGCTGTGCTTTGTGTTATACGTAGATAAATCTTTATCCTTCTGTTTTACTACCCCTTCCACAAGATTGTTCATAGTAGACTAATATTAAAATCTACTATGAAAACCTACTATGTTCGGGGATTTTATTATAATCTAAACCAAGCTTGTCCAACCTGGGGCTTGCGGGTCACATGCAGCACAAGATGACTTTGTATATGACCCAGTATAGCTTTGAATGTGGCCCAACACAAATTTGTAAATTTTCTTAAAACATTATGAAATTTATGCATGGACCTTTTTCTTTTTTCTTTTTCTTTTTTTTTTTTAAGCTCATCAGGTATTATTAGTGTTAATATATTTTATGTGTGGCCCATGACAATTTTTCCAGTGTGGCCTAGGGAGGCCAAAAGATTGGTCACTCCTGAACCTTTTAGCGACTATAACAGGTAGTTATACTAACCCACTTTGTAGACTAGACAATTGAGATTCAGCTATATTCAATCATCTACCCAACATCACACAGCTACTAAGTGACTCAGAGGGTATTTGAAACCCAGGCATGTCTGACTCTAGTCACTTAACTTAGTCATTCACATTTCCAGGGTCTGTAATTCTCCCTTCCTTTGTCTTTTCCCTTTTGTGCTTGCCCACTTGTATGTAAAAAAAAAAAAAAAAAAAAAGTGTTTTAACTCTAGCCCAGAATATTCTTTGTTGGGGAAGGAAAGAGGAAAGCAGAAAGAAAGTAAGGAGGAATAGAGCTTTCCCATGGCCCGAGGCAGTGCTGGAGTAGATCAAATAGTCCTGTAAATTCCAAAAGAGAGGCACATGTGGATACCAGAATGGGCATGTTTGAAAGTGGTTTTTTCAATGCTCTATGGTGAAAACATGGTTTATAGATGATTGCCCATGTTTCTTAGTGACTCTGATAGTGTGGATTCTACTTGGAGAAGCATGAGTCTTAAAGAAATCCACATGTTCTTTAGAGACTCAAATTGATTTACTTATTCTTCTTTTCCTCTGTAGTTGGAGAAGGGAGGAGGTAAATGGCTCATCTCTTTTAGCCTTTCATGACATGGCCCATATGGAACTCCTTTTTTTTTTTTTTTTGACAATTCTTTTGATGCTAAATTGGTAATGATTAATCCCTTTTAAATTAGATGTATTATTGCATACTGCTTGCAGGGGCTTTTATTTTACCTTTTCTTTCTTAAAAATTTTCGGTGACTTAAATGTATAAGAATGGATTCGTAAGACACTAAAATTTGGTAACTCTTAGAGTAAAAATTCAATAAGTATAATCATTCTTTCAGCCCAGCTAAGACCAGAGAACATTTCAATAGAAATTCCCACAATGAATATCATATATACTTTTATTATTATGCCAAGCTTAGTGACTCCTTTGAAGACATCCTGGTAAAATTTTATACAGGACAGAAACACATTGATTTATGTGGAAAGTTATGTGGTAAGACATGAACGCAATTTATATTTATCTGAAAAATTGAATGTACTTTAAGATAGATTCAATTATATAAGATTATTGAAATCACTGTTGTAATTGCTTATACATTTAGAGGACAATGAGTAGTAATGGCTAATAAGTACATATTTCTACGGCCAGATGAAAGGGAAAAGTCTGTGGATGTTTGGAATATTTCTGTTTACTAAGTATAAATAAAATATATTCTACCCTGATTTGGACTAATTTTCCTCGTTAATTCAATTACCTGAAAAAAATGGGCAAATATTCCTTCCAATCTAATTTGGTAAGTCTTAAACATTTATATGGGAAAGGCTTTAGAGCAGCAATCTGTTTGAAGTAAGTGTGTGTTGGAATTGAAATCAGTAGGTAGATATTTTTGGAAGATACCGTTGCTTTTCAAACTTACCTTATTTTTCTCATAGTTCATTTTTTTATGGCAGGTCATTAGAGCTCCACAAATCAATGCCATCTTGCCTGTCTTTGTGCTGAAGAGTAAAGAGGAAAGAACCTCTTATCATTCTATCCTTGGAAAATTAATGGTAATCACCATTGCCAATAAAAGAGTCTGATTACTATTTAAAAAGTATGGCCATGGCAGACATTGTATAGTCAAGGTGAGGTTGCCAATTAGAATACATACTAGTTTTATGGCCTTGTTGTGTAATTGGTGGCTTTCTTGTTATTGAAGAAGCCTGAATAACAAGAAGAGGGAATTTAACATTCTTTTTATTAATGGAAATGAGAGCAAAAGTATATTATGCATACAATATTTTTTCATGTGTACTGAGAGATATATTAGGTATTTTGGTTTCAAGCAGATAGAAAAAACTTTATGATTTGATACAATTTATAAGATTAAATGCAGAACTATATATTTTTCAGGTTTGTGAGCCAATTTCCTTTATATAGATTGGCCCTTAGTCCTAATAAACTTTGTGGCAGTTTTAAACTAGTTTGAACCGACAACCTCTACATGTTTGCACCATTGAAATGTGTCCAAAAATCCTTTAGTATTTAGTTTGTTCTAGAAACTTACCATATGGTTGTTTAGGGTCTTTATGAGATATTTTTATTTATGTATATACAGTATGTATTCACAGTCATATGTTTATACCACTTATGTAATCAGAGTAGCCATCATAGATATATCAAAGCATGGTTCATCATATCCATTTAAGTTACTACATAATTAACTTTCATGGCATTGTGTATATGACAAAATGCCACTTTTAATGATGAGATACATTTCTCCTTTATCGTTATATGTCCTATATGTAATATAAATTAAACAAAAAACCAAGCTAATATATGAATTTTCAAATTAAATAAAAACAAAAGATTTGTATCTTTGATGTCAACTTTGGTTATTAGGAAGAGCTGCAGAATTCATAGATTTTTAAATCTCTCTCTCTCTTTTTTTTTTTTTTTTTTAAGATGGAATCTTGGTCTGTCACCCAGGCTGGAGTGCAGTGGCGCAGTCTTGGCTCACCACAACCTCCACTTCCCGGGTTCAAGCGATTCTCTTGCTTCAGCCTCCCAAGTAGCTGGGACTACAGGTGTGTGCCAACACGCCAGGATAATTTTCGTATTTTCTGTAGAGACAGGGTTTCTCCATGTTCATCAGGATGGTCTCAAATTCCTGACCTCAAATGATCTGCCTGCCTGGGCCTCCCAAAGTGCTGGGATTACAGGCATGAGCCACCGTGCCCAGCCAGGTTTTATGTTCTCATTATGTGATTTTAGCCCAATATGGCTAGAAAATATAAAAAATGTAGAGCAGATTATTTTCCATTATTTTGTGGTTCTTAGATTGTTCATTTTAAAATATTGTGTGTGTATATATAGTTACATATATATAGAAAGAGAGACAGAGAGAGAGAAAAGTGGAGTGCATAAACATTCATCTGGATAATCCCAATAAAAAGAGTTTATTTCAATTATTCAGATGTTTTAAACCTTGATTTTGCATTTTGTTTTGTGGAGACTCAATCGGTGTTTCTTTATACACAACCCTGTTATTTATATGGCTTATAGCTTAGGGTGCTATTAAACACCTTATCTTATTTGAACTTCATGGTACCCTTGCATGGGCAGGCTAGTTTCCTTCCTCACTCTTAAAGGAAGGGCCAAAATTATTTAGAAATTTGCCCAAGTTTATGGGGTCAGTAAACAGCAGGGGCAAGAAGAGAAACAAGCACTACTAGGAAACTGTATTGTTTCTACTTTAATATGTTAATTACAAAATATACAACATAAATATTTAAGTTTAGGAATATAATAAATAGTCCTTTCAGAATAATAACAACATATATGATATATATGAATAAATTTAACAATAAATGTGCAGGCCTATTTGAAGAAAATGGCCAGATTTTACTGACAGACATAGAAAAACTTTGAATAAGTGGTGAGAAAGATGTTTTTGGAGAGGAAGAAGTCAACTTTCTCCAAATTAACCTATAAACTTCACACTTTTCTAATCAAAATCCCAGTGGGACTTTTTTTAGAACTTGTCCAAAAGATTCTAAAGTTTATCTGGAAAATAAGTTAATGAATAGCCATAATTTTTTTTTATTTTTAAAGAAGAGCAATGCCCTTACCAGATTGTTAAATGTACTGTTAAACCGTAAAAATAATATGCAGTAGCATTGTGCCAGACTAGAAAGATATGTGAAACAGAACAGAAATGCAGAAACAGGTCAACTGTATTGGAATTTAATATATAATAGAGATAACATTTCAAACCAGTTAGGAAAGAGTGGATTATTGAATAAGTGGTGTTGGAAGCAACTGGGAACAACCTCACACCTTATACCAACCTAAATTCCAGATGAGTTAAATATTTATATGGAAAAACTGAACTTACAAATCTACTGGAAAAAAATATAAGTGAATATTTGTATACCCAGAGAAACAATTTCCTAAGGCCTAATACCAAAGAAAAAAGGTTAATAAATGGGAGTATACAAACATGTTAAAATTTAATATGGCCTAATTACCATAATTCAAATTAAAAAGATAATCGACAAACATAGGACTAATAATGTTGATAATAGTAATCTTATCAATTCATAAGAAAAGTATGAATATGATAATATAAAAATAAGCATAGAGCAAGTGTAAATAACTCACTACAGGAGAACTACAAATAAACAAATCAAAAACGTTTTCTAGATTAACAAAATATGCAAATTAAGGCAAAGCAGTGGTTTTTGCCTCTCAGTTTAAAATCATTAAGAACAGTAAGAGGCATGATTGTTTGAAGTAAAAGGAAATGGGATATTTCATTCACTACTGACAAATTGGTACAGTTCTCTGGAGAGAAAGTTTGCTATTTGCATAAAGAAACTTTAGGATATTTATACCATTTCATCCAGTTGTTCTACTTCTATGGAATTACAGTAAGGACAGACTTAAGTATGTGGAGATAAGATCTTTTCACAATTGTTGTTGAATAACAAGAAAGCAACACTAAAATCTAAAGGAAAATAAAGTACTTAACATTTATATAATAAAATATTAAGTATTTTTATTATTAGCTTTTTAAAATAATGATGCAGAAATATTTTCACAACAAATTTTAAGTTTAAAAAGTCATGTTAATTACAAGTATTGTATAATTTTATTTTTTCATATACTTAGAGGGAAAGACCTGGAATAATTTTTGGGATCATAGGTTTAGGGATAATTTTTGTTTTTATCTTTGCTGTCTATATTTCCTGTGATGAATACATATTACTTATGCAATGAAATACTAGAAGCTTAAATATATACATGCATTTTATTTAGCACAGAGTACTAGATCGCTTCTGTTTCTCTTGTAAATTAAAAATCATACAGTGATTTTTATCAAATATTGGGCAAAATTTTGTCGAATATCAAATATTGGACAAAAATTAAAACACAAAATATTTTAAGAATTGCATACGGCCAGCTTTGCAAGTGCCTATTACACATTGATTGTTAAGTCAGAATGTTGTGAATATCTTCCTGTTAAAAAATTAAATGTCTATTTGAGAGAATATGCAATAGGACATGTAGTATGTAGACTTTGATTTCTACAACTTTACTCCAGTGTTGACTTTGACAGGTGTCAGACTTTGTATGGTCTGTGTATACGATGTGGTGACACTATATTATCAATAATATTTTGTTACTTTTATCTGATACTCATGGATGTAATCTAGCATCAGCCTAATGGAATACATGTTTTTTGAGGTAGCATCTCACACCTTTAATAGAGAGCTGGGACTAGATTGAGGTGTGAGGCACTAGCTTAGTGAGACGGGATAGTTTCCTTGACCCCCTTCGCAGGCAGGAACTGAAGTGGCTCTTTTCACTCATCTCGCTGCTGGCCACTCCTTGCAGCGCGGCGCATGCCAGTGAGCCAGCGCAGGAACTGTAGCGAACTAATGCTGGAAGCTGCCAGTCACTCCTCTTTGGTGGGAGCAGGCTCTTTGCAGGCCCCGCAGCAGCATCCAAGCGTGTTAAAACCAATGCTCTTTCAGCTCTGCTGTCCAGGGACAGCCAAGTGCCAGCCAGCTCAGTGGAGGGTCAGGGTGGCAGGGTTCTTTCGGCACCTGGGTTCTTGTTCTGCATCAGGAAGAATTAAGTCATACGAACTGGTTCAAAGGTGATGAATGCGGAAGACTCTATTGAGTGGTGGGTGGCTCTCAACGGAAAGGGAGGCTGGAAAGCGGATGGAAAGTTGATCTTTCCCTGAAGCCTGGCTGTCTGGGGCGGGGCCCCTCTCTGAAGCGGCACCATCTTAAGTTAGCTATGTCTGTCTGTAGTCTCCAATACTCAGTTGCTTCTCTCTGCTCGCTGCTCAGCCGCTTGTATCTTCAACGCTCAGCCACTTGTGTTGTTCTGCCAGATGAAGTCTTTTATGGGCACAGGATAGGGACGGGGCAGGCCAAAAAGGCAACATTTGGGCGGAAAAATGTGGCCGGCTGTTTTCACTTAGAGCCTTGGTTCCAGGCTTAAGGGTGGAGTTTAGCTGAGAGCCCAGCCCTTCTGTATCACTAGGGCACAAAATTTAAGGTGGCACCAAAAACAAATAAATAAAAACACACTGCTCAATAAGTACCCCCCCCGCCACCGACCGCGGTAAACAAGACAAATAATATTTTCATGCAATATTTAAAAAATAAAAATTAATGAGAAAAAAGCCCTGACAAACAAAATATCAAAAAAATTAAACACAAAATCAGTATTTCTGATTTTTCATTTTGCCACATGCTCCAATGTGGCTCTGCCAAGCACTGATTTTAGAGGCTTCTAAGAACAAGATCAAAAGAATATTTAGAAATGTCTTTGAGAATGTGAACTTCTCAACTTTTGGTCTTGTGTAGGTTCATAGAAACAGTGGTAAATAGAAAAGAAAACTATTTTGAACTTCTGCTAGTTTTATTCCTTGAAGTAGCCAGTTCTAGATGGCCAAAGAGCTAGTATTCTAAACACATTTTGGGTAGCTGGAGAAAACACAATGGAGTGTTGGATTTAATTACATTTTATAGATAGAGTAATGGACCATCTCCTCCTTCAATTCCCCGCTCTATTCCCAAAGAGTAGTAGCTCTGATATGCTATAGTTGGGCCCTGGTGGTAGAGAACAGGGCTTTCAGAGAAAGGAGCCATGAGTGGTAAGCATCACCTTCTTTATGGAATGCAGTATTGACTCTTCTTCCTTTTGAATTTCTTTGTGTTCCTCCTTTCCCCACCCTTAGACTTCTTTATTACCATGAGAGGAACAGTAGGGTACAAAGATTAAGAGTGCAGTCTTCTGGAATTAAACTGCCCAGATCCAAATCCTAGCTTCATCATACCAGCTAAGTGGCCTTGGGCAAATTACTGTACTTCTCTGAACTTTAGCTTTAATCATCTGTGAAATGGGCCTCTTAAGGTTTTGAAAATTAGATTACTCAGAGCATGAAAAGGGCTTAGAACAGGATCTGACTCACAGGAAATACTTTTAACGATTGTTGTAACACATAAAGAACGTGGAGTGTTCCTTCCAAACTGTTATGTTAGTTCTAGTTTGGCAGGGGGAAGATAGCAAAGAAGTTTGAGCCAAAGACTCAGTGATATTTGTGAACTTGATTCGTGTCCTCTAAAATGTGTAAGTGCATACTTTCTCTGTCATTTAGAGACTTATAGCTGGAGAAATGGGCTAAGATTTCAGATTTCCAAATGTTGGATTTCTTTATACTTAAATAATTATTATCAATAAGTTTTTATTTGGACTAGTTTTGTTTGGAGTAGTAATTTAAAATAAAATAAATATATTTTCAAAGAATGAAATCTGAAGTTATAAACAGGAGTGTTATTTACATTTTTGTACATTAAGTTAGCATTTAAGAACGTTTAGCCATTTGCATAAGAATTCAGTATTTGAAAGCATTAAATAATACAAAATTTTCAAACCCTCCATGCTAATTTTTCATATTTGAACTTTCTGGAATGCCTTTTCTGCCCACTTGTTGTCCATGTCCAAGTAGAATCTTTTAAAATTCTGAACTATGGTGATAGGTTTTGTGTAGAAGAGATCCACAGATAGGTTTATTTATCTTAAAATGTAACTCAATATTCTGAAGTCATACTGAAAAATTCTGTGGACAGTAAGTAGTTTCAGATGCTAACGATTTTCAGGGATGAATCACATGACAGCTGAAAAAATACCATGGAAACATCATAGACTAGAAGTAGGCATGTGAGTTCCATATTACTGCATGAGAAAGCATATATAGATATAGATATAGATATAGATATAGATATAGATATAGATATAGATATACACATATATATGGATATATATATAGATACACATATATATATGGGGGATTCATTTTATAACTTTTTCAAAATCCACACACATATATATATATGTATGTATTTTAGAAGTTAAGAGGAAAAGAAAGGTGTAATAAAAGTACTTTATATGTTTTGGTATACTTAAATCCATATACATTATGTTTATAATTATAAATATGTTCTCTAACATTTTCTTAATATTTGGCCAGACAATTGCTGTGATGATGGCACATACCCGATCACAGAATTAAACTGCATTGTGAGTTTGTGCCACAGCCCATGGTGATGGAAAAGGAGATTGAACCTAAAGATTCTCCAGGACTGGAGCTCTGTCTACTATTTGCTAATGAACTTTAGAGGCTGCCTGTGGGAGTGAAATTGTTATAGTGTATCATATTGGTGGTTAATCAGAATTTATAACCACAGGAAATAGTTTTATAATTCTGGACTTCTTGTATAAAATTCTGTTGGGGTAGAGTGTGTTTTTCGTACTTCTCTGACAAAGATGCATCTGGTACTTCCCAGGCCATTTATCTGACCTGAGTTTTCCAGTTTAATCGGATTGAGGGAGAAGGGAGGGATTCCCATGATCCGTCAAGGAAAGAGTATTTTAGCAATAATTTTGCCTTTAAAAACGCTAAAATCTAAAGAGAGTAAAGATCAAATCTGGAATAAATATTTGAAATAAAGAAGTGCCGAAGAACACTGTGTGCTTAGGAGGTTTTGAAAAGACACTTAAGAATGCGAGGAGGATATCTGCGTTGGCCTGGTTCTAGTACAGATTTCCAGCCCCAGCTTTTTCCAGCAATGCTTGGTGGTTATTTTACTCAACCTTCCTTACATTTCCTATAATTGCTATTAAAAATCTCACCCATTTCCAACTTGAGCCCTTTTATTACCACAAACCTAAGTAAAATCTCCTTGCCTCTGAAGCCATTAAGAAAACAATTTCCACTGGGTGTGAAGTCATTCTACACATTTTTTTTTTTTTTGTCTTCTTTCTTCCCTGCTGCAGAGAAATTTCCATTCTCCTTCACTAGGGAGAATTAGCAGTGTTTGAAGCCACGTCCTCAGGACATTTTTTCAATACGTGTCCCCACCCCACCCCCTCGCCTCTGCCACATTGCATGTATTTTTGAACCCTTATCTTTTTTGCTAGCTCGTTTTTCGTCAAAACTTCCTCACCCTAAACAGATACTTTCTCATATGACTGCTTTTCTTTACTAGCTACACTGTGTTTCTTTCTCTTGTTACCTAGATTCTTTTAAAAAGCAATGGTCCTACTGTCTCTTTTTTCTTATCGCTTACTGATTTACTTTTTTATTTGTTTGTTTTAAAGTTTATAGACTTATTTGTCCCTCTTCCAACTAGCCATCTTCCAGTCACTCATCTGAATCTTCAGCCTGCTTGTCATATTTGCACATTCCCACTCTTAACACTTCTTGCAATTCTTGTTTTCTGGCTTCCAGATAGCATTCTCTCCTGGGCTTCTTATTATTTTTATACTTGTTTTTCCTAAGACTTCTTTGCTGGCTTTTCTTCTGTTAAATGATACTTTTCAAAAGGTAAAAACATAACTCTGACGTAAGTATAAAATGGACACATAAAGAATTTTATTCAACTCATTAATGAAGGAGAGAGATGCTAAATCTTGTTCAAAAAGCTTTGTAAAGGGTAGGGTGTGTGAGTATGTGTGTGATGTCAATTTAATAAACATTAGGACAAAACTGCTGAGTTAGATGATTAATCAAGTCTCAAATATCTCATAGGACAATAAGTCATATTTTTGTCGTTAATTTTTTATCTTACAGCCCAATTGAGTTTTCACACATCCACTTTCTTCCTCAACATTTCATTCTTGTTTATGGTGCTTGAGCATTGTGTTAGCTTCCTATTGCTGCCATTAAAAATTACCACAAACTTGTGGCTGAAAGCATCACAAATTTATTATCTTACAGACCTGGAGGTCAGAAGTTCAAAATGGGTTTCACTGGACTAAAATCAAGGTGTCAGCATGACTGTGTTGCTTCTGGAGGCTCTAGGAGACAATCCATTTCCTTGCTCTTTGCCGTTACAGGAGGTTGCCCATATTCCTTGATTCATGCTTCCTTTCTTTCCTCTCGAAAGCCAGCAACTGCAGGTTGAATGTCAAATCGTTGGAATATCTTTAAGGGGCCATTATTCTGCCTAACACAGCCACGTTAGATTTTTCATGAAGGAATTTTTATTAGGTGTTCCACTGACCATACAATTTACTATATTATTATTATACATTCTATGCTTAGCCTTATTTTTGGTAACAAAACACTGAAAGTGATATTGGATTATTGGATCATTTGCTTGGTTCTTTGCTATCAACACTGAAATGTTTGTGATTCATTTGAGAAAAAGATGAAAAACTAAAAGAAAAGAAAGCTTCTATAGCCATTTCTTCCTGATAGTCTTTGCAAGATCTCACTCATTTGATCCTCACTACCAGATATTGAGTGTCCTTCACTCTACTAAAACCTTCTGGGTAGTCAAGAAATTGTTTATTTGAAATTAGTTTTAATTGTACCCATAAGCCATGCAGTTTTTGTTTTTATTTTCCTAGAGACAGAGTCTCACTCTGTTGCCCAGGCTGGAGTGTAGTGGGTCATTCATAGCTCACTGTAGCCTTGAACTTCTGTACTCATGGGGTCCTATAGCCTCAGCATCCAAGTAGCTAGGACTACAGGATTGTACCACCATATACAGCTAATATTTTTTATTTTTTTGTAGAAATAGGGGTCTCACTTGTTGCCCATGCTGGTTTTGAAATCCTGACCTCAAGCGATTGTCCTGCCTCAGCCTCCAAAACTACTGGCATTACAGGCGTGAGCCACTGCACCTGGCTGCCATGCAGTTTTGATGCTCACTTAGGAGAAGTAATCAGTTGGACTACAAATTTTAGAAAAATAAAGAGAAAAGAGCTCTCTGGTTAGCATATGTCTCTTGCTTACAGACCTGATTCTTCAGAAGAAGTCAGCAACACCTCATTTTATTGCTTCAGAGATAATTAATTCTGATGGACAAGTGACATGGTGTGATAACAATATGTATTATGTATTCTTAAAATTGAAGCTTTTTTCAGTGCTTTTAATTTGACTTTGGATTTTCTAAATGCTACAAAGCTAAACTTGGAGGAGAATGTATAAACATGACTAATGGGAATGTGCAAAGGAGAATGAAATAACATTTTAATTAAAAAGAAAGTGGACTTGAAATTTGCTAATAAAATAGATTTTAAGTATTCTTACCACTCATATATACACACGTCAAAAACCACGTGAAATGATGTAGATGTTATTTAGCATGATTTTGGTAATCATTTCACAATGTATATGTATAGTAAAACATCACACTGTATACCGTATACCTTAAATATATACAATTTTATTTGTCAGTTGTACCTTAATAAAGCTGAAAGGAAAGCAAAAGTGAATTATAGGCATATTCTAGAGCACTATAGAAAAATAACATTTGGCCATTATATTGAAGGCATATTTATAATCTCTACAATAATTAAGATATTTTATTCTTCTTTTCTCTCGTGGACAGTGTAAACCAATACAAAAAATAATTTCATTTTAAGGTTCTAGAATTTTAGGTGTTTGAAATCAAGCAGTTATTAATAGATGCTTATGTTACAAATCAACATTAAACATGTATGTATTGGTTTGAATTAATTCATGTATTAGAAAGTAGGAATTTAATAAACTTTGAAGTAAAGATTATGAGTTTGAAGCTTCTCATAGGTGGATTAAACAAGTATTTTTAAAACTAAAACCTGACTTGAAAATATAACTTTTAAAAATAGTACTTAATTTATTGGTTTGTATTTGCAAAGTAGTTTTATGACTGTTGAGTACTCTTTTAATTCTCATTTCACATAAAAATAATAAAGAATAAAAATTTCAGTGGATTACAAGGGGTCACATATCTCTATTAGAGTAATGTAGAAGATCTCAAAAGACTTATTTTAGAGTGCTGGAATAATTTTAGCTTTTTTTTTTTTTTTGAGATTTTTTTGAGATGGTGTCTAGCTCTGTTGCTCAGGCTGGAATGCAATGGCGCGATCTTGTCTCACTGCAACCTCTGCCTCCCAGGTTTAAGCGGTTCTCCTGCCTCAGCCTCCCGAGTAGCTGGGATTACAGGCACCTGCCATCATGCCTGGCTAATTTTTGTATTTTTAGTGCAGACAGGGGTTTCACCACATTGGCCAGGCTGATCTCGAACTCCTGACCTCAGGTGATCCCCCTGTCTCGGCCTCCCAAAGTGCTGGGATTACAGGCATGAGCCACCATGCCTGGCCAATTTTAGTTTTAATTAAAATAGAAATATCAACTTTTTGTTCCTCAATATATTTAAGTTTGGTATTTTCATTTTAATCAGGTTCTAAAAATCCTGGTACCCTGGTGATTGATTATGGACAATTTTCAGTTTATCTCATTAGACTTTAATAAGAATCTTTATTTTGCATTCTTGGTGGAATGCAATTATATGAAAGAGTAGACAATATTGTCCACTAATAATTGAAAATTTATTCCCCAAAGACCATGAAATATAATCAATTAATTTGCAAGCCCTACCACTTATAATCCAGAGCCACTAAAAATTAAATTACAGTGAATGATTTTGGTTATAACGAGAAAGTCATGTATATATTTTTAAAAAACTCAAACTCTCACCCTGCAAAGATTTACTACAAAGCCCAGGGCTATTAATAGTATTAAAACACATTCTTGGCCACTTGATTTACGTTTTTGGGATACCATTCCCTATCCCACAACACTTGTAACTCTTTCAGTATTCAGATACACTTTGTTGCACCTGACCCCCTCCTTTAAGCAGTTAAAAAAAATCCCTTTTGTGGTCCAGGGGAATACACTCAGGGCCTAAGTTTATATTGAACTCGAGCTGCTAGAGTGGCAGTGGTTTTTATTATTATTATTGTTTTATTTTTCTGCTGGTAACAAAGCCTCCATTCTTCTAAAGCATGCATTTTCTGCAATGTGCTTCAGGTCTAGATTCATGAGTCTAGGGAGGCTTATTTTTTTTAAGCTATTGAGAAAATCTTTCTTTTATAAGACTGACTTTTATTTCTAATGTTGCAAAGCTGTTAGTATATATATATATAATACATAATATATAAATATATATATAATACATAATATATAAATATATGTATATATCTTGAGTTTTAATCAGCTACTTGCCCACTACTTAATGAAAACCTGCCTGATAGATGGAGAAACTGAGCTGTGAATGACATCTTACAAGCACCTGGATCCAGTTATACCCCAGAATTTTCAGTTAAATAATAAAATACATGCCTTTTTAAAATGTATTTATCATTCCAATTCTATTTTGTCGAAAAACTAGTTTAAATTTAACTTTACATCTGAAAGAGTACTAATACTATTATACTTTTCTGCCTCTCTTTTTGATTTTATTTATTTATTTATTTATTTTTTAGTATCTATTGGTCATTCTTGGGTGTTTCTCGGAGAGGGGGATTTGGCAGGGTCACAGGACAATAGTGGAGGGGAGGTCAGCAGATAAACATGTGAACAAAGGTCTCTGGTTTTCCTAGGCAGAGGGCCCTGCTGCCTTCCGCAGTGTTTGTGTCCCTGGGTAGTTGAGATTAGGGAGTGGTGATGACTCTTAAGGAGTATGCTGCATTCAAGCATCTGTTTAACAAAGCACAACTTGCACCGCCCTTAATCCATTTAACCCTTAGTGGACACAGCACATGTTTCAGAGAGCACGGAGTTGGGGGTAAGGTTATAGATTAACAGCAGCCCAAGGCAGAAGAATTTTTCCTAGTACAGAACAAAATGGAGTCTCCTATGTCTACTTCTTTCTACACAGAAACAATAACAATCTGATCTCTCTTTCTTTTCCCCACATTTTCCCCTTTTCTATTAGACAAAACCGCCATTGTCATCATGGCCCCTTCTCAATGAGCTGTTGGGTACACCTCCCAGACGGGGTGGCGGCTGGGCAGAGGGGCTCCTCACTTCCTAGACGGGGCTGCCGGGCAGAGGGGCCCCCCCACCTCCCAGACAGGGTGGCGGCTGGGCAGAGGGGCTCCTCACCTCCCAGACGGGGCTGCTGGGCAGAGGGCCCCCCACCTCCCAGACGAGGTGGCGGCCGGGCAGAGGGGCTCCCCACTTCCCAGACCGGGGGGCCGGGCAGAGGCGCCCCCCACCTCCCAGACGGGGCGGCGGCCGGGCATAGACGCTCCTCACTTCCCAGACGGGGTGGCTGCCGGGCAGAGGGGCTCCCCACTTCCCAGACGGGGCGGCCAGTCAGAGACGCTCCTCACCTCCCAGACGGGGTGGCGGTGGGGCAGAGACACTCCTCAGTTCCCAGACGGGGTCGCGGCCGGGCAGAGGTGCTCTTCATATCTCAGACGGGGCGGTGGGGCAGAGGCGCTCCCCACATCCCAGATGATGGGCGGGCGGGCAGAGACGCTCCTCACTTCCTAGACGGGATGACGGCCAGGAAGAGGCGCTCCTCACTTCCCAGACTGGGCGGCCGGGCAGAGGGGCTCCTCACATCCCAGAGGATGGGCGGCCAGGCAGAGATGCTCCTCACCTCCCATACGGGGTGGCGGCCGGGCAGAGGCTGCAATCTCAGCACTTTGGGAGGCCAAGGCAGGAGGCTGGGAGGTGTAGGTTGTAGCGATCCGAGATCATGCCACTGCACTCCAGCCTGGGCAACATTGAGCACTGAGTGAGCAAGACTCCGTCTGCAATCCCGGCACCTCGGGAGGCCAAGGCTGGCAGACCACTCGCGGTCAGGAGCTGGAGACCAGCCCGGCCAACACGGTGAAACCCCATCTCCACCAAAAAATATGAAAACCAGTCAGGTGTGGCGGCGCGCGCCTGCAATCCCAGGCACTCGGCAGGCTGAGGCAGGAGAATCAGGCAGGGAGGCTGCAGTGAGCCAAGATGGCGGCAGTAGTCCAGCCTCGGCTCGGCATCAGAGGGAGACCGTGCAAAGGGGAGACGAGGACCGTGCAAAGGGGAGAGGGGGAGGGGGAGCTCTTTTTGTCATTCAACGTATTGTGATCCTGGGTATCAAAGCTTCTCCTGTTAGTGAAGCAGACAATACAACAAGAAAATTCTTTTGACTTATCAAATGTCTCACTTAAAAAAATAAGCATTAAAAAGTCAGGAAACAACAGGTGCTGGAGAGGATGTGGAGAAATAGGAACACTCTTACACTGTTGGTGGGACTGTAAACTAGTTCAACCATTGTGGAAGTCAGTGTGGCGATTCCTCAGGGATCTAGAACTAGAAATACCATTTGACCCAGCCATCCCATTACTGGGTATATACCCAAAGGACTATAAATCATGCTGCTATAAAGACACATGCAGACGTATGTTTATTGCGGCATTATTCACAATAGCAAAGACTTGGAACCAACCCAAATGTCCAACAATGATAGACTGGATTAAGAAAATGTGGCACATATACACCATGGAATACTATGCAGCCATAAAAAATGATGAGTTCATGTCCTTTGTAGGGACATGGATGAAATTGGAAACCATCATTCTCAGTAAACTATTGCAAGAACAAAAACCAAACACCGCATATTCTCACTCATAGGTGGGAATTGAACAATGAGATCACATGGACACAGGAAGGGGAATATCACACTCTGGGGACTGTGGTGGGGTGGGGGGAGGGGGGAGGGATAGCATTGGGAGATATACCTAATGCTAGATGACGAGTTAATGGGTGCAGCACACCAGCATGGCACATGTATACATATGTAACTAACCTGCACAATGTGCACATGTACCCTAAAACTTAAAGTATAATAAAAAATAAAAATAAAAAAAAAAGCACTCATAATGTTTCAGATTCTCTTTCAGGCATGGTATCAATGCAATACTAGTAAATCAGGTGTGAAACCAGGAAATCACATAAAGAGTGTCCAATAGCATATTTTCTTTTCATAGTTTTCCTAGAAATATCTGAAATATTGGATAGTATTAAAAATCAAAATGCTATCAAACAGCATATGGCTAAGTTGTATAGAAATTGAACTCAGTTTGAAAAATCCATTTACTTGACTAACGACACATATTTTATTTCTTTCTCTAGGCTGGAACAAACTCCTTCTTAACTTCTGTGCATGTCTTGACCTTGCTGTTGCATTCATTATTTCATTTTTATCAAAACCCTTTGCAAACTGAATCGGAGGTAGCCAGGAACTCTCAATGTATCTCCAGTTATTTTCTCCATACACATCCAGAGGCAGTCCTTTCTTATGGGCAATCTACTCGCCACTATAAATTATTAATTGGGACATTTAGAGTGATTACCCAATATAGTTCTCATAAAGCAGTTTTATAATGCAATTTGAATCAAATAATTTTGCCCATAGCCTTTCAGTTTATCAGACAGTTTAGTTCATCTGATTGGTTTAAAGAGTCTTGTACAATAGCTTTGTTGAACAAGGTAGAAATAGGCATTACACCTTCGTCACAAGTTATTCCCTTTAGTTGGCCTCATACTGCTCAATTTTAAGCATCAGCTATCCAAACTACTCAGTATCCTTTTTGAGGATAAATAGGGAAATTTATATCAAACAATATTGGCTGTAAAATCTTAGAAAAACTGTACAAACTTAAGAAATTTTTTTTTTGTTTTGCAACAATTAAGAGATTACTGGATTATCTGTTCATATTTGCTGTAAAAAAAAGATCACTGGAAATCATTTTTGTAGAATATTGTATCTTTCAACAGCTTGAATTACATAAAATAGTACTTTCTTTTGGATTAGTTCATTATGTTTTTTATAACTGATTGTTGAAAATGGTTATTTGTGTATAGCATACATTGTTATATAAAAATCAATACTGAAAGCTTTAGTTGTAGTTTTCTAAACTTGCTATTTTGGTTGAATGATGTGTTTTCCATGATTTGATTTAGACTTCTACTGAGATCCACTGAATGATTCTTCAATTGAGCATACCTTTATCCAGTATTTATGAATAATATCAAAAGACAAGGCTACTACAAAACTGTAAACCATTCTTCATTCTAAGGAAATTTAATATTTAAAATATCCTCAATATTGATGACACAACTTATTTTTCTGTTTCATGGCCTAAGTTAATTATCTAACTTTTTCAAGGTCTGACAAACTGAAGTCTTTGGGATCAAATTGAATTGGATGGGGATTTGGGTGGATCAACTCAAAATCACTTATGGGACACATACATAAACATATACACATACTCAAATATACAAACTCAGAAGATTTTATGATCTTCTGAGCATGGATCAGCAAAAGTCAAAACTTTAGTATGTGGAATCAAAAAGGTAGACACCTATTTAATGTAACTCGATAGGTGTTAAATTATATTAGCTCTACAAAATTTTCCGAATTATTTTAACTCCTCTCTTGTATAAAGCTCCTCTTCTCAAAGTGAAACACAAACTTAACTGGAGACACAATGTACCATGAAATAGTAGAAGTACTAGGTAACCATGACTTAATCTTCTAGGGAGTTAATTTTATAACAGTAAACAATTTTAATTTTAACCATTGACATAGATCTAATGCAAAATTCCAGTCATAATATATCAATTTGTGAATTCAAAAAAGTTTGCTAACTTAGTCCACTTCAGAAGAAACTTCTCTTATCATTACTAATGGTGCTTCAGCAGACCAATTTGCCAAGCTAGTGTCTGAACTGTTCTCACACACTAAAGTAGCTGGCATGGCTAACATATTTTGATTTAAGGGGGTTCTCCATCTGAAAAACACTTCTGTTGTTTATCATTTTAACCCAAATAGGTAGAATAATAGCAATCTCCTTGAGTTTTTCAATACAGTTATTAAAATGCAAATATACCATTAGAAAAGGATGACCAATTGCAATGCCATTTGTTATCACAATAACTTGTACTCTCAGCAGATAAACAACTATGTCAGGTTCTTTTGGTTTTGTCTTGTTTTTTTTTTGTTTCTTGAGATGGAGTTTTGCTCTTGTTGCCCAAGCTTGAGTGCAATGGCTTGATCTTGGCTCACTGCAACCTCTGCCTCCTGAGTTCAAGCAATTCTCCTGTCTCAGCCTCCCCAGTAGCTGGGATTACAGGCATGTGCCACCACACCTGGCTAATTTTGTATTTTTAGTAGAGACGGGGTTTCTCCATGTTGGTCGGGCTGGTCTCAAACTCCCGACCTCAAGTGATCCACCTGCCTCGGCCTCCCAAAGTGCTGGGATTACAGGCGTCAGCCACCGTGCCTGACCTATGTCAGTTTTTAAGGGAAAGAATATGTGAAATACCTATTTAGGCAAGGTAGGAAGGCAGTGGTTATCTGGAACAATCTGATTGACCTCCCATCACCAAAACAAACATTCATATATACTATTATTGAGGGTAGTCATATGACATTAAATAACTAAAAGATTGAAGAAAATATTGATAATCTAAAGATACAGTGAAGTAGGAAGTGTAAATAATTGATTGTTCAACTGGGAAGGTAAATGTGCCTAGGATTGACTGATTGGTAGCAACAATTTGGTCCATTATGAAATGAACCACAGTTGATTCATTCACCAGAGTTCAGTTTGTGAAGCTGTGTAGCTGGGTATAGGCTTTTGCAGTCTGACACAGCCTAGGCACAATTTAAGCTCTACTCCCATTGTTTTTAGTTTTCTCACTATATCAAGAAGATTTAAGGCTAAGATTATTTTAAAAGCTTAGCGTAGTGCCTAGATCTAGAAACCATTTACTATATCTTAGATTTTTTCTGATCTCTATTCTACTCTCACTAT
Organism: Homo sapiens; assembly: GCF_000001405.40. Lineage (NCBI taxonomy): Eukaryota > Metazoa > Chordata > Mammalia > Primates > Hominidae > Homo > Homo sapiens. The sequence goes on along the minus strand of NC_000004.12, from coordinate 126,766,826 downwards.
ATTTTGTTAATTTACTACTAGTTGAAAGTAATAATGTCATTGTCTAAAAAGATTTATGCATGACATTATGCTACTGCTTTCCTACTTCATGTAAGTGGAACATGGTCAACTAGTTCAAATACTCAAAAAATTTACTGCTACACATTTCAATGTACAGAATGATTTTTTACTGTGGGTTTTCCTGTTGTTTTTATCTGAAGTCTCTGCCTGTATTGAGTCAATTTTATTATCATTACGGGTACACTCAATCTTTTGGCAACATTTTGGTAGTCTCAGGGAGGGCAGCCAACCAGCAAAAAGAGCAAAGGCAGAAACAGGAGTTGATGGGGAAGGTTCAGGAAGGAAAGATCAGAAGTTCAGCCAACCAGCCAGCCAGGGGAACTCAGCTAGTTCCAAGAGGTCAGGCATCAGTCAGCCAATATTTGATAAACAAATGAACGCAGCTACTGAGCTTCAGTCAGCTTCCTTCTTCTGAGTCCCATCTTGGGAAAGGGATGATCTGACTCTTCCCTAAATTCCAGAGGGCCTTCCAACTAATCACTGTGTTCTGGAGCCAGATTCTGAAGAGCATTACATATGTGGCAAAAAATTATGTTGTTTTCACCTGCATGGGGAAGATAAAAATATGAAACAAAGTTCAAAGACATTTTAATATTTGCCGAATATCCAGATCAATAATAGTGTTACCATTTTATCATATTTGCTTAAATATCCAGATCAACAATAGTGTTACCATATTCTAAATCTCACAGAACATGTAGCTGAATTTTTCTTTATTTTCATTTATTATTTTCAATTTGCATCATTATTTTTATTTGTCTGTATTATGAAATAGCTTCAAATGTACATACAGTTTGCCAAAGGACTCCCAGGTTCCTCTTCCAAAGTAATCCCAGATTCCGGAGTCTCTGTTAACACTTCATTGCACTTGTTCTATCTCTCTTTTTCTTCCCCAAAACAAAATTGTCCTTCATGGTGTTATACATTTCTCCCAATCAAGAAATTAATATTGATATAACATTATCATTCACACCACAGATATCATTTAAATTTCATCAATTATCATAACAACATCTTTTTTCTTTCTTGACTGGGATCCTGTTCAGAAACACATGCTGCACTTAGCTGTCAGGTCTCCTCATCTTTGAATTGTTCTTCATTCTTTCCCTGTCTCTCATGTTCTGAAGAGTCTTGAGAATGCAGCCATTTCATTGTATCAATGCCCCCAACCTGGGTCTGTCTGTTTTCTCATGTCCACACCCAGGCTTTCCATTCTTGGAAAGAATATCACAGAAATGATGTGCAGGGCTCTTCTCAGTGTGTCCTACAGAGTTGGAATTGTCAGATGAAGAACTTAAAGCTGCTATTATAACTATACTTAATATGGCAAGGAAAAGTACATTCATAATAACTGAAATGATAGAAAATCTCAGTAGAGAACTAGAAACTACAATAAGAACCAAAAGAAAAATTTAGAACAAAAAAGACAATACCTGATGGCTGGGTGTGGTGGCTCACGCTTATAATCCCAACACTTTGGGAGGCTGAGGCAGGCAGATCACCTGGGGTCGGGAGTTTGAGACCAGCCTGACCAACATGGAGAAACGCTGTCTCTGCTAAAAATACAAAAGTAGCTGGACATGGTGGTGCATGCCTGTAATCCCAGCTACTCGGGAGGCTGAGGCAGAAGAATTGCTTGAACCCAGGAGGCAGAGGTTGCAGCAAACCGAGATTGTGCCATTGCATTCCAGCCTGGGCAACAAGAGTGAAACACCATCTCAGGAAAAAAAAAAAAAAGAAGAAAATGCAACACCTGAAAAAAAAGTGTTTTTACTGTATGGGCTTAAAGGTGGAATAGAGATTGGTTGAGAAGAGAAAAGCAAACCTGAAGATAGAAGATTGAGCAACAAAAATGATCCAGTTTGAAAAGAGAGAAAATTGAAAAACTTCTTTAAAAATATTTATCTGTAGATTTTTCTCAAACTAGAATTTTATTTTTGGACTTGGGAGACCTCAAGTTTTTTCTCTTATTCAAGATAAAACATTTAGTGACAATATCCTTCTTTAAAACACACTACTACAGGATTTGAGAGACACAAGCACATATACAGTAGAGCAAAAGGTAAAACCAAATCACCTGAGAAAGTAGTTAAATTTTCGACTTAGTGTATTTTCTTTGCTCTTTATCAGGACAATAGCATTGTTTCTGTACTGTTATAAAAATTTCACATTATGTATATTTTTCTGTTTGTATTTTTATATGTGAATTTTTATTCTACCATAAGTAAATAATATGAATTCTAAATATAATTATAATGTAACTTCTTCATTGGAATTTTTCATTGAATTTTTCCTACAGGTCACCCATTTTTGGTACTTCTGGAAATAGAACATGGCAAATGCATTCTTGTCATAGACTTGTGATAACATTTTATGTAGCATAAAATATTAAATAGTTTATATATGAACAATCAAACCAATATGCTGTATAATCAATAGGTTGTATAAAGATATAACATTATATAGTTTCAGTGCCTACAACCCATTAGTTTCGTTTATAATTACTAAAACCAGGTTTTGGTGTAAGAAGCTTTTATATAGAATATTTACTTTTGTGGTGAGCTTCTCTGCCACACCTTGACTATGCGGCTTTTTTTGTTTTTGTTTTTGTTTTTGTTTTGAGACAGGTTTTCACAGTGTTGCCCAGGATGGAGTGTAGTTGCACCATAATGGCTCACTGCAGCCTTGAACTCTCAATCCCAAGTGATCCTCCTGCTTCAGCCCACTGAATAGCTGGGACTACAGGTTCATGTCACTATGCCTGGCTAATTTTTAAAATTTTTTGTAGAGACAAAGTCTCATTATGTTGCACAGCTGGTCTTGAACTCCTGGGCTCAAGTGGTCCTCCCAGCTTGTCCTCCCAAATGCTGATATTACAAACATGAGCCACTGCACCTGGCCTGGCTGGAGTTTTAAAGTCCTCTGTCAATCTATCACCTTTTCTTTTAGCCTAGAACTAGCTCAGATGGTTCACATTCTCTGTAGTTTCCTCACCTCTTTACTACCTTCTTTCTTCACAGAAATTAAGTACACAGTAGTCTTTTCTCTCCAGCCTAGTCTCTGAGTTGGACTCATTGCCAAATCAATTTGTGATACCACTAAAAGAAGGAAGCTACATTTTGCTGATGGTTACTATATCATTCTGTTTTTGTTTTCTTACACTGCTTCATCTTTGCTTTTCTAAGCCAAAGAATAATTATTTCTTCCTGCGAAGCTTTGCAACAGCTCCTCACTCTTCGTTCCGTATTCCATTGCTGTATTATAATCACATTATAGGAGTTGATATGGTAAGGTTTTGTGTCCCCACCCAAATCTCATCTTGAATTGTAATCCCTGCAATCTCCATAATCCCCACATGTCAAGGGAGAGACCAGGTAGAGGTAATTGAATCATGGGGATGGTTTCCCCCAGGCTGTTCTCCTGATAGTGAGTTCTCATGAGATCTAATGGTTTTATAAGAGGCTCTTTCCTCTTCACTTAGCACTTCTTCTTCCTGCCACCTTGTGAAGAAGGTGCCTTGCTTCCCTGCATTAGTCCATTTTCACACTGCTGATAAATACATACCCGAGACTGGGAAATTTACAAAAAAAAGAAAAAAAAGGTTTAATGGACTTATGATTCCACATGGCTGGTGAGGCCTCACAATCATGACAGAAGGCAAAAAGGGGCAAGTGACATCGTACATGGATGACAGCAGGCAAAGAGAGAGAGCTTGTGCAGGGAAACTCCTACTTTTTAAAACCATCAGCTCTCATGAGGTGTATTCACTATCACAAGAACAGCGAGGGAAAGACCTGCCCCCAAGATTCAATTACCTCCCACTGGGTTCCTCCCGCAGCACGTGGCAGTTGTGGGAGTTACAATTCAAGATGAGATTTGGGTGGAGACACAGCCAAACCATATCATTCCCCTTTGCCTTCCACATGATTGTAAGTTTCCTGAGGCATCCCTAGCCATGCTAAACTGTGAGTCAATTAAACCTCTTTCCTTTTTAAATGACTCAGTCTTAGGCAGTTCTTACAGCAATATGAAAACAGGCTAATACATTGGAAATAATTAGCAAGAGAGGAAATGGAGGTAAAAAAGTACATAAGAAAATGACAGAAGTAGAGGGTTGTTTGGAATCAGGCCTTATGAAATATGAACAATTAGGAAATGTTAACCCCAGTTTGTGAAATAGGAAAAAACTGAGATGTATTATATGGGATGTATGGAGGCAGAGCCTAAGGAATTGTGAGGAAGATGCTAGGAATTAAGAACTTGTGATGTGGGCGGTTAGAATCAGCAGCTTCTGAGTCAAAAAGTAATAAAAATGTTGAATATTTAGATACAAGTCCATACATGTGCAAAAAAATAGCCTTAGTGTATGTATTATCTGCAACAGAGCAAAGTGAATTTGAATATTACCTTAAAACTTCCAAGAAGGAGATACAGAAAATTTTGTAAGAGCAATGGAAAGTAAGAGGAAATTAAAACCATAATGTCCTGGGCACATTCCACTTAAAATGTTAAACTTCTCAGTTATGTGTTCCCTGTTAATAGTAATTGATTACCTAGAAAAATATGTTTATTGGTAGTAAAATTCTCATTTAGTCAAATATTATTTTTTCATGATTCAGCAAAGCATTTATTCATTATATGTACCTTGTTAGCAAAAATGTAAATTAACTTCATTCTAATTTTATTTGATTTCTATTTTCTCCTTTTATTTCTTTTAACAGAACTAGCTATTCTTGGCTGTGATAATTGTATTTCTACTCTTTGGAAATCTTTTCTTAACTAATCTTTAATTTTATCATTCCTCTCTAATTTCTGTTGTCCTCCTTTCCCTTCCTACTTCTGTGTGTGCATACACTCACTTCATCCTTACCATCACTATCACTATCAACCATTGCAACAATGAGACACAAGGCCTATAGGAAGTGTTTCTGAACAAGGTATAGAAGGAGCTCGGAAATTTGGAGTTACTTAATAAATGTTGGATAATAAGTAATTTCTCAAAGATCTATTTAATCCATCACTTGTCATCCAATGTGGGTTAACTTAAACTTTGTGGAGCTTTATTTCCTTAACTCTAAAATTGGGAGAATTGTCCTTTTTTGTTTCTTAATTACAAAGTTGTTGTGAGCACCAAATAAAATAGTGAGAAACATTTTGAAAATTGCCCTGTGTTACATAAAGCTAAGAAAAATTTGTATCTATTCACTGTAGGCCCACAAGTGCCTGAGTAGGTAATACTTTGCCTAATTTGAAAACAAGACAAAAGAATGTATTTTAATTCTTGATGCTTTCTAATCTGTAGTAATTTAAATCTAAAGTTCAAAAATGTATAATAAAAATAGTTTGAATAAAACTATTTCAACATTTGAAACTGTTTATAACATTAGAGTAATTCTGTAAGTTTTGAGAAAAGCAAAATAACTTTTCATTTTCTAGGCCAGATGATCACAGTATCAAAAATTGTTTAAAAACTTTATTTTTTATATAATTGTGGTAAACAGCAATGTTACTCCAGGTTATATTATTTTCTACTCTAACAGCAATTTTCTAGATGAATGATGCTCATAAAACATATTAAATTGCAACAAAGGAGACAAAGAAAATTGGAACAAAATGTAAAATTTGGTTAAAGACACTGTTGACTAAGAAAAAGACTTACTAATTTAAGTTTTCTTTGGACTCTTGGTCTTCTTGGATTAATGAGGTAGCATTTTCTGTGACTGTAAATTAAACTTAAAAATACTAATATTTTCTCTACATGGTATAATTGTAATTTAAAAGTCTATCTGAGTATTATTATATTTTTAATGGAAGAAAGATGGTTATTAATGAGAATATTTGATTTTTTCTATTGACAAATATAAAGAAAAGTATGAATTTTTGGCTGTGACTTAATAATAGTCATAAAACCCCTATTCCAAAAATGTTATATGTATCTAATTTTCCTTGGTATAATTGGTAGAGAGTGTAATTTTAGGGATATTCTATTCAACCTCACCATTTTTGTACTATTTTCATAGAACTAGAATGTTATCAGTATAAAGCTATGAAAAGTATTGAGCATTTCAAATGAAACCTGTTGCTTATTTTATACTTTAAAAATCCTGCCTACATTCCTATCTGAAGTCCTCAGACTTCTAAAAAGGAATGTGTGACATTTCCAAATATACAACAAGGGGATTAAAATAAATTGCCCTTCTGTTGTTTATTATAACTTATGGTACGTAAGTAAACATATTCATTATTTCAAAAAGTTATAAAATTGTACAATTGTCATTGCAAAATCTATTATAAGACATATTAAATACCATATGATTTCTGTCTCTTCTGCCCATCTCATCTCCCTTCTCTTACTGGTATTCTGAATATTATAGTACAAGTCTGTAAATTAGGCTTTGGTTTTCTACATAAGACTTCCTGAAACTGATGTTATCCCCCAGTCTGACAATCTTTGCCTTTTATATGCAGTATTTACTTTGCTTACATTAAAAATGTTTAGGTTTTAACTATAATTATTTGTTTTTTATTTGTCCTGTCTGGTCTATACAATTTTTTTCTCCTTTTTAAAAAAATAGACTCTAACTTTTAAATCAGTTTTAGGTTCACAGTAAAATTGAGTGGAAGGTACAGAGAGTTCCTGCATACTCACCGCCCCCATACATCACACATGCATAGCTTCTGCCATAATCAACTTCCCCTGCCAGAGAGGTATATTTATCACATTTGATGAATCTGTATTGACACATCATAATCACTCAAGGTCCATATTAAGGTTCATTCTTATTGCTGTATTTTCTATGGGCTTGGATAATTTAGTGACTTGTAAACATCATCATAGTATCACACAAATAGTTTAACTGTCCTAAAAGCCCCCAGTCCTCCACCTATTTATCCCTCCCTCTACCGTAACCCCTGGGAAACAACTGAATTTTTTTGTATTTTGACTTTTCCTGAATGTCATGTAGTTGGAATCATATAGTTCATAGCTTTTTCAGATTGTCTCCTTTCACTTAGTAATAAACATTCAATTCCCTCCTTGTCTTTACATGGCTTGAAATATATATGTTGTCTAGGTTGACCTATTTTTAACATTTGCCCTGTTTGCTGTCTCTACTTATCTACACATACCTCTATCCATCCATCCTTTTTGTTCTTCTTGTTGAACTATTTGAAATTAAGTTTGAGACATCATAACATTTCTCCCTGAAATAATTCAACTTGCATGTCCTAAGAAGAAGGACATTATCCTACATAATGGTATTAGAGGAATAACTCAAGAATATTATTTCAATGCTTAACATTTATTCAGTAATATAGCTTAGAATATAACAAACATAATCTTGCATTGCTGAGGGGAGCGTAAATATATTCAATAATTTTTTGAAAACTTTGGCAGTATTTTCCAAAATGAAGATGTAAATGCTCTGTGATGCATCATTTTTATTCTAGGTATAAACTAAACAGGAATGCATACAAAGTATAAACACCAGAGTGATGTCAGAAAGACGGCAGAATAGGACCTTCCAGTGCTCGCCTCCTCACAAAAACATCAAGTAGAACAACTATCCATACACAAAATATCTTTATAATAATTAAGAAATCAAGATCAGCAATTGCATAGCAGAAATAAGTAAGACACACTGAAGAGGGCAGGAAGAATAGCGTCACATTACCCATGTTACTCCTTTCTCATGCCCCGACAGCATCTGCATGACAGAAGGAGAGTGCACTGAACACTTGACTTCACCATGGACCCCAGCACCAGGTCCATCACAGGCCCTGTCATCAGGTCAGCTCTCAGGGCCTGAGGCTGTAGGTCAGCACCTATAGACAGGGCCTTCAGAACCACCACAGCATGAGTCTAGCCACTCTGTCCCAGGCTCCAGACTGGTTTCCACAGACTCATGCTCCAGGTCTACCCCAGTGCCAGGACACCCACTGCAGCCCCAGGCTCCAGTCCAGTCCCTGTGGCCACAGGATCCAGAAGCCATAGGGTCCAGGCCTGCTCCAGAAGATCCAGGGTACAAGTTTATCCCAGTAGAGCCTGGTGCTGGGCCAAGGTCAACAGTCCCAGGCTCCAGGCTGATGCTCATTGCCACAGGCTCCAGTGAACCCAGGATCCAGGGCCGTGCCAGAAAACCCAGGGTCAGGCCTACCCCAGTAGAACCTCGAACTGGGTTGCCTCCTGCTGACTTAGACTCAAGGACTATAGGCTCCAGGCCCACCCCAGTGGACCCAGGAGTCAGGCTGGCCCCTAAGGTTGCAGAATTAAGCCCATCCCTGTGGACCCAGGCTTCAAGTCTACACATCTGCTGACCCAGGAACCAGGCCAGCCCACCCAAACACTCCAGCAGCAAACCTGCTCACAGACCCTGACACCTAGCCCACTCAGAATTCTGGATGGACAGTTGGATGAAGAGCTTTCCTTACCGAAGCCAGTTTTTATAGAATTGAAGATCTTAGTTCTTTAAATGCACAATGAAGCAAGTCCACAAGAATTAAAAATAATTGGAAAAACACCACCAAAGGAAAAAAAAATAAATCACTAGTAATGGACACTAAAAAAATGGCAATCTGTAAGTTGCCCAAAAGATAACTCTAATTATCTGAAGAAGCTCATTGAGCTATAAGAGAACACAGATAGATGACTAAATGTAATCAGGAAGACAATACATGAGCAAAGTAAGAGGTTGAACAAAGAGATAAAATCACATATCCAAAGAAAATAAAATCAGTATCTCAAAGAGATATCTTCACCCCAGTAATGGTTACAGCAGTATTCACAATAGCCAAAAGATAGAACCAACCTAAATGTTCATCAATGTATGAATGAATGAATCAAGTTAAGCAAGATGAATAAATTCTGGAGATGCAGTGTACAGCATGGTGACTATAGTTAATGATACTGCAGTGTATATTTGAAATTTATTAAGAGAGTAGACCTTAAATGTTCTTAGTATACACAAAAAAGATAACTGTATGAGGCAGTGTATATATTAGTTAGCTGGATTGTGGTGATCATTTCACAATGTATACATCTATTAAAACATCGCTTTGGTGGAATAAAAATAAAACCTGATGCCCCCAAGAGACAGAATGGAACCCTCTTAGCTACAAATACTTCAGCAAAACTTTAAGTAAGTTTCCTGGATTTCAGGAGACAGGAGGTTAGACACACCTCAGTACCCATCCTCCCTTTGGCTAACTGACTTTCTATTCTAAAAGATAAACAGAAACCAGCATGTGAGAAACAAACACTTGAAAGATCCCTCCACTGACTTCAACAGACCACCTGACACTGAGGCCAGACTCACATCCCTTTTAGTGGGTTCACCATGACAGCTGACCAGCTTTATAAAGCATTCCTTCCTGATAACTGACCACTGACCACAAAATGGTTGTATCCAGTTTGCAGAGATTGTGTACAAAGTGCCTTTGTGATCTGTTTCACTTTTTGACATAGAGAGCCTAATTTTAATACATTTTAATGTTAAGTCTCACCCCCCAAAGTATACATGATCATATGTAACGTATATGTTTATTCACTATGTATAAGTTTGGACTCCCTCATAAATATTCATAAGATTCTCATATAATCTACTGAACATGTATGTATAGCTAATGTCATTGGGCATAAATCTCAGCCTCTTCCTTTTGTCTCTGAAGTACTTGTCTTCAGTTTTGACCAGAGGCTACACTTCCCAGCATACAGCTTGCAACCCTTTAAAAAATAAAGTTCTTCTTTCTCTAAACTTATAGATCTCACTATTTTAAGTACATACTTTCTACACCATAAATACATACGATTCTTGTTAATTGTACATCAACAAAGCAGGAAAAATAAATAAATATATACCTGATAGATAGCACTGAGTACAGGTGATGTGATGTAACAGAAATTCTATTGTTGCTAGGAATATAAATCATTAAACTCCTTTGGACAACAGTATCATCCAAAATGAAAAAAAAAGACCAAAAAAATACCGTAGACATAGTTTCACCAAAGAGTGTATAAAAACTGTTTAGAAGAGCCCACTTGTCAGCCACACTTCTCTGAGCTTTTTCTTTTGTTCAATTATAGCCCTTCAAATAGCAACTGTATAAGTAGTGCTCCAATACTCGCAAACAGATCAAAAATATTTTCCAGCTTTCCTAGTTACTGTTGGCAGAGACTAGCTTGCAACACAGTATTCAGCCATTACGAGAAGCAGAAAGTGATATTATGTATGTCATTGAATATATCTAGACCAAAATTGTCAAATGGGATCATTAAAGTCAGAAATAAAGTGGCTTTTATTGATGTAAATCTATAAACACAGAACCCCTTAAATCCTCCCTTATTTACATGTGCCTTTTATATAATATCAATACCAATAGAAACTGGGGTGGTCAGAATATTCAGCTTTCTTAGCAATTCCAAGTCAACCTTTATCAAGTGTGATTAGTTTACAGTATCCACCTGATGGTGTGTCTCTGACCTCTGAGAGTGTTACTGCTATTGTGTGTGGCTGTTCTGAGCAGTGTAGTCCTGTGGCTTGCATTTAATGGCTGTGGTCTTATTTTCCCATGCCTCATTATGTTGATCATTTTCTCCATGTAACATCAAGAGAGCTATTTCAAATAAGTGTTTCAGCATGACAATTCTTAGAACACTGATGTCAATTAATACATGCAACAAGTAACAAATATTTCAACTAGTCCCAAAAATATACAGAAATTAAATATAGTAGGTTGAAGTCTCTAGGAGAAAAATAAACAAATATTCTTTCTTCCTTAAAGCAGAACATTTTTGCCTCTTGAGCTTTAGAAAAATAAGGTTCTCACATTTTTCAAGGTTTTATTATCTGCTGATTTGCTTTGAGAAGAAAATTTTGGGATTCCCTAGTGAACTTTTTAAATTTTAAAATGTTTAAGTCAGTGAATAGGACTGGACTAACTAGAGAAAAGCAAACATCAAACACTGCTGAGACAAACCTTGCCAAGGGATGGTCTGGATGACCTCATAAGGGGCTTTGCCATCACTAACACCTAAGACTTGAGGGACTTTTAGATTAACTGCATTGGAGCAGAGACATAAGCTTTCCTCACTGGAAATTCCTCTGTCTGGTGAGGTTTAAGTCCCATAGTTACTTCATCAAGTAGTGATTTACAAAGGGAAGGAGGGGAGCTGCAAGTAGGCCAACAGTGATCTAAAAGAGGGGCTAATCATTGTGTATGTCTAGGAAGACCTGTTACATTAAAAGTTAAGTACAAATACATTCATAAGATTCTCTAGTCTTCTCTTTGGTGTAACACTAAGAGTGTGTTAAAGTGCAGTTGCAACTCTGTTGGCAAAACTAGGAAAACATGAACTCTCAGATAGTGCTGCTTGAAGAATAAAGTTGTACAACCCAACAAACAGCAATTTGGCAATGAAATAATCCATCCCCATAACACCTGGAAAATTCTATGAAATGAAACATAATGCTTTTGACAAGTGGCTCTGTTCTCAAGTGACAGTGGATAAAATAATTTTATCTTCTGCATGAAGAATAGGGTGAGGCTAAGAGTTTAAAACATGATGATCACTTGGGACTATCACAGTGAAGTAAAAATGCATGCTTTTTGCAGTAATTGTTCTTTTTCCCACATGTAGAAAACAATTACATGGGAATTTTTTTGCCTTTGTTTACTTATGCTAGCATAAAGACTAAATGAAAAATATTGGTTTTTATTCTCTTGTAAAAATATAATACTATATTTCATACAGTTGATTTTTAGATGCTATAGTTTTATAGGAATTTACTATATTTATCAAAACAGACACGTCTATCTATCTATCTATCTATCATCATCATCATCTCTCTCTCTCTCTCTCTTTCCTCTACCCTCTCTCTATATACATACTCATTGGTCCATCATCTTTTCGAATTTAATCTACAGATATTCTCATTTACTTTAAAAGTGACAATTATAAAAATTATTTATTAAAGCTTTATTGATGATAGTAAAAGAGTAGAAAAAGTAAAAATGTCCAGCAATAGTTCATTAGTTAAACAGTTATGGTATATCTATAAAGCATCTCCATGAAAAGGCAGATTTTTATGTACTAAGAAGAAATTACCTTAAAATGTAATGATACACTACCTTATATGTATTAAGCATTCTATATGTGTGTCAGTTTATGTATTTATAGGGAAACTACAAAAGGAGAATTAGAAATTCAGGAGAGGGGCACCCCATGGAGGCAGAGACAAGACTCAGGACATGGAATAAAAAAGCCATGCCCTCATTTTTCTTGAATCATGGAATAAGAAAGCAGAGATAGATATCACCCTTAAGAGCCAGAAGCTCTCAGGCTTCTGGACATTCTTTTTCATCCAATCCCCTTGTGATTGGCTGAGTTTTAAATATTGCTCTGTTTCTGGTCCCTGTATTCCATGGATGAAGATATAGTAATTTATGTTATGCATATATAGATGTAACATATATTTATATTTATATATATGTATATGTATTTATATAGTTACATCTATATATAAATGTAACATATTATCTATAAAGAATATAGATATATTCCCTATATGAAATTTTAAAATAACCTTTCTATAATGGCATTTAAATAAATGTTGTTTCTGCCACCATAGTTTATCTTGGGAGGTTTTCCTTACATAATGGTCTTTCTGTAATCTATGCCCATACATCTCTTGTAGAATTATCCTTAGAGATATTTTATAAATGAAGTTTAATGCCTTAAAGTCACATATAGTTTTATATCCAAAATAGAATTATTCGGCTGATGACTATATTTTCTTGCTAGGGCTGCCATAACAAAGTACCACAGACTGGGTGGCTTAAGCAACAGAAACTTTTTTTTCTGACAGTTCTGGAGGCTGGAAGTTTGAGAGTTTGAGACTGAGGTGTCTGAAGGATTGGTTTCTCTCTGTGGCTTGTAGACAGCTGTCTCCCTCTGTGTGTGTGTGTGTAAAAATCTCTGATAAGGGCACCAGTCATATCAGACTTGGGCTCACCATAGTGACTTCATTTTAACTTAATTACCACTTTAAAGATCTGTCTCCAGATACAGTCACATTCTGAAGTACTGGAGGTTAGGAGGTCACCATTTGAATTTTGGGGAGTGGGGTGGCTCAATTCAGCACCCAACAATGACCTACTTTATTTAGCAATTTACGTTAAGCAGCTCCTACCTGTTTTCATATATCAAACGCACACTCTGAGGGAATTCTGACAACTCCATCAAGATTATTCAAAGACTGAGATATTTGTTTAAGCTATTATTTAAAAAAATATTTTAAGCAATGCTATCTCTAGAATAAAAGCAAAAATCTCTCAAGATAGTAATTATTAGAACATGTATCTATTTTCATTACTCAAGGTTCAGTCATAAAAACAGAAAACACGCTAGTTATTTCAAGAAGCAAAGGGTATGGGGAGTTAGATGCTTCTAAAGGTAATGGGAGGGGTGGAGAACCAAATATAAGGAAGGACAGCAGTTAGCTCTCAGGCTTTCTCAGGTTTTGGGTGATTAGAAAGGTGGCAGAGCATTTCTCTAATGACCAGTGGTGATGAGCTTTTTTTCTTATGTTTTTTTGGCCTAGATGACAGGTTGATGGGTGCAGCAAACCACCACAGCACATGTATACCTTTGTAACAAACCTGCACATTCTGCACATGTATCCCAGAACTTAAAGTATAATAAAAAATAAATAAACAAATAAATAAAAAAGAAAGGTGGCAGAGCTACCCCAATCGGTTACTGCAGGAAACAGCTGCTGTTGCCCACAGTATTCTGAAGTAAGTCATCGGGTAGATGGTTTCTAGGGAAACACCCAGAGGCCACTCAAGGCACAGCCCTAAGTGTGCTGAATACCATGAGACTTCCAGATTTGCTTCAGGCAGAAAATGAAGAAGTGATAGTGTTACAGTAGGTAACTAGTCAGACATGAGCAGGACAGGAGAGGCCCCACTACCCCCACCAGGAATGTTAGGCAACCATCAAGTGATGGTCAGGCGGTTGTTAAACCGTCTCTAAAATAGTGATTGGTTGTAGCCAGCACCAGAGAAAGACAGTCTCCCAATAGATAGAAAAAACCTGAAACTGGTGATCAGCAGCTTCCTGATAAGATCTCAGAAGTTGGGCAAGTGGGCTCAAGCATGTGCACTAAGAGACAAAATGGCAGAGCTTAACTGGTATATGACCTTCTAGAAACATTCCACTGGTAAGGGAAGAACGCCTCAAGTGAGCATGTGTACAACCTCAGTAAACAAACTGTGCATGCAGTCCCTCACAAGTGCTGGCAGGCCACTGCACATGCAGACAGCCCACCCCAAGAGAAGAATCGGGGGAAAAGGGACACAAGACCCCAGAAGCACGCCAACACATAAAACCTCTAGTCAAAGATCAAACCACGCACTTGAATCTCTCAAGTTGCCCTCTTGGCTCTCTTTCAAGTGTACTTTACTTCCTTTCATTCTTGCTCTAAAGCTTTTTAATAAACTTCCACTCCTGCTCTAAAATGTGCTGTGGTCTCTCACTCTGCCTTATGCTCCTCAGTCGAATTCTTCCTTCTGAGGAGGCAAGAATTGAGGTTGCTACAGACCCGTATGGATTCACCACAGCTAACAATAGCTTAGGCTTCCATTCCATTTTCAAAACTTTGCTCATGTTCTCCTCACTTGCTGAATCTAAATCAGAATCCTGTCAAGGACGGCCTGGGAAACATGTATCCAAGGCTTCCTACGCCTGTGTCTCCAAGAAGAGTAAATGAGGCAACAAGTATCTAAACTTAGCAGACAAGTTGGAAAGCTCTGTTATGTTAATAGTTAAATTGATATGTGACCATTGCTTATATTCACATTTTGAGGGAAAAATAACACACCAAAAACTAACTTTGCCACGAAAATGTATGAAACAGGCACAATTCATTTGAAACCTACGAAACACTTGACTTCACTCACCAGATGTTTTTAAACAAACAAAAATTTTAAAAGATTCAATGAAGACTGAAAGATTTATTTCAAAAGTTAATGCAATAAATATTTGAATTTTCCATAATTATTGTAGCTATTATCATGGACTATTAGAAATAACTTCGAGAGGCCAGGCGCGGTGGCTCACACTTATAATCCCAGCACTTTGGGAGGCTGAGGTAGGCGGATCACCTATGGTCATGAGTTCGAGACTACCCTGGCTAACATGGTGAAACCCCGTAACTACTAAAAATACAGAAAGTTAGCGAGGTGTGGTGGGGCGCCTGTAATCCCAGCTACTCGGGAGGCTGAGGCAGGAGACTCACTTGAACCCGGGAGTCAAGTGAGCTGAGATCCTGCCATTGCACTCCAGCCTGGGCAACAAGAGCAAAACTCTTTCTCAAATAAATAAATAAATAACTTCGAGAAAATTATTCTGGACATTTTAATTAGAATATTCATATTGTACTTACTTTCCAAGGTTTCAGCAAAATTCCATTTAATTAGGAAGACAAAAAACAGACTTCAAAAAGAGGAAGCTTCTCCTGTATAAAATGAGCCTAGTGATGTTGGAGGGTGAGATGAAGGGAGGTGGCGGGAAGAGCAGAAAATTGGATTTGAGACAGAAATATGATGTATTTTCACGTGATTTTTGCTAACTCTCACTACTCAGTTTTCCCTACTTCCATTTCATCTTATCTGCCAGGAGATCTATGAATGGGAGTGGGAAAACAAGGAGAACTCAGATAGAGGTATTCAAGAGGCCGATTTTGAAAGCTTTTAGATAATGTGCTTAAAATAGAAATTCCTGCCTACCTAACCCGTGATTTTATAATTATGTGTTGTGTTTAGCTTGGTAGGCATAGCAAACATTAACTATGACCAGTGAAATGTTATCAGCTCCCAGAGTATGTGCTATTTTAGATGACAGCAATATACAAAAGGTAGTGCAAAATGACTCCTCAAAATGGGAGCTGAGTGGTTCACAGGGATAGGAAATCTCAGTTCTGTGAAAAAACAACCTGGAATAGTGAGGATATAGAGGACTGAGCTTGTTTTTAGCTGATTTTTAAGGCCCCAACCATGGGACAAATAAATATATACAGGCACATTGAGTTAATAATTGGTTTCCCTAAATTTTAAGCATTTAATTTTATAAAAGTTTCTTTGCACTATAATAGTATGACATTGCCATTGGATTGTAAAAATATATTGCTCACTTGCCCTAACTTTTAAAATAAATAGGCATTAGTTTCACAGTGATTCTAATTTTCTTTTAATTTAGTTGTAAAATACCAATATTTAAACATTGAAGTAGTTTTATAGATAGGCACAGTTGCCTTTCCAAGTGTCAGAGTAAACAACCATGTTTCATGCTGCTTTGCTCCCATAGGAGAAAAAAGCAAAAAATTGACAGAAAATTATCTAATTGTAGTTTGAAAACATAGATATATAAAATTCTTACTTTTAAGTTTGGCCAGTTTAATGATTGGAATTAATTATTCTTTACATGTTCATCTCAATAACCTATTATTAGTTATCTTTTTATAAGAAAAACTAAGAAAGCACCAATCAGCACAATGCTGGGGAGGAATATATAACATACACAATATAATATAGTATTGTCAGAAGTAAAAAAGGGGATAAATGAGATTATTGAACTGATTAACTTTACACAATAGAATTTAAGCTTATAATTTCATAGCACTTTTCCATTTAAAAGAAAAAGATTTTTTAGCTATCTCATGTTATTCTTATGATTAGCTGACTCAGGTAGGATATTTTTTAACACTCAATACAAAGCTAAGTATCATATAAAGTGACTATGGTTAGGAAACGGTTTGTTTATCCCCACTAAAAGTCATGTTGAAATTTGATCCTCGGCTGGGCATAGTGGCTCACACCTGTAATCCCAGCACTTTGGGAGGGCGAGGCAGGCAGACCACCTAAGGTCAGGAGTTCCAGACCAGCTTGACCAACATGGAGAAACCCTGTCTCTACTAAAAATACAAAAATTAGCCGGGCGTGGTGGCATGCGCCTGTAATCCCAGCTACTTGGGAGGCTGAGACAGGAGAACTGCTTGAACCCAGGAGGTGGAGGTTGCAGTGAGCTAAGATCACACCACCAGCCTGGGTGACAGAGCGAGATTCTGTCTCAAAAAAGAAAAAAAAAAAAAGAAATTTGATTCTCAACTTGGAGGTGTTAGGAGGTGGGGTCTAGTGGAAGGTGTTGATAATGGGGAAGTTATGCATTTGTGGGGGCAGAAGGTGTATGAGAAATCTGTACCTTCTGTTCAATTTTTCTATGAGCCTGAAACTGCTCTGAAAGATAAAGTTATGAAAGAAAGAATTTGCCTATACTGGGCATTTCATGTAAATGAAATCATACAATATGTTTTACTCTGTGTAGCTTCTTTCACTTAGCATAATGTCAAGATTCATTCATGCTGTAGCACGTAACACCATTTCATTTCTTTCTATAGTTGAAAGATATTCCATTGTATAGATATCATCTTTTATGTACTCATTCATCAACTGATGGAAATTTGGGCTTCTGTCACATTTGGCTACTAGTATTAATGTCATTATGAATATTCACTTGCAAGTTTTTATGTGAACATATACTTGTAATTCTCATGGATATATACTTAGGAGTTCTGGGTCACATGGTAATTTTGCGTTTAGCTTTTTGAGTTTTGAGGAACTGCCAAATTGTTTTCCAAAGTGGCTGCACCATTTTACACATACCCACCAGTGATGTATGAGAGTTCCAATTTTTTCGCATCCTTACCAACACATTACTTTTTTGAAAGATAGCCCTCTTAGTAAGCATGAAGTGGGAGCTTATTGTGGTTTGATTTGCATTTCTTTAATGACTCACAGTGTGGAACATCTTTCCTTGTGCTTACTGGTCATTTGTATATGTTCTCTGGAGAAATGTGTATTCAAACCTTTTGCCAATTTTAAAATTGGGTTGTCTTTTTATTGTTGAGTTGTAATAGTTCTTTATATAGCGTGGACACTAGGCCCTTGCCAGAGATATGATTTGCAAATATTTTCTCCCAGAATGTGAATTGTCTTTTCACTTTCTTATAATGTCCTTTGAAAAATGAAAGTCTAATTTTTATACAATCTAATTTATTTTTTATGTCTTTGCTTTTAGTGTCATATTTAAAAAAAAATCATTGTGCAATCCAAGTAACACAGAGTTTTACCTGCGTTTTCTTCTAAGAGTTTTACAGTTTTACCCTTACATTCAAATCTTTGATCCATTTGAGTCAACTTTTACATATGATGTTTAGTAGGGGACTAAATTTATTATTTTGCATATGAATTGTCCTAGTACCATTTGTTGAAAAGACTATTATTTTCCAGTTGAATGGTCTTTGTATCACTGTCAAAAAATATACTCTCAATTCTATTTTATAGATATATGTTTATGTGAGCACCATATTGTCTTAATTATCATTGCTTTGTACTAGTAAGTTTTGAAATCAGGATGTGTGAGATCTTCGTTTTGTTTTTCTTTTCAATGAATTGTTGTGGCTATTCTGTGTCCATTTCCATATGAATTTTAGGATCAACTCATTCATTTATCAATAAAAGTGGCTGAAATTTTGATATGACTCTCCTTGAATCTGCAGATCAGTTTAAGGAGTATCACCATGTTAACAATATTAGGTCTTCCATGAATATGAAATATCTTCTTAATTTAGATCTTTAATTTCTGTCAACCATATTCTGTAATTTTAATGCATATTTTTTGCACTTTTTAGGTTGATTTTATTTCTAAGCATTTTTTTATTTTTGATGCCATGGGATGATTTTCATAATTTCACTGTTCACATTGTTCATAACTAATATATAGAAATGCTACTAATTTTCCTTGTGTTGATCATGTATCTTGCAATTTTGTTAAACTCACCTTATTAGCTGTAATATATATTTTAGGAAATTCTTCAGGGATATATTTACTGATCAATCAACAGATAGATATAGATTGATATGTATAAATATATCTATCTAAATGCATAGCTATCTATCTGAATAGATAGGTAGGTATCACTCATCTGCATATAGAGTTAGTTTTATTTACTACCTTTCTACTATGGCCACATTGATTTCTTTGCCAAATTGACTTAATTTGCTATCTCTAGTACCATGGCAAGAGTGGATATGCTTGTTTGTTTCTGATATTAGAAGAGAAAACACTTTCGGTCTTTCACTATTAAGTATGATATTAGCTGTGATTTTTGTATAGATAATGTTTATCGTATTGAGAAGGTTCCTTTTTGTTCATAGCATTGGTGTTTTTGAAGAAGTGTTAGGTTTTGTCAGATGTTTTTTCTGTACAATTGAGATGAGTATGCTATTCTGTTATTATATTAATAAGGTATATTATATTGTTTCATTTTTGTATGTTGAATCAATCTGGCATTTCTGGGATAAATCTGACTTGGTTGTTGTGTATAATCTTTTCTTAAGGAATTATTTTGAATGCTAACTCAATCTCTTTACTTATTTTAGGCATATTAAGACTTTCTATTTCTTCTTCAGTCAGATTTGGTAGTTGAAATATTTCTAGAAATTTCTCTATCTAGGTTACATAATTTTTTGGAATATCATTGTTCTTAGTATGTTCTTATAATCATGTTTATTTCTGTAACATAAGTAATAATGTTTTAATTCCTAATTTTAGTAATTTGAGTCTTCTTTGTCGATCTAGATATTTTTGTGTTTTTCCAGTGTGTTTGTCAATTTTGTTGACATTTTCAAATAAACAACTTTTAATATTGATGCTTTTTTCCTGTTCCCTATTTCATTCATTGATGGTTTAATCTTTTTAAATTTTATTCTTACACTTCCTTCAGATTTAGTTTTTCCTTCCAAGTGTCTTAACGTGGAAGGATGGGCAATTGATTTGGGATTATTTTCTTTTTAAGAAAGGCATTTGCAGCTGTATATTTCCCTCTGAGCATTGTTTTTATTTAATCCCATGCATTTTGATATGATGTGTTTGGTTTTCATCCTCCTCAGTATTTTTTATTTTCATTTTCGTTTTTATTTCTTCTTGTTTAATTTTCACATATTTGTGAATTTTCCAAATTTTCTTCTGTTTTAATTTCTAATTTTACTCCATTGTGGTCACAGAACATACTTGTAGGATTTAAATCTTTTTAAGTTTTTTGAGACTTTTTTTGCATCCTAACATATAGTCTGTCTTACTGAATGTTCTATGTGTATTTGAGAAGACTGTGTATCTGCTGTTGTTTTTTTGGTGGGTTCTAGAGATGTCTTTTAGGCCTAGTTGATACATAGTGTTTTCAAGTCTTTTTTTTTTGGCTGATTTTATGTATAGTTGCTCTATATGTTATTGAAAATGGGGTATTGAAGTATTAATCATTATGGTTGAATTGGCAGTTTTTCCTTTCAATTATTTTAGTTTTTGCTTCATATATCTTGGGGCTATGATTTGAGGTCCACATATATTTATAATTTTTACATCTTCTGGATTAATGTATGCTTTTATTATGTAGTGTCTTCCTTTATTCTAACAACATTTTTTTTCTTGTATTTTGTTCAACACTAGTATGTCACTCCAGCTCTCTTTTGAGCACTGCTTTCATGGAATATAAGTTTCCATTATTTTACTTGTTTTACGTGCAACTAATTTGTGTATTTTAATCTTAATTGAGTTTCTTGTAGATAACATATATTTGTTTTCTTAAATATAATTTCAACTTTTATTTTAGATTCAGGGGTTACATGTGCAGGTTTTCTATGTGGGTATATTGCATGACGCTGAGGTTTGGAGTATGACTGATCTTGTCACCCAGGTAGTGAATACAGGATCCAATAGTTAGTTTTTCAATCCTTTCCCCCTTCTTAATGTCTATTGTTGCCATCTTTATGTCCATGAGTACCCAGTGTTTAGCTCCCACTTATAAGTGAGAACATGCAGTATTTGGTTTTCTGTTCCTATGTTAATTTATTAAGCATAATGGCCTCCAGCTGCATCTAAGACAACATATATTTGAATCATGTTTTTTAATCCATTCTTCCAATCTTTGCCTTTCAATTGGAGAGTTTAACCCATTTATATTTCATATAATTATTGGTAAGGAAAGATTTACTTCTGCCACTTGATATCTGTTTTCTATATATGTTGTTTTATTTTTTTCCCTCAATTCCTCCATTACAGTCTTCTCTTTATATTAAAAAAGATATCTTCTAGTGTACCTTGTCATTTCTTTTGCCATACTATTTTGAGTCATTGTTCCTTGAAGATTATAATTAACATATTAATTTATAGCAATCTACTTTGGATAAATACCAACTTAATTTCAATAGTATAGAATAACTTTGCTCCAATATATGCCTGACTTTTATGCTGTTATTATCACATATTACATCTTTATATATTATGGGCCCATTAAATTAATTTATAATTGTTGCTTCATACAGTTGTCTTTCCAGTCAGACAGAGAAAAGGAGTTATGAACAAAAATACATTTATATTGTTCTGTATATTTACTTTTGTAGTTACTTTTAATAGCATTTTATATTTCTTCTTGAGTTGAATTACTGTCAGTTACTTTTTCATTTAAGCTTGAAGGACCTTAGCATTTCTTTCTGTAAAGTTATGTAAGCAGTGAACTTCCTCAGTTTTAGTTTACCTGAGAAGATCTTAATTTCTCTTTCATTTTGAAAAATAGTGTTGCCAGTTACAGAATTGAATTATTGGCTGGTGGTATTTTTTGTTTTGTTTTCTTTTAGCATTTTGAATATATTGTAGCACTGCCTTTGAAACTTCATGGTTTTTGATGAGAAATCAACTGTTAGTCGTATTGTTGTATATGTTAAGTTGCTTCTTTATTGCTACTTCTAAGATTCGTTAACTTTTGACAGTTTGATTGTGATGTGTCTAGGTATGGATTTTTTGAATTTATTCTACTTGGAGTTTATAAAAATATTTGGATAGAAGCAATATTTTTAACAAATTTAGGAAGTTTTAGGTCATCATTTCTTTAATGACGTTTGCCTTTTTTTCTCCTTTTGGGACTCTCATTATGTATATGTAGGTATGCTTGATGGTGTCCCGTGGGGCTTTTTGGCCTTGTTTATTTTTCTTTATTCTTATTTATTTCTTCTTTTCAGACTGAATTGACCTGTCTTCAAGTTTGCTGATTATTTCTTTGGACTGCTCAAGTCTGCTGTTACGGCTTTTTAGACTGAATGTTTCATTTTAGTTATTTTACTTTGGAACCCCCAAATTTATAAAGTCTCCTTTCATAAATTTTCTCTCTCTCTCTCTTTTTTTTTTTTTTTTTTTTTTTTTTTTTGAGACAAAGTCTCGCTCTGTTGCCCAGGCTGGAGTGCAGTGGCATGATCTTGACTCACTGTATCCTCTGCCTCTCAGGTTCAAGAGATTCTCTTTCCTCAGCCTCCTGAGTAGCTAGGATTACAGCCTTGCACTGCCATGCCTGGCTAATTTTTCACATTTTTAGTAGAGACAGAGATTCACCATGTTGGCTAGGCTGGTCTCAAACTCCTGCCCTCAAGTGATCTGCCTCCTCAGCCTCCCAGAGTGCTGAGATTACAGGCATGAGCCACAGCACCCAGCCACTTTTATCTCTTTATTGGTAATTTCAATTTGGTGAGACATCATTCTCATACTTTTAAAACGTTCTTTAAACATAGTTTCACTGAACTCAGTGAACACATTTAAACTAGCTGATTTAAAATCTTTGTCTGGAAAGTCCAATCTCTGGGCTTTCTTAGGCACAGTTTTATTTATCTCCTTGCCTATATATAGGTCACACTTTCTTGTCTTTTGCATGCATTCCCATTTTTGGCTGTTGTTGTTGCAAATTGTACCTTTTCAATATTATAATGTAGCAACTCTGGAAACTGGATTCTCTTGCTTCCCCAGGATTTGTTGTTCTTTCTGCTTATTGCAGCCATTGTTTGTTGACTTGATGACTTTTCTAAACGAATCTTACTAAGTCTTTACCCTTTGGTTTGGCCCTGAAGTCTCTATCATATAGCTTAGTGGTCAGCTAATGTTAGAGCAGGGATTTTTTTTAAATACTTGGAAACAAAATATCTTCCATTAGTTGCCAAGGAGCCCTGAGTGTGTGGTGGGCACACCTTCAACACTCCTCCAGATAGTACTTTCTGATTTTATAGAGCCTCAAGGTCATCAGGAGGTGGGAAGCTAGGACTTTATCAGGTCTTTCCTGATAATGTGCACAAGGCTGAACATGTACATGACCTTTTAGATTCCCTGAAAAATGTGGAAGCTTTTCCTAGCTCTTAAGGATATCTTACTTTCCAGCCTTTCTTCCCAAGTTTTTTGCCTAAGCTATAATTTACCCCCATTGTTATCATTTTGCTCCTTCTAGCACTGGGAATGCAAATAAATCAACTGCTTTTTTTCTTTTAATAGATATTCTTTGGGTTGCCACAAGCCATTAGTTGATTTCCAGAGTTCCAAAAAAGTTGATTCTGATATTTTTTGCTCATTTTTTTCATTATTTTATAGAGGGACAGAATTTTTAATTTCTTACTCTGTCATTTTTGCTGATGTACTGTTGTCACCATATGCTAATTTTTATTACAGAAAAACCTTACCCTTTTATTGGTTGACAAATCGATGGTTTATTTTCCTATTTTTTTGTTAACTGATAAATATTTTTGACAGTGTATTGCAATATCAGCTATTCTGATGAAAAGATTTGTAAATGTGTTTGTCCAATCTGTATTTATTCACCAAATATTGGTTGAATATATACTATATGTGAGGCATATATTTTACCAGACATAGTATATACAATTAAGTAACTCAAAGTCTAGTGGGACAAATAAACCTCTAAATAGCATAATCAGTTATACAGTTTTGCTTTTAAATATTGATGCCGTATTTTTCTAATCTGAATAAATTTACTTATTAAGTTATTCAAAATACAATTACAAGATTAATTTAGCACCTGGATATTTCTAATGTAGAAAGCATAATCCTATTAGGTTATAGAACACACATTCTTGTAACCAGACATTCTCTCTGAGTTTGTTTAACTTGGACCAAAGACCTCCTGGCCTGAATGACATGCTTCATTCCAACTTTTAAACTGTTGACTGAGTTAAGATGTGTTGATGAATATGAATTTCTTTTAATAAAAGCACTGACACTGAGACATTCCTGTTGTCTGCTTGTTCCATCAAATAATGAAACGTCCTGGTGATTTCCTCCAAAGTGTGGATGTTGGCACCTGGAGCTGACTGGCATATTTCAGACTGCCTGTGCTATAAACTACCTTGTTTTGGCATTTCTGGATGGCCTCGAAGGTGTCTTTACTCTATTTCTGTTCCACGTGTTTGATACTGTAGACCCCTTTTGAGACTGTCTCAGGGATTATTTATAATGTACTGATGTTACCTTATTAGTAGCTGCTATTTCTGCACAGAAGCATGAGGTTTGTTGACACTTGTTTTACTGCCGAAACCTTATTTTCGGTGTCTGGTAGACCACTATGAAGTTTCAGTACTGAAATGTTATGGCAACCTGAATGAAAAGTCATCCCATGTTCATTTCCCTCCAGGTTCCAAGGGTTTAAATAAGCACCTGAATAAGCTTTAGAAACTTGACAGATAATGCAATTTCACAGTGTTATTACATTCCTGTTTCAATTGGCACTTCTAATACTCTCACAAACAGTTTGTGGAGTTGGTAACTTTCCTTTGTAAGAATATTTCAAAAGTAGGTCCAAACCTACAGCATGAATATAAATTTATAGAAGGGAGAAATATTAAAGCAATTTATATTAATTTTGGAACAGTGCTCTTTTGGCACTGATTAGTAATTTCCAAAGCTGACTCTCTTGTGATCTGGTGATCTACACAAGGAAACCGTGTAACATGATGAAAACCTTCACTCTGCCCACTTCATGAGCAGTGCCTTTTTCTCCAGCTACCTCACGAAGAGCTCCAAACTAAGGCAATTTGAGCAGGCTGCTGGTCATTTTCTTCTCTACCTAGTAGACCTTTTTCTGCCCTCTCTTTTCTACATTAGGAGGATCTAACTCTTTGTAAAAGATGCATGCAAACTAATTTTTAATTTAGAATATATCATGGGGCAAAATTTTAACAAAATTGTACTTCTTTGAGGCCAGTTGTGGTTTTTAATTAAAACTTCCCCCCCATAAAAGTATATCCAAGGCTGTTTCAGTTTCATTTGGTTATAACATAGAGTATTAAACAAAAAAGCTAGAGCTATATGCAAAGTAGCCAAAACTTTTGTAAAACCTAGGGTAATAAGTTGGCATTTCTCCTCATTCATACATATGTGTGTGTGTGTTTGTATATGTGGGTGGGTGTATATACACACATATATATGAAATATTCATCAGTGCTTACATATTTTTATTGATCGTATATGCATGTATATATGCATATATATGTATGCATATATATATGCATACATGTATGTATGTATACGTATGTGTATGAATGTATATTTTGTATCTATATATTTGTGTAGATATGTGTGTCTGTATGTGTGTATGTTCCTAAAAATAACTAACATTTAGAAAAAGAAAAGTAGAATGTAATTTGCCTAATCAGTTTTATTTATTCAATATTTATTTTTGATGGTGTAATGCATGCTAGGCATAATGCTCAGTGCTGAGTTACAAAGTGTCCTGTATAAACATGGCCTTATTTTCTGATTGAGTGCAATACAGGGGAGGCTACACACAGGTGAATAGGCAATTGCGAGAGTCTGCGAATACTGCTGATAGGGCAAGCAGAGGATGCTAGAAGAGGAATCTAACCCCCTTGACAGGACACGGAAGACTTCCTTGAGGAAATGCTATCTACTGAGACCTGTGAGACTGAGTCACTCCTTAGTTAGACAAAGGGAGTGAGTGGTGAGGAGTAGATGAAGCGGTAAATTAGAGCAGAAGGAACACCATATATCTGAGGGCGCAGAGACTAGAGAGCAAATGGCTGGAGGAAGCAGAGGAGGGTGTAGCAAATGATATGGCTGGAGAAATAGGTAAGATCCAGGCCACAGAGACTCTCGTAATTCATGTTAATGGCCTTTAAGTAAGAGAATGAGATGATTGCTTTCAAGCATATGGCAAAGAATGGTACAATAACAAGATCGGAAATCTTAGAAGAATATAGCCACCCAGAAAATTTAAAAACATATTAATATTTAATAACTATTTTTTGGTAAACTCTGTGGGTCTGTAATAATTAGACACCAGTATGGCTGATCTACTTGCTTTATTTTGTAAATTTCTGTAATATGTGATAGTGAAGATCACTTAAAATTCCTGGTTAATCTTGCTATAGATAATTATTACGGGTTACAGACAGTGTTCATGTTAATGGTTTTCTCTTCTTAATTGCCTCCACTCTTAGTTCAATATGAATTGAATTTAGGCAAACTGGCCAGGCACAGTGGCTCAGGCCTGTAATCCCAGCACTCTGGGAGGACGAGTCCGGAAGATCACTTGAGGCCAGGAGTTTGAGACCAGCCTGGCCAACATGGAGAAACCTCGTCTCTACTGAAAATACAAAAATTAGCCAGGCGTGGTGGCACATGCCTGTAGTCCCAGTTACTCAGAAGGCTGAGGCAGGGGAATTCCTTGAACCCAGGAGGTGGAGGTTGCAGTGAGCAGAGATCGTGCCACTGCACTCCAACCTGGGCGACAGAATGAGACTCCGTCTCCAAAAAAAAAAAAAAAGAATTTAGACAAACTTAGGCAGTGGTAAGTCGTTCTAAAGAAGATAAAAGAGCACTATAGATGTATAAAGATCCACTTAAGAGTGAAGATTCAGTTTCTATGTATTTATTAGTATTAAGAAAATAGGAGAACCTGTTGTAGTGTTGGTCAAATTATCTAACAAAAAAAATCCAGAAAAAATTCATATTATAAACATTATCTAGACCCAGAGGAAAAATATTCTTAAGGACAAGTGGTGATTAAACAAAACTTGAGGGAGGTCCCAAAGCCCTTCATGGCTCAAAGTACCTGTGCAACTGAATTTCCAAGATTCCTGGAATTTTCACTTTTCTAGTCACCTCTTTGAGTTGGCTCTGATTTTTGAAGTTGATTTTAAAATGCCTTCATAGTTATCTGAAAGATTTATATGTATTCATTATCCTGCATTAGTCTGGCCTAGCTGACTGTTATCCAAGAGATTACAAGGTTGAGAGGAAAAAATATCAGACCACATGTATTCTATGTGGGAAAAGCAGGTTTAGAAAAGTTGGAGATTTCAGAGAGGCAGGCTTAGGTGCAGAGCAATAACAGAAGTCTGACTCTCTGGGGATAAGAGGAAAGGACTAGATTATCAATAATTGAAAGTATATTGAAGAGCATTTGGAAGAAAACCTTGAAACTGTGAATTGCACACTGATTCTAAGTGCAAATTTAATCAACAGAATTTCAACACATGACATCTGTTTGGACAATATCTTAAAATTAGCTGTAATGAGAGACATTTTATAATTAAAGCTTATAGAAGCAAAACTTCCTTGCCTGTAGAACAATTTTACTCATTGAAGAAAAAAACACTGAGGCTCTGCACCTCTCACTTACACCAGCCTCTGACTGTTTCAGTACTTGAGGAACATTGAGAAGCCCAACAGCCAATTAGATCATATAACCCAATAGTTTCTAAGGTCAGAGTGAGTAATCATATATCACTATGTTCCCAACGATTAGCAAATGGCTTGCTCATAAGCATTTCTTGAATAAATGAGCAAATAAAATAATTTATTTCTGAGGAGCCCTCATATTTTCTGGAGGAGCTTTTGGGACCACTCATGTGGGCTGGGTGGGATAGACAGTGAGAGGAAGGCTGGGGGCAGATCTCCACCTCTCAACCTGAAGACGAGTCTTTATTTTAGTCATAAAGGCTCCATAAAAGACTTTTTGAAAAAAATTTAATAAGAAACAAAAGGAATGAGTCCATTCTTTTCATTTTGCCTTGAGTGCTTGCTTTAGGGTTACACCCAGATCAGAGGCAAGACCAGATCTCGAACCTGTATGGCTTGCCCTTTTAACTCCAGACTCCACTGTACACTCCTACAATACAGTCAGTACGCATAGGTATTACAGTGTTTTTTTTTTTAATAAAATACGTTAGGCAGCAGTACAGCAGGCATGCTTACTCAATCATTTTTGCTTACTCCATCATTGTGCTCTCTCAATTTTATAAATTGATGGCTGATGTTAACTGATACAGTGGATGAATTAAATGTAAGCCCTGGCTCTTTTCTTTCATGGTGTCACTAGTATCACTAATTTGTGTTTGTCAATTAATCACTGATAGTAATCAGGCTGCTTTTAATTAGTTTATTTCCTCTTAAGTAGAGGTGGTTCTTTTTGGGAAAAGAGACACATATCCATGCTTGGTACTATTTTTGAGTGTCATGGGCTTATCTGTCTTCCTGTTTTCCTGTGTATCTTATCGGAAGCATTGGTTGACATAAAATACTCCTGAGACAAGGGCTTGCTTGGTAAGATTGCTGGGGGCTGCAAGCAGGGTTTCCTGGATAGGCCTGGTGGAAGTAAGCATACTTTTATTAGTTGGAAGCATGCCCATTTTCAAATTTGTTTAAAAGGAAAAGGAAATTTTCTCCTTACTGCTTATTCTATTTCTAAACATCTTGTAAAGGCCTCTTTTTCATCTTTTATTACATGACATTATGAGGATGGCAGAAATTAGACATTCCCGGGCATTTACAAATCTAGTGTTTTGAAAGGTATATTACTTTTTCCACTGGAAATTAATGTAATGAGAACGGTTTTACAGACACTCTGAACTATAAAAACACAAACACATTTCGTGTGTGGCATTATTTTTTTTCAATGGAGCATTGTGTCTGGGTAGATGGGTTCCTCCATGGCCCTGGCACTGTGTCCTCTGCCCAGCCATGCTCTAGCTTTTCTCCTTGGCTTACTTTTCTTCTTACCTTTGCACTCACTTTTGTTCATCTTCAATTTGCCTTTCTTTCTCCAGTGATTTCATTTCTCTATTAGCTTGTGTTCATATATATATCTGAGGGACATTTTTCTTTTAGATATGCCCTGATATATGTATATTCTTCCTTGATTTGTAATACTCTTACATGCTGAGGACTCCTAAATCTATGTATCTATCATTGGCTTCTCCATCTACATCCAGATCCTTGGGCTTGACCTTTGGAAGGACCAACAGCTATTCAAACAATGTCACATCTGACTTGTATTCCTGACTGGTGGCATCACCGGTAACCCTAGCCAGATGAAGTAGGAGTCTCATTCTATCTCTCACTCCCCTGTTTATCCCATGAATTAATGAATTCTACAAAAATCCAAGCCTCCCCCTTTGTTACAAGGACACCCCCAGCCTGGGTTTATTCCTCAGGCTGTCTATCCCTTTGCCACCTTTGTCTGAAAAAATGTTAAATAAAGGTACATCAGATATATTTAAGAATAAACAAGGCATCCTTCTCTACTGGACACTTTTTAACTATTATCGTGAGATAATATACACAAATAATATTAACATAAATAATAATGACAAAAATGTTGAATGAGATACGTGATATTTTGACAGATGTTAGAGGTCAGAAAAGGAAAGTTAGAGAGTTCCTCTCTCAATCTTCTTATCCTGCTGTCATCATGATTTCTCTATTTATAATGACATACATTTTTAACAGATTTATATGGTGTTATTTTGTGTCAAAGTTACTTAAAAAGGAGCATGTGATTCATTGCATGAAATTATAATAACATGGAGATGAATGCCAGAAGAGTATAAATAAACTGTCAGGATTCAGAGCAAGAAGCATAGTACAGCAGAATCAGCCTTAGAACATGGATTTTGGATATTTTCTCCAGTGATGTTCACTGCCATGGAGTACAAGTATAAGGAGAAGATTTGGAATGCAGTAAGGTGAAGGTCAAGAAAAACCCCATATGTATACATGAGCACATGTACCCCAGAACTTAAAGTATAATAAAATATATATATATATATAAAAGAAAAACCCCAAATAACAGTCCAAACTGTATTTAGTCTTATAATTTAAATTGTATTTAACAAAACTTACATAATACCTACTCTGTTCTAGGTACCACTTGAAGTTGGTACTATTATTACTCTGATTTTACGTATGAGCAAACTGAGGCACAGCAAGCTAAGTCATTTGTACAATGCCATGCAGCCAGTAATGGGTGGGACCAAGCTGAAGTGATGCCTAGTACATAGTAAATATTATACGGTTGTTGTTAGATAAAATTTAAATTGTAAAAAGTAAGTACAGTTTGGTGCTATAGTTGTGTAAAATAATATCATTATTCTTATGAAATACACAGTGAAGTAGTCACAGGTAAAGGACAATAGCATATGGAAATTGCATTTAAATGATTCTAGAAAAATTGTCTGCATGAATATCCACACATACTCACCTAACACGTAGACATGTGTATAGATGGATGGATAGGAAAGTAATGAAAAAGTGAATGGGATAAAACACTAACAATAGGTAAATCCGGGTAAAGAGTAAATGAGTATTTATTTTCCCATTTTTCCTATTTTGTAACTTATTGGTAAGTTTAAATTTCTAGGTAAAATTTGAGCATTTCTGAGTAAAAAGTTAAAAATACAAAAACAAAAAATAAGTACAGTTATTTGTTCTAAGCTGACTTTTCCTACTTCATCGGAGAACCCTGTTCTTCAAACAGTTGTTAGAACAAGACACGGATGGGGTCGAGTAGCATCCTGAACTGGGTGGCACCTCTCTTCCTTCTCCTCCCCAAATAGGCTCCATGTCTCATGAGCTCTCCTTTACATTTTCTAAGAAGCAGGTGACTGTTCTGTTTCTCAGAAGGGATGGTTGACACAGGGAGGGTGGGAGGGCATCCTTTAGATTACAAGCCTTTGACAAGGAAAGAGTTATTTCCATATGGTGATTTATCATGTGGGTCCCCCAAATGAAAGCCTTTAAATGTGTAGATGTTTTCACAGAATTATAGAAATGGTTAACTGCATGGTTTATTAATATTTTTTCTTTTTAACATGACTTATCCACAAACAAATTAACTGCCCCAAGATGATAAAAAGTAAGTTACAGGAGTCATGATTAAGAATGGATGATCTTCAAAATATCTAAATCCTTAACAGCCAGTAGGGCTCAGGCACTGGCCAATCACAACAGACACTGACAGTATTGTTTTCTTGTGTGTCTTTCTGGTCTGTGAGATAAGACACCAGTGTTTAATGGCAGGTTGAGTGGTGTAAACTGGCAGAAAATGAGCTGTGATATTTCTACTTTAAGATGAGAATGAGAAACAACTTATCTTGATAAAAGGTAAGAATAAAGAAAAGGATGGATGAGACTGGGTGGGTAGTTTTAAGGTCTTTGTTGAGAACTTTATGTGATTCTAAAATGTACATACTTTCCAAAAAATAACTTTTTATTTTTCTCAACTTGCTGCCTCTCTGTAGAGAATCTTTAGTTTGCTAGGTATTTTATGTGTTATTTTTATATCAGGCATGCAAATATTTGTTTTACATATGAGGAAACTGGGTCACAAAGTGATAGAAAACTGAAAATGTTTCACATTTAAGAAAAGTTTTCTCATTGTTAATACAGTACCTTCTATTATTCCAGATAATCTAGTTTTAATAATTAATTTGGTTTATTTAGTCAAATATTGTCTTAGTTATATAACACATTTATGCATATATATAATTATATATACATATAAATGTGTGTATGTATATATATGATATATCCATAAAGTATGTTTTCTAGATATTGAGAAATTCTTCTCCAAGAAGTCTGACAAATATTTTCATAAGTAGAATAAGGGATCTATTTTCTGGAATCTTCTCCAAACACCTGGCAGGAGTTTTGTTATCTGTAATCTGATAGGTGTAGTATGGGAATTTTCCTTTAATACTTAAACCTTTCTAATACTAGCAAGGACCTTAACGATCATCTGTTTCAAGTCTTTATTTTGAAGAGGAAAATGAGTCCTAGGGAACATAAGTGATTTTTCCAAAAGCATTAGAACCCAATACTTGACTCTCATTCAGCTTGTCCCCTTTGTAATATGTTGCAATAAGCAATCTGATCTAAATTTTCTTATGTACTGTTTATGAATTAAACTTTTTTGAAGTCATTCAGTGCTAATTTTACTGTGAACTGTATGGGAAAATGTTATTCAGAAAACTGAAAGTTGACGTCCATGATTTCAGATCAGTGGATTTCTTCATGCTACTAAACTTGTTCTATAACATCATTATATGCCATATGCAATTAAATTATTCATATAAATGAAATTTGAATATTTACAATATACATTATACTCACCAAGACTTTCTCTTGTTTTGCATTATTAACGTGGATAAAATGAAGTATTAATTTAGAACATTCTATAAAATGAAGCACATACTATAACAATAAATGTTGTTGCTAGTGTATTGGAAAATGGCTCTGCAAGTAAAATTGAATTCAATAGATTAGTTCAGTACTTCAAATGTAGTTTTACTAAGACCATTAAATGTGTATGAAAACAACCTTTAAATATAGACAATTTAAATACTTTCTTCACATTTTTAAATGTTAGTTCTATTTTTCCCACTATGCTCCAATCATTAAGTCAAAAAAAATAAAAAGAAGAGCAATTAGCTTTAGAATACATACTTGAAATTACCCTAGGGACCTAATTCTGAAGAAGATTAAACAAGGATAATAGGAGAAGAGAGGTAGGATAGTTTTGCATTTCCCATGAGAAGGTGCATGATTTTCCTCGGGTCTTCATTAGATTTACCTTATGCTCTGTGGCATCTGGGTCAGTGTCTTTTTTCCAAGATTTTATTAAGATAGTCAATTATGCTATTGTTTGTGGGCTTTTAATCTGAACCTCATTATTTTTTCAATAATTGTTTACTCTGAATTTAGAAGGCTCAGCAGGAAAGCCAAATTAAAGGGGTCATTATATATCTAGAGGTCCGGAGTGTTTACGAAGCTTTAAAACAAGAATTTTGCACTAAAACATTTTTAAAGCCTTTAACAACTCTCTTGAATTTATGTATTTATTTACTTACTTATTTATTTGTTTTCCTAAGGTTCGTGTCCTTTAGCCACACAGGCGATGATATCTGATAACAGTAGAGTGTTATAGTGTCTATTTGAATTATCCTAATGGGCTACATACTTGAGACTCTCCACTATGATCTCAATAAGATACCCGATTAATACAGGTTTGTATGTTGGAAGCATACAATTCTGAGCTGTGCTGGTGAGTCAGAGAGTAAACAGCTTAATTTGAGTTCTCACCATCTTCTTATCTCTAAAATATACATCAATATTTCATAAACCACATTGGTTTCAGAAATTCACTGATGAAGAAATTTTATTTTTAGATGAATGTTGAAATTATTTTCTAGTGTATATGCAAAATAGCTATTATTTTGCATTTTTAATCTAAGATGTACTTTGAAAGGTTGAAGTTTTATTATTTTTATGTTTGCATTTTTGGGGTCTGTGTACATGTCTGCTTATCTGGATATATCACTGTACCAATAATGATTCTTCATGGGTCTCAATTGTGGAATGGTAAGTATTGGTTGAGTGGAAGAAAAAAGAAAATTATATTTCAAATTATTGGTGGACAAATGGCATGATAGTGTGGAGAACATTTTCTTTCTCAACACTTACTCTACCTTGGACTGGCAGATTTAGACTCAAATTTTAAGAAAATTTACCCATGAAGAAATTTAATTTAGAAGGTATCCTGTTCAATAATTTTGTGAAATACAGTAAAAGCAGCATTTCCCAAGTGGCAGACAGCCCAAAATAGCCTTAGTTAGAGGCAAAAAAGCAAAGACAATTGATGTTGCTCACACCAAAGTGTAAATTGCTTTCACTTTCTTTAAGTACTAGTTAATCTCGACTGAATTAACTGCTGTCTATACACTAATAAGAACTCAATTATAAGACAGTATTAGCTTAACATCTTTTCTTAATTTTTACCTCTTTAGACATTTATACTTAAAATACTTTTCAAATTGAATTGCCTCATCTGCAAGCATTTTCCTTTTAAATAGGTAATATATTTTAAGCTGTGTTTATTAGATGGTTACATGTATGTTTGGTATAAAATTGTCTTTATACCGATTATGTAAACATTATGACTACATTTCATTTGTACTATAAGTAGGAAATATTGAGCAGACACCGAGGATTTTAAAATTGGGCAAACCTAAGGATAGAGATGGTGCATGCACATAGATTTCCAAAAATGATTGAGCAAAGGACAAAGGAACACATGAAAAACTTAGGATTCTTTTCCCTTTCAAAGTTTTTCCTTAATAAGCCTGATAAGCCTGAACAGTTATATATACATATAGCATTGAAAAGGAATTTCAATGATATTAGACCTTTCCATGAAGATATACACACAAATATATATTAGCATGTGTACATACGTGTGTGTGTGTGTATACAGAGAGAGAGAGAGTGCACGGGGGGTGGAGGGCATTTCTGCAATAGTTGCTTAACAAATATATATATATATATATTTATTTATTATTATGTAGAAACTAAAGGTAAAAATTTAAATTTTTTTTTTTTTTTTTTTTTTTTGAGACGGAGTCTCGCTCTGTCTCCCAGGCTGGAGTGCAGTGGTGCGGCGATCTCGGCTCACTGCAAGCTCTACCTCGCGGGTTCATGCCATTCTCCTGCCTCAGCCTCCTGAGTAGCTGGGACTACAGGCGCCCGCCACTACGCCCAGCTAATTTTTTGTATTTTTTAGTAGAGATGGGGTTTCACTGTGTTAGACAGGATGATCTCGATCTCCTCATCTCATGATCCGCCCACCTCGGCCTCCCAAAGTGCTGGGATTACAGGCGTGAGCCACCGCGCCCAGCCTCTTTTTTTTTCTTCTTCTTTTTTAAATTCACCTTTCTTTTAACTTGCACATAGTAGCTTAAAAAAATTCAATAATCAGAGATTGATAACTGATTTCTACTTTCTCATTTATAATGGCTTGTAACTTATATGGTTTTACATATAAGACACTCACATTCTTAAATCATGTAAGAGAAGGAAAATTCTTTAAGACAAGCATTTTAAGTGTAACTTGAACAGAAAAGAAAGAAAAGGCATAGTCTATATTCTCAGGAAATACATCACTTGTCTTGGGAGATTATCTTATTATTTTGCTAAGTTCTCCCAAACAGATGTGTAAGGTACCATAATTAACCAACTCCCATAAATATAAATGTTGATAAGGTTTTGTAAAACTCTGGGTTAATGTCATGCTGACTTTTCCAATATACAATGAAAAGGTGCCTATCTGACCTAATAGTTTATATTTTAGTCAAATTTCAATCATATAAATCTCCCCGTAACTACTTCTCTTTGGTTTTATGAACTTTGATCTTGCCAGGTTTGGATCTCTTGCTAAGTGCTCAGGGATTTTGAATGAGAACTAGTTGTACAAGTGAATTTGGCACCTGTTGGATGCCAGCTATGAGCAGAGTCTTGCAGTGCCTAACACCACAAAACATTGCGTTTAGATCTGGGGAGGAGCCATCTGCCAATATTCAGGCAGAAGGTTGACAATTAAGGGTAAAATATTACTGTCACTTCTCTTCTCATCCTCACAATCAATATAGAAATTTTGGAAAAGGCTCATAACATCAAAATGTCAGCAAAAGAAGATTAAATTATTGTGAAAAATAGTAAATAGAAAAGTGTATAATTTGCCCTATGAAAATAATGCATAGGAGAAAAAAAAAAAAAAGAGCTTTGGAGGCCGTGTGCGGTGGCTCACGCCTGTAATCCCAGCACTTTGGGAGGCCGAGGCGGGCGGATCACCTGAGGTCAGGAGTTCAAGACCAGCCTGGCCAACATGGTGAAACCCCGTCTCTACTAAAAATACAAAAATTAGCAGAGCATGGTGGCGTGTGCCCATAATTCCAGCTTCTCGGGAGGATGAGGCAGGAGAATCGTTTGAACCTGGGAGGTGGAGGTTGCAGTGAGCCAAGATCACGCCATTGCACCGCCAGCCTGGGGCACAAGAGCGAGACTTCGTCTCAAAAAAAAAAAAAAAAAAAAAAAAAGATTTGAAGATTAGGTCTTACTTTATGAACCAAGTCGTTTTAAGAAAATGATGTTTGCTTCTTCATAAGGAGACATTATGTACATTAATAATACTTTTTTTAGTGAAGGAGAAAGCATATTCAGATAATAAGGGAGAGCAATAACATGAAAACTGAGTGTACAAAATTAAAGCTTTACCAGAGTAGCCAAAGCAGATTTGATAATATAGGAAACTCAATCAATTAGGTAGAACAGATGTGGAGAAGTTCTCTAAGAATTCATTTCATATGAATAAAAGAAACAACAACAACAGAAAACAAAACAAAACAAAAAACAAGGAGAAAGTAAGCAGTGAAGGCAAACTACAGATTTCCAACCTTCAAATGGTAATCATTTCTCAATATATAGGGCAAATGGATCAGAAACAATGATTCAAGTTTAGTAGGAGACTTGCCAAACTTTAAAAATAAGATACGAGATTGACGATTTAGAGTCAATATTTCCAAGCATATAAAATGAATGAAGATGATGCTAACAGAGGCCCTAGAAAATTTCTTTTACTGAAAAAAATAAGTTATATAAGAATTCAAGGTAAAAATCACGTTATTTATAAAAGTAAATAAAATTATATCCTTAATAATACATGGCAGAAGGCAGTAGAGTGGTATATATCTACATAATTCTGTAAGCAGAAAAGGAATTTCAATGATATTAGACCTTTCCATGAAGATATACACACAAATATATATTAGTGTGTGTACATATGTGTGTGTGTGTGTATACAGAGAGAGAGAGTGCACGGGCGGTGGAGGGCATTTCTGCAATAGTTGCTTAACAAAAAAAATCCAAAAGAAAAAGGTTACAATAAATAACTGGTTATGATGACTGGTAAATAAAAAAATGTTACACCTTGGAAGGAAAAAGGATAACACTGATAAATCTAAATAACCGTAACTAAGAAAACAAAATAATTCAAAATATAAATAAATAAAAAAGACCCTTAAAAGGTCAAATAATAGCCATAAAAGATATATGGCAAAGTGGGAAAAGCAAAGAGCTGAATATTTATCTTGCATCAAACACAATACAAAAATATTTTTTAATATACATTGATAAATATTTTTTATCAATAAATAAAAAAAGATATGGATATTTTTACAAACTTTGTGAAAAACATGAAAGCACACAGTGTTACAAAACCTAGATCAAAGATAGGCTAAAGATGTACTCATCAAGTTTAGTAAGTTGGGATGAGAAATGCTTTTATATTTTTGAAATGAAAATAATCTAATATTGTATTAATATAGAATCCAATTATCTACTAATTATAAGAGGTGGTAAAAATTGAAATTGTTTTAAATACTACAAAGACAAAGCCACATATAAATTAAACTCAAATAAAAGGGGATATTTTTGTATTACTCTTAAAATATAAAATTTATGCCAAAAATGCTAAAATAAAAGAGGAAACCATTTGGTTGTAACATATTAAAATTTGCTGAATATTTTTATTCTTATTTTTGTATAAAAAGCATAGCAGCAAGAAAAAATATTCTTAAACAACCAATAGAAAATTATTAGTGTAGCACATTATTATTAGTGTAGCATTATTATCAGTGTAGCACAGCAAGTAGTCAACACAATCAATACATTTTTGATAATTTGAGTACAGCTGGAATAAAATTGATCACATTGTGCACTTTGCATATGTAAAATATACTTAAAATGTATCAATTTAATATCTGTAAATGTGTCTACTTAATAAATTGTATCTATTTAATATTAAAATCGATTATCTTTTTCAACTAAGACAAGCCAATAAAACAAGGCAACATATTTAAAGTTACATTTTCTGTTGAAAATATAAAATTAGTTAAATTAATAAATTTAATCAGTCCATCTATTAAGGATCATCATAAATATTAGATCAAGAACTACTTTTTAATTCACAAAGTGATACAATTACCTTGAGCATAATTACAAGAATACAATTGAAATCAAGAATACAACTGAAATCAAGAATACAATTGAAAATAGAATTGAATGTATATTTCCAAAAAATTCATATCCTTTATACTTTTATAAATAAATATAAAAATAAATCTGAACCAAGCTCTAATGTTAATATTTAGTAAAACATAAAATACTTTTAACTAAAATGAGATAAATAATTAATAATAAATGATTTATACATAATGTAAATATAGAAGATATTTACCTCTCCATATCACACATTCCATATTTTTATATTATAAAGTTATCTGAAAACTACATAAAAATTAACAATTAAAACACAATTTTCTTAAAATTTTCTTTGAAACCAGAAGAGAAATAATAAGGAAACAAATGTTTGAACAGTTTAATATATTTTTCTCTGTTAATATGGCTGAAGATAAAAAAAAAGTCTCACTCTTTTGGGCTTTATGTCCACCATAGGATATTCTCTGATATTTGTCATTATACATAGGAGACAATCTATATCATCCAGCTATTTCCCTCATACACACTGTCCTTCACCATAGATTTATTGGAAACATCTTTAGTTCCTTTATCTTAACCTTCAGTTTTCCTTTCCAGCAATGTGAGTGCAAGTAGTTTATTTAGGAGCTAATTCTGGAACCCCAGCAGGAAAGAAGAATGAGATAGAAAAGGAAAATAATTCATGACAGGGTTTATTAATTAGACACTAACTCTTTAGATAAATGAGACAGACCTGTTGGGGACTACCAAGAGAATGACTGAGAAGTAGAACCCTTCTTGGTATCATCTCACTCAAGGGAAGAGGAAGCTGCTGTGTTGAACCTTCGAATCTCA
Source organism: Homo sapiens (assembly GCF_000001405.40). Classification (NCBI taxonomy): domain Eukaryota; kingdom Metazoa; phylum Chordata; class Mammalia; order Primates; family Hominidae; genus Homo; species Homo sapiens. The sequence goes on along the minus strand of NC_000004.12, from coordinate 126,727,864 downwards.
TTTGTCAATGGCTAAAGATGCTGGGATTGGGAAGTAGTTACATCTCCAGCGCTATTGACCTGCTCCTTGCTGAGAAAAAGCCCTTGAGTGTAGAGTCACAGATGCAAGTACTAGACAGTGAGTGCCCTGGGGGCATAAACAGTAGGAGTAGGTGAGAGGAGGACCACTTTCACCCCTGCCTCCACTGAGAACTTATGCAACACAAACTCATTCTGATGAGGAAAGCACATTGATGTCAGTCATACAGCCTCTGAGTCATAATTAAATACCATGGTGAGTGAAATATTATTCTTGGAAAAGATGAGGTGCTGAACTTCTCAAAATGGTGAAGATTAATAAAATTAACACAGAAAGCTATTTCTTTGGACACTGATAAAATTCAAAAGTGAGAAGACATATTAAAGTAGAAGGGTAAGATGAAATAAGAAAATGTTACAGGTTATTTATATGGACAGTAATAAATATATAGTGTTTCAAGTAAAATCTAATAAATTATTTCAAATTACACCTAGGCTCAACTTTGGAAAAGAGACTTAAACAGAAATTTAAGAAATTCTGTGTTTTTTAAGACTGGTATTTTAGAGCATAAAACTCTGGCTTAAAAAAAATTTCTCTCCACTTGAAAAAAATAGTGTATTTATTATTTATATTTGAATATAAGATACATATTTAAACAAGAATCAATGGTATATGTTTTACAGTTCCTTAATTGGCCAGTTTTAAGTCCAGTGTAAATGACCACCTATATTTTATCCAGCACTGAGGTTGTTGCAGCCTATGTAGTAAAGCACAATTTGCGTAATCCCAAGCATGTGAATAATCCCTTCTTTTCAAAATGCATTCTGATTTTTCCACCATTCAACAAAGTAGCTGGGAATTGAGTTGAGTGAGAGTGACATAACTAGAGAGATAAAAATTTTTAAAATGCAATTTCTTGTTGCTCAGGCTATTCGTCTCAAATAATCTGCAGCATCTCTCATCTTGTTAACATTCTGTTGTTCAGCCTCCCTAATCTAAAGGCAACTTCTCATTGTTATGCTTAGTTTTATTGTTCTGAATCCTGAAGGAACAGGTATCTAGTCCTACTCACCCTCAATGTTTGTTTCTTTTTTGTTTGCTTTTTTGAGAGAGGGTCTTGCTCTGTTACCCAGGCTGCAGTACAGTGGCACAATCATAGTTGACATAGTTGCAGCCTGGACTCAAGAGTCTTTCCGCCTTAGCCTCCTGAGAAGCTAGGACTACAAGTATGTGCCACCATACTCAGCCAATTTTTATTTTTGTAGTTTTTGTAGAATCAGGGTCTCCCCATTTTCTTTCTTCCCTTTCTTTTCTTTTTTTTTTTTTTTCTTTTTTTGCCCAGGCTGGTCTCCAACTCCTTACTTCAAGGAATCCTACCACTTTGGCCTCCCAAAGTGTTGGGATTACAGGCAAGAGCCATGGTGCCCAGCCTTGTTTCTTTTTGCTTTTTTAATTGATCTTTGCTTGGATGGTTAATCTTAATGTAAATTATCTTTATGTTTCTCAATTTCCCTTTTCCTTGGTTAATTTTCTTTAATAGAATAATATTGTAGAGTGAAACAAGTGATAAATAAACATTATTCAGTTTTACCATTATTGAGAAATGAACAACTGTCACATTTCTGGATTCCTGATTATGATTAAAAGTGCATTTGTAGCACATTTCTTTTTTTAATATGCTTGCTCTGACAACTCTGGATCTTTTCTTGGAAGAAAAATCCACCATGTAAGTTGCTGAGCCTGGCTTAATTCCAACTTTAGTATGCTAATTAGATTACATTTGTCTTCTAATGACATCTGTTTTGTTATTTAAAAATTTTGCAATTTTGCAAGTTGCTGTGATATTTAGACCCAGATTCAGCTCAGAATTTTATCTTGTACATAAATTAATATGTGCTATCTTAAAGAAAATTATTTTAAAGCTTACTTGAAAGAAAGACAATATTTGAATTTTCTTTTGTAGCATAAGAAACTTTGATTTAAAAAGAAAAAACTCAAGTCCCTCCCTTAGGTGAGACCTGAGGCTCTGCTGCCAATCAGCCCCTAGGGTCTGATCAACCATCACAGCTTGTCAATTCTCCAGCTTCTGGGTCCTCATCAGTGAGTAAATCAAATTATCTATCACCAGGACCAGAGCCCACCCTCTTCTAAGACGGTTGATCTAGTATTTCTCCCGTCCCTGTTTTCATGAGTCTAAGTCTAAAATATAAGCCCTTGGCCATTGATGTTTTGCCACATTTGTCACCCATAATGCTCTGTCTCTCTTTATCCCTAACCCATTCCTTCATACATCTGCACTATACTGGAGATGGTTATGGCAGTGCAGTCCAATAGACATGTAATGTGAGCCACCTATGTAATTTTATATGTTCCAGTAGCTGTATTAATGAAACAGTAAAAAGAAACCAGTGAAATTAATGTTAATAATACTTGAACAATATAGCCAAATTTACCATTTTAATATATAATTAATATAAAATAATGAATAAGATATTATATATTCTTTTTTTCATACTAAATCTTTGGACTCTGGTGTGTATTTAAAACTACAGCACATCTAAATTTGGAGTAGCTGCATTTCAAGTGTTCAGTAGCCACATGTGGCTAATAGATACCACATTGGACAGTGCAGCCCATTAGGAATATGACATCTATTCCCAATTCATTCTATGTATCTTGCTTGGATTTTGGAGATTAAAGGGATAAAATTACATTACCCCAACTCCTTTGTGTTTATGTTTCTGCATGTGATTTAGGTTCTGTCAGTGAGAGCTGCTAGCATGAGACTTTGAACATGGGAGTGAGTTTGAGGCCATCGTTGTTCGGCTATGGCAACTGGCAAGAAAAGTTCAATATGGGGAGTGTGGTGACCAGGTTCCACATTCTGTGTCTGGTTACCTCCTCTGTGGGGCTGAGGCACTGGTGGCAGGCGACTGGTGCGAGCAGCACAAGCCTCCTGATTTTTGCTTCCACTTGCCTGGGCATCTTGCAATATTTTCCCAAAGTCTGGTTGTCTTTCACCCTATTATTTCTTCCTTTGCATAATACCAATTTTAAGAGACAGCTCAGGAAATACCTTTTTTAGAAAATATTCCCTGACCTCACTCACTCTCTTGCCAACATATGCTTACTTCTTTCCTAAGCACTGACACACTATCCTATAGTTGTCTAACTTTTCTGTCCTATTGATGGCAGAGATAGTTTCTTTACTACTGTTAGTTTTGTTATTATTATTTACTTAGCATTCAGCACATTGTAGATTCTCAGTAAATATTTATTAGACAGATGCCTGGAGGATGGAGACAATAACAATGAACAGAGTATTTTGAGATAGAGATAAAACAATTCCAAGGCATGTGACACAAAAGGACTTCTGCAATGTGGAAGTTCTGTCAATTGGGGAAAAACTTAGACTGGATATCTTACTTACTTCCTTGAGGAAAAATATGCAGAGGTGTAAACAAAGGAGCGTCAAGTTGTTCTAAACATTTGCTTCATGAACTTCAGCAATGCACAGGGCTGCTACTAGTCTGGTATTTACTGTAGTCTAATAAGTCTTCATTGACAAGTTAACTCAATAACTAACTGAACAGCATTTATATGATGTTGACATTTCTGCCAAAAACCTTTCATTATAGCTAATATATACTTTGTCTTTTCTAACTTATACCATTGATTTTATACTTAGATGGGTCTCAATTGAGATGAACTGTCCACTTAACATGTTTTTTAAAAAAACAAAAAACAAAAACACGTCTTTCTGCCTTTTGGTTACAGCATCTATATTTAATTAGCCCAAAAGAGGCACAAAGCTAAAGAGGAAGAATCTTATTTTTAAGAAATGATAATATAACTATTGCTTCCAGGATCCAACCATTTTGTGGACCACTGTTTAGTTTTTGTTTTGGCTCTCTAAATTTACTGCAACAAGAGAATGTATATTCTCCATGAATACATATTTCAACATGTAAAGTCAACCAGCTCTTTCATGAAGTGCCTTTGAATTTCTTTTTTGTTGTTTCTGTGTTTTTCTCCCTTTAAACTGTTGGGAAAATGTCTGCAGGGTTGATTTGCAAACTTATTCACAACTTCTTGAATTGAGAAAAAAAGTAAGATGATGATGGGATATGAAAAATAAGGTTAGTCCTTAATTAAAGATTAAGGATTTGTATTACGAATTTTCCCTTTAAACTGTTGGTAAAGTGTCTGCAGGGTTGATTTGCAAACTTATTCACAACTTCTTGAATTGAGAAAAAAAGTGAGATGATGATGGGATATGAAAAATAAGGTTAGTCCTTAATTAAAGATTAAGGATTTGTATTATGAATTTTCCCTTTAAACTGTTGGGAAAGTGTCTGCAGGGCTGATTTGCAAACTTATTCACAACTCCTTGAACTGAGAATAAAAGTGAGATGACGATGGGATATGAAAAATAAGGTTTAGTTCAATTTAGTTCCATCATTGATTGTGGGATGGAATCCAGCTTCTTCCTTATACTTCCTATTATAAAATTAGCACAAAGTCTTCTGTAGATATTCTAGTAATTTATCCTGTGGGAAACATCAGGAGATACATAATGAAAATTTTAAAGAATTTAAGTAAAACTTCTACCTACTTCTTATTCTAATGTAATAATGAGAACTAAGTTCTGTTAGTTTTCATACCATTGTCATATGTGTATTACTGAGAATCTCAGTGAGTGTGTCCTCAGAATTTCTCTTGATTCAATCGGGGATGTATTGCCCAATCCTCCCTGCCCACCTTTAGTAACCTTTTTTTTTGTTTGTTTGTTTGTTTTTAAGGACCAAAATTTTCCACAGGTGCTTTGTTGAATAATAATGTGTCTGAAAAACATTAGGGGGTGTTACATGAAATAAGGATTATTTGGGCATCCAAGTTGGGAAATGCTTCAGCATAGGTACTCATGATGGTTAATTTTATGTGTCAACTTGTCTGGGCCATGGGGTACCCAGACATCCGGCCACATATCATTCTAGGTGTGTCTATGAGAGTGTTTCTGGATGAGGTTAACGTTTGAAGCCATGGACTAAGTGAAGCAGATTCCCCTCCCTAAAGTGGGTGGGCCTTATTCAATCAATTGAAGGCCTGAATCAAACAAAAGGCTGAGTAAGAGAGAACTCCAACTTCCTGCTTGCTTCATCTGGACATTGGTCTTTTCTAGCCTTCAGACTTAGACTGAAACATTGGCTCTTCATGGATCTCAAGCCTGTCAACCATCAGACTGACAGTTACACCATCAGTTCTCCTGGTTCTCAGGTCTCAGGATTCAGACTGAAACTACTCATTGGCTCTCCAGGGTCTCCAGTTTGCTGACTGCAGATCTTGGAACTTCTCATCTCCACAACAGCATGAGCTGATTCCTTACAATAAATCAAATCTCTCTCTGCCCTCTGTCTCTCTCTCTTTCACTCTCTCTCTCTCCCCCTCCACCCTCCCGCCCCCCCCCCCCACCCCCCTGCATGGATGCCTCTCCTATAGGTTTTGCTTCACTGGAGAACCCTGACTAATACAGTACTGAAGGACTTTTCAGAGATTTTTATACAACAAAACTCTCTAAGATGAGGGAGGGTATTGAGCATTTCCCCAATCTGTTTAACTATAGAAGGGTCTTGGCTTTTGCTTTTTGTTTTTGTTTTTAAATTTTTCAACAGAAACTACTAGTATGCCAGGAACCCATTTTTTCCAAACACTTAAAAAGATACATTTCATATCCACAAGAATAACAAATATAGCTTTTAGTTTCCAAAATACTGAGGCAACATTAACCCTTAATTCTGGAGTAATTTAAACAGTTTTTCAAAGGTCTGCTATATGTACCAAAGAATAGAATCACAGGGATAAGTGTGTGTTTTTCTTGTGAATAGGAAAAATGGTAAGGTGTCGTTTTGTTAGTCTCTACCATCATGGAAGGGAATAAAGAAGCCACATCATGAATTATCTCTCTTACAATTTTATCTTACTCCTTGATTCATTACTTTTAATGTTTCACTCTGGTTTAGCTCAGTAAAGACGGAGTCACCTAGGTATTCTAATACGAATAAATTTAAAACAAAACTAGAAGCAATATACCCAACCTTAAGAATTCTTGGGGAGCAAAGGTCATGAAGTCTGTCCATAATGCCTTTGGAAGTGCAAAGATCACGAAGAAGCCACATCCTCAGCACCAAAGTACATGCGGGGAGGATCCAAAAACTGAGGGCCAGACCCCACATCTGCCATCTGCCATCTGCCACCTGCCACTACCAAAGTGCCTTTCCACAAAGGCCACCAGAAAATAATCATGTTTTCTTGTCTTTTGCTTTTAAAGTATTTCAGGATCACATCCCATTGGCCAATTCTAAACAAACTTGCTAGTGAGTGACTCTATAAACATATCTATGGGTTCTAAGGTTCTGCCACCTAGAAAATAGCTTAGCAGGTTTGGAATAAAACTGAGTGTCCAAAAACAATATGTGGTATATCTCAATTGCACCAGTATAGGTAACAAGTGGAAATCTGTAAGGAGACAAGTATGTTGAACAGTGAATGGCTACCCAGCATTGGGGAGGGAAATAGAAAAAAAAATAGTGTTCTGATGCCACTAATTGATATAATCAATTATTAGAAAGAATCAGACAAATCAATTGTTCCTAAAGTGTGATCACTGGCTCAGTAGCAGCAACATCACCTGGGAAATTTTAGAAATGAAAATCTTGGACTGCACTCCATGTTCTGAAAAACTGAATTAGAAACGCTGGGGATGGGGTCTAGAAACCTGTGTTTTAATAAGCTCTCTGGATAATTCTGATGGACATGAAATTTTGAGAATTACTGGTATAAAGGTCTTGAAAAGGGTATTTTATGAATATTACTTTGCTTCTAGGAAGAGTAAAGAATGCTTGAGGCTCTATAAACTCTTACTAGAGGTTAAAATGACTTGAGAGTCTGTTCAGGGGTCTGGGTGGGGCTGAGAAGTTGAAAGAAAATGAAAGAGCTAAACTTTGAATTTGGCAGAACGTAAGTGTAAGAGTGGAAAGATTGACACCTGAGTTACTGAAAAAATAAGTTTGTGCTCATAAGAAAAAAGTATTGTAAGGATCTAATGTAAAGAATTTTAGTTTTTATGTACGTGTTGCACGTGAAAGTGGATAAAGTGTGGCCATGAATATGGCTCAAATTACCTGAAAGGTCAGTTCCGTTCTACAGTACTTTTCAAAATTCATGGAACCCAACAACAGTGCAGTCTTAGGCAGCTCCTATTCTATCTGCATTTGATCCATGACAAGCTTTTTTGAATTAAATCTTCATCAATTTATGAATAACACCTTCCACTGAGGGATCATGGGTATGTGCAAATGAGCTTTGCAGACATTCTAAGAATAATATGGTAAAAGGAATGCTTTATTGCTTCCACAAAGGGGTCTCTATCTTATCTTCCTCACCCATAATTTTAAAAATAGTTTAACAAAAAACCAAAATAACAAAATAAAAAACAGAAGCAGTTATCAGCTAACAAAACTGAGGAAGTCTCAAGTCTTACCATGAACAAACTAAAAACAGGTTTTCAAACTGTCTTTTCTAATTTAAATATTGCTTCTGTATAAGGAGATTTTCCCAAGTCATTTAGCAGGTAGCATGAAGGCAGAGTTACTCCAGCAGACACGCTTCCCTGGGGATTGAAAAGAATGACTTCTGAAAACAGGCATTTCTTAGCAAATCATATAAAAACCTCACTGGAGACTTTTGCTGCCAGGAGAAAGACTTTAAGCATTTACTGATGGAACCTCTAAGACAATAAAGAGTGCAGATGCATCAGATTTAGGTTTTAAAACTGCTGATGTCCGCATTTAGCCTAAACATGCTTTATCCAATCTTGAAAAACTAATGTAGTGCTACATTCTTCCTTGTGAGGTAATGTCGTTTTGGAGAGATTTTCTTTCCTGTTAATCCAAATCAGAAGGCTGGCTCTCTGTATAAAGAAAAGAAAACAAAAATAAAAAGATACCATCCTGATTTATATTGGAAACAGGTAGGAATGGGTATATATGTTGGGGAGGGGTTAAATAGGATGTGGGGAAGATGTCTGGGAGAGAAAGAGAGAGAATACATGTTCCTTATTGTGAAGGACAAGAGAGTTGAGTTTAATAATCATATTTGATTTTATACTTATCAATCCTATAGTTGAATGTCCTATATGATTCAGAACTAAAGTAAACGAAACAAAGTTGGTCATGGATCAGGCTTTTCAAAAGTTGCTGTTATTAAATTGCTATACATACAGGGAAGTTTGGGAGTGATGGAAGTATTCTTTTTTTTTCTTTTTTTTTTTTTTTTTGAGACGGAGTCTCGCTCTGTCGCCCAGGCTGGAGTGCAGTGGCGCGATCTCGGCTCACTGCAAGCTCCTCCTGCCGGGTTCACGCCATTCTCCTGCCTCAGCCTCCCGAGTAGCTGGGACTACAGGCGCCCGCTACCACGCCCGGCTAATTTTTTGTATTTTTAGTAGAGACGGGGTTTCACCGTGTTAGCCAGGATGGTCTCGATCTCCTGACCTCGTGATCCGCCCGCCTCAGCCTCCCAAAGTGCTGGGATTACAGGCGTGAGCCACCGCGCCCGGCCGGAAGTATTCTTCATCTTGATTGTGATAGTGGTTATTTGACTACATGAATTTGTCAAAACTTGCAGAACTACTCTAAAAAGTGTGACGGTTACTATAGTAAACTAGACCTTAATGAAAAATGCTATATATATTTTACACTGCTGAGAGAGATGCATCATTGTTCTGAACATCTCAACAGTTACTTGTCACTGCAGCATATTAATTTTATAATTTATGAAATTAAATAGTGTAAAATATATGTTAAATATTAATGCTAAGACCTAGAACATCTATTAAAAAATTACATCAAAATAAAGCAATACAAGTAGCTGAACAGCATGGAATATGAGTGGAACATTTTGATTTAACTTCCTTGAATTTTATTTTTCATGTCCCTCCGAAAAGCTAGAGCTAGATACACCTTCACTTTTAAAAACAGCCAGATGAGATGACATTGCCAGTCTTTATCATGAACATTTTTACACATTTTATTTGAATGTCCTATTTCTATATTATGAACAATCAATTATTTTCCATGAATGTATACACAAACTTTTTCATAGACACCTAAATACAGGGGAATATGCATTAACCAAGTGGTAGAAAATTATATCAGTTTCACTTTTACAGTATGAAATTAATGATTTGGGGTTTTTATTTTTGCTTTCACAGAATGCTTTATTAAGCATTTTAATAAAGTCTATTTTTAAACCTGATTGTTAAAATGACTTTTAACATGGCTATTTCCAATCTCTTTAAACTTTAGATTCCATCTCCTCCCAGCCAAGCCATTTTAAACCTCCTAATGGGTACCTTACTTTTCCTTGTTAAATCTTAACAACCTATTACTGGCTGTAGGCTGGTCTGGCTTTCTGCAGAAACGTATGCCGTCTTTGAGTCATAAGTGCATGAGGGCTTTTTCTGGGTCAGATAAGGGCCATGGGGCAGAGCCAAATTAAGTGGAAACGTTTGTATCTAAAAGAAATCTACAATGAAGGCTTATTATGGAGAGAGTGATGAGGTGAGAAACCAGTGAGGTTTGTGTGTAGCTTACTGTAGTTGCGTTTGACAAAGGCATCCTTTAAAAATAAAAGCCCACTTTTCACTTAAAAGGAATGAATTGCATTGCATCAAACCAACATTCTTCCTTTCCCTTCTATTTTATATACATGTCTCAATACACTGAGTGGCCCAAACTAATTAATTTTTTGATTCCATTATGGTAGACTTCTACCTCATTTATTTGCAAAATTCCTGGAACAAAAAAAAGCAAAACTTGTTGCTGTGATGCCCATATTTTTTTAATTACCGTTTTCCTTAAAGATGCGTAAATCTTCAAGAGACTTTGAATTAAATTGAAATTACACAAAAATTTTTCAGTGAATAATAATATATAAATCACAATAGGTTATCCTATTATTTGACAAATATTCTAAATATTCAATTCTATATCAAGCTTATCATATCCAAATTGATTCTAAAACATAGGTTACACAGGATCACTGAATATATAGAATAAGCTTTTAAGCAATGTCCAGTTAAGCTAATAATAGGAATCTTGAAACAGGTAAAAAACTGGAATGGGCAGAGTTGGAGAAAGGAGTTCTGGGAGGATATTTGCATGTAAGTTTGCAAATTCACCTAGTAAAACTTCACAACTTGCTGTTCTAAAACTATACATTGAAACATTGATTTGGGGTACAGAGACTTCATTTTCCTTACTCAAATTTTTTAAAAGTTGTGTTTTGTGACCACACTCTCCACATAAGACTGGTTGAACCTGGTGTAATTGACAAGAGTTGAAAGTGTTTGAGGAGCTGGTAAGGAGCAGAAGGTAGGCTGGGTTAGGGATCTGAATGAGAATAAAGGTGGTTACACCTATTAGGAAAATGAGGATTGTGAATTGTAGGCAACCGGTATGACTTCTTCACCAACTGGAAATAGAAAAGCAGGAAGTTTTCCTTTATGTTATTTTTGCTTTGCAAAAGCGGGGGGCTCCCATCCAAAATTTGTTTCATGTATAAAGACTAATGACGCCACATATACGTGACACCACATATACACACCGAGATGGAACAAAACAGGGTGTTACGGATATGTCTGGGGAGAGCAGGGAAGTTTCTTAAGCAGGTTCTAAATAGCTTGAGAGAGCATGGAAAGGATACTTGGCTTGGGTTTAATGGTAAGGGAGTAAGGCCTGAGTGAGGCTTCCCATGCATGAGCAGGGATATGCATGGTTTGAGTCTAGCCTCAGGTGCTAAGGGAGGGAGCATCCAGGCTTTCTTCTTGGCTGGCCAGATGTGGGACACGAGAGGAAGAGGAAGAGGTAAGGCTTATATGCTCTGAGCAGTCAAACATCAGAAAATGGAGACAGGCTTCTCATTATACTATAAATTGCAAATTTCTGCAATTCTCAAGCCTCATCTTTTCTCATGAGAAGAAAGTCTAGATTTTTTTTTCTTACCTCCGATGATGAATTTCCTCAGGATTTTAAAGTCTCATTCAAAACTGTAGTTCATTATCTTGTTTATCTGCTCCTGGGAGAGAATGTCAACGTTCTCTTTGATGCTTATGTAGACAACTGCTGGCTTCCAGAACAGCCCTGCCTGATAGACTTATATCAGACACTGCCTCATTGTCATTGATTAAGTGGAGACCTGGAAACAGTGCCAGAACCTAGAGAGTCTCCATCTACAAGAACAATCCTGTAGAACCCTCTGTGGTTGTTGCAGACTCCACAGTCAACTGATGCAGGTGTCACCTGGTTTGTTCAGGCCTAGAAGTCAATTCTCAGTGCAGAAAATTAGAGGGGTCTCACTGAGGAAGGAAGGGTAATCTCACCCAGATTTCTGTGGGTTGAAGAGACCAGCAACAATAGAGAATGTCTTGGTCATGTAGTGAGGCCTATGGCAATAACTTCTTGGGTACCTTCCCTACACCGCGAAGAGTGATTTATTTCGGGGCAAATTCTCACCTTGACCTGATTGTATTAGGGGCCCTAAAATGCTCTACCATTCCTTACAGAAAAGGAATTGGTTCATTTCTCCATGTCTAAGTTTTTTCTTCTTATCACTTATCCTGTGAAAAATGCACTGACTATAGGTAATGATTACGTTATTTAGATGTTTCTTCAGGCGAGTCTCAATGTTTTAGTTTTAAAAAGCCAGATCCTTCTGGTAAGGCGTAGTGAATGTCAAAAACTCTGCTAGTTTTTGAGGAGGTGACATTAAGAGGATATTAGAGGAAACAGGAATGTGCTGAATATTCGGTTTGCCTCCCTCTCTTCTCTTCCCTTCTCATTGCCTCTCTCTCCTGGTCTGTGCTCCTGGAGTAGTGACTGTACTAACTGGGCTCCGCTCCCCTCAGGCTTGCAGTTGAGTTTGGCTCATGGGTTGGCCAAAGTTGTGCTCCTCTCCCTAAGGCCATAGCTTTTGATGGGAGGCCCTCTCTTACAGCTCTAGCTAAGCTAAGCTTTTTCTGAATCCAGGAGCAGCTACTGTCCCCTGTTCTTTTTAGTCCTGGGGTGGTGACTTTCACATTGTTGTTACCTCTCATTTTTGGTTTCCCTTTGAAGGGTCTAGACTTTGTAAATAAACCCTTCATCAATTACTCTGACTTTGCTTCTCTCTCTTTCTAGGACCTTGGCTGATTTTCCTGCAAAACAAGGAGTGAGCCATGAAAAGTTAGGGGAAGGGCATAATAATATAAGAGTTATTAAGAAATTATTTTTAGGCAGCTAGAAAGGGTAAAAGAATTCTCGGTGGAATTTTCCTTTAATAAAAAGCAGCCCCAAACCATTTCTTCGCTAACAGAAAGCAGCCTGAGAAGTCAAGCATAGATATGCAAACTAGAAGCTTTTATGTGTAAATGCAAGCAGCTGTACCTGGAGGCCAGGTACATTCAGTATGGCGTCTCCTGCCCTCTTTTCCTTGTCACCATGTGTGCCAGCATCATGGCAGCCTCCAGGTAAAACCACCTGTACAGGTATCATGGCTGCCTCCAGGTGGATGCTGCCTTTGCATAAGAAAAGACTAGGGTGGGAGGGCCAGTCTTTTCTTGGGCTACGTAAATGGCACACCTGGTCAAACCAATTCCTTGATCCGTATATACATCAGTCACTGCCTCCTTAAGCCTCTGTACAAAACCGATTGCGTTTGGCCGCAAACCGGAGACCCTCTTTTGGGCGACCTGTTTTCTCAGCATGAGGAAGGCTGTTCTCTCTTCTTTTTTATATATTAAACTTTCCACTCCTAAACTCACTCCTAGTGTGTGTCCGTGTCCTGAATTATTTCTCAACTGTGACAAAGAACCAGGGTATATACCCCAGACAACAGAGCCGTTCCAATAATAAGCTAAGATATAAGCAAGTGCATTTGTGTGAAAACATACACATTAATGATGCAGATAAGTCGCATTGCTATTTAAAGGTGGTAAATTACAAAATACCCACAATCATTTTTGGTTGGTGATTTTTCTTACATTGTTGTTCAACAAGCATTTTTGATGACTTCTTTTTGCAAGGCAATGACTAGATACTTCAGCTATATGTATCCTATTCAAATATTGCCATATTCATTCATGAATCTGTCTTTGTGAATAGACATTATTCTTTTGGTGTTCACTTCTTGGGAACTAAAGTAGTAGTAAATTTGTATAGTGAGATCACTTAAAGAACTACTTTCTTAGTAACAGAGCATGAATGGAAGTGACTGTGTTGAGAACTTCCTGTTCCTTCCTGTGCTAACATATACATTCATACCCACACATTCACAAAGCAAATCTTTAACTTATCCAAAGTGCAGCTTAGTACTTGAAACTGTCTCCAACAAGGTCATTGTACCCTACTTTGCTGCAGGTTTTATACTTCAAAGCATATTATAATTATTTGGCTTCCACTTTAATATTGCCTTTATATTATTTTTATGAGAACATTGTTTTCTGCTTTGGAGTAATGTAATGCTTTGATATGATTAATGATGGCCCAATATTTCCTTCCCTGCTTCTGTGGATGAATTAAGCATTTAATATAAGTTTTTTAAACAAAATGTCCTTATGAAATAAATAGATGCCAAAATTTTGTTCCATGCAAGTTTTCATTAGATCTTAAATCTGAAAAGAAAATGTAGTTTTGGGAAATAAAAGGGAGTCCTGATTAGTTTTGGTTTTCTTGGTTGGTCTTGTTATTACAGTAACTTTTATCAGCCCTCTTCCCTATCATGAAGCTCAGGAATGTTTGGGCTATTTCCATTGCTTTTCCTGTTTTTGTTTGGCAGATATTTATGCATCTGAAACAAATGTCTTATTTTAAAAGCCAATGGAATGAGTGTAAGATGCTTTATTGAAATTTTAATATTTTCTCTAAGTTCTAAAGGTTTTACAATATTTTATCTTTGTTTAGACTTCATATTTGATTTAAAAACTCAACTATTTTTTGATTATATATTGATTTTTATTTTTATTTTTTTACTCTTACTGATGGCTTAGTTTTTTAAGAAAGATGTTCTTTCTTTTTCCTATGAACATATTTATAACCCATTTGTTTAGGATATACTCTAAGAAAGTTTTCTTCTGGTGATTTTTGATTCTTGTTTCTTTTCACATTATAAACTTGTTCAACTATTTTTTAAAGCTTTGTTTTAGTTTTGGGAAATGTATTCCTCCTTAATTAAATTTTATAACAAATAAGACATTTGATCCTAAAGATGGAATTGGATAAACTACAAAAAAAAAAAAACAAAAAAAAAAACCAGAAAAAAAATTACCGGCCGGGCTTGGTGGCTCACGTATGTAATCCTAGCACTTTGGGAGGCCAAGGCAGGCAGATCACAAGGTCAGGTGATAGAGACCAGCCTGGTCAATACGGTGAAACACCGTGTCTACTAAAAATACAAAAAATTAGCCGGGTGTGGTTGCATGCACCTGTAGTCCCAGCCACTTAGGAGGCTGAGGCAGAAGAATCGCTTGAGCCCAGGAGGTGGAGGTTGCAGTGAGCCAAGATCGTGCCACTGCACCGCAGCCTGGGTGACAGAGCAAGACTCCATCTCAAAAAAAATAAAAAAATAAATAAAAATAATAGTAATAATAAAATTACCTTGCATATGTTGCTTTATTACTACAGAAACTAAAATACTCTGAAATATTTTAGGGCAACTTTTGATTTATCTATTTATATCTTATTTATATTGCCCTTTAGAAGGCATGGTAGATAGAATGTCCTCCCAAAGATGTTCACATCCTAATTTATGGAACTTGTGAATATATTACATTACGTTACATGGCAAAAGTTGAAAGATTCAAAGCTTGAAACAGATACTATTAGGCTGTATCTATGAAATATTAATTAACCCCTTTATGTTTTGGAAAGAGCTGAATGACAGTCATTTAAACATAGAACTCTCAGAAATTTGCAAAATGCCAATAATCTGAGTCATTGTTATAAATATTAGATGGATAGAGATACTATGAACAAATATAAAATCAATAATTAATTGTGTGTCCTCTCTGTGTGCTGCAGCACATGTGAAAATGACCTTACAATGTGGATAAAATATTGGAGTATTCCTAAAGAATGGAGAGGGATTTTGAACAAAATAGTTCATAAGTATGCTGGGGCGGGTTAATAAAGTCATGAAACTAAGTCATTTCAAAACAAATGGAGATTTGTTTATCTCAGTAAATGCACTGTAATCCAATACTTCCTTAAGCCATAATTTTGAGGTCATCAGTGATTGTCCCCCCTTCCTTGCATATCAATTAATGAGGAATTCCAATGCATTCTGTTTCTAATATTTATCCTTCCATTTATTTATTTCTCTTCATATCTGTTCCTACCAGTCTAACAAAGAATAGCTAAGATTTATAATATGCTTACTACTAAGTGCCAGACCCAGTACTAAGTACATTCATAAACTAATTCTTACAATTGTCCTACAATTCTTAATAATTATTGCTATTATATCTTTTTAAATGATAAAGAGTCTGGAATGTGGAGTTTTGTAACTTGCTCAATATCACATAGGAACTAAGTGGAAGAGGAGGTGTTTCAACTCAGACAATCTCATTCGATAGCCTGCACTCAACCATTCCAACACATACTTTTTCAGGCTGCAGATCCAAGGTCTTCCATGTCTCATTGACAATTCAATACTAGTTTACATCTGTGGATATTTATTTAGGAAAATGCTGCCTCTTAATATCATTGTTTAGGGAGTTTTAGTTTTAGGGAGTTCTCTATTATGTAAGAATTGGTTGGAGGCACTTCCCTGACTTTCATTAGTGAAACCAAAAAAAGCCATGTTCTTTTTGTCCCCATTCTTTGGAAGTTTGAGTTTGGGCATATGGCACAGGTTCAGACTTTGGGTAACTCAGGAGTATGAATATAAAGAGAACGATACACAAAGGCAGGAAGAATTGGGAAAACGCCTATGACAACGTGGAGACATCTAGAATCCAGGGGAACATTTGAGATCAGCAGAGTACTGTAACCAGTGGCAGTGGCATTTGGGAGGGAATCCCACCAGCTTATGTCTTTATCTTAATTCAGCTGTGTTTCTTATTGTCTACCCCTTCTTGATTCCTGTAGGACTTCTGTATCTGATCCTCTAGCTTTCTGGATGATTCTGTGGGTTACTTGATTGTCTTCCACATACTTAAAGTACGTTTCTGATGCTTGCAGCCTAGAACCTTAATAATTGTCCAGCTTCCACTCTTGATCTGTTTGCATTCTATTATCCCCTTGCAGTCAGAGTGGTCTTTTAAAAAGGTTAGTTAACATTACTACTCTGATGAAATCTCACAATTGCACTGAAAATAAAATGTAAACTCTTTACCAGGCTTACAGGCTTATAACCTCCAACAGTATTTATTCTCCTGTCTACTTTTCTTACCTACCCTTATTTTAATCTCTCTCAGTATTTTTTCCAGCTATTCCCTGTGACTACTAGGCACATATTTTGATATATATCTGTTGAATAAATGAACAAATAAGGAATTGATGAATAATTTGTTATATTTTGGCAGTACACCATCCTACCTCTCCTTTCCATTGGTATTCTGATTGTTTTTTCAGGATGACTCTATTATGAGTAGTCTTGGTGAGAAGTAATGAGCACTTCCCATATAGAGGTGAAAGAGAGCAGATACTCATTGTCTCCACTCCCATAAATGCAGGGTGAACAGGTAGCATAGACTCAGCCACCCAAATCTCATGACAAGGCATGAACAGGGAGATGGGTGAAGGTCATATTTTTTCTAGTAGCCAGCTTCTACTTGTGTGACCTTGCTTTGCCTATTATTGTCTGGTCTTCTCAAAAGCTCTTGGTTTTTAAAAAAAATATTTCCAAACTGATACTTCAGGATCCTATTATTTTTGTGATACCCTGATATTTTTCCAATATTTCATTTCTTGCTTAAGATATAAACACAGTGCTTTCTGTTGCTAAATGCCAAGAATCCTCACTGATAATAATAGCTTAGTAACCTAGGTCTTACCAGAGAGAAACAGAAACCAATTTCAAGCTTAAAAGATATGACCAAGATAAAACCACAATATAGTCAGTTGGATTTATTGCTGGGGAGACAGGGAAAGAAAATGCAATTGGTTCATGAAGCTTGGCTTGTTAATCAGGGATATGTTCCTAAATCATCACTTTATGTTTTTTGGAAGGAAACCTGTTCTACCTCTGCCTGAGGTAGTATCATGTCTATGGGAAGATAAAACATATTTCACAAAAAAATTAAATGGATTTAGTGTTTATTAAAATGTGAGACAAGCATTTGTGTGGGCCTTATAGTTCTGTACCACAAAACACTATAAGACAATGTTGATCTGGTGATATTTAAGGACCTATAAATGTTTAGTTATGTATAGTTCTGCAAGGTGATATGCAATAGGTGGAGTACTACACAGTGCAACTCCATGACATTGTCATTGCCCTGGAGTTCACTGGAATAGGAAATCATATTGACTAGGGCAAGGGTTACTTGAAATTGAATCGATTCCTTGGTAGGTTTCAAGAAAAAACCCATAGCTAAATATTTCCCCCCAAATTCAGAATCTTATTTATTAGACTTAGGCTGCAGGCCCTGCTTCCAGGAAGTTTGTCTATATTCATGGCTTTAATTACATCTTTTTTTTTTCACTTTGTCTTCTATGATCCCTTCTCCCCACAGCTGCCAAAGAGATCTTTTAAAAATATAGGTTAGATCACATCATTCCCTTGCTTAACCCTGCAGAGACTCCCACTGTATTGTCTAAAGTCAAAATTTTTACTATGCCCTGAGAAGATTGCCTTTACTACTGTACATCTCACTTTCTAATATCCAGCCACATTGGTATTCATAGAACATATCAAGCTTCTTCCTATTGCTGGTCCACTGTCTTTCACTGTTACCTCTTCTGGGAATGCTATTCCTCCAGGCTGTCCCTTGGCTGTGTTTCACCTCGGATATCATCTCTTCAATGAGGGCCTTTTCCAACCTCGCCAATATATTTTCCATCCCCTCATTTTCTGTTTTCTTTGTTCATATAACTTAACACTTTTTTTTTTTTTTTTTTGATACGGAGTCTCACTGTGTCGCCCAGGCTGGAGTGCAGTGGCGCAGTCTCGGCTCACTGCAAGCTCCGCCTCCCGGGTTCACGCCATTCTCCTGCCTCAGCCTCCCAAGTAGCTGGGACTACAGGCATGCGCCACCACGCCCGGGTAATTTTTTGTATTTTTAGTAGAGACGGGGTTTCACCGTGTTAGTCAGGATGGTCTCGATCTCCTGACCTCGTGATCCGCCCGCCTCGGCCTCCCAAAGTGCTGGGATTACAGGCGTGAGCCACCGCGCCTGGCCGAACTTTTTTATACTGTATTTGTTTACATACCTTTTTCCTATCTCTCCTATTTAAATATAAGCCTATAGACAAGAAATCCATTTATCTAATTCACTAAGAAATTCCCTGAATGTAGAACTTTGCCTAATATAGGTTACTAGGTGAGTGAGTAATGAGTGTTTTGCAGAAGATGAAGGTGAAGATTAGTAAATAGTGCCCCGCTTGTTGATGGGGTTGTGGATTTACTACCAAGTGAGACTAAAGTACTGTGAGAGGCCAAGGCAGTGGGTGATATAGGATAAAGGCCACCTGTATTAATCTCTCAAATGAGTCTCTAATGATGTGTTCTCAGTTTGAGTGACAGGGGCTCCCTGTAATAATCTTTGATGTACCTGTAGACATCCAGTCTTCTGCCAGGTCATTAGCTCGTCTTACACCTACTATACTTCTGGAGCATCCCATCCCAACCCGCAAGACTTGTTAGAAAGGAAATGTAGTCTGGAATTTAGCCAGAGCAAGACAGAACTAGAGGCAGGGCTTAGTGAGCTTGGCTCCTCTGCCAGGTTTTACAGCCAAGTCAATTTAGCCTTTGGGCTTCCTGTGAATACTTTAAGGAATTACACCTGCAGTGAAGTGTGACTCCAAGGCAGTTCTTAAGTAAGCAACTAAAATGCAGAGCCATCATAAATGATAAGAGATTTTGGAACAAAAAGTAGGAGTGGTTAACTGAGCTGTTAAGTGAAGTCTTCACAGAAAAATGACATTTGACTTTAAAGTTAAAAAATGATAAAAATTTCACCAAACGAAGGAGAAAGGGAATCCTGGGTATATGTTATAAACTACATAAAAAATTAGAAATGGGAAATGCACTGTTCAGGTGATTGTGGACAGTTTGACCTCACTACATTATGGGGGAGAATAACTTAACACTTTTTTTTACTGAATCTTATTTATTAGACTTATTTATTAGACTTAGGCTGCAGGCCCTGCCAGGGATGATGGAAATTGAGACAGGAAAAATCATGAGAGTCCCAATTATGAAGTCCCATGAGGGTTAGGAAGTTTCAAATTCATTTTATGTGTCATGGGAAACCAATGGTATCTTTTATTCTGATATCTCAAACAGCTACTTTGAAAATCATTCACTCAAAAAATACATAATTTTGAAATGACTACTCTTTCCTAGGCACTATAACAATAATAAAAAAATTAAAGCATGCCTAACATTGGAGATCATCTGATGATATAAATAAGGAAATATATTTTAAAACCTATCATAGATGATTTTTTCTGGTTGAAATGAGAATATTCTGGATTGAATGCTCAATAGGGATAAGCCAGAGTCTATCATTGTGGTAGATAAAAGAGGGTTTCAATATTTTGCTGTGCTACCAGTTATGCAGTAGTGTTTTTCTCCCCTTGAAACAAGGATAGCAGTAGTGACTCATATAATCAATAAGCTAAAGCAAAATGACCTTCTGGAAATTTATAGGTGAGGTCATTGGAAACTTTGCAGTTTTCCTCCATGCTTCTTGAAACACTAGCCCTTGGAGCCCTAGACAACACGTTAGAAATTTGGCTACCCTGAGGCCGCCATGATGTAAAGACAATATTGAGTGAGCACACAAAGGGGACCTAAGAAAACATGCAGAAAAATGGATGCTTAGCCAGTCCCTAGCTATTCTAGCCACCAGCCATTAGAGTCAACTCAACTGAGGTATGAGACACTGTGGAGTGGAAATAAGTATTTCTTCCCAGCCATGCCTAAATCATAGATTTGTTAGGTGTTTTAAGCCATGTAAAATACCAGAGCATTTGTGCATTCCAAGAAGAGAGCAACACATTCAAAGGTAAATTGTTTAAAGACAAGTACATACGAAAATGGAACATACAGTGATTCTAAGAATTAGAGGGAAAATGATTTCTCTACAATCTGAAGTCTATAAAGTAGCCTATTACTGTAAAATGAAGATTAGAAATAGTCTGTCAAAATTTATATTGACACACAAATGATCTTGACAATGTTTGCAATTTTTGAGGTAATTATTGATATCTGTATTTCTGGCTTGATTTTTAGGTTCAGAGGATGCAGTTTAAAATAAACCAATATAGTGGGAAGCAAAATATTTCCATACTGTCATAGAGCTTACATTAAATATATGTTTGTATAAAGGAATAAAGGAAGGAGAAAGAAAAAAAGTAAATACGTAAAATAAATTTCGATAGTGATAATTACTACATAATAGTATATGGATTTGATATATGTATCACTATATATTTTGATAGGGCTAAGAACTATAATTTTTGATGGTATATTATTTTTTAAATAAAATATAAATCTAGTTTTTTCATACTTGTTTAAGTTGTTTTCTTTAAAGCAATTCCTTCATTGATATCATGAAATTTGTCACTATTTTTCATCAGTATACCATTATAAAACAGCATTATTAATTTACTAATTCTACTAGCTATTTTTATAATGTTATAAGTAATACTAAATGATAGAATGCAAATTGACTAATAAATCATGCATAATTAATATTATACCTGGGATGCATTAAGTTGTTCATTCTTTTTCTTTTCTCTTTTCTTTTCTTTTCTTTTCTGTCTCTCTCTCTCTTTCTTTCTTTCTTTCTTTCCTTCTTTCTGTCTCTCTCTCTCTTTCTTTCTTTCTTTCTTTCTCTTCCTTTTTGCTGAGATAGGGTCTCATTTTGTCACCCAGACTGGAGTACAGTGGTGTGGTCATAGCTTACTGCAGTCTCTAACTCTTGGGCTCAAGTGATCTTCCTACCTCAGCCTCTTGGGTAGCTAGGGCTACAGGTGTGCATGCCATGCCCAGCTGTTTTTTTATTTCTTAAATGTTTTGTAGAAACAGGGTCTCACTATGTTAACCAGGCTCATCTCAAACTCTTGGCCTCAAGTGATCCTTTTGTCTTGGCCTTGCAAATCACTGGGATTATAGACATGAACCACCATGCCTGGCCCATTAAGTTGGTTTTTAAAAAACAGAAATTGGTCTCAGGAGTTTTTAACCGATACAATTTCGTTATAAATATGCCAATAAGCACATTGCTACAATTATATGACTTAAGGCAGTGGACTTAAATTAATTACTCTTGGTTCCTTTCATTTATTTTTTTGATGGCTAGGGCATTCAAAATATTCATTGGAACTTGTGACTATAGATATATATTCAAACAAAATCATTGTTGTTTTATTTTGAAATACAACCTCTGTTATATTATGTAGTTTACCCTTCCCAAGAATAAAAATCCATGACTTATTTGCAGCCTCGAAGTACTTTATATATTTCACTTTTCCTCTAATTTCATGTTCATTTTTTTCTATCCTGGTAGGTTAATCTTTGAAGTTTCAAGTAGGTTTACTCATATATGAGATCAAACGTGTTTAAAACTACTAAAGTTTTATGCAACCGAAAAAAGACCATAAGTGACTTATTTCTATGATGATGATCTTTAATGGTATTTTAGTTACATGAAGTTACCAGAACTAAAAATTTATAATGACTATATTTTCATGTATTATAGAATGAATTTTCAAATGGACTAAAACCTTTTTTCCCTAACTATTAAAATCAAACATATTATTTTAAAATTTACTTTTGTATGTAAAAGACATTATCACAACTTTCTATGTAATAATATTGCCTTTCTTCTCCTTTACCATACTTATAAAACTTTGTCTTTGCAAGCTCTAATTGTTTGATATTTGTTTTTAATGAATGGTATAACAAAACATTGTTATATACAAAGAAGTAGAAAGGCAAAGCTTGACATTGGTCTGGGAAATAATTTTTTGTATATGACTCCAAAAGCAAAGGTAACGAAGACAAAAATAGACAAACGTAACTATATAAATTAAAAAGTTTCTGCATGGGAAAGTAAACAATCAACAAAGTAGAGACAATGGAATGGGAGATGGAATGCAGACGATGGAATGGGAGAAAATATTTGCAAACCACATGCTATGATCTGAATGTTTGTGTCTCCACAGAACTTAGATGTTGAAACCTAATCATCAATGTGATTGTATTTGCATAAAGGGCCTTTAAGAGGTGACTAGATTATGAGGGTAGAAATCTCATAAGTGGGGTTAGTCCCCTCTAAAAGAGGCCCCAGAGAGACACATTGCCCCTTCCACCATGTAAGAAGGCATTATCTATGAATCAGAAAATGAGCCCTTACTAGACATCAAATGTGTCAGTCCCTTGATCTTAAATTTTCCAGCCTTTAGGACTGTAAGAAATAAATTTCTGTTGTTTATAATCCATCCAGTTTATTGTATTTTTGTTATTGCAGCTGAATGAACTGAGATACCATACTTCTGATAAGGGATTAATATCCAAATATAGAAAGAACTCAAACAACTCAATGGCAAGAAAACAAATAATCAGATTTTAAAAATGGGCAAAGGACATGAATAGACATTTCTCAAAAAAAAAAAAAAAGCATACAAATGCCAACAGCTATATGAACAAAATGTTTGGCGTCACTAATCATGAAGGTATGCAAATCATAACCATAATGTAACAGTGCCTCACACATGTTAGAATGGCATTATCAAAAAGACAAAAGGTAACAAGTGTTGGTGAGGATGTAAACAAACAGACAAAAGAAGCCTGTACACTGATGGCAGAAATGTAAATTAGTACAGCCATTATGGAAAACAATATAGAGGTTTCTCAAAAAATTAAAATGGAACTACCATGGGATCCAGCAATCCCACTTCTCTGTATATATTTAACAGAAAGTAAATCAGTATCTTGAAGACATATCTGCAGTATTAATTGCAGGACTATTCATAATAGCCAAGATATGGAATCAACCTAAGTGTCCACTGATGGATGAATGGACAAGTAAATTGTGACTGCACACACATACACATGCACACACACTCATACCATAATGGAATATAGCCTTAAAAAAAAAAAAAAAACTCGTCATTTGTGAAAACATGAATAAACCTGTAGGACATTATTCTACGTGAAATAAACCAGGCACAGAAACAGAAATAGCACCCAATCTTAATGTGGAATCAATAAGTTGAACTCAAATGCAGTAAGTAGAATGGTGGTTGCCAGAGCCTGAAAGGTGGAGGAAAAAGAGATGGTCAAGGGATACAAAGTTTCAGTTGTGCAGGATGAGTAACTTCTGGCGATCTAATGTACAGCATGGTGACTATAATTAATAATATTGTACTGGACACTTGAAATATGCTGAAAAGCTAGATTGAAAGTGTTCTCAGCACACATGCCAAAAGGTAAATATGAGAGGGGATGGATATGTTAATTAGCTTGATTATGGTAATCATTTCACAATGTATAGCAAAACATCACAGGTATACCTTAAATATGTATAATTTTTGTCAGTTATGCCTTAATAAAGCTGGAAAAAGGTATTACATCAAAATTTCCCAAGTAATTTAGTGAATATGCACCCTGATAGAAATATAACTTGTATTTTTACTAAAGAGAAAAAAATCGACTTAAAATTTGGATGCCCTGCACATATGGAGAAGATTTTATTGAACCGCCATCAGCTGGCCGTGGGTTTTAAGTTGTTTTTCAAATAATTGTAACGGATTGACACTGACTCCTCCACACCCTTTCATCCCATTCTTGTTGTGAAGAAGAACATACACATGCAAGATGGCTGGGGTACGGAGTGCACATGATAGCCACAGAACAAAGAGAAGTTGACATAAAACATACATCCGTACAAGGCGATTTGTACATTTATGTTTTTAAGTGAATTTTAATTGATTATATCAATGAAAAATTTTGCATGGAAGAAAATATGTTAGATTAAAGTTTGAAAATGTTCACTGAAATGAAGAAATTCAGCTTCTTTAAAATAATCCACTAGATATTATGATATTATATTATGTAATAATAAAATTATATACTATTATGATATATATAATATTAAATATCATTTTATATTATATATCATCTATAATATATATTATAATATATAATATATATTAATATAATACATACAAAATGCTTAAGGTAACGAAGAAACCATTTTTTAACTATGAATGTCCTTTTGGAGTATGGAAGTCAAAACCTGCAGGAGCCCTCAGTCTTGGGAAGAGGCAGACTAGCTGAATGCCACATGCAGAGACATTGCACTGCTGGAGTCAACTAAGAAAAATCAAGGCACAAAGTCAAAGGTGTGGAAGGTAGAGCAACCCTATACATTCCAGAAAGTGTTCTTGAAATGTCCTGAAATCCTGATATGTGAAGTCCTGGTTGAGTAGACACTAACTTATGTTTTAAATGCCTATTTAATATCTGTTTATAACAGTAACCTATGGTTACCTGAGGGATTTCTGGATGTTACTTTTGTGATTTTACATCCTTTGAAATCTGGAAAGACAGCAGAGATCAAGATGATTTATGCAAGTATTGTGGTACTACAAGATAAACAGCAAATTTACCCTGGTCTGTCTGGGGCACTGCAAGAATGATTCAGTTCCCAGTGTCACTGTAATTGTTCACACTGAGCAAGATAAAGCATATGTGCTAAAGATACTTTGCTTCCACATGTCACCTAGTAGGGTGCCTTAGGAGCAGATAATCCGGTGAGGCTCAACTACCCACCTTCAGGTGGACATTCTGTGGGCAAGATAGACAAGTGAGAAACAAGATGCCTTTCCCATTCCCTTACTTCTGATGGCAGAAGTTGGGAGAAAGAAAAGAAAAAAACATGGCTGGGCTCTGGTCATGTGTCACTGTTCTCTATCTTTGGAAAAAAGTCAGTTACTTATGAAAAAATAAATAACACATCAGACATCAAACTGCTAGAGTCTGGGCATCTCTTTTATATTATTTAAAGTATTTTTCCTGTATATTTTTCTATGTATTTTTAAGTAGTTGAAATTACTCTTTATTCTATTAATCTTTGTAATTTATACTTCTTTTAATAAGTTTCTATGTATTTTTAAGTAGTTGAAATTACTTTTTATTCTATTAATCTTTATAATTTATACTTCTTCCGATAAGTGTTATACTTTTTCATTTTCAGTGGCTTCATGATATGTATAAATGTGTTATATAATTTAACATTTTCTTTATTTTGAGAAATATTTGGTTTAGTTTTCACTTTTTTCTTAGTAGGAATAGGGTTTTGACAAGCATTGTTGTAAGGAAATCTTTTTACAAATACATATTTATATGTATATATGTGTATATGTATATACACATATATTTCTCCTTCCAGATAGATTCCTGCAAGTGAATCTACTTGGGTCAAAGTGCAGGCCAAAGCTTAAAGTTGTTAATAATAATGGCCAATTGCTTTCCAAAAATGTTTTGACTTCCATTTCTTCAAGCAGCATATGAAAGTGCCTGCAGATGACACACAGAGATGCCTGAAGCAGAAGGGGCCTGGCTGAGGCACTAATATTCACACATTCTGCTGAAAATAGACAGCAGGCTGAGACATTTTGGCAGAGAAGAGCTCTGGCCACTTCAAAATACCTAGCGCCAGGGCAGCCTGAGGCTTTCTAAAGCCAAAGCTATTCACTACTTATGGGACCAGCTGCGCATGATCTAAGCCAGAGACTGAGTCACAAAATCTGGGAACATCAGTGTGAGTGTGAAATAATGTGCTCCCTCAAAAATAATCAAGGCATTTATAGATTGTTTCCATAGTACCTATGCATTAATAAGTTCCACACCTAAATGACTTTTTATATACCACAATCACACTTTTATATGTTGGCTAATGAAGGAATGGTTTTAAATATCACCTGGTGTGATGCGATGCCTTCTAGGAAATTGTGTAGCAGTAGTGGTACCACTATCATTATCTTTGGGGAGCCTATTTGCTAATGTAACCAATTATGTAATTATGTAATCATTTTATATAAATGAATAATAGAGATGAAAGATCTGATAAGTATCAGTATTGAGTTTTAACCATAGGTTTAGTATTAAGTATTAAGAAGAATTAAATGTAAAGTATTACTTGATTAAATATAAAAATGGTCATGAATTAGACTGAGCCATATGAAATTGTTTTGACTGTCAGAAAGAACAATTGCATGTTTCAACATAACTATTCAGTGAATATTTAGCCTCGTTTAGATGAGAATTGGACTAAAGAAATGTAAAAAAAAAAAAACAAAATTTAGGGCATAGAAGAGAAAATAGGAATCAATTCTTAAAAATTGTGTCCCAAGTTTATTCTGGGAACTAAACCCACTCATTTCATGGAAGCCTGTTGGTTGGCTTTCTTCCACACTCTTATAACCTACTCTTTCAAGAACACTTCTGTATAGACGCTGAGTACTACTTGTGGATGAGAATATTTGTAGTCAGCGAGGCATCCAGTGTGCTTAGGATTATGTTTCTTTGAAATTACTCTTTAGTGTATCTGTGTGTGTGTGTGTGTGTGTGTGTGTGTGTGGTGCTTCACTTCTTGTATATTATTAACCACCTGCACTATTTTTATTTTAATAAAGAATTAAGATGAGATTTAAACTTTGTATTGTGGTACCAATCTTTTCTACCACAAATATGCACAATAAGGACATTTATTGCTTGGTCTTTATTCCAGATTAAGCCTCCTTCAACAGTTCCATTTTAGGAAAATGCCTGTCAAAATCTGTTCATGGGTTTGGAAAACAATATATTAGACAATTTCAAAACTGATTTTTTAAAGTAGTATCAATATAATCTGAGTTTCCATTATTGCCATATCTATATGAATATTATAAGATAAATTAATACATATTTATCAATGCATATTCAATTAAATGTTAGCAAAATTACAATATAATTATTTTCATGTCCTATTGCTGTTGGCTTTTCCTTCTTTATTTAATTGTAAAGTTTTTGATTCGTTTCTTTCCTTATTTTCTCCTTCTAACATTAGAGTAAATAAATAATAAATGTATAATAAAATGGTCTTTGTTAAAATATTAGCTTCAAATAAGAAGTATATATTCATAATAATCAACGCTTTTATTTTTATAACCAAGTGTATAGTCATAATCTTAATAATCATAACCATATATTGATATTAAGAGTAATTAATAAGCCAATTAAGAAGTAACTAATAGTAAAATTAATTAATTATTTTATTGCGTCCATTTAAATTATTGCTTTAAACCTTGGCAGTGATTTGAAGTTTTACGTATATTAACTTACATTGACCTTCATTAATTGCCCAAAATTCATTTAACAACCTTAAAAAATAGATTATCTCCTGAATGCCAGATACCATACTAGGAACCCATGATTAAAACATGGTCTAATTTTATACAATTACTAATAATGGCTACAAAAATATACCTCAGCTTTTTAATGGCCAAAGAGGGTAAGAGTTATTGTAGTCACTGTGTTCATTAAAAGAAAAAAAAAGACATACATCTTTTCCTACTACTAAATTTTAGTAGATTGCATCATTCACCTCTGTTTTGCACTTAATTCTTTATGGTTCATATAGCTATGCCCTTCACCTTGTAACTTTGTAGCACCATCCCACTGTGGACTGGTAGTCTTTCTTAATCCTTGACTCTGGGTGAAGTCATGTTACTTACTTTGGCCAATGGCATGCTAACATATATGATTCAATCAGAGTCTTGAAACATGCTTTTTTGATTGGTCTTACTCCATCTTGCACATCTGCCATTGCCCTGAGAAAGGCATACCTGTTTTAGCTCTGTAATCCCAGTAAGAGGATATGAGATTTCTCAGATGCATGAGTCTGATCCCAGCCTATGTCACTATAGCCCCAGTCGTGTGATTTGTAAGCTATAATGATAAATTATTGTTGCTTTAAATTAGTGAATTTTGGGGTGGTTTTTCCTCAGTAATACTTAACTAGTATAAAAGTCCTGAGAGGAATTTAGCATAGAAATTTTAAGAAGGAAAAATACAACAGTACTTTTAAAACAGTACTTTGCTGTACACACATTTTTTTCCTCCAAAGAAACCAGTGAAGTAGGTAAAACAGATTGATGTGGCACCTTATTTGCAAAATTTAGTTTTGTTCCAAGGGAGTGACTAGCACTACGTATATTCAGTAATAATGGTGTTATTAAAAGTATTAAGAGTCTCAAAAATCATCCTTTCAAGTTTTTAATCTCCTCTCCAATTCCTTTGCCATATATTGGCCATGGTAATCATTCTAAATCACAAATGTTTTCTTGTCAATTTGCTGCCAAATCATTCATTTGCTCTTTGGATAAAATCCAAAATCCTTAACATTGTGTAAAATTCCTTATATAATCTTCTGCATCCTGCTTCCTTTGCTATCTTTATTTCTTAACATGCTTTTCCTCTTTTCCATTATATTCTTTTGCCATAATACCGTAGTCCTCCCTTATATGTGGGGGATACTTTCCAAGACCCCCAATGGATGCCTGAAACCACAGATAGTACCAAACCCTATATACACTTTGCTTTTCCTATACATACATATCTATAATAAAGTTTACCTTATAAATTAGGCACAGTAAGAGACTAACAACAGTAATGAATAATAAAATAGAACAATTGGCCAGGCGCGGTGGCTCACGCCTGTAATCCCAGCATTTTGTGGGGCTGAGGCAGGTGGATCACTTGAGGTCAGGAGTTCAAGACCAGTCTGGCCAACATGGCGAAACCCCATCTCTACTAAAAAATATAAAACTTAGCTGGGCGTGGTGGTGGGTGCCTGTAGTCCCACGTACTCAGGAGGCTGAGGCAGGAGAATCACTTGAACCTGGGAGGCGGAGGTTGCAGTGAGCTGAGATCCTGCCACCGCACTCCAGCCTGGGCAACAAGAGTGAAACTCCATCTCAAAATAAATAAATAAAATAAAATAAAAGAGAACAATTACAATAATATATTGTGATAAAATCTATGTGAATGTGTCTTTGTCTCTCTCGAAATATCTTATTGTGCCCTACTCACTTATTTTTGAATCATGGTTGACCATGAGTAACTGAAACCATAAAAAGTAAAACCACAGCTACAGGAGGGGGCTACTGTGCACTTCTTTTTCTTTCTTTCTACCTCTGATCTCTGTGCTTTTATGCACTCTTCCCTCTGCCTAGTCACGCACCACCCCATTCCTTGTCTAATATACTTATTCTTCCATTTTCAGCGTAGAAATTGGTTTCTTCAGGAAGCCTTCCCTGCTTCTCTAGTTTGAGGTAAGTAGTCCTTTCATGTGTTCATTATGTCTTGTGCTTCCTCTTCCTATCAGTTTATGATAATATAGGAAATTATTAGCCTGCTTAATTCTATCAGACCAGGTGCCCTGTAAATTCACTTGTTGCATTCTCGGGTACCTGCATGGGATCTGGTAAGTTGTGTGTACTGCAAGTTCTTGATAAATGAATAATGTCATTCATTGTTTCTAAATAAGCAGGAATAGTAAAGACTTCAAGCTATTGGCCACTTGACTCATTTAGTCATGCTTATAAACCTAAGAATTCCACAAAAACTTATGGTTTGAATGATTTATAGTTTATTTCCTGAGGATACAGACATCATTGTGCAAGACTGGGACAATTTGATTCATTGAATCTTTTACAAAAGTTTATATAAATTATTCCTGGATGAATTAGTCATATTATTAGTCAGCCATACAAAACAATTGTTTTGAATTCTTTAAGGACTGTATCCAAATTCATTAAGTTTTCATGGTAGAAGCACATTAATCACCAATACCATCATTTTCTGCACTTTCTTTAACTTACTTTTATTTCTCACGTCTCCATGTCATATTGTTGTTGCATTTGTAATAAACTTTGCAGTAAAGACAACCACCATACATTTGTATCTAATGGCTAATCTTATATTAGGTGAACTTGAAAATCCTTAAGGAAAAGTTTTTTCTTAGTGTTTGTTAGAAATAAATATTTAATGGTTTTAAAGGAGTCTTCCTATAAAGAACTCTTTGAGGAACTGTATATGTGTGTATATACCTTTACTTAAGTTTTAAGTTAATGAGGCAGTGTTTTTCCTGAAGAGCTAGGGATATGGTATAGAAAGAGTGTGGCTTTTTCTTTTCCTGGGGGAAGAAGGCTTGTAGTAATATTGTCATGATGTTGCTGGTATTGAGTTATTGCTGAATAAAGAATAGGTGTAAAGCAAGCATGGACCTGAATGCTTGTCTTTTATTAATGAAACAGTAAATTCTTTCATTTTGTTGATGCTACCTGGGCATATAACCCAGACATAAATAATCACAAAGCCTAATTTTGAGGGTCTAAACAGAATTGCATATCCCATTTGCTTTGGTGCATCGATTACAAAGCCAGATGTTAAGAACAGATGTCAATGAGCTATTTTTCATATGCCATGGTTCACATTTATGAACTCTCCATTTATCACCTCAGATGGAAACGGTTAATTTGACAGTGAGTGTTTTGGTTGTTAGCCAATTTCAACATGAGTCTTTGGTTTTTGAAATCTGATGTACAGAGATGTGATAAAACAATTACAATAGAAGCACTGTTAACTTGATTTTGTGCCTTAGAATTTACCAACATATATAAAGTAATGGAAATGAATGTTCCCTTTTATGGTGAATCAACATAAATCTAATGTTGGCTAAGAAATAATGTAAATGTTATGACTGAAATACAGAGTGGTTAATCCAATTGTAAATTCCATATAACTGTAAGTCAGATCCTTGTAGTGATGTATGGTGTGATGGCGTAGTGGGTTTTGCTTATTTCTTCTATTTGATTGTAACAATGATACTCATCAAAAATATTTCAGGCAATGTTTGTGCTAAATATGTTTTTAGAATTGGCTTCAAAATTTTGCTGTACTATGGGAAAATTTTCATATTGGTGAATACTGTATTTCCAATTGTCTATTAGCTATGTTGATATAATACATATTTAAAAGCAGCCATCTACTATATTCTACTAGGAAACTTAAATAACGGAAAAAAGGAAAAATAATATTTTTATTTTTAAATGTGTGGACAGTTATCTGGAATATTAAACTCTTTAGTATATACTATATTTTTATATTTTTTCAGCAACTTTGTGAGATATATCACTATTTTTATTTTATTGTTCCCAAGTCTGGAAAGGGATAGAAGTGGGACTTAAAGGTTATTTTTTCTCTCTGTTTTCTATTCTAGTTTTCTTTCTACTACATTTCATTCCCTCTCTTTGAATTCAGAACTCAAAAAATAATAGTTACTTTAATCCAAAGTTTAAAGAATGGATTAAATTCTAACCTAGGAGATCTGATTATGTTGCAAACAATATAAGCTCTTTTCATATCTTTAAATAAACTGATGACTTTGATAAGTATAACAGAAGTTGGCTTAAATGGTTTATGCTTAATCAACTTCTGTATTAATGGAAGCCCTCCATTTTCTCTGTAAACAGGCTGATTATAAAACATAGCACCTTGAAACCTTTGCATCTCTGCTCCTACCACTTTAATTGTATGCTGAAAGTGAGTCAGTAGGGTAATTTCAAAACCCTACACAAATTATATCTGTGATATTAATGAAATTTAATTGAATATTGCATGTATCAGTGAAAGATGAAAGTGAATGAGAAAATAATTATATCTATGAAAACTGAGTGACATAGTTTGAAAGATACAGATAAAGGTTAATTGAAATAATATTAACTGAAAATGTACAAGATTGTTGGAAGAGGATTATGAAGTGCTAAAAACCTTCTGCATTTAAATTGCCTTGCAATTATTTTTATAATTCCCAGTTTCTCTCTAAAGAAATCCAAACTGTCAATAATAGATTGTACACATTGCTCATAGACGATGTAAGAAAAATGATAAAAAATGCAAAGAGTAGCTCCATTCTTCAAGAAACAGCCTTACTCCTACAATGGAAAATGAGCAAGAATTTCTATATTTTAAGTTAAAATTAAATGTTTGTCATGGTTATATCACTTTTTAAAATAATTTCCAGATTTGACATCCTTTTACGATGATCTTAACCAATGACTGATTTCAAATGTGTCAGATATGAGGGATTCTGTTGTTTTTAAATAACTAATATCTGTTGCCTAATCCAGTGTCCAAGTCACAGTGAAGGTTGTTCATAGGGCCAATCAAAGGCTAGAGATCCATCATGTGAAATCTGCCAACTCTGGAATCTGAATTGCTCATGGTGGGCAAGGAAGAGGCAGGAATATAAGTGTGATGGGAAGAGACATAATAGCACCTCACAGCACATAGAAATGGTGAGTTTTTCAGGGATCTGAAGTAGTATCCTGGTTCAGAGAAGTTCTTTCTGTGCATTGAAGTTTGAGCTGTTTGTTACAGGAGTGGAAGAAGCAGGTAATGCAGGGACATTTTAGTATGAGATTCCATCCTCAGACCTTAAAGGGAAGTGGATGGATGTGGTGTGCAGAAGGATGAATGGCCTCAAAGTAATTATGCCAGTGGGGATTCCAGTTTCACTCTTACAAATGTGTGTGTGTGTGTGTGTGTGTGTGTGTGTGTGAGATATAAACAATTTCTTTTTAATCTTTTTCAGGCTAAAGAGCTGAAAGAATATTGGTTAGAATCAACAAAGCAATAGTAATATTATTTTATACTCTTTCAATATGAAAAATAAATGCAAACACACAAATACTTTACACCAATTCTGGTTAATTCTCCCAGAACACCTAATGTCAAATTATATAACTAAGACTTCTTTGGACTTTATAGTAGCTAGATATATTTCAGAGGAGTGTTTATTTTGGCACACAGATATTGATGACAATTACTGGAGGGCTTAAAAACTCAGACTATTTTATTAATTTAAATTTGGCTTTCTTAAAATTCCATAATTATCTTTTATGATCCAGGTAAATATGATCCTCTAAGGGAAAACACATAACTTAAAATATAATACCTATCAGTTCTTAAGTTTTGTTTTTCCATCTGTAGTCCTGCAAAACACATTCCATTTCCATCCACAATTTAATTTCTTAAAGTTGTCTTAAGAATTTTATCTGCATGAAATTTTCAGCAATTACAAAGTAACTGGAAATTTCTCTGAAGATATTATGATTAAATTACCAAGAAATATCTTACATGCTTGGAATTTAAGAACATTTAGATAAGTAGCCAAAATCTTTGTCATCAAATCTTTGTTTACAAAGTGCAGCTAGACACCTTACTGCCTTTTCTTTGCTTAACATTCCTCACTTCTGACAGAAAAATTGAGATTATACACATAAGTCTGTGGATAGCTAATGAGGCTGTATTGACTGACCCAGGGTGAAAAGGAAGTATATTCTTTAGAAAAACTAGTTTTTAATTTTTCAGGATGTTCTTGCTATTTGTTGGCCTATTACTTTTATCAAAATGTTCAAACTTGTATATGCAAACAAAAGCCAAGTTAATAAAGTGGGTTCTCTTTTTTTATGTAATAAGTTCTGATGATCTACTGTGAACCTCATGTTTAAATGGAATCTTGACATTTTATGAAAACTATAATAACTGAGAAAAATTGTGATGAGTAATTGGCTGAATAGAAGATTGAACATGCTTTCCTTTGGCTTCAGTACTAAATTGTCATGTATCTTCTGAAAAGCCATCTAGGTTTATTCTATTTAAATTTAACAGAAGAAAAATCTCTTTAGACAGTATGTGTTTCTTTTAAATTACTTCTATTCTTTAAATAGAGAGTTGTAGACTCTTAGTTTCAATTGCCATCTTAACTGGGAATGTCCTTCATCAGGTGTTTTGAGTTCTAGGTAGTTAGAAATGTTAAGAGGATACCAAGTTTGAAAATGTATCTGTAGCAACCAAGATGTTGAGGAGTTTAGAGACCAGATTGTATGTAATGATCAAAGGAAATCAACACACTTATTGTTAATAAAACTGCTTATGAAGGCATGCCTTCAAATATCTGGAGAGCTGACATTTAAAATGGAGAGTAGACTTATTATGTACAGCTCCAATAGGATAAGCAAAGTAAGAATAAAGGGAGTATAAAGAAAAAGGATTTCAGTTTAAAAATGGAATTTGTAAATTTAGAATGATCTAAAAATTGAAGGAAATAATTTGTAAGATTGTGATTTACTTCCTTTTGTGGCCTAAGAACATATTTTGTATAATTTCCATTCTTTAAATTTTGTTAAAGTGTGTCTTGTGGCCCAGAATGTGACCTATGTTGGGGAAGGTTGCATATGAGCTTGGGAAGAATGTATGTTCTGCTGTTCATGGACAGACTATTTTATAAATGACAGTTAGACCTAGTTGATTGTAATGATGTTCAGATCCTTTATACTCTTATTATTTTCTGCCTGCTTGATCTATCAGTTACTAAAAGAGGGATGTTGAAGTCTCTGACTGTAACTGTAAATTTGTCTACTTCCCATTGTAGTACTTTAAGTTTTTGACTCATGTATTTTAAGGCTCAGTAACTACCCAGTATTTACTGGTTAACTATGAATACTGTTTAGATGCATGTAGGTGTAGGGTAGTTATGGCTTCTTGATGTATTGACCCTGGTGTCATTATGTCATTCCCATATTTATTCCTGATAATCTTCTTGGTTTTATAGCCAGCTTTGTCTGAAATTAATGTAATTATTCCAGCTTTCTTTTGATTAGCCTTATGGTATATCTTTTTATTTGTTTATTTTTAACTTATTCAAGGCAGATTTCTTGTAGGCAAAGCATAGTTGGGTCTTTCCTTTTAATCTACTCTGACAATGTCTGTTCTTTTTAATTGTTGTATGTAGATAATTCAGGTTTGAAATGATTATCTATATAGTTGTATTAACATCTTCCATGTTTGTAACTGTTTTCTAATCATTGCATATGTTTTTTGCATATATTCATTGCATATGTTCTCTGTTTCTGCTTTCTTTGGCTTCATTTGAGCTCCTTATACAATACTATTTCAATCACCTCTCATTACATATAAATTATACTTTTATTTAAAAATTTTAATGGTTTCTCCAGAGTTTACAGTATACTTTTTAAACTAATCTAAGTCAAACTCCAAATAATCTGATGCCACTTCCATGTATTGCAGGTATCTTAAAAAGAGTATTCTCAATTCCTCTCTCTTGTCCCTCGTGACATTACTGTCACTCATTTCATTTATCTGTATGGCCGTCTATATCATGCAGTGCAATTGTTACTATTTTTACTTTAAATGCTTATTTTGTGATTAATTAAGCATAATAAAAATGAAAGATTTTAGCTTACCTTCATTATTTCTTCTCTAATGTTTTTCATTCCTTTATGTATATCTGAATTTCTATTATCATTTCTGATCTTCCTGAATAATTCTTATTTTCACATTTCTTGAAAAGCATGTCTGCTGGTAATAAATTCCCTTGATTTTTATTTGTTGAGAAAATCTATTTCTTCCTCACTGAAGAATAATTTTGCTGGATGTATAAGTCTAGATTTTCTTTCAACACTAAATATTTCATTCTGCTCTGTTCTTGCTTGCATGATTTATGAGAAGCATACTCAGATTCTTATCCTTGTTCCTCTATAGGTAAGGCATTTTGGTTTTGTCTGCCCTCTAGCGCTTTCAAGATTTTCTTTTTGTCTTTGTCTTTCTGGTGTTTTAATATGATATGCTTAGGTATGGTTTTTTGGAGGCAAAACATTTATACCACTAAGAGCACTCTGAGCTTCCTGGATCTGTGGTTTGGTCTCTGTCACCAAATTTTAAAATTCCTTCCTAGAGTTTCCATATTTCTGCTTTACACATCCCATATATTTTTTCATATTGCATACTTCTTCCATTAGAGCCCTAAACATGTTTCATCTTTTAAATTCTCTCCCTGATGATTCCAAAATCTATGTTATTCTCTAAGTCTATTTCTGATCATCGCTTTGTCTCTTCAGACTGTGTTTTAACTTGCATTTTGACATGCTTTGCAATTTTTTTCAAAACCAGACATGTTATATCAGATAATAAGAACTGAGATAAGTTTGGTTTTAGTATGGGGATTTATGTTACTCTGGCTGTTAGACTATATTCAATGTTTGCTATAGCCACAGGTGTGAGAAGTGTCAAATATCTCCAATATCCTTGTTTTTGTTTTCTCTATTCACTTTGGGCTGACTTAAGTATTTTTCATCAGTTTGATTTCAGTCTTTCAGATCTAATCCAATGTTTGCATACTGAAGCCCTATTGCGGTATAAGGCTAGGGGGAGCAGGAGCATTCTGTAATTTCCCAATTACACTTCAGTGTTTTAGTATGCCTGTGTCTCAGAATTGTGACCTTGACAATTGTTTATTCATTGGTATAGCCCCTTGAACCCTACTATGGTTTGAATATTTTTGTACCCTTCAAAATTCATGTGGAAATTTGATTTCCAATATAATAGCATTAAGAGGTGTTGAGATCTTTAACATGTGCTTGGCTCAGCTGAAGGGATCCCAGTCACAGGAATGGATTAATGTGATTCTTAGGGGACTGGGACTGGGTTAAATTTTTTTTTTTTTTTTTTTTTTTTTTGAGACAGAGTCTTGCTCTGTCACCCAGGCTGGAAGGCTGGAGTGCAATCGTTCGATCTCGGCTCACTGTAAGCTCTGCCTCCCTAGTTCGAGCATTCTCCTGCCTTGGCCTCCCAGGTAGTTGGGACTACAGGTGCATGCCACCATGCCCAGCTAATTTTTGTATTTTTGGTAGAGATGGGGTTTCACCATGTTGGCCAGGCTGGTCTTGAACTCCGGACCTCAGGTGATCCACCTGCCTCAGCCTCCCAAAGTGCTGGGAATTCAGGTGTGAGCCACCTTGCCTGGCCGGGACTGGGCTAATTCTTGTAGGAGTGAGTTCTCCTTCTTGTGGGACTAAATTAGTTACCAAAAGAGTGAGTTGTTATAAACAGAGGGTGCCCTCATGTTTTGTCCTTTGCCCTCATGTTTTGTCCCTTTCATATGTGTCCAGTTCTTTTTCTGCTTCTTCACCATGCCATTACACAGAACAAAGCCCTCACCAGATGCCAAAAAGATGTGGCCACCTAATCTTGGACTTCCAGTTCCAGAACTGTAAGAGATCACTTTCTATATAAATTACATAATCTATGGTATTCTGTTATAGCAATATAAAATAGACTAGGATAACTTCGTACTCCCTTCTCTGACTTCATCATATCTAATCTATGTTTTTGAAGTCCTAACCCCTATTGTTTATGTTCCTTATGTTTTCTTTTTTATGTTTCCCTTAGGTAAAACAGGAAGTGTAGAGGTGGCTAGAGTGAGAAATGCCCTTCCTTTATCTGGGAAAAGGCTCCAGGACAGTCCTTTTCTTTAGAAAGTGGGTTTTTGCTATGATGAAGTCAGTGGACATTCACATTGATTATTCCTGTTCTACCCCTGACAGAGACACAGGTAGAGTTCCTGGAGGCATAGACAATGAAATTGTGGGAACTTCTCTGATCTTATAATCCCTAAAAGTTTTTTGCTTTCAAGCTAGTTCACACCTGGCCTCCAGCAATTCATCATAGTAACCAGGTAAATGTTCCTATTAGCTCATGGCCTTAGTGACTTCAATTCCAGGTAAGTCGATCTAGGCTGTATCTCTTTGGATAAGCCTGTTTCTCCAGGTTTCAGCATGACAGTTTGCTCTACAACCTCATTCTACGATGGGTGCAAGAAAAGACTTTGATTTTCATTCCGTCCTGCTTTTACTTGTTATAACAACAAGAGTGAAGGCTTTCAACCTCTTTTCATAATGGAGCTAAAACATGTCCCGTCTTTTTAATATCAGAAAACCTTTAAGAACAGGGAAAGTTCACAACTTCATACAGCTCAGAAATAGTATAGGAGTGTCTTGTCCATCTCAGCATATGTGTTTCTCATCTCTCTTCTGCTCTAATTCCCCTCACCATTCTCTCCTTATTCTCAGGTTTTCTTTTAAAAGTTACCTCATAGAAATGTCGGTAAGGTATGGAGGGCTTTGGGAAGAGATTCAGTGGGCAACTTGCATGTTGAAATCTAGCTTTGTCACTTACTAGAAGCTGGCCTTTAGCAAGTTTTATCTACTTTTTGTCATAGTGCTGTCATTTGTGAAATGGAGATAAAAGTAAATCCTTGTCACATTGATAAGTTAATTAATATGATGCAATTAGGATAGTGTGTGGCAGATGGTTAATTGCTTTATAGACATTATGTATTATTTTAAATAAGTGATCTCCAATGAGAGTAAGCTATCATATGTTTCTATTGGTTACTTTATTTCAAGTCTTTACATTAAATAACCAGCAAACAATATCTTGATTTTGTAAAATCTCTAAGTTTATAGGATTATTATAGTGATATCTATCACTGTATTTTTAAATTCTGAACTCCCCAATTCTCTGAGATAGATTCAGTAGTCTTTCTCCTTTTGCAAGGACTTTGGGTCTTGCCAAAATCCCACCAGTAAGTCACTAAACCAAAACTTAAGTATATGCCTTCTGACTCTAAGTGACTATTCCACATCTTCCACTGACTCAGCAGACTTTTAGGAGCTTTTAATGGTATTCATGTTGTAGTCTAATTTGTCTCCCATTTTCTTTGAGAGAACACAGTGAAAATGTAAACTAAAAGTCATTTTCCTTTTAACCTGCAAATACTGCACTCTCTGTGCCATGCTGTGGGCTGATTATTTTGTTTCTCTTACTGAAATGCACCTTAAAAATCTCAACATTCACAAAATATTGGCAAATGAAAAAGGGAAGTCTAACCAACATTCTGTTTATAGTACCTGAGAAAATTAGAGTGAATATTTTGAAAGAAACTGATTTACTGCATGATTGTGTAAACTCCTGCTTCATTTTAAACTTGAACATACTACATAGAATCAATACAGATTCCACAAGTGTTATGTTAGCGTTAGTGCATGGCTGTAATGCATTGTAATTACAGCTTATTTTCTGGGCTTATGTCATTGTCAACAGTTTATAATATTCTACATTTTACACCTGTTTTTGTTACCAAATGTTTGCTGTATTTATTATAATCAATTCATAAGTTAGTATCCAGCTGTTGAGGCTATCCAACTTGGCAAAGGAAGTAATTATTACATGAAATTAGGAACAGGTTATTAAATTGCAGAAGAGCTCATGATCTATTTATTTCTTTTTTTCATAAACTTTTAAAGTTTAGCTATTTATTTCTATCATTATACAATTTTATATTTTTTAGAGCAGGACACTGTGCAATTGAAATTTGAATTAGTAATTGACTCTGAATAGGTCATTTAATGTTTTGCACCCAGGAGAACTTGTTCATGATCAAGAAAGAACAGCAATGCTGAACCACATCGGCAAGCCAAGAAGAAAATAGGGCTTATGTCTGTGTTTTGACTCTGTCATATGAGTCACATTTCTATTACACTTGAAAGGAGCTGACAAACTTCTGGTGTGTTCTCCAAATGTCACACTTAGCTAAGTACAATTTATATCTTTTGGGTTTTCCAGTGATTAGGTATTCTTATTTACCGTCATATTTTTGCCTTCTCCATATCACCTAAATACAAGGCCAAGAAAAGAGGAATTCGTGATTTTAACAAGGAAAATGTTCAGTTGTGCTGCCAAGTCTTCTGAAGAACACACACTCTTTTTCCCAGTTGTATAAAATACATACAGTACACAAATAGAGATTTCTCGTAGCTCTGTAAACAAATTAAACTGTTATTCAGGCTTGCTGAGTCAAGGGGCACAATTGCATGTTACTGGCCAGGTCGTTTTTGCACTGACAAAGCAGTGCCTTATATTTCTATTGACAATGAAAATTCTTAAGAGAACATTTACAAAAAATCTCCTTATAAGATTTGGTGGTGTTTTTCTTCCCCCCAATTAATCGTGGAGAACAGTTTTCAATTCTCAAATGGATGGATGCATTCTCATATTTTATGCAATAGCAGACTTCAAAATGAGTCCCCGGGAGTTCTAGGGTTGTTGGGAAATGCTTCAGGGCTGTGACAGGGGCAAGGAGAGAGCTGTGGAAGGGGGGATAATGAGTGGTAGAGTTACAGGTTTTTCACTCTCATCTAAACCCAAGTAGAAGTTCTTTATAAAATTTCATTTTGTCATTAGAAAAAACAAGAATGTTGCTGCTAAAATAGCAGCACAAGTTTGAAGGCCATGACTTTTTTGCAGGTAATATTTTGCACATTTTTTAAAACAACTGATGTTGGGATATACTATATTAAAAAACATAAAAAGTAATAATTATAGAATTTTAGAGCTTGTTATAGAGAACAAAAAATAAAGGAACATAATATGGCTGAAAGTTCACAAAAGGAACAGATTATTTTATGTATATCAGGTATGTTGAGGAAGTAAGAACATTGGCAACTTTTTTTCTGCAAGGCAGTCTGTGCACATCAACTGGTCATTATTTTTAACAGTTGTTTTCTAAAAAGTACAGACACCCATATAGCCAATCACCCATAACTGCTCCTTTGATAGCTGAAGAACTACTAGCCTTCGAATATACAGAATAATACCAGATTTTCATCTTCAATTACTACAACTAGCAGCAACCATTGAATTAAAATAGAGCAAAGTAAAAACATTTCAAAAAATGATTTTAGTTAAATATTTGTAAAGTCACA
Organism: Homo sapiens; assembly: GCF_000001405.40. Classification (NCBI taxonomy): domain Eukaryota; kingdom Metazoa; phylum Chordata; class Mammalia; order Primates; family Hominidae; genus Homo; species Homo sapiens. Next base: position 126,686,909 of record NC_000004.12, on the reverse strand, counting down.
TAAGAAATTCTATTTCCTAGCAGACAAATCATATTACAGAAGTACAGATGGGAAACCTGTAAAAATCCAATGTGGATAGTTTTTCTTTGCTCCTTTTTTTTTTTTGCTTCAAAAACCCCTCCATCACATTTCAACCTTTAACTTTAAACTTCATTTGACTGTGAGGCCTGCCAAATTCTCATCAAGGCCACAGCATATAGATGCAAAGGGAAGTATAAATTATTATCATTAATAATCCATCCTGTTCTTCCCCCACCTCATTTAAACTAATGGACCATATGTTGCCATTTTCTTTCAACTGTATCCAAGAACATTTCAGAACAAAAGAGGAGAGGAGGTTGTAAAATATCATGGAACCACAACTGCACATTTATTTGCCAATTCAGACAAGAAAAATAATGATAACTGTGATACTTTTCATCTGTCCTGATAGAAATAATTTTTCATTAAAATAAAGTAATTTTTTGGAATGGAAGGTTACAAGGGAGAAAAATACTTTTGAGAACATGTCAAAGGATTTCTAAAATTTGAAGGTGTTGTAACGGACAAACATAAACAAAACTGTTAAGGCCTATACTTCAAACTGTATTAAAGCTGGTAGTTTTTCTTTTACTACTCAAATTAATTGACTCAGTTGTCATTAGTCTGTGAAAATATTAAAATTGTTATATCTATGCATAGATCCTACACAATTTTCAGGATGAAACAAGTAGGAGAGAAACTGGGATGTAGCTTATGGTAAAGAAGAATAGGGCTTGCATGGGGCTTTTGAATATTTCCAATCATGTATATCTGAAGGATAAAAAGAAACCAAATTGTCTCTTGAGGAACTTGGCAAGCCTAAGGGGAAATACGGGTGAGGCACAAAAATTAGGTTCAGAAAGCTACACAAGGTTAAGCAGAAAGAGGTGCTACTCAGTACAATTTGGTAGTGACACAGCCTATCCAAGAATTCAAGCCTGGCGGCCCTCCGCCAGAAGCCTGGTATAACATCTCTTTCTTAAAAGGTATCAGGAGCACTATTGGTGTTACTTTCATTGGAGCGGGAGAATCCTCACACTTTGACAAAGCTGTAATATGACAGTTAGGCATAGCCATCAGTTCTTTCAGCCTTTGACTTTGTGAGCTGGAGTATCTTCATAGTGCTTAGGCATGAAGCTAAAGAAATACTTTTTTTGTAATTGTTATGACCCAGGGAAAGTGAGACTATGAAAACATTTATTTATTTTAAATTATATTTCTAATAAGTAATATATGCAGAAAGTATGATAAACATTAACATTGTAGAAATCTGAATATTTCATTTAACTCATACTTGGTGACTCATATTTTAGCTTTAATTCATCATTTAAAATGGGCTATTTAACACCTATTGTATGCTATGTATTGTGCTAGGCCTTAGCTACAGAGAATGAAAAAATGATGTCCCTGTTTTTTAAGCTTATTTTGTTGTTTTATCCAATTTTGTTTTGTTATAGTTTTTTGTTTTATTTATTTATTTATTTTACGTTGCCTCTAAAAAGATGAAAAGAAAGAAAGAAAGAAGAGGAAGATGGAAGGAAAGAATAAAGGGTTTCGGACATAGCTCAAAATAGAGTGGTGGGAGACTCACTAGTTAAAAAAAAATTGTTACCAGAAATCTTTGTATTTACAACAAACTTAAAACAATTGCAAGCAGGGAGATTTTTATTTTTCTGCATTATCATTGTAAACCTTCTCATACAGAAATTTTCTTTAAGTGTTAGATGATTGCTTTTTGTTATGGGTTGAATTGTGTTTCCCTAAAACTCGTGTATTGAAGTGCTAGCACCCAGGTCTCAAGTGTGACTTTATTTGGATATAGGGTCTTTATAGAGGTAATCAAGCTAAAGTGAGGTCATTATGGTAGGTCTTATCCAATATGACTAATATCCTCATAAAAAGGGGAAATTTGGGGCCGGGTGAGGTGGCTCACGCCAGTAATCCTAGCACTTAGGGAGGCGGAGGCACACAGATTGCTTGAGCCTGGGTTCAAGACCAGCCTGAGCAACAGTGACACCCCAATTCTACTAAAAAATTAGCCAGGCATGGTGGCGCAGGCCTGTAGTCCCAGCTATTCAGAGGCTGAGATGGAAGGCTTACCTAAACCCTGGAGGTAAAGGCTACAGTGAGCCATGATTGAGCCACTGCAGTCTAGCCTGAGGGACAGAGTGAGATCCTGTCTCAAATTGATTAATTAATTAATTAATTAAAGGTGGGATGGGGGTGGAATTTGGACTGGACTGTGCACACATACAAGGAAAACAATATGAAGAAAGAGAGGAAATAGACAGCTGTCCCCAAACCAAGGAGAGAGGCTGGGAATGGATTCTTCCCTCACAGCCTTAAGAAGAAATCAACTCTGACAGCACCTTGATTTTGAACTCTTCAATTCTAAAACTGTGAGACAATAAACTGCTGTTGTAAAGCCACCCAGTCCATGACACTTTGTTATGGCAGCCATAGCAAACTGATACAGCCTATGAATAGAGTAAAATGTGGAATAGCCTCTAGAGATAAAATAGAACAAATAAGAACAATGAAAGAAGGGAGTCTAAATCGAAGGTAAACATTTCCCTCAGCCATACAAGTTTTAGTCTCAAAAACATAATTAGAAGTTGCTATCAGGCCTACATTATATACTGTTGTATGTGATCTATCATTTCTTGTCTTTGGTAATAGTCTCAGAAAACACACATAATTCACATCATGGATCTTGATCAGTGTTCAAAATAATTCATTTTATGATCTCAATAAATGTTGAATTAAAAGAGCATCTTTAATATGGGTGAGTTGAAAATATGTCATTCTTGAGAAATATATCTCTGGCATTCTCTTCCCTTTGGGGGATACAAAGAAAAACAGTCCATGATATCTTGACCTTAGTGTTGCTACCAGCAGATGCCTAAATGAGCTGGACTGATTAGTGCAACTCTTCAAGGCACAGTGTGCATCACTTACATTATTAGAGTAATAGCCTGAGACTTAATCATTTGCACAGAGGGCAATTTAAATGAATAGTTTTGCTTTCAGTCAGTCTCTGAAACTTACAATGCTTACAAAACAAAATGAATATCCAAAATTTTTAGATTGAGCTTAATAATTACCAATTGTTAATCACAAGCTAAGAATATAATATGATCTATATCATTTAACTGTAGTTGTCCAAAGAAAGAACTAATATTTGAGTGTTATTCAGTGTTTCCTTCAGATATGTGCTTTTTTTTTCAGTATAAGAGGATAAGCAAACTTTCCCTAGACAAAATATGGGTTGAATTGTGTTTTCCTAAAACTCATGCATCGAAGTGCTAGCCCCAGTGCCTGATTTTCTAAGATGCTGTATAACAATGTCTGTGATTGTACCCAGTTATTCAAGGATTTGGTTCAGGTTAAACCACGGCATGCTAATTTGGATAAATACGAAAATCTCTACATTATATATCTTACTTTGTTGATGTTGCATTCTTTGCTAAAAATTAACATTTTTCACCTTTAGTTTTCAGAATCTCATTATTTTGTTAAAAATCAGTTGGACCACACTAATTTTCATGTACTTTATTAAAGAAACTAATCAACATGAAAAGCTGTCTGTATACATGCTTTTTTTTTCCTACTTGGAAATACAATCAAACCATCTTATGTATTTAGAAATTCGGAAAGAGGCAGCCAGCAAACCACATTTTATTTTACTTTTATCAGTTTATGTATTTGAAAATAGATAAGAGACAAATTATTTGAAAAATTTCTTAACTTTACTGTACACATTATGAAAAATCAAAGTAAAAAGTGTGTAAAACATATTCATAAAATTTTTAGAATTAATTATCTGTTAATGAGGCCTGCCTTCTGGGAGCCTTCTTTTCTCAGATGTTTACATTTGTAAGTCATTATTTTTTAATTAAACTAAATCAGGTACATCTGTGTCTAGTATGTGTCTAAAGGTCCTATTTCATACCTTAGCCATTGTACTGCTAACACCAAGTGAAAAAAGTGCATAATACAATTTCCCCCGAAAACAAAATACTATTAAAGTAATCTGGAAATTGTTACTGATGAGCTAGAGGCTGGCTTCTATACTAGTTGGAACTACAAAGTATGCTTTACCCTTTCACAATGTTTTAATGTTGTAAACTGCCAGGGAGTGTTTTACAGGAATAAAAATCATAGCATGCATGCTTAACTTCGTATCAAATTCAACTTGCCCACATCTAATTATTAGGATTGTTACTCCAGTATTTCTAATAAATTAATTAGGATTTGGAAAAAAAAAAACTGTAGTTATTCAGTTTATGGGAGGGGGCTGTGACTTACAGTTAGTTTTATTTAAGAACAAAATATTACAAAGTAGAAAAATAAATGCAGAGAAATTTAAGACTTGCAAATAAAAATACAGGAATTTTACCAAGTAAGGCAAGGCAGGGATGTGATACTGCTGAATAAGCTAAAGTCTCAAATCATCTCTGTCTTTGGTACTCTCTATTTTTCTTTTTTATTTGGTTAGGATTCCATTTAGGGTGCAAGCATAAGACACCAGAAGCAGTTGAAAGAGAAAATTTTAGTAATTGGAAAATCTACATTATGCCAAGTGTTTTGTTGATTTTTTTTCTCCTCAATACATCAGTTTTCTCTGACTAAAATATTAGGTGAGATTAGGCAATATTTATAAGTGGTTCTTTTCAAGCTGCTGTTTTTTTTTAAAGAAGGAGTTGTTTCCATGTGCTTTTGGCTTTTTTTTTTTTTTAAGTTTTTCTTCATTTAGCTCTCATGGACTTTAGAATAATGTAGGTTTTAAAATAATCTTTATTCTTTATTTCCTCTCCACTGAATTAAGAGCTAGAACTATTTACTTTCAATTATTATTTTTAAAATTTTCATATTATTTTAAAAAATAAAATAAACATAAATTAAAAATTGATTTGGTTATTTTACAGAGTTTTTATTAGCCAGCTGCTAAATTCTATATCTCTGGATTCTTTAATTTGTGGCCAAAACCAAAATGAGACAAAATTGTCTTAGAGCATTTCTACTGCTACACAGTCAGATATTTTGAAAAATACTTGATATTGTTATAATAGAGTCTGCGTTCATCTAGAAATAGAAGAGAGTTGAAAGCAAAAGTTGTAAAGTTAGACTGCTTGGGTTCAAATTCAGACACTAAAAATTAATAGCTTTGTAAATCTGGATACAGTACCTAATCATTCTAACCCTCAGTATTCTAATGTAGAATATGGGAAAAATAATAGTGCTAAACTCACAATTCATTGTGAGGATACATTGTGATCTGTGCAAAATATCTGACAACTTGTGAGCTCTCAATAAATTTGGGTTATTTTAAGTGTCCACAATGTTTCAGTTAAATTACAGTTCAATTTATACTATCTTTACAGACTGATTTTAAAACATCATTTATTGAGTTTAAGTCTCTCGATGGCAGTAAATGTTTATTTTACCTCGCACCCCCATTGCTGCATGAATTATTTTATGCAAGAGAAAAAAAAAGGGATGCTTTTCCATTCTTAGTTCAGAAAAACATTGCTACTTTTACACTTTGGGGTAGCCTAGGAGTTTTCTCAGTAAATATTGGCAGACTTTAGAGGATGCATAGTCACCATCATAAAAATACCAAATTAACCTTCATTATAAATGAACATTTTGGCAGAAAACTTCCATTGTAGAATATTTATTTAGTACAATAGCACTTTTTGCTCAAGGTTGATTAATACTGATTTTATTTTTTTCTTCAAGTTAAATATATAAAATTTTGGAGCTATAATTTAACTTTTCATTCACATTTCTTTCCATAATTATTTCATTACATTTTATTATCATGTTAAAAGAATAAATGTATTCAATTAGTGAGTATATTTTCAGCATTTTTGTCACAGTGATTTAGATGTTCCATATTCGATGACATGAATTAAAAAATAAACAACACATTTTTTCATTTTAAATTGAAGCAATTGTTTTATTTAGCAAGGCATGCATTGCAAATTTTCTTTTGTTATATTTCAGAAAAGAATGATCAGAAACAATTTTATGTCATCTTTAAGAGAAATATTAAATGTTAGAAAAATTACATAGAATAGAGGGATACACAGCATTCCCAATTAATGGTATGACTACTATTTGTCATTTAGGAGTTTGAAATTCTTTACAAAGAATTATATTTCTATAATCGATTTTTTTCTGGAAGAAAAGTTGCCTATGTTGGTGTAGTTCTTTAAATTTATAGAGAAGTCCCTTTCAAGGGCCTTCTGTACATCAACTGTCTCTACACTGCGGTCTCAGTTTAGTCATGACTTTGATCTTAATAGCGGCATCCGCTTTATTCAATACCTCAATTTCCAAGTAAGCCTGAATGACTGAGTGAGAGTTAAGTGAAACTGAAGCCTCTTAGCCTTAATTGAGACACATGGATAATTATTTTGAGAAAATTTATAATTTCTAATGCAGATATAGTCATTATACACATTCAGAAATGTGCTATCCCACATCAAAAATATATATGCAAAACTGTTAGAAATCAAAAGAAAGTAAACCAAACAATTGCTGTTGAAATATTTACATATCTTCATTATTTGACACTGTTTAAAAGATAAAATACATAACAAGAACAGAGAAAATGTGAATGTTATATTTAATATGGTTTCATTCATGTATTAATAATGTTGATTACTATTCTTCTCTCTCCTCTGGGTAAGACCAGATTTTCTGGCATGAGTAATGGCAAGAAGAATTTTAGCAATATGTGAAATGGTTTTCTCAACCCCAGGCCAACTTATATCAGAACAGTGAACTTGTGTCTTTTCTCAGTTCATAGCTTTTCCAAGCAATGATATCAACAAGTATAGCTGACAAGAATATGCAACTACTTTTCTACTTATAAAGATTTGACCAGAGTTACAGGACCTGCCTCGTGTGTGTGTGTGTGTGTGTGTGTGTGTGTGTGTGTATCACTATATATATGTTGATATATAAAAATATATGTTATATAAAGTATAAAAATATTTTGATTTATTTGTAATATCCTATAACTGTATTTCAAGTTTTAAAAGAAGAAAAAAGAGTAATTCTGCAATCAATCCACCACAATCCAAACGCCTATGTCCTACTTGAAGGGAAAATATTGAAAGAACTTTCATGAAGCAAAAGACATGCCCCCTCTCACCATCCCAGTTTCACAGTGGGGCACAGGTTATATAACATGTATTGTGCTTTTGATTCTCCAGGAGATCATATAACCTGTTCTCACAGAAGTCAAAAGTGCTATAAGCTTTTAAGTAAATTTTTTATTAAGGCAAAACATAAATGTGGAAAATACACAAATTCTAATGTCCAAAATGACACATTTTGTTAGCGTACATCTGTGACGTCAGTACTCTGCTCATGAAGGAGTATGACCAACTCCTCAGAAGCCTCCTTGGTGTTCCCTCCAGGTCACTACCCACTCCAAACTTTACACACTATTCTGACTTCTAACAATATAAATTGGTTTGGCAAAAGCAGCTCTTGATTTAACTACATTTATTTATTATGATAAGGAGAGTTGTGCTTTAGTAATAAGCAAAATCTTCATAAATTAAAGCCAATTTATTTTTGCAAGTAGCTAGCAAATAAGAACTAGGTTATAGAAGTTGGAAGCAGCGCTCAATATGCTAAATTTTCTTGTCATATAACTGAAAGTACTGATGCTACTCATCATAGGCCTCACATCTGATAATAGAACCTCAGACCTGGGAATCTGACCTCTTTGCCTTGTTTGAAGCTTTATCCTCAACCTACCTCGTCATTGGTCGTTGGGAGTTTGAAATAAGGAACTCAGTGCTTAGCTCCTGCTTCTCCATAGAGAAGATAGTCTTAAGGGGAATTGTGGAATCTGAATTGTGGAATCTGAATTGTGGCAGTAATTGTTGAAATCCTTTTTGTCTGGGTTTAGCCTTTGTAAATACAATATTCACCTTCACTTTCTCCCAAGGAGCATGAATAGCCCTGTATAGGAATTGGTAAATGAGCCATGGAGAATGGGGATGGAATCAAATTGAGTGAAATAATTTCAGCTGCTGGGAACCCTTAATAGGCATGTAAACAAGAAGGGGTTTGTTGTGTGTGTGAGCTCTCACGGAGGTGCATGACTCTTATCTCTTCATGCTGGCTACGTTTGGAGAGGTTCATGTTTAATTTGAAACAGTCTCCTGATGCTTCACTTCAATCTGAAACTGTGCTCAGCCATTATTTTATTATTTTTAGCTTAGAACAAAAGAAAACACTTTCAAATAAAAGCCCTTTCAAGTTGGTGGGTTGCATAAGGTATCATTTTTCAAAGTATCCCTACAATATTTGGATATGTAGCTAAAGGGTTAGAGAGATTGCATGTATGCATTTTATTTGTGTCAAAAGTTAAAAAATAGTAGAAGAATCACACCTAAAATTTCTGTAAGGCTTGTAGTTTGTTCTTCATTAACAATACTAGGTCTTCCCTTTGTCCCCCTGATCTTTTAGAGTGCCTTTGTACATGTATCCTTGCTGTCTGTTTGTTAGAAAAATAAGTGAAAATAGACCTTTGATCTTTGCCTTCCAAGATTCACTTTCTAGCGTTATTGCTTCATTTTCCACTCTCATTTTTCTGGGGATGTTTGAGTGCTCCTATCAAAGGACTATTTCCCTTTTTGAGACTTGTGATGTTTCGGGATGACTGTCTTACACGTGGTTAACGGAGAAGCATTTTAATTATACAAGCAATTGTAAGAGTTACAGTTTTAGAATAAGTAAAGAACATCAAGAAAAATTTGCTATGTTTATGATTAAAATGCTTCCAATTACATTTTAGCAATTTATACATCAACAAAAATTTGAATATGAAAAAACCTACAATTTCTAAACAAAAATCTCCTTTTTTCACAGTTAGCTATACACTTCAGGAATCTTAAGGCAGATTATTGAATTTCATGTCCCTTCAATTGTTATATCTTCCTTCAAAACAAACTGAAACACTGTTTTTAGTCATTTTAAACATGATGGAATTCAGCCTCAATTTTCCTGTGCTCTAAAGCAGAAAATTATGGCAAACATAGGACAAAATTAAGTTTAATATTCATTTCATTTTTTGTTATCCCCCATCTGCCTTTGACTTTGCTCATTGCTAAGAAAGAAGTAAAGAAAAAAGAAGCTAATTCATTAAATCAGATAAAAAAAATACAACAAATCAATTAATAAAATGAAGTGATACTATTTCTGAACTATTAATTTTGACTTTGAACCACATTATCCAATCAGAGTTTATGCCAACAGGCGTGTTCACATCAAGGAATAGTGGCCTGGGAACGATAAAATGCTTTTTGCAGAAAAAAGTTCTAACTTTGAATGAGAGAATGGCCTTGGGTCTGTTTTTGGTATACTTTGTATTCTTCTTTGGATGTCAAACACTTCCAATGAATCATTGTCACAACAATGAATGTTTATAAAAGACAACTTTCTATCTACAGCTTCTAGGTGGAGAAAAATTTTGCCTCAGTGGAAATCAGTAATTTATTTCTGGCCAGAAAAGGAGCAAAGCTAACATTTTCAAGTTTCTCATGTTCTTTTTTCTCAAGGAAAACTATTTTTCCCAAACTAATTATAATAGAAACATGGATTACAAAGCCCAGAGTACTTTAGATAATTGTTTATGTGGTGAAGATTTATCAACAGGATAGTCTTTTCCAAAAAAGATCAACTAATATAGGTAAAATCTGAAACTAGTAAAGACATATCCCTATTTTTTGGTGTGTGTGTGTGTGTGTGTGTGTGTGTGTTGTTTTTTGATTTTTGTAACAGGGATGGACAAACTACAGTCTGGGAGCCAAATCTGGCCTGCTACCTGTTTTTGTAAATAAAGTTTTGTTGGAACACAGCCATCTCTCTTCACTTATTTACTAAGGTTGCTTTCTTACTATGACCATAGCAGAAGTAAAAAGTGTCGGTAAAAACCCTATGGCCTACAAAGTCTAAAATATTTACTATGCCATCTGGCCCTGTAGAGAAAAAGTTTTCCAATCCCTGTTCTAGAAAAGAAATCTCATACTTCATCTTTGATTACATAAATCATAAGTGGGTTAAGCACTTTGACGGACTCACTCTATTTGTACTTCTTTATTCGGTATCAGTATCTAAACACAAATACACCTTTAATAATAATATAAATAAAAACTGTCTACATGTAATCATCACCTAGTATGAGCCTATTAATGTAGTAAAATGGGTGTTTTTTTAAGATCATAAATTTGTGGCAATTTCTTACGCACCAGTAAAAAACTAATATAGTAGGAATTCCTATTTTGTTGGTAAAGAGATTGTCATTTTCCCAATATGTCACAAGCTAGGAAGTGGCAGCTTCCATGCTACAAATGCCCCTGACCAGACCTATCCTACTATAAACTTTTGGGTTTGGTTTTTTTTTTCTTAACATTTCTCAGGGAAATATATTTCTAGGTAGTTTTCTATCTTATATTGTGGATCTAAATTTCCAAAAGATTTTTTCTATTTTTCACCCATTAGACAAGATCACTGAGACAAATTAAAGTGTAAATCATATCAAGGAGAAGGAAATGTTAGAATGTATTTTAACATTTTTATATTAAAGATTGATAAAATGTCATCATATTTTATGTTAGAAGAAACAAACATTGTTTTAGAAATACTGCATGTGGTCTGCCTTACTTTAAGATCATTTCCTTGGAGACTGTGGTGTCAGCATCACCACTGTAGAGTAAGACATGATATGGACAAAGCAAGCTGATATGCTTATCATTTAGGACATCATCAGAAAGCAGAGAAATGTAAACCTGTGTTATTATAAATTTTAAATTGTAGGAAGAGCAAAACAAAAGAATCAAAAATTTAGAATATGATCATATGATGATCAGGAAAAGTTTGTAATGCCGAGGATTTTTTTCCTTTATAGAATTCACTAATATTAACAATAAAATCAATGTGAGATACATTATGAAGGAAAAATCAGTTCTAGAGGTTGCAAGATTTTTATTGCACTTAAGGAAAATTGAAATGTTATATTTACTCTAGAGGTAGTGAAGCTAGAAAATGGAACCACTCAAGAGCTAATGGAGCTAGGAAAATTATATATTTAAGATATGTCACCATATGGCTATCTAGTTAAAACTGCTTTGTTCTATTTTTTTTTATTTTTTAATTTAAGTTCTAGAGTACATGTGCACAACGTGCAGGTTTGTTACATATGTATACATGTGCCTTGTTGGTTTGCTGCACCCATTAACTCGTCATTTACGTTAGGTATTTCTCCTAATGCTGTCCCTCTCCTATCCCCCGACCCCACAACAGGCCCCAGTGTGTGATGTTCCCTACCCTGTGTCCAAGTGTTCTCATTGTTCAACTCCCACGTATGAGTGAGAATATGCGGTGTTTGGTTTTCTGTCCTTGCAATAGTTTGCTCAGAATGATGGTTTCCAGCTTCATCCATGTCGCTGCAAGGGACATGAACTCATCCATTTTTATGGCTGCATAGTATTCCATGGTGTATATGTGCCACATTTTCTTAATCCAGTCTATCATTGATGGACATGTGGGTTGGTTCCAAGACTTGTGAATAGTGCCACAATAAACATACGTGTGTATATGTCTTTATAGTAGAATGATTTATAATCTTTTGGGTATATACCCAGTAATGGGATGGCTGGGTCAAATGGTATTTCTAGTTCTAGGTCCTTGAGGAATCGGCCACACTGTCTTCCACAATAGTTGAACTAGTTTACGCTCCCACCAACGTGTAAAAGTGTTCCTATTTCTCCACATCCTCTTCAGCACCTGTTGTTTCCTGACTTTTTAATGATCGCCATTCTAACTGGTGTGAGATGGTATCTCATTGTGGTTTTGATTTGCATTTCTCTGATGGCCAGTGATGATGAGCATTTTTTCATGTGTCTGTTGGGCGCACAAATGTCTTATACTGAAAAGCGTCTGTTCATATCCTTTGCCCACTTTTTGATGGGGTTGTTTGATTTTTTCTTGTAAATTTGTTTGAGTTCTTTGTAGATTCTGGATATTAGCCCTTTGTCAGATGGGTAGATTGAAAAATTTTCTCCCATTCTGTAGGTTGCCTGTTCACTCTGATGGTAGTTTCTTTTGCTGTGCAGAAGCTCTTTAATTAGATCCCATTTGTCTATTTTGGCTTTTGTTGCCATTGTTTTGGTGTTTTAGACATGAAGTCCTTGCCCATGCCTATGTCCTGAATGGTATTGCCTAGGTTTTCTTCTAGGGTTTTTATGGTTTTAGGTCTAACGTTTAAGTCTTTAATCCATCTTGAATTAATTTTTGTATAAGGTGTAAGGAAGGGATCCAGTTTCAGCTTTCTACATATGGCTAGCCAGTTTTCCCAGCACTATTTATTAAATAGGGAACCCTTTCCCTGTTTCTTGTTTTTGTCAGGTTTGTCAAAGATCAGATGGTTGTAGATGTGTGGTGTTATTTCTGAGGACTCTGTTCTGTTCCATTGGTCTATCTCTCTTTTTTGGTATGAGTACCATGCTGTTTTTGGTTACTGTAGCCTTGTAGCATAGTTCGAAGTCAGGTAGTATGATGCCTCCAGCTTTGTTCTTTTTGCTTAGGATTGTCTTGGCAAGGTGGGCTCTTTTATGGTTCCATATGAACTTTCAAGTAGTTTTTTCCAATTCTGAGAAGAAAGTCATTGATAGCTTGATGGGGATGGCATTGAATCTATAAATTACCTTGGGCAGTATGGCCATTTTCATGATATTGATGCTTCCTACCCATGAGCATGGAATGTTCTTCCATTTGATTGTGTCCTTTTTTATTTTGTTGAGCAGTGGTTTGTAGTTCTCCTTGAAGAGGTCCTTCACATCCCTTGTAAGTTGGATTCCTAGGTATTTTATTTTCTTTGTAGCAATTGTGAATGGGAGTTCACTCACGATTTGGCTCTCTGTTTGCATAAGAATGCTTGTGATTTTTGCACATTGATTTTGTATCCTGAGACTTTGCTGAAGTTGCTTATCAGCTTAAGGAGATTTGGGGATGAGACAATGGGATTTTCTAAATATACAATCATGTCATCTGCAAACAGGGACAATTTGACTTCCTGTCTTCCTAATTGAATACCCTTTATTTCTTTCTCTTGCCTGATTGCCCTGGCCAGAACTTCCAACACTATGTTGAACAGGAGTGGTGACAGAGGGCATCCTTGTCTTGTGCCAGTTTTCAAAGGGAATGCTTCCAGGTTTTGCCCATTCGGTATAATACTGGCTGTGGGTTTGTCATAAATAGCTCTTACTATTTTGAGATACGTTCCATCAATACCTAGTTTATTGAGCGTTTTTAGCATGAAAGGTTGTTGAATTTTGTCAAAGGCCTTTTCTGCATCTATTGAGATAATCATGTGTTTTTTTGTCATTGGTTCTGTTTATGTGATGGATTACATTTATTGATTTGTGCATGTTGAACCAGCCTTGCATCCCAGGGATGAAGCCAACTTGATCATGGTGGATAAGCTTTTTGACGTGCTGCTGGCTTCCATTTGCCAGTATTTTATTGAGGATTTTCGCATCGATGTTCATCAGGGATATTGGTCTAAAATTCTCTTTTTTTGTTGTATCTCTGCCAGGCTTTGGTATGAGGATGATGCTGGCCTCATAAAATGAGTTAGGGAGGATTCCCTCTTTTTCTATTGATTGGAATAGTTTCCGAAGGAATGGTAGCAGCTCCTCCTTGTACCTCTGGTCGAATTTGGCTGTGAATCCATCTGCTCCTGGAATTTTTTTGGTTGGTAGGCTAATAATTATTGCCTCAATTGCAGAGCCTGTTATTGGTCTATTCAGCGATTCATCTTCTTCCCGGTTTAGTCTTGGGAGGGTCTATGTGTCCAGGAATTTACCCATTTCTTCTAGATTTTCTAGCTTATTTGCATAGAGGTGTTTGTAGTATTCTCTGATGGTAGTTTGTATTTCTATGGGATCAGTGGTGACATCCCCTTATCATTTTTTATTGCATCTATTTGATTCTTCTCTCTTTTCCTCTTTATTAGTCTTGCTAGCCGTCTATCAATTTTGTTGATCTTTTCCAAAAACCAGCTCCTGGATTCATTGATTTTTTGAAGAGTTTTTTGTGTCTCTATCTCCTTCAGTTCTGCTCTACATTTCCTTCTACACACTGCTATAAATGTGTCCTAGAGATTATGGTACGTTGTGTCTTTTTTCTCATTGGTTTCAAAGAATATCTTTATTTCTGCCTTCATTTTGTTATTTACTCAGTAGTCTTTCAGGAGCAAGTTGTTCAGTTTCCATGTAGTTGAGCAGTTTTGAGTGAGTTTCTTACTCCTGAGTTCTAATTTGATTGCACTGTGGTCTGAGAGACAGTTTGTTGTGATTTCTGTTCTTTTACATTTGCTGAGGAGTGCTTTACTTGAAACTATCTGGTCAATTTTGAAATAAGTACTATGTGGTGCTGAGAAGAATGTATATTCTGTTGATTTGGGGTGCAGAGTTCTGTAGATGTCTATTAGGTCCGCTTGGTGCAGAGCTGAGTTCAATTCCTGGGTATCCTTGTTAACTTTCTGTCTTGTTGATCTGTCTAATATTGACAGTGGGGTGTTAAAGTCTCCCATTATTATTGTGTGGGAGTCTAAGTCTCTTTTTAGGTCTCTTAGGACTTGCTTTATGAATCTGGGTGCATATATATTTAGGATAGTTAGCTCTTCTTATTGAATTGATCCCTTTACCATTATGTAATGGCCTTCTTTGTCTCTTTTGATCATTGTTGGTTTAAAGTCTGTTTTATCAGAGACTAGGATTGCAACCCCTGCTTTTTTTTGCTTTCCATTTGCTTTGTAGATCTTTCTCCATCCCTTTATTTTGAGCCTATGTGTGTCTCTGCACGTGAGATGGGTCTCCTGAATAGAGCACACTGATGGGTCTTGACTCTTTATCCAATTTGCCAGTCTGTGTCTTTTAATTGGGGCATTTAGCCCATTTACATTTAAGGTTAATATTGTTATGTGTGAGTTTTATCCTGTCATTATGATGTTAGCTAGTTATTTTGCCCATTAATTGATGCAATTTCTTCCTAGCATCAATGGTCTTTACAATTTGGCATGTTTTTGCAGTGGCTGGTACTGGTTGTTCCTTTCCATGTTTAGTGCTTCCTTCAGGAGCTCTTGTAAGGCAGGCCTGGTGGTGACAAAATCTCTCAGTATTGGCTTGCCTGTAAAGGATTTTATTTCTCCTTCACATATGAAGCTTTGTTTGGCTGGATATGAAATTCTGGGTTGAAAATTCTTTTCTTTAAGAATGTTGAATATTAGCCCCCACTCTCTTGTGACTTGTATGGTTTCTGCCGAGAGATCAGCTGTTAGTCTCATGGGCTTCCCTTTGTGGGTAACCCAACCTTTCTCTCTGGCTGCCCTTAGTATTTTTTCTTCATTTCATCCTTGGTGAATCTGATAATTAGGTGTCTTGGGGTTGCTCTTCTCGAGGAGTATCTTTGTGGTGTTCTCTGTATTTCCTGAATTTGAATGTTGGCCTGCCTTGCTAGGTTGGGGAAGTTCTCCTGGATAACCTGTGTTTTCCAACTTGGTTCCATTCTCCCCGTCACTTTCAGGTACACCAATCAGATGTAGATTTGGTCTTTTCACATAGTCCCATATTTCTTGTAGGCTTTGTTCATTTCTTTTTACTCTTTTTTCTCTAAACTTCTCTTCTAGCTTCATTTCATTGATTTGATCTTCAATCATTGATACCCTTTCTTCCAGTTGATCCAATCAGCTACTGAAGCTTGTGCATGTGTCACATAGTTCTTGGGCCATGGTTTTCAGCTCCATCAGGTCACTTATGGTCTTCTCTACACTGTTTCTTCTAGTTAGCTCTTCATCTCATCTTTTTTCAAGGTTTTTAGCTTCCTTGCGACGGGTTCAAACATCCTCCTTTAGCTTGGAGAAGTTTGTTATTACCGACTTTCTGAAGCCTACTTCTGTCAACTTGTCAAAGACATCCTCTGTCCTGCTCTGTTCCATTGCTGGAGAGGAGCTACAATCCTTTGGAGGAGAAGGGACCCTCTGGTTTTTATAATTCCCAGCTTTTCTGCTCTGATTTCTCCCCATCTTTGTTGTTTTATCTACCTTTGGTCTTTGATGATGGTGACCTACAGATGGGGTTTTGGTGTGGATGTCCTTTTTGTTGATGTTGATGCTATCCCTTTCTGTTTGTTAGTTTTCCTTCTCACAGTCAGGTTCCTCAGCTGCAGGTCTGTTGGTGTTTGCTGGAGGTTCACTCCAGACCCTGTTTGCCTGGGTATCCCCAGCGGAGACTGCAGAACAGCAAATATTGCAGAACAGAAAATATTGCTGCCTGATCCTTCCTCTGGAAGCATCGTCTCAGAGGGGCACCCAGCTGTATGAGGTGTCATTCGGCCCCTATGGGAGGTGTCTCTAAGTTAGGCCACATGGGGGTCCGGGACCCACTTGAGGGGGCAGTCTGTCCATTCTCAGAGCTCAAACACCATGCTGGGAGAACCACTGCTCTTTTCAGAGCTGTCAGACAGGGACATTTAAGTCTGCAGAAGTTTCTGCTGCATTTTGTTCAGCTATGCCCTGCCCCCAGAGGTGAAGTCTACAGAGGCAGCCGGGCCTCCTTGAGCTGTGGTGGGCTCCACCCAGTTGGAGCTTCCTGGCTGCTTTGTTTACCTACTCAAGCCTCAGCAATGGTGGACGCCCCTCCCCCCAGCAAGGCTTGCCACCTTGCAGTTCGATCTCGGACTATCAGTGAGCAAGGCTCCATGGGTGTGGGACCCTCCTAACCAGGCATGGGATGTAATTTCCTGGTGTGCCATTTGCTAAGACCATTGGAAAAGTGCAGTGTTTAGGTGGCAGTGTCCTGATTTTCCCAGTACAGTCTGTCATGGCTTCCCTTGGCTAGGAAAGGGAAATCCCCTGACCTCTTGCACTTCCCAGGTGAGGTGATGCCCTGCCCTGCTTTGGCTCACCCACTGTGGGCTGCACCCACTTTCTGACCAGTCCCAATGAGATGAACCAGGTACATAAGTTGGAAATGCAGAAATCACCCATCTTCTGCATCGATCATGCTGGGAACTGCAGACCAGAGCTGTTCCTATTTGGCCATCTTGGAATGGACCCCAAAACTGCTTTGTTCTTAACCAGAGGAATGTGCAAAGGTGGCTGGAGGTTCTATCCTGGCATCAAATGATTACTTGTAGGCTAATCAAAAGTTGGGTAGAACTTTCTGGAGAGTCTTCTTCCTCAATGCACTACATACACCTGTGTTTACAGAGACACTCAAAAGTTGTTTTTCTTCTGATGGTGTATCAAAAGCATAACGTTGATGTTGTTCATATATTTGTAATGGGAATTTTATCCAAAATTTCCTAAGCCTGAAAAATTGTTAACCAACTAATCTTAGTGTGTGTTCACTATTTAAATGTTAATTCAAAATCTAAAGTAAATTATAAGATTTTGTAATTAGAGCCAAATGTTGACAATACATCAAAAACCTAAAATAAAAATTTCTACCAAGAACTAGTTCTTTAAAGAATTATTATGCTTCCTAATTATACTTTTTTGGGAGAGATAAGTGTGACTGACTTTAGGGTTTTCACTCAGCAACGTTTTACAGAAATTGACACAAGAACAAACTAAAAACTCAGACGATATCATTTGCTTTGTTTTATTCTGATGTAATTAATAAGTTCTAGTTTTATAATAACAAAGTTAGTCCCAGATTATGGGAGCATGTAAGATAATAGAAACATTGAATTTTGAAAGAATAATATTATCGAATATTTCATAAATTTTAACTTTATTTTTCAAGATACAACTAACATCTTCATTTTGACAGCTTTTTAAAACTGGCATTCAATACTTACAAAGACTAACCCATGAATGACATAAAATATTATTTTTATTATCCTAGAAGAGGTTCTTTATATAATATATACAGTGTAGAGATTTTTTAAAGATAATTTTATCTCCTATTCATTGTAGCTATTGATCAGTAGTTGCAAAACTATTATGGCGTCAAGATTAGAGGATATAAGGCTATACAAAGAAACTTTAAAAGTTTAGACAAAGACTTGTATTTTAGAGGTATATGCATTTAATTACTGAAAGTTAGTAACAATTATGTGAATAAGGTGAAGTGGATTAATCATTGTTTCTAAAGTAAGAGTCCTAAATAAAACTGTTTGTGATTTTTCTGCATGGCACTGCAATTCTAATTTGTCTCCCTAAGGCACTCCTGAACACTATCCTAAAACGAATAAAAACATATGCAATGCAATGTAACATGACTGAAAGTATGAGAGCTTCCTTTAGTTTATTTTTACTTATTATATGCATTGTTATCAATTTTTCAAAACTTGGAAGTACCATCTAACTCTCTTAGTTCTGCTAGAAGGATAAAATAGCAGAGTTAAAAAGATACGGGCTTTAGAATTAAAAATATCCTAATTTGATTTCTGTCTCTGTTTCATACTTGAGTAAATTACATAATCTCTACCTGGATTACTCATATCCAAACTGGTATTAACTGTACTCAACCTGGAGCAATGTTGGGAGGATTATTGATGGTACAACTTCTGAGCAGAGTACCCAGAACATAGGAGCTCCTCCAAATGTGTATGCTGTGATTATTATTCCTGTTGGCATCATCTTCATTGATGATGAGATTTGTTATTTTCTCAGAGACCAAGAGAGGTCAGTTTTTAGACTATAACTTTTCCTTCCTCTGAGATAACATAAAAGTCCCTCCTAACCTTAATAATCAAAAAAATATTACCAGTTGGATACAGTTTGAAACATCATCAGCAGTTATTCATTGAACTTGATGAAAATGCTGCAACTCTTTGTTTCGATCCCTATGGTATTTTGAAACCTGTAGGCATTATTATATTAATTAAATTCTGCATTAAAATATTAGGTGACTTTGTAATTATATATGTTTAGGGGTATCTTAAAAAGAAAAAAATAAACATTGAAATTGAAATTGATTATTCTCTGTTTGATTCTCGTTTCCTTTATAATGAAGACTATAAAGAAATGTTATGCCATAGGATAAGAGGACCAGAGAGTAATACTACAATCTGGAAAAAAAGTAATGTACCATACTTAAAACAGAATGTAATGAAAAGGAATACTGTATAAAACAGAATGTTAAAGACTGCTAGGTATACAGCAGTAAACAAAAGTTAAAAACCCTGCCCTCATGGAGCTAGTGTTCTGGCACATACAGTAAATTCTGCTTAGAATTCCTAATTTTTTTTTCAATGGAGGAATCTTATTAGGTATTTAGAATTATTGGCTGTGAACTATGTCATTTTTTTCAGTGGAAAAATCTCATTACTCAAGACGCCTCATATGATACTTTATTCAAATATGAGAAAAATTCTGAAATTCTGAAAGAAAGAACAGTCATTCTTTGAGAAGGAAGAAAAAAAGACATTTATAAAAAATAACTGCTTATGACAAGATATTAATTAGAAGGACTAAATTGGCCACTTTTGAAGATTTTCCATCCACTAAGTGGCATTTTTATTGAGTTTCTAGTCTTCTACTTTAAAACTATTCTTTCAAAGCTTCGAAGTCTTTCCTTTATGTCTCAGCACAAACACCTTTACACATATATGGGTGTGAAAACAGACATACCTTAGAGATATTTCAGATTCTATTCCAGACCATCACAATATCTCAATAAAGTAAGTAATATATTTTTTGGTTTCTTGGTGCATATAAAATTATGTTTACACTATACTGTAGTCTATTAAGTGTGTGATAGCATTATATGTAAAAAGTGTAAATACTTAAAATATTATTTATTGGCAGAGAATGAGAACAATCACCTGAGTCTTCAGCAAGTAGTAATCTTTTTGTGTGTAGGGGGTCTTGCCTCCATGTTGATGGCGGCTGACTGACCATATTAGTGGTTGCTGAAGGTTGGGGAGGCTGTGACAATTTCTTAAAATAAGACAACAATGAAGTTTGCCACATCCATTGATGCTTTCTTCTATAAAAATTTTCTTGTAGCATGTGATGCTGTTTGATTACATTTTATCCACAGTAGAAAACTTCTTTTAAAAACTGGAGTCCATCTTCTCAAATCCTGCTACTGCTTTAGCAACTAAGTTTATGTAATATTCTAAATCCTTTCTTGTCGTTTCAATGGTGTTTACAGCCTCTTCACCAGGAGTAGATTCCATTTCAAGAAATCCATAGATTAGCAAGTTTCTTTGCAACTCCTCGTACCTTAAAGTTTTGTCGTGAAATGAAACCAGTTCAATCACATCTTCAGGCTCCACTTCTAATTCTCGTACTCCTGCTGTTTCTGGTACATTTGCAGTTACTTCCTCCACTGAAGTTTTGAAACACTTAAAGTGTTCCCATGAATCATGAATGCTCTCGATGGCATTTGGATGGTGAATTCTTTCCAGAAGGTTTTCAATTTACTTTGCTCAGATCCAGGAAAGGAGTCACTGTCTATGGAAGTTAGAAAGCCATACAGAATGTATTTCTTTCTTTCTTTCATTTTTTTTCAGAAATCGTCTCACTCTGTTGTCCCATCTAAAGTGCAGTGGTGCAATCATAGCTCACTGTAGCCTCAAATTTCTGGCCTCAAGCAGTCCTCCTGCTCCAGCCTCCCAAAGTCCTGGGATAATAGGCCTGAGCCACCACACTCAGCACAAAATGTATTTCTAAAATAATAAGAATTTGAAAGCTGGCCAGGCACAGTGGCTCACGCCTGTAATCCCAGCACTTTGGGAGGCCAAGGTGGGTGGATCACGAGGTTAGGAGATCAAGACCATCCTGGCTAACATGGTGAAACCCCATCTCTACTAAAAATACAAAAAATTAGCCAGGCGTGGTGGTAGGCGCCTGTAGTCCCAGCTACTCGGGAGGCTGAGGCAGGAGGATGACATGAACACTGGAGGCGGAGCTTGCAGTGAGCCAAGATTGTGCCACTGCAC
This sequence comes from Homo sapiens, assembly GCF_000001405.40. NCBI lineage: Eukaryota > Metazoa > Chordata > Mammalia > Primates > Hominidae > Homo > Homo sapiens. The sequence continues at coordinate 126,665,903 of NC_000004.12, read as the reverse complement.
TCCAGCTTGGGTGACAGAGCAAGACTCTGTCTCAAGAAAAAAAAAAAAAGGAATTTGAAAGCTGAAATGGCTCCTTGATTTATGGGCTGCAAAACAGATGTTTTGTGAGCAGGCATGAAAACAACATTAATCTTGTGCACTTCCATCAGAGCCCTTGGGTGACCAGGTGTATTGTCAATGAACAATAATATTTGGAAAAGAATTTTCTTTTTCTTTTTTTTCTGAGCAGTAGGTCCTGACAGAAGGCTTAAAATACTCAGTAAACCATCTTATAAACAGATGTGTTCTCATTCAGGCTTTACTGTTCCATTTATAGAACAGAGGGAAGTAGAGTTACCATACTTCTTAAGGGTGCTAGAATTTTCAGATGGTAAATGAGCATCAACTTTAACTTAAAGTCACCAGCTACATTACAGGCTAACAAGAGTCAGCCTGTCCACTGAAGCTTTGAAGCCCCATATTGACTTATCCTCTCTAACTATGATAGTCCTGGATGGCATCTTCTTTCAATAGAAGGCTTTTTTGTCTCATTGAAAATCTATTGTTTAGTGTAGCCACCATCATCAGTAATCTTAGCTCGATCTTCTGGATAACTTGCTGCAACTTCTATGTCAGCACTTGCTGCTGCACCTTGCACTTTTATGTATGAAGATGGCTTCTTTCCTTAAACCTCATGAACCCACTTCTGCTAGCTTCAGACTTTTCTCCTGTAGCTTCCTCACCTGTCTAGGCTTTCATAGGATCGAGAAAAGTTAGGGCCTTCCTCTGGATTAGGCCTGGGCTTAAGAGAGTATTGTGGCTTGTTTGATCTATCCAGGCCACTCAAATATTCTCCAAAGCAGCAATAAGGCTGTTTCACTTTCTTAGCATTGGTGTGTTCTCTGGAGTAGCACTTTTGATTTCCTTCAAGAACTTTTCTTCTCACAACTAGGCTGTTTAGCACAAGAGGCCCAGCTTTTGGCTTATCTTGGCTTTCAACAAGCTCATTTCTTCAGTAAGATTAATCATTTCTAGCATTTGTTTTAAAGTGAAAGAAGTGCAACTATTCCTTTTACTTTAACATGTAGAGGCTATTGTAGGGTTATTAATTGGACCAATTTTAATATTATGTTTTGGCAAATGGAGAAGCCCGAGAAAAGGGAGACAGATGGGGGAAGAGCTTGCTGGTGGAGCAGTCAGAACACACACAACATTTATAGATTATGTTTGTTGTCTTATATGGGCTCAATTTGTGGTGCTCACAAACAATGACACTAGTAACATCAAAGATTACTGATCACAGATTACCAAAACACATATAATGATAAAGGAAGTTTGAAATATTGTGATAATTACCAAAATATGACACAGAAACACCAAGTGAGCACATGCTGTTGGAAAAATGGCACCAAAAAATGCTTGAAGGATGGTTGCCACAAAACTTCAATTCATAAAGAGCACAAAATCTCCAAAGTGGAATAAAACAAGTAGAAATAAAACAAAGTATGTCTGTATATATAAATGTATACATATGTTATATATCATAAATGAGTTTTGAATGCTGCATTTCATGTATATTCTGTATATTCTTAGACACTTTTAGTTATTCCTTATTTCTTATTGGTTTCAAATAATTACCGAAGATGCTAAATAATATGAGATTTACCCCTAATCTTTTTTTGTCTCTCTTTAGGACTTCCACCCGAGTTTGTTACACTGCTGTTTATCATGCTTTTTATTTATACTTACCTTTCCAATTTTTAAATTCTTTTGAAAGCTTCCATAGTTAAGCAATATAAACTCATTTAGCTAAGCTTCATGTCCAAAAGACACGTTACAATAGAAAAGTAACACCATAAAAGTTTTAAAACTACATATTCCCAAAAATAAATAGAAAGTATACCAAAACAATGATCTAGAAACCAGTGCTGTTGACCTTATGATGTACAGATATCTAATGTTTTTCTGTTATTATAAAACATATGTGTATATTCACAAATGGGCATATATATATATATATATATCTTTTTTTTTTTTTTTGAGACAGAGTTTCACTCTTGTTGCCCAGGCTGGGGTGCAGTGGTGCAATCTCCACTCACTGCAACCTTTGCCTCCCAGATTCAAGCAATTCTCCTGCCTCAGCCTCCCAAGTAGCTGGAATTCAGGCATGCACCCCATGCCTGGCTAATTTTGTATTTTTTTAGTAGAGACAGTGTTTCACCATGTTGGTCAGAATGGTCTCAAACTCCTGACCTCAAGTGATCCACCTGCCTCGGCTTCCCAAAGTGCTGGGATTACAGGTGTGAGCCACCGCTCAGGGCTGGGATTATATTTTTAAAATTTATTATGTTTTAAAATGTAAAAATGTACAATGTAGGTATGTTTCCTTAGTGCAATTGGTAATAGCTGCATGATATTCCACTGTATAGATGTTCAATGATTAACTTAATTAGTTTTCATTTTGGAACATTTGAGTTGTTTACAATTTTTTGATAATACAAACAATGCTAGAAAAATAACATTATAACTCTACCTTTGCACAAAGCCTTGGTGCAGGATTTGTTGCTTCTTAGCTCAGCTAATATCCTGGTTCTTGTCTCATGACCAGAAAACATTAGGCACGTGGACACATTGAAAGTTGAGGAGAGCAGAATTTATTAAAAGAAAGCTCTCAGCAAAAAAGAGGGGTTCTGCCAATAGGCTCCCACCCCACAGATTGAATACTATGCCACCACACACGAGCTGACAAGGCCAGGTTCTTCTGCAGAAGGTGCAAATTCCTGATGGCTCCACTGTGTTCTCCCAGTGTGCATGTCAGGCCCCAGTCAGTTGCAAGCATCCCCAGATAAGACCCTGGGCAGGTTCCCTCATCTGCACTAAAGCATCTGATGTAAACACTTGTGGGGCAGGCCGGAGATTCTCTGGGGACTCTCCTACATCTGCCTCTTTCATCTATTAGCATGATTATTTATTGAGGATAATTTCTCAGAAATGAACTTATTTAGTCAAGATTATACACATTTTTTAAGACCCCGTATGAATTGCTTGGAAGTTTATACCAATTTACAGTCCCACCTAAATCTCTAACATGTCATGAGTGTGAACTTTAATTAATATTAACTACTTTGTTTTTATTATTTATTTTAATATTTATTAAGCTGAAGGTGAGGAATTATAACTGCTCTTTAACTGTGTTCCTTTGATATTTAGTCAGTTTAAACTTTCCCCCTACTTATTTCAGTCATTTTAATTGCTTTTATGTAATGTTTCTTTTATCTCCTTTGCTTTTTTCCTTTTGGGGCATTCATGTCAATTTCTTGGTTTGCAAAATCTCTTTAAAGTATAAAGAAATGAACATATTATCTGTCACATATGTTATACATACTTTAAAAATGTATATAATATACTTAAATATATAAATAAAACATATTATTTAAAAACTTATAATTTCTGCATTTCATGTTACCAACTTTCTTGTAAGAAGCCAATACAAAACATATTATCTTATAAAAATGCCTGGCAGAATATTGTCAATCAGTGGTTGGTTGAACACACAGATGCAGAACCCACCAATCGACATGGAGGGTCAACTATATTTACCTATGTGCCCTATCCTATGTGACAAGTAAAAGAATTTTAGATTAACTATATTTATACCACAATCATAAACAAACCAACTAAGCAATTCCTTTGTGGTTATTTTTATAATTAGAGCAGATACCACTAAGTATATACTGTTAGAGTAGTCTGTCCAAAAGTCACTTGAATTCATTCTTTTTCTTGTGTGTGTTACTAATTTCAAAAAGAGTCAGGTTTGCTTTTGTTCAGATGTAATTTGGGGTTGACTATTTTATCTCTTATGATTTTGTTTTATTTTTGAACATATGAAATATTAACATGATTCAAAAGTCAGTGTATATAAAAATTATACAGTAGAACCCCCTTATCCTTGGGAAACACATTCTAAGACCCCCAGTGGTTGCATACAACTGTGGATAGTACTAAACCTGATTGTGATCTGTCAGAACACATTTCTGTTCATGTTCACCCACAAATGTAATACCTTCTCCATCTTAACTAAGCACTTATCATGCACTGTGGCTATGACTTTTGCAGTTTGAGGTGTGACAGAAAAACAGCACGTGATTTTTTTTTCCTTCTTCACAAATTTACAGATAAAAGACTGGTTCTTACTCTAAATCTTAGCAACATTCCCATAAGATTTATATTTCCTCATTAAATTGAGTACTTTTACCTTTTAACTTAAGAAAGGACTTTACGGGTTCTCTTTGGCATATCTGAATTGCCAGTATCACTACTGATAACGCTTTGGGGCCACTATTAAGTAAAACAAGGCTTTACTTGAACACAAGCAATGCCATGAGAAAGTAGATCTGATAACTACAAGGGCTACCAAGTGGCTAAAAGTGGGTAGTGTCAGCAGTGTGGATCTGCTGGACAAAGGGATCTGTGTCCTTGGCAGGATGGGTAGGCCAGTGCAAATTTCATCACATCACTCAGAATGGCATGCAAGTAGAAACTTATGAATTGCTTATTTCTGGAATGTGGTTGACTGGAGATAACTGAGACTGCAGAAAGCAAAACTGCAGATAAGGAGTGAATACTGCCTACCCTTACCACTCCTATTCAACATAGTACTGGGAATTATAGACAGAGTAATTAGGCAAGAGAAAGAAACAAAAGGCACCCAAACAGGAACAGAAGAAGTCAAACTCTCTCTCTTCACTGATGATATAGTTCTATACCTAGAAAACCATAAAGATTCTCCAAAAGACTCCTGAAACTTATCAATGACTTCAGTAAAGTTTCAGGATACAAAATCAATGGACAAAAAGCAGTATAATTTCTATGCACTAATCACATTCAAGCTAAGAGCCAATTCAAAAACAAAATCCCATTTACAATAACCAAAAAATAAAATACCTAGGAATACATTTACCCAAGGAGATGAAAAATATCTACAAGGGGAACTAGAAAACGCTGCTAAAGAAATTGCACATGGCAAAAAATGCGCTCAGCAAATTCTCACTGTCAACCCCATCCCATTAACTCCAGTTTTTCCCACTCACTCAGGGTAATGATTTTTATTACCCTGATTTATTTTTCCTAAGTTTCTTGCCTCAAAAATAGTAAGAAGATATATTGCTTTCTTATTTCTTTCTTTCAAAACTGTGGATTATGAAGTGTTATTTGAACCCTTTTTTCTTTCACCAAACGATAAATCTTGGAAACCAATCCATGTTAAGTTTGTAGAGATTCTGTACGCTTGTTTATTTCTTTATGCTTCCATGGAAATTCATGTTTCCAATAATTTGTTATGGCAAATAATATCTCAGTAAATAAAATTGTTCACATGCTATTTTACATTTGTGAAGTTGTATCTTTAGGACCAATAGTTAGTTGTATCTTTAGTTAAACCCTGGAGGTGGGATTGTACCATTTGGCACATTTGCTAGCAGTGTATGAGAGTGTCTGTTTCCTCACTGCTTTGCCAACAGAGTGTGGTATCAGGCTGTTGAAGTTTTACAAATTTCATAGGTGAAAATTGGTACCTTGGGGTAGTTTTCATTTGCATTTCTGTTAAGAGTGAAATGGAACATCTTTTAATGTACTTAGAAATATTTTGCATATCTGTTGACAAATATCTGCATGTTTTTCTTTTTAATCCATTGAGATTTGGTCTTTTTTCTTCCATTTTTAAGAATCCTTTCAACAGTATCTCTTTCTCTGTGATATATATTGCAAATAATTTTTTCCAGTTTTTCATTTTCTTTTGACTTTGTTTATGGTGTTTTTTCATACAATAGTTTTTTTTTTAACAGAGTTGACTTTATCACTAGTTTCTTTTATTTGAATAAAAGAAAATATGAATCCTATTTAGATTCAAAAAATTTGAATCATATTTAGAAAGCTTTACCCCAAATCAGCTAAAAATGTATGTTTTCTTCTAATAATTGGAATAATGGTGCTTTTTTGAAAGTGAAGAAGGTCATATTAATAATATTACTAGTATTTCACATGCAACCCAGAACTGTCTCAGGAGAAGAGGGACATATAAATACCTGTTTACAGGTATTATCTCATTTAAACCATAGAGCTAACATCTACATCATTTTTCTTAATTAGCTTTAGGTTAAATCTATAGCTATTTTGTTTTCTCAATCTAAAATATTTTATCATCTTATTATCAATGGCAGTGTTACACTATTAGGCAAAAGAATGCTTTATTTTCAGATAGTCATATTCTAGCACAGATGTATATTATTCTAATTTGCCCCTCAAAGCTTCACTGATTAAAGAGAGACTGAGGTACAGTATGCATCCATTTATTCTGCCTGAAAATTGAGCTCCAGATTTTTATTTTTATTTAATCGCTAACAATTAATACTCTGTAAAAGAAATGATTAATCATATTTAATTATTCTAAATGGCAGAACTAGAATAACCTATAATTGTCATCAGTTAGAAAAAATCAAAGTAAATGCAACCATCTGTATTAGAGCCAAATTAATTTTAATGAGGAGAATGAAATTAATTCCTGAGAGTTTGATATGTTCTGATGCTTTACTTATGTTATTTCAATTAATCTTTGAGAGGGCTCAGTATACTCCCTAATACTATCCTCATTTAATAAGGCCAGAAACTGAAGCTCAGACATTAACTAACATGTCCGAGGTAGAAACTTAGAAATGATATGAGTCAGGATTATGGACACAGGACTGTATAACTCCAAACACTTAGCTTTTCTATAATACTTTGTGACCTCTAATAAAAAACAAGTTGCTAATTTTTCTAGGAAATTATTAGAAAACATCGTAGTGTTTTCACTTACTTGATTGTCATATGTTAGCAATGTAGCTGTAATCTCCTGTGACACTCAAATTATCACTCTACTTCACATACAATTTAAAGATTGAACCCCATCTTCAGGTAAAACCAAGTACAAGCAATCACAGAATATACATTTCAATGTAGTCATGATGATAATCTTCCCAGACCAGTTCTCATGTTGGTGTTGGATATTCCTGTGTGCAGGAATACATGCCTCTTTAATTGAGATTCCCCCCACCCCGCCCCCATTTTGTTGTCATCCTTAGAAGGGATTTGTATTCTTGGAACATAAAGTTTCTTTAAAGGCTTCTTTCAGTAGAACATTGAGGGATGGACTCACTTCTTCTCAGGGGCTGGGGAATTAAAGGACACACATAGCCTCAGGCCCTCATTTGAAAGCACTATCCACTGCTTGTAAAATGACAAAAGAAGCAGCAAAGCCAACCTTTTATTTTCCTACCTTGGACTTCGATCTATTTAGTAATGCCATGACATTTCTATCAGGTTTCCTCCATAAGGCCCTTTCAGAACACAAATAAAAGAATGAATACAGGAGCTGAGCTTTCTCCCATTCAACTTTCAGCTCTGTTAGCTTTCAATACCAGAAATGTATTTAAGACTGGATAAGGTTTGTTAACTCTTATATACCACTGTCACTCATCCAGATAGAAAAGAATAAAACTATATGTGTGATGAGATTTGCAATTCAAATCAAACCATTTCAGATTGAAAATATAGTGTGTTGTGGGTAGGGGAAGACAGAGAAGGCAAGAATAAGTCTCACATTCATCTTTAGCAATAATATTGTAGTTGGTGTATATGAAACTATATAATTTTTGTATTTTCTTCAGAATATAGATTATAATAAACATTTTCTGATGAGCTCATGCCTTAGATTTAATTCTAACTATATTATAGCATACCAGTTTTTAGAAAGATAAGGGTATTTAAATAAATTTGGAGTTTTAAAAGCATGAAAACTAAATAAATAAAGCTTCTGTAAAACTTTTCTAATATTTGTATATTTTATAAAACATTTTGTAGGTCTTATCCATAATTTTTCACACAACTTATAAGATTCCTTTAAAGGGCAGACAAACAAAACTGAACAGGTTAATTAGAATTTTTCAAAACACAACACAAAATAAAGAACAAACTTCTTTCCTGATAGTTAAACTAAATGTTACTGCCTGTCATTCACATAGTATTATTTTAATAATTTCAAAAAGACTTTAAAACTTTAACTTCCTTTAACTTGAAAAATAAACTCAATACTTCTTTTAGTCACAGCAGCATCAATATGCATTTGAATAATGTACCTTTATTTTAAGAACTTTGAAAATGAAATGAATAGTAAATAAAGGTTTCCAAGTTCTGTGCTTAAGTAGTGTTGGGGTGATACACTATGGGTCTTCAGGAAAAAAATGGAAGCAATATAAATTCGGCATATAACTACTGTGAAAATGATCCTAGGCTAGCTTTAGTAGAAATGTATACATTAATTAGATACAAATCATAGAAAGCAGCTTTATCATTATTATGCTAAATTTCCTCCCACCTGACCCGTATGGGTGATTAATAAGCACCCATGTTTATGCTACATGACCATGTACAGTCTAAGTTGATTTGCCCAGCAATGAGCATCTGAATCAAGCAGAGCTAATCAGATTCTTTTCTCCCTGGAGTTTGGAGTTTTAATCCACACAGCAATATAAAAGGGTATAACCTGTGGCTGAAGCAGGCATATATGACCTTTCTATAAGGAGAAAGTATTTTTTTGAGATATTTATTCCCAAGAATGAACACAGGAGTAACTTGATTATCTGCTTATGAACTTTCGTCAGCTCAGAGGATTAAAAAGATATATAAAACTTTAAAAGATAAAAAATAAATAATTGAAGGAGCCATATGAAAAGGGCAATAGCCAGGTGCAGTGGCTCACCCCTGTTATCCCAGCACTTTGGGAGGCCGAGGTGGGTGGATCACCTGAGGTCAGGAGTTTGTCGAGATCAGCCTGGCCAACATGATGATGCCCCATCTCCTCTAAAAATACGAAGATTAGCTGGGCATGGTGGCATGCGCCTGTAATCCCAGCTACTAGGGAGGCTGAGGCAGGATAATCGCTTGAACCTGGGAGGCAGAGGTTGCAGTGAGCCAAGATTGTGCCATTGCATTCCAGCCTGGGTGACAGAGTGAGACTCCATTAAAAAAAAAAAAAGGCAATATGATCTGATAATCTGAAAAATAATAAAGCCAATGTCTTAGTCTGTTATGTGCTGCTATGACATAAAATCAGAGACTGGGTAATTTACAAAGAGCATGCAGCAAGTATATGAAAAAATGCTCAACATCACTAATCATCAAAGAAATGCAAATTAAAACCACAGTGAGAAATCATTTTACATCAGTCAGAATGGTTAGACTGAAAATACAAAAAAAAAAAAAAAATCAGATGTTGGCAAGGATGTAGAGAAAAGAGAAAGCTTATACACTGTTAGTGGGAAGGTAAATTTGTAAAATCTCTAGTTGGATATTTCTCAAAGAACTGATAATAGGACTACTATTCAATTCAGCAATCCCACTACAGGGTATAAACCTAAATGGAACTAAATCACCATATCAAAAAGACACCTGCCATCAAATGTGTATCGAAGCACTATTCACAATAGCAAAAATATGCAATCAATGTTAAGTGTCCATCAATGGATGACTGAATAAAGAAAATGTGGTATATATTACACACACACACACACACACACGTGTGTGTGTACGTGCATAGTGGAATACTAGTTACCCATAAAAATGAATGAAATCATGTCTTTTGCAGCAACAGTGATGGAAATGGAGGCTATTTTCATAAGGGAAACAACTCAAACAGAAAGTCATGTTCTCACTTATAAATAGGAGCTAAATAATGCATATACACGGACATAAAGGGCGGAATAATAGACACTGGAGTCTCTGAAAAGTGGGGTGATGGGAGGGGGTGAAGGATGAGAAATTACTTAATAGGTACAATGTACCCTATTCAGGTGATGGTTACACTAAAAGCTCAGACTTCACCACTATGCATATATATTCATGTAACAAAATTCCAGTTGTAGCTGTTAAATTTATATAAAAAAAAGAACAGGAGGCCAGGCGCGGTGGCTCCTGCCTATAATCCCAGCAATTTGTGAGATCTAGGCTGCCAGATCACTTGAGGTCAGGAGTTTGAAACCAGACTAGCCAACATGGTGAAACCTCCTCTCTTCTAAAAATACAAAAGAAAAATCAGCTGGGGGTGATGGCGGACACCTGTAATCCCAGCTACTTGGGAGGCTGAGGCAGGAGAATTGCTTGAACACAGCGGGTGGAGGTTGCACTGAGCCAAGATTGCACCAATGCACTCCAGCCTGTGTTACAGAGCGAGACTCTGTCTCAAAAACAAAACAAAAACAAAAACAAAAAAGAACAAGAATATATTTCCTCATAGTTCTGGAAGCTGGAAAGTCCAGGATTGAGAGAGTAGCATCTTGTAAGACCCTTATTGCTGCATTATTTCATGGCATAAGGCAGATGGGAAAAGAGGTGGGGAGAGAGACAAAAGGAGGCCAAAGTCATTCTTTTCCAAGGAATCCACTCCTGAGATAAGGAACTCACTCCTGCTATAACAGCATTAATCCATTCATAAGAGGAGTGCCCACATAACCAAAACATCCTCCATTAGGCCCCACCTCCCAACACTAATGAATTGGGGATCAAATTTCTAACACATAAACTTTGGGAAACACATTAAAGCATAGCACCAAAGAATATATCAATGTACAAAAATGGAAACACATGGCTGTATGTAGCTGACAGAAGTGAAGGTGCAACATCATGGCATCGGGAGCTCTTGTGATCAAAACAAAGAACTAAATGTACTCATTTGATATACAAATGACTCAAAAGAATATAACAAACTGGTTGTTTGGAAGATCTGCTTTTGTTTTGTTTATTTTTTTTTTGTCTTTGTGACCTGGGGTTAATTTCTCTCATGATTTATGATAAAGAGGAAATTCTCAAGTTAGGAAACATACTTTTTAAACATCTCTAAAATAGTACTGTATTGAGTGAGTCTATGTGACACTTTCTGTAATATGACTCAATGTAAATCCGTGAGATAATGTTGACTTAAAACACAGTAAAATAAATCTATAAATGTTGGAAACAATGTTGTCCATATATGTCCCTTTCAGATACTTAGGGTTTCATAAAATGATTAAATTGATATTTTAGGGTTTCATAAAATGATTAAATTGATATTTCTGGAAAAATATATACTTTCATTCTCAATAATTATTATTTTTATAAACAAAAGTGTTTAAGATATACTGTCTGAAAATTAGTTGGAGTAAGGAAATACTCTTTCCAATTAAGGGCAATTCATTTCTTTGGTGACTGCAGCAAATGAAAATGTTTATATAAATATAAAACCCCAACTTCAAAATTTGCCTCAATGCATGGGTCACCCATGTATGTAATTTATTATAATTTGTAATTTTCTTTTTTTTCCTGGATGTAAGTGAAGACTATATTTCCAGTCCCCTTATAGCTAGTTAGGTGGACAATGTGACTACTTGTGGTCATTGAAATATAAGCAAATGTGATGCAAGGCACTTCTTGGATAAGGGAGTATAATACCCTGCAGAATTCTAAGGTCTCTCTCTTTCCCTATTCTAACAAAAGTACTGACCTCATGTGGAGATGTCAAAGTCACTAGGATAGGTTCAAAGTATTCTGGATCAATGGGTTACTCATAGCAGAGAGCTGCTATGGAGAGTTTCAGATCTACAGTGAATTATATGTGAGTGATACATTTTCATTGCATGAGCCACTACAGTTTTTGGATTGTGTGTTACTGCAACAAAGCCTGGCTTATCTTGACTAATATATCCTCCCCTGTAGCTTGTCAGAAGACTTGACTGGTCCTCTTTTAGTTATAGTTGTAAGTAACAAGCAATATATTGACATTCTAGTTTTATTTTCTGTGAATTTTGAGTCATTGAACATTCATGAGAAAAATATAAGGTAACTTCTGATATCTGGGTGATCACAACCACTGAAGCAGAAGAAAACATTTAAATGTAATTATAATTTAATTTGGTAAGAGAAATGATAGAAATATGCAAAATTCATTATGGAAATCCTGAAGAATGGCTAACCTGCCTAATCGATGAAAATTCCTGAAGGAGGTAAACAATGAACTGTACCTCAAAGAATGGCTAAGTTATTCAAGTAAATAATGGTGGTAATACGGGAAAGGAACAATCTTTAGGCAGAGGATAAAACCTGAGCAAAAATAAAAAGGAAGAACGTGGTGAAGAGAGAATTACAAGCAGTCCGATACTGTTGGAGTAAAAAGTCTAGGGCATGGACTTGTCAAAGATAGAGCTGGAGATGTGGTCAGGGATAGACACTGGAAAGCTCAGACTTTTGAGAAATCATAATTTCTATTATTATTCATGGGTAGTAATTAGCATGAATTTGGTTGGGTTTTATTTGATACCACAGGTGAAGGACAAGACAGAAGGAATCCGTTGCTATGGTAGAAGTGACAGATGATGAAGGGCTTTAGGGAGTTGCAGGAGATAAAACACAGAATAGGCTATAGAATATGGGCTGTGGGATATCACTGCTTGATGTGAAATCCAGGCCTTTCTAATCTCTAAGCATGTGACATGGATTACTGTTATTACTGTACCTTAATTTCATCATTAGTAAAATTGAAATGGTGATTTAAAAAGTCTCTTTATAGAGTTATAAATTATACATGGGATGATAAGTAAACTAAGCTTAGCTATATCAGGAAGCATAGGAAAACAGGTAGATTCAAAAAACATATATGCAGGCAATAGATTCTTGGTTGGCTAATATTTATGTAATTAATGAGGACCACTCGAATGTCACATAATGATATACATTCTGATTCTGGGTGATTTTATCTCTTTAACTATGGAAGCAAAAGTTTCTGGTCTACTTTTCGAGTTTTTACCAGGCATCATATACTCAGGCGTTGTTTAATGATCAGGGAATGATTCTGATAAATAGATCTTTAGGTGATTTAGTCATTGTGGGAAAATCAGAGTGTACTTACACACATCGAGATGGTATAGCCTACTACACACCTAAGCTAGATGGTATAGCCTATTGCTACCGGGCTACAAACCTGTGTAGCATCTCACTGTACTGTACTGTAGCCAATTGTAACATAATGGTAAGTATTTGTGTATACAAACTAGAGAAAAATATACAGTAAAAGTATGGCATAAAACATAAAAAATAGTACACCTGTGCAGAATACTTGCCATGAATGGAGCTTGCAGAATTGGAAGTTGCTGTGGGTGAGTCAGTGGGTGAGTGGTAAGGGAATGTGGAGGCCTAGATATTACTGTATACTATAGTAAACCTTATAAACACTGCACACTTAGGTTACAGTAAATTTATGAAAAAATTTCTTCAATAATAAATTAATCTTAGCTTACTGTAATTTTTTTACTTTATATAAACATTAAATTTCTTTTTGACTCCTTTGTAATAATCCTTAGCTTAAAACACAAACACATTGTTCAGCTGCACAAAAATATCTTCTTTCTTTATGTCCTTATTCTATAAGTTTTTATAACTTTTTGTTAATTTTTAAAATTTCTGTTAAAAACTAAGACACAAAGATGCACATTAGCCTAGGCCTACACAGGGCCCAGATTATCAAGGTATCACTAGGTGATAGAAATTTTTCAGCTCCATTATATCTTTTTTTTTTCCTCCTTTTTGTGGAGAACTGTGTCTCACTATGTTGCCCAGGCTGGTCTCAAACTCCTGGGCTCAAGTTATCCTTTTGCCTTTGCTTTCCTAAATGCTGGGATTACAGGTGTGAGCCACCACACCTGGTCTCCATAATATCTTATGGTACCACTGTCATATGTGGTCCATTGTTGACTGAAACGTCATTATGTGGTGCATGACTATATATTAATATACAGATGGTGACTGCTAACAGGAAAGTGGAAGACATTCCAAGGGAAGCATATGTACAGAGTAATGGGAAGTGACCTGGTGATGGAACCTGTCAAGAAAACCAACATTAAGGAAGCAGGCAAATACAAAAGAGCTCAAGCTATAGACCTGGAAGAAATCATACAGTGTCCAGCACCTTAGAAATTAAGACTGTAAATTTCTTGTGGAATCGAATCACAGGTATCCTTCATGATCCAAACGCTCTCTTCCAAGTCTCATTTTCTAAAATGTAATAGGTTTTAGTGCCTTGGTGAGGATATTCTTCTATATCTAAACTCTTACTATCTGTTAAATGAAATTTAGGAAAACAATTGATTCAGAAAATGTGTTATCCTTTGCTATCTGAGCTTGAAGTTTACACGTTGTAACCTAATTGATTGTTTTAAAAGTGTACTTCTATCTGATAACCTTTAACATAACCAAAATTATATATATACATATATATACACATATATACACATATACATACATATATACGTATATATACACATATATATGTATATATACATATATATACACATATATACGTATGTATACATATATACACATATATACGTATGTATACATATATATACACATATATATATATAATGATAGAATAGTGGCTAATCTAAATTATGAGGTATATATTAACATAGAACTAAATTCTATTCCTTAATTCTCATAAAATAAATTGGAAAGCCCACCCAGCCTCCTTTATGGCTCTTTGTGGCCATGTGAATAAACTGTAACAAAAAGAGGTTAATAAAATGATGTATGTAAATTCTGAATCATATCATCCAAAGGAACCTGCTTGCCCTTCATTTCTCATTCCAGTAAGTTAAAATGAAAATGTGGTGTTGATAAGCCATCTTTGACCATGAGGATAAGGAAGTATCCTAGGATACGGAAGAGTCAGAGATGAAGTGTTCCTGTGTCCCTAAGCGGAGAGGGTTGTCCTGTGTCTTAGGCTGTTCATCAGCTCAAACCTTTATGTAGCCTAGCTCCTTCCTCTTTGTCCTTCTTGGGAATGGGCCTGCCCACATAGAAAATATTTTTCATTGTTCCTGATCATTTAGTCAGGGAAGGCAGTGGTTTTCAAGCCACTTACTTATATGAGTAAGCATATTTAATTCAGCAGTCACTATTAAGAAACACACTTGCCCACAGCAATTAGACTCTTTCACAAAGATCAACTTAACCTGTAATTGTGATAATTTGGACTGCCGTTTGCCTTACTCTGGACTTATTTCTCAATAACTGCAAAACTTGAGCATGGAAAGATGGCATTCTTTATGCCAATTGATTACATTAGAGACCCAGTCCCTTAAATTGAGTTTAGTAACAGCTGAATATTTGGGTAAAAGTTAACACAGAAAGGTACTTACTTGGCACTATGTTTATAAACAGAATTTTTTTTAATGTTTAAACATGTTTTTGAATTGCCATTAATTGATTCTAGACAGGAATAAGCAGCAGTTGGAAAATGAAGAATGATAATTATGTTTTGAACATAATTAATCATAGAATTTATTTAAACCCATATTGTGAGATAAACGCATAAATATTGATACTGCATATATACGTGTGTGTATGTATAAAAAATATATAATGCCTTTTTATTCATGCATGTTCATACATCTAATAAGTTTCCACCTGGACTGTTCCTTTCTAAAACTCCAGTTGCAATATTTATCAACTATGAATATTATTATCTGTCTACAAGAAATATTTCCATCTCCTGTGAAAAAGTAAATTATTTCCTGAGAAAACAATCAAATGTGAAGATATACAGTGAAATTATCAGTGGATATAGATCTACTTATTGCTAACCATGATACATGCAAAATTCAACATATAGAAGTTATGCACCGTACATTCAATTCAGATGCTGGGCAAAGCCTGAGGACAAAGAAGACCCTGGGTGGTTGTAATGAAAAGCTTTTTGGAGTGTGTAGTGTCAGAAATTATCATATGTTTTTAAAAATGACCCATTAGCATTACTTTATACTAGGAGTTTAAACAAAACTTATTTTATTGGTGCCTGTCCACATTGTGAAATGTGATTTGCATAAAGAGATATAGCACCTTTTCCTTCTACCACTACAAACACCATTATTCTATATTAAAAGATTCTTTCAACTGAAATTTTCGTCTAGAAGCACGTTTTTACATGTGTTTTACATACACGGTTCTTCCTTATTTTCTTGTGTCATATTTATATTATTTATATTATTTATATGAGAATAATGTTTTTCTAAGACTGATATTGTGTAGCTATAGTTATATAATGCTAATGATTTCATTTAATAAATTGCTTGAGGTTTTTCAATAATTATAATTTTTAGAGCTGCAGCTAAAGCATATAACTATATTTCCTTAAATGTCACATTTGAAGATTGGTTTGCTATTAGAGAACTACTAGAAACTTTAGTTATAGAAATGATTGATAATGGGAATAGTAAATACTATTATATAAATCTGAAGTTTCTGAATATTCCATTCTTTCATTTAATGCCAGACACACAATTTAAGATAGGGCAAAAGAGAACTTTATTTTTAGTTCTTATAGAACATGGATGCTAACTTATTTTTTCCCACTAACATATAAGCAGATAACATAAACTTAACTATTTTAACAGTAACAACATATCACTTTGTGTAAGGGTGTGCAATATCAAACGCTCCTAAGTGTGAAGGTTACCTTTCTAAATTACAAATATGGATAAAGCAAAACATCATTAACTTATTAATAACTCAGGGGAATGGAAGATGAATGCATTATTTTATATTTTAGCTGCATACATTATTTTTTTAAAAATATTTTACCCAGTGTCCAAAAGAATTTAATGAGCACTACTATGCAACAGACACTGATCTATACCCTGGAGAAATAGCTACAAATAAGAAAGTGAAATTATATTTTAAGGGAACATGGGAAGCTAACTAAATATAATACTACAGATGGTGAAACATGGTACAGGCTGAATATCTCTTATCGAAAATGCTTGGGATCATAAGTGTTTCATATTTTGGATTTTTTTGGATTTGGAATATGTGCACTTATGTTTACAAATCCAAAAATCTGAAATCAGAAATACTCTAATGAGCATTTCCTCCAATGGGCATCAAGTCAATGCCCAAAAAGTTTCAGATTCTGGAGCATTTGACATTTCACATTCTCAGATTTGGGATGCCCAACCTATATAAAAAACAAAACAGCGTAATAGAGACGCTAGGTAGTTATGCTAGGTTAGACAAGCTCAGGGAAAGCTTTTCTGAGTAGATATTTGGGCTAAGACCTGTGAAATGAAAGGCAGGTACACATGGGAAAATCTAGGAGAAGCATTCCAGGCCTAGAGAATTGCAAGCATATATGCTCCAAAGATAAACATCCTTGTGCATGTGAGGAAATGAAAGACCAGTGAGCTGATGCATAGCCACTGAAGAAGAAATACAGTCAAATATAAATAGGCATAGACCGGACCATGAAAGATAATTTATATACATAAGATAGATTTTGGATTTTATTTGTACTCTACTAAAGTAAAGCAGTGATGTGTACTGAAGTATATGTTTACGATTTCATTCTGTACACTGTGTGGGAAATTACTGCAGAAAACTTATAAAAATATGCCAGTAATAAAAACAAATACTACATATGTGAGATTTACCCTCACAGCTGAAACAACGAAGAAAACTAGACCAAATATATAAAACAGTAGTTTTCAAGAAACTGGACATGAGGGAAGGAAAGACAGTAATCATTGAGAGATGATGGGGTGAGCCCTACAATTACTCACCTTGAGCTTTCAGTCTTGAGAGATTTACCAGGCTGTAGTACTGAGGGGAACCAGATGGAGAACAGTGGACTCTATCAGTTAAGGATGCAGATGTGAGACTTAGTGGGAGACCAAGATTGCTACGGTTTGCAGAACAAAGTACCTCAGAGAAAAGAACTACACAGAGAAAACTTTGAGGTCTGCAAAGAGAACTCTGGAATATTTGGCAGAATACTGATCTGCCAATTTGCAAATACTGATCTAAATATTTGGCATGCATGAGAGGAAACTACTCAAGGCTATGGAAAGAACCACCTCAAAGGATTTGAGGCAACAGTAGTCAGACCTCACAGACAGCTAAGGATATGGCCCATTGCCATAGTCAGACTGAAAAAAACTAACTGTTCACAGGGCATTGGGTAGAATGCTCAGAAAGCCTTGCTTCACGTGTAGCTTCCTAGGCCTGCAGTAACAAAGTGCCACAAACTGGGTGGCTTAAACAACAGAAATTTATTGTTTTACAGTTCTGGAGGTCAGAAGTCTAGAATGAATGTGTTGACAACCTTTTGAGGGTTATGAGGGAGAATCTATTCCATATCTCTTTCATAACTTCTGGTGGTCTCAGGCGTTCCTTGGCTTGTGGCAGCATAACTCCTATCTCTACGTCCATCTTCACATGGCCACCTTAGCCCTTTGTATGTCTATGTCCACACTTCCCCTTTTCATAAGGACACCAGTCAGGCTGGCTTAGGGCCCACTCTAATGACTTCATCTTAACATGGTTAAATATGCAAATACACTACTTCCAAATAAGGTCACGTTAGGAGGTACTAGGTGTTAGAACTTCCAATAAATCTTTTTGAGGGGGACACAAACTCATAACACCTCATTAAAGGGAAATAATTAGCCTTAAGAGTAAATGCTGCTGTAGTTCCATCAAACTAATTTTAAAGGAAATACCAGAAAGAATCAAACTGTTCCAAGTAAGCTAACTGTGTCCCAGAATACAACTCAAGAATATTTACTGGAAAATAAAAACTATTTAGCACCAAACAAGGTAAAATTTACAATGTCTGGCATCCAACAAAATTACTGGGCATGCAAAAAAGTAGGAAAATATGAACTATGCTAAGGAGAAAAATTAATCACTCCAAAATAATATAAAACTGACAAAGATATTAGAATTAATAGACAAGGGTAATAAAAGTCATTACAATTGTATTACATAAGTATAAAAGTCAAAAGTACTGAACATTTTAAGCAGAGATCTGCAAGATATATATATATATGTTTTATATATTTTATATATATATATATAGTCTTATATGTGAGAAAAATGAATTACATATAACATTTCATTCTCTGGACATTGGCTCCATTTATGGCGTTTTGTGTTTGAACAGGAATTTTCAGAAAGTCAACATTTTTACGGCCGGGCGCCGGGGCTCACGCCTGTAATCCCAGCACTTTGGGAGGCCGAGGCGGGCGGATCACGAGGTCAGGAGATCGAGACCATCCTGGCTAACACGGTGAAACTCCGTCTCAACTAAAAATACAAAAAATAAGTCGGGCGCGACGGCAGGCGCCTGTAGTCTCAGCTACTCGAGAGGCTGAGGCAGGAGAATGGCGTGAACCCGGAAGGCGGAGCTTGCAGTGAGCCGAGATCACGCCACTGCACTCCAGCCTGGGCGAAAGAGCGAGACTCTGTCTCAAAAAAAAAAAAAAAAAAAAAAAAAAAGAAAGTCTATATTTTTACTAATGGGTTCTCAGTTTCTCAGTGCTGTCTTTAATGTGATCACGATGCTTTGTGTGTTCTTGGCACAAGGTTTCTGTTTGAGTAAATATATATAGCATCATTATTACCGTATATATTTTATATTATTATATGAAGACCACTTGAACAAAATGGATAATTGATACAACTACAATGAAGAAAGACATGTCATTTTCTGTCTTATCAGGTTCTAAATAGGGAATAAAACCTTATGACATATGAATAATTCTATAGTAGCTTTGAATAAATTTATTCATCTTATATTTATCTATAATATATATTTATACATAATACATGTATTTCTAGTATATGAATTTTTCACATTAAAAAATTATACTCACTGTAGAATATATGGAAAAGAGAGGCATTTGAACAAAATATAATTGTATTACATTGTAAATTTAGGTTATTCTAATTTGAGATTGTTTCATGAGAGTTATTCCTGCCATTTATTTGAAAACATGTTTTGAGATAGTTGCATAATATTTTATTGTATATTGTTGTAAGAAATGAATGTTTACATTACTTTACTCTTGGAGAATTATTTCTCTTTAAAAAAGTACATAATAGAGCTATTGTGAGATGGTGTAAATTACCAAATTTGCAAATCTGTCCATTTAAAACAATGTGGTAAGAATTATATATACTAGTATTATAGTATGTGTTGTAAGTGTTGACAAATACTTTGGCAGTTTTTTTTTTTTAATTCGAGGGGTACATGTGAATGTTTGTGATATGGCTATACTGCATAATGGCAAGGATCGGGCTTCTTGTGAACCAGCACCCAAATATTGAACACTTTACCCAAGAAGTAATTTTTCAACTCTCGCCCCCTTTTGGAGTCTCCAATGTCTATTATTTCTCTCTTTATGCCCATAGGTACGTATTGTTTAGCTCCCACTTATAAGTGAGAACATGTGCTATTTGATTTTTCTATTTCTGAGTTAATTCAGTTAGGATAATGGCCTTCAGCTCCATCTATGTTGCTGCAAAGGACATGATTTCATTCTTTTTTATGACTGAATATTTCATAATGTGTATATACCATATTTTCTTTATCCAATCAACTGTTGATAGAAACTTAGGTTGGTTCCATGTCTTTGCTATTGTGAATAGTGCTGCAATAAACATACAAGTTTTGACAATATTTTTCTAGCATATTTTGTCAATGCATACTACAAAAAAGCCCTACATATTATAATTTATAATTTGTAAAAATAATTTATCTTAAGCATACTTAAAGATAAATTATTTAATATTTTAAATATTAAAATGTTTAAGCATTAATATTTACATAAATAATTTATCAATAAGCATACTTCTAGAATATTAAAATAAGATTAAAAGTTAACTAAAAACATGAAAATATCATTTTCAAAATTTAGAGGAAATTTCTTACTTTAAACTCTTGATGCTAGAATAACATTCTTTTGTACCATGTGAATACCTTATTAGTTGTTTTTAAGGTTTGCTAAGATTAATTGATTTGGTTGCATTTTACACTTGCTCCTAAAGGATAATAAGCTGATCTTTATCAAAAAGAAAAATCGTGTAATGTTATTTGTTGCCTATAGGAGAAAATTAGAAAGGTAACTTTTAACCTCAATCAAAATCTAATATTAAATATGGCTTGGATTCAATCATGGATATAGCATTTCCATTTTATGATGAACTGCTGGGACCCTCTGACCATATATGACTTGGGAGGGAAAGCTTGCCTGTTTTCATACATTCATCTCTAGTAAGGATCCATTGCATGCCTGTTTCTTACAAGGCATATCATTTCCTTGAATGGATAGCATGGTCTTGCTCCAGATTTCCAGGGATCTGCATTGTGGTCCTCTCACTGCTGTTCATCATAAGCTCCATACTGTGTCCTTTTCCACTAACGAAATCTGCACACAGTAAGAGTCTGCTCAATTGTTTGGTCCAAGTAACAGGATGGCTTGCAGTGCCTCTTTGAGCAACTGAAGAGTCCTGCACTGCTCCTAGACCAGCTAAAAGTTGGAAATTCCCATATCACCTGGTATATGGGCTGGAGCAGTATTCTTAGGTGTGGAATATGATATTTTGGGATTCAAAGAGGCCAATGAGACAGTGCTTCCTTCTTTCTGCAGGGGATATAAGATGCAATAATGTGCCTCTTATTTTGGAAGATATATCCAGCCAGGCCTCTGACTATTGCACCCTTGGACTTTTACTAAAGTGGCATGCCCCTGAATCATCATAGGTCTTAACATTCAATTCATGAAGCACACAGGTCTTGCCAGGTTCTCCAGTGTGTTAGCCATCTCTTGATTGTTCTGCTCAATTGGCATGATGTCATCAATATAACTGATCAATGTGATACTCTGGGGTTATTCAGGTGGTCCACATCTTTGGGCACTGTTTTGTGTCAGAGGGCAGATCATTAACACAGCCCTGAGCAAACTGTAAATGAATATTTTTGTTCAGTCCACTTGGATGTGAGCTGATGGTCATATATCATATAACTGAGACTTCATTTTTTGGTTCTAGCGAGGAAATTATATTTAAAAAATAGCAGTGTTTCAAGATACTGCTTGATTAAGCCTGCAGTAGTCTAAAATGATACTGAAGGGTACATATAGTTTCTCTAGGGGGCCGAGTAGCAAATTAAATGGAGATAACATTGGGATCATTGACCTTGAATTCTTTAGGTTATTAAATGTGGTGCTAATTTCTGCCATCCTACCTTCCTCTTCACTCCAGATATGTAATGTTTTATTTCATTTACTATCCTGGTTAGGGAAGGGCAATTTTATGGGTTTCCACTTTGTCATACCTCCTAAGAATACTCTTCCCTGTAGGCTAAGTATGTGAGGGGTTGTTCTAACTGCAAAATATAACAATTCCAATTGTACACTTGAGCACTGGATAACTGAACAGTTAGTAAGTCCCCCTTGTCTACTGTGAGTTGGATTTTTAGACAGGACTCTATTTATCATAGGGTTCCAATAAACCCCCACTCCAGTAAGAAGCTGTGATGATGGCTTAATGTCAACTCAGGCCCCAGTTCTCCAGCTGTTTTAATATTCCTCTTACTTCAGTGTACAGTGACCCAAGTAAATGGACACAGCTCCCCTTGGGAAGGACTGGGGGAGTCATTACAGTATGTAATTGCCACGATGCTGCAAAGTCCTCTTACAAGGGACCAGGCCACTCTGTTAGTCAATGGGATCCAGATTTGAAAACTGGCTCAGGCCTGAGAAACTAGCAAGATCTCATTACTTTTTATTGGAGCAATTGCCCTCATCCCTCTGCTCCTCCATTATTTCCTTTTTTGGTCATAGATGTTAAGCAGCATACTTCTTAGCTATTCATCTCTTTTGCCCCTGGAGATGTTATGCTCTATTAACCATTTCCATAACTCTGTGAGGAAAAAGCCTCCTTAGCTGGTTCCATGGCCTTGCCTGTAATTATTGTAATTGCAGTCTCCTGGCTTCTGGTGATTATACACTGTCACCTGGCTTCTATTGGTGGGGGAATCATCCTCATGGATGTTAATGAGCTCAGCTCTGTGACAGCTGTGACTATCTTCAGCACTGGCCTGAAGAGGGGAGCTACAACTGAACGTCTTGATGATACTGGTCCTCCTTTCAACAGAGCATACCTAATGTCATTGGTGAATGATAGAACCTTGCACCGTTCCTGTGGAACCTAGCCTTCAGGTGGGTCTCTTGCCTTTGGTAATATATCCATTCTAGCATAACAAATGACCTCAGCCTCTTTGTTCCTTTCTCTGTTAGCTGTTAGGGTAGCTCAGGTGTTCTCACTCACTGAGCGTAGGCCTTTGCTTTCCTAAGATGCTAAAAACTACCGTAAGATGAAGTTTGCTTCATCTTCTGAACACTAAGTTGTTAAATTCTGCATCCCCAAGAAATAATCCAAACTGAAAAAAATTCTTGCTTATCTAGTCTTACACTCAAGCCCCCTTAGTCAAGTCTGCTCAAATTCTAACCTGGGGGTTGTTTTTGTTTTCTGAATCTTACCTGTATAAACAAGCTAATTCTTGCAACTCTTTTGTCATATAGTCTGTTTCATTATCACTTATGAGGCCAGCACCTCTCTGGCCAGGTTGGAGAGAGATTGTTGTGCTGAACGTTTATTAACATGAATAGGGAAGGTACCAGGTTCAAGAGGCCCAAGAAGAGACCAGAGCGAGCAAATGAGACATGGGGTTTTACTGGGGGATTACATACAGGGGAGAAAGTCCAGTGGCAGTGGGTGGAACAGGAGAACCACCTCTGTCCCTCCAGTCCAGGGGCCATGGGCTGGACAACATATCTACCTTCCTACAGTCCAGTGCCCGCAGACTGGTCAGGAAAGCTGCAACCGCTTGCCAATAGCAAGCAGTTTATACAACATTTTCACTTAACGCCTTCCCTGTAATAACCTCCACCTGGCAACCTTCATCCAACCCAAAACTCAGGACCTCACTCTCCTGTGCAGCTTGTGTTCCACAGAAACCTGGGAGGCGGGGGGTGTCAGATGTTCCTCATACATGAGGAACAAATCTCTGGGTTGGCCACACCCAGATTCCCTAGCTTGGGACACACATTCAGGTGCGTCTGCCATACAAGGTCATTCTAAGGATATGATTAAGTTATTGCCATCAGGGGCATTTACCCTACAGTGATATGGCCCTGGTGGCTGCTGGAAGAGGTAATGAGGGTAGCTCCTGTGAGATTCACCCGTTACATGGCAGGTGGGGGAGGGGTGTGTCATTCTGCAGCCTCTTCTATGGTGATAGAAACTCTAGCTCATATTAGCGAAGGTGGGCTACCTCTTCAAATTCAGAGGGGTTTTGGGGGTCTGCAGAGCTAACATCTCTAGGTGCATTCACCTAGATCTCTTCATTTCATGTTGGAGGATCCTATATTTTCCTCACCAAGGCCCTGGTCTTTGCATAAAACACCCACCTTGGCTGAGCATTCAAAATTTTTTGGATCCTGACTGCTACAATTATTCGTTCAGCCTGTCTCTCAGCTATTTCTCCCGCTGCACTACAGGTGATAAAGGTCTCTCTGTTGCTTGACTTTCCAACTCAGTCATTAACTACTTGTTAGTAGTCCCTGGTCTGTCATCTCTCTGTAGGTTATCACTATAATTGAGCGATTTAGCTATAACCAGCTAACTGATGTGTTTTTGAAGGCATTGTTTGCCCCTCAAACACTGTATCTTTACAATGTCTGAATCATTGCATCAGCCACTTCATTTCCCATCACCAGGACATATTTTCAGGTCACCACCAGTGAGATCTCTAGCCACTGAGCTGCACCTGGTGCTAAGTACTATCTATGCCCTACCTACCAACCAGATTGGAATCCTCTTGACAGTTGAATAGTGACTGTGCCAGTTCCAAATCCCCATCTTACTATCTACTTTCTTGGATCTCTTTTGCTAGCACTATGTTGGCCCAGGTTCTCAAAAGGCAGATGCCAAGACACGATTAAATGTCTATGGTATTTATTGAGGAGAAATGCTTGTGAGAGAAAGTAGAGAAGGAGCCAGAAGAGGTTTGACCAGGTCGGGCCATGTTGTAGGCCTGAACCCTGCGAAGGAGAGTGGAGAGGAAGGAAAGCCTTAGACTGCAGGGTAGCTCTAAGACAGTTTTAGAAGAGACAACAGAGAGTTAAGTCAAATTCACCCTTCAGAGGAGCCCTGCTTCTCCCAGGAGGCCTGTATGATTATCCCTTGTACAGTGTGTCATCGTCCGGAAGTTCCTGTGACAGGCACATTTCCTGGGTGCAGATGATGAATTTCAGAGCACAGTGGTTGGGGACACTGCTTAATTTTTCTCCTCAGAGTAGGAGATGTAAGAGGTGGATTCTGAAGGCACCACACATGCGCAGAAGTCTCACTGCTCTCTACTCACGGTGCTTCTCTCCTTGTAAAGTATGTATTTAGGGGTCTTGGGTTACTGTTCACGCCACTCCCAGTGTGTTTTAGGATCTTAATCCCTGTGCTGAGTCTTGAGTATTCTTGAACCTCTTTCTGCCAAGAAGGAAAATAGCTTTCCCCTCTAGGTCCCAGGTCTTTCAAGTGGGAGGTGCATAGAAAAAAATTGTTGGGTGGGGTGTGGTGGCTCATGTCTGTTTGTAATCCCAGCACTTTGGGAGGCCGAGACGGGTGGATCACTTAAGGTCAAGAGTTCAAAACTAGCCTGGCCAACATGGTGAAACCCCATCTCTACTAAAAATACAAAAAAAAAAGTTAGCCAGATGTGGTGGCCAGCACCTGTAATCCCAGCTACTGGGGAGGCTGAGCTGAGGCAGGAGAATCGCTTGAACTCGGGAAGCAGAGGTTGCAGTGAGCCAAGATTATGCAACTGCACTCCAGCTGGGGAGACAGAGGGAGACTCAGTCTCAAAAGGAAAAAAAAAAGAAGAAAATAAAAAGAAAAGATTATTGGGCATCATCAGTAGGCACGAGTCTTTTGTATCTATCACAGCCTCTCAACACATTGACTCCAAAAATGCGTGAGTTCCACTCTAGTACATACCTGTGTCCTTGGGCATGTGTTCCTGTGCCTGTTTGTAGGTGAGGGCCAAGCAGGTGTCACATGCCATATGACTATAGCTCATTTTGACATCATGGCCTTACCCTTCTAGCAACTTAACCAAATCTATCAGGTTTCTCCCACTGGTCTTCCCCTAACCCCACACTTGTGTAGTAACTTTACATGCAGTCTTCCTTTGCAAGCTGCTCTCCCACCTCCTCCCCAGTATGTTAATATATGAACATATTTTATCATGTTTGTTATATAGGTAACCCCCAACTTGTTTATCTTCTTATTACGGGACTTTGGAAATCAAAGACTATGACCAATTACCTAACTAACGAGTTCCTTGATATTTCATGACAATATAGAAGGTCCCTGAAGAGTATTTGACATAAAATATCCTTGTTTGTCCAGAGCAAAGACAGAAACACTATGGAAAACCATTGCCTAATTTCCCTGATTAGGACCTTACAACCTTATCCTTATGCTAGCTATAAAATGCATACAATGCAAACTCTCATTAATATAAAATAATTTTTGGAGATCTATTGCTTCACTAAAACATTTACTCAAATAACATGAATGAGAGTCTGTTTTTTGCTTGGTATGACTTCCTTGTTTCATGTTCACTCATTTTTTAAAAAATCTCATACTGTGCCATAATCCATATTGATTTGCACCACAATGGGAACATTCAACATTCAACATCAAAAGTTTTATAATACATATAAAATATTATTTTATCTGACAATTACTACAAGATTCCAAAAACAGAATCTTTCTCGCTTGAATTTCTATTATTCTAACATTTGTTCCTAATTTGATGATGCAAATATTGATAAGGGACTTCAGGAATCTGTAGTCTGTTTCCTCTTTGAAATTTCTATTCTAGAGTGAAACGGAAAGATGTTCCTGGCATGAAGAAAATAACTTCAAATCTATAATCATGAATCCCTATACAAATAAAAGCTATTTTTTATTACTAATTCAACTTATAAAGTAATACTGAAAATAGAGTACTGCATAACTATTAAAATAATTCACTGTATATTAGTGGTTATCAAACTTTAGTACAGGGAAGAGTGCTATACTGAAGTGGCTATATAAAATGCAGATGTCCTGAAACCACTTCTCAAAACTTCCATTTAGTAGGTTTGCTGTGGGACTCAGGAATCGGCATTCTTAACACCCACTCTAGATCATTCTGGTGCAAGTAGTGGTCAATAGTCATCATATAGAGAGCTATGACAAATGATTTTATATCCATAAACTGGTTAAATTTTTAGAAGAAAGAAACCCTGGCAAATGGCTATAAATAACATCCTAATCTTGAAGATGACAAATTAGAATCTCAGAGTTTTTAAAGATTATATCAAAGTCACCCACCTTGAAGTCTCTGCCAGGACCCAAGCTGATGCCCTTCCCATCACTGCTTCCTGATTGGCACATTATTATATAGATAAAAGGTTGATTTGACAGAATTCACATTTTAAAGTGTTATAGAAGTCAGTAATTTTTGCTATGATACTCATGAAAAAGTTTATTATTTTGCACTTTAAATGATTACTCTGTGGTTATGTTGACACACATATTAGCATGGATTATTAATTTTCTAAGTGTTACTTTGATAGGCAGAAATATCATTATGTATCTCCATAAAAGTTTTGCATATGAGAAACGCTTGTTCTATACATTCTTCAGCAACCTCTTGAAGACACAAATCAAAGTATCTTACTTGCAACATGAAAGCTTGAAATAATATATAGTGTTCAAGTCCAACTAATTCAACCTAAATCTACATGGGATGTATATTCCTTCTCTTGAGACTCTAAAGAATTTTTAAAAGATGAAAAGACAACTTATCCCTCTTTTCAACTTATATCCTGGTAGATACTGTGGTTTCTCTGGATAGACATGGAAGTCAAATTTTAACATATGGTCCATATGCATTTCTAATTAAAATGTTCAATGTCAAGTACTAGAGATTCTTCTTTCCATAAATTACTCTGCATTTTTTTTCATATTCCAAGCTTAGAATTTTTGGAAAATATTATTTGGATGTGTACTTTCATCAGGGAATAATATTTTTTGGCCCAAAGTTTTTCTTATTGATGTCAAAGTCTTGGCTTACACTAAAACTAGGAAAGTCACAATTGCCCCGCGGCAGCATATATGAGTTTGGAAGCAGAAAATGGAGATGTTAAGTCATGTTGCTATGATAATAGAATAGAGAATAAAGTAAGAAAAGCGAAGTGGAATAATGTGAAAAGAAGGCATGCTGGACTATCTTAGAATTGGAAAATTATAAAATAATAAATATAATACTAGAAACGATTGTTGACTCATATATTTACAGTTTGACTTTAAAAAGTCACTTAATTTTCTTCTTAGTACTTTTCATACTTCGTACTTTATATCTTACTGTCACTCTCTCAGTCCAGCTACCACCAAGAAAAACATATTAACAAAATGCTTATAACTGTAATTTCCTCAGAAAAGTAGGCTTTTTCTTTCTGTTACTTGTAACAATTTGCATAGATATAAAAATTGCAGTGATAACTTTGAGTGTAAATTGTAATTCAAATCTTAGTAATTTTTATAAAGACCTTGCATTTTACTTAAACAACACTATCCCACTACAATCAGAGAGAAATAGAAGTTGAGAAAGAAGGGGACAAGTTTTAGGAATGTGGTAAAGGATGACCTGGAGCACAGGATGGAATGAGACAGCACAGCAGTCCGAAATGGGTAATGGCTCAAAGATAGAGTGAGGATTCCTTTTCATCCTTTTAGAATAAATAAAATTGAATTTGAAAATGTAACAGTAAGGTTTGTTAAAAATCTCCCAAATCAATAATAATATTACATTCTTTTCTCCTTGTCTAGACTGAGGCTTTTCTTAGCTCTGAATCTGGGCAAACACCATTCTCTCTTCTAAGAACTTAATTCTTTTTTGCCTTTACCTTCTTAGACCCCATACCTACACTGTAAGGTATAAGAAGATATCAATTGTATTCAGAGGGTTGCATTTTCTAAATAGAGTAGGCAATCAATAGATATTTGTTGAATTGCCTCTAGTGGGATGCCCTTCCCCCACACATCTTTTCTCACCGTGGACTTCTTTCCTACCTGGCTCCAAAGTTCAGGAATTACAATCCAGTTTTTTTCTCTTTTTAGATTAGACCAACTTGTCCCAAAACTTTGTGCTATAGAAAATGACCTTAAAAGATACTCTGAAAAGAAAAAATAATTATTCCAGAGTTAAATAGGTTTGGGAAATGTGTTATCCAGTATTTTTTCTCCCAGAAAGTCATGCTGTACTTTAATGTAAAAGATTCTACATTCCGTATTAAAGAACGCCAACTAACCTTATATGACCTACTGTTTTACAGCCTTATTAAATCTTAGATTCCATTCCCCATGACATTTTCTGACATTCTACAGAAGAACTATGTCATAAATTCATCACTTTGGCAAAAGTTTGAGTTAAACAACATCTAACTATTGATTTGGATCAAGATGCTTTCCCAGCATATATGCATATCCAGTAATCACAACCTGAATTCTAACCCCATTTCCACAACTTACTAACCATGATACCTTAAGCTACGAAAATTCATAAAACTCTGTGGAGATTAGTTATCTCCTTCTGCAGCATTACCTGACCTGCTGTTGTGAACTGAATGATGGTCCCCAGAACAGATATGTCTATGTTTAACTCCCAGAATCTGTCAATGTGACCTTATTTGAAATTTTTAGAGGTAATTAAGCTGCGTATCTTGAGATGTGATCATACCGGATTACCCTTGATGGGTCCAAAAGCCCATAACAAGTGGCCTTATAAGTGACAGAAGAGAAGACAGATATAGAGAAGTTTATATGAAAGAAGAAGCAGAGACTAAAGTCACAAACAAGTGAATGCCTAGAGGCATGAGAAGCTGAAAGAGGAAGGGACAGATTCTCCTCTAGAACCTCCAGAGGCAGTGTGGCTCTGGCAGCACCTTTGTTTCAGACTTCTGGCTTGTGCAACTGTGTGACAGAATAAATTTCCATTGTTTTATGCCACCAAGTCTGTGGTAATTTGTTACAGTAACTTCAGCAAACTAATTTACCTGCTTATATCACCAAAGTAGTTGAGACCATCACAGGGCACAATGCATATGAAAGCCATTATTTTTGGATATTAATATGAAATATGAATATAGCTAATATTTATTAATTGTCCAGGAAAGGAAGAAACACTGGAAATCTGACATTGTACACTGAATAAGAAGCAGTGAGGGTCACTGCATATCTGATATTGAGCACTCAACAATCGTTTACAAACAACTTTGCCTGTTTTTCCTTTTCTCCCAGGAGGAGTTTTCATGGAGAAAAAAGTGTTGATTTTAGAAAAATACTATTGGAAAGCAATATTAATAGTAGATATAGCATAAATAAAACTTATTGTGTAACTAATAGTTTCAGGCATATTACATAAATTAGATCACTTAATTCTTACATTTACCCAGGAAAATATTCTTTGTCACTCATAGATCAACCAGAAAATTTTGTTATTAGTGGTAGTTTTTATGTTGGTAGCTGTAATAGCAATACTCATAGCAATAACTGTTTATTGAGAAACTACGTTATGATATACACTTTATGAAATACACTGCTCTAAACCTTTATATTTTTATGTAGAATCTTTACTTTTCATATGAGAAAAATGAAGTTCAGAGAGGTTATATAACTAGCCCAGAATCAACCAGATGGCAAGTTCTTAACTGGAATTTGAACAAAAGTCTTGCCAAATTTCTATGATATCAAGTCAAATTTATTTTAACCCACGTTTACTTTTAAAGGTAAACTTTGGTAGCTTATTACAGTGTGTTACAAAAAAAAAAAAAAACAGTTTAATGCCAGGAAGGCCAAATACTGAGCTATAGGGAGGACCAATGAAAGAAAATTCTAAATATGCAGATACAAATACAAGTATTATGTTCTTTTCGGACAGACAGACAGACAGACACACACACACACATACACACACGCAGACAAATACCTCTGTATTGTAACTGGTTACAAAATATTTTCATGACTATACCAGCAAGTTACAAAAATAAAAACTTTCTACCTGGAGCTGTGGCTCACGCCTCTAATCCCAGCACTTTGGGAGGCCAAGGAAGGTGGATCACCTGAGGTCAGGAGTTTGAGACCAGCCTGACCAATATGATAAAACCCCATCTCTACCAAAAATACAAAAATTAGCTGGGCATGGTGGCGGCGCCTCTAATCCCAGCTACCTGGGAGGCTGAGGCAGGAGAATCGCTTGAACCCGGGAGGCGGAGGTTGCAGTGAACAGAGATTGCGCCACTGCACTCCAGCCTGGGCGACGGAGCGAGACTCTATCTCAAAACAACAAAAAACAAAAAACAAAAACCTTCTGCTATCACCAAATACCAGAAAATAACTCTTTGCAACTGCCTTTCTTGCAAGACTTATTATTCTTAGTGATGTAGCTTATTTAGAAATCTTGTCCTGTAACTATGCATTGGCCATGAAACAATCAACCAGGCCTTTTCCCTTTCTTAATTTTGACTATAGGACTTAAATATTCTCATCAATATCTTGTTCTCTTTTACATCCTTACTATGTTTATCTTTTTGTTTATTTAATCCACGTTATCTTTTTACTTTTCTTACAGAAGATGATACAGACCATTTAATATTTAAAGGCCTTACTTTTTTTTTAATTGAGTGCAAGGTTTTGCTTTTTAAATTTTTGCTATATTCTTACTTCATAATGAGTAATATTCATGACCAAACTATTTAAGTTTTTAAATTATTTGTACTTCTTACAGGAAGAATGTTTTGTTTATGCATATATGAATGCATACATTAAATAAATATGTTTTTTGTTACTGCATTAGGGAAAAAGCTAGTATGAGCCAAAATAGAGGCTGTCAATCTTGCACATTGTAATCTGAAAATCAAAATGCTCTATTTTCTGAGATAAATTTTTCATCTTTACAACTCTGCTCTAATTGTAGATGTAATTCAAATGCAAAAATCAAATCAAGCAAATTTATCTTGAAACAGAGATTTGTGGAATCACTTCTTTATGTTTAGGATTCTTTGTAAAAAACCCTCCTAAGTAGATTATTTCTCTTTTATTTATTTTTGAGGGGGATGAGAGTTTTTTTCTTTGCATACCACAATGAGAGAAAATAAGTACTTCATATGATTTGCTTCAGTTTATGCAGTCATTTTTAAAAATTGTGATTATACTGTATGTCAATAAGAGCACACTGTAGATCAAAAAGGGATATCTGGGTGTACTTAATGACAGAGAATGCTATTACATTCTTATTGTTTTCTTCTTTAACTGAAAAATCTTCTTGAAGTATGAAATTGCCCTGCTGGCCACTGACAAATTTTTACAATATATCTAATTACTATATGTGGAAGAAAACCTGCCCAGAGACATTCCAAAACAATACACAAAACATTGGCTTCCCACTGTTCTCTGCATTGAACGGATTTATTGGCAGCTACGTAAGTATCTTATTATTTTACTCTGAGAATAAAAAATATATTTTTCTCAATTTAACTCCAAAGGTCTCAGCAGAGTCTGTGTAACAATTTATTTTTAAACTGGCTATGTGTGTCACTCTTTTCTCTGAAAACAATGACACAAACATGCACATATATGACTTTGAAAATAATTTAAAACTTAGGTCCACCCCAAATCATTTCACTCTGTCAAATGTCTCTTTCCCTTTCCCTAAACAAATACCTTTGGAAAATCAATTAGTTCCTTGAGCTTCAGTTGTGTTATATTTTATAAAAACACTGTCATACACTGAATTATTACTCAGACATCTTCCAGGTCTAAAGTTCTAGAAGGCAGAGTTGCAAATCATGCAAAACACTTAGGCAGGCATCAGGCTTCAAAAAACAGGAAGGAAAAGTTTATTTGTAGATCCATTACTGCTTCCTTCCTTCCTTTCTTCCCCTCTCCCTTCTTTTCTCCCTTCGTCCTTCCTTCTTCCATCATTCGCTTCTTCTCATTTTCTCTCTAGGACTCCCTGAGTAGCTAAACAAAGGAGAAAAATTCCCACATAAGATGAATTTTTAAAATGTCCGTCATTGAGTATGTGTGCTATTATTTAATTTTTCTGTTGCTTCTAGCAATGTTTAGGCCTTCGATCCAATCTTTTGCCACAGAAGATATAATTTTAAAATATTACAAATAATTATGTTTCAGTTACGCTTACTATAATAAAAATACTTTTCTCTGTCCTTTTTAAGGCAACTTTAAGTTAAGTATTATAAGTATTTGACCTGCTTTTAAATTTTCACAGCTATAAGAGGAACAAATATTATTTAAATTATAATATTATTATTTGTGGTGATAATACAAGTAAACAAAAATAATAGCTAACATTTATTGAATACTGGTTATGTTTGAGGTACTATTATGTTAAACATTTTATGTAAGTAAGTAATTTTTTCATCAAGGTTAAAAGAAGAGCTGCAGTGTAGCATGGTTAAATAACTTGTTCAAGATTTTATAACAATTCAGTTGTAAAAGGGTCTATAATCAAAACCACTATGCTAGAGAAACATAAAGTAGAAAATAAAAGTTATCAGCCATACTAGGAACCACTGTTAATATGTACAAAATGAGCCTCGGTGCTGAAAACCACTGGTAGTGGTGTCATGACGTGCAGGTCATTGTGAAGCCCATTGTTGGTGGTGTCCCAGCGTGAAGGGGCCACTGTGGTGGTCTGTCCAGTGGGTCCTCTAGAAGGGAGCATTCCTGTTCCGAAGAGCTCATGCACTTAACCAGAAAGACCATCATTAGGGTATTACTTGGGGTAAGGCTGGGCATGGTGGCTCATGCCTATACTTCCAGCACTTTGAGAGGTCGAGGTGGGAGGATCACTTGAGCTCAGGAGTTTGAGACGAGCCTGGGAAACATAGCGAGACTCTGTCTCTACAAAAGATAAACAACAACAACAAAAACAAACAAACAAAAACTTAGCCATATGTAGAGTGGCTCATGTCTGTAGTCCCAGCTACTTGAGAGGCTGAGGTAGGAGGATCACTTGAGCCTGGAAGGTCGAGGTTACAGTGAACCATGATTGCACCACGGCATGCCAGTCTGGGCAACAGAGTGAGACCCGAGCTTAAACAAATAAATAAATAGTATTACTTGGGGTAAATGGTGCTATATAGGCCACCTAGTGCAGATAATCATTAAGATAGACAAGCGTTAAGCCGTTAATAGTTATTTGCACTTTGCAAATACTACAAAAACAAAATTAGCTACCATATATTGAACACTTATTATGTTTCTGGTTGTGCTAAGCAATATGAGTGTATTCGTGAGTGCGTGTCTGTGTTTTTTGCATTTGTGGGTGTATGTTCATGTATGTATGATTGTATTTTTATTAAGTCTGTAAAGTTACCTCACTTTATAGAGGAAAAAATAAGGCTTAGAGATCATAAAAATTGTACCAAAAATTATTTGCCTCACTGGTAGCACAGTAGAAGGAAAATGTAATTTGGATTCAGGTATATTTAAATATTTCTCTGCCACCTTCTAGGTATAAACTTGTGCCAGTTTCTTACTTGCATAAGTAAGAAATATTTAATATCATACTTAATATCTGTTTCTACCTTAATGAAGTTCAGATAGAAACATCTAACTTAATTAGGTTGTATACAATGTAATGAGATACTGTATGTAAAACTATATAGTGCATTGCATACAGAGAGTAGACCTTGTTTCCATATTTCCCAAGTCCAAGTACTCTGCCTCCAAATGCACGAGCAAATATATTTAACTTCCTAGTATTCTAAGGAATTATGTGGGAAAGGATTACATCGAAATAGGAGATAAGTGTTGGTAATAAATTATTTCCTCAACAATCAGTTTAAGTGAAAAATTACCGTTGTGTTCATTTACTGTGCCTTTCTTCTAGAGAAGCAGCATCCGTAGGCAAGACCACACCATCACTGCAGAGCCACTGCTTGTGACTAGTGTGTGCATCGGGGGCACTGCTTGTTTACTTACAATATGCAGCAGGACACGAAGACTGAAGACACCACAGTTTGCCCACATTTCACACTCACTACATACTTAGAAATATTGAAGTCATCTCCCAAGCTTCACCAAGAGCATCAAGCTCAAGTAAAATGGGCTTGATAAATTCAGTGATAATTTGAAAGCTGTGTCAAAAGCACATTTTGCTGAAATGGAAATACTAATAAAACTGAGGACTCAGAGGGAGCCCATTATCCTCCTCACCAAGTTTGCAGAAAAACTGCCTCTCATTAGTTTTCATCCCTTGGTGGATTCAGGCTATTTTTACAGTCTGAGTTTGAAAAAAGTGTCTAGGACTACCTGCCAAGGAGGAGCAGGAGCTTTGTTCGAGCAACTCGCTCATCACATGAGGTAATGGGACATCTGCTTGGACAGTCTGAGCTGAGATAGCAGATGCTGCTGCAAACTAAGTATTTGGAGAAACAACAACAAAAATAAAGAGAAAGCAACTTTAAAACAATCCCTCTTCGGCACAGATTCACAGGCTGCTGCCAAAGACTCTCAGAGAGCTGTCTGCACATCCCAAACATGATGGGGCAGCTCTGATGCATAGCAGATCTCAAGGCTAGCTGAAAGGATTAGCTGAAAAGAACTTAAAAAAATACGGCCAATTCGTTGCAACATTAGAACATTCAAAGTGATATTCTTAACTGGTGTAACTTCTGGCAAATGGCAAACCTTGCTTTATGGCTGTGTTCAGCAGAAAAGGGTTATACAATCCTTACTAAGGTTGAGAATTGCCAGATATCATTCCACCTCTATTCTTTGTGGGCCTCCTTTTTCTGGCAGTTTCATGTTCTATACCTGGAAGAATTTTAAACTAAGCAACATATTTTTCTTTAATTTTTAATCTGCCCCTCAGACTGTCCATCCATGAATCAATTTCTCCTTCCATTCTTCCACCCATCCATTTATCCATCCATCCATCCACCCATCCACCCATTACAATTGTCTGCCATCAAACTGTATATTTAGGCTTGTTTTCACTTCCTAGTTATATTAATTCAAATTATATATTTTAAAACAAGTCATTTAATATGTTGATGTATTCATTTTTGGGGTATTAATGAGAGTTAGTCAAAATTAGTTTTAATTAATGAAGACTATTATATGTACATGTATCTACAGAAAGCAGAAAAAGATAGTAGCCACTTTTACTGATGTAAGATGAGCTCTCACTGTGCTTTTGATTTGCATTTCCTTGATAATTAGCGATACTGAACGTATTTTCATATACCTGTTGGCCGTTTGCATGCCCTCATATGGCTATTGACATAAAGAGAAACTGACAAGTGATGGCATGAATGTGGAGAAAGGGGAATACCTGTATACTGTTTATAGAAGTGTGAATTAGTACAGCAACTATGGAAAACAGTATGAAGTTTCCTCAAAAGACTAAAAATTGAACTACCATAGGCTCCAGCAATCCCACTCTTGGATGTGTATCTAGAAGAAAGGAAATCAGTATATCAAAGAGATATCTGCACTTCAATGTTTACTGCAGCATTATTAACAATAGCCAAGATAATTAATCAACTTTAGTGTCCATCATTGGATAAATGGATACAGAAATGTGTTATGTATACACAATGCAATATTATTCAGCCATAAAAAGAATCCAATCCCGTCATTCGCATCAATGTGGATGCAACTAAAGGACCTTATGTGAAGTGAAATAAGACAGACACAGAAGGACAAATTTTGTGTGTTCTCATATGTGGGAACTAGAAAAATCTGATCTCATAGAGATAGAGTAGAATGATGGTTACCAGAAACTGGGAAGGGTAGGGGGAAGAGGAGATGAAGAGAGGTTAGTTAATGGGTAGAAAATACAGTTAGATAAGAGGAATAAGTTCCAGTGTTCCAAAGCACAGTAGGGCGAGTATAAGTAATAAGAATTTACAGTATATTTCAAAATAGCTAGAAGAGATGATTTGGAATGTTTCCAACACAAAGGAATGATGAATGGTTGAGGTGATGGATACCCTAGTTATGCTGATTTGATCATTACACATTGTACACATTTATCAAAATATCACATGTATCCTGTAGATACACATAAATATTATGTATCATTTTTTAAAAAAGAAATAAAAACAGAAAGAGAGCACTAGCTTTTTTTCCAGGCAAATATTAGACATTCTATGTTTAAGGTAGCTTTACAACTGTGCTTTCTCAGAGAATGCCTTTTTTTGCAAGTTAACCTTGCATTCTGTCTAGTTTACCGTTTGTTCTAAATTTTTCATTTTTAACATTTATATTAAAATAAGCTTGAATGGGTTTGGCATCTCCCACACTGTACTTTGAGTTTCTGTTGTGGTTTCAAACAGTCCTATGTGAGATACCTGGGCAGTAAAAAGGATTCTTATTTTAACATGTGGTTCTAAGCATAAGCTGATTAGTAATGATAAAATAATAGTAACCATCCTCTCCCCCACATTGCTTTATAGACAAAGATTAACTAAACCTCTCTAAAAGGAAGCATAAAATGCTTGCTGATGAAGTGAAGTGCTCTCAGCTATATATGAACTGTCTAGGGACTGCTAACTCCTGATGCCCAGTGCTGGTAGGAGATTTTTTTTGTCTTAGTTTGGTTTGTTTGGTGACCTGCTTTTATTTTGTTAGGAAGGAAACAACTGAGGGCCCAGCCATATACCGATACTCCTGGGGTGAAAATGCTAAAAATCCAGTTATTATATCCAGGCCACTTCCCATGTAGATTCCTTCTTTCTTAGACCACACAAATAAGCCCCATTTTACTGCTTATTTTTAGCAAACCATCACCAAAAATGTATTGTAATATGACAGCCAGGCAAAGTGTACCCTTAAGTAGTACTTTCACACACGCCCAAATGCAGGAAATCTCAAGTTCCTTGCTACTGTGGAAAGCCCAATAAAGTATGGAGAGGATAGATTTGCTATTTAAAAAAAAAGGCATTTATAAACAGGAAGATATGATATTGGAGAGATAAGAGTAAACAAAGAAAAACCGATCCTAGAACTAATGTTCCCTCCCCTTCATGATGACTGAGCCCGAGAGAGTCATCTAATATCTACACAGAGTATGTATACCTTGTTGGCAGGATGGGGGAAAGTAGGCAGCCCTAGGGAAGCCCTTCATCAGTGAGGTGAAGAGAAAAGGAAGCAAGGCAGATTGCTGTGGCTTGGGATTTATGTTATTATAGGATGTTTGGAAACCAGACTTGAAGCTGGTGCAACAAGCTTTTAGGCCAGTGTGACTCCAGGTGAGACAGAGACATGCTGGACATCATATTCCTCAATCTCCCACCAGTACTGGGTCATATTATTTGGGTCAAATAAATAGTTAGGCCCTTGTTGTCCATTAAAATGATCCATAGTCTTAAGGTTGAGAATCATATGTAAGATATAGGTGAAAATAAAGAGTCCTGACAAGGGATCAGCAGCCCCATCTAGAGGCCTGGGGAGAAGAAACCAGGATACTCCATTGTAACCAAGGATCAAGATCAAAGAATTTGCACTGCCAAGATAGTCAGGTTTTAATGTCTAAAGAGTACAGTGTAAAGGCATTCCCTCAAATTAAAAGGATGTGGTATTGCCTAAAAGATCATGAAGGTGTTAGTTTGCCAGTAATCACAGTGATTGAGGAACATGGGAAAATATAGTTAAGTATACATGAAACATGCATGATAAATAAGGGTTGAGCAGCTGTGCTGTAGGGTTTACAAAGAACACTTTAAGCGTTCTTACTACAGTCATTTAGTTACACATTGTGCAATGTAGACCTATAATCATATATATAATTATATAAATATGTACATACAATTAGTATTTTTAATGTTGTAATGAATTCTTTCATTAACATGCCCAAATTTTTTCAAAATTGTATGTTTAATGAAAAACTTAAGACAAAATATTTGTTGACATGAATCAACCAATATAAAGGCTGCACTGATGAAATAAAAACCAAGACAATGCTGACAAAGCATCAACCAGTAATTTAAAGTTTAGTAATTATTCTTAGAAGATTGTAGCAATGATTTAACATGGCCTACTGCAGAAAGCATATATAAAGCATTCTGTCTGCATGGTTTTTGGTGTGTATTAAATACTTTTCTAAATTAATGTTGCTTATCTTTTGTTCAAAGTGTGTATGTATACGCACAGATGTATGAAAATGGATGCAATAGCCATGAATTATATTAACAGAAAATTTTTCAAACTCTTTTATATCTGCATCATCAGATGCTTCCAAAAGAAAATCAACACATTCTAACAACAATTAATTTTTTCCCATTCCAAGTCACAGAATCAAGAATTCACTTTTAAAGAATTATTCACTGAAAATGAAACCTCTGAAATTAGTATGTGTGCTATTATAAATTCAATGAATTATTTCATATTAAGATAAGGTATATGTGTTTGCAGTGATAATGCAAATACATATATGAAAGAGCATGGCAATGAAGTAAAAACCATGTCTTACTAAATTGGAAAACTTGGTACTGGTTTGAAGAAGCACATAATTCATAATTTTTGCCAAGCAATAAAAGCTCTAGTTGACTCACAGTTCAGCATGGCTGGAGAAGCCTCAAAAAACTTACAATCATGGCAGAAAGTGAAGGGGAAGCAAGGCATCTTCTTCACAAGGCAGCAGGAAGGAGAAGTGCTAAGTGAAGGGGGAAGAGCTCTTTATAAAGCCATCAGATTTTGTGAGAATTCCCTCACTATCATAAGTACAGCATGGAGGAAACCACCCCCATGATATTATCTCCACCTGGTGTCTCCCTTGGCATGTGGAGATTATGAGGATTACAATTCAAGATGAGATTTGGGTGGGGACACAAAGCCTAACCATATCATGTGCATAAATACATGTAATTTCTTGAACATGTTTTTTAAATAGCACAACTTTACAAGACCAATGATATATTACAGTATTTTGCTAATCAGTATTTCAAAATTATATAATTTTGATTGCTTTAAATGCCCCCTTTTACCCTCAAAGATGTCATAGTTTGTATAATTCTATAGTTACTGTATTTGATATGTTAACCTTTGAAATTGCCAGATCCCATGAGGTAAATGTATCATATATATTTTAACTGTAAGAAAATTAACACTGAGAGAAGATAAATAATTTCTCTAAAGATTTACTCTAAAATCTTTCCTCTAACCCATGATTACTGTGTTTCCTTTAAACTGAATGATTGCTTGATTTATTAAATCTCTAAAGAAGCGTTTATTCAGGGGGGCTACAAGACGGCATGCTGTATTCTAGGTTACAGAGTTTGAAAGTGACAAAGTACAATTACTTCCTAACAAAAGCTCACAGTCTAATGAAGAAGACTTAAATATAAGGTGGGAATATTATAATGGGCTTGTGGAGATAAATCACGGGTGTTTATGTATGATCTAGTTAATCTTTACAGCAAGTGGGGTTGGGAAAGAAGTAATGATTAAGCCATATGTTTTTTGTCTCTGTTATTATTTTTTCCAGTAAAATATCAAACAAAAATTGCAGATTGCATGAAACATGTATATATGTATATGTACAATTTTAAAAAAATTATACAGAAAGCACATATTGAACTACCACGCAAGTTAAGTAATATATTGACAGAAGCTCCGAAGTCTCCAGGATCCCAACCAACAATTATACTAACTTTTTTTGAACCTTAATAGTTTTAACATATATGTATATGTAACAATAATATACTTTTCTCTGGTTTTGGACACTTCATACATGGAATCATACAATAATGTAAAGGTTTTCTTTTCTAAGACCTTGCCATACACTTTGGAATAGGCCTGTGAAAATACCTACCAATTTCACTCTGCATGATTATGACCATCTAGAGCGTGGCAGATGAATTTCTTCTCACTACCTTCTTTTGAAGGCTGAAGTGAGAAAAATCACAATATTACTATGAATTGTCACCATTACCATCCATGGGAGAATTGTTAGAACTATACCAGGCCCTGATGAAAAAATAGCTTGTAGTATAAGTAACATGTAGCCTTGGCTCAAACGAAGTGGTTGTGTACTGAGGATAAATTCGCTATTTATCACTGTGTACTGTGTACTGAGGATAATTCACTATTTATATTTGCTACAGTTTGAACGTGGCCCCTCCAAAACTTATGTTGGAACTTAAAACCTTGTGGTTTTAAGGTACCTTGTGGGAGGTGTTGTAGTGGTATTAAGAAGTGAAATGGCCTTTTGGGAAGTGATTAAGGCTCTGACCTCAAGAATGGATAAGTGCCTTATACAAAGGGCTGGTGGGAATTAGCTTAGGCCCTTTTTGCCCTTATGCTTCCACCATGTGAGGACTCCAAGAGAAGATGTCATCTATGAAATGGGCCCTCACCTGACACAAATCCTCCCAGTGCCTTGATCTTGAACTTCCCAGCCTCTCAAACTGTGAGAAATAAATTTCTGCACTTTATTTATTTATTTATTTATTTATTTATTTATTGTTGTTGTTATTGTTTTGAGATGGAGTCTCGCTCTATGGCCCAGGCGGGAGTGCAATGGCATAGTCTTGGCTGGTGCTGAAGTTTGGGCTTCTATTGATCCTGTCACCCAAATAGTGAACATAGTACCCAATAGATAGTTTATCGACCCTAGCTACCCTCCCTGTCTTCTCCACTTTTGCAGTCCCAAGTGTCTATTGTTCCCATCTTTATATCCATGTGTGCCCAATATTTAGCTCCCACTTATAAGTGAGAACATGTGGTATTTGGTTTTCTGTTCCTGCATTAATTTTCTTAGGATAATGGCCTCCAGCTGCATCCACTTTGCTGCATTAGATGTGATTTCATTCTTTTTATGGTTCAATAGTATTCCATGGTGTACATGTACCACATTTGTTTCATCCAATCCACTCTTGATGGGCATTTTTGTTGGTTCCATGTATTTGCTACTGTGAATAGTGCTGGGGTAAACATGTGGGTGCAGGTGTCGTTTTGACAGAATAATTTATTTTCCATTGGGTATATATCCAGTAATTAAATTTCTAGATAGGTTGGTAAGTCTATTTTTAGTTATTTGAGAAATCGCCAAACTGCTTTTCATAGTATCTGAACTAATTTATATTCTTACAAACAGTGTATAAGCATTCTCTGTTCTCTGTAGCCTCAACACATCTGTTATTGTTTGACTTTTTGATGGTGGCCATTCTGACTGATATCAAATAAAAATCTCTTGGTTGTGATGTATAGTACTCTGATGATTAGTAATGATGAACATTTTTCATATGTTTGTTGGGTGTGATGTTTGCATGTCTTTTTTTTTTTTTTTTTTTTGAGACAGAGTTGCTCTGTTGCCCTGGCTGGAGTGCAGTGGTACGATCTTGGCTTATTACAAACTCCACCTCTTGGGTTTAAGTGATTCCCCTGCATCAGCCTCCCAAGTAGTTGGGATTACAGGCATGTGCCACCACGCTGGCTAATTTTTTTGTATTTTTAGTAGAGACTGGGTTTCACCATGTTGGCCATTCTGGTCTCAAACTCCTGACCTCAGGTGATCCACCTGCCTTGGCCTCCCAAAGTGCTGAGATTACAAGCATGAACCACTGCACCTGGCCTATCTTCTTTTGAGAAGTGTCTGTTCATATACTTTGCCCACTTTTTAATGGAATTATTACTTTTGTTGATTTGTTTTAAGTTAATTGCAGTTTCTGACAATTAGTCATTTGCCAGATGCAGAGTTTGCATGTATTTTCTCTCCTCCTGTAGGTTGTCTGTTTGTTCTTTTGATCTCTTGTGCTGTGCAGAAGCTTTTTGGTTTAAGCAGGTCTCAATTATCAGTTTTTGTCATGTTTGCTGTTGAGGACTTAGTCATAAATTATTTGCCAAGGGCAATGTCCAGGTTTTCCTAAGTTTTCTTCTAGGATTTTTTTTCTTCTAGGATTTTTGTAGTTTGATATCTTACATTTAAGTCTTTAATCCATCTTGAGTTAATCTGTCTAAATGGTAAAAGATAGGAGTAGAGTTTAATTCTTTTGCATATTGTTAGCCATTTTCCCCAGGACCATTTATTGAATAGGGTGTCTTTTGCTCATTTTTTCTTTGACTTTGCCAAAGATCAGTTGCTTCTAGGTGTGTATGGCATTGTTTCTATGTTTTCTATTCCATTTTATTGGCCTATATAGCTATTTTTGTACCAGTATCATGCTGTTTTGGTTACCATAGGCTTGTATTATATTATTGTATTATGTTATGAAGTTGGGTAATGCGATATCTCTGGCTTCGCTCTTGTTTCCTAGGATTGCTTTGGCTATTTGAGCTATTTTTTGTTCCATTTGGAAATTTTAGAATAGTTTTCTTTTTCTAATTCTGTGAAGAATGATGTTGGTGATTTGGCGGAAATTGTGTTGAATCTGTTTATTGCTTTGGGAAGTATGGACATTTTAACAATATTGATTCTTCCAATCCACAAGCATGGGATGTCTGCCAATTTTTGTGTCATCTATGATTTCTTTTAGCAATGTTTCATAGTTCTTCTTGTACAGATATTTGACTTCCTAGATATTTTTGTGTGTGTGTCTGTTGTAGATGGGATTGTGTTATTTATTTCATTCTCAGTTTGAATGTTATTGATGGATAGAAATGCTGCTTATTTTATATTTTGATTTTGTGTCCTGAAACTTTACTGAAATCACTTATCAGGTCTATGAGTCTTTTGGCAGAATCTTTAGGGTTATTCTATGTTGAATAGCAGTGGTGAGGATGGACATCCTGTCATGATCCAATTCTTAGGAGGAATACTTCCAACTTTTACCCATTCAGTATGATATTGACTGTGGGTTTGTCATAGTGGCCCTTATTATTTTGATGTATGTTCTTTCAGTGCCTACTTTCTTGAAGGTTTTTATCCTGAAGGGATGTTGGATTTTATTGAAAGCTTTTTCAACATCTATTGAGATGGTCATATGATTTTGTTTTTAATTCCATTTATGTGATGAAATACATTTATTGATTTGCATATGTTGAACTATCCTTGCGTCCCAAGAGTAAATCCTATTTATCGTGGTGAATTAACTGTTTGATATGCTGTTGAATTCAGTTTGCTAGTATTTTCTTGAGGAATTTTGCATTTGTCTTCATCAGAGACATTGGCCTGCAGTTTTCTCTTTACATTGTATCTTTGCCAGGTTTTGGTATCAGGGGATATCTGGCTCTGTAGAATAAGTTAGGGGGGAGTTCCTCTTCCTTGAGTTTTTGAAATAATTTCAGTATAATTGGACCAGCTCTTCT
The DNA here is from genome assembly GCF_000001405.40 of Homo sapiens. NCBI lineage: Eukaryota > Metazoa > Chordata > Mammalia > Primates > Hominidae > Homo > Homo sapiens. The sequence goes on along the minus strand of NC_000004.12, from coordinate 126,621,644 downwards.
TTGTATGTCTGGTAGAATTTGGCTGTGAATCCATTTGCCTTTAATTCTGCATAGGTGGTCAGTCACATTTATTGACTTACATAGGTTGAATCATCCTTGCATCCCAGGAATAAAGCTCACTTGACTGTGATGGATTATGTTTTTACGTGCTGCTGGATTCAGTTTCCTAGTATTTTGTTGAATATTGAATATTTTTGCATCTATGTTCATCAGGGATATTGGCCTGTAGTTTTCTTTCTTTTCTTTCTTTTTTTTTTTTCATGTGTCACTTGCAGATTTTGGTATCAGACTTATATTGGATTCATAGAGTAAGTTATGATGGAATTCCTCTTTCTTATTGTCTTATAATTGTTTCAGTAGAATTGGTACCAGCTCGTCTTTGCACATCTGGTAGGATTTCGCTGCGAGTCCATTTGGTCCAGGGCTTTCCTTGGTTGGTAGGTTTTTTTTTTTTATTACTGATTCAATACCATAACTCATTATTGTTCTGTTCAGGTTGCTATTTCTTTCTGGTTCAATCTTGGGAGGTTGTGTGTTTCCAGAAATTTATCCACTTCCTCTAGATTTTCTAGCTTGTGCATATAAAGATTCACAGTAGTGTCAGAGGATCTTTTGTATTCTGTGGGATTGTTTGTAATGTCACCTTTGTCATTTCTGATTGCATTTGTTTGGATTTTCTCTCTTTGTTTTCTTTGTTAATCTAGTTAGTGGGTCTACCAATCTTTTATCCTTTCAAAAAGTCAACTTCATTTTGTTGATCCTTGGTATGACTTTTTTGTCTCCATTTTGTTTAGTTCTGCTCTGTCTTTTGTTATTTCTTTTCAATTGCTACCTTTAGGTTAATTTGTTCTTGTTTTTCTAATTTCTTTAGGTAATACATTATGTTTTTAATTTTAGCTCTTTCTTCTTCTTAATGCAGGTGCTTAGCACTGTAAGCTTTCCTCTTAACATTACTTTTGCCAGATCCCAAATAATTTTAAATTTCTTGTTTAATTTGGTTGTTGACCCAAGTTATTCTGAGCAAGATATTTAGTTTCCAGGTAACTGTGTAGTTTTGAGAATTCCTCTTGGTACTGATTTCTATTTTTATTCTACTGTGGGCTAAGAAGATGTGTGATATGATTTAAATATTTTTGAACTTTTTAAGACTTGCTTTATGACTCAGCTTGTGGTCAGTCTTAGAGTATATTCCATGTGCAGAACAGAGAATGTATATTCTGTAATTGTTGGGTGGAATATTCTGTAAATGTCTATTGGTCCAATTGATTAAGTCTTGTATTTAAATACAGATGTCATTTTTAGTTTTTGCCTCAGTCTAATGCTAATGCTAATGCTGTCTAATGTTGTCAATGTGGCATTGGAAGTCCTTCACTATTATAGTGTGGCTGTCTAAAACTTTTTTTAGGCCTAAGAATAATTGTTTTATAAATCTGGGTGTTCCCATATTGGGTATGTATGTATTTAGCATCAGTAAGCCTTCTTTTAAAATTGAAACCTTTATCATTATGTAATTCTTTTCTTTGTCAATTTAACTGTTGTTGGTTTAAAGTTGGTTTTATCTAAGAATAATGACCCCTGCTTTTTTTCATTTTCTATTTGCATGATTGAACTTTATCCCTTTACTTTGAGCTTATGGATGTTATTACATGAGAGATGGATCTCTTGAAGACAGCAGAAGGTTGGGCTTTTAAAAAATCCAATTTGCCACTCTATGTTTTTTAGTTGGATCTTTTAGGCCACTTACATTCAAGGTTAATACTGATATCTGAAGGTTTGTTCCTGTCACGGTGTTGACTGAGTTACTTTGTAGTCTTGATTGTATAGTTGCTTTATGGGGTCTTTGATATATGTACTTATGTGTGTGTGTGTGTTTTTTTTTTTTTTTTTGAGGCAGAGTCTCACTCTGTCACCCAGGCTGGAGGGCAACGGTGTGATCTCGGCTCTCTGCAACCTCTGCCTCCCAGATTCAAGCGATTCTCCTGCCTCAGCCTCCCGAGTAGCTGGGACTACAGGCGTGCACCACCACGCCCAGCTAATTTTCGTGTTTTTAGTAGAGATGTTTTTCACCATGTCGGCCAGGATGGTCTCGATATCTTGGCCTTGTGATCTGCCTGCCTTGGCCTCCCAAAGTGCTGGTTATGTGTGCTTTTGCATAGCAAGTATTGTTCCTTTGCTTCCATGTTTAGAATTCCCTTAAGCATGTCTTGTAGGGATGAATTCCCTTAGTGACTGCATGATTGATTGGCTAGGAAAGAGTTTATTTCTCTTTAGTTTACGAAGCATGGTTTGGTGGGATATGAAATTCTTGGCAGGAGTTTCTTTTCTTTAAGAATGCTGAAAACAGGCTAGGCGCAGTGGCTCATGCCTGTAATCCCAGCACTTTGGGAGGCCGAGGCAGGTGGATCACTTGAGGTCAGGAGTTCGAGACCAGCCTGGCCAAGATGGTGAAACCCCATCTCTACTAAAAATACAAAAATGAGCCAGGCGTGGTGGCACATGCTTGTAACCACAGCTACCTGGGAGGCTGAGGCATGAGAATCACTTGAACCCAGGAGGCGGAGGTGCAGTGAGCCGAAATTCCGCCACTGCACTCCAGCCTGAGCAACAAAGCGAGACTCTGTCTCAAAAAAAAAAAAAAAAAAAAAAAAAAAAAAAAAGAATGCTGAAAAAAGGCTTCAATCTCATCTGGCTTGTAAGATTTCTGCGGAATAGTCTGCTGTTAGTCTGATGAGATTTCCCCTTTTGGTTAACATGGTCCTTTTCTTCAGCTGCCTTTAAGACATTTTTTTCTTTTGTGTTAACCTTGGAAAATCTGATGATTATGTGGCTTGGTTATGGTTGTCTTGCAGAGAATTTTGCAGGAGTTTTTTTTGTATTTCTTATATCTGCAGGTCTACTTCTCTAGCAAGATTGGTGAAACTTCCATGGATTTTATCCTCAAATATATGTTCCAAGTTGTTTACTTTCTCTTCTCTCTCAGGGATTTCAATTAGTTGTTGGTTTGGTCGCTTTACATAATCCCACATTTCTTGGAAGCTTTGTTCATTTTTTAAAATTCTTTCTTATTTATCTTTGACTGGGTTGATTCAAAGGACTGGTCTTTGAGCTCTGAAATTCTTTCTTTTGCTTTGTCTAGTCTGTTTTTAAGGCTTCAAACTGTATTTTGAAATTTCTGCATTAAAATTTTCAATTCCAAAAGTCTGTTTTTTTCTTATTATAACTATGTTGTCTTTCAAATCCTGGATCACTTTTCTGGCTTCTTTGGGTTGGATTTCAACTCTTTCTTGGATTTCGCTGAGTTTTCTTGCCATCTATATTCTGAATTCTGTATCTGTCATTTCAGACATTTCAGTCTGGTTAGGATCCATTGCTAGGGAGCTAGTGTGACTCTTTGGAGGTGATAAAACACTCTGACTTCTTATATTTCCAGAGTTCTTGCACTGATTCCTTCTTATCAGAGGGAGCTGATACTTATTTTTATTTTTGAATTTGCTGTTGTTTGAATGGGGCTTTTTATTTTTTTATTCTTTTGTCCCTTTAGGATATGACTGTGGTGTATGTTGTGTATGATGGGTTGGGTTCATTTCTGGGTATGTTCCAGTAGGGAGATAGGTTCCAGTAGGCAGGGGGTTTCCCAGGCATTGCTTTTTGTAGTATCTGTTTGGTGGTGTAATTCAACTGTAATCCAATAGGTGATGCATGATAGTAAGAGCCAATAGGTAGGCTCTTAGCAATAACTGCCCACTGAAGGGCCAGAGAAGCCTGAAAAGCACCATCCCCCAGCTCACCCTCACCTTCAGCCCCAATGGAGCTGCTGGAGAATCTCAGTAAGTAGCCTCTTTCAGCACATGCTTATCAGGTCCCAATTGGAAGAGCCACTGCCTTGTTTGCAACAGTGCATTGGAGGGGGAAGAGGAGGAGCAAGAGATGACTCCAAGCCCATTCAGAAGCTTTGGTGGTGCTTCCTTCAGTGACTAGTGCCATGTTCATGTTTCCTTTGTCTCAAGACTGACATTGATGAGCTGTACTCCCTCACACTTCAGGGGCCAACTGCATTGAGGGTTAGGACACCACAGGACCTGCAACTCCATGGTGACCCACTGGCTCCCTGTGCTTGCCAGAGTCAAACCTGGTCATAGGGTATATTAGCACGTGGTCTGGTGACACAGTGGCTTAGGGGTGGAAGACTACTGGGCAGGGAAGTGGCACCACAGTTGCACAACCAGAATGGTGCCCACAGACTGGGGTTTTCAGCCCAGCAGGCAACCATGGAGCCTGCCTAGCTAGTGCTCCCCTGACCCGGTGGGTCTCTGTCCAGCCCCTGCCCCGCAGCAGGCCCTACCTGCTAAGTCTTGTTCCGTTTGCACTCAGATTGCTAAGCTGTTTTAGGTGTTTCAGGCCATGGGACTCCTTGAGGGAGAATTCTTGGCTATCAGGCCACATACTTCCCAGGCTGGTCTTGAGAGGGGAGGAGTGCCCTGCTCCTCCTCTGGCACACAAACCCGCATCACACTCCTGTATGTGGGGCAGTGGAGACTGTGCTGTGGGCACCCTCCCTTGGGAGCAGCCAGGCAGGCAGTCTTGGAAGGGACCTGCAGGTAATGGGGAGCATGGAGCAAATGCACCTCGGCCCTGCAGCAATGGCAGTGGGGCCTGTCCTGGGCCCTGCCCTCTCCCAGCTGGCAGACAGCAGGGGTTGTAGCTGCTCAGTACAAGGTGGAAAGCCTTGGAGATGGGCACCTATGTTCACACTATGCTGCATCTGCACAGCACAGCAAAGCCTTCTGGGCTCCATGCTGGTTCAAGCTGGCCTCTGCTTGGTCTCCGAGCAGCTCCCCTTATCAATCCAATTGTCTGTGGGGGTCATGAGAGCTCCCCCTGCCAGTACAACTCTTTATGGGGGGTCATGAGAACTCCTGTAGCTAAAATCTCAGGAGTCCATTGCAGGGATGTAGTAACCCCAAGTTCCTTCACTCACCCTCTCCTTCGGTCCAGTCTGGGTCCAGGGGATCCCAGCAACTATTAGCAGGGTGCCTTGCTCCTTCCCTTTTAATCCATGGTGTCTGTGTCCCCTCTATTGACCCTCAGTATTTTCTCCCCAAAGATCTGTTTGAATTATGAAGGTTTCTTGATATTTTGGTTCCTCTTCATGGAAGAGGGGCCCTCTGGTGGCTTCTAGTCGGTCATCTTGCCCCTGACTCCTTGTTTATCTTACAAAGAAAGCCTGTACCCTTTGATGCATATCTCTTCATTTCCTCTACCTTCGGACCCCTGGTAACCTCCATTCTATTATTTGCTTCTCCAAGTTTGACATTTTTTAGTTTCCACATATCATTGAGATCATGAAGTATTTGTCTTTCTGCATCTGGCTTGTTTAGTTTAGCATGATGTCTTCCAGGTTCATCCAGGCTGTTACAAATGGCAATATTTCCTTCTTTTTATGGCTGAATAATATTCCACTCTATGTGAAGAATATTACCACACACATAGAGTGGATTATTCAGTCATAAAAACATACACATACACACAGAGACACACGAATATGTGTGTGTGTGTTTGTGTGTGTGCATAAACATTTCCTTTATCCATTTTTCTACAATGGACACATAGATTGTGTCCATATCTTGGCTACTGTGAATAATGCTGCAATGAACATGAAGGTGCAGATATCTCTCCAACATACTGATTTCGTTTCCTTTGGATCTATACCCAGAAGTGGGACTGCTGGATCGTATGGTAGTTCTATTTTTAATTTTTTGGGAACCTTCACACTGTTTTCAGTGGGTAGCAAAGCTATCATCAGAACTCCATGTTTAAAAGTATCTGAAGGTACTTAAGGAATGCACACATAGGAATTCATTGAAGAAATCAGAGTAGAGTTAATGTCCTCAATACATGCATTGAAAATTCTCAATTAATTTTTCACAAGTTAGGCACACAAACACAGGCTTGACTGAGCAGATATGAAATTGTTTGATATTTATTAGAATTTATGTAATTGCCTCACTTCAGACTTTAGAAGTGTATCCACGAACTCAGCAGATATCCTGTCTTTCTAAAAAAATTACAAAATATTTTGATAGAAATTTTAATTTTAAAATGCCATTATTAAAGTGTTTTTGAAGCGGAGGCTGAGAAAGACACTAGCTACAATAACTACAACAGTTACCATTCAAATAATTGTAGATAGATTGCCATATCTCTTAAAACAACTTTGCTAGATAGATATTAAATGTGTCTGAGTCTAAAAGACAAGCGGAAGTATAATCAGCTCAGGAAACAATTGTATGCATAATAGCTAAAAAGACAATGATGAATAATGCATATGTTATTTACATAATTACTTGCATTAGGGTTTTTTGTGTGTCTGGTTCTCTAGGAGAAGATAGAATGCTGTAAAAGCCATGAGATTAAAATAAATATGATTACATAAATAATTTGTTCTTTTGAAGACTCATTTTTGCCAGTGATATAATATTATATGGAATTAGTCCGAGGACATGGAGTTCTTGAGATCTCCAACCCAAGATAAAATATCCTGAAAATTTAACCTTAACGTATTTTCTTTTTGTTATTTTGTTGTTATTTCTTAATTTTATTTATTCATTTATTTATTTTTGACACAGAATTTCGCTCTTGTTGCCCAGGCTGGAGTGCAATGGCATGATCTTGGCTCACCACAACCTCTGCCTCCCAGGTTCAAGCGATTCTCCTGCCTCAGCCTCCCTAGTAGCTGGGATTACAGGTGCCCAGCACCATGCCTGGCTAGTTTTTTGTATTTTTTAGTAGAGATGGGGTTTCACTATGTTGGTCAGGCTGGTCTTGAACTCCTGACTTCAGGCGATCCACCAGCCTCAGCCTCCCAAAGTGCTCGGATTACAGGCGTGAGCCACCGTGCCCAGCTTACTTAAATTTTACACAGACTACATGGGCACCTAAAAGGGGCAGGAGTTTCATTCTCTTAAGGATATCGACGTGCCTTTTGCACAGCTGGCTCCCTCGGGACCTTGACTTTGCCTGTGAAATCCCAGCAACCTTTCTCTTTTGTTTTTCACTGCGATCCAGCTGAGCATAATTGTATCCAATAGTTGGTGAACAGAAAATCCTTTTTACAGTGTTTAGAAAGTGTTTCAAGGGACCAAAACTGGATAAAACCCAAAATATAATTTAAAAAGAGTTTTCTGAAATGTCATGTATTTTATGTCTAAGGGCCTTACCAGAGTTTAGGAGCTTGCCTTTCTCTGTAACTAGTTTTCATGCACTTATTGTTTAATCAGCTGATTGATAAACATCAGTACTTATATGTATTTGTAAGTTCTGGCAAATGTGTTCTTTTTGAACTTCAGAGTCTTGCCATTACGATCAGCTTAATGTACTGGTTCTTTATTTGCTTATTTCTGACTTTTTGACTCAACTCCCACCCAACACACACTTTTTTTTTTTGTTAAGTCGCCATATACATTCAGTCGTATAATGTGTGTGTGCATGTGGCTATCCTTTAAATGGCAACTATGGTCACTTCAATCAGCATGTTAGCATATAGCAATAATAAAATGATAAAACATCTGCAGAAAAGTTTTCCAAGAATTTTTCATGTAAATCTTAGAATATAGAAAACTATGCTAATTTCTGTTGTACTTTCCTCTAATGTGCTGTTGCCTCACTTTCTTCTATTATTTATTCTTATAAACATTTTACTAAAAATGGAAAATTGTATGATGATATTAACCCAGTAATGTGCAGCCAACAAACTTTATACAGCATTGAAACCTACATAAATGGGTGAGGGAAAATGCTGTGAATTTGGGAAGAATAAGGATAATAAAATTGGTTTAAATCATGGTTCTAACATTTACCACTGCCATCAGCATGTGTCTTTAAAATGAGATAATCAACTTATACCCATCATAGCAATTTTTCCAGTTTTTAAATTTACAACTACAAGTTTCTTATTCATCTAGGAAAGAGCTAAAGCTCATTTTTAATAGAGATAGCTGGAAGTGAAAATTCATATTTGAATTCCTTCAGTAAAGATTAATAAAGTGAAATCCAAGTGAACAATAAAAAGAAAACAAAGCAAACATATAAGGAGATGTTTATTCTCTTTCTCATAGATATATTAATAGTAATGTATTCGTTATTGACACGAATGCAAACCATTGTGTTACTACTTTTGTGAGCATGCATCTAAAAATTTGTTTAAATATTGAGCAAAGTTAGTAAATGAAAAGTTATTAGTTAATACATATGACAAGAATTTGTGAAATTACATGAACAAGTCCTACCACAATCAGATAACCATAGCAACAGCATTGCTTCTTGACATTTTCTCACTAGGAGCGTCCATTGCTAGGAGGAAAATTGTCTGTTATATTTACTGCTCAACACTGAACTTGGAAAAGTTGTTGGAAATGTATGTAGAAAGAACACAAGTATGTGACTATCATATGTTTATTTTTAACGTATGAAAAAATTAGGTGAATAAGTGACATATTTGATATATCTCTCTAATAATATATATTATAGTAATATTACATGTAATTACATATTAATTGTATATAAAATAATATGTTATAATATATATAATTACATATTAAAAGTATATAATATTATATATAGTATATATTATATATACTATATATAATATTTTATATATATATAAAATCAAGCTTTATTCTAAAAGGATTAAATTGTAATTGGAAAATGATGGAAAATAATCCATTAATAATTTTAAAAATGATTAAAGATGGAAATAATGGTTGGATGATTAAATAGGAGCAAGGAGGCATTAAGTAAAATAAACACATCTTGAAGCCAGGAGTAAGGCATGATGGTCAGCGGTGCCATCCAAAAATTAGTTTTGCTTCTTCTATGGGCACATGGTAGGATTATATTTTCGTGCTTCCTTGAAGTTAGGTAGGGGCAAGTGAATAGATTTGGTCAATGAAATGTGAGCACAAGTGATGTTTGTTATTTCTGAGAGGAAGTTTGAGAGCCACTGAATACTTTTCCATTCTTTCTTTTCTTATGCCATGATGGCCAGCAACGTTTGTGATGCTTAATGCTCTATCATCGTATTTCCAAAACAAAAATATGCTAAGGTAGATGCATAGCATGAGTAGAAAATAAACTTTTGGGCTGGGCAGGATGGCTCACGCCTGTAATCCCAACACTTTGGGAGGCTCAGGCGGATGGATTGCTTGAGCCCAGGAGTTCAAGACCAGCTTGGGCAACATGGCAAAGCCTCATATCTACAAAACTGCAAAAATTAGCAGGGCGTTTGTCCTGTTGTCCCAGCTACACACATGTTGTCCCAGCTACTCCCGAGGCTGAGGTGGGAGGATCACCTAAGTTCAGGAAGGTCAAGGCTGCAGTGAGCCATGAATGTGCCACTTCACGCCAGCCTGGATGACAGAGTGAGACCCTGTTTCGGAAAATAAAATAAAATAAACTGCTGTTTTAAGGTGCTGTGATTTGCGATTGTTCATTACTATTGCAAAATCTAGCCTAACATGACTAATATATAAGGTTGTACACAGAACCCGTGGTGTGGAATCCTCAATGACTAATAGGAGTGATTTGAAAATTGAGCTCTGGGTTTTCTAGAAAACAACACAAAATGGGAAACCTGTTATATCAAATTACTGTAAGAAGTTCACACTAAAGATCCTGCTTGTTGAAGGAGGGCATTGTTATCAGGCTTTATAGCTATTGTCACACTGTTTCTCTTTAAACAGAGTTCTTTGTTGATCTTTTGTCATTTTGTATTTCCCTGACTTTAGTATAGAATATTTTCCAGGCAATAAATTCAACCTATTTTTGTAATTCCTTCACCCTTACAATCAAACCTTGGACATGATGTCCAGCATAGCCAGACCTTGGTAGCAGGAGATTAAGGGCTCTTTAAATGCTATCATTGAGACCCTCTGAGTTGAACCCTCTGTTGGTTTCTTTGTTAAGGGAAACAATCACAATTTATACCATGGACCAACTCCAACATCTTTGTAATTACAAAATTATACCTGTTTCAAATACTAGCACTATTTCATAAGCCATTGAACCCTTTCATCCTAATTCCCAATATTTAACAAAAATAATTATTATGGGTGTATAATAGTTGTATATATTTATGGGGTACATGTGATGTTTTGATACAGATATACAATGTGTAATGAATGTCAGGGGGATTGGGAATCCATCACCTCAAGCACTTATCATTTCATCGTGAAACATTCCAAATTCACTCTTTCAGTTATTTTCAAGCACTAGAGAGACTCACAGTAATTGTCATGCCACAGTGCACCAGCTATTGTCACTACCCCACTTATGACCAGCCATTGGACACTTGTGGTCATGTGAGCAATAAGTGATCCAGTTCCACAAGTCCATCCTTAGAACCTGTTTTCTAGGACCATTTGTGGTAACAATTGTCCTAGGTTTGGTTTCCCCAGAAACCAGCCTTGAGATAAGAGTTTGAGTGAAAAAGTTTATTTGGCAGTTTGCCTACAAGGCATCCGTAGGGGGTGGGGTGGGGAAGTGAGACAGATTGGGGCTGAAATCCAATCAGGATGCATTACTGAGCAGATTATTACTGTGGGCATTAAGGGATCCATCCTTCTGAGTCCTTCTTTGAGACTGTACTGAGTACAATTCAGAGTTGTTCCTCCTGGGGTTGTGGAAGCTGGGGTATTCATAGAACAAGATTTTTTTCCTGTAATTGGTTGAGAATTCCTCTCTGATACTCCCAGGTATCGTGGCCTACCTCATGTGAAGGCAAAGATCTGTTGTCAGAAAAAAAAACCCTCAGATTCTTGTAGCAGTATGGTGAAGGCTTACAGCATAGACTGATCGTAGACTGGATATAGGCTGTGCACCAAAACTCATGGACTCCAGCAATCCTCCCACCTTGGCCTCCCAAAGTGCTGGGATTACAGACTTGAGCTCCAGTGCTTGGCATAAGTAATAGTTTTTATATTTTTTGTTTTTATACATGTCTTTTTCGTTTTTTTACATGGCTTTTTTATTTATGTATTCTTAATGGCTTTTCATACAACAACACTGATTTAACCAAACAAAAACAAATTCAGTTAGTTTTCCTTCCAAGATGACAGCACTTCCTGCTCTCCTACTCACTGGTCATATGGTCTGAGATATGGAGAAATAGAAAGGACAAAAAAGAGCACTAGAAAATCCAGTCTACTATAAGCTTTTCTTTAGTTATCATCACAAATTATTAGTACTGAATAATGATCCAACATAGTCCAGCAGACCCTTAATCTCTTAGCTGTGCCCTTGCATTCTGCACCCCTTTAAATGCCTCAGTGATGTTCTATACTCTGATTTCATGTTATCACTTTTTTCAGTCTATTTTCACATGCTTAGTTATTGTTCCTCAGGCCACATCATTGAGCCAGGGTGGTGGAGTTATAGCATTTAACAATTATTATACTAAGTAAGAAAATTTTATTGAAAATAGAATAACTTTGGCCAGGCATGGTGGCTCTCTTCTGTAATCCCAGCACTTTGGGAGGCTGAGGTGGGTAGATCACGAGGTCAAGAGATCGAGACCATCCTGGCCAACATGGTGAAACCCCATCTCTACTAAAAATACAAAAATTAGCTGAGTGTGGTGGTGCATGCCCGTAGTCCCAGCTACTCGGGAGGCTGAAACAGGAGAATCGCTTGAACCTGGGAGGCAGAGGTTGCAGTGAGCTGAGATCGTGCCACTGCATTCCAGTCTGCCGACAGGGTGAGACTCCATCTCAAAAAAATAAATAAATAAATAAAAATAAAATACAGTAAATTTTAACTCAAAATGTTAGACTTATTTTTTGTTCCAGTCTTAAAGCATTCGTTATTGACTATACAGCCTATTTTTCTAATATCAGTAATTGCTCAGAAACATACAGTTTGATGAAAACAAAAACATTTATTTCAATAATAAAGAACATATATGTTTGTATCTGTATGTGTTTCTATACACAGAAGCACGTTACTAAATACCCCATTGTGAAAATCTTAATATGTATTACTAAATACATATTTTAAACCTGAACTTCCCAAGTGTAGATTTAACAGTCAAATAGGAAAATTTGAGAAGACAAAATTAAAATATTTAAAGATAAGAATAAAGAAAACTTGCATAGTAGAAAGTAAAATTAAGCAATATAACTGTTTTCTAGGATATTTCTAGAATTCTTGATTATTAAAAAAATACATATATATTATTCTACATAAAGAACAAGACTGAGTTTATACTCACTAGATATAAAAGTCCTTATATTTCTTAGTGTGAATTATATTATTAGGAATATTTTGTCATTTGAGAAATATAAAGGTTATGCTAATAAATTATGCACACTCTTCAATTAAGTTTGACACTGTATAAGACACATGTATAATTGATGTTCATTCAGATTAAAATAAAATGTAAATAGCAGAGTACATTCAGTATTTAGTCTCAGCTGAGCATTAAGTTCAAATAAGCCCAATTACTTTTCAATATTAGTTCATAAATGATTGCAATATGCAATATTGTCAGTTCGTATTCCTGGATTTGTAAGAACTGATAGCTCATCTAGCTAATAACAGGCCACGCCTATTGTTACACAAAATGTTGCTAATGTTATCAGTAGAGTAAGTGGATAATTTGCTCTGTTTAACCCAAATACTAATTTATTGAACTATTGGTCATCTTTAACAATTTACAATGTATTCATTATAAAGTGGAAGTGTTAAAGGGGTTTTTGGAGGAATAAGGACAAGAGGAAAGTGGATCCTTTTTAAAGTAGGGTAAAAAAATACAATCGTTGGAAGGAAGATCTCTAAAACTTATATTGACTTGCTTTGACTTGCTTAGAAAATATTGTTTTTCTAAAATTCCTTATGTTGTAGATGATTTACTTTTACAAGATCACTTTAAAATCTAATATTACCTATTTCGTTCTGTAATCCCTCACAGTTTTATCTCATGATTTGGTGTATGAAGGTTTTTTTTGTTGTGAATATAAGAAATCAACTCGAGCCAGCCTAAACATATAGACAATCCAACAAACAAATTGACTGTATGTAGACTAAGTTTTGTCTGCAGTTTTTAAAATGAAATTTGAGGCAGAAATTTAAGTGGGCATCATTGAGAGAAAGAGAAGCAACAAACAGGAACAAAAAGAATCATGTGAAATGTAAAATGTAAACCCTCCAACTCTCCTCTGTCTCTCTCATTGTCGATTAATGTTTCTGAGATGAGCTTTCTGTTACTTGGTTCACATGGCAGAAACTGGCTGCCCATAAATCCTGAGTTTGTATATCTCCACCATTCAAATGTCTTCCCCTTAGATATCCTTCTTGAACTTGCCAGCTATTGAATCTTCCATGAGTGAGTTATCAACCCATCTTTCAGGACAGAATTAAGTCTTGTGGGGAGTTACTTCTAATCACCCAACTGTGGCATAGTTCATACCTAAATGTGTTTTTATATACTAGAGACTCCTAAATGGTTATTTTGAGCTTACAGCCTCCTTCTTACTATATTTTATCAGTGAATGAATGGTATATAAGTATGTGGCTGGGACATTTATGTACCTAGTGTTTTGGTCTTTAAACACCTAATACAGGTAAATGTAGGCCAGGGTACATAAGCTATCTGGCCCTATAATCATTCTGAGATATATTTCTAATTTGTTTGTGCAATCATCTGTGAAACTTTCCACAAGATAGTTGAGTACAGAAGATTTGAATATTAAAGAAGAGAGTTGGCTAATTCAATACGTAATTTCTGATAAAGATTTTTTTCGTAAATTGTTTTTCAATGTTCAATCATCCTTTTTTCTTCCAAACATACTGGCTTGAATTATATTTTGCCTCTGTTATTTTCCATTATGCAAATGAGTGGTATATGGTTATGGGGCAAGGGCATTTAAATACCTAGTATTTATGCAAATGAAAAACTACTAACCAGTGATTAAAAGGCCTTGCTTGAATTTGACTGAATACCAAGCAGCCATTTTTAGGTCAATATCCAACAGCACATGCATAGTTCACCAGGCTTCATTAGAGAACATATCAGATTTCTCATTTGCTCATTAGATTTTGGTACAACCTATTTTGAAACTGGGCAAAGGTTTTTATTCTAAGCTGTCTGTAATTAAATACATTTCTGCAGCCTTTCTGTCTATTTAAATGTACCTTCTAACATTTTACTACCTGAATCTGGAGAACAGGCCATAAAACATTAAATATGAGAAAACTGGGAAATGTAACACACTCTAAATGCATGAAGGTAGGAGCTCAAAATGTGTGGACATAAAGATTTTATTTCATTATATAGATTTAAACGAAGAGTGTGTTATATGGATCTTTGCTTTCAAAGTGAACTATCATTTTTAAGCAAGAAGAAGAAAATGCTTGACCATTATGAAGAAAACATTACACCTTAAGAACAATTCAAAAGAACCAGGAAAATGGCTACGTAACAATAAGCATAAAACTCCCAATTTCCTCCCCAAATCCCAATATAAGTGTCGCAAATATTTTTTTAAAAGTATACAGTGTTTCTTGTTTTTGTTTAAAAATTTCTCCTTGAAAGGTAATAAAAGATGATTTGTGTGTGTGTGTGTGTGTGTGTGTGTGTGTGTGTGTGTCTGGCATAAATAGTAAAGTTATCTAAAATATATATGATACATCTTAGATAAACTTGTTTTTTAAGGGCACATTTTAAATACTGTTTTATGCTTTACTGTGTGAGTTTAAAAATGGTTTCAATTTTATCTCATATAAATCCTCTGTTGTCTTATTATCCTCTGTTCGTAAATGAGGAATCTCAGACTAGGAAAGCAAAGGAATGACTTACCAGAGCCACACAGAAAGTAAGTACAAAAGTCTCCAGACACCAAATTTATTGAACTTGAGTAAATTATTTGATGGTGCTTTAAATCACAAAGAAGGCACTGCATTATTATCACAATATCAGTATTGAAAAGTGTTCAACACTAAACACAGTCTTTTATGATGTTTTTATAGAACTGGTAATGCTTCTAGTGGTAATGATAATGCTGAAGAAAATCTGACTGGTAATATACTAGAAAAACACTCCAGGATCATGTGCTGCCTAAGATGCCTGTTGAAACATGCAGAGAACTAAAAAACAAGACAAAACAAAAAACCAACAACAAAAAATAAATAAAAACCAAAACAAACAAAACAAATTTAATGTATGTTAGAAAATTGATGCTAAGTAATGAGTTGGATTTAACTGTGTGTGCGTTTGAATGTTGAGCATAAAGTGTTTCAAAGGAAAGACAGTAAGTGTAGGATCACAAAATAATTTCAGGAAATCCAGGTGAAATGAATTTGTAATTTTTGGGGTAACACATTTGCCTTGAGCTAAGTAGAGATAGATGAAAAAGAATTTGCAATAAGAAAGTAAATAATCCCTAAACTAGCTATCTTCTGTGAAATAGTTACAATTTTAAACAGTAAAATGGTTTTCTACCAAGTAAATTATATAGTAGAAAAATACACTTAAATTTGGATTTAAGTTTTGCCCTCAATTCTTAAGTCCATTCACTACACTAGAAAAAGAGAATTAATCACATCTTCTACTTACTGTGAAAAATCTCACATTTTTCCAGATAATAGCCCAAATTGACTTAAAGGAGAAGCACTGATCTGCCAGCTGTGTGAAATCTAAATACTTCATGTGTTAGACTGGAAATGAGTATCTGCCCACACATGTGTGAATAAAATACAGTTTGTAAAAGCATTTTATGAACTTCAAAGCACTATACAAATGACAACTATTGTTTTTAGTGAACTGTGATATGGAAATATATTAGAAATAAAGTTTTTCTAATGACCTTCCCAAATAAATCATTATAATCTCATGAATAATTATAAGAGCTTCCGTGTATTCGTTCTGAGTCGGCTGGGTGTACTTGTTTTTGGTCTTTAAGATACGTTTTTTGCAGTTGCCAGTCCAAAATGTCTGGGACAAGTATAACTGAAATGAAAAAAAAATTGTTATACTCTTTTCATAATTATGTTAATACTTTCTCTTCATAAATGTCTGTGTTTCTCTCTCTTTTTTTTTAATTTAGCAGGCTGTTACTGAAACCACTGGTGATATTGCTTTCTTTAAAATTTTAGCTTAAATATGAGCATTTGAAAGGTTCTTCTGCATTATTATTGTAGACACTGAATTCATTTATACATTTAATTCACTTTTTAGCTTTCATTAAATTTACAAGGTTTATACTTTTTTATAAAGAGTGATTTATTGGCTTTTTTTTTTTTAAATAAAACATCATTTAAAACTCAGTAGACAAAATAAATAGTGAGCCTTCACAATAAATGTCACACCTGATTTTGTTGTTTAGGGAAAACTAAATTTCCTTTTTCTTTTTTTTTTTTTTTTTCTTGAGACAGAGTCTTGCACTATCCTCCGGGCTGGAGTGCAGTGGCACGATCTCGGCTCATTGCAAGCTCCACCTCCCGGGTTCAAGCGATTCTCCTGCCTCAGCCTCCCAAGTAGCTGGTATTACAGGCACCCACCACCACGCCCGGCTAATTTTTTGTATTTTTAGTAGAGATAGGGTTTCACTATGTTGGCCAGGCTGGTCTTGAACGCTTGACTTTGTGATCCACCCACCTCGGCCTTCCAAAGTGCTGGGATTACAGGCATGAGCCACCACGCCCGGCCTAAATTTTCTTGAGGAAATTTGTCATTGACTAAGCCAGCAGGAGAAATTCCAATATTAATAGCATTTTCATTACATATTGATTCTTCAAAACTCTTGTTTGATTCCAAACCACTTTCTATTTACTCTACCATAATTTATTTTAAATTCATAATAGGCCAGGGGATAGGAGGGAGGGACAGTGTGTAGAAGACAATGGAGGCTTTTTAAATATCACAGTACTGTTAAATAATTTAAAGTCATGAGATTAAAAGAAGCTGTGTAGTAGGTAGTAGTTTTAAAATTCTAGTGAAAAGAATGAAAAAACGTTTGAACTTAGGGTCTAAGTTTTTAATCATTTTAAAAATATCCCACAGCTTTTAAGGAAGTACTTCGCATGTAGCAGGTGCTCAATAAATATTTGTGTAACAAAATGGCTCTGCTTACCAATACCAAACCAAGTTTCCTACTGTTATTAGCTAGCCCCACTGGACTGCCCACTAGATGGCAGTCCCATACAGAAAAGTCTTTGAAGTTTGCTGGGGAGAATCTCTCAGATAAAAATACATTTATGCCAAAACCTGTTGTTGTTTTACAACAACAACAACAATCCCTAAAATAAATGTCTTAAAATTAAAACTCCTGAGACTTTTATATTGTTTGGTAGTATGTCCGTTTTTTTGATTTTTAAAATTAATGTTGACAATCACAAGATTATAGTCCTCCTAGAAAATAGTACATCTCTCATGTTCAGGCCACTTGTATGAAATATTGCATGTGGTAAAATTTCTAGGGATAAAGAAAGTATGAGAAAAGCAAACATTGAAGGTCTTTTCCTTATTAATCATGGTACATTTACTTGTGATGGGGCTGCTCTGCTTTACAGGCAAGTGCCCGAGAAATCCACGGTGCTTAGAGCAGGGTGCTAGCAATGCCTGATCACCAGTATCCATGACTGAGGAAAGTACAGAGAGGTGGGGTGGAACAGAATGTCATAATGCAATTCTAACACCCAATAAATCTAGATACAAAGATTTTCTTCCCAGCATGTAGCATTGCAGTTAGAGACTGTACCATAGCTGAAGTTGAGGAGCTATGTATAAATATGAAAAGGTTATTTGTGACTCTTTTATATTGTTCAAATTTAGTACTCGAAGAACAATGCAATAAATGTGAAGATTTATACTTTTTGAATAAGGTAGACATTTGATATTCAAATATTTATTATTAGTCCTTTTAATAGTATTGTTCCTGTGTCTTCTGAAGGTTAATAATTTAGGTAATTCATAAATTTTCTCAAAATTATTTTTCAGTGTGAGATACCATGGGACTAGCGTTAGACCTTAATCACCCAGCCAGTGACTGAGCCTCATTGTCTTGCTACCGTCAGCATATCAACATAACTCTCTTGTTCTTTATGTTAATTATCTACTGCTGCATAAAAAAAATTACCCTAAAACTTAGCTGCTTAAAAGCAATAAACATTATATTAACATTTCTATGGATCAGGACATTGGGCATAGCTTAGCTGGCTGCCTCTGACTCAGGAGGTCTCAGGCTGCAACCAAGGTGTTGGCAGGGGCTGCAGACATCCATATGTGTACTGGTCAGAGATGTCTATGTGGGTTCTTAGTAGGGCTACTTACAATGTAGCAGCTTTCCCCAGAAAGAGGATTCTAAGAGATTAGAGAACAAGACAGAAGGACAAGGCAGAAGTCCCAGTCATTTTATAAACTAATTTTAGAAGTGGCATGGCATCACTTGCGCTGTATTATTTTCCTTAGAAGAGAGTCAACGGGTACAACCTATACTCAAAGGAAAGACATATGGCGTTTGTACCAGAAGGCAAGAATCACTGGGGACCATTTTAGGGGCTGCCAGCATTGTTTACTAATTTAATTAATTAATTTTTTCTGTAACTTTCAAAATCATAATGCATATGGTTCCTGTGAAAAAATGTCCTTGAAAAGAAAATTATTTAGTAATAAAGAAATTTGAAAAGCTGGACAAATTAAGGAGTACAATGCCAGATAATGTGGTGGACATGATTTATGAATATACTATGAATAGAAGAAAAAGAAAAATACATATATAAAATTGTTTCAATAACTTTATGGATAGTGTACCATCTACTTATCAAGAGAAATATTCATACTTAGGAAACAACTGAAAATATAGTTGATTGTTAGGCAAGATTAAGCATGGAAAATACATGAATCATTTACATGAATTATTAAAATTATTCTGGACTGTCTATCTAATCCCAGTTATAATTTGATAAAGTCTTGTGTTCCTTTTTATGATTTTATGATTATTGCTTTCTATATCTGTCTAAGAAATATTTGCCTCATCCACACAAAAGGATATTCTCTTATGTTTTCTCTCACAAGTTTTCCAGAAAAATGGGCTTTTTGAAAAAAAAAAGCACTTCTCCCATTTTGAATTACTTCGGTGCTTTGTTAAAAATCAGTCCATTGGCCAGGCGTTGTGGCTCACCCCTGTAATCCCAGCACTTTGGGAAGCTGGGGCTGATGGATCACCTGAGGTCAGGAGTTCAAGACCAGGCTGGCCAACATGGTGAAACTCTGTCTCTATAAAAATAAAAAAAAATACAAAAATTAGCTGGGCGTGGTGGTAGGTGCCTGTAATCCCAGCTACTCAGGAGGCTGAGGCAGGAGAATCGCTTGAACCCGGGAGGCAGAGGTTGCAGTGAGCCGAGATTGCACCATTGCCCTCCAGCCTGGGTGACAGAGAGAGACTCCGTCTCAAAAAAAACAACAACAAAAAATATCCATCCATCATCATGAGAGACGTTGCCAAGATTACTATTCATATAATAGAAATTGACCTGTCAATAGAAATAAGGACATACTTGTCTTTACAAACATTTTTATATTTTAAGAATAATTTTTACTCATGTGAGTGTATTATGCATCAGACATGTAAAATATTAGATATACATATTAATATGTATAAAATAAACATATATGCTTCTAAGAACATCAGAAAAAAAAAATCTGCTTCAAGAAGAGCACATAACTTCCATTTGTGGGAGAGTTTCTATAAAATTGCCTCACCCGCATCAACAAAATGTTTAAAGTCCAGTAGTTGAAGGAAGCCAGTCTTGCCCTAATCAGTCTTTAGTTTTTCCCTGACTTGTTCTTTTTTTTTCTCTATGAAAAGCTTCTGCTTCCCTTCCTAAACTATCAATGTCAGAGTTTCCCATAGCTCCATCCATGGACTTGTGTTTTTACCCAGCCCCATGGCTTTAATACCATCGCTATGCTGACAACTTCCCATTCCAATTCATTTTCTTTCCCTTCATTTTATTTCATGTCATATAGTTTTATATGACTGGTTATTCTAACTTCACAATATATTTTTAACTTATCAGAATCTACCTTGAAATAATATGATGCCACCTCACACATGGTCTAAGAAACTTACAACTGTATCCTTCCTTTTTTCCCTTCATGTCCTTTGTACTCTTATTGTTAGAGATTTTACATCTCATGTGTTAAAAACTAAACAATAATGAATTCATTAATTTTATTCTAAACAATACATTATGTTTAAATATATTTAAACATATGAGATGAAATCTTATAAAATCAAAGAGAGGCTTCTAAGACAAAAAGCATTGTTAATGAGGCAGATGGCTTTGGAGAAAACATTTTTCAAAAGCCACCAAGAAGAATGCCTTCTTATCCCTAAAGGACCTCACTTCCTTGTCCTTCAGCTCATTCTGATGCTTCTCCTCACCTAAAAAAAAAAAATAAAATGCAGTGTACAGTAACCTTTTAATCAAACACAGCATCATAGGTGGAGACTGAAAGCCTGCCATTGTTTCTTACTGCTGCTGTTAAACAGATGATGCAGAGACTCTGGTGATGCTACTGTATTGCTTAGTTATCCTGAATACATTATTGTTTCACTGCATTTATGCTATATCATATATTTTAGTTTTAAGTACTTACATTTGAATAAGTAGAAGAAAATGATTTCTTATAGGTAGCATATACATTCAGAGTCAGAAATGATGGTGATGCCAGATAACCACAGATTGTCCACATGGATGACTGAGATAGTCATACCTTTGCTTTCTGATGGTTCAATGTATATAAAAATTTTTTAATATACAAAATTATTAAAAATATTGTATAAAATTTCCTTCTGACTATATGTATAAGGTATATATGCCTTAGGTATAGGTATATGTGTAATAACTTAAAGTATGTTGTGTTTAGACTTGTGTCCCATCCCCAAAATATCTCATTATGTATATGCAAATATTTCAAAATCTGATGAAATTAAAATCCAAAGCACTTCTGCTCCAGATCATTTTGGATAAGATATACTCAACTCCAATATCAAAACTCTGCAAATGTGCAATTTAGACTTCTTCATTTATTGCATGTAAATTTTACATAAAATAAAAACAACACTCTTAACAAGATTAACTATAGTTAATAATATGCATGCAGAAATATTTAGGGGCAAGCTAGAGATATTTGCAGCCTACTTGGAAATGTGTAAAAAATAAGGCTCTATCAGAGACATGAAAAGATATGTGATGAAACAAATACAGTAAATTTTAATGGCACAACATTGGTGATGAATCTAAGAATACTTACTCTAAAATTTCTTTACGTTTCTTGTAGGTTGAAAATTTTTTCATCAGGAAGTGTTTAATAAATTGATCAAATACATACATGTTTCTTGCATAGAAAAAGAAACCTGGTGGCAAAACAGGGTAAGAGATAAAACACCAGGAACCAAGAAAGAAAGAACCAGACAACCAAAGATTTCCTGACATGCTTCTTTCATTTTAAAATATTTCACAGATCTATGAAGTGAAAATTAGCCAAGACTCAGGGGAAAATTTGTGGGTGTTTGCGGGTGTTTGCAGGAACTCATGAATACCACTGAACATCTGCAAAAATATTTTCTATTCACTATGTACTATTCACAAACACTTTTTCAATGGACAAGACAGCTTCCGAAAGCTAGTATAAACCAAACTGTATGAAGAAAAATTCTTGGCACGTAAATGCTTTAGTCTCTCCTGAACATAATGTGGTTAAATAATTCTACTTACTGTATTTCTGAATGTGTTACTACAGTGTAATACATACTTTTCCATCTGGAATTATGTCATATAAAGAGATGACCAAAAGAAATGACTCATGCTTTGTCAGAAATAACGATAAAATGTAAACCTTATCTTTTCATATTTATTACTTTTGTTTGAATATCCTAGAAAAACTTAGCTATGATGAACATTTTTGTTCTTATAGAATCTTATGTAAGTAGAGATGGTCATAGTTAAGGGCTCTGGGACAAAATGGCCTGCTTGAGTCCTGGCTATACATTTCCTAGCTAAGAACATTTCTACAGCTTTAGTTTTTCTAAATCTGTAAAATGTGGATGATAATGGTACTAGTTTCCCAGAGTATTTTTTAGGGTTAAATAAGCGTTTATAATAGAGCCAGACATATAGTCAGTACTCAACAAATGTTAGGTAGTATTATTAAACCCAGGCTTACAGCTGGAAAAAAATTGATATGATAAGCTTTTCACAATTCAAAGATCATCAGGACATGAAAAAGACCCAGAATTCTGAATCTGATGCCTAGTCTAACTAAGGCAACTACTGTATTAAGACAGGATCCAGAAGATCTAAGAAAATTAATAAATAAAAGCTAATTTGGTTTCAGGTTGCTTCAAAGATTCATAAAGGAGTGACAGTACACAGCTTTCAAAAATAATTCCAACACCTATCCGTGGTGTTGTTGGTCACCCCTTTGGAACAGAGCTTTAATTTCACTGTGTCTTTTACAACCTTTAGTTTCCCTCACTCTGAGGCAATCTGTAGGAAAATTATGTGGAGAAAAACGAAATGATTTTCTGAAAGAGGAAATAACTAATATGAACTAATGAGTGAATTAAAAATTATTAGAGTTCACTTTAGTATGAAAATAGATTATGTTTTTCTAAAATACATATATATTGCATTTTATGCTCTTAAAAATATGTCAATATTATTTTGATTCTTTATGGAAAATAAAATGTCATTAAAATGCAGGTTTATCCCACCTATTAAATCTATTAATTATGAGTACACTTTCTGAGGCAGAATTCTTGTCCTCATGATAAGTTCTCTCAATATTACTCTTCTTACTAATAGGTACCATGTGCACAAAATACTATTGCATGTTATATTGGTTAGCAAGAGTAATCCATACTCATTTAATATACATAAATGGACAGCTGTCTTTCACCTTTCTTTGGAGAAACCCAGCATTGACCCAACAGCCTCTTTAATTTATCTGAGCCACAAATGCCCAGAGTTGTCCTTCAGTATGTCCTTTGGACTGGAACTTCAGACTCGATTTGTGTGGACAATCATTCTGAAGAATTTTAACAAAGAAAGCTAATATGTTTGGTGGCTATTTTATTTACTTGTTAGTTATATTTACACTGTAGTTCTGTTTTTTTCTCCTTCTATTGGGTCTTATCATTTTGGATATCTGTTTCAGTTATAAGAAGGTTTTTTATTTTTTATTTTTTTTTTTTTTTGCTCTTGACAGGACCTTCTGCTTTAGAATGTAAGTGCAACAGGAAAGACAAAGTTCTTGTAGTTCTTGGGTACATTACACATTACTAATTATCTAAGTAAATTTTAATGGGGAGAGGAAGAAGCCTAAGTGTTATATTGGAAACATATTTTCACTCATTTATATTTAACATTCAAATGAACCCTAGAAAAATATGCCACAAAAAGATTCATTCATACTTAGCTTCTGTGCAAATTAGAACAGCTCCAATTCCCTAGCTCACCATCCATCTGTATCCATCAGTCCCCAGCTACTTCAGCCTCCAAGTGTGTCTGTTAAAAAAATCATTTAGCTCATTAATGGGAAAACTTAGGCATATCCCATCTTGAAAGCACTACTTTTGTGTTTGTTTTTCCACACGTATGAATTTTTTCTCCAGGGATAAAAAAATAAAAATATGATTCATAACTTATTACATTGAATTTATAGAAAAAATAACTGAAGAATCATTTGCCTTAAATTTAAGCAACTATGATATTTTAAGTGATAACCTCAATGGCAGTAATCTGATTTAGGGTATATTACAGTTTGCTACCTATGCTGATGCTACTCCCAGGAAAAGAAACATTTTGCTCACCGCACTAAGGTAAGATTTAGTCATTGACTTGCTTTGCCCAGTAATGGTGATTAGAAGTGATACATGTCACTTCTGAGTGAAGCTTCAAGAGCCAGTATATGGCTCCTAAAGTATATTTTTATTTTTTTATCCTTGGAAAGAGTGCATATAAAATAAACTGCTATTTTCTTAAGTAGCTTTATTTCAGAATTTTTCCATTTTTCCATGATAAGTAAAAGAGATCAAAGATGTGTGTGTGTAATATATATACTTTACATATATATAATATATATGTATTTTATATATATATATGTGTGTATATATATATAAAACCCACACACACACAGGCACCCCTTCACACACCCCTTATACACACATATATGCATGTAAGGTGTGTGTGTATATATGGAAAAGACATGCTGAATGTAAGGTTAACACTTATGCAGTGAATTCCTCTTCAAGATCACAGCCCTTTAAATCTTAACTGTCCTGGTGGATCTCCAACTTTAAACAGATAGATAGATGGATAAATAGATAATAAAACTTCAGATCATACATACAGAAATAATACACAAAATATGTCCAATCATGTCAAATGCATCTAAGTAATTTTATAATACTATACATTGATAGTCTAAAAGTTATAAAATTAGTTATATAGATTAGAAAATAATACCAATGAGCCCAAGGTCATGAAAGGAAACTTTTACTGGATCAGTTGATTTTACATATTGAATGACCAAATCTGCATAGAGACCACATACTTGACTTCTATGCCTAGGTACAGAGCAAATTCATGGTATTGTTTATAGGAAGACAAAATGAGAATGTATATTTCTCTCTCTGAAAATTAGAAACATACTATAAAATAAGTGGAAACAAATACTTTGATGTTGGTGGTATATTTAAGAAAAAATTAAATATAAATTATCAAAGGAATCATCCTATAGTTTTAAAAATAAGTAAAAACATAGGAGTAAATCCCATTTAAAAGTTAAAAATATTTACATTTCTAGTTTACAAAATGTTTATACACAAATATTAAATTAGCTAAGAAATTGCTGAATATCTAGGACTGCTTTCTCATCATGTTCTTTTAAAATTACATTAGTATGAGTATGACAAGGAGTATTACTATTAGTCTTAACCACATAAAATGGGAAACACCATCTCTCTTCTGTGTCTACAAACAGTAAAAGCTCTCTATTAATTGCTTCTCAGAATGGAGCCTGTTTCAAGTCTGCCTGGACTTGTACTCTGTGCAAGGAGAAGCAGGCTTCTGTATATCAATTCAAAGGTTTCATTCATTTATTCATTCATTCATTTATTGAGACAGGGTCTTGCTCCATTAGCCAGGCTGGAGTGCAATCACAGCTCACTGCAACCTCTGCCTCCTGGGCTCAAATGATTCTCTCACTTCAGCCTCCCTAGTAGCTAGGACTGCAGGCACATGTCACCATGTCTGGCTAATTATTGTACTTTTTTTTGTAGAGACAGGATTTCATTGTATTGCCCAGGCTGGTCTTTTATACTTGGGCTCAAGCAATCCACCTGTCTTAGCTTTCTAAAGTGTTGGGATTACAGGCGTGAGACACTGTGCCCGGCTGAAAGGTTTTATTTATGTATAAAAGGCAACTCAATATGTACAGGAAGGAAAAGTTTAGATCTTTCTCTGGCTCTGTGTGTGTTTGTGATCCACTCATGTTAAGATTGCTTTTCTGTTTCTTTCCTGGAAAGGAACTATACCTGTATATCCTTCCAGAATTTATAGTGCATAATGGATGTGCAATATTTGTGAAGGCTACCTTTCAGGGTTTTGAACATTAGGATATTGTCTGGCATGCTTAAATCAACAAACACTGGAGAAACAAGCTAGATACCCTGCATCATATCACCAAACTGTCATTGGAATGATGTCCAGGTCTAGGAGTCAGTCCAAGATAAGCAAGTATGGTAGAAGGAATAAATTAATTCTCACAGGGAGGAAAAAAACTGTAGAGATGGACGTGTTAAACACACTAGAGCCCTTGAAGTAGTGGGATAAGTGGATATGAGCTAAAGCCAAAAATGCATGCTTGACTCAGAGTTTGGATGATACTTTACTTTTTGAGTCT
Organism: Homo sapiens; assembly: GCF_000001405.40. NCBI lineage: Eukaryota > Metazoa > Chordata > Mammalia > Primates > Hominidae > Homo > Homo sapiens. The sequence goes on along the minus strand of NC_000004.12, from coordinate 126,595,684 downwards.
ATAATAATGCGACCCACAACATTTTCTAGCTGAATTTATCCAGGGACTATTGTCTATGAAGAAATGTTCTTAGATGTGCATTAAATAATCTGGAATTTTAAGATAAAGTTAGATTTCTACAATTTTTGAAAGTCTATGAGAAATATTTCTAATTGATGGGTATATTTCTTTCAACATGCTAATCAAATGCACCTACACAAGGTGTGTTGTATTTATTGGATAAGAAGTCAACCTGGGGCTCATTGTTTACATACCAAGAACTCAAATATTATGCAAGTGTGTAGAATCTGTGAGAGGGACGAAAAAATAAAGCAGTTAATCAAATACACAAAAACCAACTTGTCAAAGGCAATTGTCAGGATAAGAAAAATAATAGTTGCTGTTGTGAGCATGTGCAGGATCCAGGGGATTCTGCCCAGGGTGCTTTCACTAATTGAAAGCAACGTTCTCTATGTTTATGCTTCCCATGGGGTGGAAACCAGGACGCCTAGGAAGTCGGCCACAGACTTCCCCTGTTCAACAGAGCCATAATAAGTAGGTACAGCACACTAAGGAAAGATACATTACAGAAGAAGCCACAGGAGGGAGGAAAGTGTTCTCTACTGATTAGTATAATGTGGATTTTGAGAATGAGAAGCAGATAGAGTTTCAGGACCAATGAGCATTTGGGAACAATTCTATAGGGAACACTGTAAGCCAATGAAATAAGGGAACATATTAATAAATGCTTAATCAATGACTTTTTATCTTGGTCTCCAGATTCATTAACATTTCCGGTTATATTAGTATATTAGAAAAATGAATAAAATCAAACATATGCTAAAGAATTGTATTAGTCAAAGTCTTGACAGAATACAGAAGGCACAGCTAGCCTTAATTAAAGAGGGGTAGGCATGGTTATACGAACCAATATAGAATGTTGAGACACCAAGGAAATAACAATAGGAAAACATTATTACAACAAGGACTAAAGTGACAATACAAGGAAAGAGGGTTATAAAAGCCAATAAAAGCTCAAACTATTTAAGGAGACCCTCCTGACCTCCTACTACCTCTTCTCTTACGTGCTGCCAAAATCTTTATTGGCTGATGCCAACTGGAAGGCAGAGGTTAAGTGAAACTGGGGAGATACTGTCTAAATAAGTTAATATTTCTTGCCCCATTTCAAGTCACAGAGCAGGACAAACTCATGTAGGATGGAGAATGAAGCAGGGGAGAAACTGAAGAATAAATATTATAATAATAGAGAATAAAAGGGATTAAAATTGAGGAAGATATTTTGTTCCAAATTCTATGATCCTCAAGTGGACTAATATTTGTTTTTTATGTGATTTTTTTTAAATTGGCTTTATTTTTCTAGAGAAGTATTGGCTTCACAACAAAATTGAGTGGACGTTACAGAGATTTCCCATATACCCTCTGCCCTCACTCATCCAGAGCTTCCTCCATTATCAACATCTCTCAACAAAGTGGTACATTTGATACAACTGGTGACCTAACCTCGACACAGCGTCACACAAAGTCCATAATTTACATTAAGGTTCACTCTTGGTATTGTATTATACATTTTATGGGTTTGGACAAATTTATAATGGCATATCTCAACCATTAAAGTATTATACAGATAGTTTAGTTGTCCAAAAACTTATCTGTGCTCCTCTTGTTTATTCTTTCCTCTTCCTAACCACTGGAAAACACTAATTGTTTTTACTGTCTCCGTATTTTTATATTTTCCAGAATGTCATATAGTTGAAGTAATATAGTATGTAGCCATTTCAGATTGACTCCTTTCACACAGTAATATGCCTTTAAGTTTCCATGTGTATTTTCATGGCTTGATAGCATATTTCTTTTTAGCACTAAGTAATATTCCATTTTCTGGATATACCACCATTTATTTATCCATTCATCTACTAAAGGACATCTTGGTTACTTCTAGGTTTTGGCAATTATGAATAAAGCTGCTATAAACATCTGTGTGAAGTTTTAATGTGGACCTATGTTTTCTAGTCCTTCGAGTAAATGTCTGGGAGCATGATGACTGGATCATAATGTAAGAGTGTGTTTAGTTCTGGGAGAAACTGCCAAAATGTCTTCAAAAATGGTTGTACCATTTTGTATTTCAAATAAGAATGAGAGTTCCTGTTACTGAACATTCATTCCCACACTTGGCACTGTCAGGGTTCTGGATTTTGGCCATTTTAATGCGTGCATAGGGCTATTTCATTGCTGTTTGATTTACATTTCCCTGATGGATGTCATATGATGTGAGGCATATTTTTATGTGTCTTTTGCAAATATTTTCTCCCAATCTGTGGCTTTTTTTTTATTCTCTTGATACTGTCTTTCACAGAACAGTAGTTTGTAATTATGATGAAGTCAAGTTTATCACATATATTTCCTGGATTGTGCCTTTGGTATTGTATCTAAAATGTCACCACTATACCTAAGGACATTTATGTTTTCTTCCATGTTACCTTCTAAAAGTTTTATAATTTTCTGTTTTACATTTAGGTCTGTGATCCATTTTGAGTTAACTTTGATGAAGCATGTAAGGTCTATGTCTAGGTATAATTTTTTTCCATGTGCATGTCCAATTTTTCCAGCACCATTTGTTGAAAAGACAATTTTTTTCTCCATTGTATTGTTTTTACTTCTATGTCAAAAATCAGTTGACAGTGAATTCATGTGCCACATAATGATGTTCAGTCAATGACAGACCACATAAATACTGGTTCCTTAAGATTATAATGGAGGTTCCCTATATAGGCCTACAACAGGTAGTCCTGTAGTGGCTTCATCTATTTCTCCTTGCAGTTAGATCAGTTTTTACCTTACATAGTTTGACACTCGGTTGTTGGGCACGTACACATTAAAAACAGTTATGTGTTTTGGAAAATTGACGCAATTACCATTATGTAATGCCCTTCTTTATCCCGGATAACTTTTCTTGGTCTGAAGTCTGAGCTGTCTGAAATTTATACAGCTATGCCTGCTTGTTTTTGATTAGTGTTAGCATATTTCTTTCTCCATACACTTACTTTTAATCTATATTTTTAAAAAACATTTAAAGTGGATTTCTTTAGGCAACATATAGTTGATTTTGTTTATTTTTTTAATCCACTCTGACCATCTCTGTTTTTTAATTGGTACATTTAGAGTGGTTTGTAGTTGAATATTTTCCTTCTTCCACATGGAAGACTAGGGGGACTGAATTTGTGTATTTCCTTTCCTCCAGGTAGTTTAATTTCTGATAAAACTCCATTAAGTTATGCTCTCATTAAATAGTTTTTCCTGAGTGCAGATCTTGTTAAGTAGAAAAGCGTGCTCCGGTGTATTTAAAAATGGTTCCTTTTCCCCTCCCTCTGCTGGAAGCATGAGGAATTTTTTTCCCCCATATTTACTATAAGGATCTGGTTAAGCTGCTGGAGGTAAAACTCATAAACGTGTGGGGGCACTGATAGCTAGGTCTCCCTGGAGATTTTATGTCAGACTTGTTTATGCTGAGTCTCTAGCAATTCATCAATTACAGTTCAGATTTTCCTAACCCAGCACTGGTTCTCCTGAAAGTTTCTGCTTTGGCAAGCTGAGAGTCTCTGTATTCACCTTTGCATTTGGGGCAATAATTTGCCCTGTTGAATTCACCTCTCTGATGGATCTAAGAAGAGTTGTTGATTTTTTCAGTTTGTTCAGCTTCTTATGAGTTAGGACAGAGTGGCTCCTTCCAGCTTCTCATGTACTGAAGTGGAAACTGAGAGTTTTTCTGGCTTAATAACCCTTAATGTTAAAAGTCACATTAGAAACTGTGGAGGGACTATTACCAGATAAACCTAAGTAGAAAATAGTCTTTTGACCTCTAGATTTGACCTGTTAGAGAGAAAGAATGCCTCAGTGCATTATTGGATTTCCATATTTTTCTAGTGACTAATAAAGTGCTTAGGAAATCTGATATATCTGGAAATCTTGGCATATTTAGAAAATATTCTAGAGCACTTCAGAAAAACATTAAAATGTCTTGTGAAAAAAATTTTAAAAAGAGATAACTTGTTGTCTTTGGTAGAAAGATGTTCTTTTGCATTGCTGTTGTATTTATGTAGAATAGATTATTTTCCAACAACTGGTAGACTCTATTTAGAAATCTTTCCCATCACTCTCCCTAGCCTGCCAACTGCAGACAACTGAACACCTTTTTAGGATTCAATATGTATTACAGAATGTCCCATAGATCAAACCTCTCACAGTCTAGTTTCTGAGATGTCACTAGAATCTCAGTCTGGCTTTCTCAGGACCACTAGGATTGTTGAGGTTGGAGCTAAGAATGAAGTGGACTTCAAAGAATTATCAAGACATCCAGGAAGCAAATTTCCAAAATATTCTATATTATGATCTGACTTTTGCTTCAAGGTATATATAAGTTCTGGTGCAATAAGAAAGAAATATTTGGTCTATTTCACCTGTTTCTGACACAAATCTAAAACTCTTGAGATGTCCTGATTGATAAGAATGTCTTTTATCCTGATTGATTAGATGACAGATGGCTGGGGCCCATGATAGCTTCAGGATATGGGCTGGTCATCAAAAAGACCAATACATGTTTAGAGAATTGGAATTTTTAGGGCTATCTCCCAACCTCCAGAGAGGGGAAAAGGACCAAAAATTGAGTTTAATCACCAATGGGTGATGACTTAATCAATCATACCTACATAATGAGACTTCCATAAAAACCATAAATATAGGATTCAGGGAGTTTTCACATCAGTGAACACATCAAGGGTGCCATGCCTCAACGTTGCACGCGTGGTCTACAGTCTCATTCCCCCATACCTTGCCCTATGCGTATTTTCCATATGCCTATTCCTAAGCTGTATCCTTTATAATAAACAAGTAAATGCAGGTAAAGTGTTTTCCAGAGTTCTGTGAGTACTTCTAGTGAATTGTCAAGCCTGAGGAGAGGGTTGTGGAACTCCTAATTAACAGCCAGTTGTTCAGAAATATAGGTACCGTATTTCTGAACTTCAGGCCATAACCACTGACCTGTCCTGCCCTGGAATTTGGACAGATGACTGAAGTAGGGGGAGTTTTGCAGGACTAAATCATTAATCTGTGCAGTCTATGAAAACTCTTGGAATTGGTTTCAGAATTGAATTGAACTGTTGGACATGCAGTTGGAGTCAGAAAATCACACAATTTCGTGTAAGAGTTGGTGTCACTTGACATGTAGATATGTCACTTCCATATCTACAAACAAATACTGAGATATACACTTAAGATTAGTATACTTGACTGGGCGTGGTGGCTCACGCCTGTAATCTCAGCACTTTGGGAGGCCGAGGCAGGGGGATCACCTGAGGTGATTGAGAGTTTGAGACCAGCCCGGCCAGCATGGGGAAACCCCATCTCTACTGAAAATACAAAACATTAACCAGGTGTGGTGGCAGGTGCCTGTAATCCCAGCTACTCTGGAGACTGAGGCAGGAGAATCGCTTGAACCCGGGAGGTGGAGGTTGCAGTGAGCCAATATCGCGCCATTGCACTCCAGCCTGGGCAACAAGAGCAAAACTCCATCTCAAAAAAAAAAAAATTAGTATACTTTTGCTTATTTTATGTATGTGTGTTGTACTTGAATAAATCTTTTTTTTAAAAAAATGCTTGACACCTAGCTGGTGATTACACCTGTGATGATTTTTGCAAATTCTTACAAATCTTTGTATTATTCATTGATATCAATAGGGAAGTCTTAAAAGACATGTAATTATACTCGATTTGTGGGAAATAGAGATCCATGACCTGTATCATCAGAGTTTATTTGATAAGTAAAATATAGACAATTTTTAAGATACTGAGTTGTCTTGAAAGTAAGCTTTAGTAAATAAGTTTCTTGGTTACACCTTTTTGATGTTTGCTGGTACTTTCTCTTTTTCATTTCTAAATGTTAGAATGCTTCAAGCTTTTGAGCTGGCCTTATTTTTTATTTTTTCATTTTATTGCACTTCTCGTTATTGGCCTTTGTAGATATTGTGAGGTTTAAAAAATGAATTTAGGGAGTACAAGTGCAGTTTTGTTATATGAATATCAGCTGAGTAATGTACATTGTACCCAATGGGTAATTTTTCATCCCTTGCCCCACTTTCAACTTCCCACCTTTTGGAGTCTTCAACGTCTGTTATTCCACTCTGTATGTCCATGTGTACACATTTTTTAGCTACCATTTATAAGCGAGAATATGCGGTATTTGACATTTGTTTCTAAGTTATTTCTCTTAATAGACTCCAATTTCATCCATGTTACTGCAAAAAAAGCCCACATGATTTTATTCTTTTGTATAGTTGAGTAATAGTCAATGGTGTGTGTGCGTGTGTGTGTGCATGTACGTGTGATTTTCATCTTAGTTAATTTTTATATATGGTGAGAGATATGGGTCCAGTTTCATTCTTCTATATATGGCTATCCAACTTTCCCAGCACTATTTATTGAATAGAATGTCCTTGCCCCAGTGTATATTTGTGTCTACCTTGTGAAAGATCAGTTGACTGTAGGTATGCAGCTTTATTTCTGGGTTCTCTATTATGTTCCATTGATTTTTGTGTCTATTTTTATACCAGTACCATGCTGTTTTGGTTACTATAGGCTTGTAGTATAATTTGCAGCCAGACAATGTGATACCTCCAGCTTTGTTCTTTTTGCTTAGGGTTGCTTTGGCTATTCAGACTATTTTTTGATTCTATAGGAATCTGAGGATTGTTTATTCCAATTCTGTGAAAAATGACATTTGTAATTTGACAAAAAATTGCACTGAATCTGTAGAGGGCTTTGGACAATATGATCATTTTATCAATATTGATTCATCCAACCCATAAACATGAAATGTTTTTCCATTTGTTTGTGTGTTTTATGATTTATTTCATTAGTGATTTTTAGTTCATCTTGCAGAGATCTTTCACCTCCTTGGCTAGGTTAAATGTATTCCTAGGTATTTTACTTTTTTGTAGAAATTGTAAATAGTATTGAGCTCTAGACTTGGTTCTCAGCTTGATAATTATTGGTGTATAGAAATGCAACTGATTTTTGTATGTTAATTTTGTATCCTGAAACTTTACTGAAGTCATTTGTCAAATCTAGAATTCTTTTGGAGGAGTCTTTAGAGTTTTCTAGGTATAACATTATGTCATTAGCAAGCAACGATAACTTGACTTTCTCTTTTTCTTTGCATTTATTTATTTATTTATTTTTATTATTAGATTTTAAGTTCTGGAGTACATGTGCAGAACATACAGGTTTGTTACATAGGTGTACATGTGCCATGGTGATTTGCTGCACCCATCAACCCGTCATCTACATTAGGTATTTTTCCTAATGCTATCCCTCCCCTAGCCTCCCAACCCCTGACAGGCTCCGGTGTGTGATGTTCCCCCCTCCCTGTCCATATGTTCTCATTATTCAACTCACACTTATAAGTGAGAACATGTGGTGTTTGGTTTTCTGCCCTTGTGTTAGTTTTCTGAGAATGATGGTTTCCAGCTTCATCCATGTCCCTGCAAAGGGCATGAACTCATCCTTTTTATGGCTTCACAGTATTCCATGGTGTTTATGTGCCACATTTTCTTTATCCAGTCTATCATTGATGGGCATTTTGGTTGGTTCCAACTCTTTGCTATTGTGAACAGTGCTGCAATAAACATATGTGTGCATGTGTCTTTACAGTAGAATGATTTCATTTGACCCAGCAATCTTATTACTGGGTATATACCCAAAGGATTATAAATCATTCAACTTTCTCTTTTTCAATTTGGATGTCTTTTATTTCTTTATCTTGCCTGATTGCTCTAGCTATGACTTCTGTTGAATAGGAATTGTGAAAGTGGGAAGCCTCATCTTGTTTCAATTCTTAGGGAGAATGCTTTCAACTTTCTCACATTCAGTATGATGTTGGCTGTGGGTTTGTCATATATGGCTTTTATTATTTTGAGGTATGTCCTGCTATGCCTAATTTGTTGTGGGTTTTTGTCATGAAGTGATGCTGAATATTTTCAGATGCTTTCCTGCATTTATTGAGACGATCATATGATTTTGCTTTTAGTTATGTTTATGTGTTGAATCACATTTATTAATTTCCACATGTTGAACCATCCCTTCATCCCTGGAATGAAACCCACTTGATTGCGGTGTATTATATTTTTGATGTACTGTTGGATTTGGTTTTCTAGTATTTTCTGTACCTACGTTCATTAGGGATATGTTTTTTTCTCCTGTGTCCTTACTTGGCTTTGGTATTATGGTGATACTGGCTTTATAGAATGAGTTAGGTAGGATTTCTTTCTTCCCAACTTTATTTATTTATTTAATTTTTTGAGACAGTGTCTTGCTCTGTTGTCTAGGCTGGAGTGCAGTGCCATGATCACAGATCACTGCAGCCTTAGCCTCACTGGCTCACCTGATCCTCCCACCTCAGCCTCCTGAGTAATTTGGACTGTAGGCACAGGCCACCATGCCCGGATAATTTTTGAAAACAATTTTTGTAGAAACAGGGTCTCCCTATGTTGTCTGGGCTTGTCTCAAACTCTTGGCTCAAGTGATCCTCCTACCTCGGCCTCCCAAAGTGCTGGGATTACAGATGTGAGCCACTGTGTCCAGCCTTCTTGACTTTTTGAAAATTTCAGTAGGATTGGTACCAGTTCTTTTTTGTATGACTGGTAGAATTCAACCATGAATCCATTTGGTCCAGCGTTTTTTGTTGTCATTGTTGTTTTAAGATGTTTTATTACTGATTCAATCTCATTACTCAGTATTGGTTTGTTCAGGATTTCTATGTGTTCCTGATTCAATCTTTGGAGGTTGTATGTTTCCAGGGATATGTCCATTTACTCTAGGTTTTCTGATTTGTGCATATAGAGCTGCTCATAATAGTCTCATATGATCTATTGTATTTGTGTGGTATCAGTTGCTTTGTTACCTTTATTATTTCTGATTGTGTTTGACTCTTCTCTCTTTTCTTCTTGGTTAGTTTAGCTAGTGATCTATCACTTTTTAAATCTTTCCATAGAACGAGCTTTTTGTTTTGTTGATAATTTGTTCCATTTTTAAATTATCAATCTCATTTAGTTCTGCTCTGATCTTTTTAATTTCTTTTCTTCTCCTAGTCTCGGGTTTGGTTTGTTCTTACTTTTCTAGTTCCTTGAGGTGAGATGTTAGATTTTTAATTGGAGATTTCTCTATGGTTTTGATTTAAGCATTTAATGCTATAAACTTTCCTCTTAGCACTACTTTTTCTGTGTCCCAGAGGTTTGGCTATGTTTTCTCTCTATTGTCATTCATTTCTATTTTTTTTAATTTCTGCCTTAATTTTGTCACTTATGCAACGATCATTCAGCAGCAAGTTGTTTAATTTCCATGTATTTGCATATTATTGAGGGTTCCTTTTGGTATTGATTTCTAATTTTATTCCACTGTGGTCTAAGAAGATATTATATATATATATATATATATTTATATATATATATATATATATAAAATATAAATATTTTAATTTGTTGAGACTTGCTTTGTGGCCACGCATATGGTCAATTTTGGAGAATGTTCCAAGTGCAGATGAGAAAAATGTATATTCTGTGTATATTCTGTAAATGTCTATTAGGTCTGTTTGGTCTAGAGCCCAGTTTAAGTTCAAAGTTTCTTTATTGATTTTCTGCCTTGATTATTGGCCTAGTGCTGTCAGTGGGTTGTTGAAGTCCTTCGCTATTGTTGTATTTTTCTTTTCTTAGGTCTAGTAGTATAGTATTTGTTTTATAAATCTGTATGCCTAGTGTTGGTTGCATATTTAGACTTAGGATAATTAAATCTTCGTGTTGAATTGAATCCTTTATCATTATATAATTACCTTCTTTGTCTTTCTTTTTACTACTGTTGTTTTAAAATATGTTTTATCTGATATATATATATATATATATAGCTACTCCTGCTTTATTTTGGTTTCCATTTGTGTGAAATGTCTTTCTCCATCCTTTTATCTTGAGTCTGTAAGTGTTTTTATCACTTAGGTGCATTTCTTGTAAGCATCATATGAAAGAACTCTGTTTTTTAAATCCATTCTACTAATCTATATCTTTTCAGTAGAGCATTCAGTTCATTTACCATCAAGGTTACTATAAATTTGTGAGGTTGTGTTCCTGTCATAATGTTAATTGTTATCTACTTGCTTCTGAGTCTCAATTGTGTCATTGTTTTACATGACATGTGAGTTACATACTTCTGTATGTGTTTATGAGGGTGAATATTGATCATTCAACTCTATGTTTAGAAGTCCTTTGAATATTTCTTGTAGGTGTGGTCTAGTGATGAATTCATGTATTCCCTTAGCATTTGCTTGTCTGGTAAAGACTTTATTTCTCTTTTATTTATGAAATTTAGTTTAGCAAGATACAAAAATCTTTGGCTGATATTTATTTATTTATTTATTTGCTTTAAGAATACTGAAAAATAGGACCTTCATCTAGCTTGGGGGTTTCTGCTGATAATTCTGCTTTTAGTCTAATTGGATTTTATATAAGTGATTAAGTGATTTTCTCTTGCTCCTTTTAGGATTTTTTTTCTTCACCTTGACTTTAGATAGTCTAATGACTGTATTACCTTGCCAAAGTCCATCTAGCAATGTATCTTCTTGGATTTCTCTATGCTTGTTGTACTTGTATATCTGAATTTCTAGCAAAATCAGAGAACTTTTCCTTAATTATTCCCTCAAAGAGATTTTGCAAACATTTTACTTTCTATCTTCTCTCTCAGGAATACCTATAACTCATAGGTTTGGACATTTTACATAATCCCATATTTCTGGAAGATTTTGTTCATTTTTAAAAATTCCTTTTTCTTTACTTTTGTCTGACTGGGTTAATTCAAAAGACCTGTCTCCAAGCTCTGGAATTCTTTCTTCTACTTGGCTTAGTGTTTGTTAAAGCTTTTAGCTACATTTTGTAATTTCTTCAACATATTTTTCATTTCCAGAAATTTTTCCTTTAAATATGTATCCATTTAGGCCGGGAGCAGTAGCTCATGCCTGTAATCCCAGCACTTTGGGAGGCTGAGGCAGGCGGATCACCTGAGGTCAGGAGTTCAAGACCAGCCTGGCTAACATGGTGAAACCCCGTCTCTACTAAAAAAAAAAAAAAAAAAAAAAAAAAAATACAAAAATTAGCCAGGTGTGATGGCAGGCACCTGTAATCCCAGCTATTTGGGAGGCTGAGGCAGGAGAATCGCCTGAACCTAGGAGGCGGAGGTTCCAGTGAGCTGCGATAGCACCAGTGCACTCCAGCTGGGCAACAAGAGCAAGACTTCGTCTCAAATATATATATATATATATATGTGTGTGTGTGTCTGTTTAGTGAATTTTTTATTCATAATCTGAATTTCTTCTGATTTCTTTTTGTTGGTTTTCAACTTTCTCTTGGGTCTCACTGAGCTGCTTTAAAATCAGTCTTTTGAATCAGTTCAATATTTTGAACTATTTATCTGGTATTTCAAATATTTCATTTTATTAGGATCCATTGCTGGAGAGTTAGCATGGTCTTTTGGGAGTGTTGTAACACTTTGCTTTTTCTTATCACCAGAATTGTTTCTCTGCTTCCTTCTCATCTGGATAAGCTATCTCTTTTTATTTTTTATTTTTTTACTTTACTTTTGCTGGATGGGATTTTTTTTTTTTTTAGATGTGACTCTAATGTATGTTGTGCATGGTCACTCGGCTTTGGTTCTGGGTGCTTTCAATGGCAAATACTCTGTATAAGTTCCTTGGTAATAGGTGGCTTTTGAGTAGTGGCTTTCTAAAATGGTGGATATAGTAGTGATATATGGGTGTATGGTCAGTCTCACTGTCTTCTTCCGGGTTGGGATTGTTGAGGTCTCAGGAAGCTTCTCTCATTCTCCAGTGCAGCTCTGTCAGCAAGTTTTGTGTTGGGTTGTGCAGGTCAACCTTCAGGCCAATAGGTGGCACTTATGGGTAAGAGCTGGCTGAGCAGAAGCAGAAGGGTATATGCTTGATCTTTGTTTACCAGGAGGAGCTCTCTATTGTCTCAGGTGATGGGCTAGTCTGTGGAATGCCTGGTACCCTGAGCTCCCAGCTCAGCTCCAGATGGGGAGACTGTCAAGCTTGTCCTCACATACCCAGTGGCAAGCATAAGCACCAGTCCTGATGTGGGCAGTGGCGGGAGCTCCTAGTAAAATGCACTGAAGCCTGCAGGGGGTAAAGGGGTTACCCCAACTCCACAGCTGTGCATGTAGGAATGTAATCTACTTTCATATCCTGTCCTGGGGCTTGGGATTCTCAGTTCAGACAGACGCGCTATCTATATCCAGGCTGCAATGTAGCTGAGTGCCATAGAAGCTGCCTGTCCCTCAACTCTCTGCTGAAATGGCTTCAGTGTGTAATCTTTTCTCTCAGCCCAAGACACCAAGTTTTGTGGCTTTCCCGATCTTTATTGCAGGAAGGCTGCCCAGGCCCAGTGGGCACACCACCAGTAGGGATGCAGTGCCCTTCAGAATGGCCATCCTCTTGTGCATCCATGCCAGCCTCTTGCAGGGCATCCATGGCTACATCTACAGCAGTGGACTAGTGGGGAGGAGAAATCCAACTCTTCAGGCCTGTGCCGGAGCACTGTGGCTGCCTGGCCACTGGAGCAGAACCACACTCTTCCCTCATTGAGTTGAACACAGCACCTACATCTCTGCTGGAAGAGCCACAGTCACTCTCTGCCCACAAGTGGGAGCTCTTGGGCACAAGAAAGCACATACTCTGGTTTCCTCTGGTTTCCTTTGGCACACCCCTAGGCAGGTGCCCTGAGCTCCCAGCTCTCCCTTTCCCTGGGAGCAGCATGCCCTGTGGGCTAGACTACCGGGAATCCACAGCTCCCCTTGGTCCAACAAGCTCTGTGTGGCTGCTGCAATCCTAGTGGGTGCTGGGGTATGTTTGTGGGGGATCCCGTGATGTGGAGACACAAGGACTGATAGATCCAATCAGGCCTATGATGTTCTCATGTGTCTCTTACCACAATCATCTCATGGTAAGAATCCTACAATGGGTACGCATTCAGTATGGTGCCCTATCATTGTAGCTGGGTTCTGGGCCAGTGGTGAGTGAACCTGGGCAAGCTGGTAGCCTGGTGCAATGCCCTCAAGAAGCTCCCAATTTGCTGCCCACACTAGTGATTGAGCTTGCAAGGGTAGAGGAACTCTCTGATAGTTTAGAAAGCAGTAGTATGCTGCAGGAGTGAAGGCAGCAAAAACAAAAAACAAAGCCAAAAAACCAAACAAACCCACCTGCCCTTTCATTGGAACACCAAATTCTTTGGGGTTCCATCTCTGCCAGATTCTTGCTTCCTTATTTTTCTGTGCCCTAGCTTCTTCTCTTGAGTTCTTCCATAGGCTCCAGCACTCTCCCTTTAATATTCTGTTCGAGTTATGATTATTCACCTGTAACTTTGGTTCTTCTTTCTGAGGAGAACTGGTGTTCAATGTCTCTAGTCAGTCATATTAAAAATAAGACAGAAAAAATATTGGCCTTTTATAATTCTCTGTTTACACACATGATTTTAATGGAGGTAAGTCTTTATATCATATCTATATGTTGATGACTTTCAAATGTATCATCTAGCCCTGACCACTCCTTTGAACTACAGATTCACTCACATAGCCCATTTTCTACTCTAAATGTCCATTTAGATGGCTAATAAAAAACCAACACATCCAAACTGGAACTCTTTATACTCCTCTGATAAATCTATTACACCTCTAATCTTTTGCATTTTAGCAAATGTTGGCACCACCTGCTGCCTTGGCCAAAAGAAACCATCCTTGCTTCCTCTCCTTCTATTATAACCATATAATATAATATAATATAACCATATAATATAACCTTCTATTATAACCATGTAAATAACTTCTATCATTGCTGCCTCCAAGATATGTTCCATATATGGCCACTTTTATCATCTTCAAAGCTGTAGCACCCTAGTCCAAGTCACCATAATTTCTCTTCTAGTTCTAAGAAAAACTTTTAAAGATTTTGCTACTTCCACTCTTGCCCTACATGTACAATTTTGCTCAAGGCAGTCAAATGGATAAAAATCCATGTGCCTAAGCACATAAAAATCCATTTGACTCCCTTGAGAAAAAATTGTAGATGTAGGACAAGAGTGGAAGTGGGGGTGGAGGGAAGGAGATCATCAGAAAACATAGCTAATGGGTTCTGAGCTTCATACCTAGGTGTGGGTTGATCTGTGCAGCAAGCTACCATGGCACACGTTTACCTATGTAGAAAATCTGTACATCCCGCACTTGTACTTTGGAACTTAAAAGTTGATTTAAAAAAGAAAAAAACAAACCATAAGCTAGATATGTCATTCCCTTGGAGCATAAACTTCTAATTAGTGGAATAGCTCATTCAGAGTAAGATCCAATCAGGCCTATGATGTTCTTATGTGTATCTTATCACAATCATCTCATGACTTTTATTCTCACTCAGCTGAAGCTACCATTACCTTTATGCTCATCTCACAAATACTAAGTTTGTTCTCACTTCAGAATTTTGCTCTTCCTGCTCTTTGCCTGGCATTCTTGATCCAAAGATCTACATACTGTTCACTTTTCATTCCATCTAAAATTTTTCTTAAACATCTCCTTTACTAACCAACCATTTTAACAATTTTTCCCATCATTCTCTATACATTACCTTATTTTACTTTTAAACAACATATAACACAACTAGACATTTTATTATTTTTTATTGTTTTCAATTTGCTTTCTGCATCACAAGACTATCAGCTTCAGAGAGCAGGGACTTTGATTTTCCCATTGGATCATTAGAACTTAAAAAAGTGCCTATATGGCAGAAGCTCAATACATCCTTGTGAAAGTAATGAATTAAATGCAAGGAGAATGTGCAGACTAATTTTAAAAATCTCACTATATCCTAACAAAAACCAAAGGGATGACTTAAACATCTCTTTAGTTCTAAAATTCTAGTATTTGTTGATTGAGATTAAGTATCTGAAAAGCTTTCCTGGAAATCTCACCTCACCAGGCACTGACATATTACTAGGGATGTTAGACATGTGGGATGAAACATACATACCCAGACCCTCTTAAAAAAAGGAGCTAACGTGACTGAGAACCTGAAGTATCTCTGGAGGCTGTACCCACAGTGTCCAAAAATTACATAACCCTAATTTCTTGTTTACTGACCAAAGAGTGGGTGAAAAATATTCTCTGGAACATAGGTTATTTGAACCTGAGGTTGTTAATGAAGAAAAAGGGATCCTTGCAAGTAGTGAAGATAAAATTTCCTCCCAAAGCACAATACTTCAATGCTATGTTTGTTTACTACAAGCATAATAGAAACTAGAAACTAGCTCTGGTTAATGAGTTAGTGTAAAATATTACATAACTAATGGTAAACAGTAGCATTTAAAAGCAGTTGATGTTGGTGCAACAAAATATTATGTTGAAATCTTAGACAAGGGAAAGATATTTGAGCAAAATAGGCTAAATTTTATTCAGTGGGTCATAATAACCAGAGATGTCAACACAAAATGTAAGAATACCATTAAGAAAAACCACATCCCAGCACTTTGGGAGGCTGAGGCGGGCGGATCACGAGGTCAGGAGACTGAGACCATCCTAGCTAACACGGTGAAACCCTGTCTCTACTAAAAAATACAAAAAATTAGCCGGGCGTGGTGGCGGGCACCTGTAGTCCCAGGTACTCAGAAGGCTGAGGCAGGAGAATGGCTTGAACCCGGTAGGCGGAGCTTGCAGTGAGCCGAGATCGCGCCACTGCACTCCAGCCTGGGCAACGAAGCGAGACTCCATCTGGAAAAAAAAAAAAAAAAAAAAAGAAAAACCACATGGCTTAACCATGTAGTCCATTGAGAAATGAAGCAGAGTAGCATACCCTCATACATATTTGCTAATTTTTTTATAGTCCCTATAGAGTGATAGCAGGAAGGGGCAGTCTCCTATACCAAACCATCGGATCCCAGAAAATACAGTAACAGTAAGAGAGCATTTCCCTTGGTAAAACCAGGACCATTCTATCTGTATTATGTAAGCTGCAATTATGACATATATATTGTACAATGATATTCCGCTTCATTTAATCACCTCTCAGACACAGTCTAACCATGGATAGAGTCGGTGGTTAAAAATTTTAGGCTTTGGGAACATTAATTTAGGATATATGAAAATATCTAGAATGGCAAAATTCACAAATGACAAAAATAGTAGAGAGATTTAGGGTATATCTGAAGAAAAGAACATGGATGGATGAGTTGTTAGTGGTGGAGCAGGACTGAGGAATCTGCAGCTGCGAATGGCCCAGTCACAATGCATATGGTCATGGAGGGAGGTAGCTGCTTCTGAAGAACACAGAGACCCTTCAAATATTAGAGCTATCAGGTGTGAAGAAAAGTAGAAATGATGCATGAGACAGGCATTAGGTCACTGGAAAATCTATATGAAGAATAAGTGACAACCACATCTGCTTACAGCTACCCCTCAGGCAAAACCAAGTGAAGCTAAACTTAATGAAAACAAATACAGACAGAGACGCTTCTGAAAAATTTAATGAACACTTTGATGGGACCTAGTGTGAAAGTTGAGGTCCAAAAATAAATGTTCAGTGTTCTCTTATTTGGGGCATTGAAAAAATTAAAATTCAGCTCCTACACATACATACACACAGAAGTATAGATGCTCACTAGCAAATAAGCCACACCCATATAGATGCAGCAAAGTATTTTCATTGCTTTATTATCAAGTACAAATCGACAACCTAGAAAAACCACCATTTGAAGAAAGGAAGAACTTAAAAGAAAATGATCAAGATAAACAAATAGAAGAGACATGACCCAGAGAAAATAGATATTAAGGAGAGAAAAGACTATTCTATCCCATTATAGTATCATAAGAATAGTCATTTAATAATCATTTTAAAGTTTATATAGAAAGGCAAAAGACTCAAGACAGCTAACACATAATTGTAGCAGAAAAGAGTCAGAGGGTTAATATTGCCTGACTTCAAGATTTACCATAAAGCTGTAGAAATCAAGACAGTGTGGCATTGGTAAAACAACAGACAAATATATCAGTGGAAATGAATAAAGATCTCAGAAATATACTCATGAAAATATAATCAAGAAAAATTTGATAATAATGTAAAAACAATCAATGGAGAAAGGACAGTGTTTTTAAACAACTGCTGCTGAAACAACTGGACATTTAGATGCAAAAAAAATGAATCTAGATACAGCATTACCACTTTCAAATAAATTAACTCAAAAGATGACATACCTACATCTAAAATGTAAAACCATATAATTTGTAGAAGATAATATAGTAGAAAATGATAAGATAACTACACTAAAATTTAAAAGTTCTGTCCTGCAAAAAAGATGCTGCCAAGGGAATGAAAACCCAAGTCAAAGACTGGGAGAAGATATTGGGAAAAAAGCATATCTAATTAAGAGTTGTATCTGAAATATACAGAGAACTCTTAAAACTCAACAATAAAATGAAAAACCCAATTTAAAAATGGGCAAATGATCTAGACACCTTAAGAAAGGAGATAAACAGATGGCAAATATTTACCATCTTCTCTCGTTCGAGAATTGCAAATTAAAACAATATGAGATATGCCTACGCACCTACTAGAATAGCTAAAATCTAAAATACTGAAAATACCAAATGCTGAGGAACATGTAAAGCACCAGGGATTTTCATGAATTGCTGGTGGGAATGCAAAATGGTACAATCACTCTGGGAAACGGTTTGTCAGTTTCTTATGAAACTAAACACACTTTTACCATATAATCCAGCAATTGTGCTCCTTGACATTTACCCAAAGGAGTTGAAAACTTAGGTCTACACAAAACCTGCACATGGATGTTGACTGTTGATTGCCACTTATTTGGAAGCAGCTAAGATGTCTTTCTGTAAGTGAATGAATAAACAAATTATGGTACATTTACAAAGTGGAATTTTATTCAGGGATAAAACAAAATGAACTACTGAACCACAAAAGGACATAGAGGAAGCTTAAATGCATACTGCAAAGTGGAAGAAGCCAATGTGAAGAGGCTCCCCACTGTATGATCACAACCAATTTTCTAGAAAACATGGTTTTCTAAAAAAGGGAAACCAGAGAGACAGTGAAAAGATTAAGGATTGCTAAGGATTCAGGAAGAGGTGGAGAAGGGGTGAATAGGTGGAGTATAGGGCATTTTGGGGTAATCAAAACTATTTGATATGATATTCTAATGGTGGATACATGGAATTATGCATTTGTCAAAACCCATGCAACCATACAACAAAAAGAGTGAAGCCCAATGTAAACTATGAACTTTAGTTAATAATATTAATATATCAAGGTTGGTTTATCAGTTGTAACAGATGTGCTACATTCATGCAATACATTAATGATAATGAGGGAAACTGTGTTTGGAGGGGTGGAGGCAATTATTGAGCAGCTCTTTGTGTTTTCTATGCATTTTATCTGGAAATTTAAACTGCTCTGAAAAGAAAACCTACTAAAAAAAGATACTGAAATCCATGCCTTACTGCCATAAATTGCATATGCCATGGGGACAATTTCAAGACAATCTGGGTGTTTTTAAACTACTCAATGGGAGACATATGGACTTAAGAGTAATAGATTAATTAATGTTTTATATATCCCATATCATTCCAAATTGAAAATGTACTGTGGGAAAGGTGTGAAGAAGACTTGCAGAAGCTTCTCCAATTTCATGGTGAATTGGCATAAAGTCTTCTAGACTTCACATCAATACCTTTATATTGTCAGCTAGTCCAAGAACTGGATATATTCTACATTTCTGGTCTCCCTAAAACAATGTCTGCCACTTACTTTACACTAAATTTAACTGATGAACACTCTTAAGTTTCTGAGAAGCCTGTGGCTTTCATTTTCTAGTATCTCTCTTTCTAAATTATATCCAAAAACTGAAGAAAAAGAAAAAATAAAGTCTTATAATTAGTTCCCTGCTTCTAGGTTTTCTTTGGCCTTTCCTCAAACTGAAAAAGAAAAAAAGAGAAGCAGCTATGTAGGATATGTTTTTATTGCAACTATAAAACCATTAATGAAGTTTTCATCAAGTTAAAGCAGGTAATTTTTAACTTAATTCTTGAAAATGTTTGAAACATCTTTTTTTCCCTTAAAATTCCTCTCTGCAGCATGTTTAAACATTTTATATTTGTTGTGTGTGTGTGTGTGTGTGTGTGTATGTTTCATATAATGCTTGATCAACGAGTAGGTTTTCAATTAAGTTCTAGTGAAAGTTAGACAACTGCAACTCTTGGAAACTGCCAAAGTGACAATCAGAGTTCTTTAGGATATGTTTTATGAAAAAGCCTGATATGTTCTCATGAACATATAAAAATTAGTACAGAGTTCAAGCTTGAATTCATAACATTTAAAAAGATTGTTATATATTTTCTGTGAGTCCTTGATTGTTGATGTTGGCTGATCGATTTTCTTTACAGGGCTGTATTGCATTCATACAAACAAATAGTAATTGTAAGAGGAGTTTGCTCATGACTTTAGATAAATTTTTTCATTATATTACTAGACATTAACTTGTGATAACATGAGACTGTACTGAGGTATAAAATATCAGTGTTCATATCAGTCTATGAAAGGTTAGTAAGTTAGTAGTGTTCATATATAAAAAAAGCCAAGGATTAGTGAAATGTCATTTAGTATACGGCAAATGAAATAGTCATGCTAGCCATAGATATCTGCAATAAAGAAATTTATTGCACAATTTATTGCCAATCTATCTCATTCTTACTAATGTGCTAATATGCCTCTGGTTTTTTAATAATATTAATAGCTGACTTCTCCATTAATGCACGATTTTCTAAACCAACTTTATTTAATATATAGCTGGATATGCTTTCCTAACATTTTTCCTTTTGGCCAAATTTCTCCATATCTGAGACAGATATGACCCATATCATGTGTATCTAACTACTGGTACAATTTTTATAATATTCTTCCTGAAGAGAAGGTCAATTTGGCAACACATTATTGCATTTGTTTGAAATAAGTTTTTCATTTTTACATTATTGTATATGACAGGTTTTCATTGACCTAGAAAAGTTGTATTGTTTTCGCTGTTATATATTTCCCATGGCATTCGGAAAGGTTAAAAAAATAGTCAAAAAGTTTTCAGGGGAAACACATACACATGCAAAAACACAAATAACAAACACTAAATGATAGTGCCAAATCCTGAATACTTGTATTTTTTCAAGAAAAAAATGTTATTTTATGTTTATGCTAGTAGGAAGTGTGGTATGAGGGTTATGCCAAAGAGAATTTGTGAAAATTATCAGGGAAATTATTGGTGATTTTGGTCACAATACACATAGTATTTACGCAAAGCTTGTTTCCTGGGATCTCCAAGTACTTTGCAGAATACATTTTACTAATCTTATAACACTCTTTTTAATAAGGGGATATTTGAGTGAAGATATAAAGGAAGAATGCAAGCTGCTTAGCAAATCAGAAGAGTAAGGAGGAGAATCCAGTCTTTACAGATTTTAGTTCAGTGTTACATATACTCCAGGTGACCCATCATTACAGTACAGCTGTGTCCCTGGCTATAACACGTGCATGGGAACAGTTTGCCACACGCTTTGGAATTCTTCAAAAGATTGCACCAAGCATTAATATTGCCAAACACCCCAGGCATTGGCAAATGCTCTTTCCATTTGCTCCCCCATATGTGATATTGTTTGTGTCTTTTATGCTTAAAACTGAAAAACAAAACGTTGTTTATGGGATTTTGTAATGTGTGTGCATGATTTTAAGCAAAGTATTTTGCATTCTGGTAGTTAGAACAGTCCGTAAATATCCAAATAGATATAAAAATTATGAAGTTTACAAAAAAAGTGTTCCAAACATGACAGCCACTATTCAAAGGGAATCAAATTTACAATATTACAATGCAGAGCATCTCCTACCTCCCCATGCACTGTGTTTCTTCAAGAGTCTAGAAATGCTTAAGTAGGACATGAAAAAAGAAACATAACAAATTGAAATTATTAGATTAGTGTCTTTAACAAGGACTAAGGAACAGCTGATTCATTCATGCATTGAACTGTTTTTAAGTCCTAAGATGCACAATATACTGTGGGAATTAGTAATTCAATTTTCAGATCTTATGCACTTTACGAAATAGAATTAGTGAAACATCACTATTTGTTTTTTTAAAATTAATCAGATTCATAAACATTTAAAAACTTCACAGTTTGAGAATTATAGGTCAGGCATTTTATACAATGATCCTCAATTGTAATTTTCTGATATTTTTCTCATGATTATGATGGGTTTTTGGGAAAGGGAGTCTACAGAGGTAAAGTGCCATCTTCATCATATCATATGAAGAGTACAGTATCAATATAATGTATCACTGTTTACATAATTAACTGATCATATAGTTTGGGGTAGCATCTGTCAAATTTATCCATTGTAAAGTTACTCTTTTGCTTTCTCCCTTTTCATAATACTTTTTGAAAGAAGGTGTCTACGTACAACCCATGCTGGAGGGGTAAGGAGTTATACTCCCCCTAACTGAGGTCAGCTTATCTACATAAAGTATTTGGAGTTTTTCTGTATAGGAGATTTGACTATTCATCTCTATTTATTGTTTATTCAATCATTTATTTATATCAATGTGGACTCATAACAAGGAAAGTCTGAACAATTCTTATAGCCAAGAGAAGCCTAATGAATAGGATGACTAAATGCCTTGTAGTATTGCAGACTAGAAAGAGCAAATTAGAAAAGAAAAAACAAACTAAGGAAATGTTACAAAGAGGACTTTAGGTAATAAGAATGTATTCATATTGGTTCATTAATTGTAAAAAATGTACAATACTAATGTAAGAAGTTAATATTAGAAAAAACTGTGTGTGGGGTATTTGGTAAATCTCTGCACTATCTTTGTAATAATCCTGTAAACCTAAAACCATTATAAGATAAATGCTTAGTAACTTAAACATACCCTCTGCACACAAAAAATATTGATGCATTCAGGAAATGTCAGGGTTTCAGAACTAAAGCCATGAAGTTTTAGTGTGAGTATAAATTGCCATGATCTGTCAGTAATTATCAAAATATCAGTATGCATTCAACTTTGGTGGATCAAATTCACTTCTAAGGATCTATTTAGTAGAAATAAAATAAATATTTGAATGTATCATTGAAGCTTTGTTTGTAATAATAACAAAACAAAATAAGATAACTTAAAATAACTTACCAAAATATTCAGTTGAGTATTGATTGAGGTCATTGTGATACTTCTTCATAGGGTAGCCATTAAAAAGAAGGAAAATTCTCTGCATGTATTTGCTGTCTGGAAATAGAACTACAATATAGTAAAAATATATACTGTATTTTAAAACAGTAAGGCGAATAAGAAGATATTATATATGCATAGAATCATACATACGAAAATGTTAATGATGGTTACTTTAGGCAGAGTAAGATAGGAGTGGAGAATGTTGACTTTTACATTACCTTTTGCTAGTTTGAACTGGTACAGCTTTCATTTATTACTTTTGTAATAAAAATATAACTTTATTAGTAACAAATGATTAAAGTATTTATGTATACATATTATTTTATAATAGTTATATTATAATGTATTAATATGCAATTAATTAGCCAAGCACAGTTCAAGTTATCATAATTTAATTAATAGGAAATTATAAATCTGGTGCCCCTATATAAATTTAAGAGAATTAGATGTCACTGAGTCATTAACTTTTTAATATATTGAATAATTCTCTAATATGTGCCTCCGGCACTCCTGTTATTGATTTCTTGGCCTATGATTGACAAGTGAATAGAATATTATCCGTATTTTCAAGTCTCATTGTGTAGTTGGTGAGATAAACAAATGGCTGACTTATTAATAAAGAAATGTAAGAAATGCCCCACTTTACCTTTAAAGGCTTTGTAAGTAATATTTCATTTTTACAATGGAGTATTAAAAATGAGGTGGGCTGATAGAAAACCATGAGACAATTGGTATAGTGAAACAAATATGGAAATATGTTAAAAGAGATACTTTTGTAAAGCCAGGAAGGGGTCACATCACAGAAATTGTAATGTGCTATCTTGGATGGCCATCGAGTTTTATCTTACTTGCCAGCTGCTTTCAGTTGATTGTGGCTTTCTGCAGCAAACCGTGGAGACAGATTGGTAGGCAGAGTATGTGCTCAGTGGAGACTGTGGCAAATGCTTGTTGATAGCTATGAAAGGTGCCCATTGGGTAGGAGCAACAGGTCTGCCAAGTATTTGCCTAGGATTCAGAGGTTTTGCAATGTAGTTCTGACTTTCATCCCTTAGTGCTATTTAGCAAGCTGTTAAAGATTTTGATTATCACTTGAGTAGTGAATACAAGAGTGTTATTTTTCTTGTTAAAGAAATGCATAAGAAGTCATTAAAAATAACAATTATGAATAACATAATGGACCTTATAGAAAATGTAGATACATGTGTTCACAATTTTTTTCAATTTGATTGAAAGCAAGTCAGATCATTAAAATTGGGTAGTAAACTCAACAGTTTAAGCCACAAATACTTCAAAATATAGATTACAAAAGAATGAAAAAATTCAAATAGGGTGATTAGTTAATCAGGCCTGTATTCATCAGAGAAGTAACCATCAATGAAGACTGGACAGAAATTTTTAACCATGCAGTATTTAGAATATACAATGAATAATGAGATGTTTTGTTGCATTAATTTGATCAATATTAATTCACTGGGAACATTTTATGGTTCTGGAATGAAAGCAACTGGTGTCTATAAAGTCTATTATAGTGAGTGCTAAGAATTAGACCTCTAGTGCATAATTAGGAATGATCAGATTATTAGTATGAGTATTAGAAGATGTAAAAGATATTAGGAGATATAACATGCAATTAAAATATGTCTAAAAATAAATCCTTTGTTATCTAAAAACCAATGAACAAGAATAGAAACAATCTTTGTCTGTTAATATGGATAAGGATGGCTATGCATATGTTAATACATACACAGACACTTTCCTCTTTATGAAAGAGAAACAACTTTGGAAAAATGAAAGAGTACCAAAGAGATTTTTTGGTATGTTGTTCAGGGGTGAGTATGCACTCAGCCTCATATTCTTAAGCAAGATTGTAAAATGTGACAATTGATAATCCTGAAGTACTTTAAGACCACGACTCCAAAGGGAATTAAAAAAACAGCTACAATTTGAAAAACCAGCCAGCTGCAATTACTGGAGTATGCTTTCTCAAGTAGAAGAAAATGCAACTGTGATTTTAAATATTTTAATAAAAATATTTTAAGTTACAAGTGGTTAATCCAAATACCTAATTCCTGGAACAATTTATATAATCCAAGTCCTTCTGAATTTTTAATTGTAGACTTCATTAAATATTACTAAAATATTGACACTGTTTCTCCTCAATTATAAAAAAAAGATTCATTTTCTAATCAAACTGTTAGAAACAAAATATTTTTATATTTATGTTAATTAACCAGTCATCAAGCTATTTTATGCTTAATAATGAAATAAAATGTAGAAGAGCTCATTTATATTAATGTATACTCTGAAAGCAAATAAAAGTATCTATAAAAAATTGAATAAAAAAGGAGAATCAACATTACCAAGTACACAAAAGAATTATGTAAACATTTATATTAACATATTTTCACAATGCACTTGGTTAGAGTGTCGGTTAATATATATTTAAAAGAATAATGAAAACTACAGAAAAATAATTACAGATGTATATTTTGCATGTTGACTTACTGAACACACCATAAAATATTCATGAATAAAAATGGTACAAGAATAGTAACTTGTCTGTTCACATGAACGTGTCTCTTTTAGCTCTTAAATAATATGAGCTAATGATAGGAATAACACCACAACATAAAATAAAAGTCAGTTATTTTATGTTCTTGAGCTATTTTTCCATTAATTTAGTATTTTTTAAATAAAATATCTCAATTAGCAGTCATTTTAGTGATAGCTGATAGATTGACAAATAGATATATTATTATTTTATTCTCAGTATTTTTACAGTTATGCTTTATCTCCAAACGTCAGGGAACCTCTATGCCCTCTAGTTTCTCAAACTTCAAGATTGGGGATGATACTAGCATATGAATTTCCCTTTTAGAGGAATTCCTCTGCAGACCTTTCCAAACCCATTGTTTTATCAATCATCTCTCTTTAGTCTCATAGAGGCTTAAGGCCACAGTCATTCAGAATTGGTTTTTGCCTAGAGGGTAAAGGGTCCAACATTACTTTCAATTTAGAGGACAAATTGACTGGATTTGTCAATTTGAGACTTACCTATGAGACTCACCTTTGAGACTCAGGTAATTTGTCAATTACCTTTGAGACTGAATCTCAAGGTAATTCCACGTAGCTGCTGTTGTGCTTTCGTTTGGCGTAACAGGAGGTGCAGGGATTTTCCTTGTTGATGAATGTTTGTATTATCTTATTGTATCACATCTTACTTTGTACACTGCTATTTGCCTTGTTAAATTTTATCTTATTTGATTGCTGATATTCTACTCAGACTTTTGTTTTTTCAGTTGCCTTGGAGCTGACAGGCTACATAACCCAATGCCACTTTCTCCTGAGTGTATCAGTGATCAGAACATACTCATAGGAAACATAACAAAACCTTAGGGTATTTCATGGACAAATTAGCTAAGCTTTTATTGTTTTGTTTGGTTTGCTTGTTATAATCCTGGAAAATGTTGAACAATGCTGCCTTAGCATCATAGGCTTACATTTAATTTTGAGTTTATAAAAATGTCAATCATCAAGACATTCAATTTTTCCTATATTTATTCCTAGTAAAAATGCGCACCTTTAGAAGAAGAGTGGGTAAAATATATTGGAGAGTAGAATATACAAAGATATATTTTTGCCTGTGTTAGCAAACATGAAAGCAGGACCATAAGAAAATGGAAATGAAATTAGAATTTGGAAAAACAATGCAGCACTAATTAGTGAGTTTAATATGCACAGATAGAATAGAATGGGAAAAACGGACAGGATGGCCTTAATTGTGCTTTGTTTAGCTTAGACATTCGGTTAGCCAGAGCTTTTACAACCAGCTCTTTTATAGCTATGACATCTTTATGCAGCTGTCCTTTTCTTTTTCTGACTTGGCTGCTTTTGTGCACATTTCAAATGTTTTTGATCAAATGCGTATGCAGTCCAATGTGTTTTCCCTGAAAGCACTGTCCCTTGACTAGGGACAGCCTTAGAGTAGCTTTCATCAAGAATAAAGGTATGGGAAGGGGGTGGGAGGATGATAGGAGGCAGGATGCTGGTTGTGTCTTAACAGTTTGAAAGAGATTAGAAGGGAATTGACATGACTATTGAAAGCCTGTCAGCTGGTCCAGAAAAGTGCCTCCACACAGGAGAAAGATCCATAAAATACCAAAGATTTCATGTGTAGCATTGGTCATAATGGCTACTCCTTTTTTCCCCACTTGGATGGAGTAAAAAGTGAAGTTCCTGGACAAGCGCCGTGCCCCTCTCTCCTTCAATGCTGGCAGTGACCTGCACAGATAGGATTTCACATTCACACATACAGACAGACTGTCTCCCCTGTGATCCTAATACTTCATGGTTATCGTCTAAAACCCTCTGCCTCTCCCACAACATAAATCTTTTTTCTTTTAAAAAATTAAAATAGAAGAGGCTGAGCTAGTGAGGATAGAATATATTACCTCATTCTATTTGTGGCCCTGTGGCAACTCAAGATTAACTAAACCACTGAATAATCTCATTTAGAAAAACAGGCATGCAGCTCAAATTGGATCATTCTGTTTTGTTTTTTTTTTCCACCACAGAGGAGATAGGAACAAAATACATCGAAAGAACATACAAATAGCATTAATTGGAACAGTCACTGTTAAAACAATCTCACCAGACTATTCCAAGAACACTTTTGGTCAACTTGGGACTTTTGAATTAAGAATAAAAGGAATTTGATTTGTGAATCTGGATTTTCCACTTCATCCCTATAAATAATATTATGTATACACATGATAAAAATTTATAATGTACTCATAGTGCTAATATTTGATAATTATATATGTGTACAACATGACAAAGGTAAAGAGTAATAAAGACAATAGTGCTTATATTTGATAATTATACATATGTACAATATGACAAAGGTAAAGAATAATAATTAAAACAATTTCTTATAAATATCACAATAATCTATCTTCATATCAATAAATCAATTGGTTACACACAGTGTATTCATAATGAAAAAATATAGCCTTTCTAGTTCAGTGGGATATATAAGGTATCATATGTGATAACATACATAGATTCAAGATATTAGATTATTATTTTTCTATGTTTAAAAATGTACATTAAAACAAGCAATGGGGAAAGGATTCCCTATTTAATAAATGGTGCTGGGAAAACTGGCTAGCCATATGTAGAAAGCTGAAACTGGATCCTTTCCTTACACCTTACACAAAAATTAATTCAAGACGGGTTAAAGACTTAAACGTTAGACCTAAAACCATAAAAACCCTAGAAGAAAACCTAGGCATTACCATTCAGGACATAGGCATGGGCAGGGACTTCATGTCTAAAACACTAAAAGCAATGGCCGCAAAAGCCAAAATTGACAAATTGGATCTAATTAAACTAAAGAGCTTCTGCACAGCAAAAGAAACTACTATCAGAGTGAACAGGCAACCTACAAAATGGGAGAAAATTTTCGCAACCTACTCATCTGACAAAGGGCTAATATACAGAATCTACAATGAACTCCAACAAATTTACAAGAAAAAAACAAACATCCCCATCAACAAGTGGGCAAAGGATATGAACAGACACTTCTCAAAAGAAGACATGTATGCAGCCAAAAGACACAATGAAAAAATGCTCATCATCACTGGCCATCAGAGAAATGCAAATCAAAACAACAATGAGATACCATCTCACCCCAGTTAGAATGGCAATCATTAAAAAGTCAGGAAACAACAGGTGCTGGAGAGGATGTGGAGAAATAGGAACACTTTGACACTGTTGGTGGGACTGTAAACTAGTTCAACCATTGTGGAAGTCAGTGTGGCGATTCCTCAGGCATCTAGAACTAGAAATACCATTTGACCCAGCCATCCCATTACTGGGTATATACCCAAAGGACTATAAATCATGCTGCTATAAAGACACATGCACATGTATGTTTATTGCAGCACTATTCACAATAGCAAAGACTTGGAACCAACCCAAATGTCCAACAATGATAGACTGGATTAAGAAAATGTGGCACATATACACCATGGAATACTATGCAGCCACAAAAAATGATGAGTTCATGTCCTTTGTAGGGACATGGATGAAATTGGAAATCATCATTCTCAGTAAACTATCACAAGGACAAAAAACCAAACACCACATGTTCTCACTCATAGTTGGGAATTGAACAATGAGAACACATGGACACAGGAAGGGGAACATCACACACTGGGGCCTGTTGTCGGGTGGGGGGAGGGGGGAGGGATAGCATTAGGAGATATACCTAATGCTAAATGATGAGTTAATGGGTGCAGCACACCAGCATGGCACATGTATACATATGTAACTAACCTGCACATTGTGCACATGTACCCTAAAACTTAAAGTATAATAATAATAAAAAAATCATAGACTGGATGGTTTAAACAATAAAAAAAAATAAAAAAATAAGAAAAAAGTAAAGTGTATCCTAAGATGCAAGAACTCAGAATTGTTGTATTTTATTACAGAATAAAAACTAGCTGATTTTCTTCCAAACATAATGACTGATAAGACACTTATTTTTTATATGATTTGGAACTCTAACACTCATTCTCTAATTATCTGTACTCCCTGAATATGACAAAGAATGGTAAAATAAAGGTAATGGTAAGTTCTCTAAAAAAAAAAATATACATTGCCAGGCCATTCTTAAATACACTGGCATTCATCTCAGGAGTTTATGCTAGCAATTTATAGATAAAAGCTATTGCCAATTGCTCTAGAGTTACTCTGTTGAATATAGGGTCAAATATAGGAAATTTATAAAAGACAAAATTTGCCTTCTTATTGGACACACATATTCCTGGGTCTTTGCAGGAGAAATTTGCCAATAGTTTTCTAAATAAATATATATTTAAAATAAATTTTCCTTTACATTGTAAGAAATGCTACAGCTCGTCAAGCTTTCCCATTCTGCCTTTTACTTGGGCATTAGGTTACAAGGAGTATGTTGTGTGCTTTTTATCTACTTGTCTTTATGTCTGATCTATCTACCTATCTTCTGTCTTTCTCTCTATCCATCATCTATCTCTCATATATCCATCTACCTACCATATCTCCCTCTTCTCTCTTCCCGCTCTTTTCATCTATCTATCCACCTACCTACTTACCAATATATTTATTAATCTATCTCTCATTCATTTGCATACCTATTTAAATATTTATCTATCACTTCATCTATTTTTTTCTCGAGATAAAATGTTGGATTAATCATAATCCCAAATTTCTAGAACACTGTTATTAAGTGTTTATGCAGGGCACCTCTCTTGTTCAGCCTTTCTTCAAACCATCCTTTTTTCTTTCCTGCATTTCTTATTGTGTAACCTCTCTCCACTTATATTTTTCTCCCAACAGAAGTACTAATTCTGACACATTGGATATCTATAATTTATTTGCACATGCTTTCCTTGTATGTGCATATAACTTTAATTTACACAAATGCTGTTATGTTTTAAACTTTTTTTTTCCACTCAGCACCATGTTTTAAAGGTCTATTCATGTCCTGTATTTAGAGTTGGCCTGTTTTTCACTAACTGCTATGTAGTTTATATAGTGTTCGTACACTACCTTTTGTCCCTTCCTTCCAACGATGAACACCTGGGTTGCATCCACATCACTGCTACTAAAGACAGCACTGTAATGAACATTTGTGTGTTTTCTCTCATACTGGTGCAAGAATTGCTCTAGAATACACATCCAGAATATGACTATATCTAGTCATAACATATATCTATGTTTAAATAACTTTAATTTAATACTTTCACATTACTCTTCAGAATACCTAGGCCAATTTAAACTCCCACCAGCGATGTCTACAATTTTTCATATCCCTACTTCCCAGGCAGCACTTGCATTATATAACTTTCTCATTGTTGCCACTGTAATAATTGCAAATTAATACGTCTTTTTCGTAATAACCTTCTTTTGAGTCTTCACTTCTGTGAAATAATGGTTCACAACTTTTGCTCATTTTTTCCTATTTTGATTTACTATCATTTTATTATGGATTAGCAAGAATTATTTGTATATTCTGATATTAGATATTTGTGGTTTTAGATATTGCAAATAATTTCTGGAAATAATAAACTGGTTTCTTAACTTTGTTCATTGTGTCCTTTTGTTGACAGAAAGCCTGTATTAGATGCTATAGAATCTATGAGCAATTTATCTTTGTTAACATTTATTAACCTCTGTTAACTTTATTATTATTATTTTATTACGTTTTTTCCTGGTTGCCTATCTTGATTTATATTGTAAAGTTTCCATACTTGCTTTAATTAATTTACATATAATTACCATACATGAGAGGTAATGTTATAATTATAAGAATAGTTTCTGCACCATTAAGTATGGATCAAAAAAAGAAGAAATGACTTTAGACAAGTAGGTTGAATAAAATTACAAATAGGAGTGCATTAAAAAATACCAGCAGTAAAATCTCTTGAATAATTGAAATGACAGGCTAAAAATAAAATTTTTTTTTTTTTTAGAAAATACTAATTTGCTGCTGGCACTCTATATTCTTCTTCTTTGTTTTAATGGATGACTTGTATGTACCTCTGCCGGCTTGTCCCCGGAGGCTTTGGCAGATGAAATTACCTGTTTAAGTTTATTCCAAATTAAATTTGCTGTTGTATTCAATGAGTCATCGTGCATATCCACTTTAGATATATCTGGTAACAGAGGTCCAGTCATAACCTCATTACTACTTGAGTTTGTTTCAAGAAAAGTTCCAACTTTACAATCATCTTCTCTTCCTCTTTGGCGCTCCTGCAGTTTTGTTGTCCTAGGCATAAATCTGTCTGTCAACTGCCTCTGAAGGAGTAATAGCCTTTTCTGCACCAGGGTAGGCCACTGAGTTTTTGAAAGTGTTTATTTGTGTTTTCTGCAAAGAATCATTGTGGTTATAATGCCCCATTGTTTTACCATGGTTTCTATCATCCTTAGAAGAGTCTGATGCTCTGTCTACATGCCCCCCGGATGAACATATACATTTTGAGAAGAAATAACATAAAGGCAATTCACAGGAATATGGAAGATAAGGATTTGAGTTCCCTGCAGAAGGGTTCACAGCAGCTGTACAAAACCCAGACATCTCTGAGTGGAAGTCTTGTCTAAAATTCTCTGTGTCTTTATGCTCTGTAACCAATTTCTTTGTCACGTAATGGTCTTTATATTACAATTTAAAAGGTGAGGGGAAGGAAAACAGAAGTGGCTTATGTATTGTTTTCATCATTCAGAATCATATAATTTAAAAAATCACTTAAAAATGTTAACAAATTCTACTCCAAAAATTTATTCCTTGAGAAGGGAATATATTCACGTGGCTTAAAACCTTTATTTTCAGTAGTTCTTACTACATATGCCTTCCGCACTTCTGGTTTTTTTCTAGTTTCTTCAACTGTTTCAAATGCTGGAGCATAGCACACATGAAGCAATCCACCGAGGAAGCTCTGCTCATCCATTTTTCTCTTGGCTGTCCTTGCACTTTGTAAGTTTATAAATTTAATAAGATAGACTTCAGTAAAGTCTTCTGCAGGGTATTCATCTAGAACATTGTACTGTTCAGTTGCACCATGCAAAGCGAATCGCTCAACTATTTCCTTCATGGTTCCTACAGCGGGAACTCCTTGTATTAATAAGTACTGAGATTCCAAATTGATTGTATATATCTTGACAGCACGAGGCCGTCGTCCCTCCCGATATTTGGCCCACGTGTTGCATACTGCTCTCTGGACCTGGTGGTCAAATAAACTCCCTAGCTCCCTGCCGCTCGACGCCATCCTGTCTGCTTTGATCCTCCCTCTGTTAACCTCATATACTTATCTTTCACAATGAGAACTTTTTTTGAAGTGTACCTTTTTGTATGGCATAAGATAGAAATCCAGTTTTATTTTCTCCATAAAGTGAGCCAGTATTCATACATCATCAACTAAATATTCAGTTTTTGGCACATTGATCCATGTACTATTTAAATACATGATCTTCTTTTCAGAAAACAAGCAAGCTAGAAGGCAATGAAGTGACATTTATAAAGTGCTGGAAAAAATATGTGTGTGGTGTATATATATTTTTTCAGACAGATACTAAGGGGCTTTACTGCGTGAGGCATACTCTATAAGAAAGATTTAACATTTCTTTTTTTTTTTTTTTTGAGACAGGGTCTCACTCTATCAGCAAGACTGGAGTGCAGTGGCACGATTTCAACTCACTGCAACCTCTGCCTCCTGGGTTCAAGTGATTCTTGTGCCTCAGCCTCCCAAGATTTAACATTTCTTTGGATATTTTGTGTGT
This sequence comes from Homo sapiens, assembly GCF_000001405.40. Taxonomy (NCBI): domain Eukaryota; kingdom Metazoa; phylum Chordata; class Mammalia; order Primates; family Hominidae; genus Homo; species Homo sapiens. The sequence goes on along the minus strand of NC_000004.12, from coordinate 126,562,997 downwards.
GAAACAGTGTAAATATTATTTAAATGTAGACTATGATTAATTAAATATGTATATTGTAAGCCTTAAGTCAACCACGAAATTTTCTTAAAAATAATGAAGTCAATATAGGTAATAAAAGGGTCTCATAAGTATTGCCCAATTAATCTAAAAGAGAAACAGAAAAAAGAGAAGAGAACAATATTTTTAAAAGAACACATGGAAGAAATAGAAAACAACTGTCACAATGGTAAATTTTGACCAACCACCAGTAATATTAAATGTGAATGGCCTAAGTTCACCAATTAAAAGATGGAGATTGTTAGATTGAATTAAAATTAAAACAAATTAAACTATGTGCTATCTACAAGAAACCTTTTTCAAATATGAAGTTAAGGAAAGGATGCAAGCGAAAAGGAAGGCAAAAGATATTGTATGTGTTATACCTGAATTGTGTCTCTCAAAATTATGTATGTTGAGACCCTAATTCCCAATATGACTGTATTTGGAGATAGGGCTATTAAGAGGTAAATAAGATCAAGTGAGGCCATAAGGATAGGGTCCTAATCCTGTGGGATTGGTGGACTTACAGGAAGAGAGATCTCTTTCTCCTTTTCCATGCACATGCGCACGGAAAGGCCATGCGAGCACACGGCTTGAAAATGGTCATCTGTAAGCCAGGAAGAGGGCTCTCATCAGAACTCAAACTTGCCAACATATCAGATTTCTAGCCTCCAGAACTATGAGAAAATAAATTTCTGTGCTTTAGACATCCAGTCTATGATATTTTGTTGTGGCAGTCTGGGCAGACTAAGTCACTATACAAACCTTAACTAAAAGAAAACTTAAGTAGCTATATTAATATCAGATAAACTTAAGAACAAAGAATATTATCAGAGATAGATAGGGTAATTATGTAATGAAAAAGCAGTCAATTTTCCAAGATGTGACAATTTTAAGCATTTTGCACCAAAAAACAGAGTTTCAAAATACATTTATAAAAAAGAACTGAAATCCCAGCACTATGGGAGGCCAAGGCGGGTGGATCACCTGAGGTCAGGGTTTGAGACCAGCCAGGCCAACATGGTGAAACCTCGTCTCTACTAAAAATACAAAAATTAGCTGGGTGTGGTGGTGCACACCTGTAGTTCCAGTTATTCTGGAGGCCGAGGCAGGACAATTGTTTGAACCCGGGAGGCGGAGATTGCAGTGAGCCAAGATTGCACCATTGCACTCCAGCCTGGGCGACAGAGCGAGGCTCCATCTCAAAAAAAAAAAAAAAAAAAAAGAACTGAAAAAAACGGAAAAATGCACAATTCTAGTTGAAGACTTTGATACTTTAATCTCAGTATTGATGGATAGAACAAAGTGTACAGAAAATTGCTAAGCATGTAGAAGACTTAATACTATCAACGAACTGAACTAATAACATTTATAGATCACTATACCCAACAAAAAATATATATATAATATTCTTTAACACAGAGAACTTTTGCCAAGATACATCATATTCTGAATCATAAAAAACCCTAAAATTTAAAGGAATGAAAAGTATACAAAGTATGTTCACAGCTAATAACCAAATTAAATTAGAAATGATGAACGGAAATACCTAAACAATCACCAATATTTGGAGTTTAAGTAACGTACTTCTAACTAACACATGGGTCAAGAGGAAGCCTCGAGGGAAAAAAATATATATAATATATATATATTTAATATATATAAAAATATATATTAAACATATATATATAGAGAGAGAGAGAGAACTAAATAAAACGAAAATGCAATATATCAAAATTTTGGGGATGCAGTTAAAAGTAGATGAAGAGTTGAGATCAGTATGCTTCTGCCTTAAAAACTGCCTTGCTTAGTTTCCAAATGTCTGGGGATTTTTTGATTACCTTTTTTGTTGTTGTTGTTTCCTAGTAGAATTCCTTTGGGGTTAGAAAACATTTTCTGTGTAACTTCAATATAATATTTTTTGAGATCTGCATTATGACTCAGCATGTATTCAATCATTTTGTACATCCTGTATGCATTTGAAAGGAACACATACTTTTCAGTATTGCATTGTCTGTCAACTAGGTCAGATATGTGAATTACGTTATTTAAGTATTCTATATACCTAATGATTTGATGCCTGCTTGTGCTACCATTTAATGTGTTTTATTAAATGTTTATGATTGTATATTTCTTTATGATTATATATTGCTTTATTTCTCCTTTGGCACTTCATTTTTGGGCAATCTACTTAATGTATGCATTTAGCTCTCATAAGCTCAAAATTAGACTTTTATTTTCAAGTAGTCATTCACAGTTTTTCCTATTAGTCCCTAAAGTCTAGGCTGCCTTCATAGTTTTAAGTTATTGGCATTTCTCTATAATTTGTTTCAAGGGGAAAAGCAGCAACTTAAGCTAGTTCTCTATTTGTCAGGAACCAGAAGCCAAGAAGGTTTGTTTTTAGACGTCTCCTAATAACTCATTATCAATTAGTTATATTTACAAATATATATAACACACACACACACATATATATATACACACATATATGTATATGTGTATAGATATGTCTGTATATATAGAAGCATTGACATTGATTTTTACCTATATAACATACTGTCCTGGCTTACTATTTTGGCGCAAAATGGTGTGACTTTTTAACCCATGTATAGTATCCTGCTGAAAGTTTTTATAGGAAAATGATCAAAATGTAGGACTGAGTTACAAAGGCTATTGCTTGACTTTGTGATTGGCCTGATGCCTTTCCATAAGTAGACATTTCCTTGAATTGCAAGCAATAATTGGACACTAGAGAGCTATTATTTGTGAGGCCTCTAAGTAAATTTTGTTTTAATGCAAAGCGAAAGTGGAGTGCTGGTAAAGGGTATCTGGAAATATGGCTCAACATATCCGGATGTAGTGGTTTTGTATGGAAAACACATTTCCTTTGCACTAGGGCATAGCATTTAAAAAGTTGGCTATATGTATAATCCTTGATACTTCTGGATGATATCATTATCAGAGATTTAAAAAAGTGCATTAACATCTCCAAAGCAGTGCACTGTGTTTCTTGCCTTTTCATTTTTTATGTTTCCAACATTTTATTGTATAAGATTCTATTGCAATTTTAAGTCCACAATTAGGAGGCATTATTTAGGGAATATATTACCATTTGTTGATTCTTTTGAAATGTCTTTTTGAAACATAAAAAATTACTAACTAACTGACTTGGGATTGAGAGTTTTATCTGTTTTTCCTGCTTCTCCTCCCCTATAACTAAATAGTCTATCAGGATAATATCTAAAGGGTGATATTGAGGTCAGCTAACTGTAGTATATCTGTTTCTCGATCCCAGATGGTAAATTTAGGGATCTGAGGAAAATAGTCTGATAAGAGTTGAAAAATTAAAGGTGATATAAGAGAAAGTTAGTGCATTGAATGTGTCTCAACAAGAAACTTTTTTTGGAGGTGTGAACTCATGATTTATTTTGACTCTCAGAGGCTCTTTTTAAACAAAATACTAGATGATCTAATCATTTAACAAGCATAATTTAGACATGTATAATTAAAAATATCAACCTCCTCTTAATATCAAACTTGATAAAAAATGAATTGAGTTAAAACAATACTTTGTGTGAGTTTGTGTGTGTGTGTGTGTTTAACAATTGAGTTGGGCACATGTAGGGGTAATTAAAGTATAAAACTGTTAATCCTCTGTCTCTCAACATTAAGAGACAGCTCAATAGTTGATGGCCTCTTTGATCATGTGTTTGGTTATGTTTATTTTTTCCAGTTGTTGTTTCATCCTCATATTGCAAATGCCTCTTTTCTTTTGGGTACCAGAAGTTATTTTATCTCTGAGGGCAGAATGTACATTTTCAAACCAACTCTGAATTTTCTTAGCATCCCATAGTTTAGTATAGATTTATTTATTTATACCAAAAAGTAGTCTTGTTCTAAAACTGCTACTTATTCTACTGATTTTCCTTGGTGTCTGGCTTTTGGTCTACCACAATCTGCTGGGATTAATTTCCTTGGGCTGCTATAACAAATTACCATAAACTGGGTGGTTGACAAACAACAGATCTTTATTCTTACAGTTCTAGATGGTGGGAAGTCCAAGATCAAGGCACTAGCAGATTCTGTGTTTGGTAAGGGCTCACTCTTCTGGTTCACAGATGATATCTTATCCCCGTGTCCTCATATGGTGGAAGGGGCAAAGAGGCTACATCAGGCCTCTTTTATAAACATACTAATCCCATTTATGTGGGCTCCATCCTCATGACCTAATCACTACCCAGATGCCACACCTCTTAACATCAGTACGTTAAGGATTAGGTTTCAATATACAAATTACAAGGGATCACAAGCATTCAGACTATAGCAGTTACCTTCCATTGTGCTCTGCATGTGTTATCAAGGCAATAGTTTCCTTTTCAGAAGGTTACTTCTGGAATCGATCTCATATTTTCAGGCCCTGTTTGTAACTCTGCCTCTGTGTTGTTGTTGTTGTTGTTTTAATTTAATTTAGTTTTAAGTTCTGGGATACATGTTCAGGACCTGTAGGTTTGATCCCCAATGAACTTTGCTTTTAAATCAATGATTATACTGTAAGATATGGTTTTGCTGATAATTCAACTAGACTGACTATAACTCTCACTGGTAATAGTTGGTTCAACTAGCCTTATACCTGACAATATGCTAATGCTGATAATTACATTTCTTGTTGTTTCTACTTACAAGTCTGTTTTGATCCGACAGCTTATTCCAAAAGATTGTGAAAGCATTATAATTTATCTGTGTGTGTATATTTATTTCTTGAAAATACATCATTAAACATTTTAGCACAAAAAATAACTGGCACTTTCTTATGTGCTTTATATGGTTTAGGTTGATACAAAAGTAATTGTGTTTTTTTTTTTCATTAAAAGTAATGGCAAAAAACCGAAATTACTTTTGCACTAACCTAATACTTTTAAAACCTTACTCTATTGTATTTTGAGTCTGATAAGAATTAAAATTCCTGTCCTATATTTCTTTAAGCCTATCTGTGGTTGGAAGAAACCATCTGGGCAGCAATAATTCTTTATTTTTTCTTATCTTCTTCCCTCTCCTACTTGTTCTGTTTTCCATGATATTCATGTTAAATGCATAACGCTGAGGGGTTTCTTTTCTTTTCTTTAATTATACTTTAAGTTCTAGGGTACATGAGCACAACGTACAGCTTTGTGACGTAGGTGTACATGTGCCATGTTGGCTTGCTGCACCCATTAACTCGTCATTTACATTAGGTATTTCTCCTAATGCTGTCCCTCCCCTAGCCCTCCACTCCATGACAGGCCGTGGTGTGTGATATTCCCCACCCTGTGTCCATGTGTTCTCATTGTTCAGTTCCCACCTATGACTGAGAACATGTGGTGTTTGGTTTTCTGTCCTTGTGACAGTTTGCTGAGAATGGTGGTTTCCAGATTCATCCATGTCTCTGCAAAGGACAAGAATTCATCCTTTTTTTATGGCTGCATAGTATTCCATGGTGTATATGTGCCACATTTTCTTAATCCAGTCTATCACTGATGGACATTTGGGTTGGTTCCATGTCTTTGCTGTTGTGAATAGTGACACAATAAATATATGTGTGCATGTGTCTTTATAGTAGCATGATTTATAATTCTTTGGGTATATACCCAGTAATGGGATCGCTGGGTCAAATGGTATTTCTAATTCTAGATCCTTGAGGAATCGCCACACTGTCTTCCACAATGGTTGAACTAATTTACACTCACACCAACAGTGTAAAAGTGTTCCTATTCCACCACATCCTCTCCAACATCTGTTGTTTCCTGACTTTTTAATGATTGCAATTCTAACTGGCATGAGATGGTATCTCATTGTGGTTTTGATATGCATTTCTCTGAAGACCAGTGATGATGAGCATTTTTCCATGTTTCTGTTGGCTGCATAAATGTCTTCTTTTGAGAAGTGTCTGTTCACATCCTTTGCCTACTTTTTGATGGGGTTGTTTGTTTTTTTCTTGTAAATTTGTTTAAGTTCTTTGTAGATTCTGGATATTAGCCCTTTGTCAGTTGGGTAGATTGCAAAAATTTTATCCCATCCTGTAGGTTGCTTGTTCACTCTGATGATAGTTTCTTTTGCTGTGCAGAAGCTCTTTAGTTTAATTAGATCCCATTTGTCTATTTTGGCTTTTGTTGCCATTGCTTTTGGTTTTTTAGTCATGAAGTCTTTGCCCATGTCTATGTTTTGAATGGTATTACCTAGGTTTTCTTCTAGGGTTTTTATGATTTTAGGTCTTAAATTTCAGTCTTTAATCCATCTTGAGTTAATTTTTATGTAAAGTGTAAGGAAGGGATCCAGTTTCAGCTTTCTACATATGGCTAGCCAGTTTTCCCAGCACTATTTATTAAATAGGGAATCCTTTCCCCATTTCTTGTTTTTGTCAGGTTTGTCAAAGATCAGATGGTTGTAGATGTGTGGTGTTATTTCTGAGGGCTCTGTTCTGTTCCATTGATCTATATCTCTGTTTTGGTACCAGTACCATGCTGTTTTGGTTATTGTAGCCTTGTAGTATAGCTTAAAGTCAGGTAGCATGATGCCTCCAGCTTTGTTCTTTTGGCTTAGGATTGTCTTGGCTATGTGGGCTCCTTTTTGGTTCCATGTGAAATTTAGAGTATTTTTTTCCAATTCTGTGAAGAAAGTCATTGGCAGCTTGATGGGGATGGCACTGAATCTATAAATTACCTTGGGCAATATGGCCACATTCACGATATTGATTCTTTCTATCCATGAGCATGGAATGTTCTTCCATTTGTTTGTGTCCTCTTTTATTTCGTTGAGCAATTTTGTAGTTCTCCTTGAAGAGGTCTTTCACATCCCTTGTAAGTTGGATTCCTAGGTATTTTATTCTCTTTGTAGCAATTGTGAATGGGAGTTCCGTCATGATTTGGCTCTCTGTCTGTTATTGGTGTATAGGAATGCTTATGATTTTTGCACATTGATTTTGTATCCTGAGACTTTGCTGAAGTTGCTTATCAGCTTAAGGAGATTTTGGGCTGAGACGATGGGGTTTTCTAAATATACAATCATGTCATCTGCAAACAGGGACAATTTGACTTCCTCTTTTCCTAGTTGAATACCCTTTATTTCTTTCTCTTGCTTAATTGTCCAACACTATGTTGAACAGGAGTGGTGAGAGAGGGCATCCTTGTCTTGTGCCGGTTTTCAAAGGGAATGCTTCCAGTTTTTGCCCATTCAGTATGATATTGGCTGTGAGTTTGTCATAAATAGCTCTTATTATTTTGATATATTTTCTATCAATACCTAGTTTATTGAGAGTTTTTAGCATGAAGCGCTGTTGAATTTTGTCAAAGGCCTTTTCTATATCTATTGAGATAATCATGTGGTTTTTGTCGTTGATTCTGTTTAAGTGTTGGATTATGTTTATTAATTTGCATATATTGAAGCAGCCTCGCATCCCAGGGATGAAGCCAACTTGATCGTGGTGGATAAGCTTTTTGATTTGCTGCTGGATTCAGTTTGCCAGTATTTTATTGAGGATTTTTGCATCGATGTTCATCAGGGATATTGGTCTAAAATTCTCTTTTTTTTGTTGTGTCTGTGCCAGGCTTTGGTATCAGGACGATGCTGGCCTCATAAAGTTAGTTATGGAGGATTCCCTCTTTTTCTATTGAATGGAATAGTTTCAGAAGGAATGGTACCAGCTCCTCTTTGTACCTCTGGTAGAATTTGGCTATGAATCCGTCTTGTCCTGGACTTTTTTTTGGTTGGTAGGCTATTAATTATTGCCTCAATTTCAGAACCTGTTATTGGTCTATCCAGAGATTCAACTTCTTCCTGGTTTAGTATTGGGAGGTTGTATGTGTCGAGGAATTTATCCATTTCTTCTAGATTTTCTAGTTTATTTGAGTAGAGGTGTTCATAGTACTCTCAGATGGTAGTTTGTATTTCTATGGGAATCGGTGGTGATATCTCCTTTATCATTTTTTATTGCATGTATTTGATTCTTCTCTCTTTTCTTCTTTAGTAGCCTTGCTAGTGGTCTATCAATTTTGTTGATCTTTCCAAAATAGCAGCTCCTGGATTCATTGATTTTTTTGAAAGGTTTTTGTGCCTCTTTCTCCTTCAGTTCTGCTCTGATCTTAGTTATTTCTTGCCTTCTGCTAGCTTTTGAATTTGTTTGTTCTTGCTTCTCTAGTTCTTTTAATTGTGATGTTAGGGTGTCAATTTTAGATCTTTCTTGCTTTGTCTTGTGGGGACATCAACAGAACTCTCCAACCCAAATCAACAGAATATACATTCTTCTCAGCACCACATTGCACTTATTCTAAAATTGACCACGTAATTTGAAGTAAAACACTCCTCAGCAAATGTGAAAGAACAGAAATCACAACAAACTGTCTCTCAGACCACAGGGCCATCAAATTAGAACTCAGGATTAAGAAACTCAAAACCATACAACTACATGGAAACTGAACAACCTGCTCCTGAATGACCACTGGATAAATAATGAAATTAAGGCAGAAATAAAAATATTCTTTGAAACCAGTGAGAACAAAGACGCAACGTACCAGAATCTCTGGGACACATTTAAAGCAGTGTGTAGAGGGAAATTTATAGCACTAAATGCTGAGGGGTTTCTTTAAGTTCAATTTTTATAAAACACTAATTTGTTCTTCTGCAAATTTAAGCACCAGCAGCAAAACCCAATAGTAAATCCATTTGTAATGTTGCTATTTCAATATGGGTCTTTTGAAAGACAGGACGTAATCATTGTTCGTGCCTGCTTTGGGAAATTAGTAGAAATTTTTATTTTATTCATTGGCATTCACCTACAAGATATATGTTTTCCATTGTTCATCTGGAGGCCTTTTGTTTCAATCTAGACTCTCTCTAAAGGCATGAGAAATTATATACTTAATAAATGTGCCAATATACTTATTTCAGGTCATGAAACACAATATTTTTGTATAAGCTTGCTCACCGGAAAAACCTGACAGAAGTCTATGCAGTTGCTGCTGTGCTAGAAATTAAAAGAAGGATCCAATAAAGTTGTGATCAATTGCTCAATAATCAGGTCCATGGTATGCGTAAATGTGGCTCTCTGAAGATTAGTGTAAAGCCCTCTGTTCCTTTCATACATGCTGGAGGTGAGAGAAGAGTTGTTACTTTTGGTTGTAACTTTTCTTATAGTCTTTATTAGCAGGCTTGGAGAGAGAGCACAGAGTCATTTTATTATATTATTCTTTGAATATAAATGTGACAGTTCCACCTTTCCTCATGTATTTTATCCACAGTCTCATCTGTGAATGCTCCATTTGCACTGCAGCTCAGGTAACCTGAAAATCAGCCTATCATAGTTTTATACACAAAGGACACACTACTCTCTTGGCTAAAGCACTGAAGGACATCCTGTTTCTAGGGGTGTACAGGAACAGAACCTGGGCTTTCCTGACCAGCCCCTCCCTGTCGCTGGATGTCATTTTCTCAGCATATTCTACACTTATTCTTTAGAACTACAAGCAAAACAAATGGAAAGAACTGGTTCAGTCCAAGGCCACCGAGAGAACTGTCTTGCACCATGGAGACTGTGGTAGATATTATCAACCTTCAGTGACAGGAGGTAAAAGAACTTTGTAAAACAAAAACAGAGATGCAGAAAAGCAAACTTAAGAATCTAGAAGCATTATAAATCTCTGTGTGATGTCCAGACAGAGTTCATTGCTGTTAAAATCTCACTTCATCACTCACTGGGAAATAGCTACAATTTCCTGAAGCATAGCTACTACTACAGCAGAATAGTATAATTAGTCATCAAAATTGAGTAATTGAATAGTTATAATATTCAAAGTTTTCTCAAAAACATTAACCCAATTATCTTTCCAACACTGGAAAATTTTTAATATTCAGGGAAACAACAAAAGAGTTGTACATTTTTAGTTTTGGAATAGCTCATGAGACATGAGTTATCCATTGCAGTAAATACCTAATTGCAATAGTATAAAAACTAGTTTTATTTGCTTTGAATTTTTCATTTTCTCTTTAAAATGTTAAATATAATATTCAATTTAATTCAAGTTAAGCGAAGCCCATCAAGTAACTGCACACTGTCTTTGTAAAGAATGAACAAACTTTTTAGTTTCCTGATGTATATATGGTCAGATACCCTATGAAATAGAATCTACATCTTATTATCAATAATTACATGCCACAATTAGGGTACTTTGTGAGATCTTTTATTGAAAGGCTGTTAGGGTTTTTGCCTCTAATTCAATATGTTTTATTAAAATAAGTAGATGTATGAATATCTGAGTTATTAATATACTGGAAAAGATTCTGGGGCTGAAGACCTAGGCCCTGTGCCATTGAGCTGAAGAGATGTTGCTACTTACAGAATTGGGACTAGCTCAGCACTGTTGTTAATACAATGCCAGATTTATACAATTGTCCCCATGATTCAAAGAATTCAGTCTCCTTGCCCAGACTTAAAGGAAAATAACTTAATATAAAGCTGTGAAAGAGTAATGCAATGCACATAAAGACATTTTACAAGACTCTAGCCAGATCTAGCCCCAAAAGATTTGGTAAAATTTAAAGTAGCACGGAAGAATTGATTGGAGACCTGGCAATAGTTAAAATGGGAAAATTCAGGGCTCTATATTATTGCAGCTAAAGAGGAAATTTCAAGAGAAATTAAAGACGTTTGCAGCTTTTCCAAGGTCTTTGAGTAATATTGATAAAATATCATAACTTTTCCACTTCTGAAACTCAATAATTGAATTCTGAAATCTAAATCTAAAGCTATTTTTAGCTTTATAACATTTTGCTTTTCTAGAAGGAAGGCATTATCTTTTTTTCTCTATCTATTAACTTTTAATATTATTAATACCAAAGTACTAAATTTTGATTACTTAATTGTTATGTTTCTTCAAAAAAAGGATTCTGATTTTCTAATGTTTTATCGGAGGTAAAAGTTCAATACACTATTCAGAGTGGTATTCTGACTTTCTGATGCCTAAAAAGCACAGCAAGGATATAGCACCTCTCCCATCCTACTGATTAATAGACTTTGAGTGGTGCCAGGAGGGAAAGAAGAATGTAAGAAACTTTAGGAAAGGAGCATCAACCTAACTGAATTCCCCATGTCTCTGATATACTTAAGTAATTAGAGAAGGACAAGTTAACTGGTTATAAATAAAGTGCGTCCTTAGCTTCTCAATATATATCCCCTTAGCATGGCATGTAAGATTCTGTCTTATCTGACTTGAACCTATATTTGCAGCTTTGTCCTCTGGTACTCGACTTTTGTAATCCTGAATCCAGCAACACACATCATTTTCTGTTTTCTCAATTTGTCTTGTATTTTATATTTCAGTCTTTCCTGGAATTATATTATCTCTACATTGAATTCCTTTCTATTATTTCTCCACTTGGGAGCTTGGAGCTTCTTCCTTCAACACTCATTTCAAGTATCAGTGCCTATGCAGCTTCCCTGTCTTCCTAGTCCAAATTAGTAACTCCTAGCTCTGTGTACACCTGCTATTCTTTTAAACTATTCCATTACGTTTCATTTTATAGTGTATTTCTTCTTTTTTTTTAACTTGTCAACTAGATAATTACGTCAAATGCTGTCTTTTTCATCTTTGTGTCTTTCTTTCTGTAGTGCTCAGAATAAGTACTGATAAACAATCCTGTTTAGGAATAATCTGTGTTAGGGGAAAGTGTAATTTTTAAAAACTTGTTTGTAAAGAAGATACTGCATTACCATTGCCATGTTTAAGATGCTGTTCCTCAAATCCTTCTTCTGCTTTTACCATAGAAGAATTGAGAGACTTGCAATTTACTGGGTTCATTTTTTTTTATCTATAACTCTAGTTAATGCATAGTTTTTCTTTGTCAATATTTAGTGAACTGGATGTCTTTGAAACTTTAATTCTTTACAGTTATGTCTTTATAATAATAGTGGAATTTAGAACAGTTATATTAAAGAGAAAATTGTCTCATTAAGAAATTAGGTCTTTTATTTGGATCTGAATCTGTATAACAAATTCAGTTAAAATAGTTAAAATTTAAATGAGATCCACACCTGAAATTCTCCCTGAAGTATAGAATTTTGCCATAAGCCACTTCAAATTTTATTTAATAACTTCTGTTTAACAGTGGTTTGTTTGCCATCCTTCAAATAATAACCTAATGTTTAAATCAAATCAAATATTAACAAACGTACACCTTCAGTTATTTCATTGACTCTTTTTCTGAATTTTCTTTTTTATTATTATTATTATACTTTAAGTTTTAGGGTACATGTGCACATTGTGCAGGTTAGTTACATATGTATACATGTGCCATGCTGGTGCACTGCACCCACTAACTCGTCATCTAGCATTAGGTATATCTCCTAATGCTATCCCTCCCCGCTCCCCCCACCCCACAACAGTCCCCAGAGTGTGATATTCCCCTTCCTGTGTCCATGTGATCTCGTTCAATTCCCACCTATGAGTGAGAATATGCGGTGTTTGGTTTTTTGTTCTTGCGATAGTTTACTGAGAATGATGTTTTCCAATTTCATCCATGTCCCTACAAAGGACATGAACTCATCATTTTTTATGGCTGCATAGTATTCCATGGTGTATATGTGCCACATTTTCTTAATCCAGTCTATCATTGTTGGACATTTGGGTTGGTTCCAAGTCTTTGCTATTGTGAATAATGCCGCAATAAACATACATGTGCATGTGTCTTTATAGCAGCATGATTTATAGTCCTTTGGGTATATACCCAGTAATGGGATTGGCTGGGTCAAATGGTATTTCTAGTTCTAGATGCCTGAGGAATCGCCACACTGACTTCCACACTGGTTGAACTAGTTTACAGTCCCACCAACAGTGTCAAAGTGTTCCTATTTCTCCACATCCTCTCCAGCACCTGTTGTTTCCTGACTTTTGAATGATTGCCATTCTAACTGGTGTGAGATGGTATCTCATTGTGGTTCAAGTTGAGGAAATTTATTTTACATTTCATGTGAGTTAAGAACTCTATCTTTCAGGCATTTGATTAACTATGGTTAAAAGTTCTCTATACATATTTTAAGAATTTGAGAAAAGTTAAAGAGTCTTGAAAAATATTCTTTACAAAATTAAATTGTTTATAGTTTTTGACAGTTGTAAAATTTCCAATGTATTGCATTTTCTTTCTGTGGCATTTCCATGTACTCCATCAATCACAATTTCCACAGCACAATTGGTGTCTCATACCAGGTTTAGGGAAGAAGAGCATTCTGTGGTAAAATGAGTTTAGGAAAATTGTTAGTTAAAATAATTTCAACAAGTTTTTTTCCTTATCATTATTATCAATGTGGGTTCCCAGATAGGCAAATTCATTGTGAGTGTCCAGAACAGTTTATCAAATGTGGAGCATGTTTGCTCATATACTTTTTTAAGGATTGTGTTAAGTAATTAATATTATAAGTAGATCTTATGTTTTTCTCAATACATTTTGAGAAAGCTAATATAAATCAAACCTCCCTACTCTATGATTTTTTTTATGTGAACTTCCTGTGTAATAACAGCAATTTTGTTCCAATAATTCTATTCTTCATTCAGTAATCATTTTTAAGAATACTACTTTGTGCCAACACTGTTCTAGACACTGTGTATATGACAGAAATAAAAATAGACAATATTATTTATATTAATTATTAATATTATTAATATTAATATTAAGATATTACAATATTATCTCTTACAGAACTTTCATTTCAGAAAGATTAATTTATTTATCAACTAGAAGAAAATTGAATTCCATTCTTGAAATTGCTTTGTGTGTATGTGTGTTTATTTTGCATTCTTAAAATGTCATATATGTTGGAAACTCTAGAAGTGCTGTTGATTGTCATAAAAATATGCTGAGTCTAGAAAATGTAGCATGCAGAGAAGCCATGGTCTAATGAGCTTCAAGGGTCAAATGTTTGGAACTAATTTTCTTCACCTAGAAAATTGATTTAGGTTTGATTAAATTCCACTTGAATAATTTTATTTATTTTATATTTATGTATTCTCTGCAAGGGAAAACACAATTTAAAACTCCATGGAGGAATAAATCTCTGGATTAGGATCCAAGAGATCTATAGTACATGAATACTTTGTAAAGATTATTTGTCAGGCATAATTTGGCTGAGTGTGACCATATGCAAGTCACTTCTATTTTTATGACCTCAGCCTTTTTTTCATATATAAAGTGAGATGACTTGGCTATGTGCACTCTGAAATATTCTTCTCAGTCCCATGCTCTGATGCCGGAATCTAAATTTTAGAATGCTTTTGTGGTACAAAAGAAATGAAAGTCTTTGTTTAAAAATTTTAGAGATAATGCTCTTCTATTCATGGATAAACCATATGCAGGTATAATTATTTCTTCATCTATGCAGTGCACTCTACTGTGAGGACTGCATATATGCGGGCAAGTATATGCCTAAGAGGATACTGTGTATGACCTAGGGGGATGCTTTATCTGTGTGGGAAACCATTCAAATTGGCCAAGGTATAAGTTTTTAAAAATTATTTTAATTTTCTTCTGAATATTTAGTAGCACAATGCAGCTGCAAGCTATAGGAAAGAGCATGGAAGAAGAACCTGCATTCTCTGATCGTCTCTGCTTGTTCACTATGTGACTTTGAGAAAGCCATTTTATCTCTCACAGCTAGTTTTTTTTTTTTTTTGTGCATAGAAAAGAGTTGAGCCAATGTATTTCATATCCTTTCCAAACTTACAGTTCTGTAAATGTATTTGGGATGCATGCTTTGCCCTCTCCCAAAATGGATATAACAATACCTATTTCACGAGACATCTTTAGTAAAACCTTTTAAAAATTTTCTAAGGATTGAGACCTTATACAATGGGAGAAAAGGAATAATATTTGTAGAGTATCACATCTTCTGTTCTAGATTTATCTTCTGAAAGATTACTGAGCAAATAACTCGTTTTATCAGCATACTTTGTGGTTTCTACAGCCGTACTGCCACCATACTTGTTCTGCAGACTGCCACAGCAACTGAGCCTCATGATTTTTGACTTGACTGTTAGAAGGAAGCTGCTGAGTGACTGCAAATGAAGTCAGCTTGGGTAACTTTATAAGCAAATATGTGCAAGGACACTGCCGTATCTTTCTCAGAGAACACATTTGACTATGACCATAATTAAATCTGTATTCTTTTTCATTACAAAATAAACCCAAAGTAATATATTCATCTAGAAATAGTAAAGCTGATTTGAGAATACCATTTTACCCTGAGGCTGCTTTATTTTACAAAGACTAAAGTCAACAAACTGACCATGTGGGAAAAGATACTAGTGGTCATATTTCTTTGAACTTTGGACTTCTTTGGATTTTGGGGTTCAAAGGAGGACTTGGATGAGGATAGGAATGATTCAGCTGTTTTGTAGTTTCAAGGAGGTATAGCTCCACAATTGCACTCTAAGTAGTGGAAGTTACTTATGAAAACAAACCCTAACTGCAACCCATTGATTAGAAATTGAAAGCAACTTACACAAATTCTCTCTCTATGGTATCATAATCCCAGAGAAATAGAGGAATAGAAAAAAATTAAAGACATTGGCTGCCTCTCTCACTTATTCTCAGAAATGGGTGCCATTTTTCAGATATTTGCTCCAATGTTTCCTCTCTGAATTATTTCATCAAATACAGTTGCTTTTCTGTTTCATTCCTGCTGTTTTTGGTGTGTTTTTGTTTGTTTGTTTTGTTTCATATAAAACTGAAATGGATATGAATCATTTGGGAGAATACCTTTTATACAAATTTGAATATATATAGGTCATATAAAACCCCGTCTATCTCCTTTTGTATGTGCTATACCCGTTGTTTACTCTAACCCAACCATCCTGAATTCAGGATTCTGAGGGTCATCCTGTTTGCATTACCACACATTTGTACATGCATTTTCACCTGTAGCTATAATGCCTTTCTCTTCTCCAACTTTAATCTCAAGGTCTCAAGAATCATAGTATTGTCTGACCTCCTATTTCCTCTTCCCAGAAGGTAGAGGAAGGTGTCTTCCCAGAAGGTAGACACAAAATACATCTATGTGTCTATATATTCATTATAATTCTCATCAAACAATATTATTTATCACTGATTATTAATCAAAATATTGTTAATCATGTATTTCCTCATTGGTTTTCTTACTAATTCAATTGTGAGCTCCATGAAGGGCCAGACTCTGTCTTCATATTTGTGTATTTTGAACCTACCACTGTGCCCAAATATAAAGGCCATTCAATCTCAATAAGAGAGGAAGTTAAACAACTAATACTGTAGCAGTACAAGCCACAGACAAAACCCCTCAGACACCGAGTTAAAGAAGGAAGGGCTTTATTCGGCTGGGAGCTTCGGCAAGACTCACGTCTCCAAAAACTGAGCTCTCCGAGTGAGCAATTCCTGTCCTTTTAAGGGCTTACAACTCTAAGGGGGTCTGTGTGAGACGGTTGTGATCAATTGAGCAAGCAGGGGGTATGTGACTGGGGGCTGCATGTGCTGGTAATCAGAATGGAACAGAACAGGACAGGGATTTTCACAGTGCTTTTCCATACAATGTCTGGAATCTATAGATAACCCGTTAGGTCAGGGGTCGATCTTTAACCAGGCCCAGGGCGTGGCGCCGGGCTGTCTGCCTGTGGATTTCATTTCTGCCTTTTACTTTTTACTTTTTCTTTCTTTGGAGGCAGAAATTGGGCATAAGACAATATGAGGAGTGGTCTCCTCTCTTAATAACTCAAGTTTTATACAGTGCACAAAGCACATATTTGATAAAAAAGATAAGGGAAATTCGGTTCTGATCTTGAGTTTTGTTTTTTGTTCTATCATTGTTGTTAACTTTTGTTTTAGAATTGGAAGAAATCATATTGAGGTAAAGGGATTTCATTTAAAAAAAAAGCCTTACTTAGATTTTGAAGTAGAATTACCCAGAATAGTTTTTCCTGTGTGCTTAGAGTACCTCTAACATGTTCAACTAAGAGGAAAAAGTCCTGAAAGGGAATGGAAATGCTTATAACACTAGGAGGGATCCCTTTTAATGAGGAAGCTGGTGATTACCTGAACATCACTATAAGATTCTGTTACTACTTTAGGTGTTTCCATGAATAAGAATAAAAACACATGAGAACTAGAAGCTTTTTCATGCACCCCCGCTTTGGGAAAGGATATGGAAACATGGATATCTGAATATTAAGGTCATAGACAGCTGGGGGCGATTTCCTTTATGGCTTCTGTGTGTCTTCTGTTAACACACACCCTGTAGTCAGTGAGCGATTAAGAGAAGTTCGCAGTTGTTGGCTCTGGTTAAAAAATACCTGTAATAGGGTTCAGTGAATGTGCTAAATCTATACGCAATTTCTTGCAGAAAAAAAAAAAAAAAACTCCAGGTTTGGTTTTCTAAAGGAAATAAAAAAGTTCAATTCAATCTGCTTCACATAACCCTCTGCAATGAACAATAAAATGACTGTAATGTAGATAATTTCTTCCCATATGGAAAAAATATAAGTATTTGTGTATTCCCGTGCTGGTTGAAAATTTCTGCTCAGCTGTTTATTTAAAATTTATATGGTGCTTTGAAAGATGTTGCATGATACCAAATGGAGTAATTATTTTTATTTTTAAATATCTGATGTTCCACCATGGTATATATTGTTTAAATGTTACACAAAGAAGCACATTTTTCTGTGCTTTTGATATATTTTCATATTTTTCTAACTTATACATGTAGTCAATACAATTTACAGCACTTGTAAAAAATATGAAAACCATATTCTTTCTATCTGGAGAAAAAGAAAATTAGTTAATGAATTGGGAACAATATCTAGAGTGCCACTGAATTAAGGACAATCCACATAGTAGGTAATATGGTACTCAGCAGAGATCAAATAGCTAGAGGCAATAACACCATTTATCTAACAATGCTAGCTTGTTAGCTTACCTCTCTAAATTTGGTGGGAACCCTGTTTCAATAAATATAATCTGCTACTGATATTAGATGTTAACACAGAATGTAATCTTTTCCATGCTAGGTTTTAAGTTCAAGTTTTCTTTTTATAATTAAGAAATCTTATTTGTGATATTTGGAGTCTTTTTCCATACTCAATGTATTTTCTGAAATTGGGCCTCATGGTGGTCTGGCAATATTTTTAAATGCTAGCAATTACTGAATACTAGCTAGCTGGCCAGCCACTGCTCTAAGTGCTGTGGTAGTACTCAGGAAAAACATAGCTAGTGCTGTATAAAGCACTCACCAAAAACCAGTGGCTTAAGACAGTGAAGGTCTATTTCTGATCCAAGTCTCATTTAATTGGATTTTCAAGAGGCAGCCTTCCACGTGTTAATCAAGGATGCTGATTCTTTCCAATTCTACTTCAAATGGCCGACAAGCAAATTGAGAGAACAAAGACTCTGCCAAATATTATGTTGGCAGACATGGAAGGGGCAGACATCACTTCAAACCATACTCCTCCGGCAGGAACACAGTGGTGTTGCCTCAAGCTCACTGAAAGGGAAACAAGGAGATGCAATCTTCCAAGACTGAGAAGAAACAATGGGACTGGTGAACATTTCACTAGCCTGTGCCACATTCATATATATTTGTTTAATTCTCACGACACAGGGACTTTATTATCCCCATTTTGCAGATAAGCGAGCTGAGGCATGAAGAGTTTCATAAATATCACAAGGTTTCATGAGGAGTAAAAGGTAGAGCTAAGAAATAAAGCCAGTGAAATTGTCTTCAGAGGTCAAATTTCTAATTTTTATGAACATACTGTTCAAATTAAATGTCACCTAATTCATAAAATACTTTTATCTGCAAGACAAGGTTATATACTTTTAAAAACTCATCAGGGAAATAATGGGTTCTTTAACTGTTCTTTATTTCAGTGTTATTTATTACTACATTGCTACTCTCAATCTTTCTGTGAATATGTGTGTACATGTGTGTATCTGTACATTTTTGAAATGTATTCTTAGTTTCTGAATTTTATTTCAGAACTACGATTATTGACTATCTTCATCATTGTTGAAATATGTATGAAGCACTGTGGTCAGGAATTTAGATAGGATAAGCAGTAGTATTATCACCATTTTAGAGACAAGTAAATTCAGTCTTAAAGAGATTAAATAAATTTGCCCAAGTGACACTAAAGGATGGAACTATTAGAGTCTAAGTCTGGAGTCTGTGCTTTTAAGAACTTTGATGATCTTCAATAAACATTTATTTAAAGGAATATGGAAAATCTCTGAAATCTTGATCATTTGCATTGTACACTTCATCAAACTGGCCTATGGTCTTGCTATTATTATCTAAACTCTATTTTATGGTCTCTGTTTGGATACTGAGCTGGTATGTTGCATCTATAGTTTGAAATCTTAATATAACTAGAAATATAGTGGTTTAATAAGCATTATGTAATCATTGCATGGTAAAATTTAGTTAGTTAGCATTGGATTCAGAGAATCTCCATTATTCATTCTTCATCCTCTATCTTGAACTCAGTACTCTAGGGCTTGATTTGATCAGCTTTAAAACATGTTTGAGATAATTTTATCTTTAAAAATAATATATAAACATACACGAATATTACTAAATATTTCAGATATATAGAAAGTATAATAGACAACCTGGAACCTCTCACCCAGCTTCAACAGGTTCAGTTCCCACCTTTCATGGGTTGAACGCTTGCATTACTGTCTGTGCCTTCAAATTTGCAAAAAAAAAAATGTTTCAAGATTTTATAATCATCATCTCCAGAAGGGTTAGTTCACCACTTACTCTGTTCTCATTCCTTCCTCTTTCATGAAAGCAGGTCTTTTCCTGGGTATTATGACACCACATCCTGCTGGCTCTATTCTCTTTTCCCTGTAAGCTCCTAATTCTCAGTTTCCTTGTTGGCTCTTCTCTACCTCAACTTTAAATAGTGAAATTCCTAAGGGATTGTTCACAGTCCACTTTGTGTCTCATTGTACCCTTTCTCATTACGCTCTCTTCCACTTTTATAGCTTCAAATGCCATTTCTAGGTTGAAGACTTCCAAATTTATATTGTTAAACTATAATTCCTTTCTGAACTCCAGCCCAATTATATTCAAGTGACATCATCAACATCATATATATTCAATTCTTAATCTTTTCTCCACATTTTCTTCAGCTCTAATCTTATGTATCTTGGTAAATAGAACTACCAGGGCTTGTGACAGAAACCTAGGTGTCAATCTTTACATTCTCCTCTGCCTAACCAACTCCCACATCACATTAGATTCTAGCTGGAAAATATCAAGAGATTCTGTTTTTTTCTCTATCCACTTCTGCCCTCAGCTGCTTTTGTATTGTATAACCAGAATGATCTTTAAAAACAAAATCTGATTATATCATTACACTGTTTAAAACCCTTTGAAGTCTTCTGAGAGTGTTTAGAACAAAGGAAGAATAAGTAACCTAACATATAAGACTTCAAATTACTCTCCCTCTGCCTCATACCAGAGCCTTCTCATACCGCTCTCTCTCCCTGTCACTTTTATGCATCAGCCACATTGGTCTTTATTGTGTCTCCAAATGTGCCACCTTTTCCAATATTGGACATTCACACATGCTTTGCTTCTCTGTGGCAAAAATATTTTTATTCTATTTTCCTCCTAATTCCTACAAATCTCTCACGTATGAACAGAAATACTGCCTCTTCAGAGACATTTTTGTGTGAATTTAAATCCCAGGCCAAAATAGTGTTGATTTTTTGTGTTAGCAGGCAATTAACTTAGCTGAACTTGAACTCCAAGTTGTACGCCTCTGCAGTGTGCAGCAACTAAACTTAGGTTCCCTTCTTTAACCTTAGCTGTACTGTTTCAAGTCTGCCCTATAATTGCATGGTTCAGAGAACAGCCAGAAACTTAGGCTCAGCCTCTGTTGCTGTCTCCTGGGATTTTCCTCTTTACTCTCCTGCTGCTGTGGGAGCCCAGAAATTTTTCCTCTGATTCCTCAAGCTGGTAAGAGATCAGATTTCTATGAAAGATTTGGCCTTCACAGTGGGGACTGAAACTTCCCTCAGGAAAAAAAAAAATATAAACCGAGGAAAGTAGACAGGTGTGGTTCTTTTCTGCCAACTTGTTTACTGCTCACCAGTTTCTGCTTGCTTCTTATTTGCCTTCAGAGATGTGTGTGTGTTTGTGTGTGTGTGTACATATGTATGCATATATTTTGTACAAGCTTGTCCAATGTTTACAACTTTTCTGCAGGAGAGTTTGTCTGATATAAGTTAATGTACATAAGAGAACCACAACTTTTATTCAAACAGACAAAAAATAATTATTGAGTATCTACTGTGTGTCATATACTCTGCTATGTGATAATAATAGATATGGTCTCTGATCTCATAGAAGATAGATATAGATATAGATATAGGTATAGATATAGATATATTCCACTGTGGGAGAGAGACATTAAATAATCACCCAAATAATTAATTGCAATTGCCAGAAGAGATAAGAAAGTGAATTTTAAGGGGGCATGCAAATACATACCAGGGCAACCTTACTTCCCATGTTGAATTAGAGGCTTCCAGGAGAATGAAATATTAACTAATATTTTAAAGTTATCACAAGTTAAATACTCAAGGAAGTCAAGGTCAGTTGGAGGGGAGAAAGCATTCCAAGCAGAAGAAAGAGTTGAAATGGAAATCATCAAGCAAGAAGAAACTTTTGAAAGGCCAGTATGACTGGAGTTCAGAGAATAAGGGAAGAATGGTTCGTAATATGGAATTGTTTTAAGAGATATAGAGTGCTATTGAAACAATTTATATAGGAGAATTATTTTGTATGACTTACAGTTCCACCACAAAAAAATAGCATTTAATTGCCTCATTTCTAAATTTTTAATGCTAAATTTTATTATCATGTAGAGCAAAATTTGTGATGGTATTTCTCATTGTCATTATAATTATTTTTCCTATCTAATATTTATAAACATTTTTTTCAGTTACATAGTATTCCAATGAGTGTATTCTCTGTAAATTTTTCAACTATTTTCTAAAGTTTTATTTGACTTTCTCTATATTAGCAGGTTTACATAATGATACTATGAACATCTTTGCACAAAAGCCTTTTTTACGTTCAAAACGCTAAATTGTTAAAAATATCTTATTGTAGACCTTAAGAATTTAAAGGCAAAACTGCTTTATAAAACAATATGAAGAACATCTTTAAACATAGAGTAAATATAATCATTTTCTTAAATGAGTTGCTTTAAATATAGCATCATTTTTATAGATTTGTATCAAATATCTCTGTGAAAGACCAAGCGTATGAAAATATCATTGAAGTAGGAAAGTTTGCATTACTACCACAGATCATTTGTTTAGAAGGAGGAATCTTTAAGGGATAGCACAAGCTGTTTTTGAGCATTAAGTGTACCCTAACATGATGACATTTGTGATTATAGTCACATAAATTGCTTTACAGGCTCCAAGTACCTTAATTACTTCACAGCTGCAATATTTCCAAACTTGTTTGAAGATTTTCCAGGAAAAGTGCACTTTATGCCTGATTAAGGGTACTATCCCAAGTGGAAAACCATGATTTGGCTTTCTTTCTCTTAAATTTGTTCATGAATGAAAACTCCAGGTGAGGGTGATTCTGTAGAGAATATTAGAAACTTCAAGAGACAGTAAGTTTCCAGTGATCAAGCAATTACTGAAAGCACCAATATCATTGTTCCTTTACCTTTTGTTGAATTACATAAATTATTATTTTTTCATTCTGTAGCTAAGTATAATACTTTGTCCTCTTCCCCATCAGACTGTCACTTTCATCTATGTAAGCACAAAACTGGTTTAACAGAGCTTCTGTGCAAATATATGATGGATCCAATTCTTAGAGCTTCCTGTCTGTAGGTCTGTAGGTAATGCTGCAGTCATTTTAGATTAGTGATAAACGGTCATGAAATTGGAAACAGGTTTCTCCAGGTTTTCACAAGAATCTGAAAAAACACAAATACGTGCACCCAAAAAGTATGAGTCCAACTCAAACATCATAAAATAATACACAGTGCATGCTTAACGGCATGCAAAGCCATATGAACATATTAAATGACATTGCCTGATGCCAAAGTCAAGTATGGTTTCAACATTCAATGTGTGGAAATTTGGAGCAGTCTTAGCTTAAACTTGAACTAATGACACAGCTTTATATTTACCCTTGTGATGTCAAAAAAAAATTACTCTCTTCAACTCTCTCCTTCAAGGCTGTTGTTGATAAGTGATGCTTTGCCAATATATTATCCTTGGAGATAAGGATTATAAAATGGCAACAACAGCAACAGAATAATGTTGAACATTTAAAATGTGTCAGGAAATTTTCAAGTATTGCCTCATTTTATTTTCACAACCATCTTTTAAGGTAGGTGATATCATTATTATCCCCATTGTATAGCGGACAAAGCTGAGTCTTTACACTGTTACATAACTACTTCATGGTCACAGAAGCAGTAAATGATGATTACTGATTTTAACATAGTTTATTTGGGGCCAAGATGCATTTATTTGAAAGTCCCTCCACTTGACAACTTCGCTAAACTGAGAATTCTGGTCTTTTCCTGATTAGACAACTCAGTTTCCTTCTATGGAAATTGGACCACATTTCTGCCTCTAGAATGGAGGCTTTTAGGCAAGAATGGACTAATAACAGCTATCCAAGGGCTCCTCCTAATTTGTAATGTTCTGTTTCATCGCTTTTTGCCACAGGCAACACTATTGCTTCATACAACTCTAGAGTGTCAAATCTACGGAAGCAACATCAGTCATAGATTTATAAACAAGTTATAGTGAAGTATCCATAACCTCTTTATTCAGCTATCCGAAACAGACACATTCAAACACTAAGAAATTAATACCCAGACTCTCTAACCCTCCACAACAACCAATTTAAAGAGATCCCCTTCTGTGTTATTCTACTTAGTCATCCATGCAGAAAACAGATCCAGCAGGGAGCCTCCCTGGGAATAGGTATTAAGATAGTCACCTTTAGTTCCATGTCTTTCTATTTCTTATTAGTGGAGGAGATTGTAGAATAAGAAACATAGTCACCTAGGATTTTGTGAAGTGGAGCATGTGAGCTTTAAGACTCTGAGGTTTCAAGAATATATTCAAATTTGGGAACTGGCTCTTTGATTCACTCTGACTTGACCATTATATAAAACTTTTTTATTACTTTCATCACCTCTTATGAATTCTCAGGCAAAGATTTCTATATTTCCATAACAGATAGAAGAATGTGTAAATGATTTAATCTCTAAATGGTCCTTATCACAGAGATGGCATATCAATTAATATATGATTTCAGGGGTAAATAGAAACCCACTTCCTAACTTCCCAAGTCCATCTTTCACTTGCTCACAGAGACCATAAATTATTAACGTTAATTACAGAGCCATTTTTTTGATTTAAGGCTCCTTGTCTGGGGTTAAAGTTCAAATGCACCTGGGAATGACAATACACCAAGCTTTATAAATCACAGTGTGATGGGCTAAGCACATATTTTCATGAAGTGTTTTGATAGGGCAGAGTGCTAAAGGGAGAAGAGTATGAGCCCAAGAGAAGAAAGGGGGAGGGTTGAACTAAGACCTCTTGGAAAAGGCTTTATAAACTCATGAGAACCTCATATTTATGTGTTTACTCTGCATGATAAGGTCACCTACAAAGTGACAGAGATACCAAGGTTAGGAACTTTGTAAGACCTAATCTGAAAACCAGCCATTCACAGCTGCGAATCTGGAATATATGGTATACAGCAGGTCAAGTTGGCATCATGTGCAACAATCAGCATCAAAAATAAGAAGTGCTGAAATGGACTTCCATGCAGGATACAAACTCCAAAAATAATTAACGGATTTGAGGAAGAAGGAAGGAATCTGAAAAAACATTTATTCTGTGTATCTCATCAAAAGTCGGTAGAGGGTAGACAGTTTGTGAGGCTATAAATCCATGACCGGAACACAAGAGCATAGTGATTCTTCATAAGCAAAGCCCTCATGTTGGTTCTCTGTTTTTGAGATTTGTTCAGGCAATGACAGATCCGGGTTAGCACACTAATCACCAACCCAGATGAAATGACCTAATACCAATAAGTAGTTCCTTTCGTCATTATGGCCCTTAAACTTGACCGTAAGTCTGCAATGGGTCACATTCCAAATATTTTGGAGAGTGAACAATATTTTGTTGATGATGATGATTAAAACAAATAAAAATAATAGCTACCATTTTAGCACAAGAGTTGGTTCTGGAATTTTCCAAAGTATAAAAATGTGAGTCTCTGAAGTCTCTTTTTACAGAAGCTGTTATGGTATATATGGATTGTCAGAATACAGTCAGCTTGTGCTTACTGATGAGGGAATCATAAATTTGAATTTCCTCACATATGGTCACATAAAATTTCAAAATAATACTATACTCATGTAAAAACCTTACCATTTGTTAATGCAACAGAAAGAGGTAAAAACAAAATGAGACTTGACTGGCTAGCCATTGTGCAGAGAACTAAGTTGAGTCATTGACTTGGGAGAAAACCTGAGGAAAGTTAAGCAAATTAATTAGTTTGATTCTCATTTTTATGCTTAGGCATAATATAGCAATGCTTACTGCAGAAGGAAATGGTAAAAAAAATGAACTGGCCTGAGGAATACTAGAGAAAGTAAAAGGAAAGCTGACCCATGGTTTACTGCTTCCAGTAACAGACGAATTTTATTTATATTAGTTCATATACCATAACCAATGTCTAGTTTGATTCTGTACTCCAAACTCCTTTACTAATAGATGAATTTCATATGCGATTCTACCTTCCACATTGCCCATGGCTTCCTACTGCTGTGTGGAACTAAAAGGCCAATAGTAAGAAGAGTAGGTTTATCTAAGATACATAATACTTACTCGGTGGACAGGCCTATAGGACCTGGAAGCAGTCTCTTCCAGTGGGTTCACTGAAAAGAATGTACTTGAGTCAATGGATCAATAAGCCTTCTATCATTTTTAGTTAATTTTCCTTCAAGATCCTCAAAACACATCCAATTTGTTTACTGGTATTAATAACTGCATTTTGTTCCTTTGTATAAAAATATGGTGAGCTAACATTTTGGCTATAAAAGTACTCAGAAAAATGTTGTTTTACAAATGTTTCAATGCTTCAGGAACTGCTATCAAAGTAGAGAGATTCAACAAGTAATGCAAAAAATGTCAGTGTCTTCGTTCACTTTGCTACAACAGGATACCATAGACTAGGAGGTTTAAACAACAAAGACTTGTTTCTCATAATTCTGGATGATGGGGACTCCAAGATCAAGGCACCAGAAGAGGACCTGCCACCTGGTTCATGGATGGCCATTTTCTTGCTGTGCTCTCACATGACAAAAAAGAAGGTAAGGCTGAGCGCCATGGCTCATGCCTGTAACCCCAGCATTATGGGAGGCCGAGGAGGGTGGTTCATTTGAGGTCAGGCTACGAAACCAGCCTGGCTAACATGGAGAAACCCCGTCTCTACAAAAATACAAAAATTAGCTGTTCATGGTGGTGCATGCCTGCAATTCTAGCTACTTGGAAGGCTGAGGCAGAAGAATGAACCCGGGAGGCGGAGGTTGCAGTGAGCCAAGATTACACCACTGCACTCCAGCCCGGGCAATACAGTGAGACTCTGTCTCAAAAAAATAAAAATAAAAAAAGAGGGTGAGAGAGCTCTCTGGGGTCCCTTCTATAAGGGTACAAATCTCATTAATGAGGGCCCCATTTATATTACCTTTTCACCTCACAAAGATCCCACCACCTAATACCATCACATTGAGAGTTAAGATTTCAACATATGTATCTGTTGGAGGGGGACACAAATATTACACACATCACAAGTGCACATAATTTATTTATATTATTTTGTTTTGTTATTTTTATTTATACATGATAGTTACACATATCTATGGGGTACATGTAATATTTTGATGCAAGGATACAATCTGTAATGATCAAATCTGAGTAATTGAAAAATCTATAATCTCAAACATTTAGCATTTCTTTATGTTGGGTACATTTCAAATCTTACCTTCTAGCCATTTTGAAATATGCAATGAATCATTTTTAACTATAGTCACTCTATTGTGCTATTGAACACTACAATTTATTTCTTCTTCTCTAACTGTGTATATGTTCCTATTAACCAACCCTTCTGCATCTCCCTCTCCCCACTTCCCTTTCCAGCCTTGGGTAACCACCATTCTATTCACTGCTTCCTTATAAATAGCTTCCATATATGAATGAGAACATGCAATGTTTATCTTTCTGTGCCTGGCTTATTTCCCTTAACATAATGTCCTTCAGTTCTATCTGTGTTGCTGCAAATGACAGGATTTCACTTCATTGTATGAGTAAATATATCACATTTTTAATCCTTTTGTCTTCTGATGGACACCTACATTGATTCCATATCTTGGCTATTGTGAATGGTGCTGCAATAAATATCAGAGTGCCGATCTCTCTTCAATATGTTGATTTTCTTTCTTTTGGATATATACCCAGCAGTAGGCTTGCTAGGTAATATGTAGTTCTATTTTTAGTTTTTTGAAGAACCTGCATACTGTTTCCCAGAGTGGCTGTACTAATTTACATTCCCACCAACAGTATAATTAAATATGAAATATGCTTGCCAAATGTTGTATATTAATTAATTTTCCTGAGGTTATTGTAAACATTATAGTTTACTAATTCTTTTTCCAAGTGGTATCTTATTTGGGGCTTTGAGCAACCATGTACAGTAGGCACCTTTTTAATGTATTGGAGGTAAACAGTGACAACATTTCAAAATGTGATGCTGGTAAATGAGGCTCAGGAATGCCAAGGGAAAACTGATAAATAGCAGTATGAAGACTTCAACTTTGGTCATCTAACTTTCAATATTGAAAGCATTTCAATTTTGAATGCAATCTTATATGTGTAAAATTACATAAGGAAAAATATTTAGTAAGGTGATATTCACCATAAATTCATCAAATGGAATAAACATGTTTATTAAACTATCAATTAAATTGAAACATGTGCTTCAATAATACATAGGTACATGCATATGGATATATATATCTATATATTCTATACACATATATATGTATGTATGTTCTTCTAGTGTAAAAGTTGTTGACCTGAAGAAGTAAAATATTTACTGTTGCAAGCAGCATTCTTTATGTTTTAGAATTACTAAATACTGTTCTAGATATTATCATTTCAGACAATTAAAGGGACAAAGACATTAACATCTCAACTGGTTTTCTTCAGAGACCTTAATTTCAAAATGCAGTGATCTATGACACATTTTAAAATAAAGTATTAACTACCTTTCAGTAAAGAAAATCCCTTTTTGTATGCAAGTTAATTTGCCTTTATTGTCAACTGAAAAGCCCAAAATGCAGATAAGAGGCCAGACAAACCAAGTTTATGGAATGAAGTTTCATACATATTCCAATGGAGCTAATGCTGGGCAGAAGGTTTTCCATAGTCTTCTATTTTTATGAACACTTCATCACCATTTCTGTGTGTATGTGTTTAATAGAAAATGAGAGATACAGAGCTTTCCATCTTTATGTTATTATGAGAGATATCACAAACCTGGGATTCTGTTTTCATCAATTATAGGTTTCTAAAGGCATCTTTAATATCCATTGACTATGGCATATGGAAAAATATGTCTAAAAGAAAAATTGACCTGTTAGAAGTGCAGAGAAACTTTTCTCTAAAGAACTCATGACACTGTCTTAGAATTTTGCATGTAAAAGAAATCAGAGAAGGAAGCACTGGGACACACTGCTAGATGAACTAATATTTGCTTAACCTTAAAATTGACTTTGGAAAGAACTTCCCAGGGAATATGGAACCCTTGAAACAAATGAGCCAACATGTTCAGAAAGAAGCTGTGTGACAGGCTTTCCATGGCTTCGACCTTGAAGGTAAACACAACGGCAAAGAGCCCCTTGGTGTTCCTGGAACCCAAATTTACTCAAGTGGACAAACTTGCTAAAGTCACATTAATAGAGAGCAGTGGACATTCAGTAGAGACCCTGAAGCTCAAATGAAAGAGAAATGGGACTTGAACTATGTTACACGAGCATGTTTCTAGAAAAGAATGCCCTTCTGCGAAAGTAAAAATTTAATCCATATGTGGGAATAAGAACCATAAAGGAAAGAGTTTAAGCATGAAGGAGTTTTAATTTATATTCCTACTCATCTCTTATGTTGGCTTGGGATTCCGAGACTTGGAAGAAGGTATGGTGTCATCTTGGTGGGCTAAAGTGGAGATTTACACTCTGTCTCAGCCAACTTTCAAGGTACCTTTGTGCAGTCTGGGCTCTTAGCAAGGCCACTCTTAGCCCCGGTGGGTTAAAGGCTACAAGAAGGTATTCAGTGCACCAGCCAGCAAAAAAGAGGTAGATTATAGTCATGAGGATGAAGTTCTCTCTAGACAGATGCTTTTTCTGTCATTCTGCATACTTTGGTAAGCTGAGTATTTAACTTCCTTTGTTTTGAGTTACGTAATCCCTCCGGAGATTTTAGCTAGTGGAATTTTAACCCTTTTCTACCAAAGCAACTTTTCAGTTGACCTCCAACTTTCCCAAAGGAAAAAGTAGAGTTTTCTGCACTTCTTTGGAAAAGGTTAGTTTTGGGTCACTGAAAGTGGCAGGGTAGCATTGTGCCAGTGAATGACATGTCATGAGTAATTATGGAAGAACTGAAAAGAAAACCAATTAATGGTCTAATCAGTATGCATAAAAACATCTGTTTCTAATGCTTGCAATATACTTTTTTCTAACTTAAATTTTATATCTAAGAGAAAGATATATACAGAGGCACTGAAGCACATTTGTATTACTACCATTTTTAGGGCCTACACTGTGAAAACACATTTATAAATGAAAACTATGATGATTTACATTGTTTCAGAAATTATATGAGTATTTCTACTTCAAAATGAGTGACATTGCTAAAGTAAATATTTGCAAAGTGTTAGTAATATCACAATATTACAACCAAGATTGCAAAACCCTTAATATACAAATATCTGCTTAATACACCCCAAACATGTTATTTAAGCTGCAGCAGCAGAAACCCCATTTTATTATCTGCAGTAATTGCTATTCATGATTGAATTAGGTGTATACAGGAAACTCCCTACCCAGGGATGATTCAGGAAAGCCAAATACACCATGTATTGCAATGAGGTAGCTTTACTGTTATTATTTACAATAGGATTTAATGGAGTGAAAGATTAAGACCTCAACAGCTCTGAAAGAACCTTAGCTTACAATGGGAACATTGCTCAATTCAGGCATTGAATGAGGGCAGCACATTACTGACTAGCGGACAAACCAGACTGTTAGTCTGCCATCTCTGTTTTTTTGCCTTTTATGTCTATTTTGTTAAATGGAATTCCAGTTGCTCCTTTCTAAGACTCTGACATGTCTAGCAATGAAAAAATGTTAGCTAGTTCTGCAGAGGAAGCTCTTGGGAGTTTTTGTGCATTCTTCTTTCTATTAATGTACAAAGTCTTTAAACTGCAATTTTTGTAGGTTCAGGTAAGACTGTGTATAATTTATTATATATCAGGTTGCTTCAGTAGCCTCTTCTGTGTTGTACTTATTATAATGTTACTTACCTGCATAGCACAGGTGTTGTTTTGACCTCTATGTCCAGAAGTAGGCTAGACTCCAGATACTGTGAAATGAAGAAACTTGTATCTTCTCATCATTGCATTTACCTGGTACATGTAAGCACTCAAGAAATATTTGTTGCATTACAAAATAAACCAAGACCTATAAGCTCTTGAAGTTTTTTATTCCAATGGCCATCTAATAAATATCTTATTAGTTATAAATTGAAGAACTTTATTCTGCTGTGACAATTTCCAATTAAAGACACCATAGGACTAGAATGCTTGTGTTTGAATCATGGACTCAACCATGTAAATAATCTTAGACAAATTATGTACTGCATATTTATCTCAAATTATGATAATACATAAAGGGAGGCTATTGTGAGGATTTAATGGATTCATACTTGTAAACCCATTAGCACAGTGGCATAAAGTAAATGGTAAATATTATCTATTACTAGTGTTACTATTACATTAGTATCAGGATTAATGGCAGTATTAGTGTTATTGTCATGGAATAAATTTTTGCTTCTTATATCAACACTTCAAAGTTAGATCTGAGGATTCCATATTGTTAGAAGTCTGCCAAATAATTATCCTTTAATAAATATTCATAATGAGTCAAGATTAAGACTTTAGGAAAAGATTCAATGGTTTTCACATTTAGCTACTTTCAGCAACCCTACCATGCTTTTCTTACCTAGGCAAAGCTGTACACTATAGCAAGATGAAAGTAGTTTTGGTGAGCACTGTCATGTTTTAATTGTTGTGTAAGAAACTGAAATTGTATTATGGAAACTGGAAATAATATCTGAGCACATGTATTGGCAAAGCCTTTTAGTCCTCTGTTGTTTTATTTTTTTTATGACTAGTCCACTCTTCTATTTGAGTATAAACATTATCAGTAAAAGTAAAGTTAAGAAAGGGTACAAAGGGTACTTACATAACTTCCAAATTTTACTTTGACAGTAATTTCCCCAGCTGTGAAAATAAGAATTGACTTATTTCCTCTGGTGATAGAAGTAATTTAGGGGAGTGGAATAAGTGAATCATAGGCTGTTAGAGCTGGAAACAACCTAGCACATTATCTTGGGCAGATATGGTAACTACATGGCAACATTGTCACAAGTATCATGAGCCCATGTTCATGGCATTCATCCACATTGGGAGTTGGGATTCTTAGTCTGAATGGGCTTGTTTTCAGAATCTCTCAGAACAGCTCTCAGATATCCACTAACAAATTGATTAAAGTTGCCACCAAGATGAAACCCTCCCTGAGTTTCAGTCCATCCCTCTCTGAGTTTCAGTCCGTCTCTTTCTGTTGACAAACATATTGAAAGCCTGAGACTTTTATTTGAATCTCCCCATGTCAAAATATTATCTATGATCATATCTACAGTTTTCTAAGTCTGAATTTAGTATTCTTTCTCTTCCAGTATCTAGGGGAAAAATAATCATGTGTGAAAAAAATAGAATACTAGTAAAAGGCAAAAAAAAAGTCCTTAAACTACATTTATTCTTTTAAATTTATTTTCTAGGAAACTCAAAATATACAATAGGCAGGCAGGTATATTGGGGTGGGAATGCATTTAGCAGTAGAAGGTAATGTTGTAACCACAAGTGTGCGAGGAAGCCATTGGTACATATGGGAAGGGACCGTATACAGTTAATGATTCAAATGGAATACTGACAGGTCTTATTATTTTTGAAATGTATTTGAAAAGCTAACCCTCGTATCAGATTTTACTACCAATCCCACATGTAAGGAAGATTATAAAAAGTTTCACAAATGTTTGGAAAGCTTTTGTTAAACTCGTTCCAAACTTATTTAAGCATTTAATCAATGTAGGTTCATTTTCATCATCTTAATATAAAACTAGTAGTTTTCAGTTTTTTTCATGAATTGATATGTGCACTAAGCAAATCGAGTTCAACTGTGTTGTGTTTTTACAGAGTGTTAAAAATGTCAAATGAAAATGCAAATGTTTGCAAATATCTGAAGCATTCACTAAATGACTTTGAAATGATATTTCTCCATATGCCAAGTTAGCATATTACACATAACAATTATTCTAACTCCAACGAAAACTCTGTAATTTGATGTGCATGAGTCTCCACTTTGCTGAATGCAGGCCCTGTTTCCTCAGTTCAGGGGTGTGAGGTCAGCTCCCTCTGAACCTTTTCAATAGTGTTTCCCAAATTGAGTTGTGAATTAAGAGTTGAAGAATGCAATCCACCTTCTACATAGTTGATGGATAATATTTAGCACAGGTCTATAGATGGTTTCCAGTAGGCCACATTGTGATTTGTATTGTCGCCAAACTAAACAGACTCAAAGATCTACATAAAATATAATGCTTTTAAATTGGAAAATTTTAATTTTAAAATTTAAATGGAAAACCCCCACTCTCCATGCTTTTAAAATGCTTTTTAAAATTTCTTTGCAGTGTTTTTAAATTTACTTGACTAAAATCTCGTCAAGACAGAGACCAGTGAAGAGTTTTGGCATGTAGTAAGTGTTCAAGAAATCCTCCTAGCTAGTGAAAAAAACAGAAAAACATCACTTTACATATCATAATAATCTCACCACCTTAATCCATTTATAGCATTTATCTGATACCATATCAACTGTTGGCTATTTTGTTAATAGCACATTCAGTTATTATTCACTTATTTTCAGCACTGTTTTATATTAGAAGCTAATAAATGCAAAACTAATTTTACATAGTGGTTACATGTTTATGCTTGATTTTTGTAACTCAGAATTGATAAATGTTTTTTAATAATAGCCTCAAAAATGTTCTGAGAAGAAACTGATACTGGATTAGTTTAAAATTATGTCGGTTAATTATTAAACTGAATTTTACCATTTATCAGTTTAAAATAGTTTCAAGAAGGCTTAAAATAATTTTGTTGGAATGCTTTATTTTTTATGTTCAGAACACACCAATTTCTTAGGTGGTGATAATTGTTTATTAAGTTATAAAAATATTAAGTCAGTAACTATTTTATGTTTGAGGGATAGATACATGTATATACAATTTACCTTTGAACAACATTAGGTTAGGGCATTGCCCCCCAACAGTAGAAAACCTACATATAATTTTTGACTCCCCTCAAATTTAACTACTCATAGCCTACTATTGAATAGAAGCCTTACCAATAACCTAAGGATTAGTTAAACATATTTTCTCTATAGATGATATTCTATATGCTTATAATAAAGTAAGCTAGAGGAAAAAATGTTATTACAAAAATCAAAAGTAAGAGAAATATATTTACTACTCATTAAGAGGAAGTGGATTATCATAAAGGTCCTCTTCACGTTGAGTAGGCTGAGGAGGAAGAGGAAGAGGAAGAGGAGGGGTTGGTCTTGCTGTCTCAGGGATGGCAGAGGTGAAAGAAAATTCACATGTAAGTGAACCCACACAGTTCAAATTTATGTTGTTTATGGGTCAACTGTATAAATACACACTCACAAACACACACATATATATAGTTGTGTGTGTGTGTGTATACATATGTATACATACATATATATATATAGAGAGAGAGATTGCTGATAAGTTGTATTTCCCAGTTTTGTATATGATTTTCAATTATCTTGTGTAAAATAACTTTTTAAACATTAAAAAATTGTTTTTGCTTTTTTGTTTCATTTTATCCATTAAACATGTTCATTCATTGTTGGTTGAAGCTGTGATCTCTGGGAGTTGTCTAGAACTTAAAACGAAATGCTATGTGATATGGTTTGGCTGTGTCCCCACCCAAATCTCATCTTGAATTGTAGCTCCCATAATTCCCACATGTTGTGGAAAGGACCCGGTAGGAGACAATTGAGTCATAGGGGCAGTCTCCCCCATACTGTTCTCATGGTAGTGAATAACTATCATGAAATCTGGTGGTTTTGTAAGGGGAAACCTCTTTCACTTGGTCCTATTTCTCTCTTGTCTGCTGCCATGTAAGACATGTATTTCACCTTCCACCATGATTGTGAGGCCTCCCCAGCCACATGGAACTGTGAGTCCATTAAACATCTTTTTAAAAAATGAATTACCCAGTCTCATGTATGTCTTTATCAGCAGCATGAAAATGGACTAAAAGACTATGGAAGCATTTATTGAAGGGTGAAGGGGGAGTATGTACATGAATTGGGAGCATATGAGGAAATTTAGGAAGACAACTTTGTCTAATGTCATATTCAATAGTGTCAAACCTGAATGTAGAGGCCCGGAATTTTGCTCATTTGGGAGAGATTTAATTCCAGAGTATTAGAGAAAAGTTTCAGAATTAAATAATGACAGTTCCCCTTAGATGTTTTTCCTCTCTCTAGACTAATATCTTCTTTTCAGTTAAGCCTTTTCAATTGACTGCTTAAATCTATTAATAGACGGGCATGGTGGCTCACACCTGTAATCCCAACATTTTGGGAGGCTGAGGCGGGTGGATCTTTTGAGATCAGGAGTTCGAGACCAGCCTGGCCAATATGGTGAAACCCTGTCTCTAGTAAAAATACAAAAACTAGCAGGGTGTGGTGGTGGGCACCTGTAGTTCCAGCTACTTGGGAGTCTGAAACAGAAGAATTGCTTGAAGCTGGGAAGCAGAGGTTGCAGTGAGCCAAGATCATGCCACTGCACTATAGCCTGGGCAACAGAGTGAGACTCCATGTCAAAAAAAACCTATTAATAAATGAAACTGTTAAATATTAATGACTATCATGTAGCTGTGTAATTACAGAAGAAAAAGAAGATTCTAGTAATCTATTTGACATGGCTTTTTTTTTTTTTGAGACTCTGTCAGCCAGGCTGGAGTGCAATGGTGCAACCTTGGCTCACTGTAACCTCGTCTCCCGGGTTCAAGAGATTCTCCTTCCTCAGCCTCCCTAGTAGCTGGGATTACAGGCATGCGCCACCATGCCCAGCTAATTTTTTAGAATTTTTAGTGGAGACGGAGTTTCATCATGTTGGCCAGTATGGTCTCAAACTCCTGACCTCAGGTGATCCACCTGCCTCTGCCTCCCAAAGTGCTGAGATTATAGGCATGAGCTACCGCACTCAGCCACTAACATGGCTTTTTGAAAGCATGGTGACCACAGGGCAGTCAGACTCATCATACATAATGGCTCAGGGGTCCACGGCCAAATTTGAGCCAAAGTTTCATTCTTGTTATGACCTAGCCTTGCATATCACACTGTGCCAATTTCACTGAACTCTGTTAATTGAAGCAGTTACACGCATGCCTAAATTCAAGGACAGGAGAAATAAAACCTGCCTCTCAATTGCAGAAGTATCAAACATTTGTGGACATAATTTGTAAATCTCCACTTCTGACCTTTGGCTATAAATCATTTGTGTTCCTACAACTTTTTATAATATGCTCATCTCTAAGACTTTTCCAAATTCTCTTTTATAGTAACAGTGTAGGTGTCAAATTCTAGAAACTTTTCACCTAGACCAGGTCCAGGCATGGATGAGCTTCTTCTGATTCTCATATCTTCAGGAGTGGTTTGGTTTGTCTGCATCTGAAGACCTATGAACTATGCAGACAAGTTACTTGCCTCCCAATCCCTAAACATATATTGGTAGGACAAGCATAGGATCATGACTATAGACTATTCCATTAAAAAGGCAAGAAAACGGGAGGTATACAATAGTCACTGTGCTGTAGCAATTCTTAATTGCATCTGGGAACATGTTGCCAGTTTCTTGAGTAGGACTCAGCTTTATGTTCTCTGAGAGTTGCTTTTTTATATGGCTTTTGGTTTCAGCTTCTGAGGTCTCAGTTTCACCCTCTGAGTCATCCTTCCTTTTCCATTAAAAAATGGTCCATATTTGCAGCTGAGTGCTTTTCTCAGCTTGTTTCCTAATTGTAGCAGTGAAGGAATACAACGTTTGCCCTTGACTTTTATCATATTAGTCCAAGATGTTATAATTCCTTTAAAAGCCTTGTGGATTTCTCATATATCAATTTACAATCTACTTCACTAGACAAAAGCCACACTCATAAGTCTCCTGAAAGTAGCCCTTTTTTTATGCTAGGCTTTCTTTTAGTTGCTGTGGGACAGTGCCCTTAAGGTTCTTAGAAATTCTATTGCTGGAGACTTTTCTCATTCATTTCCTTAAGATCCTGAGACGCTTTTGTGTATAGTCATGCACCATATAGTGTCACTGTGGTCCACAACAGACTGTTTATACAACAGTGGTCCCATAAGATTATCAGGGAGCTGAAAAACTGCCCAATGATGTCATAGAAGTCTTAATGTTGTAGTGCAGCATATTATTTATATGTTTGTGGTAATGCAGGTGATATGGTTTGGCTGTGTCCCCACCCAAATCTCAACTTTAATTGTATCTCCCAGAATTCCCACGTGTTGTGGGAGGGACCCAGGAGGAGGTAATTGAATCATGGGGGTCGGTCTTTCCCATGCTATTCTCATGATAGTGAATTAAGTTTCACAAGAACTGATGGGTTTCTCAGGAGTTCTCGCTTTTGCTTTTTCCTCATTTTTCTCTTGCCATCACCATGTAAGAAGTGCCTTTTGCTTCCCACTGTGATTCTGAGGCCTCTCGAGCCATGTATAACTGTAAGTCCAATTAAACCTCCTTTTCTTCCCAGTCTCAAATCTGTCTTTATAAGCAGCATGAAAACAGACTAATACAGTAAATTGGTACCAGGAGTGGGCTGTTGCTGAAAAGATACCTGAAAATGTGGAAGTGACTTTGGAACTGGATAACAGGCAGAGGTTGGAACAGTTTGGTAGGGCTCAGAAGAAGACAGAAAAATGTGGGAAAGTTTGGAACCTCCTGGAGACTTGTTGAATGGCTATGACAAAAATGTTGTTGATAGTGATATGAACAATAAGGTCCAGGCTGAGGTGGTCTTAAACAGAGATGAGGAACTTGTTGGGAACTGGAGCAAAGGTGACTCTTGTTATGTTTTAGCAAAGAGACTGGTGGCATTTTGCCCCTGCCCTAGAGATTTGTAGAACTTTGAACTTGAGAGATAATTTAGGGTATCTGTTGGAAGAAATTTCTAAGCAGCAAAGCATTCAAAAGGTGACTTGGGTGCTGTTAAAAGCATTCCATTTCACAAGGGAAACAGAGCATAAAAGTTCAGAAAATTTTCGGCCTGACAATGCAGTAGAAAAGAGAAACCCATTTTTTTTTTAAGGAGAAATTCAAGCTGACTGCAGAAATTTGTATAAGTAGCAAGGAGCCTAATGTTAATCTTCAAGACAATGGGGAAAATGTCTCCAGGCCATGGCAGAGACCTTCACGGCAGGCCCTCCCATCACAGGCTCAGAAGCCCAGGAGGAAAAGTGGTTCTGTGGGCCAGGCCCAGGGTCTCTGTGCTATGTACAGCCTAGGGACTTTGTGCCCTGCATCCCAGCCACTCCAGCCATGGCTGAAAGAGGCCAATATAGAGTTCGGGCTGTGGCTTCAGAGGGTGGAAGCCCCAAGCCTTGGAAGCTTTCATGTGGTGTTGAGCCTGTGGGTGCACAGAAGTCAGGAATTGAGGTTTGAGAACCTCTGCCTAGATTTCAGAAGATGTATGGAAATGCTCAGATGCCCAAGCAAAACTTTGCTGCAGGGGTGGGGCCCTCAAGAAGAACCTCTTCTAGGGCAGTGTGGAAGGGAAATGTGAGGTCGGAGCCCACACAGAATCCCTACTGGGGCACTGCCTAGTGGAGCTGTGAGAAGACAGCCACCATTCTCCAGACCTCCGAATGGTAGATCTACTGACAGCTTGCACCATGCGCCTGGAAAAGCCACAGACACTCAATGCTGGCCCATGAAAGCAGCCAGGAGGAGGGCTGTACCTTGCAAAGCCACAGAGGTGGAGTTGCTCAAGACCATGGGCACCCACCTCTTGCATCAGCGTGACCTGGATGTGAGACCCGGGGTCAAAGGAGATCATTTTGGAGCTTTAAAATTTGACTGCCCTGCTGGATTTCAGACATGCATGGGCCCTGTAACCCCTCTGTTTTGGCCAATTTCTCTTATCTGGAACAGCTTTATTTACCCAATGCCTGTACCCCTATTGTATCTAAGAAATAACTAGCTTGATTTTGATTTTTCAGGCTCATAGGTGGAAGGGACTTTCCTTGTGTCAGATGGGACTTTGGGCTGTGGACTTTTGGGTTAATGCTGAAATGAGTTAAGAG
Source organism: Homo sapiens (assembly GCF_000001405.40). Classification (NCBI taxonomy): domain Eukaryota; kingdom Metazoa; phylum Chordata; class Mammalia; order Primates; family Hominidae; genus Homo; species Homo sapiens. Next base: position 126,524,109 of record NC_000004.12, on the reverse strand, counting down.
TTTGGGGGACTGTTAGGAAGGCATAATTGGTTTTGAAATGTGAGGACATGAGATTTGGAGGGGCCAGTGGCAGAATGAGATGGTTTGGCTGTGTCCCCACCCAAATCTCAACTTGAATTATATCTCCCAGAATTCTCAAGTGTTGTGGGAGGGACCCAGGGGGAGGTAATTGAATCATGGGGACCAGTCTTTCCCTGCTATTCTCATGATAATGAGTAAGTCTCGTGAGATCTGATGGGTTTATCAGAGATTTCCACTTTTGCTTCTTCCTCATTTTTTCTTGCCACCACCATGTAAGAAGTGCCTTTTTCCTCCTATCATGATTCTGAGGGCTCCCCAGCCAAATGGAACTGTAAGTCCTATTAAATCTCTTTTTCTTCCCAGTCCTGGGTATGTCTTTATCAGCAGCATGAACATGGACTAATACAGCAGGTGTAAACAAACTTATTGCACTGCCAGTCACATAAAAGTATAGCACACACAATTATGTACAGTGCATAATACTTGATAATAATAACAGTTACTGGTTTATGTATTTAGTATCCTTTTTATCATCATTTTAGAGTGCATTCCTTCCACTTGTATATAAAAAAAGTTAACTGTAAAACAGTCTCAAATAGATCTTTAGGAGGTATTCCAGAAGAAGGCATTGTTGTCATAGGAAATGACAGCTCCATGCATGTTATTGCTACTGAACACCTTCTAATAGGACAAGATGCAGAGCTGGAAGACAGTGATATCAGTGATCCTGACCCTGTGTAGGCCTAGGCTAATATGTGTGTTTATGCCTTAGTTTTTAACAAAAAGTTTAAAAAGTAAAAATAGAAAAATGCTGACAGAATAAGCATATAAAGAAAATATTTTATATAGCTGTACAAGTATTATCCCAAAGGAGTCCAAAACTTAAAAAAATTAAAAATGTACAAAATAAAATGTTACAGTAAACTAAGGTTAAGTTAGTATTGAAGAAGGAAAAATATTGTTTAATAAAGTTAATGGAGTTTAAATGTATAGTGTTTATAAAGTCTACAGTAATGTACAGTAATGTCCTAGGCCATCACATTGACTCACCACTCACTCCCTGACTCACCCAAAGCAGCTCTTAGTTCCATAAGTTCCATTCATGGTAAGTTTTTTACACAGGTGCACCATTTTTTTACTTTTATGCTGTATTTTTACTGTACCTTCTGTATGTTATATTTAGATACACAAATACTTACCACTGTGATAGAACTGCCTACAGTATTCAGTAGAGTAAAAATGCGCACAGGTTTGTAGCCTAGAAGCAATGAACTATACCATATAGCATAGGTGTGTAGTAGCTATATCATCTAGGTTTGTGTAAGTACATTCTATAATGTCTACATAATGCTGAAATCACCTAACAATGTGTCTTTCAGAACTTATCCTCATTGTTAAGCACCACATGATTGTATTTGAAAGTTTTTAATATGTTACTTTAGCTTTTTTTTTAGATTTTACCAAAGCATTTTACTGTCAGATCCTGAGCTTCATCTTTATTATATTTTGCTGTAAAAAAGCTGGGCCACATTTGTGACTTTTTGCTCACATGCCTAAGATTTGAGATATTGTCCTGAGACACGGGAGAAGAGAAATGGTTTTATTTTTGAATCTAGTTGTCCCTGGATCCTTTCTATCTCCTCTATATTTTGCTTGTAAATCAGATTTTTTTTCCTTTTTTAACTTGTGTTTTCTCATATTTTATTATGCCAATGAAAAGAAACAGGGGGAATATTCCATATTATGCCTGGGAATCATTGAATGTATTAGATATATTTCCTATTTCCACACTATCATTAATGTCAGTGTTGCCAAACTGCACATAACAAAGGTTATCTTTCAATACCAATTTCTTACCTTTTGTCTTCAGCCTTCAACAGTCTCCTCAAAACCTTTATAGTTTCTTCCTGCCAATCAGTCTCAAAGTCAGTGTGATATGCTTTAGTTTCCTGTTACAGCAGCATGCTTCTTCTAGGTACCAAATTTGTTTCAGCAATTTGTTGTATAACAAATTATGCCCAAAGTTAGTGCCTTAAGCAAACTATTTTATATGTGCAAGAATTCCATGGGTTAGAAATTTGGATAGGGCACTGAGAGGATGGCTCATTTTCATTCTATGGTTTGTAAAACTTTAGCTAGAGAGACTTGAATGCTGGTGATGAGTTGAAAGGTGGGTGCTGGAATAATCTGAAGGTTCATTAATTCACATGTCTGGTACATAGGCACAGATATCTTATTCTCAATCAGAATCTCTATGTGTAACCTCTCCAGATGGCTTTGCTCCCTTGCTGTATGAAGGAATTCAAGGTATTCAGACTTCTTATTTGGTAGATCAAAGCTCCAAATCTACATATCCCAGTTAGGTATAAGTTGCATTGTCTCTTATGACCTAGCATAGAAAGTCATACAGTATCACTTTCACTCTACACTATTGGTTAAAATCTTCATGAGCATGACCAATTTCATCTGGAAAACATTGATACAATCTTTCAATATGAGGATGTCATAGAATTTTCTGACATGCTTTTAAATCACTACACTGTATCAGACTACTTCTTCTAACCACAAGATATCTTATTAAGGTAAGAATGTAGACTTTCAAGCAGTTGACCTTCTTCCAAATATTGGCCATAGTAATTACTTGCTGTATGAACTTGGACAAGTTTTGTATTCTTCCTCTTTCTCAGCTTCTGGTCTATGCATTCCTGAAATGTAATTGTGAGGATTAAATGCATTCTTATATTAAAAGTTTGTAGTAAAATATTCATACATAGTTATATAAATGTGAGCTATTATTATGGTATAGTAATGAATGCTTCGTAGAGATACATCATAGATATCAAAGGAAGAACATCAATAAATAACTTAGTTATATCCATTCATAATCTGATATTTATTACAACCTAGGAAAAAAATCAATCAAAATTTTGTTCTTCTAAGTATCTGGATCTGAAACAAACATTTCTAGATATTTGATGCATGTGAAATCACAGAAGCAATATTGGAAACATAATGCTCAGGCAAGTCCCAACCTAAATTAAGAGTGAACATTGCTTTGCAGATACTTTTCTCCCCGTTTTCCCAGTTAGATTTCCTCTACAGCCTCAAACAGGCTTATCAAATTATGAATGATTCATAAGTGCATATTGAATTATATCTTCTAGCATGCTTTTAATTTTTCTGGCATAAGAATAAGAAAATGATTTATTTCTGAGAAATATTTTTAAATCAGCCTACTGTCATAAAAAAGAAGGCAAACTTCACTTGGAAAGAAATCAGTACTGGCCATCAGTACTGGTCAGAAAGCTTCAAATTAGTTTACCTTTAAAGTTAAACAACAATTAACTTTAACTTCAAATTAGTTTACCTTTAAAGTTAAACTACAAACTATGACAATTTATACATATCTGAAATGAATTGTGCATAGCAACGCATGCTAGGGGCATCAGTGATCACTAAGTTAAAGATAAATGCCTTACAAAAATAAATGGCTTGCTTCACATGATGATCCTTAAGAAATAATCCTCTGCTATTTCTCATATTTACAAAAATTTAATATTATTTTTGTTATGGTTTTTAGAACCAAAGCTTTTTTCTTTTTGCCTTTTTCTATTTGATTGTATCTAGAATATTGCTTTCTGGTACTTGGTCTGGGCTGTACTGTTTATCCCTCAGCAGGTAAGTACAAGTCTACTACTGAGCGTAAAGGACACAAGTGTTTTTGTTAATGCCAACTGAAATAAGTAAGATATAAAAATAATCGCCAGTATGTACCTTTGCCTGAAACAACATGGTGACTAGTAATAAAGCATGGCTACGGAACACCTCCTCTGAGCATTTTTCTATTACTTAATGAACAGATGTCAGCCTTTGAACAAGAAACTTGTAAGTTCAATTGAATTTCAGATTTAATGGAATTAAGTAGAGATTTTTCTTATAAGACCAACATTCCTTGTTAAGTGAAATAATGATTTCATAATCTGTATTTTTGGAGTTCCACTTGAATACCAGTTTGCTTTAACTGAATATCAGTTTCTTCTACAAGGCTAACTTGGCAAAACTACTAAGTTCATGTTAATTCCAAATAACACATAAAATTCTAAAAAATGCTTTAGTAAACATATATTATTGTGAATACAAATGTGTTTATAGATTGTACTTTATTAATCTGTGAAAAATTAATATTTTCACATTCATTTACTAATGTTTCAAAATATTAGAATTAGTTTGCATTTTCAGAATGTCAGAATTTATGTAAAATGAAAAGGGTTTTGAATTTTGAGTATTTTTTTTACATATATGTATACGAAGGACATGAATTTGATTTAAAGCAAAGAATATGTACATACATATTTTGAAAGTGTATTAGCAATTTGTCTCAACTTATAATTGCATCATTTCAGTGATTTTGAAATGATACTTCCCAGCAGCCAAATATCAAAGAAAATCATCTAGAAGTAGTTCCAGTTTGGACAAGAGATAGAATAATAGGTATTGATGCACTTTTCCTGATGGATGGTACCTCATAGGATTTTGCCAATGTTGTTTAATTCTCTTTCCTCAAGGAAAAAGAGGATGTTTACTATCTATCCAACAAAGTATTCCATGTCTTGAGTTAAGCAATATTTAAATTATTCTGAGACAGGCTCTAGTCCTATGACAATATATTTAGCATCAATGAAGAGTTGAAAAAATCCAGTGGTCTTTCATTTCAATGACAGTACTACTAAAAATACTATATGGTAGTCCCCCTCCCTCTTATCCAAGAGTTCACGTTCTGTGGTTTCAGTTACCCTGTGTTTCAAAAATATTATGTGTAACATTCTAGAAATACCCAATTCATAGATCTGAAATTACTGCCAATCTGAATATCATGACGAAATCCCCCACCATCCTGCTCCATCCTGCCTTGCGGTGGATCATCCCTTTGTCTCGTGGAACCACGCTGTTTGTAGTACCTACCAATTAGTATTGAGTTGCCATCTCAGTTATCAAACCTACTGCAGTATCCAGCGCTTATGGACAAGTAACCCTTATTGTACTTAATAATGGCCCCAAAACATAAGAGTAGTGATGCTGCCATATTGTTGTAACTGTTTTATTTTATTATTAGTTATTGTTGTTATTATCTCAATGAACCTGATTTATATATTAAACTTCATCATAGGTATGTATGTATAGGAAGAATCATAGTCTATATAGGGTTCAGTAGTATCTGCAGTTTCAGGCATAGACTAAGAGGCTTGAATTCCCCTGCAGATAAGGGGGGACTATTGTAATAGAATTTTTTTTTCCACAAGAATCCAGGCACTGTAACTATCAAAGAAAAGAGTGACATATTTTCAAATTTTTCAAGTAAAATATTCAAGCAGCATTGAGGACAATTGCTTTTCTAGAAGAAATCACCTTTTGATTTTGAAAATTAGAAATAACATTAGACTAAGACTGATTTATTTTCAAGCCATTTATTCAAAAAATTTTTAATCTTTCATGTGCTATGTACCCTTTTATATTATTTTAGTTGACAAATAATAAATGTACATATGTACTCTTACCTAATTGATATTATGAATCTGTTTCTCCTCTTTTTCAGTTGATCTGTATATAGAAAGAAATTTATCAATCATATTTATCTTTTCAAAAACAATCTATTGACTTAATTTATTTCTGTATTGTCTATTTTCCATTTGTTTAATGTAAGTTTTTTAAATCAGTTCTCTTTATTTAAAGTTTAATTTGTTTTTATATTTCTAGTTTTTTAAGAAGGAATCTTAGGTCACAATGTTTTTTTCTAAAACAAACATTTGAACATATTAAATTTTGTCTAGGCTTGGCTTGGTTGCTTTCCAAAAATTTTGGCAGTATGTGTTTAACTTTCATTTAGTTCAAATTGTTTTCTAACTTATCTGTAATTTCTTCTTTGACCCATGGATTTGTTTGTGACTATGCTGTTTATTTTCCAAAAATTTGGGAATTTTTCTAGGCATACTTCTGTTAGTATTTTCTAATTTAATTCCACTCTGGTCAGAGAAATGCCATATAAAATTTCAATCCTGTTAAAATTTATTAAGAATGGTTTTATAGCCCAAATTATGGCCAAACTCAGTGAATGCTGCATGACTTTGGAAAAAAAAGTGTATTCTGTAATTTTTATATTAATCTATAAATTTTGTTACATAAATTTGATTAATAAAGTTGTCCTAATTCTTCTGTAGCTCCACCAATATTCTACTTGTCTATTAACTAAGAGAGGATTGTTGAAAGTTATTACTATAGTTGTGAAGTTGTCTGTTTTTCTCTTTTACTTCTTTCAGTTTTTCTTTACATATTTTGAAACTTTGAGATTAAGTACATTTACATTTTTGATTGCTATGTTTTCTTGATAAGCACATGAAATATATTTCATTAAATTTGATATTAACCACATAGATATTAATATAGTCCTTCCAGTTTCACTATCATTAATAGAAAATTATGTTCATCTTTTTCTATCCTTTGATTTTAAGCCATCTTTCTTTAAAGTATGTTTCTTGTCAATTTCCTATAGTTATGTGAGTCTTCCTTTTTTATTCAGTCTCTGCCTTTCATTTGGAGTGTTTAAATTTTCAACATTTAGCATAATTATCAATATTGTGTTTTATGATCATCCACTGGTTTTTATTTTCTCCTGTGTTCTTTTTTAGATTAATTTGCATTCTTTTGAACTAATTGTGTTTATTAGTATTCCACTTATTTCCTCTTACTACTTATATCTTCATTTTGTATTGTTGTTCAGGTATTTACAATATGCATTTACAAATTTTCACAGTGTATCTCCAAATAATATGTTCCAAGCTCTGTCTCCTTAACTCAGTCAGACAACTATACCTTCACTGGGTCTCCTCTCCTTTTGCTGCTCTCCAGAAAGTGCCTTCAGATAATAATTTTGAGCATCATAGGATTTGTGTTATTTTCCCATCCCTCCTGTGGCAAGTCCTACTTTTCCTGTTGCCAAATATATGAAAATTGTTAATTATATTTTTTTCCAATTTTTAATTGTTTACACTAGATAACAGTTTATTAATCAGTAGTTCATAGAGGCAAGATTTCCATGGCTGGAGGTTATGCAAGCTTCTGACCTTCACAAGTGATCTGGCTCACTGACGCTTTCATCACAAGGAAGAAGCTGATGTTACAGAGACCAAGCTCTACTAAAGCAAACTTGCAAAGGGCCAGGCTTGTGATCCTTAATACAGTAAAATCTTGGCTGAGCTGAATCTACCTTTTTATTCAAACAACTAGGGCCATAGGATATTAGTAAAATAATTAGACAGGAGGATCCTAGAAGTGGGATATCATCTGCTTGACTTTTAAACATGGATCCTCGGCTTCTCTTCAGCAGAAACAACTAAGACAATTTTATAAATGCTATTAAGTCTTCATACTCGGCAGAATTCTCACACATTAGAGGATATAACACTAATATGCAGCTTTCATCGTACTCTTTGCCTTTGTCTGAGTTTCATTTATGGTCCAGAAATTAGGGCGTGACTACCTAGATTCAAATTAACTTCACGCTAACTGACGTAGTCACTTGTAAGTAAGACATGTGAATCCTCAAGCTAGTCTTTTATAACTCACTCAGAATAATATATTAAAATATTTGATTATTACTATTTATTGAGTAGAAATGAAATTCTCATCACCAGAAATTTTTTCTTTATTTCTATTCACACTTTACTTACAGTTCTGGTCAGAGGATTAATAAATGCGGCAGTTAATTTCCAGTTTAATCTTTAGACATATTGAGATAACTCTCACTTCTTACTTTATGGTTAATTTATTCAATAATAGAACTCAAATCTTTATTCTCCCATATATTCTCTCGTATATTACAGATTCTTAATGATCTATATATCATTGCAATATACAGATACCTGATGAATGATTCGCTATGGGGAGGTTCACATCTATGGAAATATCAGCCTTATCTTGAAACCTGCGAGTGTCCGAGTGGCACTTCTTCTTTTTTTTTTTTTTTGACGGAGTCTTGCTCTGTGGCCTGGCTGGCATGCAGTGCGTGATCTCGGCTCACTGCAACCTCCACCTCTCGTGTTCAAGTGATTCTCCTGCCTCAGCCTCCCGAGTAGCTGAGACTACAGGTACACACCACCACACCCAGCTAGTTTTTGTATTTTTAGTAGAGACGGGGTTTCACCATGTTGGCCAAGATAGGATGGTCTCGATCTCCTGACTCGTTATCCGCCCTCCTTGGCTTCCCAAAGTGCTGGGATTAGAAGCGCAAGCCAACGTGCCCAGCCAAGTGTCACTTCTATGTATGACCTGCTTTCTTCTTTTGGTAATTTCTTCCCATTTCTTCAAAATGCAATGATTACAACATTTTGCTGTATTTCAAAGAACATCTTAAACAGTTGCATACATTCAAAATTCTTTATTGAAAATATCTTTTTTAGTTCCTCTATTTTTACTTTCTTTCTATTCTTAAGACATTTTTGCTACTTATTTATTCTCATGTATATTACCTGGAAATTCTACAAGTGATTTATGGCCTAAAGCAAAGACAGTTTATGTAAAGTTTTGTCACTGAGGATTCTGTCATATTTTGGGATAGTGTCCTCACACAGTCATTAAACCTTAATATGAACATTTCCTTTATGTAATTATTTATATTTGATTAACTTGATTTCGTAAAACTGAGACCAGAAGAATGAACGCCCACAAATAATTGTAAAGATATTCACAGAACCTAAGTCCTGCTTACAAGAGTATAACATGAGAAAACATTATCCCAACAGTTAACAGGTGGAAATGGAAGTTTCTGAAGTTATTTATCTTATTTGAACTTTAGTCTGTTAATCTGTAAAACGAAGAGGTTGATTAAATAATATATAAGATTTGTTCCAATTTTTAAATTTGATAAGAAATATATACCATGTAATATTTTTTATCATTTTCCCCATATTAGCATCAGTTAATAAATGTGAATGAAGAGGGAATTAGAGAAAGAGGGAGACAAAGACAGAGACAGAGAGAAATGAGTGAAATTGAGAAAATGAGAAGATAACATAGATCAATAGTGAAAGTGCCTGTTGTAGAGTTTTAAATGAAAATTATTCAATAAGCCCTCATATTAAAGCTAAAAAATGACTGGATATAGTTCCTGAGATTTAAAAGTAACTCTAAACTAAATGGGTAATATCCTTTATCTGGCTTTCTGCAAATCTCTCTCAAGAAAAAGTTATCCCAGAAATATGAAAATAACAAATTTTTAAACTATCTAACCTCTAAAAGTTGATGGTCAATCAATGATTTGGAAAAGAAAAGCGACATAAGCAAAAAGGAAGTAAAGCCACTTTGTGGTGTTGTGTGGGTTAAATTACAAAATGACTGTGATATATGGAATTTATGTTGAGGTTTGGTACACTTCTAGTTTTTATATAACACATATTGCACTATGCTGAAACACCAGTGTACATGTTTCATAAAATTAATAATTACCTGTCACTGTTTCTGTCATTCACAAGATGCCCTATTCATGTCAGTATTTCTCTATTTATTTATCCTTCCTATTAATTTATTTTTGTTTTTGTTCTTTAGCTGTTGAGACTTTCCTAATTAAGTCAAATATTTTCCATTATAAATCATATTCAAGTAAGAATACTGATGAAGACTTTGCAAATTTTATCTCATTTTTTTCCACATTCCATAATTTACATACATCTGAGCTTTAACGCCCTTGCCACTCTTAGTGTAATGTGTTTCTTCTAAGTTTCAACATCAGTTTACAACAATTTCTAAGATTTTATCACATTCATATTTTATGCCTTAGTACTTTGTGAACTGCCTTCTGGATCATTAATATTATCACTATGCTCTTGTCAAAGACATTACTAAATTAAAACTGTACTGTATTAGCTCAATTTTCAGTATGATCATTGAAGAACACTTTTTAGTTTGGATTCTAGGTGAAACTTAATGAATAGTTACAGTGATTGCAAAAAGAGATTAGAAAAATAATGGTGTCATTATGGATCTCATATCTAAAAGGTAATAGCAAACTTTACTAAAGCTTGGAATTTGTGTTGTCATTTACTTATATTTCTTCCAGTGTTATTTTGAGCATTTCAATGGATGACTTCATTATAAAGCAGTAGCTATACAAGCATAGTGGTGATCCACAACCTACATTCTTATGTACCAGTACATTTTTTATTTGCAAAACCACAATTGAAGACATGCTTATAGATTCTCCTAGGCAGAGGAGTATGTACCATCAGGAATGCTTTGCTTCATTTCCTTGTCAGTCTTAACTTCCTGAATTTAATTCCTTTTCCTGAGCAGGGGAGTTAACATATCAGTTAACATGTGAGATCAGCCAGCCTGTGGATAGCAAACAAAGTGCTGAAGTATCAGAGAAATTTAAAGAAATAAAGAGAACCAGATTGCCAGTTGCTAGTGTTGTTCATGGTGAAACACCAGAAATTACACTTGAGACCACAAAATAAGGGGTACAGGGTAGCAGTGGAAAAAGAGAAATATCCTAGAACTTTGCCAGATATTAGCAAATAATATATAAGGTCCAGGAGATTTTCCAATGAAATAAAATGTAAATTCAGGCATCTTTTAGTGAACCAAGACATAAAACGTAATTATAGAATGATGTAATAGCCAAAAATTTGCAGGTGCCCTTTGTAGATTAGACTGTGAGGATGTGTTTAAAATGACTAGAGAGTGGTTACAGTCAATGCAAATTCTGTCTTTCATTGCATTTCAGACCCTATTATAAGCTTTGCCTGTTTGTATTTCTGGACCTTTTCTATTACCATACCACTTGGAATTCTTTTCCAAGATACAGATCTTCACACACATCTGAAGATAGTTACCCAGAGATATACTAGGTATCTTCTCAAGTAAGAAACTTGTCAATTTGTATCTTGGAAACGACAACAAATAAAAATGCAAAGAATTGCTTCACTGCATATGCACAATATGTAGAGTTTTGCTAAGCTTCTTTTGAGAAAGTTCAGAAACATTGCAAAGCAGACTATCAGTAGAGCAAAATTCTCCACAGTGTAATTATGGAAAATACAGGCTAGAATTACACTGTATTGTCTCTTGTGTTGCTTGTGACACACTCTCTGAAAGCCCACTCTATATATTTATCTTCTGATAATGCATAAAATATTTTAGTTAGTGACTGCTATGACAACTATTTAGTAATTTGATAAGATACACAATTTTTAAATTTTTTATTTGTCAATTTAAAACAGCTTAGATCTAAGCTAGAAGTTTTGAATCTACTGGTACTCTAGTTACCTCCTGTACTATATAATTTCATACTTAATTTTATATGATGGGCTAAAATGTTATTTGAGTTATGGAATTCTGCTAAAAATTTTCAGATCATTCTGATTTGATTGATTTTTTTTTACAAATTTGCTTAATTTTAATTTATTTTCCTATGAAAATACTGCTCAACCACTATAGTTTCAGAAGTTAGTAGAACCATTTGGACTACTATTTCAGTAGTGTGGAACCAGGACTTCTATTTAGAATGCCCTGATCTCAGAGACTACACTTTTGTTTTAAAAAGACTGGTTGTGAGAAATTCTGAAATCATGTTGATTTTGACCATCTGTATATTCTCTAGGATTGAATGTTACACAGAAAAGTCTCTAGAGAAACTTTTCCATGAACTCTAAACCTTTTTGAACACAGGGATTCTGCTTTATTTAACACTGTATATCACCAGAGTGACTCATGAAGACACTATACCTGACACATGAAGAATGGGTGCTTGGTTGGAAGGATGGAGATGGAGAGGAACAAGCCCTGATATCATAGAATATCTTTGATAGCTTTGGATGGTGTATCAATCTATTTTTGTTTTTCTTTTTGAAACAGAGTCTCGCACTGTCACCTGGGCTGAAGTGCAGTGGTGCGATCTCGGCTCACTGCAACCTCTGCCTCCCAGATTCAAGTGATTCTCCTGCCTCAGTCTCCCAAGTAGCTGGGATTCAGGTGCCTGCCACCACACCCAGCTAATTTTTGTATTTTTAGTAGAGATGGGGTTTCACCATGTTGGCCAGGCTGGTCCTGAACTTCTGACCTCGCGATTCACCCACCCTGGCCTCCCAAAGTGCTGGGATTACAGGTGTGAGCCACTGCACTTGGCCGGATGGTGTATCACTCTTAAGGTTCTGTGAATTATTCTATTGTATTGTGATGGACTGAAACAATTCAAACTCCATAAAGGAAACCTTGAATAGACAATTATTTCTATCATTATTTGATGTCAAGACTACCATATTGTAAGATATGCTATGATTTTTTTATGTTGACTTGCCAAAGAGCAAAAGATAAAGAAAACAGATTAATGGATAAAGATAATGTGGTATGTATACACTTTGGGATACTATTCAGCCATAAAAAAAATGCAAGCCTGTCATTTGCAGCAACATGAAAGAGCCTAGAGGATATTAAGTAAAATAAGCCAGGCCCAGAAAGACAAATGCTGCATGTTTTCAGTCATATACGGGAGCTAAAAAAAAGTTGAGCTCATAGAAGCAATTAGTAGAATTGTGATAATTACAGTCTGGGAAGGGGAAAGGGAGGGGAAGAGTTGGTTAACAGGCACAAAATTACAACTATATAGGAGGAATAAGTTCTAGTCTTCTGTTTGTTGAATATAGTTAATAATAATTTATTGTATCTTTTCAAAAAGCTAGAAGAGAGGATTTTGAGTATTCCTAACATAAATAATAAATATTTGAGGTAATGGATATGCCAATAAACCTGATTGGATCTACACATTGTATACACACATCAAAATACCAGTCAGTACTCCATAATTATGTATATTTATTATGTGCCAACTACAAAGGAAAAGAAAAAATACATTAAGTTTCAAACTTCTTATGACTCTTTTGACATTTCGTCTCTTAATTTTTTAAAAAACCACTCTTATTATAAGTTAGGCCTTTAATAAAAGATAATTTAAATAGAAGAAAACAGTTTCATAAGATCTAGGTTTACTTTTGGGAGGAGAGTTGATTGATTCATGATCACTATTAAGAAAATACATCCTGGAAAATACAGAAAGACATCTAGTTGTGTCTGTATGATGCAAATACACCTAATTTAAACTGTCTCCCTCATGGGACCCATGATGTGTTGCTGTCAATATTTAGTGATAAAGTTTATCCTTAAGCTTTTGACTTTATAAACTGCTTTAAATACAGATGCTTTATCTGCCTCGTGAAATAAAATGTAAATTTCTGGCAGGCTAAACAACCACAATTAATAAATAGGTTGAAGCCTTATGTGTCTTCATGCTATAGTACCTAAAATAGTGCCCTGTACTCATACTAAAAAATAGAGTTTATTTTTGCCTTTTGGTATAGATTTTATTGTTTTTTAAAAATTTTGTTTTAATTTTTGTGGGTACATAGTAGGTGTATATATTTATGGGGTACATCAAATGTTTAATATTGCATACAATGAATAATAATTACATCAAGGTAAGTGAGGCATCCATCAATTGAAGTCTTGATTCTTTGTGTTACAAAAAATCCAATTATGCTCTTTTAGTTATTTTAACATGTACAATAAATTATTATTGATTGTAGTGACTCTACTTACTGTGCCATCAAATACTAGGTCTTATTTTTTCTGTCTAACTATATTTTTGTACCTATTACACATCCCCTCTTCCTTTCCCCCACTGTGCTTCTCAGCCTCTGGTAACTATCATTCTACTCTCTACCTCTATGAGTTCAATTGTTTTAATTTTTAGCACCCACAAATAAATAAGTAGGCAATGTTTGTCTTTCTATGCCTGGCTTATTTCACTGAACATAATGACCTCCAGTTCCATCCATGTTGTTGCAAATGGCAAGATCTTGTTCTCTTATGACTGAATAGTAAATACTCCATTTTCTTTATTTATTCATCTGTTGATGGACACTTAGGTTGCTTCCAAATCTTGGCTATTGTCAATAGTGTTACAATAAACATGGGAGTGCAGATATCCCTTTGATATACTGATTTCCTTTCTTTCGGGTATATACCTAGCAGAAAGAGTTCTGAATCATATGTGAGCTCTATTTTAAGTTTTTTGAGGAACTTCCAACCTGTTCTTCATAGCGGTTATACTAATTTATGTCCCCACCAACAGTGTATGAGAGTTAACTTTTCTCCACATCCTCACCAGTATTTGTTCTTGCCTGCCTTTTGGATAAAAGCCATTTTAACTGCAGTGAAATGATATTTTATTATAGTTTTGATTTGCATTTTGATAGCATTGATTTGATCAATGATATTGATCACCTTTTCATATACCTGTTTGCCATTTGCGTATGTTTTCAGAAATGTCTGTTTAGTTATTTTGCTCATTTTTAAATCAGAGTATTATACTTTTCCCTGCTGAGTTTTTGATCATCTTGTATATTCTAGTTATGAATCTTCTGTCATATAGATAGTTTGCAAATATTTTCTTCTATACTGTAGGTCGTCTCTTAACTTTGTTGACTGTTTTCTTTGCTGTGCATAAGCTTCTTAACTTGATGTGATCTCATTTGTCCATTTTTGCTTTGGTTGCCTGTGCTTGAGGGGTATTGCTCAAGGTATTTTTGCCCAGATTAATGTTCTGGAGGGTTTCTCCAATGTTTTCTTATAGTAGTTTGTTGTTTGAGGTCTTAGATTTAAGTGTTTAATCCATTTTGAATTGATTTTTATATATGGTGAGAAATGGGAGTGACAACAGGTTTTGACAGTGACTTAGTTATTTGAATTAATTCACTGGGAACTAGAAAATAAGTTCATAATTAATATAAATCTGAGTATGGAAGATAATTAGATTTTTTAGCCTAAGATTTTGATTAATATCTGATAAGTTATATTCATTACACAATTGGTATTGATGAACTACTGTGTGCCAGGTGCTCTTCTAGACAATGAGGCTTCAGCGATGATAACAAAATTTTTGAAACTCCTGCCCTCACAAATTTTAGCCTAAATCAAAAAGGGATTTAGTGGTACATTTTGAAGCACATTAAAGTCTTCCATGTCTATCTTTGTTTGCCTTTTGAGTTCCCCTCAATTTTATTTCATGAATTCCTTTTCATCACTAGTAACTTCATACATTCATTTTAACTGTTACCAAACTTAAAATTTTAAAAATATTATTTTGTGTTTACTTGTGAAGTTGATTCCCACTGTTTTCCAGTACAGTTTTACCTAAATCATAAATTTAATCATGTCCATCCCTTTCTCAAAAACCTTTGCCTACATTTGCCAAAGAATGAAGCTTGCATTCTTCACCCAGGGACTTTTATGATTTAAAACCAAAGTACTACAAAGTACTATGAAAGATTAACTTTGATCATTTCCCCTCAACCATCATTCTAGCCAAATACAGTTGTTATTTTCCATGTAGAGCTAGAATTTTTATCCCCCCATATTTTTTACTTTGTTTTTTCTGCTTTTAGCATATTTTTTCTCATCTCTGCTTTGTTCATACTTCTTTATCCTCCAGTGTCCAGCAATGTCTTTCTATCACATTCTATAATTTATTAAAATTATTTGCATACATATATTTTCTCTTCTACTGGATTTAAATATCTGGGAACAATTCTTATGTCTTTTTAAAAATATTTCCAAATCTATCTCAGTCATTGCAATAAAGAGTAGGGTATTTGATTAATATTTGATTATTTGAGTATAATAGAAGGAGAAGTGAACAGTGCAAAGGCCAAAGCATTGGCTATAATACCACTGAAACAAAGAGGGAAGACTTAGCATCTGAGAGAAAGAGCAAATCACTAGGCAAATAAGAGTCATCGTATATGAAGGGAGAAGGGGCATCCAAGAAGAATAGGGGAGAGATACATTCGTGGCCTAATTCATTGCTTACTTCATTATTTTGCATACACAGAATAAATTGATATTCAATCACCAAAATGTGTTATGCATTCAATAATAGTCTTTTTATTTGGATAATCTGTATCTATAGCAACAAAGGATGTCAATCTGTATGTCTGTTCTGCAAGCATTGATAAATGTTTATATGGTGATAATTATGAAAATAATATTTATTTGAAACAAAGCACTTCTCATTTGGTTACTACAGCAGATTTGATGATAATACTTAGCATTTATCTGTACTATTTGAACAAATTGGATTCTAAAATCCTTTACTAGAACTTGCTGTCAAAAGTTTTTCAGCATTTAAAACTGATTTTTACTCTCTGGAATGCACAACACACATGCACACACACACCCCTACTTTTGTCTTTCATAAAAATTTTAATAAATTTTATCAATAATTTAATTATAAATAAATTTTAAGAATAAATATTTTTCTAGTAAGCCAACAACACTGGAATACTGAAACCTAACACATTTTCCAAGCTTTGAGATTCCTATTTAACCTTCCCAATTACTTGAGTGATGACTGCAAGACAGACAGAAATTACATGTATGTCTTGAATGTATAACACTGTAGGGATAGAGGAATGATGTGTAATAGATAAGAAACTGTCCATGAGAGAATCAGGAAGCCCCTCTGGTTCATCAAACTCTAAACATGGAGTCATGTTCAAGTACATCTGTTTTAAGATTCCTTTCAAGCTCCTGATTGCTGTTAACGTAAAGATTTATGAGCATCAGTTGTTAAAAATGCAGTGTTTCTAATTAGACGCCACAATCTCCAATCATGATGTTCTCTTATAAAAATGAAAAAACATAATTACCCAATCTTTTCTACCGCTTTTCCTAACCCAAGCAATGAAGCAGAAAACAGGCAGTATTGGAGAATATGCAAGGAAACACCTTCGCTATGTTGTTGCTTATGCCATATCCTTCATGAGGTAACACAGTAATATTTCAAAAGTTTCCCTGGATATCTTATTCTGGCAACTATTTTTGTGAGTATGTACATTATCTTTAAAGGTAGTTTTTGCTTTACTTTAAGTCAGTAAACACTTATAAAGATAGTTCTTTATTTTTTATCCTTTTGACATTTTCCTCCAAAATCTGAGGTTTATTTCACACATTTTACATGTATAAATAATCATTGTTTTTCTGTCACTTTTCCACCTTCTGTCACTACTGTGGGTATTTATTCATTTTCACATTCTCTTCCAACTAATAAAGAGATCTGCTGCTAATCAACAGAACAGACTCTGATTGTTTTTGCTTTTTTCTTCCCTCTCAAATGATTTTTTAAGTGTAAATGCTACATTCTAGAAACATCTTGAGCTGATAGAAATATCCACCATGTGTAGTCATTCTGATCTGATATTAGAACATTAAGGTTGAGAAATTAACAATGCAAGAGTCAGGAATTCCAAATTCCCACAGTTATGTTAATTCATCTACATCACAAAGATGTAGAATTAAAAGTCCTTGATGGGTACCTTAACAGAGAGATTTTTATACAGTGTGTTCCCATTTGTACCATTAAAGATATACTGTGTGGCACTAAATATTATACACATTTCACAATTTTACAATGATTATACTTTGCAAAGAGTAAAAATATTTCCACATCTTGCACTCACTGTCATACACCTACATGATTCTCACATACTATATTCCCTGATTTAGAGATATTTTTTCACTTTGCTTCCAATATTAATTTCTCATAAATCATCTAATCATTACATAAGACCTCACCCACACAGAGGATTTAACTTACACTTAGCTTTGGCTAGCTTTATCAAGCCATCTGTTCATTATTATGTCATAGTATGTTTCATGGAGGACTTTGCCATAGTTATTTTTCTCTCAAAAAGATTTTAGACATTAAAAAGTGTAATATTTAATTAAAACAAGAATATTCTTTCAAAGGCTTTTTATTAAGATTTTATAGTTTACTTGTTTTCGACAATCCTTACTGTAAGATGTTTAGGGTAACTTTCTTTTTTCTGGATGAATTAGTATCATATACAATGTTATACATATGTATATAATGTATATAATATAAAATTTAATATTAACAAAAGTAATTGCAGGTTTCACTATTATATAACATGAATGTATATCTCATGTATGAATATATACATCTATATCCTTCAAAGACGGGTCTAGTTGATTGATGTATTTTTTATTGTAGAGAAGTTCAAAAATATATATTGCATAGTCTCCAATCAATTGTTTTTTTTTCTTGACTACATAAAACAAGAGAAGTTTTGTTTCTTAAGCAAGGTAAGAAATATAACTTATTTTCATTGGCCTGTCATTTGAGTTTTAAACTTGTTTTAAGTTTATTTCTTCCTTACAAGTCTTTATAATACAATGTATATTTTCCCTTAATATAACTCAAGATTTTCTAGTAGGATTTATTAAACTTTCCTCTTTCTTTTACAGCTTTGTTTTTCTCTTAAAAATTTACTCATGACTTGGTGAAATTTATCAAAAAGGGGTTAGTTCATGAATTCACAGCTTTTATCCATTGATCTGTATTTCTGTGTTTACATGGTATGTTTTGTTTAAGATATTTAAGACACATTATCATATGAGGTAGGTCTTCCTGACTTCATAATTCTTACATTTTTCCTGCAACCCAACAATGTATTTTTCTTTAGAATAAAACTGAATGGGAAACCATCATTCTCAGCAAACTATCGCAAGGACAAAAAACCAAACACCGCTTGTTCTCACTCATAGGTGGGAATTGAACAATGAGAACACATGGACACAGGAAGGGGAACATCACACACCAGGGCCTGTTGTGGGGTGGGGGCAGGGGGAGGGATAGCATTAGGAGATATACCTAATGCTAAATGATGAGTTAATGGGTGCAGCACACCAACATGGCACATGTATACATATGTAACAAACCTGCACTTTGTGCACATGTACCCTAAAACTTAAAGTATAATAAAAAAAAAAAAACTGAATGTTCTTGACTGTTTATGTATCCTTATACATTTTATAATTATTTTAGGTAATTCCTTTTAAAATGTGGTTGAATTTTTAATTTGAAATATGTTAAATCTATAAATTAACTTGGTGAGAACAGATCTTTCTATAGCACTTAGTATTTTCATCTAAGAACATAGTATATTTACCATTGATTAGTTTCTATTTTAAAATTTTCCATTAGAATTTGTAACCTTTTCATTTGTTTTAACCCAGTTTTCATTAAGTTTAGTACTAAATTGAAGATTAATATTTGCTATTGCTAATGAAAACCTGTTTCTTTCAAAATTTTTTACTTTGCAAATTGTTGATAAATAAGGGTGATATTTAGCTTTACTTATTAATGAAATTTCCATGTATCTTTTTAAGCTATTTCACTAATTCATTTAATTCTTTATTTGAATTTATCTTGTCAATCTTAATGTTATAAATGACAATTCTGAAAGGAATCTTATCAGAATGTCATGGTATTACTATGTTAGGTTTCAAACTAGGTTGTAGAGCTACAAGGAAACATTTCTTAGAGTTGCTAAAATTCAACAACTACAGTGAGTCAAAGTGAGCAAATAGTTGAATGTTCTCAGTATTCAGACTGTGATTAATATCCCTTCCCATTATTAATTTGTATAAAATCCTATTTTATTTTATTTTACCAAGCATTTTACATTTTTATTAATAGCCAAAAGATCATCTGTTGTATAAACAGAGCCCCAAACTTAGGGTTTTCTTGATTAAGGAAAACAGAAGGCCAACAAAGTCCATGTAGTACACACAAGATATAGTCAACCAACACTTCAATCTGAAAGAAACAATTCCAGTGCATGATTTCTTGCATTGGGCTTGTTCTCTTTCTTTTTGATTCTCCTTTCTGGTCCTCACTGGGAGTAAGAATCACACAAAGAGCTTGGCTCACTACTTTCATTCACTCTCTCCTTCTCTCGCCATTTGTTCAAAATGAACCTATTTGGGCTAGTTCTTTAATATGTTCTCAGATGTTTTCCTGCTTTCAGAAACAGGGACAAAATAATTTATATACTAACATTGAACAACTCCCTGAAAATCATTGCATTGTTTAGCTAATTTCTGATTTTTCTACCACTTTCCAGCAGAAAACAACTTTCTTCTTAGAGTTCTTGATACAAACTTTTTAAGAAATTTAAAATATACATTAAAATCTGTCTTTGGTGAGCATACCAAATAATATGATAGCCGGAAGGGAGGTAAGGAAGTGGTAACAATTTATATATATATATATTTTTTTTTTTTAAATTATACTTTAAGTTCTAGGGTACATGTGCACAATGTGCAGGTTTGTTACATATGTATACATGTGCCATGTTGGTGTGCTGCACCCATTAACTCGTCATTTACCTTAGGTATGGCTCCTAATGCTATCCCTCCCCCCTCCCCCCACCCGACAACAGGCCCCAGTGTGTGATGTTCCCCTTCCTGTGTCCATGTGTTCTCATTTTTCAGTTCCCACCTATAAGTGAGAACATGCGATGTTTGGCTTTTTGTCCTTGCGATAGTTTGCTGAGAATGATGGTTTCCAGCTTCATCCATGTCCCTACGAAGGACATGAACTCATCATTTTTTATGGCCGCATAGTATTCCATGGTGTATATGTGCCACACTTTCTTAATCCAGTCTATCATTGTTGGACATTTGGGTTGGTTCCAAGTCTTTGCTATTGTGATTAGTGCCACAATAAACATACATGTGCATGTGTCTTTATAGCAGCATGATTTGTATTCCTCTGGGTATGTACCCAGTAATGGGATGGCTGGGTCAAATGGTATTTCTAGTTCTAGATCCCTAAGGAATCGGCACCCTGCCTTCCACAATGGTTGAACTACTACAGTCCCACCAACAGTGTAAAAGTGTTCCTATTTCCCCACATCCTCTCCAGCACCCCTTGTTTCCTGACTTTTTAACGCCATTCTAACTGGTCTGAGATGATATATCATTGTGGTTTTAATTTGCATTTCTCTGATAGCCAGTGATGATGAGCATTTTTTCATGTGTCTGTTGGCTGCATAAATGTCTTCTTTTGAGAAGTGTCTGTTCATATCCTTCACCCACTTTTTGATGGGGTTTTTTTTTCCTTGTAAATTTGTTTGAGTTCTTTGTAGATTCTAGATATTAGCCCTTTGTCACATGAGTAGATTGCAAAAATTTTCTCCCATTCTGTAGGTTGCCTGTTCAACTCTGATGGTAGTTTCTTTTGCTGTGCAGAAGCTCTTTAGTTTAATGAGATCCTATTTGTCAATTTTGGCTTTTGTTGCCATTGCTTTTGGTGTTTTAGACATGAAGTCCTTGCCCATACCTATGTCCTGAATGGTATTGCCTAGGTTTTCTTCTAGGGTTTTTATGGTTTTAGGTCTAACATGTAAGTCTTTAATCCATCTTGAATTAATTTTTTTATAGGGTGTAAGGAAGGGATCCAGTTTCAGCTTTCTACATATGGCTAGCCAGTTTTCCCAGCACCATTTATTAAATAGGGAATCCTTTCCCAACTTCTTGTTTTTGTCAGGTTTGTCAAAGATCAGATAGTTGTAGATGTGTGGTATTATTTCTGAGGGCTCTGTTCTGTTCCATTTGTCTATATCTCTGTTTTTGGTACCAGTACCGTGCTGTTTTGGTTACTGTAGACTTGTAACATAGTTTGAAGTCAGATAGCGTGATGCCTCCAGCTTTGTTCTTTTGGCTTAGGATTGACTTGGCAATGCAGGCTCCTTTTTGTTTCCATATGAACTTTCAAGTAGTTTTTTCCAATTCTGTGAAGAAAGTCATTGGTAGCTTGATGGGGATGGCATTGAATCTATAAATTACCTTGGGCAGTATGGCCATTTTCATGATATTGATGCTTCCTACCCATGAGCATGGAATGTTCTTCCATTTGATTGTGTCCTCTTTTATTTCATTGAGCAGTGGTTTGTAGTTCTCCTTGAAGAGGTCCTTCACATCCCTTGTAAGTTGGATTCCTAGGTATTTTATTCTCCTTGAAGCAATTGTGAATGGGAATTCACTCATGATTTGGCTCTCTGTTGGTTTGTTGTTGGTGTATAAGAATGCTTGTGATTTTTGTAAATTGATTTTGTATCCTGAGACTTTGCTAAAGTTGCTTATCAGCTTAAGGAGATTTTGGGCTGAGACAATGGGGTTTTCTAGATATACAATCATGTCATCTGCAAACAGGGACAATTTGACTTCCTCTTTTCCTAATTGAATACCCTTTATTTCTTTCTCCTGCCTAATTGCCCTGGCCAGAACTTCCAACACTATGTTGAATAGGAGTGGTGAGAGAGGGCATCCCTGTCTTGTGCCAGTTTTCAAAGGGAATGCTTCCAGTTTTTCCCCATTCAGTATGATATTGGCTGTGGGTTTGTCATAAATAGCTCTTATTATTTTAAGATACGTCCCATCAGTACCTAATTTATTGAGAGTTTTAAATATGATGGGCTGTTGAATTTTGTCAAAGGCCTTTTCTGCATCTGTTGAGATAATCATATGGTTTTTGTCTTTGATTCTGTTTATATGCTGGATTACATTTATTGATTTGCGTATGTTGAACCAGCCTCTTGCATCCCAGGGATGAAGCCCACTTGATCATGGTGGATAAGCTTTCTGATGTGCTGCTGGATTTGGTTTGCCTGTATTTTATTGAGGATTTTTGTGTCGACGTTCATCAGGGATATTAGTCTAAAATTCTCTTTTTTTGCTGTGTCTCTGCCAGGCTTTGGTATCAGGATGATACTGGCCTCATAAAATGAGTTAGGGAGGATTCATTCTTTTTCTATTGATTGGAATAGTTTCAGAAGGAAAGGTACCATCTCCTCTTTTTACCTCTGGTAGATTTTGGCTGTGAATCCATCTGGTCCTGGACATTTTCGGTTGGTAAGCTACTAATTATTGCCTCAATTTCAGAGCCTGTTATTGGTCTATTCAGGCATTCAGCTTCTTCCTGGTTTAGTCTTGGGAGGGTGTATGTGTTGAGGAATTTATCCATTTCTTCTAGATTTTCTAGTTTATTTGCATAGGGATGTTTATAGTATTCTCTGATGGTAGTTTGTATTTCTGTGGGATCGGTGGTGATATCCCCTTTATCATTTTTTATTGCATCTATTTGATTCTTCTCTCTTTTCTTCTTTATTAGTCTTGCTAGTGGTCTATCAATTTTGTTGATCTTTTCCAAAAACCAGCTCCTGGATTCATTGATTTTTTAAAGGGGTTTTTGTGTGTCTATCTCCCTCAGTTCTGCTCTGATCTTAGTTATTTCTTGCCTTCTGCTAGCTTTTGAGTGTGTTTGCTCTTGCTTCTCTAGTTCTTTTAATTGTGATGTTAGGGTGTCAATTTTAGATCTTTCCTGCTTTCTCTTGTGGGCATTTAGTGCTATAAATTTCCCTCTACACACTGCTTTGAATGTGTCCCAGAGATTCTGGTATGTTGTGTCTTTGTTCTCGTTGGTTTCAAAGAACATCTGTATTTCTGCCTTCATTTCATTATGTACCCAGTAGTCATTCAGGAGCAGGTTGTTCAGTTTCCATGTAGTTGAGCGGTTTTGAGTGAGTTTCTTAATCCTGAGTTCTAGTTTGATTGCACTGTGGTCTGAGAGACAGTTTGTTATAATTTCTGTTCTTTTACATTTGCTGAGGAGTGCTTTACTTCCAACTATGTGGTCAATTTTGGAATAGGTGCGGTATGGTGCTGAGAAGAATGTATATTCTGTTGATTTGGGGTGGAGAGTTCTGTAGATGTCTGTTACATCTGCTTGGTGCAGAGCTGAATTCAATTCCTGGATATCCTTGTTAACTTTCTGTCTCGTGGATCTGTCTGATGTTGACAGTGGGGTGTTAAAGTCTCCCATTATTATTGTGTGGGAGTCTAAGTCTCTTTGTAGGTCTCTAAGGACTTGCTTTATGAATCTGGGTGCTCCTGTATTGGGTAAATGTTCATTTAGGATAGTTAGCTCTTCTTGTTGAATTGATCCCTTTACCATTATGTAATGGCCTTCTTTGTCTCTTTTGATCTTTGTTGGTTTAAAGTCTGTTTTATCAGAGACTAGGATTGCAACCCTTGCCTCTTGTTGTTTTCCATTTTCTTGGTAGATCTTCCTCCATCCCTTTATTTTGAGCCTATGTGTGTCTCTGCACATGAGATGGGTTTCCTGAATACAGCACACTGATGGGTCTTGATTCTTTATCCAATTTGCCAGTCTGTGTCTTTTAATTGGAGCATTTAGCCCATTTACATTTAAGGTTAATATTGTTATGTGTGAATTTGATCCTGTCATTATGATGTTAGCTGGTTGTTTTGCTCATTAGTTGATGCAGTTTCTTCCTAGCATTGATGGTCTTCACAATTTGGCATGTTTTTGCAGTGGCTGCTACCGGCTGTTCCTTTCCATGTTTAGTGGTTCCCTCAGGAGCTCTTGTAGGACAGGCCTGGTGGTGACAGAATCTCTCAGCATTTGTTGTCTGTAAAGGATTTTATTTCTCCTTCACTTAGGAAGCTTAGTTTGGCTGGATATGAAATTCTGGGTTGAAAATTCTTTTCTTTAAGAACGTTGAATATTGGCCCCCCCACTCTCTTCTGGCTTGTAGAGTTTCTGCCGAGAGATCAGCTGTTAGTCTCATGGGCTTCCCTTTGTGGGTAACCCGACCTTTCTCTCTGGCTGCCCTTTACATTTTTTCCTTCATTTCAGCTTTGGTGAATCTGACAATTATGTGTCTTGGAGTTGCTTTTCTGGAGGAGTATCTTTGTGTCTTTCTCTGTATTTCCTGAATTTCAATGTTGGCCTGCCTTGCTAGATTGGGGAAGTTCTCCTGGATAATATCCTGCAGAGTGTTTTCCAACTTAGTCCCATTCTCCCCGTCACTTTCAAGTACACCAGTCTGATGTAGATTTGGTCTTTTCAAATAGTCCCATATTTCTTGGAGGCTTTGTTCGTTTCTTTTGATTCTTAAAATGCTATTTTATGGTATAGGTAATTTTTGGTTTTCCTTCAAACATCCTTTATACACTTGTGGAAGTTATGGCAAACAATCTTCAGGGTGTAGATCGTTTTGAAAGCTGTCTAATATTATAACATGGATAGCACTTAAAATTGAATCTTTATGAAAATACAGCAAAGTAGAGAAAATTAGAATACTAATAAAAGGTACTTTGTTGCTTTCATTAAAGAATATATGAAACATGTCTGGGGTTATCACAAAATTTTGATATTTTTTTCTCTGAAATTTAAACTCTCTAGCTGGTAAGATTTTTTTTTTAATAATTATTTTACTTTAAGTTCTGGGATACATGTGCAGAACGTGCAGGTTTGTTACATAGCTATATATGTGCCATGGTGATTTGCTGCACCTATTAACCTGTCTTCTAGGTTTTAAGCCCCACATGCATTAGGTATTTGTCCTAATGCTCTCCCTCCCCTTCCCCCTGACCCACCAACAGGCCTCAGTGTGTGATGTTCCCCTCCCTGTGTCCATGTGTTCTCATTGTTCAACTCCCACTTATGAGTGAGAACATGTGGTGTTTGGTTGTCTGTTCCTGTGTTAGTTAGCTGAGAATAATGGTTTCTAGCTTCATCTGTGTCCCTGCAAAGGACATGAACTCATTTTTTATGGCTGCATAGTATTCCATGGTGTATATGTGCCAATTTTCTTTATCCAGTCTATCACTGATGGGCATTTGGGTTGGTTCCAATTCTTCACTATTCTAAATAGTGCTATAACAAACATACATGTACATGTGTCTTTATAGTAGTATGATTTATAACCCTTCCCATTTGTCAATTTTGACTTTTGTTGCAATAGATTTTGGTGTTTTAGTCATGTAGTCTATCCATGCATATGTCCTGAATGACATTGCCAAGCTTTTCTTCTAGGGTTTTTATGGTTTTGGGTTTTACATTTAAGTCCCTAATCCATCTTTAGTTAATTTTTGTATAAGGTGTAAGGAAGGGTTCCAGTTTCTGTTTTCTGCATATGGTTAGCCAGTTTTCCCAGTACAATTTATTAAATAGGGAATCCTTTCCCCCATTGCTTGTTTTTGTCAGGTTTGTTGAAGATCAGATGGTTGTAGATACGTTGTGATGTCTCTGTTCTCTTCCATTAATCTATATATCTGTTTTGGTACCAGTACTATGCTGCTTTGGTTACTGTAATCTTGTAGTATAGATTGAAGTCAGGTAGCATGATGCCTCCAGCTTTGTTCTTCTTGCTTAGGATTGTCTTGGCTACATGGGCTCTTTTTTGGTTCCATATAAAATTTAAAGTAGATTTTTCTAATTTGGTGAAGAAATTCAATGGTAGCTTAAAGGAAATAGCATTGAATCTATAAATTACTTTAAACAGTATTGCCTTTTCACAATATTGATTCTTCCTATCCATGAGGATGGAATGTTTTTCCATTTGTTTGTGTCCTCTCTTATTTCCTTGAGCAGTGGTTTGTATTTCTCCTTGAAGAGGTCCTTCAAGTCCCTGGTAAGTTGTATTCCTAGGTATTTTATTCTCTTTGTAGCAATTGTGAATGGGAGATCACTCATGATTTGTCTCTCTGCTTGTCTATTATTGGTGTATAAAAATGCTTGTGATTTTTGCACGTTGATTTTGTATCATGAGACTTTGCTGAAGTTGCTTATCAGCTTAAAGAGTTTTGGGGCTGAGACGATGGGGTTTTCTAAATATACAATCATATCATCTGCATACAGAGACAATTTGACTTCCTCTCTTCCTATTTGAATGTCCTTTATTTATTTCTCTTGCCTGATTGTCCCGGCCAGAACTTCCAATACTATGTTGATTAGGAGTGGTGAGAGAGGGCATCCTGTCTTGTGCCAGTTTTCAAAGGAAATGCTTCCAACTTTTTCCCATTCAATATGATATTGGCTATGGGTTTGTCATAAATAGCTCTTATTATTTTGAGATATGTTCCATCTATACCTACTTTATTGAGTGTTTTTAGCATAAAGGGATGTTGAATTTTATTGAAGGCCTTTTCTGCATCTATTGAGATAATCATGTGGTTTTTGTCGTTGGTTCTGTTTATGTGATGAATTATGTTTATTGATTTGCAAATGTTGAGCCAGTGTTGCATCCCAGATATGATGCCGACTTGATCTTGGTGGATAAGCTTTTTGATGTGCTGCTGGATTCAGTTTGCCAGTATTTAATGAGGATTTTTGCATTGATGTTCATCAGGTTTATTGGCTTAAAACTTTCTTTTTTTGTTGTGTCTTTGCCAGGTTTTGGTATCAGGATGATGCTGGCCTCATCAAATGAGTTAGGGAGGAGTCCCTCTTTTTCTATTGTTTGCAGTAGTTTCAGAAGGAATGGCACCAGCTCCTCTTTGTACTTCTGGTAGAATTTGGCTGTGAATCCTTCTGGTCCTGGGCTTTTTTTGGTTGGTAGACTATTAATTACTGCCTCAATTTCAGAACTTGTTATTGGTCTATTCAGGGATTCGACTTCTTCCTGGTTTAGTCTTGGGAGGGTGTATGTGTCCAGGAATTTATCCATTTCTTCTACATTTTCTAGTTTATTTGCATAGAGGTGTTTCTAGTATCTTTGATGGTAGTTTGTACTTCTGTGGGATCAGTGGTGATATTACCTTTATCATTTTTTATTGTGTCTATTTGATTCTTCTCTCTTTTCTTTATTAACTTCCTCACATCAAAATTCTAGAACACTGATTATGGCATAATATTGATAGCTTCCCTTGAGGAACTGAAGAGTATGAGCCAATTGTAATGAAGTAATGTATATACTACTACTTTCTTTCACAGAAAATCTAAACACACAGAAAAACAATCCCATGCGATGGAAGCTTGGAATTTTTCTTATATTCTATCTGGGACACTAAATATACAAAATATATTCTATAAGAATAATGTTATGTTTTCACATGCTACTTCTATGTTATTCATGCCTTTATCTCCTGTAATTAGCAATCATTGTTTCTCCAGCTGTCAATTCAATCGCTAAAACATTCTACAGTAATAAAATATTCACTTATCCCCAAAGAGCTACTGATTACTAAACATGAAAAAGTAAGTTATTATTTTATTTTGAGCCTGTTAACCATTGCCTCAACTAAAATGCATTCTCATATAATCAATGGGGAAAAACATTATTCTACCTTCATCAAAAATATAAGCCAAAACTTCAATTTTCACTGCCGTCTCTTTTCCTCAGAACTTTTTAATTTCACTGTTGAATCATAGAATTTCCCAACTGAGAGAAAACATCTTATCAATTCTGCTTTTATTTTTCTCTTTTACTATAGTAGGTAACCAAGTTATTGCAGCAGATTTAAACTGTCGTTTTAAATTCAGGTAGTAAGATAAGTCATAGAATTTCCATATAGCACCTTCAGATTGCATGTACATTCGTACATTTAGTGAGAGGCATTTTTATTTTTACAATGGAAACAAGGTCAAATGAACTATAAAGAAAAAATTAGATTAAACTGATTTTGAAGCTTTACTCTCCTAAATGAAGAACAAAATATTCTATTTTGATCTTTTTTTTTTAGAATTTTTAAGTTTGGAACTATGAATATAGTGATAAACATCTGCATGATTTATTCCAAGTGAAGGCTGAGTGATGTGACAGAAGGCAGGGCAGAGGGACTTGAAACATGAGAACAATTTTGCTTGCTATTCCTGGCATTGAAGATGAAACAGGCTACAAACCAGAAAATGCAGGTGACCTCCAGAAGTGGAGAATATTTCCCAGCTTATAGCAAGCAAGGAAATGGGAACCTCACTCTCACAACCGTATGGAACTGAATTTGACCAACAAACTGAAAATGCTTGGAAACTGGCTTATCAATTTCCTCCAGAAAAGTGTGCTGATAACTTGAGTTGAGCCTTGTGAGTCTCTACACATAGGACTTACTTAAGCCACACTGTACCTGGATTTATGAACTAGAAAAACTCTAATATAAGTGTGTAGTGTTTTAAGTCATTAAAATTGTGGAGACCTCTTACATTGGCAATGGAAAATTAATATCAAAAGCTAATATTGTGTGTTCTCAACTGAAAATTATTTTATCCCCCACCCACTCCCATGAAGCATTTGACAAGGTTTGGAGTCATTTTAATTTGCCATATTGGGGGGTGGTAGGGCTTACAGTGGGTAGACGCTAGAGATTCAGCTAAACATCCACAATGCACAGGACAGCCCTCAAACAACAAACAACTATCTGGCCCCAAATCTCAATAATACAACTATTTATAAAATATAAGAAGTATGCAAATACGTAATTTTGTACAGTTAATGTTCTGTTTCTTTTTATAAAAATTTAGAATTTTTTTTCTTTCTTCTTAAAATTGTACATATATCAGCATATTCTTTACTGCCTTATTAGTTATTGAGGCTTTCTCTATTTTTTCTTACATATTTCCTCTTGTGCTTCAGGTTGAATTTTTGTAACATTTCTGCAGATTTACTGATCATTTTTCTTCTGTAGCGTCAGTCTGCTTTTGAGCCCACATGATCATTTTATTATTGTATTTTTAAATTCTAGTGTCTCCATTATTGAAAGGCTGGGATACAGCTAAGGTAATGGCTTATACTTGTCCTAAGATTACTGATTACCTACCCATTATAATAAAACTTTGTTATCATTTTTTAAAAACTTTACTGTTATTTTAAACTTCTGATCTGCTAAGTGGTCTAAGGGTTTCCTTATATTGTCTGGTTTTGTTCTTGTTTGTGGATTGCACTTTTTCCCTACTTGCCATTGTATACTAAGTTTTATTTTATATACATATATATTTGATATATCCTTTATATCATACATTGATACATTATTGAGACTCTAGAATTTGCTTATCTTTGTCCAAATAGTGTTTAGTTTTGCCCTTGCAGGGAAGGAATTTACTGATCACCATTATTTTTTGCATGCTTCATTTTCAACTGTTTTGAGGGGGTAGGTGATTTTAGCTCTGCCCTTATTTCTAGAGCATATCATTTAGTCATAAATCATGTTTCTTATTTCTAAGGCTCACTCCTTCTTGAGTTTCAGTGGAAAATGTGATATGTTCTAACTCAGCGAGACTCCAAACTGTCTGCGTAGCACCTAGTGGTTGTAAAATTCTCTGCTCAGTTGATTTGTCTTTGCAATCTATAGAGTTCCTTGCTTTCTATAGAGTTCCTTGAAATCTTGTCTTGTGCATAAACATTTTAGGAACCAACCAAGGATTCAAGGAAAATGACAAGGGGATTTTTAAGCTGTCCTCTCTGTGATTCTCTATGGCAGGCTTGTCCAACCCATGGCTCACAGGCCACATGCGGCCCAGTACAGTTTCGAATGCTGCCCAACACAAATTCGTAAACTTTCTTAAAACATTATGAGATTTTTTCTTGAAATTTTTTTTAAGCTCTTCAGCTATCGTTAGTGTTAGTGTTTTTTATGTGTGGCCCAAAACAGTTCTTCTTCTCTCAGTTTGGCCTAGAGAAGCCAAAAGATTGGACACTCTGCTCTATAGCCTTTAAGTCAGAGGTCCCCAGTTCCCAGGTCGCAGACTAGTACCAGTCCATGGACTGTTAGGAACCCGGCCACACAGCAGGAGGCGAGCAGCAGTCAAGTGAGCGTTATGCCTGAGCTCTGCCTTCTATCAAATTAATGTGGCAAAAGATTCTCATAGGAGTGTGAATCCTCTTGTGAACTGTGCATGCAAAAGATATAAGTTGCATGCTTCTTATGAGAATCTAATGCTCATCCCTACTTCATCTGTGGAAAAATTGTCCTCCACGAAACCAGTCCCTGGTGCCCAAAAGGTTGGAAAACACTGCTCTAAGTAGTTCAGAACTCTGACTCCTGACTTTTTAGCCTTTTAATGCTAACATTTTCTGCTTGAGCCTTATCCCTAGTGTCTGCTGTAAACTGGGAAATTCACTGAGGGAAAATTCTGCTTAGATGTTGATCTCATGTGTTACACAACCTCTTTAAAGATTGTTGTATGCCCCATTAGTTCCTATTTGCTTTTGGTGATTTTTTTGAGACTTCAGTTTGTTTGTTTATCTTCTCCTCTATACCTCTCCGCCAGAGTTTATGATTATTGGCAAATGGCTAGTCTTAAACAAACTACTCTAACATTATCTAGGGTGAAACCTCTTTAAAATAGTATTCCGCTTTTGTTTAATTGATTGAAAAAATCTTCTCAAATCTGTTTGAAGATTGTGTTAGTCCATTCTTGCATTGCTATGAAGAAATACCCGAGACTGGATAATTTATAAAGGAAAGAGATTTAATTGGCTCACAGTTCTGCAGGCTTTACAGGAACTATGGTGCTGGCATCTGCTCAGCTTCTAGGGAGAGCTTACAATCATGGCAAAAGGTGAAGGGAAAGCAGGCACATCTCATGGCAAAAGCAGGAGCAAATGGGAGAGAGAGTGGAGGGGGAAGTGCCACACATGTTTACATGACCAGATGTCATGTGAACACAGAGTGAGAGCTCACTTATCACCAAGGAGGTGGCCCGATCCATTCATGAGGGATCCACAGCCATGATCCAAACACCTCCAACCAGGCCCCACCTCCAGCACTGGGGATTACATCTCAATATGAGATTAGGGTGGAGACAAATATCCAAACTATGTCAAAGATTAGTAATTAGAATTTTCCATGTTCTCTTGTCTATTATCTCCCATTCAATCAAATTAGATTTAATTTTTTTGTCTTGATATTATTTTTCTTTTAGATTATTGTCCGTAGTAAGTGCTGTTTGTACCCCACACAGTCACTTTATACCAGGCTGATTTTCTCATTCTCTAGTGGATAATTGTGGTGTCTGCTAACAGTTCACAGCTTACAGTTGCCTTCTGTTTGGGAGAATTGCCTTCAGCTACCTTGCCTGGGAAGGCTTACATTTCTCCTTGGGGCAGACTGCAGATAATGACTGACTGCTACAAGGAGTACACAGTACACCTTTTGTTAAGGTGGAACAATGTTGCAATGTAACTTATGCTCTATGACTTCCATGTTATCCTTCCAAAGCTAGACTTTACTGAGACAAAATATTTAATTAGCTCCTTATTCTTCCCTATCTTGTTTCAGGTTGGACAAGCTTGCTTTAGATCATAATTTTATTTCAGAACAGAAACAACAGAGGCTTAGACTTCAATATGTTAGAATTTGGAGGGATTTTTACGGGATAGCTGAACAGTTAAAAGTTTCAGTCATTTGTTCTTTTTGTGCACATGAGTATGTAATGAATTTTTTCTGGATAACTACAATGTGCCTGACATGTTTTCTTTTTCATGTTTGTATTTATTCTCCTGTGTGGCCAATGAGCATCTTTAAATTTATGTCTTTCTCTAAATTTGGGAAGTTTTTAGTCTTTATTTATTCAAATATTGTTTTATGCTCCATTCTGTCTCCTCTCTCTTTTTGGGACTCACTCTAGTACTCTATCTCAAACATCCATGAAATCCTGTTTATGTATTTTTCATCAGATACAACTGTGATTCAGGTGTCTATGACAGAGAGAGATACTGTGTGGAGGTTTTAGCTGGCTGCTATGTGTAAATTACCACACAGACCCATAGGATCTATAGCAAAGCTAATGTTGTCCTCTGTATATACTATTTTTCTTTTTAGGGAAAAATGCATCTCTCTTACTACTGGGCTTTAGTAGAAACTAAACACTTAAAAACACGCTACCAAGTTCCTATGATACCTGAGAGACTTATCATGAAATGCATGTGGTTTGACCCACAGAAGCAGAAAGTGGTATGCCTATGGTGAGTGGTACATGTGACACTCAGCTTGAGTAGGACCAGAAGCTATAAGTAACTTATAGGAGCAAATGTGTTTTGTCCCATGTTTCCTTCCATCTATCCTCATCCTGCTGTGTCTGGAATTGGTAGGTTCTTGGTCTCACTGACTTCAAGAATGAAGCCGCGAACACTCGCGGTGAGTGTTACGGTTCTTAAAGATGGTGTGTCTCGAGTTTGTTCCTTCTGATGTTCGGACATGTTTGGAGTTTCTTCCTTCTGGTGGGTTTGTGGTCTCACTGGCTTCAGGAGTGAAGCTGCAGACCTTCACGGTGAGTGTTATAGCTCATAAAGGCAGTGCGGACCCAAAGAGTGAGCAGCAGCAAGATTTATTGCAAAGAGCAAAAGAACAAAGCTTCCATGGTGTGGAAGAGGACCCAAGTGGGTTGCCACTACTGGCTCAGGGCAGCCTGCTTTTATTCCCTTATCTGACCCCACCCGCATCCTGCTGATTGGTCCGTTTTACAGAGAGCTGATTGGTCTGTTTTGACAGGGTGCTGATTGGTGCATTTACAAACCTTGAGCTAGACACAGAGTGCTGATTGGTGCATTTACAATCCTCTAGCTAGACATAAAAGTTCTCCAAGTCCCCACTAGATTAGCTAGACACAGAGCACTGATTGGTGCATTTACAAACCTTTAGCTAGACACAGAGTGTTGATTGGTGCATTTACAATCCTCTAGCTAGACATGAAAGTTCTCCAAGTCCCCACTAGATTAGCTAGACACAGAGCACTGATTGGTGAATTTACAAACCTTTAGCTAGACACAGAGCACTGATTGGTGCATTTACAAACCTTGAGCTAGACACAGAGTGCTGATTGGTGCATTTACAATCCTCTAGCTAGACATAAAAGTTCTCCAAGTCCCCACCAGATTAGCTAGATACAGAGTGCTGATTGGTGCATCCACAAACCCAGAGCTAGACACAGAGTGCTGTTTGGTGCATTTACAATCCTCCAGCTAGACATAAAAGTTCTCCAAGTCCCCACCCGACTCAGGAGCCCAGCTGGCTTCCCCCAGTGGATCCTGTGCCAGGGTGGCACCCGTTGGAGAGGCTTGGGCCATGCCGGAGCAGGGGCAGGCGGGTAGGGGGGACGGGGTGCTTGTGTATGGTGGGCTGCAGGTCCCAAGCGCTGCCCCAGGGGGAGGCGGCTGAGCGTTCAAGCGTGGCACAGGCGGGCCAGCAGTGCCGGGGGACCCGGCGCACCCTCCGCAGCTGCTGGTCCGGGTGCTCAGCCCCTCACTGCCCAGGGCTGGCGGCACCGGCCGGCCGCTGCGAGTGCGGGCCCACTGAGCCCACACCCACCCAGAACTCGCGCTGGCCTGGAAGCGTCCCCAGTTCCCGCCTGCACCTCTCCCTCCACACCTCCCCGCAAGCAGAGGGAGCCGGCTCTGGCCTCAGCCAGCCCAGAGAGGGGCTCTCACAGTGCAGCGGTGGGCTGAAGGGCACCTCAAGCACAGCCAGAGTGGGCGCCGAGGCCAAGGAGGCACCGAGAGTGAGCGAGGGCTGCAAACACGCTGTCACTTCTCACTGTCACATTGCCTCCCTTTCTTTCCACGTATAGCTTCATAGCATCTTCCCTATGACTATATGTCTAAGAAAGAAAAAAAAAACTAGGCTCAGTTTAGTAATGGTTCTGCATGATTATCCTAGCACCACTCAAAAGTGGATAAGTCCAGCATGACTGCCTGAAGGGTGGCCCTGAAAGAAGTGATGAAAGAAAAGCCTCAAAATGGCAGAGCTTTGATTAGTGCAGTGTATCTGTTGTCTGTTTTACCTGGAATGAGAGGTGGCTGGAGATACAGATCTTCAATTATTTAATGGTAGTAGATAATTATTTGCATGGATGATAGCGGCATAAAAAGAACATATTTGGTAAACTGGTGAATGGTGATCTGAGGAAGATGACTATGAATGATTCTCTTTAAATGAGCAAAGAGTGTAGAGGCATTATTGTTCCATAAGCAAAATGCTCTCGAAAGAGCCAACTTGGCTGGAGAGAATCTTACTAATTGGGTAGACAAAATGACTTATTCCTTGCGTGTCAGTTTGCCTGTTGCTTCAGCTGCCCTTGTTCTTGCTTAATAGGCTAATGAACAAAGTGGCAATAAGGATAAGACTAAAAGCTAAACATGAGTACATTGCTGAGTACCCATTTGCCAAGAAGAGAGGCCAATAGTAATCTCATGATATGGTAGGTTGCTTATGGCTTATGTTGGAACACTTCCAGAAAAAAAGAAAAAAAACCATTCTTTGTTCTCACTGAAATAGACACTATAGATATGAATATGTCTTTTTCACAATGTTTCTGCCAAAATTACCAATTATGTATTTATTGAATGCCTTATTTATCAGGATAATCCACAGAGCATTAATTCTGATCAGGGAATTCATTTTACAGCAAATTGAATTTAGAAATGGGCTCATGCTCCTGTAATTCACTGGTTTAAATTCCTTATCACCTGGAGTAGCTGCCCTGATAGTCCAATCTAATGGCCTTCTGTATATTGCACTGAATAAGCAATCAATAAATAGTGCTCTTTTGATAAAGTCACTAATCATGGGCTCAAGGGTCATGGCATGACAAACAGAGTACATCTCTTACAATTACCCTGAAATATTCTCTAACAAAATTTTTGCTTGGTATGTCTGTACCTTAGGCTTCTGCTAGTTTACAGGTTTTAGTTTTCAAGGGAAGACTGCATTTACCATGGAACAAAGCACTGGTCCTATTAAATAGGAAGTTGAAACTGCTTCCTGGCCACTTTGAGTTTATCTTGCCACTGAACCAAGAGATAAAAAAGAAATTGACTTGTTGGAAGAGTTGATTCTATCAAGGGAAAATTGGGTTGTTAATACACCCACTTTAATTTCTGGTGATAGAGAGGAGTATGTCTGAAATGCAAGAGCCTTCTGGGAGATCTAGCACACGTGTATCATGTGATAAATTTCAATAGAAAAATAAAACATAACTTGATAAAGATAAGACTTTTACTGCCAGAGATGCTTCATGAATAAAGGATTGTATCAATGTACCAAGTAACAAACCATAAGCAGATAAGCTGCTTGCTGAGGACAAAGGGAAGAATATTTTAAACAGCAGCTATGACTGTGTGAGCAGTAGGAACAAAGACTTTCATCATTCTATTTCTTCTTTGCTTTGATGTGAATATGTGTATGCAGGTATGTATTATCAATTATTGTTCTTTTAAAAATTTCTTATTCCTCCACCATTACATAATATGTTAAGAGAAGATAACCTTATATGTTAATATTTAGGTTACAGAATATCTAAGGGGGAGTGTGACAAATATGAGAATGAACTTAACCTAAGATGGATAAGTGGGATTTTATGTATTTCTTTTTTAGCCAAGTGTTAGCATATTTTCATAAAGCAGAGAATAGCATAAAGGTAAATAGAATAACAACTTTGGTAATCTCTCTATTTGGAGGTTAAAAATGGTAAATAGATGATTATAAGATGCCACGTCACCACAGCTAGATTGGCCAAATGAGAATCTTGCATAAAAATTGAAAGGTGAAAATAAAGTGGTGACCATTACTCAGAAGGTGGCATGGACGGGTAAGTCTCAGGCGTATGTAGGCCCTCAGTGGCTCCCAGCTTGTCTTCTGCCCGTTTGTCTTTCTGAATGCTGCCCTTGCTGACTAACACTGGCCCAAGACCCACCACCAGATGCAGAAGCAGTGGTACACAAAAGCAGCAGTTTGCCATAAACTGCTCCATCTTCTCCCAATCTGCATCATCAGTCTGGTGCCCACATGTGCTTGGACCGTTGGGTTTGCCTGTAAACTCTGACTTTTCCAACTATGCTAGTTATTGAGGACATTTGGTTAGTAATTCCTTCTCTCATTATACAGCATCAACTTCCAGATTTTTAATTCCCTAGTACCTTCCTTATTTACATAATGTATACTTCCAAAATACATTTCTAGTTATCATTGGTCATAGTTGCTCTTCTTTCCCAATTAAACTTTAACCAATATATTCAGTGACAATATTTTTATTTCTAGTTAATTTTGCAACCTTTAAATAAATCTGCCTTGTCTTTAAAAATTATTTTGTCCCTTTATTATTAATAATTTGTAATTTATGATTCTAAATGCATATATTTGTATTATCTGAAAATCCTCTTTTCTAAAGCCATCACTATGTATGCAGTTGCCATCTAATGGGTCATCAGAAAGAATAGTTGTGTACTCTACCGTAACCAAGAAAGCCAACTCTACAGTTACCAAGATCTTATATGAAATTTTTCCCACTCCCAGATTTTTCTGCAGGTAACAGCTTATTGTATTTGAAGGAATTTCTACATGAGCTCTTTGAGAGGATGTTTTGAATTGTCCTAAACTTGGTTTTAAGCAAGAATCTAATGAAAAGTTATTAAATTAGACTGAGTTGTTACTGACTGGTGAGCTTAAGTATCCTTGCTACCCAGAAAGATAGGGTGTTTAACAAAAATTTGGTGACAGTTATGAGAAAAAAAAAAGTAATTCCATGTATATACCTTACCATGTGGAACTCATCAAACTTGTGAAGCCAAGTTTGACAAGCCAAGCTCAAATCTTCTTGTCCTTTCCATCTTGGTGACCTCTACATTAATTCTCTTTCCCAGACTTACACCAAACATCAGAAATGATCTTCTCATCCCAGGGTTGATCTTTCTACAAAGGGAAATCTGATTTTTTGACTGTGATATTTTAAATGTCTTCCCACTCACAGCATGAAGTACATTTATTAGTATGATCTTACTCCCACCACGCCCATACACATTGAATTAATTTAATCTGCTGCCAACCTCTATCCCCATACACATTGAATTAACAAGTCATAAGAAATGACCTACTTTACTGTGTCTGGCTTTTTCTCACCTGCTTATTTTTTCACATGCAATTCTTTGCTGTTCTGCTTTTCTGTATTTGTCTTTCTGGAAAATCCTACTAATTTTTTGCCTAATATATCATCTATCCCAAGAGACTTTCCCTAATCTCCTTTATTATAATTTATAAACATTCTGTTGTGACCTTCTAGGATTATAATAAATAACTTATTGAAATATTATAATTATTTGTGTACAAGCCTGTCTTCCCTACTGGGCTTTAAACTCCTTGAGGAGAGGAGCCAAGTCATAGAAACTTTTATATTTCCAGTGGCTAGCACAGTTTCTGCTGCTTAATGCTCAATAAATATCCAATCAGCATCACCTGTGCTACAATTTTGTAATGAATTATTGACAGATTCTGACTATTGTTTTGCAAAGTCTTTATTTATGGGCACATATCTATATGCCCATTTATTCTGTATAGTTTAGTAGTGGCACCACAAGAAGTGTTAAAATTGATGAAGATACTTTATAGAGTTAAGGATCACAGAACTGGCATGGGATTCATATTAATCTAGGAAAATTATCTGCATGATAATTAGATACTCTCCTGAGTTATTTCTTAATTCTGTAATCCTATTTTTAATAGTAAAAAATTGAAAATGTACGTCATGATATAAAGGGGAAGTAACTTAAAATCTGCATTTCCTTGATATTTGCTAAAATATGATACATTTCAGTAATTACTAATGTTAACAACAATATGAAAGCAGGGCCACTTTTTCTAGAGAAAAACACTTTGCTAACTGTAAGAGCTAAAGTTAGAAATGAGCTTGAAACTTTTGAACTCATTATCTTAAAATCACCTTTAGCTCTAGGACAATATAACTTTATACAAAACATTTCTATGGTAAATTTAGAAGCAGGGCAAGAGAGTCCAATAAATATTTTTGCACATTTGCACAGCTTATGCTTCCACTTTGATAGAAGAGACATTCTAAAATGACCTCTTCAGCTATAATTTATAAGCTAGTATAACAATGCAGTGTTCTTCATTTTTTTAAACTCCGAAGTCCAGTAATCTGATAAATTTAGAATCCAGAAGTGTCCATCAAAATTGAAACTTTCCATTTGAGAACACTCTCTTTACAAATTAAAGCATAAATTTTCTATATAATACTTGCTTGGGTACATATTAATAATACAAACTCTGCCTAAACTTTGTCCAGGGTCAAATTTTTATACTTTTCATAACTAAAAGAACCTCCCAAAATTGTATTTAAGAAACTGCAAGAATTAGCTTGGCTTCTTCTTTAATTAGAATCAAACTTTTTCCCAAAGAAAAGCACCTCATTAAAATATATTTCCAAAATACTTACATGGCTTTGTGACAATCCTGATTTTCCCAGGTGCCTTTCAGGCTGCTGGGGAATCTGCTGATTGGCAATTGCTTTGAAAACCATTCAGACTTGGGTTGATTTCAAGGCCTGAAAATAAATTCCCAAATGGATAGAATTCCTACAGTTCTTTTTGGAGTTCTGAAGTATTTTAGGGAACTTAGGAGAATGAATTCCAGTGCAGATGGGCAGCTGATCATTTGTGTGATCTTAGACAATTTTCCCAAATTCTATTATTTGCTTCATTTACTTTATTGGAGAACTATGTATGTGTAGGAATGGTGGTAAAGAGGAGGTGACAAGTCTGTGTAATAACTTCTGAGAAACTCTTAATATATAATTCTATTATTTTGTGTCTATAAATTTATTAGTTCCCAGCGTCACTTCATAAAAATATCTGAATTACCATGATTGATTTGTCATGCCTATCCTACATTTAGATGCTCTCTTTTGGAAATATCTTGTCCTAGACCTACCCCGCCATCTCCCTGCCAGGAAAAGTAATGCCTGAAGAGGCAGGTTTCTTAATTCTTCCCCACTGTGAAGGTAAATGAAACCTCAAGTCATAAATATATAGGAGCATGGTCTGAAACTAAAAAACAATGTTATATGTTCACAATTAATGTGTAATTCAGTTTTGAATATTTCCTTTTTTCCTTCCCTTGTTTTGTTTGTTTTGAAGGAAAAGTGGCATTTGTTTTCAGCGAATTGCCACTAACATTTGCTTTGCAACTTTTACAACTGCTGACACAACCTGGTTTTTATCTCAGGCTATGCCTTGATCCCTTGTTTGAAGAACCCTTTTCACTCATCTGGTTGTTCCAAGTATGCACATGAAAGTGTTATTTCACAAATTCTCTCTTACTGATTCTCTTTCTTCAATATTGCTCTCACCATTCTGGAACATCTGCAATAAAGAACTAAAGATATAGAAAATATTTGTAAAATTCTGTCAGAGGAAAATACGGCACTGCACTTGGGGATTCTGGGACACATCCTAGATAAGAAATTGTTGGCAAATATATTATTCCTTCCTTTCTTTCAAATCCCTGAACTCTTTTTAAGAATCAATGATTTTTGTGGCCAGGCGCAGTGGTCCATTCCTGTAGTCCCAGCACTTTGGGAGGCCGAAGCAGGCAGGTCGCATGAGCCCAGGGGTTTGAGACCAGCCTGGGCAACAAGGTGAAACCCCATCTCTACAAAAAATTCAAAAAGTAGCGGGTCATGGTGGCACACGCCTGCAGTCCCAGCTATCCAGGAGTCTGAGACAGGAGGATCACAATAATGATTTTATTTTTTTTCTCTGAGCTGTCCATTATTTTGTCAGAGCACTACAGTTCTCTCCAGGAAATATCTAATGCTGTATGCATATATTTTTTAACGTCCCTAGCTCAACTGAAATACATGTTCTTATATATTTTTATTTAGGGTCCCTGTTTTTTGTATGAAAATCTAGCAAAGAAAAATCAGATAAACTATTCTTTATGCCGCCTGATTTTTAAAAATTGCATATTTGTGGTAATATTTGAAATACATTTTACACAATACCAACATTATCATTCTGACTCCACATATGCTAAAGATCACTCAGGTAGATGGTAGGATCTCAAATTAACTCTTTGTAGTTTCTCACTAACAGGTCATGTTTGAACATTTAGCATTAATGAAATAAAATATCCGATGAACCAAAACTATTGACAGTCTAGACAGTTGTATGCAGCAGTAGATAAAAGAATGGAAATGTATTCAGATTGCAAGATTTATATGTTGGTCCCAAACTTTTAATAGCTGTGCATCCTTGAGAAAAGTGCATATACCTTCTGTGAATTGCAATTCACTCATCTTTAAAATTGGATAATAAAATTATATATTTTTTAGATTTATTTTGAGAGTAAAATAACTGAATGATATTTAAAGTCTGATACATAGTACAGAGTAAATAAGAATTGTTACTATAATATTTTATTTTAAAAACTTCAGTATGGCAACAATTCAATTGATCAACACAGAAAATTGAAAAATCTCTAGTAGCTCTTTATTCTACTT
Organism: Homo sapiens; assembly: GCF_000001405.40. NCBI lineage: Eukaryota > Metazoa > Chordata > Mammalia > Primates > Hominidae > Homo > Homo sapiens. The sequence continues at coordinate 126,483,092 of NC_000004.12, read as the reverse complement.
GATTATGTGTTTTGAATGATTAAAAAATTGAATACCTTCAAACAGCAATATATATATACCAAGTAATATTTTGGGGTTGCTTTCTTTCCATTGGTTTCTTGTTTCTATTTTTTTATATTTTCATTGTGCCATCTAATTTACATTTACTCAGACCATTTAAAAACTTGTTGTTCGATCTATCTATCCATCCATCTTTTCAATGTAGATAAGTACAGGTTAAAACAATTTCACATAGTCATATATTGATACTCTGTTGTTGTAATAATGTTAAGTTATATAACAAATAATCAAATTCTCAAAAACATTTTAAATACATTTTATATGTCAACTCATTGGCCTTCACACTATGTGCAAACCATTATTCTAAATCCAAGATATTCTGCATGTCTGTATATTCCTAAACACAGCTCAAGTCTGACCAGTATAAACTGGAATCATCCTTTTATGTTTTCTCCTCCCTTCTCCTTTCCACTCCTGAGAACTGACAGAAAATGATTTTTTAAAATATTAGATTAGTCAAGCAGCAGACTCCTTAGAATTTTGAGCTATGTTTGAACTCAGGCAAATCACTGCTAAGTCCCAATTAATCCAATTGGGATCAAATACATCATAGACTTTAAGAAGTATTCTGCTTCAAAGCACATTATTCATTATGTCATTTTCTTCTTCAAACTTCTTGACTCAAGTGAATATTATTATAAGCAGAGATTCTTCTTTCAATTAACCTTTTCATGAAAGGTTAATAGAGATTTTGTAAATTTTCAAAAAATATATCTGAAAAATTACTAGTGCAAAAAGGAGAAATACTAACTACAAAGAATATAATACAATTCTATGTAAAATATGATGACTAGTTTATTTAAAAATACGTTTACTCTAGATTTTCTGTGCAAACATAGTTTTAATTTCTGATAGAGGCAGAGTTGGCTTTTTTTTCTCCCATTTAAGAAAATAGTTTATAAACAAACTGGCTTCGGGGTGATACACTTTCTTCAGATGCAAGGATATCTATACCTCTGAAAAATTATGTGTATTTGCATGTAAAATGTCAAGTGTCATATACAAAGGATCTCTTGTTACAAATAAAATGGAAATGCTGGTACATACAGCATTTAAAGAGTCTTTTTAAAATTATACTTTAAGTTCCAGGGTACATGTGCACAACATGAAGGTTTGTTACATATGTATACATGTGCCATGTTGGTGTGCTGCACCCATTAACTCGTCATTTACATTAGGTATATCTCTTAATGCTATCCCTCCCCCACTTCCCTCACCCCACAACAGTACCCTGAGCTCTTTCACCCTGGTGAAAGAAATTAAACCTTTTATGGGAGTGTTTAAACTTTAGAAGAAAGATTACTGCTCTTGCTACATGTGTATCTGTTAAAATGTGCACCTTGGGAATTCTGAGGTTTGTGGGCTTGCATGGTAGCCATTAAAGATTCTGCCTCTTTCTTTTTTCTCTCTATTTCTATTGTAAAAGACCAACGTGGCCACTTTAAAGAGGTCCTCTAAAATACTATCTGTCCCCAGGGCCTGTTCCATTTCTGCAGCTTCCTCCTGATATCAGGGGCTGCCTGAGTAATTTAGGCAGTAATTTAGGATTAGTTGTCCCTCAACGGAATCAAGAGATAGAGAGGTGTGCTTTACCAAGGCCCCTCTTAGCCTCTCCAAGAAGGCAGTGAGATTTTCATTATATCTCTGGTCTATGATGAGTAGCTTCGTATAATTGAGAGACTTAGTTCTAGTACTACTTAAGCCCTCTATTATGCACATCTGAAAGTGTCTCCTCTTCCATTCTCCCATCTCATCATTGGGATCCCATTTAGGGTCATCCACTGGTACTGCTTTTCCTCCAGTTGGGTAAAGTTTGGCCCCTTCCCTGACACCATATGTAATAAAAAGCTCATCCCCAAATCTCTCTGCTGCTTGCAGAGGTGGCTGCTTCTCAGTGTTTGTCAAGGTCTAATTCAAAAGTAATATAATGTCTTTCTAGGAGAGTTCAAATACTTGGTTTAAATTCTGGAAAGCCTCTATACAGCTGTCAGGGTCATCTAAAAACTTGCCAAGATCCCCCTTAATTTGCTTTAAGTCTTATAGAAAGAAGGGGACCTGGACCTTACTGGGGCCCAATTCACCAGGCATCTGTTGAAGGGGCAAGAGTGAGACTGGAGCTTGTCTAGGGTGAGGATTTCTAGGAGGAGGCAAGCAAGAGAGAGAAGCTGAACAGGGAGGACGGGGCAGACCCCGAGCAAGAGGGCTGGAGGGAGCTGGCTGCCCTGCTGGGGGTGCCTCTGGGTTTCATTTCTTTAGTTCCCTAGGACTGCCCCGGCAGCCTTTCCTGAGATAGTAAACTAAGGGCTGAATCAATCCTACACTGTCAGCAAAGGTCTGGATTGTCCTGCCAGGTATAGCAAGCCTGCACATATGGGGCCTCAGACCATTTTTCCTCATGTTTACAGAAAAGGTCCCACTGCAGGATGGTATTGAAATAAATGGTTTCTTTCTGAGGCCAAGCCAGTCCTTCCTGTAAGTTATAATTTGGCCAAACCTTTGTGCAGAGGGCTATGAGACATTTTTCCTTTAGAGTCTGAAGGTCAAAGCAGTCCCAGTGATTCAGTATACAGTCCAGAGGAGTATAAACTGGGGGTGATGAAGATAGCTGGTTGCCATCCTGAAAGGGAAATAGGCATCCCTCATTTCCCTTCCTTCTTTCCACAATAACCTGGGCTGTGAGGGATAGGGAAAGTGGGCATCTCCCCTTTCTCCACCATCTTTTTGTCCCTGAATCCCAGGGACCTTGGCATGTGCCATCCATGGGTGCCAATGCGGCTTGCACCCATAAAGCAAGATCTAGAGAATAGGAATTATCCACACTAACCTATGCCTCTATCCCTTCTACTGTCGACAACACTTGAGTTCCCTGGGCCTCATCTACGCCATGGAGCATGGCCTCCTTTCATGAAATGGGGGTTTAATCAGCAGGAATTGGTCCTGTCCATTTACTCTGTGCCTGTTGTCTGGCTTTGAATCCCTCAGATCTGGTTTTCCATTCTAAGGCTTCAACCTGAAAGTTGGAATTGAGTTTCGGACAAAAAAGGTATTTCATGGCGGTGCATGGAAGTATTTACGTGAAGTCCCAAAGGGGTCCTGCCAAATTTGAAGATATAGCCAGCAGGGGCCGCTCCTCCGTTGTTTTCCCTATCATAAGCAGAGTCCTGGGGAAAAGAAGCCTCTCACTTAGAAGAGAAAAAAGAAACAGCTTAAAGTACAAAAAAGAGATGGGGAGAGAACTTCCTGTTCTATGCAAATGGGCTCCTTCAATTACTGTATTCCTCTCCCGGTTCAGACCGATAAGGACCTCTCAGCCATAGAAGAAAATGCTCTGTGGGCACCAGCATGGGGCAGGAGGGAATGGTGGGTGAAAGAGTCCAGCCTGTCTGCTGAGCGGGGCCCCAGCGGCAGCCCTGGGCCCCCGGCAGCCCTGGGCAGTGGTTTTCTCCCACCCCTTGTAGCCATTGGATGTGGCTCCTGCATACTGCAGACACATCCAAGCATCCAAGCTAGGTGGGGAGGTAGTAAGAAGGGGAGCCACTGCATGCCTGCCCATTTCACAAATGCGCCTGCGGCCATTGGGGTAGGGTTCCGGGTCGCACTTTTAAGAACAAACAGAAATCACATTGTTCTGAATTGCACCTCTGATGGCTGGGCCAAAGTTACATTCTGCCTAATATCATAGCTGCAGTCTGTAGCAAAACCCTTCACATTATAAAAGAAAAGATAGGAGCCATTTCAAATTGTGAAAAATAAAAGATGCCATAGAAAAGTCTGGAGGTCTTGGCTGGCGCCTGTGGTCAGAGACTGGGGGCCAGTCCAGGGGCCTTCCGGTAACACCGAGGAGTGGCCTCAGCCAGGTGCCTACAGCTGCCCCAGGACTTTGTCCTGGTCCCACGTGACAGCTAAGCCTCCATGAAGGGAAACAGAGCCAACATTCCTTTCACTCAAAGAAAGAGAAATGGCAGGGTTGCATCCTGTTCCCTGCAAGTGGCATAGCTCAGAGGAAAGTCTGAGGACAAGGAGAGACAGATCTGCATGTTACTCACCCATCTGATGAATCCCGGGAGAGTACCCAGTTGACATGGGATAATTTCCTCGACCCCTTCATGGGACTTGTGAAAGGGTAGCTCACTTAGCCTGCAACACTCAAACTGCTTGCAGGAGGGGGAACACACGGGTGAGCAGGTACAGGGGCTGGGAGAGGTGTCTTTGGGTGGTGGCAGGAGCAAACCCTGTAGCGGCCCATGGCAGCATCTAGGGGTTGCCCATGACCTCTGGGGCCCCAGAGAGGGTGTGTTACAGCACGCTCTTTTAGCTTTGCTGTCTGCAGATGGCTTAAGTGTTAAACCACTCAGTGGAGAGTCAGTGTGACAGACTCCTGCACCTGCACCTGGGTCCTTGTCTGGTGCCCAAGAGGAAAGATGTCACACGGACTTGAAGGTTGGTGAATGTGGGGATTTTACTGAGTAACGGAAGTGGCTCTCAGTGGGATGGGGAGCTGGAAAGAAGATGGAGTGGGAAGGTGGTCTTTTCCAACTGTCTCCAGCCAAACTCCTCTCTGACAGTAGTCTCCGATGTCCGGCTGCTTCTTCTCCTCTCAATGTTCAGATGCTTCTCTTTTCTGTGTCTGTTTTTAGCCTAGGGTCTGGGGTTCTTATGGGCACAGGATAGGGGGTGTGGCAGGCCAAAAGGCAACATTCAGGTGGGAAAACAGGGATACGAAGTTCTCATTTAGGGCTGCAGGTTCAGGCTTGAGGGTGGAACCCTTGCCAGGGACTCCACCCTTTCCTACATAGTATTTCCCTGCCTCCTGTCTGTATCACTAAGAGAGTAGATTTCAAATGTCTTGAGCACAAAAAAATGATAATTATGTGATAAGTACGTATGTTAATTAGCTTCACACAGCCATTCCACAGTATATGCATGTTCCAAAACATCATGTTGTACATGATAAACATATAAAAATTTTGGTAATTAAAAAATAAAAAATTTGGTAATTAAAAAATTTTGGTAAATAAAAAATTGCCTACAAAAATAGGAATAGATTTATTAAGAGAGATTGGCTCCCACAATTATGGAGGCTGGGAAGTCCCACATTCTGCCGTGTGCAAGCTGCAGACCCAGAAAGTTGGTAGTGTAGTTCCAGTGCAAATCTGAAAGGTCGCATCTAGTAATAAGTCTGAAAAGATTGGGAACCTGAGACATGTAAGATTATTAAGTAGCACTCTCTTTGTTTGAAAGGTATCATCTCTATCTTTTATCTGCGTCGTTAGTGCTGGGAAAGTCCAGTCCCAGAAGTGCCTGCCTGGTGTCACAGGTTCATGGGTCTGTGACTGAATGTGTAAAGTCATAGCTAGTCAGGCATGAGCGGAACAGGAGAGGGCTCCCCCGACCCCATCAGGAATGTCAGGCGACCATCGGGTGATGGTCAGGCAGTTGTCACAATGCCACTCTAAAATAATAATTGGTCACCACCAGCGCCAGGGAAAGGCAGTTTTCCATTCTAGAGAAACACCTGAAACTGATGATCGGCAGCTTCCCAATAAGATCTCAGGAGTTGGGCAAGTCGGCTCACACATGCGCACCAAGAGGCAAAATGGCAGAGTTTAACTGGTATATGACCTTCCAAGGGCACTCCACAGCAAAGGGAAGAATGCCTCAGGTGAGCATGTGTACAGCTCCAGTAAACACACAACACTGCACACACTCACCTCCCAGGTACTAACAGACCACTGAGATGCAGGCAGCCCACCCTAAGGGAAGAATTAAGGGAATGGGACTCAAGATGCCAGAAGTAGGCAAACGTATAAAACCTGAAGTCCATGTTCAAACGGGGCACTTGACCTCCAAGCTGCCTGCTTGGCCTCTTTTCAAGTGTACTTTACTTTCTGTTCATTCCTGCTCTAAAGCTTTTTTTTTTTTTTTTTTTTTTTTTTTTTGATGGAATCTTGCTCTGTTGCTCAGGCTAAAGTGCAGTGGCGCAGCGCAAACTCCACTTAATGCAACCTCCGCCTCCCAGGTTCAAGTGATTCTCCTGCCTCAGCCTCCCAGGTAGCTGGGTTATAGGTGCCCAGCTAATTATTGTGTTTTTAGTAGAGACAGGGTTTCTCCATGTTGAACCTCTAAAGCTTTTTAATAAACATCTACTCCTGCTCTAAAACTTGCCTTGGTCTCTTCTTCTGCCTTATGCCTCTCAGTTGAATTCTTTCTACTGAGAAGGCAATAATTGAGTTGCTGCAGACTGTATGGATTTGCCGCCAATAACTTGGATAACTTCCACAGATAACAAAGGCATCCCACGTGTCCACATGTTCATGTATCCATCCATATGTTTGTGGAGGGGGAGGCAAAGATATAATTCATACAAACAATATCCTTAACTGACCATGGCAACAAAGATGTTCTGCTATCCTAGCCAAACTCTGGGAGTAAATTTGTGGGGAGATGAGAGGGTTGCATCTTCTGTGTTCATTTTTAAAATGCCACTTATGTCCAAGGTATTCTAAACCTAGAAAGTTACATCTAGGACTTTTTATTTTAAAAGGCTTATTGGCATGAGTTGTTGGTAAATAAATTTACTATATTAAAAAGCTATTTTAGAGAGCTCTCATCTTAAAAAGCTATCTTATTGGCACCTAAAAAAAGATACAAAGGAAATGATGACTAGGCTTAGAGACTCTTTTGAGAAGATTAAAAGGCATAAATCAGATTTAAAACAAATTCAGGATTCTTTAAACCAGAAGATCTTTTAGATCTCTAAACCCTTGATTTAAACCTCCCTCTCTTGAGTCCAGCTCCATTTCCTTAAGTAAATTCTGTAATCACCTGACAGGTTCTTCCTACCCTCTGCAAAGACAAAATCAATCCACTAAGACCACAGCATTGCTGTAGAGAAAGAGTTTAATTGACTTGAGGCTGGCCCATGAGAGAAAACTGGAGTTATCTCTCAAATCAATCGTCCCAAAGGCTTGGAGGTTAAGGCTTTTATGGTCCATTTGGTGGGCAGGGAGCTAGGGAATGGGTGCTGTTGATTGGTTGGGGATAAAATCATAGAGGTGTGGAAAACAGTGCTTGTGTAATGAGTCTGCTGCTGGGTGGGGCCACAGGAGAAGCTGAGTCATGAGTCACTGGTCCAGGTGGGATCAGGCTGAAAAATATCTCAAAAGCCAATCTTAGGTTTTACAATAGTGATGCTATCTATAGGAGCAATTGAAGCAGTCACAAATCTTATGACCTCTAGCCACAAGACTCCTGAGCAGTAAGGAATTATAGAAACTACACAGACATTTTAGTAGAGTTCACGTTCCTCCCATGATCCTATTCTTGTGGCCTTTCGTTAGTCTTACAAAGTGGTTTTTGGTCCCTGAGCAAAAAGATTAGTTTTAGGGAAGGACTATTATCATCCTTGCTTTCAAATTATACTATAAACTAAATTGCTCCCAATGTTAACTTGGCCTACACCCAGGAAGGATCAAGAACAATTTGGAGGTCAGAAGCAAGACGGAGTCCACTATGTCAGATTTCTGTTACTGTCAGAATTTTGCAAAGGTTGTTTCAATTCCTTCAGCTCAGGTGAAGAACATTTATAAAAATTAGTTTTTTGTTGTCATTGTAAGTTTATATTTGTGTGACTCGACTTTTCTTGGTACCCATTTGTTAGTAATCCTTTCTTACCCCATGGATAACTTTTGATTTCTTATTTGTTTTAGTCACTGTTTTTAATTTTCCATCTATCAGTAACACACAGGTTACTGGGTATACGTGTATAGGCAGCAAAAGGCTCTGAGCCCCAAGAGTGTTACTGGACAGAAATGTGGTTTGCACTCCATTTGCAGATAAGCATTTAAGCTTTTATTTATGTATTTATTTATGTATTTGAGAAGAAGTTTCACTCCCGTTGCCCAGGCTGGAGTGCAATGGCACGATCCCAGCTCACTGCAACCTCCACCTCCTGGGTTCAAATGATTCTCCTGCCTCAGCCTCCCGAGTAGCTGGGATTACAGGCGTGCACCACCATGCCTGGCTAATTTGTGTATTTTTAGTAGAGACAGCGTTTCTCCATGTTGACCAGGCTGGTCTCGAACTCCTGACCTCAGGTGATCCACCTGGCTTTTCTTTCTTTTCACTTATCTTTGGGAGTGGTCTGGATTGTAAAAGAGTTGTATCTTTCTCCCTTTTTAAAAAGGTTTTTTAGGTTTAGTCTCAAATATTTGTTTTAGTATTGAATCAGAGAACTATAGGTTTAAAATTTTGGTTTACAGTTAGTTAAGAGAATGATATTTTTAAAAATTAGTATATTCAGAACATAATAAAAACTTTTTTTGCATTTTATTTGTTTACTTAGTTTTCTCTCCTTAGCTAAAAAATACAACTGTATATTTAAATAAAAAGAAAACCATTTATTAAATTACTTTAAAGACAAATGCCTCTAACTGTAAACCAGAGAAATCTTTTAATTTCTATATTAGCTGAAAACTTACTTCCTAAATACATATAAAGAGAATTGAACATAAAGCAGTCTAATGGATGGGTTATCCCCTTGATACTCAAGCCACAACCTAATTCTCAGGGAAATTAAGAACAAGTATCTTTGATTTGCACACTGAGTCTCTACAAAAACAGAGATGTACTTCTAAAACATACTTAAAGTCCATCCATTGTTCTCATCCACCACAAAACGTTCCCTGTTTGCCGCCAAAACCTTCCCTGTTTGCCACCACAAAACCTTCCTTGTTTGCAGATACTGTAAAGTCTCCTCCTCATATATATATATGAACTCTCCTCCTCATATATATATATGAACTCCTCCTCTTTAAAAAATACGTATTTTTAAAGAACTATGCAATAAAAACTTTAATTAAAAGCTGATATTCAAACAATGTTTTTTAATAAAAGCTTCTCTTTCTCTGTTGTATCTTATTTCTCCCATAGGAACCTCTTAGTCAACCGAACCCCTTTTCTTGAACTCCTATTAATTAAAACTTATAAACTAAAAACAAAATTCTAAGCCCCCCCAACTGACTGAGTGGACCGTCTCTTAGCCAAAGGGACTCCAGAGTAACCTTGAAAACTGAATTATCTGCCATACCAAGATGAGGGGTCAGACACACCTCATTATGTCTCCTCCCTCCCTATCCATAATCAGAGTTTCTTCCCTAAGGGCTGAACAGAATCCAGACCTTTCAATAAAATCCACCACTTTTATCAACAAATAGCCTGCCCCTGCCCCTCCTTTTTTGCCTGATAAGAGGCCACCGAACAAGAAGTGGTTCTGGTCAGTCTATAGAGGATGCTCAGTAAGGATGCTCAGGTCTTCTGCTTCACCCTTTGATACCAGATGGCCCCAAACTCCACACTTGGATTATGCTAACACTGCCATTTTTTGAACATGGGTCCCATGGAGAGGCATGAAGTTCAATTGCCCATGGTCATATTTCTCCTTTTATAAATATTCATTTCTCCTCCTATAGCTTATTAAATATGGATATTCAGCCTTGATCAGCATAAGTTCCTGTTCCCTTTACCCCTCCCTTGAATTGTCTGTGTTCAGCTTCTGACCAGAGGCTGTGTTTCCCAGTCTGTTAGAATGGCCACTATGCAGGCTGCAACCTTTCATGAGAAATAAAGGTTACTTTTACCCCTCTTTTCTTGTGCCATCTTAGATTTTTTTTTTTTTTTTTTTTTTTTTGAGATGGAGTTCAACTCTTGTGCAACCTCCGCTTCCCAGGATCAAGAGATTCTCCTGCCTCAGTGTTCCAAGTAGCTGGGATTACAGGTATGCGCCACCACGCCTGGCTAATCTTTTTGTATTTTTAGTAGAGACAGGGTTTCGCCATGTTGGTCAGGCTAGTCTCAAACTCCTGTCCTCAGGTGATCTGCCCACCTCGGACTCCGAAAGTGTTGGGATTACAGGCATGAACCACTGTGCCCAGCCCCACCTTTGATTTTTTATGCAGATACTTGATATAAACTCCTCAAGCTAAGAGGAATATCAGAGTTCTATCATATAAAAAGTTTAAAAAGTGACTTCTAGTGGCCCTGAGACTCTTGGAGGAAAAGGTGCCACTGAGCACCTGTTGTAGAGTATCCTATCTTCCTCAAGGGACCTCAAGAGTTGTAAATGGGTTTCTCTCAGATCTTAAATTCTGCGCTCATTTAATTTGAGCACCCTGCCATTTATTTTGTCTTTAGGGGCACTAAGGGTTATTTTATACTTAAAAAACACTTGACCTTTTAATGTATGATAACTCACAAGACACTGACAAGTCACTCTGCAGCAATAATTGCTTACTGTAACATTTGTCAGTCACTTTTAAAGGTAACTGACAAATGTTACAGTAAGCGTTATTGCAGAGGGTCAAACTCTCATTTGCTATTTTTTTCATTTCTTTGCAAGCTTAGCTTCCTTATTTCTAAAGATATAAATGCTCCACATTCCACCTGTGCCTCTCCTTTCTCATGTGGAAATGTTAGGATTTAAAAGCTCCAAATGTTTTCTTAGTCCTCTTTGTTAGTGGACTCTGTCCTGAACTCTGTAATCCCATTAAAAAAAAGAAGGAAGGAAGGAAAGAAAGAAAGAAAGAGAAAAAAAAACTAAATTGAAAAGCCACCTATCTAACTAAATTGGTCTCTAAATTTTTACATTCTCAGCTGGTTATTTTAAATGGGATTCTGAATTTTTTCATAGATTCATTACATATTTTCTTTTAAAATTCTGTAACAAGTTTTTCAGCTTTTATGTTACCTTGTAATCCATGTGTAATCTTTCTCTGTGTCTCATCTAACTGACACAACCAAACTCCTTCGTTAAAAAGTTTACATTTTTGGCAGGGCACAGTGGCTCCTGCCTCCCAACACTTTGGGAGGCCAAGATGGGTGGATCACTTGAGGTCAGGAGTTTGAGATCAGCCTGGCCAACATGGTGAAAACCCATCTCTACTAAAAATACAAAACTTAGCCAGGTGTGGTGGTGCACGCCTGTAGTCCCAGCTGCTCGGGAGGCTGAGGCAGGAGAATCACTTGAACCCAGGTGCAGTGAGCCAAGATTGTGCCACTGAACTCTAGCCTGGGCAACAGAGCAAGTCTCAATCTCAAAAACAAAACAAAAACAAAAAAAGTCTACTTTTCTTTTTTTCCGTGTTTTGATATTTTCTACCCTTTTTTCTCTAGAACTCAAGAAGAGTTTTGGCCATGTGGGACAGATAAACTGAAACTTGTTCCATTAAAAAGACCATTTAAATAAAACCATCCTTTTAAACTAGTGAGTTTTACCTGTCTCATTACTAAAATTTTAAAATTGAACCTATAAAATCTTTTTTATATCTGTCTATATTTTTATATATACATGTGTACATGTCTGTTTTTGAATATTATCCACATGGTACTCAATTGACTTAAAATAAATAAATAAATAAATGCTCATAAATTAAATATATAAACCCAAATCCTTTCTGTGTTCATGTGATTTTAGTAATCTTTGGTAAATAAAAATAATATTGGGTAAATATAGGTAACTAAAGCTACTAAAATATTTTAAAAATGTACACTAAGTGTTCAAAACACCAGTGTGCTTTTATTAAAATGGTAACTGTCTAAAATATTTAAATCTTTTTCAAAATAAATCAATAAAAAACATAAAAATAAAACTTTTTAAAGTGAAGAAAAGTCTTGTGTGGTTAAACTGACTAAAATTAAGTTTATTATAAGCGTTAAATTTAAGCTTTAATATCAGTAATGCAAATCTAGAATGTAGCCCTCTTTAAAACAAATTTCTTTTATAGTATTAATAAAAATAATAAAAGATTTATGTTTACATTTTAAATAAGCTACAAAAAAGAAGGGAGAGCAAAGAAAACAGGTTTTACATGTTGCTTGTCTTTGTAAAGACTTTTAGTTTTTGGAGACAGGATCTTGCTGCGTCACCCAGGCTGGAGTGCAGTAGCACAATCTTGACTCACTGCAACCTCCTCTTCCTGGCCTCAAGTGATCCTCCCACCTCAGCTTCCTGAGTAGCTGGGAATATAGGCACGTATCACCACATTCAGCTAATTTTTGTTACTTTTTTTTTGTAGAGACAGAATTTCTCCATGTTGCCCAGGCTGATCTCGAACTCCTGGATCAAATGGTTCACCCACCTCAACCTCTCAAAGTGCTGGAAATACAAGTGTAAGCCACTGCGCCAGGCCTGTTAAGACTTTTGATTAAATAAATATTATTTCATAATAATTATGTGATAAGATTTTGATCAAATGTTTTGAACCTTAATTTTTGGCAAACTTTCCAAAATCAAAATCAAGTCTTTTTGACCTTGAATTAACTTTTGGATACTTCAGAAGAGCTCCTGAAAGTTCAAAAGAGAAACATTAAAGAAATTAGGTGAAATTTTATAATGTTTATGATGGAAGCACTAGGCTGATACAAACTTCCCAATAGTCTACATATGCTAATATTGAAACACACCATACACACCATACCAAACCTTAGCTGAGGCCTGAGAATCTGGTAAAGCCAGCTAAAATTGTCCACCTTTCTCTTATAATAGATTGTATTTGGTTATTTTTATCTATATTTGATAAGTATAAACACTTAATTTTTATCCTGTTTGATAATCCTAGTGTTTTAAATAAAACATTTATGCAATTTACACTTAATATGACCTCTTATGGGCTTGGGTTTATATCTATCATTTAATCTTTTTGGGTTTTTTTTTTTTTTTGGAATAATGTGTTAACCTGTTTCATAGTCCTTTGTTCTCTCTTCCTTTTTTTTTTAATTGAGTAGATGATTCTATCTCTCCACTTTGACATACGTCTTATACATATCTTCTCCTGGTTACCTAGAGCAGGATTTTTCAACCTTGGCAATATTGACATTTTGGGCCATTTTTTTTTTTGTCATGGATGTGGTCCTGTGCATTGTAAGATGTTTAGCAGCATGTTTGACATCTATTCGCTACATGCCAGTAGCCCTTTCCTTTCCAATGGCAAGAAACCAAAATGTCTCTTGATATTGCCAAATGTCCTCTGAGATGCCAAATCTCCTCTTATTAAGAACTATTTCAGCTGGGTGCAGTGGCTCACACTTGTAATCCCAGCACTCTGGGAGGCCAAGGTGGGTGGATCACTTGAGGTCAGGAGTTCGAGACCAGTCTGGTCAACATGGTGAAACCCCATCTCTACTAAAAATACAAAAATTAGCCAGACATGGTGGCACGTGCCTATAGTCCTAGCTACTTGGGAGGCTGAGGTAATAAAATTGCTTGAACCCAGGAGGCGGAGGTTGCAGCGAGCCGAGGTCACCCCACTGCACTGCAGCCTGGGTGACAGAGTGAGACTGTCTCAAAAAAAAAAAAAAAAAAAAAACAACAACAAAAAACTACTTCTGTAGAGACGAAAACATATGTTTATTTTGACTTAATATGATTTATTATAAAAATGATCTAATATAAATATAATGTGATTTAATATAATCTACAGTTGATCCTTGAACGATGTGGGGGTTGGGGTGCTGAGCCTTCATATAGTAGAAAGTGTATATAACTTTTGATTCCTTAGAAACTTACCTATTAATAGCCTACTGTTGACCAGAAACGTTACCAATAACATAAACAGTCGGTTCACACATTTAAAAAATATTATATGTATTATATGCTGTATTCTTACAATAAAGAAAGAAAATGTTACTAAGAAAACCATAAGGAAGAGAGAATGCATTTACAGTACTGTGCTGTGTTTACGAATACTACAAGTTTGAGTCATCTGTTTGTAAGATGAATTATCAGTCTCAAATGGCGAGCAACTGCAACTGTAGATGTTAATCTAAATACCAAGCTACTCAACCTTTCCTTCCTTCCTTCCTTCCTTCCTTCCTTCCTTCCTTCCTTCCTTCCTTCCTTCCTTCCTTCCTGCCTTCCTGCCTGCCTGCCTTCCTTCCTGCCTGTCTGCCTTCCTGCCTTCCTGCCTTCCTTTCTCTCTCTCTCTCATTTTTTTTTTTTTTTTTTGAGATGGAGTCTCGCTCTGTCATCCAGGCTGGAGTGCAGTGGCACTATCTCAGCTCACTGCAACCTCCACCTCCCGGGTTCAAGTGATTCTCCTGCCTCAGCCTCCCTAGTAGCTAGGATTATAGGCATGCACCACCATGCCAGGCTAATTTTTGTATTTTTAGTAGAGACAGGGTTTTGCCATTCTTTCTCTCTTTCTTTTTAGACAGGACCCTGTTCTGTTGCCCAGGCTGGAGTGCAGTGTTGCAATCATAGTTCACCACAACCCTGACCTCCTCTCATCTTAGCCTCCTTAGTAGGTGGGACTACAGGTGCCAGGCACTGCACCCAGCTAATATTTTATCACTATTGTTATTATTTTTGTAGAGACAAGGCCTCCCTATGTTGCCCAGGCTGGTCTTGAACTCCTGAGCTCAAGTGAACTTCCTGACTTGGCCTCCCAAAGTGCTGAGATTATAGGTATGAGCCACCACTCCCAGCCTTGACTTTTCTTTTAATGTCATGGATTGTCTTTACTTCTTGTGGGCACTTCCAGTGTCACTGGTGGTACTTTGTATGGGTCTTCTGGTGTTGCTCAAGGTTTATGCTATTGCACTAAACATGATGAAAAATATGTGAGAACCACAGGAGATCACCTTTTACTGCAACACACAATTTACTGAAGAGATAAACTGCTCATGCGGGGATGATTTTTCATGGCAGGCAAGCAGATACTCCTAACACTTGAGTTCAGTGCAATAGCAACAGGAAGTGACTATAAAATTACAACAGTAGTAAAATGTGTACCACAGTAAATTGTATGGAGTTATGGTTTAATACAGCATCTTTTCATTTGCTTACATTTCTCTCAACTGTGAATGATGCTATATATGGTCTGTATTTGCATGCCTATGTTTTGATAAATTTTAACTTTTTAGAATAGATTCATGTGTTTTTATGGTAGTAAGTGATAAAATTGACTATTATCCACAAACATTTTATGCATTCATGAAATACCTAACATTTTCTTATTTTTTTTGATATTTCTAGGCTATGTGGTTCATCTGCTAGCTTTTTCAATTTTTCATGAATCTCCAGAAAATTTCCCAATATACTTATTTTAAAAACTGTTTATGAGTGGGCCTATGCAGCTGAAACCTATGTAGCTCAAGGATCAACTATATTATCAAATCCTAGCATGTACTAACACCTTAGGATATTTTATATCATTCTATTTATCCCCTGCCTTTATTTTGTTTTTATGTATTATAATACTGTATATATTCTAATACCCAAGATAGTTTTATCACTGATTTTGGTGGGTAACATACATTTATATATGTTTGTATTTATCCTCATTCTTCATTTCTTCATGCATTTCTATGTTTAGGAATAGGATCTTTTCCATTTTGCCTAAATAATTTTATTTAGTATTTCTTTTAAAGCAAGTTGGCTGGCGAAAAATTTTATTAGTTTTGTTTTATCTGAAAAGAATGTTATTTTAGAGTTGTTTTTGAATTATATTTGCATTTGGTAAAAAATTCTGAATTAGGAATGAATTTTTTTCCAGCATTTAAAGTGCACTTGTTTGTTTCCTGGCTTTCAAATCTTCTATTGCAAGGTAAATCCTCAGTCTCAAATTAGGTTCTTTGATGTGATACGTCTTTTTCTCATACAGACACCCACACACTGTCACACACACACACGTGTAATTTTGGTGGTCAGTTTTATGATTATGTTCATTGATGAAGCATCCGTTTCAGTTAGTCACCTTGTTTGGTGTCCACAGAACTTTCAAAATTCTAACTCGATGTCTTTATTAGTCTTTGACATTTCTCAGCATATCTTTACTATTTCTGCTCCTTTTCTCTTCTCTCCTCTTTCTTCATAAAACTGTTATATTTTTACAGTGTAATGTTTCTATTGTGCTCTTTTTTTCACACTTTTTTTCTCTTTGCTTCAGCCTGAATATTATCTATTAACCTTTCTTCTAGTTCACTAATCCCATCTTCTACTTTGTCTAATCTGCTGTTAAATTCATCTATTGAATTCTTACTTTCAGCTTTTATATTTCAGTTCTAGATTTCCTATTGACTGTGATAAAATAAAACCTCCATATTTCTGGTGAAAATAAACATATTTTCGCTTATTTTTTCTTATGTTCTTTTATTTCCTGAATATATTATTCATAGCAATTTCATAGTTCTTTTCTGATTCATCTAAGAGCTGTGTCATCTATGGGTCTGTTTCTATTTTTCAATTTTTTCTTTTCCCTTTTCAGTAACTAAAAGCAATACAATCTACATAAAAAAATTGTAGAGGCTGTCTATGATTTCTTTTCTTCCACGGAGAATTTATTCCTTTTTTTTATTTTTTAGGAAGACAGAATGGGACTGTTAGCCTAAAACTAATCAGGAAATGAGCTAAATTGGTTTGCATTTTTAGTAAGGCTAGGCTTAAATATTAGAAAGAATGCATTGCCTCTTGTTGTTCTCCAAAGGCATAGCCTTGGAGGGATTCCAAGTGAGAATCTATGGTCTTTACCTGTGTCTTCTGCTTTCAGGAATCTGAACTCCTACCAAATCTCCTCAGGTCAATGGTATAGCTTATCAGCATTGCTTTTTAGTAACTTGCTACATGGCTGTTAGCTTCCTGTGCATTGGAGTTTAGACATTTGCCAACGTATTTGTGGAAAAATATTTGGTTTAGTACTCTGAATTTTTTTTATTAAGATCTTGGAACTTCATATATTTAATTTCTATTTTTCTAGTCACCTGACACTGTCATAGGTACTGCTGATATCTCCATGAAATAGAAGTAGCGTTTTCTCATATAATTTGCCATTATTTTCAACCTCTAACCTATACCTAGAAAAAGGACATATAAAGAAAAATCAGTATTGGTGGAGTATTGGCTCATATCTTTACAGTTCCTCTTTCCTAATATTTTGCTTCTCATGTGCTAGTTAACCTGATAGTGTTTCAGTGTTTTTAAACATATATTTTTAATTTTATTTTAGATGGATTTTCTCCTTGTTCTTCATGGAGGTGTCAGCCTGGTACAACTAACTATTCTGTAATATTTGGAAGCAGCAATCAAGACCTACTATTTTATTTGCCATCCCTCATGTAGAAAGATAAAGTACATATTTGATTGTATATGAATAATTATATTACCTTAAGAGAAAGTACTTTAGAGTTATATGTTGAGGCAGAAATGTCCCCTGTGCTGAAGAAGTGATAGTCTCAAATTGTCTGCTAGTCACATTTTTTTTTTTGAGGGAAGCACCCCCATGGAATTTTTTTTTTGCATAAAGTGAATATATATTTTAAATTAAGTGTATACATTAAACTAATTCTGCAACAAAGTGCAGGAATTAGTGGATAAAGCAAGACATTTCAGATAGTAACCAATCAACCTAACAAAATCATTTTACTTTAGGGATTACAACATGATAAAGAGGAGAAAAAAGATACCAGAATGGTAAGTATTGCATCACAGTTGGACTACTAGACCTGTTGTGTAATTTTTTTAGGTCCCATCAAGTAAATTTAGCCAGAAACTGGATATGCTGTGCTACTGCTTCTGGCTGTTGTTATTGGTACTGTTCTTTTTCTGTATAACAGCTTTCTTGAGATAAAATGTATACATCATAAAAGTTGTGATGGTTAATATTGACTGTCAACTCGATTGGATTAAAGGATGCAAAGTATTGGTCTTGGGTGCGTCTGTGAGAGTGTTGCCAAAGGAGATTAACATTTGAGTCAGTGGGCTGGGAGAGGCAGACCCACCCTCAATCTGGGTGGACACCATCTAATCAGCTGCCAGCACAGCTAGAATAAAAGTAGGCAGAGGAATATGGAAGAAGTAGACTAGCTGAGTCTTCTGGCCTCCATCTTTCTCCTGTGCTAGATGCTTCCTGCCCTTTAACATCGGACTCCGAGTTCTTCAGCTTTTGGATTCTGGATCTATACCAATGGTTTGCCAGGGTCTCTTGGACCTTTGGCCACACACTGAAGGCTGCACTATTGGCTTCCCTACTTTTGAGGTTTTGGGACTCAGACTGGCTTCCTTGTTCTCCTCAGCTTGTAGATGGCCTATTGTGTGACTTCACCTTGTGATCATGTGAGTCAATACTCCTTAATAAAGTCCCTTTCATATTTACATCTATTCTTTTACACCTGTCCTGCTAGAGAGAACCCTGACTAATATAAAAGTCATGCTTTTAAGGTATACAATTTATCAGTTTTTGGTGTATTTAGTTATGCAACAATTATCACTAATTTTAGAACATTTCATCATCCCCCCAAATTTTATTTATCATCGTTTTATTTTAAATTTGCTCTATATACAAATGTTGCTTTAATTTTGTTAGCACGTATTTCTTTTCAGCAGCTATCCACTACTGTTCTGAAACTTAGGTCCAAGGGTCTGAAAAAGTTAATATACTGGAGCTTGTATGATAGCGATTATATATTTTACAGCATACATTCTGAACACAAAAATAATATGTATTTTAAGTCCTAACTATATAATACTGTGCAATCCAAGAACAATTTGCAATCTTGTTTCTGATTTTAACTGTTTGATTATAGCATATTGTTTAGGCATAGCATCAGAATTGACCCTCTAGATTGAAAATCAGCATGGGAATTTAATTTTTTTGAATTCTTTGTATTTGATGAGTACATGGAGCCCACATTACAATATTGTGTAGACTCATGACTTCTATCAACATTTTTATGTTCGCAGAGCTTACAAAAAGCTTGATTGAAAAGAGAAGAGAATGGAACACGGTATGATGACAACAAAGAGAAAAGGTAGAGTTGAAAACGAAGATACTAACACCTTGATCTCAACCTTAGCAGTTAAATATTCTTTTCATTTTTGTTCCCTTCAAATTCAAAGGACTTTTCTACCTCAAAATGACAATAACAGTTCCTTTTAAAAATATTATCTTTAAGTTTCTACTTTAGTGTCACAGATAAACCTAACCACATGTATCAGTGTGGAAACTGATTTGATGAAATGAGACCGACCTGAGAAAAATTTGAGATGTTCAATTCATATTTTTAATATTTTTAAAACATATATCCAAACTTGTTAAAAGGCAAGTCATTTCAAATAAATAAATAATGTTCAATCCCATTTCGAGCTATTATACATAGCAGTTTCCACTGTTTAAACATTCTACTGCCTAAAATTCCCCCCCTCTCTTTTTAATCTAAGGATAACTGTTCCTTCAAGGCTCACTTCAAAATTGAATGAGGCCTTCCCTTCCTGTGCAACTGAACCACTAATACATTTGTTCTAGGAATATCTCTATCACATCTTAAAAAACAATCATTGACATGAGAAATAGTTCTCTTGGTGATTTTTCTTCTTTTTTTAATACATATTGTGCTTTTCAAATTAGACCATAAGCTCACTTTACATTAAAACATTTGTTTGTGTTTTAGTATCCTAGCCTATGTAATAGTATCAATGAATTTTTACTTATGGCAATAACTTAATTTAAAATGAAAATTGATCATATTCAGAAATATTTTCGAAGATTGCAAATCTAATAATTAACATCAAGCAAGAGTCATAACAATATTTAGATATAAAAATCTTTCCTGGGGGCTCCCAATTGTCTTAATTTTTTTTTTCCTCAGGAGAATACGTGGGTCCCAAATAGCACTGTATAGGCTCATCATGTATACTAACATTATTAATGTTCACATTTATGTCAAAAATATCTATGATTAAAACATACTAACTTTATGAAAAGTTTACCTTGGATAAGGAAATTTAGTATTTGAAACCATTTATACTCTTCTGTATACTTAATTGTAAAAGGTATATCCAGTTAATGGAGAGCACAGTAATTTTCTTCTAAAGAATAAAATTAACCATTTTAGTATTTTAATTGATTTTCTAAATCCCTTGCCCTCTTAGGAGCCAAGATTAGTCTGGACAGTATGCAGACATTGACTCTGCTTTGAGGACAGAGCTGGAATTAATTTCACGTGCACCACATAAGGTACTTAGAGTCGGAAAGAAGGAAAAATAAAATATATTTTATGAATTGAAATTTTAAAATTTCAAATAAGTTCACATTCAAATTAAGCGACCAGAGGAAATGATATTCGTAGGATTACAGGCCCTAAAATGTATACCCAGAAGAAAATTGGATCAGAATGGAGGCAGTTTGAGTTTAAAAATGTAGGAAGATTCCACAATGATTAGAATGAGTACTGTGAGTATTTGATTTTGTTCTAATTAAGAAGATACTGATAAGGAAGAATAGCTCTCAAACAAGTTAATTGAATAAATATGATATCTTTTTCCATAATAAATTCAGAGATGTCAAATAAAATTTAATATTGATATAGATCCAAATTCATGTATTATGTGCCCATCTAGAGCACTTTGCATTCCAGTCTCTGAATTCATTGTCATCTTTTCGTAGCATATTTTCAGAATTGTCATTCGTGATCATTATTCAAGGTAGTCATTGCATAATATTTTAATTTCTATGACAACTTTATAAAGACTGGTGGATTGTAATGAGAATATGAAAAGTAACATGCACTGGTGAGAAAGTGAAGTACAAATGCCTGTGTTTACATTGTTATGATATAGAAATTACAGTAAAATTGTATAGGCATTTATGTAAAAAAGAATTTAACACTGAATACTTACATTAAAACCAGGTAAAGAAAACAGCTTCAGACCATGATTATCTACGATATGGGGTCTGGGTTTGCAGATTAATTTTAACATAAGAAAATGAAGTGACAGCTGAGGATCTTTCATGACACACTGCTGAGCTGCTGAATGAAGTATGCATGGTCAGTATAAAGGATGGGGTGGACCAGAAAAGCTCCTTTGTCAGTTTCTTTGTTATAGAATTAAGAAAAATGTATGTGTGTGTATATATGAGTGTGTATACACATGTGTTTTATGTAAAATATATATTTTAAAAGATGGAAAATTTATTAATTAACATCAAGCAAGAGCCATAACAATATTTAGATAAAAATCTTTCCTGTGGGTCTTCTCATTGTCTTGAATCTTTTCAAAACAAGTGTGTGTGTGTGTGTGTGTGTGTGTGTAATATACATCACATATATACAACATATATACAATATAATACAATTATATAATGTAATATGTATAATTATACATTATAATTATATTTATATTTATATGTGTGTATATAATATGTGTATAGAATTATATGATAATATAATTATATTACATGATTATATTATATGGTTATATAATTATATACACACATATTATACACACTCACATATATGATTAACAACCTATTTCAAGGGTTGGATTATGACATGAGGACTCAGAGTAGACAGCAATACTAAGATACAACAACTTGCCATGTTTTGTTTACTTCTATATTCCTAGTGACTAGAATACTGCCTGATACATAATAGAGAATTAATAAATACTTTTGAATATTTAAATTTTGAATGCAGACTACCAACTGAATGATGATTAAAGTTACTTACTTTATGCTTTTAATTAACTCAATATATTCACTACTACTGCTAGTATTTGCTTTTAATTAACTCAATATATTCACTA
The DNA here is from genome assembly GCF_000001405.40 of Homo sapiens. Taxonomy (NCBI): domain Eukaryota; kingdom Metazoa; phylum Chordata; class Mammalia; order Primates; family Hominidae; genus Homo; species Homo sapiens. The sequence continues at coordinate 126,461,461 of NC_000004.12, read as the reverse complement.
CTACTGCTAGTATTTGAAAAACAGGAAAAAAACTTTACAAAAAGCACTGTAATTTATTTATAATTAATTATTTATCTGTTAAATGTTTAAGTGCTATGAAATATATTAAACTGCATTTCTTAATCTTTAGGAGCTTAAAAAAAGGTAGAGGGGAGTAAAAATGTAAGATCTCCTAGTTGGATACTAATCCACACTGAGGTTTTTCTGGAAGTGAGGTTAAATGGATAAAGATGAATAAAGGTGAATCCTAATCATCTCTGAGTTTTGACTCAATTCAGAGGGAAAATATAAGATTTTTTGTCCTTGAAGATAATAATGCTATGACAATAAGGACTATCAGATTTAGGCCAACAGTATACTTCCTCTAGATTAAAAAATTAAAAGCCCGAAGTTCATTCTGCAGTTCAGAGATATTTCAGTGAGGTCAAACCAGGTGCTTAGGAGTAGAAAACATAATAAATACATGAAAAATATATGATAAAAAGAATGATTGATAAGCCTGCTGATGACAAGCAAAATATAAGGATGGGGCACATAGGAGTCAAAGAGTGACTGTCTTTTTCAAGTTTTTTCTCTATGACAATGATAGAAGAAAGTAATGAGCAACAGAATCTAGTCTAGAGAAAAAGATGAAGTTGAATTTAGTTTTACATATGCTAAGTTGACATTAATAGTTGAGCATTCAAGTGTACGTGTCCTAAATCAGGAGGGGGTAAATATTTGGGACCGAGCATCTTGAAAAGTAGTTATGCAATAGATGCCTCTTCTACAAGAAAACAATCAGCAAAATGAAGAGACAACCCACAGAATGGGAGAGAATACGTGGAAACTACCCATACGACAAGGAATTGATACTAGAATATACAAGGAGCATTAACAACACAATAGCAAAAAGCCAAATAATCCATTTAAAACATGGTCAAATGATCTGAATAGACATTTCTCAAAAGAAGACATACAAATGGCAAACACGTATATGAAAAAATGCTCAACATCACTAATCATCAGAGAAATGCAAATCAAAAGCACAATTGGATATCATCTCACCCTAGTTGGAATGCCTTTTATCATAAAGGAAACCTTAGATGCCAGTGAGGATGTGGAGAAAGGAGAATCCTTGTACACTGTTGTGGAAACGTAAATAAGTACAGCCACTGTGGAGAACAGTATGGCAGGTCCTCAAAAACTAAAAATAGAACTACCATATATTCCAGTTATTTCACTACTGAGGATATATCACAAAGAAAAGAAATCAATGCATTTAAAAGATATTTGGCTCCCATGTTTATTGCAGCACCATTTATTCACAACAGCCAAGATATGAAATCAACCTAAGTGCCCATCAATGGATGAATAGAAAGAAAATGTGGTATATATACACAGTGTAATATTATTGGACCATTAAAAGAATAAAATCCTGTTATTTGCAGCCAATGGATTGACCTGGAGGTCCTTATATTAAGTGAAATAATCCAAGCACAGAAAGACAAATATGGCACGCTCTCACTCATATGTGGGAGCTAAAAAAAATGATTTTATGGAGATAAGAGAGTAGAATGACAGTTGCCAGAGGACAAGAATTGTAGAGGGGACAGGAAATAAAGGGAAGTTGATAATAAGTAAAAATACACAGTTTAATAGAAGAAATAATACCTAGTGTTTGATAGATCAGTAGGTTGACTATAGTTTACAATAATCTATTGTATATTTAAAAATAGCTACAAGAGAATAATTCAAATGTTTCCAGCATAGACAAAAGATAAATGTTTAATGTGATGGATGTCCTAAGTACATAGATTTTTTTTCTTTACCAATTGTATAAATGTATTAAATAATCACATGTACCCAGAAAACAGGCAAATGAACCAACTCTAAAATGAGAAATATATAAAATGGAATGACGATTAAAGTAAAGTCCTTAACTCAAAAAATACAATTATACTTAGAACCACTGCAGTTAAAATCATGATTTGAATTAGGTGTAGAGTAAAAGCAAAATGTTATCAGCATGTATTTCAGCAATTGTCTCAATTTTCATGTAATTTTTCTACATCCTCCATATCTTAAGTTTTAGAACAATAAAAAATAGCCTAGATTAAGAGCTAGTCTGGTAAATATTTGGTTTGCAAACTAATTTGCTTTTTTGGTATCTCTGCTTCAGCTGTACTGTCTAGGCAAAGAACACAAACATTATAATCACCACTTTAAGCTTTAAATTGAAAACATTTTATTGGTTAATTAAACTTATCATCCATTAGGAATGTCCACATCTGGTCAGATGGCGAGTTCACTGTTTGCATTCCCCAATACTCACTGCTGTGTTAAGATGCTTTGCTGGCTAGTTTACAAAGATTTGCTTTTTTTTATTGCTACTCAATGTACAGACTTCTATAGCATCTACCTCCCTGAAGCAGTTTCTTTCTCATACCATCTGGTAATGAGAAGATCATTTACAGTACATAAAACCATGGCATCTGGAGAGGAAAACTCATCTGATAACGTCAGGTCCACTACCAGGAATGACCACATTTCTATTTTATTTGGGGGAAATTATTTAATACTAAAACAAGATTAAAAAGAACCAGTATTAAGTAAAAATGTGATGAAGTCACAGCAATCACATTTTTAATGGTTTCATCCATATAAACATTTTTAGGAAAAATATCCAAATAATTTAAAGTAATTTTAATGAGATATAAGGCAAACATTTGAAGAGTGAAGGAATTGAATTTGAAATGAATGTCAACATTATTCTTTAAAATAAATTTGGAGGTTGTGACAAGACCTCCATCCCCACACATGTAGCTTTTCGTTTTGTCTATATGAAAGCTGAACAGCAGTTCAAGACACCAGAGCCCCTGAATGTGGTGGTCAGCTGTGAAAGGACTTGGTGATTATGTGTTCTAGAGAAGAATAAAAGATGCACTCATTCACTCAGGTCCCTATCTTTGTACTTACTGTGTGCCAGGCATTCTTCTAGGCACTGAGGAGACGACAGTGCTGAACAATATAGGGATGGTCCATGCCCTCTTAGGGCTTACATTCCAGTGAGGGAGGAACAAAATGATGTAAATAATGTAGATGCTGCAAAAGAAATTAAACAGAATGAGTTGAGTAGTGACATGATGGGGGAGTAATGACATGGTCGAGGTGAGATGGCTACTGGTAACAGGCTTTCCAAGGAAAGCCTCTATTAGGAAGTGAATTTAAGATGGCATCTGATTGAATAATAGGAGACAACCCTGCAGCTAACTTGGCAAAGGTCTTTGGGAGCAAAGACATTGAGCCCTGGTTAAGGAAAAGACTAGAACGTACTGAGGAAAAGAAATGGAGTAAAGGAAGATTGTTATGAAATCAGACTGTTGACTAAAGAAAGGAAGGGTGTAGTACTAGGACAGAGTTGACAATTTGTGAACAAACTTTTCTGTCACCTTTTTTTTTTTAAAAAAACCTAGTTTTTGTGACTTGTAATTTTTGCACTTTTACTGATTGGGAAGAAACTTCTAGTATTTAGTGAGCAAAGGCCACAGAGGCAGTGCATAGAACACTCCTGCATATCAAATACTTTCTTCATAGAACACACAAATTATAAATATTCTGTGGACAAAACTTATCTCAATTCTAGGTGTCTGTATATCTAATTATTATATTACTGAAAACAAAATTTTCAGGAACTTTCACAAAGAGGCTAACAATTTAGGAGAAAATCAGTATGTAGATGAAAGATTAATTCTAATAAAAGTATTTTATTGATCCTACTAAGCATTAGAATTTATTCATTCAGCACATCATATCTAGCCAATCAGTAAGTGCATAATTTTGAGGCCACAGTACTAACAGTAAATAAGCTGGGAATAATGTTGCTGATTTATTATATATCTCTATACATTTATACCTATGTCTGTATCTATATGCAATTTATGGTATATACTCAGTTTAACATGTTAACACCTTTGTTGACAACATGAGCTAGGTATTTCACACCTTAATTTTTTCACTTTGGTAGTCAATAATATATCATTTTGGCATGGCCTTTTTTTATTTTACCCTTTTTCTCATCATAGACAAGTAAGTCTAATTTATTATTACTTATCCTAATAAATGTTTATGTTTCAATGCCCACCTACCTTTGCTTTTCATTTTCCTTTGTTTCCATGAAGACTAACTTCTAGGCATTTTAACTTAAATAAAAAATATATTCACTGTAAACCGGTGAAAGCATCTAATCAATTAAACATTTTAGGGTGACCATGCCATAAGATTCATAAAGGTTTATTTTTATCTCTGAATTTCATTTTAGTATAGTAAAAGGGAAAATGTCAATTTATTTATTAGTTGAAAGGTGCTTGTGTCTGATGGAACTGAAAAATTACGGAACACAAACATCTATTTTAGAAGACGCATTTTGGACTTGTTTTTGTGCAGCTGTAGTCAAATTCCAAAGTCATTAGAACTTTAGCTCATGTTAATGAAAGCCCTTTAAAAAAGTGCTTGATTCACGCTGGAAAATTGTTAATATTAGATCAAAGACTTTTCTCAAGTTTTTATACATGATGTGAGAAACTTTAATCCTCATATGATTAATTTTATTTTGTTCATGTAATTGAGAGAAAATAAGGAGTTGCTTTTTTTATATTCTCTTGTAGACCTTAATTGTATATGGAGTTCTTAATTTTTCATACCAATTATTCTTTTAAATTACCCAGACATAAAGTTCTAGGTACAGATGAGAGATGAAATTTTCTAATTTATTTGTGCATATTCCTAAATAATAGTTTACAAAAATAAGCAATTCATTAATTTTCCTCATGCTGTGTTTGGTTTATATTTCTGGTCAATGGGAAGCTCTATTTGGGCAGGCATAAATGTAGCCCACACAATGGAAGTAAAATCAAAAATACTACAGATCATTCAATACAGCTTTCCATAGTCAGATGAGTTTCCATGCATCTCAACAGTGTGGGAAATTTACCAAGTCAAAAGCAGTTCAGAAGTGATATTTTTCTCCCCTGCCAAAAGCCAGATAAAGTTCTAAAACCCTTTCTTTGTATCAGTGTAACACAACATGAATAGCTTGCACAGGCACAGTTTTCACAGACATCAGGCATTTTGGAGAACACAGTTTTCTTTTTTATTGCATGAATCTGGAGAATTAAGAATTATTATTAAGAGTATATATAAGAATTATTATTAAGAATAATAGCAGCTAAAATATACATGGAAGTATTTAATGAACATTCGTTTTAACATACCTTCTGTTGTGCAAAATATATGGGATGTTGTATAGAGAGTAAAGAAAGGATGCACAGTGAGAAAAATGAGCAGCGAGAAACTGACTAGTGCTAGGACACAAGAGCAGGCATAAATAAATGTATTCCTGATTGCACAATAAGGTTGGATTGGCATTGAAATAGGATGTATAGGATGTATCCACGCCGTATCTGATATGTAGCCACATGTTATATGATATTACACATGCACCATTTACTAACTTGCACATATTTTCATGGACAATTATGACTATAAAAAGTGCCTCATATAACAATTTTATCATTGGATCACAGAGTAAGTAGAATAGTTAAGAACCAAGAACCTGACTGACAAATCAATAAAAGGTTTCATAATCATTTATTGAATTCTTATTTCATATATTTAATTTTCTAACGATCATGTGATACAGATACTAATTTCTCTGATTTACTTTTACACGATTGTAACTAATCCTAGGTTCGAGATAACCTAATCAGATTCCAAAATCCATAAGCTTCACTGTAGTATCCTGTCTCCAGAAACCTAAATTCAAGTTTCTATTCCATTAATCCTTGCTAGAGATGTCATATTTATTAAATTAATATATCTATGTGACAGTTTTCTTTTTTATAACTACTAAATGCTAATTACAAAGATTGTGCTTGACATACAGTGTTCAGCAAGTCTCAACTATTTCCTATTTGTCAACCAATAATTTAGAAAAGTTCTACTGAGCATTTTCAAGTGTTTTGGTGACACATTCTTAAATGGGTATGGTCCCAGATACAGGCCAGCCAATCCCCACACACTCACTTAAATTAAAAACTAGCAATAATGTCCTCAATAGTAATTGCTAACAATTCTAGTGAGATTTTAACTATATTCTGATTAGGATGGCCAACTAAGTTTCATGGTAGAAAAATCAGTTTGAAAACCATGTTTCTCTGAGATCTTAAGTGCACATTAGGACAACAGCAGAAAAAGTTTTGTGAAAAATATGATCAATCTTGAAATTCATTTTATTCAGTTTGGCTACTCTATCATCCTCACATGAAATGACTTCATCATTGCTATAACTGAAGCTTGACAATGTATTTAGTTAAGTTGTTTCATATTTTCTCTTCAAAATTGATAAATATTTTAAATGACAACATAGGTTAAAGAAATAGACATCAAGTTTAACCCTCTGGTAATATGACACTATAAAATGGACACTATAAAATGTACCCTAAAATAACATGAGGTCTGTCAGTCAAATCCTATTTTTTTAACCTTTATTGGATCACTTTGTCTCGTATGTTAAGTTATTCTGGTAGAAGAAACATTATTTGCATTTGAGATTTAGAAATACTTAAACAGATAAAAATATATAAATTGTGTGAGAGGCTTTAAATCTTTAACTCCCAGATCTTGTTTGAAAATGTGTGTGAATCAAAACATGTTACTTTAGGGCAATAGCATGCTGATTCTCCAAAGGATGGGAGAAAGGAAGAAAACTAGGAATAGGGAAAGCTTAGAATGCAAGGAATTCTCTTACTTTGCGATTAGTTATCAGATCTTGAGTTAGGGTTCTCTAGAGAGACAGGACTAATATGATAGATGTATGTATGCAAGGGAGTTTGTTAAGGAGTATTGACTCACATGATCACAAGGTGAAGTCCCACAGTAGGCCATCTGCAAGCTGAGGAGAGCAAGGAAGCCAGTCTGAGTTCCAAAACCTCAAAAGTAGGGAAGCTGACAGTGCAGTCTTCAGTCTGTGGCCAAAGGCCCAAGAGCCCCTGGCAAAGCACTGGTATAGGTCCAAGACTCCAAAAGCTGAAGAACTTGAAGTCCAATGTTTGACCGCAGGAAGCATCCTGCATGGGAGAAAGATGGACGCCAGAAGACTTAGCCAGTCTAGTCCTTCCACATTCCTCTGCCTGCTTTTATCCTAGCTGTGCTGGCAGCTGATTAGATGTTGTTTACCCACACTGAGGGTGGGTCGCTTCTCCAGTCCACTGACTCAAATGTTTGCATCCCTCAATCCACTCAAGTTGACAGTCAATATTGACCATCACAGCTCTTGAATGAAACATGAGTTTGTATACATCTCCAAGGAGATCTAAGCAGGTCAGAGAGCACCAGAGTGGAGCCCTGGGCAAAAGTAAAATTATTAACATGGTAGTTGACAGCACAATTCCCAGAAATCTTCTTAGAGAAAGATTCCAGCTAGACTATGTAGAGAAGGGTCCATGTCTTGAAGGCAAGGGAACTTGCAGACCCTGGGAAAGGGTTCAGGCTCCCAGAAGGACTGGATGTAATTCAGAACAGGGATCCAGCCCTAATAGACAGATAGGGGTCTGATAGGGGTCCTGGAATATGTGCCTAGGGAACCAAGGGAGAAGGGCAGTCATAAATTCTTCAAAAGAAGGTGGAACACAGGACAGACACTGCAGAGATATGCACCTATTATTGATTCTAGCTCTAGTCTGACCTCCAGAAACACAACTAGGATCAGCCACTGAAGAGGGTAAACTTCCTAATACAGTTTCTCACTTGGTCAATAACTGAGTGGTGCATAAATTTTTGCCCTTAAGTGAGATAAAACTGGGTATGGCAGGAATTGATATTGAGTAATGTAATCATTATGTACAGAATATTTTATAATATCATATATATTAGAAATTTAAGTTGGTTTTATGTTTTAAATTAATGTAGTTTATAGCCAAAAACAAGTTTAAAAATGTGTATCTAAACTGAGATTCTTAGAAAATAAAGCTTGAGAGGTAAACTTACTTGTCGAATTTCATTTCAATCCCAGAGAAGGAGTGAGAAAAATACTTCTTCGGACTTCATACTACAGATCCCTAATCTCCTTTTTTTTTTTTTTTTTTTTTTGAGACAGGGTCTTGCTGTATCTCAGTGGCAAATCTCAGCTCTCCTGGGCTTAAGTGATTCTCCTGCCTCAGCCTCCCGAGTAGCTGGGATTATAGGTGCGTGCCACCATGCCCGACTAATTTTTGTATTTTCCAAAGAGGCAGAGTTTCTCCATGTTCGCCAGACTGGTCTCAAACCCCTGACCTCATGTGATCCCCCTGCCTCAGCATCCCAAAGTGCTGGGATTACAGGCATGAGCCACCACACTGGGCCCCTAATCTCTTATCTGAAGCCCTTAGAGTAGAATATATTAATTTTCAGAAAATTTTAGGAGTTTATAAAGATATTAAAGTACAATTATTGCATTTTTTGTAACATCTAGAATGGGGTCTAGGGAAGTACCACATCATCAAATAAATAAAAAGGAAGTTGAGATTAGGAGTTGAGTCCTCACGAGGAATTGTATTCCTGTGCCTGCATTTCTGAAAACCCTCAAGAAAACATTTATTTAAGTTATCTGATACAACTGTCACAGATGACACAGAAGCTATCTAAAAACTTTTGTATCATACACAAGCCTCAAAGGGACATCCGTTATCTTCCTTAACATCACCCTTCATTGTCTGTTTCTTTTCAGAACTCACCTACTATTACTCTTACCCTGTAACTCTGTGTAGCCACTCTGATCTCCTAGCAAATTTTCATATACCAGAGGCACGTCTCTTAGCATCTAGCTAGCTGTTCTTTCTGCTGAAACACTCTTTCCCCAGATAACTTCATAGGTAATTCCTTTACGGGACTCAAGTTGCTGCTTAAATATCACCTCCCAGTGAAATCTATATACCCATTTTACTTAAAACTGCAACACAGAAAGGAAATGCATAGATCACATGGTAGTTCTGTTTTTAACTTTTTGGAGAACTTCCATGCTGTTTTCCATAGGATTCATAACAACGTACAACCCCACCAACAATGCACCATAGAGATCCAATTTTCAATTTCTCCATGTCTTCAGACTTGTTATTTTCTTCTTCTTCTCTCTCCCGCTCTGTTTCTCCCTTTTTTTGGGGGCGGTGGGTGGTTGGAGCAGATAGTGGCCATCTTAATGAGATGATGTCTCATTGTGGTTTATATTTGCATTTTCCTAATGATTAGGGATGTTGAATATTTTTTCATATGCTTACTGGCCATTTGGACATCTTCATTGGAGAAATATCTAAACATCTATTCAAATTCTTTTCTTTTTTTTTAATTGGGACTTTGTTGTTGTTGCTGAGTTGTAGGAGCTTCTATTTATTCTAGATATTAAGCTCTTATCAGAAATATAATTTGCGAATATTTTCCCATTTTACAGGTTGCCTTTTCACTTTGTTCTTTCCTTTAATGAGCAGTTTTAAAATTTAATGGTGTTCTCACAAAAGTATCTCAAAGAGACATTTGCATGCCCATGTTCATTGCAGCAATATTCACAATAGGAAATCCTGGTCACGTGGATGACTTAATGAAATGCATTTGGGGGAAAGTACATAGCATAAACATTATTTTTATGAGAATTTCAGCTGGAGGATGAACAGAACAGTTGTCAAGGAGTAACAAAATCTTTTAGTCATCATCCAGTTCAGCTTCCCTGCAGTAAGCTTGAGCTGCTGGTACAAAATATTTGTGAAATCAGTCAGAAAAGATGTCCCTGGTGATCCATGTTTTTCTGTTAGCATAATAATGGACTGGTAAAAAAAAAGTCACTGTTTGGAAGTAGTCATGACTCAAGCTTTTGCCTATCATGGCAAGTTTACACTCATGCTTTCCTGCTGCATTGACACTTCTCGGAACAATTATTCTGTTCTTGGCATTTTAAACTTCTGTAGGGGCTATCTCATCAGTTGTAGTCAATGTTTTTCTAGGGCAATAACACCAAAGCAGTTATGCTTCATCAGCATTATAAACTTGTTCTGGCAACAGATTTTCATTAGTGATGACCTTGGCACACTCATCAAAGAATTTCTGTACTGCTATGTGATCAGCTGATGCTTTATCATCACAAATCTTTAAAAATTTAATTCTATGTTCTTAATTTTCTGCAACCAGCCTGTTAAATATTCACAGTTCCCTTCAGTTTATCATGGTAGATCTTATTTCATGATCAGCATATAATTAAGTGGCATATGCTCATTGTGACACTGATGGATCCACTCTTTCAATACATGATCAAGATCTCCATTTTTTAGCTTAGTGCAGCATTTCCCTATTTTTCATTAACTTCTGCTCATCACTTTCAGCACAGAACCTCAACAGTTTATCTTTCTGTTTCCTCAGGTCATATACAGTGGTCATTCCAACACCATACTCTTCTGTAAGACGTTTCACACTTACACCACTGTCCAGTTGCAATTACTTGACTTTCTGTGCTATAGATAAACATAAGTTCTTCCTCTTTTTGTTATAGGGATATCTGCAGGCCTTTTTGACATTTTCAACAACATCTTTACATCACAGAGCAGTTAATAAGCAAAAAAACTGTGACTAATGCATGTAGGTCTTGGCCCCAAGTGGGGGGTATAATGGGGAGCCTGTTATTGGTGCGTCCAACTTGGACTTGTACCATTTTATGAGCTTTTGGGGCTTGCCTACATGGGGGAATCTGGGTATATGCAGAAAAGAAATTTTGCAGCTGAAGGGGGCCGCAAGGGTATTTTTTCTCTTGTGGACATTGAATGAACTGTGTGTTGTGTACCTTTACCCATCACTTAAGGTCAGGGGTAAAATATTCCACTTGTGAGCATTATGTTGGCTCTCAGAAAGTTTTGGATTTTGGAGTATGTTAGATTTTGGATTTTCAAATTAGGGATGCTCAACATGTACTACTATTAGAAGCTAACATTCTACTGCCCAATACAAATCGCAAACACGTCTGTATATTAAGTAATTTGATTTTCTCAACTACCAAAATGATGTTTTAGACAAAATTATGACTCACATGTTATAGATGAGGAAACTGAGGCAGAGAAAATTTAAATGATCAAAGATCTGGTCACATAACTAATAAATGATGGTACCAGGAGTATATGCTTCATTCCAAAAGAATAGAAAACATAACCCACATATCTCCAGAGTCTTGTCCAGTGTGTCGCACATATGATACTCAATTAATAAATGAACAAATGAATGAGTATAAGTTTAAGAAACAAAATGTAAAGGTTTGCACACCATGTTTTCTTACTTAGCAGCATCTAAATAATGATGCAAGATCAGAAAGAGATAATTTGACAAAAATTATCTGATGAGCCTTATTTCTCAGTAAAGACTTAGATTATGTCCACATGGATACAATAAATGCACTACAACATATTGCATCTTCCCTTTATGCTGCTTTCAGTGAAATGAATACTCTTATATAGTTGATTTGATCTCAGAGACAAGAGTAAAATTAGGTTAATTTGGTATGAAATTTATTCAGAACTTAACATTGAGGATTCCTGTACTCAATTAACAGATAAAATCATTGGGTGTGTTTAAATAGATGCAATTCACTTACATCTGAAGAAGGAATAATAATCAGATTTTATATAATCAAAGGTAAAATAGGTAATATGAGGTCATTATAAATATTTGCAATTGAGAGAAACCAAGAAGAAACAGAAAACCGTTTAAGCTTTTGTGTGTGTGTGTGTGCTGATAAAGAATAGAAAAAAAATGATGAAAGTGACTGTGGTGGGGCTTAGACAAAGGGATCTAAGAATCCTTCAGTATCTGTAAAGCATTTAAAATGCACATTAAGTTTTGAATTCTTCTGGGAAACTTACAGAACAAATAGAAATCAACTGATTTTACATCTCTAATTTTTCTTCCTTCAAGACAAAACACTATTTTATTATAGGAAAATATACTTTGATCTTTTAGGTAAACATTTGTCACTGACTAAGATAACAATTTTATATGATTCTCATGTATTTCCATGTTACCAGAAAAGTCTGAAGTTGATTTCAAGGTCAAAGCTATCAAAGAAGTAAAGTACAACAATTTACTTTTATTTTTAATCCTGTACAAAAGCAACTTATATTAATTCTAAAAAGAAAAAAATAAAAATATATAGTTCAATATTTACATATTTTCTTCATAGCAAGAAGGTTTTTAATATTATTAGTCAAAGGAGAAATGGGAAAAGATGGGGAGGTGAACTGAAAAGCAAGTGCCATTTAATTGTTTAAAAAATAAATATTCTAAAAATAAAAATATTTTAAAATGTGAAGCAGTTTTACAGTGTAACACTATTTAATTTAAAATATTTTGCTCTCTAGTATTGCACAGAACATGAATCATTGCTGGTAGTTTTATAGGAGTAAATAATTACTGTAAATAGCCATATGCGAGATAAGTTAAATAACCTTTGAGAGATTTTCTTCATTAACGTGTATCAGTGAAGGTTGAATATTGTACTCTTCCTGTCCTCAAAAGATCCTTGGAATGAAAAGTGGTCTCTTAAATCTACGAATGCAACTTATTCAAATTCCATTATCTCAAAATTGAGAAAATGAAAAGACCTGTCTCATGGGAAAGATCCCTTTAGGTGAATTAAGTGCCGTTAGACAGTCGGCACAAATGCAGAGACATTAGGCTGTAAAGTGGTCACATGTGTATACACATGTTTAGTGTTAAGGCCATAAAGCAAACATTAGCAATCAAGAACATCAAGTTGATTTGGGAGCATATGCCTTCCAAGATCCCATGAAATCTGGACAACAGCTTGGGAAAGATTCAGACAAATTCTTACACAGTATGTCTCATTCTCAGTTGCAAGAGACCGTGCTCATATGCTAAATTCACTCAGAGAGTACCTACAAATCCATCTGTACCTTTGATAAAACCAAGAAGTGAAAATTTAAAAATTCTCTGTGTCATCGTCCTTGACCAGAAGACAGCAATCAATAAGCTTCATCAAACTCAACCGGCACGTCTGACACATTTACGGACATTAGTGCAAAATTTGCTATTATGCATTCCTGTATGTGCAGACTCCCATTATCTTAGTTGCATGGTATGAGGTATTTGCACATATGCCTACAACATGTTCCCACTAGGCACAGTAGGTCATCTTTGGCAGCTCAGGGACAATAACAATGCTGTTTTGTTTGGTTGTTATGGTTTTAGACAAAACTTGTCATTTATGTGCAAAACTTTCCAAGCTTCTCATTTATGTGTAAAATGAGATCTGCACAATTGTGATCATCTAAATAATTTATACCAAAATATCACTTATTTAGAACAGTGGCTTTCACATTTTTTTCTATTTCTGTAATTAAGAAAATTTTTTCAAACACATCTTGCACAGATGAATCAGATAGAAAAAATGTTGTGTGGACACAAAGGGTAGGATGCAGAGGGTGGGAGCTTCACCTTCTTCAGGGGCTATTTTATTCTTAAGCAGCCCCTGAAGCACCTCTTAATTACTTTGGGGCTCTGCGCAGCACTCTGAAAACTACGAAAGCCCAGAATGGCAGAAAAAGAAGAATTATTCTCTTCCTGGGTTAGACTAACTCGGTCAATGAAGCCATTACTGTAATGACACAATAATTAAGGATGGATAGTTGATATTAAATTGGTGCAAAAGTAATTGTGGTTTTTTTCATCAAAAGTCATAACCTAACAATATGTAACTTTCAGGCACAGAACATTTCTCCCCAGGAATTAGCTAATACTCACCTTCTGTGTAAGACCCATATTGAGGTGGCTTTTGGCATTTTATTAGCCATCACCAGTCATAACCATGAGGCAGTACTTACATTCTGTAGTAAGAATAGGCAGCATTCTAGCTTGAAGACTTATCAACCCAAATCAGCCAGTGATTTGAATTCTCGTTCTATCATATGAGCATGCAATCTTCAGAAGTAAAAATATACCTGATCCTGGAATTTTGAGATAATGATTTTATCTGCACTAAAGCCATCTGAATTGGAATTTCTGAGTTTCCTTCCTCCTCTCTACTCACATGACAACATTTGACAAAAAAAAAAAAAAAAAGGCAATCCCCTTAACCACATTTTGTGAATGAAAATGTGTTTTTTAAATGCATTTCTAGTGAAATAATACAATTGCCACATATTTACGTATAAGCTTGAGCAAGGTTGTTTTTCGCCTAAAGTTTAAAAAGCTGCTCCCTTATTCTACTCTGAGCTCCATCACTGTGACAAGCAGAAACATTCTGACATGTTACATATTGTTCTGTATCCCAGTGGTCTAAATTGAGAACATAGTTGGGCATGATTACTGGAAACTCTTATTGGGGAGAATCATATTGCAGATGTAATTTCACTGGTTCAGTGATATGAAAAGTGTCTGCTACTAAATGTAGCTTATGTAAGGCCTAAGCTGTAATTTAAAAAGATTATTAAAAATGCTTGTATTGCTTCCAAGAATGCTGGATAAGAAACTCATCATTTGTCAGGCCAAAGCACTATGCCAATGATAAACTATAGTTTTCTGTTGGTTAATATCTTAGATTTTGGTTAGCACCAGATCTGGGGAAGAGATAAAGAAAACAAAAAGCTATAAGGATTGAGCCTAAAGTATGCATGTAATTGATCTAGTGGTGTCCTTTGAAAGAATAGATACTAGAATGCAAGATCGGTGGGGAGGTGGGGGTGGGGTTGGGACAGATAGTACAGTACCTTAAATATTCGGCAGAACTAGAATTCTACTTTATTTATGGAAAGAAAAGCAGCGGGATGGACTCACTCGATTTTTTGACTGTAGTGTGTTTCCTATAGTAAAAGGAAACTATAGTAACCTAACTCAGACGTTCTAGGAAAGCAAGAGGATGTGAGCAGCCTTAGAAAAGAAAGATACGTTTACATTTTTTTTTAATGTAAAGAACCTGTATTGTTAGGTAAAATGCTCACTTTGACTTTACTGGGTCTATATTTGTATTAGGCCATTCTCACATTGCTACAAAAAAATACCTGAGACTGAGTAATTTATTTTTTTAAAAAAGAGGTTTAATTGGCTCACCTTTCTGCTGGCTTACAGGAAGCATGATCCTGGAATCTGCCTGGCTTCTAGGGAGGCCTCAGGAAACTTGCCATCATGGCAGAAGGCAAAGGGGGAATAGAGACTCCCTATGGCTGAGGCAGGAGCAAGAGAGAGATGGGGTTGTGCTGCACACTTTTAAACAAATAGATCTCATGAGAACTCACTCAGTACTGCAAGGGCAGCATCGAGAAGATGGTGCTAAACCATTCACAAGAAACTGCCCTAACGATCCAATCACCAATCACCAGGCCCCACGTCCAACATGGGGATTACAACGGAACATGAGATTTGGGTGTAGACACAGATCCAAACCATATCAATATTTATTCTCTCAACTATGTGATAGCTCATTGGGGATAGGCTTCTCGGCAAAGTATCTGTAAATATCACTGTAAGTTTAGGATCAAGCACAATTAGTTCCCTAAATGGGACATGTGGCCAAAACCTTTTGCAACTGCTAACATGTAACCCAGATTTAAGGATTCAAAAATGAGAGTGTCAGAGTCAACTATGAGATCATCTTTTTATAGAAATGAAAAGAACAAGTGAGTATAATTTGTGGTATATCATGTTTCAAAAATTCAAGTCCATGTTTCTGTTGTTGCATCATGGGAATTCATTTCCCTGCATATTAGGTGAATTTTGCCTGCTACTTTCTAGTTTTAAAATTGGGTTTATGGGCTTCTTTGAAGACAGTAGTTTCTGTGGCTTTCTTGAGAGGTACTCTTCTTTTACTTCTGAGTGTATAACCACCCAAAACCATTTTAAACTAAATTTTCAGCTTGGAATGTCTTGGGGGAGTATAAATTTCATCTATAAACACATATAAGCACTATCTAGTGTGGATAAGTTCTCATGGAAATGATTTTTTTTCTCTTTTATTTAACTTTGTGGCAAGGTCTAAGGCAAGCAATTTCCCTTGCTGATTTGTGTATGTGTGTGTGGTGGTAGAGTTTATTTCTAGTTTACCCCATATACTGCAGCGCTGAATATGGAGGATATCCTCTTGCACTCTCAACATTGGGCAAGCTCTGGATTTTTTTTTTCTTTCTGTCCCTTGTGCATTGCAAAGACAAATCCCTGGGTTTCAAAAAATTCCCCAAAGTAAAAGTCACCTTTGATCCTCTTTCTGCCTCTCAATCCCATTTTTTTTGCCTTTCAAGTATTACTTGCTAGATTATCAATTTGTTTTAAAAGATTTTATATATTTTTTATCATATTTTAATTAATTTCATTGAGGACGTATCTATTAATCCTAATAAGTGATAATGTGGCTATCACTAGTGCTTATAATATCAAGCTCCTGAGAAACAGATATTTAGCAGTTCCATATAAAATTCATTTTTTAACATTTAAATATTGTCTCATATTCTCAGAAAGTTCTTTTTGACAGATAAAGGGATTGGATGATGCTTCTCTTTTTACAATACTTCTATTGGCAGATGGAAGTGGGTTAAAGAGTGAATACAGAAAGGAGTTGAGAACTTTAATAAGAGAATAAAAAGTTCAAGAAAAGAGGCATATGTGAAACTATCTACTACTGAAGCTTGAAATGTTACTATCCCACATTCTGACAATGATCTATTTCTCTTCCACTGATTCTATTTCTTCCCTAATGTCATGAATAATCAGTCTCTTCTTTCTATATGTCTCCCAGTTATTGTTTCCTTTCTTGTCTATCCAGGATATAACACATATCATTCTGCCTTATTTTGCCAATACCATAAAGTTTTTACTCCGTACCATCCCGACCTTGACCAGTTCTTCCACACTTACTGGTGAAACTCCAACCCAGAATTCTTTAACTACAATGAATCAAATCTCATTTTTAAAGAAACATGTTCCACAATAAACCCAAAGTTTCCCTTCCAATTGGATTTTCAAAAATGCACAATTTTCAGTTATATCTGTCACTTCCTCTAATTTCTCCCATTTATTTCAACCTTTACCAATTTTGTTAAGCCCCTTTTCTAATATATACAATTTCACTCTTGCAAACTATTCCCATACTTCTATATATAGCAAATGTATATCTTTTCCTGGATGTGACTCAAATACATACCCTTTGCTTTCCAATTAATGTTCATTAACTTCCACTCTTAATGCCTTATCTCAGTGAAAGTGGTTCTTCTTCCACACTACAAATGTACGCCCTTCCCCGATAGTTCTGGTTTTACCTTCTTCTACTTTCCCATAGTTTCTTGTACGTTTTCCATCTGGCATTCCATTTTAGTTAAAAATCCTCTCATTACTATGTTAACTTAACCTTTATGTCCTCAAGAGTGAGTGTAAACTCTAAGTAGTTTGTAGCCTATTGAAGATCCAAACAACATTGTTATAATTTTATAATAAATATTTTAAAAATTTGAATAGATGGCATAATTATGCAGAACTACTTAGTTTATACTTACTGATACACACAGACCATAATGTATTACCCATTTTCTAAATAATTTTACTTCTCTATATCCTTCTTTACAATTCTACTGCATTACAACATATTTATCAAAAATTCATGCCCTGATACTTTTCTTTTCAATTATTTTACCTGCATCAAATACAGAAAATTACAAATGAACAAATGCAAAAACTTCTATTAGTTTTTAGTTTAGATATAATTTTACCAGATCTCTGCTAATTTTACTTAGTTGCAAGTTCCATTTGCCTTAAAACTTCTCACTTTTCCTATGTATTTTAAGTGAATAAAGGGATTGGATGTTTTGACTAAATCTTTTTATATCTAACTCGTCTTGGAAAATTACATGCTTCAGTGTACTTTACTGATGATTCAAATAATCTTTAAATAATGCATACTTAGATTTGCCTTTGCAATTTTTACTTTTATATCACTATCTGGGTCTTCTGCAGCGGGAAGATCCTGTTAAAATTTTGGGTCATTAGTCATGGCTGTTTTAAAAAAAGAGCTTGATAATTTAGTGGAGATATGAATGCACATATCAAGGTGCTGAGAAGAAACATAAGTTCTCAACAATTGCTGGCAATATTAGGAAGAATAGAAATCATTAATGGAGTGATCATTTGTGTAATTATTTTACTCTTGAAGAACAAAGTGACTCCATCAGGCTAGAGAATTTTGGTAATCATTTGTGAGAAAGAATAATGGAAGATGACAGGCTAAGAAGTTGAAACGTTAAAGAGCCTTAGAAAAGATATTGAAAGTTTAAGAGCAAGATTAGCCTTCTGTGGATGACAAGAGGAGATATTCAAGTCCTCATTTTAAATATCAGCCTATCAAATGCCAATGGGCCCGAGAGAGCAATGGGGTTAGGAGGAGAAATAATGATAGTCAAGCATTCATGCCTTTAAAAGGAGTATAATCTTCTTCTGCTTTACTGCCTTCTGTAGGAACGTCTTCTGTGGGAATGTATCAGACATTCCCACAGAAGGTGAAATGCTACCAAGTTTTCAGATTCTAGGGTGCACTGAGCATGAAAAAGCCGGAGTCCGTGGATTTCTGTTCTACTTCTATCCAATTCACTCAATCAGGAGTTGTAAAAAGGCCCAACTTTCTATGTAACCTGTACTTTTAATTTGGGTTACCAATATGTAGTAGAATTATAAACTCCTTTTATTCATTTATTTATTTATTTTTTATTTTATTTTTGAGATGGAGTCTCGCTCTGTTGCCCAGGCTGGAGTGCAGTGGCACAGTCTTGGCTCACTGCAAACTCCATCTCCCAGGATCAAGCGATTCTCCTGCCTCAGCCTCCTGAGTAACTGGGATTACAGGCGCACGCCACCATGCCTGGCAAATTTTTGTATTTTTAGTAGACACGGGTTTCACCATGTTAGTCAGGCTGGTCTCTAACTCCTGACCTCGTGATCTGTCCGCCTCAGCCTCCTAAAGTGCTGGGATTACAGGCATGAGGCACCGCACTAGGCCATAAACTACATTTTTTAAAGTAAAGGTCAGCGAGGTTTAGTTGAAAAAAGCAGAGTAGTACTCGGGCCACATAGCCTGCCTTGGTTAGATTCTATTTAGGTTTAATTGTCTAGGAAATGGGATTTCTTCGCAGACCTAACTGGATGTATCAGAGTTCCCTTCGTTGGGATTTTCATTTATCCTACAAATATGTGCTATTTTGGTTTCAATGTGTCACTGATTCTCATGTATATGTCACATGTTGAAAAATCTGCGCAGAGGAAAGTGTTTTGAACTGAATTCAGACATTGCTGGTGTCCTGAAAAAACAAAAGTTATTTTAATATCATTTGATAACAACCCAGGAATTAAAAAAAAAAAAACATTTCTGTGCATTCACTCACCAGGTGTCGAAGGCTCAAACTTTCATCTTAACAATAATGATTATAATTAAAGCAACAATAGATACTGGCCAAGAAGACCTTAATGTTCCCCTCAGCTGGACTACATTGTAGACATTTTTCCTGACTGTAGACTCTGACTTAAGAGCATTTATTTACTTTAGAAAACTTGTCATTGTAAATTCTTTCTTTGTTCCTTTGAGACGTAAATCTTTTTTAAGGCCTTCTGCTAGTTTCTAATACAAGAATGTCTTCCTCAAGGACCTGGGAGCTATCTTTTTCAGACACAATCTCAGGAAGATAGCTCCTATTTCCTAGCCCCTGTGAGAGGGTAAGCCTAATGTGGGTGAGTGGTGCCACATAATATACAAAGATGATCTAACCATGCAGAAAAAAAAAAAAAGAAAACTCATAAATAACTCAGTATGCTCTGCACAGTGACCAACTTCTCTGCTAGTATCCTCTAGTACTTTTCCACTCTCTCACCACAGCACTTAAAAAGCCTCCCACATTTTGTTTCACACTGTTTGAGTTCATACTGAATTCTGGCCTCTCTGCCCTATTTCAATAGCCTTACCTAAAATATCCTCTTTCTGTTTAAATTGTCCAGTAACAATTTTTGCTTCAACAAAACTTGCATAGCACTCACAGCTTGCCAAGCTGGCGAAAACGAGGCACAGAGAGATTAAGCAAATGCTGATGGTTAACCCTGTTACTAAGGAGGAGAGCTGGAGTTTGAACTCCAGTTCTCCGATTCTATCTATGCTTCTAACCCAATGCAATACTATCATCTGGGCAAGTTCAGAGTTCACAAGTATTGATACAGAATTTAAAAAATAAAAACAGCTGAGACACAAATCATGAAACTTGTGTGGGATGCCGGGGAAAAAAAGTTTAAGGCATTTCTGAATGAAATGTCTAGTTCTATTGAAATAGAATAGCCACCCATGTGTGTTCAAAAAATATTTTATTTATATTTCAGTATTTGGCCTAGGACCTCAGAAGAAAACTTTAGGAGTCTCATACAGATTAGAAGTGTCTCCCATCATTTGTCTATGATCAAATTAATTAATTTTTTTCAAAGTATTGAGGTAAATATTCAAAACTTTAATAGAAGAGACTTCCTTTTAAGCCAAATAAATTTAATAATACAAACATTCTACCTGGAGGTTACCTGATTTTGTGTGATATTTTGCCATTGCTATGAATTAATAATTTTTATATCAAATTGTGCTTGTTATTCTGTGGTGGATGGAGTGTATTTCTTTTGAAGGAAGGGCTTTTCAAAGAAGAGACAAGATTGGTAAATCCTGGGCAGCAAACCTTCCACAAAGAGAATCTTGTCTTTCAAATGTCAGCAGTAGAACATTCTTACTAAGAGAATCTTGCCTTTAAAATAGCAGGAGTAGAACATCACTGAGGCGACTTTGGTTTAAGGATTTTTGGAGCAGTGTTTTTTTATCTCCTGACTCCTAGTTTAGTTTTGCTGGCCAGTCTGGCCTGACTCACACATGGTCTTTACAGGTCAGTGCTTCTCAGAAGAGGGGGCCAAAGGCTTCCTTGGTGGTCTCTAGCAGATCTGTGGTGTTTGGTCGGCTGACCTGTAGCCTGTTCTGTAATCCCAGCTGCATCTACTGAATACGATTTAAGTAAACCTTCTCTTCAGGTAATGAACTCTATGGCTTATTATGAACTCTGAATCCTGCTCAACTGGCTTATATTCATAAACACTCTTATTTGATTTTAACAACAATCTTTTTTTTTTTCACTATCAGTTTTATCCTTTTCCCAGTATTCTACTTGTAATTCTTTAGCCAATACCTTAGATCATTGATCAGAATACTAAACTCACAGGCCTCCATTTGGAGTACAATCTTGTAAATTATGAACAGGAGCAGAATAACACTGCAATGTGGGTCTTTAGGCTACTGATCCTTACTAGTGCACATAACAGACATGGGAATTTCCCAGCTTTATGCTTCTTAATTAATGTCTGCTGATTGAATTAGACTCTAATCAGCTTATGTTACATAGCAACATATAAATATACATCAAGAATAAAAATTAAACTAAAATAAAACAACAAAATCCAAAAAACAAAAAGAAACATCTGACCTTAGTGATACTTACAAACAAGGATCCCTTTATTGCTCTCTATTCGTTAACACTAGTGACGCTTAACTTCCCTCTTTATTTAACCAGCTTAGTTTACATGGAGCACCTTTTCAGTAATAACATACATTCTTGACTCTCTGTTGTTTTTGCATTGTATCTCCACACACAACCCTAATCTTGGATGAAACCAACCGTGCATTTTCTCTGGACAGAGAATGTGGAAAGAGACCCATCAGCAGAGGCAAGTTCTGTTATAAATTGGTCACAACACATACTGGGAGGCCCTCAATGTACTGCTTATAATTTTATCATGTCTCTGGTCCAATCAACTCACGTGGCCTCTGAAAAATTATGTCAATGCTCTAACCACCCTTATTCTAACCAACCTTACTCTCCTCCCTCCAACTGTTTGATGGCCATTTCTAATTAATAGAAAATTACAGCCAGATGCTGGGAGCTTGTCATTTATTAGTACCAAATATAGAAACACAGCCTTGCTGCTGCGAATGTGATCTGCTCACTACAGCATGAGAAGCACCTGGAAATCTGTTAGAAATGTCGACTCTAAGGCCCCAACTCAGACCTGATGAACCCAAATCTGCATTTAAAAGGCTCTCAGTTGTGTTTTTTTTTCTTTTTCTTTTTTTTCTTTTTGCCTATATTTAAGTTACAGAAGCACTGAAATGAAAGAGGATACCAATTGTTTCTGATTCTTTTTCTTTTTTAAAAGCAGGTTCTTTGCCCGAACACGGCATAATTTCTTTTCTTTCTCCTCCTAGTTCCTCAGAAACTTACATTGAATTTTTTCCTTCTCTCCTCAGCATATTCAACTTCTCTCTTAACTAAAATTCCCCATACTCTATTCTTAACTCTCGAATTTCTCCATTAAACCCTCACATTTAACCAATTAAAGTAAAATAAACACACCAGTTAGAGCATTAGTTTTTTCTAGTCTCCTGAGCCAAACTGATGAAATGAGATGTTTATAATCAATGTGTCCATTTCTTCATCTGACACTTTCTTTTCAACCCATTGTAAAATGGCCTCTGGGCCATCACTCCATTAGACGTTGTTCTAAGTTCACCCACTGTCTTTGAGTTTCTTCACATTTAATTCCCCTCGTTACTCCCTCAGCAACATTTAACACAGTGGAAAGTATGTATGAATGACCGAAGGACAATATAAATGATTGACATCTCTGGATTGTTACCTTTCTACTCTCTTTTCCAAAATATAATATTTTACTCATTTCCCTTTACACTTCTGATATTTAAAGAAAATAAGCTTACATAAAGTTACATGCAAAAAATGTTTGTTTTTGTAACTGCTCTATGTCCGTCACATAGCATAAAACTAGAGACTCAAATTTTATCACAAGAATGAATTTGTGCTTTAGGTGAAGTGTTCTTTCCCTGATCTTCTACAAAAAGTTTTAGTTCCTTCTTTATTTTAGTTTGTGTAGTAATCACCCATTACAGAAGTAAAACATCCAGCCTATTTTTTTTACCCACCCGGGGATAGATTTGTGTGTACATCAAAGAGTGATCTTATATGTTGAATAAACAGGATGAAGATAAGGAGCTTTTCTACACTTTTATTCTTGGGATTTTATCCTTTATTTAACTCTAAAGTCTCTTCAGGCTTATGAGCTAGAAATTGAGTTTTTACCACTTTCATTATTTGAATATCTGTTAGAAGTGGCTATCTGAATTCATGAAAAGGATGAGAGAATTTCCTAAGCCTTTTCTTTATTATAGAATTCAAAAGTTTTAAAAGCTTAACTCAATTTTATTTTCAAAGACCTTATTTTGTGCCAGTGTACACAGAAAAACTTATTCAATTTTTTCTTATTCTGCTGGTTATCGCAGAAAGACAACTGGGAAAAAGCAATATATGCTCATTACAACTGTGTTTTGTCAAGGTTCCATCAATACCCTACAGGAAAAAAAAGACCCTATTATTAAAGTAATTTTAGGAATGATTATATGTTATAATATTGGTATACCTCCATTACAAAATTCATAATTCTTATTATATAATCTGTATTTTCAAGGATCCCTACTGTTTTATTTTGTAAATCTTGAGAATTTTCAGAAATAAGTTTGAGAAAACACTGATCAAGAAGGTGACTCAAAAGTAACCATTAGAAATAGCCATAAGGTGATATGACACCAAAAGCAAGGCAAGAAAAACAAAAACAAACAAGTAGAACTACATAAAACCAAAAAGCTTCTGCTGTGTTAAAAAATAAGAAGAAGAAGAAGAAACAGAGTGAAAAGGGTGATCTAAGGAATGGGATAAAATATTTACAAACTGTGTATTTGATAAGTGGTTAATCTGCAAAAAAATAAGAGACTCATAGTAAAAGCAAAAACCTAATAACCTGATTTAAAAGGGACCAGGTTAATTCCAGCATTTTGGGAGACCAAGGTGGGCAGATCACTTGAGTCCAGGAGCTAGAGACCTGCCTGGGCAACATAGAGAGACCACCATCTCTATTAAAAAATAATAATAATAAATAGACTAGGGACCTGAATAGATATTTCTCCAAAGAAGACATAAAAATGGCCAACAGGTATATGACAAAGATGTTCAACATCACTAATCATCAGGGAGATGCAAATCAAAACCAAAATGAGATATTTCCTCTTACCTGTCAGGATGTCTATTATCAAAATATCAAAAGACAAGTGCTGGTGAATATGTGGAGAAATTGAAACCTTTGCACACTATTGGTGGGGATGCAAAATGATGCAGTTTCTATGGAAAATAGTATGGAGATTCATCAGAAATTTAAAAATAGAACTATGGTATGATATACAGCAATCCCACTTCTAGATATTTATACAAAAGAATTGAAGTTAATATCTTCAAGAAATATGAGTCCCCCTATGTTTGTTGCAGCACTATTCACAATAGCTAAGATATGGAAGAAACTTAAATGTCCATGAACAGATGAATGGATAAAGAAAATGTAGTAAATACATACAGTGGAATACTATTCAGCCTTCACAAAAAGGAAATTCTGAAATATGTGACAATATGGGTAATTTTTTTTTTTTTTAGATGGAGTTTCACTCTTGTTGCCCAGGCTGGAGTGCAGTGGCATGATCTCGGCTCACTGCAACCTCTACCTCCCAGGTTCAAGTGATTCTCCTGCCTCAGCCTCCTGAGTAGCTGGGATTACAGGCATGCACCACCACGCCTGGCTAGTTTTTGTATATTTAGTAGAGATGGGGTTTCACCATGTTGGCCAGGCTGGTCTTGAACTCCTGCTCAGGTGATCCACTCGCCTCTGCCTCCCAAAGTGCTGAGATTACAGGCATGAACCACTGCGCCTGGCCAATATGGGTGAATTTTGAGGATACTATGCTAAGTGAAATAAGGCAGTCACAGAAAGACAAATACTGCATGATTCTACTTACATGACACATCTAAAATAGTCAAATTCATGGAATCAAAGAATAAAATGGTTGCTAGGGGCTGGAGGGAGGAGAAATGGGGACTTACTAATCAACAGGCACAAAGTTTTGGTAAAGCAAGGTGAATAAGCTTCAAAGATCTACTATACAGCATTGTATCTATAATCATTTGTACACTTAAAAATTTGTTAAGAGTATGGATCTTAAGTGTTCTGATCACAATTATTTTTAAAGAAAACTAAGAAAGAAGCAAAAATAAAAAGTACTTTTAAGACTAAGGCTGGCTTAATAAAAATAGTTATCAGTTTTGGAGCTCCTACTCTCTCAAGCAATACAGACATAGTTATAGCTATATAAAAATTTTTAATATTATGCATATTTCTTTTATATGTGAGGACAGTAAAATTGAGATGGATTAAATATCTTAACCGGGATCTTATACTTAGTCTTTACTGAAAGGGCCACAAACCAGGATGATCTGAATTAAAGTTATCTTTCTTTCACCTTCTCTTTTTATCTCTCCTACAATTGTCAACTAGGCCATTAGAGTAGGAAAACCATCTGTTTAATGCAAGTTACACATGTTTTTCATCCATTATTTGAGCTTTGATGATTAAGAACTTCCGCCTAAATTGATGTAATCTTTGTGTACCTATTTATTTGGCTTTTCTAAAGAAATAGCAGTGACATGATGGCTTGATTGAGTGTGCTGACAGATGTGCCTTCCAAGAGTGTAAGAAACCCTGCAATTTTCTGAAAGACTTCAGTTATTTTCCACTGACCCTGATCAAAATTTGTCCATATAAAGGAAGAATTTTTCCATACAAGGAAATAACTAGTATCATAGTAAACTTTTCCAGCTTCCATTGTTGCTTTCTTCCTCTGTAACGTCTGTCACTGGAAAAACAATCTCCTGCTCACTCTTAGACTTTCTGACCTGAACTGACCAAGAAATTGCTGAACATAAATGAATCACTTCTAAAAAGAGAAAACTACTGAAGATGCCTCATTATATTTTAGCTGTGTGGTGAGGGATTTGTCTCAACATGGATATTTACACAGCATTAGGAGAAATTACATTTTACTGGTAATCTTTCTATACAAATTAATAATATAAAAAGACTTTTTAGAAATCATCTGAAAGTTAGCAATAATGAAGTGTCAACTATAAATAACACGTTGATATGTTTTTAAATATCACTCCTGGATAACAACTTTTAAGCCCTTCACATACTGGGCCCACTTATGAGGTGAGACTTAGGGAGTTATTCTCTAAGGTTTCCTTTATAAAAAAGGAGCCATTAACAGTTTCTATGGTTTAGAGTTGTTCTAAGAATAAATAAAATAATCTTAATTTTCTTAGCACAAAAGCTGGTATATAGCATGTGTACATTAAATTGTAGAGATCTGTTGTATTATTTGGTGTTTTCTTTCCAAAATAAAGGTTATAATTAGATAAGTAGCTTGTTTTCAGCATTAAAAATGCTCGTTTACGTTACTACTCTTGTCTTTTTTTAATGCTACACATTTGGGAGTAATCCTGAATTTTGTCATTTTAATTCTTTTATGAGAGGATTGCATCCAACATCACTCTTCCTGTATTCTTTGGAGGAGCTTCCGCCTATTGCCTCTGCCCTCCCTGCACCGTGGGACACATGAAGTAGTCTTAGTTCCAGCAGATGGTAACATCAGGTAAAGTGTTTTTAACTCATAGATGTGTCATGCTTTATGATATATAACATTCTTTTTTAAGTTGATATTAAGATCTCTATACTTGGGGATAATATTTAATTTTTACACTTTTTTTTTTTTTTTTGAGACGGAGTCTTGCACTGTCACCCAGGCTGGAGTGCAGTGGCACGATCTCGGCTCACTGCAACCTCTGCCTCATGGGTTCAAGTGATTCTCCTGGCTCAGCCTCCCATGTAGGTTGGACTATAGGCGCTTGCCACCATGCCTGGCTAATTTTTGTATTTTTAGTAGAGACGGGGTTTCACCATGTTGGCTAGGCTGGTCTCGAACTCCTGACTTCAGGTGATCCACCCGCCTCGGCCTCCCAAAATGCTGGGATTATAGGTATAAGCCACTGAGCCGGCCAATTTTTTACACTCTTAAGGGCATTTGAGATCAATTGACTGATCTTTGAGAGAGAAGTCCAGCTGATGAATAAAACAGACATATTTTGAAATTGGAACTCCTATTAACACCTACTTATCCCTTCCTCCAAATAAGAAAGTTATATTTAAATACACACACACACACACACACACACACACACACACACAGAGAGAGAGAGAGAGAGAGAGAGAGAGAGAGCGAATAGTAAGAATTTGTATTCTTGTTTTGTCACTCTTTTAATTCTCAAATATAAGATCTTTTCTTTTAATTGTTCGCTCAAAGTTTCAGTTAGCCAAATTTCTAAAATGTGATAATCACGCTGCCAAAAACCAGCCACAGTTTTGATTGACAGGTCTAACACCATGTTATGAGTGTGTATGGTGTCTATGCTTTCTGTTAGAGGTATTAATATTATTTGAGATATTACTTTTTTGCATAGTGACTTTGAGCTGCTAGCACCTTGCCATTCTCCATGAGAGTTTGATTTGATGAAAACATAAAATTTGGTTATAAGAACATATTAATAGGGATTCAAGCTGGAGCAATCATTTTTTAACATGAAACTCAGCTTTCTTTTATTCATTTTTATTCCTCTATTATCCCTGAACATAAACAGTATTTACAAACAACAAAACTCATGTGAAGAATAGCACTATGTCATGGGAGAATTAGAAAACTATATTAAATGTGCTGAATTCCACCTTTGCCCAAGTAAATCCTGAGTTTTAGTGTCTGTATAGAAGATGGTTCTATGTTCCTAATAGCACTCGTTTCTCAGTAACATAGCTTAAAAATAAACTCTATATTGAATATATTTTATGTGTGTATGTGTATATAATCTACATGTACATGTATTTAGCAGTTTTATGACACATAGCCCAGTAGATAGCATACCTTAACTAACTTTTGGCATTTTCTGCTAAATTCCCCCAGCTAGTGCAATCAAGAAGAATTACCACACCAATTGCTGTGTTTATGTGGTATGAAAAAATTTTTGGACATAAGCTTTGCAATTCATTCTGATTGCCACCAAGTAATTCTTTACAGACCTACGAGTCAAAACTATGGCTGATTTTTGGCAGCTTGATTGTCACATTTTAGAAATTTGGCTAATTAAATCTTTGTGAGTGAACAATTAAAAGGAAAGATCTCATATTTGAGAATTACAATGGTGATGAGAAAAGAGTGCAAATTTTTATCACTGTGTGCATGTGTGCGTGTGTGTACTTAAATATAATTTTCTTATTTGGGAGAGGGGATAAATTTATTAGCACATGCAATGATTTTGATTTGCCCTCTGAATCTTCTTAAATTCTCATTGGCCTTTCCCTCAGTAAGCAAATCTACATTCTTCTTTCCACTGTGCGATGATACCATATGCCACACTTTCCAGGGTGGATTCTCTAAATTTAACTAAAATGAAATATGGAACTAGTGGGCAGAAAAAGTTTCAGTTGGATGTCTGCAGCTATAAGTACTCATAAAGAATCTAAGAGAAAAATATTTGTTTAAAGCATTCCTTAACAAAAATGAAATACAATAACTAGTTAAAGGAATAGAAGAGTTGGAAACCTGGCAAGACTTTTTGGTTCTCTTAAGTTTTGTATTTGACAAAAACCACTAAGACAACTGAACACATTTGCTTGCTGGTGGACTTAATGATAAGCCTGGTATTATGACCTCCATATTTATTTGAGAATACTGGTTTGCATTTGGTTTAGATTCCCATTTATAAGACTTTTCTAAATGTCACAAAGAGGAGTCATGACATAAATAAAGCAACATGACAATATTTGTAGTGTGCTTTATATTATGTTTGCTATTCCATCAGCTCTTATTTCTGGAAACACAGGACAGAATAGCCTAACTCCCAGCTGTTGTGGAGCCTCTGTAAGAACTTCCTATATGATATGCATTTAACTCACCTGTTGGATGAGGCCTGCTTGTATGTGGTGTCTCTTGGGGGTGGTACATTTTAATATGTCAACCACTTCAATTTATTAGACTAAAAGCATTTGAGGGTAGATTTCGAAGTAAAGAAATCAAGGAGGGTGTGTGAAGCATGTCACACTCTGTTAGGAAGTTTTGATATGGGGCGCTTTACGAACCCTGGTGAGACTGTCTGTCCTGGGACTAGCCAATCCCTAGAGTCAGAAAAGGATCCAATGTGACTGTGTCTTTTATATGCAGACTAACCAATGCAGAACTCACAGCCACCACCACACCCCACCTCTTCTATAAGGTTCTAAAACTCTGGACCAATATTCCTTTGCTCCAAACACCCCAAGGCCGGGTACCAGGTATTAGGAACAGTCCTTATGCCTCAGAACCTGTGGAGATTACTTAAAGTAGTGACCCTAAACCTGCTTACACCACCTTGCCCACTTCTTTCCCTGAAAACCACAATAAAGTCTCTTGACCTTGTTTTTCCACAGCTTCCTGGCCAACCTGGCATTTCCCCAGGGAAGAAGGGAAGACGGAATAAGGTTATTAATATATTCAAGTGATAATTTTTTTTTAAATTTTCTTAAAGTCTCATTTGACCTTAGTGCCTATAAATAAATTTATGTTGTTTTTTCATGGCATGGTATGTCCATTTTGGGAACTAAGCAACAAGTTATCTTTTCGACGTCAGTCATCCCTTGATCTGTTGGCCTCACCAGACTTGAATAATAATAAAATCTGTATTTTAAAACAGAAAGATGCCTTGAAAACTAACATTGGGGACAAAAGGAAGAAAAACAAAATAAAAATAGCTGGAGGTTTTCAATTTGTGAAATTCACCAATTTAGGATATAAGATGAAAAAAAGATACTTTCCCAAAAATGCTTTGCAAAGAATAGAAAAGACTATACATTTATCTTCATTATATATCTAAAATAATTTATAAAAAAGTTCAATAAATTCCAAATTTCAGGTCATCGAAGATTAGTTACTCAAAATAATACAATTGCTTTCATCATGTGGTATGGTTTGAATCTGTATCTCCGCCCAATTCTCATGTTGAAATATAATCCCCAATGCTAGAAGTGGGGTCTGGTGGGAGTTGATTGGCTCATGGGGGAGGTTTCCTCATGGTTTAACACCATCCCTCCCTCACCACCCCACCAGCCCTGGCTTTGTTGCAATAGTGCGTTCTCCTGAGATTTGCTTGTTTACAAGTGTGTGGCACCTCCCCGCCTCCTTCCTCCTACTCCAGCCATGTGAAGTGCCTCGCTTCTGCTTTGCCTTCTACCATGATCGAAAGCTTCCTAAGGCCTCCCTCCAGAAGCACAAGCCGCTACACTTCCTGTACAGCCTGCAGAACTGTGAGACAATTAAACCCCTTTTGTTTTCTTTATAAATTGCCCAGTCTCAGGTATTTCTTTATAGCAGTGCGAGAATGGACTAATAATACAACCTGATTTTCAAACTTTATTATGTTCTTTTTTGAGACGTAATTCACATATCATAAAATTCACCACTTTATAGGATAAAATTCAGTAGTTTTAATTATATTAACAAAATTGTGCAATCGTCACCACTACCTAATTCCAGAGTATTTTCACCAGGCCAAACAGAACCCACTTACCCATTAGCAGCCATTTCCTTTCTCTCCCTCCCCACTTCAAACTCTGGTAAACACTGATGTACTTTTTATCTCTATTGATTTGTCTGTTTTGTATGTTTCATATAAAGTGAATTGTACCATATGCGGTCTTTTGTGTCTGGCTTCTTTAACTTGGCATAATGTATTCAATGTTCATCTATATTTTGATATGTATCAGCATTTTGTTCCTTTGTTGTTGAATAATATTCCATTGTATAGATATGCTGCATTTTGTTTAGTCATTCATGAATGGATGGGCATTTTGGTTGCTTACACTTCTTGGCTATTTTGAGTAATGCTTCAATGTACATTCAGGTACAACTTTTTGTATAGATGTATGTTTACATTTCTCATAGGTGTATAGCTAGGAGTGAAATTTCTGGGTCATATGGTAACTCTTTAACTTTTTGTTTTTGAGAAACTGCCAAACTATTTTTTAAAGTAGATACACAATTTTACATTTCCACAGTAATGCACGTGTTCAATTTATCCCCATTAGTGCCAACACTTAATTATTAGTCTCTTTGATGTACAGTTATCCTTTTATTTATTATATGAAGAAGATAATGGTATCTTATTGTGATTTTGATGTGCCTTTCCCTAATGACTAACGACGTCAAACATCTTTTCATGTGCTCATTGGGTATTTGTACATCTTCTTTGGAGAAATGTCTATTCACATTTTTTAATTGGGTTATTTATAGTTGAGATGTTAGGGTTCTTTTTATATTCTGAATACTAGCTTCTTATCAGATATATGTTTTGCAAATATTCCTACACATTCAGTGAGTTGGCTTTTCACTTTCTTCATACTGTCCTTTGAAGCACAAACATTTTAAAAATTTTGATGAAGTCAAATTTATCAAATTTTCCTTTGTTGCTGGGGCTTTGGTGTCATGTCTTAGAAACTATTGCCTAACCCATGATGTGAAGGTTTACACATATGTACTTTTCCAAGAGTTTTATAAATTTAGCTCTTACATATAGACCTTTAGTACATTTTGAATTAATTTTCATGTGTGATATGAGCTAAGGCCCAACTTCATTCTTTTACGTGTGGATATCGTGTTTTCTCTGCATCATTTTGTTGAAAATAAAATTTTTTCCCCATTGAATTATTTGGCACCACTGCTGAAGATTATTTGACTATAAATGTGAGGGTTTATTCCTGAAGTCTTAATTCTATTGATCTATTTGTCTATCCTTATGTTAGTACCACGATGTCCTTAACACTGCAGTTTTGCAGTCAGGATGTGTGAGTCCTCCCATTTTGTTCTTTTTTTCCACATTTTTGGTTATTTTGAGCTCCTTAAATTTCCACCTGAATTTCACAATCAGTTTGTAAATTCTTCAAAGAAGCCAGCTGGAATTTTGATACTAATTGCTTTGAATGTATACGTCAAGTTGAGGAGTACTGGCACTTTAAAAATATTAAATTTTTCCATTAATAAACATGAGGTAGCTTTCCATCATTTCAGGCCTTTAATTTCTTTCAACAATGTTCTGTAGCTGCTCCTAGGAGTTTTATCATTTTTGATGTTATCATAAGTGAAATTGTTTTCTTACTTTTATTTTCAAGTTGATCATTGCTGGAAACACAATTGATTTTTGTATTTTGAATCTTGTACCCTGCATCCTTGCTGTATTTATTAAAACTTTCTATATACATAGTTTATATATATTAAGATAAATTTATGTATATCTTTTGAGCAATTTAATATTTAATAACTGCATTAGTCAGGTTTCTTCAGAGAAACAGAATCAGTAGAATTATATAGAAAATAGAGAGATATTCAACAGAGAGACATTTATTTTAAGAAATGGCTTATGGAATTGTGAAAGCTGGCAAGTTGGAAACCTATAATACGGCCAACAGACTTGAAACAGGCAGATTTTAGGCTGTCATCTGGAGGCAAAAATTCTTGTCTAGGAAACCTCGACTTTGCTCCTAAGATCTTCTACTGATTGGATAAGGCCCTCCCATATTGTCAGCCATAATCTTCTTTACTTAAAGTAAACGTAAACTGATTTCTGGGGAAAATGATATCTACAAATACCTTCACTGCAAATCTAGATTATGGTTTAAATTGACACTTAAGACGATCACAATAGCCAAAATCTTACTTCCTGCTGTGTGCATTGTTAGCCACATTATTTCCGGAATTTTCAGTGAAATTTAAAACATATCAGGGCAATACTCAAAAGAAACTAAAAATTCTCTGATAGTTTGAGAAAAATCTACAGGTTTAAACATTACTTTTTCTTTTTCTTTTTTAGCTACTCCTTGTAGAGCAAGGCTACCCCATAGACGATGTACTCAGAATAACCTAAACACTACTTTTTCTTTCCTAGGGTAGATTGATTAAACACATAATCTCAAAATTGCGCTTTGGGCACTGAATATTTTCTTATTCATCACGTGATCACCATGCAAAGAACATTACTTAACTCTCTGGTATGACAAGGGAGAGAGCCCTACCAAGAATTTGTCTCTTCCCATATCAGATTTAGTTGCATTGTGTGTGTGTGTGTGTGTGTGTGTGTGTGTGTATTACGTATAACTATGCCTGTATTTAAACAAGGACAGTAGGATGGGCCATTCATTCACTGAGTGGCAGTGGGGAAACCTTCAGATCTAGACTTTGTCTAGAGTATCCTTTCAGAACTATTCCTACTGATTTCTTTTTGTTTTGCTGGGAGTCGTTGGGTGGTCATTAAACAGTAGGTGAAGGGTGAGTGAGTAAAGAAAGCAATCCATTCTGATCTCCATAACTGGCCATTACCTCACCCCCTGCTGGGTCGGCATCTCCAGGAGGGATAAGATGGGGCAGTTATAAAAAAGGAACAGCTATAGAATAGCTTTAAAATGTTTATAGAACACCTATAAAATGACCCTCGAGGCTCAGTGTAAAGGCTGTTTTATAGTTAGAGCATAGATTCCAGACTACTGGCAGGCCCCCTGCTCTGCAGAGAGGCCACCTTCACACTCTCTAAACCAATTCAACCTAACCACTTGCTTCCACTGTTCTTTTTACCCTCTTACTAAAGGGGCCTATAAATTAGGCAACAAAACAAAACAAAATAAAAACAAGTGCATCACATTTGACTTTGAATTCTTTAAATTACTTAAGTTGTTGGGTCAAATCTGCTGATAAACATACTTGCACTTATGTGGCTGATCCAGATGAAATATCAAGATCTGTTTGGACTGAATTGCTATCAGTCATTATGAAGCTATGATGGCTGGGACAATTTTTTGATCCTGGCAACTTGGTTTTGGTGGTTTGTACAGTGAACAGTGAGACAATCCTCTCCTCTAAATAATAAGTTTTATTTTAACTTATAATTCACTAAATAAGTTTGTCTTCTGAGAGGCATTAAGTAAACTAAGAAATTACTAAAAATATAAGTGAAAAGATTGGGTCTTTCCAAAGCTCTAAGTCAGGTAAATGTATAATTTCTTTCTATTATTTGATATATTTTATAAAGAGGTTAGCATGTGACAAAGAAAATTTTGAGTAATACTTCAACTATAGTATGTAAGATAAGATGAATCATTTCCCCCTACTCACTAAATTGACTGCTTCAAGAACTACAAAATTTGTATCTGTTGTATTTAGTTCCTCACTTTGGAATATTACTAGAAATTATCTTGCTTTTGTAGCTTGAGATAATTTTTATTATTTTTTTAATAAGTGTGAGAAAATTAAACATTTTCTTTTTAATTATATTTCAGTCTGTCTTTTAATATTGTGTTTTGATGAAAATAATTGATGAATCATGAGATATTAGAATACCAATGTCTGGGATTAATAACTGGAATATCTAAGGAGCTCAAACAACTCAATAGGAAAAAAAAGATCTAATAATCAGATTTAAAAATGGGCAGAAGATCTGGAAAGACATTTCTCAAAAGAAGACATTCAAATGGTAAACAGACATATGAAAAGGTGCTCAACATCATTGATCCTCAGAGAAATGCAAATCAAAACTACAATGAGATATCTCATCCCATTAAAAATGGCTTTTATCCAAATAGAGCCAATAATAAATGCTGGTAAGAATGTGGAGAAAAAGGAACCCTCATACACTGTTGGTGGGAATGTAAATTAGTGCAACCACTATGGAGAACAGTTTGGAGGTTCCTCAAAAAACTAAACATAGAGCTACCATATTATCCAACAATCCCACTGCTGGGTATATACCCAAAAGAAAGGAAATCAATATATCAAAGAGATATCTGCATTCCCATGTTTGTTACAGCTCTGTTCACAGTAGACAAGATTTGAAACAACCTAAGTGTCCATCAGCAGACGAATAGATAAAGAAAATGTGGTACTTATACACAATGGAGTACTATACAACCATTAAAAAAATGAAATCCTATCATTTGCAACAACATGGATGAAATTGGAGGTCATTATGTTAAGTGAAATAAGCCAGACACAGAAAGAAAAGCATTGTAGGTTTTCACTTATTTATGGGATATAGAAATCAAAATAATTGATTCTATGGAGATAGAGAGTAGAAGGATGGTTACCAGAGGCTGGGAAGGGTAATCGGAGGATTGGGGGTAGGTGGGGATGTCTGTCTAATGGGTAGAAAAAAATAGTTAAAATGAATGAACAAGGCATAGTATTTAATAGTACAACAAGGTGACTACAGTCAATAATAATTTATTATGCATTTTAAAATAACTAAAAGAGTATAATTGCATTGTTCATAACACAAAAGATAAATGCTTGAAAAGATGAATATTCCATCTTCTATGATGTGATTATTATGTATTGCATGCCTGTATCAAAACAGCTCATGTATCCAATAAACATACACACCTACTATATACCTCATATAATTAAAAAAAAATTCAACACCTTCTATGTGACAGCAAAATAAAAATAATACCAACTTCAGCAGTTATACTAGAACTTGATGTCCCAACACAGCCTTCAGGTAATTTGCATCTTTCTCAAAAAGATGAAGCAAAAAATAGGCAGGAAGAGGCTTTTTATAAAATTAATTCCTAAGCCAAATGATGTCTCAGGTTTTATTTACTTATTTATTTTGCTTTCTAGAATATTATTAAGTGTTAAAATGAGTTCTTTGTTTTGTTGGTATTCAAATGTATTCATTTATTCTATATCATTGCTCTTCATTGTTTCAGATTTTGGTAGATAGATTTGGTGAGATTCTTTAATCAAAATTTAGAAATTTTTCTTGCTATAAATGTAGTTACAATAATACTAAATATCTAATATATTACGTTAAGTCCTAGTTTTCTGCAGATACTTAGTAATGTTTTCTATTTTTAAAAAATCTCACATCAAGACTGGGTTTAAAAATATTTTATGTAATAAAAAGGAATTTTTATATAAATCTTTTAGGTATTATTAAGGAATCTTTTCTATAGCAATGTTTGCAGTTCCTCTTTCAACTTTAATTTATTTTAAAATTTTAAATTCATGATTATTAATGTTATTTTTGATTAACAAATCATAATGGTATATATTTAAGGGATACAATGTGATGTTTTGATATATGTATACAATGTGGAATGTTTAAGTCAAGCTAACTAGCATATCCATCATTTCACTTATTTACCATTTTTTATGTGAGGCCATCATTTAACTCTGTACATTTGTGGGTTCAACTTTTTTATATTACACATATAAGTGAGATCATGTGGTAGTTGAACTTCTGTGCTTGCCTTATTTCACTTAGCATAATGTCCTTCAGATTTATCCTTGTCATGAATGACAGAATTTTCCCAATATTCTATTGTGTATATATACTACATTTTCTTCATCCATTCATCCATTGTTGAACACTTAGGTTCATTCTGTATCTTGGCTATTGTGTATAATGCTTCTATGAACATGATAGTACAGATATCTCTTTGACATATTGATTTCGCTTCCTTTGGATATACATCCAGAGTGGTATTACTGGATCATATGGTAGTTCTATTTTTAGTGTCCTGAGGAAACTTTAGGCTGTTTACTATAATGGTGCTAATTTGCATTTCTACCAACAATGTATAAGAGTTCTGCATTAGGCCGTTCTTGCATTGCTATAAAGAAATACCTGAGATTGAGTAACTCATAAGAAAAGATTTTTAATTGGATCATAGTTCTGCAACAGGAAGCATAGCAGCATCTGCTTCTGCAGAGGACTTGGGAAGCTTCCAATCATGTCAGAAGGCAAAGGGGTAGAAGGCATATCATATGGCAAGAGCAGAAGCAAGTGAGATGGAAGGGGGAGATGCCACACAGTTTTAAACAACCAGATCTTGCAAGAACTCACTCACTATTGCGAAAAGAGTACCAAGCTATGTGAGATCTGTCCCTGTCCCCATGACCCAAACATCTCCCACTAGTTCCCACTTCAGCTTTGGGGATTGCAATTCAACTTGTGATTTGGACAATGACAAATATCCATATTATATCAAGTTTCTTTTTCTCTGCATCCTCACCAACACTTGTTATTTTTCATCTTTTTGATAAGAGCCATTGTAACAGATGGGAGGTGTATCTTACTGTACTTTTAATTTTCATTTCCCTAATGGTTAGTGATACTGAGCATTTTTCACATACATATATGTCTTCTTTGAGAACTGTCTATTCAGATCTTTTGCCAATGTTTTAATTAGGTTGTTTGTTTTCTTGCAATAGAGTTAATCTTATATGTAAGAAACACCATAAAAACTCCACTAGAAAACTGTTAGAACTGATAAATGAAGTCAGTAAAGTTGAATTTTATTGTGTATTGAACAATACACAATCAACATACAAAAATTTGTAGCATTTCTATATATTAATAATGAATTATTCTTAAAAAAGAAAACATTTACATTTACAATAGCAACAAAAAGTTAAATAAGTGTAAATTTAATTTAATCAAAGAGGTAAAAGACCTGTATAGTATGCCATTGTTACCTGTAAATTCTGAATCCATGGATTCAACCGTAGATCAAAAATATTTTTTTAAAAAATTACCTCTGTATTGAGCATGTACAGGCTTTTTTTCTAAAAAATAATTTTCTAATCAATTATTTCCTAAACAACACAGTTCTAACAATTATTTACGTAGTTTTTTTGTATTAGGATCATAAGTAGTCTAGAGATTATTTAAAGCATACAAGAGGATGTGCATAGTTTACAACAAATAATATGCCATTTTATATCAGGGACTTGAGCATTCATGGATTTTGGTATCTGTGGGAGGTCCTGGAACCAATACCCCAAGAATACCAAGGAATGGCTATATACTGAAAACTATAAAACACTGCTTAAAGAAAGGCAAGAAGACACAAATAAATAGAAAGATAAACCATGTTCATGGACTGAAATAATTAATATTCATAAAATGTTAATACTACCCAATCTGCAAACTTATTGTAATCTCTTATCAAAATTCCCACTCTTACAGAAATAGAAAAATGTTCTTAAATTCACATAGAACCACAAGAGACTCTCAACAGCCAAAACAATCTCAAGCAAAAAGAACAGAGCTGGAGGTGTCACATTCCCTGATTCCAAAACATATTATAAAGTAATTGTGATCAAAACAGTATGATCCTGGCATAAAAACAGACAGCTCAACCAATAGAACAGGATAGAGAACTCAGAATTAAACCCGTGTTTAATCAATTGATTTGTGACAAAAGTGCCAAAAACACATGTAGAGAAATGACAGTCTTGAATAAATAATGTTAAAAAAAAACTGGGTATTTACATACAGAAGAATGAAAGTGAACCATTGCTTCACATCTTATACAAAAATGAATTCAAAATAGATTAAAAACGTAAACATAGGACATGAAACTCTAAAACTACTACAAGAAAACGTATGGAAGAAGCTCTTGCCATTGGTTTAGGCATTGTTGCAAAAATGACTAAATGCTACTAAACATTTCATAGTTTTAAATCTTATGGCTATAAAAATGTTTTTCTTTTTTTAATTTTAAAACAGTTATTTTATGTGGTGTCATTTGTATTTCTTTTTGTGAATTTCTTATTAAAACATTCGCCACATGTTTTATTTTATACCAACTAATTATTTTAGACTTTCTTAGATTTTAAAGTTTTAAATTAATTTTTATTTTAAATAAGAGTCTCAGTCTTTACCTCCATATTTTCTGGGATTCAAGTGCAATCTAAGGCCTCCCAAAACTAGTTTTTTAGCTGAAAAAAAATTGTTTTAGATGTTTCACAAATGTAAAGATGTGAATTAACTTAGACACGGGAATGAAGATTTTTCCCTAATTTCACAGTTTAGGAAATGTATATGAGTAATATGCTTCCTTGTTTTCTCTACATAATAATATATTGCTATTCTCTCCAGTGTGGCATGAGGGAACTTGAGTAGTTTATAAATCTTTGTTTTATATCATTTCCTATCATCAAAACTCTGTACACATTGTATCATTTCTAAACCACTTGCGTACCACTTAGGATTTGGCTTATTCGGCTACTTTGGAATTAGCTAGCTACTATGGCAAGAATTTATGTTGAGAAAACTTGTGCTATTCATTGCTATATTTGTTTTCTAAAAAGTATGAAATTATTTCTCAATAGGTTAATTTTATCTACAAAATTAAAACTATACGTTTGTTTCTTGTCTCTGAACCTTCATTCTGGAAATCACTCTTCTGTGAACTAAGTGCAGATCACAACGATGACCCTACCATCCTATGCCCTCTCCATCACACTTAGCACCATATCTGTAACATATTGCCAAAATGGACCTTTAGGACATTAATCCTCAATTATCTAAACACCTGCCATATTTCCAAATACATACCACTCGTAAGGATTTTTAGAATAAATCTATGAAAATAATTCTATATTAATTCAACATAATATACACAAATCTCAGATAGTGAAACTCTCTGTTACTTCATTGTATACTCCTCCAGTTTGGAGCATGTAGTATTTTAGTGGGAGCTATTTCTCAAAAACAGTGCTGTATGTATGTGGCTCTGAACCTCCTAGTCCCCAGATAACATTGTCTTTTCTACTTTAGTTATTTTGTTTCATTTGATGTATGTTAAGAGATGTTCTCTAGATGTTCACTATGCTGGCCAAATAAATCTTTTTTTAAAAAATGCACTTTTTGAATAAATTCTAAGCTGAATATGTGGTGTGAAGTTAATGTGAGAGTACATAAAATAGACAGAAAATTCCTAGACAGTAATCTTTACTTTCCTAGTGTGATTTACAAAATTCCATACAACAAAATAATTAACCTTAGAAAACCATATAACTTTAAAAATAATATTTTATTGAAGTACAGTATTTTGTGGAAACATTTTACTGATGTTTTAGAAAAAGCAATTTAGCAACTGGAGAAATAGTAGGTTTACTTTGCCTGTTGGCACCCACACACGTCATCTGGGGGCCTGAAGGGAGTTATGCTCTGCTCA